>NC_000006.12:78898261-81398261 GCF_000001405.40 Homo sapiens | reverse complement strand
TGAGATCGCGCCACTGCACTCCAGCCTGGGCGAAAGAGCAAGACTCCGTCTCAAAGAAAAGAAAAATCTAAATGTATAAATCTGCTCATTAACAGAACAGTTTGCCACATGAGAAAACAATTTGTAACAAAGAGTGATAAGCTACCTGAATCCTGTAAATACAGGCAAATCTTGGAGACATCGTGGGTTTGGTTCCAGACAACTGCAATAAAGTATCACTATAAAGCAAATCACACAAATTGTTTGGTTTCTTGGTACATACATAAGTTATGTTCATAGTTTATTCAGGGTGCAATAGTATTACATCTTAAAAAACTGTGTGCATACCTTGAGTTAAAAATTATTTATTGCTAAATATGCTAACGAATGTCTGACACTTCAGAGAGTCATAATCTTATTGCTTATGGAGGGTCTTGCTTTGATGGTGATGGCTGCCGACTGATCAGAATGGTGGTTGCTGAAGATTGAGGTGGTAATGACGATTTCTTAAAATAAGATAACAATGAACTTTTCTGCATTGATTGACTCTTTCTCAAAAGATTTCTCTGTAGCATGTAAGGATGTTTGGCAGCATTTTATCCACAGTAAAACTTTTTTCAAAGTTGGAGTCAGTCCTCTCAAACACTGCCATTGCTTTGTAAACTAACTTTATGTGATATTCTAAATCTTTTTTTGTCATTTCAACAACATTCATAGCATCTTTACCAGGAATAGATTCTATGTCAATAAACCACGTTCTTTGCTCATCTATATGAGGCAACACTTCATCATTCAAGCTTTATCATGAGATTGCATCAATTCAGTCACATCTTCAAAGCTCCGCTTCTAATTCTACTTGTCTTACTGTTCCTATCACATCTGCAATTATTTTCCTCCACTGAAGTCTTGGACCCCTCAAAGTCGTTCATGAAGGTTGGAATCCAGTTCTTCCAGACTCCTGTAATGATATTTTGATCTCCTCCCATGAATCACACATGTTCTTAATGGCATCTAGAATAGCGAATCTTTTCCGGAAGATTTCCAGTTTCCTTTGTCCAGCTACATCAGAGGAATCATTGTCTATGGCAGCTCTAGCCTGGCAAAATGTAATTATTAAATAATAGGATTTGAAAGTTAACATTATTTCTTGATCCATGGGCTTCAGAATGGACCTTGTGTTAGCAGGCTTGGAAACAACATTAATCTCTGTGTACATCTTCATCAGAGCTCTTGGGTGACCTAGTACATTGTCAATGAACAGTAGTATTTTGAAAGGAATCTTTGTTTTTTAGCATTAGGTTTCAACAATGAGCTGTAAATATTCAGTAAACCATGCTGTAAGCAGATGCTCTGTTATCTAAGCATTGTTGTTTCATTTCTAGGGCATAGGAAGAGTAGTTTTAGCATAATTCTTAAGGCTCTTAGAATTTTCAGAATGATAAATGAGCATTGGCTTCAACTTCAAGTCATTAGATACATTAACCTATAACAAGAAAGTCAGCCTGTCCTTTGAAGCTGTGAAGCCAGGCATTGACTTCTCCTCTTGAGCCATGAAAATCCTAGATAACACCTTTTTCTAATATAACACTGTTTCATCTGCAATGGGAAATTTGTTGTTTAGTGTACCCATCTTCATCAATGATCAATTATCTTAACTAGATCTTCTTCATAACCTGCTGCAACTTTGCTGCTTCACCTTGCATTTTTATGTTATGGAGATGGCTTCTTTTCTTCAACCTCATAAACTAACCTCTGCTAGCTTGAAACTTTTATTCAGTTTCCTCACCTCTTTTTGCCTTCATAGAATTGAAGAGAGTTAGAGTCTTGCAGTGATTAAGCTATGGCTTAAGGACATGTTGCAGCTGGTTTGATCTTCTACCAAGACTGCTAAAACTTTCTCCATATAGGTAATAGGCTATTTCGATTTTTTTTTTTTTTTATCATTCATGGCTTCACTGGAGTAGCACTTTTAATTTCCTTCAAGAGCCTCTTGGCTATCTTGGTTGTCAACATGTGCTCCTCACTAAGCTTAATTATTTCTAGCCTTTTATTTTAAGTAAATGATATGCAACTCTTCGTTTCACTTGAACACTTAGAGGCCATGGTAGAATTATTTACTGGGCTAAGTTCAATACTGTTGTTTTGGAGGGAATAAGGAGGCATGAGTAGTGGGAAAGAGATAGAGGAAAGGCTGGTCAATGGAGTACTCAGAACACATACATTTATTGATTATATGGGCACGGTTTGTGGTGCACCAAGATTACAATTACAATAGTAACTTCAAAGATCACTGATCACATATCATTATAACAGATACAATAATAATGAAAAAACTTAGAATATTACAAGACTTTCCAAAATACGACAAAGAGACATGAAATGAGCATATGCTGTTAGAAGAATAGCACTTACAGGAAAGTCTTGCTGACACAGGATTGTGACAAACCTTCAATTTGTAAAAAACACAATATCTGCAAAGTACAATAAAGCAAAGCACAATAAAACAAGGTATGTCTATAAAATAAATATTGGTAATTTAGGCTGATTTGAATAATCTGAATTAAAGACAAATTTTAATGACAGAATTCTTTAAAAAACTGTCAGACTTATTGCCCTCAAATAACTCTACAGATAGAAAGTGAATATATTCATTTTTCTCTACAGAGATATCTTAATAAAATTTTTATAAAAGATATATGTGGGATTTGTAATTAGACTGTCTGCTATATATATATATATATATATATATATATATATATATATATATACACACACACACATATATGCGATATTATTGAGAGTGCTCAAAAATGTTATTTTTAGCATTTTTCTCAAGTTTTAATTTGCATTTTTGTTTACTCAGAAAACAATTCCCTGGGGAGTGATACACAAGTAATGCTAAGTGTTTGACAAAAAGAAATTACAAAATTAGCACTGAAGCTCAAGATTCTGTACAATAAAGGGACCCTTAAGAAAGGCTGCTCTCCAGAAAGTCCCTATTAGGTTAAAATGGGTAATGTAAGTGATGAAACAGCATCAGTGCTTAACACTTGCAGTACAGTAGAAAATGACTGCTGAAGAGTCATAATTGTTATTTTGTTATAATGTAATATATAAAAAGAATGCTGTGAAAATATCTAAGCATATTTGCCTGCAGTAGCAACAAATATTAAAAAATTATAAAATAGTATATATGTAACTATATATATCACTATATATAACTGATATATATGTGTATATATACATATATATTCATATTCACTGGCTCTTTTAAAAAATAGTTACTATTATAGTTTGTGCTAGTTGTAATGCCTGTATTCTTTGTTGTACTATTATATTTTTAAATTTACTTATTTAGTCATTTAACCTTTTTTTAAAACTATCTGCTCCATTTCAGCAATAGTGGACCATGTGCTCAGGCATTGAGAACAAACTTAAAACAAAAAACCCTCCAAACACATTCTTATTCTCAAATAGTGTAAAAAAATTAAGCAAATAATTATAAAAAATGTGATACAGCTGTAGTAGTTGTTCATTCATGTCACAGATATTTATTGAGCTTCCACTATGTGGCAGGCCCTGGTCTAGGTATTGCAGATGGAGAGGGAGGCCACCTAGCCACTGCCATCATAGACCTTTCATGAAATAGCAAAAATAAAAATAATGAAAAATTTGATATCTAAATTAAGACTCACAGTATTGGGATGTGTTTGAATAGAATATTGCAATAGCATTCTAGTCAGGAGGAAAATTATGTGCAAAGAACAGTGACCATGATATAAATAAGAGATTGTGGATAAGATGTTCTGGGCAGCTGGGACATAAGTTCATAGCAGAAGGGTGGGGGGAATGAGGTTAGAGCTGTGCAGTGAGCCACACTGACATGTCAGCTGAGTAGCTAACAGGGAAACACCAATGGTTGGAAGAAGTGTGTTATTTATTTTTGTACAGGTAACGTTCTCAGCTCTGTGAATGATGTATTGCAGAAACTGAGTAGACCAGGTAAAAAATTATTTCAATAGTCAGGGGAGAGATGAAAGGTATCTGAATTTGGGCAGCAACAAAAACAGCTATGATGCATTTCTATATACTATTCGTAAGTGGCATATATTTCAAATCAATGTGAGTCTCTAATGCCTGAAATACTAATTTTCTGTGTGTTAACTCTTTGATCACTTTATTTGAACATATGTAAGTAATTTAGACAAGATTGTATACACAATATTATTTTTATGAACAAAATTTAACTATAAAATATGTGAATTATCACTAAATATCAAAAACAGAGCAGCCATAAAAGACAATATAGGTTTCCAGTATCTTTTAATAGCTATAAGCTAGTTCCCCCTAGTTACTCATCTTTTAAAAATATTTTAGAAAATCTTCTTCATTATTGTGGCATAGGAACTTTTGAAGCATTTCATCAAGACCAAAAACAATCCCATTGGAATTTTTATTAGACTCATATTAAACATAAAATTAATTTGGTAAAATAATATCTTCAAAATATTCAAACTTACTCTCTAGGATCTTGGCATATGCCTCCAATTATTAAAGTGCTCTATCTTTTGCAGTAGACTTTTATAGTTTTCGTCCTACCAGCCTCTAAGGAAAGCTAATTTTTAGATGTTTTAGGATTATGGTTGCCAATGCGAAATAGGTCATATCAATTGTTGTTGATACAGATGATAGCTATTGATATTTGTATATTATAACCAGATAATTTACCAAATTATTTCATAAGCTCTAAACATTTTAATGAGGTTTAGTGGACAATGGTGAAGTTCTAGTGTATTTATGTCTATAGTTATTGTATTAGTTTGTTCCCACACTGCTATAAAGAACTTCATGGTGGAAGGTGAAGGAGAAGCTAACACCTTCTTCATGTGGTGGCAGGAGAGAGAGAGACAGAGAGAGAGAGAGATCACGAAGTGGGAAGTGCTACACACTCTTAAGCCATCAGATCTCATGAGAACTCAGTCACCATCATGAGAACAGAAAGGGGGAAATTACCCGCATGATCCAATCACCCTCCACCAGGCCCCTCCTCAAATTCGACATGAGAATTGGGCAGAGACACAGATCCAAACCATATCACTCTGCCCCTGGACCCTCTATCAAAGCTCATGTCATCATATTGCAAAATACAAATATCTCTTCTCAACAGTCCCCCAGTCTTGACTCATTTCAGCATTAACTCAAAAAATTAACTCCATAGTCCAAAGTCTTATCTGAGACAAAGTAAATCCCTTCCACCTATGAGCCTGCAAAATAGGAAACAATTTAGTAGCTTCCGAAATACAAGGAAGGTACAGGAATTGGGTAAATGCCCTTATTCCAAATAGGAGAAATTCACTAAAACAAAGGGGCTACAGGTCCTGTACAAGTCTGAAACCTCTCAGGGTAGTAATTAAATCTTAAAACTACAAAACAATCTACTTTGACTCCAGGTGTCACATCCAGGGCACACTGATGCAAGAGATGGGCTCCCAAGGCCTTGGGCATCTCTGTCCCTTTTACTCTGCAAGATATAGCCTACATGGCTGCTTTCATGGGCTGACATTGAGTGCCTGAGTCATTTCCAGGGGTACAGTGTAAGCTCTCTGACTCTACCATTCTGGGGTCTGGAGAAGGGTGGCCTTCTTCTGACAGCTCCATTAGGCAGTGTCCCAGTGGAGGCTCTGTGTGGTACCTCCAACCCCACATTTCTCCTCCACACTGCCCTAGTTGAGGTTCTCCACGAGGGCTCTGCCCCTGCAGAAAACTTCTGCCTGGACATCCAGGCATTTCCATACATCCTCTGAAATTTAAGAGGCGGCTCCCAAACCTTAATTATTGCCTTTTGCACACGTGCAGGCCCAGCACTAACACCCAACACCCAACACCGCCAAGGCTTGGGGCCCAAGGTGTACCTTGGCCCCTTTTAGCCAAGGCTAGACCTGGAATGGCTGGGATGCAGGGTGCCATGTCCTGAGGCTGCACAGAGCTGCTGCGTCCTGGGCCTGGCCCATAAAACTATTTTTTTCTCCTAGGCCTCTGGATCTGTGATGGTAGGGGCTGCTGGTCTCTCAAATGGCCTGGAGACATTTTCCTTATTGTCATGGCTATTAATATTCATCTCCTCCTTACTTATGCAAATTTCTGCAGCAGGCTTGAATTTCTTTCCAAAAAACAAGTTTTTCTTTTCCACAACATGACAAGGCTGCAAATTTTCTAAACTTCTATGCTCTGCTTCCCTTTTAAATGTAGGTTTCAGTTTTAGATCCTCTCTTTGTCCACACATATAAGTAAACACTTTTAGAAACAGCCAGGTCACATCTTGAGGGCTTTGCTGCTTAGAAATTTCTTCCACCAGGTACTCTAAATCATATTTCTTAAGTTCAAGGTTCCACAGATCTCTAGGGCAGGGATAAAATGCCACCCATCTCTTTGCTAAAGCATAGGAAGAGTGACCTTTACTCCATTTCCCAATAAGTTCCTCATCTCTATCTGAGATCACCTCTCCCTAGACTTCGTTGTCCATATCACTATCAGCATTTTGGTCAAAACCATTCAACAAGTCTCTAGGAAGTTCCAAACTCTCCCATATCTTTCTGTCTTCTTCTGAGCCCTCCAAACTCTTCCAAGCTCTGCCCAATACTCAGTTCCAAAGTCCCTTCCACATCTTCAGGTATCTTTATAGCAGTGCCCCATTCTTGTAATGCCAATTTTCTGTATTAGTCCATTCTCACACTACTATAAAGAGTTACCTGAAACTGGATAATTTAGGAAGAAAAGAGGTTTAATTGACTCACAGTTCCACAGAATTAACAGGAAGCATGACTGGGAGTCCTCAGGAAACTTACAATCATGTTGGAAGGTGAAGGGTAAGCTAGCACTTTGTTCACATGGCAGCAGGATAATGAGAATGCTAAGAGGGAAGTGCCACACACTTTTAAACCATCAGATTTCATGAGAACTCACTCATTATAATGAGAAGAGCAAGGGGGAATTTCATACCTATGATCTAATCAGGGCCCCTCCTACAATTCAACATGAGATTTGGGTGGGAACACAAATCCAAACCATATCAGTTATCAATAATCATATGACTAGTTTCTATTTCACAACAGCATGGGCATTTTGTTGTTCTTCCTGATTTTAAAACAATATTAAGTGCTTCATCACATTCTTAGTATTTTTATTATTAGAAAGAATGCTGATTATTGGTTTTAAACATGAATTCTTAACATGCTAAAATATGTTTTCATTTATAATGTTTAACAGTTGTTTTTAGTCATGAATATTGGATCTTAGCAAATAACTTGTGGCATATATTATGACTATCATATGATTTTTAAAAATACTTTCACATATTGATATTCTGTACCAATGTAAACGATTTCTGAATTTTAATCCGTA
The DNA here is from genome assembly GCF_000001405.40 of Homo sapiens. NCBI lineage: Eukaryota > Metazoa > Chordata > Mammalia > Primates > Hominidae > Homo > Homo sapiens. Next base: position 81,390,881 of record NC_000006.12, on the reverse strand, counting down.
TTTCTATACCAGGGGGGTAAATTCTGCCTATTGGTAATATAATGCTATTTTTCTCCTTAAGTCTTTGCTGTTTTTATTTAAAATTGAAACTTGAAATGAATCATGCAAATATCTTGTTTTCATTTATTCAATTGTCTCTGAGTTTTCTGTTTAGTTGAATCCATGATTCTCAAAAGCTAAAAATATTCCATAGTGTTTTTCTAAATAAGATAAGAAAAAATTCTCTTCTTTTTAAGAGAATTCTATTTTTAAATCCAAGACCTTGTAAAAAAGTATAATAATAACACCTACTTCTGTCTTTTCTTATGTTGGCAAATGTAATCATAGAGGTCATACTCTCATTCTCACATAGGACTTTCTTAACCTCAATAGCATTCATTTTAATGTGTCCTGGGAAGAACATAAGGACAAAAACAAAATAGAACAAAATATAAGTTTTTGTTTATTAATATCTCCTCACACTCCTTTTCATAATGCTTGGCTGTAAGTACGAGCAATTTTTGGCTCCCTTTATTCTCATGCTTTTAGTTTAGCTCTTGAGTTTTGCTTGATAGTATTCAGCTTCCAATCTAGTTATTTTTCAAAGTAGAATAATAAAAGATAGATTTGAAGGTCTTGGGCTTCCTATATATTATCAAATTTTCAAGTCCTGGCTCTGTTTCTTACTAGTTGTGTGACTTTACATAACCTTACTTAGCTATTCTGGGCTTAGCTTCCTCAATTGTAGTGGGAATGAGGTATTATGCATAAAGTTATGAGAATAAAATAAATTAGTACATATGAAGCTGGTAGAAGAGTACTTTGACATTGTAAGTGCCAATACATGTGGCTAGCTTTATAACTTTCCCTTCAAATCCTAGGTGTGTCAAACCCTATAAAACATTTGAATTAAGTAGCAAGCATCCTTCAACAACTATAATGTTCTCTTTTTGTCTCATTTTCTCAACCTGAATTTTTCTCTTAACTCTGTCATTCCTTAAGAGTACCCACTATTGAAATCCCTTTTTTTGACTTGTTCATTCAGCCTCTTTATTTTGCTTGTTCATTATTTTTGCTATACTTGAAATATTCATATTTAAATTGATGATCAAGAAATAGGGTAAAATACAAGGTTTGACAATGTAAATAAGATTGGTCATAAGATAATCTAAGAGGCGCTATTGCCTCTCCTTCAGAATTATTTAATGGGCTAAGTAAAGGACCAAATTCAGTAAGACAGAACCCTGGGAAGAATACAAGGACAAAAACAAAGCAAAACAAAATATCAGTTTTTGTTTTTCCATTATTTCCTGATGCCCCATTTTAGAATTTGTGGCCATAGGTTGCACATAGGTGGCAGGTGAGGCATCTAGTTTACATTCCTGTTCTTGGCTTCCATTTGTTCTCATTCATTTAGTTAACTTCTAGTGTATGCTGTAGCACCGATTTTTCATAGCCACTCAAGGTTGTCCCAAGGTTACTGTGATCCAGACAGCTGTATGAAGATGTTTTGTATGGCAAAACATTGACCTAACCAGGTAGAATGACTCTGTCCACATTCTAGAGCCTTTGTCAATTTTTTAAAAATAAAATGGTGCTTTAATTTTGCTAATTAAATTAGATGGTAAAAATTATTGTGGTAATCTTCATCCTTTAGTGAACTACTTCAGAAAAATCTAATTTTTCTTATTTTAAAAGTTAATGGCTATGGGTAAAACTTTGGTGGAGATGTTGGAATACAAGTAACAATTACTAACACTTCTAGAATGCTTGCTATGCCAGGCAACTGTTCTATGTGTTTTATATACAGCAACTGATTCAGTCTTTGTAATAACCCAATCAAGTAGGTGCTACTATTTTCAAACCCATTTTATACATTAACAAAATTAAGTACTGAGAAATTAAGTAACTTTTCCAAGGGGAAAAAGCTGATAAATGGCAGCACCATGTTCAAACCCAAGTTTGAAGCCACTGGTAGTGATGATTAGAGAGAGCGATGAAGAAGACATGCAGAAAGGTACAGAGGTCCTGAAGACCAGATATTATTACTTGATTACATGAGACATTCAAATATTATTATGACAAATTCCACCCTCCCTCTTTTTTAAAAAATTGGGCTTAAATGTGAGACATCTAACCTATGCTTTTATTAATGGAAACTGAGTCCACATGGACAAAAACTCTCCATCAAAATACTAGAAAAATGAATTCAACAAACATTAAAACAATAATTCATCATGAACAAGTCGGATTCATGTCAGGATGCAAGCATGGCTCAACACATGCAGATCAGCAAATGTGATACATAAAACATAACATCAACAGAATGAAGGGCAAAAACCATAAGATCATTTCAACTGATGCTAAAAAAGCAGTCAATAAAATTCAATATCTCTTTATGGTTAAAAGCTCTCAAAAAACTGAGTACAGAAGAAACATACCTCATCATGATAAAAACCATATACCTCAGATCCACAGCTAATATCATACAAAATGGGGGAAAACTGAAAGCCTTTCCTCTAAGAACTGAAACATGACAAGGATGGCCACTTTAACCCCTGTTATTCATCGTAGTACAGAAAGTCCTAGATGAAGCAATTAGACATGAGAAAGAAATAAATGGAATCCAAATTGGAAAGAAAAAAAAAGTCAAATTATTCTTGTTTGCAGGCAATGTGATCTTACATTTAGGAAAACCTAAAGACTCCTTCAAAAAACAATTTGAAATGTTAAATAAATTTAGTAAAGTTGCAGGCTACAAAATAAACATGCAAAAAAAACAATAGTATTTCTATATGCCAACTGCAAACAATCTGACCCTCCCAATAATCCCATTTACAATAGCGATAAAACAAAATATCTAGAAATAAACTTAACAAAGTAGTGAAATATCTCTATAATGAAGACTATAAAACACTGATAAAAGAAATTTAAGAGGATACATGTAAAAAATGAAAAGATGGTCTATGTTTATGGATTGGAGGAATCCAATCCATAAATATTGGTGACTATAGTTAACAATAATTTATTGTATATTGTAAAATAACTAAGAGTGGAATTGGAATGTTTGTAACACAAAGATATGATAAATGCTTGAAATGATGAATAACACAATTATCCTTATTTACATGCCTGTATCAAATCATCACACCTACCCCATAAATACAACTATATGTACCCAAAATAATTAAAAATTTAATTTTTTAAAAAAACCCAGAAGATTGTAAAAGGCATATACAATCATATAGGAATAATAGCATGGCAATACAATCTAAACTTTTTAGAATTAAGCCAATTATATATGTTTAATAACCACTGAAATTATTATCTTAGAAAGAAGTATGCAGTTTAAGTGAAACTTTGTTTATTAAAGAAATTCTATACTTGGCATCAAATTTTCCTCTTGTTGATCTTTCTCCTTGAAAGTAAAAGCTAACTTTCAACATTTAAATTTTTTCTACAGTCTCATGAACTTTGTTCCCCATACTTTTTGAAGCAGCAGCAGAAGTAACATTTTTAACGAAATTAGCTGGGTTGGCATTAATAAACAGTGAATCAGCAATATTATGGGAAAGGGAATGAAGAAAAGATTGACTCAACCTTTCAGGTAGGTCCCTCACATTTCTAGTTCTGCCTTTAAATTGATTAATATTAAATAGATTTTGGACTCTCAATTAAAGATAAGAGGAGTGCAACAGTCATAAACAAAATAGCTTCTGGCCTTGGAGACTAAAGGGAAGGGTATTTCACAGTCAGTCTATTTACAGTAAACTGCTTAAAGATAGGAACAATGTCTGCTTCATTTAACACTATATTCCTACTCTCTAGTAGAGTACCTGGAGCATAACAAATGCTTCATAAATATTAATTGTGTGAGAAATTTAAGTATTTAAAATGTGACTTTCTTTTATTTTATGTACTATTACAATGAGGTCCTCTACAGCAGGCTGCTATGTTTGATGGATGCCCTAGGGAAGCTAGAAATACCTACGTTTAAAATTTCGTGTACTCAGTCCACATAGCATTCAGGAAACAACCTATATCTTTTTCCCACCAGTTCCATAAACCAACATTAGGTCAAGCACTCAGAGTATTTGAGATTGTGTTTTCAGGATGGTGGGCAATAAAATTCTCCAATGTGAGGGCACAGTCTTCCATTGAATGAGAGTGTGGATAATCTGTTGATTAGAATCATGCATCATTTAGGCAGAAATAAGCAAGAAAAAAAAGCTGAATGATTTTTAACTTTTTATTTTGGAACAATGTTATGTTTATGGAAAAACTGTAAAAGCAGAATAGAATTTCTACCTGCCCTTCATCCAGCTTCCCCTAAAGTTAACATTTTACATAGCCTCAGTACATTTGTCAAAACTAAAAATTTAACATTAGTACAAAATTATTGACTAAATTACGGACTTTACTCAGATTTCACAATGTTTTCTAAGTTAAGTTCCTTATATATCTAGGATTTAATACAAATCTAGGATAGTACATTGCATTTCATTTTCATATCTTCTTGGGCTTGTACATCCTGTGATAGTTTCTGTGATAGTTTCTCATTCTATCCTTGTTTTTTGTTTTAATGATCTTGACCATTGGAAGCTGGTTCAGGTTGTTCCTGTGTCTTTTCATTACCTACCCTTTTTCTTTTCTTTCTTTCTTTGATTTTTTCGGAGTACTTTATTTCTGGCACCATAAGATTCTCCAAGCACATTTTGGATTTTCCCTCTCTCAACTTTGGTATCAAGCCGTACTTCAAGCAGGCCTACTTCCCTTTATTTAAAAGTGGCATTTAGAATCCAAGATCTGGGTATAATTGCACTTTTAGAATGACACTTGCTTCTAGCCCTCTTGGCAGATAGATAGAACTAACAAATGTGTGTGCGTGTGTGTGTGTGTGTGTGTGTGTGTGTGTATTCTTTTTGATGACAGCCCTTTTTCTCCCTTTCCTCAAGAGTCTTGCAATCAGAAGTGATTTCTGATACTCCTGTGTTTTTCCATATCACGCTTGTGCCTTCCTATCACTTTTGAGTTTCTAGATATTTAAGCCATTAGTATCCTAGAAAGAGCACTGGATAAGAAAGTTTACCTCTTTGCACTCAAAAATATATAATATTGAATAAATTATTTACATATTTTAACCCAAATTTTCTCATTTCTAAAGTGAGCATAATAATTTATTATTTCTTCTTGGCTTAGCACATAGAGTATCTAATTATATATATATATATATGTATGTATATATATAATGTATGCAAACAATCTAAGTTTATATATATGTATACAGACAGACATATGCACACACTTATGAATCACAAAGTACTTAAAATGAGCTGAGTTTGAGTATTAATTCCCTTTTTCTCACTAAAAATATATATCATGCTCAATTTTCTGTATTCCTACATACATTTATTAATTTTAAGTAATTTAGGTCAATAGAGGCAGGCTAGTAGAACTGTTATAATATTTTATTGATGCATATCAAACTAGTATAGTTCAATTTTAATTCATTATAAGTAGATATTGCTTTTGTAGAACAAGGGATATAACTAATACTTAACAGCTTTCATTTATATTAACTTAGATTAAGTTTGCATACATTCAAAATCATAGACAAAGCAACCAATCTAAAATATCTAGCAAAACTTCAACAGATTAAGAGCAACAACACTGAAAATTTATGTTTCCTGTAATTAAATATAATCCCTTGAATCTCTTGGAATGATACAATGGAATGGCATGTACTTGGATTTTGAGTTCTAGCAGTGAACATAGGCAGTGGATTAGCCAGAATATGTTAATCAGAATTATATGTGGATGGCCGAGGTCACCAAATGTGTCCAATATAACAAGTCTTACTGTAACATCTGCTGACAACTTTAAAGCCACAGAAAATGTTGCATTTGTGAAGATGGATGTAGGAAAAAAAAAAGATTGATATCAACGTGCCAAACTTCTTACTCTAAAAAGGAAAAACATATTAGAAAAAAAGATGATTCAACTTACTGAGGAATACATGAGTCTCATATCAAACATAGGAAATAACTTTTCTATAGTGTCTGAAAAATTGTGAGTGAGTCTGCCCTTACTTTCCCAGCAAGGTTTGGGTTAGGCACAGTTAAGGGAAAGGGAAATGGAAGAGAAGGGGAAAGAAATTGGCCCCTACCATATGCCAGGTAGTAGGCTACATTCATTATAGAAATTTAATTCAATAACTACCCACTCTCAAACATTGCAATGTGGGTATTTTGATCCCCATCTAACAGATGAGAAAACAGATTGGAGTTGAAGATGGAAATATACAACTCACTACGTGTTGGAATTGAGTCCCTAATACAGAATTAGCCTATCTCCAAAGACTTTGCTCTATATACACTAATATGAATTGGAAAAATATTTATTTATTTGTAATATTAACTAAATAAAAATATAAATGAGAAGAAAATCTGCCACCAAACATGGCAAAAAATTTATGTTAAACTCAAAGAACAATGATCCTTTCCAAGTACTCTCTGGTTTATATTCTTTTACTGTGTCAAATGAAACCTCTGGCTCATAATTTTTAAAACAAAAGACACAGATTCTCCATGGAAAATCTATGTGTAAATTAACGTCACCAATTCTTTATTGACTTCATCACAAATGCCATCAATGTTATTATTTTAAAAAAATAGCAAGTTGACTTGCCACTTATAAAACTAATTTGATAAGGTACAGATGGTATGCTCTTATGTCTACCAATGATACACATGCTCGAAACTTAACAAATCAGGCAACAAGATCACATCACATAAATACAGTGATTTTATTTACATTTGAGTAAACTAAAATTAATTTAGCCAAAAATATTTATTGAGTGACTACTATTGTACTATTTTATACACTAGAAATCAAAGAAATTTATTGATCTACAGAATTTTGATTCTATTTTGGGGAATACATTAATTTAAAAAAATACATATATTGTAATGTCAGATAGTGGTTGTGCATTGAAATAGAGCAAAGTAAGAGGAGTATATTCTTTTAAGGGCATTGGTCAGGATCTTCCTCTTTGAGATGATAATTTTGGACAAAGACCCAAATAAAGTAAGGGGGTGAGCATGCCCATATCTAGGGAAAGATAATTCTAGGCAGAGGGAGTAGCAAGTACAAATGCCTTGAGAGTGGAGTGTGCTCGGTGTGTTAAAAGTACAGCAAAGAGATAAGTGGTGAATTGTCAGGGGAGCTACTATAGAACCATGTAGGTTGTGGTAAGAATTTGAGATTTTAAGTGTGATAAGAAGCTATGAGGTGGTTTTCAGTAAAGTGGTAACTTAATCTGACTTATATTTAAAGAAATTAAGCACTGGCTACCATACTGAAAACAGCCAGGAGCAGGACAAGTATGGAAGCACAGAAAGCAGCCAAGAGGCTGTTGGAATGGTGAAGATATTTTAAGAACTTCCACCTGCTTTCCAGTGAAAAACTAATTATGGGGAAGCTGGTGTTTTAAATCATCCAAAGAATTTTTAAATCAGCACTTAAAATGTTGAAATACTTTGTCTTTCTTTTTTAATTTCTATAGATTTTACTGAAAATAGAGAATATTTCAAGTATCAGCTGATAGTGAAGTTTCAGAATAAATTTTCAGAGCACTTGCTAACCAAAGGCTGTAAGGCTTGTGGCATTTATATATACATGTTAAAAACCCTTGTCAAGTATGACGAAAAGAAGATGTAACATTTGTGAGCCCTTGGGAGGCTGGCATTTGCCTAAAGGAAGTTGCAGGATCTCTTCTCTTTTTAGTAGCCTTCAGTTTGTACAGCCCTCTCAGGGCTGTCATTGGCAAGTGGTTCTCAGCTGAGTTACTAAAATTCGGATGTAAAGTAATGTGAACCCTGGTATCCCAGTGACCTTCACTGAGTCATCAGGCTTATGATCTATTGGCACTTGTATATGTCCTTGTGAAATTTGAGGGACTAATTGCTCTGAGTGCCCACACTTTTAGTTACACCTCCGACTAATGAATAGTCTCAAGGGCACACGAGGGCTTTCTGTTTTAGAGGCAATAGAAGGACTCATGTTTAGAAATAATTGACCTTAAGTGCTTAAGTCACCACAGAGTCATTCAGGAGGACTCTGGATTGGACACTCTTCCCTCTTGGTATTTTCAGCAAAATTAAGGATAGGTAACTGGTTGCTAGGGTGAGAGAAGAGATAGCAGAAAAAGATGTTTAACTTCTAACAACTCCAGATTTGCCTATTAAGGTAGAAATGTCATGAGGATTATTCGAAATGTAAATACTGAGCTAGCATGTCAGTAAAATCAAACATACAGATGACAGATAAATAACAACAAACACAAAATACAACTGTGGCAATGTGCATCTATGTAGGAAACAGAGAGGGAAGTTTAGTGTCTCATGCATGCCACGTGGGATTGAAGAGAATCTGGGAAAGTTAAGTCAGATCCTGCAACTACCTACTTAACTATATCTATGAGTTTGCTTTAATGTTCCTCCTCTTGCCTAGTGCCACATGGGTGCAGAGGCAGCCCATGAGGACAACTTCTCCCAGCCTTCCACATTTATAGCAGACTAAAAGCTCCCTCCCCCTGTCAACTCCCTCCCCCAACCTGTGCCCTCTTTCTCATAACATAGGTAATGATCCTCATTCACTCTGTTCTAAATCTGAGGGGCAAGTAAGTAATCCAATAAATAAAGTCTCATTCCTGACTCTTTTTAAAAAAATTTTCCTTCTCCCCAAACCCCCTAAGCCAGGGAAATGGAATTGTCTTTTCCTTTTCCTTCCACCTCTGTGGTAGTTTCTACCCTTTTGACTAAAGAGTCATTGGCAATGAGAATAAACAGATATTGGCTTACCAATCAGCAGACGTGTCAATAGCATTTTCCAGTTTCCATAGTTTTGGGTCTAAAACGCTCATAATACAAGCAATGATGATTCTGGCCTCCTCCAAACACCCCATCCCTCAATTATGGTTGTAGTCTATTTGTTCTAATACCTATATTAATAGATTATGGGCACTATCTTTGGAATGTGACATATTTGAATGAAATAAGAAACAGAAAAGAAATACCACAGAAATAATAAATATTAACTTGCTTGCATTTTTTTCTAATGGGACTGCTATTTCAGTCTCAAACTACAGCTGGTAGAACTGTAGACCTCATAAGGTCACCTAGATATATGCTGGCTGGGTCAAGTCTACAAAGTAAATATTTAGTGTTTCAAACATTAGTAATCTTTGGAACTCCACTTTTCATTTATGAGATACCCTGACTAACTAGGGTTCTACTGATTTTATAACTGAGAGAGAATATCTGGGATATTTATGAGTTTTTTTGGGTGGTGGTGTGTGGGAATTTTGTGCTGAAATGTAACATAATCTCACATTGAAGAATTAAAACTTTAATTGGGTATTCTCAAAATATAAATGAAGATTGTTTCTGGAGGCCTAGTTCTAAACTTTTCAATGCGGGTGGTGTGGGGTGGGGTTGAAGATCAAAGAAAAATGTATTGTTTGAGAAGGCTCAATATATTCAATGTTTTTATCCATCCACTCAAGTTTCCTACCAATTTATAAATGAGGCAAAAAAGTTAGCTTTATACTGATAAAAGTAATATTGGAGAATAGACTTAGCATATGGTTCTTAACATCAAACCTCCGTAAAATAGCTTGGTCACTGGCACAAGCTGTGCTAATAATTGTAGGCTTCCACATGTAGACAACTTAGAGGCCATACAACTTGGAAGAGCAGAGCTCTCTCTTGGCACCTTGGCTTCTAGGAAAAAGTGAATAAGAGTCACACATACTTAGTTTCTCCTTCTAAGTGTACTGCTTCAGGTTGAGTTACTTCTTGTCTATTGGAATTCCCTTCACATGAAAGGAAATATTAGAAACCTGGAAAAATTGTTACTCATTCACTTTAAGTATATTGTTGTGAGTGATTCTACCCTTTCTGTTGAAATCTCTCCCCTATCATCAAAGCTTAGCTGAACTCTGGACCTTACTTGTGAATTTAAAGTGACACCAGGAAAGTTTTTTTTTTTTTTAAAGGTCAGCTAGTAGTAGGTGAAAAGATAGAGAATGGAAGTAGATAATAATGAATGAAGTGTTAAGCTTGGATTCAGATATATTTGTTTTCCCTTTGTATTTCCAATGACTGGCAGGGCATACAACCATGGTGAAATAATGATTTTAAAGAAGAATATGAATGTCAAAGAGAAAAATGAAGAAGAAAATATCACATGTATCTTATAAATATGTACAACTATTACATATCAGTGAAAAAAGTCAAAAGCAGTCCTTATTAATAAAATTTTTTAAAATTCCAAAATATAAGAAAATAACTTCTCATGACATCTTGATTATATTTATCAAGATTAATTTCACTAAAAAATCTAAGACAGTATTCTGGCATTACCCTCCATCTTTAGGGGCATTGCATGAATAAATTGCATGAAACATAATCAAAATGTGAGGAGATTTCTTCTGGCTGAAAATACTTGAGGTGTGTCGTGTCTTGATAATCAGCTACTGGGAGTAGACTAAGTTTTCTTTTTCTTTATTTTTTTTTCTTGAAACAGAGTTTCGCTCTTGTCACCCAGGCTGTAGTGCAGTGGCGCAATCTTGGCTCACTGCAACCTCCACCTCCCGGGTTCAAGCAGTTCTCCTCCTCAGCCTCCCGAGTAGCTGGGATTACAGGTGTGTGCCACCACGCCCTGCTAATTTTTGTATTTTTAGTAGAGACAGGGTTTCACCATGTTGGGAGGCCAAGGTGGGCAGATCACTTGAGGTAAGGACTAAGTTTACTTAAAGGGAGGTCCATAGTCACTAGAAATTCTTTTCTGTATTCTTCAAGCATAAAAATCTACAAATATACACATTCCATATTTTATTTAGAAAATACATTGATTTAAATGTCACATAAAATTATATTAAACTCTCATATTAACAGCCTTGATCTTTATTCAACTGACTGGAAGAAAGTTAAAGGCTTTGTTTGTTTCTGTTTTTTACGGCAACAAACATATTTATTGAATTTTCATTTCATTTCTTCTGAAGCACATTTAGTTAGCATAAAGAAATCAATCACATTCCTTATTCTCCCCCACAGCCAAAGATTTCTGAAGACAGTGCTAATGTGATGTACTCATAGGTGGATCTCTGACCCTCAGAGATGGCCTTGGTTTTTCAGTTTCAGCAATTCTGGGAAGCCAAGGACACCTCCATATCCTCCTCCGTGCTCTGCAACTCAACTGAGAACAGCTTTCTCATTGGAATGTCTTATGTTTAAGGAATAAGAGTCCCTGTTTCAGGTTTGAGTGCTCAGGTGCACCTACTGGATCCAGCCCAGGACTGGAGATACTTTCCAGAACACAACATCACCTGAGACATGACCAGTTCACACTGTTTTACTTTCACAATTTCAGCTTCCTCGGAAGAATATTAAAATTGCTAAGACTTTTTCATAAATATTGTGCCATGTCCTTCCTCTGTGCCCTTGCCTGTTCATTTGTGTCAGACTAGGTGCACTTATTTCTAATGAGATCAGAATTCTGCCTCCAGTAACACATCAAAGATGACCTATGATTGTACTTTTGGTTTTTGCTCCCACATGTAAATTATAAAATTCATCACCCCCATTTTTATGTCAAGAAACATCTGCACAATCTGAATGTCAATACCTTTTGGAATCTATTAAATAACTGAAATTGCAAGAAAAATTACCCACTCCCAAAACTGGAGAGACAGACATGTCCAGAATCGCAGTTGACACTTGCTTAAATGGAACATAAACTGCAGAAGACACAAGTTGTTGAGGGCACTTACATGCTAAGCACTATAGATGTCTGAACCACAGATGTGGACTAGGTAAAGGTGGCAGTTTCAGAGAGACTTATACTTCTCAATTTTCTGGACTTTCTCTCCAGAAACCCCCAGACTCTACAAAATGCAATCCAAATACATTTCCTATGGCTAAGAACTGGAGAAGATTAATTACTGAGAAACACATCAGGAGCTTTCCCCAAAAGCTTCTACAGGGAAGGACTTTTCCAGAACCTTATCCTATGTGAGAAAAAACAAAACAAAACAAAAAACAAACAAACAAAAATAACTTCCATTCCAGATTTCAGATTTCTACACCATTCTTCCATTATTATATGAATGAGTAAAGTTAGCCAGTAGGGGTAAGATGTAATTAAATAGTTCAAGGACTCTGGAACCATAAAAGGGAGTAACGGCCCCAAATGAGGTTTTCCCCTGGAGACGCCTGGTAAAGGTCCCAGCCCAAGGGAGGAAGCCGATTGAGTTTCTAGGTTTCCATTGTAAGAACAGACAGTGCTTACTTGCACTGTACAATACATTCTAACCAGTATGATGTCTCTGGATTAAAGATGAAAGTGTGACAATGCACAGACTCTACCTGAGGAGGAAAACATAGGGGAACAGAAAGACAATGGCAGAGAATAAGAAAAGGACAATAGAGCAATCTGAAGCCCCTGACATCAACATTTTTAAGACCAAGGTCTTGGAAACTTCTTCATTGACCTTAGGTTCTTTTGTCATGGGGCCTTTTCTGGGTTCCTAGCTGAGAAAAGGAAAATAACAACCTGCATGCACTTCCCAAGTCTTCACTTGTCACCTGTTTGCTTTAGATCTCTAGGAGAAAGAAGTCAGGTACCTGGGCCTAGTGTCAGTGTAGGAGGCACTTTCTATAGGCTAGATACTAGGAAGAAGGGAAAATATGTGTTATTGGAATAGAAGACATGGACTGGGCTTTAATCTGAATGTATCTGCACCTGCTGGTATTCTCAGATGTGACATTCAACTGCAAGAGATTAATGAAGAAACAAGGAACTCCCAAAACTCCTGCAAGTTTTTGGATTCATATTGGGTCCACCACTGATTCAGTGCATCTGGAGCTTCAGAGAAGGGGCTCCCTCCTGTGTCCGAATCCTTGCTTTGGGTCTTCCTGCAGAGATCAGTAGGTTTAGTAAAGCTGATAATTTTTTCAAAGATGGTGTCAGCAGCGTATGGTGTCACCAAAGGAGTATTCTAAAGCAGGACGCAGCCATTTCATGCTGGGCTAGAGAAGCTGGGGAAAAATGCTTTGTGAGCCCTGACAGGAACCTCCTTGCAAGGCAAGGGCTGGGCTACAGGGAGCACTCAGAAGCCACCCATTATGGGTTCCAGCCCCAGAGCAGGTGCACAGGAGGCTGGGGAGGAGGTTTCCTCTCAGGGGCTGGGTCTTCCTTTGTCAGAAAAAAGCCAAAATATGTGTTCGAGTTGCTGATGTGCCCTTAGATACACTATTATATCTGAACCATTCATATAAATGAAGGCAATGAGAACTATTTTTTGAAGTGGGATTCTAGGATTATAAATACCTTAATAGTGAGAATATGAAGGATAGGGATGTTTTTACTAATTCAATTGATAAAAAATTGTGGGAGCCACTATGTTTCTATGAATAAGAAATTCAGATTTCATTGTTAAGTAATGTTGTCTACATTTTGTATGTGACAGGGCAGTGGTGGATATGAGAGTGTGGCATGTACACAGACCAAGTGAGTCAGAAATCAATATGTAAAGATAAGGATCTATGGATATGAACTGAAAGTATGTAACTACTTCACAAAATGCTAATAAATGCAGTTCGAAATAAACCCCAAATTATTCAGGACACAAATGTCTTGACAATTATTTTGGAAGCAGTGAGTTCATAAAGAACTCCAAACTCCTGTTTCATTTTCTGATTCCTATTGTCCATGAGACAAGAAAATCATCTCTAATCATGCATCACAGCGCAAAGTTGTAAACCAAGAGTGTTTCTATTGAAGACCCTGGGGGATCAGGACACCAGGCAGGTGCTGGAGACACTCTCTCAGGAGCGTCCAGCAGATCTCAGAGTGATCCGCTGGATGCTCACGTGAAATCCAGCAGTCACTTTCTGAGTCACCAGTGAGCTGTGCTGGTGCCTGAGGGGACCAAAATAAGGTCAAAGCACCTGCTCAGTGTCATAGACAGTGACAGTGCCAGAAATGATCCAGATGGTCTCCATGCAAATCAAATGTTGCGTTCACAGTGAGGTGCATGTCTTGCAGAGGCTTATTCTTTATTGTGAAAGGGCCTCTGTCCATAAATGTTCATAAATGGAGCAGGACATGCTTTTCTTCAAGCAGGATTAGGGCTTGGACCATCAGCATCTCACTCTCGCATTGTTGATGTGTCATTTATCTTCCCTTTCTTTTTTTTTGATTTATTCTAAAACAACAACAACAACAACAACGGGACACATATGCAGAATGTGCAGGTTTGTTACATACATATACGTGTGCCATGGTGGTTTGCTGCACCTATTGACCCATCCTCTAAGTTCTCCCCCTCATCCCCCACCACCCAAAAGGCCCTAGTGTGTGTTGTTCCCCTCAGTGTCCATGTGCTTTCATTGTTCAACTCCCACTTATGAGTGAGAACATAGGGTGTTTGGTTTTCTGTTCCTGTGTTAGTTTGCTGAAGATGATGGCTTCCAGCTTCATCCATGTCCCTGCAAAGAACATGATCTCATTCCTTTTTATGGCAACATAGTATTCCATGGTGTATATGTACCACATTTTCTTTATCCTGTCTATAATTGATGGGCATTTGGGTTGGTTCCATGACTTTGCTATTGTAAATAGTGCTGCAATAAACATACATGTGCATGTGTCTTTTTAGTAGAATAATTTATATTCCTTTGGGTATATATCCAGAAATAGGATTGCTGGATCAAATGGTACTTCTGGTTCTAGATCCTTGAGGAATCACCATAATGTCTTTTACAATAGTTGAACTAATTTACATTCCTACCAACAGTGCAAAAGTGTTCCTATTTCTCCATAGCCTCACCAGCATCTATTGTTTACTAACTTTTTAATAATCACCATTCTGACTGGTGTGAGATGGTATTTCATTGTGGTTTTGATTTGCATTTCTCTAATGATCAGTGATGTTGAGTTTTTTTCTATATGTTTGTTGGCCATGTAAATGTATTTTTTTTTTGTTTTTTTTAGAAGGAGTCTTTCTCTGTCACCAGGCTGGAGTGCAGTGCAGTGGCATGATCTAGGCTCACTGCAACCTCCAACTCCCTGGTTCAAGAGATTCTCCTGCCTCAGCCTCCTGAGTAGCTGGGATTACAGGCACAAGCCACCATGCCCACTAATTTTTGTATTTTTAGTAGAGACAGTGTTTCACCATGTTGGCCAGGATAGTCTCGATCTCCTGACTTCATGATCCACCTGCCTCGGCCTCCTAAAAGTTCTGAGATTACAGGCATGAGCCACCATGCCTGGCCATGTCCTCTTTTGAGAAGTGTCTGTTCATATCCTTTGCCCACTTTTTGATGAGGTTGTTTGTTTTTTTCTTGTAAATTTGTTTCAGTTCCTTGTAAAATCTGGATATTAGCCATTCGTCAGACGGGTAGATTGCAAAAATTTTCTCCCGTTCTGTAGGTTGCCCATTCACTCTGATGATAATTTCCTTTGCTGTGCAGAAGCTCTGTAGTTTAATCAGATCCTGCTTATCAATTTTAGCTTTTGTTGCAATTGCTTTTTTCATTTTTGTCATGAAGTCTTTGCCCATGCCTATGCCATGAATGATATTGCCTAGGTTTTCTTCTAGGGTTTTTATAGCTTTGGGTTTTACATTTTTAAATTTAAGTCTTAATCCATATTGAATTAATTTTTGTATAAGGTGTAAGGAAGGGGTGCAGTTTCAGTTTTCTGCATATGGCTAATCAGTTTTCCCAGCACCATTTACTGAATAGGAGATCCTTTCTCCATTGCTTGTTTTTGTCAGGTTTGTCAAAGATCAGATGGTTGTAGATGTATGGTGCTATTTCTGAGGTCTCCATTCTGCTCCACTGGTCTATTTGCCTGTTTTGGTACCAGTACCATGGTGTTTTGGTTACTGTAGCCTTGCAGTATAGTTTGAAGTCAGGTAGTGTGATGCCTCCAGTTTTGTTCTTTTTGCTTAGAATTGTCTTGGCTATACAGGCTCTTCTTTGGTTCCTTATGAAATTTAAATTATTATTTTCTAATTCTGTGAAGAATGTCAATGGTAGTTTGATGGGAATAGCATTGAATCTATAAATTACTTTGGTCAGTATGGCCATTTTTACAATATTGATTCTTCCTATCCACGAGGATGGAATGTTTTTCCATTTGTTTGTGTCCTCTCTTATTTCCTTGAGCAGTGGTTTGTAGTTCTCCTTGAAGAGGTCCTTCACATCCCTTGTTAGCTGTATTCCTAGGTATTTTATTCTCGTTGTAGCAATTGTGAATGGGAGTTCATTTATGATTTGGCTCTCTGCTTTTCTATTGTTGGTGTATAGGAATGCTTGTGATTTTTGCATATTGGTTTTGTATCCTGAGACTTTGCTGAAGTTACTTATCAGTTTAAGGAGTTTTTGGGCTGACATGATGGGGTTTTCTAAATATAGAATCATGTCATCTGCAAACAGAGACAATTTGACTTCCTGTCTTCCTATTTGAATAAGCTTTATTTCTTTCTTTTGGCTGATTGCCCTGGCCAGAACTTCCAAAACTATGTTGAATAGGAATGGAGAGAGAGGGCATCCTTATCTTGTACCGGTTTTCAAAAGGAATATCCAGGTTTTGCCCTTTCAATATGATATTGACTGTGGGTTTGTCAGAAATAGCTCTTATTTTGAGATATGTTCCATCAATACCTAGTCTATTGAGAGTTTTTAATACGAGGGGACTCTTTTTTTAAAAATGGAAAACATTTTTAAAAAAGAAAAGGGGAGTTATGTCATTATCTTGAACACATTTTAGAAGGCCTAGATAACATAATGTTAAGATTGAAACCATATAAACAATCAATGAAGGATAATAGCCCATATGTTTCACAGTTTCTTAATTGGAGATGGATTAGTTTTTAAGCAGTTATTGTACAATTACCACTTAATATGACATTTCCTAGTTTCAGTTGTTTTGTGTAGAATGAGATTTATATGATAATATACTAAACTATTAAATTATATATAAATTGTGATTAAGAAGAATTATAGTAAGGTATTCAAAAATTGATAACAGATTCCACTGGAAATTTGCTAATTTCTAGAAGAAGAATAACAGAATTCAGAGTCTGCACTGGGTATATATTGAAGAGGATTAAAATAGGACTAACATATAGAGCTGATTTCATGGCTCATCTTTGTGGAGTGACCTCTGGTTCATAGTGGATAGAAGTGTTAACTCAGCAAAACGTTAGAATGCTCTGATAAGCACCCTTAAGTCACATCTTGATAACTAGCCAACCACCTGGGAATAATTTGAGCTATGACTGATGATTGGTGATGAATGAATTATTGAACTCTCCAAAAAACAGTTCATATTTGCTAGGGAGCTACAATTTCTTAACCCAAAAGGAAAGCAGAGTATATTTTATTTTTGGCAAATAAGGAATTGTTCTGTGGGGTTTAATAAATTATTTACTCTTCTCCCCATTACTTATGACCCTATATCTGATTATGCTATATTGAGTCAACCCCTTGTGTACATGGATTCTGCTTGAGGGGATTCAATTAACCACTGATAGAAAATATTTGAAAAAAAAGCAATATAACAATAAAATTAATACAAATAAAAACAACATAGTATAACAACTATTTACATAAAATTTAAATTATATTGGATATTAAAAGTAATCTATACATGATTTAATGTATATGAGAGAATGTGTATAGGTTATATGCAAACACTATGCCATTTTCTATTAGGAACATGGCCATTTGCAGATTTTGTATTTGTGGAGGGTGAGAGGTCCTGGAATCAATCCACACTGGATACCATGGGATGACTATACTTTGTTTTTTTCCAAAATTGAATTTACTTTGGCATATGTGGCTACCTCCTCATTTAATGTTTGAAAAAAAAGAAACAACAAAATCTATTTCAAAAAGCGGGACAATAAAACCACATTATCAGGTAATATTTTTCTTTTGCCAACTATTTTTGTTTGCTTTTGAAATCCTCTTAATAGAATGAAACTAATGTCTTTGGAGGGAAAAACCAAACTGGTCTAATCTATTGTTTGCTATTCTTTGGATAAAACTAATTAACTTGACCTATTACTTTCCAATTTCTTGCTTGGTGTTCGTCATTGTGGAGACACACCTCACATCAAACAATTCTCTCAAGCTAACACAACAAGGATTTAAATCTGGAATGTATGTAATTTAATTATTTACCAAGTTGCTTTGTATCTAGAAGAATCTATGTGTGCAGAGCCCACTGTAAATTCTTCATTTGGTTGTGTATACATGGATATTGAAAAAGTTGTGAAATAGCCATTATTTTGTTGTGATATTGTTTGTTGTGAGTGTGATCCAACTGCAATTCTTGCCCTCTCATTGAGCACTTGCATTAATCTAGCTGATCTGGCTGCTGCTGATTCTCCTGTCATCTCATTGGAGAAGGACAACATCTTCAAAGGCTCAAACATCATTCCTCAGCCCATAAGTGTGGGAGCAATTGTGCTTCCTTGCCATAATCCCTGTGATTTTTTAATCTGCCTGGTTCCATTAAGATGACAATTAAATCACTGCTTCACCTATGCTTTAGAGAAACTGCTTTCCACTGCTACCAAATTGTTAAGTTTCACATACCCAGCATACTAGGAGAGTGTGATAAATGATACAGTTATTAGTTCTGCATAAATGTCAAGCTCTTGAAAATCCAGCTACATCACACCTCATGGCTTCTGCTATCAGCCTTTGCTCCCAACCAGTCTGTTCCAGAGGGTACCACTAGGCAAATGAGTTATTTAGAGCTGCTTGCCTTCTCTATCAGACAATGATAAGTCTGAGATAATTAAATCAAAAGCCCTCCCAACATCAGTGTGTCAATTGACTTGTAGACTCTTTGCTATAACTCCAAAGACTCTCTGAGCCATTATTTCTTAATTTTCCTCAGCTCCACCTCAGAAAACTTTTAAATTTAGTTTTTTTCTCCACTGTGCCCTAGTTCCTACAGTTTTACCAATGGAACAGTCTATTTTGAATGCTTCTTATGAATGTTCAGGCAACTGGACCCCAACTGAATACCAGAGCTTCCCCTTCCTGCATTAACCAGTGCCCCGACATTGGTCAGCAGATTAGGTTATACCCAATCCAGCTCTTTCTAGAGTTTAATTACTAGGAGCTGGGGTCCAATCAACCCTGTGATTTCTGTTTCCTGCCTGGGAAGAAATCCTGGGGAGAGGGGACTTGGAACTTAGTACTTAATCTATTTCCCTCCACACTTCTGAAACTATTTTTTCACTAGGCTAGATCAGATCTCCCTGTCACTCTGGCCCCTACGTCACTGTCCCTCTTACCTCCATGTATCCCTAGAGCTAATTCCTGCTATACCTTAGTTCAAAGTTGATCAGATTTTTGGTCCTCCCCTCAAGCTTCATTGTCTAACCAATTTCCCTAAAACCCAGGAATTCTCCCAAGTGTTTCTGCCATGAATGCAACTTTTCCATGGGCCCAAGCATGCTCTACAGCTTGGTGGTTTAAACTAATACTTTCCTAGAAACTTAATAGGGTAAGAGCTACCTATTTCCAGCTTGTCCTGCCAAGTAAAAGGAGAGGCAGCTTACCAGGCTGATATCTGCTGGGTGGATATCTGCTGGGTGGGTCTCTTCCTTACCAGAAGTTTCTTTGTCTATGCCAAGGTACCAGTAGTGATAGAAAAAGTGGGGATATCAGTTCTAAATTCCACCTTGTATCTTGGGACCTATTTTATTGCCAGGCTCATTTTCTGTGATTTGGGCCTTATTTACTTCTTAGCATCCCTGTTTTTGAGGGTCTTTTGGAATGGCTTAGAATTAACTTGTCTTATGTTTGACAACTGCCCTGTCTCTGTATTCACTTCTAAAATCTTACCCACATTTATTATTCCTGGAATTAGAGAAAGTCCTCATACCAATTCTGATCTAAATGGTCTATGCCGTTGCTTGGATAGGGTCTCTGATATGGCATTTTTGTTTGAATTCTGAGCATTGGCTATTAGCCTACTTCCCTGGACTCTGATTAGCTTTTCTCCCACCAGATCAACAATACTTGGATTAAATCAAACTAATTGCTTTTTCCAAACTCTGATATTGATCAGTGAAATTAAACTCTGAATAGGCACTTCCTTCAAAGTAGCAAACACAGCAGACACAGTACATCTGCTTTTATTAATCAGAATAGATGAAGTTAGTTAATACTATTTATTTCATTTTATTTTATTGAGAATAAGCTCTGCATTAGATAGCCAAATGGTGGTTTTAAGAAATTCCAGCAAACTGCTACTGCTCACAGCCTGGAAATTCCTAGCAAACCTATTATCAAGGGATGTAACTATAAACACAAAATTGCACAGCTCTCTTTTGAAGACTTTGTAATGTTTTCTTTGATATCATTTGGAAATAGTTATAAATTTGTGAAAGGGTTACACTTATGAATTCTGGGTTTTTCCTAAGGATCCCGCAGAAAAACCGAAAACTCAGATCCCTGTTTAAAGTCATGGAATAATTTCAACCATCATTTTTTCCATAATTCCAATAAAATACATTGTCTATCTCAAAATTAAATAATAATAATGTTTTAAGACTTACTCAAAGAGTCACAAAAATCTTTGAATAGATGCATTGTTGCAAATAGCCATTATAAACTATTAGTGTAATGGAATTGCTTTCTCTTATTGGTAAGGGATACTTTATATTGGGTTGATTTAACAAAGTTGTACAGACTACCCTATCTAACTAGATAATTCAACCTGTTTTTCTCTATCCATTCCTTTTCATTATCACATTTGTCTCATGTCGTAATTATATATGTATTTTTTGCATGTATGCTAATTTTCTGTCTTCACCACTACAGTGTAATGTATGTGCTCCATGAGACAGATAATAGGATTATTTTATGCTATTTTATCATAACCAGTATATGCTCAGCATCTATGGCTGCCACTGTGTCAGGTACCGAAAAAATATTTGTTAAATACATTAATTACAAGCATTCAACAAATGTTCAATTCTAACGTTCAATTCTAATGAATTTAAATGAAATTACATAAAGCTGCCTTTTAAATACAATCCAAGATAAAGATAGCTACACTGAAATAGAGTAATGTATGATATATATGTATATCATATACATTTAAAAACAAGTAGAAGTAATTTGGTAAATAAAATCTTGGTCTACTAATTTTTTATAATACATACATTTTGAAAATGTTTTTAAAGTCTAAAAACTTATCAATAATGTTTACTTTACATAATATCTCCATCAAAAATGAAAAGTCTGTAAGTTTAAGGATGACATGGTGGTTGGTGGGGAAGTTTACATTTTGGACAAAATAATTATTATTAATTCTGTGAACTGAATTATTCAAAACAAACAAGATAAAAATGTATCAGTGAATTAATTTTGTTCTATATTTACATATTTTAAGAAACTAAAGGACCTGGTATAGAATATAGGTGGTTTGGCTAAATATCAGCATGGAGGTGATGTGTAGTGAGGAGAGACACTTAAAAGTTTTAACTGATATTCACATGCATGTGAATATTATTGTGATGATTGAAAAATAAAACTAATGGAATCTTACTGTGTACCATAAAAACACAGTATCCAGAACCTATTATATGACAAACTAGCTGTCCCACCACACCTCAGATGTTCTGTTCAGTTCAGAGTCCCACATTCTAAAGGAGACATAGGTAGCATGTACTTCTCCAAAGACAAACACAGTGAGGACACAGGGGACTTGAAAATGTCACAGGGGCAAGGAATGTGTGCTGTGTCTTAAAAAGTGTGGGCATAAGCATTGTTTTAATTATATGAAAAGTTTATCCAGTAGGTCCAAAACTGGCATTGATAATGAGGCACCAGATTGCTAATCCAGAACCAGCTGTGGACTTCAAAAGTGGAAAAATTTGTCTAAGCCTGGTGAAGAACGTTGTAGCAAAATAATCAAAAGTGTTGGAATGGGATGCTTTTTAATATAATTGGTTTCATGAATCCTGAGATCTTCAAAGAGAAGGAAAAAAGAGAGAAAAAAATTAGTTAATTACCTACAAAACTCTTTTGACTGTAATGTTTGAAAATTGAATAAATAGCTAACAATGAATCCTTTAAGTCATAAGTGGTTTCTATTAAAAAATTATGTAATTCCTCCCTTAACCCCTGCTTGCTTATGTCATCTTATTATTTTAGTAATTATCTTTCACCCAGTAGAGCATGTGAATTTATCTTTTCTTTCACTGGGTTTACTAAAGGTATGAGCAGTAATCTTAATGACCTGTAATTTAAACAAGGTTTAACGAAAAGGGTAACATGTTGACCTGAGGGATGCTTTTGACACCATCTAATGTTTACTAGAACTTTCCAACCTCTAACCTTTTGCTTCATTTTACAGCGAATCATGCAAGCTACAATCTGATCACCCAAATTGAGCCAATAGAATGAATGCCTGGTGATCAATCAGCTGGTGTGTCACCTATGATCTCTGCTTTCAGGAATTAGGGGTTCTTCTTAACACAGTTGAAAAGCTTCCACTCACAATGGCCCCAGCCACAGTGTCAGATAAAAGTGCACCTTCATTAGCTAGCAACATGAAAGATGACGGTGGTTAGGTGGGGTAGTGAGTGCTGGTGGAGATCTTTTGACTGGACTTCAGGAAGCAGGAATGTGAGGTTTGATATTGCTTATTCAACCTTGGTTAGTTTCTTAATTTTTAATTTTTTTCATTTTTTTGAGAGAGAGTCTTATTCCATCGCTCAGGCTGGAGTGTAGAGGCATGATCACGGCTCACTGTAGCCTCGACCCCTCAGGCTCAATTGATTCTCCCACCTTAGCCTCCCAGGTAGCTGGGACCACAGGTTTGCACCATCACATTTGGCTAAATTTTTTGGTATTTTTTGCAAAGACAGGGGTTTACCATGTTGCCCTAGCTGGTCTCAAACTCCTGAGCTCAAGTGATCCTCCCAGCTTCGCCTCCCAAAGTGCTCAGATTATAGGTGTGAGCCACCACTCCAGCTGATTAGTTTTATAAATAGGCATGCAGAGCAAAGGTTATACATTTATATAATTCAGTGTCTCTCAAAATGCAGTTTAGGAATCATCTAAAAAATTATGTATTAGAGATTGCAGATGTCTCAGCACTACCTCTAGCAATTTTGATTCTATAAACTGAGGTTGTTGGGCTTGGGGATCTGCCTTTTTAGTAAGCAGCCCAGATAAAGCTCAGGAACATAGTTCACAGACATCACATTGAAAACAACTACTGGTTTAGGCAAAAATGAGAGATCTTCATATTTGTCAGGTGTTTCTTTTAGAACAGAGAACCAATTACGAGGGCAAAGAACTATGACAAATGTCAAACATGTATGTGTATGTGGTGGTGAGGAAGGTGAGCATTAAGCATTTGAAATATGGTTTGTGGACTACTATAGATAAAAGAAATTGTTAGATGCTGAGAAGTAGCCAGAAAAAGTAGAATGGTATTGAATTCCAAACTTCAAATTAAAAAAAAAAAAACAACAGCAGGATAGAGTTACAGAATTTATTAGGAGTTGAGTGTCAAACTTCCGTGTAATAACTTACAGCAAGACAGACCGCTCAATTTGCCTGGGAGTTAGCAAAATCTACAAGCTGGAATGACACATCATTATTCTTGCTATTGCACTTCCAGCCGTGCCAGGACAAGGGCACATGCTGCTATTCAAGTAACATACTGCTCTAATGCCAACAAGTAAGCATAGGACACAGAAGATACTAGGAGTAAAATGATCTTATAATGTTTGATATAGCTGTTCTGAACAGATTTCCTCTGCAGGTTTTGATGAAGGTCAACTCACCTCCTCTCAACCATCCCTGGAATAGCTGTAATTAATAATACAGGTCACAAAGGTGATTTGTCTCTATTTTTTTCATTTATATGTAAACAAAGAGCCTGAATGCAGCCTTTAAAACTGGCTGAATCTCAGTCAACAATCATTTTCTTCGTGTTGCTATGTTATTGCTTTCAAGTCTAAAAAGAAACTTGTATGAGAATTTCAGTGAGAACTTCAGCCTGAATCATGTCACTCAAAGATAGTTTGCATACCAAGAACCAATCAGAACAGACAGAATAAAAGCAGCCTGAAGTTCTTCATCGGGTTTACTTTACCTCTACCTCTCTCGTAATGCTTGACTGCAGCTCTGCATTAACAGGAATGGATTGAAGACAGAAATCATTCTCAGGCCTGAATCCCAGAGAAAACAGAAAACTTCTTATAAAGCTACTAACAGGGTAGCAGAAGTAAAGGGATGTTTTGGATCAGGCATGGCTTAACAAATAACTTATCAAAACAAAGTATTTCATTAAACAACTCAGAATGAGTATTTGCAAATTTATGGATTCTTCTAAACTAAAATGCTAAGAATAATGAGCATTTTCAGCATTACTTCATTCACTCATTTCCTTTTCTTTACTGGGTAGGGTTCCTACAGTAACGGTTGTGCTGGAGGAGCTCTCAGTCTACTTAGAGGGGAGTGCACAGTGCGCCGCAGCAGGCTTGCTGATGGCTGCAGTCTCAGGGAGGCTCCTAGCTAGCTGCAGTCACTACTCCTCCACAAGAGCACACAACTCCTGCTCCTTGACAGATGCCTGAAATAGTCCTAATGACATATTCTTTAGAAAGTGGTGGTCGCGAAAATTTTCTCCCATTTTGTAGGTTGCCTGTTCACTCTGATCGTAGTTTCTTTTGCTGTGCAGAAGCTCTTTAGTTTAATTAGATCCCATCTGTCAATTTTGGCTTTTGTTGCCATTGCTTTTGGTGTTTTAGACATGAAGTCCTTGCCCATGCCTATGTCCTGAATGGTAATGCCTAGGTTTTCTTCTAGGGTTTTTATGGTTTTAACAACGCAACCTACTCATCTGACAAAGGGCTAATATCCAGAATCTACAATGAACTCAAACAAATTTACAAGGAAAAAACAAACAACCCCATCAAAAAGTGGGCGAAGGACATGAACAGACACTTCTCAAAAGAAGACATTTATACAGCCAAAAAACACATGAAAACATGCTTACCATCACTGGCCATCAGAGAAATGCAAATCAAAACCACAATGAGATACCATCTCACACCAGTTAGAATGGCAATCATTAAAAAGTCAGGAAACAACAGGTGCAGGAGAGGATGTGGAGAAATAGGAACACTTTGACACTGTTGGTGGGACTGTAAACTAGTTCAACCATTGTGGAAGTCAGTGTGGCAATTCCTCAGGGATCTAGAACTAGAAATACCATTTGACCCAGCCATCCCATTACTGGGTATATACCCAAAGGACTATGAATCATGCTGCTCTAAAGACACATGCACACGTATGTTTATTGTGGCATTATTCACAATAGCAAAGACTTGGAACCAACCCAAATGTCCAACAATGATAGACTGGATTAAGAAAATGTGGCACATATACACCATGGAATACTATGCAGCCATAAAAAATGATGAGTTCATGTCCTTTGTAGGGACATGGATGAAATTGGAAATCATCATTCTCAGTAAACTATCGCAAGAACAAAAAACCAAAGGCCGCATATTCTCACTCGTAGGTGGGAATTGAACAATGAGAACACATGGTCACAGGAAGGGGAACATCACACTCTGGGGACTGTTGTGGGGTCGGGGGAGGGGGGAGGGATAGCATTGGGAGATATACCTAATGCTAGATGACGAGTCAATGGGTGCAGCGCACCAGCATGGCACATGTATACATATGTAACTAACCTGCACATTGTGCACATGTACCCTAAAACTTAAAGTATAATTAATAATAAATAAAATAAAATTTTAAAAAAAGAAAGTGGTGGTCGCTTAACACATGTTTGAATTCTATTATTTTTATTCAGTCAGATTATTCTTTGGCTTCATTTATTCTCTTTCATTCTCTAATGCTCCTTCCTTTGAAGATATAAAATAATTATTTTTTCACTCCTATGATACAGTTGCTCATATTTTATGAGAATGCACATTGTTAGTTTATTTTAAAAAGTGCCTCTATTTTGTCCTAATAATGTGATAAAGTAGTAACGACATATAAATATCTCTGCTAGAGCTTTGATTGGTGTTTGAAAGAGGCAAAATTAGAATACTGAGAGAATGAAAAAACTTTAATAGGTGAGGTGACATTTGATTTGCATTGAGCTTTGAAAAATAGAGTAGTATTTCAAATGTCATAGGTGGACAGGCTCAGAATGGCTTAACAAAAGAAACTCTTAGGATCATGAAATACCAAAAGGAGAATATTAATTATTTCAGAAAATTATGGCAAACAAGTGTTTTCATTCACAAATTCTTAGGATTGGACCAATCCAATGGAGAGTCAAATATTAATCTGGTAACATGTCATTTACAGTACCCCTACTTTATTCCCCAATTTCTTTAGAAAAGAGAGAAAAATAATTCAATGATCCAAGCTCTCACTTTCATTCCCATTCTCTTTTAAAATCTGTGTCTTATTTCCTGAGAATTTGTCTACTAAATAGAGGGAGGTAGTCCAAAATCACTAATATAATATGACAAAGTACTGTGCACAAAATCTTAAGCAAATGAAGCATGGCAATTTTCATTAAGTTAAAGCAGGCAAGGATTGCGCTATTTCTCCCCAGTAAAACAACAGCCAGGAAAGCATTTGCCGCCTCTTGCTATTATGAAGGAATTCGTCCTATTAATACTCGTGGCGTGATGGGCACATTCCTTCCCCAGGAAAGACTGACCTCCAGTCAGCGCGTCTGTATTTTCACTAAAAGAAGAGACTAGCTCATTTTGGAATTTTCATTATGCATTGAAATGTATTTTTTTTTTTTTTTTTTTTTTTTTTTTTTTACCAAGACTTTGGATTCTTGTCAGGATTTCCCCAGGATTAGAATGACATTTCTCTGCATTCAAAGCTTCTATAGAAGAAACTCAGCCAGCAGCCACCCTTGGTAGAGAATATAACTAGTGCTTTCTCTGCATCTAATTAGTATAGCTTTTAGATCTCTTCTCTGGCCAATTGTTTAAAATTATTCAAGGTCGGAGACTTTATAGAACAGTTGATTCAAGATTTTCAAGCTTAAAAATATGAGTCTTTGAAATTATGTAAAATTTTCTATTGGAGTCCCAATATACAAAATTAAAAAAATATACAAAACAATGCTTTTCATATAATTTATAAGTTCAGTTTCTATAACTTATTTACTATAAAGTCATTCAGTAAAAACAGTTCTGATAAAACAAATATTTAAAATCATGCATTTTTTTTCTGTATCATGCATTACGGAAGTATTTGTAGGAATATCTAAGCCCAAATTTCTGAAAATCTCAGGATATTCTTCAATTAAATAGAAATATCAGGTCACGTTTTATTTAAGGGTCAACACAAAACAAAATAATGAGGCAATGCTAATCAATGCATTGATGGATGTCAGTGTGTTATAATGGGAAAAATACATACTTAAGTAGGCATCTTGCTTTGTTTTGCTTTTCAACTACTATATATGTAGGTGTGGTTGTGTGTGTGCATGCATATGTATGCATGTTTGCAGGTTTGTCTTTTAGAGTTAAGTAGAATTTGATTGAAAGAGCTTTGTTCTTGTCCTTCATATAAATAAAA
Source organism: Homo sapiens (assembly GCF_000001405.40). NCBI lineage: Eukaryota > Metazoa > Chordata > Mammalia > Primates > Hominidae > Homo > Homo sapiens. The sequence goes on along the minus strand of NC_000006.12, from coordinate 81,363,216 downwards.
AGAAAAGAAAAAAGACACCAAGACTCAGAGAAGAAACTCATGCTAGATCATTTCACAATCTACTGAAAGAAAAGTAATCATAACATAAATTGTCTGACTCCCACTGTTGTTTTTCTTTAATGTATTACTGTCGATATTGTTGCTATTATTACTATCATTGTAAAGAGAAACATTCAAGAAATAATAAAATCATAAAAGGTTAGCACTGGAGAGAGCTTTGGTTTCTTGAACTTGTGAGGTGAAGTAAGTGATTGGTAATGTGACCGAAACCACATCAATTGAGTAGCAGGACCCTGAGATTTCTGACTCTTCTTACAGTGTTTTTCTGTCTTTATCTTACTGCTTCTAAGTTCAACAGGAATCTTTTTAAGAAATAGGTTTAAAAGAGCGTGTCTCACCTGAAGCAATCGCACTCAGGTTTTGATAGTATTTAGCTCAATCCATTGAGAAACAATACTTATTTTGAGAATTAGAAAAAATACAACCATTGCAAAATATGTATTTTCCAAATTAGACCTATATCCTTATTATAACCTTTTAGCTCAATTTACTATGCACCTGTTGCTTAGAGTATAGGGCATTATTTTAAATGCCAGATGAATAAATTTTTGCTCTGTAGTCACAGATAAACCAACGTTACATCCATTTATTTTCTATATTCCTGAACTTGAGGGTATCTATCCTCTTAACAGGAAAAATGTGCACCATATGTAAAGCATTTTCTATTGTACTTAAAGATGTTGTCTTTGTGACTCATGCAAGACTTCTACTCTCTGAATTTACCCTGAAATCACCACAAGCACCTATTAAGTATTCCTCACTACTACTGAATTTGCAGTCAAAGTGGAAATATGATGCCTTCTCTGGGTTTGAATACCAAAGGGAATGTTTATAAAGTAAAAATAATATTGCAATTTGACTTCTTTAATAAATGTGAATGGTGCATATTAAGTTTGTAATTAAAATACTTTCTGTCATTTTGGGGCTTTTAAATGTTGGATGATGTCTGTGTTTCATTTATATTCACTTTTTGAAATTAATAATAAACATTTCCAAATAGGGATGATTGTGGTTATAACTTTTGCTTGGTCTCATTTGAAATTCCAGGATCTAAGACTTCTCCCTCTGGTTCTCTGTGTGTCTTGTATTACAATTTTGTTACTGTTATTTGTGCTTGAAAAAATATTTTACCTATAGTCTTAATATTATGCATATGCTTAAGTTTTTAGAAAAATATGTGAAGTAGAGTGAATGTATATCAGATAGATGAACTGTAATATTTTAGAGACATTTAAGCCTTTTAAAGAATACATGCAGTTTGTGTGTGTGACAAGAAAAATTATGTTAAATTTGCTCAAATGTATTCAGCTGCCACACTGATTTGGAGCTTTCACACTGACTTCCATTTGGCCCTGGGATTCCCTGAAACAACTTTAGTAGATTTTTGAAAATATGACCAACAGAATTGTTTCTACTCTTTCACCTGGAGGTCTGCTAGCTCTATCAGTTGGTTTTCAGATGCATGAAAGTTAATCCCCAATGTTTCCATGACCTCACAGTATTGAGCTTTCTGTACAAATAAAACGTGAACCTGACTGAACACAATATCCTAAGGAAGGTCTCCCATCTCAAAACGAAGTGAAATGGCTTCCTTTTGCTTAATGTCTTTTTCTGTAAGTAAAGCATGAGACTATACATGCCATGGAAAAAGAATGAAAGCTTAAAATTGTATTCTGTAAAAAAATATACACACTGTGCGTGTGTATGTGTGTGTGACAGAGAGAGAAAGAGAGCAATTAGAGGGTTCATCTTCTTTTTTCACTCTTACTGGTGGATTATTACTTAAAACTGGTATATCAGTTATTCTGAGTTTAAATTTTGTTTTGAAAGTTTACCCTATAGAATGTGTTCTGTTTCTTTATTAGGTAGACAATTCAGCTACATTCTTCTGGATCTTTATTCATACAGAATCTGATTTTTTTCTCATGGGATTAAATATAAATAAAAATATTTAAAGTATCTTTTATTATATTTTTGTAGTAGAGCCTATTTTAAAAATTGGTAACTGCCATCATCTGATGGATTTTGTGACTACTCCCTGTTTAAATTTTTTATTTTTGGTCTTTGTATTCATTATCATCAAGTGATAAATGTGTTGAAAAAATATGAATAAAAAGGTTCATTTTTCTCAACTACTGTTACAAGAAATGAGAGAAAAATTTCTTTAGTCATACTTTTTTCTATAAATATGTAATCCTTTATACAAAGAATACTGTCAATTAATTAATTGCATTTTTACCTGACTTGTCTCTCTATAGGTAGAAGGTAGACAAGGAGAGACAGAAGCAAGAGTTAAACCTAACTCCCATGAGCCCCTATTTTCAATTGGAACTTCAAATTACATCAATCTTTGTTAATTAACCTTTAACTGTCACATGTGGTGTTTCTAGAAGCTGCTGTCTCTTACCTGACCATTGGGAACCTGGAAGGGTCTGCTATAACCCTCAGCTGAGCTTCTTAGGTATGACCAACTCACTCCTTCAGAGGCAAAAGAAAAAAAAAAAAAAAACTTATAGCTATAGCTTGGTATAGCTTCACTGGATGCACCAACTGTGGTCCCTTGGTGACACACTTTTATAACTTTCTAATTTTGTTTATGGCAGTTTTAATGGTGAAACATATAATCACAACTTTCTAGCTCTTTGGGACATCAAGTGCAAGTCCTCCTTATTCCCTAAAACAGAGAATAAAAATGATAAAAGTATTATTTTTGGACAAAGAAGGAATTCAGAAATGTGTGTATTGCATGATTCTACCTTTGTTGTAATCTATATGATTTTATTTTCTGTGAAGTGAAATGCCTTAAGAATAGTGATAATAGATTACATTTGTTTCCTATGAGAAGAAAGAAATATCACAGATCTAAGCTCAATAGTCCCTGCTCCATTTAGAGCCCTTTGAAGATTCCCCATAACAGCAGAAATGTTCTTTCCTTGGGGATCCAATGGCTCACTAATCTGATATTTCTTCATGAGACCTCATCAAAGTCTACAATGATACTTCACTATGTTGCCTGGTGCTTCTTGTGAAGAATAGGTTATCTTGTAGTCCACTGGCATGTGGTTCTGTGTCACCTCATGATACTTATTAGTCCTTACTCTGTTGAGAAAAAAAATAATGGTTTGGTTCATTTGAGCACAAAAGGCAGCGCTTGGAAGTCAGCTGGGTTTACAACCTAGGGCCAATGCCTCTGAGCCTTTATTTCCTTGTTTTAAAAACAGGGATAAAGCTTCCCTGTGGTGAAATTAGGGTGAATTATGACTTAGTATTTTTCAAACATTAATGTTGGTAAGAATCACATGGTAGATTCTGATTCAATGATCTGAGGAGGGGCTTGATATTTTGCATTTTTAACAAGCTCACAGTTGACCCCAACATGGCTGGTTCATAGATCATGCCTTGAGCAGCAAGATTATAAGTGAGAGACTGAATATACAAACAGACAATGACCAATCATATATTTAAAAAAAGAAATTTGATCCATAAGCTGTAACAACCAGGTCCAGGAAGCCAATCCTTATCAATAATAATCAGCCCAGGAAGCCAAGCTGCTATAAGTCAGAACTTTTGGAAGTCAGAATGTTATCTCTAGTAATAATTGAGGAAGCCAAGTGATAATCTCTGTAGCACTCGGCCGAAAATGGCCAGAATTGGATTAATAATTGACAGCTGCCCTAACTTTTGTTTCCACTTCCAACTTTAAACCTACAGAAAAAGCCAAATATGCATTCTTAGCCAATCATGTAGGATATCCTATTTCTGCTTAGCCCACCTGCAGCTTTATATGCCAAGAGCCTCACATCAGGGCATACCTAAAGCCTTCCCTTTTTTCACTATAAAGTTTTCCTACTCTTCTGCCTGCCTTTGAGTTTGCCAAATGCAAAGTGGTGGCTGCATTTGGCGGCTATAGCAAGCTCTGAATAAATAGCCTTTGTTTGTTTTCATTTGGACAGTCTTTATTTCTACTGCACTGGTTTATGAAAAGTGCCTGCCATTTAGTAAGGACCAAACAAATTGTAGCTTTAGGCCTCTAAAGGAGAGTGGGGCTAGGTACCTCTCCTTACACCAGAGTGGGGCTTCATCCTCCAGCCCTTCACCTTCCACTCCCTAGAAGGGCTGGTTTACTAGTCTCACTGAAGTTCACACACTCTCTGCCTACTTCTCTTTTCCATGGTAATATATTCCCTTGAAATGGAAGGAACTTGATTATTTGCTTTTGTTGACATTATCCTCTCCCTTCACCTGGTTGCAAGGAAGCCCATACAATTACCAGCTAACTTCTTTCTCCTTCCTTCTAACAACTGTAGTAATAGGCTAGGGCTATTCACCTACTCAGAGAAAGAGCAGGCCATTTCTCATTGAGGTGCTCATCAACCTCATCTCTTCATTAACCTGTTCCACATGTTCTGATCTAAAGGTGATACAATGGTCAGAATTAAGTTTCTGGTAGGAAAAGAGGGAAGGAAACCTCTATAGGCCAAAATCACATACTGTATCCCAGTTTTTAAGGGATAGCTATATTTGAGTTGGGTCACTATCAACAAAGCACAAATGACAATTTCCTTTACTATTTTCATTATATTTTGGTCTCCCTTGGGGACCTCACTTGGGGGAGAAATGGCTGAAGCAAGGCGGGATTTGGACATTCTTGACTTTTATAGCCTAGTGTCACCCAACAGCATTCCAATCGCACATCCTTTTTTCTAATGATGATTTTCAACTACACATAAATATGTTTACTTGAGGTACCTTGAAACAAGGAATATAGACATATTCCAAAGAGGAAGAGGAAGAGGAAGAAAGGGTGAAGCTGACTTCTAACACTCCAAGCTGAAATGCAAATACTCCACTCAAAATTTGAATGTTTGCTCAAATGCAAACACTCCAAGCTCAAATGTAAATGCCATTAAATGGCATTGTGGGTCATAGTATTTGCATTTGCCACAGTAAAAAGAACAATATATAAGGACTATCTCAAACGTAAATACACTAGAAAAGCTTGATGAGCATCGGAATTGTTAGAAGGGTGTTTATTTTAAAACACTTCTTCAACAAAGGAGAAAACACTTTCAAATTTTTATCTCTACCCAGCATTTTATTCATGTAATTGAATAATTAAAATTGCATCTTGATAACAGCTTGTTAGTATACTTTATTATTTAATGTGGTCAAAAATATATGATAACTCAATGCATTTATCTTGTGAATGCTTTTCAAGTTTCTCTGTTTTCCTGTAGGGTATCTCATAATATAGAAAAAGACCTGATTTTTTTAAGGAGTATTGATATGATTTTACTCTGTGTCCCCACCCAAATCTCATCTCGAATTATAATCCCCATGTATCAAGGGAAGGACCTGGTAGGAGGTGATTGGATCATGAGGGTGGTTTCCCCCATGCTGTTCAAGTGATAGTGAGGAAGTTTCCACAAAATCTGATGGTTTTAAAAGTGTCAGTTTTTCCTGCTCTCTCTCTCCGGCTGCCATGTAAGACATGCCTTTCTTCTTCCACCATGATTATAACTTTCCTGAAGCATCCCCAGCCATACAGAACTGTGAGTCAGATAAACCCCCTTTAATTGGAGGTTTATAAATAAATGGAGGTTAAATGACCTAGTCTCAGGTAGTATCTTTATAGCAGTGAAAGAATGAACTAATACAAATACCTTTCTATTTTCTCAATAGCACAAGGTAATTAAAAGGGTTTTACTTAAAGCCAAGGCTCAGGAAAGGAATGAGATCACTGTAAAACTTTGCCAAAATATCATTTCTTAGGCTTCCTTGCAGATGCAGATTCTGATTCAGTAGTTTTGGAGTAAGGCCCTTGAATCTGCATTTTTAAAAGCTCTCTAAATAATTCTGGTGCTGTCAGGTTTGGCTTTGGAGTCACAATTAAATTGATGCCAATTAGCATAATTAAAGTGCTTCTAGATTGGAAGAGCTTGCAGTCTTTTGTGAAAAAGAACAATTTAATTCAATTCAACAACATTTATTGAATGCCTACTCTGTGCCAGGCACTTTGGGGTATGCTATAGACAAAGAAGTGTATGCCACAGCGTTCTTGTCCTCAGTTGGCTCAGAGAGTAGCAGGAAAAGGAGAGGGACAGAGAAAGAGAGACACCTAGACACACAGAGCAAAGGGGGGGAAGAAAAGAATGAGAGAGAGCAAAGAGGGAGAGAAAAAAAGGAAGGAAGAAGTAGAAGGGAAAAAGGGAGGTAGGAAAGAAATTAATTAACCTACTTGCAAAATGTGGTAAGAAAGATGGCAATGAATTCCACTGGAATATACTGATAAACGAGGAATGGAGCAAATGCTACAAAAGAGAAGATAACTTTGGGTCTGTCTTGTTGGGGGATTACAATATATACATTAGAATGGTTCTCAACCACCCTATTGAGCCACGTGTGATGGCAAATGTAGTTGTAGTTGTTGTGGGGCTGTCACTAGCATTTGGAAACCATGAAGTACTCTTGTAAAAAGTACCCATAGTACCCCTTTAAGAAACCTATTTCATGAGTTGATGAAATGGAAAAAAAAAATCATAGACAATCACAAGGTTAGGGAAGTATGAGATAAGAATGTTGGTTAAGAGTGCTATTATAGTACTCTTTTTAACAAGAATAATAATAGAAAAAAGTAATAAAGTTGTATGAAGAGTTGCAGATGCTAAATTTTTATTGGTCTGATAATGGAATTTACACCATATCAGTTTGGAGCTTCAGACTGATATTAGTGGCAATGAAATTACCAAAATAAAATCAGGTCTTATTAACAGGAAGCAGCATAGAGCAATGTCTTCCCTTTAGGTCCTCAAAAACCAAGCCTTAACCAATTGCTTTATAATTGGCTCTAGCATCTACTATTTCATGAATTGAATAAAGTCACCTCAAGCATGCTTAAAATTTCATTGATTTTTCAATTTTTTTCATGTCAGTAGCATTTTTGAAATATACTTTCTTTGCTCAGCTACATATGATACTTTTTGGTTTTTGCTCAGCTGTATATGAAACTTTTGTTTTTAATTGTCACCCCTGTTTGTAATCAAAACAGTTAACTGGTGGATTTTCTATTAAACCAAAAATCCTAATGATAGGGTAAGAATCCTTGTGGCCATGTAGATGATGGGTATGTGTGTTCTGCTAGAAACATGCCTCAGAGAGCATAAGAAAAGTGTTACCCAAATACTTAAGAGTAATTTAGGGCACATAGTAAGGCCTTTTAAAACTACACCTAGCTAGATTCTTGAATAACATTCCTTACCTTTCCCTTGAAAAGAATCATTTCTGTTTCTCTATATATTCGAGAAATCCTGTTCATAGTTGCCATGGTATGCTCACTTGAATGAAACTCTTATTATTTTTTAAAAGTTCAAATAAACAATTGGTTATAAGCAGAACTGGATAATTGAATAAGTAGAACTGAATAGTAACAAGTAGAACTGAATACAAAGTGATTGTTTTGCAATTATTAGCACTTTCCTATGATATTACATTAATATTGTCTTTTGTATAAGAAAATATTTCCTGTGATAATACATTAACAGCATAATTGTTTTCTAATAAAGCAACCAAGGGCATTTTCAAGACATTTAGTTTAAATCAGACATCAAACAGTTTCAAAATCTTCGATTTCTGATTCTAAGCTTAGTGATCCATACTTCAAGAAATGGGCTATTTTCTCAATAGTCCACTTAGACTCTTCTCTACCAAGGCGAAGTCCAATATCAAATATTCAAGCTCAGGTTTCACCAACAGCTACAGCAATATTTTACTTTATTCTTGCCTAACAATGTTAGTACATTTAGGACATTTCCAGCAGTAATTTTGATGACCCTCTGTCCATAGTGACCAATTGAAAAGATATTATGAAACTTCTTTGAATACAATAACTATTTGACTGGAATTATTTATCATCTGAATCCTGACCTGGGAGCCAATTTTTAAAACTGAATCATCTTTCTTTCAGTAACTTAGTATTTATCATAAACCATAGAATGAACCATTGTCTTCCTTTGCTGTCTCAACCAGTCAGCATGTAGAAGTTCATTCATTCCATCAATGAAGCCAAGGACATGCATCAAGTCCCAGTGTGAACAATTATGTCTGTACAAAGAAAAACATCAAAGTCTGGAATGAAGTATCAGAGTTCATCTGTCCATCTCTTCATGTCTCAGCTTAGGGAAGAGAGATCCAGAATGGTTACCTGTTTTGACTTTTCTAGACACAAACTGGGGTCACTTGGCAGAATCAGAAGCAGAACTTGGAAACAATGACTTCTTATTCATTGTTCTTTCTTTTAAGTCACAAATAATTCTGCTTCTAACTTGCAGATACCATCTCCAAATATGATCCTTGGGATGGATAATTGCTAGGAGGAATTAGGCTAAGACTGTGCATGGATCAATGACATAGTATTCCCATTCATGTGGGAAGCACAAAGAGCATGTCATACTGATGGAAGATCAGAAGAATAATCATTCTACATCAGTGTCATATTTTCGTAGCACATTTTGGAGTAGAGAGCAAATGTTAAGATTTACATTCTGAATTAAAGTAGATGGTTGAGACTAAGATAGCTCTGTCAATTATTAGGTATGTGATTTGGGGGCAAAATATTTATTTTTTAAGCCTGAGTCAATAGTATTACTATGTGAGATTTTCAGGATTAATGAAATGACCTATGTTAAATGTCATATTAGTGAATTTTGCTTCTATTAATATTGAGGCCTTTTTATCTGAGGTTCTTCATGGTTGTTAATATCAGGAAGAATAAAAAACAAACTAATAATTTTGGATATAATTTAATTTAATATGTAGCATCTCTTTCTAGAAAAACACAGTAAGACATATGCACAAATTGTATATGTAATAATTAAGTATCCTCAAATAAACACAGCAATTTTCTTCCTTTGACAGGGAACTTATACTAGGATATGTAATTATGTGTGTTATAATTATATTTACATTATTTAATGAGACAGTGATATGAAAGCAATAAATCAGTATGCAAATGGAAAGAAAAACACACTTTAAATTATATTAATTTATAATGTAATCTCGTGATTCTTTTACTAATTCTCATCAGTTACAGAAGATTTTCATAATTCATGAGTGTTATGAGTCCTTTTATGACCCACAAGGAATAAATATCTTTTTCTTATTAGCTTAAAGAGTAAGGATCATCTCAATAGAAAATGCTTTCATTCATGCCACAAATTTTCATGGAGTTTCTTTTAACATGGCCTTATAAAGCACAGTAAGTTATTTAATTTGTATGGATTCTTTAATGATTCAATGATTATTTAATGAAATAAACAGAATTATATTTTGTCATAATGAAAAACTATGGAAAGCACTTTTTCCATTCACCTTGCAAAGTAGCTCTGTAACATTTTTAGAACTGTAACAGAGTATTAGCTCAAAGAATGGAAAAAAATATGCCTCTAATTCCAAGGCCCATCACATCTCTCTCTTTTGTGTATTGTGTTCTTTGTGATCACATCCAAATTAAACATTTTCTAATTCAAGAATAGTAGTTAAACATTTAGTAAAACGATGTGACAGTATACCTTTTAAATTGTACCAAAGAAAAATGGAAACGCAATAGCGTTTCTTGCAGGGAGATGATTCAGAGCCACTTTCTGTAATTGCACTGTTGATTTTATGTCTGGGTCACAAGTAATGTAGTATAGTGCAGAATTTAGCCCTGGAAGCTGGGCTAGGACACAGACTGCATTACCTAGCACAAGAATAATATGTGATGCAAATACAAGACTATTCCTTGAAGAGTTGGAATATATTGCAACTGTGACAAGTTAAGCTGGCCTAATTTCATCTCATTTAAAATTTTGCATCTGAACATTGAGAAAATATTAATGGAATGCCTGTTTTATTTCAAGTGTTGAGCTCATAATGCATATTTCAAGTTGTTTATGAAACATTTAAATCTAGGTGTTCCATCTAGAACCTAGTATGTTCAGAAGCAAACTGGTTCTTTCCACCCCTATCATGTAACCTGCTTCTTTTTCTCTGCTTACTATAGGAGGTCCAAGAGAGAAACCTGCATGTTGTTGAAATTTCTTTCTCTCTCACTTAACTACATATAATTTATCACCAAATCCAATTGACTTAGTTTCTGCAACACCTTTTAAATGCAACATTTTCATAGCAAAAGAAGCTATCAAAAGAGTAAACAGGCACCCTACAGAAGGAGAGGAAATATTCATAAACTATGCATCTGACAAAGGTTTAATATCCAGAATCAAGAAAGAACTAAAACAAATCAACAAGCAAAAAACAAATAACCTCATTAAAAAGTGCATAAAAAACATGAACAAGCACTTCATGAAAGAAGACATACAAGCAGCCAGTAAACATGAAAAAATGCTTCACATCACTAATCATCAGAGACAGTAATCATCAAAACAGTAACATCTCACACCAGTCAGAATGGCTAATATTAAAAAGGCAAAAAACAAACAAACAACAACAACAACAACAAAAAACAGCAGACGTTGGCGAGGCTGAAGAGAAAAGGGAATGCTTATACATTGTTGGTGGGAATGTAAATTAGTTTACCCACTGTGGAATGCAGTTTGGCAATTTTTCAAAGAACTTAAAACAGAGCTACCATTCAACTCCTGAAAGAAAATAAATCATTCTACCAAAAAGACATATGTACATGTATGTTAATTTCAGCACTATAAACTATAGCAAAGACATGGAATCAACCTAAATGCCCATTAATGGTGAATTGGATAAAAAAAAATGTGGTATATATACACCATGGAATACTACCCAAATATAAAAAAGAATAAAGTCTTGTCCTTTGCAGAAACATGGAATTAGGTGGAGTCTGTTATCCTAAGCAAATTAATGCAGGAACAGAAAACCAAATCTCACATATTTTCACTTATAAGAAGAAGCTAAACATTGGATGTACATGGACACAAACATGGGAAGACTAGACACTGACGATTCCAAAAGGGGAGAAGGAGGGAGAGTGCAAGGGCTGAAAAACTACCTCTTGGGTACTATGCTCACTATCTGAATCAATTGCACCCAAACCTCAGCACTGCACAATACATCATTGTAACAAACATGCATGCATGCTCCCTAAATATAAAATCAAAGTTGAAATTTTAAAAAGTTTCCAGGAAAAAAAAAAAACAGAAAAAGAAAACTTAGCACTTACTTTGCACTATAAGTACTCCTGGTCTAATGCAATCCCTTATTTCTGTCCTGGTCTATTTCAATAGTCTACTATCCAGTCATTCTGTTACTGAGGGTTCTTGCTCATAGAGCTTCCAAGATGGTGGTGAGCTGCTTCCAAGATGATGGTGGGCTGCTTCCAAGATGGTGGCAAGCCTCGTGTTCTCTGACCTGGGGTTCCTGGGCTCACGGATGCCAAGGAATGGAATCTTGGGCCAGGTGGTGAGTGTTACAGCTCTATTAGAAACCGTGGGTCACGGAAGAGAATGGTGGAACCCAGTGACTAGTGTTCAGCTCGATTAGGATGAACCCAGGCACTTAGCCATGTGGGAACAATGGCAAGCCTTTAGCCCAATTGGGAGTGGCAATGGGCACCTTGCTGGATCAGGAGCACAGCAGACACCCTGCCAGATCCGGAAGAATGGAAGTCAGCGGCGGGTCTGCGATGGCAGTGAAACAGCAGTGGTGGACAGCAAGCCAAGCTCTGCTCAAACCGTAACAAACATGGACCAGAAGATTGCAGTTGCAAGATTTAATAGAGTGAAATAGAGTGAAAACAGAGCTCCCATACAAGGGGAGGGGACCCAAAGGGGGTTGCCATTGCTGGCTCGAATGCCTGGGTTTATATCCTGATCATTGTCCCTCCCACTGTGCTCTCAGGAACAGATGATTGGCTATTTCTTTACCTCCTGTTTTTGCCTAATTAGCATTTTAGTGAGCTCTCCTTACTATCTGATTGGTCGGGTGTGAGCTAAGTTGCAAGCCCTGTGTTTAAAGGTGGAAGTGGTTGACAGGCCTCTGAGCCCAAGCCAAGCCATCACATCCCCTGTGACTTGCATGTATATGCCCAGATGGCCTGAAGTAACTGAAGAATCACAAAAGAAGTGAAAAGGCCCTGCCCTGCCTTAACTGATGACATTCCACCATTGTGATTTGTTCCTGCCCCACCTTAACTGAGTGACTAACCCTGTGAATTTCCTTCTCCTGGCTCAGAAGCTCCCCCACTGAGCACCTTGTGACCCCCGCCCCTGCCCACCAGAAAACAACCCCCTTTGACTGTAATTTTCCATTACCTTCCCAAACCCTATAAAATGGCCCCACCCCTATCTCCCTTCGCTGACTCTCTTTTCGGACTCAGCCCACCTGCACCCAGGTGAAATAAACAGCCTTGTTGCTCACACAAAGCCTGTTTGGTGGTCTCTTCACACGGACGCGCATGAAATTTGGTGCCATGACTCGGATCGGGGGACCTCCCTTGGGAGATCAATCCCCTGTCCTCCTGCTCTTTGCTCCATGAAAAAGATCCACCTATGACCTCGAGTCCTCAGACCCACCAGCCTAAGGAACATCTCACCAATTTTAAATTGGGTAAGCAGCCTCTTCTTACTCTCTTCTCCAAGCTCTCTCACTGTCCCTCAACCACTTTCTCCTTTCCACTCTTCAATCTCTCCCTTCTCTTAATTTCAATTCCTTTCATTTTCTGGGAGAGACAAAGGAGACATATTTAATCCATGGACCCAAAACTCCGGCGCTGGTCATAGACTGGGAAGACAGTCTTCCCTTGGTGTTTAATCATTGCAGGGATGCCTCTCTGATTAAACACACAGGTTTCAAGGGTGTCAGACCACACAGGGACGCCTGCCTTGGTCCTTCACCCTTAGCGGCAAGTCCCGTTTTTCTGGGGAAGGGGCAAGTACCTCAACCCCTTCTCTCCTTGTCTCTACTCCTTCTCTGCTTTTCTGGGAGAGGGGCAAGTACCCCTCAACCCCCTCTCCTTCACCCTTAGCGGCAAGTCCCACTTTTCTATGGGGCAAGAACCCCCAATCCCTTATTTCCATGCCCCAACCTCTTATCTCTGCACCACAATCCCTTATTTCTGTGCCCCAACCTCTTATCTCTGTGCCCCAATCCCTAATTTCTGCACCCCGACCTCTTATCTCTGTTCCCCATCCCTTATTTCTGCACCCCAACCTCGTATCTCTGTGCCCCAATCCCTTACTTCTGCACCCCAACCTCTTATATCTCTGCACTACAATCCCTTATTTCCATGCCCCAACCTCTTATCTCTGCACCCCAATCCCTTATTTCTGTGCCCTGACCCCTTATTTCCATGCCCCGACCCCTTATTTCCGTGCCCCAATCCCTTATTTCTGCACCCCATCCTCTTATCTCTGTGCCCCAATCGCTTATTTCTGTGCCCCAACCTCGTATCTCTGCACCCCAATCCCTTATTTCCGCACACTGACCTCTTATCTCTGTGCCCCAATCCCTTATTTCCATGCCCCAACCCCTTCTGTGCTTTTCTGGAGGGCAAGAACCCCCCACCCCTTCTCTGTGTCTCTACTCTTTTCTCTGGGCTTGCCTCCTTCACTATGGGTAAGCTTCCACCTTCCATTCCTCCTTCTTCTCCCTTAGCCTGTGTTCTCAAAAACTTAAAACCTGTTCAACTCACACCTGACCTAAAACCTAAATGCCTTATTTTCTTCTGCAATGCCGCTTGACCCCAATACAAACTCGACAGTAGTTCCAAATAGCCAGAAAACAGCAATTTCAATTTTTCCATCCTACAAGATCTGAATAATTCTTGTAAAATAGGCAAATGGTCTGAGATGCCTGATGTCCAGGCATTCTTTTACACATCAGTCCCTTCCTAGTCTCTGTGCCCAGTGCAACTCATCCCAAATCTTCCTTCTTTCCCCCCTGCCTGTCCCCTCAGTCCCAACCCCAAGCGTCACTGAGTCTTTCTAATATTCCTTTTCTACAAACCTATCTGACCTCTCCCCTCCTCGCCAGGCTGAGCTAGGTCCCAATTCTTCCACCCTATAATCTTTTTATCACCTCCCCTCCTCACAACTGGTCTGGCTTACAGTTTCGTTCCGTGACTAGCCCTCCCCCACCTGCCCAGCAATTTACTCTTAAAAAGGTGGCTGGAGCCAAAGGCATAGTCAGGGTTAATGCTCCTTTTTCTTTATCCCAAATCAGAAGCGTTTAGGCTCTTTTTCATCAAATATAAAAATCCAGCCCAGTTCATGGCTCATTTGGCAGCAACCCTGAGACACTTTACAACCCTAAAATGTCAAAAGGCCGTCTTATTCTCAATATACATTTTATTAACCAATCTGCTCCCGAAATTAAATAAAACTCCAAAAATTGGAATCTGGCCCTCAAACCCCACAACAAGACTTAATTAACCTCACCTTCAAGGTGTGCAATAACAGAAAATAGTTGCAATTCCTTGCCTCCACTGTGAGACAAACCCCAGCCACATCTCCAGCACACAAGAACTTCCAAACGCCTGAACTGCAGCAGCCAGGCGTTCCTCCAGAACCTCCTCCCCCAGGAGCTTGCTACAAGTGCCAGAAATCTGACCACCAGGCCAAGGAATGCCTGCAGCCCAGGATTCCTCCTAAGCCGTGTCCCATCTGTGCGGGACCCCACTGGAAATCGGACTGTTCAGCTCACCTGGCAGCCACTCCCAGAGCCCCTGGAACTCTGGCCCAAGGCTCTCTGACTGACTCCTTTTGGGCTTAGCGGCTGAAGACTGACGCTGCCTGATCACCTCGGAAGCCCCATAGACCATCACAGACGCCGAGCTTTGGATAACTCTCACAGTGGAAGGTAAGTCCGTCCCCTTCTTAATCAATACGGAGGCTACCCACTCCACATTACCTTCTTTTCAAGGACCTGTTTCCCTTGCCTCCATAACTGTTGTGGGTATTGACAGCCAGGCTTCTAAACCTCTTAAAACTCCCCAACTCTGGTGCCAACTTAGACAATACTCTTTTATGCACCCTTTTTTAGTTATCCCCACCTGCCCAGTTCCCTTATTAGGCCGAGATATTTTAACCAAATTATCTGCTTCCCTGACTATTCCTGGACTATAGCCGCATCTCATTGCTGCCCTTCTTCCCAATCCAAAGCCTCCTTTGCGTCCTTCTCTTGTATTCCCCCACCTTAACCCACAAGTATAAGATACCTCTACTCCCTCCTTGGTGACCAATCATGCGCCCCTTACCATCTCATTAAAACCTAATCACCCTTACCCCACTCAATGCCAATATCCCATCCCAGAGCACGCTTTAAAAGGATTAAAGCCTGTTATCACTCACCTGCTACAGCATGGGCTTCTAAAACCTATAAACTCTCCTTACCATTCCCCCATTTTACCTGTCCTAAAACCAGACAAGCCTTACAAGTTAGTTCAGAATCTGTGCCTTATCAACCAAATTGTTTTGCCTATCCAACCCATGGTGCCAAACCCATATACTCTCCTATCCTCAATACCTCCCTCTACTACCCATTATTCTGTTCTGGATCTCAAACATGCTTTCTTTACTATTCCTTTGCACCCTTCACCCCAGCCTCTCTTTGCCTTCACTTAGTTTGACCCTGACACCCATTAGGCTCAGCAAATTACCTGGGCTGCACTGCCGCAAGGCTTCACAGACAGCCCCCATTACTTCAGCCAAGCCCAAATTTCATCCTCATCTGTTACCTATCTTGGCATAATTCTCATAAAAACACACGTGCTCTCCCTGCTGATCATGTCCGATTAATCTCCCAAACCTCAATCCCTTACAAAACAACAACTCCTTTCCTTCCTAGGCATGGTTAGTGTGGTCAGAATTCTTACACAAGAGCCAGGACCACACCGTGTAGCCTTTCTGTCCAAACAACTTGACCTTACTGTTTTAGCCTAGCCCTCATGTCTGTGTGCAGCAGCTGCTGCTGCTTTAATACTGTTAGAGGCCCTAAAAATCACAAACTATGCTCAACTCACTCTCTACATTTCTCATAACTTCCAAAATCTATTTTCTTCCTCATACCTGACACATATACTTTCTGCTCCCTGGCTCCTTCAGCTGTACTCACTATTTAAGTCCCACAATTACCATTGTTCCTGGCCCGGACTTCAATCTGGCCTCTCACATTATTCCTGATACCACACCTGACCCCCATGACTGTATCTCTCTGATCCACCTGATATTCACCCCATTTCCCCATATTTCCTTCTTTCCTGTTCCTCACCCTGATCATGCTTGATTTATTGATGGCAGTTCCACCAGGCCTAATCGCCACACACCAGCAAAGGCAGGCTATGCTATAGTACAAGCCACTAGCCCACCTCTCAGAACCTCTCATTTCCTTTCCATCATGGAAATCTATCCTCGAGGAAATAACTTCTCAGTGTTCCATCTGCTATTCTACTACTACACAGGGATTATTCAGGCCCCCTCCCTTCCCTACACATAAAGCTCGAGGATTTGCCCCCACCCAGGACTGGCAAATTAGCTTTACTCAACATGTCCCGAGTCAGGAAACTAAAATACCTCTTAGTCTAAATAGACACTTTCACTGAATAAGTAAAGACCTTTCCTACAGGGTCTAAGAAGGCCACCACAGTCATTTCTTCCCTACTGTCAGACATAATTCCTCAGTTTAGCCTTCCCACCTCTATACAGTCTGATAACAGACCAGCCTTTATTAGTCAAATCAGCCAAGCAGTTTTTCAGGCTCTTAGTATTCAGTGAAACCTTTATATCCCTTACGGTACTCCATCTTCAAGAAAAGTAGAACGGACTAAAGGTCTTTTAAAAACACACCTCACCAAGCTCAGCCACCAACTTAAAAAGGACTGGACAATACTTTTATCACTTTCGCTTCTCAGAATTCAGGCCTGTCCTCAGAATGCTACAAGGTACAGCCCATTTGAGCTCCTGTATAGACGCTCCTTTTTTTTTTTTATTTAAGTTTTAGGGTACATTTGCACATTGTGCAGGTTAGTTACATATGTATACATGTGCCATGCTGGTGCGCTGCACCCACTAACTTGTCATCTAGCATTAGGTATATCTCCCGATGCTATCCCTCCCCCCTCCCCCCACCCCACAACAGTCCCCAGAGTGTGATGTTCCCCTTCCTGTGTCCATGTGATCTCATTGTTCAATTCCCACCTATGAGTGAGAATATGTGGTGTTTCGTTTTTTGTTCTTGAGATAGTTTACTGAGAATGATGATTTCCAATTTCATCCATGTCCCTACAAAGGACATGAACTCATCATTTTTTATGGCTGCATAGTATTCCATGGTGTATATGTGCCACATTTTCTTAATCCAGTCTATCATTGTTGGACATTTGGGTTGGTTCCAAGTCTTTGCTATTGTGAATAGTGCTGCATGTGTGTGAATAAACATACGTGTGCATGTGTCTTTATAGCAGCATGATTTATAGTCCTTTGGGTATATAACCAGTAATGGGATGGCTGGGTCAAATGGTATTTCTAGTTCTAGATCCCTGAGGAATCGCCACACTGACTTCCACAATGGTTGAACTAGTTTACAGTCCCACCAACAGTGTCAAAGTGTTCCTATTTCTCCACATCCTCTCCAGCACCTGTTGTTTCCTGACTTTTTAATGATTGCCATTCTAACTGGTGTGAGATGGTATCTCATTGTGGATTTGATTTGCATTTCTCTGATGGCCAGTGATGATGAGCATTTTTTCATGTGTCTTTTGGCTGAATAAATGTCTTCTTTTGAGAAGTGTCTGTTCATGTCCTTCGCCCACTTTTTGATGGGGTTGTTTGTTTTTTTCTTGTAAATTTGTTTGAGTTCTTTATAGATTCTGGATATTAGCCCTTTGTCAGATGAGTAGGT
Organism: Homo sapiens; assembly: GCF_000001405.40. Classification (NCBI taxonomy): domain Eukaryota; kingdom Metazoa; phylum Chordata; class Mammalia; order Primates; family Hominidae; genus Homo; species Homo sapiens. The sequence goes on along the minus strand of NC_000006.12, from coordinate 81,345,291 downwards.
TGCGAAAATTTTCTCCCATTTTGTAGGTTGCCTGTTCACTCTGATGGTAGTTTCTTTTGCTGTGCAGAAGCTCTTTAGTTTAATTAGATCCCATTTGTCAATTTTGGCTTTTGTTGCCATTGCTTTTGGTGTTTTAGACATGAAGTCCTTGCCCATGCCTATGTCCTGAATGGTAATGCCTGGCTAGCCATATGTAGAAAGCTGAAACTGGATCCCTTCCTTACACCTTATACAAAAATCAATTCAAGATGGATTAAAGACTTAAACGTTAGACCTAAAACCATAAAAACCCTAGAAGACACTCCTTTTTATTAGGCCCCAGTCTCATTCAACACCAGACCAACTTAGACTGTCCCTCAAAAAAACTTGTCATCCCTACTATCTTTTGTCTAGTCATACTCCTATTCACCATTCTCAACTACTCATACATGCCCTGCTCTTATTTACACTGCTGGTTTACACTGTTTCTCCAAGCCATCACAGCTGATATCTCCTGGTGCTATCCCCAAACTGCCACTCTAAACTCTTGAAGTAAATAAATAATCTTTGCTGGCAGGACTATGCTGAATCTCCTTAGGCACTCTCTAATCAGATGTCCTAGGTCCTCCCAATTCTTAGACCTTTTATACCTGTTTTTCTCCTTCTCTTATTCCAGTTTTTCAATTCATACAAAACTGTATCCAGGCCATCACCAGTCATTCTATACGACAAATGTTTCTTCTGATAACCCCACAATATCACCCCTTACCACAAGATCTTCCTTTAGCTTAATCTCTCCCACTCTAGGTTTCCACACCGCCCCTAATCCTGCTTGAAGCAGCCCTGAGAAACATCGTCCATTCTCTCTCCATACCACCCCCAAAAATTTTCGCCGCCCCAACACTTCAACACTATTTTGTTTTCTTTTTCTTATTAATATAAGAAGGCAGGAATGTCAGGCCTCTGAGCCCAAGCCAAACCATCGCATCCCCTGTGACTTGCACGTATACGTCCAGATGGCCTGAAGTAACTGAAGAATCACAAAAGAAGTGAAAAGGCCCCGTCCCGCCTTAACTGATGACATTCCACCATTGTGATTTGTTCCTGCCCCACCTTAACTGAGTGACTAAACCTGTGAATTTCCTTCTCCTGGCTCAGAAGCTCCCCCACTGAGCACCTTGTGACCCCCACCCCTGCCCATCAGAAAACAACCCCCTTTGACTGTAATTTTCCATTACCTTCCCAAATCCTATAAAACGGCCCCAGCCCATCTCCCTTCACTGACTCTCTTTTTGGACTCAGCCTGCCTGCACCCAGGTGAATAAACAGCCTTGTGGCTCACACAAAGCCTGTTTGGTGGTCTCTTCACATGGACGCGCATGAAAGTGGTCACCTTCCCACCTAGGCTTAGGGATTCTTAGTTGGCCTAGGAAATCCAACTAGTCCTGTCTCTCAGTCCCCCCTCTCAACAGGAAAATCCAAGTGCTGTCGGGGAGGTTGGCCGACAACTGCTGCAACTGCTTCCTGCTGAATTGGGGCATAGTAGGGGTCATGCAGTTGAGATTTCCTTGGGAGGGGTGACTTCGATGTCATTAACATTGGAGCTTGGGCTAGTAGGCCGGTCCAGGGGTCCGTGGTAGATCTTAGTCATGGACTGCATCTGGGGCTCCATTTGAAGAATGATTTGTAGTTTTACAGCTTTGATTCTGGAAGAGAAAAACTTAACAAGGAGGTTAAAGATGCAGGGATTGAAATATATGGCCTGCAGTGCAGGGGATTACTTCTTTGGCACACTTTACAGACCCAGACTATCTGCTTGATAGTTTTGAAAAGGCCTGGTCCAGTAAATAATAATTTGGCCATCTGATGGGTGCTATCAATGCCTAAGTGAAAGGTTGGGTGAAGGATTTTAAGTAATTTCTATTGGTTAGCTGCAGGCAAAATATTATTCCTTCTTTGGTGGCTAGCCATCTGGAGAGGAGGAAACTATGTCTTCATGAGGTTCCTCATTCTAGTTCTTCTTCTGAGTACTGGGGCTTGGTTTCCTGGAGGGGATTACCCCATACTCGGGGTCCTTCTGTAAGCATTTCTAATGGAGGGTCCTGCCTTGTGGCTCTTTTGGCTTCAATATCCGCTTGGTGGTTCCTTTCTATTTCTCTTTCCTTTCCTTTCTGATGACCCCAGCAGTGTAAGACTGCCATCTCTTTAGGTTCCTGTACAGCCAATAATAATTTCCTAATGGCTTCCTGATGTTTGATAGGTGTTCCCTTGAAAGTTAGGAATTTCCTTTCTCTCCATATTGCTGCATGGGCATGGAGGGCTAGGTAAGCATACTTAGAGTCTGTATATATATTTACCCTTTTTCCTTCTCCTGATTCTAGTGTCTGAGTGAGGGCTATTAGTTTTGCCAGCTGAGCACTAGTTCCTGGAGGGAGGGGATTACTTTCAAGTATTCCATTATCACTGACAACTGCATACCCCACTTTTTGAAGTCCTTTTTCTGCAAAGGAACTTCCATCAGTATACAAGTTGAGGTCAGGATCAGTCAAGGGAACCTCTAAAAGGTCCCTTCAAGTGGCATAGGTTTGAGCAATTGCTTGTTGACAATTATGTTCCATCTTTTCTTCATTGTCTGGAAGAAATTTGGCTGGGTTGAGAGTTGCACATGTGTGCAGTCGCAGCACTGGCCTTTCAAGTAATAGAGCCTGATATTTGTCTGACAGCCACAAGTCTCCTTTAGCAGTGAGTATGCTGTTCACATCATGAGATGTCCACACAGTAAGATCTCTTCCCTGTATTATTTTAACGGCTTCAGATACTAAGCCTGCTACTGTCAGCACTACCTGTAAACAGTGAGGCCAACCCTTTGCCACTACATCAATTTCCTTACTCAGGTATGCCATGGGTTGCAAGCTCTTCCCTCGGACCTGAGTAAGGACTACTAGAGCTATTCCTTTTTTTCTGTGACTTATAAAGAAAAGTCTTGTCCCCTTGGCAAGCTTAACACTGTGGCTTGGGTTAGGGCCTTCTTTAGGGCCTGGAAAGCCACTTCTGCCTCAGGTGTCCATCTTACTAAATGGGTATTGGCTTTCTGAGTTTCCTTAATTAGTGTATATAATGGTCTGGCTATTTCACCATACCTGGGAATCCATATTCCGCAGAAACCTGTTATGCCAAGGAACGCTCTTAGTTGCTTTAGGGTTTTGGGATGAGGATAAGCCAGTGTAGGCTGGATACATTCCTCACTGAGGGCCCTGGTGCCTTTGGATAATTTTAGCCCTAAGTATTTAACCTGCTGTGAGCAGAGCTGAGCCTTTCATTTGGAAACCTTGTAGCCACAGGTAGCGAGGAAATTTAAGAGCTCTTGGGTGGCTTGATGGCACAAGGTTTCTGAACAGGTGGCTAAAATTAAATCATCCATGTACTGAAGGACAAAAGTGTCCAGGTATGAGAATTGGCTCAAGTCTTGGGCTAATGCCTGGCCAAATAAAAGGGGGCTATCCTTGAACCCTTGGGGTAAAACAGTCCAGGTGAATTGAGATGTTGGGTTCGAAGGATCTTCAAAGGCAAACAAGAATTGACAGTCAGGATGTACAGGGATGCAGAAAAAGGCATCCTTAAGGTCCACGACTGTAAGCCACTCTGCTTCCTCTGGTATTTGGGAAAGCAGAGTATAAGGGCTAGGTACAGCTGGGTATAGAGGAAAAACAGCCTGGCGGAATTCTTTAGTTTAACTTGAACAGAATGGGTATTCTTTGCTCATCTATATTGTCCTTCTGTTGCCTAGACTTTAGGATTAATTCCTTCCTCAAGCAAGGGACAACAAACGGGTGTTCCTTCTCCTATGTTCAGATGTATAATGGCTCCTGCTTTTGCTAGAATGTCTCTCCCTAATAAGGGAGTGGGGCTTTCAGGCATAATTAGAAAAGCATGTGAAAAGAGTGAAGTTCCCTAGTCACAACTTAGTGGCTGGGAGAAGTATCTAGTGAGTGATTGTCCTAGGACCCCTCAGATAGTGATAGATCCGGAGGACAGTTGTCCAGGACAGGAGAGTAAGACTGAGAAGGCCACACCAGTGTCCAGGAGACAGTTAACTTCCCGGCCCTCAATAGTCAAGCATACTCAGGGCTCTGCGAGGATGATGGCATGGGCTGGTGGTTGCCCCAGGCACCCTCAGTCCTGCTGCTGGATCATCCGGTTAGTGGCTTTTGACTCAGAGGAACTTCACCCCTGGGGCAGTGGGCCTTCCAGTGATTTCCTTGACATAAGAGGCATGGATGAGGGGGCAGTTTACTTCTACTTGGACAATCTTTTTTAAAGTGTCCTTGTAGACCACACTGGAAGCAAGCCCTATTAGGCATTCAATTTTCTCAGCTTTTCCCTTTTCCAGAGCCTCCAAAGTCCACTTGCCTGAGGGCCATGGCTAAAGCGGTGGCCTTCTTTTTTTTTTATCCCATTTGTCCCATTCTGCCTGCTCCTCCTGATCTCTATTATAAAAAACCAAGGTTGCCAAGTTCAATAGGGTTTCTAAGTTTTGCTCCGGGCCTAAGGCAGATTTTGAAGTTTTTTTTTCTAACGTCTGCAGCTCACTGAGTGATAAACTAATCCTTTAAGATTAGTTGGCCTTCAATAGAGTCAGATGACTGAGAGGTATGCTTCCTCAATGCCTCCCTTAGTCTCTCCAGAAAGGCGGTAGGATTTTCTTCCTTTCCCTGTGTTATAGTGGATATCATTGAATAATTCATAGTCTTCCTAGTTTTCCTTAGTCCTTTTAGCACGCAAGTTAGCAAATGTCTGTGGCACCAATCTCCACGTTCTGATTCTGTGTCCCAGTGAGGGTCTACACTGGGAACTGCCTGCTGGCCTGTGGGGGAATTTTTTCCCTTTCCTCTGTTGTCATCCTATCATTGACCTGACTGAGATACCAGAGATCGCCAAATTCTTGGGCTGCAGTTATGGCGGCACTTCTATTATTTGGGGCTAGTGTCTGATTTAGCAGTAACGTATCTCTCCATGTCAGATCAAAGGATTGTCTTAACCCTTGTAAAATATCAGTATAGCCATCAGAGTTATCTGAGAATTTACCTAGGTCTATTTTAATTTGGTTTAAGTCTGAGAGAGAAAAAGGTACATGCACTCTCGCTGGGCCAAATTCTCCTCCTCCCACTGCTTGCAGGGGGCATAATCGGGAATATTGGCACTGTTTGCTTCATTGTTTACCCCTTTATCTATCTCCTTTTAGACCATTTGGGTTGAAGGGGGGTCCTTATTAGTTGGGGAAGGAGTGGGGGGAAGCTGGGATAGGGAGGTAAACTCTGAGGGCTTCCTGTAGGGCATAAACCACACTTTTTACATAATTGCAAGTTGTCTCTTAATGAAAAGAAAGTTTGCACATATGGCATTTCACTCCATTTACCTTTTTCCTACAAAAGGGGTCTAGCTGTAAGATGATGTTATAATTTATACCTCCCGCAGAAGGCCAGGTTTCTCCCCATTGAAGAGGGTATTGTGGCCAGGCTGCAGTGCACAATATAAGTCATTTCTTTCTTAGTGTCTGAGGGTCAAATTGGTCCTAATTCGCCAGAATGCATCTTAGGGGTGTTTTTGCCTTGGGGGAAATGTTTCCCATCTGAAAAAAAGAACATAGGGATTCCAGCACCCCTAGTCATTTTCTGATGAGCATTAGTCCTAGAGCGTCCTCTATGGTCCTAATGCTTATTCCTTCCCAGGGTGCGTAACAACCCATGGACCTCTGCTTATCAGATTAGTTATGCTCACTGATGTAGCAGTCCTGCATCTGTTTTCCCACCTCTCTTGACCACAAAGAAAGGGGTCTGGGCTGCTGGATTCTAGTGGTCCTTTACCAGCGTGCCCAACATTGCCTTTGCACTCAGGGGTGAGTCCTAGAGCTGGGCTGGGTTCCTGAGTATTTCATAACAACCCAGCTGCCCCATCAAGATGCATTCCCATAAAAGCAGTTCTTATGCAAATTCATTTCAGAGAGGGTGTAGGTAACCTTTTGAGTCAGGATTCGGATAGTGTTTTTGATTCTGTAAGTACTTTAAGGTTTGGCTAAGTGCAAACAGCTCGCACATTTGAGGAGACCAGTTATTAGGCAATTTTTCTAACTCTGCTTCTACAAGAGTCTCCGTATCAATTACTGAATACCCATTGTGGTTTTTTCCTCAATCACCTGGGAGGAAACATCTATAGTCCTGTCCTGAAGGGAGTTCCTCCTAGGTCTGGTCAGACCTTTGTATGGTAATTAAAATTTAAATCCCTTGTTAGGAAATCTGCTGGGTTAAGGGAATTATCAGTGGTTGGAGTTACATTACCCTTTTCTAACATAATAGACCCATACTTTAAGATTTTTGAGTTAGTAAGCTACCTTTTTCCTTTTTTTTTTTTTTTTTTTTTTGACTTAGAGTAATTCTGAACTGGTGAGGTGTGCTCACAATGAGGTTTCCTCTAAAAGTTACTTTTCTACTTTTAGCAAAGCAGTTGCTGCTACTAACTGAATGCATTTGGCCCATCCGTGGGTTACTGGGTTAAGGATTTTTGATAGGAAAGCTATGGATTGTCAGTGGCCTCAGTGCTTTCGGGCTATGCCCTTATTTACACTGACAACAAAGTAGCATTGAAGTTTTATAGTGTCACGGAGAAGACCTTCAATTATCATTACAGGATTTAAATTTACCCTGGCTTTTAAAGGAATAGGGCACACTTTTTTTTTTTTTTTTTTTAACTATTTCTTTTTCTTTCTTTTGCTCTTTGACTCCCTCTTTGTCTCTCTCTCTGTCTCTTTCTCTCTCTGACTCTCTCTCTCTCTCCCTCTCTCTCTCTCTCCGTGTCTCTCTCTTAGCCATTACAAACTTGGGGCCCTGGCAAGGGTGGTGGGGAATGGGTCCCACATAACTGCCCATTCAAGAGCTATATACCTAAATTGGGAGGGACACCAGGGATAAGACTCCCTGGGTTATAGCCTAGGTGCCTAAGGACACATCATAGAGCTTCCTTAGATTCCTTTGGAGATACAACTTGCTAGAGGAAATGGAAGTCTGAACCATTAGTACCCAGGAGGCAGAAATCAGAGGAAATAGATTCAGAGGTAAGGAGAATTTTGGGGCTACACTTTGAAGAAAGTTGTGGTTGGGACCCAGGAGGTATGGATCAGAAGGAGAGGTATGGGTCAGAAGGAAATGTAGGGGCGCACGCATGGGCAACTGTTGAGTAGAGACTTCTGGCTGCGCCATGATCTCAACCGGCTACTGCCGGGAGTTCGGGCCGACAGCTTTCTGCCTCTAGTCGGCCCTTGGCTTCCCCAAGAAAACTGAAAGTGGAAGCTGGCTCGAGGCAGGCCAGTGTCCCCAAACCAGAAGTGTTGGGGGTTGTTAGAAAGCCCTTCCCCAGATAGCCTCACACCTGGGTCTTAAGTCCCGCAGCCATGCTAATTGTTTTTAACTGGCCCACAGGTGCCCGGTATTTTCCTCCAATTCTAAGGAAGGATAGGACAGAATAGCAAGCGAAAGTGGTTCAATATTACTCACCACTTTGGATGTCCCTTCGTGGTCACCAAAATATTACCGGGGGTCCTTGCTCATAGAGCTTCCAAGATGATGGCGAGCCCCTTCCAAGATGGTGGTGGGCTGCTTCCAAGATGGTGGCAAGCCTCGTGTTCTCGGACCTGGGATTCTTGGCTTCACAGATTCCAAGGAATGGAATCTTGGTCCATGTGGTGAGTGTTATAGCTCTATTAGAAGCCGTGGGTCACGGAAGAGAATGGTGGAACCCAGTGACTAGTGTTCAGCTCGATTAGGATGAACCCAGGCACTTAGCCATGTGGGAACAATGGCAAGCCTTTAGCCCAGTTGGGAGTGGCAATGGGTGCCTTGCTGGATCAGGAGCACAGCGGACACCCTGCCAGATCTGGAAGAATGGAAGTCAGCGGTGGGTCTGCGATGGTGGCAAAACAGCAGTGGTGCCCAGCAAGCAAAAGCTCTGCTCGAGCCGTAACGAACACGGACCAGAAGCTTGCAGTTGCAAGATTTAATAGAGTGAAATAGAGTGAAAACAGAGCTCCCATACAAGGGGAGGGGACCCAAAGGGGGTTGCCATTGCTGGCTCAAATGCCTGGGTTTATATCCTGATCATTGTCCCTCCCACTGTGCTCTCAGGAACAGATGATTGGCTATTTCTTTACCTCCTGTTTTTGCCTAATTAGCATTTTAGTGAGCTCTCCTTACTATCTGATTGGTTGGGTGTGATCTAAGTTACAAGCCCTGTGTTTAAAGGTAGAAGTGGTCACCTTCCCAGCTAGGCTTAGGGATTCTTAGTTGGCCTAGGAAATCCAGCTACTCCTGTCTCTCAATTCTTCCTTTAGTCTCAGCAAATCTCAGTTGTTCCTGAGCACTGCTACAGAGCAGGTTGGAGGTCTACAAACCACTGCTCAACGAAATAAAAGAGGACAAAAACAAATGGAAGAACATTCCATGCTCATGGATAGGAAGAATCAATATCGTAAAAATGGCTATACTCCCAAGGTAATTTATGGATTCAATACCATCTCCATCAAGCTACCAATGACTTTCTTCACATAATTGGAAAAAACTACTTTAAAGTTCATATGGAACCAAAAAAGAGCCCGCATTGCCAAGACAATCCTAAGGCAACAGAACAAAGCTGGAGGCGTCACGCTACCTGACGTCAAACTATACTACAAGGCTACAGTAACCAAAACAGCATGGTACTTGTACAAAAACAGAGATAGACCAATGGAACAGAATAGAGCCCTCAGAAATAATACCACACACCTACAACCATCTGATCTTTGACAAACCTGACAAAAACAAGAAATGGGGAAAGGATTCCCTATTTAATAAATGGTGCTGGGAAAACTGGCTAGCCATATGGAGAAAGCTGAAACTGGATCCCTTCCTTACACCTTATGTAAAAATTAATTCAAGATGGATTAAAGACTTAAATGTCAGACCTAAAACCATAAAAACCCTAGAAGAAAACCTAGGCAATACCATTCAGGACATAGGCATGGGCAAGAACTTCATGTCTAAAACACCAAAAGCAATGGCAACAAAAGCCAAAATTGACAAATGGGATCTAATTAAACTAAAGAGTTTCTGCATAGCAAAAGAAACTACCATCAGAGTGAACAGGCAGCCTACAGAATGGGAGAAAATTTTTGCTATCTACTCATCTGACAAAGGGCTAATATCCAGAATCTATAAAGAACTCAAACAAATTTACAAGAAAAAAACAAACAACCCCATCAAAAAGTGGGTGAAGGATATGAACAGACACTTCTCAAAAGAAGACATTTATGCAGCCAAAAGACACATGAAAAAATGCTCATTATCACTGGCCATCAGAGAAATGCAAATCAAAACCACAATGAGATACCATCTCACACCAGTTAGAATGGCGATCATTAAAAAGTCAGGAAACAACAGGTGCTGGAGAGAATGTGGAGAAATAGGAAAACTTTTACACTGTGGTGGGACTGTAAACTAGTTCAACCATTGTGGAAGACAGTGTAGCGATTCCTCAAGGATCTAGAACTAGAAATACATTTGACCCAGCCATCCCATTACTGGTTATATATCCAAAGGATTATAAATCATGCTGCTATAAAAACACATGCACACGTATGTTTATTGCGGCACTATGCACATTAGCAAAGACTTGGAACCAACCCAAATGTCCAACAATGATAGACTGGATTAAGAAAATGTGGCACATATACACCATAGAATACTATGCAGCCATAAAAAAGGACGAATTCGTGTCCTTTGTAGGGACATGGATGAAGCTGGAAATCAGCATTCTCAGCAAACTATTGCAGGGACAAAAAACCAAACACTGCATGTTCTCAGTTATAGGTGGGAATTGAACAATGAGAACACTTGGACATAGGAAGGGGAACATCACACACGGGGGCCTGTTGTGGGGTGGGGGGAGGGGGGGAGGGATAGCATTAGGGGATATACCTAATGTAAATGACGAGTTAATGGGTGCAGCACACCAGCATGACACATGTATACATATGTAACAAACCTGCACGTTGTTCACATGTACCCTAGAACTTAAAGTATAATAAAAAATAAAATAAAACACACATCTAAGCATAATCTGATCACACTTAATGTCTTTCATTCTCTCTCCATTGCCTAGAGAACCATGTTTATACTCCATAAAATCATTTGCCCTTGTCTTCTGCCTTCTTGGCCCTTTTTCTACTTATGTCCTGTGCTTAAATTAGTCTTTTACATCCTCTAATTTGTCATGTTTTTTCAGGTCTCTGTGCCTGTGATACTCTCTTTGCCTGGAATTTCTCTTCACCATGTATAATAAAAAATAATTTGGTAATTTCTCAAGATATAGTTTAAAGATTACTTCCTTGGTGAAGCCATTCTTGATGTTTGTACTTAGCTTAACTTGCTTCCTCTTCTTCCTCCCCTATTGAATTCTTTGTACGCTATTGTTATAGCTCTCTCACCATAATTGTGAATACTTACTTATATTCTCTAATAGACTATGGTCACAGTAAAAACAAAACAAGACAAAACAAAACAAAAAATCTTATAATTTGTGTCTGTCTCCAATTGCCCCTCATTCTAACCTTTCTTCCACATTGTTTCAGATTAGCTAAAAACTCTAAATTTTCCTTTATTGCTTGTAAGATAAAGTTCAAACTACTCAGAATAGTACAGGAGGATCTCCAGTCTCTATCCCAGTCCCAATCGCCCCACCCATGCCATGCATGCCGCACTTTAATGTATAATAAATCACTCCTAAATGCACCATGGTAGCTGTACACTTTTGTTTATTTTCCCTTTTTTGAAGAATGTCCTTTTCCTTCTTTCCAGATGATCTACTCCTATTTATGATTTGAAGATTCATGAAACACACACACTTTTATAAAGCCTCCCTTGAACACTTTGGTAAAAGCATATGTCTCTTTCTTTCTACTACCAGAACATCTTCTGCAGAGGGCACATCTAAGCTGGAATCTTGTATAATAATAGTTTAACTGTTCTCCTCCTTCCATATGTGCTCCCTTCAGTCAATCCTAAGCACAATAACTATAGTAATTTGTTTAAAAGGAAAATCAGATCTTTTCAGTCTCTTACTGAAAACCCTTCACCAGCTCCCCAGAACATCCAAGTCCTAACTAGTCCCCATGCCATATGACCACTGTCACTTCTTTGACCTCACCTCATATAACTCTCTCATTTCCTCTGTTCCATCCACCGTGGCTGGTTGCCTCACTCTTCCTCGAACATCCTAGATAAGTCTCTGGCTCTGAATATTTGCATTTGCGTTTTCTTTACCTGGAACTCTCTTCTACAAATAATTGCATGGCTTACCCCTTCTGTTTTTCAGGTGCTTTCTTAAATGTCACATTTTCAATGAGGCCTTTCCAAATATCCCATTTACACTGTACCCATCTTTTTTCCTGCCAACACTCCATATTCTCCTTCATTGCTTTCATTTTTTTTCACATCTAATATTTCCTACATTCCCCCTGGAAAACAAGCTTCATAGAGCATGGGTTTTTACCTCTTTGTTTTATGAGGTATCTATTCTAAGAAAAATTTTTGCTACATAATGGGACTCAATTATATATATTGAATAAACATACACATTCTTACTAACAATTACTAAATGGAGAGGTCATATTTGACTTAATTTCTTTTTCCTTTTTTTTTTTTTTTTTTTTTTTTGAGACGGAGTCTTGCTCTGTCGCCCATGCTGGAGTGCAGTAGCACGATATTGGCTAACTGCAACCTCCGCCTGCTGGGTTCACGCCATTCTCCTTCCTCAGCCTCCCAAGTAGCTGGGACTACAGGCGCCCGCCACTACGCCAGGCTAATTTTTTGTATTTTTAGTAGAGACGGGGTTTCACCATGTTAGCCAGGATGGTCTCGATCTCCTGACCTCGTGATCTGCCCTCCTCAGCCTCCCAAAGTGCTGGGATTACAGGCGTGAGCCACCGCGCCCGGCAACTTAATTTCATGATTCCATCTGGGAATGATTCCTGGCACATAATTATTAAATCTACAAAGGTCTTTGATGAATAAATGAATGCATTTCCTAACCCTTGAATTCAATGTGGAAGAAGCTACTTAACATGCAGCAGTGTATTTGCTGGATTTCTGCCAACTAAATGAAGCTATTTAAATATTTTCTCATCCTAAGTGGGACATGGTCAACTGTTATTGGCTACAGATGAAAATGTCCTTCATTTATTTAATAGAATATTAGAATTCAATCCACTGGATAAGTCGGTAGGATTTTGAGATTCCTTTGTATTGTACCCTTTAACAATCTCATTTTCCTATATCGTTGAAAGACGGAACTACTTTTCAACCCTGGGTTCAACTTAGAACTACTGGGACATTACAGAAAATTGGAAGGCTGGTTACCCAGAACCATAAGTTCTTATTCAATTAGTTGGCGTGGAGCCTAAGCATTGGTAGTTTTAAAAAGCCCCAGAAAAATAGGAATGAGAGTCAGAATTAGGAACCAGAGTTTAAGAAAAATTGTAGAGCACACTGACTAGTCACGTCTTATTGTGTGCCATACACATACATCACTTGACTGTCTTCATGACTGTAAAGTTGAAATAATATTTTACACAAACTCAGCAGGAATTTAGAAAGATATATAATTTTATCAACTTTAATAATGCAAAAAATCTAGATTAAAAAATGTAAATGTTAGACTACTTTGTACTTTTTAGTTATTTGGTGAGCTTTTTGCTACATCACATATAAATTATCTGTTTTATCCCCTTAGCTATTGAATATAGTGTTAGTAAAGGAGAAAAACTGGCATCAAATTAAGAAATTTGTTACTTTTCTTTAAAAAATAAATCTTAAGGAAGGTTTCCATTTTTCTGCAAATTAAAGTCCTATGAATTAATTTATCATCAAAACAAGAGTCAATTTAAGAGATAATCTACAATGAGTTTTCAGATTGGATAATAAATAATATTAGAATTTTTTTCTGCCACTTATTCCCTTCCAATAGAACAATGAAAAATCCTTGATAATGATTTGCTGACTAACATAGAATAACCTCATTTGTATGTATATCAATTTGAAATTCGTCTGGCTGGGAACTCGGTAATTGGTTACACTTTAGTATATATGAGAGCAAATACAGAATATGGAAATCATTTTACACAAATTTTTCAATTTCTGTATTTTTTTCATAGAATGAGTTGTATTATACCAGACACACATACACACACACACACACACACACACACACACATTTCTATAAAAGAAAACATAATCATCAATTTCTACCTAACTTAGCATATATGTTTCACTTATAGTTTATAGTGGCTATGGCTCAAAGGATGGCATTTTTCTTTTCATTTTGGTATTGAGTAATGGAGGAGACATAGAGGTGACTGGATTTATTTCCACAGTTACACTCTCTTCATTTTCAGTAACACCCGGGCCTTTGCTTCCTGGATGAAAATGACCCATTCCTAATCCCTGACTATGTGGAATGAGTTAGATAAAAAATGTCCCTTCTTACACACCACACAGTGAATAATGACACAGTGATGTTAATATTAGTGAATTTAAAAAATTTGAAGAAATAATGATTCATCAGCAGCAAGCATCTCTCACTATCCAATAAAACCATGTGCCCACAGCTTCTGGAAGCTTCCAGTTTTATAGCACAACCTCAAACTAGAGTACATCCAAGTTGTAAAAAACCTGAAGTACTACACTGCCACATTTTATTATAGGAAAAAAAAGAGTCTGGTATGTTTAAGAAATTCTATAATTTGTGCTTAATTCACTCCTCTCAGTCCAGTGTCTGTGTCATTTTGGTTCTGACTTTTAGGAAATGAATCTTTATAACTTCGGGGGGACAAAACTGTAAGATTTCTTCTGTTCTCACTTTCACTTCGATAAGTCCCATAAGATAAATAAGTCCAAATGTCAATCATGAATTTGCCTGATTCTTAACAAATGAAAATGTTTGTCTCCTCTGTCAAGCTCTTTCTTAATCTTATTAGGACCTAGTTCGATATATCAAGACAAAAATAGAGTCAATTTAATATGTACTAACCAAAATTTATTTAGGATACTTGTATATAACTTAAGACAGAATATACTCAATTTATTTTCACATCAGTGCTATGAGTTAGTTAAGATAGTTTAAATTTCACTCTTATGCCTTATGATTTTTGCTCTGATGCATGTATTTAGCCTTTGTCTTAACTTTCTCTGCTAAAAAAAGCTTTTTTAAAATAAAGGCTTGAAGAACAAAAGAGTAAACGAGTATCTCACTTCTATAACTATTGCATGTATCTTTGTTGCTTCATTACAATTTTAAAAATTTACTTTCTACATATTTTTTCTTTTTGTTTTTTAAAGAGTGAAGTATTTGTTTGATTAAAATTATATTTAAAAGTTAACCAATTTCAAAGACAGATATTCATCCTTGAAATAATTTTTTTTCTCTACTGATACTTTTTAGTTGGCTCAACCCCTTCCTCCAATTCAGATAAAATTGAAGGTTTTTCTTGGTGGGGGTTCTTGTGATATTGTTCAGGCTAGTCTCGAACTCATCTCAAGTGATCCTTCTTCATTGGCCCTCCAAAGTGCTGGGATTGCAGGTGTGAGCCACCACATCTGGCCAGCAAACTTTTTCTGGGTCAAAAAACGATTTAAGTGGGTCTCAGTAAGGTGTCCTAAAAAAGCATGGAGCTTAACAGTCAGGAAGACCTGGATTCAGTGACCTCGGCAAGAAGCAGAGTATTTCCACATCTTATTTCCATTGTTCAAAAAGATGAACAATTCTATCTCATAAGGCTAGCATGGGATTAAATTTAGGTAGATAATGTACAAAGTAGGTTTGTTGTAGGTTCTCGTTCAAAAATAAGAATTCAATTTTCATTTATTTTTCTCATTTCCAGTAAAAGTGCTGAAATCATTTTTATCTAAGATTTTGTTGATGGCTATACTTCTAAATGACTATGATTATGTTAATGAATAACTTATGCAAGAAACATCATTTTACTATTTGGCGTTTTAGTCAGTGATTGCTTTCATAAAGTAGATATTCAAGGACCTGAAATTGTTACTACAGACAAGGCACCAGAAGAATTCTGTGCAAGCAAAAGTTCAGATCAAGTGCTTAATTTCTTATCAAAAAATCATAAGTTTTTGGCCCTAAGAAAGAATATTTTCAGAAAAATTAGCTCTATGTCCAATTAAATTACCAGTAATAGTTCATTTGAGTTGGCTTACTGAACTTAACTGAAGTCATTCAATTGTCATTGGCAGGGATGGGTGATGCCAAAAGCAAGGAAAGGAGAAAACTTGCATTAGACCTACTGCCTGGATGAAATGGGTAGGCTGTCTCCTGGACCTATTTTGAGGTGAACCAATCCAGATATATTATCTGTTTAAAAACAGTGCCTCACCAATGTCAGCATCTGAAGCCACTCTTAAAACATAGATTTTCATAAAACCTGAAATAGACGGTGTAGTCCCTGGCAGCAGAATACACCCTGGCAGGAGATGACCATCTCAGCATCTGGTTAGTAAATTACCTCAGGAGAAATGCTCTCCTTTGTTGACAAATGGTCTAGCTACTTTCTTAGTGAGACTGGAGGATAAGAAATTCCTGGAAACATAGTCTGTATTCAGTCCCTAGGTATGGAAATTTGTTGAGAAGTTTCATGAACTAAATGTTCTTATAAGTGAAGTCAATGCTTCTCTTCCTGTCTTTTCTTTAAAAGCACAAGTAAGCTTGAAGACTTAAACCTTAAACTTGCTTCTGTTGCAGTTTTAATATCCAAACTTGTAAGAAACAAATCTCATATGACATTTTTATTAAAATAAATTTAAACAATTAGATTTTTTTTTTTTTTGAGATGGAGCCTCACTTTGTCTCCCAGGCTAGAGTAATTCTTTCCCAAGGTAACAGCATGGGAGAATTAACAATGTCATTTTTTTAAAATTTGGGCTATTTCAGAAACAAAAACAAACTAAAAGTTGGAACAGAAATAAAACTACTTCATAAAAAATTATTAGAATTTGAAGAGAACTTTGATAGTCTCTATACCAGCCTGTTTATAATATATATAGACAAGGATATAACAACATGAGGTCTAAGCAGATTTAGAAACTAGTCAAAGATATATATATATATACATAAAAATATATATAAATATATTATGTATATAATATATATAATATATTATATATATTATATAATATATGATATATACATTCCTCAAATCTGCTTTTCAACTCTCAGTCTAGTGTTTCTTCCACAACCTCAAAGTTTATCTTTATGTGTAGCAAACAGTTCATGGATTTTTACAGCCAGAATAAGCATCACGTGACAGGGGATAAGGCTAGAAAGGTAGGTGGTATAAAATTGTGCAGATCTTTCAATGATAGGCTGAATAGTTGAAACTTTATTCCGCAGAAAATAGGGACCTACTGGTAAGAGTGTGGAAACTACTAATATATGAGAGGACAGTCAAGAAAACCATAAAACAGTCTTAGATATGTAGATTTATCCTCTGTCCATGAAGCTCAAAAGACAAGTTACCATGCATTTCACACACCACACTGGAGTAAATTCATCTTCTTACATAGTTCCTGGGTGCTATGGCTGCTATAAAAAGACCACAAGAAATAAGAACAGGATTCTTTCTAGAAGTAAATCACATTATGCATTTGGAGAAGGGAAAAAAGAAAAGATTTAATTACGCAAAACTGTTTATTCCTTCATATAATTATCTTTATTGAGACTGAAGTCCCATTTCTAAAAGTCAATATACCTTGAAAAATGTGTTTACATTCCTATAGTTTTTAACAGAGTGTAGTGTAGGAATGTCAGTGGAATAAGTATGGGCTTGGAGCTAGAAGACCTACAGCAATGTTTGTAACCTCTGGCAAGTCTTTAGCTTTAATTTATCAATTTGTAGGAAGAGAGTAATATTAATTATCTTTACTAATGTTGTGTACATAAGAAAGTGGTTGTGAAGCACCAGAAAGATAATGTATTTGAAAACTCTTAGGCTTGTTAGCGGTTACAGCAGACATAAAAGTGCTCTATTTGAATCTTAATTTGTTCAAAGTTATTGTATCAGTTCAAAGTATGGCATCAGTTTTATTGTCCAGTCACTGGCTCTAAAATTGTTGTGACTGTCAAAGAAGTTGATCCCCAAAAATAAAGATTTCACAATGTCTTCTTCAAAATTTTCAGTTGGACAGGTCATCTTATACTTCAAGGATGATGATGACTTGGGTATGCATTTGTAGATCAAGCATGGGTCAAATGAAAAAGAAATCTTAAAAATTCACTTCAAATAATCTAGTATCCTGCCATTATAGCATTTAAACCTAAAATAAAATAAACTTGCTACCTAAGAAAGTGATTGTAAAGGGAAACACTTAATGTGGACGATAACTTTTTCTTGTATGATAAATATTTCACAACTCAGAAACTTACAAACATTATTGACAAATTACAAAAATATTATGTGGGACTTTTGGTTAGAATACAGAGTCACAGGAAATCATTGCTTTCATCTTAGCAACCAAAAGAAGTTGGGTAAACTTCAAAAACACATAGTTCTTTTAAAAAATCCTTCAGAGAGTTAAGGATGCAATAAAACCTAAATAAACTAATTTCCAGAAAAATGACAAGCCTTTCCAGAAGAGAAGAGTTCCACAGATGTTTTCATGTCGTGTGAAGTAGTGGGGGAGGAGGTACCTACCGTAGAAGGGGGTAAGGAGAAACCAGCTAAACTTTTAATGAACTTTTAATGGCTGTGCGTAGGCTGGCATGAGAGTTTAGATTTCTAAGAAGCCTAAACCACAGAGCAAATCTGCAGCCACCCACCAAATCTTTCCCACAAGTGCTTGATGATACACACCGAAATACTGGAAACAAGGCAAGAGAGCTGAGAGAGATTCCCCTGAGGCAGGCAGAGCTTGCCCTAAGTATAATAGAGCAGCCAACTGAAGGGGAGGGACGTGATGAGTAGGAGAGTTGAGACCCACTGGTCTCTCAGCTACACAGGCTGGGACAAAGAAGGATAAAAATTTTGACACACTCCAGTGCTTCATAGCTGTAAGACTGGTGAATGGAAATCAGGGTGAAAAGAGATATCCAGAGTTGAAAACCAAGGATGACCCTGGAAAGCAAAGACTTCTTTACAGTGAATCAAAAAGTTGGCAGCTGAGCTATAAAACAGAGCGATATCATTTCTGGCACAGAAAAGTAGTGGTTCAGCTCTAAAGCACAAATAAAACTCCTGAATCTGACTAGGGCTCAGATCCTAAGCCACGCTGAAGGGAAAGTTTAGATCTTCCCTGCAAACCACATGAAGTCAGTGGTCAATTTAATATAACTAAAGCTGCAATAAAGTCAGTCTAGTTCAACTGCATTTCATATTGATGAAGACTTCCACATTAGCATTCAAACAAAAGAAGAGGCATGACATTTTCTGGAAGTTAAGATCATTAACTTTAGTGCTTATTATTCTTTTATACAAAATTTCTTGTATATAATTAAAAACTGTAAGAAGTTCTAACAGGTAGGACAATGGGGCCCATGACCAATAAAGGAAAAGGTCCATAGAAGCAGACACAGAGATGGCCCAGTTCTTGGAATTATCAAGCAAAACCTTTAAAATAACTAATACAACTTGGCAACATGGTGAAATCCTATCTCTACAAAAAATACAAAAATTAGTCGTGTGTTGTGGCATGGGCCTGTAATCCCAGCTACTAAGGAGGCTGAGGTGGGAGGGTCTCTTGAGCTCAGGATGCAGAGGTTGCAATGAGCTAAGGTCATGTCATTGCACTCCAGCCTAGGTGACAGAGTGAAACCCTGTCCCAAAAAAATAATAATAATAAAAATTAAAATAAAGAAAAATTTAAAAAAGAAAAAAATAAACTAGCACAAAACTGCTAAAAGGTATGTTGATAAAGATATCATGAAAGGCAATCTATTATACTGAAAGTTGGTAAATATTATAATAGACATAAAACAACAACACATGGAACAGAATAAATGAATTGGTAGTGAGATAAGGGGAAGGTCTGATTCAAGAGGTGTCATTTCACCTGTGCCTTGCGTGAAAGAAACAGAAAAAGTCATTCTTAGACGATGGAATAGATAATTCAAAGAGTGTACAGAGATAAGTAGTTATGAAATGGTTTTGTGTACCTGCAAAGCTGTGAGAATTTTCTATTGGTAGGAATATATACTTTTAGGGGTAGAGGCAGGGCAGCTTGATGGGTTTGTGAGCTGTACAGTTACACAAAGTCCTGTGCTCAGAAGGACCCTGTGCTTGATTTAATTATTTGCTGTGGCTAAGTTGAAATTGTTAGCCATTGAACAAGGGTCCTCACATTATTGTGCATTTGGACATGCAAATTATATAGCAAGTCCTGAGTAGGGGAAACTCTCAGGGGGAGATGTGTAGGCCAGATTGTGAAGGGCTTTGAATACATCATTAGTCAAAATGAAGTAATAACATGTTCCAGGTTCTGCAGGACAGGTCTGATTTACACCCTTGTCTCATCCTAATTTTCACTGTAGTCTCCTGTCACTCTATAGCATCCTGATGTGAACATAAATTGTATGACTACCCTATGTTGCATCAAGGAAGCAGTGGATATTTTATACAATGGTGTGTTCTGAGTATGTATGTTTTGCAAGGATACTTTATAGATTTCCATGTAAAGAGCAGATTTAAGTATGTGAGAAACTCCTCATAAGAGCAATTAGGAGGCCTTTGTAATCCACAAATGACAGTCACCTTATGCAAAGCAAGGGCTGGGAGAAAGAAAGAAATAGAATGTACTAGATTTAGTAAATGTTTGGATGTAAGAAGTAATGGATAGGGAAGGTTCAAGGATGAAATCCAGGTTTCTGGTTTGGAAGATTGATAGAAGATGATGCTACCTTAATCAAGGTATGAAGGAAAAGCAAGAGGGAATGTTTGTGGAGATGTTGAATTTAAAAAAGATGCAGGATGAAGTTACAGGTACTGATTGGACAAATGAGCATACTGACCTGGAGTTCAGAAAAGAGGTCAAAACCAGAGATATGAATTTGGGAAACACATGAGGCCTGTATATTCTTTCCTTGGTTTATTCGTGGTTATGGGTCCCTGCGCTTGTCTAATAGGAACCTGTTTATAACAGGAAAGTACCCCTCAAACCA
Organism: Homo sapiens; assembly: GCF_000001405.40. NCBI lineage: Eukaryota > Metazoa > Chordata > Mammalia > Primates > Hominidae > Homo > Homo sapiens. The sequence goes on along the minus strand of NC_000006.12, from coordinate 81,325,071 downwards.
GGTACATGGGGTGAATAAAAAGGAGAAGGGTCGGCTGGGTGCGGTGGCTCATGCCTGTAATCCCAGCTGAGGGGGGCGGGTCACCTGAAGTCAGGAGTTTGAGACCAGCCTGGCCAACATGGTAAAACCCCGTCTCTACGAAACATAGAAAAAAAAAAAAAAAGTTAGCTGGGCAACATGGTGGTGGATGCCTGTAATCTCAGCTACTCGGGAGGCTGATGCAGGAGAATTGCTAAGAGAACTGTGGAGGTTGCAGTGAGCCGACATTGTACCATGCATTCCAGCCTGGGTGACAGAGCGAGACTCCATCTCAAAAAAAAAGGAAAAGTTGTCTTAAGACCTGTTCTAAACTCCCTCCTGTGTTGACATTGTCCACAGCTGGTCATTATTTCCAAATATAATATCACTGGGCATCCACCTTACCTTATCTTTTTCTCTGTCTTCTTGTTTGTTTTATTACAGAGGCAGCTTCTGTTGTCAATAACTATCTTGGCATTGTTTTGGAATTCTCTTTGCCCTTATTTGCTGTTTGCTGTTTTTTTGTTGTTTTTTTTTTTGTTTTTTTTGTTTTTAATTTCTACTTTGTTTTATAACCCACTGCTTTAATGTTAGGCTTGCTGCTCCTTGTCTTTGTTTATCTTCACTTATCTTAAAATCACTCCTTAAAAAAAAAAAGAAAAATGCTTTAAGTGCAACTTTAAATTTCAACATCCAAGTTTTATTGTTTCAATTGAAATTTTTGCTAAGATAATTGTACATTCACATGCAGTTTTAAGAACTAATACAGAGTTCTCGAGGCTCAGATGGTTTCACTGGAGAATTTCACCAACCTTTAAAGAAGAATTAATAGCTGAAATTATATCAATGTGATTAAGAAGATCTACAACCTACCAAGTATTCTGCTGTTGTCAGACAGGGTATTCTATATACATTAATTATATTCTATTGGATATTCTACTTTGTTCAGATCTCTTATGTCCTTGTTTTCCTGTATATTAATTCTACCAGTTGCTGAAAGGGGATGTTGAAGTCCCTAACTATAGTTGTAAATTTGTCTATTTCTTCTTTCAGTGCTATCAGTTTCCTTCATGTATTTTGATGGTCTGTTGATTTGTGTATACACATTTAGCATCATCATATCTTTCCCATGAATTGATTCCTATATCATCATGTAATATTCCTCATTGTCTTGTAATTTTCTTTGCTCTGAAGTCTACTTCATCAGATGTTGATGTAGCCACTCATGCTTTTTTTTAAATTAATATTTGCACAGCATATCTTTTTTTAGTCCTTTTAATTTTGGCATATCTATGAATTTGAATAGCAAATAGTTGGACTACATTATTTATCCATTTTGCTGATTTCAGTCTTTCAATTGGCAGATATAAACTATTTAAATTACATTAAATTAATTTTTGTTTTTGAGACAAAGTCTCACTCTGTCACCAGGGTAGAGAGCAGTGGTGCAATCTCGGTTCACTGCAACCTCTGACTCCCTGGTTTAAGCGATTCTCCTGCCTCAGCCTCCTGAGTAGCTGGATTACAGGTGCTCACCACTATGCCTTACTAATTTTTGCATTTTTAGTAGAGACAGGGTTTCACCATGTTGGCCAGGATGGTCTCGATCTACTGAACTTGTGATCCTCCCGCCTTGGCCTCCCAAAGTGCTAGGATTACAGGCGTGAGCCACTGCACCCGGCCTCATTTAATTTTTATGACAGGACTTAAGTCTTCTATTGTTTGTTTTGTATTTTTTTCTTTATATTCTCACTCCTGTGTTTCTCTTATCTTGTATTCCCGCACAGCTGCTTGAACCTGATGCATCATATATATATATATATATATATATATATAAAGTTTTATATATATACAAAGTTTTATATATATATATATAACTTTATGTTAGTTATATATAACTTTATGTTTGATAATTTGTGGAAATACCATATTACTTTGCAAAAGGGCTGCATTATCTTGCATTTCTACCAGCACTGAAATTAAGAATTTCAATTTCTACACATGTTCTCCTTATCTGTTTTGTAATTACTGTCCTCTTAGTGCATGTGGAGTGGCATTTCTTTATGGTTTTGATTTGTATTTCTCTAATGATTAGTGCTTATTGACCATTTGTATGTCCTTCTTGGAGAGATGTCTTTTCAGATCCTTTGCTCATTTTTCAATTGGGTTGTCTTTTTTTTTAATTTTTTTTTTAGAGGTCTTGGCTGGGCATAGTGGTTCATACCTGTAATCCCAGCACTTTGGGAGGCCAAGGAGAGCGAATCACAGGTTCAGGAGTTCGAGACCACCCTGGTCAACATGGTGAAACCCTGACTCTACTAAAAATACAAAAATTACCCAGGCATGGTGGTGGGCACCTGTATCCCAGCTACTTGGGAGGCTGAGGCAGAATTGCTTGAACCCAGGAGACGGAGGTTGCAGTGAGCTGAGATAGTGCCATTGCACTCCAGCTCTGGGTGACAGAGCAAGACTCTGTCTCAAAAAACAAAACAAAACAAAAACAAACAAACAAACAAAAAGACAGAGTTCTTTATATATTCTGGATACGAGACTCTTATCCATGTTTCCTGTATATAGGATCATATCATCTGCAAATAGAGGTAGTTTACATCTCCCTTTCCAATCTGGTAGCCTTTTATTTATTTTTCTTTACTAATTGACCTAGCTAGAGCAGGTACAAAATTCTAACTTCTTGCCCAAGTCCGTTCATCACCAGAAACCCACTCTGTGGTGTCTAATTTCCTATGCATCTTGTTTAACTGATTAATTAATTTATACCTTGGGATAATTTACATTACATTACTAATTTACATGGGTATTAGAAAACACAACTTATTAAATAAAAACTATGCAATATGTAGAGGTCAGTCATCAGTATTTCAATCCTGAATGAATGCTCCTTAAACATTCTTAAATTGTGCCGTTTGTGTATTTTTTAATTGAACATAACTTGTAAAAATCTCCATTTACATAAATACTGATTTTTAGCCAATGGAAGAAAGAAGTTAGAACTGGCTAATAGCATCCTTTTTAAAGCCATCTGAGTTTCTCTTAGAGATCTTCCCTGCAGAATGAGAATGCAATGAATTTTAAAAGGTAACATAGAATTGTTGGTTATAAAACAGATGGACACCATTGAGCTCTTTATTTTAATATGAAAAAAGAGGAAAAATAATTTAGTTCTGCATTTCTCTGTGATTCATAGCTGAATACATGAACACACATATGTAATGTTTATTGTGCACTTGCTGTAACATTGCATACAGTGGAATGAAACATAAGGAATTATAATACTCTTTTTTTATAAAGAATAGGGGGATCAAATAAAATATAAACTAAATATAATATGTGATCCTGGACTGGATCCAGGATCAGAAAAACAGTTACTACCAGAAAGATTATTGAGACAATTGGTGAAATTAAATAAAATATATACATTATTATTATACTCATGTTAATTCTTAGATTTTGGAAATTCTACTGTAGTTATAAAAGTGAATGTATTTTTTCTTAGAAAATACACATTACAGCAGTTAGGCATAAAAGGACAGGAAATCTCCAACTTTCTTAAGAACTCAACAAACATTATTATTATTCTATATATATTTAATTATATCTGTCTCTATATAACATCATAATTATCTCTGTCTCTATATTTGTATATATGGACACAGAGAGAAACAGAAAATGAATCATGTAGAAAATGTGACGAAATGTAAATAAACAATCCATGAGTCCGGGTGAGGTGTGCTCTGGAGTTCCCTGTACTATTCTTGCAACTTTACTGTAAGTTTTAATTATTTCACAATTAAAAAGTTAAAAAATATATAAATTGTTTTTTGATCAGTCATCAAGGAGCTTATAGTCAGGTTGGGATTATAAGACCTACTATAAGAGTGTGTAAATTCAACTGAGGCAATACAAGAGATCATTTCACCAAATAAGTGACCTTCGATCTCTACTATGTGCCACTCACTGTACATGGTCTCAGGTTAAAGTGATGAAAACACATAGACTGTCTCCTCAAATATTTCACTTTGTCACCCAGGCTGGAGTGCAGTGGTGTGATGGCTCACTGCAGCCTTGACCTTCCAGGCTCAGCAGTCTTCCCATCTCAGCCCACTGAGTAGCTGGAACTACAGGAACCAATCATCCCATACAGCTAATTTTTGTATTTTTTTTTTTTTTTTAAAGACAGGGTCTCACCATGTTGCCCAGGCTGGTCTCGAACTCCCGGGCTCCAGAGATCCACCTGTCCTCTTCTTTTGCCAAGCCCATCTCTCTCATCTCATCATTCAGACCATAGGCTTTAGACAAAAAAGAAAGCCTGATTTCCAGAACATTAAAGTTGGTTTTTCCAGGGAGATGTAGGATGATGATAATTGCACTTACTCTTTGGTGTCTTTCACAATAACAAATAAACGGCAGACATACATTTCAATAAGTTATTCTGCAATGCAGGTTTAGGGTAAATTTGTGTACCTCTGAAACTTCAGAACTTCATTCATCATTGGCCAGGTGCAGAATCAGCCGTCTCCATGAATTTCCTAGGCTGGACAGACTTGGTTTGTTTATGTCTATTTCTTGGGCAGGATATGAACCTTTACAGCTAGTTCTTGATAATGTCTTGGACAAATATAAAGTTATTTTAAACCAATTTCTCAGACTATTTTTTCTCCATCCTGGATTTGAAACAATGTCTGACTTACAATATAATTAACTTGGAAATGTTTATACCAATCAAGTTCATCTTTGGCTTGCAGACACCAATCACTTTTTGCTGTATACCATTCTAGATCAAGAAAAACTGGCATCTTGTAGCTCACAGATGCAATGTCAATAAAAGGTTGATCTATCCAAGATGCTTTTAAAAGTTATATTTGTGTGAGAATAAAGTGTCAGCACCATTCTTTGTAGCATCAAGGCATTTGACAGTTGAAAAGCAAAAGAAAAATGTGAATTATTAACCGAGATGGTCTTTTAGTTCATTCCTATTGCTCTAACAAAATATCTGAGACTGAGTAGTTTATAAAGAATATAAATTTATTGCTCACGGTCATGGAGGCTGGGAAGTCCAAGATCAAGCAGCCAGTAGTTGAGTGTTTGATGAGGGCCCAGTCTCTGCTTCCAAGATGGTGCCTTGAATTCTGTATCCTCACTGGAAGAAAGTAGAAGGGAAAAAGGGGCAAATGCTATTTGAAGCTTTACTATAGGGCTTTAATCCTATATAAGAGGACAAAGCCTCATCACCTCCTAAAGGCCCCAACTCTTAATGTTATCACTTTGATGATTAACTTTCAACATACAAATTTTGGGAGACACATTCAGATCATGGCAATTGGCAAAAATAAAATTTTGTTGTTTTATTTTTTGGTAAACCAAAGGCCAATTCCTTTGCTCTCCATATCTGCAGCAAAACAATTAATTTTGTTATTAAACTTTTATTTCAGAATTTAATCAATCTAATGCTCTAGTTAAATACAGGTAAATATTCTATTATAAAATATGGTTTTTATGCAATAATACAGATGAATCTCACAATCATAATGTTGACTAAAAGAAGTCAAACAAAAAAAGTCGATATTTTAAGATTCTACCTCTAAGAAAATACAAAGAAAGCAAAATTAATCTATGCTCTCAGCAGTCAGAATAGTGGTTATCTTTGAGGAAACAAAAATACACTGAAAGAGAAAGCAAAAGAAATTGGGGTGGGGGACTGCTAATAATGTCTTTATTGATTTTGGTGTTTATTGCACAGCTGTGTTTAATTTGTAAAACATTTATCAAGGTGTTGACTTATGTGCCCTTATATTAAAGTATGCCATATCTTAAAATATTAAAATGAGAAGTATTTTCATATATATATGCAAAACATAATGAAGAAATTTAAGCAGTACATTTAATTTCATGACCTGGAAATATTACTCTCTGCTTGTGGGTTTTTTTTAAATTTCACATTTTACAATTATTTTATTTCATTTATCTATTTTTATTGTTTATATATTTTTAATTTTCAACTTTTATTTTAGATACGGCGGGAATACACGAGCAGGTTTGTTACCTGGGTATGTTGCACCCATGTAGTGAGCACAGTACCCAATAGGTAGTGTCACAAAGCATACCACCCTCCCTTCCCCTCTAGTAGTCCACAGTGACTGCTCTTCCCATGTTTATGCCCATGTGCTCAATGTTTGGCTCCTGCTTATAAATGAGAACATATGGTATTTGGTTTTCTCTTCCTGCATTAATTCACTTAGGGCTATGGCCTCCACCTGCCTCCATGTTGCTGCAAAGGACATGTTTTCATTCTTTTATAAGACTGCATAGTATTCCATGATGTATATGTACCACATTTTCTTTATCCATTCTACCATTAATTGGCATCTAGGTTTATTCCATGTCTTTGCTATTGTGAATAGTGCTACAATGTATATATGAGTGCATATGTCTTTTTGGTAAAATGTTCTATTTTTCCTTACGTGGATAGCTTTATTAAGTTTTTTTTTTTTTTTTTTTTTTTTTTTTTCAGATATCTCCAGACTTCTTTCCACAGTGGCTGAATTAATGAATTAACTTACGTTCCCACCAGCAATGTGTAAGTGTTCCCTTTCAGCCTTGCCAGCATCTTTTTTTTTTTTTTCCTTTGGTCTTTTCAGTAATAACCATTGTGACGTCTCATTGTGATTGTAATTTGCATTTATCTGATGATTAGTGATGATGTGTATTTTTTCATATGTTTATTAGCCACTTGTATATCTTCTTTTGAGAAGTGTTTGTTATGTCCTTTGACAATTTTTAATGGGGTTATTTTCTGTTTGTTGATTTAAGTTCTTTATTGATTCTGGATATTAGACCTTTGCCAGATTCATAGCTTGTGAATAATTTCTCCTAAACAGTAGGTTGTCTGTTTACTCTGTTCATAGTTTCTTTTGCTGTGCAGAAGCTCTTTATGTTAATGATATCCCTTTACTCTGTTCATAGTTTCTTTTGCTGTGCAGAAGCTCTTTATGTTAATGATGTCCCACTTGTCAATTTTTGTTTTTGTTGCAATTACTTTTGGGTACTTAGCCAACAATTCTTTGCCAAGGCCACCAATGTTGGGAATGGTATTTTGTAGATTGTCTTCTAGGATTTTTAAATTCAAATTGTGAAATTACATTTTACAATTATTTTATTTCATTTATCTATTTTTAAGTTAATTCATCTTACATTTAAGTTAATTCATCTTGATTTAATTTTTATATATAATGAAAAATAAGGGTCCAGTTTATTTCTTTTGCATGTGGCTAGCCAGTTATCCCAACACCATTTTCCTAATTACTTGTTTTAGTTTGCCTTGTTGAAGATCAGTTGGTTGTAGATGTGTGGCTTTATTTCTGAGTTTTCTATTCTGTTCTATTGATCTACATGTCTGTTTTTGTACCAGTGTTATGCTGCTTTGGTTACTGTAGCCCTATTCTATAGTTTGAAGTTGGGTAGTGTGATGCCTCCAGCTTTGTTCTTTTGCTTTGTTCTTTGGCTATTCAGGCTCTTTTTTGGTTGCATATGTATTTTAGAATAGTTTTTTTTCTAATTCAGCCAAGAATGAGGTTGGTGGTTTGATAGGAATAGCACAGAATATATAAATTGCTTTCTATAGTATGGCCATTTTAACAATATTCATTCTTCTAATCTATGAGCATGGAATGTTTTTCTATTTATTTGTGTTTTATCTGATTTCTTTCAGCAGTGTTTTATAGTTCTATTTGTAGAGCTCTTTCACCTTCTTGGTTGAGTGTGTTCCTAGGTATTTTATTTTCTTTGTAGTTATTGTAAACAGGACTGTGTTCTCAATTTGACTCAGGCTGGATATTATTGATGTGTAGAACTGCTACTGATTTTCGTATATTGATTTTGTGTTTTGAAGTCTTGCTAAAATCATTTATCAGTTCTTGTAGCTTTTTGGTAAAGTCTTAAGGGTTCTGTAAGTATAGAATCATATCATCAGTGAATAGAGATAGTTTGACTTCTTGTTTTCCTATTTGGATGCCTTTTATTTCTTTCTCTTGCCTAATTCTTCAGACAAGACTTCCAGTACTCCTAAGCACAGTTAAGCATGCGTCAGTCTCATAATCTGAGGGTCCTGAGTTAGATTATTTTAAAGTTACAAAATATTATGTGGGTGTTTTAAAAAATTCAAATAAATAAATATATTTAATAAAATGTGATATCCTTCATTCACCGCTTAGCATCTCATCACAATGAATAAATCCCTTACTCCATCTCACATCCCCAGATTTAATCAGTGCTAATAAGGAGTGGGTATATTTTTACACATTTAGTTCTTATTTCATAAGAAAGAATACTATATATTTAAAAATAGAGCATTTCATTTAGAAAACAGAAATAAGATAACTTGTTCTGAGTTGATTTCTCATCTTTTGGACATTGTCATAATGGTACATAAAACAATACCTCGTTATATTGAACATCTGTGTATATTCCACTCTATGAATGAATATGTAAGAATGTATAAGATTTTTATACTGATGAACATTTAATTTCTTTCCTGTTCTTCGCTATTAAAAGCAATTCAGAAAAATCCTTATACACAGATGTGTTAGTCTTCTCGGGCTGCCTTGAAAGAACACCACAGACTGGGTGGCTAAAACAACAGAAAATTATTTTTTTCACAGTTCTACAGGCTCTTAGTCCAAGATCAAGATGCTAGCAAGACTGGTTTCTGGTAAGACCCTCTTTCTCCCTTGCAAATGGCCACCTTCTCTCTGTGTCCTCATGTGGCCACGTGTACTTGCAAAGAAACAGCTCTCTGGTGTCTCTACCCTTTTTTACAAGGACACCAGTCTTAGTGGATTGAGACCCTATCCTTATGACCTTATTTAACTTTAATTACCTTCTTAAAAGTCCTATCTTGAAATACAGTTATACTGAAAGTTAAGGCTTCCATGTAAGAATTTTGAAAATGCACATTCATTCTATAATAACAGATACCTATGCAAGTGTGTATTTTTATAATTTATAAGGTTGATACACAAACATATCTAAACATTTACATATTATTTATGTATAAATAATATACAAATATATATTATTATATTGTATAATATATAGCATGATACATACATGGATACATACTATCTAAATATATATGTATACCTTTAGAGAGAGAGCAATATACACTGCATGTATAGTTTTTTAATATTGAAAACTGTATTATGTAAGTCATTTTATGTTCTGCATTTCTTATCATTTTTAATGAATATTTTTGATATTACAATTCTCTGAAAAAATATTTTAACAATTGTATATAATTTTATAGAGTTTTTAAACATTCTGCTATTTTAGGGATGTGAAACTTGCAAAAAATGTGCCTAGGTTTCATCATCAATTTTAAATAAAAGACAAGATCTCATTATATATATGTTTCTACCCATATCTCTATTTCTATAAAATACATCCTTAGAAATGAATTACTCACTAACAGGAGAGAGTGTTTTTTAAAGCTTTTTGTATACATCGTCATAATTTTACTGTGGGAGTTATATAAGTTTACATGGCTACCAGAGATATATTATCAATGATGTTAAATATTTTTTGTTGCCTTAAATTTCTTTTTTTGCATTTGTTTAATGTCTTCTACTGAAATTTGTTTTTTATATTGGTTATGTTTTTGTTATAGTTACTGCTTTTTTCTAAAGTTTTTCTGTTTTACTTTTTTAAAACTTATTTTTAATTGACAAATAATAGTTACATATATATTTGTGAGTCACAATTTGGTGTGTCTATACATGTATACCTTGTGGAATGATCAAATCAGGCTAATCAGCATATCGATTATCTCAAATATTTATCACTTCTTTCTGATGATAACATTTAAAATCCTCTCTTTTGGCTATATTGATAGCTAAAATAGGGTATTTTAGCAATACATTATTATTAACCATAGTCACTACATTATGCAATAGAACACTAGAAGTTATTCCTCCCATCTAATTGAAACTTTGTACTTGTTCACCAATGTGTCCCCTTGCCTGGTCCCCCACACATCCCCCTTTCCCTAGCCTCTGGTAACATCCATTATGCTCTTTACTTCTATAAGTTTGACTTTTAAATTCTTTTTAGAAGTGAGATCATGTATTATTTATCTCTTTGCACTTGGCTTATTTCACTTAACATATTCTTCTCTAGGTCCATCCATGTTGTAAATGACAGAATTTCCTGGTTTTCTTAACGCTGAATAGTATTTCATTGTGTCTAGGAACGCTATTTAAAAATAAAAACACATTCATCGGTTGATAGGCACTTAGGTTGATTCCATATTTTGGCTATTGTGAATAATATTGCAACGAGCATAAAAGTGCAGACATCTCTGCGACATGCTAAATTAAATTCCTTTGGAAATATAACCAGTAATGAGATTGCTGGCACAAATAGTAGTTCTATTTTTTGGAAATTTGGGTAACCATCCCCTCAAGCATTTATCCTTTGTGTTACAAACAATCCAGTTATCATTGTTTAGCTATTTTAAAATGGACAATTAAATTATTATTGACCATAGTACCCTTGTTGTACTATCAAATACCAGCATTTCTTGTAAGGAAGTTCTGTAGGTGATACACTCTCTCAGCTTTTGTTTGTCTGAGAAAGTCTGTATTACCTGTTTATTTTCAAATGTTGCTGAATATAGTATTCTTGTTTGGCAATTTTTTTTTCTTTCAGGATTTGATTGTATCATCCCACTCATTTGGGCTATGCAAGATTTCTGCTGAAAAGTCTGTTGATAATCTTACAGAGGTTCCCTTATATGTAGCAATACACATATGTAGCATATAGGTAACAATTTTCCTTATTGTTTTCAAAACTCATCTTTAATAGCTTTTGGCAATTTATGATGTGTATCAGTGTGTATATCTGTGGAATCATATTTGGTGTCCTTTATGCTTACACTATTTAGATTTTTGTTCCTTTCCCAGGCTTGGGAATTTTTCCATCATAATTTTTTTTGAAAAAGTCTCTCTCTTCTTTTTCTGGGTACAACAGTAGTACATATCCTGTTATGCCTGATCATTTCCATAAGTCTCTGAAACCATCCTCACTTTTTATCATTCTTTTTTTCTTTGCTCTTCACCTTGTGTAATTTCCACTAACCTGTCTTCAAGTTCACTTCTGCTCAATGTGGTCTGTGGTCAAACGCTTGTCTTGTATTGTTTAGTTCAGTTGAGAGTATTCTACAGCTCTATAACATCTTTCTGGTATGTTTCTGTACTTTCTATCTCTTTGGTAACATTTTCAGTTTGTTTTTGCATTGCTCTTCTGACCTTGTAAGCATCTTTATGACTATTTGAAATTTCCTATCAGGTAAATCATATACCTTCACTTCACCCAGGTTGATTTCTGGAGATGTATCTTGTTTCTTTTTTTTTTGTTTTGTGTGTGGAATATATCCCCGTTTCTTCATTTTTCTTGACTCTTTGTATTGGTTTCCATGCATCATATGAGACAAATACCTCTCCCAGTCTTATCAGACTGACTTCTTGTTGAAGAAGTTGACCAATTCATCTGGCTTCCCGGATTTTATGGTGCCTCTCAAATATGTGTGTTTGTCCAGAATACTGTCTCTGTTTTTGGTGGCCCCTGGAGTTTAGGATGTGTCACGGCCTGTCTGCACCCTGAAACTGATAGAAGTCAGACTCCATAGACATAACTGAAAAGGTTTGGGTTAGATGTGTGTTCCAATTCCTTCTATCTTTATGATTAAGCTAATGTGGGCTTTTGTCTCCCCCTCGCTCTGCACTAAGCCAAGGAGGACATTGGTAGCAAATGCCTGTACTTAGAGTGCTGCACCCTCTGATTTTGGAATGATAGCTGATGGAAGGGGGTCTATTTTATAGGCAACTCTTTATTTCCTGTGGCATAAGGCCACTCAGGAATGCAAAGCTCCGTTAACTCCCAGAACTAAGACATTAAGGAGACAATTTGTTGGGTGGGAACTATAGAAGTTGTGGCACTCAGTGTGTGGCCAAACTCTTTCCAGAAAGAATGAGTAGACCATAATTTATTACTAAGATAAGCTGAAGGAAAGACTTGTGAAGTGGTAACATTTGGCTTCAACTGCCAGAGGGCTATTATTTGTTTGCCATGTTGGCTTCCCAATGTAAGTTCATTAGAAGCCACTGGAGTGTGTGCTATAATCCCCTTCTGAATAAAAAATGAGAGCTGTGTGTCCTTAAGTCAGTTTGCATTGCTCCATGGAGATGTAGCTCTTGGAAGTGTTTGTACACCCAATTAAAATCCCCTGTCTTCTATGATACCCAGAGGGAGGAGGTTTAAGATGCAGTTCCTCAGGTGAAAGTTGTAAAACTCGGAGTGCTTAATGTATGGACAAACTGTCTCCAGGAATGATTAATAGAATGAGAGTTATCACTGGAGTGAGCTCCAATGTGCTTCTCAGGCTCGTGATGGGTTAATACTTGTCTGCCTGTTAACTCCCCAGTGTAACTTAGTTAGAAGCCAGGTCATTGAGTAGCCACTGGAGGAGTGTGTTTTAAATTCCTTCAAGGAGAAAAAGGAGGCTATATTATTTTAAGCTCCTTTTCTGCCCTGCTCCTGAGGAATTAAGTCCATGGAAGTGCTTGTGAGCCTGTATAAAACTGCCACTTTTTTCCGGTGGTCTAGAGAGACTACTGTGTGTCTTGTCCCCTCTGCTCTTAGAATTGGTGAATTATGTGGAACTTTAGAGTGAGGGTGCTAGATGTGAAGTTCAAACCCTCCTTTCCACAGGGACAACCTGGGTGTTGGGGATTCCTTTTTCAATTTTATGACACAGTGCCCAGGGCAGGGTCTGTGACCAGCTTTTCCTACATTTTTGAAGTGGATATTTTCTTAGTTGCCCAATTAATACGAGTCTCTCAATTCATCCCTTCCTTTCTCTCAAAGGACGTTGATCCATGAAAAGATGTTTATTTGGTGAATCCATGGACAGAGGAAAAATCTGGAACTTCTAATTCTGCCATGTTGCTGATGTCACCTATTCCTTTTACTTTAATTTTTATATCTAGAAAGTTTTTGATAAATTTTTCTTACTACAGTTGCTTAACTTACTATAGTATTATGTTCTGATAGTATATGTTCTCATAAGTTGAAAATATTGTACTTTGAAAATGCATTCAATACACCTAATTTACAAAGCATCATAGCTAACCCTAGGCTACCTTAAATGTACTCAGTATACTTGCGTTAACCCACAGTTGGGCAAAATCATCTAACTCAAAGCCATTTTTAATGAAGTAAATATCTCATATAATTTATTGACTACTATATTGGAATTGTATCAGTTTTGCACCATCATAAAACTGAAAAAAAATCTTACATTGAACCATTGTAAATCAGGGACTGTCTGTACTTTTTTTTTCTCAGAAAATTTTTAGCTGTTTAAAATTTTTCCTCCCTTTCCTGAATTTGGATTGGCATTCAGGAGGCCAATAAATTACATTGGGAATAATTGAGATCTTTATGTTAACTAGTCTTCTTGTTCATAATTATAAAAATTATTTTTAAAGCTTATCAACAAAGCTTAATATTTTTATGTATATATTTTGGGTTTGATTAAGAGTAGTCTTAAGTGTCTTATATTTTTGTTGCTTCTTTTGTATAAGGTATAATCCTTGATTACATTTTTTACCTAGATATTGCTGGAATAAAAATGATTTTTTAAAAATCTTACCACTTTACTGAACTCCCTCAACAGAATGAATAATTTTGTTTGTTTCTCTCAAGCTTTCTTGTAATACTTTTACACTGACAAGTATTAATACTTTTGCTCCTACAGACCCTAGGTAGTGTTTTGCTTGTGCCGTCTGTCTTCTTCTTTTCCTTCGGTACATCTCTTCAGAGTTGTGTGTATATATGCATGTCCACGTTATGAAATTGTTTTGAGGTTTTGAATTACATGTCTGAACATTGGTTTCTGTAGACTGAGAGTGAATGACTTCCACGGAAGGCTATAAGAAATGGCTTTCTTGTAAATACCTTCAGAGGCAATAACACACATCCCACAGTCTTACCCAAACCAATAATCTATTTTATGTCTAAGTATATTTTGAGAATTCTCCAAGACTTTTGACTTACTCTTAGTGATACATCAGAAGCACTTTATAGACTTTTTACCAAATTTGTTACTAAGGAGACATCTGGGATCATTCTTAAGAGAGCTGAATGACCGCTGACTTGGGACACTTCTGTATAGAAAGGATCATTTCTTTCAAATTTGTTCCACATTTCTTTCCAGTATTTTTATTGTTCAATAGAGGCCATATGAAACTTTAGGGCATGTTCCTTTTGTGACAACCTTTGTCCTTTGAGTCTTAACACAAAATCAGATTGTCCTCTTCTTTAATCCTATATATATTTTTTGAGATAGAGCCTCACTCTGTATCTCAGACTGGAGTGCAGTGGCATGATCTCAGCTCACTGCAACCTCTGCCTCCTGGGTTCAAGTGATTCTCATGCCTCAGCCTACTGAGTAGCTGGGATTACAGGTACACACCGTCATGCCCAGTTAATTTTTGTATTTTTAGTAGAGACAGGGTTTCACCATGTTGGCCAAACTGGTCTCGAACTTCTGACTTCAAAAGATCTGCCCATGTAGGCCTCCCAATGTGCTGGGATTACAGGCATGAGCCACAGTGCCCAGCCTAATCATATTTTTAATAAAATTGTATTTTATTTGTTGGATAACTAGTTGAGAAGCAGGGAAGGATCATAGTTTTACAGATTGAAGACAACAAAATTACTTCACTCAACTATTTACTAAACATTGAAAGTTTACAAGAGTTTCTGAGTATCCCATTTGCTGTAACAGAATTCTACCCTACCTAACTCCAGGAAACTTCTCAAGGAATTACAGAAAGTCTTTGAAATCCTTTAGAGTTATAGTATACTGTGTTTATTTTTCTTCTTTCTTATGCATTATAATCATGAGTATTGCGGCAGGCTAGAAAGTGTTGGCTTTACAAAGCCAAAAACACTGCTGAATCATCACGTGAATCCTTGCTGCCAAGGTGGAAGCATTCTTTCTGCACTAGCATAAATCTTGTAGAATTTCCAAGGCACATTGGAAAAAGTATACTAAAGTTAAACTTTTCTTTTTAGAAATATAGACAATTTGTGTTTTTAAAACTTGTTTTACAGTGATAATTTCATTTATCTTGGTTTTCTTAGGATGTAGGGACCAAGCAATGGAAGCTTTACAAATGACAAAACCATGCTTCTTCAAATCCACCTGGAGCCAAAATCATGTTGAAAAATGTGTTCCACATTTCTCCCCACCCTTATATGTGGCTCTCAATCATTTAATGGCTCTGAAGGGCTCACAGAAGTCTCCAAAGAACTATAACACAGTTTTTACAAAAATCAGGAATGGTCAGTTTACCTCATAATACTAAAATTATTCTGGTTCTCTGAATCCCCCCTTACAGATCTCATAATGAGAAACTACTGGTATTGACATCTGAACCATCAGTTTCCTCTTTAATGAGCCTTTCCCAAATGTAACTAGGAAGTCCATCCTTGTAGTTATATCAGATTGCTGGGGGAAGAAAAGTTTATAGGCTTTGGTTTACTCAGAATTGCAAGTGCACTCATTCAAAATTCATTAAAAATGCCTTTTGTGTGTAGGCTCTGTGTACAGGGGAATGGAAGAATAAAACAAAGATTTTACCTAATACATGTAGCATTGTATGCTTTTGTCGGCTGAGAAAAAAAAACAAACTTGACAAACTAACCCTGTGTATAGAAGCTTGATGTCACCCGCAGTCAAAACATAGGCATCCAGTCCATGTATTAAAGCACTGCCATAAAAGACCAAGGGATAATGGAGCCATTCCAGAGACCTGTTTAGAAAAGTTGCTGCCTGGGCAGTTTTTGTATAGTAGCTGCATGGTCATGCTAATGACCCATGAACTCATGGACTTTGATAAAATAAACTCTTTCTCAACAATATCTCCGAAAGACAAGATGGATTTGTTGAACTTCTATACCTAAAAGCAGAATTTGAGGACAGCATTAAATTAAGAATCTCATGAAATGTAGCTCTAATGTCTCAAAAACCTTTTGTAAAACACCCCAGGAAAAGGGCATATTACATTTAAGCTTGTTTAACCTGCAAAGTAAGAAAAGCAGTTGACATGAAACGATCATGTAAAGAGTTCCATTCTGGAAGAGTGGTGATGTGATGAAATAGACATAAAGCTGCTGGCATCACCCTGTAACTTTCCCTTTGCAGGGCTGATTCCTGACCTCAGCCTGCTCCAGTTAGCACAAGGACCCAAGTGTGCAGCCCCTTCTCACGAAATGGTACACCAACAGAAATGCTGTTCGCTTGCGCATATCATTTAGTCATAGCTTCCCTTGGAGGAAAATAACATTATTGTATAAATATATTTCTTATTGCCTGCCTCTTCCCTCCCTCTTTTTCTGCTTCATTCCTCCTTTCCTTCTTCTCTCCTTTATTTCTCTTTTCTTTCATACTTCAAGCACACATGCTTCTTTGGCATATGCCAGATGTGGTCAGAGACATTGAGGTGGTTGGGGGGGGTAACTGCTGCAGTTTAGAGAAAAGGGAGAAAAATATTAAAGATGATATAAAAGATATTAAAAAGATAATACATTTTGGTCTCATCCATCCCATAATACTAAGTTCAGTCAGGGAGACAGATGTAAAACAAAACAAAACAAACAGGACCTATAAATGAACAAAGTAATATTAGCCCATGAGTGCATAGAATGTATTATGCTAACTAGTCAGGTAAGCAATTTGATCACCAATTTTATATCTTGGACTATGTGAAAACAACAATCTGATTCCACATTTACGATAATCTTAGTGTCACCATCCTCATTGTATTGTTTTTATTTATTAATTTAATAAGTATTAGTCCAGGACTTACGGACAAGGCCTCCAGTTAGATGTTATGGGAATACTGGAATTTTTCCGGACACACAGAGCCTGGGCAATTAAAAATAGGCAAGGGACAAACAGACACGCAACCAGTGCCAAAACAAGGAAGTATAAAATGACTGTCATATGAGTGGTGAAATACAAAGTACTTTGGAAGTTATAAAGAAGAACAAATCATTCTGAAATTTAGGAATGTACAGCCAGATATAGTAAAAATTCTGCAGTGACCTAACTTCTATCACTTATTTCTCACTGACTTCATTTGCCCTTGCCCCTCTCATCCTTTTTGATCTCAGCACTTATGGTTCCCCAGGGCTATGCTACAGAGCATCATGTTCCTTCCAGCTTTTTTTTGTTATTGTTCTTAAACTCCTGTTTTCTCAATCTCAGCCTAAATTGACTTGCATAGCAAATACAATCTTGCTAATAGTAAAAAGAATGATGATGAATTGATTGTAACAGCTATAAAGTAACATGTTTGCATTTTATCAAATATTTTAGAGATAAGCTTCCAAAGGAGTGGTGAGAAATTTTCTGGTAACACCATAAGCTGTGGGCAGAAATATTTTTGGATTAGCTGGCAGATGTCTTTCAAATCTTCCACCTAAACAACCACTTTCTCTGGCATCACGAAGGGCTCTTCCTACAAGTATATTTACCTTAAAAAGATAAGAAGACTGCAGAACATTCTGTTGTTCAATTTAAACTTCGTTGTGATACCACCTACAAATAACTGTTGCAATGTCCCTTATGCACCCATGATGTAGCCCTGTATATTTCTTGTCTTTTAGGAAAGCCAAAAGTGACCTGCAGTGATTACAAGCAAACATCACTGTTTTACTCTGTGTTTGTGTTAAAGATTTATTTTACAATTGAAAAAGAATAATTGCATTGTTAAAGGCATTCCTTTGGGTGGCAAAGACATGGTTTTCTTCCATTTTTTAGATAAGAGTAGCTTGAAGAACCACTGGGCCCACTTCTCACGTGCCCTTCCTGGAGCAGGAACTGCTGGTCTTAGGTCCAGATGTCACACACAACTGGATATTCTACCACCCCCTTCCCATAGCTACTACCTCCTAAATGCTCTAGATGTCATATATTGTTTCATTTTCAAAATCAAACAAATTAAATAAAATTTTGTTGTATATATTTTAGAATTTCACAATGTCTTTTGAAAACATTGTAATCCATGGTGTTATAAAATCAAGTTGAAAGATTATTGGGATAGAGGCCAGGAAAGGGATATAATTTTTGCTTAATTTAAACCCCCTAATAATTTCTTCTGCATTATTGCACATGTTCTTACACAAAGGTCTATTTTCTAGATATATAGCTATCTATACAAATGACATGTGAAAGCTACACAGAGATCTCATTGCCTTTTTTAAACCTATGTATTAAATGGCTAGAAAGAAGACCCGGGTAATATTTTTTATTTGATAACGTAAAGCCCTTACTTGGAAACCCATATGTGTCAGGGTTTAAACTCTTTTTTCCCCTTTTATTTACTTAACTTTCCTCACCCTCCACACAGACTGTGGAGATTTTTTCATTCTAAAGATTTCCACCTGTCAGTCAATCTCCCGATTGAAAGATTAGTTTCAATGGGATGGTTAGCTTCAGTAAAGATATGCTGCTCTTCTGGACTCATGGAAGTAGACACATTCATGGCTAGCATCTCAGTATTCCCTCTAGTAGTAAAGTGACCTCCTGCTGGTCTTGCTGCTCCTTGAGTACTTTACTGAAAAGTGGAAGGAAAACCTGGGAGTTATAAGAAGGCTTGAAAAGAATCCTGCCTGAGAAAATTTTAGTATCAAGCCATTAGTCAAAAATCTTCCTGCATGTTCTCTGAGTTTCTTCTCCTCCTCCTCATTCTTCTCCACCAGTCACTGGAATGTTCTTTCAAAAGAATGACTGCATCGGTCATTAAAATGGGAATTGAGGTTGCATTGATCTGTGACCTTTTTGGCAGGATAGGCTGTCCTCACACATAAACTTTGCTGTGACAGAATTTTTTTTTTCCTCTTTTCCTGCCATGGAACAGTCCCAAAGGAAAACTGAGAAAGATCCCAGTTGGATAAGTCCTGAGTAAAAAAGTCTTTAAAATGAATGTGGCTCATTTCTCCCTCCTTTATCTGTTCTTTAATTTTTAATCTTATTTTGTCATAGCAGAGTTAAATGATGTCATGTGGTCATCTCTAAATAGAGGTCATCAATTTTTGCCAATGCACATCTTTTGGAAATGCATTGGGGAGTTTAAAAAATTATCACACTATGATCAGGTAAGCTTAGAACTCCAACTATGGGACACAAATTTCTATTACTATGTATTTCTTCAACATATTCACAGACGTGTGCTGCATGCACTGACATAAATGTGAGCAAAGTAAATACAGAATGAGCCATAGAACAAGAATGTATAAGAAAATCTTTAAAATGGTTATTATTGTTCTAAACCAGGTTAAGCTTTAAAATTAAGGAAACTGAAATTGGAAACAATTTAAAATAGTCTTCAAATTTATAGTTTTAGATATAGTTTTTCATAATAAAATATTTAAATTATATACAGAAACATATAATCTTTAATGACCTAGAATCACAAATAAATATAAAATTTTTTGTTTGCTCTTAATATTTGGTCTGCATTTAACATTACATCTTCATAAGAATATTTTATGACTGAAGCAAAAATAATCTGTAAAAGGAAAATAGTTTGGAATTAAAACTTTTTACAGCATGCTTCTTTTTAAACTGAAAATAGAGAAAGAGGAGGAGGGAGAGAATAAAAGTAGTAAAAGGAGGATGAGAAGGTGAAGGGAAAAGAGAGAAAAAATAGGGAATGAAACACTTTCCCAGTCATATGCTATGATAAGCTTGTGTAATTTGTCATCTATAACAGGTCATCCTGAATTAAACTTCACACCACAACTTAGAGATATGGAATTAAAAACTAAGCAAATCAAAAAACATTGTAGTAACTCAATAAATATTAAAATTCCTAGGTTACAGTTTCTTCATCCATGGATATAATTCTACGTGTTATGAATATCACCAAACCATTCAGCAAGGTATGGATTTGATAAGCAAGATAAAATTCAATCACTCTAAATGCTTCTCAGAGCCGCTGAACACATATGTTTTTAACTTAAATTTAGCAATGTCACTATGTGGCATTATTTACCATGGTTGTATTTTTTGGGGGGTTGTTAGGCCATTATTAATATCAGTTTTGGACTTTCTAGGATACTTAGGCTGTTTGTTGTTCTCAGGAAAAACGCACTATTCTTCCTGTCTCAATTAAGATATAGGAGAGAAACTGCAGAAACTAAGCTGAATTTGAAATGAATTACTCACCAGTCATTTTTTTTTTTTTTTTTTTTTTTGCATTCTCAGAAAACCTCTGTGTATTTTTGTTTTTTCAGCTCTGAGTAATTGTTAAAAAAATCATGTGTTTCCTGTCAGGTCTAAGATGTAGACTCTGCTGAACATTTGTGTTTAAAATAATTAGCTAGCTGGCATTTGTTTCCAGAGCCTTTAGTCTCTTTAGCAAAGATCAAATGGATAGTTTCAATCCAGCAAAATCTTTAATAACAAAAATTAAACAAGAACTTCAAAAACATAAAGTGCCAAGGAATTTATTCAAAACGCTACAGCCTGAATCCTCTGTTTGAAGCTAAAATTATCTTAAGACAGAGAGAGCTATAGATTCTTACAGTACAATATATATTTTAAAGGTGTATTGTGGAGTGTTTAGTCCTATCAAACATAAAATTTAGATAAGCATAGTCAACTGTTTAATGAAGTAGATTTTCTGGTTTAGTGACAGAGTCCTCACAGGTACAAAGGGACACTCAAATCCCATTAATTAGCTTTTCTTTATGCCAATTTATTAAATTTTTATCTTAAAAGGTTTCAGTGTGTTATGATTTAGAAAATAAATTTGGAGATTATTGCAAGAATTTAATTGTAGACAAAAGTTTATTTGGACAGTTATTATTTCATTCAATTTGTATCTAACATATTTATACTTGATGTTTACTAAATTAGCAAACATTTATCTCATTAAGATAGAATAACATTTAATAAAATTTTAGCTACAGAAGAAAATAGAGATGTAATGTGAAAATAGATTAATTAATAGAATCTGAGCAGTCCTCAGTGGTCATTTAATATAAATCCGTCAACTCAGAGAGCACTACAAAAATAGTGCTGACATTCATTCATTCACTGGCTCCTTACTTCCAGGGATGTGACCTCCTTTCTTCACAAGATAAACATTTACATTATTGAATTTAGTTTATCTGTCTTCCTGCACGTCCCCATGTCTTACCCATTTATCTTATAATTTCCCTTTCTAACTTTAGAGAGAATAAGTCTATACCTTCTTGAACATGATGCACCCACCCCACCTCCCAGTATTAAAGAATTCTATTATATCTTCAATTAAATCTTCCTTTCTGTAGTTTTTCAATCATTCTTTTATGGCATAATACGCAGACCATATTTCAAAAAAAAATCAATTTTTTTAAACTTTCAATTCTCTCTACTTGGTCTGAAACCATGATGTTAAAACTGGATCCAATATTCTAGTTGAGGTCTGACTAGTACTAAATATGTGAACAATATTTTTATATTAATTCAATATAGAAATATGTAGCTGGCATCTTGGAAGAAGGATTTGGTGGTGACCATCGTTAAATGATATCATCTTTGGTTTGGTTGCTGAAAGCTGTGGTCAACTAAGCACTCCAATTTCTTTTTCAAGTCAACTGGTATCAAGACTGTATTTTTCACTCTGTTTTGTGCATTCTTTTGTTGCTGTTGTTGTCATTTTTAATCTCCAAGCAGGAATAGAATGTTGGTATTTTTAATAAAGCAAAATTTTGGTTCTATTAAGGCCATTTTGAATGTGAATTTTGTTTTATTATATGTTGACTGTCACCCTCAGTTTGGGGCTCTGCAAGTTTGATAAATAAGTCTTCTTTCTTTTCACAAAATTCACCAATAGGAAGTTCAACATGAAAATCTGTCTCTGGGTCTAATCATTTGTATGAGCCTGGCTTTGTTATTTACCTTGTTTCCACTTCTCTAAAGCAGAGATGATGATGATGAAAGAACTTATATCATAGCTTATTTTAAGGATCAAATGAATTAACACGTCTAAAGTACTCAGGAAGATACCACATGTAATAAATATAACGTAACTTCCAAAGTTACCCTTACGTTTCATAGCATTCTTCTAACCATCAGTTTTCATATACAACATCCTTATCAATCATCGATTTAATTTTTTCAATGGTAGTAAACCATAGGATTGATAATTTACCTAATCTAGAAAAAAGTTAAGCATATGGTTGACAATTTTCAAAATACAACTTTTTCATTTTAAAACATTAAGTTGTAAATTGTTATAAAGTACATAAACATGATGTAAAAGACTGCTTTATATACCCTTCTTTTGAAGCCTTTAAAGAAGAATAAAAATTAATAATGACTTTAGTTTTTAATATGTACTTATGACTACATTAGTAAAGTATATAATTGTAAATTTAAAAAACAGTAGAAATCCCCAAGATTGAAATGTATGTGACGGGGGATGGTTGTGGAATGTAACTTACTTAAGAATTCCTGCTCTCTGGACGTAGACACCACACTCTCACACACACTCACACACCCACATTGAGAGATATTGCTACTGAAAAGTACAGTGCAGGACCAACCAAGTCAGAGCCAGTCAGGATTCATCTACAAATAAAGAATTAGCTCAGCTAGCATTCAGTTTCACTAAAGCAGAAGAAATTGGAATGCCTTCTCATTCTATTTCTCATCTCAGCAAATAGAACAGTCAGCTAGCTCTTGTCCAATCCCAAAACTTGGGACTCATGTTTTACTAGGTGGGTGCATTAAAAATAATGGCAAAACAGCAATTACGTTGGCATCAACCTAATACATTTCCTTTCTTACCCTAATGCTCATAGCATCACTAGGAGATATTCACTTTGTCTTCCCGAGCTCTGTGTTATCCAATTCAATGACCACTAGCCATGTGTGGCTACTGAGCTCTTCAAATGTGGCTGATATGACCGAGGAACTGAAATTGTAATTAATTTACATTAAATTTAAATTATAAGCTAATACTCAGCTAATTATTAGAAAACTTCAAAGTATGTTCAGAACAAATTGAGTTTGTGAATCTACTTTTTAACCATAAATTTCATGAAATTTAAATCAAAATGAGGTTTTAGATAAAGATAGATGTAAATCAAAATCAAGTAATTCTGAAGATATTTACTGTAAGAATTGAAATGTGTTTTCAGTGTAAAATACACACTAAATTTTGACTACTGTGTATAAAAAAGAAATTTAAGATATCTCACTAACACTTTTTACTATTGTGTACAAATCGAAATGATAATATTTTAGATATATTTGATTAAATAACATATTTTATTAAAATTTAGCTTCCTCGGTTCTTTTACCATTTTTTGATATGGTTACTAGATAATTTGTGTGGTTCTCATCATGTTTCTACTATATAGATGTCTATACAGTAGACTTGTTTATAGATGAATATATCTATTTATCTGTAGAGTCTAGATTAATCTCATTTCCCTCTACCATTCTCCAGAATAGGGTAAGAAAAAAATAGTCTGTGGGTTATCTATGTTACATGGATAACATGTACTTGATTTAAAGAATGATAATAGAAGCAAATAAAAATTAGTTTTATTTATGCCTTAGTAAGGCATCTGTTTTTATGCTAGATTTTATGTAACTTGTCCACTTGGAACATGGTTGAAATTACTAGTCTCATCTTGATAAGGCTTTCTCATGCTGTGCTGAGGTAGATCAAAAGCAAGTCACACATGGCAATATACGAGCATGCTAAGTGGGCTTTCTCTGCTTTTAAAATGAAACTTAAAGTTGATAATATGGGTTTTGGATTCACATCTAGGCAGATTACTGAGCATTACTAGCTCTGCCAACTACTGGGTGTGACAGGATAAATCTTAATTCCTTTAGTAGTCTCAGCTATTTTCTTTCTTCTTCCTCCCTTTTTCTCTCTTGCTTTCTTAGTAAAATGAAGATAATCTGTACTTCTCAGGATTTTGGTAAAGATTAAGTAAAATAGCATACACAAAATTCCTAAAAAGTCCAGATACTTGATAAATGAATGTTTCTTTCCTTCCCCTGATATTTTTGGAAGACAGTTATATTCAATAATGGTTACTTAAAACTATATTTGCATTTTATGCTGAAGATATATGTTTCTCGTTCAAAGTTGATGTTGGACACTTTCAACCTGACAGTAGCAACTTTAATAATGATTATTAAGATATGTTAATTAGCTTTCTTGAATGTACAATGTATACATAGATCAAAAAATCACATTGTACCCCATAAATATATACAATTATTGTGTTATATAAATATATATTAATAAAACACAACAATTATTAAAACTAAGGTAAAAATTCCAAAACTGTATTATTTCACTTGAGTATTGACACAAAAAGATAAAAATGTTTGCTTGATATTCTTTACTCATATTGAGAGACGATTTTGCTCAATATTCACTGAGATAAAAAATACTGTATAATGCCAATATTAAAGCAAATTAATAGTGGAATGAACCTGCCTTTCATATTTTTCAACCCAAAAAAGGTAATGAATCTCCATTTCAATATATAGATTTTCTTTAAAATAGCTCAGAAATTATCTTCACCTTCATTTCAATTATTTGAGATTCAACAATTGAAATATATGCAAAGCCCCTATTATGGTTGAATAAGTTAATGATGTGCCACCAACAAAATATAATTTTTCATGTGTGATGAACAATGTATCTATGGCAGCTCAGATAATCCAGGAAGTGCTACCAGATTGCAACATTGACAGAATACCAAGATTTAAAATTAGAATTGAGACAAATTAATTTGTCAGTCATTAAATATCTTTAACCGAGGGTTGATGGAAAATAAGGAGAAACAAATAAAATCCCAATTTGCAAAATTGCTATTTGTTCTTTTATAATTCCTCCTCACTGGATGTCCTATCCTTATAGTGACTGGGATCCAAAGGACCATAAAATTATTTTATATAAGTTGAAAAATGAATTTTATATCAATAAATTTTAAAAACATAACTATTGGTTTAATTTTAACAGACGCTTTTCACGTAGTATAGTAGAATTGACACTTTTTTCACTTTTGTCTTTTGAAAAAAATAGAATTTTTTTTAATAGAAATAATGCTCTATGATTTGTTTCTTGAGTAAAATTAGCCTTTCTTCTTATAAATAACTCCCACAATAATTTCTTATAAAATTCAAATTACTTAAAAGTTATCTAATGAAAAAATGGGGTTTGTGAAAACATTATAAAGTATTTTGAAGGTTATTCTCTAAGACACTGCCTTCATTTTGCATAAATTCCGGATCATTTTCACAAAGAAACATATTAATCTCTCAACCACACTTTACTTGCAGTCTGTAGTCACACACAAATGTCTCCTTCACCTCCAGGCATGCCAGTTTCAGCATCCTAACAAAATAATTATATTTAAAAATTGAAGTGAGTATGAATGCTTTGGAGCATGAGTTATTTTTATGGAAACAACGGCCTCTAAGTTACCAAGTTAGCTTGCCGACATCTATCTAGCCAACAGTATACAGTAAGAAGGTAAACTCTTGAGGCTATTGCACCTTCTCCAAGAACAGAATTACAGAATGAGGAAATGTATGGAAAGGGAGATTGTTGGGGTAACAAGTGGCACAGGTGATGGGACGGAAGTCAGATTAGGTAAAACACCAGTCACAGTAGTGATGGGTGAAAGTTACCAAAAAAATATTTACTCTTTCCTGGAACTACTTGTTATAGATCTAAGTATTTTACATATATTAAATATTTGATCATTACAAAATTCCTATTAAATAGATGTCATTATTGTGTCTATTTAACCAGAGGAAGAAATAGAGTAGTTAAATAACTTGCCCAAGATCACACATCTTGTAAAGTGATGGGTCTACAATTCAAACTGTGAGAACCTGGTGCAAAAATGCATGCTCTTAACCACAACATGCCTAATAATGCCTCTTCGCATTATGGCAAGCACCGTGTTCACATTTCCTTCTCTCCCTCATCCCCTTAGGGTTAAAAGCAGAATGATTTGCAACATATCTATAGTTTCCCAAGAGGGAGGCAACTCCCTGCTTGTTCTCAACTGGAGAAGTTAGAGCAGGTTTTCTTCACACGGGAATGGGGAACAAATTATTTTCATGCCAATTTCTGTGTAGCTCAGCTGTTAAAGTCAACTGATATATATCAGTTATATATCAACTGTTAAAATCAACAGTTGACTTTAACAGACATACACACACACATATATAAATCAGTTGCATTTATACATATGTATGTATATATGCATATCTCTATATATGAAAAGTCAGTAAAAATAGCCAGTATTATTTGGTGTTTACTGTTTACTATGAGCAAGACATCTGACTTAAGAGGATGACCTCATTTAACCCTCTTAATAAGCCTAGTCAAAACAGTTTCATAAATATTTGTGTCTTGTATTGGGTTATTCTTTCAATCACTTCAATCAATCACAAGACCTTTCAATCTGGAAGGTGCTATTTCAGGTTTTGTAAGGCAGGATTATATGTTTTACGTGACACAGTTCCTGCCTTCAAGGAGCTTACACTATAGTTGTAAACATAAAACTTAAAAACAAATATTTACTGAGTAGAAGATAAGTTTTATAAGGAAATATGCACATTAAATATTATAAGATTTTTATTAAATGGAGGCATTATTACCATTTAGAAATACAAAGATTCATAAAGATGGTGGAATTTGTCCTGATCCCTAAATAATTTTGAAAAGGATTTGATAGATTGTGTAGCATCCAGGATCTTCAGTTTCAGAAATGTACTCTAATTAATTTGAGCAGGAGAGGAACTTGTTGGAATATATTAAGGACATCACAGCATCTCTGGGAGGGCTAGGGAATCATCCCCAGGGCAATACAGACAGGCATAAGACTCCAAATCATGCTTTGAGAATAAGCCTCTGTTTATGCCACCATAATGCTGTCACTACAATGTTGGGAATGTTTTCTTGCGCTGCAACTGTCTCTGATGCCAGAAACAAATTCTTCCTGGTTCATCTTTTTTGCATTGTTATCCACAGATGAAAAAGGCAGAGTCTATTATGAGTGTCCATATTCCTGCTGAAACAGAGAAAAGCAAGCATATGGTATCTTTCTCTTACGCAACAGGAAAAAAAAACTGAGCCTTTCGTAAAGATTCCTGGGGGTTCGGATGCTCAATGATCCGGAGGGGCCACAATTCACTAGAGGTGAAAGGGATGTGGAAGAGCATTTCCTGAAGAGTGAAAGGCATTAAAGAAAGCATCCAGATAAAGACGCATGCAGCACGATCAGATAAATGAGCATCACGTGGTGTTTCTAGAGCCCAAGGGTATAGAAGGGCTGGTGGGGAGGTAAGAAACCAGAAAAGAAAATTAGATTCTGACTAGGTCTGATTCTAGACCACGGTAAATATCAAGCTAAGGAATTTATGGTTTTCGTTTGTTTGTTTGTTTGTTTGTGCGTTTGTTTTCTCTGTTGGTAATGGGAAGCCATTGAAGCAGGTTTAGTGCAAGGAAGTGATTAAATGCACAAGTGTTATTGATCTGTCTTTGACCAACAGATTTTACTCAAATTTATTTGATGCTTGATTTCTCTTGAAAGTAATTTTTCATTAGAATTTGCTTTGTAAAATACTTTATTCTTTGAATTTCTGACAAGATAATATGAAGATATCATCTTCTACCTATATGATTTTAATTTTGAATAATACATGAAAGTATGATATAATAAAAATTTTGAATAATACATGAGAGAAAGTATGATATAAAAACTAAACATTTTCATATCCCATGAGTCATGTGATGTTAAAATAAGGTCCTCATGGTAAGTGATATTTCAGAGAGTTTGGCTGGTCTGAGCATTAGCAGATTCCCCCAAAAGAAGTAATGTCTAACAGGGCATTTATCAACCACTGTTGGTTGCAGAGTCTTCATGCTTTCACTGGTCTTTTGGAAAGAAGCTTGGCCATTCCTGTTTTTCTTTGTTCTCCTCATCCCTTTAATGTGATATTGTACTCTCCTGCTCTCCTGCTAAACTATAGTTTTTTTTCCATTAAAACTCTGTTCTTGTTTAATTTATTTGTGTTAATTTCTTTAAAAATGATTTTGGAGTGAGAACTTCACTGGAAGGCATATCTTAGAATATAAAAAAGAAATGAGAGAGGACCATAAGAATGGAGAAAGAAGAAACGTGAAAAGCCTAGTTTATCTAAGTTTCCCATTGACTCCACTTTCTTGAATTTAAAACAAAAGGAGAAACACAGGGAGAGACACAAAAACTAGGAGGTTCATAGTTTTTAAGAGACCTTTTTTTCTAAGTACTAACTTCCAATAAAATTTTCAATTGTGTAACTTCCTATGGGGCATATTGAGTGATATAAAGGATAATCTTATTCTCACTTAAAATGAATACAGAAGCAAACTTCACAGAGCTAAACTATTAAAATTGGTATCTAGAATTGGTAACTATTAAAATGTGGTATCTAGAATAAACAACTTCTAGACACTAAAAACAAGACACTAAAAACAAGATTAGTTGTGGTAAGGCCATACATGTATCGTGATGCAATTTTTAAATATTTGTATAGAAAAAGCAAAAATGAGCAAGAGAAAATGTGTTGTAGAATGTCCACTATAGGCAAGATTTGAGATTTTTCATATATCTCATTTATTCCTTCCTTATGTTATTAGTTATATAGCTATGCTATCATAAATAAATATTGTTGATTAATAGGAAAACCATCACTCATTAATACATGATAGATATTCTTCTGTTGATCATAGCAGAAGGAAAAAATGTTTTTCATTGTAGAGAAAGATAATTTTATCTTTTCCTAATTATTTCCCATCCCCTCAACAAGATTATGATTCATTTTGATTCCTTAGCACACGTAGTAGGCATTTGTTTGCTAAATAAATGACTGCATCTTAATGGTCTTTGAAACATGCTTTTGAGTTTGGGTATGAGATACATCTTCTCTTCTCATTACTTCATCAGAACTAACAAAGTTTTAAAGTTTCTGTAAAATAAAAAGGTCTAAATGTATTTTCCTGAGATTGTCGATAAGATCCTTTCACATTGATCATAAATGCCTAATTTGATTTTCCTAGTTGCATTGAATTATATTTTAAGTTGCTAGATTATAGAGTTCCTCAACAAGAAGTACTGTTAAATTTTACTATATTGTGGTAAAAGAAGCAAAGACAAACATGGAAGTAGTAACTTGGATGTGTTTTTTATTATTTTAATTTATTTTATTTTAAGATAAATGTCCTTCTAAAGACTTGGATGAATAGCACATGTCACAGGCCATATATCTGTATTTAGAGTTTAGTCCTAAATGAAAGTTTATATCATTACATACAGACATTTTACTTACAACAAACCTTAAATCTAATTATGTTAGTGTTGCCTTAGTCTGCTTCTACTCCTTTGGATATTTTTATCTAAGTGAATTATTTCATTAACTTAAACCCAGAGGAACTTTTTTTTAATGCATAAGGCACTTAATCATCAGAATAAAAGTGGCTGTTTAGGTTTAGAGATTTATCATCTTGGGAGGATGAGCAAATAAACTGGATTTTAATAACATTGCAAAAAGAATTCATAATATCAGCTGGAGATCTTGATTTACATATTTTTAAAGTAAGTTGCACTATTAAATTTAAACTCTTTTAAATAAGTGCAAATAAATATACATTTTGTATTGTAAAAGGTGTGTGTGTGTGTGTGTGTGTGTGTGTGTGTGTGTATAAAATCTCACCACATTGAAACCTGGTTAGGAAACAAAGCCTATGTTTTTTACCACTCCGTAAGTACTAATGACTGTCTTACACATAGTAACCTCTCAGTGTTTGGACATTTACTAGAGCCTGAGGCCCTTCAGTGACACATGCTTTGAATGTGCAACTAATTCAAGCCATCCCAGTAAAACAGAATCATTTTAACCATTTTATGTGTTCATGTGGACTGAGAATCCTGAGGATCACCAAAGACTGGAAGCTAAGAGATGTTCCCAGCACGTTTTTCATGTTTGCTGTATTGACCCTAAATATTCTTCCTTTTATACTGAAAATTTGTCTCTTCAGAATTGTTAGTTGTTTGTGTGTGTATCATCACATAAAATACATATATTATATAATATATTATATATAAATATAATATATGTATCTCTAACAATGTAATACATATATCATATATGTATATATAATATATAACACATATAGTATCCAGCATGATACATTATATGATATATTATATACATAATATGATAATATCAATACATGATTAATATACTATATAAAATACATAATATTTTTATATCTAATAATTTATTATGTCTATTATACATGTATTATATATACATATGTATATGTATTATATATGTATTCTATATGTGTATGTGATCTCAAGATAAAATTAGAATCCCAGAATAACATTGGAGATTATAACAGATAACAGACAGGAACTTTCTGCAGTCACATTCTGGGGCTGCCTCCACCCAAAGAGTTCTTTAGCAAGAGCTTGAGGTTTCAGCAACCAGGATTCAGGAGAAGGAGCTGAGGGCATTTCAAGCAGGAATTTTGTCATGGAGGCAAGAAGCTCTACTATCCAGTTAATGTTGGGAAGGCGATGAGAAGTAGATGTCTGTTAGGGAGTGTCCAGGAATAGGCTGAAAGGGAGAAAAATTAACCCAGGATAAGTCTAGTGTCAGGGCCATGTGTTCAGAGGGAGTATCATTAAGGAATGTGATTTCCTCAGTCAGAAGTGAAGTTTCTACAAGGGCTGACAGGTGAGATAGACAGATTAGGGCTTTGAAGAGGCAGTTCTCCAAGCCTGTCTTTCCTGCTCTCGAAGTGGCCTGACCCCAAAGGCCCTAATCAGCAGAGCCGTGCCAGAC
Source organism: Homo sapiens (assembly GCF_000001405.40). NCBI lineage: Eukaryota > Metazoa > Chordata > Mammalia > Primates > Hominidae > Homo > Homo sapiens. The sequence continues at coordinate 81,294,044 of NC_000006.12, read as the reverse complement.
ACCTGGGAAGTAGGCAGTTTATAAGTGAAGACTGCAATTTTAAAACATTCTGTTATTTGAATTCCCTCATGTGGGATGACTACTGGTTGCTTCACTGGAGGTAGAGATCAAGTTGTTTTTAGCATCAAGGCTTCCTCTACTTTCAAGTGATTATCAGCTTAACAGTGGCCCTTGAGGTAGGCATCATCTTTCCCAAAAATAAAATAAAAGTTAAAATATGTTTCAGATAAACATTTTAATAGATTGCAATTATTCAGTAACATAGAAGATTACAAATTTCAGGAACATGAAAGATTTTCTCACTGAAATTGCCATCAGTGAAATATTTGGACCTATAGATATTCCTAGAAATTGTATGCCTGGCTTACCCATAATCACTTCTGGGGTACCTTGGAAGCATTTCATAGTCTTATCAACAATCCTATCTACTACATCAACTGTGCCATCTCTACTGAACTCCTCTGCAAGCTCAGCTTCCACTGATGTAATGATCAGTGTGATTGAGCTGCTCTGCCTAGCATGGTGGGCAGCCCAGCTAACACCTAGAGAACTGGGGTTGGGCGGAGAAGTGGGGTTGGGAGGAGCAGTGCGGTGAGTCGAGAGGAGGCTGCATGAGTATTTCCTGGAGCTACATTATGACATAATGCCACATTACCACTCTCAGCCACCATTGTACCTGGAACAGAGACTGTTACATGCTCTTGTTCTGGTACCAAATGAAAGACTGTTTTATGGACCTTATATCTCTTAAAAATTTTATGTGAAAAAGTTCCTTCCTTAAAAAAAAAGTCTTATTTTCCAGATGAGAAGCATGTAGTTTGAGTCACTTGCTAACAGTCACATAGCTTGGATCTTCATTAATCCTAACTTATCTTTGACAACTTCAGGGTAAGCTGATGAATCTTTGATCATGGTATAAGAACTGGATATGAGCCCTGGGTCTGAAAACTGCTAGTTTTGCAACCTTAAGGATGTTAATGTTCACCAGGAGGCAGAGGTTGCAGTGAGCCAAGATCATGCCATTGCACTCCATCCTGGGCAACAAGAGTGAAACTCTGTCTCAAAAAAAAAAAAAAAAAAGAAAAAAGAAGAAAAAGAATGTTAATATTCAGATTCTCAAGATTTTCCACCTGCACTATTGCAATAATCATTATCTTTTTCTTCATTTCAGTTCCCTCCCTCCAAGTTCCTCTCACTCATGGCAAACTTGTCTTTATAAAGTGTGTTTATGCTTATATCCCTTGCTTGCTTATCATCTTTCAATAAGCCCTCATTGCCCACAAGATAAAGTGAATTCTTTGATGAGGCATGAAAAACCTCCAGGGACTGACCCCTATTTACTCCGGCAGTTTCATCTCTTGATGCTTCTTACCTGAACTTTGTGCTAGCAGTATTGAGCTCCCCGCTTTTCCCCAGATGAAACCATGGCACACTGTCATCCACCTTCAAATTTATACATGCTCTTTGCTCTGACTTACCTGCCCTTCCAATGGAAGTCTCTGTCTTCCTGCCCTTCAGGTTTGTGATCTCAGCTAAAACTGCTCAGCTATGGGAAAAATTTTCCCTTGCTTCTTGCTAATGTATACAGGATTGTGCTTTCTTAAATATATGAGAAAAAAAAATCCAAGGTTCAGGTACAGGGTTGGGGATGGGCTTTGCACAGTGGAAAGAGACAGCCTATATTTGACTTTCCAGACAAAAATAAATGGTCCCTAGTGTTCTACAATTAGTAAAATGTACTTCTTTAATTAACTATCTTTGTGGTGAATATTTATATCAAAGCCCTTGAGAGGAAGTGTGGCTGATTCTCTGAATAAATAAAAATGGACCTGGGATGAAGGCATTCATAATATCACCTAATCACACATTACGTTGTTTTGTAATTATTGGTTTACAGGTCTTCCCTCCTTACAGGCTGTGGTCTTAAATAATATTAAACAGCATATTTCTATTTTTGGAACCCCACTGTCTAGCCTATTGTAGGTCCTTCATAAATACTTTAACTTATCTCCAGATAGTCAAATTCATATTTGACTAATATTTACTAAATGCTAACTATGTAATAGGATCACTGTAATAGGTACTTTGACACATTATTTTACAAAATCTGCAAGTCATATTACATGATTTTCATTTTATAGTTAAAGAAACTGAGATTCCTAGAGTAGAAGTTATACAATGTCACATAATAAAAACAAAGCCAGAATTTGAACCCAGGCCTCCCTGAGTGGATGTACTATTTTTTTTAGTTCATTATTGTGTTTTATTATTGGAAAATACACTGAAATAAATATCCTATGAGCTTACTTGTAAAAGGAAGAAAAATTAACAGTTAAAATTATTCCTCAAGTTTTCCTAATAAAGTTGAAACACTGGATTTTCAAGTGAATATTCAAATCATACATTCAGAGAAATCTCAAAAATTAAAACATAATCTTAGGAAATGTTACTTGAATACTTCCAAATTCCATGGCTAAACCAAAGTAGAAGTTAGGAACACAGGATCATACTTTTGTGGCTTGACTTCTGCCTACAGCCCCATGCAAAAAATTCTCCCTGCAGCTGCAGCTCAGTTGGAGCTCTTCAGCCTTCATTTTCACCATGAAACAGAACTCAGGTATATATATGCTGGAAATCTAGAATGCTCAAAAAGACGTGTTATATTCCCATTGCTCTCTCTCCACCATCCTTTATGCTTTCTGTGTGCTTAGGATGTAGCCTTCTAAATGGGGACCTAGAGATATTCATGGGTGATCACTATCATTCACTGTATGGAGAATAATCCCAAGCACTCTGTGAGGCCTCCTCCGTGCTGGTTTGTGTCATGTGATAGGCCCAAGAGCTGAAGGGCACACAGGAAACTATCAGCAGCAGTCAGTTGCTTGGGTCGCGGACTCCAACACAGCCTGAAGGACTTGAAAGAGTCAATACAGAAGAGACCAGAAATGTGGAAGAATGAGAACAGCTTTGGGCGTGATAAATACAGCTTTTACTTTACCAATTTGCTTTGTGGCTATGATAAGATGCCCTAGAGGGATCTTTCCTAAACCAGACTGAGGTGCAGTGAACTTGGAGTCACCTAGTCCAGAGGCTCACCGAGATGCAAGAAGCCCATGTGAGACAATTTGAAGACCGATTACATTGCCAGAATTGATTATTATGTTTTTCTCTGAGTAAATGCATACTAGGGAGAAGGTCCACCACAAGGAAGATTTTTTAAGTGGTCTTTTCCTAAAGGCAGTGATTGGACTTTGAAGGAGCAGTGAGGGAAGAGCAAGAATGCTGAAGCTCACCTTCAAAACAAAAAACAAGACAAAACAAAACAAAAATAAAAAATCAAAACAACAAAAACAAATAATAAAAACCTGAGGATAGAAGTTTAACATTTAGTACCTCATAGGAAAAAAAGAACTACCAACTGGGCACTATGACAATATGACAGTAAAAATCTTCATAAATTTTATAGACTGCCTATGTTTATTCATTTTGCTATCACCTTTCTTTTTACCTCTCTGTAATGATTCACAATTTAACCCTTAAAATGAAAAGAATGTGGCCTCTTACTTAGGGAACAATTGGAAAGAAGAGGGTCAGAGATACTACATATTACTATTTCAACACAGTAAACTTGGAAAAAAATATCTTTTGGAATTGAGTCATTTACATAGAGGAGGAGAGAGGGGGATGAGGCCCCGAGGCCCATGGAATATTAGGAAAAAAAAATAGGAAGAAAAGTAATCAAGGAATAACAAGGCCCAAGTGAGATAACTAGGATTTTAAGAAATTGCTTACCATTCTATCTAGAGGGTTCTCTTTTTAAAAATAAGAATAATACCCTCCTACTTCACAGTGTTTTCTTGTTGTTAAATTGTATAACATGTATTGTGCCTAGAATTATTCCTGTCACATAATAATTCAGAGCAGAGCTTTTCTTGGCATATTCAACAAATATTAGTTATCATCTCCCTAGTAAATATTTATTTCATTATTTGCTCATTTGTGGTGCTGAAATTTTCATTTTTTAAAATGTCAGGTCTTGGTAGAATCTTGTGTGTGACCCTACCTCTCTTTCTAAGGAAAAACAGAGGCAGAAACTATCTGACCATTTTCCCCTACATGACTCTTTCTCATGACCCCACATGTATCCATAACCCAAGATTCCTAGGAAAGCAGTGTAATTCTTTAGGAAATCTGTAGTCCCATCTTTCACTTCTGCAATGCCAGTGCAAGGATACCTGTGGAAATTCTCACGCCTTTCATCTAAATATTTAAAATTCGTAAATCAAGCAGACAAACTATTGTATGAATTACATTTGTCATCTCACCTTGATAAAATATCATCATAATAAAATTTTTACATATATTGTATGTAAAATCACACATGATTTTATGTGATTAAAATTAAGCAAAATATCAAAACTTCTAAATTTACTTTTTATTGCACATTCCTGGGTGTTTTATTGATAGGTCACTGATGTTTGGATGAGTACTTAAAAATACATACATAATTTATTGTGCATTTGTTTCATAAAATTTATTGTCTTCATTTCAACAAAATCACTAGGTTGATAAAATCAGAATTTCCACATAATTTACATTTTATTGATAGTAATGGCTGACTAGGCAATTACTACTGAGCCATTGAAGTTTTTGGATAGTTTTTTTTTCTTTTAAGAGGAATTTCACTTTGGAATATCTGCTCTGTTAAGACAGTAACAACTATATTTCTTGAGGAAATCCTTAAAGCCATATTTACATTTAAAATGAACAAATAACTTTACATGTCATGTTCAAACACAATAACCAGGTCACATGATAAAATTTCATTAAGCAGAAAATATTACAGACATTTTAATTTTCTTATAAATTTCTATCATTTTATTGTATTTTTGTAAGTTTTTGAAGCAGTATCTCTATCCACAGATAATCAGTATCACACACACGTCGTATATATTGTTTAGATTATATATGGGCATATACATATTTGTTCAAATAGGTATTTAAAATTTTAAAGTAATATGAAGTACTTAGTATTGCAGACTGTTTCTCAACTGCTCTTTATAAATACCAGGCTCATTTGTGAGTACATCTGGAATACAAATTAGAAAACAAAGCAAAGCAAGCAAGTGGATGTTTGCCACTACAAGAAAGTTATACTTCTTTACACAAGAAACAGCATCCATATTATCTTAAAAAAATGAACTTGACAAGTTAATAAATGAATCATTTCTCTTACGTGAGTTCTCTATTCAAATCTTCCTCCTACTCTAAAGCAGCATCCATATTTGAAGTTATGACTGACACATCCCGCAAAGTTTCTGCTCATTCAGGCAATCACTAGACTGAATGCTGCTAGTCACAAGATAAGCTGTTTGGGGTTGTGGGTTATCATGTACCAGCACTAGGTACTGGATCCTGAGTGACAGAGGCACCCATGGGCATTTTAGTAAATTTATTTTGTGTGTTTGTGATATGTGGGGCCTTTTATAGTAGGGATCCCAGGGATGGGGATCCCAGTGGAGAAAAGTGTTATAATTGTAGTCAGATTTGCCCATTGAGAAGGTGATGTTGGAGCAAAAAATTCACAGTAGAGAGAGAGAGACATGTGGCTGTGAGAGAGGAGGGCATCCCAGGCTGAGGACAGCCAGAAACAACGCTGTGAATCTGGTTTAGCACAGATGCCAGCGTGGCTGAATTTCCTGAGTAAAAAGGAGAGTGGGAGGATCCTGGACCTCAACTCTTCTTTTACTGTGAATGAGATGGATGGTCACCGCAGGGCTCAGGTCAGAGGGTTGGCATGATCTGACTTAGGTGTGACATTGGCAGCCAGAGAGTCATCTTAGTACAGCACAGCTCTAATCAACCAAACTTTTCTCCAGCCTTTGGCGACTCCCTACTGCCTAAAAAAGTAAAAATTCATTCTCTCTAGGCTACTCTTTAGGGACCTTCAGAATCTTGCAGTAATCTGCCCCTGCTTTTAACAAGCCTAAAACACTATTTAAACTTAAATATTTGCTCTTTCCTAAACATTGCCAAGTCACTGGCCTATATGACTCTGCTCTACACCTTTTCTCCATTTAAAATGGCCCGTCTACTTCCTTTAATGTCATCTTGAACCTCATCTCCTCCAGTGTAATCTTTGAAGCTCTCAGTTAGAAACAATCTGCATCACCTAAAGAGGCTTGCACTTCAGCCCCACCTACATCAAATATCTTCTTTTTCCCTTTATCAGAATTATTATCCTCAAACCTTAGCTCTTTCACTATTGAGTCAAAACCCTGCTTTATTCTGCTTTGTATTTATTTCAGTATGTTGAACCTAATATATAATTGATAAATGTTTTTGAATAAATGAAAGAATGAAATGTCTTCCCTCCAGTTCAGCTCAATATGAAGGCAAGATCATAGTTAATCAAAAGAATGAAATTAAATGTTCATTTACATCTAGTCTAGATTTAGAATCATGATTCTAGACTAATGGATCCTGAGTTTAAAATTCCTTCTGCATTTTTAAGAGTATCCTAATGCATAGAAGATGATGATAGAATTAAGAAGGCTATACATAGTAAATTTTAAAAAAACAACCTAAAGTTCAGTATTTGGTATCCTATAATAAATGATAATGTCACATTTCACCTGAATATGTATTTTTTAATTTTATTATTATTATATTTTAAGTTTTAGGGTACATGTGCACAATGTGCAGGATTGTTACATATGTATACATGTTCCATGTTGGTGTGCTGCACCAATTAACTGGTCATTTAGCATTAGGTATATCTCCTAATGCTATCCCTCCCTCCTCCCCCCACCCCACAACAGGCCCTGGAGTGTGATGTTCCCCTTCCTGTGTCCATGTGTTCTCATTGTTCAATTCCCACCTATGAGTGAGAACATGCAGTGTTTGGTTTTTTGTCCTTGAGATAGTTTGCTGAGAATGATGGTTTCCAGCTTCATCCATGTCCCTACAAAGGACATGAACTCATCCTTTTTTATGGCTGCATAGTATTCCATGGTGTATGTGTGCCACATTTTCTTAATCCAGTCTATCGTTGTTGGACATGTGGGTTGGTTCCAAGTCTTTGCTATTGTGAATAGTGCCGCAATAAACATACGTGTGCATGTGTCTTTATAGCAGCATGATTTATAATCCTTTGGGTATATACCCAGTAATGGGATGGCTGGGTCAAATGGTATTTCTAGTTCTAGATCCTTGATGAATCACCACACTGACTTCCACAATGGTTGAACTAGTTTACAGTCCCACCAGCAGTGTAAAAGTGTTCCTATTTCTCCACATCCTCTCCAGCACCTCTTGTTTCCTGACTTTTTAATGATCGCCATTCTAACTGGTGTGAGATGGTATCTCATTGTGGTTTTGATTTGCATTTCTCTGATGGCCAGTGATGATGAGCATTTTTTCATGTGTCTTTTGGCTGCATAAATGTCTTCTTTTGAGAAGTGTCTGTTCATATCCTTCGCCCACTTGTTGATGGGGTTGTTTGTTTTTTTCCTGTAAATTCGTTTGAGTTCATTGTAGATTCTGGATATTAGACCTTTGTCAGATGAGTAGGTTGTGAAAATTTTCTACCATTATGTGGGTTGCCTGTTCACTCTGATGGTAGTTTCTTTTGCTGTGCAGAAGCTCTTTAGTTTAATTACATCCCATTTGTCAATTTTGTCTTTTGTTGCCATTGCTTTTGGTGTTTCAGATATGAAGTCCTTGCCCATGCCTATGTCCTGAATTGTATTGCCTAGGTTTTCTTCTAGGGTTTTTAAGGTTTTAGGTCTAACATTTAAATATTTAATCCATCTTGAATTAATTTTTGTATAAGGTGTAAGGAAGGGATGCAGTTTCAGCTTTGTACATATTGCTAGCCAGTTTTCCCAGCACCATTTATTAAATAGGGAATCCTTTCCCCATTTCTTGTTTTTGTCAGGTTTGTCAAAGATCAGATGGTTGTAGATAAGCAGCATTATTTCTGAGGGCTCTGTTCTGTTCCATTGATCTATATCTCTGTTTTGGTACCAGTACCATGCTGTTTTGGTTACTGTAGCCTTGTAGTATAGTTTGAAGTCAGGTAGCCTGATGCCTCCGGCTTTGTTCTTTTGGCTTAGGATTGACTTGCTGATGCGGGCTCTTTTTTGGTTCCATATGAACTTTAAAGTAGTTTTTTCCAATTCTGTGAAGAAAGTCATTGGTAGCTTGATGGGGATGGCATTGAATCGATAAATTACCTTGGGCAGTATGGCCATTTTCATGATATTGATTCTTCCTACCCATGAGCATGGAATGTTCTTCCATTTTTTAGTATCCTCTTTTATTTCAGTGAGCAGTGGTTTGTAGTTCTCCTTGAAGAGATCCCTCACATCCCTTGTAAGTTGGATTCCTAGGTATTTTATTCTCTTTGAAGCAATTGTGAATGGTAGTTCACTCATGATTTGGCTCTCTGTTTGTCTGTTATTGGTGTATAGGAATGCTTGTGATTTTTGTACATTGATTTTGTATCCTGAGACTGTGCTGAAGTTGCTTATCAGCTTAAGGAGATTTTGGGCTGAGACAATGGGGTTTTCTAGATATACAATCATGTCATCTGCAAACAGGGACAGTTCCAAAACTGACCACATAGTTGGAAGTAAAGCTCTCCTCAGCAAATGTAAAAGAACAGAAATTATAACAAACTGTCTCTCAGACCACAGTGTAACCAAACTAGAACTCAGGAATAACAAACTCACTCAAAACCGCTCAACTACATGGAAACTGAACAACCTGCTCCTGAATGACTACTGGGTACATAACGAAATGAAGGCGGAAATAAGGATGTTCTTTGAAACCAACGAGAACAAAGACACAACATACCAGAATCTCTGGGACACATTCAAAGCAGTGTGTAGAGGGAAATTTATAGCACTAAATACCCACAAGAGAAAGCAGGAAAGATCCAAAATTGACACCCTAACATCACAATTAAAAGAACTAGAAAAGCAAGAGCAAACACATTCAAAAGCTAGCAGAAGGCAAGAAATAACTAAAATCAGAGCAGAACTGAAGGAAATAGAGACACAAAAAACCCTTCAAAAAATTAATGAATCCAGGAGCTGGTTTTTTGAAAAGATCAACAAAATTGATAGACTGCTAGCAAGACTAATAAAGAAGAAAAGAGAGAAGAATCAAATAGACACAATAAAAAATGATAAAGGGGATATCACCACTGATCCCACAGAAATACAAACTACCATCAGAGAATACTACAAACACCTCTCCACAAATAAACTGGAAAATCTAGAAGAAATGGATAAATTCCTCGACACATACACGCTCCCAAGACTAAACCAGGAAGAAGTTGAATCTCTGAATAGACCAATAACAGGCTCTGAAATTGTGGCAATAATCAATAGCTTACCAACCAAAAAAAGGCCAGGACCAGATGGATTCACAGCCGAATTCTACCAGAGGTACAAGCAGGAGCTGGTACCATTCCTTCTGAAACTATTCCAATCAATAGAAAAAGAGGGAATCCTCCCTAACTCATTTTATGAGGCCAGCATCATCCTGATACCAAAGCCTGGCAGAGACACAACAAAAAAAGGGAATTTTAGACCAATATCTTTGATGAATATTGATGCAAAAATCCTCAATAAAATACTGGCAAACCGAATCCTGCAGCACATCAAAAAGCTTATCCACCAAGATCAAGTGGGCTTCATCCCTGGGATGCAAGGCTGGTTCAACATATGCAAATCAATAAACATAATCCACCATATAAACAGAACCAATGACAAAAACCACATGACTATCTCAATAGATGCAGAAAAGGCCTTTGACAAAATTCAACAACCTTTCATGCTAAAAACTCTCAATAAATTAGGTATTGATGGGACGTATCTCAAAATAATAAGAGCTATCTATGACAAACCCACAGCCAATATCATACTGAATGGGCAAAAACTGGAAGCATTCCGTTTGAAAACTGGCACAAGACAGGGATGCCCTCTCTCACCACTCCTATTCAACATAGTGTTGGAAGTTCTGGCCAGGGCAATTAGGCAGGAGAAGGAAATAAAAGTATTCAATTAGGAAAAGAGGAAGTCAAATTGTCCCTGAATATGTTTTAATGCTATAAAAGAATATCCATCCAAAGTAATATTACATTATTTCTTATGTTTAGAACAGTGTTAGGTTTGCAACTTCTATTTTTGTTATATTGAATTGAATATGACACAAAATTTCATCAGTTGTATAAATTTTGATAATTTATTATAGTCATGGATTTAAATTTTAAGCATTATAGCTTAACTTGTAGTATTTTATATCTCTTTTTCCAGATTACATATTTGTTTCTTTAGAATATTAACTATTTTTCTATACCTGAGCTTCTAGAGAGTCACTTATCTCACTCACACAAAAATTTAATTGTCTTATCTTTCCTTAGAAAAGCAGATTCATCTAGGCAAATTGCAGTTGGAATTTGCTATCAAATGTAAATGTGTTTTATTGTTCCAAACAGGATAGTAATGTCATGTCATAGTCATGTCATTTTGTTTTCTTCTTTTAAATATAATTTTCCTTAGACACCATAAACTTGTATAACATTACTAGAAAAAAAATTGCGCATAGTTATTTCCATGAAGTTGAGTGTTGAAAAACCTGAGACCATTAGTTATATTGGATATTGAGAGATGGTAACTAAATATGATCCAAAATGCCAGAGAGTTTGTTTTTGGTGAGAAAGAAAGTGTGCAATTCAAGAAACTAAGAGAAATGCTATGAAAGAAGAAGGTTATAAAAATAGTCAAATTGTTAGAGAGAGAGAGAGAGCTCTTGGTGGATGCAATATCCACTTCTGACAAAAATGGAGAAATTTCTGTTGAATATGAGAAGATGCGGTTAGAATTATAATATCCTTTATTTTATTTTATTATTTTATTTTAACTTCTATTTTAAATTTAGTAGGTACAAGTGCAGGTTTGTTACATAGGTAAAGATATGTCATGGGGGCTGTTGTACAGATTATTTCATTACCCAGGTATTAAGCCTAGTACCCATTAGTTATTTTTCCTGATCCTCTCCCTCCTCCCACCTTCATCCTCCAAAAGGAACCAGTGCGTGTTTTTTCCTTCTGTATGTCCATATGTTCTCATCATTTAGCTCCTGCTTATAAGTAAGAACATGAGGTATTTGGTTTTCTGTTCCTTAGTTTGCTAAGGACAATGGCCTCCAGCTCCATCCATATCCCTGCAAAGGACATGATCTCATTCTTTTTTGTGGTTGCATACTATTCCACTGTGTATATGCACCACATTTTTTTCCAGTCTATCATCGATTGGCACTTAGATTGATTTCATGTCTTTGCTGTTGTGAATAGAGCTGCAATGAACATAAAAGCTTCATAAGCCGAGCAAACAGAATTATAATATTCTTATGAGAAGATGGTTCTGAACTGTTTTGGACACATTAGCTGCCTAATATATTATTTCAATAGAGATATATTTGTTCTCTAACATTCAATTAAATATTAACACACTTAGAAATGGAAGCACCACCTTGATTTGGGAGTGGTTATTGTAAAGGCTGAGAGTTATGAGCATAATTGAACATGACAGTACATAACAGATAGTCAATCATTGTTCAATCTATTACTAGTCCATCAATGTTCAATCTATTACTAGTCTTGAGTAACAGTATAGAGCAATTATTTATTTTCCCTATCTACTTTCAAATCATCCACATGTTCTCCCTTTCCATTATCATCCTTTCTCTTTGTTCTCTTCCCCTTGTTTTTCTCATTCCCATGGAGGCTTAGGGATATTTTACTCCTCTTCTTTCATTGTAGTCCTAATTTTCAGTAAATACTAAAAATGGAATGCAATAGTTTGGATCTGGACACTGAGGCGGAGAGTAGAGATGGATTAGAACTGGTGACATTTCGAATTCTTCAGGCATCAAAGTGAAATGTTTACAAAATGAGCATGTCTTCCTTGTTAATATTGAATAACTCTTATGGAATAATTTCAGTGTGCTATTGTGCTAATTGAATCTTATTAACTTTATTTCATCATACTAAAGATTCAGTCCTATTATTCTAGCTTGACACCAGCCAGAACTTCAAAAGGGGTGTGAAAAAGGACTCCACTCTAGAATAAGGCTGAGTATGGGGAGAAAAACATATCCAATGACATGGAGCTGTTAGAGGAAAGCAGAAAGAATTAACTGTGAGCATTATCTCAAAAAGACAAAAACATTAAGCATGTAATTTAAAGTACAGAACCGAGTTACACTAGTTTGAAGCTAATTCATGACAAAGCCAGGCCACGGTACTCAGGATACTGACCCAGAACCCTCAGGCCATAAAACACATTGGTTAAGGATTTGTACTTCAAATACTTCTTCTGAATTACAACAACATAGTATAAATTTGTCAGTAAGTTTGTACTTAAAATAATTAGAAAAGATGACACCCAAAAGCTAAAAACCATAGTTTAAAAATATAAGTCTGTAAGTAAGAGCCAGTGCAGACAAGGATTACAGTCGTATATCCATTGCAATATTTGAAATATGACTGATTTAATGGACTTCTGGTTAATTACCTGACATAATTGTGTGTGTCAGTTATTAGGATTTTCCCAATGAACTAGTAGTAAGATATAGAAAATTGTGTAGACTTCAAGTTTAAAAAATACTTTTAAAAGTGACATTTCTTTTGCACAGCAGCTGCAAACTGAAAGTGTTAATGTCTTTCACAAGTTATCAATGTATGTTTTCATGTTTTGTGTTACTCCAAGGAGAGAACCAATATATAGTTCTAGCATATACAAAATAAACATACAAAAAATAATGGGTTTAATATTTTTTGGCCACCAGTAGATCATATATGCTTCATTTGCTCCCTGCTTTATTAGTGATTAAACCGAAATTTTTTGCAGCCTCTTGTAAATAGAAAAAAATAGCTATAAGATCATTCAGCCATTATTTTACTGATATATTTTTATAGTATTTTAATTATGAATACTGAACCTATCAAATCAACTAGATTATCTTCATTTTGTGTTTAAAAGAAGCCCAATCCATCCAATGCATTTGCTTTAAGAAATAGAAAATAACTTTTAGAAATCACAAAGACTGAAGCAGATTTAAAGTGATAACCAAAATCTATCATCTTTAAGAAAACACGCTTCTATTTAATTGGTTTAAGAAAATGTCAAATTTCACTTTTAGTTACTAATATAAAAAGAATTCACTTTTCTTTAAAGAATGTGCTTTATATTCCATTTTATATAAGCTAGTTCTTTAAATTAGATTGTGCAACAATTAGATATCATGAAATAAGCAATGAAGTTAAAGCAGGATCTTGTGTTCTCCTTCCTATACTACTATCAATCTGCTTTGCAACCTTGAGGTTGCAGGTCACTCTCAAAACATCAGCTCTTTAAGCTGGTGGTATGAAGTTGTTGCTTTCTGAAACTTTTACATGGAAATCTAGGTTTCTAAATAAGCATCTCAAAATGACAATTTGTGGGGTATGCAGAGAGACAGGTTGGACCAAAGAGGGTAATTTTATTTTATTCTTATACATTTTGAGGTTTCACTTATAATTTTTTTGGGGAAAATGCTGTACTACCAAAACCATATTTATCTATTTACCTTTAAAATTTAAATTTAATTTACATCTTTTTAATTTATTGACTTACATATAATGCTGATGTATGATAGAGAAGTCTATGTTAGGATAGAATAATCAAAGGCAAATCGTAAAATAACATTTTTAATGTAAACAAAAATAGGCTTTTAAAAATATATTCCAAATTTTTCCCTAAGTATTTTATTTTATAAAATGTTTTCATAACCAAATAAGTTTATAAAATGCTTCTAGATTTTCAATGTACATATAATCGATTGAAGACTCTGATAAGTCTTTTATATTTTATTCAACACAGGGTTTCCCAGCCTTATTTTATGACAGGACTTTATTTTAGCATAATATATGTTACTACTCACTTATGGACACATGCTGTCATAGGAAAATAGAGCCAATACTTGGTTAAATCACCAAAAACACTTATGAGCTTTACATCTCCTATTTCCTGACGTGGATATCTTAGGTTTTTGTTTTAATACCATACAAAATACTGCCTGACATACATAAACTTTCTAATATTCATGAAAAATGACAAGGTAGAATACAACACAGAGAACCGTAGACTGAATGAACAGTCGTGAGTCTTTTTTTGTGTCATGTCTTTTTAAAAATAGAAATATAATCCACTTACAGACAAGAGTGCAGGAAATGCTCTATATCCTGATCTTGGTGGTAGCTATTTAGGGGCTTACCTACGTGAAAACTCACCAACCTGTATGCTGGAGATTTTAATATTGCCACAGAAATGCTATGTATTCATATTTGAATGTTGTATGAATGCATATACTAACTACCCTGGTTTGCTCAACACATTGCATACATGCATCAAAAATCACTCTATCTACCATAAATACAGAAAATTATTACATGTCAACCCAAAATAAAAGAAAATATAAAACTACACAGAAAAGGAAATAAGGGAACAAAGAAAGGTATACTACAAAAATTACTTAAGGAGGAAAGAAAGCAGTAAAAGAGGAACTGAGGAACAAAAAAAGATATATGGCATATGAAAATAACTAAAATGGCAGAATAAAGTTCTTCCCTATCCCTAATTATATTAAATATAGTTTGATTAAACTCTCCAATTAAAAATCATTGATTAGCATAATATATTAAAACAAAACAAATAAAAAAATGATTCATCTATATGCTTCTTCAAGCAATTTACTTCAGATCCCAAAGCATAAAGAGTTTGAAAGCAAAAAGACTGAAGAAAAAGATATCGCATGTAAACATCAACCAAAAGAGAGCTGGGGTGTCTGTATAAATACGAGTCAAAATAGACAAACATTTTTGCAAGAGATAAGGAGGCACATTATGTATTAATAAGAAGTTAGACCCATCAAGAAAATATAATAAATATATTTGCACATAACAAGACAGACCCAAAATAGATAAAGTAAAATTGATCAGAGTTTATGAGATAAATAGAAAGTTCTATAATAATAGTTACAGACTTCAGTACTCAACTCTCAATAATGGATACAACAACTAGACAGAAAATGAATAAGAAAATACAGGACTTGAACAACACATATTATTAGAAGAACTTTTCACCCAACGACAGCAGAATACACATTCTTCTTTAGTGCACATGGAACATTCTCTAGGATAGGCCATATGTTGAGGCCAAAAAACAAGTGTTAGTAAATTTTTTAAAATTGAGATCATACAAAGTACAGCATCTTCTCCTATTACCTGGAACTGAACTAGATCTCAATAACAGAAAGAACATTGAAAAATGCACAAATATATGCAAATAAAACAACATACTCCTACACAACCAATGCATCAAAGAAGAAATCATAGAGAAGTTTAAAAATACTTTGAGAGGAATGAAAACAAAAGTAAACATAACAAAACTTACAGAAGTGAGAGAAAGCAGTGTTCAGATAAAAATTTATAGTTGTCAATGCAGGCATTAAACACAAGAAAAGATCTCAAATCAATGACTTAAATTTACATTTTAAGGAACTAGACAGAAAATAACAAACTAAACCCAAAACTGGTATAACAAAGAAAGCAATAAAGCTTAGAGAGGAGATAAATAAAATAAAACAACAGAGAAAAATCAAGGAAACCAAAATTTAGTTATTTGAAATTAAAAGCAAAATTGACAAACTTGTAGCTAGGCTAAGACAAAAGGAGAAAAGACAGAAATAACTAAAATCAGAAATGAAGGTGGAGACAAATTACCACTAACCTTACAGAAGTTTTAAAAAAAGATTATAAGAAAACACTATGAACAATTGTACACCAACAATTTAAGTAAACCCATTAAAATAGACAAATTCCTAGAAACACACAAACTACCAAAACTGACTCAAGAATAAATAGAAAATCTGAACAGAGTTATAACAAGTAAAGAGATTACAATCATAACCAAAAACTTATAACACAAAAAGTTCAGGACCTGATGGATTCACTGGTGAATTCTACCTAGCATTTAAAGATTTAACCAGTCATTTTCAAGCTCTTCCAAAACATCGAAGAGGAAGAAATATTTCTTGACTCATTTTATGGGGCCAGTTTTACCCTATACCAAAGGCCAAATAATCAGTATCTTGGAAGTGGCAACGATTTTTTAAATATTACCATATCACCCAGAAATTTCACTTCAAGATACCTGGAAGAATCGAAAGCAGGTAGTCAAATATGTGTACACAAATGTTCATAGCAGCGCTGTTCACACTAGCCAAAAAGTAGAAATAGCACAAGTGTCCATTAATAGCTGAATAGATAAGCAAAATGTGATATAACCATGCAATGGGATATTATTCAACTATAAAAAGGGATGAAGTGCTGGTACATGGAGAAACCTTTAAAACATTATGCTAAGTAAAAGAAGACACACAGAAAAAGTCACATATTTATGATCCCATTTATATGAAATATCCAGAATAGGTAAATTCATGGTGATAAAAAGCAGATAAGCAGTTGCTAGGGACTGGCAGCATGGAAGAATGAGAGTGAATATCTAGCTGGATGTGATATTCCCATTTAAAATGATGAAAACATTCTAAAACTAGATATTGGTGATAGTTACATGACATCATGAATGTGCTTAATGACACTGAATTGTGCACTTTAAAATGGTTAAAATGGTAAATTTCATGTGATGCATATTTTACTAAAATAAAAAAAAGCAAAGAAGAAAACCCACAATGAATCACTGTCAATTTGTAGCCTTTTTTATCATTAAATACAAGAAAAAAAAAACAACCTTTGGAAGCAATTTGATAAATCGTTGTGTATATTTACTTCCTACCAATGTCTTGTATTTGTTTTGCTCACACCTAGTTTGGTGGAAAAATTGTAAGTTACCATTCCAAAGCATTCAAGCAAGTTTTGAGTACAGGCAATTTTTTTTGTACTTTAATTTTATTATTTTGCATATAATTAAGACATTTACGTATAAATATATATGTTCAAAAACATCTTTATAGAGTGATGTGACTAGAATATACAGTTCTGAGAAGAAACTATTACCAAGCCTTTTCTCATCTAGGATGTAAAAACTCCACGTGTAAAAAGACTTGTCTACATTCATAACTTTGTCCACAGTGCCTAGAAATAGTGTCTGGCACATATTCGGTTCTCAATAAATATCTATGACAAAGTAATGAATCAAGAAAAATGGTTTTCTCCTTTAACAAGAGGGCATAAAAAACATGCAAAAGTGTTTGTAAATATGTATCCACTATATATTACATCCCTTATATGATGTTCTTTATGATGATATAATACACTTTACAATAATATATTTCTTTTTGTTTTGCTCATATCTTTCTGTATTATATATATTGTTTAGAGCTTCATAAATATACTTTATGTATTTTAACATATAGCATATATAAATATATATTATAGTAAATACTTGATTTAGGACTTTAAATCAATAGTCATTTGAAACCATCTTGTAGAAGCTGCACAGTTCTCTAAGAAAACCACAAGACAAAATGAATGGCATTTTTCATATTTTATAAGCTTAATTACAGGCCAACATTTGCAAGGCAATAGCAAAATGAAAATATTTAAGTAGAACTTACATATTATCTTATTCTCATGTGTCAACTTGCTTTTGATTATCAACATTGTTTGTACAAGCATTTCTGTTAAGTCTGCAAACTGTAAAATGTGATTGATATGGGTATGTATATTCTAGATTACCAAAGGCTAAATGATATACTTGTCTTTTAAAATAGTTTCCATTCTAATCCTTGCCTGCCAGTTACTTAGATCTTTCATTTAAAATGCCTGTTTTTCTTGAAACTTTGCTTGTGTGGTCCGACCAAGTGTAAACTGTCTTCAGGACAAATGAGGGAGGAAAAACAAAATTACCTCAGTTAATTCCAAGAAAGGAAAATATACACTTTGTATGCTTTTTATTTTAATCAAATTAAGAACAGGCGTTGATGCCCTATCAGCATTTTGAAAGTCTTACACTATACCTATTCTAGAGTCAGTGTAGCCAGCAGAAAGAATAAGAGCTTTGAAACCAAAAGAATCTTCATTTCAGTAAAATTGTTACCACATTTTGACTGTGAGATCTTGGACAACTGCTTTTCCCATTCATGGCTTTGTTTTCCTTATTGGTAGATACATTGAATAGCAATACTCATGTGAAAGTGGTAATAAATTATCAGACTTACAGTTTTACAAGACAATACTAATAATTATTATTGTCTTGTAAAGTTCTCAAATATGGACATGAGGAATGAGCTCATTTCATACAAACACAGACAATACTAATTTTAGACTCTCTTCACCTTTACAAGCCCGTTCTTTTCCATTTCAGCAATCACCACAAAATTTAACAGCTGTTGGTGTCGTGGAATAGACATTATTTTCAAAGTGTCAGTAAGTTCCAAATATTTTATACTACAAATCATTTAAGATGCTTATTAGCTCTTTATTTTCACATTTTAACTTATATTTTGAGTCATTTTATTTTCATTACTGCTAAACTACACTACTCACCAGTTCCCCAAAGGTAGGGCAGCAGTTACCTCAATTTAAATCTGCAAATCTCTGATGAATCAGCTACAATTTGCTTTTAATAGTAGTTTTCTGCTAAAACTTTCAGCCTGTGTTCAGGCATTGGACTCATTCAGTATCTTTGAACCCTGACTTGCCTGAGTTCTGGGATGGAAAACGTTCTGTAGACTGACGTTCTTTATTCATTTTCAGGCTAGGTTTGACTGTCAATTTGCCGTGATCATATTCCATTTAACCTATGGCAGCAGCAATTCAGATACACAAATATAAAAATGTAGTAAGTTATCCAACTTTTTGTGAAAAATTTGTGAACAGACAAATGTTCTCTCTCACAGGAAGACAATAAATATAACCAGCTTTAGCTTGAGAGAGTTGAAACTTAAAAATACCTGAAGCTTTTTTTTTTTTTTTTCATTGAAATGGATTCTCGCTCTGTCACCAGGCTGGAGTGCAGTGGTGAGAACTCTGCTCACTGCAACCTCCGACTCTCTGGTTCAAGCAATTCTTCTGCCTCAGTCTCCCGAGTAGCTGGGACTACAGGCATGCACCACCACGCCCAGCTAATTTTTGTATTTTTTAGTAGAGACGGGGTTTCACCATGTTGACCAGGATGGTCTCGATCTCCCGAGCTTGTGATCCACGCACCTCGGCCTCCTAAAGTGCTGGGATTACAGGCGTGAGCAGTACACCTTCAGGTACACCTGAAGCTTCTTTTACTTTCTCCACAAGGGAACAGCTCCCTTTTCTTCCCACCTAGCTGATTCAACTGAGCATGATCACTTCACATCCTTATGACACACTGATGTCTACTCATTATATGATTCATGGTTTTCTACTGATGCCAAGAAGGAACTTCATAAGGTAACAACTTTATGAATTAAAAATAGAAAACAGTTAATTGGAATTTTCAACAAATTATTTGACCTGATTTTCATAGGAATATTTAAATCCCTCATGGAAGTCATTTGAGACATACCATTTTCAAGAAAAAAATCCCAAAATAATTACATTATTGAATTGGACAAAATTTTAAAAATGAAATTTACATTAGTAGGGCAGAATAAATGCAATAAACAGATTTTAGTCAGAATATACTCCAAAATTCATAAATTAGGTACTACCCCATCAACATTATGGAAATAGCATAAGAAGGAATTTTTACATTGAGAAAACATTCAGACTCTCTGAGACAATATTCTACAAAGGAACAGGTAAAAGTGAAACTTGAAAGCATGATTTTAAAACAAACTGGTTTAAACAATTGTTTCTTTGAGTTATAAGAGTTGTTAGACCATCACAACTATGTATCTGTTTCTATATATATACTTTATATAATTTACATATAATCATTGTTATAAAGTACATATATAATATATATAAAACTATATATATAAATATATATATATCTCAAACAATGGTTATAATTATTTTAATTATTTATTTAGAAACAGGGTTTTCCTCTGTTCCCCAGGCAGGAGTGCAGTGGCATGATCGCAGCTCACTGCAGCCTCCAACTCTTAGACTCAAGCAATCCTCCTGCCCTAGCCTCCTGACTAGTTAGGACTATAGGTCATTGGTACCATGACTGGATAATTTTTACAAAAAATTTTTTTTGTAGAGACAAGGCCTCAGTATGTTGCCCAGGCTGGTCTTGAACTCCTGGCCTCAAGTGATCCTCCCACTTTGGCCTCCCAAAGTATTGGAATTACAAGTGTGAGCTGCCATACCCAATTTGTTATAATAATAATTTTTAAATGTCTTGATATTGAAACCTCCTTTCAGAATATCATGAGGGAAATAAAATGTATTTTTTAAATTTTTAATTGACAAATAAGATTGCATATACTGAAAGTATACAGTGTGATGATTTCATGTACATGTATATTGTGTAATGATTACCACAATCAAATTAATACACCCATCATTACCCATGCTGTACCTTAAATACCCAGAACTTGTTCATCTTTTAACTAAAAGTTTGTACCTTTTAACCAACATCTCCCTGTTTCCTCCACCCTCCAGCCCCTGGTAACTACTATTCTACTCTCGGCATGTATAAATTTCCTATTTCTAGATTCTATGTAAAGGGAGATTATGCAGTATTTGCCTTTCTGTGCCTGGGTTATGTCACTTAACATATTTTCTCTAGGTTCATCCACGTTCCCACAAATGGCAGAATTTTCTTTATTTTTATTGCTGAATAATATGCCATTACATTCATGCATACACATACACATTTTCCTTATCCATTCATTTGCGAATCATGCTTAGGTTGTTTCCATATCTTGGCTTTTATGAATGATGCTGTGTGAACATGGAGTTGCAGCTATCTCTTCAACACACTGATTTAATTTCCTGTGTGTGTGTGTGTGTGTGTATATATATATATATATATATATATATATATATACACATATATATATATACAGAAGTGGCATTGCAGAATCCTATTGTAGTTCTCTTTTTCCTTTTTTGAGGAACCTCAATACTGTTTTCCATGTGGCTATACCAATTTACATTCCCATTAACAATGCACAAGGGTTCCCTTTTCTCCACTCCCTCATCAACACTTGTTATCTTTTGTCTCTTTGATAATAGCCTGCCTAACAGGTGTGAGGTGATATCTTATTGTGGTTTTGATTTGCATTTCTCTGATGAGGAAAGAAAGACCTACCCTCAATGTGGGTAGGCACCATCCAGTCTCTGCCAGCGTAGCAAGAACAATGCAGGAAGAAGTAGGTGGGAGTCTTCTGTATTTCATCTTTCTCTGGTGCTGAGTGGTTCCTTATGTTCCTCCTATCTTTGGACGGAAGACTCCAGCTTCCACGGCCTTTGGATTCTTAAACTTAAACCAGCGGTGTGCTGGGGGCTCTCAGGACTTCAGCCACAGACTGACGGCTGTTAACTTTGCTGCTTTTGAGGCGTTTGGACAGACTGAGGTACTACTGGCTTAATTCTTACCCAACTTACACACGGTGTGTTGTAGGATTTCGCCTTGTGATTGTATGAGCCAATTCTCCCTAATAAACTCTCTTTCATATACATTTATCCTATTAGTTCTGTCTCTCTGGAGAACCCTGACTAATATATCTTATTGAAGAGATTTTCTTTTCCTCATGTCTTTTCTTGGCATCCCTATCAAAGATTAGTTGACCATATACTTGGTGGTTTGTTACTGTGCTTTCTATTCTGTTTTATTGGTCTGTGTGTCTGTTTTTATGCCAGTAGTATAATGTTTTAATTATAATAGCTTTAAAGTATACATTGAAATCAAAGTGTGTGATGCCTCCAGATTTGTTCTTCTTTCTCAGATTTCTTTGACTATTCGGGGTCTTTTGTGGTTCTACCCGAATTTTAAAAATTTATCTTTCTGTGAATAATGCCATTGGAATTTTAATAGGGATTGTACTGAATCTGTAGATCACTTTGGGAAGTATGGACATTTAAAAAATACTACTTCTTCCAACACATGTATATGGAATACCCTTCTACTTATTTTTGTTGTCCTCATTTTTTTTCAACAATTTCTTATAGTTATAGTACAAATCCTTCACCTCCTTGGTCAAATTTATTCCCAAGTATCATATTCGATTTGTTTGTTTGTTTGTTTGTTTGTTTGTTTTTCTGAGACGGAGTCTTGGTCTGTCGCCCAGGCTGGAGTGCAATGGCACAAACTCGGCTCACTGCAACCTCTGCCTCCCGGTTCAAGTGATTCTCCTGCCTCAGCCTCTGAGTAGCTGGGATTACAGGCACCCACCACCACACCAGGCTACTTTTTTAAAATTTTAGTAGAGATGGGGTTTCGTCATGTTGGCCAGGCTGGTCTTGAACTCCTGACCTCAGGTGATCTGCCCGCCTCGGCCTCCCAAAGTGCTGGGATTACAGGCATGAGCTACTGTGCCTGGCCTGTGTTCTTTTTTGATGCTATTATAAATAGACAATTTACTCAGTTTCTTTTTCAGATGGTTTGTTTCAAGGGTATGGAAATGCAAGTAAGTTTTGTATGCTGATTCTGTATCTTGCAAATTTACTGTATTTGTGTATAAATTATAACTTTTTTTGGTTGAGTCTTTAGTGTTTTCTATATGTCATTGGCAGACAAAATAATTTTATTCTTTCCTAATTTCGGTGACATTTATTTCTTTTTGTTCTCTAATTGCTCTGGCTAGGATATTCAGTACTATGTTGAATAGAAATTGTGAGGGGGGCACCCTTGTCTTGTTCCTGATCTTAGAGGAAAAGCTTTCAGCCTTTTACTGTTGAATATAATGTTAGCCATGAGATTGTCACATATGGCTTTTATTATGTTGAGATTTATTTCGTCTACACCTAATTTGTTGTGACTATTTTACCATGGAAGGCTGTTGAATTTTGTTAATGCTTTCTCTTCATCTATTGAAATATGAATTTTGTCCTTCATTCCGTTAATGCAGTGCATCACATTTATTAATTTGTATGTGTTGAATTATCCTTATATCCCTGTGATGAATCTCACTTGCTCATGGTGAATGATTCTTTTAATGTGCTATTAAATTTAGTTTTCTAGAAATTTGTTGAGAATTTTTGCATCTATATTCATCAACATGTTGGCCTATAATTTTCCTTTCTTGTAGCATCCTTATCTGGCTTTAGTATTAGGGTAATCCTTGCATGGTAAATTGAGTTTGGAAATGTTTCCTCATCTTCTGATTTTTGGAAGCATTTGAGAAGGATTTGTGTTAATTCTTCTTTAAATGTTTGGTAGAATTTGCCCATGCCTATGCCCTGAATTGTATTGCCTAGGTTTTCTTCTAGGATTTTTTATGGGTTTAGGTCTTTCATTTAAGTCTTTAATCCATCTTGAGTTAATTTTTGTATAAGGTGTAAGGAAGGGATCCAGTTTCAGCTTTCTACATATGGCTAGCCAGTATTCCCAGCACCATTTATTAAATAGGGAATCCTTACCCCATTTCTTGTTTGTGTCAGGTTTGTCAAAAATCAGATGGTTGTAGATGTGTGGTATTATTTCTGAGGCCTCTGTTCTGTTCCACTGGTCTATATATCTGTTTTGGTACCCAGTGCCATGCTGTTTTGGTTACTGTAGCCTTTTAGTATAGTTTGAAGTCAGGTAGCATGATGCCTCCAGCTTTGTTCTTCTTGCTTAGGATTGTCTTGGTGATGCGATCTCTTTTTTGCTTCCACTTGAAATTTAAAGTAGTTTTTTTTTCCAATTCTGTGAAGAAAGTCATTGGTAACTTGATGGGGATGGCATTGAATCTATAAATTACCTTGGGCAGTATGCCCATTTTCACGATATTGATTCTACCTGTCCATGAGCATGGGATGTTCTTCCATTTGTTTGTGTCCTCTTTTATTTTGTTGAGCAGTGGTTTGTGGTTCTCCTTGAAGAGGTCCTTCACATCCCTTGTAAGTTGGATTCCTAGGTATTTTATTAACTTTGTAGCAATTATGAATGGGAATTTACTTATGATTTGGCTCTCTGTTTGTCTGTTATTGGTTTATAGGAATGCTTGTGATTTTTGCACATCAATTTTGTATCCTGAGACTTTGCTGAAGTTGCTTATCAGCTTAAGGAGATTTTGGGCTGAGATGATGGGGTTTTCTAAATATACAATCATGTCATGTGCAAACAGGGAAAATTTGATTTCCTCATTTCCTATTTGAATACCCTTTATTTCTTTCTCTTGCCTGATTGCCCTGGCCGGAACTTCCAACACTATGATGAATAGGAGTGGTGAGAACGGGCATCCTTGTCTTGTGCCAGTTTCAATGGAAATGCTTCCGGTTTTTGATCATTCAGTATGATATTGGCTGTGGGTTTGTCATAAATAGCTCTTATTATTTTGAGATACGTTCCATCAATACTTAGTTTATTGAGAGTTTTTAGCATGAAGTGCTGTTGAACTTTGTCAAAGGCCTTTTCTGCATCTATTGAGATAATCAGGGGGTTTTTGTCGTTGGTTCTGTTTATGTGATGGATTATATTTATTGATTTGCATATGTTGAACCAGCCTTGCATCCCAGGGATGAAGCCAGCTTGAACGTGGTGGATAAGCTTTTTGATGTACTGCTGGATTCGGTTTGCCAGTATTTTATTGAGGATTTTCACATTGATGTTCATGAGGGATATTGGTCTAAAATTTTCTTTTTTTGTTATGTCTCTGCCAGGCTTTGGTATCAGGATGATGCTGGCCTCATAAAATGGTTTAGGGAGCATTCCCTCTTTTTTTATTGATTGGAATAATTTAAAACACCAAAAGCAATGGCAACAAAATCCAAAATAGACAAATGGTATCTAACTAAACTAAAGAGCTTCTGCATGGGAAAAGAAACTATCATCAGAGTGAACAGGCAACCTACAGAATGGGAGAAAATTTTTGCAATCTACCCATCTGACAAAGGTCTAATATCCAGAATCTTCAAAGGACTTAAACAAATTTACAAGAAAAAAACAAACAACCCCATCAAAAAGTGGGCAAAGTATATGAACAGACACTTCTCAAAAGAAGACATTTATGCAGCCAACAGACACATGAAAAAAGGCTCATCATCACTGGTCATTAGAGAGATGCAAATCAAAACCACAATGAGATACCATCTCATGCCAGTTAGAATGGCGATCATTAAAAAGTCAGGAAACAACAGATGCTGGAAAGGATGTGGAGAAATAGGAATGCTTTTACACTGTTGGTGGGAGTGTAAATTAGTTCAACCATTTTGGAAGTCAGTGTGGCAATTGCTCAAGGATTTAGAACTAGAAATACCATTTGACCCAGCGATCCCATTACTGGGTATATACCCAAAGGATTATAAATCATGCTACTATAAAGACATATGCACACGTATGTTTATTGTGGCAGTATTCGCAATAGCAAAGACTTGGAACCAACCCAAATGTTCATCAATGATAGACTGGATTAAGAAAATGTGGCACATATAACATCATAGAATACTATGCAGCATACAAAAGAATGAGTTCATGCCCTTTGCAGGCACGTGGATGAAGCCGGAAACCATCATTCTCAGCAAACTATCACAAGGACGGAAAACCAAACACTGCATGTTCTCACTCAGAGGTGGGAGTTGAACAATGAGAACACATGGACACAGGAAGGGGAACATCATACACCAGTGCCTGTAGGGGAGTGGAGGACTGGAGGAGGAATAGCATTAGGAGAAATACCTAATGTAAATGACAAGTTGATGGGTGCAGCAAACCAACATAGCACATGTATACCTACGTAACAAACCTGCATGTTGAGCACGTCTATCCTAAAACTTAAAGTATAATAAAAAAAAAAAGAAGAAAAAGCTAAAAGCAAACAAGCAAAAAAAATGTTTGATAGAATTAACCTATGAGGTTATCTGGTCCTGGGCCTTTCTTTCATAGGAATATTTTGATTACTAATTCATTCTTCTTACTTATTACTTGTGTATTCAGAGTTTCTATTTCTTAATGATTCAGTCCTGGTAGGTTGTATGTTTCTAGGAATTTGTTCATTTCTTCTAAGTTATCCAGTTTGTTAGCCTATAATTGTTTGTAGTAGTCTCCTATGATCCTCTGTTTCATATGATATCAGTTGTAATGTCTCCTTTTTTTTTATTTGAGTCTTTTCTCATTTTTTTCTTGGTTAGTCTTTCTGAAGTTTTGTTAACTTCATCAATCCTTTTAAAAAACCTAACATAATTTTCTTGATCCTTTCTATTGTCTATGTAGCCTCTATTTCATTTAATTTTTCTCTAAACTTTATTAATTTCTTCCCTCTGTTGACTTTGGGCTTAGTTTTTTTTTTCTTTTTCTGGTTTCTTGAGGTGTGAACTTAGATTGTTTATTTGAGGTAATTCTGTTTTATTTATGTATACATTAATTGCTATAAACTTCCCTTTTAGCACTGCATCCCACAAGTTTTGGTATGTTGTATTTCTATTTTCATTTGTCTCAAATACTTTTTGACTTCCCTTTCAATTTATTTTTAATCCATTTTTTGTTCAGAAGCATGTTATTTCACTTCCACATATTTGTAGATTTTCCAAAATTCCTCCTTTTTAGTTTTATATCATTGTGGTAAAAAAGGTACTTGAGATGATTCCAATCTTCTTAAATTTATCAAGACTTGTTTTGTTCCCCAACATGTGACCTATACAGAAGAATGATATTTGTGTGCTGGAGAAAAATGTATATTCTCCTGATCTTAGATGGAGTGTTCTATATATGTTTTTTAGGTGCTTTTGGTTTATTACTGTGTTATTCAAGTCCAGATTTTCCTTATTGATTTTCTGCCTGGGTGATCTATCGAATGTTGAACATAGGGTAGTCAAGTCTACTATTATTATTGTATTGCTGTCTATTTCTCCTTTAATCCTGTTAATATTTGCTTTATATATTTAGGTGCACTGATGTTGGGTGCATATTTATTTACGGTTTTTATATTCTCTTGATAACTTAATCCCTTTATCATTATATAGTGGCCTTACTTGTCTCTTCTGACAAAGTTTGAAATTCTATTTTGTCTGAAATAAGTACAGCCTTCCCTGCTCTTTTTTGGTTACCATTTGCATGGAATATCGTTTTGTTTCCCTCCATTTTTAGCCTATTTGTGTCCTTAAGTCTAACGTGAGTCTCTTGAAGGCAGCATGTTGCCTTATCTTGGCATTTTATCAATTCAATTATTTTATGTCTTTTGATTGAAAAATCCAATCTGTTTACATATAATTATTGATATATAAGGACTTACTATTGTTATTTTGTAAATCATTTACTGCATGTTTGTAGTTCTTTGATTCCTTTCTTCCAGTATTGCTGTCTTACTTTGTAATTGGTTGAATTTTTGTAGCAGTATCCTTTGATCACTTTCACTTTACCTTTCATGTATCTAATAGAAGATTTTTTGTGTGTGGTTACCATGGGGCTTATATAAAACTTCTTATAGTTATTATATATATATATGTATATATATAATTATTATTCCTTAAGTTCTAGGGTACATGTGCAAATGTGCAGGTTTGTTACATAGGTGTACATATGCCATGTTGGTTTGTTGCACCCATCAACTCATCATTTACATTCATTATTATATTTTATTTTAAGATAACTTCAAGCCCATACAAAAACTCTAGAGAAATGAAATACTTAAAGAAAACTCTATGTTCCTATGGTTACTTTATTGGAGAGTCTTCAGCTCTTACGTGTTTGAAAAGCAGCATAGGAAGAAAGCCGCTAGAGTCAGATAGTTTACTGCAAGAAGAACACAGAAGACATCTAGACCACGGTAAATCTTACCATTCTGTAAACTTTTCTACTACAGTCAGATTTTGAAAAACTAACTTTGATTTTCTGAAAAATTCTTCAGTAGGTAATTTATTCAGAGGAAAATAAATATGTTTCCAAATCAGAGATAGGGAGTCACAGATACTTCAAATGGGATTGGGAAGAGGGGAGACTCCACCTTTATTTCCCATCTAGTTGTAATCCAAGTGAAAAGAACAATGTGGGAAAAGGTAAGAAGTTTATCAAAGGACAACACTGAGCTCATATTTCAATCAATAAAAGAAGATAATCAGGGTTTAATATCCCAAGAAATTTTATAGAAATCATAGAGGGCTATACATTTTTATTGTCGCTTACAAGTAATCTCAAGTGGAAAAGACAGAATCTCTTATCATTGTGGTTGAGGACTAAATAAATCTTTTTTTTAAATTTAAAGACCATGATTAAGACTTTTGTCAAATCAAAACACTTCTTTATGAAGAATCCCAAGAAGAAGAAATACGAACAGAAAGAAAAAATAGAAAAACAAGAGATAGAAAGTTACATTGAGCAAAAATTGTTTTCTTACACAAGAGTAAATAAAATACATGCTTTTCATAAGGATAAAAGCAAAGTAATGTGCAAAAAAAAAAAAACCTCTTTACTGTCATTATAAAGCTGAAAAAGACAAATTTGAGAATAGGGAAGTATGAAAAATAGTTACAGAACCCAGCGGCCAGTTATGAAAATGGCACTAATCCTAAAGGAATGTCTGGAAAAATGTTTCCAGTGGAAGCTGGTGAATGGCTGTACCCGTAGTGAAAATGAAAGTAGGGAGCAACAGCCAGCCAAGGGAGGTGCATCAGAGGGAACATTCCGCTGGCCAGAACAAATGATGAAAGCTGAGCGGCCACACTCAGTGCCAGGTCTGGGACAGTCTGGAGAGAGAGGAAGCCAAGGTGGAGCCCAAGTAGGTAGGAAAAATATACCAAAATTCCAAGTTATGAAAAGCAAAAACTGAAAGGTCATTTTGGTATCCCTTACTCTTTAGTTGATGAGTATCATTGTTGAATATTAACGTAATGCTTAGGAAGAACATATCTTGGATGACATGACCAAAACTAACTTGAGAAGGGATTGTTTTAAAATCACTTAGCACTTCATTTACTCAACTAATATTTTGATAGAGCTTTTTTTTTCTTTTTCTTTTTCTTTCTTTCTTTTTTTTTTTTTTTCTAAGCACTGGGCTAGGTTTTTGAGGTACAAAGTTGAAAAGGAAGTCAGGGTAAGAAACCTGTTTAAGAAGGTTAGACAAGACTAACATTATCAAATACTACAAAGTAATAAGATCAAATTTAGAAGTATTCATTGGATTAGGAAATTAGAAGACGGTGGGTAATTTTAGCAGAAGCAACTTTAGTGAATGGTAGGGATAGAAAGAAGATTATGGTTAACTGAAAAATAATTTAGTGGTAGGTTCTTATTTAAAAAGAGGTGTATTTAACTTTTCTGATGTTCCTGATTGAAAGCAAAGAAAGAAAATAAGAGAGAAGCTAGAGGAAATATAAGACTCAGGTTCTGTGCTTATATTATCATCATTTTTTTAAAAAATAAAAATGTTAATTCAAATTGGCAGCATTTATGATACATTATCTGGTTTATCCATATTAGTAAAGTAATGATAACTTAGGCTTGGAAAAGATCTTAGAGGTCATCCAATCAGCTTTTCACATTTTATAGAGGAAGAAGCCGAGGGCTTGAAAGTTGTGATTTTCTAGCCATTCCTTTAAAAACCTATAACAGCAGACATCACCTGCTCAATGTAAGGGAATAAAAACTGTAATAATTATTTAGGACCTTCTTCTCTCTTTTCTTCCTACCTTCTTTCTTTCCTTCGTTTCTTCCTTTCTTCCCCATTTCTTCCTTTAAGATTTGAAAAGTTCTTCTAATGCTATCCATTCTAAATAAAGTACATGATTAAAGCTGTTATTCATAGATAAGATGTAGCTATAGCCCCATACTTTTTAATATAGCCCTATATTGAAGTCATGTTAATGGCAGCGGTGGCTGTCTGGAGCAGCCGATTTGAAGACGCTGGCTGTAGTGGGGAGGTGCGGCCAGGGCTGCATGCTCTACAGAGCTGGCGGGAGCTGGGAACAGGTGGAAGCCCCGTCCCCGTCTGAGTTGGCAGGGTGGGAGCCCCACTCTCCCAAGCACAGCTGCAGCTCCGGACCCGGACATCCCTGTGCTCTTGGGGGCCTGGGAAACCCCTCTGTCCCCACAGGCTTGGAAGTGCCTGCTTCCCTGCAAGGCCTCTCCCTGCTTCTGGCACCCACTCCAATTTTGGAGCAAAGTTGAGGCCAAGCCTGGGTGCTGTCCCAACCCTGCCCAGTGTACATGAGATCGGGGCAGTGCTGACACACCAGTCCTCTGCGTCTCGGCCCCTTCTGGACCTTGGACCCAACGAGCAAGGGAGCAAGGATGAGGGGGTGCTGACGGCAGCTCATCTCTAGACTGAAGGCACCCCTCAGCAGGAAGAGCCTGGGCACCATAAATGGCGGCAGGAGACAGACAAGCCCCGGGCAGAAAGGGATGGGCCCCTAATGAAGCTCCGTCTTCAAGCCAGGGACAGCCTAAAGCGCAGGGCCAGGCTGCCAGTTCCGCAGACTACAGTGAGAACTTCTGGTGCTTTTTCTGGGCCGCCCATAGACGCCCATGGATGCCCATGGACCAATCAGCTTGCCCTTCCTCCTTAAAGAGCCTGGATTTAGCCAGACTCAGAGGATGGGAAGGCCTGCCTGTGGAGAGGAGCTATCCAATGTCGGTCTTTTCTCTGCTGAGGGCTGCACAGATGCTGGGATGAGCTGCCTGTGGAAAGGAGCTATTCACTTTGGGTCCCCTAAGGGCTGTACCATTGCTCATTAAAGCACCTCTTCACCTTGCTCACACTCAAGTTGCCTGCCTACCTCTTTCTCCCTGGACATGGGACAAGAACTTGGGACCTGCTGAATGGTGGGACTGAAAGAGCTTTAATAGAAACAGGGTTGAAACAACATCCCCACTCTGCGCTCGTCAGTTGCCAGCAAGGAGAAGCAGAGAAGACAGAAGGAAAGAAGAGCTGCTGCCCTTTGGGGATCCCAGACCTAGGAACTCCTCAAGCCACAGCTGTGACATCCTCTTTTGCAGTACGCCTGGTCTAATGCAGCACTGCAGGAAGCCGGCACCTGTTCCAGCACCCGGAGCTGCCCACCCTGCCACAGCTGGCATGCCTGTCTGTGCGCAGTGGCCAGACTCCTCACCACTCTGCGCCTGGCTTGCCCTTGACAGGTGTGAGATCTGGGCCAGTAGCACAGCCGAGCACAGCCTGTCAGGCCAAGTGAGCAAAGTGAGCCCAGTGGACCCAGGCAAAACTCAGGCAGAGATGCCACCGGTCACAGAGGTTCCCAGCTGGTGAAGCGATAACCCAAGGATCCCATGACAATGTAATTAAAAGTACATTTTGGAATGATCTTATTATTGCCTCATTTCTACTTTTACTTTGTTTTTGTGTATCTGACATTCATGTATAATTATTCTTACATAAAGTAACTTATTTTCAAAATAAAACAACCACACATAAATTGTACGTTTTTCTTATACAAATAATTTTAAAGACAGTCATAATTGTTGACAGGTCTAGTGTTATGAATAGTATAAAACCAAATGTCTTAGCAATAATTTTTAAGTACTGTTATTCAGTAACTACGTACCTTATAGCTGGATTATTTTCATTTAAAGTGTCAGTAAAAGTAACATTAAGTAGAGAGAAGGCTTCAAACCCTGTAGCAAATAGTAGCCATTTTCTTCAGCCGAAAGTTTTCACATTAAAAATATTTAGTGCTTAAATGCAGACATTATGTTAACCTGGGGAAAAAATACAGGATTTAAAAACCTTATGTGAACTGCTCTAATTGAGCCAAAATACACAAATTATAGCATTATTACATTTGGAGGAGGAAAAGGACTATTAGTTCATTTAGTGTTTCCCCTGCTAAATTTGAACAGTTCCTTACAACATATTTCCTAACACTGTAAGTCTGGTTTTGAAAGTTTCACATGATAACACTTTTCAATACATCCTTAAGAAGCTATTAATCTAGTTGAGCCTCAAAGGACGTCTCTAATAGTGTCAAACTGGAAGCTTTCTTGTCTTAACATGACTCCACTAGCTTCCCTGCCAGGTACCCATCTCCAAAACTCCTCCTCCTCCTCCTCTTCCCCCTCCCCCTTCCTCTTCCCCTCCCCCTCCCCTTCCTCTTCTTCCTCCTCTTCGTTCTCCTCTTCCTCCTCCTCCTCCTTCCTCTGCTTCTTCTCCTTCCTCTGCTTCTTCTCCTTCCTCTTCTTCTCCTCCTCTTTCTTCTTCTTCTTCCTCTTCTTCTTTCTCCTTCTTCTTCCTCTTCTTCTTTCTCCTCCTCCTCCTCCTCCTCCTTCTCCTTCTTTTTCTTCTTCTTCTTCTTCTTCTTCTTCTTCTTCTTCTTCTTCTTCTTCTTCTTCTTCTTCTTCCTCTTCTCTTCCTACTCTCCTCCCTCCTCCTCCTAAACCTCCATTTCTTCATCTTCATCCTCCTATTATTCTCCTCCTTCTTCTTCTCTTCTTCTTCTTTTCTTCTTCTTCCTCTTCTTCTTCTTTTCTCCTTCTCTTTCTCTTTCTCCTCCTCCTCCTTCTCCTCCTTTTCCTTCTCCTCCTATTTTAACTGCATAAAACCAGTATGGAGGACACTTATATAAGTGGTAGAACTTTGCCAACAGTGACTGATTCCCACTCCTTCTCCAAGTTCAGACACTGACAGTAAAGTGTTGTCATTTGTTACTAAGTACCTAAAAGTATCTTGCTCTTTTTTCCAAATGTAGTGTTATCTGAAAGTGGCTAGGAGCACTTAAAATTATATATATATATATAATGTCCTAGAGATGGATGGGTTTCCTATTATTGTTAGCACTGTGTTTTCCCAGCCCTGTGTGAAAGCAGGAATTCCATCACATCAGCTTGTTTAAAAGAGATATGAGATGTCAAACTGAATAATTATCCACAGTCAATTTACTTTCTCTAAATTAGTTTAGAGAACAGAGGAAAACTGAGGTTTATACCTTGAGAATGCCAAGTCATTGTTTCAATCCAATTGAAATCTGAAATAGTCATTCTGAAAGAGAACTGAAAGGCATTTTTTGAAATTTGGGCAAACATATGCGAAAGTATAAACATATTCAGTTGAAAGGTACTTAAAACACGTATATTGATATGTGTGAGCCATTGTGTGCTACAATTGGCTTATACCTGCCTGGGTTTCAGGAATTTTGCGAGTTGAACATGCTCATGATTAAATATTAAATTACATAAACTAACAGATATGTTAAAGCAAGAGTAATAAATTCTAAATAATTATGTATTGATTATGTTAATACATTTTAGTGTTATCTATGCTCTTGAGGTTACTTACGTTTATTGCATTTTATACTAGAAACACCATTTTCTAGTAGGGTACTGAACATCTCTTCTCAGTACCACTTTTAGTGACTTCATTGTGATAGCTCAAAATCAGCAAACACTACCAAGCAGCTAGCATTTTGGCCCACTAAAAGCTGATTGTTACTTATTTAATATACCTCTGTTTACAAGATTACAAAAATACATTTACTGTTAAAAATCCTTAAACATATATAGTTAAGAAAAAAGGAAGACACTAAATATACATCAACAATTTTATCAATAGCAGTATCAACTTGTACAAAATGGACTTGTATGTTTACGTTCATACCACTCCACATTTTAGCTAAGAATAGCAATTTTATGTTTGAACTGAACTCTGTTATTGTATTATTATATTATAGCTGAACTCTGTTGTTGATTTATTTTGTCAATATCCTTCATACTCTTTTAATTGTGATATAGTGTAAAATTAAACAAAACAAAATGGGAAAATTAAAAATACAATGAAAATAAGATTGATTATTAGAAGCAAAGTTGTGGATGTCACTATGTAACTGGAATAAGTTAATTTATTCATATAAGGACTGATTTGGTTACAGATTTTCTAGAAGAAAAGTAAAAGTGGATCCTAGTTATATTGTGCTTTTTATCTGAAGAGACATTCATTTTTTTTGCTACTAAATACAAGAGGCAACATATTAGGAGCACTAGATTAAAATCTAGTAAATAGATTCTGAATGTATGTTTTTTGAATATATAAATTCATACTCAAACTACAGTTAAATTGATTTTTTTTCTGATTACCTTCTATGTAAACCAAAAATGTAACTTTAACATGTGGAAGAGATTTCTCTGAAAGAGTGAAAGCTTAAAAACAGGACAGAAAGAAACCTTCTGTTTTCAACAATATTTATTATCCTATATGTGTGCCATGGACCATAAAGATTTTACACAACAGGTGTGTTTCTGGTTTATTAGACCTAAAATATGAGGGATGTGTTTATTCTCATTTTGCAAATGATAGAATTAAGAGAGAGATTTGTATTATTCTCATTTTGCAATCTATAGAATTAAGGACCATTTCCATTAAAAGACTTGCTCAAAAACACACAGCTCATAAGTTGTGATGCCTGAATTGTACCCAGCCAGTCTAGTGTCAGAATTCAAACACAGAATTGCTATGCTTAGGATTCTCTTGTAAATTATGGCTCCATTAGATTGTCTCAAATATCACATATTGTCAAATGCTCAGTCTTCATCAAACAGCCACATTATCCTTTCTCACTGAAAGAGAAACCACATGCTTAAGATTTTAAGTACATAAGAAGTAAATTGATGAGCTTTTTTTCATATGTTTGTTGGCCACATAGATGTCTTTTTTTGAGAAGCGTCTGTTCATATCCTTTGCCCACTTTTTGATGCAGTTGTTTGTTTTTCTCATAAATTTGTTTAAGTTTCTTGTAGATTTTGGATATTAGTCTTTAGTAGATGGATAGCTTGGAAAAATGTTCTCCCATTCTATAGGTTGCCTGTTCATTCTGATGATAATTTCTTTTGCTGTGCAGAAGCTCTTTAGTTTAATTAGATCCCATTTGTCAATTTTGGCTTTTGTTGCCATTGCTTTTAGTGTTTTAGTCATGAAGTCTTTATCCATGGCTATGTCCTGAATGGTATTGCCCAGGTTTTCTTCTAGGATTTTTGGAGTTTTAGGTCTTATGTTTAAGTCTTTAATCCATCTTGAGTTAATTTTTATCCATCTTGAGTTAAGGTGTAAGGAAGGGATCCAGTTTCAGTTTTCTAAATATGGCTAGCCAGTTTTCCCAATACCATTTATTAAATAGGGAATCCTTTCCCCATCGCTTGTTTTTGTCAGGTTTGTCAAATATTAGGTGGTTGTAGATGTGTAGGTTTATATCTGAGGCCTCTGTTGTGTTCCATTGGTCTACATATCTGTTTTGGTACTAGTGCCATGCTGTTTTGGTTATTTTAGCCTTGTAGTATAGTTTGAAGTTTGGTAGCGTGATGCCTCCAGCTTTGTTCTTTTTCCTTAGGATTGTCTTGGCTATAGGGGCTCTTTTTTGGTTCCATTTGAAATTAAAGTACTTTTTTCTAATTCTGTGAAGAAAGTCAATGGTAGCTTGATGGAGATAGCATTGAATCTATAAATTACTTTGGGCAGTATGGCCATTTTCATGATATTGATTCTTTCTATCCATGAGCATGGAATGTTTTTCCATTTGTTTGTGTCCTCTCTTATTTCCTTGAGCAGTGGTTTGTAGTTCTCCTTGAAGAAGTCCTTCACATCCCTTGTAAGTTTTATTCCTAGGTATTCTATTCTCTTTTTAGCAATTCTGAATGGCAGTTCACTCATGATTTGGCTCGCTGTTTGTCTATTATTGGTATATGTAAATACTTGTAATTTTTGCACATCAATTTTTGCACAGTCCCAATCTTGTATCCTGGGACTTTGCTGAATTGCTTATCAACTTAAGGATATTTGGGGCTAAGACGATGGGGTTTTCTAAATATACAATCATGTCACCTGCAAACAAGCAATTTGACTTCCTCTCTTCCTATTTGAATCCCATTTATTTCTTTCTCTTGTGTGATTGCCCTGGCCAGAACTTTGAATACTACGTTAAATAGTTTTCAAAGGGAATGCTTCCAGTTTTTGCCCATTCAGTATGATATTGGATGTGGGTTTTGTCAAAAATAGCTCTTATTATTTTGAGATCATTTCATCATACCTAGTTTATTGGGAGTTTTAGCATGAAGGGGTGTTGAATTTTATTGAAAGCTTTTTCTGCATCTACTGAGATAATCATGTGGTTTATATCATTGGTTCCGTTTATGTGATAGATTGCGTTTACTGATTTGTGTATGTTGAACCAGCCTTGCATCTCAGGTATGCAGCCAACTTGATCATTGTAGATAAGCTTTTTGATGTGCTGCTGGATTTGGTTTGCCAGTATTTTATTGAGGATTTTTGCATTGATCTTCATCAGGGATATTGGCCTGAAATTTTGTTTTGTTTTGTTTTGTTTTGTCTGTGCCAGGTTTTTGTATCAAGATGATGCTGGCCTCATAAAATGAGTTAGGGAGGAGTCCCTCCTTTTCTATCATTTGGTATAGTTTCAGAAGGAATGGTAATAGCTTCTCTTTGTACCTCTGGTAGAGCTCAGATGAGAATCCATCTAGTCCCGGGCTTTTTTTTGGTTGGTAGGTTGTTAATTACTGCCTCAATTTCAGAACTTGTTATTGGTCTATTCAGGGATTCAACTTTTCCTGGTTTAGTCTTGGAAAGTTGTATGTGTCCAGGAATTTATCCATTTCCTCTAGATTTTCTAGTTTATTTGCCTAGAGGTGTTTATAGTATTCTCTGAACATAGTTTGTATTTCTGTGGAATCAGTGGTGATATCCCCTTTATCATTTTTTACTGTGTCTGTTTGATTTTTCTCTCTTTTCTGCTTTATTAATCTGGCTAGCAGGCTATCTATTTTGTTAATCTTTAAAAAAAAACGCTCCTGGGTTCATCAATTTTTGAAGGGTTTTTCGTGTCTCTATCTCCTTCAGTTCTGCTCTGATCTTAGTTATTTCTTGTCTTCTGCTAGCTTTTGAATTTGTTTGCTCTTGCTTCTCTAGTTCTATTAATTGTGATGTTAAAGTATTGATTTTAGATCTTTCCCACTTTCTCTTGTTGACATTTAGTGCTATAAATTTCCCCCTAAATACTGCTTTAGCTTTGTCCCAGAGATTCTGGTACGTTGTGTCTTTCTTCTCATTGGTTGCAAAGGGCATATTTATTTCTGCCTTCATTTTGTTATTTATCCAGTAGTCCTTCAGGAGCAGATTGTTCAGTTTCCATGTAATTGTGTGGTTTTGAGTGAGTTTCTTAATCCTCAGTTCTAATTTGATTGCACTGTGGTCTGAGAGACCATTTGTTATGATTCCCATTCTTTTGCATTTTCTGAGGAGTGTTTTACTTCCAATTATGTGGTCAATTTTAGAAGAGGTGCAGATCACTTGAGATCAGGAGTTCCAGACCAGCCTGGCCAGCATGGTGAAACCTCATATCTACTAAAAATACAAAATAAATAAATAAATAGCCAGACATGGTGGTGCATGCCTGTAGTCCCAGGTTCCAGGGAGGCTGAGGCAAGAGAATGCCTTGAATCCAGGAGGCGAAGCTTGCAGTGAGCCGAGATCACACCACTGAACTCCAGCCTGTACGACAGCGCCAGACTCCATCTCAAGAAATAAATAAATAAATAAATAAATAAATAAATAAATAAAGGAATAGGTGTGATGTGGTACTGAAAAGAATGTATATTCTGTTGATTTGGGGTGGAGAGTTCTGTAGATGCCTATTAGGTCTGCTTGGTCGAGAGTCACCCATCATCACTGATCATTATAGAAATGCAAATCAAAACCACAATGAGATACCATCTCACGCCAGTTAGAATGGAGATCATCAAAAGTCAGGAAACAACAGATGCTGGAGAGGATATGGAGAAAAAAGTATGCTTTTACACTGTTGGTGGAAGTGTAAATTAGTCCGACCATTGTGGAAGACTCTGTGGAGATTACTCAAGGATCTAGAACCAGAAATAACATTTGACCCAGCAATCCCATTACTGGATATATACCCAAAGGATTATAAATCATTCTACTCTAAAGACACATGCACACATAGGTTTATTGCAGCACTATTCACAATAGAAAAGACTTGGATCCAACCCAAATGCCCATCAATGAGAGACTGGATTAAGAAAATGTGGCACATATACACCATGGAATACTATGCAGCCATAAAAAAGGATGAGTTCATGTCCTTTGTGGGACATGGATGAAGCTGGAAACCATAATTCTCAGCAAACTAACACAGAAACAGAAAACCATACATCACATGTTCTCATTCATAAGTAGGAGTCGAACAATGAGAACACATGGACTCAGGGAGGGGAACATCACACACCAGGACCTGTTGGGGAGTGGGGTCTAGGGGGAGGGATAGCATTAGGAGAAATACCTAATGTAGATGATGCAGCAAACCACCATATGTACATGTGGTGCATAGGTGTATACCTATTTAACAAACCTGCATGTTCTGCACATGTATCCCAGAACTTAAAGTATAATAAAATAAATAAATAAAATGGAAAAAAAGAAGTAAATTGATATTTTTAGCAGAAATCTTCATGTAGTAACTATTTTTTGCCCAGATGGATAAGCTAAGTTTTCTATGCAAGGAGGTGATCTCCATTTGTGCTTAATGAAAAATAAGTATTTCTATATAAAATGAGGCAAACTATCCCAGAGGGCATTCAACAGAAGGCTCACAGATCAAATTAAGATACTCGAATCACACACACACACAAAGTCCTATTTCTATATCTACATATATGTATATTTATCATATCTCTATCTGTCTACTCTCTATCTGTCTGCATACATAAAAGGAACCAGGAGTAAATTGAATTACAGCTGAGTTATTGAAATGATTATTAGAGATAACCATTTTAAGCCATAGAAAATTGTTTAGATAAATCAAATTAATGTTCACCCTATCCGATGACCTTCTTTGGGGAGAAACACATTCCCCATCTTGTTGAGATCAGTCATGACTGAGCACGTGACCTGCTTTGGTGAATTAAATATGAGCAGAAGTGATGAGTTTCATGTCCAGACACATCTAATAGTCAGTTCATTTTTTTTGTAATGTTTCTATGCCTTCTTCCAGAAAGACCACTAGTATTTCAAATGTGTTGAGCCAAAATTTTCTGTTTGTTTCTGCAGAATGAGCTTATCTATACTAACTTAAACACTCTCCATTTACTTTCTGATGTCAACATAATTTTAATACCAAAACTTGGTATCTGTCAAGAGTACAAAAATACAATTGCATGAAAACCCTATAATGAAAAATGAAAAACTTTACAAATAAAGTACTAGCAAAGAGCAGTGTAGTTAAATAATATCTTCAGTAATATATATTCCAGTAGTTCAAGAGTACCTCATTATTATAAATCCATCAGCACAATTTTGTTAAATATTAAAGAAAAAATCCACAAATCATATCAAAAGAAACTGCAAAGGCATTTAATAAATTTAACCAGAACGCTAACATTCTAAATCATAAATAGAAGAAACCTACTTACATATGATGAAACTTAGTGTGTATGTTTAAGTTTAATTTATTCCCAAAGTCTATTTCATATTCAGGAAAAAATATAAAATCAGCCCCAAATGCTTTTATTTTCAAGTGTTAAGAAAAATATCACAGGAAATTAAGATATAAGATCTCAACAAGGTCCAGATTTGAAAATAAAATGTGAAATATAGAAATCTAACTCTAAATATCTAGTTTTGGTGTGAATAGAGAAAATATTATTCTGGAAATCCATAAAAGCCCACAATTTATATTACAGAACATTTTACACTAAAAGTATCAGTTCTGTGAACCATTCCTTGATATTTCAACCTCTGCTCAGAACAATTCTTACCATAAGATTACTCTTTATTGTGATCAGGGATTCCTGCTCTACAACAGCTCCTGTATCCATATATGCTGTTTCTGTGTTCATGCTAAAGTTACCCTCATTGGAACTCAGCAAGTTTCAGGCTCTTCTAAGAATTCACTCTCACATGGTCAATTCTGAGTCATGTATAATTTCCTGAAGATTTCTGACTGGAGACAGGGAATAATGACCTTTATGTTGTATATGCCTCAGCAAAGAGTATGTAAGCAGCCCTAAAGTCCTATTAATTCTTAGAAGTACTCTCTATGGTTATGCCCACCAATGGTGAGAGTACTGTGATTCTTCTACACTGTGCCCATTTGGCTGATTTTGCACTTGCATGAGATAGAGCATCTGCCTCTAAACACGTATTTTGATAAACTCATCAAAATAGTAAACAAAACTAAGTGTTCTCCAATTAAAATGACCTACTTTGCTTGCAAGGTAAGTTCGGCTAACATTTGATTACTGAATCCCAGATTGTGTTTGCATCTTCAAGGCAAAGACATTATTTAAAAAGAAAAAAAAATGCAGGACTCTCTCCAGTGAGAATTTTGAAAATAATTAAAAAAGTGTTTACATCGTTAATGTGTAAAGTTAAGATATTGACCAAATTCACATTTAGTCTTTGCTTCAGTCTGCGCAGAATGTGTGCAGAGTTGGCCAAGACTCAGGACATCATTGATCTACACAGTGAATGTTGGGAAAACATCAGGATGTGCTCGCAAAACAATATTCTTTACTGATTTTTAATTCTCTTTTTTTAGAATCCTCTTTACTACATTTTGAATTTGAGTACGTCAACTTTCCTGAGCCTGATTTTTATTGTTTAAGACGTAGACATTATACTCGGCCAGGCGCAGTGGCTCACGCCTGTAATCCCAGCACTTTGGGAGGCCCAGGAGGGTGGATCACGAGGTCAGGAGATCAAGACCATCCTGGCTAACATGATGAAACCCTGTCTCTACTAAAAATACAAAAAAATTAGCCGGGCGTGGTGGCGGGCGCCTGTAGTCTCAGCTACTCCGGAGGCTGAGGCAGGAGAATGGCGTGAACCTGGGAGGCGGAGCTTGCAGTGAGCTGAGATCGCGCCACTGCACTCCAGCCTGGGCGACAGAGCGAGATTCTGTCTCAAAAACAAAACAAAACAAAACAAAAAAACAAAAAAAAACAAGAAAGCAGACATTATGCTCAAAAAACGTTGAAAGAGGTAAAAAAAAAAAAGAAAAGTGTATGAAGGCCCAGCACATAACAGATACTCAATTAAACGCTAAATAGTTATAATAATTATTACCCAAAGGCTGTGATTTAACCCATTCATCTTTTACTGAAAAGTAATAACACTTAGAATGTAAACATTAAGAGTATGTCTGTATCTTAAAAGCATGTTAGTTCGCCTGAAACATCATTGGCAATAAAAATCAAGCAAAACATAGCAAAGCAAAATAAAACAAGACCGACAAAAACTAGGTGTTGTATATTGAATAGATCCAGATTTCTTTATCTTCAGTATTTATTTTTGACAACCTTCCTACCCTTCCAGTTGTGCTGAATAATTTTACAAGTAGAAAGACAACGTCAGGGCACAAATTTCTTGTGAAGGACAGTTTGAGGTGAAATACTATGAACTTATTTATTTTTGTTTCTGTGAGGTCATTTTTCAATTAATTCCTATAGAGAATCAAATCCAGATTCTTTATCATGGCATATGGAGCCAACAAGTGAAATAACACCACGATTACTCTTCTAACTTCATTTCCTTTCACTCTTTTTCGCATACTACACCCTCCAGTCATATGGAACTACTTAAAATTTCATATATCTATGGCTTTGTACATTCCAGTTTTTAAAAAAATACATTTTTAGAACAGTTTTAGATTTACAGAGAAATTGAGTAGCTAGTAGAAAGAGTTCCCATGCACCCCACAGCTCGTTCCCTCTATTATTAATATCGAACATAAGTATGGTATCCTTGTTACTATTAATTAACCAAGATAGACACATTATTAACTAAAGTTCATACTTTATTCATATTTCCTCAGTTTTTGCCTAATGTCTTTTTTCTACTCTAGGATCTCACCTAAGATACAACATTCCATTTAGTGTTAATGTTTCCTTAGGCTCCTCTTAGCTATTACACTTTCACATTCCCTGTTTTTGATGACCTGGAGTTTTGAGTACTAGTTTATAAACTGTTCCTCATTTGAGAATTTTCTAATTTTTTTTTATCATGATTAGACTGATATTACATGGTTTCAGGAGGAAGACCAGAGAGGTAAAGTGACATTTTTATCACATAATATCAAGGGTATGTGCTGCCATGAGTTAACATTGTTGCTGTTAAGCTCGAACACTTAGCTGAAGTAGTGTTGGTCAGGTTTATTCGCTGCAAAGTTAATTTTTTTTTTTTTTTTTTTGAGACGGAGTCTCGCTCTGTCGCCCAGGCTGGAGTGCAGTGGCGCCATCTCCGCTCACTGCAAGCTCCGCCTCCCGGGTTCATGCGATTCTCCTGCCTCAGCCTCCGGAGTAGCTGGGACTGCAGGCGCCTGCCACCACGCCCGGCTAATTTTTTTATATTTTTAGTAGAGACGGGGTTTCACCGTGTTAGCCAGGATGGTCTCAATTTCCCGACCTCGTGATCCGCCCGTCTCGGCCTCCCAACGTGAATTTTTTGTATTTTTAGTAGAGACCAGGTTTCACCGTGTTAGCCAGGATGGTCTCTATCTCCTGACCACGTGATCCACCCGCCTTGGCCTCCCACAGTGCTGGGATTACAGGCGTGAGCTACCGCGGCAGGCGTTTTTTTGATTTTTTTTTTTTTTTTTTTTGGCACTTTGTATACTGTACTCTTT
The DNA here is from genome assembly GCF_000001405.40 of Homo sapiens. Classification (NCBI taxonomy): domain Eukaryota; kingdom Metazoa; phylum Chordata; class Mammalia; order Primates; family Hominidae; genus Homo; species Homo sapiens. Next base: position 81,251,323 of record NC_000006.12, on the reverse strand, counting down.
GGAAGGAAGTCACTATGTGCAGCCCACATTTAATGAGTGGGTTGTTATGTACCACCTCCCTGAATATCTACATAAATTATTTGGAATTCTTCTGCATGGGTGACTTATATCTTCTTCTCCATTCATTTATTCAATCATTTATTTATTTACATCAGCATGAATTCATAGATATTTAGTTTATATTTATTGCTCAAATTGTTGTAGCTTTCAGCATCAAGAGCTCTCAGTTGGTTCCTTTGTCCCTTTGACATTTCCCCATCATTGTGGAATGTAATTGTTGCTTTTGAGGACTTTCTAACTTTCTGGTACTACAAAATGTTCCAAGTTCATCTCATATATTTCCTCCTCCAGTCCTAGAATCAACTGTTTTTCCAAAGAGCCTTGATTCCTTGTATTGGAGAATGATAGTAGAAATTAAGAACTGCACTACATGTGCTTTTTGCTACTGTGGTATTATTGCTTCTAGGCTCTCTTAGCTTACAGAGCAAGAATATATATGTGTGTACTCATTCCTTTTAAATTTTTAATTGCTTTTTAAAAAAAACTTGCCACAGGAACAACAAGTCCCAATCCTTTGTTCTAAGAAAGCCTATGTATTAAAATTAATTATCCTTTTATTTGTGACAAAACTGGACTATTGTATTATAGCACCTAATTTTGGAAATTAAAATTATTTTGATTTTTTTCTTTTACTAGACTTGTACATTGGAGTTCTATTTCTCTACTAAATCATAAACCTGAAAAAAGTGAGGGATGGAAATTGGGAGGGTATTTCCACAAAGCCAATCTAAATGTCTAGCACATAAAAGTTTGTTAGTAACTTAATCTGCCATTTTGGTAGCAACTTCATGTGGTTAATCAACTTTTCAAATTACATAGACCATAAGGGTTTTAACTATATTATTTGGTGAGTTTTGATAAGAGTATACACTCATGTAAGCATCACTGCAAAGGGAACATTTCTACACTGCTTGTGGGAATGTAAACTAGTACAACCACTATGGAAAACAGTGTGGAGATTCCTTAAACAACTAAAAGTAGATATACCATTTGATCCAGTGATCCCAATACTGGGTATCTACTCCGAGAAAAAGAAGTCATTATATGAAAAAGATACTTGCAGATGCATATTTATAGCCACACAATTTGCAATTGCAAAAAGGTGGAACCAACCCAAATGCCCATCAATCAATAAGTGGATAAAAAAAAACTGTGATATATATATATATATAATATATATAATCTATGATGACATATATTCACATATATATCATATATATTATCATATTATCATATATATGATATATATGATGGAATACTACTTAGCCATAAAACGAAATGAATTGATGGCATTCACAGCAACCTGAATAAAGTTGAGGACTATTATTCTAAGTGAAGTGGCTCAGAAATGGAAAACCAAACATTCTATGTTCTCACTCATAAGTGGCAGCTAAGCTCTGAGGACGCAAAGGCATATGAATGATATGATAAACTTTGGGGACTCAGAGGGAAAGGATGGGAAGGGGGTGACAAAGACTAGAAATTGGGTTTAATATATACTGCTAGGGTGATGGGTGCACCAAAATCTCACAAATCACCACTAAAGAATTTACTCATGTAACTAAATACCACCTGTTCCCCAAAAACCTATGGAAATATTTTTTTAAAAAAGATACACAACATTTCTATCACACAAGACAGTCATTGTCTCAATAGGTAACTAATGTTATGATTAAAATTCCTGTAGATTAGTTTTATCTATTCTAGAACCTTATAAAATGGACTATACAGTCACTATATACTCTTACGGTTGTGGCTTCCTTTGTTCAACTGAAAATTCTGATATTCTTTTATTCTATTCCTTGCATTAGTAGATTATTTCTTTTTATTGCTGAGTACAGTTGCATTGTATGAATATACCATAATTTGTTTAACCATTCCCTATTTCCTGCATATATTTTCAGAATATTTGGCTTGTTTAAACTTTTTCACTTTCTATTAATAAAACTGATATATCATTCATGTATAAGTCTATTTATTTCTCTTGGGGATACTCTAAGAGCAGAATTGCTGGATCATATGATAGGTGCACTAAAGTGCTTGTAGAATTTTACATTCTTAGCAGCAATGTGTAAATGTCTTAGCTTTTCTACAACCTTGTCAACATTTGCTTTTGTCAGGTCATTTAATTTTAGCCATTTTAGGTGCATTTTAAATGGAGTATTTAATTTGCTTTTTCCTGGTAACTAATAATGATGAGAACTTTTGCATATGCTTATCAGCCATTCCTCTGTTTTTTTGTGTGTGTAAAAATTGTGTATTCAATGTTTTTGCTCCCTTTTGAAAATCTAGTATTTTGTATTTTTGTCATTAATTAGATATATTTATTAGTAGAATTTTATTATATATTCTAGGTTGTATTCTTTGATAGATATATGTATGGTAAATATTTTCTTCTGGTCTGTGGCTTAATTTTTATTATCTTGTCAGTGTCCCACAATAAGCAGAAATTTTTAATTATGATAATGATCAATGTACTAATATTTCATCTTTTATGGCTGGTGCTGTTGTGTCTTGGTTGATAATTATTTGTTTACATCAAAGTTTATTCTAGAAACTTTATGGTTCTGTCATCTACATATAGGCCTGTGAACAACCCCAAATTATTATTATTATTATTATTATTTTTTGTTGTTGTTGTTGAGATGGAGTCTCGTCCTGTTGTCCAGGCTGGAGTGCAATGGGATGAACTCAGTTCACTGAAACCTCCACCTCCCGGGTCCAGATGATTATCCTGTCTCAGCCTCTCAAGTAGCTGGGATTGTAAGCGCCTGCCACCACGCCCAGATAATTTTTGTATGTTTAGTAGAGATGGAGTTTCACCATGTTGGCCAGGCTGGTCTCAAATTCTTTACCTTGTGATCCACCCACCTCAGCCTCTGAAACTGCTGGGATTACAGGCATGAGCCACCGTGCCCGGCCAAATTAATTTTTTAGAATAGAAGGAGATAGAGTTCATTGATAGTTTTTATATGTTTCTCTAGTTGTTCCAGCACCACTTGTTGAAAAGACTTTTCTTTCCCTCATTGACTTGCCTTGGTGACTTTCTCAAACATTAATTGAGTTTTTTCCATTAATTGGTCTATATTTATAAAAATACCACATTATCACAATTTCTATAGCTTTATAAATATAAATCAGTGTGTATCCTCTGTACTTCTTTGTTTTCAATATTGTTTTAAATATTATAGATATTTTGCACTTCCATGTATATTTTAAAATCAAATTTCTCAAGAAATTTTGGATTTTAGGTTGGATTATATTGGCATTTAGGTCAATTTGGAAGCAATTGATGACATACCAATATTTAATTTTCCAAATTATGAACATGCATATCTCTCAATTAATTTAGGTCTTCTTAATTTTTCACAGTTTTTTCTGAAGATTTTAGAATACAGACCTTGCACATTTTTTGCTAAATTTATCCTTAAATGTGTTTCTCATGCTATGGTAAGCAAAATGTTTAAATAAATTCTAAATTTAACTTTCCAAGTGTTTGCTGCTGGTATTGACAATTATAATAGATTTTTGTACATATACATTTATCCACTAACTTTTCTAAATTATTTGAGTCTAGAGGTTATTTTTCATATTTTTAGTGTTTCTTTGTAAGCAATTACATCATCTGCAAATAAATGCACTTTTATTTATTTCCAATATTTATGCTATGCCTTTTTCTTTTTCTTATTTGATTCCTTAGGATATTTAGTAAAATATTGACTAGAATCTTGTGAAAGGAAATCTTTGTTTTCTTTTTATATTTCTTTATTGTTTCATGTTAGCTATAGATTTTTTTCGTAGATACCATTTATCATATTAAGGGAAATCCTTCTATCTGCAGTTTGCAAAAGTTTATTTTTAAATCACAAATGGAAGTTTAATTTTATCAAATGTTCTTTTTGTATACATTTAGATGATCTCATGGTTTGATCATTATATTATTTTCTCACTATTTTCATTAATATGCCAAATTACAATTATTTTAAAAACCCTCAAATGATGGGATAAACCTCATTTGATCATCATCTAATATGACACATTATAAATTTTATATATTATTGACTGTTCAAGAGGAACTTTCAAGTATAACTTGTACTTCTTTTTTAACACTACAAAAGATGTCTTTATTTTTATAGATTCAGGGGGTACATGTGCTGGTTTGTTACATGGACATATTACATAATGGTGAGGTTTGGACTTCTACTGTACCCATCTTTTGAGTAATGAATATTGTATCCAATAATTAATTTTCCAATCCTCAATTCCCTCCCACCCTTCACCCGTTTGGAGTCTCCAACTATATTCCTCCATATGTCTATGTGTGCCCATTGTTTAGTTCCCACTTATAAGTGAGATTACTTATGTTTCTGAGTGATTTTGCCCAAGGATAGTACCCTCTAGCTCCATCCATGTTGTGGCACAAGACATGACTGCATTGATTTTTAGAAATGTGTAGTAGTCTATGATGTATATATCCCACATTTTCTTTATCCAGTCATCTGTTGGAAGGTGCTTAGGTTGATTCCATGACTTTGCTATTGAATAGTGCTGCAATTAACATATGAGTTTATGTGTCTTTTGATATAACAATTTCTTTCCTTTGGGTAGATACTCAGTATAGAATTGTTGGATCAAATGGTAGTTCTACTGATAGTTCTTTGAGAAAATCCCATACTGTTTTCCATAGAGGTTGTACTAATTTACATTCCCACCAACAGTGTATAACCATTCACTTTTCTTCAGATTCTTGACAACACTGAGGGCCTATTTTCAGCCTTCTTAAAGAAAAAAAAATGCCAACCAAGAATTTAAATTCTGCCCAATTAAGCTTCATAAATGAAGCAGAAATAAAGTCTTTCCAAGACAAACAAATACTAAGGGAATTTGTCATCACTAGACTCGCCCTACAAGAAATGTCAAAGAAGTTTTAAATATAGAAATAGAAGAATGATACTTGCCCATCATAAAAGCAAATGTAAGTAGAAAGCTTACAGATCCTATAAAGCAATTACATAATTCAGACTACAAAGTAACTAGCTAACAACATTACAACAGGAACGTAAACTCACATTATTATATTCACCTTTATTTCTCATAATACTGGCAGACTTTTGAATTAGGGCAATTCTATACTCATGAAAGATTCGTGATGTGCTCTCTTTTATTTTACAAAACAGTTTTGTAAAACTATTACTTCTTACTTAAAAATTTGTAGAATTTACCAATGTTCTATTGATGAAAGCTTAAATATTTGTAGAATTTACTAAGTCCTCTTGATCTAAACTTTATTTGTGGGATAGTTTTAAAAATGAATGCAATAGGCGGAGCTTGCAGTGAGCCGAGATCGCGCCACTGCACTCCAGCCTGGGTGACAGAGCGAGACTCCATCTCAAAAAAAAAAAAAAAAAAAAAAAAAAAAAAAAAATGAATGCAATATATTTTATAGGTAGGTACAGAATTTAGACTTCTATATCATTTCATTAATTTTGGTAAAAAATAAATTTATTAACAAATTTTCTATATCTCTTGCTGTTACCTTTAGTAACACTAAAGTTTCATTTTTAGAGAAATTTTATCCACTTTCTACAAGTTGTTAAAATTTATTTTTATATAGTGGTTCATAATATTCCCTTATTATACTTTTATTGTCATTAGTATCAGCACTAATATCCTCTCTCTCATTCTTGATACTGGTAATTTATGCATTCTTCCTTTATTTTCTCTAATTTGATTATTTTTATTGTAGATAACAGATGTTCGGAATATGTTTACAATGATTTGGATTTTATTATCTTCATGAAGAGTGTTGATGTCAGTTCTAGAAAGCAGAGAAATTAATGTCTAATTACTTTGAACTTTTGGATAATATATCTATTTGGTTTTCTTGGTTTTAGGATGAATCTCTTTGTCCTGGTATGTCTTCATTTGTACAGTGTAGTAATGCCTAAATTTAAATGGAATGTAATATTTATTTATCAAGACCATCTAAAAATGCAGGACTTAAACTTAAAACTCCAATCTTTACTCTGCCTTTTTAGTCTTTCAACTGCTTTTCAATGGGTTATTTGAAGTTCCTCCTCCACTACTATAAACACGCATTCAATTCAGCCAGCGTTCATGGGAGTTAATATGCAGATATGGGGGTTTCCTACCTTGTGGCTCTCATCTCATCTGAATATTTCTTCTCCAATTCAGGTTTTACTGGGAGATCTAAAATCCATTCTCTGATGGCTCAAGCCATAAAAGCATGGCTGTCTCCCTGAGTGCTAATCAAACTGCACTACATGGACTGTGGCTGGTCCTCTGGGGAAAAACTATAAATGTGGAGTTCATCCAGTACAGTTTTCTTCTTTCAAAAGTAGAATCCTCTCAAATTTCTACCTATTATTGGTAGTATTTCATCCTAGCATTAATACAAAACATTCAAATAAAATACATAAATTTCATGATTGTATTCATTGGCCTCATTTATTAGCATACATACAAACAAACTTTAATTGCTTTACTTAAATAGCAATATGAGTTCTAATTACAAGGCACATCTCATACACGTAATCATGAAAAAAATTAAATTTATAATTAAGATTCCTAAAGATTTGGTTTTTCCTTTATTTGGGAGGGATTTTTTAAAGATATAATTTTCACTTGTAGAAAATGAATTATTAAATAAATTATGGCATCTAAAATAGAATTCTGACAAATTCAAAAAGCATAACTTACACAGTATTAGGAAGAATCAAACAGTGTTACAAATGAGCATAAATGTGTTTCCCTTTTTGTCAGATGGTTAAATGTTTAACTATGACAGAAAAATTAAAAAGTTAACAAGAAAGTTTCAGCCAATAAATGCAAAAAGTTAACAATGAGATTTCAACCAACAAACGCAGAACCCGTTCACCACATATGATTATCTTTGGTCTCAAGAATTTTGCATATTTTGTTAATGCAGATATTATTTATGCTCCTCTATGTAAAGCTATAAAGTCATGTCTTTGATTATTTATAACGTGCCTTGTCATCTCCATGCTCTTATAATCAAAAGAAAGAAATTTATCATCAGAAATCTATGTGCAGAGGGAAAGCCAAGCAAAAGCATTCTCAATTTCACTACCTTGTTTCATTTCTATAAGATAACAGTCTTATGAGCCTATAATTCTATTCTATGCAAACCTGTCATTCTATTTTAAGCTTGACCAGAATCTACAAAGCACTTTTCTTTCTGTGTATACATAGATACTCTATGTGCTTGCACTAGAAAGCATTTCACACAAAGTCAGCTCATGTTCCTCAGGTAGGTACTGTGAAGGAAAAACATTAATGATTTGAGCCTGCTTATATTCTTACAGCAGAAGCAGAACATTTTTTAAAATTATACTTTAAATTCTGGGGTACACGTGCAGAACGTGCAGGTTTGTTACAGAGGTATACACATGCCATGGTGGTTTGCTGCACCTCTCAACCATTCATCTACATTAGGTATTTCTCCTAATGCTCTCCCTCCCGTAGCCCCCTAACCCCTGACAGGCCCCAGTGTATGATGTTCCCCTCCCTGTGTCCGTGTGTTCTAATTGTTCAACTCCCACTTATGAGTGAGAACATGCGGTGTTTGGTTCTCTGTTCTTGTGCTAGTTTGCTGAGAATGATGGTTTCCAGCTTCATCCATGTCCCTGCAAAGACCATGAACTCATCCTTTTTTATGGCTGCATAGTATTCCATGGTGTATATGTGCCACACTTTCTTTATCCAGTCTATCATTGATGGGCATTTGGGTTGGTTCCAAGTCTTTGCTATTGTGAATAGTGCCACAATAAACATATGTGTGCATGTGTCTTTATAGGAGAATGATTTATAATCTTTTAGGTATATACCCAGTAATGGGATTGAAGCAGAGCATATTTATGTAAATAAGGAAACATTAATATTGAATAATACATTAGCTGAAAAATGATAACAGTGAGAGACAACTTGAACCACAGCTAGGTCTTAAAGAATATGTAATGGTGGAAAGAGAATTCTGAAGTTAAGAAACAACTTTTAGATGGAGGATTCAGTTTGCGCAAAAGTAGAAAGGTGGAAAAAGAATAGGGTGTTTAGGGGAAATAACATGGGTAAATAATCCTAAGTGGAGACAGCCCATACATGGAAGTAGAGGGAGATACTATATAATTCAATTGTATGTGATACAGCTAGATTATGCATTTTACAAACTTTTTGTCCAAAAAAGAAAAAAAAAGAAACGGTGCATAAAGGCAAAAATGTTGCCTTTATCATATTTACTATGTTAAAAGTTTCTGTTTCTGAAAACTGCAAAATTTAGGAATAATCATGTTGGAAAATAAATTTAAATTTTAACTTCTCTCAGCAAACATGGTTTGATGACTAAGCTGAACTTTTGGGTGACTTTGTGTGGGTTTTTCTGTTGATTGTCATTTTTAACTGAGTCAGTTGTGGAACATTAGGTTTTTATTTTCACAGCACAGAATACACAGCCTGATTCACAAAATTAATTTAAATGATCGGAATCTCTAAGATGAATCATAGAAATCAGTAAATCATGGGAAGTCAGGGCTTTCCTGGTGGGCATTTTTTTTTAAATTTTTACAGAATGGGTGAATGGGTGAAAGGCTGGATGTCTCAAAGGAAATTTAAAAGTAGCTCTTCAGTCATAAGGTGAATCAAATTATGGAGCACCAGAGCCAATAAAGTTGTAGTTTGCTGTAATTTGAACTACAGCAACATAGAATATCAAGAATGTAGGGAAAGTATTAAATAGTCTCAAAAAATAATTTGCTTTTATGTCAATGTGCTGAAACTTGAATATTTTTTTAGAATATTCAGTGTTAATATAGTAGATTCAGTAGATTCTGCATTAATACCAAAAGATAAGATAAAGTATTTGTGTTAAAATTTCAATGACTCAAGTCATTTAAACAAACATTTACTAAAAACCTCTATTGTATATTCTACTTTTGTTGTTCTGTAGATAAAAAAATGGGTAACATACTTTACCTGTTCACAGGAAATTTATAATTTAATGATGAGGACTGCACGGCTCTTGCAAGAATGTGATAGGCACCACAAAAGAACAAATAAAATATGAAAATAATAGGAGGGGAATTGTGAAGAAAGTGTTTTTGCTCTGGGGTAGTCTCTGTGCAAATTGCTGTATGTAAATTCTCTCATTTAATCATATTAATAAATGTATGCTATAAAAACTATTGTTATATCAATTTTTTTAAATGAAAAGCCTAGGGCTTAGCGGGATTATGTAAGAAACTCCTACAACTCAAAGCTCAAAAACTGATTTTCTGACTCTATCCTCTTAAACACTGCACTATACTGCCTCCTAGGGGAATGATCCTTGGAGATGGTATTATAACCTTACTAATTTGCCAAAGACACAAATATGAGAGGAAACAATATTTGTCCAGGAAATGCTAACAGTATAATAAATTCATAGTGTCAGGTATAAGAATTTTATGCTTTATATAAAGAATGAGACTAAACTGGAAGGATCTCAAGTCTCAGGAAAGAAGCGTGTCCTTGACTTCATATGCATTGAGATGTCATTCCAATGAAAATAACCACATTGGAATTACCATATTTTTATGATAAATCAGCATGTCTCCTTTTTTCTGGATCTCATGTTCTCTTATTCTCCTGGTAATTACAGTACTTCAGTGTGTCTTAAGACAACCAGCCTTTTCAACTTTTCCAAAAACTGCTTTAATAAACATAATAAAATGAACATAACAAAGAAATTTCCCTAGTATTCTATTAAGAATCCTGAGCCAGGGATTAATCTGTGATCTGTTGGACGAAGTTTACTCTATGTTAAATATCTTTCCTACAATAGATTTTTTTAAAAAACCTCAATGACGTGCACAGCAGCACAGTTTATGTGCCTGTGCAAACATATAACTGATGTGCTTTTTCAAGGCTATAAAATGTGTTCCTCCTTCCATATGTGGATTGTTGAGCACATCAATCATTAGGCAATTTGCTCATTTTTTAACTTTTACATTTCTGTAGAAATTCCTTCAGCACGAGGTACTCTACCAGATGCTAGCAGTAATAATTTAGTGAGGTTGATAATGTTCCAAGTCCAGTGTTTGCTTTTCCTTGAAGAATCATAGTGAAGAGTAAGAACATCAAAGTTCGTTGGAATATTAAGCACTAAACAGTCCTGCTAATTGCCCAGATTCTAGCATTTTCCAAAAGAAGTATAGTTCCAAGTATCCATCGTGGATTATTGATTATGTTCAAGTTCTTTTTAATTAGGATTGTCTCTTTCCTGTCATTCTGTCTCTAAACACCATTGGCTCTAAATTATATGTGACTTCTGAGCTCATCTTGGTTCAGTTCTATCATGCTACAAATGAACAATCTGATGCCAAGAAATATGAAATGATTGGTCATGACCTGTCAGCTGGTCAACCTGAATTAGAATCAGGGATCCTCATCCCAGACCTACTATGTTATACTTCTCCCTTCATCCTCATTCCTTTATTACAGCTCAGGTTATTTTCTCATCAAGTCTTTTAAGCCATAGAGGTTTGTTGAGTATATGAATTATGTAAGCCAGAAAATATCCCATTTCCTCAAAAAGTTTTTATTTTGAAAAATTTTGAATTTGCATTACAATTGCAAGAAACGTACACTAAATATATATCTTCTTTCATCAAGAGTTATCAATTTCTAATATTTTGCCACATTTTCTTTCCCTCTTTCTCTCTCATTTTCATTCTTTTGCATCTAGTAAATTCTCTGTCTGTCGCCCAGGCTGGAGTGCAGTGGCACGATCTCGGCTCACTGCGAGTTCCGCCTCCCAGTTTCATGCCATTCTCCTTCCTCAGCCTCCCGAGTAGGTGGGATTACAGGCGCCCGCCACCACGCCGGCTAATTTTTTGTATTTTTAGTAGAGACGGGATTATTTCACCATGTTAGCAAGGATGGTCTCGATCTCCTGACCTCGTGATCCACCTGCCTCAGCCTCCCAAAGTACTGTGATTACAGGCGTGAGCCACTGCGCCCGGCCCAAGTTTACTCTTTTTACAACCATTGTGGAAGTCAGTGTGGCAATTCCTCAGGGATCTAGAACTAGAAATACCATTTGACCCAGCCATGCCATTACTGGGTATACACCCAAAGGATTATAAATCATGCTGCTATAAAGACACATGCACACGTATATTTATTGCGGCACTATTCACAATAGCAAAGACTTGGAACCAACCCAAATGTCCAACAACGATAGACTGGATTAAGAAAATGTGGCACATATACACCATGGAATACTATGTAGCCATAAAAAATGAAGAGTTCATGTCCTTTGTAGGGACATGGATGAAACTGGAAACTATCCTCAGCAAACTATGGCAAGGACAAAAAACCAAACACCGCATGTTCTCACTCATAGGTGGGAATTGAACAATGAGAACACATGGACACAGGAAGGGGAACATCACACTCTGGGGACTGTTGTGGGGTGGGGGGAGGGGGGAGGGATAGTATTAGGAGATATATCTAATGCTAAATGACGAGTTAATGGGTGCAGCACACCAACATGGCACATGTATACATATGTAACAAACCTGCACATTGTGCACATGTACCCTAAAACTTAAAGTATAATAATAATAAAATAAAATTTTAAAAAAAGTCCTTCATGCTTTATGACATTGATATTTTGAAGACTCTAGACCACTTGCTTTGCTGTTTGGATTTATCTAATTATTTTCTCATGATTAGAATCAGGCTCAACATTTTTGGCAGAAACACAAGCAAAGTAATATTGTGTTTTTCTCAGCTCATTAATTTAAGAAGCACCTGATATCAACTTAACCCATGATTGGTGATGTTAAGTTGATCATTTGGTTAAGGTAACATCTAGGTGATAAAAACCTGTTACATAGTTAAATAATATCTGAATTTTAAGTTTGTTATATAGTATCTATCAATTCAGATTGTCTATACATTTCAATTTTTATATTCTGTATATTTGAAAATTAGAAGCATGGTTACATATAAAAATAGTTCATCTCCAGTATTATATATCTCAAGTCTAACTTTTAAAATTTTCACCTACTTTTCCAGACTACAGTTAAATATATTCTGAAGATTATAATTCATTATTTGTATGATTCCATCTTCTGACAGAAGATTTTTTAGTAGTTTTCATATGGTTTTAGTTGATGTGGTCTTGCTATTATAGTGGAAAACATGTCTTTCAATGTTATATATTTGAGAAGCATTATTATTTCTACTAACTCAATAAAATCAAACATCTCTAAGTGGACAACATCTCGACCATGTTGCAGCCATGACATATTAGGCTTTTCAACCTACTAGTAATATGTTTTCATAAATTTGATATATAAATATTCATAATGAAATAAGCAGTGTTACATTAATATTGCATAAACACTGGACAATTAATTAGTAACTTTATGTTAAACTGCAATTCCAATTAACATAGGCATTGAAAACATGAAGAATTATTGACTTCTTTATAGAGTACAAATACAAGCACTTTGGCATCTTCTGAAGTATTTTCCATGGGGAATTAATTATCTCTAATCAGTGTTATATTTTGACCTGCACTTTGTCTAACAGAATTATGTTTATTTGAATCTGATAACTTGAAATTTTGATAAAAGATAGCATTTTATTACTCATAGCCTCATTCCAATACCATGCTGCCTTGAATGACCTTGTTTGCCAGTGTTTAATTAGGAGTGCACCATTTTGACAAAAGGAAATTTTTCCAAAAAAACAAAAAAGAAGGCATCCTTAAAAGCTTTGGTGTTTATCTTGCATCATACTAATTCCATTGCCAAGACAGCTATCTTTAATTTAGAGTGCCTGCTGTTATGCATTCCATGTGTCAACCTGAATCCACCTTCTCAACTCTGATACATTTATTCTTAATCTCAGAGATGGACAAAGGTTTTTATATAAAATAAAAATTATTTTTTTCAGAGCCATTTTTTTTCCTTTCAAGAAAGTTTGGACTTCTAAAAAGGTCGTCTTTGTCGGTAAAATATGATAAATTTTGTCTTTATGGTTTGAGGAAAAAATCAATACCATACATGAAATGCCTTTTCTTAAGCTTTATAATTAACAACTGACTGTACTTTTTGTTTGTTTGCTTTTCCACCATCCTACTTGCTAAGATACTTCATGGCAGGAAAAGCATTAAGCAAGGCCATTTAAGGAACATATTCACTGCCACATGCTTTCTGTAATGCAGGCACGTATCTTCAGCAGGTATAATCCCATCCCCAAAAGGCACATTTCGGCACAGCTACCAGGGATGCTGCATTGTGGGTATTGACTAAGGAGGATATGCCATGGTCATTTCTTCTTAACAACTTTGTGATGTTTTAATCAACTATTTCTAAAACTTAATGTTCCCATGTGATGTAACCCCATAACAGAATTTAAAGCAGACTTAGAATAATTTAATCTCATAATTTGAAATATTTATTTGGTTTGATGTTTCTTAACCTGGAAGATAATTAGAGTCATCAAGAGAGATTTTTGAAATGCAGATTATTTTATCCAACTTCAGACCTACTGAATCAAAATCTCCAGTAATTTGTGTTTAATGTGTAACATATATTCAGGCTTCTAAGTAAGTTAGGAATAACACAAGATCTAGCTTGATGCTTCACAACTTCAAACAGACAATTATTGTATTAATATGGTACTCTCTGATAAAGGGCTATGGTATCTCTAGCAGCTTCAGGTTCCATCCAGCTATACCCAGGAAGTACAAGGATCAGTACATCCATGAATCTATAACTCATACGTGACTCAACAGCTCATTCTGACAAACCAAGTTAGCTAACAAGGAAACCTAGAAATGGACAACAGTCTAGAATGAGCTTACTCACAGAACAGCATGAGCATTCAATTCTGTTATTGTTTTTATTTCTGTTTTACTCTAAGATAGAATGATATTTAAAGAATTAAATGATAAATATATAATTGATGAAGAAAGCCGAGAAGATGCAGTCACTAAAATTAATTCCTTCAGCAACTGTAGAAGTGAAACTCACATTTGCAATTTTTTTAAAAATAAGAAATTATTGGCTCATGTAATTGAGAAGTCTTGGTCCAATGCCAGAGTCTTTTCAACCATAACCCATCTCCTTCTCCATTTTTAATTACGCTTGCCACTGAAGGGCTTCATTTTCTGAGAAGCATTCTCCACATAACCTGAAGATCAGTGGGGCTATACTGCAGGGAGTGGGGACGAGAAGGGTGATGCTCGTAGTGAAGAGTGGAAGAACACTGTATGGCTATACAAGGAATATGTAATTTCTCATCATTTTATACCTGCTTAAGCAGAGCCATGTGGCTCATAAGCAAAGAACAAAGTTGTTCTTCACATTCTAGATAAAAATATGGGTTGGGATCATAGAGCAGTGGTTGCCTAGGGAACGTGTCTCTCTTCGAAGAGTTAGAGTCTGCTAACTCTGCACAAGCCTAAGGATATTTGCAGGATTAGGTTAAATCTATTATAATATTATAGTAAATTAATCTGTGCTTTAAATTTTTACTTATTTCATATGATATTTATTATTGGATATTTAAGTTGGATTTTTTGTTTTGGCAAATACATTAACAATAGAAAGCATGATACACATTTTCCGAAAAGTCTGACTTTATATATCACCATGATGTGACCAAGGTATTGATATTATACTTGTGGTCGCTCACCACAATTAAAGCTAACTTACAAAATAAGGAATACTTTATAAAAGCTACTTTTATACACATAAATATAAATTAGCATTTCTTCATTCCTTCATGTTCAAAGTATGTGTGTCCTTAGATGTGAAGTGAATCTCTTACAGGCAACATATAGTTGGGTCTTGGTGTTTGTTTTTTATCTATTCAGCCTTTATGTCTTTTGTTTAGAAAATTTAATCCATTTACATTCAAGTTAATTATTCGTAAGTAAGGACTTACTACTGATATTTTGTTAATTGTTTTCTGGTTGTTTTGTTGGTTTTTGGTTTCTTTCTTTCTCTCCTGCTGTCTTCCTTTCTGATTAAGTAATTTTCCCTAGTGGTATGGTTTCATTCCTCACTTTTAATCTTTTGCCTATCTGCTATAGGTTTTTGTTTTATGGTTACCATGAGGCTTACAAAAAAATTATAATTATAACCAGCTATTTTGAGCTGATAACACTTAAATTTTGTTTGCATATAAAAACTCTACATATTTACTTCCTCCCCCTGACATTTTACATTTTTAATGTTATAATTTATCTTGTCACATTGCATATGGTTTAACAAATTATCATAGCTATATTATTTTAAAAATTTTGACTTTTAACCTTCATACTAACAATACGTGATTTATACACTACCATTACAGTATCAGAGTATTCTAAATTTGGCTATGTACTTACTTTTACCAGTGAGTTTTATACTTTATGTTGTGTGTTACAAATTAGCACCCTTTCTTTCAGTTTGAAGAACTCATTTTAGCATTTCCTGTAAGGCAGATTCAGTGGTGATGAACTCCTTCAGCTTTTGTTTATCTGGTAAACGATCTCTCCATTTCTTCTGAAGAACAGCCTTGACAAATAATGTAGTTTTGGATGGCAGTTATTTTCATTCAGTATTTTGAATATATCACCCCACTCTCTCTTGGCCTGTAAAGTTTATGCTGAGAAATATGCTAATAGCCTTATTAGAATTCCCTTCAAGACAATATTCTTGGCAATGATTTTTTGGATATGACCCCAAAAGCACAGACAACAAAAGCAGAAATACACAAATGGAATTAAATGAAACTAAAAAGCTTTTGGAAGAAAAAGAAACAACAGAGTAAAGAGACAACCTACAGAATTGGGGAAAATGATTAAATGCGCAAATCAGATAAGTGATTAATACCCAAATATATAAAGAACTCAAACTCAATAGCAAAAAATAAAAGAAAATAACCTGACAAAAATGATCAAAGGACCTGAGTAGACATTTCTCAAAAGAAGACATATGAATGATTAATAGGTTTATGAAAAATGTACCACATCACTAATCATCTGGCAAATGAAAATTAAAACCATAATAAGTTATTACCTCACACCTGTTGGAATGAGTATTAACAAAATGACAAAAAGTAATAATTGTTGGTGAGGATGTGGGGAAAAGGGAACTCTTATGCACTGTTGGTAGAAATGTAAATTAGTACAGCTCTTTTGGAAAACATTATAAAGGTTCCTCAAAAAGTTAAAGGGAGGGATCATAGAACTACCATATGATCCTACAATCTCACTACTGAGCATATATACACAGGAAATGAAATCAATATGTGAAGAGATGTTCGCACTCCCACTTCATTGTAGTATTATCTACAATAGCCAAGATATGGAATCAACCTGTCTCTATCAATGGGTGAATGAATGAAGAAAAAGTGGTATATTACATAATGGAATATAAACACAAAGAAATCCTCTCATTTACTACAACGTGGATGGACTTGGAGGACATTATGTTAAGTGAAATAAGTGAGGCTCAGGAGGTTGAATACCAGTGATGTCACTTATGTGTGAAATCTAAAAAGGCAAACTCATAGTAAGTGAGAGTAGAATGGTAGCTACCAGAGGTTAGGGTGTTCTGAGGGATTATAGAGATGTTGGTCAAAGGATGCAAATTTTAATAAACAGAGTGAATAAATTCAAGAGATTCATTCTACAACATGACGATTATAGTTAATAACAATATATTATATACTTGAAAATTATAGAAATTAAGAAAGTAGATTTTAAGTGTTCTCACCACAAAATTTAGGTATATATATATATATGGGAATTCACATATTAATTAGCTCAATTTAGGCACTTAAACATGTTTACATATAAAAAGTCATGTATGTGTGTGTGTAATTTAAATATACACAATTTTTGTCAATTAGAAAATGAATAAATGAAATGAAAGCTAGCATTAAGCATTATTTGATCTAACAGTCTTTATAAATAATTGAGCTGCTTTTAATTGAATGCTTATCACAGGCCTCTATGCCTGGACAGCATCACCAGGAGGATGATGCCTAACCTTGCCAGTTCCTCTTCAAGGGCACAGCCTGTCCAGAGGAGCGAGAGTAAATAAGTAGAGTTAATGAGTCAAAATTGTCTGAGCTTATTTTTTTTTCCATGATAATCTGAGTACAAGAGAGTGCAGAACATAATTTGTACACATTTATCTAATAAAACAGAATACCTAAAATGACTCACTGTGAATAAACAAATTATCCTTTGTATTTTTGGAGAGATTTATAATACTAGATAGTTGTGATTAATTCAGTTATTTTATCAGTGTTTCTTCAAGTGTCTTTGTAATGCATATAGCAATTGGAAATATCCTTATTGATACTGTGTAATCAAATACTGTTGAACTCCGCTTTAAAATTTTATTACTAAACTCTCATTTTGGTTTTATCTGTGGTCATAAATGTGCTAGGCAAATCAAGAACCAAATGTCAGCTGAGTAATTTTGCTAAGTCATTTAAGCTTTCTAAGCCTCAATTTTATCTTGTGTAAAATGTGATTGTGATTATATGATTATAGTAACTATGATTATCATCGCTGTAGTATTACCTACATCATAGGATTGAGAGAATAAAGTTAGATAATACTTATCACTTGTTGGGCACTATGTGTAACTCTTGGAGGAGATTAAGTGACTGTAAAATATTGATATTATTATTCCTATACATATTCTTAAAAGAAAGCTACATCTAAAAATCTCATAACACATTTTTTGAAGATATAAAATACATTTTAATAATTATCTTACAGTTTTATTAATACTTCAAACACCACATCTTCACAGTTGCAGACATTTTCACACAAATGTATTAACTCATGTTATTCTTCCAAAAATGTCGTAAGTCAAACCAGTTAGGTTTGAGTGACTTTCTTATGACCATTCAGTTTTTACAGATTCCACATTTCTGTCACTCCATGCCCTATCATCTAAGATTCTCAAGGTTTACATTTTTTTCTGAAATGGAAAAACAAGCTTTTAAAGAAATTCATCATAATTGCTCATGAATCCAATAAGATTGCATTATATGATAACATAAAGCCTCTCTTCTTCAATTTTTTATGATGTGTTATATGCAATATTAGAGTTTCCTTGTATATTTATGCTAGTCTTGTCAGATCTAACATAAAAATATTTTTACCCCATGTTATACATACTACTTATGTGTAAGTGTTAGACCTATGTTAACACTTATCTCTAACTTCTAAACTTCTTTTGGGAGACAGTTTGTAATGTCAATTTTCAACAGGAAACCTCAACCTTTTAAAACAAAGTAGAACAACAAAATATTACTAAATAACTTTCTCTATGTGAATGAATTTATACATCTGTCCTAATCATATATCTCCTTTCAGTGACAGTTTCTGCAATGTTTTGGGGCTATTAAGTCACATATTATTAATGAAATGTGCACCATTTACGTGTATATGATTGGGTGATTTTTTTAAATCAACAGATACCATAGCCTTCCTGCTCAGTCATAAAGTCTCTTTCTCTATACTATATTTTCTGCTCACAGGCTCTCTAACCTCTACATTTTCCCATAAAGTTATCAATGTCTTCTTAGATTCACTTATTTTTCTGTAAAAAAAATTAGATTAAATGGTCAGTTACTTCAAACATGCTCAGAACAATCTATTTTCTTCAGTAACTTACTTCTTTGAATATCTATGATATCTGCCTGGCAAAATTACAAACCTGCCTCAATCCATTTCTCCTGTGATGCTCAACACTGATGAGGAATTCATGCCTCTATTAGGATTTGAGACACTGGAAATGATTGGTCTTCAAATTTGACTGGGCCCTCAGTGCAGTTCAGCAATACATGTTTTCCTAGTGTTTCCTGCCTTATGTTTTCCTAGTGAGGTCTTTCTCGGTTTTCCAAAGAAACAATTTTAGAATTTCCCTTCTTTTTCTAATGTCTGACCCCACCACTTCCAATGCATGTATAGCAGATGATCTTCCCTCTTAATCAGCAGAGAAAGAAGGCATTACCTTAACTTCTTCCAATCACAGCCAAAAAATCATCTCTATTATGTCTTATTTTTTTCTCTGTGGCTACATTACAAGGAAAGTAGTGCAAGTCTTCTAGTTCAAATCTGAACTCCCTGATGTTCTGGCTCCCAACTCCTCTCTCTATTTCAGAAATTTAGTTCAATCAATAACCAACTCTACCAAAACCACTCTTCCTTTCTATATCTCCAGATTCTTTGTTGTAATAGCGCCTTCTCTTTAGTATTTAGACATAATTATAATGAAAGGTTTCTAAGACATATATCTTATTTTATGTTCTCGCTTTCCTATCCTATTTAATAGTCACTTTATCTTCCAACAAGGGTCACAGTTCTTGAAATAGTTGCTTACATTCCCTGTCTTCTCAACTTTTGCTCTTTATCTCACCTTTGTCATCATTCTTTGGTCTTCTTTTTAGACTTCTTTTTCTTTCTGCATACCCAAGTTGTAGATATTCCTTGGAATGCTACCCTCAGTTCTTTGTTTCTCTCCACTCTATAAACTCTCTGTATTGTCTCCTTTTTCATGGTTTTAATAGCCATTTCAATCGAGATTTTCCCAAATCCTCAATCTAAATAAAAACTGTACATTACACTTCTTTTTAGATACCTCCATTTGGAAGAACACTTTAGATTCAGTCTATCCAAAACTTAGTTTAATATCTGCTCAAGCAATGCTGATTCTTCTTTTTTTTACTATCAAGTCATGTTATCTCACCTGATACAGTTATCCTGGCAAGAAAATGCTCTTCATCCTTACTGCCATGTATTAGTACAAGTCACTGTAATCTCCTTACAGAATCATTGATTAAGCCTTTAGTTGATTTGTATGCCTTTAGTGTAGTCCATCTCAAGGTATTCCTTCTGAAGCTACTCTTCTATTTGAAACTCTTATGTGTTTTCCCACTGATCCCTGATATATCCTAACACTTTTTCAGAATTTACAAATCCATGAATTATGTGATTCGGACAGTGGAACCAGCTTCCTCTCTCATTACTCGCTGTAATCTATAATGAGTTGTTTGTTTGTTTGTTTTTAAATTCTAAGGTGCATAATGTATTCTTTCATCTCTGAATCTTTATAAGCTAGTCCTCTGTGTGGAATAAATTTTCTTTAGTGATCCATAGAAAACTGAAATTTTCATATCAAAGGGCGTATTACATTGTGGAATTGTCTGTTTCCTTGCCTGTAGCACCTAATAAAGAAAGTTCCTGGGATTGGGGCTGCACAAAGTGTGTTTATCCTTATATCCTAGTTGCCCAGCTAGCTCAGTTGGTAGAGAATAACACTCAACCTCATATTCCACACTTAGCAGAATGATTGACACATAGCAATTTACTCAATAAGCACTTGAAAATGGAATCAAACCTGTCTGGTTCTTTCTACAGTACCACATTTCTAAGTTTAAATGCATATATTTGAGGTTAAATAGTTATTGAATGGATGCCTATGATGTTATTTTTTAAGTCTCTGATTGAAATAATTTATACTTCTTTTTCTTTTTTTGTTCTTATTTGCCAGGAATATTAGTCCAATTTCAGGTTATAATCTTAAATTTCTTCTTATCTACCTCAGACTTTGCCAAAAGGTTCATCTCCTTTTCTTTCTTCCTCTGTGACCACAGAAGAATAAATCTCTACCTTCTCATTTTAAGACCTGAGGGTCAAGGGTGTCTTCTCTCCCTTTCTCTGGGATCTTGTTTTTGCAGATATATCCAGTAGTTATAGATCATTTAACTCTTCCCTTCAATTAGTTTTTTATGCCATGTTAATTTACCTATTATCTGAGTTCTACTACCGATTTAGATAATTAGAAAATAAAGTACTCAGATCAACTGAAGAAGAGTGAAGAAACCAGAGACATTACAGATTATGAGCTTTTCTTTACTGTATTGTGAATTTCTTCCTATGTCATATATACTTTTATATTCTCATAACCCAAGTCTTGTTAGGCTTATCATAGATGTTAAATAAATAAATATTTATTTAGTGACTATCAGTTTAGAGCTCTTGAGTTTAGACCTACGTCAGTTCCCAGCTAGTTTTGTATCCCTACTTAAATAACCTTTCAAATAAAGAAAAGACTATTTTTAAAGTCCTTTTAAGGCCCAAAGTCTAGGATTTTATTATTTAATGCTCTATAATAAGATTTTACCAGCTATATAATTTAACATTGTGTCTCTTTACAGAACATCAATGGAGGAACAGTTTATTAACAAGCATTAGAGTAAAAATTAATATATTATAATTTGACCAGAGATTAATTTAAAAAACTATTTTAGACTAAAATTAAATCTTTGTGGAATAGAGTTGGTGTATTGGAAGATGATACTGATAATGTTGATGATAATTTGCATTGAGTTATTGATTGTGATAAGTTTATGTGGTTTTGTGATATTTGGTGAACAACTTAATTAACCCATTTAAAAAGAGGAAAAAAGGAGTACTGAAATTTGTATGTGCAGCACATGTTGAAATGCTGAAATTCTCAATAAATAGTACAATTGTATATAAAACAAACTCATTTCCTGCAAATACTGTACAATACAAAAGGTTCTAAATTATTGCATTTATTTTAGGTCGACATTTGCTTTGCAATCTATTCTGGGGGTAGAAGCATGTAACCATGGAAAAATCTTCTTTCACTGGCAGGGAAACAAAATGACCAAGATGCTAGTTTACAACTGGGAGCTTGAAGAAATGGTAGAAGAATTCATATTCTGAGTAATCTCCAGGGTAACCATGGGTAAATTGAATATACAGACATCCACAGAGTTGCTAAGTGTATTTGGTGGAAAGTGCATCTTCAAGTCATTTCTATGGCAATCATAAATAAATCCAACTACTCTGAAATCAACACAGCAGCTGCACATTCAAACAGATATGATCAGCAGAATCTGGAGAGTTTCAGCATACATCAGGAATTTGATTCTCAGCATGCTTTGTTTACAATAGCAGAATAAGTTATTGGGTAATATTTACTTCCTATGTTAACTCCTAAAGTTTCCTTTTAGTTACAACTTTGTTCACATTTAGTAAAGATTTTTAAAAGAGGAGTGATGAGGTTAATTTTTTAAACAGAAACACTGACTCACTAGTGCTTTCGTTTCCCAATGTAAGAAATAGAAAAAAAAAGTAAGTTATCTCGTGAAAAGGGTAATCAGTTCAGTACACATTTCATTCAATAGCAATAGGGCAACTCTCTGTTATTTTATTATTATCTCATTAGTATATAATAACATTACAACATTATATACTAAGAAGATAATAATATTATATACTTAGTATACAATAACATTATGCTGAACACATTATCAATATTATCTCTAAAAATTTGATTATTAAGTTATTGTTACCCTATTTTATAGAGAAAAGTACAGGCCCAGGGTGATTAAATGACATGTCCAGGTAGTACAGCTAGTAAGAGGAGAAGCAGAATTTGAACTCAAGCAAATGTTTGTTAATTTTGATAGGGAAAAGCCATTCTAAGTGATAGAAAAAAACTTAATTTCAGGAAATATTGCACATTTGTTTATATAAAACTAAAAAGTTTTGTAAAATAAAAATCAAAGTTGGTAAAGTTTGAAGAAAATAAATTGTGAACAAATATTTGCAGCTCACATCAAAGGGTTAATTTTCCTAATAAACA
The DNA here is from genome assembly GCF_000001405.40 of Homo sapiens. Lineage (NCBI taxonomy): Eukaryota > Metazoa > Chordata > Mammalia > Primates > Hominidae > Homo > Homo sapiens. Next base: position 81,228,539 of record NC_000006.12, on the reverse strand, counting down.
CAGTGTGCCTAAAAGTCAATAAGAGAAAGGCCAAATATCCAATGGAAAAATAGGCAATGGATATAAATAGACAACACATAGTAAAGGGTATTCAAACAGCTCTTAAATATAAGAATGATGCAAACATCCCATACAAGAAGGGAAATACAAATTAAAACTATACCCAAGCTATTTTTCATCTATCAGATTGGCAAATACCAAAGAAAGATAACAATGTGGATTGACAAACATGTAAGAAAAAGCACTCATATATTGTTGGAAAATTATATAAGATCCTAAAAATTCTGTGGAGGGTAGTATGGCAATAAGTATCAAAATTATAAAGTGCTAACACTTTGACCATCAATTCTCCTCTAGGAAATTATAGCAAAGATTTACACATCTGAAATTAACTGTACATAAGTTTTTATTGCAGTAACAGAAAAATACTCAAAGCAGCCTAAATGTCTATCAACAGGGAAATGGTTGGGTTATTTACTATAAAGACACAGAGTGGGATGCTATATCTAATTCTTTACAAACCTTAAGCATTTCCTCTTCCTGATCTTGCCTGAAACTGTAAATCTGGGTACTGGTGCCACAGCCTCTCAAGTAGCTGGGATTACAGGCACACGCCACAACACCCAGCTATTTTTTTTTTTTTTTGTATTTTTAGTAGACACGGGGTTTCTCCATATTGGCCAAGCTGGTCTTGAACTCCTGATGTCAAGTGATCCACTCGCTTCGACCTCCCAAAGTGCTGAGATTACAGGAGTGAACTGCTGTGCCCGGCCAACTCCCAATTTTAATGAGCAGAAAATGCTAATTTGATATTCTTGTGTTCAGTAAACATTTATTGCAGACTTGTATACACCATGTGCAAAGTATGGTGCTAGATTTGGAATGTATAAAAAAAATAGAGAGGCTCCTATCTCAATGGTGTAACAGTCCAACAGGAGCAGGGATAGTACAATATGTGTTATAATGGGGTGTTCCATGATAATGGTAAAGGGTACCTAATTTAGCTTAGCATGTGTTAGGTAGACCACAAAAGAATTCCACGAGAAAGTGAAAGTTGATCAAGGATGGCAAACAGAAAGGTAAGTGGATAAAAGAGAGAGGAATTAGAGTTGACTTTCTAAAATACTTTTATATAAATTACTTTTATATATATTATTTTTTTTGTTAAAATGTCCTAGATGATGCCACAGAGTAAATGTTATCTGCCTAGTTATTTTAGCCTTAGATAGCATCAACATTAGAGAAAAATTAAACCTTTGTTCTTCTTTACTTAGAGCATAATACGATGTTTGTTGATTTTGTGTCTCTGCTTTTTTTCTAAACTGATGACAAAGATGAATAAGTTCTCTCACTGAAACTACATTATCAATTTCATGTAGACAGATATGTAATTGCTGAAGATGGATTTTAGCCAGACCACCTGAATTAATAACCAGCCTGAATCATCCTACTCTGGGAGAGGGTGGAACAGAACTGTTTATTGACCACCAGTGGTTGTGACCTCTGCTATCTTCCTCACTCAAAATGTCACAGAAGGAAGTCATCTAAAATGCCATGACATTTAAATAAAGTGAGAAATAAGTATATACAATGTGTGAAAACAGACTAACACTTTTCTTAATTTGCACTCGTTTTTAGGTAGCATGATTAAAAATGCCTACTTAGTATTTCCAGAAAAATTCTACAAATACTTGTCATTTTGTTAAAGTACTACAACCTTTAATCCATTTTGCCCCGTGTAAAAGTTTACTTCTTGTTTGTATGAATTTGTATGACATTTTATGACAGTAGAACAAAACAGAGAGTTTCCAGTTTTTTACTTTGCGATCATGTATAGTGGCTTATTATACTTGGCTGCAAAAATAAATTCTCAAAAGGAATATTCAGCCAATGGTCTTCTATTCATAGTTTTCATCATATTTTCTATAGTTAAAGCCAAAATATCTAAGGTAAATACCCTCCAAGACTTGATTTAACTCAACTTTGATTGCAAGAATAGAAATATAATTTAAAGTAACTCAAATAATGAATAAGGTAATTCACCATCATTCATTTTACCAAACCACTGCAAGCACAGAGAGGAGCTCATCTTGAGGATGTGGAAACCAGGAATTCAAATGGCATCAGGACTCTCCTTCTTAGTCTTTTATTTCCACTTTTCTCTGTTTCAGTTATTTCATTTATCCTGGCATCTCCATGTGGACAAGAATTTGACCATGGGTAGAAAAAGACCTAGCTCTTAGCTTTATTTAGATATATCACAAGAAAAGCATCGACAATCTCAGATTAGTTCCTATGTATCCAAATTTTAGATTAGAAAGTTGTGGTTGAAACAGATAGGGAAAAATAATTTACAAACAGAAAGAGATTCTGTTGACATAAGAAGCGAGATTCCTGAACAGGCAAAACTGTCAACAATCTGTATGAGTGTTAACACATTAAAATTGCATTTGTTCAAGCCATAGAAGCAATTCTCAAGGAAAATATTAGCTAAGGTAGGAGAGTTGCTTTAGGACAAATGTATCATTGGGCTAAAAATCTGTTGATTTATTGTTTATTAAGGTATATCAATTATTATACAAAGCATAACAGCGCACATTAGTGTGAACATCAAAACATTATAGAAAAACATAAATAATTGTTTTGCCATTATTTTAGTTTTCTGATAGTTATTGGCCCAGGAAAGCAAACACATTTAAAAATAAATAAATGGGAAATAATAAATAATAAATAAGCAATTCACATTGGAGAATCGATTGACTTTAAACAATACTATGAGTCATTCTTTGCAAAGTCCCTTTCTATCAAAAAAATCAGTTTTATAGGCCTGGTGCAGTGGCTCAAGTCTGTAATCCCAGCATTTTGGGAGGCTGAGGCAGGCGGATCATAAGGTCAGGAGATGGAGACCATCTTGGCTAACATGGTGAAACCCCATCTCTACTAAAAATACAAAAATATTAGCCGGCCGTGGTGGCGGGCGCCTGTAGTCCCAGCTGCTGGGGAGGCTGAGGCAGGAGAATGGCGTGAACCCGGGAGGCGGAGCTTGCAGTGAGCTGAGATTGCGCCACTGCACTCCAGCCTGGGCGATAGAGGATCATATAGCGATTTAGGGCTAGAAAGACATAAACATAAAGAGATGTAATTTTTAAAAGTAGAAATTTTTGCCAAAAACGGTATATGAAGAGATAGGGAATTGGAACTCAGAAGAGAGTGAACTATGCTTCCAGCTAGAAAGATTGAGTAAGACTTTTATAGATGAGGATTATCATACTTTTTGATGCATGGGAATTTTACTGTTATATAGGTCTTCTTTTCATATTTAACCTTAAAGAAGCAATTGACTAAAGCAGAAGTCAGAATTGAAGGCATAATTTTGAAAACCAAGCCATCCTCTTCAGTTCAGTTGCTTTTTTTTCTCTATTTTTCATTCTTGAAGAATTGTCATTTGGTAGTGAAGGATGAGGGTGGAAATATTTTTTCTAAGTGTATTTGTAATATTTTCATTTTATAGATTTAAAAAAATTTCAGGCTTAGTGCACAAAACACACATGTGGATATAAATATGCATTATAATTCACTTGTGAAATAATTATGGAGAATTTACTGTATATATTCGTTTTTTTCAACAAATATTTGAAGATTGGGGATACATTGGTAAACATGACAAAGTTTTTGCTCTCATGGAGATTAGTCTTCTAAGGGTGACAGAAGTTTATAATCCTACAAAGTTGACAAACAATAAATAAATGCAGTACAGTGAGTAGAGATAACTTGAGATAGTTAAAAGTTATTTGAAGAAAATAAAATTCAGCAAAGGGCTAAAGAGTAACAGAGGAGGAAAGAGCTCTAGGATAGAGCATGGGAACAGAAATTTCTTAATGACGAAACAGGAAAGAAAACCTCCTGACCCTACATTTTCATTATACTATCTTAAGACACTATACTTTTTGAGATTTGTCAAAATACATGTTTGGCATGTATTTATTATAACAACCAGAACTGTAAAAATTAAAAGGAGAAACAGAACATATGCATTGTAAATAAACATGTGGAATGGTACAGTGAGCACTCTTTATCTGGGTAAAAATTATAGTGCATGTAATTATGCAGTTATTAGTTTGTAAAACAGAATTCATTATTTCATGAACAAGTTTGATTACTAGTGAATGACTAGTATTAGATTAGTGCTCAAGCAAACACTCCTTCCAGTCAAACCCAATGTCTATGTCTTTGCCAGTGAATCTCTTCCATGTTGTTGAAACTATATTTTTGCAACCTACCTCCTCTTTCAGGATTCCTATCTCAGAGAATCATTCAAAAGTTCTAGCCAGAAAACCAGAGTTTATTCTTATTTATTTATTTACTTATTACATTTTAGAGACAATATCTCACTCTGTCACTGGGGATGGAGTGCAGTTGCCTGATCATAATTCACCACAGCCTCTAACTCTTGGGCTCAAGCCATCCTCTCACCTCAACTTCCTCAGTAGCTGGGCCTATAGGCACACATCACCACACCTGGCTAATCTTTAAAAATTGTTTGTAGAGATAGGGTCTTACTATGTTGTGCAGGCTGGTCTTGAACTCCTAGCCTCAAGCAATCCTCCTACTCAGTTTCCCAAAGTGTTGGTATTACAGGTGTGAGCCACTATACCCAGTCTCATTCTTGACACTCCCTTGTGGGAGTAGTTTGTATTCAGTGCGTCACTGAGGCCTTACGTATGATAAATTTTTCCCAAATATTTTTCATCTCCACAGCCTTTCCTAGCAACTTCTCTTATGATCTGTCATGATTGCTAGCATAAAATCTTTCTTTTTATTCTCCTTACTTCCACTCTTGTCCCCTTCAATCTTTCTTTGCAAAGTAGCTGACATGAGCTTTCCAAAACTGAAACCTAATCTTTTATTATTATTATTATTATTATTATTATACTTTAAGTTTTAGGGTACATGTGCACAACGTGCAGTTTTGTTACATGTGTATACATGTGCCATGTTGGTGTGCTGCACCCATTGACTCGTAATTTAGCATTAGGTATATCACTTAATACTATTCCCTCCCCCCTCCCCCTACCCCACAACCGTTCCCGGTGTGTGATGTTCCCGTTCCTGTGTCCATGTGTTCTCATTGTTCAATTCCCACCTATGCATGAGAACATGCAGTGTTTGGATTTTTGTCCTTGTGATAGTTTGCTGAGAATGATGCTGAAACCTAATCTTACCTATGCCTTTCAACACTCCCCTTTGCCCTTTGGATTGAGATCAAATTCTTTATCCTGGTCCACCAGCCCCTTGATCTGACTCGTTTTCTGCTCAGGTAATGATTCTCTTGCACTCTGCACTCCAGCCACATTTAGCTCCATTCATATCCTCAAATATGTGATGCTACCTTTGCCACAGTGTTTTCTCTGGCACGGTTGTTTATCTAGAATTATTTTACCCATCTCTGCTGCTCCTGTCTACAATACCTTGCATGACTCTAATGCCTGTTCATCTTTCATATCTCAGGCTATTTAATTTACTTAGCTTAGGAAGTCTTCCTTGATCCTCCAAAAGTTGCTGTTTACCTTTCCGCTGAGATTTTATTGTACTTATAATTTTTTACTTGTGCTTCTTCGGATTATTTTATTAATACTTAACTATTAGGAGGTAAGATCTTATGAGGATAGGGACTATGCTTTGTTAACCTAGCATAGTTCCTCTCATGCTGTTTGTTGAATGATTAAAATTGTCATCATCTTTAAGGCTCCATTTAACTTTGGCATTCCCTGAGTTAACAAGGTATAATATTTATTAAACAAAATAAAATTTTCAAAACAATTTGGATACTAGATTAATATGATTGAGAGATATAACTTTATCAGGAAAGGGAAAATGATAACCTTTCAGCACTATGGTTCTCTAATGAAGGAGAAATTTTATTTTCTCCAATGTCTTTTCATTTTCTTTGCAGGAAACTTAATAAGATGTCAAATAATTGTATCAGGCTGTGTTTTACTTCAAATACATGATTTTCTTCTTGCTAGAATGAATCCAAACAAGTGTTTCTGAGTGACTAGGCTCAAATAGTTATACCTTTTGGGTTTTGTTTTGTTTTGTTTTCCACTTTGCCTGTACAAACAAATGATGCATGTTTTATTTCTAAATATGTGTCATTTATCTTTAAGCTTCTCAAAAGCTGGAAAGATCCTAGCAGTACTATATATTTGTATGATTCAGCCAAGTAGAATGGATTCCAATGAGTCTAGCTATTTTCGTCTCCAAGATTTCTGCCCCTAACAGGCTCCTTCCCAGTTGCACAGTCATTGTGTTTAGAGTCACTTCATATAAGACCTGGAGGACTTGAAAAAAGCCCTTCGTATAAGGACCCAAGTGCATTAGAGACTCTATTTTTCCCAAGGTCATACAGATCAATTACTCTATTGTAACTTAAACAATGCAAAATTCATTTTGATGGCTTTTCCAATTATATCTTCTAAGAACTCATAAGCACTACAAAATGAAAGGATGGATAATTTCTTCTCCAGTAAGTGCTGGAGGTATTTTTTTCTTGAAATAGTCTAAAACAAGCAAATGCAAAAAAGCAAACAAACAAAAAAAAACAAACAACAACAACAACAACAAAAACATTGATTAGAGAAGCACAGCCAGGCATGGTGGCTCATGCCTGTAATCACAGCACTTTGGGAGGCCAAGGCAGGTGGATCACTTAAGGTCAAGAGTTCGAGACTAGCCTGGCCAACATGGTGAAACCCTGTCTCCACTAAAAATATAAAAATTAGCCAGGCATTGTGGCAAGCACCTGTAATACCAGCTACTCAGGAGGCTGAGACGGGAGAATCATTTGAACCCGGGAGGCAGAGGTTGCAGTGAGCTGAGATCATGCCATTGTACTCCAGCCTAGGTGACAAGAGCAAAACTCTGTCACAAAAAAAAAAAAAAAAAAAAAAAAAAAGAAGCACAAGAAGCACAGAGGCTAACTCCAGGAAGTTACTACTAATCAAATTTAGTGTTTTAATTTAAGCTTTACATATTTAAATCTCACTTATTTTTACAAAGGATTTTGAGATATTTATTTCTTTTTAACTTTTCTACTGCTGCCTAGCAACCTATCCCCCAAATTAGTGACTTGAACAACCATAAACTTTTATTTTTTCATGAATCCATAGCTTGCAAAACAGAGGGTAGCTTGTGTTTTTCTTGTGTGGCCTCCGCTGGAGTGGCTTAACTGGGAACTGGAATATCTATCTCCAAGAAAACTTATTCAAGAGGATGGCAACTGGTATTGATGGCTGATTTGGAAGCCAGCCAATGCTATAGACTGAAGGAAGGTTTTTTCCTCTTCCCACAGTCTATGCCTAGACTTCCTCACAATATGGCATCCAAGATTCAAAAGTAAGCAGCTTAAGAGAGCAAGGCAGAAGTACATGACAACTTTATGATCTAGCATCAGATGTAACATAAGTCATTTTTGTCATACTCTATTGAGTAGCAATTAAGTCCCAGCCAGGCTCAAGGAGTGGTGATACAGAACTCATCATTTTATGGGATAGTATCAATGTCAAATTATGAGAAGGGCACATTAGATAAATAATGTTTTTGTGGTTACCTTCGGAAAATTCACACTTTGTTCTTTGGGAACAATAGTTTATATTCCTCCCCCATGCAAAATATAGTTATCTTTCTCTCGAGAGTCTCAAACTTATTCAATAATGACATCAACTAAAAGTACAATATCTCATATTTTAAATCAGGTTTAGTTAATAATGAAAATTCTCTGATACAGCTTATTGAATAGCATGCTTCTCAATCTAAAGACCATAATCTAAAGAGACAAGATATTTGTATACCACCCACGCTTTATATGGCAGTGCAAAAATGATCAAATAACTTCTGTACGTATGTCCAATCTAACAAGGAAAAAAATGAAAAGCACAGAGCAAACTTTGGTCCTAGAAATTCTAAAATCCACCAGGGCATATGTTGTTACATTCTTGAAGACAGCTCAGTCCTACTTGCTGAAAATTTTTCTTCATAATGCTTGGCTTTGCCCTCTGGGTTCTTGCTGCTATCACGGTCATCTTTTCCCATGCAAACCAGATCTTCTTTGCAGCTGAGTAATTTTCTGACAGTGCCTCGTTACCATGGAATTTGGGGGTTCAATGACGTCCTTTAATTTTATACTCTCTCATTTCCATTCAGTCTAAATTGAAATGATTATTTAAAAATCTCATAGGGTTTCTTGATATCAATATATAATTCACTCCATTAGAAATCCACAAATATTTTCTATGTTTGGGCTTCCTGTGAAATTGCTGTGTAACAACATTCTTTGGATTCTTAAAAATCTCACTATTAAATAGAATCTCTGAGGCATATTGAAACTTCTTAGATAATTTTTTCTGTGCCTGGAAGTTTCTATAAGTTACGCCTTAATAATTTCTGATGTTTTAACAAAGGAACTTGTAGTCCAATTCTGGATTTGATATTTGCTCTGAAAGCAATTCTTAATTTGAAGATCAATTGTCATAAAGTAGCTGGGAATGAGAAAGTTTTATTTTTGAACTCAGAAATTTCCTGTTCATTCATATATAACAAATTATTATTTAGTTCATTTCTGTCCTCTCCCATTTTAATCATAGGCAGCAAGATGAAACTAGATGTCACTTTCAATATTTTGCTATGCTAGGAATTATCCTCAACTAGATCATTGAGTTGATTGGGTACATTTCTTTCTTTTCACCTTACCGTAGAAATAGCATTGCCAAAGTTTCCACCTCCACATAAAATGGCACATTTTCTTGCTGATACTAATAATATTTTTCTCACTTTCCATTAATATCTCACTATCAGTCTCCTCCAGTTTCTATAGTCTTCCATTAACATTCCCTTCAAATACTTTAGGCTATTTTTAACAGTCACTTCAAAGCCTTCTCTGCTTCCATGGATACCCTGATCCCAAAGTCAAGAGACAAGTTTTTAAAATTATTTTTTATCCTGCCATTTTTATTTGTTCTTATTAAATTTGTCTCAGTTTTTTAGTTCTATTTCCATAATTTATCAATTTCCATGTAGACTGGAATCATATTCAAGTCATTATGCACAGCCCATACTTAAGGAGTGAGAAGTCATGCTCTACCTCCTTAAGAGTGGAAGGTCTTCATAAAACATTTGAAATTTTTCCACATGGTTGAGTTGTCTCTTTTTTCCACTTATTGATTTAACTGATCATTTATGTATATCAATTGGACTTATGGATATTTATTTTATTATTTATTTATTTAGAGACAGTATCTATATTAGTTTGTTTTCATGCTGCTGATAAAGACATACCCAAGACCAGGTACTTTACAAAAGAAAGATGTTTAATTTGACTCATTTCCATGTGGCTAGGGAGGCCTCATAATCATGGAAGAAGGCAAAAGGCACGTCTTACATGGAGCAGGCAAGAGAGAGAATGAGAGCCAAATGAAACAAGTTTCCCCTTATCAAACTATCAAATCTCATGAGACTCATTTACTATCACCAGAACAGCACAGGAAAGTCGTGCCCATGTAATTCAATCACCTCCCACAGGGTTCCTCCCACAACACGGGGAAATTGTGGGAGTTACAATTTGAGATGAGATTTGAGTGGAGACAGAGCCAAACCATATCATTCCACCCCTGATCCCTCCCAAATCTCATGTCCTCACATTTCAAAACCAATCATGCCTTCCCAACAGTCCCCCAAAGTCTTAACTCATTTCAGCCTTAACTCAAAAGTCCACAGTCCAAAGTCTCCTCTGAGGGAAAGCAAGTCCCTTCCTCCTATGAGCCTGTAAAATAAAAAAAACAAGTTAGTTATGTCCTAGATATGATGGAGGTACAGGCATTGGGTAAATGCAGCCATTCTCAATGGGAGAAATTGGCCAAAACAAAGGGGCTACAGGCCCCATGCAAGTCTTAAATCCAGCAGGGCAGTCAAATCCTGAAGCTCCAAAATGATCTCCTTTCACTCCATGTCTCACATTCCAGTAATGCTGATGCAAGAGGTAGGTTCCCAGTGTCTTGGGCAGCACCACCCCTGTGGCACTGCAGAGTGCAGCCTCCCTCTCAGCTGCTTTCCTGGGCTGGTATTGAGTGTCTGTGACTTTTCCAGGTGCACAGTGCAAGCTTCTCAGTGGATCTACCATTCTGGGGTCTGGAGATTGCTGGCCCTTTTCTCACAGATCCACTAGGCAGTGACTCAGTAGGGACTGTGTGTGGGGGCTCCCACCCCACATTTCCATACCACACTGCCCTAGTAGAACTTCTCCATGCAAGCCCTGCCCCTGCAGCAAATTTCTGCCTGGGCATCCAGGCATTTCCATACATCTTCTGAAATCCAGGCAGGGATACCCAAACCCCAATTCTTCACTTCTATGCATTGGCAGGTTCAACACCATGTCAAAGCTGCCAGGGCTTGGGGTTTGCACCCTCTGAAGCCAGGGCCTGAGCTCTACGTTGGACCCTTTCAGCCATGGCTGGAGCAGCTGGGACACAAGGCACCAAGTCCCTAGGCTACACACAGCACAGGGACCCTGGGCCTGGCCCATGAAGCCATTGTCTCTTAGGCTTCTGGGCCTGTGATGGGAGGGGCTCCTATGAAGACCTCTGACATGCCCTGGACATATTTTCCCTATTGTCTTGGGGATTGACATTCTGCCCATCATCACTTATGCAAATTTCTGCAGCCAGCTTGAATTTCTCCTCAGAAAATGGGTTTTTCTTTTCTATTACATTGTCAGGCTGCAAATTTTCCGAACTTTCATGCTCTGCTTCTCTTATAAAACTGAATGCCTTTAACAGCACCCAAGTCACTTCTTGAATGCTTTGCTACTTAGAAGTTTCTTCTACCAGATACCCTAAATCATCTCTCTCCAGTTCAAAGTTCCACACATCTCTAGAGCAGGGGCAAATGCTGTCAGTCTCTTTGCTAAAACATAACCCGAGTCACCTTTGCTCCAGTTCCCAACAAGATCCTCATCTCCATCTGAGATCACTCAGCCTAGACCTTATTGTCCATATCACTATCAGGCTTTTGGTCAAAGCCATTCAACAAGTCTCTAGGGAGTTCCAAACTTTTCCACATTTTTCTCTCTTCTTCTGAGCCCACCAAACTCTTCCAACCTCTGCCAGTTAGCCAGTTTCAAAGTCACTTCCACATTTTTGGGTATCTTTTCAGTAATGTCCCACTCTACTGGTATCAATTTACTGTATTAGTTTGTTTCCTCACTGCTAATAAAGACATACCTGAGACTGGGTAATTTACAAAAGAAAGAAGTTTAATTCGACTCACAGTTCCACGTGCCTGGGGAGGCCTCACAATCATGGTGGAAGGCGAAAGGCAAGTCTTACATCACAGCAGGCAAGAGAGAGAATGAGAGCCAAGCAAAAAGGGTTTCCCCTTATCAAACCATCAGATCTCATGAGACTCACTCACTATCATGAGAACAGCACAGGAAAGACCCACCCCCATAATTGAATCACCTCCCACCAGATTCCTCCCACAACACGTGAGAATTGTGAGAGTTCAAATTCAAGATGAGATTTGGGTGGAGACACAGCGAAACCATATCAGGATCTTACTTGTTGCTCACCCTGGAGCATAGTGATGCTATTATAACTAATTGCAGCTTTGGACTCCTAGGCCCTAGTGATCTTCCTGTCTGGCTTCCCAAGTAGCAGGGACTACAGGCATGCACCACGACATCTGGCTAATTACATAAAAAATTTTTACAGATAAAATCTTGCTATGTTGCCCAGGCTGGTTTCAAAATCCTGGCCTCAAGGGATCTTCCTGCCTCAAACTTCCAAGTACCTAGATTACATGGGTATTTAATTTGTACATTCAATATAATCTAATACTGCCCACCAAACTGTTCCAACCTCTGCTGGTTAGCCAGTTTCAAAGTCACTTCCACATTTTTGGGTATCTTTTCAGCAATGTCCCACTCTACTGGTACCAATTTGCTGTATTAGTTTGTTTTCTCACTGCTAATAAAGACATACCTGAGACTGGGTAATTTACAAAAGAAAGAAGTTTAATTCGACTCACAGTTCCACGTGCCTGTGGAACTATATTTATTTACTTTTTGTTTTTACTGCTGTCCCCAGTGTTTCAACTTTGAGTATTTTGAGCTTATTCAGTTGGCTTCTATGTCACTTTGACATACTCCCATCATCGTGGACTTTTGTTTTGTTCTGCTCTGTTTTTGAACACTTTCTAATGTTTTCTCCCTACAGGAAGCTCCATAATAATTTTATGTATTACTTGCACCAGGCCTAAAATCATCCATTTTAATAGGGACACCTTGGTTCCTTTCTTTTGAAAATGGTATTAGAAACCAGGATCTAGTGATAAGTGTGTTTGTTGCTAAGAGTGTGATTGCTTCTAGCTCTTCTCAGCTGACACAGCAAATAGTTAAATGTGTGAATACTAAATAGTGCATGTTCATGTATCTATAAATATTTTTATATGCAATGAACTGTATCTATATAACCTAAACCTATCCTCATATTATGTATCCAACTGTAATCCACTACCATATGGATAATTCTAACCTCTTTGCTTTACATTTTTGCATATCTATTTAAGGACTGGTTTAATAGAAGAAAGCTGGATTATCAAAATTATTCTGTCTTCAATTCACTGAGATAATCACACAGCATGAAGTCTCTAAAAATTCACTCTACTTGTGAAAGAATAAAAGTGAAAAATATAAATACCATGTTAGTATTACTATGAAGACTTCATGAACTCTGAAAGGATTCTGTGGACCTCCTTGAGATATGCTGCTGTTACGGGATCTTTGAGGTGTCGCTTTTCTGGCCAGAAACCTCTTTGGGGTGTGGCTTTTCTGGCCGGAAACCTCTGTGGCCAATGGTGCCTTTGCCCGAGTTCTTTCCTGTGTCCAGGAATAAAGAAGTGCCAGACAAGTGGAAGGTAAACAAGATGAAGAGGAGCTTCATTGAGTGTTACAACAGCTCAGAGGAAGCCCACACTGGGTAGTTCCTCTCTATAGGTAGATCGTCTCATGAAGTGTTCAGTTCCGCAAAGAGGAGGCCCTGGAGAGGATGGTTCCTCTCTGCCGGCCAGTCGTCCAGTCTCTCCAGCTATCAGAGGAGAGGGTATCTCCTCTGTAGCTCCTCCCTGCAGCTGGTCATCCCGTAGTCTCTTTGCCCTCTGCCCTGCTCTGACTCTTCTGCCCTGCTCTGCCTTAGCCTGGGGCTTTTATGGATCTCAGAGGGGAGGAAGTGCCTGCTGATTGGTCTATGGGTGGCCATGGGCAGGCCCAGAGGAGGCAACACAAGTCTCCAATGCGGTCAGCTCAGTGGGACTGGCAGTCCGGTCCCCAGCCTTTAGGCCCTCCCTAACCTGAAGGAGGGCCTTACAGGGAACCACCCGCTTCAACCACGGAACCTGTCTGTCTCCCACTGCCATTCATGGCCCTGGGGCTCAGCCTCAACCCCACCGGGAGATCTGAGCAGGCTCCGGGAGGGGCGAAAGGCCAGGCAGCAGGAGCAGACACCCCCGAGCCCGCAGGGTTTGTGGGGCTTTCCAGGCCCGTGAAGATGCCCGGGTCCTGCACCTGGGAGGGCGGCTACAGCTGCACCTGGGGAGCTGCTGCTCCACCAACTCGGGAAGGATGGTGCTCTCACTTGTCCCAGACTCCTTGCCTGCTCTGTGGAGTAGGAGGCCCAAGTCTGCAGCCCGGGTTGGCTGCAGCTGCACCTGGGAGGTCAGATCCTGTCTGCTCCCACCCCGCCTCAAGAGCACAGGGAGGCTTGGATCCACAGGGGCAGTTTGGGTGGCTATAGCCCTACCCAGGAGAACAGAACTCCTGCCTGCTCAATGGAGCGGGAGGCTTGGGTCTGCAGCCCGGTTTGGGTGGCTGCAGTGGCGCCTGGGAAGCTCCTGCCCCAACTCAGAAAGGGTGGGGGCTCCATGGAGTGTGCAGCCCCAGGTGCACCTCTCTGCTGCAGCTGGCATGATGTCAGCGGCCACTGCCATCACTGCCTTATACTATTTATCCTTTTATCATTCAGTGCAAGGTTGAACCAAATCTTTGCTTATTTTCTTGTTTTTGCATGGTCAAAGTCAAAGGTGGCCTTTTAAAAAACAGAGCTGGATAGAAGATTTTCTGCCAATGAAATGGAATTTGTTTGTTACATGTTTGGGTCACCATGATTTCACTTATCTTCCAATCGTCTAGACCATTTCAGTTTTTCTATTGCCAAAATACAAATTTTTTGAGATGGTAATTTGATATAGAAAACTCGAATTTGCTTAACAGTTTATTTACTTGACTACCGCACTTAACTGTAGTCAAGTAAACTCTATTGTTTATAATGTTTTTATAATGAAATTATAAATTCCATTGTTTATAATATTTTTATAATGAAATTTTCTCAGAAAAAAAGAACACTTGATTGAAAAATAATGGCATGCTTATAAATGTGCTTCAGGCAAGGTTTTGCTTTGTAGGGTCTTCTTTTTTCAGCAGTGGAAAAGTGGGTAGGTAGACAGTAAAAAATCTGATTATATTTTGATGATGAAAAACATTTCATCTGTTTTTATTTCCCTCCAACTATGGAGAAGAATATCTTGCCACTTTTGGCCTATAAGTTTGATAACATGTATTTAGGAAATCAGTTAATTAATTGATTAGTGGCAACTACTTATCACTCATTTTCTTCATTTCTACAGACCGGTTATAATAATAATATTTACAAAATAAGCTGCCTCACTGACTACCTAAGTGTGTCATAATTCTACACACATTTGATAGAATTTAAACAAGCTAGTCTTTAAGACTGGATTATTTAAAGGTGTGCACATATCTTACAAAAAATATTTTCTATGCTATAGATAAAACAGACTTTTATAATTATAATGTATAAAATATATAACCAAAGAAAATTATTTTGACTTCTTACATCTATAACGACATGGCTGTTAAGAATATTTATTTCAATATATGAAAACATAACATAAAGCATTAATTATCAAAATATGTTGGAACCAATATATTAAAATATTGACTAAAAGACAAAAGTCATTCTTGCAATAATTTTTTTCTATAAATATTTATGAGGCTAGAATTACCCACTTACCAAAACCAGAAAAAGCTAATATAAGAAGATAAAATATGAAAAAAATTCTTAACAAGTTTTTTATGTATTATATATGTATGTAAATATGTTATATAGGTATAATATATAAATATAAATGTATCTATACACACTTATATAAACATATACATAAACTAAAATATCACAAAAATAATCCTTAACAAATTATATATATGTGTATATATGTATATATGTGTGTTTGTATGCATGTATATCTCAAGTTATATAGATATAATATACAAATGTATTTATACAAACTTACATAAGCATATATGTACACTACACATATGTATTTATACAGTGTGTGTAACTCACATGATGACTAACAAAGGGAATTATTTGAGAAATGTAAAAAAAACCCAGAAGATAAAATTTATTTTCTCAAACTGATAAAAGAGTATCTATGAAGAATCTACAGCGAACATTATACTTAATGATGAAAGACTAATTTTTCCCCATAAAATTGAAAACAAAGCAAGGATGTCTACTCAACCACTTTTCTTCAACAATATTTTTTTCAACAAAAGATATTTGTTTACAAATAACATAACCATGTATATGAAAATTGTAAGGCATCTTCAAAAAATACTGGCATTAATGAGTTTAGGAAAGTTACAAAGTACGGAATACCACAGAACTGGTAAGCAAAATTTTATTCCAATTCTGTATACTAGAAACAAGCATTCAGAAATTAAAAAATAACAACATTATAATACACCCAGAAAATAAAATAAGTAGAGATTATTATTTTAAAAACATGGCATTTCCTATATACTAAAACCATAACTGTTTGCAGAAATTAAAGAATATCTTAAGAGATGGAGAGATATGCAATTTTCATGGATTGACATCTCTACTGTTAAAATGACAACGCTCCCTAATTTTTTCCATAGATTTAGTACAATGCCAATCAAAAACCTAGCAGGCTTTATTGATTCTTTTGGTATTTTTGTAGTAGAAACTGGCAAACTGATTTAATTAGGTTGGTGCAAAAGTAATGCCAAAAACCACAATTACTTTGGCACCAACCTAATAAAATTTATATAGAAGTATAAAGAACTTGAGCCCTCAAAATTGAAAAAAAGGAAAAACTACCAAACACAACAAAGTTGGAGTACTTTACCTGATTCCAATACTTATTTTAAAATTACAGTAATCAAGACTGTATGCTATTGGCATAATGATGTTTAAAAACTTCTTGTCCGTTATTTCTTTGGATATTTTTTCTGCCCTCAGTTTTTTTTCTCATCGTCTTTAGGGATTCCAAATATGGCCCTTGAGTTTCAATAGAAAGTTTGAAGTATTTACCAAGACCCTATAAATTGAAACTGAATTTTGAACTCTTTCTTCCCAACATTGGTCAGTTGCTGAAATAGCTAATTAGGTCTTTTAGCCTAACTCTTACTTTCAGTTGAGTCTGCAGACATGTTCCAGTCATATGAATTAGGGAATTAGCCAAGGACTTGATGGGATTTTTGCATGCAAAATGTTGGCTCTCTCTCTTAGCTCTACACTTTCCTCAACTTTCCTGCTCCATTTCCAGCTAGCCTTGCAGTCAGCTTTGAACTCTGATAGTTAAATTCTCAAATAAGACTGCTGATTTCTACTTGAGTCTATTCTGTATAGAAGGACAGACTGATACTGCCATCAGGTCAAAGCTGATTTCACATGGGTCTCACCCACTGTGTTTTCTTCTTTCACAGGCCTTTTCCAGCCATTTTCTGGCTGCTTTTGGTCTTATTTAGTGGCTTCAAGCCATTGTTGATTATATATTTTTAGTGTTTGTAAATGTTATTAGTATTATCTGACACTAGACACTTTGCTACTTCTAGAGATACTATCTATATTAAACTTTTAAAAAGAAATTGATTCATGATAATAGTAGACCCATATTGATAAGTTTACATTTTTACTGCTTCACAGCTTGTGGATATGGTGGTGAAGGAGTGTATATTTTATTAATTTTTAATTTTTCTTGGTACATAGTAGATGTATATATTTATGGGGTACATAAAATATTTTGATACAGGCATACAATGCCTAATAATCACATGATGGAAAATGGGGTATCCATCCCTTCAACCATTTATCCTTTGTATTACAAACAGGCCAAGTACACACTTTTAGTTATTTTTAAATGTACAATTAAATAATTATTGACTCTAGTCACCTTGTTGTGCTATCAAACACTAGGTCTTATTTGTTTTTTCTAACTTTTTTTTGTACACATTAACCTTCCTCACCTCTTACCACCCCCTGCTACCCTTCTCATCCTCTAGAAACCATCCCTCCTTTCTCTGTGCGTTCAATTGTTTTGATTTTTACACTCCACAAATAATGAACTTGACGTTTGTCTCTCTGTGCCTGGCTTATTTCGCTTAACATCACGGCCACTAGTTCCATCCATGTTGTTGCAAATGACCATGATCTCATTCTTTTTATGGCGGAACAGTACTGCATTCTGTATATGTACCATATTTTGTTTTATTCATTCATCTGTTGATGGACACTTATGTTGCTTCCAAATCTAGGTTATTGTGAACAGTGCTGCAACAAACATGAGAGTGCAGATATCTCTCTGATATGCTGATATTCCTTCTTTGGGGCATATATTCAGCAGTGGGATTGCTGGATTATATGGTAACTCTATTTTCAGTTTTTGAGGAACTCTAAACTGTTCTCCATAGTGGTTTTACTAATTTACATTTCCACCAACAGTATACGAGGGTTCCCCTCTCTCCATATCCTTTCAGCATTTGTTACTGCCTGTCTTTTGGATAAAACCCATTTTAACTGGGGTGAGATGATATCTCATTGTAGTTTTGATTTGCATTTCTCTGATGATGACTGATGTTGAACACCTTTTCATATGCTTGTCATTTGTATGTCTCCTTTTGGGAAATGTCTATTCAAATTTTTTTTATTATACTTTAAGTTTTAGGGTACATGTGCACAATGTGCAGGTTAGTTACATATGTATACATGTGCCATGCTGGTGTGATGTACCCATTAACTCGTCATTTAGCATTAGGTATATCTCCTAATACTATCCATCCCCCCTCCCCCCACCCCACAACAGTCCCCAGAGTGTGATGTTCCCCTTCCTGTGTCCATGTGTTCTCATTGTTCCATTCCCATCTATGAGTGAGAACATGCGGTGTTTGGTTTTTTGTCCTTGCGATAGTTTACTGAGAATGATAATTTCCAATTTCTTCCATGTCCCTACAAAGAACATGAACTCATCATTTTTTATGGCTGCATAGTATTCCATGGTGTATATGTGCCACATTTTCTTAATCCAGTCTATCGTTGTTGGACATTTGGGTTGGTTCCAAGTCTTTGCTATTGTGAATAGTGCCGCAATAAACATACATGTGCATGTGTCTTTATAGCAGCATAATTTATAGTCCTTTGGGTATATACCCAGTAATGGGATGGCTGGGTCAAATGGTATTTCTAGTTCTAGATCCCTGAGGAATTGCCACACTGACTTCCACAATGGTTGAACTAGTTTACAGTCCCACCAACAGTGTAAAAGTGTTCCTATTTCTCCACATCCTCTCCAGCACCTCTTGTTTCTTGACTTTTTAATGATTGACATTCTAACTGGTGTGAGATGGTATCTCATTGTGGTTTTGATTTGCATTTCTCTGATGGCCAGTGATGGTGAGCATTTTTTCATGTGTCTTTTGGCTGCATAAATGTCTTCTTTAGAGAAGTGTCTGTTCATATCCTTTGCCCACTTTTTGATGGGGTTGTTTGTTTTTTTCTTGTAAATTTGTTGGAGTTCATTATAGATTCTGGATATTAGCCTTTTGTCAGATGAGTAGGTTGCAAAAATTTTCTCCCATTTTGTAGGTTGCCTGTTCACTCTGATGGTAGTTTCTTTTGCTGTGCAGAAGCTCTTTAGTTTATTTAGATCCCATTTGTCAATTTTGGCTTTTGTTGCCATTCCTTTTGGTGTTTTAGACATGAAGTCCTTGCCCATGCCTATGTCTTGAATGGTAATGCCTACGTTTTTTTCTAGGGTTTTTATGGTTTTAGGTCTAACGTTTCAGTCTTTAATCCATCTTGAATTAATTTTTGTATAAGGTGTAAGGAAGGGATCCAGTTTCAGCTTTCTACATATGGCTAGCCAGTTTTCCCAGCACCATTTACTAAATAGGGAATCCTTTCCCCATTTCTTGTTTTTCTCAGGTTTGTCAAAGATCAGATAGTTGTAGATATGCGGCGTTATTTCTGAGGGCTCTGTTCTGTTCCATTGATCTATATCTCTGTTTTGGTACCAGTACCATGCTGTTTTGGTTACTGTAGCCTTGTAGTATAGTTTGAAGTCAGGTAGCATGATGCCTCCAGCTTTGTTCTTTTGGCTTAGGATTGCCTTGGCGATGCGGGCTCTTTTTTGGTTCCATATGAACTTTAAAGTAGTTTTTTCCAATTCTGTGAAGAAAGTCATTGGTAGCTTGATGGGGATGGCATTGAATCTAGAAATTACCTTGGGCAGTATGGCCATTTTCACGATATTGATTCTTCCTACCTATGAGCATGGAATGTTCTTCCATTTGTTTGTATCCTCTTTTATTTCATTGAGCAGTGGTTTGTAGTTCTCCTTGAAGAGGTCCTTCACATCCTTTGTAAGTTGGATTCCTAAGTATTTTATTCTCTTTGAAGCAATTGTGAATGGGAGTTCACTCATGATTTGGCTTTCTGTTTGTCTGTTATTGGTGTATAAGAATGCTTGTGATGCAAAAATCCTCAATAAAATACTGGCAAACCGAATCCAGCAACACATCAAAAAGCTTATCCACCATGATCAAGTGGGCTTCATCCCTGAGATGCAAGGCTGGTTCAATATATGCAAATCAATCAATGTAATCCAGCATATAAACAGAACCAAACACAAAAACCACATGATTATCTCAGTAGATGCAGAAAAGGTCTTTGACAAAATTCAGCAACCTTCATACTAAAATCTCTCAATAAATTAGGTATTGATGGGACGTATCTCAAAATAATAAGAGCTATCTATGACAAACCCACAGCCAATATCATACTGAATGGGCAAAAACTGGAAACATTCCATTTGAAAACTGGCACAAGACAGGGATGCCCTCTCTCACCACTCCTATTCAACATAGTGTTGGAAGTTCTGGCCAGGGCAATTAGGCAGGAGAAGGAAATAAAGGGTATTCAATTAGGAAAAGAGGAAGTCAAATTGTCCCTGTTTGCAGAAGACATGATTGCATATCTAGAAAACCCCATTGTCTCAGCCAAAAATCTCCTTAAGCTGATAAGCAACTTCGGCAAAGTCTCAGGATACAAAATCAATGTACAAAAATCAAATTTTTGCCCATTCTAAAATCAGAATATTAGATTTTTCCTATAGAGTCATTTCATATTCTTATGTATTCTGGTTATCAATCCTTTGTCAGATGGGTAGTTTGCAAATACTTTTTCTCATTCTGTTAGTTGTCCCTTCACTTTGTTGATTGTTTCCTTTGCTGTGCAGAAACATTTTAAATTGACATGATTCCATTGGTCTATTTTTGCTTTGGTTTCCTGTACTTTTGGGATATTACTAAAAAAATTTTTGCCCAGAAAAATATCTTGGAAAGTTTCTCTATGAAAGTGTTTATGATTAGCAAATTTGCTAATTTTCTAAATGTGGGAAAGCTTAAAAATAATTAATGTAAATGAGATCCTTAGAGAAAAGTCTAGCTTAATCAAAAGGTAGTGGATTCATTCATTGAGACACTGACTATCGGCAGCTTTTTTTTAAGCTGTCTGGCTTAAGGATCTCATGTCCCCACAAATTAAAATGTTTTTTGTCTGACATTTGATTCATATTTTGGCAAGCCTGTTTCCAGTGAAAACTTTTCTCAGGGCAGATCATTCGCCAAGTTCCTAAAATTCTCTTGGCAAGTTTTTATTTAAGATCGGTTTCCATAAAGAATCTCATAATGCATATAAATGTGTTTAGGAGTAGAGCTATCATTGATTGGAAGTGAAGGAGTTCCTTTGATAGTTGTTTATTGAATTATCAACATGATTTTTGCAACCAAAAGCAGATATCTAACCAGAATCTCTCACCATTGCAAAAAGGACTCTTATTTCATCATGTGTTGGAATGAGATTAGTGTTCATGTAAGAGATTTGTTGTGAGATTTCCATATGTATTGTCCAAATGTCAAATTTCCTGTGGAAGTTAGTGTTTACATGCAGAGGTCCAAGGGAGAGGTAGCACCGGTGGGTAAAATAATAGGTTAAAGATTAAAAATTAAGTAGCCATTTTCTAAAAATGTTATTCTTCATATTTTACATGAGATTGATGGAACTCCAGCTGTTCAAATAAAGGAATAGGTAATGATAAATTTGGCAGCTAATACTATATATATAAGCCACCCTTTTATACTGTTAATATTGATAAGAAGGTTATAATCTCTAGTCATGAGACCAATATTTCTTGGGAGGATAGACAACTGAGATGTCCCTGAAAAAATATAGAGCATAATCCAGAAGAAAGATTATTATGATCAGACTTGAAGGATTCATGTTGCAATTCTAGTTCATTAACATGTTAAATTTTAACATCTTTTAGGATTTGAGCATTTTCATTTTCTTTGGTTTTGTGTTTTTAAATAAAAGGAAGAAATTAGATTGGAAGGTATCTAAAACCCACATCATCTCTATAATTTTTTAAGTAAACAAAGATTAGGCAGACAAAATAATAAAAGTACTAAGGACTTTATTATATTACATATTTTTTTTATTTTTGAGTATTGACAGCCTAAGCAAAGATGAAGCAAAAACAGAGTGATTAAAAAGTCAACTAAGACTTTACTTAATAGGGCAAAGTAGTGAAAAGGTCTCCCATGGGTGTGATGAAATGTTATTGGCAAATAAAAAAGGCAAGAACTTTCGATGCAAACTGGCCTAACTTTTAAAGCACCTGTGATAGAAGCTTACCTTATAAATGATTTGCTCAAGGATTAACGATGTCAAGTTGTGTCTGTCCAACATGTTCTCTGTTTTTCTATCAATTAATTACGTCAACAAATTGCTGAGTGCTTATATATACCGAATACTGTTTTTAGAGTTTTTTTAAATTATTAGGCTTAATTCATATTCTCAAACATCTCAAAAACAGATAAAAATTGAAAGGAAATTATTATTTTATAAATATATCAGCTGTTCTAACCTTTATTAACAATGGCAATTAATCTATTGGGAGAAACATTTCCTTTTTACATTTTATATCTCTGAAATTAAAATAGGCCATACAACAGATGGTGTCTTAGTGTTATGTCATAGTTTATTAGGTAATTTTTCATTTTTCCTCCCATATGTTACATAAAATAATGATGCATCTTAAAATCAATGGTGTATGCATCTTCCTTAAAATCTATTTTCAAAATATTAAAAACAGATAATCTATAAAATGCATGGTGAATTCTCATTTAGAATTGATTATGAGATCCCTGGTAGGTAGACTCACATCTGTGATTACCTTGACCTTGTGCTTTCTACCACTGCTACCCAATAACAAACCTCAGCAATTCCAGGAAGGAACAAGTTCCTCCATGATTCTGTTTGAAACACTTGGTTCTTCTTAGAGTTTAGTGCTCAGTGTTCTATATTGGATAGATTAATATAGAACATGTCATTGTTCTATATTGGATAGATTAATATAGAACATGTCATTGTTCTATATTGGATAGATTAATATAGAACATGTCATTGTTCTATATTGGAATAATTATAATGATCATTAATATTTATAATGATTATAATGATTTATAATTTTTGAGGGTCTAGTAAATGACAATATGCTAGTCAAAACTGCCAAGATATCTTTGGCTTATTTCTCACAAAAAATCTTGTACAATAAATATTATCAATACCTCTACTTTACAAATGGGTGAATGGAGGCATAAAATGTTTAAGTTACTTAAATAAAGTCCCAGAGCAAATGGTTAATAGAGCAGGATTCAAAGCCAGGCCTCCTCCCTTAATACTGTGTAACACTTAACTCCCAGAAATATATAGGGACAAACAAATTACCAGCAATAAAATGATAAAACTGATATAAATTAATTAACTGTTAAACTATTTTCTCCATGAGGGAATTTTCAACATAGATTAGTCAATCAATAATCTCTCTTGATTTGAAAAAATGAATCCCTCTTGATTTGAAAAAATGAATTATGGCCAGATGCAATTGGCATAGTAGGGTTAATGATCTCTAGAAATCTGAGTAGAAAATGAATGGAAACAAACTCTACAATCAAGGAAGAAGGCAAGTCTCTCAGGGCTATCAGGAAATATGGCCCAACTCTGAGTGTTTTAATGGAGAAAGTCAACAAAAGGCAAGAAGCCACCAATTAAGCTCATTACCTCCTGTGTGTCCTTAAAAGCCCTTTGTTTTCTGAGCTTTTGATGACTCAAGAGAAGGAATTTTCACTTAGATGGCATGAAATTGAAGGGATGGAACTTAAAATAGACCACTTGTTCTTACTGGCAGAGTGACAAATACAAATTCTGTAACTTGCTTGTCTTTGTTTAAGATACACATTTAAAAAGAATGCTTAATACACTGAAAGATGCAGAGGGGGAATCCTATTGTGCTATCGATCAAACATATATGTCATTTTTGTTTCTTTTAAAAGTATGATATTGTTACTTGGGTTTGAAAGGAAAACCACGAAGCTCTTGATATTTAAAACTGCTAAAAATAATCAGTCTTCTTCTGCCAATTGACAGAAAGGTCATAGTTGTGATGCAAACCTTAAAATTCCATGCAATTCAGACTTCAAAAATGGAAGGCTCATTTTAATCAGTGATAAACTTTAATTCATGCAAAAATATAGGCTAATGTCAAGTAGTCCTCCCCAATCTTTCTCAAACATATTGTTAAATATAATGAACCTAGACATACAAATCTTTCAGTTCGGAAAAAAAATAATATTTTGTGTTATTTGTTGGAATATTTAGCCACTTTCCAGTTTAAAAAGAAATTTGGTTTAAGTAAGAAAAAGTTAAGTTTACTCTTTGCCCATGAAGCAATTACTTTTTCAGAAGGATTTCCAATTTAAACTATTAATATATTTGATTTTCAACTTCAGAGCCATAAATGACTTCTAAATATTTAAGAAAAGTCTAGACTTCAGTTATACTGAATATATATTATCCTTGGATTGCATTGAATGCCTGAATTTATTCAGAAATGCATCATCAATAGGTACAATACCTAACAGTATATTTTGTTATTTCACTGGTTATTTCCTATAGCTACACGTATACATAGTATCATCTGCATGGTAGCCCCTTATAACATTCTGCAGAATGTCAAAATATATAAGATTCCTGCTGACTATATTTTGAGAGAGAGCAGAACATTTTACATGGCCTTGTGCACAGACAGTGAATGTATTTTTCTGTTCTTCCCATGTAAAAATTAATGCTTCTGAGTTTCATTATTTATGTATTTTGAGAAAATATTTCCCAGATCAATAACTACATAAAATGTCAGAAGCTGTGTGAATCACTTCAGTAAATATCTAATACCTAGTATTACAAATGCAACTAGCAATAGTATAATATTGGTTTATGGTAGTCTACCATCATTCACATGACCAGTCTGGTTTCTGGAGAGAATATGTTGATGACTTTGAAATTGAGGAGATCATCCCCTCTTCATTCTTTAAGATTTTGATAGTCACACTAATTTATGTAATTCCCTCTGCAACTTTATTTTATCTTGATTCAGGGTTGAGAGAGGGCTCTTATAATAAATGAAAATAACAAACATAACTTTTCTATACATAGCTGGGGACAAAAGTCCCTTGATATGTAATCTATTTGGTGCCAAAACAAGAACTATTCCCACACTTGGCTGTACTGAGATATGACTCTATTTTCTGACTCAGAGGCATTGAGGGGTGGCAGAGGTGGGTCTTGAAGAGGGCAGGCATTATTCTTTAGGTGAGATATTCGCAGAGTATTCAGACAATCCCACACTTTCCTTATCAGAGTCACAGGCTACAAGATTGATATACAAATATCAATTACTTTTCTTCACGTAACAATAAAAAATTGAAACTTAAAAATCAGTACCATTTAGAAAGCAGCAGAGAAGACAAATTACTTAGATATAGGTGTACAAAATATGTGTGAAGTCTTTGTGCTGAAAGCTACAAAACTCTGATGAAAGATCAAAGAAGAACTAAGTAAAAATGAAGATATCTTATGTTCAAGATGGAAAGACTCAGTATTATTAAGAGAGCAATTATTGCCAAACTGAACCAAAAATATAAGGCAATTTTATTCAAAATCTAGAATTTTTTAAGAAACTGTCAAATGCTTCTTCTGATGTTCATGTAGACTAGAATCACCAACAAATTCTGGAAAAGAATTTTATATTAGTCCATTTTTATACTGCTATGAAGAAATACCCAAGACTGGGTAATTTACAAAGAATAAAAGGTTTAATGGACTCAGTTTCATATGGTTAGGGAAGCCTCACAATCATGGCACAAGGTGAAGGGGAATTAAAGACATGTCTTACACAGCAGAAGGCAAGACAGCATGTGCAGGGAAACTGCCCTTTTAATACCATAAGATCTCATGAGGCTTATTCACTACCATGAGAACAGAATGGGAAAGACCTTCCCCCATGATTCAATTACCTTTCACTGGATCTGTCCCACAACACATGGGAATTATGGGAGCTACAATTCAAGATAAGATTTGAGTGGGGACCCATCCAAACCATATCATTCCACAACTGGCCCCTCCCAAAGATCATATACTCCCATTTCAAAACCAATCATGCCTTCCCAAAAGTCCCTCAAAGTCTTAACTCATTTCAGTATTAACTCAAAACTCCACAGTCCAGAGTCTCACCTGAGACAAGGCAAGTTCCTTCTGCCTATGAGTGCATAAATTCAAAAGCAAATTAGTTACTTCCTAGATACAATGAGGATACAGGCATTGGGTAAATACACCTATTCCAAATGGGAGAAATTGGCCAAAATGAAGGACCTACAGGCCTCATGCAAGTCTGAAATCCAGCAGGGTAGTCAAATCTTAAAACTCCAAAGTGATCTCCTTTGACTCCATGTCTCACATCCAGGTCACGCTGATGCAAGAAGTGGGTTCCCATGGTCTTGGGCAGCTCCACACCTGTGGCTTTGCAGGGTACAGCCCTTCTCCTGGCTGCCTTCACAGGCTAGATTTGAGTGTCTGCAGCTTTTCCAGGCATTCAGTGCAAGCTGAGAGTGGATCTACCATTCTCACATCTGGAGGATGGTGGCCCTCTTTTCACAGCTCCACTAGACAGTGCCTGAGTGGTGACTCTGTGTGCAGGCTCCAATACCACATTTCCCTTCAACAGTGACCTAGTAGAAGTTCTCCATAAGGGCTCCACCCCTGCAGGAAACTTCTGCCTGGACATGCAGGCATTTCCATACATCCTCTGAAATCTAGGCAGAGGTTCCCAAACCTCAATTCTTGACTTCTGTGCACCTGCAGGCCCAACACCAAGTGAAAGCTGCCAAGGCTTGGGGCTTGCACCCTCTAATGCTATAGTCCAACCTGTACCTTGGCCCCTTTTAGCCATGGCTAGAGTGGCTGGGATGCAGGACACCAAGTCCCAAGGCTGCACACAGCAGAGGGGCCATGGATCCAGCCCAGGAAACTATTTTTCCCTCCTAGTCCTCCAAGACTGTGATAGAAGGGGCTGCCGCAAAGTTCTCTGACATACCTTGAAGATATTTTCCCCAGAAAATGAGTTTTTCTTTTTTACTCCATTGTCAAGCTGCACATTTTTCAAATTTTATGCTCTGCTTCTTCTTGAACACTTCACCACATAGAAATTTCTTCCATGAGATACCCTAAATGATCTCTTTCCAGTTCAAAGTTCTATAGATCTCTAGGGCAGGGGCAAAGATCCCTGAAGTGTCCTGGAGACATTTTCCCCATTGTCTTGGTGATTAACATTCAGCTTCTTTTTACTTGTATTAGTTCATTTTCACACTGCTAATAAAGACATACCTGAGACTGGGCAATTTACAAAAGAAAGAGGCTTATTGGACTTACAGTTATACGTGGATGAGGAGGCCTCACAATCATGGTGGAATGTGTAAGGCATGTCTCATATAGTGGCAGACAAGAGGAGAGAGCTTGTGCAGGGAAACTCCCATTTTTCAAACCACCAGATCTCATGAGACTTATTCACTATCATGAGAACAGCACAGGAAAGACCTGCCCCAGGATTCAGTTACCTCCCAACAGGTCCTTCCCACAACAGCTGGGAATTCAAGATGAGATTTGGATAGGGACACAGTCAAACCATATCATTACTTATACAAATTTCTACAGTTGCCTTGAATTTCTCCCCAGAAAATGGGGTTTTCTTTTCTATCACATTATCAGGCTGCAAATTTTCCAAACTTTTATGTCCTGCTTCCCCTCGAATGCTTTGTCACTTAGAAATTTGTACCACTAGATAACCTAAATCATCTGTCTCAAGTTCAAAGTTCCACAGATCTCTAGGGCAAGGGCAAAATGCTGCCACTCTCTTTGCATAGCATGAGTGACCTTTACTATAGTTACCAAAAAGTTCCCCATCTCCATCTAAGACCACCTCAGCCTGGACTTTATTGTCCATATCACTATCACCATTTTGGTCAAAGCCATTCAACAAGTCTCTGAGAAGTTCCAAACTTTCCCACATCTTCCTGTCTCATGAGCCCTCCAAGTCTCTAGGAAGTTAGAAATTTTGCCACATTTTTCTCCCTTCTTCTGAGCCCTCCAAACTGTTTCAGCCTCTGCCTGTTACTCAGTTCCAAAGTCACTTCTACATTTTCAGTTATCTTTACAGCAGCATCCCACTCTTTCTGGTACTAATTTAATGTATTACTCCATTTTCATACTGCTATGAAGAAATACCCGAGACTGGGTAATTTATAAAGAAAAAAAAAAAGTTTAATGGACTCACAGTTCCATATGGCTGGGAAGGCCTCCTAATCATCGCAGAAGGTGAAGGAGGATCAAAGGCACATCTGACATGGTGCAGGCAAGAGAGAGTGGTCAGAGGGAACTGCCCTTTATAAAAATATCAGATCTCATGTGTGTTTTTCACTATCACAAGACCAGCATGAAGAAACCCACCCCCTCAATTCAATTACCTCCCGCTGGGTGCCTCCCATGACACGTCAGAATTATGGAGCTGCAATTCAAGATGAAATTTGGGTAGGAACACAGCCAAGCCATATCAAACTTAAAGGGCTAACACTACCTGATTTCAAGACTTACTGTAAAGCCACAGGAATCAAGATAGTATAGTACTGGTGAAAAGAGAAGCAAAAAAATCAAAGAACACAGTTAAGAATATAGAAATAGAACAACAAATTTATGGACTTTTCGTTTCTGACAATGTTTCTAAAGACAAATGCATGGAACAAGGATAGTCTTTTCAACAAATTTTGTTGAAGCAATTGGTCATCTATTTACACAAAACAAACCTTAATCATAATATGTACCACATAAAAAAATTAACTTAAAATTGGTTATGGATCTAAATATAAGACATCAAACTGTAAAACTTTTAAGAAAAACAAAACATTGTGTCACTGGAGTGGGCAAAGATTTCTTAAACAACACCAAAAGCATGATTAATAAAATTAAAAAATGATATGTTGGGATTCATGAGAATTAAGAATTTTATTCAAAAGACAGTTTAAAGAATGAAAAGGAAAATTAAATTACGCAGGGCAAAAATGTTTGCACAATACAATATTTGATAAATTTTTATATTCTACATCATAGATGATATTCTGAAAAGGCAAAATATATAGGTACAGACAACAGATTAGTGCTTGTCCTGGGCTCTAAGTCAGTGGAGGGGTTGTTTACAATGGACAATGGGAGGATTTGGGAGGCAGTTGATGATTTTCTATGTCTTTATTAATGGTGGTTACAAGACTTTATGCATTTTTCAAAACTAGAAGAATCATAAACTCTAATGGGTACATTTTATATTTAAGTTTTGCCTTATTTAAAAAAATAAGAGAGACGACAAGCTACTGGGAAATAATCTAGCCTACCTAATATTTAATGTATTTGTCCTCTGCTTTGCTCTGCTCCTCTGGTGGGCTTCCTAATTGGCAGGTGCAAGCTGAGTTCTGGGCAGTATGCTTGCATTTTGGCCTGGACAAGGCATTTAGATACAGCTTAGTTATTGACTTCTGTGTCACAAAGGGGCTGTGAGCCACCCTGAAGCTTTTCTTTGGGTTTCCACTGGAGAAGCTGTGCAACATTCTGGCCATGATATGTAAAAAATCATGAGTTTTATTCATCATAGTAACTATAGTTTTCATAGAGAGATTATATTTGGGCAACATTATTTTTTAAAATGTCTTTTACTCAGTTAACTACCAACTAAGTATAGAGAGGAAGTAAAAAAAAGTTATCTATAGAATTATATACTAATTGAAATAAAATATAAAATCATTTAAATGTTTAACCATGTTAAAGGGAGCATCATGACCCAGAGCGTTATTCTTAGAAGTTGCCAGCCTTATAAAGACCCATCAGGGTAAGCAAGTCTAGGGACAAGCAGTTAAAAATGAAGCACTTCTAACTATGTACCTCAAGGTGAAATAGATTTTATAGAAAAAGCCATATATGATAAAAATCTAAACTTTCAGAACTAGATGACTTTGATGGATGGCTTTACAAAATGATAGCTAATATAACATAATTCAAAATCAAATGAGTTTTTAAAATAGAGCATCTGGGCCGGGCGCGGTGGCTCATGCCTGTAATCCCAGCACTTTGGGAGGCCGAGGTGGGCGGATCACGAGGTCAGGAGATCGAGACCATCCTGGCCAACACGCTGAAACCCCGTCTCTACTAAAGATACAAAAAATTAGCCAGGCGTGGCAGTGGGCACCTGTTGTCCCATCTACTAGGGAGGCTGAGGCAGGAGAATGACGTGAACCCGGGAGGTGGAGCTTGCAGTGAGCCAAGATCGTGCCATTGCACTCCAGCCTGGGCAACAGAGTGAGACTCCATCTCAAAAAAAAAAAAAAAAAAAAAGAAAAAGAAAAAAAGAAATGAAAATAGAGCATCTGGCAGAGAGCATCGTCCATATGACCCTTCACCTGGGTCATATTCTCACTGTGGCTTCCAAGGCTTTTTCTCTACCCTTTCCTTCAATTTGAGTTTGTTTGTTGCAGTGAAACTAATGATATGTTTCATGAGACAATAATCTCTTTCATGTTGCAGTATCAGAAAGTACATATGAATGACCCCAAGAATACTGTCTATGAAGAAATTTTTGTGAAACCCACAACATTAAGCAGTAGTGGCAAATTATTAGTCAAGGGTCTTTCCTCTTACCTCATAATTCTATCACATGAACATGATAGTAAGTTACTTATATAGTTTGGCTCTGTGTCCCACCCAAATCTCACCTTGAATTGTAATCCCAAAAATCCCCACGTGTCAAGGTCAGGACTAAATGTAGGTAATTGGATGATAGAGGAAGTTTTCCCCATGCTATTCTCATGATAGTGAGTGAGTTTCATGAGATCTGATGATTTTATAAGCATCTGGCATTTCCCCTGCTAGCACTCACTTCATTCTGCCATCCTGTGAAGAAGGTGCCTTTCTTCCCCATCACTTTCTACCATGCCTGAGGCCTTCGCAGCCATGTGAAACTGGGAGTCAATTAAACTTCTGTATAAATTACCCAGTCTCAAGTATTTTCTCATAGCAGTGTGAGAATGAGTTAATATAGTTTATTTCAGGAATGATTCAGCCTTCAAACAAATGTACTACTGAACATCCAGACAATCAAAATAGACAGACAAGCAACCAATAAAAACATCATGAAAGATATTTTTCTGTCTTCAAAATTAGTTTAGAATTATCTCTAATTTTTAGTTCAGGAAATTTTTATCACTTAAGCGATTATACTTTTGTTCAGTGGAAAATTTTCAGATTTGTAGCTCTCAGGAAAAGTTGATTTAATATTTTTTAAATTATTGTTTTTCAACTTTAATAATATTAAAATCATTTTAAATATATATTTTAGAAAGTTTTAGTAATATTTCTCCTTAATACAAAAATGCAATCTTACTTTCTTAGGTATAAAAAATTAGGATGCAAAATAGGACCAACATTGCTGAGAGACTAGTACAAGGAATCATCTTCTGGTTATAGATTTATTCATTTTAATCAGGAGAATAAAAGCATGCTTTTGATGTTTTTATCAGACAGTTTAGATTTACATTTTGTTTTGCTAATGTGGAAACAACAAATTTACCAGGAGTTTTATGGAAGGTTCCTTCTTTTCTTCCACTATAAATCAGTAATCTTTGAAAGTTAGAGTTTAACATTCATGACATTTCATTTTAAAATATTAACTTGCAAATAATGTTTTTCTCAAAATGTATTTTCTGAATGGTAGTCTATTTTTCTGTTATCTTACTCTTTAGAATATCAGTAATATTTGAAGTTTACGTTTTCAGGCCATAGAGCAGATCATGGGATAAATTTGCATTTGGACTGGTGAACTACCAGTGATTTTATGCAGGTGATTAAAAAAAACAGAAGCTTGATAAAAACATCTTCAAAAACCTAAAAAAGATAAAGAAATGGAAAAGAAAATGTCAGATTGACATTTATGTTTTAATTTTGAATATTTTAATTATCCTTCACTTCATAAAAGTATGTCATTTTACATTTCCCATTATTATATTTCACACAAGAAGTATTAATTTGTTCTTCTACAGTATCTATATACATTGATTTTCTTTCTGAAAGCAATTTGTGTGTAAATAGTTGCCTGACATCTTAGAACTCCTGCTTAAAAAACCTACCATCATTTTTTAATGGAATATACAATTTCTAACAGAAAAAAATTCTGAGTTCTAAATGTATACAAGGATGTGAAGACTTTATAATAGAGAAAAACATATCAACTGGATTTCTAACTTGTATTTATCTGCAAGATAACTTCAGCAAAACTATATTTTCCTATTGTGGTTTATAAAATAACAAAAATGTAAATTAAAATCATTATTTTCAACTATTGTAGCAGAGCATTTACACACTGTTTATAAGATGCTAATAGATCAAGGTTTTAAAAATATTTTGATATATTTTAATATTTTGATAGTTTGATAATATTTGAATAATTAACCTATGTGAGGCAAAAACTGAGAGAATTGCAAGGAGAAACAGACAAATCCAATAATATACTTGGAGCCCTCCATATGTTTCCATTAGTAATTAATACGATCAGCAAAGTAAAAATCAGTAAGGGCAAAGATGACTTGAACAGCACTATCAATTAATTTCACCTAATTCATATTTTTAGAATACTTCATCCAACAACAGCAGAATACTAGCTCTTCTCAAGCTCACATGGAACGTTCACCAAGAAAAATCACATTCTGATCCATTTAAAAACACCATATATATATATATATTTTTTTTTAAATAATAGAAATGAAAGTATGTTCTTAGATGTCTAGGGAATCAAACGGGATATCTATAACAGAGAGGTAGCCAGAGAACCCCCAAATATTTAAAAATTAAACAACGCATTTCAAATAACTCATAAGTCACAAAAGGGGATGCAAGAGAGATTTTTGAAATATTTTGAACTAAATAAAAATAATATCAAAAATATCAAAATATGTGTAATGCATAGAAATCAGTGCTTAAAGGGAAATGTATAACATGAAGTACATATATTAGAAAAGAATAAATTTCTAATATCAATAACCTCTAGCGTCCACCTCAGGGAGCTAGAGAATGAAAAGCAAATTAACACTAAAGCAAGAAATAAATAATTAACAGAGTAGAAAACAAGGAAATCAATACCAATAAACAATAGATTAAAATAAACCAAACCAAAAGTGAGTTCTTTGAAAAGATCGATAATATTGATAGACCTCTAGCCAGGCTAACCCAGGAAAAAAACAAGAGAGAGAGAGATAGTAAAAATTACCAATGTCAGTAATGAGAGAGAAGTCATTATTACTAATCCCATGGACAGTAAAATCATGATAAAAGAACAATTATGAACAACTATAGACTTACAAATTTGATAAATTAAATGAAAACAGATGAATTCATTGAAAGACACAAACTACCAAAACTCACACAAGGAAAAATAGCTGAAATAGCTACAGTAAGTAAGCTAGTGTGTTCTTGGTAAAATAATAGACATGTAGATCTATGAACCAAAATTGAGAGCTCAGAAATAGGCCCACATAAATACAGTCAACTTATTCTTTTTTTAAGTCACAAAGACAATTCAATGCAGAAAAGATCATTTTAAACCAATGGTGCTGGAATGACTGGAAATACAAATGTGAAAAATTAAATCTAAAGACAAACATTACAACTTACATAAAAATTATTTATAGACCTAAATGCAAAATGCAAAACTATAAAACTTCTAGATAAGAACATAGAAAAAATATTTATGATATAGGGTTTGATTATGAGTTTTAGATATAAACTAAAGCATAATTCATGACAGGAAAAAGTATGCCAGACTTAAGTAAAGGCTTCTGCACTGTGAAAGATACTGGTAAGATAATGAAAAGTCAAGACAAAAGTGAGAAAAACTATTTGCAAAATACACATCCAAATGGACTTACATTCAAAATACACAAAGAATTCTTAAAACAATAAGAAACAAATGAACAAACCTGGGCAAATAATCTGAACAGACACCTCATTCAGAAAAAATATATAGACAGGTGGAAAATAAGCGTATGACAAAAATGTTTAATCATCATTTTTCACTATGAAAATGAGAAATTCAAACAAAAAAGACATTCCACTGCACACAGATTAGAATGTCTAAAATCACAAGCCTGATTATACCAATTGCTGGTGAAGTTGAAGAGCAACACTTTTCATTTAATGCACGTGGGAATACAAAATGGCTTAGCCACTTTTGAAGACATTTGTAAATTTCTTACAAAGATAAACATAATCTTATGCTCCAGCAATCATTGTCCTAGGTATTTACTCAATTAACAGAAAAATTCATGTTTACATAAACTCCAATATGCAAAATTGTTTCGAAGCTTTATTTATGATTGCCCAAAACTGGGAGCAATAAAGATGTCCTTCAATAGAGGAATACATAAATAAGCTATGATACATTCACACAATGGAATACTATTTAATAATAAAAAGAATGAACTATCAAGCCATGCAATAATATGAATGAATATTAAATGCATATTGCTGAGTGAAAGAAGCCAGTCTGAAAAGGCTGCATAGTATATAACTCAATTTACTTACATAATGTGGAAGGTCAAACTCTAGAGATAATAAACAGGTCAGTGGTTGCCTTAGGTTCAGTGGCAGGGGGAGTCTTGTAAAAGTAAAGCATAAGAGATTGTTTTAGGACTGTGAAAATATTCTGTATGGTACTATAATAGTGGATGTATAACACCAGGCATTTGTCAAAATTCATACATCTTTATATCATGAAGTTAACTTTAATGCATGCAAAATTCAAAGAAAAAACAACTAGGAAGTCCAGTATGCAATACAGACTCTCACAAAATAATCTAATTGTACTAAAATATATGCAATAACCTCTTTGAAGGGAGTGTGGGGAAGATAATAATGACCTAAGTAACTTTGAAAATGAATGAGGACTATAAAAGAATAAAGACAGAAAAAATCCTACATAAACATTTTATTCTATTTGATAAGGTTGTTTCCCATAACAATTTCTGAAACCACTCTCTATGTATACCAGAATTGAACAATTAAGTAAATGAATGTGGGATGGTACAAGTTATGCCTTCTTACTGATGTTGGAAGGTTTTAGGCAAACAAGGGAAGAGGGCTTGAATATTCCACCTGGTAATGGAATAGAGTTAGACAAATCAGTACCAACTCATATTTAGCATAAGATGGATACAGAGGGTAACATATAAAAATACATATATATATATATATATATATATACACACACACACACACACATACACATACACATAGTGTACATGCATATTATGGACTGAATGTTGAAATCTAGTCCCCAGTGTGATGGTATATGGAGTGAGGCTTTGGGCAAGTGATTAGGTCAAGTGATTTAGGTCACAAAGAAAGGGTCAAAAAATCCTTTTTGAATGGGATTAGTGCCCTTATGAGAATGGGTCAGAGGGCTAGGTTCTTCCTTTACTGCCATTTGAGAGTCCATCCACATAATAGCCATCTGCAACCTGAAAGAGCGCTTTCACCAGAACCTAGTCATACTGGCACCATGACCTTGAAATACTAGTCTCCAAAACTGTGAAAAATAAATTTCTGTTGTTGATTAAGTCAACCAGTTTATGGTATTCAATATGGCAGCCCTGTGCTTGCCAAGACAATGCATCTATTTCCTTGCTTTGTCAGCTGAGAAAGCCTTGAAGAAATGTTTCTTCAATAGGAATAAAAATACCCAGCAACTGCACTCTGAAAGCATGGGCTGTATATACTGACTTACTTTCAGAAATTACAATATGGAAAGGTGGGAAAAGAGTAACTTGACAGTAGAGAAACTTGACAAACACTACATCAGCCAAGGGATCAAGGTCCACATCAGTAGTGATGTTATGTTGATACTGTGTATCCCTTGATACGATGTGATAAGAGTGGCACATCAGCTCTGTACTCTACATCTTTCTCCTAAAAACCAACAGCCTTAGTGTAATCATGAGACAATTGAGGGAGATTCTGTGAAATACATGACCAGTACTCCTCAAAAGTGTCAAGATCATCAAAAATAAAGAAGTATGGGACACTATCACAGCCAGGCGGATCGTAAGAAGACATGATAACTAAATGTGATGAGGGATCCTTGATGGGATCCTGGAAGAGAAAAAAGACATTCGGTAAAACTAAAAAACTCTAAATGAAACGTTCACTTTAGTTATTATGCATCAATATTAGTTCATTAATTGTGACAAATGTACCATACTAAAGTAAGGTATTACTTTAAAATGGAGGAAACTGGGTGTAGCTATATGGAGTATCTCTATACTATCATCACAACTTTTTTGGTAAATCTGAAACTATCATAAATTTTAAAGTTCATTTATAAAGGGATTTAAGAAGAAAATGTCTCAACATGATTAGTCACTAGAAAAATACAAATTAAGATCATGATGAGGTGTCATTAAGCAGTCATAAGAACAGCTAAAATAAAATACAGTGACATTATCAAATGTCATTGTGGCTTTGGAGAAACTAGATATCTCATCCATTTCATAAGGAGATGTAAAATGGTACAGACACTTCGGAAAAGAGTTTGACAGTTTTTTAAGAACTGAATACACAGTTTTGATATGCCACAGAAGTTGTAATCCCAACATAATTAAAATCATCATAATTAAATCACTATATAATTAAAATCACTATTGCTCCTAGGGTAAAAACCTGTACAACATGTTATTGTACTGAATACTGTAGGCAGCTGTTACATAACTGTAAATATCTGTGTATCTAAACACAGCTAAACACACAAAAGGTACAGTTAAAATATGGTACTATAATCGTATGGGACCACTGCCACATAGATGGTTCATAATTGACTGAAATGTCATAATGTGGCACATGATGGTATTTTAGCTGTTCATTCTAGCATTCCCATACATAAAATGTCTATAATAGTATATTTAATTGAAACATTTAAATAGTATCTATTGATTTTGCATTATATAAATATTGCTTATTGTTGGCCTTGTACTTTGTTATGATGTTTCCATTCTTCATTTTTGTGGGTTCTTCATGGAGTTAATACCCACTTATTTAAAAATACTTGGCTGTATTGATAACTAGAGTGAACTATGTATTACTATTATCTTTCATAGCCTTTGATATAATTTTCCAGTAGTGAAATCTCTCAGATTATTGACCACTTTAATTTTTCCCTTCAGATAACATCCCACCTCAGCTCTCTCTCTCCTTACTCAGATTGGATTTGTTTCATAGTTATAAGATCCCAAAATTTTCTTTCACTTTTTTGCTAAGAATTTTATTAACATTTTTCTTTTGGTGCCTGTGATTTGGATCATACTTTTTTCTCATTCTTGCTTATTCCGTTATTTTGGTGGGATATATTCTCACTGGGTTTCCCAGGAGAGGGTGAATAACAGAAATAATTTTGTAGACCACAGTCTCCTCATCCTCGATTAATTATTTAGCTGGGTATAGAATCCAGGCGTTTACAAGATTTCAACTGCTGCTATTGAGAACCATAATGCCATTCTGATGCCTGATCTTCGGTATAGAATCTGTTTTGTCACCCATTTTTCTGCCTCTCTGGGTATTTCACAATGATATGATTTAATAATGGTTCCCTTATAAAGAATTTTCATCAGTCTCCTTCTTTCTAGCTCACATGTCACCCTTTCCTTAGAAAACAGGCATCCCATATTTATTATTATCATTATTTTATTTGTATACATTTAACAGATACATGTGCAGTTTGGTTACATAGATATGTTGCATAGTAGTGTAATCTGGAATTTTAGTGTAACCATCACACCTGAATAGTGTACATTTGCACTCATTAAGTAATTTCTCATCCCTCACCCTCCTCCCATCATCCCACTATCATGAGTCGCCAGTGGCTGTTATTCCACATTCTATGTCTACGTATACACATTATTTAGCTCCACTTGTAACTGAGAACAAGTGGCATTTGACATTCCATTTGAGTTGTTTACATTAGGATAATGGCTTCCAGTTTTATCCATGCTGCTGCAAAAGACATAACTGCATTCTTTTTTATGCCCAACTAGGGTTCTATCGTGTGTGTGTGTGTGTGTGTGTGTGTGTGTGTGTGTGTGTGTGTGTGAGAGAGAGAGATATATATATTACAAATTTTCTTTATCCCATAATCCGTTGATAGACAGGTTGATTCTGTATCTTTGCTACCGTAAATAATGTTGCAAAATAAGCATACAAATGCAGGTATCTTTTTGATATAGTGATTTTTTTTTTGTTTGGGTAGATACACAGTTATGGGATTACTGGATCAAATGGTAGTTCTTTTTTTAGTTATTTGAGAAATCTTCATACTGTTTTCTATGGAGGTTTTACTAATTTACATTCCCACCAACAGTGTATACGTGTTCCCTTTTTTCTGCATCCTTATCAAAATCTTTTTTCAATCTTTTTATAGGTGGATATTCTGCCTGTTGTAAGATATCTCATTGCATTGTGGTTTTAATTTGTGTTTTTATGATAATTAATGACATTGAGTATTTTAATATGTATGTCTTCTTTTGAGAAAATGTCTTTTCATGTCCTTCGTCCACTTTTTAATGGGTTATTTTGTTGTTATTCTTAAGTTATTTGAGTTCCTTGGAAATTCTGGATGTCAGGCCCTATGTGAGATTCATGGTTTGCAAACATTTTCTTCCATTCTGCAGGTTATCTGTTTGCTCTGTTGATTATATTTTGCTGGCTATGCAGAAGATTTTTAGTTCAATAAGTAACATTTGTCTAATTGTATTTTTGTTGCTTGTGCCTTCAAGGTCTTAGTCATGAATTATTTGCCTAGGCCAATGTGTAGAAAAGTTTTTTCCTGGGTTTTATTCTTCTATTTTAATCATTTCAGGTCTTATTTAAGTCTCTGATCTATCTTGTGTTGATTTTTGTATATGATGAGAGGTAGGAATCCACTTTCATTCTTCTGCCTATAACAATTCAATTCTCTCGGGATTATTTATTAATAGGATATCCTTTCCCCACTGTATTTTTTTTTTTTGTCAAAGATCAGTTGGCTGTAGATATGTGGCTTTATTTCTCAGTTCACTATTCTATTCCATTGGTC
Source organism: Homo sapiens (assembly GCF_000001405.40). Taxonomy (NCBI): domain Eukaryota; kingdom Metazoa; phylum Chordata; class Mammalia; order Primates; family Hominidae; genus Homo; species Homo sapiens. The sequence goes on along the minus strand of NC_000006.12, from coordinate 81,189,512 downwards.
TATGTGTCTATTTTGTCTTCCACTACCATGCTGTTTAGGTTACTATAGCCTTGTGTAACTTGAGGTCAGGTAATGTAATGCCTCCAGCTTTGTTCTTTTGCTTAGGATTACTTTGGCTATTTGGGCTCTTTTTTGGTTCCATATGGATTTTAGGATTGTTTTTTCTAATTCTGTGAAAAAATGATATTGGTAATTTGAAATAAATTGCATTGAATCTGTAAGTTGTTTTTGGACAATATGGTCATTTTAATGCAATTAATTCTTCTGATCCATGAGCATGGGATATTTTTCCATTTGTTTGTGTCATCTACAATTTCTTTCATCAGTTTTTTGTAGAGTCCCCTGTAGAAAGCTTTCATCTTCTTGGTTAAATATCTTCCTAAGTATTTTATTTATTTATGTATTTATTTATCTAGTAGCTATTGTAGATGGGATTGCCTGATTTGGTTCTGAGCTTGATTGTTATTGGTACATAGAAATGCCACTGAATTTTGTACAATGATTTTGTATCCTGAAACTTTACTAAATTCACTTGCCATGTCTAAGAGTTTTTTTTGGAGAAGTCTTTAGGATTGGCAAATATAAGATTACACTATCAGCAAACAAATCTTTGTGGAGTTTTGTAGTATAAATAGACTTACTACTTGCTAATATCCCTTTTGCAGTGACTTGGAACTTTATTCACTCAGTTGGTTAAAAAACTCACCAGTTTTCCCTAGCCCTCAAATTATTGAAATGTCTTGTGCTTTATTATATGTTCTCTTCTGCTCTCATCCTTGCATAATTACAACTGTTTTTATTCAAATGGGACTCAATAAGGGAGATGACATGAGTGTACACATTCTATCTGCTACCTTAACTGCAAGTTAATTCAACAACTCTTACTTTTATTTTATTAATATAATTACCATAAAACATTTGATTCAGCTATTTTTTTCTGTTAATTCAATAGCTTTTTAAGTTTTTTATCTTGCCTTTGTTTTAAATAAACTGCCTATAAATAGGAACCTTTAATATATCAGCAATATATTTACTAGCATGTGTGGTAGTGATAATTAATCTAATAAGACATGCAGTAATCTGTTTTGAAAAATGAGTTGTTTCAGTAAAAACTTACTGAAAATCATTTCATTATTTTTTGCTTGAAATCTTCCTGAATTCAGTGCCACTTACTTTTTGTCTTAAAGAGGATTATGTTTACTGAATGAATATTCTTTTAGCTAGTGCTGATAATCTTTATTCACCAAAAACTAGATGATTTACTCAATAGCAAAAATAACATTTCAGGTGCTGTGGAGACATGAAAGATAGGGTGTTTTATATATATATATATATATATATATATATATGATCATCATTAAGTTGATACTTTTTTTCTTGCCTTTGCTGTCTAAACTTAGTGCTGTAATTCTAATTTTACTTCTCCTTGGCTACTTTTTAAATCCTTGATGATTTACTACAGTCTATAAACTAAAGAAAAATAAAATTTCCAGTCAAAACACTTATTTCACTAAAATATTGAGTCTATTACTGTGGTACTAAAAGCTCATGTCTCTAAGGTAGTTTAAATAAAATAATAGAGTATTAACAGATGTTTTCCTCAGAGCTTTTCTTCCTTCATTTCTTCTGGGTTTCCAGATGGGTCTTAATTGTTTTTCAATAGATTTTCCTTCATCTGGATATTATAGTTCTCAGCAAATACTCATTGAATTAAGATTGAATTATCACAAGAAGAATTCTTCTTGATGACAAAGTAAAATCTTTTAAGTTGTTTGAATAATTTATAGAATATATACTAGAATATATACTAAGAAATTCTAGTAAAAAGCAGAGTCTCTGAGGTTGGACTCGTTTCTCAGCTTCACTTCATACTGGCCAGGTGACTTGGGCCAAGCAATTTAACTTTTCCAAACTTTGGTTCCCTCATCTTTAAAATAAAGATTACAATTTCTTTTCCACAGGGTTTTAGTAAAGATTAAATCAAATAGTCCATAGTGCATTGCTTCCCATGGGGTAATATCTCCATAATCATTAGTTGTTACTATTTTCTTTTTTTTGACTTCAATAAAATGTTTTATTAAAATAAATGTCACCTGTTTCTTTTTACTTCTTTTTTTTAAATTATACTTTAAGTTTTAGGGATGAAGCTGGAAACCATCATTCTCAGCAAACTATTGCAAGGACAAAAAAACACCGCATGTTCTCACTCATAGGTAGGAATTGAACAATGAGAACACATGGACACAGGAAGGGGAACATCACACACCGGGGCCTGTTGTGGGGTGGGGGAACGGGGGAGGGATAGCATTTGGAGATACTCCTAATGTTAAATGACGAGTTACTGGGTGCAGCACACCAACATGGCACATGTATAGTTGTTACTATCTTCTTGTTTTGTGCTAAGGATTGAACTAGGTATTGGTGATGAGCAAAACAGCCATATTCAATGACTAGAAGTATGAAACATGATAAGTCCTAGGATAGACTAGTAAATGCATGTAGTTTTTCTTTAGACTGGTCTGGATTTATGATCTGGTTTTGGGGCTATCTGTTATTTTTGGCAAGTTATTTAACCTCTCAAAGTCTCAGTTTTCTCAATTATAAAATGGTTATTCTAACAACACCTTCATTTGATTGTCATGACAACTGTATAAGAAAATGACCATAACATGAGTAATACAGTCTTTTTCACAAAGAAGTGCACAATCATGTCAGTATGACATTAATATTTATTCCTGAAACAACATGCAAAATTTTAATCAGTTAATGGTGTTTATTCATCCATTATTCATCATTTAAGAGTGATACACATATATAAACATTGATGTTTATACACATTTTGTGAACCACATAACATAATTAAAAGTATGCTTTAATTATAGTCTTGTCTTTAAGTCACACCTTCTGAGAACTGTTTCCACCTGGGGGGTAGGTTTTGAATAACATAGTGGTATTCTATTTTTAGGCACCAATTTAAGAGGCTTGCACCTCTGAGGGAAAAAAACTACTTAGAAAGTTTTAGTATGGGTTCTGTTCTTTCTGTGAGATGTAAATTTTGTTTTCTTTTCAAATAGGGAGTAGAGACTCTCCATGCGCTCTTTCTCATCCCAGCTCTCCTGAATGTGAATGTCCAAATTAGTCACCAGGAACATAGTGAAATTAGCACAAAGCTTTCATTATTGCTGTGAATAATAACAATCCAAATTTTACTGTTTAATTTCTAAATGAAAACAAGTGTTACTTTTTACAAAATAAATAATGTGAAATTATTGCTTGCATCTTTTCCTCTGCAAGTAAACATGACCAAGATTTATTCATAGCTTTCTGCATGATATCAACATAGCAAACAATTCAGTGCATTTGATTTTTTAAGAAACTTAATCAGACTAATTATACCACATTTTGAAAATCAGATAATTTGTTAATTTAAATTTTCATTTTTATAGCATGTTTTCATGATATTACATAGACTGAAGCCTATTAGAAATACTCATGTCCATTATTTATTGCACATTTTAATTGAACTTTACAACAAAAGAACATTTTCTTGAAGATAAAAACTATTTTTACTTTCCATGTCTATAACATATGATTTAGTTGTTATGATTCTACCAAATAATTTAGATCTTAACCATATGAGATAACTGGAAAAAATTTTAAATGTTCCAAATTCTCTCCATTTCCCAAGTAGAAAAATAATTTATATTAATTCTTAAAATAAAAAGAAACATGAAAATAACACTGAGGTTGGAGTCAGGGACATCTCCACCGCAGATTCAATAGGAATTTGTGAATAAACATACAAGTAAAAATCTGAAAAAAACAGCAATAGGGAAAAAGAGTAAATTATATGCAAATTATCAAAAGGATACTGGAAGAATATGAAAGTGTTTTATGCTATCCCTTATATTGTCCTCAATATTTCTGACATAGCTAATGTTTTGTCAAGTTTTGGCAAATAGTGAGTTTTCCCAAATAGCAAGTGAGGATTACACAAACTATATTTCTAATAAAGTAATTGCTGTATGCAAAAATCAATGAAGTAAAGATCATTAGTTGAACTCTCCTATTTTACAGATGAACAAACAGGCTACTGAGGTTAATTGAAGTCATGGAGAACATCCTGTGAGTTACTTGCTGAACTAGAAATAGAACCCATGTATGTGTTCAAGCTCCTTTATGCTTCACATCACTGGGCCACTCTACATCAAAATATTTCCATTCTCTGATTTTTCAACAAAATTTTAAAATATTATCTACCAACATATTTTCTTCAATCTATAGCAAAACTTTTTAAAGAAATTGTCTAGACCAATGATCTCTCAACTAGGATGGACAAAACCCGGAATCTGTGCAGTGAACTATGTAGTGAACTGGTCACTACAGTGCAAGAGAAAATACTGTAACTTTTACTTACATTTACTTTTATCTCAAGATAAAAAATTAAAGTTCTCAAACAATGTATATTAGCATATATGTTGGATGACAATTCCTCTTAGTATGCTCAGAGTAATTTTAGCTCCTGTTTTCCAATAAAATTGTTAAATAATATTTCCTTTCACTTTCAAAATTGGCCCAGTTGAACAATAAGTTATTTGGCTAACAAGTAAAATGTGTGTACGAGCACATAAAAAGTACTCTAATGAGACAGTAGGTGCTTGACAATCTGGAAGGGTCCGCTATATCACTTCAATATATTTCAACACATAACCATTAACTAAACATAATACAAATGGAAAATGCCTGAAAAATATTACTGCAAAAAAACTAGGTTGATGTTTATAATCATAATGTAAGCATGAAAAAACAATCAGAAAATGACAGAAAGAATACTTTTAACCTTTAAACTCCTAAAGTTATTTGTCAGTCCTATAATATGATGAAAGTTGAAAAGAAATTAACTACAGTAAGCAAGGTATTTAAAAACCACAAAACCAAACTCTTTTTTTGAACGCTTAATACATATTGATTCATTTGGTCTTTATCTCTATTGGATAGGCATGACTATTATCTTACATTTAACTTGTGATGAAATTGAATCACAAAGATTTTCAATAACTTTTCCAAAGCCACGTAGCTATTATTCCTTGAAGACCATCTGAAATATTTTTGAAAGTATCATATTAATAGAGTAGTATATTAATATTATTCATATAAAAGCATTGCATAAAAGTAAGGCACACAGACTTACCCTATGTTTACAGCCTATAGAAATGAAAAATGAAAATAGTCCATTCTATTTTTGGAATTTAATATACAGATTTACTTGCAAAAATATGAAATGATCATATACACGTTTATCCATTGCAGCATTGTTTGTAATGGGAACATTTGGAAACAACCTAACTGTCCATCACTTGGGGATTAAGCAAATTGCAGCAAAAATAACAACAAGAAAAAGACAGCTATACAAAAGAATTAGAACATCCACATGTAGGTCCAGTGTTAATATTTCTATCTTGATAATGAAAAGCAAGATACAAAACAAAATGTATAATAGGCTTTTTTTTTGGTAAAATGATGCAAAGTAACCTATGTTTACATTTCAATGTGCATTCATAAAGATACTTGGAGGTTAAACAAAAAAAAAGGCAGGGAAGGATTAGTGTTGACTTTAACCAGGATTGAGGAACAGGGGTGTCTAAATGAAATGGAAGAGGGATTTTCACTTTGTATTTTGGGGTTATTAAACTATGGTCTTATTCTCCTTCCTCGAAATTAAATTAACTTAAAATTTAGAAAGCATTAAAACTATGGTATCATAACTGATCATATCAGCTAAGATAAATCAAAAACCATTAGAAATTAATTTGCCATGGTAAAAAATTACGGACAAGAGATACAAAATGTAAATGATATTTCCTTGTATTTGCTCTCTTCTTGTCAATCCTTATCAGTATGGAGCACAGAATTTATTTTTATGTTTTGCACATTTTGTTTCATAAATTTAACTACACTAACTTTTTTTCTACACATACTAAGACCATTCATAAATTTCTTCTATTCTTAATAAATAACACACCAACATGCATCTCTTGACTTTAATGGACAAGAATGAAAGATCCTGATGTTTGGGAAGATTGGCCATTTCTACAATTTATGAGTTGTATAGACTTGGATAGGATTCTTAACTTCTCTCGGACTCTTTCTTCAGCTGTGAAATGAGAAAATGATTATTCCCTTTATTTCATTTCTTAATGAGATATTGTAGGTAAATCCTCTAACACCTATTAGGGATTCAATGACTTTCCTTTTGCTTTTCATAAATAAAATGGTATTCCAGAAACAAAAGAGAACTTCCAACTGATAGATCAAGGCATGATTCATGGAGAAGGTAACATTTACTCTGAAGCTTGGAGCAGAATTACAAGTTGGACTTGTGAAAATGTAGGAAAAGAAGTTCTCAGAAGAGAAAACAACATGAGCAACATGAACTTGTTTAAAGTGTTAGAAGTAAAAGATATGTAAGGAGTACACCTGTATATCAGCTTGCAAGAAGCATAATATGCATAAAATTGGAAGTAATTAGAAGGCAGAATTTTTAAGGTATTAAAATTCTCACTAAGAAATTTGGACCTACATTTATTAAGAACAAATACCTGTTAAGAGGTTTTGTATGACATAAATAGGAGAGTGAGTTATGAAGAAAAACTCAGCAACGGAGTGTGTCTAGAGTGGAAAGAACTTGTGTAGGAAGACATTAATTATGAGTCTTTAGGAAGAGTCATGAGAGAAGTAAATAAGAAGCATGGATTTGAAGATCTGTAGTAAAATGATGGGGTAGTGACTAGCAGAGTTACTATGAAGGAAGCACTGTAGAAATGTCACCTACTATAAAAGAATAAAAATGATATAGTTATGCATACATGGAAATGTCACAGTGCATAACTGCTTTGTGGCCCTGCCCAGTCACTATTCACTTTTCCTTTAGATGTTGTATTTAATGATAAGTGGTGAATGGTTTAGTATTCTTCATTGCACAAGTAGTATGTCAAGAATGTAACATTATATATGACATATATAATGTTATATATATATATATAAAATGACATTATATAATGTCATATATAATGTTAAGTTATATTTATATATATGACAACTTAACTCAGTACCAAGCTATTTTAAAAAGAAAACCAGATAAACCAGAAAAACCTCCCATCTTAAGGTCAGTTTCTTAGGAATCTTAACCACATCTGCAACCTTAATTCCTTCTTGCCATATAACTTGACATTTCACACATACTGGGGATTAGGATGCAGTCATCTTTTGGAGCCATTATTCTGTCTACCACAGTGCTCAACCTGGGATTTTTCAGTATATGAATTCCAGAGTTTTCCTGTAGACAAATGGCAGAGACCAACATCATAGGAAACCAGGCTGGCAGTTGGACAGAATTATTTTTTCACAAAGTTGCTGAGCACTGGTGACATTTCTAGTTTTATTCACCATCACTTGCCAAATATCTTGAACCTTGCTAAGCTCTTTGAAGAATCTCATATTTATGATATTCTTTCTCACACTTATGCGTTTGAAGATCCTTTTCACTTGTTGAACTCTCATTAATTCCTCCTAAATCTCCATAATTACAGCAACTTACATGTACATTTATGTACATATTTCAACTCTTTCTAACTCTAGACAAGGAGTTTCTTTAAAACAACAACAACAACAACAACACAAAAACCTGCCATGGAAGTTATTCAGTCATACTTTTACTCTTTTATTCAATTATCCATTTTTTTTAGTTATTTGTGGATTGCCCTCCAGTGAACATTGTTCGACTTATTTCACATTATTCCTGAGCACAGACCAATCTTAAGAGCAAAAATGGGATAAATTATTTTTTATAGTGTAAATTTCCTGTGTATTTTCTCTGCCTGGAATGTCTTATGCAGATCAAATTCTGCATATTTTATAAGGTCCATCTTGAGCCTCATTGCCCTAATAACTGAGCATCTCTTAATTACTTTTATCAGAGACTAGTGGCCCTAACTCTTAATTGGCATTTATTCTTGATATTGCATTGAGATATCACTGACATTTTTTAAAATTTAGCTTAAATTTTTAACTTTCATTTATTTGCAATGTCTCTCCAATAATGTAAAAACTTCACAAGAATTTCTTGTGACTCCCATAACAACAAACATTTAAGTTTTTGAATTATTTTCTCATATGTGAAAAAACTTAGTTTCATTGTCTTATATTTATTTTTATAGGACATTTCCATTAACACCAAATCTCATTTAGAAGAGATTCCATAGAATCTTTCATTCTGTCAGTTGGATATATATTCAGTTAGCAGTGAATACTAATTGATTGACAGTGTTCAATAAGCATTTTCTCCAATATTTTTATAATCTTGTTAAATTAAAGGTAAAAATAATACATTTTGAAATGTTAAAGGTAAACATTCACTCTTGGATATTTATATGATACTGTGATGAAAATATGTATTTCAATTTAAAACAATCCTATGTCATATACCCTCCTAACTTTTTTATTTTAATACCTTTTTATCACTGCTTGCATCATCTTATATATCTTGGATTTGTTTTCTTCCTGCTATAAAATATTTTCCAATAATATTTCCTGCAGATTGTTCATGAGGTTAGCCTTCCAAGTAATTATATGTGTATTTTACCCTACATTTTGAAATAATAATTTTGATGGGTATAAAATTATGATGTCATTTTCTCTCAGGGTTACAAATATATTTCTCTATTACCTGTTTGTGTTCAGTATTATTAACAACAATAAACTACCAATTTGAAGGTCATTTCTTTGTGTATTATCTACCTCTTCCTCTGGTAACTTTTACATTTCTTTCATTATCCCTTATTTTCAAAAATGTCAGCAAAATTGTCTAAACGTGGTCATTTAAATCCAGAGGTATTAGTGCATCATTTCAATAAAAAACTATAACTTTCTTCAGATCTGAGAAATTGTGATCATTATATTTAAAGTTATTCTCTCTAGTTTATCCATTCTTCACTTCTCCCCATTACTATTAATAAATATTGAAACTTCTAGTTTTTATTCTCCACAGTTCTCCATTTTTTAAAATAATTTTGTCTTTTTGGACTGCAGTCTCTGGGAAATAAAACACTTGGCTTGGACAATCAGCCTACTAATATTTTCATTGGCAGTGTACAATTTTGCAATGATTTCATTGATCAAAATTTTTATTTTAATATTAATTTTGTTTAAATTTTTTAACTCTCAATAATGCTATTTTTATAACAAAATGTTTTTGATCCTTGATATATTATTCTCCCTTATCTCTTTACAGCTTACCATTAAATTTATTTTAAACTCCTTTCTATATTGCTCAAGTATCTCTATGTCTCGAATATAAGGTTTTTCATTTGCTATACCTCTCTTACTGAGTTGAATATTCTAATATATATATTTTTTTATTTTCCATGATAGAATGTTTCCATGCTTGTTTTCAACCACAGTTTCTCATGATTACTGTTACTTCACTCTACTCTTTCTTGTTTGTTTCTCAGGGATTTCTGATCTTGAAATGTCCACATGTTTGGGGGATAATGGTGGTTATTATTACATCTTTTTTATTATTTCTATATATTTGCTCCATGAGGAGATCTACTGGCTTTGACTTTTTTTGGCATCAAGTGTTTTGTTTCAGAAATTAATACTTTTGATACAAAGCAACACTATGTCCTACTATGATGACATGTTAAACATTAATGAATGTTATGTATGTTCGTCAACATTAGTGGTCTCATACCACAAACAGAAACATTAGAGTAATCTTGGATTTATTTGTTATTATCCTATGTACCTGTGCTAGCAAATAATATATGTGAAAACCTGAAAACAATGCTTAATCTGCTAGTTCATGCTAAAGCGCTACAATCAGGACAAGTAAATACATTTAATGTGGAAACACATTCTGCAGTAGTTGATGTCCAAATACAAACAAAAAATTCCAATTTCTTATTTTCATAAGAATTATACAGTTATTAATTCACTTAATTCACATAATTATTGCTAAAATTCTGTGAGGTTGGATTTAATATACTTTTTCAGATAAGAATATTTAAGTAGAATATTAGCTCAGCCAATACCACAGAAGTATTATAGAGGAAAACTTTCATCCAAACCACAGTAGCCTGGCTCTAGAGTTTATTTGCTTAACTACTGTACATACTACTTCGGTGGGAAGAATTCCTTCTTGACTTGTGAACCCATATTCAGTGCATTGATTACAACTATTTGACATAAGGAAACCAAAACTCAGAAATTTGCATAGCAAGTTTTATATTTCTTAATTTTAAAACTTATACCCCCTAAAACTTAGCATATATCTTTCTGTTGGCAAAACAGTCCTAAGACATTTCTGGCTTCTCTAGGAGAGTCTCTCCATAGTGTTTTCCTTCATTCTTTCTTTCTTTCTTTCTTTCTTTCTTTCTTTTTTTTTTTTTTTTGACACGGAGTTTCTCTCTTGTTGGCCAGGCTGGAGTGCAATGGCGCGATCTCGGCTCACTGCATCCTCAGCCTCCCGTAGAGCTGTGATTACAGGAATGTGCATGTGCCACCACACCTGGCCTAAATTTTTTTTTTTTAATTTTTACTAGAGACGGGGTTTCTCTATGTTGGTCAGGCTGGTCTTGAACTCCCGACCTCAGGTGATCCGCCCGCCTTGGCCTCCCAAAGTGCTGAGATTACAGGCATAAGCCACTGCGCCCAGCTTCTCCGTAGTGTTTCCTATCTCTTCGCAGTAATTAGAACAATTACCAGTGAAAGAGAACATTGAAAATTCTCCTGTTTTTAACCTCAGTCTCTTCATGGTTTGATCCCAGAATTCTGATTTAAATTCATCATCTCTACCTAATTTTATTTTTTTAAATTTTTATTTTATTTATTTATTTTTTTGAGACAGAGTCTCGCTCTGTCGCCCAGGCTGGAGAGCAGCGGCGCGATCTCGGCTCACGCAACCTCCACCTCCCAGGTTCAAGCGATGCTCCTGCCCCAGCCGCCCGAGTAGCTGGGATTACAGGTGCGTGCCACCACATCCGGCTAATTTTTTGTATTTTTTGTAGAGATGGGGTTTCACCGTGTTAGCCAGGATGGTCTCCATCTCCTGACCTCATGATCCGCCCACCTCGGCCTCCCAGAGTTCTGGGATTACAGGCATGAGCCACCGCGCCCGACCCATCTCCACCTAATTTTGTTCTCCCAGTTGCGGTTCTTACCTCATTAAATTTTACCAGCATCAACCATTTTCTTAAGCTATATACAGTAAATGTATATACAGTATATGCGTGTCATCTTTTATTTATGTCTTCCACATTTTTATCTGTATTAGTCTGTTCTCATGCTGCTAATAAAAATATACCTGAGACTGGGTGATTTATAAAGGGAAGAGGCTTAATCTTAATGGACTCACAGATCCACATGGCTGAGGAAGACTCACAATCATGGCGAAAGATGAAGGAAGAGCAAAGGGACATCTTACGTGGTGGCAGGAAAGAGAGAGCTTGTGCAGAAAACTCCCATTTATAAAGCCATCAGATCTCATGAGACTTATTCACTATCATGAGAACAGTATGGGGGAAACTAACATCACTATTCAATTATCTCCACCTGGTCCCACCCTTGACATGTGGGGATTATTACAATTCAAGGTGAGATTTGGGTGGGGACAGAGCTGAACCATATCATTATCCAACTAATAGCCACAGTTTTTTTTTTTTTTTAGTTCTATCATACACACAGAAACACACACACACACACACACACAAGTATAGACACGTATACTTCTCTCTTTAAGTTATCTACAAATGGTAAAATGCAAGATTAGCATCTAATTTCTCATATGCAACATGGGACATTACAGTAGAGTAAAAAAGGCTGCCCAAAGATATTATTCAGCAAACTGAAAAAATTCAAGAAAATTATTGTTCACTGGATTAGTTTATTTTGTGCTGCTATAGTAGAATACCTGAGACTGGGTAATTTATAAACAATAGATGTTTATTTGGCTTATGGCCCTGCATGCTGGGAAGTCAAAGATCAAGGAGCTCCATCTGATGAGAGCCTTCTTGTCACATTGTCTCATGGTGGAAGGCAGAAGGGCAAGAGAGCACACACATGTGAGAGAGAAAGGGGACCAAACTCATTCTTTCATTAGGAACCCACTCCCACAGTAACTAATCTACATTCATTACAACAGCATTAATCCACTCATGATGGCAGAAACCTGTGACCTAATCACATCTTAAACACCCCACCTCTCAACATTGTTACACTGGGGATTAAACTTCCAACACATGAACTTTGGAGGGCATATTCAAACCACAGCATTCACTTATTTTATCAAAGGAAAATATTTGATTAAATACCACCGTCTACTACTAATCAGCCATAATGGGATTTGAGATGGAGAAATCAAGGAGTAGACTAAATGATGAAAAGCTTACTAGGATGCAGACTCCATGACAGCAAAAGTGTTTGTTTTGTCATGGCTAGACTCCAGAGCTTGAAGAGTCACATAAAATAAGCATTCCAAAATTATCTGATAGATGAATACATGATTAATTTGATATATCTAATTTGGTTTATATAATGTATGGTTAAATAAAAATGGATAATGCTAGATTGTTTGTTAACATAAAGTGTAACATGAAGTATGGTTACTATAGAAGAAATAAAACACAAGAAAATTTCACACCCTAGAGTTGGATAAAGTGATATTAATAAACTTATTTCTAAATTTTATCTAATGGGTGAGAGAAGGGAAGGAGGATGTAAAATGAAGATAATTCTAAAGGTTTCATCTTATTAGGATGTGGAGGAAAGCAGTAAGAGCCCTTAATAGTAGGTGAAGGAAAAACTTGATTTTTTTTTATATAAAGTAGAGTAAGCTATTTTTATTACAAGTTGCAAGGAAGAGAAAGTAAATAAACTTTAAAATTAGCTAGAAAAGGTGAAATAATTGAGCAATTCATAATGTAAAAATGTATTAATATAATAAAAGAAAAAACTAAAATTAAATATTTTTCATACTAAATGTAAATGAATAGTACTATTAAAAGATAGAAATGGCAAGATTAGATTAGAAACGATTATTGGTGCCATCTACAGAAACACTAATAATAATGTGATTTAAAAAGTGAAGATAAAGAAATTGGTAAAAAAGAAATCAGGAAGTGCACTTAAAGTGGAATAGCAGCAGTTCCAGTAATACCAAATAAAGTTGAATTTAAACAAGATTTCATTACATAGTTATATGATTTTCTGAAAGAAATCATAGTAAAAAATCTGTAACACAAAAGTTGCAGCTAAATATAAAAAGTAAAAACGGTTAGAAATACACAGAGAATACACAAAAATACAATTATGTAGGATGATTTCACTTCTCTACATTTGATACATCTGGAAGCTGAAATACAAGTGTGGATATACAAAGGCAAATAATCAAACAATTTATATTTGTTTAAAGCATTGCCTTTGAAATGAAAATAAGCATTTTTTAGACCAGTGAATATTTACACAAATTCAAATAGCTACTTGAAAAAAATAAAACATAAAAAAGTATTAAATAATGGAGGTGTTGCAGCACACATTGTGTATTATAATCTAGTACTATTAGAAAAACATGTAGGTTTGATCAGAGTACATTATATGTAAAATTAAGAATACTAAACAACACTTGAAACATTTAGGAAATTAAAAGGAAAAATTATATACAACATAGAAAGCAATACAAATGAGAACAATTTATATTAAAATCTAATGATTATACACAACTCAGTATTTAAAGGAAGAAAAGTGTAAAACTTAAATGCCTTCATCATGACAGAAGAACATTTTTAAAGGGCACCAAGTAATTAACTTAAAAAAATTCAAAATAATAAAAACAAAATAGATTAGACTAATTAAACTTAAAATTAAAATTAATAAATTTAGTAGCCCCCTAAAATATTAGAATGGGTAAATAAATCCAAAAGCTGATTCTACACAAAGGCTAGTAAAAGGAACACTTTATATGCCTAATTAAGGAAAATAAAGAAAACAACACTAGGTAAAGAATAACTTTTAAAACTAGTATGAAGAAAGAAGATATGATTAAAACCACAAGAAAGCTTACACAATTTTTGAAAGACTAATACACAGAATTCCATAGCAATAGTTTTGAAAACCTTTGGGAAATATAGGATTGTTCTAGAAAGTACAAATTACTAAAATTGATCCAAGATCAAGTGGAAATTTGAATAGACTAATAATGATAGAAAAGTTAGAAAACTGATTAAAATTCACTAATACAAAAAGACATAGATTAGATAAGGGCCATACTTTATCTAACATGTAAAAAAATTCAATACTATTAAAAGAATTTCAGGCATGGGAAATGATGGGAAAGTGTCCAGTTTATTTTCTAATACCACTATAACCCCCCCCAAAAATATAACTAGAGAAAACTATAGAGAAATGTTATTTATGAACACAAATACAGAATTTTATAATAATTTATTATGACAGTAAACTAGTGTTATTTACTAATTGCCTTACTCAACTTTGTTTCCATCTATTAGAAATTGTCAAGATAATTGTACCTGTTCTGTGAATGGTGCCTCATAGTGTTATTCAGTGCAAGCCTTGCACAATCATGCATAGAGCAGGGCCTGACACACTGACAAAAATCTATTACAGATAGATAGACTAAGGATTTTACATATCAACGTTAAAAAATAAAGTATTACAAATGAATCAGGGAGTGACATCTCATGCAAACTTCAGGAATATTGCAGAATTCTTAACCCAAACTGGAAACCAAGAGGCTTTTCAAAAATTCTACATTCAATAATTTACTATAAATTAAAGCTTTTTATAGTAAAGCATATTATATGGAACTTAATAGAAAAAAAGAAATTTGGAAAAAATACTGTTAAATGAAATAGAGAGATTTTATCTAGAATAGACAAAGAGTTCCTAGAAATTAAAAAAAAAAAAACTCAACGTAAATGTTGGCAGCAAATATGTAAATATAACCTATAGAAAATAAAAAGCCAAAAAAGGAAGTCAGAAAGGTAAATCTAAATGGTCAGACTATTAACTGTTATTCTAATTTACATTTTGTTAATTGATAATAAAATTAAATTATGATATTATATTATTTAGTACTTACTAAATTAGTAACAATTAGGAAGCACTACAATATTTATTTTCGTAGAGGAAGGTTAGTTTCACATATTGCTGATGGAATTTAAAGTGTTAACAATAATATTTCCTTAAAAATGTCAGAAATACATAGAGCCTTTAACCCAGAAATTGGCAAACCAAAGATGAGTAACTTTCTAATTTACATTTTCCTAATTGATAAGTTATGATACTACATGATTCTGTATTCACTAAATCAGCAACAATTATAAGAGCTAGAATACTTATTTTCCTAGGGAAAGGGTAGTTTCACATATTGCTAATGGAAATGTAAATTGCTGCAACCCTTTTTGGAAAGGAGCCTGGCAATATTTCTTAAAATACAAAATACATTGAGCCTTTAACCCAGAAATTCCATTCCTGGGTGTTCATCACAGGGAAACAAAACACCTATAAGTATAAAAGCATAAGTTTGTTACCTTGTAATAGATAAAAATAAACAAAAATTGAATATAAATCAATATAGAAATGGATAATAAATTAAGGCAAAGCTACTTGATAATTTATTAAAAATAATAAATTAGATCTATACAGGTTAATGTGAAAGGATTGTCACAATGCATTGTTGGAAAATGAGATTGAGAAAATGGTATAAAATAACCCCGTTTTGTAATTAATGACCATAACTTCTTTTATGTATGCTAATTTGTAGGCCTGAACTTGTAGAGAATAGTGAGTCATCACCATGCAAGCCTTTTTGTGTGAAGACTTGGGAGTGGTCTGATATAGGTAGTCTTAGAAGCCGAAAGAAGATAAAAAGGGACGAATACAAATACATTTAAATGTATTATGTAATTAAAATACAGAGGTCTTATATTTTTTGAGGAGAGCAATATGCCTTCAAAACATGTTCTGAAAAATCTATTAGCCTTATCAAACTTTACAGTCACATATTCTTGTGGGATAAATTTAAGTTTTCTTAGCATACATCAATTGTTTGGCTAACTCAAATTAAACGCATTAGTTTACAAGCTGGAAATTTTTGAATTAAAGTACGTGGCTATATATTCAAGTAATCAAAATGAATCTTCACATAGGACTATATTTTAGTATATTATTATAAGAAAGATGTCCTATAACATGACCATCAATGAAACTTTTAGTTTTCCATCTACAAACTGACATTCTTACTCAACAGACCTTCCATGTGGTGTACAATTTATGTGAAAAGCAACTGAATTATATGTATTCCTTACATTTGGGGTGATAAAAATAGCTTTTGCAATTTTATTCTGGACCTTGTATTCTAATTACAATAGTTAAATAAAATTCAGTATTTTAAAAAAGTTTTTAATTTTAAGACAGCAACTGCTGAAGGAAGTGCACTAATAAGAATTATTTTCTTTCTCCAGAGAATACATTTAGTGTCACATTTTGATCAGCAAGTGAGTCAAGACTGTGATATTTTCAACTAATAAGATTTTAATAAATGCCTCTGGAAATGAAAGGAGGCTAAAATGCTATTGAGCTATTATAATATCTCAACTAGTTTCCTGGTAACAGTCAGTCTATAGTAAAAATGCCTCTTAATAGTTTCCCTAGAATGAATTAATTCTACAAGTTTATTAATATCTCATACCTCAGTAAGAAAGAGTTTGTTCTCTTGGTAACTCCTGGTAGGAATTTCTTGGCTGCCATTCAAGATTAGGGCCAAGCCACAAAGATGCCCTATTGAGTGAAACTGGCATCTATATCTGGACTTAGCTCATCAATAAATAACCAGAAGGAATATTTCCTTTCTGTCACTGGGGAGCTGCATTTGAAATCCGCTTCTGCTTACTGCTTGTTCATGGTCAGGCCCAGACCTTTTGGGAGCAGAGAAGGCCAGGCACAATGACTCACTGAAGCCTGAGCACAGAGAAGGAAATGCTCAGATGGCCAAAATGCTATGTGGAGTTCCATTCAGAGCACCACATATTTCCCTGAAACTTGCTTAGGAAAACATTCTAATGCTGTTTTTAGTGTGTTCTATTTGTCATTTTGAAACACAACACATTAGCTGCTTTGAACTCCTGGGCACTAAAAATATTTAAGTTACATAAGCAGATTGATTGAAAGACTAAATGGAGCTTTTAACTCAACACACTCAAAAGCATCTCCTTATTGCTCTAACGAATAGTGAAGCTCTTGTAAGCGACTGTGGAAAGACTTCCAGCCAGCCAGCCCATGTTGGACAGTGCAAAGGAGCAGCAAAACCAAGATAAACAGCCGTGCATATTTTCTACTGCTGGAATGAAAAGCAATGTTTTGCAAAAATAGATACTCTTTTTCCTATTACTATTACAATTCTTGCATGACACTCATGTTCAATTGTTGGCTCACTGGAACTTTCAAAATGTTTGAGGGTAGAAGAAAAACAGAAGAAAGAGATACTGCTTTTGTGTCCTATTACATCCCATACACATTTGCAAAGCAGACACCATGCAAATATAAAAGCAAATTTTCCAAATTTACTAGTCTTTTCTGCCTTTGTTTTTGTTTTCTTTTACATTTTTGGAGTTTCGATTCATACAATTGAATCTTTTAGTGTGGGTACCTCTTTACCTTTGGTACTCCTGTGTAAAGCACCCACTGCCTCTTTTTAGGGCTGTATAGTTACCAGTGAGTTTGGAAGTTTTATCTGAATATTATGTGTGTCATATTATATGTAGAAAATATGATGTAACAGTGATGAGAGAATCTTTATAGGGGCTCTTATATAAACAAGATTTATTATACATGTGAAAATAAATAGTAAGAAAATCCAGAATAAATGGCATCATAAATATTCATAATACAATTGTTTTTCAGCATGACTGAAAATAAATGTGACACCCCAAAATGTAAAACATAGATATGCACACATACCCCTCAAGGGAAGATTGGTAACCTGGGTAACTTTCTTTGCATTCCCTTGCAGTCCTACTGAAGTACTTTACTGGGCAGGGTGGGGGAAGGAAAGAAAAAGAAGGACTTGGTGGTAGCATCGTAAGTCTCATAAAATGTTGAAAACAAAATAAGCAATTCTTAAAACTTTTTTCCTATTTTTTGATTAGCCATTTTGGGTCAAATGCATACAGAAATCAAAATAAAGTTATAATTAAAATCTGTTTTAAAATCTAATTTATATCCAAATAAATAGGACAAATACCTGTTACCTTACTATAAATATAATATTAACTTTACTTCATACTAGTTTCCCTAAGAAAAAATTTAAAACATTCTCGCTTGAGGCAGGGGGTACACCCCAGTCAGCCAAATTAACCTGCATAGCAGTAAAAATATATAATTGTATAACAGATATTTTTTAAAGAAAAATATTTTTAAAGCCTCCACATTTGAAGAATAATAAAAAAGAGATGGCTTTAATTAGTGGCAAACACAGATGTGAAATAAAATGAGGAGGGGCACAGGATATAGGAAACTATTTGAACTATTTTAGCACTTGAAAATGTCAGACAATTTATTGAGGATTTATTCACTTGGTTTGGAAGGTCTCAGGGACTAGCTGTAAAAACATCTAAGAACTGGTCTGTTATAACTGAGTCAAACAGGAGTGTGAGCACAGAGTACTTTTCAGGTTATTTTATTACACAAGTAAATGAAAGGAACAAATTAATTACTGTTCTTTTAACTAGAGCCTTATGAATAAAAGAGAAATAACTAAGAAAGGAAAGTAAAAACTAAATTAGGAAATATTTCATTTTGGAAAAAAAATTAGACTGTCCCCTCTGCATGCCTTAAACCCAAAGGAAGATCATACCCCATTTAATTTCTTCCACATAGCAGCTTTAATTTTAGGAAATTTTTGCATTAATTTGTAATCCTTCAGCTATTGAAGGTTAAGCTAATATAAAAACTACTGTTCTACTCCACATGAAGCTTTTCAGAATATGTAAGATCATTTATGAGCAACTACTTTCACATATTAGAAAAAAATGAGTTAAGCTGATTTTATATCAATATATTTAAGATATTGAGTAATTTACATGTATTCATGTTATAAATTGTTATTGTATTCAGTTTACACTTACAGCTTATACTTATTGTATACACTTAAATTCAACCTCTTATCCTGATTTTATCATGTATACAACTATTCATTTCTACAGGGGGACAGGCCTTCAAGTATATTGTAAGTAGTCAGCAACCTATTGCCTGTCACATTTTCTGAATTCAAACTTGTTACTACGTTAACTGCCTTCCCTTATTATCATTGCGTTAGCTCATACAACAAAGTCAATTTGAAGGAAGCATATTTTAAGAAGCCAACTTTTGCTTCAGGAAAAAACCTTATTATTGTTATTTTTTTGTCCTATGTAGACACCACTCTCACCCAATGACGAGAGGGACAAATAAGAGAAGAAAAGAAAATCCACATTTTGAAAAAATGATATTATTTTAGTTTTTCTCTTTTTTTCTCCTCTCCAAGTGATCTGGGATTATTACTGTGAATTACTTACTACTTTAGTGTTGAGTGTTGTTGTTTGTTCTGTGTCTAGAAAGTGAATTATCTCAAGTGCTAAGTGTTCATTTGTAGCTTAAATTTCAGAATAGTAATTGCACACATACTATTCAATAGGGTAAGTGCAGGAAAAATTGTTAAAGAAGTATTCAAATAAAAATGTTTCTAATCTCTCTTTTATATCTTATTTTAAAAAATAAATAATAAATAATATCAATAGCCTTTTTAGCTAATGATAACTCCCTTTGTAAATTTAAGTGTATAATATCTCACACAGTTTCAAACTATGATGTTTTCCCACCCCTTTATTCTATTATTCTACTTTTAGATTTTTTTTTTTTACTTGAGAATTATTTACACAAAAGGAAACTGCCGTAATCAAGTCTTTATCCAGGTCACTGGAGCACCCTGCCTTCCTCTCTTCTGTTTTCCCACTCACCCCACACAAACTGGAATGTAGCTGCTAGCATCATTTTCCCTGTTCTAAAGACATCATAAAAGCAACTGGATAAGTGTGAGCAGTGGCCAACTTTTCTTTCTTTGCCTTTTGGTAAACAGTGTGATTCACAAGTTTTCAACTCCACTTCCGAAGCTTTCAATCACTCTTGCAAACCACTACAGCCTGCAGAGCAAGAACATAATCAGAGAAAAAAGAACATCTTGCATAGAAGAACAAGAATGGTTGTGTGAGAAGGAGATTGTATCAGAAATTACTAAGATAATGCTTTTCCCAAACTCATTTCTATTATTAGTTACTATTACCAGGATGTTATAAGGGAAAATAATGAGGCAAAACATTACAAACATAACATAAAGTTGGGCTTTTTAAAGAGATAGACTATGATTAGCTCTCATCATGTCTGGTCAATTGTCCCATGAACCTGTTGAATTAAATTTAACTGAATGAGAAGAATGCAAATGTCTTTACCATTAAGTAATAAATATATCTACTGGCTACATTATTATTTCAAGCAGATCATATTTTACAACTTCTGTAGACAAATAAGGTTAGTGTAATTCAATTTCAGAAGTTCAGTAAAACTTCTGAAAACAATTTTGGGAGTTTCTTGACAATACAGACTCAAAGATCTCTACATCTGCAAAAGATTTCACTGCATAAAATATTTGTAGGCCCTGTTTAAACTTAGCAATGTCTTTCGGTAAACATTTTACCTACACCCACCACTACTTGGAGCAACCTCAGAAAATATATGTCATTGTACTTTATAATCAATATTCTCAGTTGTAACACAAAAAAGAAATGCAAATGCAATAGTTAAAGACAGTGGGATAGAAAGGGAGCCGAAGTAGTAAAAGTGCAGAAACTGATAATGTAAATGAAAAAGAATAACCACATAGATTATAAAGTAATTATATTGTTATGACTGACTCTGATGATTTTAAAAGCCTCTTAATCATATCAGAGGACAATTTATAAATTGTCTCTTAACTCTATCCTACCTACTTTTATTTTTATAAACTTCTTCCTGACAAGTTTTTTTCCACACATATATTTGAAGAAATTCAGTCTATTCATGTTCAAATGTTAAGTATGAATAAAGTCACCTAATTGTTCACTTCAAAAACTATGTAGGGATTGTTTATTGTAGTATCACTCCTAAAACGTCTTTTCTTCTGTATAATTTCATCTACAGTTAAATATAATTTCTGTAATTTGTTTCATTCTTTAGATTTTTAGAATTTAAAAAAAGTAGGGTAAGTCCTTCACATAGCCTATGGATCAACATATCAGGGCTGAATCAGGACAAAAAATGTGTAATAGACATCAGTAAAATTTGGAGGTAATTTGATTTATTTTTTTGTGCCAATAATAGGATGAGGTAAACTGAGAAAAAAATGCATGATGAGTAGTATACATTTAAGAAAAATAAAATTATTTTTTGATAAAAAGAGTTTTGAAAGAATGTGTGAAGAAAGCTTTCTTAAAGGGTCATATACTTTGTTTATTGGAATGAATCATGATCTCAGATGTCACATTGGAGGTTGCTCCCACCCCCCATAACTTGTGTAATGCTGCCAGATTAAAAAAAAATTCTTTATTTACTCTTTAAGTGTAGCACCTAGACAATGGGTATCTATTATCTGTATACACTAACCCCCAAAATGATCAGGACATTTTTAGGTGTAGTTTAGTTGGTTTAATGTTTGAGCCAGAAATCTCAACAGAGTGGCAAATGTAGGTCAATACTTTCCAAACCTATCTGTTGAGTATAAGTTCCAATATGACTTATATGTTCCATATTCATTTGAACATTTTAAAAGGTAGAGTATCCAATTACCAGTATGTATAAAAGCCAAATAAAATGATGTAGTGCTATTAATGCTAATAAAATTGACTAACTATTGAAGTTTTGTGTTTTCTTGGCACTTCTTTCACACATTCACATATTCATTTATGTATTTAGTCAACATATATAATAATTTTCCTGTTTTATAAACAAAGATACTGAGGTAGGAACTCTCCCAAGTCACATAGGCATTGACTGTCAAAGCTAGGGTTCAGAGCTGCTCTCCTTTTATTTTATGCCGTCAAAATGAAAATAAAGTTTATTTTTGAAAAATGTTGGAGTTGAATTAAACGTAAAACCAAGGTTGTGAATGTAAATCTTTCTGACAATCTGAATCGTTTTCTGAATCTAAATAAATACTCATATTCAGAATAATTTATCTATTTTTCGTCCACTTTTCCCTCTTTTGATATAACATAACAAATAAATTTTAACAATATTTTTACTTTGCTGTCATAAATTTATAAACCATCTTTGAGAGAATAAGACATAAAACATCAAGGGCTTCTGCAACCTGCAAGATTAAAAGCCTGGTAGCAGCTTTCATCCCACTCTGTGCTTGAACCTGTCTGTGCCTACAGAGCTAGCAGACTGTTTAAAGTTCCTGTGGCTTGGGCAAAAGCCAGGCTTTACAGACACAGTTTCACAGAAGAGAGACTCTTTCCCCTTTTGACTGGCCAAGTTTTAAATCCTTCAGTGGTTGAGTCTGATTAGAAAGGTAACACTGGGGGAAGGTGGAATGGAGTATGGGGGTTGGTTTGTTGAGAGGTTATGTTTTATTAGAAAATAATAATAATAAAGTGTCTTCAGCTGCAAAAGATCTAACGACACAGATATTTTCAGTTCATATTAGAAGCTAAAAGATGGGTAACTCTTATGCCACTGGTTTTGCATTCATAGCTGCATTCATAGCTGCCTGGACATTTAAAAAAAAAAAGATAAAGAAAAAAAGTCAGCAGCCACCTTGCCCCTTCACTGCCATTGCTGTTTTCATTGGCTGGCTCTGAAGACACATTTCATTTCATTCACTCACTCATTTATTCACTCACACATGCTTTCATTTCTGAATTGGAGCTGCAATAAACCATATCATTGTTCTAGAATTCTAAGTTAGCTTTCTCTATTCCTGTCTTGCTCTATTCTCTAATCACTGAATCTCCAAACCGCTGAATTTTCTTTTTACTCCAATGTAGTTTGAAATAAGATAGTCTTATAAAGATATTTGATATAACATTTTTGTGTGTGGAGGGAAATGTGTGTGCCATATATATTCAATTCAAAAGTATTGATGTAAATATTTACACTTTCGTTGTGCTAAAATAATATAACGAGTACTTTTGCTTCGTGGAAAGATACAACCACCACCATGACCTATAACAGGAATCCTTCATCATGAATGCTTGAACCTCCTCATTAGGTGAGTTCTCAGGGTTTTGTGAAGGCTGAAATTACATGAAAATTGTATGTGTGTGTATATATATAAATGTATATATTATATATAAATGTATATACAATATATACACGTATAATATTTATAATATCCAGTAAAGACATTTGGCATTTCTATTAGGTTCCCAGAGTATTCTTTGACATACATCTAAGAATAAAACTGTGTATCACTTATGATAAATACCTTTATTAAAAGTTGTATGTGTATACTTTCATTAAAATCAAGATACATGAATTTTATTGCTGATTGGCAATAATTATGGGCATCAGAACATTCAGAAAAATGTTCTCCCCAGACATCCTTCTAAGTCTTTTTTCTCTTAGAACATACCAGTCACAAATTTTCAGATGTGATGTTGGATTCCAGTATGTAGGAGACAAACTTTAACAACTAACCAAAAATAAACATACCCTAAAATATGTCACTTAATCCTCTTTTCTTCACCAGAGCCTATGGTTTGCACTCCTTCCAAATTTAAAATTCTTCAGCAAAATTCTACAGATACCTTCATATCATTTACAAATCATTTCATATTCATGATCTGAGTTCTAGTCAAATCTGCTAAGTACAAAACTTACGAAATTTTGCATGCGTCACCATTAAGTTAGTTCACCATGCCAACTCTGAGAAAACTTTAGAGGCTAAAATAAAGTGAAGAAAGAAGCAAATGTCTTGCTGAGATTACAGTTTATAAGTTATTAAACTGGGAATTAAATTCAGTCTACTGATTCCGTGCCATTTGCTCTTTTTCCTCATCTTTCACAAGATGCTTTGCTAAATATTATACCTTCCTGTGTTACTGTAACTTCCCATTTATCTTTTGTCAAGTCCTGTTTTTATGCTTTACTTCTCAGTGATACTTAGTGTCACATATTTTCTTGATCTCCTTGTGCCACTACATTTATTCACTTTTCCTTCACTTGTGCATCATTCACTTAATGCAGGCATCCACTAATAACTTCCTGGTGATGTATTTAAAGAAAAACATTTAAAGAAGGCCCATTTATTCACAAATTAACTGCTCTTTCCCTTAGTCCTAAATTAATATTTAAAATTTAGATTTTCAAAACTAGATGTCATTTCTTCAAAGCTCCAGTTTTCATTTTAATTTTTATAATTTCTCTACAGCAGTAATTTAGAAGGATTTATGTAAAGATATGGAGGAACAAAGAAGTTGGAATCATTTTAGTATTCAGATGGATTGACTTATCTTGAGGAGATACTTTAAGAGTCTGTTTTGCTTAATACTCTTTTAACATAACTTAAAATTTTTCCACTCTTCAACATTGGAGAGAATTTCCTAACTCTCCTCTCTACTTATGTAAACTTTATATATTATATAATATTTAGCTCCACATTTGATTCTTCCATGAAGTATTCTCTTATCACCACAGCCTAAAGTCAATTTATTATTCCCTGAAAAATTAGAACCAATATTTTATTAATGCGTTGCAATTAGTCAAAGGATAGTCAAATCTCTACCACTGTTTCCTTGAATTCTCCTGTAATTTTTATTATAGTATTTTTCAGAATTTGATTTGTTTCCATAGCTACATAAACAACTCATAGGGAAAGAATCTATGTCTTTGGTCAGCTACAGCACTTGCTGAATTTTAAGTCCTCAACAGTAGTAAATTAATTCCATGTTACTAGTAAACTTTTCATATCATATATTGTGCTTTAAAATTTTAGAACCCTTTTTAGGTTTATATGGAGTTTCATTTCTCTGCTAGGTTTCCCTGGTTTGTTTACTCATTATTACCATTTTTAAGTTTTTGAACATATATATGATAAACATGATGCTATGTAAAATAAGTCATTCTCAAAATAATATGTACCATAGAATTCAATTCATATGAACAAGTGAATTGAATATGAAATTAATTCATGATAAAAGATCAGAAAAAATGTTTGCCTCAGAATCGGTGGTGGGGATATTGAGTGAAAAGGGGTATGTGGGGATTTTCTGGGTTGATCAAAATGCTCTACATCTTTTTGGGTAGGGGTTTACATATACATATTCTTTTTTGTGTTTTTGAGACAAGGTCTTGCTCTAACACCCAGGCAGAGTTCTGTGGCATCATTAGAGCTCACTGCAGCCTCGAAATTCTGGGCTGAAACGTTCTTCCCACCTGTCTCCCAAGTAGCTGGGGCTCCAGGTGCAGGCCACCACACCCTCCCTGATTTTTAAATTTTTGCAGAGATGGGGTCTTACTTTGTTGTCTAGGCTGGTCTTGAACTCCTGGCCTGAAGTAATTCTCCCAAAAATGCCTCTCAAAGTCCTGGAACTACAGGCATGAGCCACTGTGCCCAGCCTGTTTTTAAATTTTATCAAATTGTACACTTAAGATTTATTTTGCCATATGTTAACTGTATTTCAAAATAAAAGTAAAACTATAAAATATTATTTAGGAGTACATATAAAATAAGACAAAACTACCACAATAAGAAAGGAAGCGATTAGGAAAAATTCAGGATTGTAGTTACCTCTTTAGGGGTGAGGGAAAGTGTTTAGGGAGGGGCACATTGGGGGACTCTCAAGAACTGGCGATATTCTATTTCTTAATGTAAGTGGTGGATACATCAGTGTTAGTTTCATTACCATGTCTTAGAATGAATATATATTTATGTACAATATATTTCAAATTATTTAAAGAGTAGCCCATAGATGTTTCTATTTTGCTTTCTGCATTCTTGCTATTGTTTAAATTCTGGAGAAAAAGATAAGTTAGTGTCTCCTATTTGTTTTTCTTGTTTCACAAAAGTATATAACTTTTTCCATCATGGAAGATCTAAGTAATAACAGTGAGAAAAATTCAGTTCCTCGACATGAGGAAATGAATGTGGCTCATAGTAATGCCATATATTTCACCAGGATTTCATAATTTATAAAGCACCCTAAAGTCAATGTAAGCATTTTGTCATAGTGATAAGGATGACTTAACAGGAAAAATAAGTAAAAAAATGATAAAAAATATTTTTATTCTAAACTGTGCTTTAAATGTTTACATATAGCATGATGTAATATTTACAAGAATGTGATAACAAGAACTGGGGCATCCCGAGAAGGATAACCTAGGAGAAACAATACATATTTTATCACTTTTCTTGACTTTTATAAATCAGAAGACTGAGGAGGGTGAAATGGTTTGCTGAAGATTACAGTTGCAGAGTGAGGACTAAAATCCATGTACCTATTCCTCATTCAATACTCTTTCTTCTATTTTTTAAGCTCTATATGAATTAAATTTCATGTTCCTTCGAGTCTCTGACCAGTTACCACCAAACATACAACAGGATGACCAATAAGAAAATTACATACAAAGTGAATCTTCTCAATAATTCAAACATACCCTGCTTTCTTTCACACTTCATTCATTCACTCAACAGGTAAGAAGCATTTATTTGCCAATCATCATTCCAGATTGGAAAAGAAAATAAAGAATATGTGTCTCATTGTCTATACAGTGATCTTTTTTAAGACATAGGGTAACTCAATGGTGAAAATGTTTTTTTCTAATCTTTTCTATGTGTCAGAATGCTTGACTACTAAACTTTCTGGTCATCTCTGGTGATGGAAGCAAGTGATTGTTTCATTGCATCTTCTTTAAACATAAAAATAAAAACCATGGCAAAAATCTAGTAAGTCATCTTAATTTTTTCTGCTCATACATATTTACATTTTGTTTGGAAAATATATACACAATTTTATAGTTAATGAACAGTTTTTATTTAACGATCTTGTGCAAAAAAAATTTTATGGCATTTATCTATTTACTATAATGCTTCTAGTACCATAACTTTGCCCTTCCTCTAATAGGACATCTAATGTTTTCTTTTTCCCTTTCATGTTATCTATTCTATCATCTTTACATTTTATGCTTATTTCTCTGATGGTGTTATATAATTTTTCAAATAAATCATTTTAATTTTATAATATAGTAATGTTTCCTAATCAAATTGATGGTATGAATTAGCTATTCATAGAAATGAGTTTTTAAAGTGAATGAAGGGGAAAATGTGAACCAAAGACTATCATTCAGAAAGAAGTGGAACAAACACTCCACTTCTAAGCCATTCTAAATCTCTCAGAAACGCCCCTGGCATCTTGCTGATACTAACTTTCCAAAAGGAAATTCCATGTGAAATGCTAATAGAATAATCTGGAATCATCTGTAATATTCTGCTGTTTATTTTAATAATATTTTGTGTGTATTGTCACTTAATAGTGCCTGATCTATATATGATTTTATCTAATGTATATTTTGGAAAATGCCTGATAAATGAGATTTCCTATTGTTATATTTTTTCATACAATGTAATTTGACCTATTCTCACATTTAGAAGATAAATAATCCTTTCATGTATAAAATATTTTTAATCTTACTTTACCATTTAGTCCCAGTTTATGAAATATTTATGTAAAAAATGATTAAATGTTATTTGATATTATATTTTAGAATAGTACTAAGCATAACATAAAGTATTACAAAATAAAAATATTTTAATCCTAGTTTAAATCATAGTTGATTTCAATGCAGTCTTTACTGCTCTTGAAGCTCAAAGCTCTTTGGAAAGACAGATTAATATTTTTTAAAAAATTTAAAAATGTATTTTCCAACATATGTGGAACATATTTACCTTAGATATGTATGATATATAGACATGCTGAAACTTATTTGTTTATAGACCCTGAATAAATATTTAAACCAATGGAGAATAATTAAAACTCTTTATCTGCCCAAGCGTATCACTTCTAGGCTCATGTCAGATAACCCAAAGCGCATGAGAATCAGCTGAATTGCCAGAAGAATTGTTTCTTCTATGATCTAGTTGAAAATTTTTCTACCTAATTCTTGAAACTTCTTGATATTTGCAGCTCTCTGCCCTCAAAATATCTCCTCATAACAAATTTTTTAAGCTGCTCTGCTAGGAAGAAAATCTATCCTCACTAGAATTTGCACATGCTCCTAGCATTTCTGCCTCTAGTCTCTACAATTTTGCTTCAGACTACTCCAGTCTGCCAATAAGCTCTGTAAGGTTGGGCCCGAGAGGTCTCCTAAGCCTCTGAAAGCAAATTAGACAGCATTAGCAGAAAAGAATTTGACAACTAGTCTTTTTTGGGGATAATTGTCTCTGTTTTTTAAATCACAAAACTTACTGCTTGAAAACTAAAGTGTTTCTCCATCTGTTTATGTTATTTTGTAAATTATGTTTAGCTCTTTATATTTGTGATACCATTAGGCCACTGTCAGAGTACTTTCAACACTGGCTAAGCAGTAGATTTGGCATAATAGAAAGGCATAGACTATCAAGCCAGACTGATATGGCCTGAATCAAACTCTAACACTTATTAGGTATGTGATGTTAGAAAACCTACTTATGTCTCAGATTTCTGTTTTCTCATATATAAAGTTAGAGTGATCATATAAGCTTTAAGTTTTTTAATATTAAGCAAGTTCTGTGATTTATAGATAGATATAGCTAGATGGATAGATAGATAATAGATAGATAGATTAGATATAGATCATACAGGTATTAACTTATCCTAAGTATTCAAACAAAAAGTAGATACTTTTTTTGGATGGTGAAGCTATTTTTTCTTTTAATCACAGGGAAGGGGCAAAATGCAAGGAGCTTCTTAATTATATATCTGAAAAATATAGAGCAAAGATCTAGTTGTCACTACCAACAACCATTAGTTTTAATGTTGTCTGTTATCAGATAAGCTTAAACACCTTAACATAAGTACTCCTTTACTTTTTCTAACTTTGTCCCACTCATAATCTCTCCGAAGAGGATTAAGTGGTAGATGAAATAAGCCTAATACAATGTAATGATAATCTAGATGGTTATATAATAAAATGTTGTGAATAAAACTCACTGAATCAAATGCCAGATTGGAAAAAAGTATTTTATGTTGATCTAAACTTATTATCCTACAAAACAACTTTTAAGGAAAAAAAGAAACAAACCTGGGAACATGTTATGTGTTTGATATTCAAAGAGGATCAACAGGGATATAAGTATGTAGACCAAAACAAGTCTTCTTTGTAATGCATCGTCTGCAACATGGCTCATCTCCTTGCTACTAATCAAAAATTTAATGTGTTTTTGGCAAAAAGAAATTACTCACCCACAAGAGAAATGCAACTTATCTGAAGTTAAATAATGAAAAATCTTACAGTGCACCCAAAGTTTTGGCAAGTTAACACCTCAAAACAAATTTTGGGATGCTTCCGTGTGATGAAAGCTTTACTCTATGTTACAAGTAGAAAAACTTTCATTCAAATAGTATTCAAATGTTAGTATAAAATGAACAGGGTTAGGCTTTTAACTATTCAACAAAAGCCAGGTAACACACAATAAGGGAATGTAATATCAAAAATACAGTGCTTGAGATATTTGGCTCAAAATGAATTGATAAAGGATAGCTTGAGGTTCAGACATCTTAACATAGTAAAACTATAGTAAAGCTATTGTATCAGTTACACCACGTTGCTTCACAAACTTTAGTATGCAGAAATACTATTGTCATTGTAAAGGCATAATACTAAAAATATTGAAGACAGAAAAACAAACATACTAGAAAAGACTTTTATTAAACTGTTAAGATTACATTTTTGAAGTATTAACAGTAGAATCAAATTTCTAATTTTGCAGGCTTTATTCTTTCTACCTATAGGTATTCATTTTTGCCATAGATACATTATAAGTGAATAATTTGTGACACTATAAAATTATATAATTTGGAAGAGAGATGGAGTAAAAATGGAGGAGGGTGGAAAATCCACACCACAAAGATGAAATAATGGTTTGAGACTTTTTGTTTTATTTTATTTCAATAGTTTTTGAGGAATAGGTGGTTTTTGGTTATGTGGATAAATTCTTTGGTGGTGATATCTGAGATTTTGGTACACTCATCACTCAAGCAGTGTACACTGTAACCAATATGTAGTGTTTTATTCCTCACCCACCTCCCACCTTGTTTACCAAGTCCTCAAAGTCCATTATATCATTCTTATGCCTTTGTGTCCTCATAGCTTAGCTCCTACGTATAAGTAAGAACATACAATATTTGGTTTTTCATTCCTGAGCTACTTCACTTAGAATAATAGTCTCCAACTTCATCCCGGTTGCTGCTAATGCAATGATTTCATTCCTTTTTATAGCTCAGTAGTATACTATGGTGTGTAAATGCCACATTTTCTTTATCCACTCATTGGTTGATAGACATTTAGGTTGATTTCATATTTTCACAATTGTGAATTGTGTACTAGTGAATTGTGTTGCTATAAGCATGTGTGTGCAAGTGTCTTTTTCATATAATGACTTATTTTCCTTTGGGTAGATACCCACTAGTGGGATTCCTGGATCAAATGGTAGTTCTACTTTTAGTTCTTCAAGGAATCCCATACTGTTTTCCATAGTGGTTATGCTAGTTTACATTCTAACCAGTACTGTAAAAGTGTTCCCTTTTCACCACATCTACATCAATCAAAATATATTATTGTTTTTATTTTTTTACTTATGCCATTCTTGCAGGAGTGAGGTGGTATCTCATTGTGGTTTTAATTTTCATTTCTCTGATAATTAGTGATATCAACCATTTTTTTCATGTTTGCTGACCATTTGTATATCTTCTTTTGATAATTGGTCATTCATGTCCTTTGCCCACTTTTTGATGAGATTATTTGGGCTTTTTTTGCTACTTTGTTTGAATTCCATATATATATTCTGGACAGGAGTCCTTTGCCACATGCATAGTTTGCAAATATTTTCTCCCACTCGGTGGGTTGTCTGTTCACTATGTTGATAGTTTCCTCTCTCTCTCTCTCTCTCTCTCTCTCTCTCTCTCTCTGCTGTGCAGAAGTTCTTTAGTTTAAGTAGGTCTCATTTGCCAAATTTTGTTTTTGTTGCATTTGCTTTTGGGTTCTTGGCCATGAATTCCTTGCCTAAGCCAATAAGTGGAAGAGTTTTTTGATGTTCTAGAATTTTTATTGTTTCATGTCTTAGATTTAAGTCTTTGATCCATCTTGAGTTGATTTTTGTATAAGGTGAGAGATGAGGATCCAGTTTTATTCTTCCACATGTTGTTGGCCAATTACCCCAGCACCATTTGCTGAATAAGGTGTCTTTTTCTTACTTTATGTTTTTTGTATGCTTTATTGAAGTCAGTTGGCTGTAAGTATTTGGCTTTTTTCTTTGGGTTATTTATGGGATATTTCTACTTTTCCATGAGTCTATATGCCTATTTCTATACCACACCATGCTATTTTGGTAGCTATTATAGCCTTGTAGTGTAGTTTGGAGTCAGGTAATGTGATGCCTCCAGATTTGTTCTCTTTGCTTAGTATCATTTTGGCTATGTGAGCTCTTTTTTGGCCCCATATGAATTTTAAGATTTTTTTTCTAGTTCTGTGAAGAATGATAATGGTATTTTGATGTGAACTGAATTGAATTTATAGATGTATTTGGCATTATGGTCATTTTCACAATATTGGTCCTACCCTTTCAAAAGCATTGTAAGTGTTTCCATTTGTTTGTGTTGTCTATGATTTCTTTCAGCAGTGCTTTGTAGTTTTCCTTGTAGAGATCTTTCACCTCCTTGGTTAGATATATTCTCAAGTATTACATTTTTTTTGCTGCTGTTGTAAGTAAAAGGGGTTGAGTTCTTGATTTGATTCTCAGATTGGTATTTATTGGTATATAGCAATGCTACTGCTTTATGTATATTGATTTTGTATCCTGAAACTTTACTGAGTTTATTTATCAAATCTAGGAGCTTTTTGGATGAGTCTTTAGATTTTTCTACACATACAGTCATATCATCACCAACCACTGACAGTTTGACTTTCCTCTTTTCTGATTTAGATGCCCTTTATTTCTTTCTCTTGTCTGATTTTTCTGGCTAGGGCATCCAGTACTATGTCGAATAAAAGTGGTGAAAGTAGGCATCAATGCCTTGTTCCAGTTCTCAGAGGGAATGCCTTCAACTTTTTCCTGTTCAGTATGATGTTGGCTGTGGGTTTGTCTGAGATGGCTTTTATTACTTTGAAGTATGTCCCTTCTATGCCAATTTTGCTGAGGGTTTTTATCATAAAGGGATGCTGGATTTGTCTAAGGTTTTTTATTTGTCTATTGAGATGGTCATATGATTTTGTTTTTAATTCTGTTAATGTGATGTGTCACATTTATTGACTTGCATATGTTAAAACATCCCTGCATCACTGGTATGAAACCCACTTGATCGTGATGTATTATCTTTCTGAGATGCTGTTGGATTCGGTCAGTCAGTATTTCATTGAGGATTTTTTCATCTATGTTCATTGGGGATATTGTTCTGTAGTTTTCTTTTTTGTTATGTCCTTTCTTAGTTTTGGTATTAGAGTGCTACTGGCTTCATAGAATGATTTAGGGAGAATTTCCTCTTTCTCTATCTTTTGGAATAGTTTCAGTAGGAAATGTACCAATTCTTCTTTGAATGTCTGATAGAATTCAGCTGTGAATCCATCTGGTTCTGGACTTTTGTTGTTGATAATTTTATTAATTACGGTCTTAACCTTCCTACTTGTTATTGGCCTGTTCAGAGTTTCCATTTTTTGTGTGATTTAATCTAGAAGGGTTTTATATTTTCAGGAATTTATCCATCTCTCTTAGATTTTCTAGCTCATGAACATAATGCTGTTCATAGTAACCTTGAATTATCTTTTGTATTTCTGTGATATTGGTTGTAATATCTCCTGTTTCAATTCTCATTGAGCTTATTTGGATTTTGTCCCTTCTTTTCTTGATTAATTTCACTAATGGTCTATCAATTTTTTTTGTCTTTTCAAAAAAAAAAACAGCTTTCTGTTTCATGTATCCTTTGTGTATTTTTGTTTCAATTTAATTTAGTTCTACCCTGATTTTTGTTATATATTTTATCCTGCTGGGTTTGGGTTTGGTTTGTTCTTGTTTCTCTAGTTCCTTGACAAGTGACATTAGATTGTCTATTTGTGTTCTTTCAGACTTCTTGATGTAGGCATTTAATGCTATGAACTTTCCTCTTAGCACTACTTTTGCTATATCCCAGAGGTTTTGATAAGTTGTGTGACCATTATCATTCCATTCAATGAATTTTTTAATTTCCCTCTTGATTTCATTGTTGACCCAGAGATCATTCAGAAGCAGATTATTTAATTTCCATGTATTTATATAGTTTTGAGGGTTCCTTTTGGAGTTAATTTTCAGTTTTATTCCACTTTGGTTGAAGAAGATACTTAATATTATTTCAAACTTCTTAAATTTATTAAGACTTTTTTTGTGACTTACCATGTGGTGTATTCTGGAGAATACCCCATGTGTTTATGAAAAGAATCTATAGTCTGCAGTTGTGAGGTAGAATGTTCTGTAAATATTTGTTAATTTCATAGTTTGTGAAAACTATGGCATAGTTTACTAGGGCATAGTTTATGTCTATTGTTTCTTTGTTGACTTTCTGCCATGATGACCTGAATTGTGCTGTTAGTGGAGGTATTGAAGTGTCCTCAATATTATTGTGTTGCTGTCAATCCCATTTCCTAGGTCTAGTAGTAATCATTTTATGAATTTGGGAGCTCCAGTGTTAGGTGAATATATATCTAGTATTGTGATATTTTCCTGTTGAACAAATCCTTTTATCATTGTATAATATGCCTCTTTGTCTTTTGTTACTGTTGTTGCCTAAAGTCTGTTTTCTCTGATATGAGAATAGCTACTCCTGCTCCCTTTTGGTTAGCATTTCCATAAAACATCTTTTTCCATTTCTTTACCTTTTTTGTGAATCATTATGTGTTAGTTCCGAGTCTCTTGAAGGCATCAGATACTTGGTGGATTTTTATCTATTCTGACATTCTGTATAAGGATTTAGTCCATTTACATTCAACATTGTATTGAGATGTGAGGTACTGTTCTATTCATCATGTTAGTTGTTGCCTAAATATCCTGGGGAATTTTTCATTGTGTTATTATTATCTAGGCCCTGTGAGAGTCATGCTTTAAGGAGTGATATGGTTTGGCTATGTCCCCACCTAAATCTCATCTTGAATTGTAACTCCCACAATTTCCACATGCTGTGGGAGTAAGAACCTAATGGGAGGTGATTAAATTCTGGGGGACAGTCTTTCTTGTTCAGTTCTCATGATAGTGAATGAGTCTCACAAGATCTGATGGTTTTAAAAATGGAAGTTTCCTTGCATAAGCCCTCTTCTTGTCTGCTGCCATGTGAGATGTGCCTTTCACCTTCCACCATGATTGGGAGGTCTCCCAGACATGTGGAAATGTAAGTCCAATAAACCTCATTCTTTGTAAATTGCCCAGTCTCAGGTATGTCTTTATCAGCAGCATGAAAATGGGCTAACACAGTAAATTGGTTCTAGAAGAGTGGGTTGTTGCTGAAAAGATACCTGAAAATGTGGAAGAGATTTTGGAACTGGGTAACAGGTAGAAGTTGGAACAGTTTGGAGGGCTGACAAAAAGACGGGAATATATGGAAAGTTTGGAACTCCCTAAGGACTTTTTGAAAGGCTTTGACTAAAATGCTGCTAATGATATGGACAATGAAATCCAGACTGAGATTGTCTCAGATGGAGATGAGAAACTCATTGGGAACTGGAGCAAGGGTGATTCTTGTTATGTTTTAGTAAAGAGATTGGCAGAATTTTGTTCTTGCCCTAGAGATTTGTGAAACTTTGAACTTAAGAGAGATGATTTAGGGTATCCGGTGGGATAAATTTCTAAACAGCAAAGCATTCAAGAGGTGACTTGGGTGCTATTAAAGGCATTCAGTTTTATAAGGGAAACAGAGCACAAAAGTTTGGAAAATTTTCAGCTTGACAATGTGATAAACAAAAGAAAATTCCATTTTCTTAGGAGAAATTCAAGACAGCTGCAGAAATTTGCATAAATAATGAGGAGCTAAGTATTCATCCTCAAGACAATGGGGAAAATATCTGCAGGGCATGTCAGAGGTCTTCACAGCAGCCCCTCCTATCACAGCCCCAGAGGTTTAGGAGGAAAAATGGTTTTGTGGGCTGGGCCCAGGGTCCCTCTGCTGTGTGCTGTCTAGGAACTTGGTGCCCTGCATCCCAGCCACTCCAGCTGAGACAAAAAGGGGACAAGCTACAGCTCAGACTGTTGCTTCAGAGGGTGGAAGCCCCATGCCTTGTCAGCTTTCACATGGAGTTGAGCCTGAGAGTGCACAGAAGTCAAGAATTGAAGTTTGGGAACCTCCACCTAGATTTTAGTAGGTGTATGGAAATGCGTGAATGCCCAAGCAGAAGTTTGCTGCAGGGGTGGGCCTCCAGATTTCAGAATGGTAGATCCACCAACAGCTTGCACTGTGTGTGGCAAAGCCACAGACACTCAATGCCAGCCTATGAAATCAGGCAGGTGGGAGGCTATAACCTGCAAAGCCACAGGTGTGGAGGTGCCCAAGACCATGGGAACCCACCTCTTGCATCAGTGTGACCTGAATGTGAGACATGGAGTCAAAGGAGATCATTTTGGAGCTTTAAGATTTGATTGCCTTGCTGGATTTTAGACTTGTATAGGGCCTGTAGCTGCTTCGTTTTGGCCAATTTCTCCCATTTGGAATGGCTCTATTACTCAATGCCTGAACCCCAGTTGTATCTAGGAAGTAACTAAATTGCTTTTGATTTTCCAGGCTCATAGGTGGAAGAGACTTGTGTAGTCTCAGCTGAGACTTTGGACTGTGGACTTATCAGTTAATGCTAAAATGAATTAAGACTTTGCAAGATTGTTGAGAAGGCATGATAGATTTTGAAATTTGAGGACATGAGATTTTGGAGGGGCCAGAGGCAGAATAATATGGTTTGGCTCTGTCCCCGCCCAAATCTCATCTTGAATTCCTACATGTTGTGAGAGGGACCCAGTGGAAGGTAATTGAATCATGGGGGCAGGTCTTTCCTTTGCTGTTCTTATGATAGTGAATAAGTCTCATGAGATCTGATGGTTTTAAGAAGGGGAGTTTCTCAGCACAAGCTCTCTTCCCTTCTCTGCCACCATGTGAAACATGCCTTTCACCTTCCACCATGATCGTGGGGCCACCCCAGCCACGTGGAACTGTAAGTCCAATAAACCTCTTTCTTTTGTAAATTGCCCAATCTTGGATATGTCTTTATCAGTAGTGTGAAAATGGACTAATTCAAGGAGGTTCTATTTGGGTGTATTTCAAGATTTTATTTTTTTAAGTTTTAGAATTCCTTTAGGCATTTCTTGCAGTGCTGGTTTAGTAGTAGCAAATTCTTTCAGCATTTGTTTGTCTGAAAAAGACTTTATTTCATCTTCATTTATAAAGATTAGTACTGCTGGATACAATAATCTTGGCTGACAATTGTTTTGTTTAAGGAGCCTAAAGATAGAATCCCAATTTCTTCTGGCTTCTATGGTTTCTGCTCAGAAATCAACTGTTAATCTGATAGGTTTTTCTGTATAAATTAACCTGATGATTTAGTCTCACAGCTCTTAAGATTCTCTCCTTTGTCTTGACTTTAGATAACCTGATGACTATGTGTTGAGGTGATATGGTTAGGCTTTGTGTCACCAGTCAAATCTCATCTTGGATTATAATCCCCATAATCCCCACATGTCAAGAGATAGACTAGGTGGAGGGTAATTGGATGATGGGGGTGGTTTCCCCCATGCTGTTCTCATGATAGTGAGTGAGTTCTCAGGAGATCTGATGGTTTTATAAGGGCGTCTTCCCCCTTCACTTGGCACTTCTCCTTCCTCCCACCTGTGAAGAAGGTGCCTTGCTTCCCCCTCACATTCCACCATGATTGTAAGTTTCCCAAGTCTGCCCCAGCCATGCTGAACTGTGCATCAATTAAACATCTTTCCTTTATAAATCACCCAGTCTCAGGCAGTTCTTTAAAGCAATATGAAAATGGACCAATACACTAGATCTTTCTGTGATGAATTTCCCAGGAGCTCTTTGAGCTTCTTGTATTTGGATGTCTAGATCTCTAGCAGGGCCAGGGACACTTTCCTCAATTATTTCCTCAAATAAGTTTTTCAAACATTAAGATTTCTCTTCTTCCTCAGGAACACCAATTATTCTTAGGTTTGGCCATTTAAAATAATCACAGGCGGGATGTGCTGGCCCATGCCTATATTCCTAGCACTTTGGGAGGCCGAAGCAGGCAGATCACCTGAAGTTTGGAGTTTGAGACCAGCCTGGCCAACATGGTGAAACCCCATCTCTACTAAAAATGCAAAAAAATTAGCTGGGCATGGTGGCAGGTGCCTGTAATCCCAGTTACTCAGGAGGCTGAGTCAGGAGAATTGCTTGAACCCAGGAGGCAAAGGTTGCAGTGAGCCAAGATTGTGCCACTGCACTGCAGCCTGGAAAACAAGAGTGAAACTTCATCTCAAAAAAAAAAAAAAAAACACAAAAGATAATCACAAATTTCTGGGGGACTTTATTTACTTTTTAAATTATTTATTTCTTTGTCTTTGTCTGATTGGGTTAATTTGAAAGCCTCATCTTTGAGCTCTGAAAATCTTGCATCTACTTGTTCTTATCTATTGTTAAAACTTTCCAGTGCATTTTGTATTTCCCTATGTATGTCTTTCATTTCCAGAAGTTGTGATATCTTTAATGATAAATTTCTTTAATGATATCTATATACGTAGCAAATTTTTCATCTATTTTCTCTCTTTCCATTTCTTTAAGTTGTTTTTCAGCTTTCTGTGGTATCTCCCTGAGCAGCTTAATAATAAACCTCAATTCTTTATCTGCCAATTCAGAGATTTCTTTGTGATTTGGATCCATTGCTGGGGAGCTAGTATGATCTTTTGGGGTGTTATAGAACCCTGTTTTTTCATATTACTAGAATTACTTTTCCGTTTTCTCCTCATTTGGGTGGATCACTTCCTAAAATTGTTCTTAAATTCATTTTTGATTGTTCTGTGTTATTTTTAATTTAAATTTCTTTTTTTCTCTCTTAAAGATCAGACTTTAATGTTTATTTTTGCCTAATTTTTTATTTGGTGCTTGTGGGGGTGAAGACTCTTTATGAGATTCTTAGTTATTGAAAGTCTTGTGCACTCACTTTCCCAAAGCTGGTTGTAGCAGTTATATTCTTGGTGTGTGGGTGAGTTCACAGTCTCCTATGGATTTGGAATGTCAGAGATCTGTTGAAGTTTATGTCATTTTCTCATGGTGTACAACTTATTTATTTATTAATTTTTTTCCAAATGTTTTATTTACTCAGTTTATAATTCAGACTTCAGGTCAATAGGGAAAGTATCTCTGATTAGGCGCTGGTTGTGGCTAAGGCGGGTTAGTAGATGTAATACCCAATGGTGGGCCAAGGTCTCAGCCTTGATGAGAGCAGCTGGGGGAACTCTCAATTAGATGTGCTGAAGTTTTATCAAGGTGAAGAGTGGGAGCTACTTTAGCTCCTCTGTCAGGTCAATAGGAAAGCTATTCACCTCACAGCCTCACTCCTATCCTAGTTTTTCAGCTATTCAGATCAAACAGGCACCTCTTTTCATATATATATATATGAACTCAAGTCCTGCTGTTCATATATAAATATATAGCAACTCAAGTCCTGCTGTTCAGATTCTTTTGTGCCATAGGATGATCCACTGATGTCATGTTCTCCCTCTTCCCCTAGGGATGGGGCTTCCTGGAAGCTGGATTGCAGTGATTGTTATTGCTCTTTTGGTCTAGCCACCCAGTGCAGGTACCAGCCTCTGGGCTGGTGCTGAGAAATGTCTGCAAAGTATCTTGTGATGTGATCAGTCTTCAGGTCTCCCAACCATAGATGCCAGCATCTACTCTGGTGGAGGTGGCAGGGGAGTGATGTAGACTTTGTGAGAATCCTGGGTTGTAGATAGCTTTAGTATACCAGCTCTCTCTAGTTTTGATTGTGCTAGCAGTGAAGTTGTCATGTGTACACACTCAGGATCTCTGGTTAGCCAGGATGTTGCAGGAAATGGAATTAGGTATTGTCTTCCCCTTTCTGTGATCAGGGTTATTCTGATAAGAGTTGCAGTAATGGCCTGAGTTGCTTGGCCTCCAGTCAGGAGGTGGCGCTTTCAAGAGAGCACCAGCTGCAGTATTAGCAGTGGGATTTGAATTTGCCTTATAATGCTGGCCTAGGGAAGTATTCTGATTTCTCAGGCGATGGGCAGGGCCATAAAGCTCCCTCGAG
Source organism: Homo sapiens (assembly GCF_000001405.40). Taxonomy (NCBI): domain Eukaryota; kingdom Metazoa; phylum Chordata; class Mammalia; order Primates; family Hominidae; genus Homo; species Homo sapiens. The sequence continues at coordinate 81,149,918 of NC_000006.12, read as the reverse complement.
TTTTTCCTTTGTGTTCAGCTACCAGGGCAAGTAGAGATATGGCATTATGCTGGGGCAGGATTAGGGAGGTCTAAGCTCAGAATCTGTTGGGTGGGGCTTCACACGGACACTGTAGGGAAGTGGGGAGTAGTTCTCAGGCCAGTGGGGTTATATTCCAGAGGGGATTATGGCTGCCTCTGCTATGTAGTATAGTTCACAAGGGCTGTGGGGATAGCTGGTAGTGAAAAACCTCACCCAGCTCCCACACAGTTGGCGAGGCCAGTCTCACTCCTGCAGTTCCCTGCTAAAAGCACTGAGTTTAGATCCAGGCAGCCTGTGTGTGAAACTCAGACCTGCCCCAGGTCATAAGCTTCCCCACTAAGAAAGCAAGCAGAGCTTTCAGGCTACATCCCTCCCCATCTGCCCACAATGTAGGCAGCTACTGCGCTGCTCATATCTGCAGCAATTCCTGCTCACCCCCCAGATTCTGCTCAAGAAAATTTGTGCCCACTTGAAATTATCACAAAATTCAGTTGGATACTTCTTTCACCCTGTAACCCCTGCCTAATTCCATTGGCTGCTTTCCCCAAGGGCCCCTGAGAGATATAGTCAGGGATGGCTTCTCTGGGCTCAAGCTGGTGAGTGAAAGTTCGTGTTAGACTCTTTTCACTGCTGCTTCTACTTATAGTTTGCACGACTACCTAAATCTATTCCAGCTCTAGGCAAAATTAAATCCTTCTCCTATGATCTGGATTTTCAGATTCCCTAATAAGGATGTGTGTTTAGAGGCAGGTTTTCTCCCTCTCACGATTTGGGAACTCACAGTTTTTTGCCTGTGTTGTGGAGTTTGCAGCAATGTGCTGTTTCTTTCAAAGGATCTGTGAATTCTTTTGGTTTTCCTAGTATATTTTTGTGGTGGTTCTTGGAACAAAAGTTCAGTGTGAGTCTCCACACACTGTTCTGTTCATCCAAGTGGGAGATGCATGTTAGCTCTGCCTCTTATCTGCCATCTTCGTGAAGTCAGCAGTTTGAGACATTTAATCAGTCCATATTTGGTAAGCACCACACACAGCACAAAGCTGTGTGTGGAAAACCACAAATGAGGATGCGATTGAATCCAACATGAATTTGTTGATCATCTATTACTTTCTAGGTTTTATGGAATAAGTTCAAGTATGACAATTAAAATACAAATTGGCAGGTGGTTTAACATGACTCAACTGTACACTGTCTACAAGAAACTCACTTCAAATATCATATAGGTGAGTTGAAAGAAAAAGAATGGAGAAAAACATATTATGCAAACATTAATCTAAGGAATGCATAAGTGCCTATGTTAATACCATCCAAAGTAGGTTTCAAAACAATTACTAGAGACAGAGAGGGACATTATATGCTGAAAAAAGGATCAATCCACAAGAATATATGACAATCATAAATGTTGCAATATATGTGACACAAAAATCCAACGGACTGAAAGGATAAATAGATAAATCTACAATTATATCTGAGGACTTCAACACCCCTTTCTCAGTGATAGATGAATAGACAAAAAAAGTCAGCAACAACACCATTTACCAACAAGATCTAATCAACATTTTTAGAACTATCTATCCAACAATAGCTGAAAACTCACTCTTTTCAAGTAACCATAAAGTGTATAACAATAGAGACCATGTCCTGTGCCATAAAATAAATTCTTGCATATTAAAAAGAAGTGTAATCATACAGAGTGGATCCTCTAACTCCAACTAAATCAAATTAGGAATAAAAAAATAGAAAGCATAGAGAAAAATCTGCAAACACTTGGAAGGTAAAAACACACTTCAAAATAATCCATGGGTCAAAGAGGAACTCTCAAGAGAAAAAAAATACATTGCACTGCGTGAAATTAAAATCATATCAAAGTTTGTGTGACACAACTAAACAGTGCTGAGAGGGAAATTTATAGCACTAGATGCATACATTTGAAAAAGTTTCAAACCAATAATCTAAACTTCCACTTAAAGAACCTAGGAAAAGAGCAAAAATAAAAGCAGAAGTCAATTTAATTGAAAATAGAAAAAAATACAATAGGGTATACTAATAAACCAAAGATCTGTTTCTCTGAAAACAAAAAACAAAAAACAAACAAAAAAAAACAATAATATTTACAGACCACTAGCAAGATTGCCAAAGAAACAAAGAAATAATCAGAAGTTAACAATATCAGGAATGAAACAGGGTATATCATTACAAATCCCTTAGATATAAAACATGATAATGAAGAAATACGATAGACAAGCCCACACACATACATTTGACAATTTACAAATTAGATAAAATTGAGCTATCACAGATCAGAAAACCAAACACCGCGTGTTCCCACTCATACGTGGGAGTTGAACAATGAGAACACATGGACACGGGGAGGGGAATATCACACACAGGGGTCTGCTGGGGGGTGGGGGGCTAGGGGAGGGATAGCATTAGGAGAAATACCTCATGTAGGTGACTGGTTGATGGGTGCAGCAAACCACCAGGGCACGTGTATACCTATGTAACAAAACTGCACGTTCTGCACATGTAACCCAGAACTTAAAGTATAATTAAAAAAAAAAAAGGAGGTGGAGCCAGTGGGACTCCAGGCCACACCTTCACATAAACAAAAGTAGTGTTTAGTGTCTATGCTGACTTCTAACTTTATATAGATAAGGGATTCCACTGAAACAAAAAAGAAGAAAAACAACAACAACAACAACAAGAATATATACACTACTGTAACTCATGTGATATGAGATAATTTGAATAGTCCTTGTAACTATTAAGAAAATTGAATTCATATTTAAAACTCCAAAAATCAAAATCTACAGGCCCAGATATTTTCATTGGAGAATTCAACCAAACAAATAAATCAGGATTAATACCAGTTCTATATAATGTGTTCAAGAAAATAAAAAAGAAGGGATTGCTTTCCCAAGGAGAAAGAGCACTTCCTAGTACTTTTTATGAAGCCACGATTAACCTTCTATCAAAATCAGAAAAAGAGACTGCAACAAAAGAAAATAGCAGATATTTCTCCTAAATACAGATGTAAAAATTCTTAACAAAAGCTTAGGAAATAGAATTAAGCAATGTAAAAAAAGAAGAAAATACCATGACCAAATGGAGTTTATTCTAGGGATGCAAACTGGTACAGCATTTGAGAATCAATGAATAAAACCTACTTTAGTAACAGGCTAAAGAAAAAAAAATTACATAATCATATGAATCAATGCAGGAAGCAGTTGATAAAACCCAGAATCCATTTATTTTGTTTTGTGCCTTCTGAACTTTCAGGATCTATATTTTAGTGTCTGTCAAATTTTGGAAAATTATTGGCAGTTATTACTCCAAATATTCATTTGGCTTTTTTTATATCTTTATTCTCCTTCTGCTATTTTAATAATGCATGTTACACCTTTTGAAAATGTCCCACAATTCTTAGATGTTCTGTTCTTTTTATTTTCCCATTCTTCTTTAGCTTTGCATTTTACAATTTACATTGACATATCTTTAAGCTCAATTTTCTTTCTTCAGCTGTGAGCAGTCCGTTCTTGAGATCATTGAAGCACTTTTCATTTTTCTTAGAGTGTCTTGGATTGGTAGTACTTCCTTGGTTCCTTTTTCATATTTCTATCTCTCTGCTTACATTCCCCATCTGTTCTTGCAAGTTGTCTGCATTTCTCATTTGATCTGCATTTTTCATTTGATCTCTTAACATATTAATCACAGTTATTTTAAATTCCTAGTTTGGTAATTCCAACATTTCTGCCATATCTGAGTCTTCTTTTGTTGCTGCTTTGTTTATGTAGACTATGTTTTTCTTGACTTTTATCATGCCTTGAAATGTTTTGTTGAAAGTTGGACATCATGGATTGAGTAACAGGACCTAAGTTAACCAGGTCTTTAATGTGAAGTTTTATGTTAATCTGCCTAGGAGTTTATCTGCGTTTCATGTTTGCCATACTGTAGGTGCCCAAAGTTTCAAATCTCTCTACTGTTCTTGATTTTTGTCTCCCTTCTTGATTTTGGGTTTTTCTAAAAATTCCTTCTTAAATAGAGAGTGATCCTTGTAGTCCTTTCATCTCTAATTCACTATTATTATACTGGAGCCTTGTTGATGTGGTTGGAAGGTATGTGGGAGAAGGGAAAACACTCTATATTTCTATGACTTAATCGTTAGCCAGAGGAAAGCTGGCCCTCATTACATAGTAGGGTCATGCTGGATAGCAGCTGGCTTAAAGTTGGGAAATGACACAATTACAAAATCACAAGAGTAGATGACAGGGAAGCAAGAAAATGATAGCAGGGATGAAGATTAGAATGTGTTTGTTGTAGATGGGAGGCACGGGGCTTGTTGAAGGAGGATGGGGGCATGGTGGTCTGTAAGTGACATTGCTGATCTCCATACTGAATGACAAGGTGAGTTGGCTGTGTTAGAATAAACAGGGTGTTGAAGAGCAGTGAAATCCTTAAGAAAGGTGATAATAGATAAAGCAAAGATGGAGTGCTTGGCATAGACATTAAGGATGTTAAGAAGGGTGTTTATCATAGAAAAATTATTTCATAGGATGTATGTAATGATTTGTGAGAAAGGGAAATTTGGAACAGGAGAGAGGAAGTATATATAGTTATTTATGCCTATCAAAAAGTAGGAGATCACTGGATGAGTTTATATCTTAGGCAAGAGAGCAAAATAAATAAGACAGATATCCTAAATCCTAACCTTGAAAGCTAAAGCGAAATAAGATAAACAGCCATTTACTATAAAAATGCTCCACAGGGATTCATTCACTGTCCCGTGCATGCAGCACTTGTGCATAATATGCCTGCATGATCTTCAAAATTAGGAGGCTCTTTGCTGATGGGTTATAATTACTTTCCCTGGTATGCTAGTGGGTTGGAAGGGCCCACATGTTGTCATGGGAATGGCGGGATGTTTTTATTTTGACATACAAGGAGGTCATATTGCCGGGGTTATACCTTCAGATTAGCCACAATGAACTCTTTCTAAGATGTGAAACTGTTCTTGATACCAAGCCAGGAACCACCTTTGGCAATAGTACAATAAGGTTTTGAAGACTGAACTACCTCAAGGCCTTTTGGAAGTAGCCTGAGTATAAATCCTATAAACAAATCAATTTACTGAATAGTGGATAGTTTGTGGTTTCATTGCTCTTATTTCCATTCCCAAGTTTTTAAAAAAGGTCTGTCTCACAAAGAAATTAAGGTATATTATTATGTTACCAGATCAAGATTCTATGTCAGCTAGGTCTAGGTTGGAATTCTTGGTAATAAGCCTTAAGCAGGGAGGGGAAAATCACTTCTGCCAGTGACTAACTTAGGAATGGATGGATTCCATTTGTCTTACAACTCAGTGGAGGCTTATCTTAGTGTGGACAACATAGTTCCTGTGTGATCAGTTTCCAAAGTCTTTGTGTTTGGCAACCTGAAAACTTCAATTTAGGTCAGAATCTTAGCATTTTTGTAGAGAAAACAAGGCCAGATACCTTAATCTGAGGTTCAGCCTCATTGAATGAGCATGTGGTCTAGCAAGTTAAATAATCTATTTCTGATCAAGCTATTTCCCCCCTTTTTTTTATTCTTAAGACAAAATAAAGATTGCTTTGCACGTAGCTATTCAGAATACAGAAGCATGCAAAGAAAATGTGGCGGCCTTAAGACAAAGGGCAGGTCACAAATACAAAGGCAGTAGCAAGTATCCCATCGATGCTGTATGATTAAAATAAAATCTAACATGTAGGTGAGGTATAATCAGTTTTATCCAACTTAGAGTTAATCTGGGGTTTTATGTGTCAGATTCAGACTGACTCCTGCACTTACAATCAATACCATATTTCTTCCAAAATGATCACCTAGCTATTAATACATTGCAGATTTGATTTGACTCTAGCCAATAGTTAACATATTTGACATATGTAATTTCTAGAAAGTGTCCATTAAAATGCCATTTGTCTCTCTCCTTCTGCTGTCTAGAATATAGATGCACATGAATGAAAGCAGCTATCTTGGACAACAGTTTGCCTTGGGAAGGGAGAACATGAATTGTGTAGCAATAAGATAGACGAAGCCTGGCTTTTTGACACTGAACAGTGCTGTTCCAGTTCTGGGTTATTTATCTTCCAAATAAGTAGAGAAATAAAATTATTTAAGCTTCTGTTATCTGTTTAAGGTTAAATTAATCTTTTACTTATACTCTATTAGGAAGCACTGCTTATAGAGTTTTCTACCTTCTGAGGTGCCCACTTTACGCCAAGGAAATCTTGGCACTTTTTTCCTGACAAACTATAAAATGCAGACTGCTTCGAATGAAATCTTCTCTCAACACTTTTCAATCAGTGACAGTTCCAGACATTCTCTCCTTTAGAATCTTTCAGGAGATTTAAGCATCAGTCTCTGTGAGGCTCAAATTCTAAGAGAAACTATGTACAGATCCACAATGAACTTGAGATTATGTACCTCCACATATGGCTTGCATAGTAGAGGAGAGTCCCACTCCCCATTTCTTCTCTAATGAGGAGGCAATCAGATACCTCTTAAGCATTCCTTCTTGACTGAAAAATCAAACAAAGAAAACGTCTCTTATTTTCCTCCTTATCAATTTCCAGACATTTATTTGGACTGGAGCTGGATAATAATATAAGAGTAGCAGAAATGGTGTTTCCATCTCTCAGCAAATGTTGCCAGGGACTATATCCAGAATGGTATTTCCTAGGTTGTCTTCCAGGGTTTTTATAATTTGAGGTTTTACTTTTAAGTCTTCAATCCATCTTCAGTTGATTTTCTTATATGGTGTAAGCAGGGGGTCCAGATTCAATCTTCTGCATATGGCTAGCCCAGTTATCCCAACACTATTTATTGAATAGGGAGTCCTTTCCCTGTTGCTTCTTTTTGTCAACCTTGATGAAGACCAGCTGGCTGTAGGTGTGTGGCTTTATTCCTGGGTTCTCTATTCTCTTTCATTGGTCCATGAATCTGTTTTTGTAGAGTACCATGCTGTTTTGGTTACTGTAGCCTTATAACATAGTTCGAAGTTGACTAGTGCAATGCCTCTGGCTTCGTTCTTTTTGTTTAGGATTGCCTTGCCTATTGGGGCTCTTTTTTTGTTCCATAGGAATTGGAAAATAGGTTTTTTTTCCTAATTCTGTGAAGAATGTCATTGGTAGTTTGATAGAAATAACATTAAATCTGTAAATTACTTTGGGCCATATATTGATTATCACAATATTGATTCTTACTATTCGTGAGCATGGAATGTTCTTCCATTTGTTTACATCATCTCTGATTTCCTTGAACAATGTTTTGTAATTTTCATTGTAGAGATTTTTCACCTCCCTGGTTAGCTGTATCCCTAAGTATTTTATTCTTTTTATGGCTATTGTGAATGGAATAGCATTCCTGATTTGGTTCTCAGCTTGAAAGTTGTTGGTATATAGAAATGCTGCCAATTTTTGTACATTGAATTTGTATCCTGACACTTTGCTGAAATTGTTTATCAGATAAAGGAGCTTTTGGGTGGAGACTATGGTGTTTTCTAAGTATAGAATCATATTGTTTGAAAATAGAAATATTTTCACTTCCTTTCTTGCTATTTGGATGATTTTTTTTCTCTTGATTTCTTTGGCTAGGACTTTCAGTACTATATTGAATAGGAGTGGTGACAGTGGGTATCCCTGCCTTGTTCTGGTTCTCAAGGGGAATGCTTCCAGCATTTGCCCATTTGGCATGATTTTGGCTGTGGATTTGTCATAGATGGCTCTTATTATTTTGAAGTATGTTCCCTCAGTTACTAGTTTTTTGAAGGTTTTTAACATAAAGAGATGTTGAATTTTATTGAAAACCTTTCTGCATCTATTGTGATGATCATGTAATTTTGGTTTTAGTTTTGTTTATGTGGTAAATCACATTTATTGATTTGCATATTTTGAACCAACCATGCATCCCACAAATAAAACCAACTTGATCATGGTCAATTAGCTTTTTGATGTTCAGTCAGATTCAGTTTGCTAGTATTTTGTTGAGAATTTTTGCATCAATGTTCATTAAAAATATTGACCTGAAGTTTTTTTTTTTTTTATTGTTGTGTCTTTGTCAGGTTTTGATATCAGAGTGATGATGGTCTCACAAAATGAGTTAGGAAGGAATCTCTGCTCCTCAATTTTTTGGAATAGATTTAGTAGGAATGGTACCAGTGCTTCTTTATACATCTGGTAAAATTCAGCTGTGAGTCCATCTGGCCATGGGCTTTTTCTGGCATAGGCTTTTTGTTATTGATTCAGTTCTGGAGCTCATTATTTGTCTGTTCAGGGATTCTATTTCATATTGGTTCAAACTTGATAGGTTTTATATTTCCAGGAATTTATCTATTTCTTCTAGGTTTTCTAGTTTGTGTGCATAGAAGTGTTCATTGTAGTCTCTAAGGGTTTTTAAATTTCTGTGGGGTTGGTGGTAATGTCTCCTTTGTCATTTCTGATTGTGTTTATTTGGATCTTCTCTTTTTTTTTCTTTATTATTCTCACTAGCAGTTTAACAATGTTACTTATTCTTTCAAATAACCACCTCCTGGAGTCCTTGATCTTTGGTTTTATTTTTTGAATCTCAGCTTCCTTCAGCTCAGCTCTGATTTTGGTTATTTCTTGTTTCCTGCTAGCTTTGGGGTTGTTTTGCTTTAGTTCCTGTAGGTGTGATGTTAGGTTGTTAATGTGAGATCCTTCTAACTTTCTGATGTGGGTGTTTAGCACTATCAACTTCCCTCTAAAAACTGCCTTAGCTGTGTCCCACAGATACTGGTATGTTGTATCTTTGTTCTCATTAGTTTCAAATAATTTCTTGTTTCTGCCTTAATTTCATTGTTTAGCCAAAACCCATTCAGGAGCAAGTTGTTTAATTTCCATGTAACAGTATGATTTTGAGGTATTTTCTTAGTATTTATTTCTATTTTTATTGTACTGTTGTCTGAGAGCATGTTTAATATAATTTTTTAAAATTATAATTTGCTAAAATTGTTTTATGGTCAACTGCAGGGTCAATTTTAGAGTATATGCCACGTGCAGATGAGAAGAATGCATATTGTTTCTGAGTGAAGTGTTCTGTAGATGTCTGTTAGGACCATTTAGTAAAATGTTGAGTTCAGGCCTTAATATTTTTTTAGTTTTCTGCCTTGATTATCTGTCTAATACTGTCAGTAGGGTATTGAAGTTTCCCACTATTGTTGTGTGGTTATCTAAGTCTCCTCATAGGTCTCTAATAACTTGCTTTATGAATCTGGGTGCTCCTATTTTGGATGCATGTATTTTAGGATAATTAGATCTTCTTGTTGAATTGAACCCTTTACCATTATCTAATGCCCTTTGTCTCTTTTGATCATTGTTGGTTTAAAGTCTGCTTTGTAGGAAATTAGAATAGCAACTCCTGATTTTTTTCTGTTTTCTGTTTGCTTGGTAGATTTTTTTCCATCCCTTTACTTTGAGCCTATAGGTGTCATTACATCTGAGATGGGTCTTTGTCGATAGTATACAGTTAGGTCTAGTTTCTTTATCCAACTGACCACTCTATGGCCTTTAATTGGGGCATTTAGCCTGTTTACATTTAAGATTAATACTGATTTACGCAGGTTTGATCCTATCTTCATGTTGTTAGCTGATTATAATGCATATGTGATTGTGTAGTTGCTTTATAGTGTCATTGGTCTATGTACTTAAGTGTGTTTTTGTGGTGATCAGTAATGGTTTTCTTTTCCATATTTGTCACTCTCTTAAGGACCTCTTGCAAGGCAGGGCTGGTTGTAACAACTTCTCTTAGCATTTGTGTGTGTGAAAAAGATCTTATTTCTCCTTTTCTTATGAAGCTTAGTTTGGCTGGTTATGAAATTTTCTGGAATTTCTTCTCCTTAAAAATGCTGAATATAGGCCTCCAATCTCATCTGGCTTGTAGGATTTCTGCTGAAAGGTCCACTGTTAGCCTGATGAGGTTTCCTTTGCAAGTGACCTGCCCCTTTTTTCTAGCTGCCTTTATCATTTTTTCTTTCATTTAAACCTTCGATAATCTAATTACTATGTGTCTTGGGGATGGTTATCTCATACAGTACCTCACAGGGGTTTTCTGCTTTTTCTGGATTTGAATGTTGGCCTCTCCTGTGACGTTGGAGAAATTTTCATGAATGTTATCCTGAAATGTGTTTTCCAAGTTGCTTGCTTTCCCTCTCTTTCAGAGGCACCAGTGGGTTGTAGATTTGGTCTCTTTACATAATCTCATATTTCTCAGATGTTTTACTTATTCTTCATTATTACATTTTATTTATTTTTATCTGACTGAGATTTTGGACAACAAGTCTTTGAGCTCAAAGATTCTTTCCTCAGTCTGGTGGAATCTGTTGCTGATACTTGCGATTGTCTTCTGAAGTTCTTGAAGTGAATTTTTCAGCTCTATCAGTTCAGTCTGGCTTTTTCTTAAATGACCATTTCATTTTTTATCTCCTGTATTGTGTAATTGTATTCCTTAGATTCCTTGAATTGGGTTTCGACTTTCACCTTAATGCCAGTAATCTTTGTTTCTATCCATATTCTGAATTCTATGTCTGACATTTCAGCCATTGCAGTCTGGTTAAGAACCATTGCTGGGGATCTAGAGCCATTATTTGAGTTAAAAAGACACTCTGGCTTTTTAAATTGCCAATGTTCTGCTGGTTTCACTCATCTGTGTGGGCTGATGTTCCTTCATCTTCAGTTTTTAAGGTTGCTGTCCTTAGAATGGTTTTGTTGTTGTCTTTTTTTTTTTTTTTCTTTTATATTCATTGAATCCCTTGGGTATTTGTTTGTGGTAGAAGGTAGCTTCAATCAGCCAGCTTTGATTCTAGACTGCTCCTAGGTCTTGGAGGAGGACCCTCAATTACTGTATCTATGCCCACAATTCCATTTTTGGGTGTTCTGGTCCATAGTGCTCCGCTAGGCAGGGGCCACAGTTGGCAGATATGCCTTATGCTTACTTGGTCTGCCCTAATCTGCTGTCCACGTCCTTCCCAGGGAAGCATAGGTTTCTGCCTGCCTGCAGAGTTTAGGCAGAAGTGGGACCACTGGGCTGGAAGCACTAGCAATGTGACCCATCTGGCCACAGGAGGTGGAATGAGTGAAGTTTCCTGCCCTGCCATCTGGTGCTTCCAGTACAAAAGGTGGCTGTGTACCTTGACAAATTCAGGTAGAAGAAAGACTGCTCAGCTGGAAGCTCTAGCAAGCATAAACTTCCTGGCTACCAGAGGCAGAGGTAGGTGAGGTCGCCCACCCTGCCATCTGGCTGTTTCCTGGGACAACAGAAGGCTGTATCCTCTGGCTGTGTTCAGAAGTAGGACCACTGGGCCAGAAGCTCTGGCAGGTGTTGCCTGCTACCAGTAATAAGGGAGGGTGGGGTCACACATCCTGCCTTTTGGGTGCTTCCTAGGACAATAAGAGGCTTCAGCTGCTGGCTGAGTAAGCAGAAGTGGGACTGCCGAGTCGGGAGCTGGCACAGAGCCTTGTCTGGCAAGGAGGGGGTGGAGCAATCTTACTGCTCCCAAGCACTTTGACTGTGGCCTCTCTTTGGGATGGCATCAGTGCTGGTCTGCTCCAGAGCCCAACGCTTGTAGAGGTCCCCTTGGAATCATGAGTTGCACCGGCAAAACATCCAGGTGGCCATCTGCCTCAGCCTACAAGTGCAGTGGGGCATGATGGGAAGTGGGTTCCAGGAAGATTCTTCCATTCCCAGTTTTGCATAGTTCCTTGTGGAGAGTGTGAATACCCCACTCACGAATGAGCGGGGCGCTCATTCACTCATTCTTTTCCAAGTTGGAGAGCTACTCCTGTCTCCACACTGAGTCAGACAGGCTGGCGCCCGGCTTCACTCTTCTCTGCTCTCTGTGTGTCCCTGCTGCCTTAATGGATCCCCACAAGGCTTCTCAGATGATTGGTCTGCAGGGCCAGTGTTCACCAGCCCTTTTGTTTCCTCCCCGTGAGAGCCATGCACATGAGCTGCTTCTAGTTTGTCATCTTGGCCCTTAATAAGAATTTTGTCAATGATTCCCATTTTATTTTACTTGATTGTGATAAGCCACCTAACATTTTATGTGTTTCTTCTTGCTTTGTTATTAGACACATTATGTAAATAAGAACAAAACAGAAAATATTCTAGTCTTATTTCTACGTTGAATCATAACGGACCTCTTTCATAACCATATTATGATTTAAATATGGAGTTAATGACAATAAACTTTTATAAAATTATTGAGAAGAATGTGAGGTTTCTAGCATGACAAACAAAAGAATACTTTTAATTATGCATGAAACAAAAATATCAATTTAAGAAGCATATCAAATTACACTGTCAGTTTTCTCTATGAATTCTTTGCTGACAGCATTATATGAGAGGATAAAGGTCAGTAATCAACTAACACAAACAGGCATCATTAATGAATTAGAGATTATACATGCTTATGAGAGAAAAGCAGTGTTTATCATCCTAAGGGACAGCTATAGTGGAAGACCGTGCATAGATGGGCTTCTTTGTCTGGACTCCTTGCATTCCAATATAGAAACAATGGCCACTCAGATGGACTCCTTGCAACAGGCAAAGGACCCAATCATTCATCGTTTCACAGGACAAAACTAGATTTAGGTGGGCTTATCCAAATGTGACACTTTATTACAATGTGATTCGTACTATTTACATTTCAAATCATTCCAAACCAGTTAAGAGCCATATAAACACCAGCCCAAAATGAACAATTGTTACTTGCAACGATTGCTCATAATCCTCTCTATTCCTGATCTGTGTCCTCATCCCCAGCTCTCAGCCATGGCATCAAACGTGCTCTTAACCTCTGCATTGTCCCCAAAGACTGACTGGATTTACATCTCATGCTGTCTTAAATATGTTATTTTAGCCTTGACTACATGGAACCTGAACCAGGGCTTTGGCCATTTGATTGTGCCCTGGAGAGCCTAATTTACTCTCACCTTTACTTCCAACTCTCTGACACCACACATGCCAAAATCCAACTGCCTCGGCATTTCCCTGAAGACAGTGACTATTGTAGGTCAAGGACACCCAAACTTCAACTGTACAGCATATTTCATACAGTTTTCTAATGCATCTTTTGTAAGAGAAGATCTTTTTATTTAAAACACTGTACACTTAGTTTACACTAAATTTATTTATTTATTTATTTATTTTTATTATACTTTAAGTTCTGGGGTACATGTGCAGAACGTGTAGGTTTGTTATATAGGTATACACGTGCCATCGTTGTTTGTTGCACCCATCAACCCGTCATCTACATTAGGTATTTCTCCTAATGCTATCCCTCTCCTAGCCCACCACCCCCCAACAGGCCCTGGTGTGTGATGTTCCCCTCCGTGGGTTGAACAATGTGTTCTCATTGTTCAACTCCTACTTATGAGCGAGAACATGTGGTGTTTGGTTTTCTGTTCTTGGGTTAGTTTACTGAGAATAATGGTTTCTAGTATCATCCATCTCCCTGCAAAGGACATGAACCCATTCTTTTGTATGGCTGCATAGTATTCCATGGTGTATATGTGTCACATTTTCTTTATTCAGTCTACCATTGATGGGCATTTGGGTTGGTTCCAAGTCTTTGCTATTGTGAACTGTGCCACAATAAACATACATGTGCATATGTCTTTATGGTAGAATGACTTATAATCCTTTGGGTATATACCCAGTAATGGGATTGCTGGGTCAAATGGTATGTCTAGTTCTAGATCCTTGAGGAATCGCCACACTGTCTTCCACAATGGTTAAACTAATTTACACTCCCACCAACAGTGTAAAAGCATTACTATCTCTCCACATCTCCAGCATCTGTTGTTTCCTGACTTTTTAATGATCACTATTCTAACTGGCATGAGATGGTATCTCACTGTGGTTTTGATTTGCATTTCTCTAATGACCAGTGATGATAAGCATTTTTCATATGTTTCTTGGCTGCATAAATGTCTTCTTTTGAGAAGTGTCTGTTCATATACTTTGCCCACTTTTCGATGGGGTTGTTTGTTTTGTTCTTGTAAATTTGTTTAAGTTATTTGTAGATTCTGGTTATTAGCCCTTTGTCAGATGGATAGAATGCAAAAATTTTTTTCCATTCTGTAGGTTGCCTGTTCACTGTGCTGATAGTTTCTTTTGCTGTGCAGAAGCTCTTTAGTTTAATCAGATCCATTTGTCAGTTTTGGCTTTTGTTGCCATTGCTTTTGGTGTTTTAGTCATGAAGTCTTTGCCCATGCTTATGTCCTAAATGGTACTGCCTAGGTTTTCTTCTAGGGTTTCTATGGTTTTAGGTTTTACATTTACACCTAATGGAAGGTTTTACAGGTGTAAGGAAGGGATCCAGTTTCAGCTTTCTGCATATGGCTAGCCAGTTTTCCCAACACCATTTAATTAAATAGGGAATCCTTTCCCCATTTCTTGTTTTTGTCAGGTTTGTCAAAGATCAGATGGTTGTAGATGTGTGGCATTATTTCTGAGGACTCTGGTCTGTTCCATTGTTCTATATATCTGTTTTGCCACCAGTACCATGCTGTTTTTGCTACTGTAGCTTTGTAGTATAGTTTGAAGTCAGGTAGTGTGATGACTCTAGCTTTGTTCTTTTTGCTTAGGATTGTCTTGGCTATGCGGGCCCTTTTTTGGTTCCATATGAAATTTAAAGCAGCTTTTTCCAATTCTGTGAAGAAAGTCAATGGTAGCTTGATGGGGATACATCTTTCTTAATGTTTCTGAGATTATATCCTCATTTCTATATGTGTGTTTTAAACACACACTGCCATACACATATAGAAATATTTTGTGTCCTATAAATTCAAAGGAAAATTTTAACATCATAATTATAGATAAATTTATTTGGATTGTTTACATCATGATATGAGGCAATTATGGCTTTCTGCATCATCCTAAAATAATTTAATCATAGCAGTCTAATAGATGACAACTTTCCATATCTGCATTTGAAAAATTGTATTAAAAATTATAGTCATCTTTTTATAAAACATGTAACCTCATTCCTGATGGCAAAATTAACATTCTTAGGTAGGAGCAATATTTCTAATTTCTATTTGAACTTTTTTCTTGATATAAACAGATAAAATATTCATGGTAGCCCTAGGTTTGGAAAGGAAGAATAAACTAGCTATTTCTTTCTTTTCAGTATTTGAGAATAAAATAGAGTATCAGAGAAAATATATTTTAAGTCATTAAATTGCCATTTATTTCAAATAATTTACATAAGATATTAGCACTTAACTCATATCCCAACAGGGCAGATTAAGACAAAGGAATAACCAGTTCTTGTTTTAAACTATGTTACTATTCAGTGGGGACACATATAAATGAATTGTGTAAGAACGTAAGTGATAAAGCATTGTGGCTGAATCTAACAACTCCAATAAACATGTATATGATGTACAATGGCATTACTGGGTCCTAGGAAATTTATACAGGATCACCTTCAAAATGAAAAAAAAAAAATTGAATGTGAGGGTGAGGCATGGTAAAGAAATGTCTGACCATAAAAAAGAGTGGAATGGTATGTATAAAATCAAGAATCAGAGTAGCTCATTATTTTAAAAAGTAATGAAACATAACAATTCTTTGAAAAGTAGGAACAAAGGTATAGTAGGAGATTCTGAAAGAAGGTTCAGAATTTCAAGCCTAAAATTAGGCTTTTAATTCTATTTTGAAAGTCACATTATTTCATTCTCAGAGTATAAACATGAACATGTAAGTTCATTCTACTTGCAATCAAAAATCTTATATTTAAAAGGTAACTAATAAAGGTAAAAACTGAGAGGAAGAGAAGGAATTGTTGGCTTGCTTTTCTTATAGATAGTCCTTCAAAAAACCTAAGTAAAAGTTAGTATACACTGGCAAGGACCACTCTGACTTTCAACCAAGAGATGACCTCTTTGACATAGTCTCTTTATCTGTTAGAAGATAAAATAATTCTAATGTAATGAATTGATAATTTTTTAATAAACATCCCTACAATACATGTATGTAGACAAATACTGGATATTTATTTTTCCTCCATCCATATTCACAAATAATTATTCATGTGTTGGTCTTCTCTGCTAGGCCATACATGCTTGGTGGCCAAAGTTTCTCTATTATTCAAGCATCTGAAGAGCAGTATAATATCTGCCACATAAGAACTTATTAAATATTAGTTGGATAATTCAGTGATTTATTTTGCACTAAAGTTGAAATTTCTTGAAAGACAATTTATGAATGATATACCAAAGAGCTATATTTCACATAATCAACAGAAAATCTACATTCAACTCTTTATCAATGTAGATATCAATTTTATGAAAAAAACATTTTTAGGTTAGTGTACAACTACAGTCTATTTTACAAGAGATTTCCAGGAATGAGTTTAAAATGGGTATTTTCGGTGGTGAACACACAAAAATAATAGCCTTCAGGATCTCATAGTTGTTTTTATAATGTTGATCTTGCTCAAGAACATACATATACAAAGGCATATAATTATAGCATGAGCAGAGAGAGGTCTGTCAGAAATCTCAGAGCCTTACAAATAATCAAAAAGTAAGATATCATTGTGAAAGTAAGAATGATTCACATATTTGGATAATTAAATGACATTTTTAGATATACCATTTGGGTGAGATTTAGAAATATCAAGAAGATAAACACTTGAATATCCTTGTGATGAAAACAATTTAAACAAGTAACTAAAAACAGGAATAGGTATAAGCTGAACTCCTCTGTTTCAACTCCTAGAATTTCAGTTGGGATTCATATCCGTCTATGACTTAATACAGTTCATGTGTAAATGTAAGAAATGAGTCTGATACTTATAACAATAAGTGGATAGAAGATAACTATGAGGCCTCTTTAAAAAGTCTGTGACTCAAGAAAAGACAATTTAATATTCAAGGAATATTAATTCATTGCTTATTAAAGTCCATGTAAAGTACTAATTTCTGGGCATATAATAGTGAATAAAATAGCTAGCTAGGGTCCCTGCCATAATTTACCTCAGATTTTATGATCCATGGATTCAAGATCATTGAATAGGACTTTTTTGTCTGTTAATTGCTATGAGAAAAGAATATGCAAAGATTTAAAAGAATGAGGGGAAAAGAACCAATGCATCAGATGAAATGCAGACCATCTGGATTAAAAGCCTTGAAGGTAAACGTGATGATTGGGTTACTAAGGAAGCCTGATAAATATCATTATTCTTCTATCCCTGAGTTCAAATTTAATTAAAAGTTAAGACAAATAAGCAAGCAGATGAAAAACCCTAATTTTAGCATTATTACTGATAAAATATAATACAGGAAAACATTGCTTATATCTGTAATTTAGTAATGTTATAACAGTAAAAAAAAAAAAAAAAAAACACTAATGATCCAATTACAGTAATCTAACCTGGCTTTTACCTGGGACTGGGAGAATTCCTGGAATATGGGATGTTCAGTACTATAACTATATAAAAGAGAAAGAAATGAGAAACAATATTTGTCATGTTAATTATCCTGCATAAGAACTAGTTCTCACTTATGAAATGGAAACTATCTATCTTATTGGGTTCTCAAAAATATTAAATTAGATAATGCATATAAAACAGCCCAATGCTGGAAACACTAGTGCTTAATAAGTAATTGGTATTATTAAAGGCAGCAAATAATTTTATTTCAATTTTTGTTGATGTTCCTACTGTAAAATATGAGAGTCTTCAAGTTTCTAAAGGCAACATGAATGTATGAGGAATATATAAGAAAAGCTACAAATATGGATTCATTCATACATTAAAAATATTCATAAATTATTTATATGTTCCAATCCCTTTTATTTTTCTTGATATTGAAAATAATAACCAAAAAAGACAGAATCATGACCTTCAAAGAAATATTAGTCTAATGAGTCCTTAATTAATATAGGTTTAGTATTTTAAAAAGGAAAGAGGATTGCAGGAAAACTATAAATGTAACAGTCTGAAATAAGGAGGATGAACTAGCTAAAGAAAGTAGCCAACAACCTTTAATATACCAATTGATAGTATAATAGAAGTTTAAAGTTTACAAAAGGAGTAGGAACTGCTTAAAGGTGAAGATAATACTATTAAAATGTGAATGCAAATTAAATTATCTTTATCAAGTGTTAATGCTACCTCTATATCATTCACATTTATGTGTTCACTTTTAAGTGTTGTTATGAGTTAAAAAATGTTCTGTATATGAGTTAGAAAAATGTCATCATCGTGGAACATATAACTCAACTAAGCCTTTTCATAATCATACGTGTGATGCTGGCCAAGTTGACTATGAAGAAGTTTTCTCTTACATAAAAGGAGAAAGGAAGGTCCATCTAAGTTGTAGAATTAGGTGTTCAAGTCGGGGATATAATGTGTAATTCAACATTGTTTTACTTACTTTCACAGAGGAGGGATCTACTTCCCCATCCCAAAATTTGGTTCTACTGTGAACACTGATGACATCACACATGCACAAAGAGGGTATGAAAAGGCATATTACTTACAAAATGAGCATTTCTGTGAACAGCAAGGCAGTCTCTCAATCAGGTCCAAAAATGAATGGAGGAGTGATTGGTTTGGGGTTTCCTGGTAGTTAGCAGGTGGGGCTAGAATGGGTTCCCACGTAGTCAGGTATTGCAAGGTTTGAACTACTCATTGGTGTCAAAGGAGGGAGCAAGTGGGTTTTCTTATCAGCTTGCCCAGATGTAGGGTAGTGAGAGAAGAGGAAGTGACAGTACTTGAAAGCTGTCAACAGTCAAACATCAAAAATGGAGTCAAACTCTTTATTACAAATCTTTAGGCCAGAGACTTATCTTCATTAATGCCAAACCCAGCTACCCTCTGGATTAGTCTTCCTGAGGTGGTAGAAATTCATTCATATGGTGTTACTGAACCCCTACAGCCTTCAGCTACCTAATCATTATGTATTTACTTCATGCTTTTTATTCTAAAAGTGGCAGTGCAGCTAATTTATTAAGCTATATATTTATGAGTCTTGTGATTGTATTTATGTGTTAAACCAGAAAGTTTAAAACTATAAAATGTACACACAAATGCATACAAATGGGTTAACTGTCTAAGTGTGGTGGCTCACACCTATAATCTTAGCAGTATGGGAGACTGAGGCAGGAGGATCTTTTGAGCTACGGAGCTCAAGATCAGCCTGGAAATATAGCAAGATTCTATCTCCACAAAAAAATTTTTAAAAAGTAGTGGTATGCACTTGTGGTCCCAGATACTCAGGAGGCTGAGGTGGGGGAATCACTTGAGCCTTGGAGGTTGAGGTTGCAGTGAGCCATGATCACAACCCTGCACTCCAGTCTGGGTGACAGAGTGAGATCCTGTTTCCAAAATAATAGTAATAGTAATAATAATAGGTTAGTTCATCCATAAATTCAGCAACATTTCATAGTATTCTGCTTTCAAAAATGTCTGCTTGATAAGATATGCTTAATTAGTTTTCAAAAAAATTTGCTTTTTTTTAAATTTAAAAATACGTCTAAGGTTCAAAAAACATCCTTGTCTAGACATAGAAATTGGGCTACTTTGTATGCTGAGATTCTCCCTACACGTGACATTCTTAGAAGCACATGTTTTCTAGAAAAAGATAATCATAAACATCTGTTTTTGCAGTGGTATTTTTTCATCATAATAAATGCAGACAGTATTCCATGGATTTCTATGGATACAGAAATATGAATTTTTAGACACACCATTGGAATCACTGGTTTAATAAAAGCTAAGTGAAGTGTGGAAAATATGTAAAATATGTTGATTTACTATCTCTCAGAGCATTTCTAAGGAAGCATTCATAAACCTGACTGCTTTTAAAAATAAAATGAAATTCTTCTATAGGTCTATGGTTGGTCGTATTCCCAAGTTAACCTTTTTTGGGGGGCAGGGGCAACACCATGGCTGTGAGCCTAACTCACTTAAGAGGCTCTTTGGAGAAAACCTGTGAACATTCTGATATTTGTGTTGCAAATTCTAAAGTCTCCTTCTATGGAAATTTTAAATTTTGACTGCTAACCCACAGGAACAGATTGAGAACAATTCTATGTAAAGACAGAGAAATGGGCAAGAGTCTTGCAAAGTTAGAAAATTTATCAGTCACCAGAATTAGGCTCAGAAGCGTTTGTATTATCAGATCAAGTATTTTTCCATATAGATTTACATAATCAAGAAAATACATTTGTTATTCCTCAAAGAAAATCAGAAATTGAGTTCACATAACAGTCTTGTCTTCTATATTGCCTAATATGTTCAGACAATTGTAAGAATGTGCTATGAGATTTATCTAAGCACAAAAATGTCAGCATTTATGTATTAAAATTGATTTCTGGCTATCTTTTTAAGAACTGCCCAGTAACTGTTTTTCCTCTGCTTAGAATCTCTTAACTCAGTGGATTACATTTACTATCTCAGGATAGCTGAATGTCCTAAATGGAACTTGACTTACCCTGAGGGTTACTATTTATTACAGGATTTCTCATCCTGTTATGCTTGTAAAGGGTTTAAGGTGACAAAAAAAGTATACATTCAAGAAAATTATTAATATAGAAAAAATATTATATGGAAAAATATATATGTGTCAGAACTCTAGATTAGTATAGTTATTGCAACTGGCATTAAAAGTGGTGCTAAATTATTTAGCAACTACAGAAAAAAATGAAATATAAATGTTACAATTTTTGAATAAGAACATTTATTTCAGCTATCAGGACAGAAGAAAATTTGCTTGGGAATGAATTCTATAAGTAAATTGTTATATTGGTTTCATAAAGAGGACTACTGCACAATAAAAAACATTTATAAAGAACATTTTGCTATGAAGCCATTTCTTATTTTGACACCTGCAAATATTACACCAAAGGTAGCATGAAAGCAAATTTTTATAAGGCACTTCTGTGAGGATGTGGTATCTTCTGTAAGACGAGATGTTGGTCAAAGATACTGGTATCTTCTCTCATGCATGATCTGCAGTGATATAGGACAATAGATAATAGTACCCACACTAGAGGTGCAGTCTAGTTGCATACTGAAACAGAATATTCATGTTTTGAAATGAGGTTTGCTGAGTCCCTACACTTTGACTCAATATCTCTGATGGCAGAGCCCCCAAATTGGCATTTTTTGGTCATTTTTGGGGGAGATTAAGTATAATTTGCATACTGTAAAATTAACATTTTTAGTGGAAAGTTCTGTAAGTATTGACATACACCAAATACATGTTAAGCAAGCACTTAAGATGATTATTTTATTCATTAAATTTGATTACCACTGACTACATAAGTGGTTCTCAAACTTCACTGTGCATCAGAATTACATGGAGGGCTTGCTAAAACTCACCCTGATGTTATCCACTCTCTGTTTTTGATTCAGCAGGTCTAGGGAGGGGCCCAATAATTTGCATTAATGACAAATGCCAGGTGATGCTGATGCTGATGGTCTGAGGGCTCCACTGAGAAACACTGGACTAGAGCAATAGTGCATCACAATCACCTAGGGAATTTTATAATTAGACATGAATATTGTGATCTGAGAAATCAAAATAGATGCCCCTTAATCAATCAAGATGGACCCAAAGTTAGGGAAATTAAGTTACCTATGGGTTGAGGGTTAAGGAAATGTTTGGCATGGAAAATTTCTAAATTCCTATGGTTAAACTTCCTAACACTAGGAGCCATCATTTCTGATTTTAACCCTGACCACTACAACTCTGACTGGACAGAGGACCAACCTTACAAACATTCTTTTCTGGTAAACTATTGCAGACTTTCAGCCAGCTTACAGATGCTGCACACAAACTTTGTGTCTTGTAGTTCACATTTTGATATAAAGGGCCAAATTCAACCTCGTTTTAATGCTAAAATGCCACACCAAGTGAACACAGAATCTATATTACATATCTGTTTACCCACTGAGTATGCACTTGACTCCCCTCATAATTATGAATAACCTCTCCTCCAAACCTGCTGAATATGTATGACACTGCCTCTTCCAGGCATAAAACCCAACCTGTCTTTCCCCTGTTTGAAGAGAGGGCACCTTCATTCCATGCTGGAGACTTTCTCTTCCTAGTTTTAGAAACCAATGTCAACAATAAAGCTCTGTTTTCTACTACATGGTGGTCTCTTAGATGACAATACCTGGGCTCCAAACTCTCAGGGATATGGTCTTAATTGGTCCATAGTACAATCTAGATATAAAGTTTTTCAACTCCGTAGGTGATTTTAATATGCAGCCAAGGTTAAGAACCATGGCCAGAACAGAAAGAATAGAAATTATTCCTCCTCATCATTTTCCCCAGAGTATATATTGACTTGATTCTTGATAGGAACCAAGGAGTAAGGAGTACTACTATTCATAGTACAAGGCTTTGCATTATATATTTTGATTTTATTACATTTAATTATGAAAAATATATCTTACAGTCTTGATTACATTAAGGAGGAAAGTAATGCACAACAGTATTAGTTAAAGCTCTAAGGAACATGGAATCAATAAGAGGTAAGCAGTGGAATCAAAACCATTTTTCTCTGATTCTATGGCCTCTGGCTTGTGATTCATAGTTTGAATATCAGATGGTCCTGAAGCAAAAAATATATTTGCTTTTAAAAATTGAGAATTTGACTTGTCTCATTGCCCACACCCCACATTTACAAAATTGTGGATCATTGAAGTATCTGAGGAAAACTTTCGATCTATTAGAGCACTTGATAATAGCAGTTTCATCCCACAGTTATTCACCAATAAGTATGAGATAAATTCTTTGAGCCTAGAAAAACTGGGAGAGTAGATGTTATTATTTGACCATCTGGGACACTGTATTTCTCCAGTGAGATATCTGATTTTGAATAATACTGCATTCAGATGAACAGACCAAGAGGTAATGAATCCCTAATAGCTGAGAGCAAAGTCTATGTTTTTCTCTGGAGGTAGCTTCTGCATTGGAAGAATACACTCTTAAGATATATTCTCTATCAACATTACTTTTTAGTGACAAGTTAAAAACATTAACATATGAAAAATTCAAATCTTCTCTTCCTCTCCTCAAACAAAATAAGTTTTATTTAGTGTTCATTCAAATTACACTCCTAATTTGCACAACCACACTAATGTTAGTTCTGTCTTAACTACTTCTGTGTTTTAACTATACAAACCAGAGTAGATTTAAATGGAAAAATTAAGGTAGCCTAAGAGGCTATGTAGATATTTTACTGGAAAAGAAGAGATTGCAACTGGGTAGAGAACACATCCCCTCCCCTGACACATGCAGAAATAATGAGAGAAATAAAACAGTCTTTTGTAGATTGCTTGAATTAATGGCCCCAGTTTTCTCCTACCTACAATGAGACTCATTGCTTTTAACTCTAACTTTGATTCCGATGTTTGGCTCTGCCATGTGATATATTTTGGGCAATAAAATGTTGCACGTAATGAAAGTAGAGACTTGAAAAGCACATGTGCAATTGGTTTGATAGTTCTTGGCTTCTGCTATCACCATGAAAAAAGCCTGTCTGGGTGAAACTGCTAAAGGATGAGTCATATGTAACAGACCCAAGTTCCCTTAGCCATCCTAGTCAAGATCACTTTAGATTGATCAATAAGTGCAGCCAAGACCAGCAAAGCCACCTAGCTGACTTGTAGCCAAACATAGATGCATGGGAAAGCACAGCCCAAATTTAATAAAGCCCTCAGCTTTGTCAACTAAAGCATATTTATTGTTTATATGCCTGAAGTCTGATAGTTATTGCTTTGCAACATTATTATAACAATGCAAGACTCATAAATAGCTTGAGCATCTAAGTAGAAGGTAGTTTAAGGGAGATGGATCAAAGTTGGAGAAAGATTTTGGAGACAGCTGTTATTAGTGACAGAATAGACAAAATAAAATGTTTCCCAAAAAAATTTGATGTGCATTTGAGTGAAACATACTTCAACATTATTTAAGAGATTTTAAATAAATTCTAAACTTCTTTTCAGTTAATTTTGGTTGTGTCAGATTTAAATTTTATTGGATATAAATTATGTTAAGTCTAGCTTCAATGTTAAAAAAAGCAGACTCAAACTTTTGTGGGTTATATGTAATACAAACTTATGGAAAAATAAAAATATTCAGAAAATAGACACCTAGACTAAGATCATAGCCAAGATGTTCTTGGAATACCCAGGAACTGAACACATAAATTACCTTTTGGCTTCAAAACGTGGTATAGATTACTCCAGAAAGAGTGAAGATTAATACGAAAATATACTACAGGAAAATCTACTTGTGCCTGTGGGAGATAATTAATAGAATTCTAACATATAAAATGTAAATTAATAAAATAAAATAATAAATCTCCCAGGTTCCCAAATCCTTGAGCCAAAACAATTTTAATAAAATAGGAATGGATTGCTGTTAAGAAAGCAGGTACAACCATTGGTGCCCTCCAAGTATCTGGATGAGCTGTCATTTGAATTGAAATTTTGACTAAGTATTTAAGTAAAATTATGCAAAATGATACCAATGATTGGACAAATAAAATCAATTTTGTTTTCTAAATATGTTCTTTTTTTAATTATACTTTAAGTTTTAGGGTACATGTGCACATTGTGCAGGTTAGTTACATATGTATACATGTGCCATGCTGGTGCGCTGCACCCACTAACTCGTCATCTAGCATTAGGTATATCTCCCGATGCTATCCCTCCCCCCTCCCCCCACCCCACAACAGTCCCCAGAGTGTGATGTTCCCCTTCCTGTGTGCATGTGTTCTCATTGTTCAATTCCCACCTATGAGTGAGAATATGCGGTGTTTGGTTTTTTGTTCTTGTGATAGTTTACAGAGAATGATGATCTCCAATTTCATCCATGTCCCTACAAAGGACATGAACTCATCATTTTTTATGGCTGCATAGTATTCCATGGTGTATATGTGCCACATTTTCTTAATCCAGTCTATCATTCTTGGACATTTGGGTTGGTTCCAAGTCTTTGCTATTGTGAATAATGCCACAATAAACATACGTGTGCATGTGTCTTTATAGCAGCATGATTTATAGTCCTTTGGGTATATACCCAGTAATGGGATGGCTGGGTCAAATGGTATTTCCAGTTCTAGATCCCTGAGGAATCGCCACACTGACTTCCACAATGGTTGAACTAGTTTACAGTCCCACCAACGGTGTAAAAGTGTTCCTATTTCTCCACATCCTCTCCAGCACCTGTCGTTTCCTGACTTTTTAATGATTGCCATTCTAACTGGTGTGAGATGGTATCTCATTGTGGTTTTGATTTGTATTTATCTGATGGCCAGTGATGATGAGCATTTTTTCAGAGCCCTCAGAAATAACGCCGCATATCTACAACTATCTGATCTTTGACAAACCTGAGAAAAACAAGCAATGGGGAAAGGATTCCCTATTTAATAAATGGTGCTGGGAAAACTGGCTAGCCATATGTAGAAAGCTGAAACTGGTATCTCATTGTGGTTTTGATTTGCATTTCTCTGATGGCCAGTGATGATGAGCATTTTTTCATGTGTTTTCAGAAATAACGCCACATATCTACAACTATCTGATCTTTGACAAACCTGAGAAAAACAAGCAATGGGGAAAGGATTCCCTATTTAATAAATGGTGCTGGGAAAACTGGCTAGCCATACGTAGAAAGCTGAAACTGGATCCCTTCCTTACACCTTATACAAAAATCAATTCAAGATGGATTAAAGACTTAAACGTTAGACCTAAAACCATAAAAACCCTAGAAGAAAACCTAGGCATTACTATTCAGGACATAGGCATGGGCAAGGACTTCATGTCTAAAACAGCAAAAGCAATGGCAACAAAAGACAAAATTGACAAATGGGATCTAATTAAACTAAAGAGCTTCTGCGCAGCAAAAGAAACTACCATCAGAGTGAACAGGCAACCTACAAAATGGGAGAAAATTTTCGCAACCTTCTCATCTGACAAAGGGCCAATATCCAGAATCTACAATGAACTCAAACAAATTTACAAGAAAAAAACAAACAACCCCATCAAAAAGTGGGCGAAGAACATGAACAGACACTTCTCAAAAGAAAACATTTATGCAGCTAAATATGTTCTTTAAAAAGTAATAAAGGGAAAAGCAATAGCTGCTGCTTTTACTTATCAAGGTTAGACTTTTTAAACAAGATGTAATGTGCTCTGAAACATTGATGTAGGCAGCACAGCAAAACTCTCATTTATGGCAGAATTATTTGACTTGAACTTCTATCTGGAAAATAAAAAAAATCCTACAAATCAATAACAAAAATAAAAACACAAATTGCTACCAAAAAGAGTTTTTTCCATCATTCTCAGCAAACTATCACAAGGACAAAAAACCAAACACCGCATGTTCTCACTCATAGGTGGGAATTGAACAATGAGAACACATGGACACAGGAAGGGGAACATCACACCCCGGGGCCTGTTGTGGGGTGGGGGGGAGGGGGGAGAGGTAGCATTAGGAGATATACCTAATGTTAAATGATGAGTTAATGGGTGCAGCACACCAGCATGGCACATGTATACATATGTAACAAACCTGCACGTTGTGCACATGTACCCTAAAATTTAAAGTATAATAATTATATAAAACAGAGTTTTTTCAAATGGGCAAAGGTTTTGGACAGACATTTATTAAAAGAACATATGCAAATGATCAAAAAGCAAATCAGGGAAAATAACATTAAAAACACAATGCAATACCATTTTACAACCATTAGAATGGTTAAAATTAACAAGACTGACACCACCAAGTGTTGTCAAGGATGTGGAAAAACTGGAACTCTCATACACCTAGATATGAAAGTAAAAATACACCACATCTCTGGGAAACAGCTTAGCATTTTCTTAAAAAGTTACATATCCACCTCCTCAGCAATACCTCAACTAGATAATTATCAAAGAATAATAAATGTATATTAACAAAAAAAATTGTACAAGAATGCTCTCAGCATCTTTATTTGAAAGAGTCCAGTATTTGAAACAGCCCAAATATCCATCAACAAGAGAATGAATGAACAAAATGTAGTGCAGTCAGATAATGGAATATTATTCAGCAATAAAAAAGAAGTAAGAATAGTTGAACAAGCACTAACATGGGTCAATTTGAAAATATATTATGTTACATGAAAGAATCCAGACACAAAATAGTATGACCTATATGATTCCATTTACATAAATTTTAACAGCAGGGAAAACTACTCAATTGTAATAGAAATAAGAGAAGGGATTGTCTATAGGACTAAATGGGAGAATGAGAGAATTTGTTCTATATATTGTTTGAAGTAGGAGTTATGTGGTTTGATACATTAATCAAAACTCTTTGAATTGTAATCTTAAAATCTGTGCATTTCACTGTACATAATTTTATCTGAACATTTGTTTTTGTGATTCTGGAAAACTTAACAAAAAGTATGTGTATATTAGAAATTGAATATTTCCAGACATTTTGGAGTTATGAATAGCTTAGGATAAAATGTTTGAAAAAATATTTATTGAACAAACCTTTGTTTTAAGAAATTGCTATTTGCTGGAACTGTGTTAGTTTTAATGAATGTAATGATAGATAACCGTGGACTTTCATGTTGTATAGCTAAGAAAACAAACTACCAAAATTAGGTACACAGTTATTTTAGATTGCAGTTTGAAGATAATAATTACTAAACTCAACAATATGAACATTGAAAGTTAACACCCCACCCCCTTTTTATAACTAGTTCTTTAGAAAACATAGGAAATAAATTTTAGATAAAAACCGAATAGGTTTTATTAGTGTTGTTAGAATTGTCAAATACTTTTCACATGAAACATGCTGCAAAATGTTTAATAAATAAAGATGTAAATAAATAAAATATTTCAAATTTTTAAAAAGTGTAAGTTGGTGAGAAAACAACCAGGTTTTTAGAATATCTCAAGAGTGGAGCATATTTTTTTCTGTATTTTGTTTACTCAAGCCCATTTGTGGAGTTACATGCCCAATTGCGTTAGAAATATTTTACTTTCACATTTTCAAATAGTTTTCTTTTTATTATAAAAGTAATATAATTGCACAAAATTCCAACATATTAGAAAGTATAAAACGGAAAGGAAAAAATCACGTTGTAGTCAATTCAGAAGTTATCACTGTTAATTTTTAAATGTGTTTTGTAATGTTTTATCTATGCATAGAAATGAATTTGTTTATAATTATAGCATATGACCATATATATGTATATTATTCATAACTTTCAGCATAGTGTGAAATTCCACATTAAAAATAATGAATAAATTGTAGAAAAGAAGAATTTTTAGAACAATTCCTTAATGATATACACAATGTTACATTTTTATTGTTCTTTAAACTACACTGGAATGCATAAAAACATATACATATTTTAAAGGCTATTAAAAATCAAGAAATATTTTTGTATAGAGTAACTGTACACATGTGATTGTGTTTGTGGCAGGGAGGAAATGCTAAGAACTTACAGTAAGTGTCTCCTATAATTCTGCATTTTTTTTTTTTGGTACTGGTGCGATCTGTTAAAAATGAACATTACAAGACTTCCAGTTTTCAGTTCCACATGTAAGGAGCTTGGAAGTTAACACTCTGTTCTAACAGCAAGTAAAAATCTGAACAAACTGCAAAATCAACAACTTTTCTAGGATCTGTAAAATAATTGATAAGGTAGGGCAAATCTTAGCATCCAAGATTGTAGAGAGAAGTAGGTGAATACCAGAAATCACAACTTACTGAAGCAGAGACTCACTAGCAGAAACTGCAGCTGGAGCCAGTGCTCAAGTAGGAAAACCTGAGCTGTAATTAATACATTGTTGAAGGCTCATTGTGGACAAGTCTGAAAGCCAGAAACTCCAGGAGTACTGACTTATGGGATGGGGCACACTTTTGCGAGACTTACCTCCAGAAGTTCAACCAGGTTCTCACAGTAAATATCAGAGAAAAATCCCCTCATCCTTGCAATGGAAAATGGAAAGGAAAAAGAAATCATGTTGAAATGCTCTAGAACTGTGGCCCCCAACCTTTTTGGCATCAGGGACTGGTTTCATGGAAGACCACTTTTCCACAGATGGGGTGTGGGGGATGGTTTCAGGATGAAACTGCTCCACCTCAGATCATCAGGCAGTAGTTAGATTCTCATAAGGAGAGTGCAACCTAGATCCCTCGCATGTGCAGTTCACTATAGGGTTCCAGATCCTATGAGAGTCTAATACCACCACTGATCTAACGGGAGGAAGAACTCAGGCAGGAATGCTTGCTGCCCCACCAGCCACCTCCTGCTGTGCAGCCTGGTTCCTAATAGGCCGCAGACCAGTACCAGTCCATGGCCAGGGGATTGGGGCAATATTGACCTAATTTCAGGGAAAAGAATAAGTTAATAATTGCCTAAAAGGCTGGGTATTATCAGAGCCTAAGGGACCTGATAGAAAGGAAATACTCAATTCCAGTCAACTCTAGGTTTCCATATGAGAGAAAGGAAATACCCAGCTCTAGCCTACACTAGCCATCCTCTGCTGCCTAATGGAAAATAAAAATAAAATAAAATAAAATAAAAAAATAATAATAATAATTTAGAAAACTGGTAAACACTTGTGAAAGTTCATAATCTGGACCATAGGCTCACAAAAAGACTGAGACCTAATTAACTATGAATCACTTTCATTCTCTCCCACACTTCACGAGCAGACTTCTAAAGGCCTATTTACAGCAGTTCATTTTAGCTAGTATATCATATCAGCTATCAATAAAAAATTAAAAAGCATGTCAAAAGGCAAAAAAAACCACAATCTGAAAGACAGAACAAGCATCAGAAGCAGACATGGCAGGGATATTGGAATTATCAGATCAGGAATTTAAAACTACTATGATAAATACTCTGTAGGCTCTCACGAGTATAATAGACCACATGCAAGAACAGATTGGCAACGTAATCAGAGTAATAGAAACACTTAGAACCACAAAGTAATGCCAGAGACCAAAAACACTGTAACAGAAATGAAGAATTCCTTAGATGGACTTATTAGTAGGCTAGACATGGCTGAGGGAAGAAAGAATTGAAAGTCATGGCAATAGAAATTTTGAAAAGCAAAGCAAACAAAGACTCAAAAAAAAAAAAACAACAGAGTTTGTAAGGACTGTGGATTGACTACAAAAGTTGAAACGTGTAATGGGAATACAAAAATATGAAAAAAAGAAAAAGGAGCAGAGAAATGTTTGAAACAATAATGACTGAGAATTTCCCCAAATTATCGTCATACACCAAACCACAGATCCAGGAAGCTCAGAGAACATCAAGCAGAATAAATGCCAAAAAATTATACCTAGGCATATAACTTTTAAACTACAGTAATTCAAAGATGAATATTTTTTGAAAAGTTAAGTGAGAATAAAACATGTATAGAGGAACAAAAATAAAAATCATATCTGGCTTCTCAGAAACCATGCAAATGAAGTGAAATATTTAAAGTGTTAGAGAAAAAAAACACTAATCTAGAATTCTGTACTCTATGACGTTAACGTTTAAAAGTCTAAGAAAAAGAAATTATTTCTCAGACGAAACAAAGATGAGATAATTTGTTGCCAGTGGACCTGTCTTGCAAGAGATGTTAAAATGTTTGTAAGGCAAAAATATAGGTCAAAAATTTGGATCTACTTAAGGAAAGGAAGAGTATCACAAAAAGAGTAAGTGAAGATAAATTAAAAACTTTTATATTTCTTATTTTTGATTGATCTAATAAGAGTTTGTTCAAAATTATAATAGCACCAATGTATTCACTTATGTATGTTTATATGCAGTCATTCCTCAGTATTAACAGGCGATTGGTTGTAGGACCTCCCACAGATGCCAAAAACTATGAATGCTCAAGTCTCTCATATAAAATGATGTAGCATTTCTATAAAACCTAACACATCCTCCCATATACTTCAAATTGTCTCTGGATTACTTATAATACCTAAGATAATGTAAATAAATGTAAATAGTTGTTCTACTTTTTTTTGTATTTTCATTTTTATTGTTTTTAAAAATAGTTTTGATTCATGGTTGTTTGAATTCACAGATGCAGAATGCATGGATATGGGGGGATGCTTGTTTATGTGTGTGTTTGTGTGTATACACTTGTATATAAGTGAAATGAATGACAATGATATAAAAGATGAGAGGAAGGAATTATAATTATTTTGTTATTAAAAGGTGGTAACAGTACCTATGAATCAGGATAAGGTTATTTGAAAGTAAACATGAATTAATTGTAAGTGTATATTGCAAATTCTAGAGCAAATATTATATTGAGAAAAGGAATATATATATTATGCTAAGAAAGGAGAAAAATGAAATCATATAAAATGCTCAATTAAAACCACAAAGGGAAGAAAAAGAGTGGAAGACATAAGAAAGAACAAAGGTTTTCAAATAGAAAACAGTACCAAATGTGGTAGATATTAATCCAATTATATAAACAATCACTTAGAAAATCAATGATCTAAATGCACTAATTGAAATATAGAGATTATGAGAGTGGATCAAAAAATAAAACCCAAATCTTGCCTATAGGAAACCCATTTTAAATATAAAGACACATAGAGATTAAAAGAACTAGATGGAAAAAGATAGACCAAGCCAACATGAATTTTTTAAAAAAAACAGTAGAGGTAGGGTTCCAAGATGGCTGAATAGGAACAGCTCCAGTCTACAGCTCCCAGGGTGAGCGACGCAGAAGACAGGTGATTTCTGCATTTCCAACTGAGGTACCGGGTTCATCTCACTGGGGCTTGTCAGACAGTGAGTACAGGACGGTGGGTGCAGTGCACCGAGTGTTAGCCAAAGCAGGGCAAGGCATTGCCTCATCCGTGAAGTGCAGGGGGTCAGGGAATTCCCTTTCATAGCCAAGCAAAGCTGTGAAAGACGGCACCTGAAAATCGGGTCACTCTCACCCTAATACTGAGCTTTTCCAATGGTCTTAGCAAATGGCACACCAGGAGATTATATCCCGCGCATGGCTCAGAGGGTCCCATGCCCACGGATCCTTGCTCATTGCTAGCACAGCAGTCTGAGATCGAACTGCAAGGCAGCAGCTAGGCTGGGGGAGGGGTGCCCACCATTACTGAGGCTTGAGTTGGTAAACAAAGCGGCCGGGAAGCTTGAACTGGGTGGAGCCCACCACAGTTCAAGGAGGCCTGCCTGCCTCTGTAGACTCTACCTCTGGGGGCAGGGCATAGCCAAACAAAAGGCAGCAGAAACCTCTGCAGACTTAAATGTCCCTGTCTGACAGCTTTGAAGAGAGTAGTGGTTCTCCCAGCATGCAGCTTGAGATCTGAGAAAGGACAGACTTCCTCAAGTGGGTCCCTGACCCCCAAGTAGCCTAACAGGGAGGCACCCCCCAGTAGGGGCAGACTGATACCTCACAAGGCCGGGTACCCCTCTGAGATGAAACCTCCAGAGGAAGGATCAGACAGCAACATTTGCTGTTCAGCAATATTGGCTGTTCTGCAGCCTCTGCTGCTGATACCCAGGCAAACAGGGTCTGGAGTGGACCTCCAGCAAACTCCAACAGACCTGCAACTGAGGGTCCTGACTGTTAGAAGGAAAACTAACAAACAGAAAGGACATTCACATTAAAACCCCTCTGTACGTCACCATCATCAAAGACCAAAGGTAGATAAAATGACAAAGATGGGGAAAAAACAGAACAGAAAAACTGAAAATTCTAAAAATCAGAGTGCCACTCCTTCTCCAAAGGAACACAGCTCTGCACCAGCAACAGAACAAAGCTGGACAGAGAACAACTTTGACAAGTTGAGAGAAGGCTTCAGACGATCAAACTTCTCCGAGCTAAAGGAGGAAGTTTGAACCCATCGCAAAGAAGTTAAAAACCTTGAAAAAAGATTAGACGAATGGCTAACTAGAATAACCAATGCAGAGAAGTCCTTAAAGGACCTGATGAAGCTCAAAACCATGGCACGAGAACTACGTGATGAATGCACAAGCTTCAGTAGCCAATTTGATCAACTGGAAGAAATGGTATCAGTGATTGAAGATCAAATGAATGAAATGAAGCAAGAAGAGAAGTTTAGAGAAAAAAGAATAAAAAGAAATGAACAACGCCTCCAAGAAATATGGGAGTATGTGAAAAGACCAAATCTACGTCTGATTGGTGTACCTGAAAGTGATGGGGAGAATGGAACCAAGTTGGAAAACACTCTGCAGGATATTATCCAGGAGAACTTCCCCAATCTAGCAAGGCAGGCCAACATTCAAATTCAGGAAATACAGAGAACACCACTAAGATACTCCTCGAGAAGAGCAACTCCAAGAAACATAATTGTCAGATTCACCAAAGTTGAAATGAAGGAAAAAATGTTAAGGGCAGCCAGAGAGAAAGGTCGGGTTACCCACAAAGGGAAGCCCATCACACTAACAGCTGGTCTCTCAGCAGAAACTCTACAAGCCAGAAGAGAGTGGGGACCAATATTCAACATTCTTGAAGAAAAGAATTTTCAAACCAGAATTTCATATCCAGCCAAAATAAGCTTCATAAGTAAAACAGAAATAAAATCCTTTACAGACAAGCAAATGCAGAGAGATTTTGTCACCACCAGGCCTTCCCTAAAAGAGCTCCTGAAGAAAGCACTAAACATGGAAAGGAACAACCAGTACCAGCCATTGAAAAAACATGCCAAATTGTAAAGACCATCAATGCTAGGAAGAAACTGCATCAACTAACGAGCAAAATAACCAGCTAACATCATAATGACAGGATCAAATTCACACATAACAATATTAATCTTAAATGTAAATGGGCTAAATGCTTCAATTAAAAGACATAGACTGGCAAATTGGATAAAGAGTCAAGACCCATCAGTGTGCTGTATTCAGGAAACCCATCTCACGTGCAGAGACACACATAGGCTCAAAATAAAGGAATGGAGGAAGATCTACCAAGCAGATGGAAAACAAAAAAAAGGCAGGGGTTGCAATCCTAGTCTCTGATAAAACGGACTTTAAATGAACAAAGATCAAAAGAGACAAAAAAGGCCATTACATAATGGTAAAGGGATCAATTCAACAAGAAGAGCTAACTATCCTAAATATATATGCACCCAATACAGGAGCACCCAGATTCATAAAGCAAGTCCTTAGAGACCTACAAAGAGACTTAGACTCCCACACAATACTAATGGGAGACTTTAACACCCCACTGTCAACATTAGACAGATCAACGAGACAGAAAGTTAACAAGGATACCCAGGAACTGAACTCAGCTCTGCACCAAGTGGACCTAATAGACATCTACAGAACCCTCCACCCCAAATCAACAGAATATACATTCTTCTTAGCAACACACCGCACTTATTCCAAAATTGACCACATAGTTGGAAGTAAAGCACTCCTCAGCAAATGTAAAAGAACAGAAATTATAACAAACTGTCTGTCAGACCACAGTGCAATCAAACTAGAACTCAGGATTAACAAACTCACTCAAAAACACTCAACTACATGGAAACTGAACAACCTGCTCCTGAATGACTACTGGGTACATAATGAAATGAAGGCAGAAATAAAGATGTTCTTTGAAACCAACGAGAACAAAGACACAACATACCAGAATCTCTGGGACACATTCAAAGCAGTGTGTAGTGGGAAATTTATAGCACTAAATGCCCACAAGAGAAAGCAGGAAAGATCTAAAATTGACACCCTAACATCACAATTAAAAGAACTAGAGAAGCAAAAGCAAACACATTCAAAAGCTAGCAGAAGGCAAGAAATAACTAAGATCAGAGCAGAACTGAAGGAGATAGAGACACAAAAAACCCATCAAAAAATCAATGAATCCAGGAGCTGGTTTTTTGAAAAGATCAACAAAATCGATAGATGACTAGCAAGACTAACAAAGAAGAAAAGAGAGAAGAATAAAATAGATGCAATAAAAAAATGATAAAGGGGATATCACCACCAATCCCACAGAAATACAAACTACCATCAGAGAATACTATAAACACCTCCATGCAAATAAACTAGAAAATCTAGAAGAAATGGATAAATTCCTGGACAGATACACCCTCCCAAGACTAAACCAGGAAGAAGTTGAATCTCTGAAAAGACCAGTAACAGGCTCTGAAATTGAGGCAATAATTAATAGCCTACCAACCAAAAAAAGTCCAGGACCAGATGGATTCACAGCCGAATTCTACCAGAGGTACAAAGAGGAGCTGGTGCCGTTGCTTCTGAAACGATTCCAATCATTAGAAAAAGAGGGAATCCTCCCTAACTCATTTTATGAGACCAGCATCATCCTGATACCAAAGCCTGGCAGAGACACAACAGACAAAGAGAATTTTAGACCAATATCTCTGATTTACATTGACACAAAAATCCTCAATAAAATATTGGCAAACCGCATCCAGCAGTGCATCAAAAAGCTTATCCACCATGATCAAGTGGGCTTCATCCCTGGGATGCAGGGCTGGTTCAACATACACAAATCAGTGAACGTAATCCAGCATATAAAGAGAACCAAAGACAAAAACCACATGATTATCTCAATAGATGCAGAAAAGGCCTTCCACAAAATTACAACAGCCCTTCATGCTAAAAACTCTCAATAAATTAGGTATTGATGGGACATATTTCAAAATAATAAGAGCTATTTATGACAAACCCACAGCCAATATCATTCTGATGGGCAAAAACTGGAAGCATTCCTTTTGAAAACTGGCACGAGACAGGGATGCCCTCTCTCCCCACTCTTATTCAATATAGTGTTGGAAGTTCTGGCCAGGGCAATCAGGCAGGAGAAAGAAATAAAGGGTGTTCAATTAGGAAAAGAGGAAGTCAAATTATCCCTGTTTGCAGATGACATGATTGTATCACTAGAAAACCCCATTGTCTCAGCCCAAAATCTCCTTAAGCTGATAAGCAACTTCAGCAAAGTCTCAGGATACAAAATCAATGTGTAAAAATCACACGCATTCTTATACACCAATAACAAACAAACAGTCAAATCATGAGTGAACTCCCATTCACAATTGCTTCAAAGAGAATAAAATACCTAGGAATCCAACTTACAAGGAATGTGAAGGACCTCTTCAAGGAGAACTACAAACCACTGCTCAATGAAACAAAAGATGACACAAATAAATGGAAGAACATTCCATGCTCATGGATAGGAAGAATCAATATCATGAAAATGGCCATACTGCCCAAGGTAATTTATAGATGC
The DNA here is from genome assembly GCF_000001405.40 of Homo sapiens. NCBI lineage: Eukaryota > Metazoa > Chordata > Mammalia > Primates > Hominidae > Homo > Homo sapiens. Next base: position 81,113,620 of record NC_000006.12, on the reverse strand, counting down.
AATGCCATCCCCATCAAGCTACCAATGACTTTTTTCACAGAATTGGAAAAAACTACTTTAAAGTTCATATGGAACCAAAAAAGAGCCCGCATTGCCAAGTCAATCCTAAGCCAAAAGACGAAAGCTGGAGGCATCATGCTACCTGACTTCAAACTATACTACAAGGCTACAGTAACCAAAACGGCATGGTACTGGTACCAAAACAGAGATATAGACCAATGGAACAGAACAGAGCCCTCAGAAATAATATCACACATCTACAACTATCTGATCTTTGACAAACCTGACAAAAACAAGCAATGGGGAAAGGATTCCCTATTTAACAAATGGTGCTGGGAAAACTGGCTAGCCGTATGTAGAAAGCTGAAACTGGATCCCTTCCTTACACCTTTTACAAAAATTAATTCAAGATGGATTAAAGACTTAAACCAAAAACCATGAAAACCCTAGAAGAAATCCTAGGCAATACCATTCAGGACATAGGCATGGGCGAGGACTTCATGTCTAAAACACCAAAAGCAATGGCAACAAAAACCAAAATTGACAAATGGGATCTAATTAAACTACCGAGCTTCTCCATAGCAAAAGAAACTACCATCAGACTGAACAGGCAACCTACAGAATGGGAGAAAATTTTCGCAACCTACTCATCTGACAAAGGGCTAATATCCAGAATCTACAATGAACTCAAACAAATTTACAAGAAAAAAACAACAACCCCATCAAAAAGTGGGCAAAGGATATGAACAGACACTTCTCAAAAGAAGACATTTATGCAGCCAACAGACATATGAAAAAATTCTCATCATCACTGGCCATCAGAGAAATGCAAATCAAAACCACAATGAGATACCATCTCATGCCAGTTAGAATGGCAATCATTAAAAAGTCAGGAAACAACAGGTGCTGGAGAGGATGTGGAGAAATAGGAACACTTTTATACTGTTGGTGGGACTGTAAACTAGTTCAACCATTGTGGAAGACAGTGTGGCGATTCCTCAGGGATCTAGAACTAGAAATACCATTTGACCCAGCCATCCCATTACTGGGTATAAACCCAAAGGAATATAAATCATGCTGCTATAAAGACACATGCACACGTATGTTTATTGTGGCACTACTCACAATAGCAAAGACTTGGAACCAACCCACATGTCCAACAACGATAGACTGGATTAAGAAAATGTGGCACATATACACCATGGAATACTATGCAGCCATAAAAAAGGATGAGTTCATGTCCTTTGTAGGGATATGGATGAAGCTGGAAACCATCATTCTCAGCAAACTATCACAAGGACAAAAAACCAAACACTGCATGTTCTCACTCATAGATGGGAATTGAACAATGAAAACACTTGGATACAGGAATTGGAACATCACACACCAGGGCCTGTTGTGGGGTGGGGGAAGAGGGGAGGGATAGCATTAGGAGATATACCTAATGTAAATGATGAGTTAATGGGTGCAGCACACCAACATGCCTCATGTATACATATGTAACAAACCTGCACGTTGTGCACATGTACCCTAGAACTTAAAGTATAATAAAAAATATATATATAAAAAAACAGAGTAGCTATATTATTTTCAAATAGAGCTGACTTCAAAGAAAGGAAACTTATCACAGATAAAAAAGGGCATTATATAATGACTTAATGTGTATGTGCCTAACAACAGAGCATGAAACTGTGTGAGGCAAAAATTGATAGAACTTCAAGGAGAAATAGATGAATCCACTAATATACTTGGGGACTTCGATATGACTTCATCAAAAATGGGCAGATCTGGCAAGCAGAATTTCAATGAGTTCATAATTAAACTCAACAACACCATCAATCAACTAGACATTATAGACAGTAATCTATAATGAACATCTATAGATTACTTCATCCAACAATAGCAGAATACACATTCTTCTCAAGCTTGCATGAATCATTCATGAAGGTAGACTACATGCTGGGCCATAAAACAAACTTTACCAAAATTAAAAGAGTAGAAATCAAGCAATACCTATATTCAGACTACAAATAAATTAAACTAGAAATCAATAACAGAAAGCTAACTGAAAAATTGCAAAATATGTGGAGGTTAAACAAAGAACACACTTTTAAATAAGACATAAGTCAAAGAAATGTCAAGAGAAGTTTAAAATATTTACTAAGTGAAAATATGACACAACTTAGTAAAATTTGTAGGATCCAGCAAAAATCATGCTTAGAAGAAAAGATCTAAAGTCAATAATATAAATTCCTACCATAGTAAACTAGAAAAAAGAAGAGCAAATTAAACACAAAGTAAGTATAAGAAAAATAAGAAAAAACAGAGAAGAAATAAAATTGAAAACAGGAAATTAATGATCAATAAAAACAACTGGTATTTAAAAGATAAAAAAACATTGACTAGTCTTTGGTAAGATTAAAATAAGAGAGAATAAAAATTGCTGATATCAGAAATGAAAATGGTGACATTACAATAGATCGTATGGACATTAAAAGGATCATAAATGCATGCTATTAGGAACTCTTCACCCATAAATTTCATAACTTCGATAAAACGGATCAATTCCTTAAAAGACATAAGCTACCAAAACTCACACAAGGAGAAATTGACAACTTTGAACAGACTTACATCTATTAAAGACATTGAATCCATAGTTAATAACTTCCCAAACAAAAACCACCAGGCCCAGATGGGTTTAATAATAAATTTTACCAAACAGTTAAGGAAGAAATTATATCAATCTTCTACAGTCTCTTTTAGAGGATAGCAGCAAAGGGACTGTTTTCTAATAACAAAACCAACGAATTTACAAAAACTACAGCTAAATAGATGTAGATACATAAACATAGATGCAAAACTCCTCAGCACTCTTGAGCCCAGGAGTGGGCAATTGCCTGGGCAATATTGTAAGACTCTACCACTACACAATTTTTTTTAAAATGGCTAGGCATTGTGGTACATGCCCAAAGTCCCAGATACTTGTTGGGGCTGAGGAGGGTGGATCTCCTGAGCCTGAAAGGTCAAGGATGCAGTGAGCTGTGATCTCACCACTGCACTCCAGTCTGGGTAACAGAGTGAGACCCTATATCAAAACAAAAAAATTCTCAACAAAATACTAGCAATCAAATCCAATGTTGAGAAAGAATTATACACCAAATCCAGTGGGATTTATCCCTATGCAAAACTGATTCAACATTCCAAAATCTATTAATATAATCCATCACATTAACATCTAAAAAAAATCATATGATCATACCAATTGATGCAGAAAAAGCATTTGGCAAAACACAACTCCCACTCATGATTAAAAAAAAACCCAACTCTCAGTAAACTAAGAATAGAAGGAAACTTTCTCAACTTGATAAAGAACATGTACAGGAAACATACAAGTAACATGACACATAATTGTGAGAAATTCAAATCTTTTGCATTAAGATTAGGTATGGAAAAAATGTCCACTCTTAACTACTCTTTCAACATCATAATGGAAGTTCTAGCTAATGCAATCAGACCAGAAAAAAAAAAAGGATACACAGATTGGGAAGTAAGCAGTAACACTGTCTTTGTTCACAGATAACATGAACATCTATGAAGAAAATCTGAAAGAATCAACAATGACCGCGAAACTTGTGGAACTAATAAGCAATTATAGTAAAGTTGTAGAATACAAGGGTAATACATAAAAGTCTATTGCTTTCACATATACCAGCAGTTAACAAGTGGAAATTAAAATTAAAAACACAATACCGCTTAAATTAGCATTCAAAAAAATACTTAGGTAAAATCTAACAGAACATGTTCAAGATCTATATGAGAAAAACTACACAATTCTGATGATTAAATCATAGAAGAACTAAATAAAGAGATATTCCATGTTTATGGGTAAGAAGTCTTAAAATTATTCAGATACCAGTTCCTCCCAACTTGTTCTATAGATATGATACACTCTCAATCAAAATCCCAGCATGTAATTTTGTGAATACCGGCAAACCAAATCTGAAAAGGCTATATGATTCCATCCATACCATAACCTGGAAAAAGCAAAACTACAGAGAATGTAAAAAGATCAGTGGCTTCCAGGGGTTAGAGTGAGGAGATGATATGAATAGGTGAAGCAGAGAGAATTTTTAGAAAAATGAAAATACTCTGTATGATACTATAATGATGAAACAATGCCATTATACATTCCTACAAACCTGTAGAATATAAAACAGCAAAAGAGAGCCCTAAGTAAACTATACATTTTGGGTGATGGTGAAGTGTCAATATAGGTTTATCAATGGTAACAAATATATTACTCTGGTGGGAGATGTTGATAACGTGGGAGGCTATGCATGTGTATGGGGAGAGGTTACAGAGGAAATGTTTGTGCCTTCTTTTTAATTTTGCTGTGAACCTAAAACATTTCTCAAAAGAAAATCTTTTACAAAAGAACACTGTGGAGCTTCTCACTATGAAAGAATATATTTTTTAAAATACCACATATTCAGTATTTTGTACAGAGAACAAAACTGTGGCTTAACTTTTCTGAAAACATGATATAAACTGAGCACATGCGAATGTTCCTCAGCTACCATTAAGTACTATTTGGTCAAGTTATACCCAAAGAGACTTCTGTCACTATTCAGCCCCCAAGTCACTTGAGCCCTTTCAAAGAGCAGAATCAGTGAGAATAGCTGTGCTGGTCAGAAGAGAAAGCTTATTAATGTTGGCAGGTACGTATTCTGTGAGGAATAGTTAGGTAAAAGCAAACCTAAAAATCTTGAGGTACTTCCATCCCTGGAGACTTTGTGGAGAATATGCCTTTAAGCCTCAACTATCCAGTAGAGGATCAGTAGCAAGGCGTTATGGCAATGTCTCAGTTGTAGCTCTAAATTTCACAATAACCCATTTTCCTATAAGTCAAAATATTTATTGGAATATTAACAATGGTATATTTTATTTACTGTGTAAATATATTTCATATTCATATGCTTTTTGGGATATATAGTAATTAAAAATATTGCATCTTTATTTCTGACTTAACCAACTGTAGCCATATTGTCTGATTCCTTCATTTTACACTAAACCAAAAAACTTTTATTAAACAAAAAAAGTATTATATTTCTGAGATCAATCAAATTTCTCTTAATTTACAGTCAGAGACTTGCAGAGCTGGATTTTTTTTAGAATCAAAATTATTAAAGTTAAGCCAATTTTATCAAGTGAAGGTCTACCTGTTTTACAGATTGATGTGTTCAATAAATCCATTACTGTTCAGTTTGTCCCAAAACTACTTAAAATGCTAAGTATTTATTTTATTATTTTTCATTTTGTCAAAACACTTTTGAATTATTGTCACTATTATTTAAAAACCCTCTATATTTTATTAGGTAATTTCCTAGAATAAATTATAGACTGATACAAACTTTGATTTATCCAAGAGACTAAGCAAAGAAAATAACTATCAAACGTTGTTATAAACATTCACAGAAAATATAACTTTTTTAAGACAAAGATAAGGCAATTTGATTCACAGAATGGAATGCAGTTAAGCAGGATAACTTTAAATAATTATTAGTGTCATAAAAATATTTGACTTTGCTCATACTATAACTCTTCTAGGATATTTTCTATGTCATCTTGACCATATTTTTCCATTCCTCTACACCAGACATTCAAACCTAAACAATTAAGTTTATCCTTCAATACTGATAATAAATTCTGTATTTTGAACTGTCTGAAACTAATATGTTAACTTGCATTTACTCTGAGTTTTACACTTATAAGATTTTTTCAAGTATTTATTATGATACATTTTAAAAATTGTGAATTCAATAATCTACATTTTTGAATCAAATATTCTTGGTGTTTTAAAGTAGTTACCTTTTGTTTAGACATTTCCTATAACTATGTCTCTTGTTTACAGCGATGTGGAATATATAAGCCTTCATGCAGTGTTGGGGATGGAGATCTAATTAACTATTCTGCAGAGCAAGCTTTTGGAATGTAGTCAAATAAAATATACATGTACCATTTAACTCAGAAATTCTGATCCTGAGTACAGACTCAAGCAAATTCTCAAACACATTACTGAGAAGATATGTGACAGAATGTTCACAGCAGCATCATATTTGACATCAGGGATATGGAGGCAACCAATCTTCTTTCCATCACCAGAGGGTTATGTAAGAAATGGGTCTTGGTCGTGGTGGTAGAATAATGAAGCTGTTGGAATCAATGGACTAAATGTAATTATGAAAATTATAAAATCATGAAAACATAGATGGACCATTTAAAAAATGTAACATTTGAATAATAAAATAATAATTAGTATGAAATGTACAACATGGCTTAATTTCAGTAAAGTAAAAACATGTACATACAAAGCAAACATACCAAACGTATAAGAATGTGAATAAAAAGTCTTTTATTTTAAATATATTAACGTGGTTGACTCTAAGTAGAATCTTTCACATGTATATACTATGTACTATATACAGGTATGTATGTATTTACATACATGTACACATGCATATAACTTTTTCAACATCAGAAGGTAGAATAAGGCCAAAGGATAAAAGCTCTATACTTGAGAACCCAATGGAATGAATAACATGATAAGCTCAATGAGGCGATTATTAATAGTAATACTTAAACCAAAGAAAGTACCCAATATAATTTTGTAACCTGTGATACTTACTCTGTTTCAGCTTGGTTTCCTACACTTTCTAATCCAAATCCCTCATCATTGTAAGAAAATTAGCTAGTATTTAGGGAAAAGTGAGAGGTTAAATCCTTACAATTTCCGCTAATAGGCCGGGCGCGGTGGCTCACGCCTGTAATCCCAGCACTTTGGGAGGCCGAGGAGGGTGGATCACAAGGTCAGGAGATCGAGACCATGCTGGCTAACATGGTGAAACGCCATCTCTACTAAAAATACAAAAAATTAGCTGGGCATGGTGGCGGGCACCTGTGGTCCCACCTATTCCGGAGGCTGAGTCAGGAGAATGGCGTGAATCCGGGAGGCGGAGCTTGCAGTGAGCCAAGATCGCGCCACTGCACTCCAGCCTGGGCGACAGAGAGACTCTGTCTCAAAAAAAAAAAAAAAAAAAAATCTGCTAATACACACCAGTCTGAAAATAATCATACTTGAGGATGTGTAAAGTGAGTAGAAGAAGTTTTTCTACAAGAATTTCAGTCTCTTTCTTTTTTTCAGAGAAACATAAAAGGAAAAAAATAAAGGATTTCTGGATAGCTCAGGAGAATGATCATTATTGCCAGTGCCCATTATACCCAGCAATAAATATAGATGGTAAAATGTTGCACAAAATAATATGATTTTCTAATTGAGAGGGAAACACCAGTAAGAAGTTCTCTGAAAACCAATAAACTGGGATAAAATGTGTTGGTATGATCTAACTGCTCCCTCCACTGGCTAGGGGTGATGTCGAGATAAGTGTCAGAGAGAGGTCAATGAATGTGAGCATGTGAATATTGTAGCTCATTGTTTCTCTCTGCAGTGAAGACATCCTCCTTGAGTTAGTGAAGCCCAAGTTTTCCTTCATTGTAATAGGTATAATTATGTTGAAGTGGATTAACCCTTCTTCAGGATTTTTACTCATAATATGTAAAGGAGGATGAATTCTGGGACCACTCTCCCCAGTTGACCTAATACAAGAGACTTCAGACCTAAGATCTTATCGAGCTCTGCTCTTAGGCTCTGTAGTAGGCTAATAATTAATGGCTCTCCCAAAGATATCCAAGTGTGAATTCTTGGAACCTGGGAATATATTAGTTTACATGGAAAAGGAAAAATAAAGTTACATGTGAGATTTAGGTTGATAATCAGTTCACCTTAAGGTAAGGAGATAATTTTGGATTATCAAGATAGACCCGGTTTAATCACAAGAATCCTTAAAAGTGAAAGGAAAGATGAAGAAGAGAGTCTGAAAAAATATATGACTATAAAAGCAGGGCCAGAGAAGGCTTTAAAGATGGAATCAGGAGGCCATGTATCAAAAGAAATACAGACAACTTGTACAAGCCAGAAAGACAGGTTAAATGGATTCTCTTCTAAACACTCCCTAAAGGAACACAGCCCTACCAACACCTTGATTCAGGAATCCATGAAGGACTTTTGAATGGATAAGAGCCATGAAAGACTTTTGAACTCAGAATGGTAAGAAAATAAATTTGCATTGTTTGATCCACCCAATTTGTGGTAATTAGTTATGACAACAATATGAAACTAATATAGCCTCTCTTTTCCTCAGCATACACAAATGAAAGTAATCAAGACAGGTGGGAAGCTGGATAATTTCATGGTGTTGAAAACTCTTACTAAACTTTGATGTATTTCTACCACATACTGACTCTATCAACATGGGCAGGTTATGTATCCACTGTAAGTCTTGATTTTCCTATGATTTAAATTGAGAAATCATGTAACTATAAAGTTTTGTGAACATTGTAAAATACTGCACATAGAAAGCATTCATAGCCCGATGCCTAGCACATAGTATTAACAATTGTTATACAGCATCAGCCTCCAAACTGAAGCTTGATCCAAAAGAGAACAGGTGTATACAAAGATGAGAATGAGTCAAAAAAATATCACCCACACTGGGTCACAAAAAAGAATGTCTTAATGAAAATCATTAGCAAAATAAAAAGTAATGACAAGGCATCTATGCAAGAATAATTCAAAACAAACAGAAGGCAAAATGAAAGAATGTATCATGCAAAACACAAATTTAAGATTAATTATTAGAATGTCCACTTTCGAAATTGAGAAATGAGTGACTATAAAACTTGTTTTTCCACTAATAGCTACAAACTGTGGGGAGAAAAACACAAATGACAACTACCTGACAAGCCTAGGAGGCTGATAAATACCAGGTAGCTTCTGAAGGTCAACTGAAACTTGAAGCAAGTGATATGCATGGAGAGACTTTCTGGTTTTTACTGCATATATGTGATTGTAGTCATAGATCCTGAAATTCTAATAGAAAAACATGTCATTATTCTGTCTGGAGTAACCAAGAGAAGAGGATCCAGGACAAACAGGGCAATTGGAAAATCAGGGGAAAATCCCAAAATGTGGGTGCCAGAGAAGGAGACCACTAAATTTGGGCATAAACTCAATCTCTGGACTGCTCCTGAATCACACTGTTTTTTTTAAAAAAATAAAACCAGGTTGGCTCAACTCAGAACTAAACCATTGCCCACTGCAAGCTTAATGGTCTCAGAATTAGTCCAATGCAGGTAATACCTTGCTAAAAATAATAAAAAAAGTATCAACACTATTTGGAACAATATAACAGGATCCAGGGTCTACACAACATAATATCAAAAATGTCCAGGATAAAATCTAAAACTGCAAAACATATGAAGAGCTAGGAAAATGTGGTCAAATGTCAAAGAGAAAGAAAATCAGCAGATGCCAAACCCAAAATAACCCAGAACCTGGAATTATCAGACTGGAACTTTAAACAAAATATTTTTTTGGTTTGTCAATGAAGAAAAAGAAAGTATACTCATAATGAAATAAAAGAGAATCTCAGCATATAAAGAGAAAGATAATGCATGAACAAGAATAAAAGGGGCAATTTATCTGAAATAAAAATTTATAACACTGAGTTAGCAGCATGTGTTAGTCTGTTCGTGCACTGCTGTAAAGAAATACCTGAGACTGGGTAACTTATTTTTTAAAAAGAGGTTTAATTGGCTCATACTTTTACAGGCTGTATAGGAAGCATAGCTGGGGAGGCCTCAGAAAACGTACAATCATGGTGGAAGGCAAAGGGGAAGAAGGTTCATCTTACCTGGCTGGAGCAGGAGGAAGAGAGAGATGGTGGGGTGCCACACATTTTTAAACAACCGGATTTCATGATAATTCTGTCATGAGAGCAGCACCAAAGTGATGGTGCTAAACCATTTATGAAGGATCCAGCCCCATGATCCAGTGACCTCCCACCAGGCCCCACCTGCAACACTGGGGATTACAATTGAACATGAGATTTGGGTAGGGGCACAGACCCAAACCATATCACAGCACATTAGAGATAGTAAGAAAGTCAGTAAACTTTGAAGATAAACCATTACAAATTATTTCATCTAAAGAAGTAGATAAAACAGTTTTACAAAAGGAACAATTCTGAGAACATGTGGGGCAATTTCAAAAGGCCTAACATACAATCAAAGTCTTAGATGGAGAGGAAGAAAGAAATAAGGCAGGAAAAATATATGAAGAAATAATAACCAAAGTTCTCAAATCTGGTGAAAGACATATTTACAGATTACAGAGGCCAGGGAACACCAAAGGTTAAATTTAAATGAAACTACTGGTCACATCATGATCAAACCACTGACAGCCAAATATGAAGAGAAAATCTTTAAAGCAGCCAGAGAAAACATAATACAGTAAGCACTAGGGAACAATAATTCAAGGAACTGTAGACTTTTTAAAAATAAACTTTGCATATCAGAAGACAGTGCTGACATTTAAATTACTGGAGAAAAAATAAAACAAAACAAAATAAACAAGTAAACTCAGGTTTCTATATCCACCAAATAAATTCACCAAAAATTAAGATGAAGTAAAAAAAATTTTAGATAAAGAAAAACTGAAAAAATGTGTCGCCACCAGGTCTACACTACAAAAAATGCTAAAATAAATTATTTTGGCTAAAGACAGTTCTCACAGTTTTGGAGGTCAGAAACACAAAATCACTGCACCTGCAAGTTTATGTCTGGTGTGGGTCTTGCCTCTGCTTCCAAGATGGCTCCTATCTCTGCTTTTTAAGATGGCTCCTCACATGACGAAAGGCCATAAGGCAAAAATAGCCTCCAGTTTTTTTTTATAAGGCAAAAATCTAATTATTAATACTTCCTAAAAGTCTCATCTCTTAACGCTGTTGAAATGGGTATTCAATTTCAACATAAATTTTGGAGGGGACACAAACATTCAAACCATAGCAATGCCCAAGCAAACAACAATGCATAACCTAAATCTGTAATAGCAATCATTATATTAAATATTAAGGCAGTATACTATAATTAAAAATCAGAGATAATCAAAATAGATAAAATAAGCAAGACCTAACTTCAAGGAAACTATTTTAAATATAAAGACAGATATAGATTAAAAGTAACAAGACAAAAAATAGATGTATCATTCAAAGAGTAAGCATAAGAAAGCCCAAGATGCTATGTAAATATCAGATGAGAGGCACTTCAATACAGAGTATTGCTGAAGATAATGAGAATAACTTCAAAATATTAAAGGGTAAGTTGTATCAATAAAACAAAACATTATGAATAAGTATGCACCTTATTATAGAACATTGAAATAAATCTTAAAAACTTGAGAGAATTAAAAGTGAAAACAACTCCACAATTACAGAAGTAGGTGTTAATACCCTTCACTCAGCAATTAGAGAAACACAACAAAGCAAGAAGATATTGTATTAATATTAGTTCATCTCACACTGCCATAAAGAACTTCCAGAGACTGAGTAATTTATGTGTTTAAAAAAGAGGTTTAATTCACTCATAGTTCCACAGGCTGTACGGGCAGCATGGCTGGGGAGGCCTCAGAAAACTTACAATCATGGCAGAAGGTGACAGGGAAGCAAACACATCTTTACATGTCAGAGCAGGAGAGACAGAGTGAAGGGGGAAGAGCCACACGCTTTCAATCAACCAGATCTCATGAAAACTCTATCACAAGACACTATAGGGGGATGGTACTAAACCATTAGAAATCAGCCCCATGATCCAATCATCTCCCACCAGGCCCCTTCTCCAATACTAGGGATCACAATTCAACATGAGATTTGGGTGGGGACACAGACACAAACCATATCAGACATAGAAGATTTAAAAATCATTTTCAACTAACTTTATTTGTATTTTAATTTTAGATTCAGTTGTACATATGCAGGTTTATTACACAGTTATATTGCATGATGCTGAGGTTTGGGCTTCCTTAGATCCTGTCACTCAAATAGTGAACACAGCACCCAGTGAAAAGTTGTTCAAGCCTTACTTCCTTCCCTCTATTTATGTTTTGGAGTTCCCAATGATTGTTGTGTTTATCTTTATGTCCTTGTGCATCCACTGTTTGGCTCCCCCTTATAAGTGAGAACATGCAGTATTTGGTTTTCTGTTTCTGCATTAGTTACTTAGGATAATGGCCTTCAGCTGCATTCATGTTGTGGCAAAGGACATAATTTCATTCATTACTATGGCTACGTAGTATTCCATGATATGTACATACCACATTCTTTATCCAGTCCATCACTAATGGGAACTGAGGTTGATTCCATGTTTTTGTTATGGTGAATTGTGCTGCAATAAACATACAAGTACATGTGTCCTTTTGGTAGAATGATATATTTTCCTATGAGGGTATACCCAGGAATGGGATATCTGAGTCAAATGGTAGTAATGTTTTACATTCTTTGGGAAATCTCCAAACTGCTTTCTACAGTGGTTGAACTAATTTACATTCCTACTAACAGTGTGTAAGTGTTGCCTTTTCTCCACAATCTCACCAACCACTAAAAGAAAAAAAAAACTGTTAACCAATAATTCTATATCCAGCAAGTGTCATTCAAAATAGAATGAGAAACTAAGACATTTCCATATAAATAAAAGCAGAGGCAGTTTATCACCATTCGATCTGACCTGCAAGAAATCTTCCAGGCACTCTGCAAGATGAAATAAAAGGGAACTAGACAGTAACTCAAAGCTGTATGTAGAAATAAAGATTTCAATAAAGGTAAAAAAAAGAACAATTATCAAAGCTAATGTTATCGTAACAAAAGTTTGTAACTACACCTTTTGTTTTCAACCTGATTTCAGAGGTTAATGAATTTTATTTTATTTTATTTTATTTTATTTTTTTTGAGATAGGGTTTCGCTGTGTCACCCAGGCTGGAGTGCAGTGGCACAATCTCGGCTCACTGCAATCTCCGCCTCCTGATTTCAAGGGATTCTTCTGCCTCAGCTTCCCGAGTAGCTGGGACTACAGGTGCATGCCACCACACCCAGCTGATTTTTGTATTTTTTTTAGTAGAGATGGGGGTTTCACCATATTGGCCAGGCTGGTCATGATATGCCTGCCTTGGCCTCCCAAAGTGCTGGGATTACAGGCGTGAGCCACCGCCCTCGGTCAAGAGGCTAATGAATTTTAAACAAGCAAAATTATTACCAAAAAACACTAGTATTATTGTAACTTTGGTTTTTTAACTTCATATTTTGTTTTAACACAATTTAAGCAACCATTTGGGCACACAATGTACAAAGATGCAATTTGGAGACTCAGACAACCAAAGGGGGTAGATATGGAGCTATAAAAGAGCAGTTTTTGTATGTGATTGAAGTTAAGCTGTTATAAATTTAAATTCGAGTATTATAACTTTAGAATGTTATATATAATCTCTATGATAATCACAGAAAGAATTAACTATATGATATACACAAAAGCAAATAAGGAAGTAATTTAAATGCTTGACTACAAAAAAATCAATTAAACACATATGAAAAGAGTAATGCAGAAAGTGAGAGAAAAAAAGCTGTAAGGAATGAAGAAACCAATTAACAAAATGACTGAAATAAGTTCCTCTGTATCAGTAATTACTTTAAATGTAAATGGATTAAACTCTCCAATTAAAGAGATTGGTGGAGAGGATTTTAAAAAATGATTCCAATATATGCTGTCTGCAAAAGACTCACTTTAGATTCAAAGGCACAAATAGATTGAAGTTAACAGACAGCAAAAGATTGTTAATGCAAACAGAAACAGAGTATGGGCAGCTATATTAACATCAAATAAAATTGAGTTTATTTTCATTTTAATTTTTTCATTTTAAAAATGGTAAAACCAAAGCTGAAAGGGTTTATTTTTTTCTATATTAAGTAGGTACAAGTAAGATTTCTAACACTCCTAAACTGCATTATCAGAAGTCTGGGCTTTTAGTGTACCCATCACCTAAATAGTGAACACTGTACCCAATAGGTAATTTTTCAACCTTCATCCCCCTGCTACTGTTCCATCATTTGTAGTCCCCAAAGCAAAATAGACTTTAAAACAAAATAGTTAAAAGAGTCAAAGAAGGATGTTATATATTAATAAAGGATTCAATGTAGGAAGAAGAAATATCAAAAATATTTACATACGTATTAATAGAACATCAAAATATGAAATCTGAAAACTGACAGAATTAGACGGCAAATAGAGAGTTATACAATAATAGTTAAAGACTTCAATATTCCACAACCAATAATAAATAGAACTACCAGCCAGGTGATAAGTAAGGAAATAGAACATTGAAATGACATTATAAATCAATTAAAAATAACAGACATGTACAGAACGTTCTTCCAAGCAACAACCAAATACACATTATTTTCAAGTGCATTGGAGCATTTTCCAACATATGGCATAGGGCCATATGTTAGGCCACAAATTAAATTTCAATAGATTTTAAAAGATTAATATTTTATGTCAACAGATGAATGGATAACAAAAATGTGTATATACACAATTGAAAATTATTCAGCTTTAAAAACAAAGGGAATTCTGCTGTTTGCAACAACATAGATGAACCTGGAGGACATTACGTTAAGTGAAATAAGACAAATGCAGAAAAACAAATACTGCATGTTCTCAGGTGGAATATAAAAAGTTCAAACTCATAGCAGAGAAGCAGAGAGTAGTATGAAGGATATCAGAAATTGGAGGGAAAGCAAATGGAGAGACGTTGGTCAAGGGGTATAAAGTTTTAGTTATGCTAGACGAATAATTCCTGGACATCTAATATAAAACATAGTGCCCGTAGTTAACAATACTTTATTATATACTTGAAATTTGCTGAAAAGGTAGATTTCTGTTTTGTTTGAGTCGAAGTCTCGAAGTCTCACTCTGTCACCCACGCTGGAGTGCAGTGGCGCGATCTCGGCTCACCGCAACCTCCGTCGCCCGAGTCCAAGCAATTCTCCTGCTTCAGCCTCCCGAGCAGCTGTGACCACAGGCACGCGCCACTGCTTTTGGTTAATTTTTTGTATTTTTAGTAGAGATGGGGTTTCACCATGTTGGTCAGGCTGGTCTCGAAATCCTGACCACAGGTGATCCGCCCGCCTGGCCTCCCAAAGTGCTGGGATTACAGGCACGAGCCACCGCGCCTGGCCAAGAAGGCAGATCCTAATTGTTCTCATGACATTATAAAAAGAAAAAAAGAAAAGAAAAGAAAAACTATTTGAGGAGATGGATATGGTAATTATCTGAATGTCATGGTTATTTCACAATATACTTATGTATCAATTATATGCTGTAACTATATACAATTTTTAACAGTAAAATAAAACTGTAAAATAATTGTTTAAATGTTCAGCAAAATAAAAACAAATTAAATATAATCCTATTACCATGCTATAATTTTTTTGTGTGTGAATTTCTCAACAATATTTACCAAAAGCACTTATAATTTTTGCAGCTCTAATTCCTCTATTTATATCTATTATTATTTTGATTCATTGAATATGTGACCATCTTTGCATATGATTTTTATTATTTTAATAATTGCACAATATTTAACCACTTTGTTGTACAAATAATTTCATCTATATTCCATTGATATTGAATATTTAATACAATAGTAAACAATTTGGGGCATTAAACATATGGATACTTTGTATCTTCTAAAACCACAATAGGATAAAGTTAAAAGTCAATAATAAAAGAAAAACGGTGCATGTCAAAATTCTGTGAAAATTAAAAATACACACTTTTAGACAATGAATAGGTCAAATAGAAAATTATAAGGGAAATATTAGAAAACACTAACAGAAAATTAAAGTACAACACAATATGCCAACAGTTATAGAACACAACTAAAGCAATACTGATGAAGAAATTTATAGTTATAAATGTTTACATTAAACGAAAAGAAAGATCTTAACTCAGCAACCTAATTTTACAACTTAATGAACTATAAAATTAAGAACAAACTAAATGCAAAGCTAGTAAATGAAAGAAATGACAAATATTAGAGATAAATTAAATAGAGAATAGAAAAAATTCAATTAAAGCAAAAGTTGTTTTTTTGAAAATATCAATGACACTGACAAACTTTTAGCTAGATTGTCTAAGACTTGCTAAGATCAGACATAAAAGTGGGGATGTTACTTTTGATTCCACAGAAATAAAAAAAAGACATAAGAGAATACTATGAATAATTGTGTGCCAACAAACTAAGTAACCTATACAAAATCAGCAAATTAATACTCAATGGTGAAAAGCTGAAAGTTTTTTTCTCTAAGATCAGGAACAAGGAAAGGATGTATGCTCTTAAGTTCTATTCAACTAAGCCTTGGAAGTTATAGTCAGAGGAATTAGGCAAGAAAAAAAATAAAAGGCATTCAAATTTGAAAAAATAAAATAGAAGTAATATTATCTATTTTTGCAGATGATAACAATCTTATATGTAGAAAATCTAAAGATTTCACAAAAGTTAGAATAAGTGAATCCAGCAAAGAAGCAGATCACAAAGTAAACACACAAAAATCAGTAGCATTTCTATACAATATCAGTGAACAAGCTGAAAATCAAATTAAGGAAACAATATAATTTATAATACCATCAAAAAGTAAAAATTACTTAAAAATTGGCCGGGCACAGTGGCTCACGCCTGTAATCCCCACATTTTGGAAGGCAGAGGTGGGCAGATCACCAGGTCAGATCGAAACAATCCTGGCCAACATGGTGAAACCCCGTCTCTACTAAAATACAAAAAATTAGCTAGGCACGGTGGCACGCACCTCTAGTCCCAGTTACTCAGGATGCTGAGGCAGGGGAATCACTTGAATCCAGGAGGCAGAGGTTGCAGTGGGCAGAGATCTCGCCACTGCACTCCAGCCTGGCGACAGAGCAAGACTCCACCTCTAAATAAATAAATAAATAAATAAATAAATAAATAAATAAATAACTTAACCAAGGAAGTGAGTAACTTGTACAACAAGAAATAAAAAAGACATAAATAAGCATTAATGCATCCCATGCTCATAGATTAGAAGACTTAATATTTTTAAGATGTCAATACTACCCATGGCAATCTACAGAGTCAACGCAATTTCTATGAAAATACCAATGATTTTTTTTTTTTTTTGCAGAAATAGAAATACCCATCCCAAAATTCATATGGAATCTTAAGGGATCCTGAATAGTCAAAACAATCTTGAAAAGAGCAAAGCTGTATCACTCATATTTTCTGACTCTGAAACTTATTACAAAGCTGCAGTAACCAAAATAGTGTGGTACTGGCATTAAAGACAGGCACAGAGACCAATGAATAGAATAAGGACCCCAGAAATAAACCCTTGTATATGTTGTCAAATAATTGTTGATGAATGCCAAGACCATTGCATGGGAAAAGGAGAAATAAGCCCTTGCATATTTTGTCAAATAATTGTTGATGAATGCCAAGACCATTCAATGGGAAAAGGACAATCTTTTTAACAAATCGTGCTAGGAAAACTAGCTATCCACATGCAAAAACAATGAAGTTGGATGTTACATAACACCATATGCAAAAATTAACTCAAAATGAATCCATGCCCCAGATGTAAGATATCATGGTACAAACCTTCAATGACAGTGTATTTGGTAATCATTTCTTAGATATTATACCAAATACATAGGCAACAAGAGGAAAAAATAGACAAATTGAACTTCATTAAAAAAGTGTTTACTGAAGGACACTATAAACCGAGTAAAAAGGCAAATCCAAGGAACTGGGAGAAAATATCTGCAAATTATATATCTGATAATTAATATCTAGAATACATAGAGAACTCCTAAAACTCAACAACAAGAAAACAATCAGATTAGAAATAAGCAAAGGATATGAATTGACATTTCCCCAAAGAAGATATATAAATGGCCAGTAAGCACATGAAAAAAAAATATGTAACATCACTTATCATCAGGAAAATAGGAAAATGCAAATCAAAACTACAATGACATGCCATTAGGATAAGCATTATTTAAAAAAATAGCAAGTGTTTTCTAAGATGCAAAGTAATTGGAATTCTCATGTACTTTTGGTTGGAATGTAAAATGATACAGCTACTGTAGAAAACATTATTGAGGTTCCACAAAAATTAAAAAATAGAATTACTGTATTATCCTGCAGTTTTACTTCTGGGTATGTGCCTAGAATTGTAAGCAGGGTCTCAAGGAAATAGTTGCACATTATGTTCACTAAAGCATTATTCATAGTAGCTAAAATATGGAAACCACTCAAATGCCCACTGATTAATGGAGAAGCATAATGTGGTATATGCATTCATGAAATATTACTCAGCCTTATAAGGGAAGGAAATCACAACATATGCTACAACATGGATAAACCTTGGAAAATTATGCTAAGCAAAATAAACCAGTCACAAATGGACAAATACTGTATGATTTCACTCTTAATGAGATACTTACAGTAGTGAAAGTCATACAGAAAGAAAGCAGAACGATGGTTACCAGGGGGTGGGGAAGGGTGAAATGGAGCATTAATGTTTAATGGGTATAAAATTTTAGTTTCACAAGATGAAAAGAGTTCTAGAGATGAATTGTAGTGATGATTGCACAACAATATGAATGTATTAAATGCCACTCACCTGTAAATTTAAAAATAGTTCAGATAATCAATTTTATGTTATGTTTATTTTACCACAATTAAAAAAATGGGAAAATAGAAGGACATAACACATTCATGGGTGCATCCAAACAAACAAAAATGAAAACATACAAAAAAATCCTTAACTACATGAAATTTAAGAATATTTGAATAATATTCTTAAATTTGAATTATATGCCAATATAACTATCAGCATATAAATATATAAAATATCATGTTGTTGGATAGGATTCAATATCGTGATGAAGCAAAACATTTAATTTAAAGTACTTAAAATCCTAATGTGATTATTTGACATTACAAAAATGATTATGTAATGCATTTGAAATGATAGTATACACAAATAGCTCTGAAACAAAAATTAAAAGAGTAGTGTTAAAGATGCTCTAAATGAAAAAAACACATGTATTTTTAAGATTTACTAATTAGAACAGTGTGACACTGACCATAAAAAATAGAAAATCAATGGGACAGAACAGAAATTCACAGAACAGATTCAAGTATTTATCAGAATTTTGTTTGTCATAAATGTGAAGTAGAAGCACAGTTTATTCAAATAAATGACATTATGACAACAGGCTAGCATTTGAGAGGAACATTTAGACCCTTTCCTCACACTTTACATAAAAATAAATTTCAGGTAAATTAAAGATTTTGATATGTAAATATAATATTTTAAGACTGCTCTAAGAAAATGCAAACATTATTATAATATAATAACAAGAGGAGACCTTTTTAATATACTGCCAAAGTCTGAAAAGACAAGGTTTTGATATTTCTAGCTACATCAATTTTTAAAACTTTAAGTATTAAAAAAGTGAAACAATCAAGTAAGGATACCATGATCCAGGAGTGTGTTTATACCATGTAGTTTGTACCAGAACTAATGGTTAAATTTTTAGGAATTCTGCAAGCTGGTTGTTTAATAGAGCCATCATTAAAAATTAAATTAACTTGCAAATAAATAAATTGTATTAATAACAAGGATAATACACACACACACACACACACACACACACACACATTCACAAAACCTTCTCACAAATAAAACTCCAGGCTGAGATGACCTCATTGGTAAACTCTGCCAAATATTTAAGGAAAAAATACTACTATTAAAAAACTCTTTCAGAAAATAGAGGAGATAGAAACACTTCCTAACTCATTCTTTTAAGCCAACATTACTGTGATACCAAAATCAGACAAACATGTATAAGAAAACAAAATTATAGACCAATATACTTCTTTGAACATAGATAGAACAATCCTTAACAAACTTCAACTAATTCAATCCAGCATATATTCAAACAAACACTGATACATCATGACAAGCAAGAGTTATTCCAGGAATGCAAGGTTAGTTTGTCATTCAAAATCAATCCATATGATTCACTGTATTAACAAAATAAAGGAGAAAACCCATATGATCATCTCAATAGATGCAGAGAAAAGCATTTGGCAAAATTTAACATTCATTTATAATAAACGGCTAAGAAAACTGAGAATAGAAGCAAAGTTTTTCAATCTAAAAATGGACCTCTACCAAAAAATATGGCTAGTAACATATGTAAATCTAAACTATTGTACATTTTCCTCCTAAGCTTGGGAAAAAGGCAAGAGCGTCTACATTATAACCTCTACATTAAATGTTGTTCTTAACGATTGTAGCCATTCGCATTAAGTCAAGAAACATCTGGCATACTGATAAGAAAGGATGTGGTAACACTGAATTTATTGAGGCCGTAGGAGATAAGTTTAAGATTTAAAAAGCCAGCTGTCTTTTTTATATAATAGCAGTAAACATTTGGAAATGAAATTACTAAAATTCCATTTATATTAGAGCCATAAAGTACTTACGAATAAATTTAACTAACTTAACAAAAGACATGCAAGGCCACAATACTGAAAACATTGCTGACTAAAATTACAGACCCAAATAATGCAGGGTTATGCCGTGTTGTAGGTTAGAAAACTCAATGTGTTTAGAAATTTAATTTGTCACCAAATTTATTTTAAGAATCAATACAATTTCAATCAAAGTATTAGTTTTTTATGTAAAATTCTAGTTTTATAAATACTAGTAAGTAATAAAACAATTTTAAAATTTGTATAGAAATGCAAATGACCTGGAATAGCAAGCAATTTTAAAACATTATAGAATCATTCTACCACCTGAAATAAAGTCTTCCTATGAAGCTTCAGTAATCAGTGGAATGTGGTATAGGTAGAATAATAGACATATAGATCAACAGAATAGAAGAGAATCTAGAAAGACATGCAGACACATATGATTAACTGATTTTTGGCAAAAGGGTGCAGGCATTTCAGTGGCAAGCAGAAAATCTTTAAGAAATTGCTAGAATAACTAGATATCCATAAAGAAAAAAAGTGAACCTCTAACCTTAGTACACAACAAACACAATACATAATTTGAAATAATTTAAAAATCTAAACGTAAAAGCTAAGAAATATTAAAATTCGTGGCCAGGTTTGGTGGCTCACGCCTGTAATCCCAGCACTTTGGGAGGCCGAGGTGGGTGTATCACGAGGTCAGGAGTTCAAGACCAGTCTGGCCAAGATGGTGAAACCCCATCTCTACTAAAAAATACAAAATTAGCCGGATGTGGTGGCACGCGCCGGTAATCCCAGCTATTCTGGAGGCTGAGACAGAGAATTGCTTAAACCTGCAGGGCGGAGGTTGCAGTGAGCGGAGATCACGCCACCACACTCCAGCCTGAGTGACAGGGTGAGACTCCGTCTCAAAAAAAAAAAAAAGAAATATTAAAATTCTAAACTCTTCAAAGCCTTTGACACAACATAGGAACAGAAAAGATTAACCATAGAAAAAACAAAAAGCTAAGTTGATCTTTATCAAAATTTCAAACTGTTTCTATAGGCACCAGTACATAAACAATAAGGCAAGTCATAGAATGAGAGAAAATATTTGCAAATGCATCTATCTGATATAGGATTTATATCCAAAATGTATAAGCAAACTTTACAACTCAGAATTAAGACAAGTGGTCAAATGAAAAATAGGCAATAGATCCGAACAGACATCTTAAAGGAATAGATATATGAATATACACGAAGCACATTTTAAAAAATATTGAACATCATTAGACAATCCAAATGAAGTAGAATGGCTAAAATTAAAAAGACTGACAAAACTAGTGCTAGTAAGAATGTGGAGCAATAGAATTCTTTTATAGTGCTGGTTGGTTGTAAATCTGTCTGTTCCCTAAAAAAGTTAAACAATATAAATACTATTTGATCTATCCATTTCCCTTTTAGGTATTTTTCCAAGAGGAATGAAAACATATGTCCACATAAAATCTATACATAAGTGTACATAGTATCTTTATTTACTATACCCCAAAATTGGAAACAACCCAAATCTCTATAAATAAATGAATGTATAAACACAATTTCGTGTATCCATATAATGGAATTCTATTCAGCGATAAAAAGGAATGAAGTACTGATACACCCAATAACACGGATGAATCTTAAAACAAGTATGCTGGTGAAGGAAGCCAGTGTCTACAAAAGAACACAATCTGTAAAATTCTATTTATGTAAAATGAAAATAAATTTATATCAACAAGAAGCAGATCAGCTGTATTGAGCAAGGATTAATGCGGGGAAGAATTTAAAGGGCAAATAGAATATTTTGAGGATGATGGAAATATCCTGTATTAGAATTTTGGTGTTGCTTTCTTGAGCATATACATATAAACTTGTTGAATTATACACTTTAAATAGATGCAGTCTATTATTCCCCAATAAACTTAAGAGGGAAAAATGTCAGTAAAAATATTAACAGCGAAAGTAAGTACAATTCAAGACACTGAAGACAAATCTACAGGTAGATGATAACTGAAATGATGGCAATGGCCTAAGTTCCCAGAAGAATATTGTTTATTCAGAGAAAGACTGCTCATCTCGCTGGGGAAAGATGCATAACAGGCTAGACTGAATTGATGCATGCTTGTGCTGCGATCCTCAGCATCCTCTACAGCATTCCCCACTATGGATCCTTTTGCATTCATACAGCAGCCATTTGTGAATCCACCATTTTCTCTAAGGAATTTTTTCCCCTCTCAGTAAACGTGCTTCATTGAGAAAAGTAAGTCAATGGGGTATGAATTTTTCTGAAAATCCCTAAATGACATAAAAGGCCCTTCATGACTTGCTATGGCTTACTCCTCCAGCATTATAGCTTTTGAGCATCACACTTCAGATCCCTATTGCTGTTCTCTCAAAACGGTGTCTCTGTGCTTTGATTACACTTTTCCCTTGCCATCCTTGCACGTTCTCTCTGATGAATATCTGCACATATTTGAAGGCTCAGCCCCAGAGTTTTTTCTATGTGGCTCTTCCTATTTCTAAGCTGAAATTACTCGCTGCAAAGTGATTGCACTGTAGTACATACAGATAAATTTTGTCATTCAATCTGTACACTTTTGTCTGTTCCAGATGCTTCATGAGAGTGCAGTATGTATTATTTCCTGCTTATGCTGTAATTTGAACAATATATATTTTAAGACCCAATATATATTTAAAATAAATAAATGACTTCAGTATTTTAAAGTTTACAAAGAAATTTTATGTTTATAATTTAATTTATCATATTTCCATTTGGCCTCTTCTCAGTCAACTTGGAACCCTGGTCTTAGACTCACACCAGGTTCAAGGAGAACTAGGTATAGAATGGGGTGGTATCAGTCTATGGGTCATAGAGAGTGGCAGAGAGTGTCTAAGAGAGTGTTCAGGAGCAGGCATGCTGTTGTGAGCCAGGTGTAACATCCAATGGCTGAATCAACCAACAGAAGCTGACTTTCAGTATAACAGGGCTGGTAAAACAGGGACACCATAACGGTAGCAGTGAATTCACAAACACAGCTCAGAGCTGAATCTGATCACTCTCCTAAACTGGAGGGCTATCCCCGCTATGTACCTTTGACGGAGTAAACTGCCTTTGACAATGGGTGGGGTTGAAGCTGTAATGTACTCTGTAAAAACCTGTGTGGAAATCCTGTGAGATAGTTCTTACACATGAAAGACTTGTAAAATTGAATTATCCAAAGTTTCATAAATGAAAAGTGACAGAACTGGAACTTGAATTAAGATTTATAATATCAAATTTATGATTTTCCCTCTAGAAGTTTATAATGCCTTGGTTCAAGGACAGAGCCTAATGCTTTCCTTGCATTTGCAAGAAAGAAGAAGAAATAGGCAAGAAATAGATGGAGATCCAGGATAGCATTATTTTATATAACTTAAGAGACAAGAATATTTTTATATTGTGGAATAAAGCTCAAGTGCTCTAAAGAAGACTAAGCATACATATTTGGATTATAACTTCAGGAGAGTGATGAATGATGATCTGTGTTTCTTATACTTAGCTGAAAGCATGGTACTTCCCCAGATGCAAGTATTCATAATTCAAGTCAAAAATGCATTTTTGTCCCTAACTGATATACATAACTAAAGGAGCCTTGAAGACACATGATATTCTCCCTCAAGATTCCATTAACATCCATAACATCTAGGATGGGAATCTATTTGCCCCTTGGTTCCTGGTAATACCCTTTGCCCTTTGAATCCCATTTCTAATTCCATAGACTCTTCCTTCTCAGGAACACTGCTTCCAGTGGTTTTACAGGTTATGACTGTGGTACTTTGGTTAAAGCATATTGTCCTCATGTGGTCTCCACATGCAAAATTTGGGCTTTATCATGGTAAATAAATTTTGCTTGTGAAAATTGCCAACCACTTTATATATTACATTTCTCTTTAACTGCTGAGAGATTATAAACTGAGTTATTAGGACTCTTTTCTGATTATCCTTAGATTCTTAAAATCTTTCTGGGTCCAAAATACCTATGCCATGCTCTAGACATAAAAAGGGAATTGTATATCTTCAAAGGGTGGCATATTCTTTCCTTTATCGGTGATTGTTTTCTGTTTATTGTGGTGGAGCATGCCAATGTTACTGATTTTATATTTACTTTAGATGATTGTGTTAGATTCTTTTAGATCTCATGAAACAAAGACATGCGATCTATTGCCCATTCTAATGGAGAGTTAGTGTACCATCTTTGACTCCTTCTTGGATAAAAATACCAGATACAACCCAGTGTCAGGGGTTCTACTGGTGTCTGGGCAACTCTCATAACTCTTTCTGATGCTTTTAATCATTACATTGATCCAACCGCTTTCTGAATAAAGGTAGTTTTTTTTAAGGTTGAGCCATATAAAATTATTGATTTTTTTCCCCAAACTGGGGTTTCCCTGTATTTTAAACTCCATCACTAAAAGTCCTCATATATCTAAGATCAATAACAAATAATTAAACTTTGAAAGATTTATCCAGGCTGAAGCAGTTCAGAACGTCCCTCATCTTTTCTTTAACACAAACAATAAGTCAAGCTGCTTCCAAGTGAACCATGTCTAAGTAAGTCTGGCTTTCTCCCTTATTGTTACTGCTTGGCAAGCCAAAGGCCTGAAAGGTCAAGGCCTTGTCTTTCGAAAGTATGGTGGAGCCCAAAGTCCAGCCTTTCCTTCACTCTCTTCCAGACTAAGGTTTATTTGTTTATTTATTTTTTCCAATGTAGCCAGATGGACTTTTTTATATCCTGTACACAGGACTAAGTTTGGATTCAGTTTTTCAGGATGAATCCAATTTCAACCTCTCAGTGTTACAGAATGTTTCCAAGGGAAAATTCTTCCAACCACTCTTGTGCATTTAAAATGTCTAAATAATTGTATTTAAAAAAAAATGATTACTTCATCCAAAGTTTCTCCTATTATATCTATCTGGCACACATTAATTTATCACACAAAAGGGAAGAATTGTGCATGGGTTACAGTTCATGCTTAGATGAAATTAAAGAAAAAGTCAATTAGAAACATATATTTTATATGAGAAAAACAAGAAGGCAACTGGGGAAACAAAACAAAAGAAAATAAAACAAAATTCTTGGTACTTTCTCTTTTTCTTCTAAGCAAGAAGAGTATAGCTGTCAACCTTCCTCTGCTTCCAAACTGGCAGATGGGGCAGTTGTATGGTATGTTCCACCTGTAAAACAATTCACTGAAATTGTCTCACAGGTGTAATGAGCAGCAAGTTGTGTGTGGTTCCAAATCCTAACTGCAATTTAATCTTGTCTTGTTTCACTGCTTGCACATCCAAAGGTTGGAATGGAGACTCATTCTATAGGTGAGAAACAGAATGCTGAAGTGACTCTCTAGGGAATTAGGATAAGGGGCTGGAGGAACTGGATCTGAAATAGAGGCTTTCCAGCACCCTGTGCAATGCTTTCTCCATGGAACTTCATCAACATTGACCTTGGATGAAATCTCATGGCCTGACTCTATATATTTTTAGGGCATATAGGACGTAAAAATTCACTTTTCCTTGCCTTTACCTTCCTTGCCAGGTTTGAGCAAATCGCAGGCACGTTATATCTAAGAGGAACACCTCATGTTGGTTTAGCATCCTGATTGTGTATATTACATTCTGAATGCCTTTTAAAAAAAGGCGAGCTGAAGGAAGCCATCAACATGAGTTATTTTGGTTATTTGTCATGTTGATTACGTAAACTTAGTATGTTAATTGCTCCAAGGAGATTTGGATTTTAGTCTTTGTTTCTAATGATGGATTGAAGGACAGCGATTTTTTAAGAAATAATTTAATAAGTCAGAAACTACGAGTAGAAGTATCAGAGGGCAGATGCCTTCCTGCCAAAACATTAAGCCTACTAGAATCTATGCTGTCCAGAATGACAGAACCCTTTCATTTTTGGATTGACACATATTCATTAAAAACAAATTACTCTTCCCATCTGGTCTGACTCATTTTATGGGAACAAGCAGTTCCTCTGGATGTACAAATAGGGAGGAAGGGAATTGAAAATGAAGGGAGGCATGGGGCTGGCCCTGTGCAATTTTTCTAGGTCTCAGAAACACAAATATAATTTTGATGTATAATTAAAATATTCAGAGTAAAAAATCAGCAAGCCCACATATGTGTAAAGACATTTATTATCCTGAACTATCTCACAGATCAATTGAATTTTCAATCTTTAAGGTTTCCCTCAATAAGTCTATCGAAACTAGCTTCTGTTCCAGGATCAAGTGCTAAATTATCAAGACACAAAAATGAAGGTATTCTGTGTCCATTCTGACTTAATTTGGCCAAAACAGTGGTGGAATTCATAAATCACTTTATTAAATTGTAAATGCCTGTAGTCGGGGCACTTGAAAAAAGTAGCATTGAAGTCTTTCCATCCTCAAAAAGGTTGTTGAATGTTACAATTCATAATCAGGGACCAGAGGAGGTCATGGAGAAAGGAAAAATATATACATATATAAGAGTATATAGTTATATGTATATCACCATAGCACACTCAAAATACTGTCAATAACTTTTTACCTATTATCCTTTTGGCAATGAAAAGATTGTTTTAATTTTTATAAGTGAAGTAATCACAATTCTCATTCACTTCTTAAGTTCTTAAATTACTTGCCATTCACATCTTAATCTCTTTGGTCTTTATAGACTGATAAATATACTTGTCTTGGCAGAATTAATATAATTTGTTTTCTCTGTGTTTTAAATGCTAATCTGGGAATTAAACTTTCCAAAATTTACCTAAACATAATTAAAGTGATGCATAATTATATTTAACTTTTTTATTTATTTATTTTTTATTATTATTATTTTTTGAGATGGAGCCTCACTCTGCCACCCAGGCTAGAGTGCAGTGGCGCAATCTTGGCTCACAGCAAGCTCCACTGCCCGGGTTCATGCCATTCTCCTGCCTCAGCCTCCTGAGTAGCTGGGACTACAAGTGCCTGCCACCACACCTGGATAATTTTTTGTATTTTTTGTAGAGACAGGGTTTCACCTTGTTAGTCAGGATGGTCTCGATCTCCGGACCTCGTGATCCACTCGCCTCAGCCTCCCAAGTTGCTGGGATTACAGTGGTGAGCCACCATGCCCGGCCAATTATATTTAACTTTATACATATATATAACTTTATACATAAAATGACCTTGATTGTTCATATAGGGAATCTTAATATGGAATATTAAATTGAGATTTCCATTGAGTACATGTTTTTAATTCTCTTCATCATTATATTTCAAGGGAAAAAGTTCATGAATGATAAGAAAAATAGGTTTGCCAATTTTGACAATACATTTTTTTCATGGATGAACTATGATGCATTATTTTTTTTTTGAAACCTGATAGTGATTTTTTTCTAAGAAAGACCATCCAGGAAAAATCACTGACATATTTGAGAAAAGGAATTTGTGTGTGGTATCAAGAGAAAAAAGTTGGACAATATTGACAAATTTTCTTCCAAATGCAATTTTATCTAAATACACTGTTTTGTTTTAATTTTGTTTACCCTGCTCTGAATTTGAAAGACTTCAACTTGGTTTGAATTACCACTAATTCTTGGAGGGTGTGATAGTAAGTTCAAGATGTCCAATAATTTTTCACTTTGAGGATCAGGCATCTTATCACAAGAAATCAGAGCCAAGTTATAATCTATAAAGAAAATATTCTTATTTAATTTTGGCTCCAGGCTATCTTCGCATTAGAAAGCCAATAGTTCTTTCCAAGAGTCTTTCTAGGATACAACAGGCTTAATGTTTTATAACACGGCTACATGTCTATATGTACAGTTTACAACTCACGAAACATTATTGTTGATGTTAAGTCAGGGTTTTTGAAATGGACTCAAGGAAAGAATGTGCTTACAGATGTTTGGCTGGCTTCTTGGACAGGGTTTTCTAGGGGTAATATTTTAATTGAGTATCACTAACTAAGGTCTAGTCATCTGCTTAAATCATTTAGAAACTCAATAAGATCAGTGTGTTATGAGATAATCTGTATCTCAGGGCCGTGCTTATGTGAGCCCACCTCATAAGAGTTATACGAGTTATATTTAGTTTCTGTACTCCAGGCACTCTGAACTTTTGCCAGGCATGGCCTCACCTCACAACTTTTATACTAGATCTTTCCTGTGTCTGAAATGTTCTGTCTTCAGATCTATGCTTCATTTAGTATAAGCTGAAACATCACTGCCTCAGAGAAGCCTTCCCTGACGACTTTATGCAGACAAACCTCTGGCTTGCTTTCTCCATTATTTTTAAATCAATTTACTTTTCCACAAAGCATTTACTGTTACCTGAAATTATATTTTATTTTATTTTATTTTATTTACAATAATTTTCTTTTCCCCACAACTATGTGAGCAATTTGAAAATCAATTAATGCAATATACCATATTAACAAATTCAGAAAGAAAAACCAAACAAGCATTTCAATAGTTATACAAAAAAAATTGACAAAATCCAATATCCATTCCTGATCAAACTCTCAGGAAACTATGGATAGAAGGGAATTTCCTTAACTTGATAATGGGCATCTATACAAAACCTAGAACTACTATCATATCTAATTGTGAGAAAATGAAGATTTTTTCTCCTAAGAAAAGAACAAGACAAGGATATCTTTTCTCAACATCTTTATATAAAATAGTTCTGGACATGCTCATCTATGCAGAAAACCTGACGCAATCTATAACAAAATCTACTAGAACTTTTAAGAATGTTTAGCCACATTGTAGGACTGTGTGTATGTGTGTGTGTGTGTGTGTGTGTGTGTGTGTGTGTTTATCCATTATATAAAACTATTAAAATAAATGTATTTTAATGTTTTAAATGTATATAAAACACATTATATATAATGTATTTTTATGTAAGAACCAAACCACAAATTGAAATAAATAAAACAATGTAATTTTCAAAGGTATCAAACATATAAAATACTTAGGAAAAACTCTGGCAAAAGAAGTGCAAGACATTTACATTGAAAACTACACAACATTGACGAGCAGTATTGGGGAAAAACTACGTAAATGGAGAGACATATCCCATTTATAAGTCAAAAAATTCGATGTTGTTAAAATGTCAATTCTTCACAAATTAGTCTATAGATTCAACACAAGTGTACTAACAGTTCCAATAGGCTTTCTTGTAGAAATGAATGGGGAGAGTTTATAGAAAGAAGAATTCACAGCCGGGCACGGAGGCTCACGCCTGTAATCCCAGCACTTTGGGAGGCCGAGGTGGGTGGATCATGAGGTCAAGAGATTGAGACCAGCCTGACCAACATGGTGAAACCCCGTCTCCACTAAAAATACAAAAATTAGCTGGACGTGGTGGCGCAGGCCTGTAGTCCCAGCTACTCTGGAGGCTGAGGCAGGAGAATCGCTTGAACCTGGGAGGTGGAGGTTGCAGTGAGCTGAGATCCGATCCTGCCGCTGCACTGCTGCCTGGTGACAGAGGGAGACTCTGTCTCAAAAAAAAAAAAAAAAGAATATAGAATTCACTTACTAATATTATTTTGGGTTCTAAATTTTAGTATATCATCATATATCATCAAGTCACATATCACCAAAAAAATAAAAACTCTTTAATCTTGAATTTGAAAATTTGATTTTTAAGTTATCAGTATAAATCCAAGATATGTTTTCTCATAAAAATACCCGTTTTCTAGTTCTGAGCACAGAAAGTTGCTAGAAGCCATGGATAACCTACTCCCAATAAGCATTTTAAGCACATAGATTTAGAGATTTTAAATCATTCCCTATTAAATAGAATACTATTTATTGGAGAAATTGTGGATTCTAGATTTAAAGGAGGAAATATATAAGATAAACATAGAATATTTCATCATACTAAAAGGTAAGAACACTGAAACCACCTTGGAAAGATCCAACTATCCAAGGCTGAGGCAACTGGAACATTAATAAAGATAACTGTAACACACTGAACATATTTCATATGTTTATATTCATGAGTTCCTTATGATACAAAAGAAAAGAGAGAAAAAAGATAAATAATTCTACTAGCAAGTCAGAACCACAAAGTTATTATTTTTAATGTGAAATCAACTATGATTCAAAGTTAATCAAGGGAAAAGTCAAAAATAATTATAGATTTATTGTATCTTTTCTTTATCATCTATTTCTCAGAGTAACCAAGTAGTTGATGAAGGGATATTCCTATTTCATAGACATTTGTGAGTTACTCAGTAGAAAATAAAAAATAAATTATAAAATTAGAATATCACCATTTTGCAAACCTTAACAAATTGACAAAATGGGCAATGATCAATGATGGCTCCTAATATTACAGACAGACAGAAGACTCATTGTATGTGCATCATGTATCTACTGATGCATATGCAAACACCTATGAAGTTGCCTTGCAAAAATCAAACAAGCAAACAAAACCAAAAACTGAACTTGACTCTTATCAAGTCTTTTGCCTCAAGCTGGAGCCAATCATAAGACAGAAACCAGACAGTAATTTGGAGAAGAGTTTAATATAAAAAATTATTAACTATACCACAGGATTAGTCTAATAAAGGATTGAATAATATGTGGTAAAGTGAAATATAAAAAACATAGGAGTGACAGATAGGAACAGCCACTGCCCTCAGGGCTGAGACAGGACACCCAAGAAATATACAAATCTGGAAGAGAACTTCCAACTGTCATGAGAGCCAGACCTCATTGAAGAAGGCATAGTCAAGTCACATTGAATGATGAATTCGTAGAGGTGCTATACTGAGGGATTTGTTGAGAATCTGCCCTCTAGGGTATAGAGGAAACTGTCCAAGAGGAGACTCCACACCAGAGGAACTCACTGGGAAATCACACTCTGGGGTAGCTGAAGAAACTGCCAAAGGAGAGGTGTCGTCGCCCTGGAACTTACTGCAAAACTGCCCAAAAGTGTGCTGGGGAAGCTGTCCATAGGAAGGTGCCCTGTGCTGCTGGCCACCTTGCGTTACGGAAGACTGCCAAAAGAGTACACCAGAACTGGGAAGCAAATGCCTTCCTCCTCCAGGATCCCTATTGTACCATTCACTGATAGAGCTTTACACTGAGTTGACTTGTGAGGGGAAAACGTTCCAGGGTCACAAGCAAGGTCGGAATAGGTGAATTTTGAACTAAGAGACAGTAGATTGATAACTGATAAACTTTGAGCTCTAACTCCCAATACAAGAGAAATACAAGGTGCAAAGAGACATGATCACCCCATGGGGATACAATCAGAAAATTTTAAACAAAAAGAGGGGGTCAAAATCAACATATGCAAACAAGAAAAATCTATTTAGTAAATGTGGACTCTTACTAGATATTTGATGATATTAACAGTTAATTTTTTTCAGATGTGACAATGTTAGTAGATGGTGATTTTTTAAAGCTCTTGTCTTTTGGAGTTAAGTTCTGAAATATTTATGTATAAAGTGACATAATGTCTTGTATTTTCACCAACAGAATTCAGTGGAGAGGAAATGGAAGAGGATAGAGATGAATTAAGATTTTCATGATTTAATAACTATTGATACTATGTGACAGGTAAAGGGGTTCATTAGAGTATCTCTTTACTTTTGCATAAATTTAAATTTTTCATAATAAAAGTTAAAAATAAATACCTGTGGAGTGGATACAAAATGAAAAATATTCTTCTTGTCAGCTCTCATATTTTAGGAAAATATGTAAACTTCTTACAAGTCTACTTAGGGGAAAATATAAACATACCTAATTATCAATGAAAAACAAGTATGACTGCAAATAAAAGATTAAAAATTATAAGAGAATACTATGTACAGCTCTAGGTCAATTCCTCTATAAATATGTCCAAAACTGACACATTTTTTAGAAAAATAGAAATTATTAAGATTGTCTTGAGAATTGGAAATTGAAATAACCCAACTGGAACGCTAAATATTAAAACAAAACTATCAAATAATTGCCTTCAAAATAAACATCACAACCAGATGGCTTTAAAGGAAAAGTCTTTTGAATCATCAAGGAACAGAATATCTTATACAGTAAAATTTTATAATTACCATATCAGATTATTCAGTAAAGTCCACAATTTGGCACCACCTTCTACCCAAAAGCTATTTAAAAGACAAGCAATATTTAAATATAAAAATGCAAAATTAATAATAGTGTTAAAGAAAGAAAATAAAGATGCGATCTGCAGTTTGAACGTTTCGAGAACTTTCTGGAAGACTAAAAGAAGACATTGGAATGACAGAGGTTCAAAACAGAGTTGAGGGGCTGCCAGGCTATCATAGGTTAAGGATGGGCTTTCGAATAGAGTCCTTAACAACTACAAATTTAGTAAGAGAAGCTGGTGGTAAAGTGGAGATTAAGACAAAAGGCAGGAAATTAATTTAAGGTGTGTAAGAGCATTGGATGGGTCCTGGGCCCCCCAACTCACACTGTCTATGGCAACCATCTTAGAGCCACAGGTGCAGCCTAAGTTGCAGTAGATGCAAATCGGCAGTGTTCACGGATGGGAGAAAAGCAACTGATGATACCAATGTTCTTAGCACATGTACCCTAGAACTTAAAGTATAATTTAAAAAAAAAAGAAAGAAAGAAAAAAGAAAAAATCCTACAAGGTAAATGTAGGATTTACCTGTCTTAGATGCTGGGGGGGGAAAAAAAAAAAAGAATATTCTCAAAAATCACTTTTCAAAACTAAATTACTAGACTGAAAATATTGTAGTTGTGTGTTATAATAAGGGCTTGAAAGGAGGGGGCTTCCAATTTTCTGCATCAGACTGAACAAGGGCAACCACCATTTCTTTGGTGACGCAGAACTCTCATGTAATATCTGAATTCTACTTTACAGGAATTAAAAGTCGATGAATCTATTTACATTTGTTATTATACAAGCAAAATCTACAGATTTCTCATTCATGTATTCATTTTTTAACCCTCTGCCATATCTCTAAATTCTAGCTTAACTAATTCCTCTAGGCACCATCACTGCACATTTGCTCCAATCCATTTAAATTGATCCAACATGCCCAGGTAGGCAGGTCCTAGAAACACACGTGAATACACTCATGAGTTGTCGACTGAATCTGTTACCTTGTTTTAACCAATTTCGAATACCTGATCTGAACTTCCTAGTGTTCACTCTGTTTTTTCAATACTTCGAGAAACTCTATCTCCATCCCTTCTGTCTCAGTTTCCTACTAACAACCACTTTCCGTCTCTCTAATCTGGGGTACATTTTGTACTCACTTTCCTCACTTAAATGTAGAACTCTCTTTCAGGAAACAACTTTAAATTTGCTTTCCCATTCATGCACTATGGCTGTGAATAAAAGATGCTTCAATTGCGAGGCTCTATCCTATGAATAACCATTCATAGGATGGTTCCACCCTATGTAGAGTCACCACAGCACAGGAGCAAATTGGGAGGAAATGCAATAGATATTGCACGATTGTAATGGTGGTATATAATGTAAAAAATTCCCAGCACTATCCTCTCCAGAATATTGATGTGTTATGTGCTGCATCTTATGAAAGTGTCTTACCATTTAAAAAAAGCCAAATCTTCTTTGAAAGTCAGGTGTTGCAGGATTTGCTTGCGTTTCAACCCTATCCAAATAAGTGGATAATCCTATGAGGTTCTCTCTGATCTCAACACTGTGATCAGTAGTGATAGACTTTGTGATTTCTATTATGCAAACCAAAGAATGGGTGAAAGTCAATGCCTATTATATAATTACTTTAACTTTTACTTTTAAAAGATAATTTAAAAGTCTTACAGAGGAATTTGTATTTTGCATTTATTTTTCTTTAAGTTTTAGGGTACATGTCCACAACGTGCAGGTTTGTTACATATGTATACATGGATGTCTGCTTCTTTGAAAGCCAAATCTGGCATACTCTTCACCAAGTGGATAGCACCTCCTCTTTGATGGTGCTGAGAGTGTGGCATCTGTGAACTAGAGTCTCTAGTGCCTTTCTAGAAGCTAATAGAAAAGGTTATAAAAGAACATAATACTTATTTAAAAGTAGAGTGACTTTATATCCCACTTTTCCCTATAAAATAAAGATTAAATCTATCACCCAGAATTAATTACTTATAGTGCCCCCTTTTACTCCCTTATTTACTACCTTATTTACTCCCTTATTTACTGCCTTATTTGAAGCAAAAACGATATGGTGCCAATACCTGAAACCTATTTTCTCCCACAGATGAGTAAAATCTATTTCACCTTCAAACTAGACAAAACAAAGGAGGAATAAGTTACAGAGTGCAGCCTCCTGCAAAAGCAACAGTGAGGTGCCAATTCCTGAGAAATTTGAGAATTTGTGATATAGCTATTAGTCTACCGATTTAGCATACATAAAAAATACAATGTGAAAAAATGTTTCAATATGACAATAAAGCAATTAAATTAAATGTAACCACTTGCTATTAACACATCTTTCTTAAATAATAGTAAATAAAAATAACAGGATACCTAATAAAATGCACATGTGTTTAAGAAATGAAGCACAAATGTAACTGTGAAACATAGTTTAGAAAATAGAAATAACGTTGACATATTGGAATTAGAGGCACTTGAGGCCAGGAGGTTCAGACCAGCCTTGGCAAAGAGTGAGATCCCTGTCTCTTCAAAATACTTTTTAAATTACCTGGGTTTGGCGGTGTGCACCTGTAGTCCCAGCTAGTCAGGAAGCTGAGACGAGAAGATCGCTTGAGCTCAGGAGTTCAAGGCTGCAGTTGGCTAAGATCTCACCACTGCACTCCAGCCTGGGTAACAGAGGAAGACCCTGTATCTAAATAATGATGATAATAATAATAAGTAACTTATTCATTTATATATAAAAATTTCCATTCTATTGTTAATTGTGGAAAACAAGAGGAGAAAACCACAGAAAAAAAGGAATATAGTCTATCCATATAAAGATAAAGGTAAAAGACATTAGTATTAAAGAACAACTGTCAATCGTTCACAACGTGGCATTTTCTCATCTCTCTCATCCACCACACCTAGCAACAGTAAGCTAAGTAAGAAAATCATTTAATTTCAGTTACTGTTAAAATTTTTCTACCCTCAGTTATTAGCTGACATTCACATTGGTTTTCCTCCTCTTTGGGATTTCCAGTTGTCTTATTCTGTATTGAAATATATTCCTTTCACAAGGTAGGCGTACACCTATTTCCAGTTAATTTTGCAAGTCAGTGCCTTCATGGCTTAAAACAGAAAAATTTGTTCTTTATAGGCAAATGTGCCACTGCGAAGGACATTTTGGAAAGTTAGTGGTATCATCTGGCCTCTAGTGGAAGTTTGCACTAAATTCTTAAAGATGGAAAAAACACATACATGAAAAGCAATACTCTATTATTGAATATGAAATGGATCCATAAAAAAGAAAAGGATAGAGACTTTAAAGTTAGAGACCCTGACTCTGTGTTTCCATCCTGCCATGTAAAAGTGGTATGAACTTGGGTAAGTCATTCACCACCTAGGGGGCTAGTAAGGGACAAAAGGGAAAATAACTTGAAAGGGCGTCAGTGCAAAATCTATATATAGGTATTATATGTGCTATACATAGTATTATATGTAATATATGTGTGTATGCATATATATAGGATGTGCTTTATAGTCTGTATATATACACATACATATATAATGATGTATTAAATATATTGTCTATATTATATATGATGATGTGCCCTACAGTCAACTTATATAGACAATATCTATATATGTTATATATATAGATGGTAGAGCACATCATTATTACAGAAACATTAAAAAGCAAATACAGAGTATAAGTGTAATAGTATAGACACACATCTAAAAATAAACAAAAAAAAGTCTACATGTAACAATAAAGAGAATAAGATAGAAAAGAACTGGGATTCCTTCAGAAAATGCTGAAGTTTTCTTTGCAATTACAGGGCGGAGGAATGTATAATAACTTCAATTAAACGTGCAGTTATAGAAAACCTTAATTCATTCTTACTTCCCTGTAAATAATAATAATATGTAGCATAGTAGCAGCAGAATAATTCAGTGCTTTATAATATTTTGAATTGCCTCAAAAATAAGGTGCTGCCTCACCATTCTAACACTGAACGTTCCAGCAGATTCCATGATGGCTGAGGAATGTGGTAATTATAAATTGAGAGAAAGAAATTTTGAAAATGACAAAAAGAATTAAAATGACACCATAAGCACTGAATTTGAAAAGAAAGAAGGAGCTAGAATATTAGCTTATCTAGCCATTGGAATTAGACCCTTATTTAAATGGGACGTGACAGCTTAGATCACTTAATGTCCAATGCTAAAGTTCACAGGGTGCCTACTGTACACGGTAAAGATGGAAAATTGAATGCAGTGTGGTAACCAGATAAGGTGTAAATCCTTAAGGTTTTGTTTAAGTAGAAAATATTTTCAGATACTAATAAAGTCACTTTTAAAATAGTTTATAAAACTTCAAAGTAACTTATTTTTAAAATTGGCCTGAAGAAATTAAAACTAAGTGTAAAATGCTGTAGTTGTCCTCTGTTAATAAAACAGCTCAAGACTCAATAGAGTGCAATAAGGGAACTCAATAAATTTCTAGAAAATGTCAAGGTCCCCATTATTCTAATTACCACTTTGAAACTTAGGAGTTATTAGCCCCATAAAAAAGTCAACAAACTGAATGGGCTTTCACCAAAACCCACTGCACAACATCAAGCTTCTTTACAGGAGAGATTTCACCAAAATCTGTAAAATGAATTCTTGTTCTGGAGCTTATTTTGGTGCCTTAAAAGCCTACTTGTGTCTTAGAGTCCTGCTTTGCAACACGGGTGAGTTTAGTATTTCAGGAGCAGACACTAGGGGAAGCATTGAGCCTGCCAATTCAGAAACAGACACCAGCATGTCCTCAAGTCTTACAAAGACCACCTTTGTGGGCTGCATTATTTTCGCATCAGGCCGTGCTGCCCTGCCTTGTGTTGTGTTTTTAGTTTCTGAAGAATGCTGATCCGCTCTAAATGATCTACTGAAAACTGAGTGTTGAAGCACACACAAAAAGCGAAAAGTGCCAGTTAGCACATGCATAATTATTTCATGGCATACTGCGAATTAGCAAAGGCAACTTTCAGCTTTTTAATCTTGTATATGTTTTCTGGAAGCTGCTTCATATCCCCCTTTTCAGGGTTGATAGCTGCAGAGAAGAAAGGGAGTAGGGTATCAACGATATTTTCATGTGGAATAGCTTTTTAAAGATGGTGTAATAAAATCTCCATTAAAAGTGAACAAACATTGAATTCAGTATCTGCAGTATTCAGATCTTTAAAAAAAAAACTGGCTTAACCTCAGGAAATGGTATGAGCAATTATAGCTATTAAATTCACTTTGCACTAAATATAATCCAGCAGCGTATACTATTTAAGTCAATACCATGAATGACCATATCATGTGGACATACATACACATGCTCATTTTTGATACTATGTAGTTTTAATCTTATAAATATTCTATGTAGTATGTGTTAAGTGGAAGAAATGGTGAGTTTATGTGACCCAGTTTTCACCAAGATTCCGACATTAAGTAATCTTTATGACAGCATATTAGCTAAAGCTCTAGAAAGGTAGTATGAACTAGTATCTCTGGCCTTAATAATTGATGATAATTCATAATTTTAAAAAAGAGAAAAAGATAAAGAAGTACATTCTATACCAGAAAAATCCTAAATGCCTGTAGTGAGAGCAACTTTTCTGTATTCTGTAGGTAGCTGTTCAGAACTCTATGGGATTTCCCCTTTGTCTCACCACCAGACACCACCATGGGGCAAATAAATTTTAGGATAAGGTAATTTGTTTCTCTGCCTAGATATGGGATAATAGAAGAGAAAGTATTCAGCCTGTTCCCTACTTTTGGCAGGTTAAAATCAGTTGTATTTTTTAGAAAAATTGTGAAAAAAATGATACATTTCTGATTTCCTATTTACCTGTCTGTGCAACAACTCGTTGAGAACTGGAACATCATTTTTTTACTGACCACAGAACAGTGTTTCTTGTCTAGAACCTTCTGAATGAATGCTGTTTGAATTAATCAAGGCATTAACGAATTTCCCAATAGTCTCTTAGCTTTTATCACTGTGAAGTGTAGAGATGACAATATGGTAGAAAGGGGAGAATACCTACAACGTTTCTGCTATGCACCTCAACTCACTCTTGCCCTATCCCCAGTCCCAGCTCTCTCTCAAGGTTGTTTTGTCCTTTACAATCAGTGCTAGTAGGTTTTCATCTTTCACTGGAAAATTGATAATGAACAGTATACAGAAATATGTTCAGTGTATAATTCTTTACCAAATGTCCACCATTTGCCAAGCATTGTATCTGGGAATATTAACAGAGATTCAGAAGATAATATTTTACGCTCGTTGACAACTTATTTCTGTTTATAATAGCATCATTAAAATATTTGCAGAATTTTTAAAAACTTTCTACCATGTATTAGATATCAATTCTCACAATCACTTTATGAATTAAGTGTTATTATTATTTCCCACTTTCAGATGAGGAAACTAAGGCAAAGAAGAATTAATTAACTCACCCGAATTAATACAGCTGGTTCTTCCAGAACCAGGATTTGGACTGAAGTAGTCTGGCTTTGGAGAAGAGCTCTTAACCAATAAGCTATGTAGTAAAGGTTTTCTGGGTGGTGATGTGAAAGACTTAGCCATGTTTCATGGTTTCTGTGAGAAGCATATTTTTAGACTGTAATATTGCTCATTCTGTGACTTGGCCATGAATTTCAAGCAAATCACACATTTGCTAAACCACCCAAAAGAAATATATCCATTTGATAAAAGCTTTTTGTTTGAATTATCAGTTGAACATTATTTATTTACAAGCCTTCAACAAGTTGTAGCATTCACAAAAACATAGTAATTAATTTTAACTTCCCTTTGTGAACCTAAAATAAAAATGGGGTAATTGATATCTTGGTACACAGAATTCTGATCTACCTAAAAGCATGCTTAGCATTTTTCTTTAGTAACTTAAAAGAGTATTTGATAATTCATAAAGAATCCCAAAACTTATGGCCTTTTGTCTGAAAATGTTGTTTTATGAATTGAATTCCCTCTTACATCCTTTATGAATAAATCCTGTATCTTAGATTTTAATGATGTTTATTTTTATTTGACCTTAGTCTTTTTGCCCTTACAAGGAGATTTTAAGATTATGAATATGAGGAGCTCTACAGCAGTCTTTCCCTAGAAGTGAAATGACATCCGGCTAAATGGACTCAGTGGTTTAAGAGATGCCTGTCAGTCATATACTTTCTTTTATGTCCTAAATTGGGCATTGTTCTCAATCAAAATGCTTTATTGTTCTACAGTATTTTGCCTTCCTTTTTCTGGAGTATTGTAAAGTCTTTCTCTTTCCACTATAAATGTTTAATAGTTCATTCTTTGTTTATCAAATATGTATGAAGAGTCTACTATGTGCTGGTACTGCTTAGTTGGGAATATGAAAGCAAATCACATGTTGCATGATTTTTAAATTGCTTACATGGCATAAAATATCAGTTAATATAAAATAAAATATGCAATATATACAAATATATACATATATGTGTGTATATGTGTGTGTATATATATATATACTATGAAGTATGTATATGTATATAGATATATATGTGCTATAAAGTTCACAACAAAATAAAAGCCTATAATCCAACCAAAGAACAGAATATCATCAAAATCATCAAATTTACATGTCCATTCCCTATTCCATTGTCCCCTGCCTCCCTTCAAAAGATAACCACTATTTAAACTTTTTTTTAATTTCCTTTATTTCTCTTGATTCTTCTTATCTTCATTCTCTTTCTTTAGAAATTTTACTATAGGCATATATACCTACTTTCACTGTTTTGTAATATTTTATTCTTTAAAAAGATGCATATTTATCCATCTCCTGTTGAGGGAACTTTGAGGTATTTTCAGATTTTGCTATTGTGAACAATATTGCAATGAACATTCTTGGGTAGGTTTCTTAATGCATCTTCCAGAATTTCTGGCATATATGCCCAGTAAAATTTCTACAGATAATGAGAAGATCCACAATTTTAAGAGAGTGATAAGTTGTATCCAATATGATAACAAATTTCACTGTCATAAACATTGCGTAAAAGTCACCACTCAATGTTTGAAACTATCAGATGCCTTAAATTTTGCAAAAATTAAGTGTGTACTAAATAATATTATAATATGGATGTTTTACAATTTCAGTGGTTTCTAATGAAGTTTAATACTTTTTATACGCATATGGGTAGTTATTTCCCCTTCTATAAAGTGCTAGTTCATTTCATTGACTCCCTTCTTTTTTATTTACCATTTTAACATAACATTAAAGCTTTGAATCTATGAAGAAGCAATTTTGATGTATGGTGTGAGTTAGGAAGCCCACTGCAATTATTTTTTAATGGATATGCAATTGGCCTGGCACCATTTGTTTCCTGATTGATCCACTCCCAAGTGATCTTCGAAGCCATCTTCCTTATGTGTCAAACGTAAAACTGTTTCTGATATCTCTATTCCATTCCATTGGTACTTCTCTATTCCTGTGCCAATAGGTCATGGACTTAATTAGCTCTATGACTTATTCCTATTTTTCTTTTTCAGGAGTACTTGTATTATCATCAGTCATCAAATAATCTCATTTAAATTACATTTATTCATCAGTTTGGAGAGAATGACATCTTTATGGTATGAAATCTTGTTAGATATGAAGACATTACTATAATGTAT
Organism: Homo sapiens; assembly: GCF_000001405.40. Classification (NCBI taxonomy): domain Eukaryota; kingdom Metazoa; phylum Chordata; class Mammalia; order Primates; family Hominidae; genus Homo; species Homo sapiens. The sequence continues at coordinate 81,072,274 of NC_000006.12, read as the reverse complement.
TAAATAAAGTTTTATATTTTTATATTTATGAAGGTTTTGCTGTTTTTTATTTCTAGGTGCTATGTTATGATTTCTTCTTAAATCAGTTTTACGAAGTGATATTTTATAGAAATACAACCTCCAATAAATCAAACATTTTATATACACATTTTAAATATTTTGAAAACTTTGCTAATTTTAATTGTTTGAACTATCAATAATTGTGAGATGTGTGTTAAAATTTCCCACTGCAGTGTATCTTTGCAAATTTTTCTCTGGAATTTAGACATTTTTGCTCTATATATTTTGAGGCTTTATTATTTAGTACATTCCAGTTGTTCTGTAAATTGAAACTTTCAGTTTCTAATGAATGTGTTTAGTATTTGAGGTTGCTTAATAAAGAGGCGGTTAATATATTTACCGTGGGCATATTATTTAGCCAATGATGCCTGAATATATTGTTTGTTCAGAATTAACTGAGCTTACCAACACTCAGCCATTAATTTATTCAATAAATATTAACATGAGCACCTATACCTGGTCACTGCCCTCGGCAAAGGAGACACAATTTAAGAAAAGATCAACAAAGTCTCAAATGGTGATGGTAATCTAATGGTAGAGATATATAATAAAATAACTATTAACTTTGTAAGTGGCTAAATAAGAAATTTCAGTAAAATGTGATGGATAATATGAGAAAAAAATACAGTGTGCAATGGAAGCATGTTGAAGGGACTCCTACTCCAAGCTAGAGGAGATGTTAAGAGGGAATCATGAGAAGTCTTTTAAGGGGATTGACCTACAGACTAAGACATGTTTGATTTCAAGTTAGGTCAGTGAATGGGGAGAAGGGAGAGGAGAAGGCAAACAATATTCTAAATATACACATATTCTAAGCACTGCCTGTTGGAAGTAAAGCAGTGAGACAGAGCCTGGCATAGCTGTGGAGCTGAAATGAATCCCAATGACTGTAGCTTGGCAGGAGTAAGAAAATTGCCTAGAAAGCAGTTTGAGGAGGAAGCTACTAGTCAGGTGCTGAAAGTCTCATAAATCCTGTGAGTCCACTTGCAATCTTGGCACCCTAAGGCATCTGAAACAGAAAAGTGGCATGACCATATTTTAATTTCGAGATCATGCTAGCAACATACAATGAATGGATTAGAAAGAGCCAAAATGGTAGGCAGGGGATCTGAGAAAGAGAAAATTTTAATAATGATGGACAAGAAGGCACAGTCAACAGGACTCTGTTATCAATTAGGTACAGAGGGGTGAGGTAGCGGGAAAAGTCAAAAATAGCCCTCAGATTCCTGTCTTAGGGGAGAAATATGATACCACTCACTAAAATTAGGAATTAAGAGAAGAAGGAATAAGAAAAGTTTCAGTTTGGAAGTCACATTTGATGCATCTGGAAGACATTGATGTATAGATTTCCACTAAAAAGTGGCAAGCTAGAACATGGGAGAGACAGCTGAGCAGAAAATAGGACTTTGTGAGTTAATCATTAGACTTTGATAGTTGAAGGTGTGTAGGAAGTTGAGATATCTCAGAGACTAGGATAAGAATGAGACTAGGGAAGCCTAGAAAGTATTGAAAAGTGTTTAAAAATGTAGTATTAAGAACTCCAGGCCGGGCACTGCCAGTGGCTCACACCTGTAGTCCCAGCACTTTGGGAGGCCGAGGCGGGCGGATCACAAGGTCAGGAGATACAGACCATCCTGACTAACATGGTGAAACCCCATCTCTACTAAAAATACAAAAAATTAGCCGGGCGTGGTGGTGGACGCCTGTAGTTCCAGCTACTCGGGAGGCTGAGGCAGGAGAATGGCGTGAACCCGGGAGGTGGAGCTTGCAGTGAGCCGAGATTGCTCCACTGCACTCCAGCCTGGGAGACAGAGAGACTCCATCTCAAAAAAAAAAAAAAAAAAGAACTCCAGATCTTACCAAATGGTAACATTTCTTAAGAAATAGTAGGTTTTATTAAAATAAACTCATCAATATAAAAAGAAGAGAGTAATGCATGAGTGTGGCAGCCAAGTATATTTCAACCCTAAAACCTTCGTATCTATTGAAAAGACCATCCAAAGTGTTATATAAATGACCCATGATTTGACTTGTGTCAAGATCTTTAAAAGAAATCATTGAAAAGTTTTCCTATTGTGTATGTTTATTTCCAAGCAAAAACAATTTAATATACAGAGTAGTTTCCTTCAGATTTTTGGTAAATATATATTTGAGTAAGGGTCTCACTCTGTCCCTCAGGGTGCTGGAGTGCAGTGGTGCCTTCATGGCTCACTGTAGCCTCAACCTCCTGGGCTCAAGCAATCCTCCCACCTCAGCCTCCAGAGTAGCTGGGACTACAGGCTCATGCCACCACACCTGGCTATTTTTTTTTTTTTTTACTTTTTTGTAAAGATGGGGTCTTGCTAAATTGCCCAGGCTGGTCTTGAACTTCTGGCCTCAAATGATCCTCTTGCCTCAGTCTTCCAAATTGTCAGGATTATAGGCATGAGCCACCACACCCAGCCATGTTAAATATATTTGCTCTGATTTTTTTCAATTTTAAGTCTGTCAAACAAAGCATAGTTTTTTCTTTTTTTAAATTAATTTATTTTTTATTATACTTTAAGTTCTAGGGTACATGTGCACAACATGCAGGTTTGTTACATATGTATACATGTGCCATGTTGGTGTGCTGCAACCATTAACTCGTCATTTATGGACTAAGAAAAAACTATGCTTCATCCTACATGGATGTAGGGACATGGATGAAGCATAGTTTTTTCTTAGTCCATTTTCACATTGTTATAAAGAACTACTTTTATGTTTATGAAGGTAATTTATGTAGAAAAAAAGCTTAATTGACTCACAGTTCTGCATGGCTGGGGAGGCCTCAGGAAACTTACAATCACGGTAGAAGGTGAAGGGGAAGCAAGGACTTTCTTCACATGACAGCAGGCGGGAGAAGAGTGAAGAGAGAAGCGGAAGAGCCCCTTATAAAACCATCAGATCTCATAAGAACTCACTCACTATCACAAGAACAGCATGAGAGAAACCACCAACATGATCTAATCACCTCCCACCAGGTCCCTCCCTTGACATGCGGGGATTATAAATTGCAATGCGATTTGGGTGGGCACACAGAGCCAAATAATATGAGTTTTTAAATACAAAAGACCACATTAACATGGGAGGGTTAGCTTAGTTTATTCTATTATAGTTCCTTCTTTATTAAAATAAATTATTAAATAATCATTATAATCAATTTGTAGAAGCCTAGTTTATAAGTGCAAGACTAAAAAAAAATCCCATGGTTTAAAGAAAGAAAGAATTCAGGCATATAGTTTCAGGAACGAACCTTAGTCAGAAAACTGACCCTATGAGATACATTTTAACACAAATCTACATGCCTGAAGACAATTTATTTGTTTATAATAAACATTCCTAGCAATAACCCAGCTAAAAATCATTGAGGGACAAGCTACTTTTGAACATTCTAAAGCTCTCTTTACAGCTTGAGAATGGAGTCAACCTAATTTGTAAGCAATTAAAATTTGTAAACCTGTGTATTTTAATCTTTCCTTAAAGCAGGTGGAAATGAAAGTATGCACATATAATGTTGAGCAGCTTTGAAGAAATGGACATATAGAGTGGAAAATTAAGAGAGGCCAAGAATTAAAGTAACTATGTGCCTGGTAAGACAATTATTATTTACATTATTATTAAATATCTTGAAGAAACAGTATATTGTTTTGTGTAATTTTCATTGTCTTGTATATTTTTCTCTGTCAATTGTGTTTTATTCTGTCTTCTAGGAATTTGTATGGGGTTGAGTTATAATTAATTTTCTGATCCTCTCCTCAGGAACTTTCTCCATTAATTTAAATGCTTAGTATTTTGTCAACATGGAACAATAGTTGCTCAACAAATGTAAATTTACTCACTCTTTTCCTTCCTGTTTAATTATGCAAATAATTAAAAGATATTAAAGATTTAACAGACGGAGCAAGCCTGAAAGTTTAAGTCATGAAATTTTGATTCCTTGTTGTAATAAAAAGGATAAACTACTAAAAGATAAGCTGAATGAAAGGAAGAACACTATGCCTCTGAGAAAGCATTGTGAGCTTTGACATGTACCTGAGGACAAAATGTATCTGGCACTTTCTAATCCCAGAGAGCTACTTTCCACCTATGATTAAGACTCTCAGAGACAGACCATATTTATATTCCTAATTAATGCCTTTTATGTTTTCCTCCTCAGCTGTCAGTAGAGCAAAACTTTGGGAACTCCTCTGCTTCTTGTCAGAAATGACAAAGGAAATCAAATTTGGCATGCTCTGAAAGTAACACAAAGATTAACTTCATGGGGAACACGTTGTCAACCAAGTCAGAAGCTTTAAGGGAAACTTCGTCTTGACACTGACTTTACCAGTGCTTTCCATTGTTCGTATCTCACGGAACACAGAATCTACACTGCTGGTCTAAACAAGGAGCAGATAAGGGGGAAACCCAACAGCCTAATAAGACATCCATCTCACAAACCAGGGGATATATTCAGTGTGCGTAGTCTTATATAACTTATTAACATGTGTGCTGTCTTGTGTCTACCCAGAAAGGAATTATGAAAGAGACAGTATATATTCCATGCTTAGTGAATATAAATACATTACTAACTTGAAGTTTAAATCATATTTTTTAAATATAGCATGGTTTAGTGGATCATTTAGTTACTAAGTGTTCAATAACAATGGAACATTTTTCCTGTGCTACACATTATTTGAATAACTATGCCATTGTGGAATAGTCCTTGAACATAAGGAGCTTTATACCAAGGCACTCAAAGATGCAAAAGGAGTTATCTCATGCTATGAAGATTTCAATAATGACTTTAAATTATAGTAGGTTTGTACAATCCTGATGCATTATGAACAGAAGACCTAAACTGCATTCTACCTTCTAAATAGAGCAATTACATTCAGTCCCCTAAGGTTCTTGGTATGTAAGCCTATTTTGAATGCACATAATACAGTGTGGCAGTCCGGAAATTACATAAATGCCTAATTCCACTATGGTTTATGAGGGTGTGGGTGGACAGAGAAGATTAGTTTTAAATTCTTATTGTTGTACGTTTAAAATGACTACTTACCACCACTGATCTAAATAGACAGTGACTCCTTGAATATGCACTAAATCTCAGTAAAGGGTTTCTTTTGACTATCTTATGAATAATCACAAGATACAGTTAGATACTTCTGTTTCTGATTTAATAGATTGGATATGCTTACATACACTAATTTTATGCTATTAGAAATGTGATTATCACTTGTCCAAAATTTACAAACTTCAGATAGTAAGGCACTAGAATGTAGTTTTTATTTATATCTAGTATGCATCAAAGTTGTAACTCTGATTCTTATCCAAAGTATTTCTTATTACAAAATTGTAACTAAAGCAAAATAATAAAAATAATGAGAATGTGATGACAAAGGTATGATAAAGGAGAATAAAGAGGAAAGGACAGGAAAATACTCAATATCTTCTAATCTGAACTATTAGGGGAAATTTGTGGATGAAAAAGTACAAGAAAAACATAGTCTACTTTTCATAATACCTGAAAAACCTTCACTCCTATCCCTGAAACAATTTATTTCATTTTCTTTGTCTTTGTACCCCCTCTAACTCATTAGATTTGTCAAGGATTCCAAACTGAGACAGTATGATATAATAGTGGTAATTTCTGTGAGGGGTCAAAAACAGTGGTGAGTGGTCTGGCTCCTCCTTTGTGTGCACAGTTACAAATAAGTTATATTTTTTGTGTAATTGAATTTTCCCTAAATATTAGTTATGAACTTACTCAGATGTGTTAAGTTACTTAGTAAAGGGTTTGACCTCACATGAAAGCTCAAAAACCATTAGTTTCATTAATTCTCAAAAGGCAGTTTAAAGATCATTGAATTGAATTACCTAATTTTTACAAAGCAAATGGGAACTGGGTATTAAATTGTGTTTTTTTTTTTCTCAAATTCTGCATATGATGTATTTCAATCAATTTTTTTTAAAATTAAGCTTTGTGTTATACAAAACAGTTCATCTTTTAATAACTAATAATGTGATTTATGTATACCAAGTCTATAATTAAACTGAATTAACAGCTTTACATTCTATAAGAAAAAACTATTCACCCAATGGTGTTAAATATTTTATGTATGCTTCTAAAATGAATTTTAATAAGAAAAATTTAAAATGTGCATGATATAATAATTTAGGCATATTTATAAATATTATCACTTTTATTTGATGGAAACAAGTTATAAGTACAGCTGTCAGTTTAAAGAACTTACTGTTTGCACTTTTCTGTATTTGTATCAAGATGATACCTAGGCCCATGAAAATACCAGTGATTGACATTCTTCATCGTTTAAATTAAAATTACCTCTATTAAATACCAAAAAAAAATTAAAATCAGATGTTTGTCAAGTTCAATTTTATGAACTTTTATAAGTTTCATTAAATTTTTTTAAACGCATCTGGAGATCACACACTTAGTGATTATATATAATTGCATTTTGCTTAATAGTCGCTTTTTCCTGAGAAACTTGGGAAATGGATTATGACACTTTACCACAGTGATTAAAAATATATGTAAAGGCCGGGCATGCTGGCTCACGCCTGTAATCCCAGCACTTTGGGAGGTCGAGGAAGGCTGATCACGAGGTCTAGAGATTGAGACTATCCTGGCCAACACGGTGAAACCCCATCTCTACTAAAAATATAAAAATTAGCTGGGCATGGTGGCCTGCACCTGTAGTCCCAGGTACTCGGGAGGCTGAGGCAGGAGAATCGCTTGAACCCAGGAGTGAGCTGAGACCGTGCCACTGCACTCCAGCCTGGCAACAGAGCAAGACTCTGCCTTAAAAACAACAACAACTATATATATATATATGCAGAAATGTTAAAATGTATTAATAATCACAAATATAATATGTTGGAATCTTAATTGTTGATTTAAGCTTTGGGTTTCTGGTTAGAATCCTAACTGATGGAATGTGTGATTCAAATTGTATAAAATAGTCTTAACTGAAGTTTTTGTGTGGCCTGTTCTGAATTTCCTACCTGAATTTATTGTTAATTTTCAACGATTTTAGTGAAGCCTTCAAAACCTTACAAAGCAAGAGTCTAAAAAAGTTTATCACTGCTTTTTATTTAACTTATGAAATTTTCTAAGCCTGGAATTATTTCCACTTTATTAATGATTGTGATGAAGGCAGAAGAAATGTTTTTATCTACCTTGTCTTACTTGCTCACTATAAGGTGCCTTACATTCAGGCTGAAATCAGTGGAGACTTTATTTAAATTTGTGGTCATGAGTAAATGAGTAAATATTATTGATAGAGACAAGAGATAGCCAAGGGTCCCTAGCAAAACTCTGCCTTTAAGCCTAAAACAGCCTGAAGCCTGAAAAACTCCACTGCTGGTCCTAGATGAAGCCCGCCCTTTGCCAGCTGATTGTCTCTGAATAATGCATACTGGGAGGATGGGAGGGAGACTCAGGAAGTTTGTGCCATTTGCAGGGGTGAGGAGCCTGGCCTCTTCGTTTCCTGGATAGTGACCTGGGATTCAATCTATCAGGTGGGAGACCTACTAGCAGAACTCGTTCTAGCTTTGCTGAGAGTTCCTCTTTCCTTTTTTCTTTTTTACCCAATAAACCCTGCCCAAGTCATCCTACAATGCATCCGTTTGCCTAAATTTTCCTGGTCGTGTGACAAGAACCCGTTTTTCTGCACGACATTTTTGGTGCCCAATGTGGGGCCTTAGGGTGCGTGAAATGTGGACCCAAAACCTCTCACACTCATTTTTGAGCCTTTGGTCGTATGGCATTTTTCTTCTTTTTTCGGGGGAGAGTAATGGCATCTATCATTTCTTTTAAAATATGGGAGGTGGTCAACACCCACCCCAATGGCCACAGGCCTGCGTGCAGGACAGCTGAGAGAGCGGCAACTCCCTGCCCCACTTCCTTCCTGGTGGCGGCACATGACTGTGTCTGCAGCATGTGTGTGTGGTGTCCAGCAGCCATGCAGGGCAGCCACTGCCCAGGCCCCAAGGAAGCCTCAGGAGCCCAGGCCCTGTGCGATGGCTGGCCAGACTTTCACTTGGTCTGAGCCAGGGGGAAAGGAATCCATTTGTATAAGAATAAGACCTTCTTCCGCTGGGCATCTTTCCAACCCTGCATTGTAACTTTTTTTTCTTCCTTCTCTCTACCGTGTCAGCAGTTAACTCTTAAGGAAGAGCTTTTTTTTTTTCCTTTTAGAAGACATTTTACTAGGCCAGGAATGATAAGGATCACTGATTATATTCTCTGTAAATTTTTAATTAAGAAAAAGGATTTGTGAGGTTGTTCTTCAGCTATAGCCAATCTGGTGTGCTTTGTATCACCTTCTGTACGGTCTGCAGCAAACTGCTGCAGGCCTCTATCTTGTGTTATGCCCTTGGGAGCATGACCTGTAGCCATGTGGCAATGTTTTATTCTAGCCTTCACCATTTTACAATGGCACCTGGGTTCAATCCTGACTTAGAAAATGAATACTTTCGAGGTGATATCTGTGTGACTTGTGCCATTTGCTGATTTTCTTCCCCTCCATGAACAACTTCTAGCTTTTTCTTAAATCTTCCTTTCTCTGGGTTACTTTTAAAGCTTCTAAATTTTGTAAGAACTGCTTACCCCCATAGAAAATACCTCATATACTTGTAGTTAAATCATAACCTTAATTGAAGCTTGTTGGTTTCACTTGTGAGGTTACTTTTTGCCCAGACCAGCTCCGTTGGGGAGACCCTAACCCAGCAGCGCTAGAGGAATTAAAGACACACACACAGAAGTATAGAGGTGTGAAGTGGGAAATCAGGGGTCTCACAGCCTTCAGAGCTGAGAGCCCGGAACAGAGATTTACCCACATATTTATTAACAGCAAGCCAGTCATTAGCATTGTTTCTATAGATATTAAATTAACTAAAAGTATCCCTTAAGGGAAACGAAGGGATGGGCCGAATTAATTGCAGCAGGAACACGCCATTAAGACACAGATCGCTAATGCTTTTGTTTGTGGCTTAAGAATGCCTCTAAGTGGTTTTCCGCCCTGGGAGGGCCAGGTGTTCCTTGCCCTCATTCCCGTAAACCCACAACCTTCCAGCTTGGGTGTTATGGCCATTATGGACATGTTACATTGCTGCAGAGATTTTATTTATGGCCAGTTTTGGGGCCAGTTTATGGCCAGATTTTGGGGGGCTTGCTCCCAACACTTTTAGTAAGGTTTGAAAGCCAGAAATATTGGCCACTGGGTGTGGCTAAAGTCGGGTAATAGCAAATTTAAAAGGATTTTCTTAAAGAGTGCTCAGCTTAACTAAAAGTGGATATCCAAGTTATAGGTATATTTTAAAGGCCTTTATGTTTTTCTCTTCTGAGATCTTGTTTTCCTGGAAAAGTTTTTTTTCTCAGTCAATTGAATTCTTTTTCTCCATTTTGTCTTGCCCATTCTTAATGCATGCATGAGAGGCCAATAATCAAATTAAGAAATTGGCAAATGAAGTCTTACGACTGCTGTGTTTTCTTCTGCCTGTCTGTGTAGTTATATATGTGTTGTGTGTGATGGCTATAAAAAAGATCCCTAGGCTGGATGTGGTGGCTCACATCTGTAATCCCAGCACTTTGGGAGGCCGAGGCTGGTGGATCACCTGAGGTCAGGAGTTCAAGACCACCCTGGCCAACATGGCAAAACCCTGTCTCTACTAAAAATATAAAAATTAGCTGGGCATGGTGCTGAGCACCTGTAATCCCAGCTACTCAGGAGGCTGAGGTAGGCGATTCACTTGAACTCAGGAGGCGGAGGTTGCAGTGGGCTCAGATCATTCCACTGCTCTCCAGCCTGGATGACAGAGTGAGACTCTGCCTCAAAAAAAAAAAACCAAAAAAACAAAAAAAAACTCTAATTAATTGGCCTAAAGAAAAATAACTGCTTGAATCAAATGTTTTTTAAAGAGAAGATAAAAGCTGTGGTACCTTTTAGTTCATGTGACTTTAATCTTTGAGAAATAAAAGCAGCCTTAAAGATTATTGGTAAAATGCAGATGTCATCAAAATGTAAATTTTTGCTTAGGGTTAAATGATTGTTTTGAATTTAATAAGATAAAGCTGAAGGTCTAAATAAATAATGGAAGGTTTATAAAAATTAATCTTGCAAAAATTCCATGTGTGACCATGTTAACTAAATTCAAAAGGTTATTACATGGTTTTTGTCTCAATTGAGCATTGAAATAAAAGCATAACAAGGTACTCTTAAGGTACTAATCTGCTCTTTAGCAAAATTCGTAAATGGTTATAAAAGGGTTTTGCTTTTTAAAATTTCTGAGTCATCATTTTGGCAAAATAAATAACTTATGGTAATCTGGAATTCTATTTCATAACATCAAGTGTTACAAACCTCTAACATTTGACAGGCTTCCCAATATCAAACTTAAGTTTCAAAACTGTCTTTCCTGATGCCTGGCTTTTGGATGCTACAGAAGCCTCCTAGAGTATCCAGAAGAGAGGTAAACAAGATTATTTGACATGTTAGGATACATGAGATTGGTAAAATGGTGTTCAATCTTCTTTATGTTATATTTTGGTAAATAATACTAATATATGTTCCAAAATTGTATGGAATTTCTAAAATTCTAATGCCTAAAGTATATGCTATTCATCATAATTAAAGTTATTATGTTATTAAGTTATTGTAAACCACAGAAATAACCAAACATTTTTGCAATTGTATTTTTAACTGTAACTACTCTGGCCTTTTGTTCGTCACAGACAATTGTCTTGTTTTGATCTTTTTCAAAATATGGTTTATAATCAGCTACAGAACTCTGACAGGTGCTCTCAAATACAGGTTTCTGATAACTTTGGAGATTGTGACATTGGAATAAAGAAAAATGTACAGGACTTATGAAGAGCTTAAATCTTCCCAAATATCAAGCAAAATGTGAGTTAATTAAATGGACTAAACTCAGAAAACTGAAGCCATCTTTTTGACTCTTGCTTGGAATATTGCTGATCCTTGTTTTGTTTTTCAGAGTCAAGGAAACTTATTTTGAATTATTTATGGCCTTTAATAATTTAGTAAGGTATACTCCTATGAACAAAATTTAGAGCCTGTTTCTCTCTCTCTCTGCCTGGTTTCCCCAGAATTTGGAAGCTAGCTGTGAGTATTCTTAACTGATGGCAATATAGTTGTTTGTATCAGTGCAATAAGAATCCATTTACTTTTGCAATAGAATGCAATTAGAGAAGCTGTTTGTTTTACCAAGGTTTTGACTGGAAGGGTACATGTCCCTTTAAGGAGTCAAACTTGGCTTGCAGAGCTGATAAAAGCCCCTTGGGAAAACTGGCCTCATACCCTTGCATAGGCAGTCCCTAAACAGGGTTCCTGACCTGTGTAAGTCCCCAGGAGCTTCAAGTTTATCTTGGTACCTTAAGAGAAGAAGATAACCCAACTCACAGGTATTTGAGGGTACTTCCTTGCGGAACAGAGTTCCATCAAAGTCAATCCAAAAGACCTAGGTAGAAATTATTATTCTTGCTGTGCTTTATGCAAATAACCAGGCAAAGTATGAGAATAAAGTCTATTTTGCAAACAACTCAGTCTTATTATCGTGTGTTTTTTAACAAAAATGAGGACTGCAGTGAGAGAAGTTATGTTTCAAAACTTATCATACATTCATCATTAAATTCTCGACTCATTTGTTGTTTTCAAGTTTTTGCCTAGATTTTAGACCAACCCTGCTTTTTCCTTTGAACCAACCAGCAGTCTCCAGCTGCAGCTCAGAAAGAACAAGAGGGATGGCTGATGTAAAAATATGGATTGATATTCTAATTCTGAGCAATTATTCTGCAAATCCTGCCAGGTGATGGGAATAAATAGGGTTCCCATCACCTGGAGGTTTCCTTTTTGGGAAAGTAAAACCAAGGAAGCTAATCAAAGCCAAGCCCTATACACCCAAATCTTAGCAAGCATAACTATAGCCACCAGTTATCTGGGTATGTCACAAGACATCCTTTTCTCTCCCTTGTTGGAGGAGGACTCAATTCCACAGCTTCATCTTAGCATTCGGTTTATGATAAGGAGTCCATGCAACCTGCCCGAGACAAATTTTTGCCCCAAACTCAATTCCAAGCTTCCAGTGAAAGCCGTAGGAAAGATAACTAGATCTGAGTGATCCAGAGGCCGATGAAAACTAAAGTTAAAAGGCACAGCACAAATGAGCATGACTGATTCCTGCTGATTAAGCTAAGCTTTCTGTTTCATGGATAAAGATTTTGTTAGTGTCCATAGCATAAATCGGGTATAGAGGAGCAGGGGAGATGGGGTCTACAGTCTAGGGAAGCAGGGGGTTGTCTACTGACAGCAGGAGAGATAGGGCATACAAGGGTAAGAATGGATACTGCCACTCTCTAGGCTCCCTTTTTAACATGCGTGAAAGCTGCTTTGACACCCATGGGTGGCATCCTATTGTGGTCACTGGGACTCAGGGATACAAGGATGGAAGAAAAAAAGAGGAACACCTCACTTTCTCTTTTTCACATACCTCAGGAATTTGCTAGGAAGAGAAAGGAACCAGGGATGCCTGCTCCCCACTTTCTAGATGAGTAGCCAATCATCTTCTGTCTGTATCCCTTTTGGGTCATCCTAAACCCCTGGGACTGCTTTAAAAAAGTGCCTTCCTTTATTCCTTTTCCTCCTCTGTCCCCTTGTATTAGTTTGTTTTCACACTGCTGATAAAGACATACCCAAGACTGGGCAATTTAAAAAAGAAAGAGGTTTAATGGACTCACAGTTCCACGTGTCTGGGGAGGCCTCACAATCATGGCAGAAGGTGAAAGGCACATCTCACATGGCAGCAGAAGGAGAAGAGAATTGTACAGGGAAACACCCCATTATAACACCATCAGAACTCATGAGACTTATTCACTATCACGAGAATAACACGGAAAAGACCCGCCCCCATGATTCAATTGCCTCCCACTGGGTCCCTCCCACAACATGTAGGAATTGTGGGAGTTACAATTCAAGACGAGATTTGGGTGGGGCATAGCCAAACCTTATCACCCCTCTTCACTGATAAGTAATTGTGCCTCCGTACTATGAGACACTCCCCTCGGATGCATCCTTCAAACTGGGAAAAGTTAATTTCCCAAACCTTAAACTGGTTGGCTTAGGATTGGGCTTGGGGTGAGGGAACCCAAAAGCCTGGCATGTTGGCAAAAGGGCAAAAGGTTGATTTTGCCAGCCAGGCATTTGGCCTTCCTCTCCCCGTGCAAACGGAAAAAGGCCTTGGGGTTTTCGAGCTGTCCTTACCCTCTCCCCACCCCCGCCCAGCCCCCGCCGCTTTGTTTTGTTTTAATACATTCTTTTCTAATAACCTGGTTTGTCTCTTCTCAGCTTCACGCCATCAAGCTCCAAAGGGTCATGCAACCGGAGCCTCAAGACGATGGTGGCCCCTTTTCCAGCGAACCCTTAGATAGGCCTCTGAGGTAGATCTGACTGCTGTTTTCCCAAAACAGTGCCCCTTATCAGCAGGAAGCAGTTAAAATCGGTCTTCATCCTTATCCTTACCTTTATTCTAAAGGCAGTTAGATGTACTTCTTCAGAGCAAGGAATGATAGAGACAGGAGACAGCTAAGGGTCCCCGGCAAAACCCTGTCTTCAAGCCTAAAACAGACTGAAGGGTGAAAAACCGGACTGCTGGTCATAGGTGAAGCCGGCCCTTTCCCCGCTGAAATAATGCCTACCTGTGCACTGAGAGGACGGAGAGTTTGTGCCCTTTGCAGTGGGGAGGAGCCTGGCCTCTTCAGTTCCTCAGTGGTGACCTGGGATGCAATCTGTGAAGCGGGAGACCTGCTAGCAGGACTCTCTCTTGCTTTGCTGAGAATCCCTTTTTCCTTTTCTCTTTTTTACCCTATAAACCCTTCCTTAGTCACCCTAACAGTACGTCATGTGCCTACATTTTCCTGGTCGTGTGATAGGAACCCGGCTTTTTCTACAAAATTATGAGCTAGTACAAATTGAATAACATAATGTTTTATAATATAGTCAATGAAGCATATAAAGTGTTTAAAGTGAACTTTGAGACTATGAAGGTGGAGTGCCTGAAGTCAAGGTTCTAAGGGTTTAGATACTGCTGTTGATGACGCTTGAAACCAAACATTATGCTTGAGCATTTGAGGAAAGAATGGTATTGAAGTTTTGCCATGCAGGATGTAATGCAACATCTTTCAAAAAATCTTTGAGCAATCTGTAGTCACCTCTCCCACACTCTCTCAAAAATGTCTTCTAAAACTAATCATTCTCACTAAGGTATTTCAATATACACCAAAACTACCTGTAGCTGCATGCGCCTTTCATTATTAGACACTATTTTAGAATACCCTTCTTTGTCTTTGCCACCTTGAAATTGTGATTCATTGATTATTTCTCAGCTCTCTGGAAACTAGATAGAACAAGAGAAATTATTCTGTCTCTGTATTTTCAGCCTACCAACTTTCAACCTCCTTCAACATATTTCTGAGTCCGTGGATCATTCTGGGTTACCTACTTTGGAAAAGAGTTTCATGTCAACCTTTGGTTTAAAATATGCTACCCCAAAGGATACACAGGTATGAGCTGATCTTACCAGAGTGCAATCATTACTTTGTTCTGGAAAACATTTGGTTATGTGCAACAAATGTTATCACAGTCTGAAAAGTGGTAAGTTCTATATGAGGCATTGAAGGAAGGAAAATAAGAGTTTGTAAATTACAAATTATTTTTAAAAAGCAGAATGATACAAATGATAGGCACAAATAACATGCATTAATCACAGCGGAGAGAGCTAGCTTTTGTGTTTGGCCTTGATAAATATTTTAAAATAGAGAAGAGAAAAAATATATTTTACCTGAGGTACTAGCAAATGGAATAGAAATACAATGAAAAGGCCCAACCTATTCTGGGACTGGAGAGTGGTTTTGTTAACTTAGGATGGCTGGTGATATATGGAAGACAATGAGGCTATAAAGGTAAGTGGAGTCAAAATATGAAGAGCCCAGAGTGCCATAATGAAAAGAGTATTGTGTTTAAGCAATGGGAGGCAGATTTTTTTTTTCTAATAGTCTTGAGTTGTGACAGGCTTTCTTCAATTGCTGAATATAGCAGACTTAATTTCCATCTACATCTATCATAAGATACCTGTGTGTACTTTACTTTTTTTTTTTTTTTTTGAGATGGAGTCTCACTCTGTCGCCCAGGCTGGAGTGCAGTGGCCCGATCTCGGCTCACTGTAACCTCCGAGTGGGAGGCAGATTTTTAAGAAGCATAGTTCTGGCTTTAGCCAGTGCGATACACAATTCCCTGGCATTGAATTTACTGTTAATACAACTTATAAGTAAATGGTGTTTTCCAATTCCTTATTTGCATGGTTTCATATAGAACCTAGATCAGGGGAGCAACACAATCCTGATGGGCTCCATCTTTATAAGGAATCCCATTGTTACAATCCGGCAGGAACTGTGAGTATCCTAACACTGACATTCTAGCTCTCCTCCTCATATTTGAGCCAGACATGAATTTGGTAAGCAACTGTTCTAATAATGTACATAATTATTTTATCATATTTCTTCTAAATTAAAAATAAAAACAGCAGGCACCTGTACTAGTCCCAGCTACTTGGGAGGCTGAGGCAGGAGAATGGCGTGAACCTGGGAGGCAGAGCTTGCGGTGAGCCGAGATCGCACCACTGCACTCCAGCCTGGGTGACAGAGTGAGACTCCATATCAAAAAAATAAAAAAATAATAAAAATAAAAATAAAAAATAAAAAACCAATAGCATTATGTTTCTTTGTAGGTCATATACCAGAAGAATTACTGCTGCACCCGGCAGAAGGAAACAATGACATGGGACTGCAGCCAGCTCCTGCTCCTGACTAAATGTATGGGCATGGGCAAGCTGTTTGATCTCTGTGAACCTCCTAGTCTTCATTTCTAAAATGGGTGTGGATAATGACACCAACCTGATAGGATTACTTTGAGAATTACAAACAATAATATATATTTTCTTAGCTGATAGTGGCATAAGATGAGCATTCAATACATGATAGCTCTTATGATTTATGTATTGCTATGTCTATTACTAATATTAGTAATAATTTTATTTTCTTATAAAAGATTTTTATAGAATAGTGTTAGCTTATAGGGAAAGGTGCAACAGTTGAAATATTACTTTTATTTTAAATAATGTATTCAATCCTCTCAACACATTATTGGAACGGTAGGATATTAACTATTATTTAACCAAGAAGGAAATTTTTGTTAGTCAATGTGTCGATCTTGATTTGGAGTCTTAAGATTCCAAACCATACTGCCTCTTAAGAGAAGCCACTAACTGCTGAGAATTTACTTCTCTTGGGGACTTGTTTTATTTGAAATAAAACCATCACCATATTTGCACGCTGCAGACTTACCATAGTATTTTCCTTTTAGAATCCTTTCTCAGTTGATCAGTTACTTAGAGGTCATAGGAATATTACTCACCCCTAGAACAGGAAGCCCATACCTATTAGATGTATTCAACATCTTCACTATTCTTTAGAAAATTCTTAAGGTTCTTTTAATAAAAAAAAATTTGAATGCAAAATTGATGAAAGTGAAATTTGTTTGGTTTTCTAGAGATATGAATTATTTGCCAACTTTTAAAGGTCAAAGATGTTTATTTGTTTGTTTTCTATTTCTTCCAAAAATGACAATGTTCTATACAGGAAAAGGAAGAAGAAGGCCTATTTAGAATTGTCTCTATATATTATTGGTTATATATATATCAAGTTGCCTTAGTAATGGATCAGTTAAATTCTGTTAGAGTCACAAGTTTAAAAAAATGCAATTGTGTTCAATATTAAAATTAACCTTGCATTGATACCAAGCAGGAAATCAAAACTAGCTACTAGTAATGATATAGCCTTTTTATTTCCTCACTTTTCCAGGGTACCCTTATGTCTGGTGATTCTAAATATGAGAGATTAAATAAAAATGAGCCATATTCTCTCATTTGGGGATAATGTTCTTGCTATATCTTTAGTCAGTACTTCAAACTTTTACCAAAAATTTGACAAAAGTAAAATATAAGATTTCTCCTTCAATCTTTCCTGCACATACCTGTCAATCTAATCTTCCACAGACCCCCTCCTTTGTTAAGAGTTGCGTTCCCACTCTATTCAAAAACATTCAGTGACTACATATTTCCCAGAAAATAAACGTCAAATGCCTTAGTCTCACATACAAGGCTTTGACTATCAGCATAAAAACTGCTTTCTATTTTTATTTCCAACCATGAACCATACCTTTCAGGCACACTGAATGTGGCTTCATTTTCCGAAAGTACTTTTTACCTTCATATATCTGCTCTTTTGTTTGTGTCATTTCTTCTAGGGGAAATGGAGTCCCTCCTTTTCCTCTTTCAGTTAATATCCTACCTTGACCTTGCTTGGAATGCTACTATGGATCTTGAAGCGTGTGGTGATGTGGGAAGTACATCGCTTGGAGAAATTCTAAGTTATTAAGTTATGGTATTTCAGATTGGCAACAAATATGCATTTTCTAGCTTGCCAACAAGATAATTCAGTCTAGGTTCTCTTGTTTTAAAAGCGACGCATTTTCATCTGAAAGAAGAGCTGACTAGAAGTAAAATCTAGTGGAAAAATCATGCCTTATTCTGAGCGTGATCTGTCACCATCACATCATCTGTCTCTAATATCTTCCCGGATTGATTAACAGATGAAATCTGTCACAAATTTGCTGAAATATTCCACTTTTGCTTTTGAAAAATCCAACACTGAGTAGTTCCAGCAAGAATTAACAATCCTCATTCAAATCTGGGACAAACTTTCTTTAATCTTGCCACTCAGCATCATTACGTCTGTATTTATTAACAGCATTCTTACCAAGGGAATCATTTCATTTTCATTTTAGTTTAGCTCATTAGATCATGCTTCAAAAATAAAAGTCTGTGTTAAGAATGAACCATCTAATAAACAGTGAATAGAAGGCCAGATGCCTGGAGGCTCCTTCAGTCACCAGAATGTTAAAGAAGTGTTTCATGGGGAGCATTTTTACAACATGTCACTCTAAATTCCAGCAAGTATTGAAAGCAAAGAATTTTGTGTTTTTACTTAATGCTTTTAAGATACCGATTGATCTAAAAATAAAAGAATAAAGGTGAAAAATTAAATTGGGTCACAAGACCCCCACAGCTCAAAAATTATCAATTGGACTACAATGATGCTTCTTTAATCTTCAACATCTGCAAGTATTTATCAATACAATTGGCATATTGCTGTGTCCTACTAAATGCCACACTAATGCCACATAATTTTATTATGACATATAAAGAAGTCAAATTAAAGGACTTTCATTTATTCTTAATTATCTTGGGATAAGGTTTAGCAATACTAAATTATGATTTTAAATTTTCTTCACCTTATGAATATTCTATAAACCATCTGCTGTGTAGGATAACCAATAAGATATTTAGAGCTACAAAGTTTAACTAAATTTATAAATGATATAGAGTGAACTAACTTTGTAATAAAAATATATTCCAGGGACATAAATGTTCTGTTTATGTAATACATTTGCAAGTGTGATTTCTCAGGGTCAAAGTAGTTTATTATGTTTTATAATCTTCAGAAGCCACTAATATTGTATGTTGATAAGTAAAAGCTTATATGTATTCTAGCATTGTGAATACTGAAATGAGATTAGCATTTAACTTTATCATTAAAATGATGCAAGCAGCTTGGAAATTTATTTTTGCTTAAAACATTTCACATGTGTCAAAGCCTACTTCTTTAAACATTACTACTACACATTTGTTTCTATAGTCTAGCAGATTCTTGTGATTTAACAATAGAACTTCAGTGGTATTAGCCTTTTGTCTTTTTTGTTTTTTTCTTATTTAATGTAATAATTGTCTTCATAGAGCATTTTTTTAAACTGTGGGCTTTTTGATAGTGTTGTTAGCAGGAGTGATATACAAAGTATCTAATAAATGGGTAAGGCTTGGGAACAAAGCTATTACCCTGGGTTCCTTGACTAGCCTTCAAAATGCCATGGTTAATCAGAACAGTTGCTGACACAAAAAAACAATATGTTTAACCAGATGTGTTCTGGTTGCATATTATCCTTGCTCTGAAGTGAATGCTCTCTACTGTGATTTGGGCCCTAGAAGTACAATAACAATGAAATTAGTTCCCTAATATCTCTTAAAGAGTACAAAGTTTGTACCTTTTGGAACCCAGCTATAAAGGGATCATTCGGTAATTTTGTTGTTTTTGTTTTACTTCTGGTTCTTACTCATTCTGTCTATATTCAGGTGGGCTTTTGACTAATTTTCAGGTCTTTTCGCATTATAAGGCTATTATTTATAGTTTAGAAGACAAGATTTTTCATCAGCTTGCACCACATTTATGATCTTCCATTGTCTGGGCTATGAAGGTACTATCATGTAGGATGTCATAAAATTAAGGCCTCTGACCCAGCTTTGCTACTAGCAAATGTTGTGCTCTCATGCTCTCAGATTAATTTTGGACTTCAGTTTGTTTGCAAAACCTATAATTTCAAATTACTAATCTGTAAATATTCACATGACAAAATTCATTGATTGAAAATAGGTTTGAAATAAAGATATTTTTAGATGTTATATCCAGACTTTCAATATGAAAAAAGACATCTATTTTTTGCGCTATTCTAACGTCATTTATATAGGAGAATTTTTAGTCATGGGTTGGAAACT
The DNA here is from genome assembly GCF_000001405.40 of Homo sapiens. NCBI lineage: Eukaryota > Metazoa > Chordata > Mammalia > Primates > Hominidae > Homo > Homo sapiens. The sequence goes on along the minus strand of NC_000006.12, from coordinate 81,052,450 downwards.
TACGGTGTTAACTAACTTCAGACTTATATACATCAAATTCCATGATCAGGAGATTAGTGGGCATTACATTTGTCTTACCATTTAGATATTAACTTTTAAATCCCATCAGACAGTAAAAGGTGGTTGAATAGTCAAAGACACAAGATGTGGTTTGGCTTTGTGTCCCCACCTGAATCTCATCTTGCATTGTAATCCCCAGGTGTGGAGGGAAGGACCTGACTGGAGGTGATTGGATTACGGGGCGGTTCCCCCATGCTGTTCTCGTGATAGTGAGTGAGTTCTCGCAAGATCTGATGGTTTATGTAAGGGGCTCTTCCAACTTCACTCACTCTCGCTCGCTTCTGCCACCTTGTGAAGAATGTGCCCGCTTCCCCTTCCTCCGTGACTGTGAATTTCCTGAGACCACCCCAGCCATGCAGAACTGTGAGTCAATTAAACAAACCTCTGTCCTTTTTAGTTTACCCAGTCTTAGGGTAGTTCTTTACAGCTGTGTGAAAATGGACTAATATAACACAGTAAGCAATTAAAAAGATCTGTCTTCTGTCACAATACAATCCACTTTATTTTTAAATTGTGATAATTTCTCATGCTTATTTGAAATGCATTTTTGTGCTATGAACAGAAGATGTTATATAAGTATTTTAATGATACTAATGTGATTTCAGGAAACAATCCTGAAGAAACAACTATTTGAAAATAATCTAGTATACTAGTTATATGAAAATAACACTGTAGATTACAAATGAGTTTTGTCTGGTCATTTAGTTGTATCTTGTTATTCCAGTAGGCTTAGAAAGGATTATTGGACAGTTAGCTACCAATTAAGGCAGTGGTTTTAAACCCAGTTTTGAAAACTTAGACTAACTTGGGAAAGTGAAGAAAATACTGATATTTGGGCTATAAACAACAAAAAACAATTCATTCAGAATTTTTTGAAACAGTTTATTCAGAATTTCTTGAAAAAATAAGTTAGAGTACCATGCATAGCTAAAATAAATAAAATGGCATTTATTCAAACTATTGTGTGATTACACATATTATGGCAGTGATCACCAAAGCTTACTGCACATTTGAATCACCTGGGGAATGTTTAAAAACTGACACCTGTGTTGCCTCCCACACATTTTGATTTAATTAATGTGAGGCATGACATGGGTATTGGGCTTTTAAAACTTCCCCAGGTGATACTAATGTCAATCTGGAATCATTGCATTAGAAATGCCTCTCTTATATTAATATATATTGCTGTTTGATAATAATTGAGTATTTAAAAAGTGAAAGTTTATATAATAGCTATTCAGAGATCATCAAAAAAATAAAACAGAAATATAGGATGTTCAGAATGCACTATTCTGGCTTTATTGAACTCAAATATTGTTCCAGGAATGGTGCATAATAAAGCACTGTCTTTTCAGAAACCGATTTTTTCTATGTATAAGGCATTATTATTTTAAATAACTTTTTAGTACATTTGTGATATAAATTATGTAGGAATATTGGGTGTTGTCAATGTTAAAAACAGACATAATGCCTAATTTTTATTGCCAGTTCATCTGGACTATTTTCACTGGCTTGATTTGCAATTTCAAGAGTAGATTCATATTTTATAATGCCAGTGGATGTTCCTTTTCAAAAAAATGTTTTGGCTTTATTTTTTTTTTAACAACTCCAACTCTGTTCAGTAATGGAAAAAACAGTTTGATTGTCTTCTCTGTGGGTGACTTTGATGAGTAGGTAGTACAATGCCTTGCTGTATATTTTTGGCATTTTTTTAGAAGGTTATTCATACATTCAGAGGTTTTGCTTTGATTTGTTTTGTTTAAATCTATATTGAGCATGCGAAAGAATGGAGTGATTCAGGTAACATACTCTTTTCATAGTGAAAATAGATTTCTATTCTTAACACTAAAGCTAACTTTCCAGTGAGGGAGCATGGTGGATACAATTGAAAAAGCTGCAATCACTAGACAATTATTGTATTATGTAGGTGGCATATTGTATTTACTACCTGTGTAATTACATTGGCAAAGGAGGGGCTTTGATGTCATTGGCAATGTGGCTCAGAATACATAGCAATAAAGTGCAGATATGTTGCCAGTATAACAGGTACTTACGAGGACCAGCATCTTTAGTACTATCAATATTTTCAAAATAAGAATTTCTCCTAATATTTGGTAAAACTCTAAATGTTATTCCCAATGTCTTATAATACTTTAATGATTTGCATTTGGTTTAGTTTCTAGATGAGAAAGCAAATTGGGAGTTATAAATTTGTAAGCCCTGAAAAAATAAACAGCCTCAACAACAGCATGATACCCTGTCACTTACTGCTTCCTGCTACTAATCCAATAATGGCTGGTTGTTGGATCCTGATGGAAAGCTTGCATATACTGTAGCTGAGATCTTTAAAATAGAAATGTCTTTGTCCAGTGCCTTAGTAGACAGAAGCTAGAAAAAAAAGATATTTGGGAAAAAAGTCTTCTATTCTAGTGGAACCTGAGGCAAAGCTTATAGACAAATCCATTATATCAGTGTAACAAGGGGGAATCAGCTGGTCTGTGTAAAACTATTTTTGGAACATGAGTGGGGCAATACTCTTGTAGCTTTGTGGAGGCCAACTGTTAGAGTCAAAAGTTCTCAAGGGTAATTATAGCACCTGACTAAAACAACCTATATGTTTTGCACCTGAGAGTAGAGTCACCTCAACACGACTTGCTAATCACCCTTGCACCTCTGGGGAAGATGTTCTTGCCCTAATGTCTCCGATTTTTCAGTCCAACTCTCTTGCCAAGAAACACAAACAGACCTGCATATTAAGAGGATACACACTAACATGAGTCAGCAGAAAATCTGTTCAATGAAAGCTCCTTTTAGCTCATTTCCACTGCTATGAAGTGTTCCCTTGAATGACATAAAATTGTTATTTACATTTTATTTATACATTTTGAGCTCACTTTTTTATTTTTTTGCTATTACAAAGAGTATTGCTTAACATCCTCATATAAATTTCCTTGTATTCCTGTGGAAGAGTTTCTTTAAGGTGAATGCCTAGAAATGGAGTGGCTAGAATAGATATTACATGTATTTCCATTTATACTAGACATATATAAATTGCATTTTAAAGTAATTGTACTAATTTAAACTTCAACTCTCAGTTAATTTACATTGCTTTATATTCTTTCCAACATTTTATTGCTATCCTTTTTAATGATTTTCCTCATATTGTTGTGGTTTTAATTTAAATTTTCTTTTTTTTATTCCTTTTTTATTATACTTTAAGTTCTAGGGTACATGTGCACAATGTGCAGGTTAGTTACATATGTATACATGTGCCATGTTGGTGTGCTGCACCCATTAACTCATCATTTAACATTAGGTATATCTCCTAACGCTATCCCTCCCCCCTCCCCCCACCCCACAACAGGCCCCGGTGTGTGATGTTCCCCTTCCCGTGTCTATGCGTTCTCATTGTTCAATTCCCATCTATGAGTGAGAACATGCGGTGTTTGGTTTTTTGTACTTGCGATAGTTTGCTGAGAATGATGGTTTCCAGCTTCATCCATGTCCCTACAAAAGACATGAACTCATCCTTTTTATGGCTGCATAGTATTCCATGGTGTATGTGTGCCACATTTTCTTAATTCAGTGTATCATCGTTGGACATTTGGGTTGGTTCCTAGTCTTTGCTACTGTGAATAGTGCCGCAATAAACATATGTGTGCATGTGTCTTTATAGCAGCATGTTTTATAATCCTTTGGGTATATAACCAGTAATCACATGGCTGGGTCAAATGGTATTTCTAGTTCTAGATCCCTGAGGAATCTCCACACTGACTTCCACAATGGTTGAACTAGTTTACAGTCCCACCAACAGTGTAAAAGTGTTCCTATTTCTCCACATCCTATCCAACACCTGTGGTTTCCTGACTTTTTAATGATCACCATTCTAACTGGTGTGAGATGGTATCTCATTGTGGTTTGGATTTGCATTTGTCTGATGGCCAGTGATGATGAGCATTTTTTCATGTGTCTTTTGCCTGCATAAATGTCTTCTTTTGAGAAATGTCTGTTCATATCCTTAACCCACTTTTTGATGGGGTTGTTTGTTTTTTTTCTTGTAAATTTCTTTGAGTTCATTGTAGATTCTCGATATTAACCCTTCATCAAAAAGCTTATCCACCATGATCAAGTGGGCTTCATCCCTGGGATGCAAGGTTGGTTCAACATATGCAAATCAATAAATGTAATCCAGCATATAAACAGAACCAATGACAAAAACCACATGATTATCTCAATAGATGCAGAAAAGGCCTTTGACAAAATTCAACAACACTTCATGCTAAAAACTCTCAATAAATTAGGTATTGATGCAACGTATCTCAAAATAATAAGAGCTATTTATGACAAACCCACAGCCAATATCATACTGAATGGACAAAAACTGGAAGCATTTCCTTTGAAAACTGGCACAAGACAGGGATGCCCTCTCTCATCACTCCTATTCAATATAGTGTTGGAAGTTCTGGCCAGGGCAATTAGGCAGGAGAAGGAAATAAAGGGTATTCAATTAGGAAAAGAGGAAGTCAAATTGTCCCTGTTTCCAGATGACATGATTGTATATCTAGAAAACCCCATCATCTCAGCCCAAAATCTCCTTAAGCTGATAGGCAACTTCAGCAAAGTCTCAGGATACAAAATCATTGTGCAAAAATCACGAGCATTCTTATACACCAATAACAAACAAACAGAGAGCCAATCATGAGTGAACTCCCATTCAGAATTGCTTCAAAGAGAATAAAATACCTAGGAATCCAACTTACAAGGGACGTGAAGGACCTCTTCAAGGAGAACTACAAACCACTGCTCAATGAAATAAAAGAGGATACAAACAAATGGAAGAACATTTCATGCTCATGGGTAGGAAGAATCAATATCGTGAAAATGGCCATACTGCCCAAGGTAATTTATAGATTCAATGCCATCCCCATCAAGCTACCAATGACTTTCTTCACAGAATTGGTAAAAACTACTTTAAAGTTCATATGGAACCAAAAAGAGCCTGCATTGCCAAGTCAATCCTAAGCCAAAAGAACAAAGCTGGAGGCATCACACTACCTGACTTCAAACTATACTACAGGACAACAGTAACCAAAAGAGCATGGTACTGGTACCAAAACAGACATACAGACCAATGGAACAGAACAGAGCCCTCAGAAATAATGCCACAGATCTACAACTATCTGATCTTTGACAAACCTGAGAAAAACAAGCAATGGGGAAAGGATTCCCTATTTAATAAATGGTGCTGGGAAAACTGGCTAGCCATATGTAGAAAGCTGAAACTGGATCCCTTCCTTACACCTTATACAAAAATTAATTCAAGATGGATTAAAGACTTAAATGTTAGACCTAAAACCATAAAAACCCTAGAAGAAAACCTAGGCAATACCATTCAGGACATAGGCATGGGCAAGTACTTCATGTCTAAAACACCAAAAGCAATGGCAACAAAAACCAAAATTGACAAATGGGATCTAATTCAACTAAAGAGCTTCTGCACAGCAAAAGAAACTACCATCAGAGTGAACAGGTAACCTACAGAATGGGAGACAATTTTTGCAATCTACTCAATTTTAATTTTCTTAATTGCCAGAGCAATTGGGCTTTCTTTTATTTGTGCATCACAATTTTTATTGCCTCTGATGTGGTTTTTGTCTCTCCATTTTCCCAAACGGTTTATCCTTTTTTTTTTCCTGGAAATATTCTTGTATATTTGATCTAAATCAAAGAGAAAAATCATATAATTTTTATACAACTACTGGTTGCCCTCCAATTTCCACTCTTTCTACTTCTTTTATAGTAGAACTCTATTGCAGCTGATTACATTATCAAGTACATATATTACTATACATCCAATTCTCTTTTGTAAGTAAGTGTAGTCATGAATTTAAGTTCTGACCAATTAGATGTAAGCAGACATACTGAGTGGAACTTTTGGAAAGTCTACTTAAATATCAAGGGTCTTTCTCTTCGCTTCTAGTCAATATGGAATAACTCAAAACAGACTAGCTCACCCCATAAAAACAACTATAAAACAGTTAAATATGTGCCTCTTTTTGGACATTTTACAAAATAATTATGACCCCCAAAGAGAGGGAAAGCAAATGAGGCAAACCCCAATAGTGGCCCCAGTGTTCTATCTGAATATTTCTAGATATTGGTGAATATATCTAGATATTGGTTAAAATATTCTAGATATTGGAGAAGATGGGAAAATTTAGAGACCAGCTATGTCACTGAGCTGAAGAAATAGAGATTGCTGGACATCTGGAATTTGTCGGGCATAATTCAGGAGAGAAGTGAGATATGTATAAAAAGGACTTAGAAATCTATACAGGTGATCTCCTTGAATACTTGGTTGAATACTAAACTTCACATGTATAGGGTGATAAGTCACAAGACTAGGCAAAGAAAAATTACTGGGAATTTTATGTGGTACAACTCATAAATGCTATGCAGCAATAAATAGGGACACTCTACCAAGACACACAAAATCACTGATAAATCTCAAAAACATTATGTAAGAAAGAAACCAGACACAAAAGATTAGATACTGTGTGATTCCATTTGTGTGAAATTTCAAAAAGGCAATACTAATCTACACCAATAGAAAACAGATCAGTATTTGTTTAGATCTGAGAGAGTAAAGTGATTGAGACATGAGAAAACTTTTGGGAATGATGGAAATGTTCTAAATCTTGATTTTGGTTTCATAACACAAATATATACATATGTCAAAATTCACTGACCTAAAAACAATAGGTGCATTTTATCACGTGAAATTTATACCTTAATAAAATTGTTTTTAAAAGTTTCATTTCCTTCTCCTTTTTCCATTTGTTTCTTGGAATGGAAGTGTGTTAATTGGGACTCAAGCAGACATATCAGACCATGCAGACAAGATCTGTGTCCTAGGGGACATAAATAAAGGACCTCCAGTCTCTGACAATTATATGGATTCCCCAAAGTAATACTAAATTCTTCATCTCTGGCCTTTTTTACATGAGAGAAAAATGAACTTCTACCTGGTTTAAGCTACTATTTTTTAATATTAGTCACCTTGAAGCTGAATCTAATTATAAATAATACATGTCCCTTTTAGGCAGAAAGAATATTTTAATTAAGGACATTAAGTCAGTGTTTTAATTTATCATCTGCCACACTAATCAAAAAGAACAAAAGTGATAGACCTTAATGAAGAAAAATAATGCCATCCAAGTATTCTACACTTAGATTAGTCCTATGTAAAGACTAAATATATTTTTTCCAGTAGAAGGATTCAGAGTAACCTGTATGAAGAAATTGTTTGGGAAACTACTCTATTTAAATTTAAAATAAATCAGAACAAATTTCCAAGATAAGGGAAAAAGATTATAATAAATAATGGTGAGTAATGTTTTAATAATAAATTAATATATGAATATAATAATGATGATACAACTAGAAACTGACAAAAATGTATTAAAGATTACACACATGCAAACAGGTAAGAGAAGAAACGATAGCTTATAACAAATATTCTAGTTTTTATACTTAAACATAATTGGAAAATTAAAATAATAGTTTTATTTCGCTAATGAAGAGATGGGGAAACAGATAAAAAGACTAATATAAAGGAACACTTGTTCTTTAATTTTAATATCACAGTAGGTAGAGATAGATTTAATATCCCTTTAAAGATAGAAACTTGATCAACTGAACAAAATGAGAAAAGAATTAAATAGAAAATAAAATGTGTAATAGAAAATACTGTTAGATAAAATAATTATAAATATAGACAAATATGAATTAATTCATTTCCGTAACAAAAAAAGAGTTTAAAATAGTCTAATGTTTGTAAAAGAGTGGTGGCCAAGTTTTAGTCTTTAGAGATGAAATATACAAATCTAAAAAGATTCAATTGTACACTGATTAGAGAGTTTTTATAAATTTCTCACTCATTCATAAATACAAATATTCACACCTTTTATTTTCAATTTTAAAATGGCTAATAGCTTGAATTCCTACTTGCATATCTTCCCCCTTCTCTGTTTCTCATATTAATGCATTTTATGTCTATTGTAATATTTTTCTATTGTAGAGAAGAGACATTTCCATCTTTAGATTGTGACCTTCTGAGAGAAGGCATTACATATTATAATAGTTTAATCAATGTTCTATTATAAAGAAAGCCTATATATTGTCCTTATTATAAACTCTTGGTGAGATTGCTTTTGTCACATTTCCATCATTCACAGGGCCTAACTAAATGTTTTGCAAAAAAAAGAGTTTGACTTAAGTAATTGTTGAATAAAATTCAATTTTATATATAGAATATTTTCAAGTATAGGAAATACTGCCGGGAAACATAAATGAGAAACTGAGACATCAGAAGGGTCAAGAAAAACGGCATGCACATCAAGTTCTAATACCTACTTTGTTTATAGGCAGCTTTTGTTTTTAATCAACATGTATTTTTTATTTGACCATTTGTCTAGCAAAACCTTTTCCAGCTTATAGAAAATTAGAAGAAGTACATTAAAAAGGTGCTAATGGATGAGAGGATTATAAAAGGAAGTACCAGTTAAACATATAGCAATGAGAAAAGATTGTGAATCATACAAATGCAAAAAAATGGGGAATGATTTTACGAACAGATTTAAAAATTATAGTGGCAAAATGTTCTGAAAGCTTAATCACTCCTTTGGACATCTCTTTATTGCAGCACAAGCAATAAAAACATGTTTATAATGACATCACTGATACTTAAAAATGTACAGAGTGTTCCATAATCAATTTATTGTAGAGATAAAGCATTGCAGTTTTAAAATGTTTATCAAAATAGAAAATAAAATTTATTTATTATAACATTCACTTATAAAAACACTTCATTTCATGGCAATATCCAAATGATACTTCATTTTGATTATCTTATGTTCTTTTAAATATGGTACGATCCATGTATATTTCCTCTAGTTCCTTGAACATCACTGAAAAATAGCTGAAGTGCAGGAATAATTTCTATTGCATAATTGAAGATATTATAAGTTTGAAAACACCATAAATTCCTCCTACACAACAGCCAATTTGGATAAAAATTTTGAAGAAATAAAAATTCTAAGTGTTTTGTCCTCATCCATTCAAAATGTTTGATCTATTTTTCATGTACTTCACAGTTTGAAATATTTCCTCAAAAGTTTGCTTTTATCCTTATAATTTTTCATTTAATTTACTCTTTGATTAGAGATGCTGAATTACATTACTTCACTGACTTTTACAAGTCCATTGAGTGCAGCAATTCTTTCAGAGAATGTGCTGTTTGAGATTTGATACTTGTTAGGATTTCTTTAAATCTTTCAGGACGTGAGGAAAAGAATGGAGTGGTGAATGGGAATAAAGAATATACCCAGGTGGATAGATTTAGGCTATGTTTTGCAATGGATGAATGTTCTGGACTTTGTTCAATACTTTCTAAGGTATTATTTCTCCCATGAAATGATATTCTCAAAACAGATTCTTAATTGTCAAAAGGGGAGAGGGTTCTGGTAGCCTAAAGTTTGCAAAAACAAATGAAACATTTTAAAATGTAAACCTGCTTGAAATGTGTTTTGATTGCATGTACTGATATCTTTAGAAAACATAATGGTGGAGTTTTTTTGCCCCCATGTCAAACTTTGTTTTGGTGAAATTGTATGCAAAAACAAAACCTTTATCACCTGCTCTTCTCCATAATAAATGGGACAAAATTAAACTTCAAATGATGGCTTTATAAGTACTGTTAACAGCAGAGTTGGTTTAAATAATTTTTATTTTAGTTGACCGTTGCCAAAAGGTGAAAGCCCACACTAAAACTGGTCTCATCAGATTGAAAGTTATCAAATATCAAGATGAATTAAAGAATTCTTTCCTTTAAAATGTGTATTCCTTTCTCCTCCTGCTCAATGCCTTCTGGAATGATATAAAATACAAAGTAGAACTCAGAAAGTTGTTTATGTAGATGGATTAATTTGATTACAGCGTAATTTCCTGATGTGATATCTTAACTCTTGTGGATACTACATATATATAAATACTACTTGAGAGTTATGAATGAGGGTTTAATGAAATAACTTTTTAATTTTTTATAATTGACATAAAAATTTTACGTATTTATGGAGTACAATGTGGTGTTTCAATGCTTGTATATAGAGTATAATAATCCAATTAGGTTAATTACTATATCCGTCATTTTACACTTGCCATTTCTTTGTGGTGACAACATTCAAAATTTGTTCTTCTAGCTATCTTGAAATATACACTACACTGGTATTTGCTATTGTCACCTTACTATGTGATAGAAGAACAAAATTTATTCTTCCTGTCTAATTGTAACTCTGTACCCATTGACCAGCCTCTCTGAGAAACTCATCCTCCCTGCCCTCCGTATCCTCAAGTAATCAGTTTCTACTATCAAATTCTCTGAAATCAACATTTTTAGATTCCATATATGAATGAGATAATGTGTATTTATTTTTTTATGCCTGGCTTATTTCACTTGACATTATGTCCTCCAGATTCACCTATGTTGTCACAAATGACAAGGTTTCATTCTATTTTATGATTGAAAGTATTCACTGTATGCATATACATTTCTTTATCCATTTATTTGTAGTTGTACATGTATGTTGATTTCATAGCTTAGCTACTGTGAATATCACTGCAATAAATATGGGAGTGCAGATATCTCTTCAACATGCTAAATTCATTGCCTCTGGTTATATACCAGTGATGGAATTGCTGAGTCATAAGGAATGCTTAAATTTAATTTTTTAATTTGATGTAATCCCACTTGTTTATTTTTGCTTTTGTTGCCTGTGCTTTTAAGGTCTTTCTCAAAAAAATTTTTGCCTAGTCCAATTTCATAATGTATTTCCTCTATGTTTTTATAATAGTTTTGTAGTTTCACATATTACATGTAAGTCTTTAATCCATTTGGATTTGTTATTTTTATACAGTAAGAGATAAAAGTCTAGTTTCATTCTTGTGCATATGGATATCCATGTTTTCCCAGAACCATTTATGGAAAAGACTGCCTTTTCCCCCAGTGTGTCTACATGACACCTTTGTCAAAAATCAGTAAGCTGTAAATGCATAGGTTTATTTCTGTGTTCTCTGTTCTGTTTCATTGATCTATGTATCTATTTTTATTCCAGTACCATGCTGTTTTGGTTACTGTAGCTTTGTAGTATATTTTGAAGTCAGGTACTGAGATACCTCCAGTTTGTCCTTCATATTCAAGATTGCTTTGGCTATCTGGGGTCTTTTCTATTTCCATATGAATTTTAAGACTTTTTAAAAAAATCTGAAGAATGTCATTGGCATTTTAATACAGATTGCATAAAATCCACAGATTGCTTTGGGTAACATAGACATTTTAACAATTTTTCCAGTGCACTAACATATGATATCTTTCCACTTATTTGTGTTCTCTTTAATTTCTTTCATCAATGTTTTATGCTTTTTATTGTAGAGATCTTTCACCTCCTTTCTTTTGTTCTTAAGTATCTCTTTGTAGTTATAGTAAATAGACACATTCTTGATTTCTTTGTCATATAGTTCACTATTGGCACATAGAAACACTACTGATTTTTATAAATTCAGTTTGTATACAACGTTACCAATTATTAGTTCTAACAGTTTTTTGTGAAGTCTTTAGGATTTTATATCATATATAAATTATGTATATATACCAAATATAACCCTAAATATACACACATGTATTTAAAGTTATATTTTTATATATAACTTTAAACATATAAATATAACCTTAAATACATATGTGTGTATATATACATAAATGTTATATATACATACATGTTTTTAGGATTAATCTATAAATATAACCTTAAATATGTATGTACATATAACCCTAAAGACTCCAGATATAACCGTATAACCTTAAGTATATATATGAAACCCTCAAGACTCCACAAAACCTTAGATATATATGATTATATATATTTATAATATATATTAGTATAATGATCATTAGTGTAATGACCATAATATATATATATATTTCTGGTCTGCATTCATAATGTAAATAGAGTATCTCAAAGCATGCAACCTTGGATGACAGTGTATTGGGAAAACATTTTAATATATTTTGTTCAGAAGAATTCTTATTTTTATTAGACTAGGATACAAAAAACTTTTTATTGTTTTTATTAGACTAACCATATGTATTATGGTCATTACATTAATGGTCATTATACTAATATATATTATAAATATACACATATGATATATGTATATATATATATATATATATTTTATCATTTCAATTGCAAACAGGGACAACTTTTCTATTTAGGTGCCCTTTCTTTCTTTTGCCTAATTGCTGTGGCTAGAATTTTCAGTACTATGTTGCATAAAAGTGAAAGTGGGCATCCTGTTCTTGTTTCAGACCTTGGAGGAAAAGCTTTTAACTTTTCCTTATTCCCTATGATGTTAGCTATTATATGTTAGTCATATATGTCATTTACTACATTGAGGTATGTTTCTTCTATACCCAGTTTGTTGAGGGTTTTTATCATAAAAAATGTCGAATTTTACTGAATGCATTTTCAACTCTATTTTAATGATCATATGAATTTTGTCTTTGATTATGTTAATGTGATGTATTATGTTTATTGATTTGCAGATGTTGAACTATCCTTGCGTTCTCATGATGAATCCCACTTGATTATGGTGAACAATTGTTTTAATGTTGTTGAATTTAGCGTACTAATATTTTGTTGAGGATTTTTGCATCTATGTGCATTAGGGATATTGGCCTGTAATTTTATGTGTGTGTGTCCTTGTCTGGTTTTAGTATCCTGTTCTGGCCACATAGAATGAGCTTGGAAGTCCCACCTCTTCATTTATTTTTGAAATAATTTGACTTGAATTGGTTTTAATTCTTTTTAAATGTTTGGTAGAATTTAGCAGTGAAACCATTAGGATTTTCTTTTATGAGGGATATTGTATTAATTGTATGACTGCCTGATTCTGTTACCTGTTACTGGTCTGTTCAAGATTCCTATTGCTTCATCATTATTGTTGGTAAGTTGTATGTATCCAGGACTTAATCTATTTCTTCTAAGTTTTCCAACTTATTAGCATTTAATTGTTCATTGTGGTATTTTATGATTCTTTGTATTTCTGTGGTATCAGTTATAATGTCTTCTTCATCTCTCTCAGATTTTGAGTTTTCTTTTTTCTTAGTTTACCTAAAGTTTTGTTGATTTTGTTTCTTTTTTAAAAAACAGCTCTCTGTCTTATTGATATATCATAGTCTCTATACTGTTTCTTTCTGCTCTGATATTTATTATTTCTTTCCCTCTCCTTATTTTGGGTTTGGATTGCTCTTGTTTCTAGTTCCTTGAGGTATAATGTTTGGTTGTTTATTTGATATCTTTCTACTTTTTGATGTTGGCGCTTATTGCTAAAACTTCCTTGTTGGGACTTATTTTTTAACACATCAGATGAGGGTTGCGTACGTGTTTCATTCATTCATGTTTGTTCTACAGCATTTCTGAAGTATGTACTACTAAAGGAGATAAAATTTCACTAACGTCAGGTAGAGCAACCATATTCTTCCAGAAATGCATTGAGTTTGATTCTCTTTCAATATTTTTTCTTTTCATATTTTTGTCTAGCTGTAAGCATTCAGTTCTAAATATTAATCATCATTGGCTAGTCTAATAAAAAGATAGGAATTCTTCTGAACAAAATATATTAAAATCATTTTCAATAAACTGCCACCCAATATTGCATGCTTTGGGATATTCTACGTAATGAATGCAGTAGACAAGAAAACAGAAAAAACAATGATAAAAATGCAGTTTGGATTGAATAAAGTTTTATTATAGTATATATAGGTTTACTGTATAAAGTTAGCTTTCCACTTTGTTTTAGTGAGATCGCAAGTGTTAAGAGCCAGTATTGCTGGTTATCTGTAGCACACATTGTCAGGGTGCATGAGGTATTTATATATTAATTATGTTTGTGCGTATAATAATCCTTGGCATGGAATTAGACAAAAAATATCAGAAAAGCAATCTTCAGCATCTTGTAAAGAGTGCAGTTTAACAATTATTTACCAGCAATACTTCTAATCATGTTGACATCATCATATTAGCAGACCATATTTGAGTATAGAAAGAAAGCTAAAAATCTGTGTCCACATGTTTTCTAATATTCCAAATATTCTCCAAGATACATTTCTTATATCTTTTGATTAAGTGTTCAGATAAATAAATATGCTAAATTTACATGCATCCTTAAAAACAAGACAGTTGAAAAACATATTCCCCCCTAATCTCATAGATCTTCACTGCTTATAATATGCAGGTCTTGGTTGTATAGATTACAGTCAGATTTTTTTCAAGGCAGGGCTCCATAAAGGTTCACTTTTGCTGTGAATAAGGCTGATTATTTCTGCATTTTGGTTAATTGAATTATGCTACAGGCAGCTGTTTCTAGCTTGTTTTTGAGAAATAAGAAGGCAAGTAAACACTTTAAGACAAGATTACTGCTTGGAATCATAAGATGTGTGTTACTAAAGTGTTTAGACAGGGAAAATCACAAATTGTGTGTAGTAACATTTATGAAGTTACTGGACTTCTAGTAACAAAGATTGATGTGAACATTCAAAACCAAATAAAGCTGTGTAATTAAGAACACAATCCGTAACCATTTGTATCACTTAAAATAGGAGATGCAATCACTGATGAACATAAATGTAAAAATCCTCAACAAAATACTGTCAAACTAAATTCAACTCCACATGAAAAATATTGTCAATTCAAGACTGTCTTTTCTGTCCTCTGCAGTGCTTCTTTCCTTGATGTAATATTAAAACCAGGTACTGTGATTTCTCACCTGGTTTTTGGAACTTATAAAGGTGCTTTTTTGAATAGACAATTGCTCAATGTGGTGTTCCTGAAGTGTGGGGAATGATCACTAGAAGCTTCTCTCTGAACATTTTGCTCAGCCTTCTTCCCCACAGAATAGTTCTTATTCTTGGAGTTGTCAGCACCTTAATTTTTCACCATCTTAATTGCATAAAAATAATCCTTCCTGCACATATCTTTTAAGAAATAATATGTAATGTTGCAAAGCCATTAAATGGAAAGAATTCTCATCTCTGCATCTGTAAATGAGATCTGTCAAGATTATTAGCAGTCAAATTTCTATGGACCATGTACTTTCACCTTAGTGTATCTGTTTTTCTTCCTCTTTTTAAAATTCTTTTTCCTTTAAAAGAATTTAAATTATAGAAATGGATACACACACACACACACACACACACACACATACACAGGGATATATACACACATATACTTTTAGATACAATATAAACATGTTTTCATCACCTAGAATATCTACTGCTAATATCTTGTCTTATTTGCTTCTCATTTTCTTTCAAAAATAAAATAAAACTTTAGAGATTTAGCTAAGTCCCCTTTGATGAATACCCTCAGTAATATTCCTATTCAAACTCTCCAGGGGCAACAACTATCTGACTTTTATGAGAATCCTTCCATCCTATTTACTATAAGATTATCTTATATGTGTTCTTAAACACTGCACAGCAACGTGTTCTATGTATTATCCTCTCTTTCTATTTTTATATAACATTATTTTCAATATCTCCTATGTGGATCTGGAACCAATACCAACATTTTAAGCATTCTACTCACATATTTAGGTTATTTCAAATTGTCCATGATTACAATTATTTCTCCCATGTAAATCCTTACATAGGTATCCTTTTTCCTCTGAAGTGTATTTTAAAAAATGAAATTGTTGGATTTCTAGGAATGTACACTTGTAATTCTGCTAGAGATTGCCACATTGCTTTTCAAGGCAGATGTGCCATCTACAATGCCACAAACATGGTCGTACTTTTATCTTTATTTTGCATTTTAATTATATGCAATAATTCTATTTAATTATTGAATTATCTGATTCATATTTTATATAGTTATATAATTATGTGCACTCATAACTGAATATGTATGCATGGCAGTTATCAAGGCTTACAGAAAGTATGATTGAGAAATAGATTATATGATAATCCATTACTCTGAGATGGCTACTTTTCAAAGTTTAGTCAAATGATTTTCTAGGTATTTTTCTAAGTATATGTGAATTATATATATTACTACGAAATTATTCATAGATTACATAAAAATTAGATCGTAGCTGGAGGTGTAAGTAAAGTCCAGAGAAATTTTTTGAGAAGGAGGTAATAACAGCATAGGTGTGTGCTGAGGGGAGTAGCACAGGATAGAGTGGATAATGTTGAAAATAAGAGAGTTGTTAAGGAGGTGTCCTGAGTGTGTGAGAGAAGATGAAATTAAGCATCTTAGTGAACTACATGAACAGTTTATAGTTTCAAGAGGAAGGCAGCATTTGTTGGTACAGAACAGAATATGTTAAATGAGTGCAAGTAATGATGGAAGCTTATGAAGACCCTATTTTTTTTTTTTTTTTTTGAGACGGAGTCTTGCTCTGTCGCCCAGGCTGGAGGGCAGTGGGGCGATCTCAGCTCACTGCAAGCTCCACCTCCCAGGTTCATGCCATTCTCCTGCCTCAGCCTCCTGAGTAGCTGGGACTACAGGCACCCGCCACCACGCCTGGCTAATTTTTTGTATTTTTAGTAGATACAGGGTTTCAACCTGTTAGCCAGGATGCTCTCGATCTCCTGACCTCATGATCTGCCCGCCTCAGCTTTCTGAAGTGCTGGCATTACAGGCGTGAGCCACCGCACTGGGCCTATGAAGACCCTTTTCTATTTGATTCTGATCACTTAGTAGTTTAGAAAGCAAAAGCATCAGCAGATATGGAAAGTGAAGGGGAGATGCTTGAGTTTTAATCAGAAAGATATATAATATTAAAAGGAGTAGAAGAATGAATGATCGAAGGAAACTCAAATTTTGGGTGACTCCATGAGCTCACTTGATATTTATGTTCATGAATTGAAAGTCAGCATGGTGTGTGACTTCTTCTCTAGCCATGTTCATTTTGTAGGTAAGCAACAGGTGGAAAGATAGATTAAGTGGGTCATGTGGAAAGATAAAGTTGACCCATCAAGTAAAATGAAGGATGCAAGGGGCAAGGAAGTTGAAGAGTTACCATTAAATGATTATTATTACTCACTATGGATGCTAAGTGGAATAAGGAGGAGAGAGAGGGTATGACTGCTCAGGTTGCTATAACAGAGTAAATGGAATAGAATGTTGGCTTAAACAACATAAATTTATTTTCTGACAACTTAGGAGAGTGGAAGTCCAAGATAAAGGTGCTGGCAGGGCTGGCATCTGATGAGACCTGTCTGCTTGGCTCTCAGATGGCTGCCTTCTAGCTGTGTCCTCACATGGCCTTTTCTCTGTGTGGACCTAAAGAGAGGGACAGATCTGTGGCATTTCTTCCTCTTTTTATAAGCATGTTAGTGCTATTAGATTGGGGCCCCACTTTTGTGGTCTCATTTAACCTCAATTCCCTCCTTAAAGCCCCTATCTCCAAATACGGTCACATTAAGGGTTAAGGGCTTCAACCCATGAATTTCATGGGGAGGGCACAATTCAGTTCATAAAACAGGGAATTCATCAAGGCATGATGGAGAGTGATAAGGTGATGGAATTAATGGATTATAAATTTAGGTACAATCGAAGAAAAAATGAAACAATAAGATTTTAAAATAAATTATTCATATGAAGTACCTGGCATATATTCAGTAAATATCAGCTATTACTCCCAGCTATTATTACCATACAATGATGAGTATGGTAACCTGCTATAATACTGACTATAATGCAAAGTATTTTATGGAAGTGTAGATTATGCATTTTAAAGGGAAATGGGAAATGCATGGATTTTTTCCAAACTAAGCAGGAAAGCAAAATAATTGAAAACTTGCACACTCTTCAGTGTCTTGCATGACTGGCCCAGGGTAAGCACACAATAATTGTCAGCTCTTACTATCAAAGTTATTATTGTGTTGTTTTTGTTAGCAACATTTGCCACATATCAGGTACTTTGGCTTAACGTATTAATTCAGACAACAAATATGATCAATTATCCCAATTCTGCCAATAAGGAAGAGAAAGGTTTACTTACCAAAAATGGCATTAAAGAGAGCAGCTGGAATTTTACCTGTCCTTTCAGACTCCAAAGACCATACTATAAAATGGGAGAGATTAATAACATTTAAAAGAAAAGTAAGTGGATTATACATTTTACTTTCATAGTTATTTGATGATACTTACTGTTTTTCAGATGGAACTAAGCAATGCCTTGAAACGTGAATTTCTGTGGGTTGCTCTGCTGACATTCCTAACTCAGTTGATGCATTACACCTGTTTTGAGGCCATATTTTTTTTTTTACCAAGCTTCTTTTCACCTCTAGATAAGAAAATATATATTTCTTTTACTTCAGAAAAATTAATGCAGCTTAAATTCTTACTTGACTCTTAAATTCTTACTTGAAATTATACTCAAATAGCTTATTTTGTCCACAGAGACCTAACATCAAAGTAAATGTATGTTATTAAATTATGGGCAGCATATGCAATGTGGCAATTTTCAAAAATTTGATGGAAAAAAAGATCTGTTCATACCAAATTTCCTTTACATAAGTAGTTTCAAAAATCACTACAGAAGGACAGGATAATTATATACATACATATATATATGTATGTATATAATTAATCAGTGTTACATTAAAATTAATATTTGCCTCATATTAGTCATTTAAAATAAAACAATAAGATCATAAAATCACTTTAAATATTAGTAAAAACTAGGGAAGTATGAATAAAGTATAGACTAGCTAATAATAATAATATATCTATTATGGTTTATTAGTTCTGACAAATATACTAATAGAGATGTTGACAATAGGAGAATTGGGTGTGAAGTAAATGGGAACTCTGTGCTATCTTCATGACTTTACTATAAATCTGAAACTATTATAAAATAATTTTTCAAATATTAGTATTCATTGCCCCATATCTTAAGATTATTCCGATCTCCTCTAAAATAAAACGTTTAATGCCCAATTTATTGGACTATGTTTTTTCTAAAAATGTCATTGTCCTATCCCTCACTGAAATATAGATATTATTATTCATGTGTTCTACCTGGATTCAGTCTCAACCTCTCCACTTATTTACTACATGACTTTGGAAAATTTTCATCTGATATTTTCATCATCTATGTAATGGATATAATGACAATCTTATCTCATAGGGTTATTGTGAGGATCAAGCATACAAAATTAGAACATGCGTTAGCAAATAGTAAATTTTTCATAAATTTATTTTTATATTTTCCCTTTTATTTTCTTTTTAGTATAGTGATATTTTATTTTCTCCTACCATTGTTTATTTATTATTCATAAACATTTTTGAATGAATTTATGTGTTATCTTGTCTAGAATTAAGAGACATCTGAGTTCTCAGTAAAATATCTTACTCCACACCATTAAAAATATATATAACTCCATAGATTAAGCAGTGATGCTTTCAAGGTAGTGGATGTTAAGTGTTCTCACCACAGAAATGATAACTATGTGATATAATGCATTTGTTAATTAGCTAGATTTAACCATTCTACAATGTATATATACTTAAAAACATCACGTTGTACATAATACGGTTTTATATGTCATTAAAAAATAAATTTAAAAGAAAAAGTAGAAGATCTGAACATATCCCAGGACATAAAGGTTTCTCTTATGTAGGTGCTGTTTTCCTTCCCTCACAGGCTCAGAATTACCCTGTTCAAGCCACATAGAAAATGGCTTAATTAACCTCTGGATGTGAAATCTCTGTTTCACTCTATCATATATCACTTCAATGACAAACATGATTGAGACTCAAGTGTATAGCCAAGAGGAAGAAACTCTCTCTGTGCCCAGCAAAGTCAGAGGTGGGTCAGGATACATACATAGACTTATGAGCCAAACAATGGAGGATTTTATCTTTTGCATGTACAAGTACTTTATCTCTCACATCTAGAGAAACCCATATCCTAGCTGGCATGAGAACTTCCCAGTTTGCACCTATCTTGTCATCCTCAGATTAGTATCCCTTTGGCTCTAAAAATTTTCCCATTTGAATAATAAATTACAATTAACAAGCCACTATGATCTAGCAATACATATTTCAAACTAATATTTCCTTCAACGTTTATCATTTGAAGCTAGTTTTAAAAACAGTGTTTTCATGTATGTATACACAAAAGCTAAATAAAATTAGCACAGGAATCATAATTCTGTGACACTTATGTTCCTCCCATAACTACAGTTATTAGCTATTCATTTCACTTAAATAAAAAACCAGCAGAAAGAAAATGAACATGTTTAGGGTATTAAATGTAACAAACATATTGCCTTTATAACAAAGAGTTTCTATGGCTATGTGTTTGGTATTTCTGGTGTTGTGAAAAACATCCATTTAAATGAGAAAAAAAAAGTCTTGACTGTTAAAACTTTTACATCAAAAGATCAGAAGTCTTACATAAGAAATAAATAATTCCCAGAAAAAGTGCTTTGTTTTGTTTAGTCTAATGTGAAGGCCAGTAAGCTCCCTTAAAACAAAACAAAACAAAAACAAAACTGAGTTATGGTTAATTTTAGATGCCACTTTGACTGATTTACTGGATACCTAGAGTACTGGTAAAGCTTTGCTTCTGGCTATGTCTGTGACGGTGTTTCCAGAAAAGACTGGCATGTGAATCAGTGAAGTGAGTGGGGAATATCCTCCCTCAGTGTGCACAGGCACCATCCAATTGGCTGGAGGCCCAGATTAAACAAAAAAAAAAAAAAAAAGAGAAAGGAACCTTTTTGCTATCTTTCCTGGAGCTGAAACATTCTCCTTCCTCTGTCCTTCGACATGGGAACTCCAGGCTCTCTGCCTTGAAAGTCCAGGACTTAGATTAGATTAGCAGGCCCACCCCTCTAATTCTGCCACTCCCTTCTCAAGCCTTTGACTTCAGAATGAAAACTGTACCATTGACTTTCATGGTATCTGAGGCTTTCAGACTTGAGTTGAGCCAAGCTATTGTCTTCCCAGGGTCTCCAGCTTGCAGATGGCCTTTCTTGGAGCTTCTTGGCCTTTCTGACAGTGAGAATCAATTTCCCTAATAATTTCCTCTCAGATTTTATATCATCTACATCTATATCCTATTGATTCTTTCTAAATAACTTTAATACATCAGTAAAAATAATAGTACATAGGGATCTCTAGTCTTAATATGACAGATAAATATGATTCTCTCTGCTTGACTCAATTTTACCCCAAATCCATTCAAATATATGAATCACAGATGTTCCCACAGCAAGTCCTTAGAGATGTGAATGCAGTGTAAAAAAAAATTTAAAAATAACTTGAGTAACAGAAAAAAAGAAATATGAAAAGTGTTTTAGAGTTTTAAGATTAGCAACAACCCTTGGGGGAAGTAGAGTGCACGTCTCCTTGAAATTGCTCACCCAAGAGTGTAGGAGTGGGCAAGGTCACAAATATGTCACTTCTAGAATGTAGGAGAAGAGAAGCTGTGAGGACCTCACTTGGCAGATGACAAATGTCCTCCAGTCTTTTTTAGATTAAAGCCTGACAAATATGAAATTTCTACAGAAAGCTGTCAACTGATCTGTGGCACTATTGTACCACTACAGATTTCAGGAGAGATAGCCAAAAGAATGAAGCTGAAACACATGCACAAAGATTAAAACCAGTTTTGAATATTTGGGAGCAAGGGAGGACAGGAATCTACAAATAGAACTTAAAACATGTTGAGGAAGAGAACGAGAAACTTATATTGGATACAAAAATTACTTGACTCCAAGTGACATAACAAAATTAAGCTCTGTTTCCCATCCCTTTTTAATGTAAATTTTAAAGGTGTTGTAGCTGAAAGGGATCCTGGGTAAGTCTGTGAAAAGGTAGCGTAGCCTTGGGAGCTTGCACTCTGAGTTAGACACTCCTCGGCACGAATCCTAGCTTTGCCATAGACTCAGTTTTTTATCTTGGTAAATTTACTCCTTATTGTTTCTCATACTAATATCTTCATCTGTAAAATGGGGGTGATACCATTTGTATAATCGTGATAAGTTTTAATTATGTACTGTAGTTAAAGAACTTGGTACACTGCCTGGTACATAGTAAGTTTGAAATAAAATTATGATTACTTAATTGCACTCTTGCTTGATTTAAAGATGTAGAAATTAGGCACCATAAATATAAATGACTTCTTCAAGGTCACATACAACAAAAAATGCCTGCTGATTTCAAGCACCCCATTACTTGCAGTAGCCTCACCTTCTTATTCTGATGTAATGGAAGGAAAGTAGAATGTAAGTCTGTTCATTTTCATTATTTATAAATTTATTAATTTTAGTTGATAAGCTTAAAGGCTTGTACATGGTTATAATGAAATTAATAATATATATACTAGCAAAATTATTAATCTGAAATCACATCCTATTAACGTAGAGTGATAATTGGCCAATTGGTGGTGGTTTTACCATCATCAATATGCCTTCTCCTTCTTTTTTGCCCATTCCCCTTTCCTCTTTCATAAAATATGAGGAGCTGAGACCAGGAATAGGAAACTTAACTTCATACCTATTAGGAATGTAATGAAAGAGTTGAATTGGATTACATTTAAACATAGATGAAATTTATTTTAAGTATGTCCACCTTAATGTTTGTTGTTCAATTAAAACTTTCTCACTAGTGTCAGCAATATTTTCCCTCCCTCCCTCCTTTCTTTCCTTCCTTCCTTCTTTCCCTCCTTCCTTCCTCCCTCTTCCTTTCTCTTTCTTTCTTTTTTCTCTTCCTTTTCCTTTCTTTCTTTTCTTTTTTTCCTTTCTTTCTTTTCTTTCTTTCTTTTTTTGATGGAGTCTCACTCTATCACCCAGGCTGGAGTGTGGAGTGCAGTGGCGTGATCTCGGCTCACCACAACCTGCACCTACCAGTCTCAAGCTATTCTTCTGCCTTAGCCCCCTGAGTGGCTGGGACTACAGGCATGCATTACCATTCTCAACTAATTTTTGTATCTTTACTAGAGATGGGGATTCACTATGTTGGCCAGGCTAGTCTCAAACTCCTGACCTCAGGCGATCCGCCTGCCTCCGCCTCCCAAAGTGCTGGGATTACAGGAGTGAGCCAACACCTTTGGCCCCCATTTTATGGCTTCTGTCATAAATGTAGAATAGATTAATCTAAATTATTGATAATGTACCCTACATCTTGACAGAGAAATTTATACAATTTGGCAACTGATTTTGAAGATAGTGGTGATTGATTTTGATGATGATTGTTGTGACACCAATAATCTGACTGCAGACTAACAGACTGAAATTGGCTTAGTAGGCAATGAGTGTTTATTCTGTACCTTACCTGTTGCTTTCCTCATTTCTAAAGACTACTAACTTGCAATTGGGTAAAGCCTGTCTTAATATTAATTTATGGATAGCTATTTCTCTCACCAAATGAGAGATATGGCAATGGATAATTTTCTTTCCACAAATAGAGAAATCAAAACTAAACCCTACTTGTGAAGTTTCTATTTCAACAAGAATTTAAAATTCAATTAACTGCAAAGAAATCCAGTAATGTGTAGTTTTACAATTTTTAAATGGCAAACAATCTTTAGTTGGAAATATTTTTTAGTTTACAAATGGTTGGAAAAATACAAAAACTATTTTTTCCTGAAACATAAGTTGGAAAGACGATGTCTTAGTATTCTCCAGATACATTACTATGTAGTTCTTTCAACAAGGATATGCTCCTACAAGACCACACACAACACTACAATGAAAATTGGGAACTCAACACTGAAACATTACTACTATCTAATCATGTACCTCCAATTTTACCAATGCCCTTTATAATAACAGGATCTTCTCCCCCAAGATCACACTTCACATTTAATTATCATGTCCCTTTGAGTTCCTTCAGTCTAGAACAATTTCTGTCTTTTTGTGACTTTCATGATATTGGCATCTTATAGAATGTCCTCTAAGTAGTGTTGGTCAGAAGTTTCCTCATGAGTATTTTTCTGTTAAGCACTTTTGACAAAAATGTTACAGAAGTGATAATATTATTTTTCTCATTGTATTCTATCAGGTGGTACAAGTTTTTGATTTTTTTGATTATTTGATTTACTGTTATTATTAATTTTGCTTATTTGGTTAAATTCTTGTCTGCTAGTTTCCCCATTATAAAGTTATACTTTCCTGGTTTGTAGTTAACATATTTTTTGAGAGGAGGTACTTGAATCTATATAAATATACATTCTAATCAAACTTTTGTCAGTTATAATATCCATTGATACTTTATGTTTGAATTATTACTTTGATAGTTACCAAATGTTGATTTTCTAATTCTATCTTTCCTACTACATTCACTAGTAGACATTTATGATTTAAAAGTCCTTATCTTCCTATTTTTTATATTCATAACAATTCTGATTTTATTCAACTTGTTGGGTGTAATCACAAAAGGAGACATTCACATTTCTACTTTTGATTTCCAGACTCAAAAGTACTGTCTATGGGGTATACTGAACCCTAAAATGATCTCTGATTCATAACATACTATGTCCTGTAAGACAGAGCCTATATGTATTTGTAATGTAACTGATTATTCAGCAAACCATTTCATATGTCAATTACTCTAGCAACTTCTGAATGATGAGGTATGTAATAAGATGAATTAATTTCACAGGTCTGCACCCATTTCCAAACTTCCTTTATTATGAAATAAATTTCTTGATCAGGAACAATTGTATGGAAACTTCCATGATAGTGATTAAGGCATTCTGTGAGTCCATGGATGGTGGTGCTTGCAGAAGTATTACAGGCAAGGAAGGCAAATCTATATCCAAAATAGGTATCTCTGCTTCCTATGCCATTATATAGTAGTTGTGTGTATATAGGATAAATACACTATCCTATACCATTACATAATACCATTATATGAAGCAATCTTTGTTTAATTCCTGGACTAAACCTGGTTTATATTTCAGTATAATACCACTGAATTTAAAAGGTTATTAAATAGAAAAGCAGCCAGTCATTGTGAACACTTCAGTAAAATAGTCCAATCACCCGAATTATGTGGCAAGAATTTGGAACTAAAGAGAATTAACACATTAGCAACTTGTTTAGGCAGTCATTTGGGCAGTGAACTTTGAAATGTATAGACTATTTTCAGCATC
Organism: Homo sapiens; assembly: GCF_000001405.40. Lineage (NCBI taxonomy): Eukaryota > Metazoa > Chordata > Mammalia > Primates > Hominidae > Homo > Homo sapiens. The sequence continues at coordinate 81,027,157 of NC_000006.12, read as the reverse complement.
CTGCAATTTGATTTACAGGGATATACTATTTTAGCACTTTTCCTATTATGCCTACATTATTTCTAGCTGTTGTTAATCCTTAAAGTAATTACATTACTGCTTCTGACACATAACTCAATTCTAAAGCTTCAGTGACAGGTAATATCTCCCAGTTTATCCTCCAGAATTCTACATTTCTGGCCTACGACTCAATTTCTCTAACGAAAACAGTGAGGTTGGAGACTGGCAAGACTTATTTCCTGGTCCCAACGAGATGAAATAAGGAAACCTGCCAGGACCAGCAAATGGCACCAAAGGCAACCTCTAGTTGCCTTTGCTGTTCATCAGCATAAGACACTCACAACAGTGCCATGACAGTTTACAAATGCCATGACAACATCTGGAAGTTAGCACCCCTTTTCTAGGAATTTCTGAGTAACTTTCCTCTTAATTTGTATGTAATTAAAAGTAGGTATAAATACAGCTAGCCAATAGCCCATATGCTGCTACTCCAGGTGCACTGATTATGGGTTAGCCCTGCTCTGCTAGGAGCAGCCACTCTGCTGTACAATGCCACTTTAATACGCCTGCTTTCTTCCACCACCAGCTTACTCTTAAATTTTTTTCTTGAATGAAGCCAAGAACCCTTCTGGGCCCAATTTGGAGCTTACCTCTCCTGCATTATCTGGCACCCAATGTGGGGCTTGAGAAGATGGTGAGACACAGTGAGACAGTGTGGTAGTGAGACAGTGAAAACGATGGCAAGACAGCAAAGAGAGGTAGTGACATGGTAAGACAGCAATTGGCATGACAGCAAAAGACAGTGAGACAGCAATCAGTGATTGACATCCAGAGCTGTAACAGACTAGCTATAACACTAAAGAACTGCTAATACCAAAGAGCTATAACACCAGCCAAAGGTTATTTTTAGAGCCATTATCTTTCCCAACATGCAGTGATGGTGAAGCCAAGCAGTGAGGGAGCAGCTGCAGTGCCGCTGCCTTGTGTGGGACCCACCACTTAGACCAGCAGGTTGCTGGTCTGCATGTCAGTCCTTTTGCAGCAGCTGAATCTACTCAAGCTTGGAAAACCTGAGAAAGACCTTCATATAGGCCCCAGGTTGGAGACTGGTCAGCACCATTTTGGCTCTTGTGGCTGGGTGAGTGTCCCTCTGTACCTCATTTGATGCTGGGTAAACCAGGAAATGAGGCCTCTGGCTGTGTGGTGAATTTGACGTCCCCTGTCATTTGGGTGCCCAAGACAGAAGCATGCTTGATCAACTACATGCTTGTTTAGTCCTTTCCTTTAGTCCTTTTCTCTGCTAATGTTTATTTTTCCACCAGCCATTTTACTTTCTGTTCTGAAATGTATGTTTCATTTACAGTTTTCACTTTGGCTACTGCTAACTGTATTTGGACATGTGTTTTTTTGCTTTTCTTGTTTGTTTTAAATCCTCTTTTTTTTTTGGTCTTGGGAGGTCCCCTACTGTGCCAACTCTGGGATGCCAGGGCCACATTATTTCCTCTAAGATTGTGGGTTAGAGTCCCACTCTAGGAGAATTCATCAGGATTATTGTGGGTTAGAGTTCCTATTGTAGCATTAGGACTGTGGGTTAGATTCCAACCCTAGGGGGTTCCTTAGTTGGCCTTCTAGGATTGTGGGTTACAGTTCCACGCTAGGGGGTTCTTAATCTTGTCACTCTATTTCCACCTCTCCTTTTATAATCTGCTTACTAAAAAGCACCTCTTCCATCATGTTCTATTTGCTGGTGAATACAGTCATCACTCCACTGCTCACTCATATCTTAGAATTAACTTTCACTGTGACCTGTACTTAAACCCTCTTTGCAGGAATTGGTGGCAATTGCCTACTGACCATTCTTCATGAAAAGAAAGAGAGGTAGGAATTTAAAAGGGAAAATAACTGGCCTCTTGCTAGGCTTTTAAAAACTTTGTCTAGAAGAGATCCTTGTCAGACGTGAGAACAATGATCATCCTAAAGGACAGCCACTAGCGTGTCTTTTAGGCAATTGGAGCAAATTCCAATTGGATGGGTTAAAGAGAAACTCATTTTCGATTGAAGCATCATTTGGGTTCCTTACAAATTGGGAGGCCAAAAAATGTGGCCTAAAAATTGTTCCTTATAATTAGACTTATTCTGTAAACAGGAAGGAAAATGGGGAGAAGTCCCTTAAGCTTTTTTGGCTTTTACCAGGATCCTGACTTAAGGGACAAATGTAAAATGTGTGTGGCTTTTCTACTTCCAGACACCAAGAAGTAACACCACATATCTTAGATAACCCCCTCCTAGCTGCTCTTCCTGGAGGGCCCATGTCCCCCTCAGAGCCTACTCAGTCCCCCAATTCTGAGGGCGTCCCTCCAGTTCTCCACTGTAGGATTCCATCCCAAGTTCATTAGAAACTCCTCCCTCTTATCCAACTAGCCTCAGCCTATAACCCTAGCTACTCTCTTGCTGAGCCTATTTTTCTGGGTGTCCCTGACCTCTAATCTGACTGACAGCTCCCCACAATGGCAGACAAGCAGCTTCCTGAACACTTTCTTTGGTGTCTCTACTGCCGAGTGAGTTCACCAGCAGCTTGGGGACACCAAGGGCACCTGTTGAGCAATACTATTTACTCCTTCTCTCTTGCTGCCATTAAAAATGACTGGTAACAGAAAATTTTTAAGATCAAAACTGCCATGAAAAACTGCTTTACCCAAAGTCTAGTCTACAGCTTTCTTTGTATTACCTATCAGGGCGAACAAAGCTTAACCATGTGGACAAGTTTCAGTTGTCTCAGAAATAATTTAAATTCAGTTATTTCTTACAAAGTGGTAAATTTATAGTGCTCTCTTATGACTAAAATTCTGAGATAAAAGACATTGAGTCTTTGTGTATACACATGTTTAGATATGTTTATATGTGTAAATATGTTTATATATGTATGATGTTTATATGTAAATGTTTATATATGTTTAGATATGTTTATATATGTATAAACACATATATGTTTATGTGTTCATATGTTATGTGTTGGGTCTGGCATGCTAACAAATTGGATTTTAAGTAAATGAGTACTCATAAATTAAGTAAATCTAAGTGTTTTCAAGTTCACTTTAATCTTTGGGAAATAAAACTGGTAATAAAATTAATGATAATAAAAATATCTACATAATTGTGTAAATAAGACTAATAATAAGATTATTATATATTAGTTACTAAGTAACTAATAATAAGATTGTTAGTTCAATAAAAACAGCTAAATCAGCAAAATGCCTATGTGTTCAACTTTAATATTTTTACTCGGTATTTACCTAATAAGCAGTCTTCAAAAAATAGTTGACAAGGAAATTGAATGTTGATTAGCTTTGTCTCATAGTGCAGTTTTCATAGATAGTCTCAGTCAACTATTAAACAATAATAGTAATTAGGGAAAAATGGAATAAATGCATATAAGTAAACTTTTTGTATCATTTAAAATCTTAAAATTATGTTGGATGTTGGATGTCTGGGTCATTTCTAATTAAGGGGTTATGATATGGGGAAACATGTTTGTTTATTAAAAAATTGTGGAATGGCTTTATCTATAAAATACTAATATCTAATAAACATTTCAGAATTTCTCACTTCTTGGGTTTATTTGAAATGCACCAAAGAAGATGTGTTCTTATTAAGAAAAAATTTTTTCCAGTTGAAAATTATCTAAAGGTTAATTCAAATTATAGACTTTAAAAAACCTTTCAAAAGGTTATTTATGAAACAACATAGAAGGGACACAGTTAAGTATGGGAGAGAAGTATAACAAAAATTACAGATATGAAGATTTATTTTTGGTAAGAAAGGTTATAAAGGAAAGAGTAGTTTTATCTGAGAAAGGATATTGTGTTGTAAATTCTTGCCCTAGAATAAAATGACTAGTTATTTAAGAACGAGGTAGTATACAAGTCAAAAAAGTTCAAGCATGTCATTAATGGTCTGTGTAAGTCATGGTAAGATTCATGTAGGAAAATGTATAAAGGAATTTTGTGTATAATTAAATTTGCTGTAATTAAAATGGAATTGTTTATAATAACCTTTCTAAAGTATAGTCTCCCATATTAAAACAAACTGTTTTTAGGTATTGATTTGCTTTTTTCCTCCCCTTGAGAAAACCTAGGATAACTCTCTACTTCAACTTTTTCATCAGCTCCTATAACTTTTTTTCCCTCTAGTTCTAACTGTTGTTGAACTAATGCTAAAATATTTTAACTTAGAGATCTATAAAATAATGTTTTCCTCCAATTTAACTTAATTCTATACTCTTGAGTTGTTGTTGTTGTTGTTGTTTGAAGTATAACTTTATTTTGGCTTTTGGTATTTTACCTTTACACTGCTTGAAAAGGGTTTTAAGGCAAATGAGAGCTGGCATTCTAGGCTAGACTTCCATTTCTCTCTGGTCTAGAAGGTTTAAATACCTATGAAAAGCTAATACATGCCATAATGGGAATGGGGTCAGACATGCCTCAATATACCTTTCTCTCATCTTTGATATTTAGGCCAGGTTCGAAAGACCCTCCAAGAAAATTAAAATAGGGAATTGACCTTTTCCACAAAGGAAACGCTTAGCTCCCCTGCTCAATCAGGAGATTAAGTCCTACTAAATACTTGGAAAAAAAGAATCCTCTGAGGATCCATTACAACCAAAATGGAAGGGCCTATATCAGGTATTGTTAAGCACCTCTCTATTGTTAAACTTCATGAAATTGCTAGCTGGCCACACCTGTCCAAGATTAAACCCATGATTCCCCACAGACTGTAGAAACAAACAACATCACCAATACTTGTAAGCCTCTGGAGGACCCCGCTACGTTTTTAAAAGGACCACCACTGGCTGGGCACGGTGGCTCACGTATGTAATCCCAGCACTTTGGGAGGCCAAGTCAGGCAGCAGAAGTGCAAGACTAGCCTGGCTAACATGATACAACCTTGTCTCTACTAAAAATACAGAAATTAGCCAGGCATGGTGGCACATGCCTGCAAGCCCAGCTACTTGGGAGGTGGAGACAGGAGAATTGCTTAAACCCAGGAGGCAGAGGTTCCAGTGAGCTGAGATCACGCCAGTACACTCCAGCCTGGGTGACAGAGTGAGACTCCATCTCAAAAATGGGAAGGGGAAGGGGAAGAGGAAGAGAAAGGAGAAGGGGTAGGGGAAGGGGAGGCTCAGTCCAATGCAGTGATGTGATGCTTGGGGTGAGCATAGAAGTATCAATTTTTATTTTACTCTTGATCATAATTCTTGTTCTCTGCCATCCGTCAATCACCTCTTCCTGAAAGACACCTCTTTTTTTCCTTGTTGGATAAAGATGTCACTCTAAGGCCAAATTGGACACCATGCTGCCTCTGTTAATCCTGTTTGTTCTCCCAGTTAACCTAATCCAGCATGTGGGTGGTAATAAAATGCTATGATAAATATTTCAAAAATTATAGCAATAGGAAATCATCTTTATGGTTGCTAGATCTGTCATCAGCATACCCAGGATAGAGTTCCACCATATGACACATCAAGACATCTCATGGCCATCTCCCAGACCTCCTAATTAACCATAGTGATCCCTTAACACTCAGACCCCTAACTTGTTAGATGGAACTCTCCCCTACTTAATAAATCCTACCTAACTGTCTCTGCCACTGTTATCTGGACCTGGAAAATTGGTATTTATACCTCTTAGTGGCTTAATGGCACTATCTTTCGTACCCATGGTTGTGATAATAACACAAAAGCAAAAGTTTCCCTGTGATCCAACCCTAGTTGCCAAGTTCCCAAGGCAGTGTTGAGGAAACCACACATGGTGCCTCCTTCAGGGCCAATACACGCAAAGGAGAAACAACTTCCTGACCTGCGAAAGTGGAAGTACCAGCCTGTTCTAGAAAATAAGAGCTGTTTGATCATCCCCACTGGAGTTTGGGAAAAAATATTTCTATAAACAAAACTTGGCAGCAGAGGACAGATGTTACACCCCACAGGGCCTCAATTTGTGCCCTAACTGGGCTAATTTTTGCCTATGGCCATGACCGGGAATAAATTCCACCTTGTAACCATTCCTGACTCCCTGGGGAGCCATCTATTCTTTCAGGAGTAGCTTTCAGAACATGGGTGAATATATATTGGCCACCATTGCCCCTACAGAGACCACCATCTATAACTCTAATGAGGCCCAGGGGTACCAAAATAAATAAGCAATAGAACTAATTCTAGAAGGAATTGGGGCAGCAATAAGTCTAGCAGCCCCATGGAGTGACTTTGCCTACCCTGAGTCAACCTAAGGAACTTGACTCAAATTCTAGAGTCAGCCAACAACAGTCAGTCATTAATGGGAATTCAAGAGTCTCTAGACTCTCTAACAAGTTTAGTCCTTTACAACAGACTAGAATTGAATTGTGTATTAGCTGAACAAGGGGGAACCTATGCAGTTATTAATAAGACCTGCTGCATGTATATTAATCTGAACAAGTTGAGATCAACATTCAAAAAATATATAAACAAGCTATGTAGTTACATAGATATAACCAGGATATTGACCCCATCTATAACTGGTTGACTATAAAACATGCCCTCCCAAATCTCACCAGGTTTCCATGTTTCCTAGGACCTTTGATAGCTGTATTGTTACAATTGATTTTGCCTCTTGCTTGTTTAACATCCTTGTAAAGTTTGTGTCTCGTAGATTACAATTCCATGTAAAAATGATGCTGGCACAAGGCTTCCAACCCATCCCACTTTCTGACCTGGAGAATAAAAGCATCATGTCTTTGGGCCCTTTAGATCAGGTATCCAGAGATTTTTACTCTTCCAATGCTAGGCAGGGCCAATACCCATAAAATCAGCAGGGAAAACTTACAAAGAAAAAAAAAAATAGACCTTTACCCTTCTGCAGCCCCCTTAGGATTAAAGAGAAGTATATAATCTCTGAGCAGGGGAACAAGGTAAGACACTGGCAAAACTTATTTCCTGGTCCTGACAGGATGAAATAAAGAAACCAGCCACAATCAGCAAATGGCACCAAAGGCACCCTCTAATTGCCCTCGCTGCCCATCAGCTTAAGACATTCCCACCAACGCATGACAGTTTATGAATGCCATAGCATACTCCAAATTTACTGCCCCTTTTCTAGTGCTTTCTGATTAACCTACCATTTAATTTGCATGTCATTTAAAGTAGTTATAAATACAGATAGCCTACAGCCCACATGCTGCTACTCTAGGCGCACTGACTATAGGTTAGCCCTGTTCCACCAGGAGAAGCCACTTTGCTGTACACTGCCTCTTCATTAAAACTGCTTTCTTTCACTGCTGGCTTGCACTTGAATTCTTTTCTGGCAAAGCCAAGAACTTTCCTTGGCTGAGCCCAAATTTGGGGGCTCACCTGCCTTACATCACCAGGATATTGCTCTGCTGCTCTGCTTAAAATGTCAGCTTCTATTCTTCTCTGTGCACCTCTCTTTTAGAGGAGCAGTTAAACAAAACAAATTATACTTTTGTATTGCATGGTTTAATTGTATTGTATATGTTTTACGTTACTTTAGAATGTTTACTATTGCTGTTTTTAAATATAATATGGGTAAGAAAGGAATGATGGTAGCAACAGCATAGTCTTTAAATCTTTACAGTTCTTTCTTAAAAAGAGATGGACAACTAGGATAAAAAGAAATCTTCCAAAATGTTGTTGATAAAGGATTTCCATAAGCCTCAGAGTATGAGCATGCAAGTCCAACCCAAATGTAGCAAGAAAAAATATGGGAAAGGAAGCTGTGTGGGAACAGCACAGGAAAGGCAAAAGGGCTTCTAACAGATCTAAGATCTGTGAAACAAATTCCCGACACTCTCATTTCAATAAAGAGAGGTTTCCCACTCTTAGTGGAAGAGTCACTTGGTAAATTGGGAAAGAGCTCCAAACGCTCTAATTTGTAGGCAAAAACAAAGGGGATTATAGGAAAATTAGAGCACGCTGAGTATACTGGGCTCACAGGATGGGTACAGTTAGTATGATAATGAACACTCTGAAGAGATGCTTCAGAGAATAGAACCCACTATTTGGCCTGCAACTCTGGCGTAAAGAAGAGTAAAATTTCACATGAGAGAAGTATCCAGAAAAAAAATACATGTATTTCAAAAAGTATTAGAAAAATAGCTTTTAATGGAGCATATTTTTAAATATTTTCTGTAAAAGAGAGGGAAACCTAGCATGTGTATACACCTTTATCACCAACATAAGAACTGCCTTCTAAAGTATAAGAAACCCATCTTACGTAAGTAGTATTTATATATGAAATAAGTACATAATTTTAATCAAACCAGCATAAAATATTGTAAGACAAAAGAATGTAACAATGGACTAAATGAAATAGGTTCAAATAATGAAAAACAATAAGAATATGACCAAAATATATTAAAAACAAAAAGTTTTAAAATTTTAGACAATATTATAAAATAACATTAATTATAATTAACAAAGCTCAGAGATTAGATAGTTGGTTGAAAAACAGAGTTAATGAAAAGAATGATGACAGCCCAGGGAGAATTGAAATAATATTTTTAAAAATCAGTTTCAGAAATTAATATTAAATTAGTAAATTACAATACAGTGTACATTTTAAAATATATCAAACAGAATTGAAGAGAGAGCGCTAAGATAGGCAAACCAAACTACACATTACAAGAATCCTTGGAGAAGAAAGAGACAATGAACAGAACTAATTCTAGAAACTATAAACATAAAAATTCCATAAATAAAAATTAATGTGACTTAAACTAATATATTAAAATGAAATTGCTGTGTACATGGTAAAATTAACCAAGAGTAGAAAATAAAAACAGTTATTTTAATAAAGCTAGTGGACATAAAAAGAGAATAAACAAATACTATGAGTCTGAAACCCAAAAGATTAAATCAATTAGAAGGGAAACAAAATCACATAGAAAATGATTTTTGAGGGTGGAGCCAAGATGGCTGAATAGGAACAGCTCCAGTCTACAGCTCCCAGTTTGAGCGACGCAGAAGATGGGTGATTTCTGCATTTCCAACTGAGGTACCGGGTTCATCTCACTGGGGAGTGTTGGAAAGTGGGTGAAGGACAGCAGGTGCAGTGCACTGAGCATGAGCCAAAGCAGAGCAAGGCATTGCCTCACCCAGGAAGTGCTAGGGGTCAGGGAATTCCCTTTCCTAGTCAAAGAAAGGGGTGACAGACAGCACATGGAAAATCAGGTCACTCCAACCCTAATACTGCACTTTTCCAACGGTCTTAGCAAACGGCACACCAGGAGATTATATCCTGCGCCTGGCTCAGAGGGTCCCATGCCCATGGAGCCCAGCTCTTTGCTAGCACAGCAGTCTGAGATCAAACTGCAAGGCAGCATCCATGCTTGGGGAGGGGCGCCCGCCATTGCCAAGGCTTGAGTAGGTAAACAAAGTGGCTGGGAAGCTCGAACTGGGTGAAGCCCACCACAGCTCAAGGAGGCCTGCCTGCCTCTGTAGACTCCACCTCTGGGGGCAGGGCATAGACAAACAAAAGGCAACAGAATCCTCTGCAGACTTAAATGTCCCTGTCTGACAGTTTTGAAGAGAAGAGTGGTTCCCCAGCACGCAGCTGGAAATCTGAGAACAGACAGACTGCCTTCTCAAGTGGGTCCCTGACCCCCAAGTAGCTTAACTGGGAGGTACCCTCTAGTAGGGGCAGACTGACACCTCACATGGCCAGGGACTCCTCTGAGACAAAACTTCCAGAGGAAGGATCAGGCAGCAACATTTGCTGCTCACCAATATTCGCTGTTCTGCAGCCTCCGCTGCTGATAACCCAGGCAAACACGGTCTGGAGTGGACCTCCAGCAAACTCCAACAGACCTGCAGTTGAGGGTCCTGACTGTTAGAAGGAAAACTAACAAACAGAAAGGACATCCACACCAAAACCCCGTCTGTATATCACCATCATCAAAGACCAAAGGTAGATAAAACCACAAAGATGGGGAAAAAACAGAGCAGAAAAACTGGAAACTCTAAAAATCAGAGCGCCTCTCCCCCTCCAAAGGAATGCAGCTCTGCACCAGCAATGGAACAAGGCTGGAAGGAGAATGACTTTGATGAGTTAAGAGAAGAAGGCTTCAGATGATCAAACTACTCCGAGCTAAAGGAGGAAGTTCGAACCCATGGCAAAGAAGTTAAAAACCTTGAAAAAAATTAGACAAATGGCTAACTAGAGTAACTAATGCAGAGAAGTCCTTAAAGGACCTGATGGAGCTGAAAACCAAGGCACAAGAACTAGGTGATGAATGCAGAAGCCTCAGTAGCTGATTTGATCAACTGGAAGAAAGGGTATCAGTGATGGAAGATCAAATGAATGAAATGAAGTGAGAAGAGAAGTTTAGAGAAAAAAGAATAAAAAGAAATGAACAAAGCCTCCAAGAAATATGGAACTATGTGAAAAGACCAAATCTACGTCTGATTGGTGTACCTGAAAGTGATGGGGAGAATGGAACCAAATTGGAAAACACTCTGCAGGATATTATCCAGGAGAATTTCCCCAATCTAGCAAGACGGGCCAACATTCAAATTCAGGAAATACAGAGAACCCCACAAAGATACTCCTCAAGAAGAGCAACTCCAAGACACATAATTGTCAGATTCACCAAAGTTGAAATGAAGGAAAAAATGTTAAGGGCAGCCAGAGAGAAAGGTCAGGTTACCCACAAAGGGAAGCCCATCAGACTAACAGCTGGTCTCTCAGCAGAAACTCCACAAGCCGGAAGAGAGTGGGGGCCAATATTCAACATTCTTAAAGAAAAGAATTTTCAACCCAGAATTTCATATCCAGCCAAGCTAAACTTCATAATTGAAGGAGAAATAAAATCCTTTACAGACAAGCAAATGCTGAGAGATTTTGTCACCACCAGGCCTGCCCTACAAGATCTCCTGAAGGAAGCACTAAACATGGAAAGGAACAACCAGTACCAGCCACTGCAAAATCATGCCAAACTGTACAGACCACAGAGGCTAGGAAGAAACTGCATCAACTAATGAGCAAAATAACCAGTTAACATTATAATGACATGATAAAATTCACACATAACAATATTAACTTTAAATGTAAATGGACTAAATGCTCCAATTAAAAGACACAGACTGGAAAATTGGATAAAGAGTCAAGACCCATCAGTGTGCTGTATTCAGGAAACCCATCTCATGTGCAGAGACACAAATAGGCTCAAAATAAAGGGATGGAGGAAGATCTACCAAGCAGATGGAAAACAAAAATAGGTAGGGGTTGCAATTCTAGTCTCTGATAAAACAGACTTTAAACAAACAAAGATCAAAAGAGACAAAGAAGGCCATTACATAATGGTAAAGGGATCAATTCAACAAGAGCTAACTATCCTAAATATATATGCACCCAATACAGGAGCACCCAGATTCATAAAGCAAGTCCTCAGAGACCTACAAAGAGACTTAGACTCCCACACAATAATAATGGGAGACTTTAACACCCCACTGTCAACATTAGATGGATCAACAAGACAAAGTTAACAAGGATATCCAGGAATTGAATCCAGCTCTGCACCAAGAGGACCTAATAGACATCTACTGAGCTCTCCACCCAAAATCAACAGAATATACATTCTTCTCAGCACCACACTGCACTTATTCCAAAATTAACCACATAGTTGGAAGTAAAGCACTCCTCAGCAAATGTAAAAGAACAGAAATTATAACAAACTGTCTGTCAGACCACAGTGCAATCAAACTAGAACTCAGGATTAACAAACTCACTCAAAAACACTCAACTACATGGAAACTGAACAACCTGCTCCTGAATGACTACTGGGTACATAATGAAATGAAGGTAGAAATAAAGATGTTCTTTGAAACCAATGAGAACAAAGACACGACATACAAGAATCTCTGGGACACATTCAAAGCAGTGTGTAGAGGGAAATTTATAGCACTAAATGCCCACAAGAGAAAGCAGGAAAGATCTAAAATTGACACTCTTGCATCACAATTAAAAGAACTAGAGAAGCAAGAGCAAACACATTCAAAAGCTAGCAGAAGACAAGAAATAACTAAGATCAGAGCAGAAGTGAAGGAGATAGAGACACAAAAAACCCTTCAAAAAATCAATGAATCCAGGAGCTGGTTTTTTGAAAAGATCAACAAAATTGATAGACTGCTAGCAAGACTAATAAAGAAGAAAAGAGAGAAGAATCAAATAGATGTAATAAAAAATGATAAAGGCGATATCACCACCAATCCCACAGAAATACAAACTACTATCAGAGAATACTGTAAACAACTCTATGCACATAAACTAGAAAATCTAGAAGAAATGGATAAATTCCTCGACACATACACCCTCCCAAGACTAAACCAGGAAGAAGTTGAATCCCTGAAGAGACCAATAACAGGCTCTGAAATTGAGGCAATAATTAATAGTTTACCAACCAAAAAAAGTCCAGAACCAGATGGATTCACAGCCGAATTCTACCAGAGGTACAAGGAGGAGCTGGTAACATTCCTTGTGAAACTATTCCCATCAATAGAAAAAGAGGGAATCCTCCCTAACTCATTTTATGAAGCCAGCATCATCCTGATACCAAAGCCTGGCAAAGACACACAAAAAAAGGGAATTTTAGAACAATATTCCTGATGTACATCGATGCAAAAATCCTCAATAAAATACTGGCAAACCAAATCCAGCAGCACATCAAAAAGCTTATCCACCATGATCAAGTGGGCTTCATCCCTGGGATGCAAGGCTGGTTCAACATATGCAAATTAAGAAATGTAATCCAGCATATAAACAGAACCAACGACAAAAACCATATGATTATCTCAATAGATGCAGAAAAGGCCTTTGACAAAATTCAACAACCTTCATTCTAAAAACTCTCAATAAATTAGGTATTGATGGGATGTATCTCAAAATAATAAGAGCTATCTATGACAAGCACACAGCCAATATCATACTGAATGGGCAAAAACTGGAAGCATTCCTTTTGAAAACTGGCACAAGACAGGGATGCCCTCTCTCACCACTCCTATTCAACATAGTGTTGGAAGTTCTGGCCAGGGCAATCAGGCAGGAGAAGGAAATAAAGGGTATTCAATTAGGAAAAGAGGAAGTCAAATTGTCCCTGTTTGCAGATGACATGATTGTATATCTAGAAAACCCCATTTTCTCAGCCCAAAATCTCCTTAAGCTGATAAGCAACTTCAGCAAAGTCTCAGGATACAAAATCAATGTGCAAAAATCACAAGCATTCTTATACACCAATAACAGACAAACAGCCAAATCATGAGTGAACTTCCATTCACAACTGCTCCAAAGAGAATAAAATACCTAGGAATCCAACTTACAAGGTTGTGTAGGACCTCTTCAAGGAGAACTACAAACCACTGCTCAATGAAATAAGAGGATATAAACAAATGGAAGAATATTCCATGCTCATGGGTAGGAAGAATCAATATTGTGAAAATGGCCATACTGCCCAAGGTAATTTATAGATTCAATGCCATCCCCATCAAGCTACCAATGACTTTCTTCACAGAATTGGAAAAAACTACTTTAAAGTTCATATGGAACCAAAAACGAGCCTGCATTGCCAAGTGAATCCTAAGCCAAAAGAACAAAGCTGGAGACATCACACTACCTGACTTCAAACTATACTACAAGGCTACAGTAACCAAAACAGCATGGTACTGGTACCAAAACAGAGATACAGACGAATGGAACAGAACAGAGCCCTCAGAAATAATGCCGCAGATCTACAACTATCTGATCTTTGACAAACCTGACAAAAACAAGAAATGGGGAAAAGATTCCCTATTTAATAAATGGTGCTGGGAAAACTGGCTAGCCATAAGTAGAAAGCTGAAACTGGATCCCTTCCTTACACCATATACAAAAATTAATTCAAGATGGATTAAAGACTTAAATGTTAGACCTAAAACCATAAGAACCCTGGAAGAAAACCTAGGCAATACCATTCAGGACATAAGCATGGGCAAAGACTTCACGCCTAAAACACCCAAAGCAATGGCAACAAAAGCCAAAATTGACAAATGGGATCTAATTAAAGAGCTTCTGCACAGCAAAAGAAACTACTATCAGAGTGAGCAGGCAACCTACAGAATGGTAGAAAATTTTTGTAATCTACTCATCTGACCAAGGTCTAATATCCAGAATCTACAATGAACTCAAACAAATTTATAAGAAACAATCCCATCAAACAGTGGGCAAAGGATATGAACAGACACTTCTCAAAAGAAGACATTTATGCAGCCAAAAGACACATGAAAAAATGCTCATCATCACTGGCCATCAGAGAAATTGAAATCAAATCCACAATGAGACACCATCTCACACCAATTAGAATGGTGATCATTAAAAAGCCAGGAAACAGCAGGTGCTGGAGAGGATGTGGAGAAATAGGAACACTTTTACACTGTTGGCGGGACTGTAAACTAGTTCAACCATTGTGGAAGTCAGTGTGGTGATTCCTCAGGGATCTAGAACTAGAAATACCATTTGACCCAGCCATCCCATTACTGGGTATATACCCAAAGGATTATAAATCATGCTGCCATAAAGACACATGCACACGTATGTTTATTGCGGCAGTCTTCACAGTAGCAAAGACTTGGAACCAACCCAAATGTCCAACAATGATAAACTGAATTAAGAAAATGTGGCACATATACACCATGGAATACTATGCAGCCATAAAAAATGATGAGTTCATGTCCTTTGTAGGAACATGGATGAACCTGGAAACCATTATTCTCAGCAAACAATCGCAAGGACAAAAAACCAAACGCTGCATGTTCTCACTCATTGGGGGGAATTGAACAATGAGAACACATGGACACATGAAGGGGAACATCACACACTGGGTCCTGTTGTGGGGTGAGGGGAGGAGGGAGGGATAGCATTAGGAGATATACCTAATGTTAAATGACGAGTTAATGGGTGCAGCACACCCACATGGCACATGTATACATATGTAACCTGCATGTTGTGCACATGTACCCTAAAACTTATAGTATAATAAAAAAAATTATTTTTGACAGATTATAACATGTATCTTAAGGAAATAATGTGAGTTAAATTTTAATATCCAGAGTAACTAAATTTCAAGTCAGAGGCAGCAGTTATGAGCATGAATTCAGAGGCAACAGACAGCAGTTATGAGGCCACAGACGGCAGTTATGAGCATGAATTTAGAGACATTATTTCCTTTTACTCTTTCTGTGGAATATAAAAGAAAATGAGCTGGCAACATATATATTGAGTAGCTACAATTTAAGGATTAGCAGTAACTATTAAATTTTTTTAGAAATAAGATTGAATGATGAAGTCAAAAGTTAAATAATAGTATGTATATAAGGTACTCAGGATGGTCAGACTGTTGAAAAAATGATGTGATCATGAAAGCACAGTTTGAAGTGACACTTTTTGAAATAAGAGGTACAGGCCGAGGAATGCAACAATTAAGAGCTGAAATGGGTGGGGAAATTGATGCTTGCCTCAAAGACTCTAGAAAGAAATATCCCCGCAGATACCTCTAGATCTAAGTATCAATTTGCAAGAAAAAAGGAGCAGAGAAACATATTTAATGACATCACAAATCATATAAAAATTTTTCAGAATAAGTGTCTTTAATAAATCCAAGATATGAAAATATAAAGAAGACTATTACAGATTGAGAGGTTCAACAGTGATATAAATCAAGTGCAGTATATTGAACTAATATTCCTTTTTAAGCAAATCATTTTGTCATTTTTGAAACCATTTGGAAAAAGTTACTTTGAAAAAATCAAAATATCGTAAAATTACCTTTGGATGTTTTTTGTGTTCTAATGGTAATGTTGTTACAAAAATTGGCTTGAGTTCCTGTTCTGGGAAGATAGAGTGAACATACTTTTCCCTATTCCTCCTGCTAGATAAAATAAAGTTCCTTGACATTATATGTAATATAGAAAACTCTAAAAGATGAAGAGAACAGACTCTCTAAGGACTTTAAACCTAAGAAATAACAAGGTAGTAAATTTTGCTTCCTATACCTAAGACTTGAAAATGAACAAGCAGATAACCTGGAAATGGCGACAAGCATAGATTCCCCCACCTAAAAATAAAAACAAAAGCCCCAATAAAAGCCTGCTCTCTTTTACCAAAGGACCAGGAAAGTAGTAGCCTAGCATGATAAAAATTTTTCAACAATAACCACTGTAATTCATAACACAAAATATTTGTGTCCCCCAGCACACCCATTCCAGCAAAGACTGAAAGGGGAGCCTAGATCTCTACCCTCATCATGCTGTAATGAGGCAATGAGGCAACCTAATTTATCTGCTGATGTAGTGTTAGAGGAGGCCAAGTAGGGAACCTAGACTATCAACTTTGCACAGAAATAATGAGCCTACCTGTTCCACACTCGTTTCAGTAGAGACCATGCAGGGAATCTGCACTTCTTCCCACCGGAAGTAATAAAGTATCCCGTCTTCTCCTCACTGGGGTGGTGTTCAAGGGATTCTAGTGGACAGGACTTTTACCACTGCCAAGTATAAAGCGTCTACTCTTCTTCTAGTGCTACTAGTAGAAGCAAAGTGGGGAATAGTAACAAGGCACTATTACCTCTCTCAGCCAGTGGAAGTCTGGTGGCAAGCCAGAACTCCCGCTCTGGCCAACAGTAATAAGGAACCACTCCTTCCTTTAGGTGTCAACAGAGGTAGACTTTGGAACCTAGATTTCTATCTCTACCTAGAAGTAACAAGGTGGTACCAGAAGGAAGTGGCACTTTCTTCAAGCGCTGAAAGAAAAGAAAGGTTAGCCCAGGATTCTATATTTAGGGAGGAAAAAAATATTTAGGAATGAAAGGGAAACCAAGTCATTTTTAAATGAAAGATAACTAAGCAAATTAGATAGCAAACCTACCCTAAAACAATGGCTAAAGGATGTACTCTAAACGGAAAGGAAATGATAAAAGAAGGAACTTTCAAACATTGGGATGGAAAGAAGAACACAATAATAAAAAATATGGGTAAATACAATAGATACTTTTTTCCTTGAAATTTCTGAATTGATAGTTGAAAAACAATTAGAACAATGTCTAACGTGATTCTGAATGTATGTAGGGAGAAATTAAGGCAATTATAAATAGAGGCAAGTAAAGGGACATAAAGGGAGTTTAGCTTTCTATATTTCACTCAAATTGGTGAAATGACTATATCAGTGGACTATAAGATTTGGACATGTAATGTCATACCTAGAGCAGCCACTAAAACCTATGCAAAAAAATACATAAAAACTGCATAGGTAAACAAAAATATAATTCTAAGAAAATATTAATGTAACCTATCAGAAGGCAGGAATAAAGAACAGAGAAACAAAAGCAGAACAAACAAAAAACAAAACAAAAAAATAGTGGCAGATTGAAGCCCTAACATAATAATTACATTAAATGTAAATGGTTTAAGTACACCAATTAAAACACACTGGCAGAGTGAATCTTAAAAAAATTGTGTGCTATATACAAGAAACTCATTTTGAATATAATGATATCAGTAGGTTAAAGTAAAAGGATGGAAACAAATATACCATGTCAACATTAAACAAAAAAAGGGAATGACTATATGAATATCAAATACAGACTACGGCCAAAAATATCACATAAGCATATCAATTGATACAGAAAAAGCATTTGACAAAATTCAACACACGTTCATATTAAGACTTTCAGAAAAATAGTTAACCCTGTTTTTCTATACTCACACACTTCTGATATCAAATGCGTTCTTTTTTTCCCCACACCAAGACATTCTCCAATTCTCTGTGGACAGCTATTGGCTGTGCTACAAGTCAATCCAATTCTGATGCTGTCTACTTGGAGTTAATGTCCAATCCACAAGTTAAAGGGCTTAGTCTCATAGACTGCCCATGACTTCAGACACAAATCACAAGTATTGGGTCCCCATTTTTGTTTGACTTGGCTACAACTTGGGGGCTTCCACAATCCCCTCTTCATATTAAATAATTTGCTATAACTTTTCACAGAACTCATAGAAACACTTTACATACTATTAACAGTTTATTATAAAGGATGCAACCCAGGAACAACCAGACAGAAGAAACGCACAGGGCCAGGCAGGTAGGGAAGGCTGCATAGTGCTTCTATCCTCTCTCTGTGTATGCTGTTCTTCCAGAACCTTGGAAATGAAAGCTCTCCAAATCTTATTGTTTAGAAATGTTATGGAGGCTTTTATTACCTAAGCATGAGTAATTACATTATTGGCCATTGGTGATTAAGTCAATCTTCAGCCTCTCTTTTCCCAAAAGGTCAAGGGTTGATGCCAAAAGTTCTAGCTCTCTAGTCATACCTTGGTCTTTCTGGCAATCAGCCCCAGTTTTGAAGCTATGTAGGACCCCAACCACCAGTCATCTCATTAGCGTACATTAAAAGACTTTATCACTCCAGAGAATCAAAGGTCTTAGGAACTCTTGTGTTGGGAACCAGGGACCAAAACCAAATATTATAGCAAAAGATATTACTATTATCTCTAACATGCAAGAAATTTAAGAATTTTAGGAGTGCTGTTTCAGGAACCAAGAGCAGAAATCAATTATGTATTTCCTATTATAACACAGAAGGGAACTTTTTTAATTGATGAAGAGCATCTGAAAATTATGTAGGTAACATTATACTGAATTGTAAAAAACTGAATGTTTTCTTCCTAAGATGGGAACAATGCAAAGATGCCTGCTTTTAACACTCTTACTTAACGTAATATTGTAAGTTCTAGCAAGTGCAAAAAGACAAGAAAAAGAAATAAACGTTATTTAAATCAGAAAGGAAAAAATTGTTCTTATTTACAGAAAACACGATTACCTACATGGACATTCCCTGTTAGATGTTCAGGAAGATCACAGGAAATAAGAGAATGAGAAAAAATAAAATGTTTTTATATATACTAGCAATGAACCTATGGGAACCAGAATTAAAAATATAATACCATTTAAAATTGCTCAAAAAATGAAAGACCTGTGTGTCAATCTAATAAATCATGGATAGGACTCATGCTGAAAGCTACCAAAGGAAAAAAAAAACACACTGAAGATCTAAATAAAGGTAGAGACACATTATGTTCACAGATTGAGTCACCCATAGTAAAGATCTCAGTTCTACCCCAAATGATATGCAGGTCAATGCAATTTCTATCAACATTCCAGTAAGATGATTTTATATATATAAACAAGATATTCTGTAATTTATATGGGAAGGCAAAGGAGCTAGAATAGTTAAATAATTTTGAAAAGCCATTATATAGCTGCAATACTCAAAACTATGTGGTATCAGTAGAGGGTTAGAGATACAGATCAATGAAAAATCATATAAGTATGCAAATTTGCCTATTATTGACAAAGGTACAAAACAATAGCCTTTTCATTAAATAGTATAGGAGTAATTCAACACAAGTAGAAAGACAAAGTATGTTGACCTGAATTTCATGCCTTAAATAAAATTTAACTAAAAATAGATCTTGGACTTTAAATAAGACTTTTGGAAAAAGAATACAGAACAAAGTCCTCTGGGCCTAGGACAATATAAAAAGTTATCAGGACTTGATATTTAAAGCATAATCCATAAAAAGAGAAATAAAAAACTGGACTTCATAAAATTTACAAATATTTGCTCGTGAATATACTTTTAAGAGGATGTTTTCATACTCCTGATAAAGACATACCTGAAACTGAGAACAAAAAAAAAGGTTTAACTGGACTTACAGTTCCACATGGCTGGCAAGGCCTCAGAATCATGGCAGGAGGTGAAAGGCTCTTCTTACATGGTTGCGGCAAGAGTAAATGGGAAGAAACAAAAGCGAAAACCTCTGACAAAACCATCAAATCTCATGAGATTTATTCACTATCACAAGAATAGCATGGGAAAGACTGGCTCCCATGATTCAATTACCTCCCCCTGGGTCCCTCCACATCACATAGGAATCCTGGGAGATACAATTCAGGTTGAGATTTCAGTGGGGACACAGCCAAACCATATCATTCTGCCCCTGGCCCCTCCATATCTCATGTCTTCACATTTCAAAACCAATCATGCCTTCCCAACAGTCCCCCAAATTCTTTACTCATTTCAACATTAACCTGAAAGTCCACAGTCCAAAGTCTCATCTGAGACAAGGCAAGTTCCTTCTGCCTATGAGCCTGTAAAATCAAAAGCAAGCTAGTTACTTCCTAGTGCAGTACAGGTATTGGGTAAATACAGCCTTTCCATATGGGAGAAATTGGCCAAAACAAAGGGGTTAAAGGTCCTATGCAAGTCCAAAATCCAGCAGGGCAGTCAAATTTTAAAGTGCCAAAATCATCTCCTTTGACTCCTAGTCTCACATCCAGGTCACACTGATGTTAGAGGTGGGTTTCCATGGTCTTGGGCAAATCCACTCCTGTGGCTTTGCAGGGTACAGTCGCCCTCCTGGTTGCTTTGATGGGCTGGTGTTGTGTGTCTGTGGCTTTTCCAGGTGCACAGTGCAAGCTGTAGGTGGATCTACCATTCTGAGGTCTGGAGGAGGGTAGCCCTCTTCTCAGTTCCACTAGGTAGCACCCCAGTAGGGACTCTATGTGGATGCTCCGACCCCAAATTTCTCTTTTGCACTGCCCTAGAAGAGGTTCTCCATGAGGGCCCCACCCCTGCATCAAACTTCTGCATGGGCATCCAGGTGTTTCCGTGCATCTTCTGAAATCTAGGCAGAGGTTCTCAAACCTCAATTCTTGACTTCCTTGCACCCACATGCTCAATACCACGTGGAAGCTGCCAAGGCATGGTGCTCCCACCCTCTGAAGCCACAGCCTAAGCTGTACACTGGCCCCTTTCAGCCACAGCTGGAGCAACTGGGACATAGGGCACCAAGTCCCTAGACTGCACACAGTGTGAGGACCCGGGGCCCAGCCCACAAAACCATTATTTTCCTTCTGGACCTCTGGGCCTGTGATGGGAGGGGCTGCCAAGAAGTTCTCTGACGTGACCTGGAGACATTTTATTCATGGTCTTGGGGATTAACATTAGGCTCCTTGCTACTTATGCAAATTTCTGCAGCCAGCTTGAATTTCTCCCCAGAAAATGTTTTTTCTTTTCTATCATATAGTCAGGCTGCAAATTTTCCAAACACTTATGCTCTGCTTCTCTTATAAAACTGAATGCCTTTAACAGCACCCAAGTTACCTCTTGAATGCTTCACTGCTTAGAAATTTCTTCTGCCAGATACCCTAAATAATCTCTCTCAAGTTCAAAGTTCTACAAATCTCTAGGGCAGGGGCAAAATGCTGCCAGTCTCTTTGCTAAAACATGACAAGAGTCACCTTTGTTCCAGCTTCCAACAAGTTCCTCATCTCCATCTGAGATCACCTCCATCTGAATTTTATTGTCAATATCACTGTCAACATTTTGGGTAAATCCATTCAACGATTCTCTAGCAAGTTCCAAACTTTCCCACATTTTCCTGTCTTTTTCTAAGCCCTTCAAACTGTTCCAACCTCTGGCTGTTATCCAGTTCCAAAGTCACATTCACATTTTCAGGTATCTTTTCAGCAATGCCCCACTCTACTGTTACCAATTTCTGTATTAGAGTTCTGTTAGAGGAACAGAACTAATAGGAGATCTCTCTCTCTCTCTCTCTCTCTCTCTCTCTCTCTCTCTCTCTCTCTCTATATATATATATATATATATATATATATACTTATAATAAGCATATATATAAACTCTAATAAACACACTCTCTCTTTCTCTCTCTCTCTGTCTCTCTATATATATATAGTTTATTAAGTATTAACTTACATGATCACAAGGTCCCACATAGGCTGTCTGCATGCTGACGAGCAAGGAGAGAAGACCCAAAACTGAAGAACCTGCAGTCGGATGTTCTAGGGCAAGAGGCATCCAGCACGGGAGAAAGATGTGGGCTGGTAGGTTAGGCCCATCTGTCCTTCTCACATTTTTCTGCCTGCTTTATATTTGCTGGCAGCTGATTAGATTGTGCCCACCAGATTAAGGGTGGATCTGCCTTCCCCAGCCCACTGACTCAAATGTTAATCTCTTTTGGCAACACCCTCATAGACACACACAACATCAATACTTTGTATCCTTCAATCCAATCCAGTTGACACTCAGTATTAACCATCACAGGGGATATAATGACAAGCGACAGACTGAGATGAAATATTTTCAAACCATATATCTGACAAAGGTTTAGTGTCTATCCTAAAAACACAAGCACAATAGTAAATCAAAATACAATAGTAAAATAAAAAGGAAACTGTTTATGTTAGTCCATTCTGACATTGCTATGAAGAAATGCCAGAGACTGGATAATTTAAAAAGAAAAGAGATTTAATTGACTCACAGTTCTGCATGGCTGGGGAGGCCTCAGGAAACTTACAATCACGGAGGAAGGCAGCTTTTCATAGGGTCCCAGGAGAGAGAGTGGGAGCCGAGCAAAAGGGGAAAAGCCCCTTATAATGCCAGCACCCCTATGATTCAATTGCCTCCCACTGAGTCCCTCCTATGACACATGGGGATTATGGGAACTACAATTCAAGATGATATTTGGGCGGGGACACAGCCAAGCCATATCACTGTCCAATTAAGACAAAAAAAGTGGAGACAAATGTCACTAAAGATATACAGATAGTGAACAAACATATAAAAAGAGGTTCAACATCATTAGCCATTAGGGAAATATAAATCAAAATTACAGTGACTAAAATAAAATATAGTGGCAATACCAAATGCTGGCATGGATGTGGAGAAACTGGATCACTCATAATTGCTGGTAAAAATAAAAAATGGTATAGTCACTCTGGAAATAATTTAACATACAAAAGCCACACAACCCAGCAATTGTATGTACTCCTAGGCATTTGTCCCAGTAGAATGAAAACTTATCTTCACAAAAATATTTCACACAAGTATTCATAACAGTTTTATTCATAATACCATAAACTAATATTAACCCATGTCCTTCAAAGGGTAAATATATAAATAAGCCATGGTATATCAATGCTGTGAAATACTACTCAGCAATGAAAAAGAGTAAAAATTATGCAAACAGAAAATCAAATGTATCTTCAGAGAATTATACTGCTTGGTTAAAAGCAACATAAAACATACATTGTATTATTCCATTTTTATAATATTTTAGAAATAACCAAATTATAGAAATGAAGGACAAATCAGAGGTTAAAAAGAGGATAGGTAGCATGTAAGGGGGTGTGACTAAAGAACGGTGACATGAGGGATCTTTGTGATGATGGAAATGTTCTATCTTTTGACTGTACCAAGGTCAATATTCTGACTGGGGATATTGTTCTGTAACAGTGGCAGACATTACAGTTGGAGAGATACTGGAAAAATCCCAGTATCTCTCCAATTGTATGGGGTATGGGATATGGACTTTTTCTGTATTATATTTTTACAACTGCATGTGAGTTTAAAATTATCTAAAAACATAAAATTTAACTATAGTTATTATCTTTTTGAGATAAATACTGAAGTCTTTATGAGTCAAATTTTAAAAAGTGCACAGCTCAAGATGGTCAGCTAGCATTTTATCTGAAAGAACCACAATTCAAAGGAAATGATGAGTGCTTCTCCAATCAGTATCTCAATCAGCACTTTTCATTCTGTTACATAGAACAATGAGTGTCTTTTTCATGTATGTAAAAATAGTAGTCTCTCAACTGTTCTGACGAGTTTTTAGAAATAGGCTTTCATTGTTAAAAACAAAGATATTCACAGTATGTGGATGAGCTAACAAATTTCAGAGATATTCTCAACAGTATGCTGGAGGTGATTCATGCCAGCTCCCGTGAACAGACTGTAAAATTTTCATAAATTTTATGAGTCAGTAGTTAAGCACAGCCTCAAATAAAATTTAAATTATTGAAACTTAGAAACTTACAGTTAAATACATCAGATTAAAAATAAAAGTAATAAATACCCAAATCTCATTACTTCTTAGGTATTTTATGCCTTTTATTAAATATATTAACATAATTTTGTTAAAATATATTAATATGTTATAATGTTATTATATTTGTTAGCTTTTCATAACGAATAATAGCCACATCTATGGTGGCTATATGGTGGAGATCCTATACAATGGTATATGCTACTATACATCTTTTCCCAAGTCTTTGTTCAGTGACACCATGTTAATAGCTTGATATCAGTCATGGTGGGTGAATGTTTTAAGCTATAAAGATAAGCAAACACTACAAATCAGAACTTTCTATTTCTGGAGAGCTAGTTATTAACATTTACCTACAAACCACTGGATAATACTCACCACACTTGCCTACAAATGGTACAGGAAACTGGTGAGACCTGTAGCTTGTACTCACTAATGATTCCTTAAGTATGCTCTTTCCAGCCATTGGTTCCTAATGTGCAGAGTCCTGACCTGGAATACCTAAAGTAACACAAATAGAACTTCACTGAGCTTAATTCATAGATTGTGTAAACTGACTTGTGCCTATTTGCAAATGAACTAACAATTAAAATATGTCTTTATATTTGCTAGAAATGAATTTAAAAATAATTTGTTCCTATTGTAGATAAATAGAGTACACAGGGAAAAATCTATAGCAGAAAATCAAAATTAGATCTATCATCTCCTCTCCTAAAGAGAACTATTTTTTAAACAATTTTGGTATTATTATTTATCTATAGGCTTATTATAATTGTCAATATTGTATATTGGCAACGTGCCTACAGTGTTACTACATATTTTCCACATATTATCTTAGTGAATCATCAGTCACAGCAGTCCTATGAGGTATGTTCTTTTTACCATTAAACAAATGTGGTTAAAATGCAGAGAGAGTAAGTAATTTATCCAAATGTCTCAAGGTACTAACTGCTTGGTGCTGAATTTTAAGCCCAGGCAATCTGGTTTTTAAGACCCCTTCCCTTTTTTTTCTAATTTTCTAGCCTGTTCTATTTTTTAAGAAGAGATTGTAGTCTCTCATTTTTGTTATTTTTTAATTTTAATTTTATTTTAAGTTCTGGGGTACATGCGCCAGATATGCAGGTTTGTTACATAGGTAAGTGTGTACCATCGTGTTTTGCTCTACTTATCAACCCATCACCTAGGTACTGAGAGCAGCATGCATTAGCTATTTTCTCCTAATGCTCTCCCTCCCCGCCATCCCACCCTGTGGCAGGCCCCAGTGTGTGGTTTTTTCCTTCCTGTGTCCATGGTTCTCATTGTTCAACTCCCACTTATAAATGTGGACATGAGGTGTTTGGTTTTCTGTTCCTGCATTAGTTTGCTGAGGATAATGCCTTCCAGCTCCATCCATGTCCCTGCAAAGGACAGGATCTTGTTCATTTTTATGGTTGCATAGTATTCCACGATGTATATGTGCCACATTTTCTTTATCCAGTCTATCATAGATGGGCATTTGGGTTGATTCCATGTCTTTACTATTGTGTATAGTGCTGCAATGAACATATGCATGCCTGTATCTTTATGCAAAAGTCACAAGCGTTCCTATATACCAACAGCAGGCAAGCAGAGCCAAAACATAATTAATTCCCATTCATAATTGCTACAAAGAGAATAACATACCTAGGAATACAGCTAACAAGAGAAGTGAAGGCCTTCTTCAAGGAGAACTACAAACCACTACTCAAGGAAATGAGAGGACACAAACAAATGGAGAAGCATTCCATGCTCATGGATAAGAAGAATCAATATTGTGAAAATGGCCATACTGGCCAAAATAATTTATAGATTCAATGCTATTCCCATTTAATTACCACTGACATTCTTCACACAATTAGAAAAAACTATGTTAAAATTCGTATGGAACCAAAAAAGAGATGGTATAGCCAAGACAATCCTAAGCAAAAAGAACAAAGCTGGAAGCATCATGCTACCAGACTTCAAACTAGACTACAAGGCTACAGTAACCAAAATGACATGGTACTTGTACAAAAACAGACACATAGTCCAGTGGAACAGAATAGAGAACTCAGAAATAAGACCACACATCTACAACCGACTGATATTCAACAAACATGACAAAAACAAGCAATGGGGAAAGGATTCCCTATTTAGTAAATGATGCTGGGAGAACTGGCTAGCCATATGCAGGTAATTGCAACTGGACCCTCTTCATTATACCGTATACAAAAATTAATTTAAGATAAATTAAAGACTTAAATGTAAAACCCCAAACTATAAAAACCCTTGAAGAAAATCTAGGCAATACCATTCAGGACACAGGCATGGGCAGAGATTTTAAGACAAAATCCCCAAAAGCAATTGCAACAAAAGCAAATATTGACAAACAAGATCTAATTAAACAAAAGAGCTTCTGCACAGCAAAAGAAACTATCATCAGAGTAAACAGACAATCTATGGAATGGGAGAAAATGTTTGCGATCTATCCACCTGACAAATTCTCATATCAAGAATCTACAAGGAACTTAAGCAAATTTACAAGAAAATAACCCCGTTAAAAATTGGGCGAAGGACATGAATAGTCTCCCTTAAATATTTGAGAAATTTTATTTTGAAAAGCATCATGACACTTCATAAGACAGATGTGTCATAATTTATATCTGTATTTTGAAAAATGTTATAGTTTCTTAATTCCTGAGAGGTCCCCATTCAATATCAGAATTTCAATATCAAAGAATTATCTATACTAGGTGGTAGTTTACAAAAAGATGTGTACTAGTAGTTATTATAACCAATAGTTACACATTGCTCTATGGATCACAACAAATACTCTGATATTTGACCCTCAGAAACCATAAAATGACATGTCTGTGATTTTACTAGTAGGTCTTAAAAGACTCAGAAAATAAATCTAAGTCTCTCGACTCAAACTCCTCTGCCCTTTGTACCTTACTTTCCTCCTTACCTTGTTCAGTGAATAAGAGTCATAAATTTCAAAGGAAATGGGGTTCATCATCATCTGACAGTAACAGAAGAGGATTCATCGAAGTGGCTAAATTTTAACTCTATCTTGACACATAAACATAATAGATTAAAATCAGAGATAATTACTTTTGGCATAAAAAGAACAGCATCATCCAATATTTAAAGGGAAAAAAAGTACAAGATAGAACTAGGAAATATCAACTCAACAAGTACAACCCTTTTTCTGGAATAAGAGATATGAGATTAATATCAATTCATTGAAAGATTATAAAGACTAAGAAGTACAGAATTTATTAGGTAGGCAATAGAGAATTAAAGCATTTGACTCAAAAAGTAATATGCTGCCAATTATGTACAAGGATATTAAGGGCAATAGCTGTGTTCAGGGCAGAGAGGAGGGCATAGTAAAATATTGTTATGGTTTAAGAGGACATAAGGTAGACCTTTACTAGAGTCACAGTAGAGTGAAAGAGAAAGAAGGGGTGCATTGATTTATTAGAAAAACAGATAATAGTTACTTTTACGTACTTACTGAACAACAATTACTATTTTACAGGCACTACATTAGACACATTACATATGTTAAATTATTAGTATGTTAAATTATTAGTATGTTAAATTATTAGTATTTTAAATCATTTTATGAGTTATTATTATGTCTTTTAACTAATTATGTGGTTGCTATTAGTGCCCAATTTAAGAGAAAAGGAAACTGAGACTTGGCTGTTGAATAATTTAATCAAGGCCAAACAGAAAATAAATGCAGAACCAACATAAAAAGAGCTATAGTGATTCTTACCATATGGTACAAGAAACAGAGAAGAATAAATAATTGCTCAAAATTCAACCCTGTATGGTCTTCTTTAAAAGTAACAGTGTATTGGCTGGGGTGATGGCTCATGCCTATAATCCTAGCACTTTGAGAGGTAGAGGGAGGTGAATCATTTGAGCCAGGAGTTCAAGACCAGCCTGGCCAACAGGGTGAAACGCGGTCTCTAACAAAAATACAAAAATTAGCCTGGTATGTTGGAGCACACCTGTAATCCCAGCTACTCGGGAAGCTGAGGCACAAGAATTGCTTGAACTCACTTGAACCCGGAAGGTGGAGGTTGCAGTGAGCCGAGATCATGCCACTGCACTTCAGCCTGGGTGACAGAGACTCTGTCTCAGTAATAATAGCAATAATAAATAAATAAATAACTACAGTACATTCCAGGCTTAAGAACTTGATAATTATCTCAACCTCTTACTAGTTGTATTACTTTGGAAAACTTGTTTAACTTCTCTGAGTTTCAGATATGTCATTTGTGAAAAAAAAAGTTAATAACAAATGAACCATTTTTGTAAAAATTAGATGAGGAAATGTTCACTAATCTTCACAGTACCTACTATTAGCTAAGGTTCAGTATGGGAAAGTTATAATAATTTTTCCAATTTGGAGGTATTGATATTAAATCCTATTTTTTTACCTTGCAAAAACATGTAACTATGTGCTGGAACACATAAGTAGGAATGTCTAGAAAGCTATTGGGAATGTGGGCCTGTGTCTCAGGAAAAAGATTAGTACTGAAGTGATAAACCATAATGAAGTGATAAGCCATACAGTTCAAAATGCACGTAAGAACATCATCTTATACAAAGTGACTGTAAGAGATCATTAGAGAGTCAAAGCAGAATTAGTGAATATCTGTATTCACTAAACAGGATAAAGAGACTATAAAAAAAAGCATAATTTCAAGAAAGCAAAAGAGTTATGTATTCTCAAGTATGTTCTATACCTTCCTTATTGTGCTTATTTATTTTTAGCAGCTTTCTAAAGGTGTACTTTGCATATTCTAATTCATCCATTTTTAAATACACAGTTCAATGAATTTTGACAAATGTATATAAGCATATCCCCACCATGAAAATCAACTTATAGAACATTTCCATCTCCCAAATGTTTCATGTCTCTTTGTACTCCTAGCCCTAGGCAATCAATGATCTGCTTCCAGTAAATATAATTTTGCCTTCTAGAATTTTATAAAAATAGAAATACTTGTTTGATTTATTTCATTAAAAATGAGTTTTTGGAATTTATCTGTATTATTACATATAAGAGTAGTTTGTTCTCTTGTATTGCTAGACAGCATTTAATAGAGTAGAATTTAGTTAAATAAATATGCCTCAATTTGTTTATCCATTCACCAGTTAATGATCATTTGTTTCTAGTTTTTGACAATTATTAGTTATACTGCTACACACATTCATGTGTCTTTGTCAATACATTTCATTCAGTCTTATATAAAAACCTAATAGTGGAATTACTGGGTCATATGCTGGTCATATATTTAACTACCTAAAAAGCTGCTTAACTTTTTTCCAATGTTGCTGTTTTGATTTTGAATTTTTACCAGTAAGATTTAAGAGGTCTATTTGCTCTACATCTATGCCAAAATTTGTATTGCTAGTCTTATTCAGTTTTAGTCATTCTATGTTTTTGTGTAGTAGTATTCAATAGTGGTTTTATTTTTAATTTCCTGTTGATTGGTTGTGCATTGCGCATGTGAATAGCTTCTTTTGTTAAGTGTCTATTCAAATCTTGTGATAGACACTTCTAATAATTGTTTTGTAAAAATTAGCTAAATACTTATCTTCACTCAGAATATTTTCCTGACATTGGTGGGTTGCTGTTTATTTTCCTAACCATGGCTTTCAAAGGGTAATAGCTTTTAATTTTGTTGTGGTCCAAGTTATCATTTTTTAATGGCTGTTATCTCTGTGTTCTATTTTTTAAAGTTTGCCTAAATCAAAGCCAAATATTTTCTCCTATGTTTTCTTTAAAAATTTGTATGGTTTTATCTCTTTGTGGTAAATTCTTATTTCATTTTTTCTCAGTTTTCATTTCGATTACAGGTTTAACTTTCTTTTACTAGCAGTAGGGTTCAGTCACTCGCAATACAGTTTTCAAGTCTACACGCCACCCAGATGAATAAATCTGGCCGCCAGAGTTAGGAACTTAGAGACATCTACCCAATTGGCAGACTGGGCTCCCTGTTTTGTGGCAGCTTCATTTAAAAGGACCATTCAGGCATTTGCCTATATACACATAACTTAAAGTTATCTATCTATCTATCTATCTATCTATCTATCTATCTATCTATCTATCTATCTATCTATCTATCCATCCATCCATCTATATTGCTAGTTGCCAGTTGCACTCTCTCGCTCACTCTCTCACTCACTCTCTCCTCTCACTCTCATCTCTGTCTGCCTGACTCTTCATGCGTGCATTGCAAAACCTGGGACTCAACATTCCTTGCTCAGGATCTGTAAGTAAAATATTTTAAACTTACTTTCTATGACGGTGGCATATTGAATATGTGCCTTCCATCAAAAGCGCTAGGGTCTGCCCCAGGCCAGGTTTTCCCTCAGATGCCGGAGAACACAAAGTCAGACTCCCAGTGCTGGAGTGATAGTCAGGTAGGCATAAACTGGACACAAGTCAGACAAGATCCATAAGGGTATCTGCCAGTATAAATGATTTTTCCGTGTGACGTACTCCCTGGTCATGGGTTGGACAACAAGTCGTTAGGTCATCTGCCAGGTAAAAACATCCAGCTCTCCTTCATTTCCCCTTAGGGCAGATTGCTAGCAGCTCTGGTATGGTATCGGAACACCAATTTATCTGGGCACTCCCAAAACACTGTTATGTTTAGATACAAGATTGCTTTTGAGTTGATTTTTTTTCTTTTTCTTTTTCTTGAGACGGAGTCTTGCTCTGTCACACAGGCTGGAGTGCAGTGGCTCGACCTTGGCTCACTGCAAGCTCCGCCTCCTGGGTTCACGCCATTCTCCTGCCTCAGTCTCCCGAGTAGCTGGAACAACAGGCGCCCGCCACCACGCGAGGCTAATTTTTTGCATTTTTTAGTACAGATGGGGTTTCACCGTGTTAGCCAGGATGGTCTCGATCTCCTGACCTCGTGATCCGCCCACAAACAGACATATGAAACGGGGCTCAACATCACCGATCATCAGAGAAATGCAAATCAAAACTACAATGAGATGTTATCTCACCCCAGTTAAAATGGCTTATATCCTAGAGACAAGCAATAACAAATACTGGTGAGATGTAGAGAAAAGGGAACCCTGGTACACTGTTGTTGGGAACGTAAATTAGTACAATCACTATGGAGGAAAGTTTGGAGGTTCCTCAGAAAACTAAAATATGGGCTACCATATGATTCAGCAATCCCACTGCTGGATATATACCCAAAAGAAAGGAAATCAGTATATTGAAGAGATATCTGCACTTCCATGTTTGCTGCAGCACTGTTTACAAAGGTAATATTTGGAAGCAACCTATGTATCCATCAACAGAGGAATGGATAAAGAAAATGTGGCATATATAAACAGTGGAGTGCTATTCAGCCATAAAATAGAATGAGATACTGTCATTTGCAACATGAATGGAACTGGAGATTATTACATTATGTAAAATAAGCCAGGCACAGAAAGAGAAACATAACATGTTCTCAGTTATTTGTGTGATCTAAATTCAAAACAATTGAACTTATGGAACTAAAGAGTAGAAGGATGGTTACCAGAGGCTGGGAAGGGTAGATAGGGGCTGAGGAGGAAGGGGGAATGGTAAATGCTTAGAAAGAATGGTAAATGGTTAGAAAGAGTGGTAAATGGTTAGAAAGAATGAATAAGACCTACTATTTGATAGCACAACAGGGTGAGTATAGTCAATAATAACTTAAATGGACATTTGAAAATAAGAGTGTAATTAGATTGTTTAACACAAATGATAAATGCTTGAAGGGTATGGATAACCCATTCTCCATGATATGATTATTTCATACCACATGTCTGTATCAAAACATCTCATAAAGCGGATAAATATATACACTTATGTACCCACAAAAATAAAAAATCAAAAAGTACAAAAATATAAAATGGTTCCAAATGAAAAAATTATTGTATTAAATGTATAGATCAATTTAAGCATTATTGTCACTGTAACAAATAGTTTTTCAATGTATAACATATATTGCTTCATATATTCAATTTCTCTCTAAAAGTTATTTGTCATTTTTACTGTAGAGGATTTCCAAAAGTAATTTGTGATTTTCATTGTAGAGGATTGTACATATTTAATTAATTACTGAGTATTCTATTGTAAAAACACTTGGTTTTTAATTTCCTAATTGTTCATTACTGGTATATAGAAATGCAATTGATTTTGTATATTGCCCTTGTTTCTTGCAAGCTTGGTAAGTTCACTCTTTAGTTCTAGTAGTCGTTTTGTAGACACCTATTATGTCATCTGTGACCAAAGGCAATTTTACTCTTCTTTCTGCTTTGTATGTCTTTTATATTCTTTTCTTGCTTTGTTCGACTGACTAGGATTCCAGTACAACAGCTAACAGAAGTGATGACAAGATAACCCATTTCATATTACTGACTTTTACCTAGAAATAATTTTGTTATTAACCAGTCTAAGTAGCTATAAATTTTGGTTTCTGTCCTTTATCAGTTTAAGGGAGTATTTAAAATTACTACTTTGCTGGCCATCTTTACTAACATGAATGCATGTTGAGTTTTTCAACTGAGGCAAATTTTCTCTTTTATATGCTACTAATATGGTGAAATACGTGATTTGATTTTTTGATGTTAATCCAAATGTTCATTCCTAGGATAAAACACCTTTAGTAATGAGATAGCATTCTTTTTATATACAACTAAAGTTTATTTTCAAATGGTATGTTAAGATATGTGGACCTATATTAACGGGAGAAATTTGTGTTTAATATTGTTTGAAACAATTGTCTGGTTTAGTGTCAGACAATACCAGCCTCATAAAATAAGTTGGAATGTATTCCTTTCCCCTCTGCTTTCTGAAAGAGTTGTTTAGCATTATTTATTTATTGAAAGTAAGAAAAAAATCACCACGTATCACAACAGGGCCTAAATTTCTGTTGAAAGGATTTTAATTACAAATTCAATTTATTTAATAAATATAGGGATATTAGGTTTTCTATTCCTTTGAATACTGCTTTTGATAATTCATGCTTTTAAAGGATTTACCTACTTTAACATTTCAAATTCATTGGAATAAATTTATTTCTGGTATTCATTTATTATCTTTTTCAGTGTGAGCTCTGTAGTGATGTCCCCTTTTATTATTGACATTTAAATTGTGACTTTTCTTTTATCTTCTTGATTAGCTAAGAGGTTTTTCCAAATTTATTAATCTTTTAAAACTCGTATTTTGGTTTCACTGAATTTTCTCTATAGTTTGTTTCCTATTTCACTGATTTCTTCTTTTATCATTTTTTAAAATTTATTTGCCTTTAAATGTAACTTATCTTGCTTTTCTAGCTTTTAAGATGGAGACTTAGATCATTATTTTTAGGTCTTCCTTATCATCTCATATTCACACATGAAATAAATTTTACTTTTTTATTTGACCTGCCCAAATATTTACATGTTGTGTTCTCATTTTCAATTCAAAATATTTTTCTTAATTTCAATTATAAATAATTGCAACTTTTGGACTGCTGGATCATTTAAACACATGTTATTTAAATTCGATCATTTTCAATTGTCCAGATATCACTTTTGTAATTTGTTTCTAATTAATTTTTGTCAGATTTGTATAATTTTATTCTTTATACACTTATTAAAATATCTTATAGCACTTCCCATGAAACATTTTGATGTAGGTTCTATGTACACTGGCAAAAAATGTATACTCTTCTGCTATTAGTGGAGTATTTTATAAATGTCAGTAAAAGTAAGTTAATTTATAAAGTTGTTCATACATTTTCTGATTTTTCATCTACTTATTCCATCAATTACTGAGTGAGAAGTATTATAATCTTCAACTATAACTGATACATTGTCTATTTTCCTTTCAATCTGTCAGTTTTTGCTTTTATATTTTGGAAATTTTTTTAGTAGACAAGTATACATTTATCATTGCTATTTTTGTTGCATTGATGTTATCATTATGAACTCTCCCTTTCATCTCTAGTAATACTTCCCATATTACTAAAATTATATTTTATTTGTTATTAATATAGTCAACCAGCTCGATGATACTTATTGGTTTATAGGATATGTATCTGTGTGTTTTGTATTTAAAGTCTATCTCTTTTAGACAATTATATAAGCGGCCCTTTCTTATCAATTATGGTAATCTCTGCCTATTAATAAGAATGTTTAGTCCATTTATATTTAATGTAATAATATATGGTTGGATTTAGGTCTGCTTTTTTTCAGTTCCATTTGTCTAATGTGGGTTTTTTTCTATATTTTGTATCTTCTTTTGAGTTAAGATTTTTAGTATAATGTTTTAAACTTCTGACTTTCAACTATACACCTTCACATTATTTAGCAGTTGCTTTAAAAATTACAGCATTCATATTAAATTTATTACGGTTTTTACTTTAATATATTATTATATGTGGTAAAACAGAAAACTTACGACAGTATTACATTTATACCTCCTTATCCTTTATACCATTGTTATTGTATATCTACATGTGTTAAAACACTAAGGAAATAGTGTTAGATTTTCTTTTGATTAGTTTTATTTGCCATAAAGAAATTAAGAGAAAAAATAATACCTATGTATGTATATTTTATATATTGCATAGATCTCTATATGCATATATGCTATATGACTGTAGTCTTTTATATTTACCCATATCTTTATTATTTCTAGTGTTCTTCATTTTTTCCTGCATAATTCAGGTTGCCCACTGGTACCATTTCTCTTCAGACTGATTTACTTTAGTGTTTCTTAAAGTGCAGTTCTGCTAACAACAAATTCTTTCTGCTTTTAATATAAAATGATTTGATTAAGCATTCAGATTTAAGAGTTAGCCTGATTGATTATAAAATCCTGCATTAAAAGTTTTTTGTAGTACTTTGAATATACTGTTTAACTGGGTTCTGGCATTCATTATTTCTAATGAGAAAACAGCCATTAGTTGTTATTGTTTCTATCTGTAATATATAATATATCATTTTCTCTAGTTGTATTTAACATTTTCTGATTTGGCTTTTATCTGTTGAATTATAATGTACTTAAGTAAGAACAATTTTCCTTACATTTATGCTATTATATGTTATTTTCACTGAATTTTAGAAGTTTTTAGTCATTTTTTCTTCAAAAAATTGTCTGCTCCTTTTTCTATTCTGCTCCTGTTGGGACTTTAATTGCAAATATATTGTTCCATTTGATAAGGTCTTTATGGGTTTTTTTAAAAAAACCTTTTTTTCACACTTCGTTCAGATTGGATAATATCTATTAATTTAATTTAAAAATGTACTGATTATTTTCATGCTATCTAAAATGTTCTTTTAATAACATATAGTACATTTTCCTTTCAGTTAATTCAATTTTTAAATTATTATTTGAATTACTTTATTTTTATAATTTCTCATTTCCGGGTGAGATTCCCTTACTCTTTTATCGTTAATACCAAATTAACATTTAATTTTTTATACATAGTTTAATCCCTTGAGAAAATTTTAAATAGTTGCTGTGACATTTTTATCTGCTAAATCTCACAACTGGGTCCATTTGGTGTTAATTTTTAATGCCTGCTGCTTTGCTGAGTGTGATTCACACATTCCTATTCCTTTGTTTATTGTGAATGGTATTTTAAAGACTTTGAGATCTGCCTTTTTTCGTTTGTTTCTACTAGGATTATTGCCCTAATCTTGTTATAGTAGCCACTTAATTCACCAAGACACAAATTGAAAAATCTTTCTCCTACATGGTGGGTATCTGCTGATGTTTCCGCTCAGTTTTTTCCTGCTACTAGCTGTTATTCTTTAGTTTGGACCCTTGAAAGTCCTCCCTGAGGCTGTGTAGCTTAGTAGTCATTCAAAGAATAAGCCGAGTTTATATTCAGATTTTGAGGTTCACCTTCTGCGAGGTTATTTTGCTTGGGGGTTTGCCTGATTTCTCATTATGTGCCCCCACATTCTACCCCCAAGCTTTCCACATTGTGTACAGGTTTGGAATCACATTAAAAGCACAGCAAACATGCAAAGATAAGGTCTACTTTTTTCCCAAAGTTAGACCCTCTAATTTTTGTCTACTTTTGCACCAGGTTCTTGGGAGTCTCCTATATGTTTTCTAACTTAACTCTTTTCAGAACTCTATTATGTGCACCTTGAGCCAGTGAGGTTGCATATTACCACTGCCTGGAGTAGGAAACTTTGGAGTGAGGGAGCAGGCTCAGATAAGAAAGCCACAAATTTACAGTTCTTATTCAAGGTAGCAGTTGCTCAAGAGTAAACATTTTGCAAGTTTCTAACTCTTATTTTCAAATGCTTACAAGAAATCATTTCTAAATATTTTGTTGTTGTAATTTGTGAAATGGTAAATTATTCTCTATGATTAGAAACACTTCTTCATGTAGCCATTTTTGAAAGGCCCTGCCTTGTGATTTTTGTTTTGTTTTGTTTTGTTTTAAGACAGGGTTTGCTCTGTTGCCAGGCTGGAGTGCAGTGGCACAATCTCAGTTCACTGCAACCTCTGCCTCCCAGGTTCAAGCGAGTCTCGTACCTCAGCCTCCTGAGTAGCTGAGATCACAGGTGTGAGCCACTAAGACCAGCTAATTTTTTTTATTTTTAGTAGAGACGGGGTTTCACCATGTTGGCAAGGCTGGTCTTGAACTCTTGGCCTCAAGTGATCCACCTGCCTCAGCCTTCCAAAGCACTTGGATTTCAGGCATAAGCCACTGTGACTGGTCAGTATATTTTTAATTAGACAGACTTTGTATTTAAGTAATCTACAAAAGTGTTTACTAACATGTTATTAGATAAGACATCATATTTGGTAAGCACAAACCCAATATCAAATGAGTTATCTAAATTTAAATTCTAATTTAATAAAAGCATTATACAATAAACACTTATCAATAAGAATGGGTCTTTGAAACTATAACCTGTATAATCAAAACCATCCCCCTGACTGATTTTTCATAAGTGGGATAAACACGTATTGAACTAGAACAGATGTGATTCTGAAAAGGGAGTTCCTTCTTCCAAGACTTGTTTTATGATTCACAGAATAAAATACATCTTCCTCTTCTATGATTTCAAAATAATTATTGAAGATATTCATTATTCTTTCAAGAATACTAGAAATGCCTTGTAAAATATGCTAGGAAAATTAGGGAAAATAAACATAAAACACCTCTCATATTTACAGTGTGATTTAAATTTCATTTAACTTGTTCTATTCTTGTTTGATGTTTCTAGTATTTTATTGACCTCAGATAAGATATAAACCCTAAAGAAAATGTTACTATTTTTAAAAAATGTAACTCCTCTCATTATTTTATGAAGTATGTTTGAACTTCAGAGATTTTTTATGATTCCAGTGCCTTATATTATTGACACAGTTGCCTTATCATGGTGTGTAAAATATTATCACTTAATCTATTTTTCTTATGTTTGTTTGCTAAAACTTTAATAAAGAGAAGAAAAAGTAAAGAGAGAGACTGTAATTTCAAAGCTGGAAAAACCATGTCATTTACGTCACTTTTTTGTTGTAGTCTTTTTTTAAAATCAAAATAATGCGAAAATAGAAGAAATTTGTTTCATCTTTCTGCCATAGCACTGGATTGTATTTTCTTCATTTGTCTTCATGCTGGATGGGAAGCACTAGAGGTTAAAGAGGTCTCTAAATATCTTTGGATTCCTCAATGTTTATCACAATGTCTGACATATCATAAGCAATCATAGTTTCTGTGGAATTAACTAATAAATGTTGAATTTCATTTTCTAAGCTCATATCCATCCTGATACTCATTTCCAGTTAAATCTAACACTTTTTTAGCCTTTTAGTGGAAGAAGGGAAGAAGTCATATTTCAGTGAGGAAACTGAAATAGGAAAAGCAATGCAGCCAGTAACTGTTATCGGTTTATAGAAACTTTTCTATTAGCCTGTTAGAGATAATCAGATTTCTGCCCACTGAAGCAAAACCAACCTCAGTAAGAAACAGAGAATTGATTAAAGCTTTGTTCTGCTCTGGCTG
The DNA here is from genome assembly GCF_000001405.40 of Homo sapiens. NCBI lineage: Eukaryota > Metazoa > Chordata > Mammalia > Primates > Hominidae > Homo > Homo sapiens. Next base: position 80,989,144 of record NC_000006.12, on the reverse strand, counting down.
ACTTTCGGCATTCTTGTGTTTTATACAGAGCACTGATACAGGATTAAATGATATTTAATTTCATCCTGTAGAGTCCTTTGTCTCTCTACCAGTAATGTCTGCAGTAATCTATACCAGATGGTGCTGGAAGTCTTTAGTTTATAACATTCTCCAAAGAACTTGTGACTAAATCAGGGTAAACTTTAGGAACAAAATTGTAAAATTTGTGGAAAAACAGTTAGATCGTTCTTTGTAAATTAACATTTACTTAACACTTTTACTAAGAATTTTTAAAAATCCTTCTCTGTAGTAGAGTTTAACAGAATGGTATATAAACAAAATCAAGGTAAACGTTCTGGAAATAAAAATGGATAGCTATCTTTGTGAGCATTCCTACTGCGCTATTGAAATACTTTGCAATGTATATGTGTGAAAAGTTTGTACTTAAAATTATCCAGAAATTGGTTTGCTGTATAATACAGTGTCTTAAGTAAAATCTAGTTAGGCTTTTCCCAATTTTCCATTCATATATTGTTGAAGAGTTGGGGCACTACTACTGGTATTACCCAAGATGTGTTTCCTACATGAACATGTTGTGGGTGTGAGAAGAGATAGTTATATTCTGATACTAATATATACTTGGCTCTGAAGTTCAGTCACTTGTATGCCAAGTTTCAATGTATCACACACTAGAAATATCAGAAGTTGATTCCAGCAGCATTGCATTAAATAAACCCTGCCAGATACTGAGAACGAAGTCATAAGTTATACACAACAATGTGTACAGCAGCTGTAAAAATGATAAGACGAATCCATGAGCACCCAGGTTAGCAAAGAATTTAGCCAAGAGCTATGCATATCCTCGAACAATTAGCAAAATATTTGGTCACATTTTGTACAATAAAGGATATATAAATATTAAAAACCTAATGTAGTTATAAAATGTTCTTTAGAATAAAGTAGAACATATTTGGAAGACTTAGCAAAAGATCACACCTCTAAATATTTTATTACAGGAAAGAAATTGTTATATCCCACATTATTATCTTTTGCCCATTTTCTACAAATTCCATACAAAACTTGTTCCTGTCACATTTGACAGAAAAAAAAATAACATTTAAGAAAATTATTTTGCATCTCAATGGAAAAAAATGTGGCATGGCTAATGCAACGTAGAAACCAAGTTTGATAAGGAGAAAAGATCAACTAGACAAGAATATGAGCTGAATAGAAAATAGGTGAGAAAAAAGACTGAAAAAAAGTCAACCAATTTAGCAAATTGTTATACGAAGTGCATTTGAGGCTTTAAATATAGTTAGCAATGCAAAAGAGAAACAAGTTTTGCACATTTATAGAAAGTCAGCTGAAAAGTAATAATGTGTGATGTTATAATTTGGAGAAGTGGGAATGAAGATCCAAAATAAGATCTACTTTTTAATAAACCCAGGATAGTCCCCCATTATGTCTTTTATTTCTGTGGCATCAGTTGTAATGTCTCCTTTTAATTTCTGATTGTATTTATTTATTTGAGTATTCTCTTTTTTTCCTTAGTCTAGGTAAGGGTTTGTCCATTTTATCTTTTCAACAAATAAACTCAGTTTTGTCTATTTTTCATATTGTACATTTCATTTATTTCTGCTCTAATCCTTATTATTTCCTTTCTTATGTTATCATTGGGCTTATTTTCTTCTTTTTCTAGTTCTCTGATATGCAAAATTTGGTTATTTATTTGAGATCTTTCTTTTATAATGTAGGCATTTATTGGTATGAACTTCCCTCTTAGTACTGTTTTTTCTACATCCCATGTTTTGGTACGTTCTGTTCTCATTTTTGTCTCAAGATATTTTATAATTTCCCTTTTGATTTCTTCTTTGGCCTGATGATTGTTCAAGACTGTGTTGTTTAACTTGCATTTATTTGTAAATATTTTCCCTTTACTTTAGGGTATTGATTTCTAGTTTGATTCCATTGTGGTGTGAAAAGATATTTGGAATTATTTCAATATTCATAAGACTTGTTTTGTGACCAAGCATGTGATCTATCCTAGAGTATGTTCTATGTACACTTGAGAAGAATGTGCATTCTACTGCTGTTGGGTTGAATGTTCTGTATATTTCCGTGAGGTAAACTCATTCTACAGTGTTGTTAAAGTCTGCTGTTATTAATTTTCTGTTTGAATGATCTATTATTAAGAGTGAAGCATTAAAGTCTTCTATTACTATCGTCCCCTGCCTATTTCTACCATGTGGTACAGTAATCCAATTCTCGGTATAAATTTGAAAGAAGTGAAATCAAGATCTCAAAGAGATACCTGCACTTCCATGTTGATTGCAGCATTATTAACAATAACTAAGACATGGAAGGAATGTAAATGTCCTTTGATGGATGAATAGATAATGAAAATGTAGCGTGTGTATGTGTATTATTATAAATGTATATCTATATGACATATATAAATATGTTATTCAGTTTTTAAATTGAGGGAAATTTTGCCATTTGTAACATGTATGAACCTGAAAGTCATTATGCAAACTGAAATAAGGCAGACACAGAAAGTCAAATACTACATGATCCCACTTATATGATTAATATAAAAGAGTCAAACTTATAGTAACAGAGAGTAGAATAATGGTTGCCAGGGCTGGAGAGAGGGAGAAATAGGAAGGCATTGGTCAAAGGGTATGAAGTTTTAGTTATGTAAGATGAATGAGTCCTAGAGATCTGTTGTACATCATGGTGCCTATAGTTAACACTATCATGTCATATACTTCAAAATTTGTTAAGAAGATCTAATGGTAAGTCTTCTTATCACATAAATAATAATAAAAATTAATAAAAAGGGAGGAAGCTTTTGGAAGTGATGGGCATGTTTATGGCATAGCTTGTGGTGTATACCTAGCTCCAAATTCTCCAAGTTGCATAAATTATATATGTACACCTTTTTGTATGTAAATACTTCTATAAAGTGATTTTATAAAGAGCAACTGCAATGACAATAATAATTAAATATATAAATGAAGCAATTAATGAGCCAAAAAAAAATACAGGGTACAAAAATAAAAGTATCCTCTATTGAAATGTTGAAAACTTTCCCTTTGTAATAGATAAATATCCACTGATAGTATTTCTATTTTAATATTTTATTGGGAGTCCTAATGAGAGCAGTTAGTCAATAAAAAGATAATACTCTATTAGTTGGAAAATAAATATGAACCACAAATATACATTATTGCACATCCATTAATGAAAAAAGATGCATTATTAGAATTAATTTAAACTTTTAACATGTTGCTGAACACACAAAAATGTCACAGTTATTTTTCTGTTTTATGTCCAATTTCTGCACTTCTCTGCCTTGCTTTGTCTAGCAGGGCATTTGCAAATGCAATGCTTTGTCTAGCATTGTATTTTCCAGGCTTCCTTGCCTTCAGTTTTCAAATAGCTTTAGGCTATGCAAGTATACCAGAAGGCTGCAAGGTAGAAGGAATGAGAAGACAGGATGTTTCCATTCACCTGCCTTGAATAGCGTCTCCAAAAATAGCTACAGTCCTCCTCCTTACCCTACATTGGTTTATCACCTGCTAAGCAACTCTATGCTCCATAGACCCAGCTCCTGGTAAACAAGCCCAACATAATTCTACACGGCTTCTGTGTGATAGATCTGCTCCTGAGCTCTGGTAACATCATGTCTTCCCTTTTTCTTTATAGCTCTAGAGGTGCTAGGGAATTCCCACTATTGCTTATTTCTGGGATGCCTCATCATCCTGTGTTTACATTCTCTGTTCTTCCATTATATGTGAAATCAATTTCTTATATAAAGTTCTTTTATTTCAAATGAAGGTAATGGTTTCCATTTTCTGACTAGATTTTGACTGACGTAGTTCTTGGTATCAAGACTCTCAGTATAAGATTATGAAATGAAATAGTCCAATTCTTTTAGTTTAAATACTTTGATAAAATCTTTTCGGTGACAAAGATATATCAGTAATGTGTTACTTTATAAAATTCTGAACTATAAATGTTTGGGATGAACTGCCCATTGATTGTGAGGCTTTATGTAATAGATTACACCCAGCACTTTGGGAGGCCAAAGCAGGCAGATCACTTGAGCCCAAGAATTTGGGACAAGATGGGGCAGCATGGCAAAACCCCATCTCTACAAAAAAATATACAAATTGGCTGGGCATGGTGGTGCACCTGTAGTCCCAGCTGCTTGGCAGGCTGGGTTTAAAGGATTGTCTGAGCCCAGGGGGGCAAGGCTGCAGTGAGCTGAGATCATGCCACTTCACACCAGACTGGGTGACAGAATGAGACTGTATCAAGAAAACAAAGCAAAACAAAACTGTAATAGACTACAAAGTCTGAGCAGTAGGAGGACTACTAGATTTTTAACTCAGATTTAGACACTGTCAGCATTAAAATGTGTGAAAGACCAGACCATCTATAGTAACTGAGACAGAGTCTCACTCTGTTGCCAGGCTTGAATGCAGTGGCACGATCTTGGCTCACTGAAAACTCTGCCTCCCAGGTTCAAGTGATTCTCCTGCCTCAGCCTCCCAAGTAGCTAGGATTACAGGCATGCACCACGATGCCCGGCTAAGTTTTCTATTTTTAGTAGAGGTGGGATTTCACCATGTTGGCCAGGCTGGTCTCGAGCTCCTGACCTCAAGCGATCCGCTTGCATTGGCCTCCCAAAGTGCTGGGATTATAGGTGTGAGCCACTGAGTCTGGCTTAGAAACTTAAAATAATAATTTTTCTCTTCTAGAACAGGGTTTAGGGAACTTTTTCTGTAAATGGTCAGATGGCAAATATTTCAGGGATTATAGAACCCCATACAGTCTGTATTAGATATTCTTCTTCTTTTTACTTTTTAACATTTTTTAAATTTTCTAAAACGTTCTTAACATGGACCCATAGTTTTAAAGTCTCTGTTAGCCTCAAAGAATACATGGTTTAGAATTAGATTCATTTGCTAAATGTGCATATTTCACAATCAAATCTCAAATTGAATACAGTCACAACAAGTTATTTTTGTTGAATTTAAAACAATATGGAATGAGCAAGACTTTGATCATTGTAATTGGGTATTTTAGGTAGATTTTGATTAAAATGGAAATTCTAAGTACTTTGAGCTCCCTTTGCCGGTAGACTTATCCTTTTCTGTCCTCTCCTGTAGTCCTTCCCTTCTTAAAGCCAGTGTGATGGATTTACCTGAGCCAGTTGCTTCACAAGGGGCATTCTGTTCTCCTTATAACCCACCCAACCAATTTTCATTATTCTCAAACCCATAGGCAATTTGACACCAATATAACCCAGGAAAATTGCAGGATCTTCTCTAGAAAGATATAGCTTATAAACCAAAAAAACTGTAATATTTTGCAAATTCATATCAGCCAGAAATTAGGGAGTATGTATGTGGTTGGATTCTAAGAATGTTACACCATAGAGGAAAACTACAATTATTGATATAGGTGTCCTTAATCAAGATTCTTGATTTAATATATTAACACGAGCAGCTGGAAGTGATGCTAACAGATTATTAGTTTAGTTGACTGAATCTTGGTTTTAAAAATGGCTTTCATTTAGGTGGGCCCCAAAACTGGAGCTTAGCCAGGGAGGTTCTTCGCTTCTCACAGGAAATAATTTAAGGCCAAGCCTGTGGTGGTACACAAAAATCTTGTATTGAATATATTGTTCCTTGTAGAGCAAGGCTAACTCATAGTGTGCTCAGAGTCAGCAATGTATGGGCTCTTGGAAATAGTATTCTACTCACTTAAACCCACTTTTAATTACATATAAAGTAAGGGGAAGGTCAATGCAAATTGAGGGGTGGGTTATTTAGAACTTTCTAGGAAAGGGACCGTAAGTTTTCAGTTATTTCCATGGAAAGGGATGGTAACTTCTGGGTTATTACCATGGCATTTGTAAACTGCCCTGGCACTAGTGGGAGTGTCTTATGCCAAAGAGCCATGAGGGCAGCTGGGGATCTCTTTTGTTGACATTTGTAGGTTTCTGCCATGTTTCTTACCTTTTCTTGTCTGGATCAGATTCTGTTTTGGCAAGTAGCGTAGTGATCAGAAAACAAGTCATGCCCATCTTGTACCTCACTTTCCCCTCAGAGATTATTCTTTTTTTTTAATTTTAAGGGGGCTACAGAAACATGGTGATCCATCTTCTGTTATTGCTTTTTGCTGTTCTTATAGGCATAACCCCTGCCTAGCATTGGAGGAGTAAATATTTTTGGATACCTAACCCAAGGGGTCCAATGGCACGATGTCTTTGTTTTGCGGTCAGAAGATGGGATGGATTAGATGGCTTGTGTTAGTATCATCTTTATGTGGAATCTAGAATATATAAACTTTACTAGGAAATTAAACAAGAAAATTAAAATAGAAGAAAGAGGAAAAAATAGTGTTTCTATGCTCACCTACCGCATCACATAATGTATGCATTTGTGAAATAACAACCTTAAGTCTTTAAAAGTTTATAAGTGTAGGTTATGGTGTCCTCCACTTATGCTTTCAGGGACTCATATGAAACAGGTTTAATCCTGGACAAGTGTATCCAGTTAGTGATTTCCTTAAGTTTAGCAGCAGTGAAGGTATTTAATAATACCTGATAAGAGCTCTTTATTTTAGTTGTAATTTATTTTCAGGGGATTTAAGAAAGGTTTTAGTAAGATTAAGTCTTTTGGTTGGAGGCAATATTTTATTTTTATATTTTGAAGGGCCTTGTGAACCTAGCCTAAACGTTAAAGGGAATATAGTCAGATGTGTCCAACCCTCTGTTTTCTTCATGGCCTAAATTAGATTGTTTTAGATTTCTTTGGGATTTCCACTGGCCAAAAGACTCAGAGCCAAAGGACCTGTATCCAATTAAACATATTAGGCCATATGGGAATGGAGGTGGGCAGGCACTCATTAACCCTAAAATCCCTTTTTTAAGAGTCAAAAACTGAAAGCCAAAATTAAGGTTATATATTAAGAAAAACCAAGAACAGACAATTAAGTTATATTGAGGGAAAACACTGCTCCCATATACCTTTAATACAAAATACTTTAGCATTAGGCCACAATAATAGAACCAGAAGAGAAAATGTCAGAGGAGCAGACCAAAAAAAGCTAAAGGAGAGAGATATATGAATCTGAAATTATAAAAAAGAGATACCAGAATTGAAAAGTAAAATTTTCTGGTAATTTAGCAATTAATATCTTAAGAAAATTTGATTTTAACATGTCGATCATTTTTAAGAAAGTCTATTATAAACAATATTTTAAATTACTGCTAGCTTAATTACACACAAAGTTTCTTTCATAAATGCTGCTTATGAATGTTATTACAACTTACACTGACTACTTATAATATGCTTGGACACTTTGAATTATTCTATATATTTTTTAAAAAACAGTCATTTTATTTTAGGACAAAAATGTACTAATAAGATTCTTTTTATATAAATTTTTAAATAGTCTTTCTGTCACATGTGTCCGTGTGAAGAGAGTCCACCAACAGACTTTGTGTGAGCAACAAGGCTGTTTATTTCACCTTGGTGCAGGCGGGCTGAGTCCAAAAAAGGAGTCAGCAAAGGGTGGTGGGATTATCATTAGTTCTTATAGGTTTGGGATAGGCAGTGGAATTAGGAGCAATTTTTTGCAGGCAGGGAGTGGATCTTACAAAGTACATTTTCAAGGATGGAGAGAATATTACAAAGTACCTTCTTAAGGGCCGGGGAGGATATTACAAAGTACCTTCTCAAGGGTGGGGAGGGTGTTATCATACAAAGTACATTCACAAGGGCAGGGGAATATCACAAAGTACATTATTGCAAGGGCATGGAGGGTGTATTGTCACAAAGTCAATTGATCAGTTAGGGTGGGATGGGAATGGTGGAATGTCATCAGTTAAGGCAGGAACTGACTATTTTCACTTCTTTTGTGGATCTTCAGTTGCTTCAGGCCATCTGGATGTATACATACCAGTCACAGGGGATATGATGGCTTAGCTTGGGCTCAGAGGCCTGACACTTTCTTCAAAAACATTTTATCCATAATTATTTATATATTTATTTTTCATTTACTGGCTTCTTATATTTTGAACCTCCACATTAATAATTTCTAAAATTAACAAAAATTATTCTTTTTTCCAATAAAGAATACATTTATTTGTCATATTTTATATAAACTTAGGAAGCAAGAAATCCTGAACTGCCCACCAGCCATTAGCATTCTAGAGATGAGAATTATTTCATAATTATAGGATTTTTAACTATACATAAAGCTGACTAAGCCATTTTTTTACCATTTAAAAGCCTATAAAGTGATTTATTTAGGTAAAAATCTTAAATTTTAGAAGACACAATATTCTCTTGGAATTTATACATTTATGCTAGTCTTATCTGTTTAATTTATGAGCAGTCTTTTATAAGTCAATTTGACAGCATGCTAGACATAATATATATCACAATATCTGTATATACATATAAACAACAACGTTAAACAAAGCAACCTATACAAAACAGCTGGATCTAACTTATTTATAAAATTGGGACATATCTATCTGGCCAAATTTTGTCTGCCCTGATATGTATGGAAGATAGGAAGAGACAAGGAAGGGGATCCCATAACATTACATAAGGAAGGCAGGGGGCAAACTGTATTGCTCAAGGCAAGACCTGAGTCTCTGAGCCACTGGAGAGCTCACCCACTAGCAGAGAAACCAAAGAAAAATGTTTAGGAGGCCACTTGTCTGCCACTGTGGGAAGCTGTCCATTGACTCAAGGGCCTGAAACCCTCAGTAAACTTACTTGAGCAAGGCAGCTTGTTTGGGCTAGTAGAAGAAGGTTAGCTCTTGTATTGATGGGGAGTTTTTCCTTTTTTCTCCCTCACCAGGGATGGTTAGGACATTCTCATTGCCAGTGGCTCTTTTGCTTATAGTAAGCACACTGATTCTGACTCAGGGGCTGGCAATTTGGGGACTCTTGTCTGGGCATCCCAGCTGCCAATCGTATAACAATGTTTTGGTAATTTTGGTTCATTTTGAGGTGGTAGGGGATTTAAAGCAACTATTAATGATTACACTTTTTGGCTATTTTTTTTTTTCATTTATTTTGCCCTGCCGCTATTGTTGTAAACTTTAAAGACCACATTTAAGTTGGCTTATAGGGATTTAAGTTCCCATTGATGCTTTCTGTAGCTTCTTCCTAATACCGGGTGCACATTGAGTAATAAAATGTATACCTAGGATAGCTCGCCCTTCTGGGAAGTCTGGGTCTTCATTAATATATTCCCTGAGTGCCTCAACTAAATGAGCCTGAAGCAGAGTGAGATTCTTATCTTTTCCTTGTCTTATTTTTCCTACCTTGTCACAATTAACTAGCCTAACCACACCCTTTTTTTTTTTTCTGCTTTTTCTCCATGGCGCAGCAAGCAGATGACAATACTTGCAAGTCATGAGAAGTTCAATGAAAGAATATGGTCAATTCAACAAATTTCTCTATAAACATTTTTGGATCTTTTGAAAACTGGCCAAATTTTCCTTCTATAAAGCCAAATCACACATAGAAAAATGACACATGTTCTCTATGTGTTTATTTTTGTTAAATATCTCCTGAAATGGACACAGGTTTGATTTTAGAGGCTGATATGGGGCCCCATTTCTGGTGCTACTGGTCAGGTATACTTTATCAGGAAGAAGTAGGTATAGGCTGGGGCCAGTTGGATAAAGGGCAGGGGTGCTTGATGACTTCGGGGTGGAATCCTTCATTAGATAACTAGCAGGTTATCTGTCAGAATTGGGGGACTGAGGAGATGATGGCGGGGGTGTAGGCCTTTTAGGGGGAGCATCTAGGAGGAGATATCTTAAATGTGGCTTCTTGGGGCCAGGCAATAACATGAGCCAGTAAAGGGTCATAAGAGCCCATGTCTAAGGGACCTTTTTCTATTTTTCTTTTCTATTTTTTTACAGAATAAATTCAATTATAAAATATTATTATAACATAAAGTATCATTTTTAGGCCAAATGTGTTGGTTTTCTAATTTGTATTGGACATAAACAGTGTCACAGTAGAAAATGAGGTTTTTTTGGTCTTGTTTTGTTTTGTTCTAATGAAATTTGAATTTGTTCCATTAGCCTACAAGACACCCTAGTAGTGAGTCCTCCAGGATGCTCATTATTTTTTACTGGACACAGAAAGTTTTTAAGTCTAATTAGAGGGAAATCAACTGGGCCCTTGCTATTTTTCCCTTTTAGATTTTCACTTTCTGCAAAGAAAGTATATGTATTAAGGCATTGTGAAAGTGAAAATATGAGAAAAGTATTTTTATTAAACTAAGTATAAAGGAAACATGTAAATAAAGTGACAATAAGAAAAGAAAATGCTGTTATGGAAAATGATAACTTTAGAGCAGAAATCAAGAAAAGCCAAGACCAGGATTCCCCTAGAGTGGATCTCCAGCCCACAATCTTAGAGGAAATGCCAGTGCCAAAAACCCCGGAGCATCTGGGGGCAGCCAACAATACCAAAGGCTGAAAACATGGAGTAACTGTATCAACCAACGAGTGTCCCCACACCAAATGCTGAAAATCCTGGAGTATCTGGCAGGTGGCCAACTGTGAACCCCAAAGGCCTGATTGAGGCAAGAGAATACCATGACTCTGGTGTCCCAGAGTCAAAACAACAGGAGATCTCTCACAATCAAATATCCTGCCTTAAATAATTGCCCAAATACAGTTAGCAGGGAGCTAAAGCAAAATCCCTTTGAACAAAGCATACATTTTACAGCAGAAAATAAAATGGCCAACAGAAAAATAAATTGGCGTTAGATGACGAAGGATTGAGAGAAGGGGTGACAACAATGAAGTTGTTCATGTGTGTTTTTGTCTAGGGCACCCAAATGGCAGGGGACATTGAATTGACTACTTAGCCAAAGGTCTCTTTACCTGGTTCACTCAATACTGTGGGAGTTAGAGGTGACACTCATCTGCAAGGAGCCAAAATGGCATTTACCATTCTCTAACTTGCGGCTGAGGTGAAGGTCTCCTCCCTAGGTTTCCCTGGCTTGGGCAGGCTTTGCTATTATGAGGAGATCACTGCACAGTCTTGTAACCAGCCAGCCAGAGAAGCAGTTCTCACACAAAGTAGAACTGTGGCCACTCACCCATCCACACAGCCCTACCACCTGTCAGGAAAGATATGGCTTTTAAGATGATTTGGCTAGTGTTAAAACTCTTTCATGTTAACAGCTTTTTTTTTTTTTTTTTTTTTTTTTTTGAGACAGGGTCTCACTGTGTCACCCAGGCTGGAGAGCAGTGGCGAGATCTTGGCTCACTGCAAGCTCTGCCTCCTGGGTTCATACCATTCTTCTGCGTCAGCCTCCCCAGTAGCTGGGACTACAGGCATCCGCCACCACACCTGGCTAATTTTTTTTTTTTTTGTATTTTTAGTAGAGTTGAGGTTTCACCATGTTAGCCAGGATGGTCTTGATCTCCTGACCTCGTGATCTGCCTGCCTCGGCCTCCCAACAGCTCTTTACTGTTATAGCTCTGCAACTTTGCTTGTCATAGCACCAGTTGCCACCTTCCAGCTCTCTGTCTCACCAATTATTATCTCACTGACTCTCACTAATTGCCACCTCTTGTCTCCTCTGGCTATCTCATCAACTGTCAGTTGCTGCTTCTCACTGCCTTGCTGTCTTTCAGTGTTTCTTGTTGTCTTGCCCCTCCACCAATTAGTGATTGCTACCATCTCAGATGTCTTGCCATCTCTCTGCTGATTGTCACTCTCTTGCTATCTCACCACTGATCGCAGCCACCTCCTCTGTCTCACCTCTCTGCTGATCACCACTCTCTCACCATTTTGCCACTGATTGCCACTGTTTCATTGTCCTGTTAGTCACTCACTCATCTTTGTCCATTTGTGGTCGCCAGATGATGCAGGACAGACGAGCCTGAAAATTGGGGCTTAGCCTGAGAGGATTCTTGGCTTTGCCTAGGAAAGAATTCAAGAATGAGGCAGTGGCATTATACAGCAATATTTTATTAAACAATACTGCTCCTTGGAGGGTAACCTAACTCATAGATACTAATCCCAGATTCAGCACTGTAAGGGCTATTGGCAACTGTATTTATATTCAGTAAAGTCCACTTTCAAGTACATCCATAGTAAAGGGCAGGTCAATGCAAATTGAGGGGAGGATTATTTAGAACTTTCTAGGAATGGTGCTGTAACTTTTCAGTCATTGCCATGAAATGGGTGGTAAGTACCCAGTTATTGCCATGGAATTGTAAATATCATGGTGCTGGTGGGAACATCTTGTGCCAACAAGGGATGCTACGAATTGCTTTTGTCATTATACGTTATTCTTGCCAGTTTTTTCACTTCCTCTGTCTGGATCAGATTCTGTTTTGGCCAGCAGGATTGTGATCTGAAAACAAGTCCTGCCTGTCTCCTATGTCATATTCACGAGTAAGACCTCTTTTCCCTAAGGCATTAAGAAATTAAATAATAACAAAAGAGATACCATCCATAATATCTTCATGATGGCTGTCATCTATAATCTAGGAATGATGGCAAGAGATGCTGCTATTGAAGTGGACTCCCTGATTTGAGTAAGGGCGATGGAATTCTGAAGCAAAGGAGTCCACGTGACAATGACTAACCCTCAGAAACAATGCAAGCACCAACATTGCAATAAGCATAATGGCTGGAGGAGAAATTAAGAGTATTTTGACATATAGGAATCTGAGAATAGTTTTCTTCTTTAGAGTAAGCTAAGAAAGGTTTAGCTTATAGATGATATACTATCTATATAACCAACAGATGTTACATCATCTATATAACCCCAAATCCCTAGGCATGGTAAGCAGATACCTTATTTGAACCACTATCATCTAAAGTCATGAGTTCCCACCCTGTTAGGAGTTATTTACAGAAGGGGAGTCTAGTCTCCATAAGAGAGTGCTACAATAAGGCTGTCATGTTGTGGAAGCTCAGAATAATAATTCCCCAAAACACATTCTTGTACTAATCTATGGAACCTTTGACTGTGTTAGTTTACATGGTGTATTAGTCCATTGTTTCATGCTATAAAGAAATACCTGAGACTGGGTAATTTATAAAGAAGAGGTTTAATTTGCTCATGGTTCCACAGGCTGTACAAGAAGCAGGAAATTTCTAATTACAGCAAAAGGCAAAGGGGGAGCAGGTACATCACATGGCTAGAACAGGAGCAAGAGAGAAAGAGGGAAGGTGTCACACACTTTTAAACAACTAGATCTGGGAAGAACTCACTATTGTGAGGATACTGCTAAGAGGATGATACTAAACCATTCATGAGAAACCACCATCATGATCTAATAACCTCCCACTTAAGCTCCCGCCTCCAACATTTGGGATGACATTTAAACATGAGATATGTGTGGAGACACAGATCTAAACTATGTCATTCTGCCCCTGGCCCATCCCATATCTCATGTCTTCTCACCCTGAAAAATACAATTATGCCTTCGCAACTGTCCCCCAAATTCTTAATTCATTAAGCATTAACTCCAAAGTCCAAAGTCTCATCTGAGACAACGCTAGCTCTTCCACCTATGAGCTTATAAAATCAAAAAAAACAAGTTAGTTATTTCCAAGATGCAAGGAAATTATAGGCATTGGGTAAATGCTCATATTCCAAAAGGAATCCAAAAATTCCAAAAAGAATTCCAAAAATCAGCTGCAAGAAAGGGGCTACAGGCTGCAGGCAAGTTTGAAACCCAGTAGGGCATTAAACCCAAAATAATTTAATTCCATGTTCTACATCTCGGGCACACTGTTACAAGGGGTAGACTCCTAAGGCCTTGGGCAGCTCTGCCCCTGTGGCTTTGCAGTGTTTAGCCCTAGAGGCTGCTCTCACAGGTTGTTGAGCACCTGTGCTTAACACTGAGCATGCAAGCTTCCAGTGTATCCACCATTCTGGGGTCTGTAGGATGGTGGCCCTCTTTCCACAGATCCACTAGGCAATGTCCCAGTGGGGACTCTCTGTGAGACCTCCAACCTCACATTTTCCGTCCACACTGCCCCAGTAGATGTCCTCTGTGAGGCTTCCAACCCTGCAGCAGGCTTCTGCCTTGGCACTCAGACTTTCTCATATAACCTCTGAAATCTAGGTGGAGGGTGACAAGCCTTATTCAGTCTTTGCACCTGCAGGCTTAACACCATGTGGAAGCTGGCTTATGATAGCTGTGCCCTCTAGAGCTGTAGCGTGAGCTGTGCCTGGGCCCCTTTGAGACTGGAGCTACAGTGGCTGGAATGTGGGGAGCAGTGTCCTGAGGGTGTGCAAGGCAGCAAGGCCCTGTATCTGACCCATAAAACCATTCTTTCTTCCTAGGCCTCAGGACCTGTGATGGGAGGGGCTGCCAATCTCTCTGAAATGCTTTTGAGGCCAGTTTTCCCATTGTCTTAGATAATAGCACTTGGCTTCCTCTTAGTTATGCAAATTTCTTAGCAAGTGGTAGCTCCGCAGCCTGCTTAAATTTTTCTCCCAAAAAAAGTTTATTTTTGTTTTTTTTTTTCTCTGCCACATAGCCAGGCTGCAAATTTTTCAAGCTTTTATATTCTGCTTTCCTTTTAAATATAAGTTCCAACTTTAAGTTATTTCTATGCTCCCACAGATGAGCAAGGGCTGTTAGAATCTCCCCAGCCACTACTTGAATGCTTTGCTGCATCAGATACCCCAAATCATCATTCTCAATTTCAAAGTTCCATAGATCTCTAGGGCAGGAGCACAATGCAGGCAAGTTCTTTGCTAAGGCATAGCAAAAGCGACCTTTTCTCCAGTTCCTAAGTTCCTCATTTCCATCTGAGGCCTCCTCACTTTGAACTTCATTGTCTGTATCACTGTTGAAATTTTGGTGACAACTATTTACCCAGTCTCTAATAAATTCAAAGCTTTATTTCATCTTTCTATCTTCTTCTGAGCCCTCCAAACTCTTTCAATGTCTGCTTATTGCCCAGTTCCAAAACTGCTTTCCCATTTTCAGGTTTTATAACAATGTCCCCCTCCTCAGCACCAATTTTCTGTATTAAGCTGTTCTTGCATTGCTATAAAGAAATGCCTGAGACTGAGTAATTTATAAAGACAAGAGGTTTAGTTGGTTCACAGTTCTGCAGATATTAAAAGAAGCATGATGCTATCATCTGCTTGTCTTCTGGGGAGGCTGCAGGAAACTTCCAATCCTGGCAGAATGTGTAGGGGTAGCAGGTATGTCACATAGCCAGAGCAGGATCAAGAGAGAAATAGGGAACGTGCCACATAGTTTTAAATGACCAGATCTTATGAGAACTCACTATCACAAGTGCAGTGCTAAAATGATGGTACTAAACCATTCAGGAAAGACTACCCCTGTGATCCAATCACCTCCCAACAGGCCTCACCTCCAACATTAGCAATTACATTTCAACATGAGATTTGGTTGGGGACACAGATCCAAACCATATCACATGGCAAAGTGGAAGTAAAGTTGCAGATAGAATTAAGATTGCTAATTATCTGACCTTCAAATAGGAAGATGTTTCTGTGTGTATTCATTTATGCATTCATTCTATTCATCTATATATGTTCCAGATGAATCCAATATAATGACAAGAGTCCTTAAAAGTAGAAGTGGGAGACAGAATAGGGAGTCAGAGTTAGAGAGAGATGTGACAGGAAAGAATGAACAGAGTGATGCAATGTTGCTGTCTATGAAGATGAAGGAAGGGATCCAGCAGTCAAGGAATGGGGCAGCCTCTAGAGCTGAAATAGGCAGTGAAAAATATTCTCTTCTAGCTCTAATGGCACCTTTCTTTCAGCCTGGTGAGATCTATATCAGACTTCTAACTTACAGAAATGTAAGATAATAAATTTGTGTTGTTTTAAGCCACTAAATTTATGGTGATTTGTTACATCAACAATACAAAACTGAAAAGTAATAACCAGACATTAAGGACACTAGCTCTGAATCAATGCTAATTTGAGGGAACAAAATAGTACTACATTTCATATGGAAGTTAGCTTAGTGATAAATGGAGCTTCAGTCTGAGTCTGTCCTATACTGGATCCAGTTAATAGACACACAGGATGGTTATTACTCTTTTATAAGTTCATAGTCATCTTATGTGATTAGCTCCATGGACTTTTGGAAATGTCTTGGATAAATATTTTCAGTATATATTGGTATTAGTTTTCTATTGAAGTTGAAATAGATGGACTCAGCAATGGAAATATAATCTAAAAACTGGTTTCCTGACTCATTGGCTAAGTAAGGGCTAAAGTGGTAGAAAGACCAAATGGAAGTCTGTAAATTTACTCCTCCCTATCAAAATTCTGACCCAAATGCAATACTGCATTCATGAGTGAATTATAAAGATAATAATTTACTTTCCTTGGTATACATTTTTATTGTTCTCATGAAGTGAAAATTTTAATTGCAAAGAAGTAAAAATAAATTGCCTTAGAAAAAAATGAATCACCATTGGAGGAAATGTAGTTACTGGTATGCTCAAACAAACACCATCTGATATACTCCCTTTGTCTCAACCCACGTAAATTATAATCTTTTCTTCCAAAGGGTGATTTTAGAAAGTCTTTTAAGGTAAGAGACATGATCACAAATTTTGAAAACCCAAGAATTAACTATTTAAAGATATGTGTATTATGTACATTTAAAAAAATTATCACCAAAAGTAGTGCAAATGCATTATTTACTTTCAAAGCAACATCAAAATAGAACACAACCATAATGCATGAACTTCCATGGGATAATTTATAAGCTGTATCTACTGGAAAATCAAATCAGCATTCCATTCCATAAACTAAATAGGCAATTTGATATATATACATATATATACATATGTATATATACACACATACATACACGTAGCATGCAATATAAAACAGAGAAGCCATCTGAAGACAAAGGAAAAAGATAATTCACCTACAAAATTAGATAAATAGTGACAAAATGATCATTTGAGCAGCAACGGGACGTTCTCAAATTCTAGCAGCTATTCAAGGTCTTAAAGCCTTAAGAAAACAGGAAAATAAGCTTCTTTTAAAGAAATATGATTCAAGCCAGCTATTGTTGTTGTAATCATTACTATTATGTCTTACTCTGTGCAAAGAAAAATTTTAGGTTTGTGGGAGGAAAAAAATGAATAAGGAATAAAGAAGACAGGAACATAATGTTTTAAAATTTGATGCAGAATGTGTTAACATAATTGGAGAAAAATAAAGGATTCCAAGGCAGAGTGATAACATATCTAGCTTGAAGTCAGGAGAGATTTCTTACTTAAAAGTAGTACTTGTGGTCAGCATACACCTGGTTGATATTACTAAACCTGCAACAATGGTGAAAACTTGAATTCAGAATTATCAACAAAATTCATTACCAGCAAATGAAAGCAGCAATCCTCAATTTTTTAAGCTATAAATTATTTGGATAAAAATATCAAAACTCATTTAGAGTTAGTTGAAATTCCAAAATTAGTTGAATGGTATGTCCACAAAATAAAACAATGGAATTTAAAATATGCTTTTGCAAATGTCACTTCCAAGAATTCTAATATACCCCTTCTGACGTTTATTTCCTAGTTCTATTCCTTATTATTCAGGATCATAATATGGTATGCGTTCATGATAAATTGTCTGTGATTATTTACTCATCAAACATTTATGAGCAATTAATATTTTAAGGTAATATATAATTAGGAAAAGAATAATACTCAGATTTAGTATGAAAAATGTATAAATTTTTCTGTCTTTATCTACCTATCAATCACTAAATGCCAAAAGAGAAATCTAGAGATATGAGTATGCTACGAAATATTAAATGAAGAAAGTATTTTCAGATGTGAGTGTTATAATGGGCTTTGGGAATGTGGTAATATTTGAGCCTAACCTTGAGAGATGGGTATGAGTTGGTTTACAGAGATTTGAGAAGATATAGTTGAAAAGCCATTTCTGAAACTTTCTCAGAAACAACAGAAATGCCAATCACATCAAATTACATCAATAGGGAACTTCATGGAGACAGTTTTTTTGGAACGTAAACTCTGTGAGTGGTAATGGGAATTATTTCTGGGAAATAAGATTTGAGCCAAATCATAAAGTTGTATGGTTTAAGTTTGTGTTAATTCTGTTTTCAGTAGCTGTTCACTCTTGGTGCTTTTATTTGGTTTGATATTGTTACAGGACAGTGATGTGAACAGATTGTGTTTCAGGATTCCTAATCTGGAAGAAAGTTGTAAAATACATTAAAGTTGTGAGAGACTGAAATGTAAATACTAGTTGGATGTTTATCACTGTATTCCAGTGGAATGATTACAAAACCTGCTTCTGTAAGCACTAACTGGGGCTGAATCAGTGGTAGAAAGGAGAGTCTGGGGCACCAGATTGGATGGGAAATCAAGGCAAGGGAAAGGAAAAAAGACAGTGATGACAGGGATTGTAAGACAGATATAGAGCATGGAGAAATATCCTGTTCCCCCACTCTTTAGATCCCAGTTTTGAAAGTTTGCTCCCTCCACTCTCTTTTCATCATCGAATGAAGTTCTAAAACTCTCTGAAGCCTCTGGGTTTTGATGAGAAATCACTGGTGTTTCCTTGCCATTTGTCAGTAGATCTATTGACTGTCAAAGTTAAAGAAACCTAATCTGGCAATTATGTAAGCCTCCCATTTTTAGATTCTCTGAGAATACTAATGTTCAGAGAAATTCAGTAAACCATTCAAGAATTAGCTATGTGACATATCTAATTATTGGCAACTTTCAAATGAAAACCTAAATCTCTAGGCTTGCCAGTCTACTGCTGTTATTAATTTTGCCTATAACTAGCTTCATTCCTCATTCTGCATCTGGATTTATCAATGGACCTGTGAAGAGGGAAACAGAAGCAGTGTGTGGAAGTGTGATGCCAATGGAGACACTGTTTGTAAATACAACACTCAGCACACAGCTGAGACACAGATGGTAATTTTACAGATGATACTTAGCTTCCACCTGCCTGATGGAATTGATATAAACATTGATATGTCCTCTCCATTTATAAGCTCATATTTTTTGGAAAAAGTATTATGGGGCAAATACATTATGTTTATGAAGCAGCTACTTCAACTGTCCCTTGATATGTCTCCCAAAATTATTCTTTAACAAAACCAGGAAGGCCTCAGTCATCAGTATTAAGCTTATAGTACTCAGTAACACTTAGATCCTGTATCTCCAAAGGATCCACAGACTGACCATCTGTAGTTACATGAATCATAGATAAGAACAGAAGAGTGTAGCATATAAACTCAAATTACATCTAACAAAGAAAACTCTCTTTATATAGACTCAAACAATGGTTAAACATAATGCAAACATAGTGGTCTCTGTGTTTGTTAGAATTACTTGGCTCTTTTGATTCTGTCAGATAAAAGCTAAACATCATATGTGAGTAATGTCCTCTCTACTTTGAACAGAGAGGTAGACAGGCCAGAGAGGTAGATAGGCCAGAAAAGCACATGTAAAGGCCTAATTAAGGGAGGAGGGATGACTCAGTCATCTGTGCCTAGAGACTTTCTGCACTTAATGTTAGTGCAAACCTACTACAACACTCCACAACTGAGTCAGTAATAATTTGTGGTTAACAGTGTCCACAGATTCTACTTTAATCAGAATTCACAAAGGTGAAGTGTTTATTGAAAGAGGACTATATACACAAACCCTAAATTAGATAGAAGCAGCCAATGAATGGTCCCTTTCCCCTCACACTGTCATATCCCAAATAGAGCATATCTTTTGAAAGAATATAAAAGACTCAGGACATACCAGAATGCCTCAGAGTGTGACTGCCTAAGTTTAAATTCTGGGTTTTTGCCATTTACAGGCTTTTTTCTCTTGTTATGTGGGAAAATTTACTAAGCTTAATTTTTTCCCTGTTAAAAATAAGGAGAGGGGGCTACAACTATTTTGCATATCTGATGAAAAGATTACATGTGAAATGTCTAGCTAGAAGCCTAATAAATAATAGACACTCAAGAAATTATACTAAATTGTAGCTGTTATTATCACCTAGCATTTTATAGTAGCGTAAACCTTTGGCTCCCAAATATTATTTATTCTTTCTTTCATACAATCTGTATATACGCAATGAGAATTAAACATCATAAATCTGGAAATAATAATAAAACACCATCTTATTCCCTTCTCTCTGAGAGGGAAACGTTCCTCAATTCCTAGAATTAGGCCTACATTCTAGTTTTCACAATTTGCGGGTTTATAATTTGAGAAAAAGTGAATGAATACAGATATTGAGAAAGAGAAATAAAACTACTTGTGGAACTATGATACTAAATTATTAAAATTCACTGATTTGTTTAATCTACTTTTTAAACATCAAGAGACTTGAAATTCAGTCACAAATAGGCCACAGTCCCTGCCTTTGGGGAAGTCACAAGTTATCAGGGAAGCAGAAACCTAAATAAACAAACTACATACATGTTTATGGGGGGAGATAAACAAAAAGAGACACAGATACAGTGAGAGAAAGAGGAAAAGAGAAAATAAGAGGATGTAGGAGAGAGAAACAGAGACAAAGAGACAGAAACAGAGAGGATGGAAGGGAAAAGAAAGATGGTGAGACAAAGTAAGAGGAGACACGGAGACACAAAGATACAGACAAAGAGGAAGAGAGACAGATAAATAATACAAAATGGTTTACAAAATTTTATAAAAACACTCAAGACAGAGCAAGTTTCTATTCAGGCACCAATTCTTCAAACCTTCCTTGTCAATGTACTTTTTAAAAAAATACTTCCTGATAGAACATTACCAAAAATAACTCCAAATCATTAACTGCTTTCACCCAAATTCAACTATTTCCATTTTATTATATCTAAAATTATTTTTACCTGGGGAATCCAGTGAACAATGAAAGAACCTACTTGGGAGGAATTTAAAAATATCCTGGGTTACTTCAGACAAATATTTACTAAACAATTAACATAGGTACATGAACAGTTTAACCTAGAGTACATGAACAATTTAATAGCCTGAGTCTTATACAACAAAAGGTATAATTGTTGACTGTCTTTTTAGCATTCCTCTTGAATTTTGTCAAAACGAACTTCTCTGGACTCTGCTTCTCTGGGCCTCTAGGAGACTCCAGCATGATCCTGACTACTCTGGCTCAGCTTTCTTTCATCAGGCTCATGATGCTGGTGATGGTGGCTGCTGGTCAGAAGTGGCCACACACTCTACCTCATCTCAGAGGTCTGGGAGGGGTTTCTCTGGCTTCCAGCAGCCCCCTCAGAGGTCTCTTTGTCTACTCCCTGAAAGAAAGACTCTTCCCCCTCACCCTTCCCACCACCACCCCCCTGCCGGCCCCAGCAAGACACTTAAGAAATCTTTTTAGAACACTGTCTTCCCAGGAAGCCCATTAACCATCTGGCAGTGGTCTTTTCCTGTTTACTACTTCAAAACTTTGTCTACCAACTGCCAAAAAGCTGTCAGCCTTAAGTTGTGTTTTACAACTAGATGCTGATGGTTGGGACTAGAAAACCCTCAAATACTTTCCTGCCCATTAAAGGTGGGCTATAGACCCTGGAATACAGAAAGTCCTTGTTCTCTGAGGGTCATTTGTAGTAGGAAGAAAACTACGTAAATTGTTTAAAATAAGGAATAAATTAATTTTAAGAGAGCAAGTGATCTTTTACCTTAAGGCAAACTAAATTAATATGAAGTTTGTTTTATTTTATATTTAATAACATTCAAAATAGAATTGAAATTGTAAACTAATACTTAGAATATGCAAAAATAAAAAAGAATCAGTCACATGTTGTATCAAAACTCTGAATGACAACATCCTTCATTTTATAATTCACCTTTACAACAGGATCATAAAGAGTGCAAAAATATTTGATATCCTCATGAGTTTCCCCAACGGCTTCTTTTAACTATCTGATTATCAAATCATTATCTTTACAAAATTCCATCTTGTCATCATTCTTGTTATTTCCTCTTATTTAGTATTAAGCAGTCTATGCTGATTCTAATTTGTCAGTGGTTTTGCCTATGGTTTGATGAATTCTCCGATACAACATTGCAAAAAGCATTTTCATTTGTAACTGATTTTTATTGTATTTGCATTGTATTATTTTGTGTTTACAATAACCAAAAATTAGTGAGATGATAAGTAAGGCATAGGTATTACTACTTAGTTCTGAATTGGGGAATTAATTTTATAAAGAATAAGTTTGCTTGAAATATTTTTCCATGGTGATGCCCTTCATCAGTTATATCTCTTCTAATTGGAAAGACATGGATAAAAATATTTAGATGATGAGGACGCTTGTATTATATTTGTATTGCTCTTTGTAATTGTTAGCCCAAACTTTTATCCATAATTGTTCCAAGAGAGTGTCCATATGTCACCTAACAGAAACAAAGTTACTTGATTGCCTGGATAGTTTTTAATGTAGTACATCAGCAATGAGATATTATCATGTCATTGAGTGAACCTTGCAATTCTGATCCAAGGCATGCAATTTACTGATATTATTGTAGTTGCCTCAGTACTAAGGGAGGTGCATTGCTTAAACTGCTCATACCTCTAAAGGACAACTATGGAGCATCGGAATTGAGGTATTGTCATAGACAACCTGGTCTATCCTTGGTAGAAATGTAGTCTGAGTGGAAGTTCCTACCTGGCACAATCCTGATTCAGGGAGCTCCGTTTGAATCAGAGAGAACTCCAATGAGCTAAGGGTCCAGAAATCTGGATTATAATTAGCCTCTCCTCTTCCACTAACTAGGAGTGTAATTTCATAAAACCTTCTGTAATCCCTATTATTTCAGTTTCTCTTTCAAATAGGATAACATCCCAATATCTTTTATTCCTGTAGCAGGCTGAATAATGACCCCCTGAAGATGTCCATGTCCTAAATCTCTGGAAACCTTTAATATGTTACCTTACATGTTAAAAGGCATGTTGCAGATGTGATTAAGGATCTTGACATGGGGAGAGTATCCTGGATTGTCTAGGACAGCCCAGTGTAAAGGCCCTTATAAGAGAGAAAGAGGAGAATTTGAGTAAGTAGCAGGAAATATGAGCACGGAAGCTAGGTGGAGGGATCTGAGGAAGGAGCTATGAGCGAAGGAATGCAGGCAACCTCTAGAAACCGAAAAAAATGCAAGGAAATGGATTCCTCCTTTAAACCTCCTAAGGGAACACGTCCTACAGATATCTCAAATTTACAATTCCAACTTCCAAAACTATGAGGAAATTATGTTGTTTTAATCCACTAAGTTACTGATAATTTTTACAAGAGCAATATGGAGATGAATGGGACAATCAGTAAGAGATTCTTGGGAAAAGTCAAAAGAAGTGTTTAAAAGCAAAATGTTTAAAAGCAGAGCAAAGTAGGTCCCTTATTCTGATCATGGGTAATTAATAAAATTACATAAATTACAAACACTTATCAACCAGGAGATTGGAATTGGTTTCTCAATTACTATATGCATCAAAGCAAGTGAAGAAAGTACAATCAGAGTTGGCATGGATGTCCCAGCTTTTCTGATTATATCACAAAGGCCTCCAGGTGCATTCTATCTCATTACCCCTATGATCTTCAGCCATCAACTATGTTGTCACATTTTCCATACCTTTTCCCTTTTGCCCCATCTACTCTGACATGTCTTTCTCCTTTATTAAAATGGCATCTGCTGCACTTTGTCAAGGAAAAAAAAGAAATAGCTAACAACACTAAAAAGAACCTGTGGTTGTAACACGTCATGACAACTTTGTCAGTTGTATAAGCAGCTAGTCCTACATGTGGAGAGAAAAAATTAAATGAGAGTAAGGGATAATTTGAACATATCATAAATATTCATATTCCAACTTTGGGAGTCCAAAAATGAAATGAGTCTCCCATGTTAGTCATTTTCTGGGCCTCGTTTATTTGGCTACAAAATAACTGATTGTAAAGCCAAACAGTCTAAATCTGGAAGTTCAAATGTCATACATAAAACTTATTAAGGACAGAAATTATTACCTTGAGTACTGTGTATAGTCCCTGGACTTACTAAGTAAATGTTTTTTATCTGGAATATTCATATAGAAAATCCCACTCAACAGCAATCCCTTTAAATTCTATATTTAAACTAGGAAAAATTAGATTTATTTCACTATAATTTAAACATGACAGACAACATATAAAATTTAATATTAATATTTATGTTTATATTCTTCCCTTAATATATCCTAATTTTTAAAAATATGACTTGTAACAGTTGTCACTCATAATAATAACTATGGAACATCAGCTGAGATCTGTTAACATGAATATCAGCTTACCCTGTCAGATATCACACATTCAGTACAGTTCAAAGGAAGTCTTAGAAAGGAATGGATAATATATAATCAAACATGTTAAGAGAAATCGAGAGTAATTGGAACCATTTTAATTACAATAAATTTCCCCACAATACCCTAAATGGTAAAATATTCAGCAAATATGTTGGGAAGAAAATAAAAAACACAGTTCTAAATCTTATTGTTTTGAATAGTGTATAAGGTATACATATATATCTCTCATATTAGTTCTGTTTCTGTAAAGAACCTTGACTAATACAATGACTATGTTAGCATTATTTAATTAACAATGAAGAAACAAAGCAAATCACAGTATTATATTCCCAGGTTCAGTTCTGTACTGTTTTTTGAACAATCTCATATTTCTCTAAGATATCACTAAAGGTATTATGAAAAAAAACTAGCAAACAAAAATATTTATTCTGCTGCATCACTTTTGTACCCCATCCCAATGTGGCATTTTGAAATCCAATCTATAAAATCAAACTTGGGAAGGCTGCAAAACTTAGAATGATTCTAAACTACTTACTCTGTAGCATTTTTTGTTACTATAAATATCAACATAGGATTACTTACTCTACAATAATATTTATATATCTTACACCTCTCAATAGACAGCAATAAGTTGCTTGATTATAGCAGGTAAGTTGAGTTAATAAAAAGTTTAAGAATCTTAATAGCCTAATTTTTATTAGAAAAGCTTTATCAATTGTTACCAATTCTATCATTTTTATAAACATCTAAAAAGCATACAACTGAAAATGTTTGTATAGTCCCTGATGACTTGTTTAGCTTTGTTTATTGTTATAAGAAGATACACGATACCCTTTTATTTTTTGGTTGTTGTTACAAAACAACCATTTTCATATTTAGTTTCTGTTACCTCTTCTGTTTTTTCCTGAACCAGATCACTTGGTGTATGCATACAGGCTCCAAATAACTATTTCTACTGTATCCTGGGACATTTGCCCCTGTGCTACCTTTGGAATTTTTTTCTTCACTCTTGAAATGAGGAATGATGTTAATTCTTTTCACCTGCGCTTGCTTCTGTCCATGTAAACTCTCTCTGTAATCCAATATTATGCCCTAACTAACTCCAGTGCTTAGCAAAGGAAAACTTCATTTTCATTAAAATCCATTATTGTCTCTGTAAAGATAAAAGAATTTCAGACTGACTTTGATATGCTTAGCTCAAAACATGAATGTTTCAGTTCACACATTTACTAAAATTTAAACGTTTGAACAATACTATTTCCCAGAAAATATCTGTGAAATGTAAATGCTACTTATGTAGTTTAAGCAACCAAAAAGAATAAAGTAAGTTTGTTCCAAATGTCAAAATGCTGTCCCAAACGTTCTTATCTCTAAATATTGTTGTTTTCCTAGCTCACCCTTTTGCTAAAATTTATGAGTATGAACAATGATCTTTTCTGGAGAACTTCATGATAATGCAAATGCTGTTACGTAATTTAAGCAAACAAACAGAATAAGATGGGTTTTCTTCATAGTCAAAGCAATGTAGCGCTTAGGATAATATTAAACAGGAAAAACTAAGAAAGAAAAAATGAAAGAGTTATAAGAACTCGGGCCTGTCCTCCCTTGATGAAATACGTAATAAGCTTGGGCATTGAGAAGTGGAAAATTTTTTAGTATGATAACAGAAAAAATGTATGATAGTATACTAAAAATAATACATTTGGTATTAGTATGGTATTAGTCTAAAGTTTTTTTTTTCTCATTTAACCATCAGAATACTTACAAGAGTTAGGTACAGTGATTATTCCCATTTTATAGTTGAAGCAACTGAGAAACAAAGGTGGTTAATTGACTCAAGGATGTATAGCTAGTAAGTACCAAGGCCAGGATCTTATCCTGTCATTCTGTCCTCAAAGCCTTGCTCTGCATAAGATTTATGAAATTCAATAATCCCCAATAAAGGAAGAGGTAAAGATACAAGTTTTTCATTTATATTCAGATACATAATATGTTTCTTGTTTTCTTAAGACAAAGTGAGAAGAAAAAAGTGACTTTCAGACTTTTAAGTCACAAATGTTACCATATCACCAATTAGACTACAATTTCTTCATGCCACCCTGTGGGCTTAGTGAATTGGACTATGCCTGGAGGTCACCTGTGTAGCAGCTGCAATAACTTCCACTGATAAAGGGACCTTTGGAATTTAAGGCAGTTACAACAGGGTAGGTGTCATCTTTCAGTAAGATGACAAACTTCTTAAAAGGGTTATGTGGGAGGTTAATGACAGGAGTCCTACAGAGCCAGAACCTTCTGTTCAGTATCAGCCAATACAAACCTTTCTCTCAGCTGGCTGGCCTCTCCACTGTCCCCTATAAAGGGTATGAGAATTACTATTCTTGAGCTTTCTCTTTTATTGTTGATTAACTCATTTCTAAAATCTATGGCAATCTTTATTTTATGATAAAATGAGGGCTTTTGTTACCTCAATAAATAAACTCCCTTGATAAAGTGCAAAATAAGAATACCATGCTAAATATAGGTCATAGAATTGTATGCTAAAGTAAGTCACGTTAGAGTAAAAATACGTTCACTGCAAAATAAAATATATGGGAGAAATATGAATTTACTGGAGATATAAGCTTTATGTTTTAATAACTTTATCACACACTGCTTAACTATTCATTGTACATCATTCTTGCTGAAGATTTACAAATAACGCAATCTTTAAAGAAATATCATCACAGTATCTGAGTAATTTATTACAATCTTTAGAAAGTCTTTGCTCCTAAAATAACTGAACTGTAAACACAATTGCTTAATAAGAGAAACATCTTCACTCCAAATAATGAAAAGAGGTGAGAGGTGAGAGTCATTAAAAAAAGGTAAGAAAGAATATTTGAGGAGGTGAAAATAATATTAAAAATGGAAATTAAATGTTTACCTCCCCATCTTACCTCCTGCACACTGTTCTGGAGTCTTTTGCATGTATATATGTCTAAAGGTTATCCAGAGCCTCACTAGATAGTCACCTGAGAGCCTGACCATTCAGTCCCTCCACCTTTAGCATAGCACATAATATCTGAAGCAAAGTTGCTCAGAAAAAAAAAAATACATATATATATATATATAAAATCAAATGAATGATAATATCTGTTTTTCTCAAATATACGACTTGTATTCAGTGGCAAAATATATCAATTTTATCCAAATTGATAGATTATATAGGATCATAGAATTTTAGAACTGAAAATAAGCACATGAAGTTTCTTGATGTCTAAGATAATTTTAGATTGTAGAAGAAAAGTATGATCCGAGAGAATCTGAATCCAGCTCTCAGGTTGTTGGGTTCTTTTTTCTCAATTATTTGTGTTTTTCTGATATTTCAAAATTCAACATTTCCTTTCTTTTCGTACTGGTATGACTCCATTCAGTCTGCTTACCAGATGCCTCTCAGGCTGGCCTGTAATACTACTCAGTGTGGAAGTATTTCCTATTGTACTAATTCAGTGAGTACCAATTGTAGGGAAATTATGGCTCAATGGCAACAGAAATTACAGAGAAAGGTATTCAAATAACAGTAGTTAATTTTCTAGAGCTTCCATTTTTAATTTTTTTAAACTTTTGTCTTAGGTTCGGGGTACCTATGCAGTTTGTTATATAGGCAAATTGCATGTCATGGTGTTTTGGTGTACAGATTATTTCACCACCCAAGTAATATTTATCTTTAGAACACATTCAAAAAGCTCATCTAACTCAAAGATACACTGCTGTTAACTTTAAATATAATGGTTTAATTGAACGGATGTTAGGATGAAGTTCAAGGACCGACAACAAATACATCAACTTTTCCTGTTATTATACCAATAGTTTCATTCTCCTGGATTTCTATAGCATTAAAATTCAATCACACTCAAGACACGTCATTCTGCAAATACATTAATTATCATTTAAAACCTTATGGAGGGTTACTAATCATCACTTCACACCAACTCTGGGACTTGGTACTAAGCACAAAAGAAATACTTAGGCTGTGAAGAAAATATGACTAGAGGTAGTTGAAGTACACCAAAGATAAAATTAACTCAACTGGATTTGAGCTGTTCCTCTTCAAACTCCATAAACTTTTGTACAAATTTATGGAATTTATTTGTATGGCAGTTACATGAGTGTTTTATATTCCTTTTTAGCATGTGTCATCTGTGAGGGTAGGAATGGTGTAAATGTTTCTATTTGTTTCCTTAGTTCCTATTCCAAGCTTTGTATGAAAGAAATGATCATTTTATGTCTGTATATTCAGTTTTGCTTTCAGCCATCATTATACTTGTTAAGAATACTCTTTGGTCATATTTAGGATAAAAAAGGAGCAAGCAATAGTCCATAGAATTGTGCTAATTAATTGCAAAAGCACTAATATTCTAAAAAAAACCAGTCATAATGTATAGCAGCATCCATTTTGTTTCTTATTTCCAGTTATGATTCAAAAGAAAAAGGCAATGAAATCTGGCTTTTTGTGTGCTACAGTTTTCACCCACGAAGCTCCATACTTCACCAGCAACCTCTTACAAACCACTAGTCTCTGGTTTTATTTAATATGTTCAAATCAGATTAAGCAGAACTCAGTCCCATTCCAGCACATCAGGCACAAAATGTCTCTTTGATCTTTCTGCCACTTTTAAGAAACATCTGCATCTTTGTAAAAAGGCCTAGCAGGATGAGCCAAACATTTGAGAATGGACATAGCCACGTGCAGGGAGATAGAAAAAATTATTAGGGGAACTGACTCTTTGTTAGATTCCCAGAGACCAGAAAGAAGGATGACAGTGTCTGGGGCTTATAAACATGAAGTAATTTCTCTGAGTTGGACTTCAGAGGTGACCCATTCTATCAAGCTATTAAACAAGATAAACAGAATGGTAGGACTGGTTTTAAGGTTATCCAAACATTCACTTCACAAATAAGGAAACTTACAACCCCAAAAGTTCATACTTGTACATTGCCCTTTTCTATTTTTTAAGGTAAAGCTTAGATTTTTCTTGGCCAGATTCCCTCTGTTGTGTTTTATTCAGTCTGACAAGGAGAAAAGAATATCCTCTGTGAACACCCAACAAATATCTCTGTGAATGCAGTGGAAAGGCTTAGCTACTGCATCTGTCTCCCTTACAAGACTCTGAGCCCCTGGAGTGCTTAGTAACCTTGTGCACCTTTCACAGCTCCTGCCAAGTGTTTGAACTGAATTGAACTTTTTTGTTGTTCTAGATAAATACTGAAGTGTGCCATGTAAAATAATATTCAAACACTTCTCCTTTTGAGCAGAGCATGGCAAATGACAAGATGATGAATCCAAGATTAGCTCAGACATGCTGGAGAGGAGGTAGGCAGTGAGAACTAGCTTGCAGACCTGGGAAGGGTTAACTGTGACCTCCCATCTCTGCTGCTGATAGAGGTTTACTTTCCCAGGCAGGTGGAAATGGACCACTGAATGAAAGAAAAGCAAAGTGGCAGATAATAGACAGCAGACGTTTTCAATCTTAGCCTTGTCCAGGTTTCTAGCACATGTTGTAGATTGAGTGTTCTGTGAAGCCCAAAAGGCATGAACTGAACAGGAGGTTGAGCCAAAACTCCTCATGGCTTATTGAAAACATTTCCAGGCCCTGGAAATACATCCAAATAGAAATTCCAATCATTTCTGGAAAAGCCAGGCAAACCAATATGTTCTGAGAACCTAGTGGCCTTCCCTTGCCCCTTCTGGCAGAAAGACAAAGTACCCCATTCAGCCAGTCCATATTTAAGAATAAGTCACTTTCAGAATTTAAACAAAAGGAGGCAATGCCATGTAGAATATCACATAGTACTTCAAGTTTTCTATTATACATACCTACATATATATATATATATATATATATACATATTTATATAGTTAATGCAATTCAGACTAGGAAGCAAAAGATCTTGATTCTAACCTATATTCCCCTCCTCATTAGATATTAAAAACTATGTGTAATTAATTTAACCTTTTTGGAATTAGTCTTCCCTTTTCTATAATATCAGGGAAGACAACTAAATGATTTCTGAGGTTCCTTCAAATTTTAATTTATATTATTCCATTTATTTTTATTAAATTTATTGAGTATATTTTATGTAAAATAAACTGCATCTACTTAAAGTGTACTGCATCTATTTGAAGTGTACAATTAAATTAGTTTTGACAGATGTACACACCCATGAAACCACCAATACAATCAAAAGGCAGAATATTTCAATCATCCCCTGAAGATTTTTCACGCCCCTTTGTAGACAATTCTTCCTTTACCTCCAACCCAAACAATCACTGATCAGTATAAAGGAGTTTGTATTTAGGTAAACAAAATTATGCAGTATGTACTATTTTATGTCTGGCTTTAGTCAGTCAGCATAATGATTTTTGAGAATCATCCATGTGGTTATCATGCACCAGTACTTACTTCATTCTTCTTCTTCTTATTTTTTTAATCTATGCATCTGCTGATGGACATTTAGGTTATTTCTAGTTTGGATCTATTATGAATAAATCTTCTATGAAAATGCATGCATAAGTATTTCTGTGGACATAGGTTTTCAATTCTACTGGATAAATATTTAAGAGTAACATGGCTGAGCTATATGTTTTAGCATATAATTAATTTTACATTCTGACTATCGGTGTACAAGAGTTCCTCCACGTCCTCACCAACACTTGGTATTTTTAGCCTTTTTATTTTGAGCCATTCTAATGTGTACATAGCTTTTAATTTGAACCATTCTAATGTGTACAAAGATTTATCTCATTTTTATCTTCATTTCCTTGATGACTATGATGTTAAGTATCTTCTCATGTGCACATAGTCATTCTTTTACCTTCTTTTGTAAAGTATCATTAGTGAAAATAGTTTTATCATTTTTATAGGGTTATTTCTCTTCTTACTGCTGAATTATAAGATGTATTATTATGGATATAAGTCCTTTGGCAGATATACATATTGCAAATATTCATTTGCAGTCTTTAGTATGTTTTTGCTTTCTTAACTATGTTTTTCAAAGAGAAAAATAATTATGATAAAGTCAAACTTAACTTTCTGTGGTCTATGTGCTTTTTATATTCTATTTAGGAAGTCTTTGCCTACCCCAACTTTGCAAATATTTTCTCCTTTGTTTTTTCTAGTTTGCAATTTTACATTTCATTTTGCAATAATATTGAACATATAGAAAAGTTGCCAAAATAGTACGGAGAGTTCCTGAAGACCCTTCACAGAACTTCCTTTAATTTTAACATTTTTTGTGATCAAGTTATAATTATCAAAAGTAAGATGACAAGATTGCTAAAATACTATTAACTAAACTAGAGACTTGTATTTCATTAGTTTTTACACTAATAGAATCCCAAAATCCCACATTGCATTCAGTTGTTAAGTCTCCTTTGTGGAAATAAAGGAAAATCACTCAAATGAGAACAAGTAAAGGTTACAGCTTTTTTCCAGGTGCTCTAAGTTGGAAGTAAGGGAAAAATTAGAGAAGCTGTCAGTT
Source organism: Homo sapiens (assembly GCF_000001405.40). NCBI lineage: Eukaryota > Metazoa > Chordata > Mammalia > Primates > Hominidae > Homo > Homo sapiens. The sequence goes on along the minus strand of NC_000006.12, from coordinate 80,957,278 downwards.
ATATGATTCTGGCTTTTTAGGGCTCATTTCTATAGGGGTTATTGTTTGGCTGCCCGGATTGTTAGCTATAAATAATAGTTTGAGTTCCTGAACTGGTTACTGAAGGTAATGAGTTGGCTTCCTGGACTGGTGGCTGCAGATTGTGGGTCAGAGTTCTATTTTTAAACATGGTATGGCCATTGTCTGTATTTTCAGCCTCTTATCTTTGTCTCCTCCAATGAGTAACAGTGCCAGTCTTCTTTATGCTTTATGACATTGGCAATTTTGATGACAACTCCTCAGTTACTCTGTAGAATGTCCTTCATTTGTGTTTATCTAACATTATTTCATGATTAAATTGAAGCTATGAATTTTTGGCAAGAATAATAAATGAGATTTCCTTCTCAGTGCAATATACCAAGGAGTACATGATATCAATATGTCTTATTACTTGTGATGTTAACTATGATCATTTGGTTAAGGAGGTGTTTGTTGGATCTGTCAGTGAAAAGTTGTTATTTTTCTCTACATAGGTAATGACTATCTTGGAGGAGATACTTTGAGACTATGCAAACATCCAGCTTCACTTTTAAATTTTACCCATTTAATTATAGCATCCATCAGTAGATCCTTCCTGCAAAAATTACTAGTGTGGTGTTCTTTCTATTTCCTTCATTCTTTATATATTTATTAATTAGAATTCTTCTGCAAGGAAGAACTGCCCCATCTTTCCATATATGATTATTTATATGCATGTGTATTCATGAATTATTTTTATTTTATGAATTATAAAACAGTGCTATCATTAGTTATATCATTGTTACATTGTTCTAGATTTGGCTATCAGGAGTTCCTTCAGCTTGCTTCCTGTGTTCTTTTAACATGGTTCCATTCTTTTTTGAGCACGTCATTACTTTCTGGCACTAAAACATGGTTTAGGCTCATCTTTTATTCTTCCTGTGCCATCCCTGAAATCAACCACATCTTCTTGCATTTTTTATTGAACAATAATATGGAGAACTCAAGTTTGTGCTAAATATGCTAATCCACTGCTTATAGTTCTTCTCAGTGGACAGAGCTGATGTATACATATATACTTACACATAGATTTATATTTATTACTGTCTCCAGCTGTCTCTATTTTTAAAAAAACAATCAGTTCACACTGATAATTCTGATTCCTACCCCAAGACACAAGGTTCATTCAAGCTTTCACCCTTCCCTTTTTTGTAACTTCTTTCTCTCTTAGTAATACACCTGATTTTCATTATTTACAATATACTTACTTATTTTCACAACTCTAGTTTATACATAATTTTAAAGTTGCTAATCCATATGTGTGAGAAACAAATTTACTATGTAGAGTACAATGTTTATGTGCAAACTTAAACCTTAAAAATGAAGTCCAAATACTGTTACTCAAGTTTCTTAGGTCAGTCTTTTCTTCCATACCCCCTTCACTGTAGTTGTTAATCATTTGTGATACAATCAGGTTCATTTCTAGAGTTTGTATTTGATTTTGAATCTCCCTCACATTCTGATTGATATTTTTAAATTTATATACAGTACAATTTACTATTTGTTGTATACATTTTCAGTGTTAACAAATTGTTTCACTGTCACCACAGTCCTGATTCAAAACAAGTATATTAACTAAAAAGAAGTGTTTTATTTTTTATTTCGTCAGTCTAGTTAGATGTTTATCAATTTTGTTGATCTTGAAATATATATATATATCTCACCCTTGCTAATTTTTTGTATTCTATTTCATCCTTCCTATTTCTTGTTTTTATTGGCTCTTTTCTATCTTCTTATGGATTATCGGAATATTTTTCACATTCAATTTTAATTTTTTTTTACTGTAACACTTATTTTATTTTTAGTAGGTGGTGTGGTATTAAATAATGTCTAATTTTTATGGTTTATAAGTTAAAATTTTACGACTAAATACAGAAACCTTAGAATAGAGTGTGGCTATTTATTACCCAAACCCTTCTTTTTATATATATACTTGTCATATTTATTATGCCACCATGCATTCTATGCCTCACAGAACAGTGTTGTAACTTGTTTTAAATGTTTGTATTTAAAGAAATTAAAATAAAGTGTCCTTTATATACACTGAAACATTTGTCATTTCTAATGCTTTTCATTCATTTAAGATTTATGCTTACCTCTGGTATCACTTCCTTTCAGCTTGAAGACCTTCCTTGAAGTGCATATCTGCTGGTGATTTGTTGTTTGTTGTTTATTTTGTTTTTGTTAACCCCAAATTCCTTTATTTCACCTTCATTCTTGAAGCATATTTTTGTCAGACTACGTTTTTTTCTTGACAGCTTTTTTTTTTCTTTCTGTGCTTTAAAGATTTGATCCATGGTCTTCTGGCCTTCCTTGTGTCGGGTGTAAAAACTACAATCTTTCCAATCATTTTTTTTCCTGACTTTTCCCAACATTCTTTCTTCCACTTTGGTGTTTTAGCAGATTTTTTTTTCACATGTGGAGGCATTTTATTTGTATTTATTCTACTTGTAGTTCATTAGCCTTCTCAAAGTTGTAAACATAAGTGACCATTAAAGTTGATATGTTTGTTTTAACAGTCAAATTGGTTAGACTGACACTGCAAATTCTGTTTCTCCTGCAGGGGTGGTATTTCAGATCTCATTTCAGTCCTTTATCCTTAGTTGCGTATTTTGAATTGCCTCATGTATGCATGGTTCTGGGGCCAAGCAGAGATTTCGGTAGAGTTTTTATAGAGAAATTACCACTCCCCTTCTCTGACTTTCTCTGCTTCAGGACTTCTTTCTCATTTTCTAGGGGTCATGGATGTCCTGGGCTCTGTCTTTTGGTTCTTTGGACAGAAGGACAGTCATTTTTCTCTAAGTATTTTAGCTGTCCTTCACCACCTTGCACTTGTGACTGTGGTTAACCTCAGTATAAGATCATAAAAACAAGAAAATTAATCCATCACAGTCCTTTCTTCTAAATTTCAACTGCCCTCCAATATATGTCTGCTTTTATCTCTTCTCCGGAGCCGGCTAGTAGAATTCTGTGGGTTATTTTCCTCAAAATTTTATAGTTGTTATCTGGTAAAGGTTCAGTCTATTATGTACTAGAGGCAGAAATTCACCAAATTCTATTATGTTATATGACAGTACATATGGTATATTTTTGACTAACAAAATAATTATTTATGCTGCTGATTACTCCCTTTACTCATTTCCTAGAATATTTCTGTTTAAAATTATTTATTCTAATTGCTAATATACTACTTCCTTTTACTCATTTCCCATAATATTAATTATATTTTTAATCAATTATTATTTTAGTTGCCTACATATAGTGTACTCCAGGCTTACCAAATATGTTTTTTGTATAATGTTTACTTTTTTCAAATAATCTCTTGAAAAATAAAGTAGATATTATTTTTAACAACTAAGAAAAAAGGAAATTGGGATCCCAAGGATTAGTGGGATAACATAAGATCACACATCTGGCATGAATTCACATATATATGTGCATATAGAGAACTGTCAAATTTTAGAGCAGGAACAAACAACGAAATGTTGAGGATAATAGAATTCAAGCATTTCCTATAAAACACTGTAGCTAGATCATTGAGGTGACTTTCAAAGATTACATAACTAGTTACTGACTGAGCTGGAATGTCTCAATCTGGATTAGGGATCAAACTAGTAAAAATGTATGTAAATGAGCATAAAAACCAGACATTCTATAGAAGGATGAAATTCTGGCAAAAGTGCCACATTAAAAAAACGGCAATCTAGAGTATTATATATTCTTCATGGATTAAGAGACATTTAAACAGAGACTAAACTTGTCAGAGAAGCTGTAGAATATACTTAGGTATTTGATACACAGTTGAATTAGACAATTGTGTAGGTGCCAGTGGAAACCTTCCACTTTGCCCTGAAGTGGCACGGAAAAAATCAGCTCATAAAAGGTAGATTAATAGGAGAAACGGTATACAAATTTATTAGTGTGCACAGAGGAGAATCACACACAGTGTAATTGCCTCCTATCCCAGTGGGCTAAGATGCTTATATACCCTTCTTCCTGGAGTAAAGGGAGGTGGGGAAGTGTGGACAATATTAGGGTGGTAGTAAATTATTTTTAGGGGAATCATTGGACTCGGAGAACATACAATGGCCTAGGACAAAGTCTATTGGGCTTGAGGAGCAGATAACAGTTTGTGATAAAAGTTTGTCCAGGTGCATTGACAGGCTTCAGTCTTTCTTCCTGTCATATGAGTTTAGTTAATGAAAACTCAGGGAAGGGATCAGAGGTAATTGTTTCCTTCTTTGCTAGGTCCAAACTTTAGGCAAGTAAGGGAACTTCAGAAAATTACTTCATCCTGTACTTTGAGAGAGACAGATAATTGAGAGACAGAGAGGATGGGGAAATGTTAGAGAGATCTTGAGACTTCTTCAGTTCAGTATGTCAAAGCACAGTGATGGTTTGGCTGTGTCCCCCCCACCTCCCCCAATCTTATCTTGAATTGTAGCTCCCATAATCCCCACGTTTCATGAGAGGGACCCAGTGGGAGGTAATTGAATCATGAGGGTGGGTTTTTCCTGTGCTGTTCTTGTGAGTAAGATCTTCTGAGTAAGTCTCACAAGATCTGGTGGTTTTATAAAGGGCATTTCCCCTGCACATGCTCTCTTGCCTGCCACCACGTAAGATATGACTTTGCTCTTCCTTCAACTTCAGCCATGATTGTGAGGCCTCCCCAGCCATGCTGAACTGTGAGTCAATTAAATCTCTTTCCTTTTTAAATTACCCAGTCTTGGGTGTGTCTTTATTAGCAGCCTGAGAACAGAATACTATTTTGCAGTATCTTTTATGAATCCCAACAAGTAAGGTTCCTTCCAAACTCGAATGTTCATGGCTTGACCAGTCAGTGATTACGATGTTACACCTGAAAGTATCTTGCTTTCATTCTGACTCTATCATCTTAATTACAGTTGAATATGAAAAAAATAATTTTTGCTATTTTGGGATTAATGTTCTTAACAACTGATGCTTGCAGTCTACTGATGCTACCTTAGAAAATATTTTAGATCCTTGTCAGTAGCAGACATGAACTTTACATGATAAAATCACTTTCATAAAGTTAATCATTCATTTACTGTTTTGCAAAAAAAAATTAAATTAATGTTTGTATTATAAAGTCAATTGTTAAGTAAAATTGAAGAAACTTTCTCTTCTTGTAAATCAAACACACACAAGTGTATAGAAATATAGGTATCGGTATCAAAATTTTTTCCTTGAAAAAAATATTTCTTTGTATTTAAGATGAATGTAGTTTGATTTTTAAATTTTTAGTCAATGTGAAATTATCACTTGTTAAAATTGTTCTATGATTTAGCTAAACTTATTCATGAGCCACCCCCATTTATCCAGTAGGACAATAGTTTTAAAAGTATTATCAAGGGAACCCCTGGAAGTTCCCAAGACCATTTCAGGAATTCTGCAAGGCCAAAAGAATTTCAATAGTAATAAGACATTATTTGCCCTTTTACTTTAATTCTTGACCAGGTATAGAGTAGGCTTTCTAGAAAGTACATGCCATATAGGATGTCATGGCTTATGCCAATAAAATATGTGCTGCATGTTCTTATACTTATAAAATCTAATATTGGCACATAAATATTTGCATTTTCATATATTAACTCAGTTTTGAAACAGCACTTCTGCTGTTCTATTACTATCACTGGTTATATCATAGTAATCTTATAAACTCTAATCATCTAACAAATGTTACTTTGAAATCCTGAAATTCTTCTCTGCCTACATAGAAGCATAAAAAAGGTCAGCACGTTTTTATTTACATTATATCTTAAAATTTTTTAAAAAATTTCTAAAGTTTTAGGTTTCGTCTAAAACTGTTATTATTTTAGAATGTAATCATAGTTTATTCTGAAATAGAGGGAACATTTCTACTATATTTACAGAGTGATTATTGGCATACAAAAAATGGTAAAATGTTTATCAATGCACAGCTGCACTGTCTACACCTAGGATACTAAGAAAAGTAAAACTTTCATATCAGAGGGTCATTTGATTCATGAAAGAGAGGAATCTACTCCAAAGAACCTGGGTGAAACTGTAATTAATACTATGACAAGTGCTATTCCCATCATCTTTACATATGCTAACACTTTTCTTTAGTTTATCTTTTGAAACAGAATCTTTTTAAACAGTTTTGCACTGCCAATTATGTTGCAGTGTCATTTTGAAACCAAACATTCATAGGTTAATGTAAAAAATAATTAAATATCTTATTCATAGCTGGATTGAAGTCTTTAACAGCCTGAATCATGTGTTACAGCTTTTCAAATTAAGACACAGAGAAGCTGCTGAAACATCCTGCAACATTTATATCATATTGCATTTGCTGTAGAAGAACATACAATAGCTGGAGTTTAATAAAACCTTAGACTATTGATATTACTCAATGTCTATTGATGAAAAATTAGTAAAAGCATTCACAGCAGTGCCAATTTCTAATGTTGTAGTATCTTATTGAATTAAATATTATGTTGCAAACATGAAGAGTAAGATAATATCTTGTTTGCAGAACTGGACTTTTTACCTTACAAATGGATAAATCTGCAGATGTGGCTAGTCTAGCTCATTTGCTTCTATTCATTTGATTTCAGCACTGACTAAGCAGCCACAAAGATCTTGTTTTATGTTGTTTTATGTGAATGTTTGGTAGCAAATACAAGGGGCACTGAAATATTCAAAGTATTGAGTAATGTTGTTGAATTTCATTTTTTTTTTTAATCTCATGAAAGCACTGGGTTGACTTTGGCATGGATGGTGCAGACGCAGTGATGTGTAGAATTGCTAGTACCTTAGCACAAATTAAGGTAGTAGCTCCCAACTGTACTAGTGGTCACTATGTTCTTCACTGAAGTGTTCTTGCAAGAAAAAGAAAAAAAATGGCAATTTTGCTTAAAAATTGGTCCCTTCACTCTCTCTGAGCATCAAAGGTAGTAAAAATCCGGTGCCTATTTTCTTACCTATAATGCTCAGGGGAGATGAATGATTTCACCTGAGAGTGGCTTTTATGCCCTCCTTTGTTATATTATTCCATAAAACATGGAAGATTGGAGGAAGAAGGAGTCAGGGATGAGTGAGCATGCTGCTGTCCTCCCAGAATTCCTTTGTAATTAATTGGTAAAAGTATGAATAAACAAATCCACTAATGTTTTCTTGAATGGCTAATTTATTAATGAATTTCAAATATAAATTCATTATTATTCTTCACAAATATAGTTCTAGTTTTAAAGATTTTCTTTGCTTTTTATTTTTTAAATATTTTTATTTACTGTTAAAGTTATTTAATATATTGTTGTTTCTCTCTTTCCATTGTAATGTAAGGCACATGAGGACAGGGCCTATGTCTATGTTCTTCTTTACATACCCCAATGATTAGAATAGTGACTGGAACATAGTAGGTACTCAAGAGATACATACAAAATGAGTGATTTTTATTTTTATGTTCAACCTCTTAACTTATCTAAATTCTGTTATAATTTTTATGATCTATGTTTCCAATGAATCATTCCTATCAAAAAAGCAGTTAATCCAATTATGTCTACCCTTATTTGTAGAGCAAACAAAATTTCCTTTGTATATATAAATAGTAATATTTTCTAACCTTTTTTGTTTTATCACCCTCTTTTCTGACTTGTGACATTTCATTTAACTAGTGATATGTCAGTACTTCTTTTCTGATTGCTTTTTGATGTTTTTGTTTAGTCTTTCAGACTTAGTTAATAATAAATATGTGTTTTAAAATACAGCTTTCTCTAATGGGTTAAAATCATGTAAATCTATGTTTTTAGGATATCTGAACACTCAAAGACACTAATACTTGGAAATGTCACTGTATTTGCAATAACTGACATTCCCTCATGGTCCCTGTCTTGATTCCCCTTGCTCAGAATAGCCACCCTCACTTTCTTACACCTACCTATACAACTGAGAGTCAGCTTATAGCTGGTTAAAACCCCTACCCCTTTAGTTCAAGACTTGATAAAAAGTCTCCACTTCCCGTTTTTCAGTTGTACTTATCTTTGAATTCAAATGCTTCTTACCCTAATACATCAGCAGAAACATCAAGCTACAGTCCAACCTACTCCCTATTGTGTCTGGATATCCATCTCTCTAGTCTCCTGTTTATCTTCTTTTCTCACCAGAATTTCCTGAAGGGTTTGAAGACTGGTTTTGAATAATTTTATTTTTAGTGGAAATTGTTCCTCTCCTTGCCTTGTTTCACTCCACTCTTTCTCCACCAGCTGGACTCACTTCTGCCTTGTTTTATGTATATCCACTTCATCCACAGCTTGGAGATCTCCCATGATCTTGACATATATATAGTAACGTACACCTGTGAATACACAATCATACAAACACTGAATGATGCTACTCCTACAAGCACCAAGTTTGAGCATGAGCACATTGTAGAGGGCTAATTTGGGCACCAGGCATGCTCTCAAAGGGGAGAGATGATTTTGCTCTTCCACACTCACAGCTTAAGACAATATGCTGCATAAATATGGCTACACTGGCTGATGTAGTTTCCTATGTAGTTATTTATTTATTTTCATCATCATTGTTATAACTATGCACATGTATACAGATTTGCTATTTATTTGTATTATGCACATCATGAATTTCATTAATGCAAATGGTGTAGAATATTGAACATACCTACATTTGACAAATCCAACATCATTTTCTGAGCCACCAAATTTGTTTTTATTTTAAAGAAGGGAATTCTGATGTTCAGAGCAGAAAAGTTATTTTTTCCTAATGGCTCACTGTATGTCAGTGATGGAGCTGGTAATAAAACCTTAGTTCTCTGTATCTCCAATTCAGTGCTCAATTGAAATTGCATTATTCACTCAATGAAAGCTAAATGAAAAAGTGAAAGTTACACTCTGATTTTGCAGGATATGTTGTGCCAGACTAATGTCACACATTTTATTCCTTGCAACCCAAGCATACCTCAAGTACTACTTACTAAATGACCTATGAAGATCATTTATACAATAGTGCAATGTTTGAAGGTTGTGAGCCACTCATACTATGAAATATTAATAAAATGTATTTTGTGAGATTTCTTACCCTTGCTCATAAAATGGATAGACCACTTACCTACCCTGGTCTCCCAATAAGGTTATAAGGACTTATTCATTCAAACTAATATTGATAATGATAAGTACTGTACTAAGTAGTAAAGTAAATTTTTTAAAAGTTGTCTGTCATTTGCCAAGCAATATCCATGAAAATGTAATATATACTATCTCATTGAAACTTCTAAAAAGAGCCAGTGAGATTGTATATAAATGCTGTGCACATGACACTCCTTTCTATCACATTCTCTTTTCATTTATCAATTTTCCTCAACAACAACAAATCAATAACTTAATATATACCTTTTCTCTAAACAATATATGGACCATAACTTGCTATTTCTCCCTCCTTGCTTGTTGATGGGAGTGGTCCATAATCAGCCAGGCAAAAAAAGAATCTTCAGCAAGTCTGCTGGTTGCCAGGTGAAGGCAGAGAGATGAGTTAATACCAGGGCGGGGGTGGGGTGGCGGTGGTGTGGAAATAATCAGTTGTAGTCGTCCTTCACAGAAACCATATCCCTGACATGGGACACCTACTAATACAGTAACATTCTATTAAGCCTTATAGAGCAATGAGTACCAGCCCAGTTATTATAGGCAGCCAGCTGTGTGAAAGGAGGGAAAATAACTTCAGAAGTTGCAGGGCCTACTAAGTGTTTTGTTTATTACTAATCATGTAATGCTTTTGATATGTGTGGGTAAGCCAAGGTGAAATGATTAAGAGAGAACCTTGAGCAGCCTATGTTAACATCAAAGCTTTGGGTGTCAGAATTAGGTACTAAGGGCTAACATATAAATAAAGTTTAATAGTTACTTTCAGTCCTTAGATCAATTAAAATGTGTTTATTTGACTTATGGTTTAATACTAGTTGCAGAGCAGATAAATGTTTCTAAGAAGTGTTAAGTAAGCTTAAGGGACAAAAGAGTGGTATATTTTACATTTGTGAACATATGGGTGTTATTAATACATTAGATTGAAGATAGATTTTTTTTGAGACAAGGTCTTGCTTTGTCACCCAGGCTGGAGTACAGTGGCAAACATAGGTCACTGCAGCCTTCAACTCCTTAGCTCAAGTGATCCTCTTGCCTCAGCCTCCTGAGAAGCTGGGGTTACAGGCATGCACCACCATACCTGGCTAACGTTTTTTTTAGAGATGGGGTCTTGCTATATTTCCCAGGCTGGTCTCATACTCCTCACCTCCAGCAATCCTCCCAACTTGATCTCCCAAAGTGTTAGTATTACAGGCATGAGCCACCATACCCAGCTGGTTACATATATTTTTGAAGTAGATAAATGAGGAAGGATTTCAGTTGATTAGTTACTGGAGATATTTCTCACACAAATTTAAAATTAATATGAAAGATGGTGTCAGTATCTAGTCCATTTTCTTTTACTATAACATAATATCACCTATTGAGTAATTTATAAAGAAAAAATATTTATCATAGTTCTAGAGGCCAGGAAGTCCAAGGTGCCAGCATTTTGCAAAGGCCTTCTTACTGTGTCATCCCATAGCAGAAGGTAAAAGGGCAAGAAAGCATGTGCATGCAACAGACAGCAAGAGATTGAACTTGTGTAGCCTCAAGCCCTTTTATAACTGGCATTATCCGTTATTGAGGGCGGGGCCTTTATGGCCTAATCACCTCTCAGAGGTCCCACCTCTTACCACTGTTGCATTGGGGATTAAGTTTCTGACCCGTAAACTTTGAGGGGCACATTCAATCTATAGCAGGCAGCAACTTTTAACTGTAAAAGTTTTGAAAGTTATGAAATATGGGATAAATCCAATCATCTGAAAACATTAGTGATGCAATTCAATTTTTTTCATTATCAACATAGGATTTAAAACTTTACTCCTACAATATAAAGTATAACTCCAAAACTTTAGACAGTATGCCTGTCAAATAAGGTAGCCATATACAAATAAAGGATAAATATCAATATTTAAATAATTACATTATTAATAGCTTATTATTCATAGCTTATTTTATTATATTATTATTTATAGATTATTTTACCATATAAAATTAGTTTCAGAACTATTAAAAATACAGGAGATTTTATTTTATGTATTCCTTAAGTATTTTCTATGTCTCATATAAATGGTTCTTCCATAAAAATTATCAAGCTTGATCTTTTCTATGTATACCCAATATTTTTATTTGTAAATCCAATTACATTTGTCCAAGTTCTTCAAATGTTGAATAGCAGAAAATTTTATATTATTTAAAAATAAGAATAGAAAAAATCTAAATAACATATAAGGTAGCTAATTTATTTCTATTTTTTTCTATTGGGTCTTTATCAGTTGAGTTTATAAGAACTATTTTTTAATTGACAAAAATTTTATATATTGTGTCCAGCATGATATGTTTCTATATGTATGCATTGTGGAATGGCTAAATCAAGCTAATTAACATGTCTATTATCTCATAAACTTTTTTGTAGTAAGGTATTTAAAATCACTATTAGCAATTTTCAAGTATATAATACATTGTTATTAACTACAGACACCATGCTGTACATTTCCTGAATTTATACCGCTTAACTGAAATTTTGAGTCTTTTAACTAACATCACATCAATAATAAGAATTATCAAAAGATAATTCTGTTTATTTCCTATCTCTTCTCTAAAATTATTAACCAAAACTTAGATCTTTTTCACTGAACAATAAATTGAAGCTATAGGAGAGACTCACAGACATTATATAACAATGACATGAGATTGGGCTAAAGAATCTAAAAGTTCATCTAATTCTCAAATATTATGTTCTCATCTTAGGTTTCATAGACAAAACAGTACTAAGAGCTAGTTGATATTCTCTAGAATTATCGTAGGAGACCAAAGTCTCAGATTGTCCCTGAATAGGCCCACTCTGGGAATTAATCTAGCTTCTGACCTTATGTTTCATCATTTTAGCTAAGTCACCTTTTGACTTACCACAAACTCAAAAAACTTAATAATTCATAGTAATATAGTGTTGGTAGTAAAAACATGGATTCCAAAGCCAAACTGACTAGCTCTGCCACGTTAGTTGTGCCCCCTTGGCAAGTTGCTTAGCTTCTTCTGTGTGACATAGTTCTCTTAAACTTCCAATATGGATAATAATATTACCTATCTCATGGAACTATTGTAAGAAATAAAGAAATTATTTTATGTTTGGACATTATGTAACACATAGTGGATGCTACATGTGTGTTTGCTATCACTACCATTATCTTACCCTTTAATTAATTTCTCTGAAAATAGGGAAATTGAGAAGTAGAGTTAGCATGATTTGGTAACTCAAAACCTTTCCGCTTTCTGCAAGTCTTCTCAACAAAGATATAATTTAGTTGTACTATAACAGAATATGGCTGTTAAATTCAGTGTTGCCTTTTTCTTTTAGCATTTTACAGAATAATTTTGCTCATTCTTATGAAAAGGGAATATTTTTCCAAGACTGAGTAAAAATAATTTTCTTTTTTTTTTAGGAAGAAAAGGTTAGACAATTAGGGTTCTTCAAGGAAAGGAAAAGTAATTTTCTTTAGATAATGACATGGAGTCCAGTTATAATGGGTTATTGAAATTCTACCTGACAGTCTGTGGTACATTGCTGTGTTTGAGTAAATAAATGCTGATATGTGGATAAATAAAATAATAGTTTAATGTGCACAGTAAAATGAGTAGGAGCTGGGAGGCTGGAGAGACTTGGATAGAGAAGAGAAATAGCAGGGTGAAAGGAAAACATACAGTAAGCCCAGGAAAATAGTGCTAGAGTTTCTGCTGGAAAGAACTAAATAAATGGGAGAGAGAAGAAACATTACAAGGATTTTTTTTCTGTGCCCAGGAGCCATGTTAAAAGAGACTATTTGATAGCTAAGCAGTCTTTGCATAAATTATAAAAGACTTTTAGTGGTTGCTTTTGAACTTTAGAATGTAAAGCATCCATTTCCTCATTTTTCTATGAAAAGTAGCCTGATTTTTCTCAGTGAGAGGGTTTATATATCCTTACAGTATAGTAGCTATACTTATTGGGTAGCCTGGAACAGAATAGATTACATTAATTTAATCTGGTCAATTTCTCTCATCCCCATGGCTTTGGTATTTTATTTAATGCTGACCCAGAACCCAGTTCAGTTTTCAGGCCACTGAGAAATAGCCTTTTTCTTCCTCTGGATGAACTGATGGGATAATATGAGGTGCAGAACAGCAGTCATCATAAAAAAAGATCCAGGAGCCACTATGTGGAGCTGAAAAAGACCACTAGTTGGCTAGTACTACAGAAGTTAGAGCAAAGAGACAGAAAAGAAATTAGATGCCTAGCAGTTTATACTCACTGTGCCAAGTCACATATGCATCCTCTATCTTGGCTACTGAGTTATATAAGTTAATAAATTCTTTTTTGGTTGTTGATTATACCAGTTTGTGTTTTGTTTCCTTTTATTTGCAATTAAAGTAGTCTTAACCAATACAAATAGAAATTCCACATTCAAATCTTGGGCTGATATATCACTTGGCTAACAAGTCTTTAGGCATGTAGAAATTTTGCATGTTGTAAACCATGCATCCTATTAACTGATGACTCTGCTGAAGTGTCATAAATTTTTAATCTAATCCCACCTGGTGACCCCATAAGAATCTTTGTGAGGTTGAATAGAGCATGCCAGAATAACCAACAAAGGGATAAGAGAATTGGAAAACTATTTTTGTCATTTGTAAGCACACTAAGTTCCACCTGAAAAGTCACAACAAGCACATAATAGCTCTATGTGTTCATTTAAAAATAGTACCCTGCAGGTCAAATACATATCACAACCTGCCCCCACAAAAAAAAAAACACACACACACATTCTATTGTGCCCAAAGAAAGACATAGAAATGGCATGTGATCCAATGCCCATGCACAGCCCTTAGTCAGACATAGCTTTATCATCCTTTCTCCTGTATTACTTGGAATAGAAAACAATTTTGTTTCCCAGAATGATAGGAAAAACTGATGTCAGTAGCAAAATTTCCATCTGTTTGGCTATGTGAGGTCTGTTAGCTCACAACCTCTCCCGATGGACTCATCTTCATATCCTAAAATGTAAATTTGAAATTCATTATTAACATTTAAATACTTCTTTAAAGTTTGGGATACCAAAAATTATTTCCAACACATGGCAAATGTTTCTTATGGTAGCTAATCTCAGGGCCTCAGTGGATCTACATGTTCTTTCCTCTTAATAATTTGCATGTTGACAAGAATATATTGGACCACCTCATGGTATTTAAAACATTCTGTCCCAAACCACAATAGAAAACAAATATCAAATCTTCTTAAAAGTTTTAGGGCTGTTAAAAGATTGTAAAGAGTAAAAATAGAAAACTATAGTCAATACCTACTTTACATTCTCTGATATCACTCTCTGAATTTTAACCACAGGACTTTCCACAGTCGTAAGTTGTTTATGTGTGTGTGTGTCTGTGTATGTGTGTGTGTGTCTGCATGTACGTGTGTGTCAGAGAGAGAGTTCCATTGTTGTTGCTGCTGTTGTTGTTTTTGGTTCATTACTATTTCTTCGTCAAGTCTGTAAACTATTAAAGGTCAAGGGGCAAATCGGTTAGGCTGACAATGGGAGCCTAAAATCTATTTGTTGAACGCATAGAATGAATAAAATTAATGAATGAATAAGTGAATAAGTAAGTGAACAAAGATCATTGTATATTCTGCATTGATCTAATAATGAAGACAAATGTTCCAATAGCATCAGTGTGTGTTCATAATTGTTTTCAATGCTCTCAATTTATTTATTGGACAAATATTTATTAAGCACTTACCCTGTTCAGCAGAAGAATAATATGCAGACCACCACATATAATGATAGGGTCTTTGGCAATGATTTTTTGAGAGATCAGCAGGCTTCAGAACCATATAAATAGGCTATAGGACTGTGCAAAAAAATCAAACCAAACAAAACAAACAAGCCTAATTGTCCCAGAAGGTTCTAGGGATTTGGACTTTCAATACCATCTCTCGAAGCATCTTGTCAAAGAAAAAAATGCATCAGATAAAGTCAAGCAAGGAAGACTTTATTTAAGACTATTGCAATAGAGGACAGAGATTGAACCCAACTCCACTAAAACAAAAGGTGACTGGGTTTTTAAATTCTGGGGTAGATAGTGGGAAAAGTATAGTAAAATGTTAGGGGATAGATAGTCAATGTTAAGTCATCTCTGTTTGCTACTTTTAAAATATTAGGCTCCTATCCTTCCACAGAAACTGGAATATAGAGATGCCATCTTTCTTGATGATTACCTATCAAAGGGATAACTCCCAGGTCTTTGAGAAAGACATTTCTGGGTTGTAAAACAACTTTTCATCTCTAAGGGGCAGAGAAAGAATTTACAATGGAAAACTTTCCAAAATAAGTGCTCTAAGAAAGAGCCAAGGGTCTTAGGGCCAAGGGTCTGGAGAAACCCTGTCTAAAGTTCAGTCAAACCGAGGAGAATGTTAAGTCCATCGTGGCCAGTCCTAAGCAAACTAGGATGAGATGGTCACCTACTAGGTGTTAAGTGTTACACAGAACTTCACTAGAAATTTTCTATAGCTGAAAATTGTGATATTCACATTCAGCAAATTATCATGTAGATCTATGACTTTGTTCCCTTTGCAGGCCTACCAAGGAAATATTTCTTTTTCTTGAAAAGATATTTATCTTAAAATATAAGAAATGTTTTTGTTCCATGAAATAGGTTTTAAAAGTGCATAGTTTGGGAGCTTTTGTTGAGTTGTGCTAAAATGAAGGTCTCTTATTCATCGAAAGGCTTTAAACAGACCACAAACACATGCATACAAAACAAGTTCAAAGAATGAGTCTCTGTCCCATGATAGTTTTTCTGCAAAAAAAAAGTACATTTCTTAATTTATGGCCTAAATACCACTTGTTCTTTATAAACCTCATTTTAACATTGAATAAAATTACAAACTTGAGATTTTGCTTCTTTTGAAAACTTGAATTACAAGAATGTGACCACAAAGTCAACTTTGAACATTTAAACTCTGGTGATAAGGACATGATAATTTGTATGTGGCTTGAAATAGAAGTTCCATGGAAAGGAGTATTTTTGCTACAGTAAAAAATAAATCTCATAATTTGCCAAGTTAAAATGAGTCAGTGCTTAATGTAATAATGCATTGCATTGTTAGTTTCCTATATTTTTGATTCTTAGAAAGGTTCTGAGCTCATAGAGCAAAAGAGTTAGACCCTAGAAATGCACATAACCAAACACTGCTAGAGACAAAAAGGAAAACCTTTTTCCAGTGCCTGTGGCCAAATCATTGTCTGCTTGAGCCAAAAGAGTGGACATGAGAAAGAGCCTAGATATTTTTGTGAAGAACCAAATAATAAATTCTTGCAGTCACAATGAGGTCAACAACCTTCAATGTTTATTATATTAAAAGAGAGACCATCACATCATCAGTAGCTTAACACTACATTAATTTTCTTCGGAGAGTAAAAGAATGAGTTAGTAATTCCAGGAGGTTTCTTTTTCTTGCTAATTCCAGGAATTCTATTTCTCTGTGGTGTGTGTGTGTGTGTGTGTGTGTGTGTGTGTGTATGAGTGAGTGAGTGACAGTAACAGTTCTGAGAAACTATCCAGATGAAATAAAATTTTTTAAAGGTCACAATGGAGACAACTAGTATATTGTGAGTTGAGAGAAAAACAGCAAGCTGACAGTTTATATAACAAATAGGGTATGTTTGGTTAGGTAACAATATATCTAAATGGTTAATCTACTTTAACTGGTAAAATATTAGAAGAAGAAATATGTTGAAAGTCACAACTCAAAGAGTTTGTTTAAAAAATTATACATTTATTGAGTCATTAAAAAAATTTACTAACCATTTCTACATGTCCAGGCATTCAGATAGATGTTATCTGAATAGGAATGTTCTCAAAAGAAGTGAATCAAATAGATTCACATATGTATAATCACTCTAACACAACAGAAACTCAGCTGTTGCCCTCTTAACATAGATGGCAGATGTGTTTGTCAGCAGAATCACACTCCTAAATGCTATCTTCCATAAATAAACTTAAAGAGGCTCTGCTGTCTTTAAAATAAGGCCTCTAAGATACCCTGGAAGTTTTCTTCAGTTTCACTGACTGGAATGAAAAACAAACAAACAAAAACAAGAGGATTGCCAGGGACATTTTATGGGCCAGTGTTGTAAGTGACTCAAGTCTCATCTACTGACATTGCATCGAATACAACTGGTCACACGATCCCAGCTACAAGTACATACAAGAAAGCCTGGAAAAATTTGCCTTGTACCTCCCTTAAAAAACTCCGTAATATGGAAGAGGAAATATGTTTTTGGTGAACAATTAGCTATCTCTTCCACAATCTATCTCTCACCCCTCCAAATATCACTCTGTATTCCATTCATGAGGAAGTAATTCAAAGTCCAATCCAGTCACTGCATCCAGTACAAAGTCCAGGATATGCAGGAGATGCATGCTTTTTTTCAATTAGGTATAAAAGTGGCTTCTCATAATCTCGTGATGTCCACTAAAGCCATTTATTTTCATCCTCCAACCCCACATTTCCATTTTACAAGGTGGGTGGAGCAAGGATGGCAATTAAAACCCACTTTCGAAGTGTTAAAGAATACCAGATACACAGCAATCACCCATCCATAGCAATCATGGTATCCTCACTGGCAGTCATTGTAGAAGTCCCCACCCTGGCAGCGAGGGATGGTCTCTCATTTACTCAGATCTTATCTGAATTATTTGGAAGAACCTATTGTTCACCTATTGCCCAGAGCTACATCTAAAGAGGAATGTTGAAGGGTATGCCCTCTTTGACAGATTTCTCAGCTCCTTACTTGTTACACATACACATTAAGTAGCTAGAAAGTTGTTATAAGGCTTTAACAGTCAAAGACTTTTTTGGTTCAGGCTAATCATTTTTTGGAAACAAAATTCTTTCAAAAATGATAGGCTTCAGTCAGTACCAGATGCCTCCAGTCAGTATGAGGTGCCAGTAACTACAACTTAAATTTTATCCTGGACATACTTCTTAAGTCTGATTTATTTCTCTGCTTCCACATCTCTGTCTCTTTATGACAGCTACCTTGAGGCCATGTGAAACATTACACTTGAGTGGAAGGGAAGAATTTTTAACTTAAACTTTTCAAAACTGAGATCCTCTGCTTAATGAGAAACTTTGATGAACCTGTGTTTTTAGTCCTTTGTAAATCTTGTTTCCTACTATTTTAGTTTCTAGATCCTCTCTCTTCTCTTTTGTTTCTGTTCAAAAATCAGCTAATTCTTGCCCAAGCTAGTTTTTTTAAATACCTTCCATAGAGCGTCAAACAACCCAGGTTACTAACATTGTGCTCTCCAACCTCTTTTAGAACTACCAAATTTGGTGCACTTGCTCTGCCTTCTAAGTTGTTGAAGGCCATACTTCTCTGTATTCATAAGGGTAGACTAGCTGCCACAAAAATTATACTTTAAAGTGTATGCTGGCTTACAAGGGATTAGTTACATTTATGTAAAACTGTTAGCTAGGTGAACAGATTAGTGGGGCCACCCTTGTCCCCTCAGTTATCCAAGTACCCATTCTGATGGAGTCTCTTACATCTCCAATATGTTGTTTTCAAAGACACTTGTGGTTACCTTAATTCTAGCCCTACAGACAGTGGAGAGGGAATGAGGAAGCATGAGGAAAAATTTTAATAGCCAGACCTTGAAGTGGCACATGGCATGTCTGCTCATATTGCCATGTCCAGAACTAGGCACATGGCTCTAATTAGCAGCAAAGGGGATGGGAAATGCAATGCTTCCTGTGATGACTCTACACTTTGGAAGGGGGAACATGTTTTTGTTGGTGGATAATTACCCAAATCTGTTACAAGTTGTAACTTGATAGATAAGAAAAGGTGGAAGCCATCTGGAGGTTAGATGGGTCTAGTTCTCACTTGAAGGCACGTTCTAGGCAAAGCAAACTAGTATGAGAAGCCATGAAGTGGATAGATCTTGTTTTGTTGTTTAAATATCTCAGGGCCACTGTGGCTAAAGTATTGTGAGAAAAGGGGAAAAAGGGAAAGGTAATGCCAGAGAAGTAGGCAGAAGACAAATTAAGCTTGAAGAGTTAATAAATTTGAATTACATTCTAAGTATAATAATTTAGAGGTTAAGTTAAAAAAGAAAAGAAATTGTTGGAAAAAAATCATGGATAGGAGGCAGGACTAACTTGCAGCTCCCACTCAGACAGAGCAGTGTGTGGAGACGCATACTGTGAACTTTTGCTCCAAGTACTATTGCAGGAGCATACCAGGAAAGCCAAGAGAATGGCAGTATCACACTTCCCCACCTGCCATGGGGAAGAGAATGGCAGTATCGCACTTCCCTGTGGCAGGTGGGGAAGTGCGATACCTGAGAGCCTTACTTGCTTTCTCAGCCAGGAGGTTGGTGGCCTGGGGCAAGTTCTCAGCCCTGCTCATCAGCTGCCCGGAAATAAACTTGGTGCAGTTGTAGGGGCACAGTGGGAGTGAGACTGGCCTCTTGGGCTGCAGGAGAGCTGGATGAGGCCTGTAATTGCCGGCTTTACCCCACTTCCCTGGGGTGACACAGAAGAGGCAGCCATAATCCCCCTGGGAACATAACTCCATTGGCTTGAGAATGACACCCCCATACCCATAGCAGCCCAGCAAGCCCCACCCAAGAAGAGTCTGAGTTCAGACACACCTAACCCTGCCCCCACCTGATGGCCTTTCTCTACCCATCCTGGTGGCCAAAGACAAAGGACACATTCTCTTGGAAACTCTAAGACCCCACCCGCCACCTGATCCTCCCTACACTACCGCAACTCATGTTCTTTAAAAAGTGCTACCTCCTGGCTGGAGGCCAATCAACACAAAATTAGTGTAATAAACAAAACTAAAGCTAAGGACCTTCACAGAGCCCATTTTACTCCCCTGCCACCTCCACTAGAGGAGGTGCTGGTATCCACAACTGAGAGACCTGAAGATGGTTGACATCACAGTACTGTGCCTAAATCCCCCAATACCAGCGCAGAGCTTGGTAGCTCCACTGGATGGCTAGTTCCAGAAGAGAAATAACAATGACTGCAGTTCAGCTCTCAGGAAGCTCCTTCCCTGGGGGAAAAGGAGGAACACCACATCAAGGGAGCACCCCATGGGACAAAAGAGTCTGAATAGCAGCCCATGAGTCCCACATCTTTCCTCTGATATAGTTTCAAAAATGCGAAGGAACCAGAAAAACAATTCTGGTAGTATGACAAAACAAGGTTCTTTAACACCCCCAAAAGATTACACTAGCTTACCAGCAATGGATCCAAACCAAGAAGAAATCCCTGAATTGCCAGAAAAAGAAATTAGAAGGTTGATTATTAAGCTAATCAAGGAGGCACCAGAGAAAGTTGAGTCCAACTTAATGAAATAAAAAAAAATAATGATACAAGACATGAAAGGAAAAATCTTCAGTGAAATAGATAGCATAAATAAAAAGCAATCATATTTCTAGAAATGAAGGACACACTTAGAGAAATGTAAAATACACTGGAAAGTCTCAGCAATATAATCAAACAAGCAGAAGAAAGAACTTCAGAGATCAAAGATAAGATTTTCAAATTGACCTAATCCAAAAAAAAAGACCAAAAAAAAAAACTTTTAAAAAATTAACAAAGCCTCCAAGAAGTTTTGGGATTATGTTAAACAAACAAACCTAAGAATAATTGTTGTTCCTGTGGAAGAAGAAAAATCTAAATGTTCAGAAAACATATTTGAGGGAATAATTGAAGAAAACTTTCCCTGCCTTGTTAGAGATCTAGACATTCAAATACAAAAAGCTCAAAGAACACCTGGGAAATTTGTCACAAGAAGATCATCACCTAGGCACATAGTCATCAGGTTATCTAAAGTTAAGACAAAGGAAAGAACCTCAAGAGCTGTAAGGCAAAAGCATGAGGTAACCTATAAAGGAAGATCTATCAGATTAACAGCCCATTTCTCAGCAGAAACCCTACAAGCTAGATAGGATTGGGTCCCTATCTTTAGCCTACTTAAACAAAACAATTATCAGCCAAGAATTTTGTAATCAGTGAAAGAAAGCTTCATTAATGAAGGAAAGATACAGCCTTTTTCAGACAAACAAATGCTGAGAGAATTTACCACTACCAAGGCAGCACTACAAGAACTGCTAAAAGGAGCTCTAAATCTTAAAACAAATCCTTAAAATATACCAAAATAGAACCTCCTTAACACATAAATCTCACAAAACATATGCAACAAAAACACAATATTTTTAAAAAAACAAGGTATTCAGGCAAAAAATAGCACAATGAATAGTACCTTACATCTCAATACTAACATTGAATGTAAATGACCTAACTGCTCCACTTAAAAGATACAAAATGGCAAAATAATAAGAATTCATCAGCTAAGTATCTGCTGTCTTCAGGAAACTCGCTTAACACATAAGGACTCACATAAACTTAAGGTAAAAGGTTGGAAGAAAATATTCTTTGCAAATGGACGCCAAAAGCAAGCAGGAGTAGCTATCCTTATATCAGACAAAACAAACTTTAAAGAAACAGCAGTTTAAAAAGACAAAGAGGGATATTACATAATGATAAAAGGACTTATCCACCAGGAAAATATCACAATCATAAATATATATGCACTTAACACTGGAGATCACAAATTTATAAAACAATTACTACTAGATCTACAAGATGAAATAGCAACAAAATAGTGGTGAGGGACTTCAGTACACCACTGACAACACTAGACAGGTCA
The DNA here is from genome assembly GCF_000001405.40 of Homo sapiens. Lineage (NCBI taxonomy): Eukaryota > Metazoa > Chordata > Mammalia > Primates > Hominidae > Homo > Homo sapiens. The sequence goes on along the minus strand of NC_000006.12, from coordinate 80,935,332 downwards.
TCAAGACAGAAAGTCAACAAAGAAACAATGAATTTAAACTATATACCAGAACAAATGGACTTAACACATACTTACAGAACATTCTACTCAACAACTACAGAATACACATTCTATTCATCAGCACATGGAACATTCTCCAAGGTTGACCATATGATAGGCCACAAAACAAGTCTCAATAAATTTAAGAAAATCAAAATTATATCAGGTACTCTATCAGACCATAGTGGAATAAAATTGGAAATTAACTCAAAAAGGAATACTCAAAATCATGCAAATAAATGGAAATTAAATGATCTGCTCCTGAATAATCACTGGGTCAACAATGAAATCAAGATGGAAATTAAGAAATTATTTGAACTGAATGATAATAGTGATACAATTTACCAAAACCTCTGGGATAGAGCAAAGGCAGTGCTAAGAGGAAAGTTCATACCCTTAAATGCCTATATCAAAATTTCTGAAAGAGCACACATAAACAATGTAAGGTCACACCTCAAGAAACTAGAGAAATAAGACCAATCCAAACCCAAACCCAGAAAAAGAAAAGAAATAACAAAGATCAGAGCAGAACAAAATGAAATTGAAAAAAGAATTACAAAAGATAAATGAAACAAAAGCTGATTCTTTGAAAAGATAAAATTGATACACCATTAGTAAGATTAACCAAGAAAAGAAGAGAGAAGATCCAAATAAATTAGAAATGAAACAGGAGCTATTACAACAAATACCACAGAAATACAAAAGATTATTAAAGGCTACTATGAACACCTTTACATGCATAAACTAGAAAACCTAGAGGAGAGGAATAAATTTCTGGAAATATACAACCCTCCTACATTAAACCAGGGAGAAATAGAAACTCTGAACAGACCAATAACAAGCAGTGAGATTGAAATGGTAATAAAAAAGTTGCCAAGAAAAAAGTCCGGGATCAGACAGATTCACAGCTGAATTCCAACAGACGTTCAAAGAAAAATTATTACCAATCCTATTGATACTATTCTACAAGACAAAGAGGGAATCCTCCCTAAATCAATCTGTGAAACCAGTATCATCCTAATACCAAAACCAGGAAAGGATATAAAGAAAAAGAAAACTATAGACCAATATCCCTGATGAACATAGTGAAAAAATCATCAAAGAAATCCTAAAATCCTAACTAACTGAATCCAACAGCATATCAAGAAGATAATCCACCATGATGAAGTAGGTTTCATACCAGGGATGCAGGGATGGTTTAACATATGCAAGTTTAACATATGATACACCACATAAACAGAATTAAAAACAAAAATCACATGATCATCTCAATAGATGCAGAAAAGCATTACAAAATCCAGCATCATTTTATGATTAAAGCCCTCAGCAAAATCGGCATAAAAGGAACATACCTCAAAGTAATAAAAGCCATCTATAACAAACCAACAGCCAACATAATACTGAAGGAGGGAAAGTTGAAAGCATTTTCCCTAGGAACTAGAAAAAGACAAAGATGCCCACTCTCACCACTTCTATTCATCATAGTACTGGAAGTCCTAGCCAGAGCAATCAGACAAGAAAAAGAAATAAAAGGCATCCAAATCAGTAAAGTAGAATTCGAACTGTTGCTTTTTGCTGATGATATGATAATATACATAGAAAACCCTAAAGACTCTGCCAAAAAGTTCCTAGAACTGAGAAATGAATTCAGCAGAGTTTCAGGATACAAAATTAATGTACACAAATCAGAAGCTCTGCTGTAGACCACAGCAACCAAACCAAGAATCAAATCAAGAACTCAACCCCTTTTGCTATAGTTGCAAAAAATAAAATAAAATACTTAAGAGTATACATAATCAAGGATGTGAAAGATCTCTGCAAAGAAAGCTACAAAACACTGCTGAAGGAAATCATAGATGACACAAACAAATGGAAACACATCCCATGCTCATGGATGGGTAGAATCAATATTGTAAAAACGACCATAATGCCAAAAGAAATCTACAAATTCAGTGCAATTCCCATCATAATACCACCAACATTCTTCACAGAACTAGAATAAACAATCCTAAAATTCATATGAAACCAATATGAATTTTGAGAGTGCATAGCCAAAGCAAGACTAAGCAAAAAGAACAAATATAGAGACATTACATTACCCACATTCAAACTATACTATAAGGCTGTAGTCACCAAAAGAGCATGGTACTGGTAATAAAAAATAGGCACATAGACCAATGGAAGAGAATAGAGAACCCAGAGATAAAGCCAAATACTTACGGTCAATTGATCTTCAACAAAGCAAACAAAACATAAAGTGGGGAAATGACAGCATATTCAACAAATGCTGCTGGGAAAATTGGCAAGCCACATGTAGTAGAATGAAACTGGATCCTCATCTCTCATTTTATATAAAAACTCAAGATGGATCAAGAACTTAAAGAACTGTAACCATAAAAATTTTAGAAGATAACATCAGAAAAACCCTTCCAGACATTGGCTTAGGCAAAGACTTCATGACCAAGAACCCAAAAGCAAATGCAACAAAAACAAAGACAAATAGATGGGGCTTAATTAAACTAAAAACTTCTGCACAGCAAAAGAAAAAGTCAGCAGAAAAAACAGACAACCCACAGAATGGGAGAAAATCTTTGCAATATATACATCTGGCAAAGAACTAATATCCAGAATCTACAAGAAACTCAAGCAACTCAGTAATAGAAAAACAAACAATCCCATCAAACAGTGTGCTAAGGACATGAATAGTCAGTTCTTAAGATATACACATGGCCAAAAAACATATGAAAAATGCTCCACATGACTAATGATCAGGGTAATGCAAATCAAAACCACAATGCAATACCACTTTACTCTTGCAAGAATGGCCATGATCCAAAAATAAAAAAAATAATAGATGTTGGTGTGGATGTGGTGAAAAGGGAACACTTTTACACTGCTGGTGGGAATCTAAACTATTACAACCACTGTGGAAAACAGTGTAGACATTCCTCAAAGCACTAAAAGTAGAACTACCATTTGATCCGGCAATCCCTCTGCTGGTTGTCTACCCAGAGGAAAAGAAGTAATTACACAAAAAAAGATACTTACACACTCATGTTTATAGCAGCACAATTCACAAATTCAAAAATATGGAACGAGCCCAAATGCCCAACAATCAACAATTGAATAAAGAAATTGTGGTGTGTATATATATATATATATATATATATATATATATATATACACACACACCATTGAATACTACTCAGCCACAAAAAAGAAAGGAAACAATTGGCATTTGCAGAAACCTGGATGGAATTGGAGACCATTATTCTAAATGAAATAACTCAGGAATAGAAAACCAAACATCATATGTTCTCACTCATAAGTGGAAGCTAAGCTATGAGGATGCAAAGGCGTAAGAATGAGGAAATGGACTTTGGGGACTCGAGGGAAAGGAGGGGAGGGGGATGAGAGATAAAATATTACAGATTGGGTACAGTGTACACCGTTCAGGTGATGGGTGCACCAAAATCTTAAAAATCACCACTAAAGAATTTATTAATGTAAACAAACATCACCCATTCCCCCAAAACCTATTGAAATAAAAAACTGAAAACCTGCTAAGGATTGCACAGAAATGTAAAAAAAAAAAAAAAAAAAGAAAGAAATGAATTATGCTCAGTGTTTCAGGTAGCATGTTTTAAAAAGAGCTTTATTGATATATGATTTGCATACAGTACAATTCATCCATTTGAAATGTGCATACAGTCTAGGTGTGGTAGCTTACTCCTGTAATCCCAACACTCTGGGAGGCCGAGGCAGATGCGTCACTTGAGCCCAGAAGTTCAAGACCAGCCTGGGCAACATAGTGAAACCCCATCTCTACAAAAAATACAAAAATTAGCTGGGTGTGGTGGTACATGCCTGTAGTCCCTACAACTACCTGGGGGAATGAGGCAGGAGAATCACCTGGGCCTGGGATGTCAAAGCTGCAGTGAGCTGTGTTCATGCCACTGCACTCCAGCCTGGGTGACAAAGCTAGACTCTGTCTCAAAAAATATTAAATAAAATAAGTGTACCAAAAAATTGTTAAATATTTTAGAGATCACGAGAGTTAAAAAAATATATCTGTTTGCTGTAGACAGAATGGTGATAGATGTGAGTATAAATATAAGACAATCATAGTAGTTTTGATAAGATGCTAAGGGAAGTGTAGAAGAGAAGCAGCGAAGGATTTCACCATCTCTTCCAGTAATTAATTATGCCCAATGTGCATTAATCAGTCTTTCAGTGAAGCATGAGAAAATGGCATCTAAAAATTAAGGTTTCTTAAACCCACCCTTAGAAGCAAGTTTATCATTAGAGCAAATAATATAATCTTAAACATTTTTTACTCTTTCCCCTATAGAGATTTACCTTTCTGTTATTATTTACCTTTTTGTTAGAGATTTACCTTTTTGTTATTATTTCTTCTTATTAAATATATAGGTATATTTTTCTTAGTTGGCGCTTCCATATGTAAGGATTAGAGGATTATGGATAGTGTAGGAGAGTGAATATTTTCATATTTCTACATGGTTAGAGCTTTAAGATAAAAGAAAGCTAGAATTTGGATTGAAGGATAAATCTTAGCAGTTAAAAGATGACTGAACAAATAGTGAAAGATCATGAAAAAGATTTAAATATTTTATCTTCTTGGTGTTTACATTTCAAAGGATGAAATCCCTTTACATTCCAAAAGGACTTAAAACATTAGGGAGCAAAGATTTCTCTCCTTTTCTCAGGAAGACAGGGGGCACTGTGTAGATTATATTTAACTCCCACATTCATAGTTGGAGCTTTCTCTCCTGCAGTGCAAAAAATTCTTTGCACATACATGGCTCAGCTGGCCCTCACTGCATCACCCCAAAGAGGTAAGTATGAGACATCAAGAACTAATGTAGCTATTGCTATAAGTGATAACACTCTGTCCTTGATCTGGAAACTTAGTGTTTGCTTTGCCAATAATATAAGTAAATATAGGCAATAAAATTATATCAGATTGATCAAAAGTGATCTTTTTGACAAATAGGTGCCACAGATGGATTAAAAATTATCTAAGGAGAAATGGACACAAAAGAGTACCATGTACCTCTAAGAATGGCATCCATAGAATAAAGCTCAGAACAAATTGAGACTTGTGAAGAGTAATAGGAGCAATATAAAAGTATTTGTAGACATTTCTTAAGCAAGAAGATGAACAATGAAGGGGAAGAGTCTATAATGTTAAGAAAAGACAAAAAGAGAGTAGTCTGTTATTAAGGAAAATAACTTTCAAGCAAGGCACTTTAACAGTTAATTATAATAATACCTTTGTAGAATTTTAGAGTTTTTGGGTGAATGTTTGGCAGGTTCTAAAATTTTGCATCCCATTTATTATCAATAGTGTCTTGTGAATCAGGATAATTTTAGCCAAAACAGACTTGATTTTATTTCACATTTTAATCAGATGGAAAGCTATATGTATGAATTCGAACAACAGAATTATGATTCAAAATTATCTCAGCTAGGTAAGCCAAAAATAGAAGTTTGAATGTAACTGACAATTTTTCACATGGAGTTAGAAGACTACTTACAAAATAGAGGAACTAACAGTATATTTGAAGCTGTCTTTGGAATGAGAACCTAACTTATTTGTCATAAAAGATGGACTCTTAGCTAAAACATGGTGTTACAGGTTTTGGTCCCAGAAATATCACTCAATGGCTAAGACATGTAGAGGAAGACACAGAGTTGTCTAAGCCTATGACTTTTTCACTGTATGTATAATATCAAATTCAGGACAGTTTCAGAAGTGTGTTTGGTTATTGTCATTCCAGCTTTACAACATTGTCTCCGGTTTTAGAAGGTTCATTTTGGAAGAGACAATGGCAAACAAGAGAGTATCCTGAGAACAACAGCTAGGACATGGCAGAAACCAAAAGCTAAGTAATGAGACTCATTTGAAAATTGAGTACTTTTAGCCTAGAATGCAGAACACAATGAACAAGAGATATCCACATAAAACAACATTATATTGACATTAAAAGGTCATGCATATGAGGAAATACAGGTAAGAAATTTAAATTCAAATGAGGTTCCTGACAAAGGCTTATAATTTAAAAAAATTAAATGAGGTATATTAGTTGATTATATGAATTGAACATTTAGAAAACAATGACATAGATTAGAATAATTATAGTAACAAACACCTCAAATCCATTATTTTAATGCAAAACTGCTTGAATTAATTTTAAAAATTGGAAGTGTTACCTTATGGACAACCAGTTTTGCTACAGAGGAAAATGCTAGAACCAGCAAGTAGATGTCTGTAATATAGCGGCATAATTTAGACTAATAAAAGAAAATCTTTTAAACTCTGAAAAGAATTCCCTTAGAAAAGAGTGCCAAATCCCCGGAAGTGCTTAAGCTAAGGCTGGAAAACCATCTAACTGGAGATGGGATTTCTGTAAGATAACCTCTAAGACCTTTTCCAAATAAAATTCATTATTTTATTAAATAATGCAAGCCCATGTGGAGAAAAGGTCAAAAATACAGAAATATCCAAATATTATTAAAGTATCTAGTAAAATTTGTAAAGGATAATGTTAGAGTAGAATCTGGAAATCATGCTTCTGGAAAGATTTTCAGAAATGCAAGAATCAATGAATACTAAATGAATTTTGCAAGAAAATCATTGAAGCATGAAAAATAAACTTTTTGAAATAAAGCAAAATTCTACTTTAGGGCTTTCTCAGCATAGCTATAGATTTGTGGGTCAAAATTCCCAAATAACCAATATATTTAAAATCATCACATTTTAATATATCACTGTGAATATCATGTAATAAACAGAAATGTAATAGATTATTTATGCACAGGTTTATATGCCAATTCAGAAATAAATAGAATTTCCTCAGGTGTGATAGTACAAGCTTTAAAATGTAGGATAATTGGGAATTATTTCACTATTAAATGCAGTTTGTGTTAAATAGAATTTTCTCTCTCTGTTTAGCTGAAGGCCAAATTTATTTACTATTACCCTATTTTTTCATGATAATTTTTTCTTAATTTTTTTAATGTTTTATATCATTTGTCTTCATATGGGAATTGTGCTGGGACAAAGTGAACCATCATTGGTATTTCTTGCTTACAGATTCAGTGAATTTCATTTATTTATTCATTTAGTAAATATTTAATAGTCATCCAGAAATGTAGGATGCGAGGCCCTAACAACATTATGGTGAGCTGCTACTGAAAGCAACTGATAAAAATACAAGAAAAAGCTATTAAATGCTATTGTAAGGCATGTCCAGAATATTGCTGGTGTACATAGCAGTGGCCCTTGTCTAGCATGGCAAGATCTACCGCAAGGGGCAGTTAATGAAGAAAATGTGGTCTCATTTGGACTTAATATTTGAGGAAGAATTATCCAAGATAAAGGGGAAAGAGTATTCCAGATAAAGGAAAAAGCCCATAAGAAAGTCCAGAGGTAAGTAAGAACTGACAGGCACTAGGACCTGAAAGAATAAAATTGTGCTGAACATGCAGTGCATGGAGGTCAAAGGAGTTGGAAGGGTGATTGGGAGGGTGGGCATAAGACTACATAGTTGACTAAGGACAATGCTTTTTAAGGCATAGCAAGAAATTGGATCTTTATCCTGAAAGCAAAAGACATCAAAGATTTTCGTCCTCCTAAGGGGGGTATCGGAACGACATTTGCATTTTAGAAGAATAACTCTTTCTACACAGTGAAGAATGATTTTTTTTTTTTCTTTTTTTTGAGACGGAGTCTCGCTCTGTTGTCCAGGCTGGAGTGCAGTGGCACAATCTCAGCTCACTGCAACCTCTGCCTCCCAGGTTCAAGTGATCCTCCTGCCTCAGCCTCCCAAGTAGCTGGGACTACAGGCATGCACCACCACACCCAGATGATTTTTGTATTTTTAGTAGAGATGGGGTTTTACCATATTGGTCAGATTGGTCTTGAACTCCTGACCTCGTGATCCACATGCCTCAGCCTCCCAAAGTGCTAGGATTACAGGCATGAGCCACCGCACCTGGCCTGAAGAATGAATTTGAGAAGGTAAGACTGGTTCCAAGAAGATCCATTTGGGAGTCTATTACAGTCCATCATATGGATATGGTGGCTTTCATGAGCTTCATGATCCTGAGGATGAAGATCAATACACACACTTATGTTTTAAAGTAGAATTCATGAAACTTTGTTACTGGTTGACTTTGAGAGTGAGGGAAAAAGGGAGTCCAAGGTGATGACCAAGGTGGTTTCTTGGATAATTGAGAGGATGGTGGTGGTTCTAACAAAATGGGAAATACCAAACAAATTCACCTGGGAAAAGTGATCACTTTGGTTTTGAACATTTTGAGTTTGAGGCAGCTGAAATACTGAAATACAGATGTCAAGTAAGAAATTAGATACACAACTCTAGGCCTTAAGAAAAATCTGGCAGATCTATCAGCAACTAGGTCATTCCTGAAGCCATGGGAGTGTGCAAGATCCCCTAGAAACATGTGAAAATCAAAAAGCAGAGAAGACCTGGGGCAGATCCCTGGCAAATACCTTATGAGAATGGCAGAGGAAATATTGCCTAGAAAAGAGGTCACGAGTAAGCAAACAAAAAATTGTCAGAGTATATGAGGAAAGAATGTTTCAGAAGAAGGTTGTGGTTGACAATTTTAAGTGATTTTCTTAAAGGCCCTGTGATTTTCTGGGGTTGAGGTAACAAAATATCACAGAATTAGTGAATTAAACAAAAGAAATTTATTTTCTCACAGTTCTGGAGGTTGGAAGTCCAAAATCAAAGTGCCAGCAGGGTTGGTTTCTCCAGAGGCCTCTCTCTTTGGCTTGCAAGATGCCCATGTTCTTGTGTCCACACATGGCCTTTTTTTCTGTGCACACACATTCCTGGTGCCTCTTCCTCTTCTTATAAGGGCACTCATCATATTGGATTAGGACCCCACCTTTATGACCTCATTTAATCTTAATTACCTCTTTTTAAAACCTCTATCTCCAAATGCAGTCATATTAGGGTTAGGGTTTCAACCCATCAATTTTGATGAACATAATTTAATCAATAACAGGGTCCTAGTGGGAAATGGTGATGTTGGAATTATCTCTGACTTCCTTCATGATCTAGTTCAGGATTCTTTCCATTATAACACACTGTTTCTCTACATAATATTTAAGTTGTAATTTTATTACCCAACTCTAGCCATAACACTGTAAACTCTTTGTGTACCATGCTCCTATTTATTGTTACATCCCACAGTAACTACCATAGCATCAAGTAAAATGATGTATTAATTAAAGGATATATGTGAAGTAAAATCTAAGTTCAGCCATTTCTGTGTAAATTAAGATTTCAGTTGGTTATGATGGCCCTTACTAATTATCTTCAGTGCTATGTGCCCGTTTATAAACTGTAAATAAATATAAACTCGTCATCTCTTTGGAGGAATAAAGCCAAGATGTTTAAGAAGACAGAAGTCAAACTAAAAGCTGGTAAAAGAGTGCAAGAGAGAATATATACAATATATTAACTCTACTTCATCCAATGTCCACTCATTTACTCCGTTTCTGAACCATTTTACTTCATAGGAGAGCAATGCTGGAGATTATATGTTGAGAAATGGTAGGCTTAAGTGTAAAGGATGGGTGGCAGGAAATAAAGGAGTGGTTCAACTTTGGGATGCTACAATTTGTAAACAAAAAGTAATGACAATTGACAACTTGGTGGCACAGAAATTAATATTAGAGCCCTGAGAAAAAATAAAGTATGAGTGACATATTTCAATTTCCCTAGAGGAAATTTCCTTTTAGATTTTCTCCCATGACCCACATCTTCCATTTTCTTTCAACATTCACTTTGGTCAGAATTGAGAAGCAAAGAGCTAAATCCATTATTGGAGGAAAGGTTAAGAAAAGATTTAAAATATGGGTGAGGGTGAAGGTCAGAAGTATCAAGGATGCAAATTCAGTGTATCAGATAATAATAGAAAGCCACATGTAAAACACAAGCCAGGAAATGACTTTATGTGTTACCGTGCTAAAACCGTCATTTTCGTATTAAGAAACATGTTCTTTACTAGCCACAGGAAAAGCTCCTTGCTACTTTTGCTGGCTGGAATGTAAGATACACATTTCATTGGTCTCTGTTCCTGAAATCTGTGGCTTGAAACTTGGAGGGAGGAAAGGTCATTAGATTTAGCTGGCCTACAATAATACTCCATAAACCAGTTTCAATTGTCAAGCAAAACCTTTGGCGTGGGATCTAAAAACCTGTAATTCACTGGAATGAATTAATTGACATCTTTTAAAATATTAAATTTATTTTCAGGTTTTATGAAAATGTGTAGTTTCCATGAAAACAAGACTGTATTTTAAAAGAAAAGTATTATTTTAAGGCTGGCATTGGATTTTAAGACATTTTGTATTTTACATAATTTGATAAATTTGACATATTTATCAGTTATTATCCCTTATCCCTCACTTCCATCCAGGTGTAAGATTTCAATTTCTTAAACACCAAGCAAAATTTTAAGAAAAAGAGTTGTTGAAACTTTAAAATTTGCTAATCCCAATGTAGAAAGGTTCCTATCTACTTCCCTATTTCCAGTATATTTCTGGATATGTATGGCTATAACTCCTCTACTTTATCTGTCAACTGATAAGATCAGGATTTGTTTTGAGATTCCAAGACAGTGTATGTAAGGAAAATATTCTTTTATCTTTGGATGCTTAATGGTATTCAGAACAGACATTTTTCTCACACATGAGCTCTTACGTGTTTGAACTTTTTGTCTTGATCTAATGTAATGTGCGCCTCTGAGGTGCGTGCTGAGGAAAGGAATTGGTAAAGCATGAAACGGCCATTGTAGGGAGTTCAGTATTTAAGTGACATTGCTAACAAAGAGGATTTCTCTCTCACCTACAGACCTTTCAGTTGATCTTGTGCCTTCAAACCTCTCCAGATTCAAAATAAAGTAGCCATTCTTTCTACTTAATCAATAATTAAGTATTGTCAATAATTTGTAGATAAACATTGGAGTCCTGCTGTAAAAACTTATGCCATACAGACTTAGAACAAGGAAGATAAAGTCCTTTTGACTTCTTGGAGCACTTAGCTGAATGTCATAACCTGTTTAAACGATATGGATCTGCCTATTGTAGGACAACCCCCTGCAACAAGGAATTTGATATTTCTGGAGTAGGTTTCAGCTCTCAGAATATTTACTTGTAGATGTGCGTATGAATTCTAAGTGTAACTACAGAGACTATACAGATGGTCCCTGATTTATGATGGTTTGGCTTACAATTGTTTGACTTTATGATGGTGCAACAGCAATAAATATTCAGTGAAAACCATACTTAGAATTTTGAGTTTTGTACTTTTCCAGGGCTAGCTATATGTGTTACTATACTCATACATGAGATATTCAACACTTTATTATAAAATGGGCTTTGTGTTAGATCATTTTGCCCAACTATAGGCTAATGTAAGTGTTGTGGGCATGTTTAAAATAGGCTAGGCTAAGCTAAGCTATAATGTTTGATAAGTTACATGTATTAAGTGCATTTTCAACTTATGATATTTTCAACTTATGATGAGTTTCTGGGATGTAACCCTATTGTAAGTCAGGAAGTATCTGTATAAATAGACATAAAATTATTGTTTGTTTTTAGAATATTTGTTTTTCTCTTTTGCTCTGCAGAAGACCTAAAGATATTTGGTTTTTGGCTGGCTGCTAGGATCACCTGGGGAGCCTCCAGAAAATCCGATGCCTGAGACCCACATCCCAAGATTCTCATCATGTTAGATTATGACAAAGATATTTTTAAGCTCCCGAGTATTTTTAATGTGCACTTAAGGTTAATAAACACTGCCTTGGGCTATTGTTCAAAGTAAAATCCCTTTATCCCCATGGCAACTCCTACTTCTTACATTTTGATTTAGACTTAGAGATGCCTGAGTTTGAGTTCACACTTAGCCGCCCTAATTGGGTCAGACCTTGTTCATTTCTAAGGCTTAGATTACTTTATGTGAAATATGGAAAATAATAATAGCTATCTTGTGGGACTATTGGGAAGATTAAATGAGATTCTCCAATTTGAAGAGCTTGACCTAGAGTAAGTCCCAAATGCATAAGCTGTTACTCCTGTTACTGTTGCTGTTTTACTTTCCTGAATATTAATCATGCTATTCAGACATTTCAAATACTTGCATTCTCCTCCTCACAGAGTAAAGCCAGGTTCCTTCCTAAGTCCCCAAGATGGTCTCACTTCTTGCCAGCACTTTTAATGAAAACCTTCTTTCCATATAACAAATATGTTTTTGAATTGCTCTCTTAGGCTTCTGTGGCTAACTGAAATGTAAGCCACATTTCAGATAAAAATATGGCAATCAGTTTCTACTTTGCACTATGCATTTTCAGGTATATTTGTCCATGTGAGACTAAAATTGTGAAGTCAGGGTCCAAGTCCAATTCTTCATGTTTACATAACATCTAGCCTAATGTATTGCACAGAGTAAATGCTTAGGACAAGTAAGTGAATGAACGAATCAATAAATTAATTGTGAATCTAGTAACCCATGCAGATCACGTCTTACTTTGTGGACTTTTAGTATCTGGAAAAGCAACCCGCAATGAAAAGTCATGCTAGCTCCTATCACACTGTATAGTGATATTCTTTGTTTCTTGTCAGCTAAAAGCTTAGTGATGGCATAAGATTTGTATATACTCCCTTTCTCCTAGGAGAATTTCTTCCATATAGTATATGCCCAGTAAATATCTGCAGCAGAACAAAAATTATTTATAAATAAATGCTTGGGAGATAATCTCTCCTCTGCCAAATATTTCCTGAGCTTTATAATCCATGTGGCTATTTTTCACTCTTTGGGCAATTCTGTTCTGCATCTCTCAAGTCAGTGTATTTGTGCATGGTGCTTTGTCCTTTCATTGTTTCAGGAGTAGGGGTGTGTGTGTGTGTGTGTGTGTGTGTGTATGCTTCCTCCTCTAAACTAGATGATAACTTCCTCGAGAGGGCACTAAAGCTTTTCCTTCTTTATATCACTCATGCTACTTAGCCAAGGTCTGGACACGTGCTGAATTAATAATTGTTTGTTGAGTGCTTTATTCTCAGGCAGCAAAGAGAAACATATTGTTGTTATTATCTTTTCCATTTTCCACTTGAGTTTTATGCTATAAGAAAACCTAAGAAGTCACATTCCATAGGGAAATCTTGGAGGAGATTAGATCCTCATTTACATGGGTCAGAGACAGTTTTGGGGGCTGCATGGAAGAGAGGGAATGCACAGTCTGACCCCAAGCCCTGTCCAGCTCTGTCTCAGAGACCTCAGCAAGGGAGTAAACAGGGTCTTAATGAATTCTGCAGATGATACTAAAATGGGAAATGTTGGAATAATAAAATGAGCCCTAGCAAAGAAAATAAAATAGGTTCAACTTGGAAAAAAGAACTAACACATCTAGGGGAAAAATAATTCAAAACACAGGTTCAGATTGAGGGACAAACCTGGAAAACAGCACATGCAGCAGGCTATCCTCGCATAGTCCAAAGTCTGGGTTGACATTTCAGTGCACTCCTTTCTCTAACTTGCCCTCATCTCTGAAGGGGTGAAACTTTTCTATGGTTCTGATAACATTTGAAGCTGAAATTATCATATTCCAAATTCAGGAATTTTAGGTCCTTTTGACATAAACAAATGTAAATGAGATCCAATGTCCAGATGTAAATAATGAAACTGAAAAAGGAAGATTTTAAGTATTTATTCATAATGATAGATTCCCAGAGCAGAACAAGAACAGATTATCAGAACAAAAACCCATGTGGGAAAACATACCCTAAAAAATAATATTAACACCCTGCCACAGATTCACTCCCATTTATGGCCACAGAACAAGGACCCTTATTTTAGAAAGAGATGAATTTAGGATGTTCTTCAGTGTTTCAGGAAGTATTATATTGAATCCTTCCCCATCTCCACAGAATACCTTATTGATAACATCACTACTGGCCCTTTCGTGGCCTTTTGCTCTCGACGTCAGATAGTCATGGCACTTTCACATCTTCTACTAAGGCAGAGGGAGAGAAACTACACTTCTGTTAGTTCTGAGATACTTTGGTCTTATTAACAATGGAAACATTCTGTAACATAAAATGGTTTCTACCTAGCCTCACAAATAATCTTCAAAAATCTATTACAGTTTCAGTCATTTTTACTCATATTATGTTTAATCATTTCAGTCCATCCATATCAATAGTTATTAGGTTGGTGCCATTTTCAATGGCAAAAACCACAATCACTTTTGCACCAACCTAATAAAAGGAGCATAAGAATCTCTCTGTCCCTTGTAAGTTGGATTCCTAGGTATTTTATTCTCTTTGAAGCAATTGTGAATGGGAGTTCACTCATGATTTGGCTCTCTGTTTGTCTGTTGTTGGTGTATAAGACTGCTTGTGATTTTTGTACATTGATTTTGTATCCTGAGACTTTGCTGAAGTTGCTTATCAGCTTAAGGAGATTTTGGGCTGAGACGATGGGGTTTTCTAGATAAACAATCATGTCGTCTGCAAACAGGGACAATTTGACTTCCTCTTTTCCTAATTGAATACCCTTTATTTCCTTCTCCTGCCTGATTGCCCTGGCCAGAACTTCCAACACTATGTTGAATAGGAGCGGTGAGAGAGGGCATCCCTGTCTTGTGCCAGTTTTCAAAGGGAATGCTTCCAGTTTTTGCCCATTCAGTATGATATTGGCTGTGGGTTTGTCATAGATAGCTCTTATTATTTTGAAATACGTCCCATCAATACCTAATTTATTGAGAGTTTTTAGCATGAAGGGTTGTTGAATTTTGTCAAAGGCCTTTTCTGCATCTATTGAGATAATCATGTGGTTTTTGTCTTTGGCTCTGTTTATATGCTGGATTACATTTATTGATTTGCGTATATTGAACCAGCCTTGCATCCCAGGGATGAAGCCCACTTGATCATGGTGGATAAGCTTTTTGATGTGCTGCTGGATTTGGTTTGCCAGTATTTTATTGAGGATTTTTGCATCAATGTTCATCAAGGATATTGGTCTAAAATTCTCTTTTTTGGTTGTGTCTCTGCCCGGCTTTGGTATCAGAATGATGCTGGCCTCATAAAATGAGTTAGGGAGGATTCCCTCTTTTTCTATTGATTGGAATAGTTTCAGAAGGAATGGTACCAGTTCCTCCTTGTACCTCTGGTAGAATTCAGCTGTGAATCCATCTGGTCCTGGACTCTTTTTGGTTGGTAAACTATTGATTATTGCCACAATTTCAGAGCCTGTTATTGGTCTATTCAGAGATTCAACTTCTTCCTGGTTTAGTCTTGGGAGAGTGTATGTGTCGAGGAATGTATCCATTTCTTCTAGATTTTCTAGTTTATTTGCGTAGAGGTGTTTGTAGTATTCTCTGATGGTAGTTTGTATTTCTGTGGGATCGGTGGTGATATCCCCTTTATCATTTTTTATTGTGTCTATTTGATTCTTCTCTCTTTTTTTCTTTATTAGTCTTGCTAGCGGTCTATCAATTTTGTTGATCCTTTCAAAAAACCAGTTCCTGGATTCATTGATTTTTTGAAGGGTTTTTTGTGTCTCTATTTCCTTCAGTTCTGCTCTGATTTTAGTTATTTCTTGCCTTCTGCTAGCTTTTGAATGTGTTTGCTCTTGCTTTTCTAGTTCTTTTAAATGTGATGTTAGGGTGTCAATTTTGGATCTTTCCTGCTTTCTCTTGTAGGCATTTAGTGCTATAAATTTCCCTCTACACACTGCTTTGAATGCGTCCCAGAGATTCTGGTATGTGGTGTCTTTGTTCTCGTTGGTTTCAAAGAACATCTTTATTTCTGCCTTCATTTCGTTATGTACCCAGTAGTCATTCAGGAGCAGGTTGTTCAGTTTCCATGTAGTTGAGCGGCTTTGAGTGAGATTCTTAATCCTGAGTTCTAGTTTGATTGCACTGTGGTCTGAGAGATAGTTTGTTATAATCTCTGTTCTTTTACATTTGCTGAGGAGAGCTTTACTTCCAACTATGTGGTCAATTTTGGAATAGGTGTGGTGTGGTGCTGAAAAAAATGTATATTCTGTTGATTTGGGGTGGAGAGTTCTGTAGATGTCTATTAGGTCTGCTTGGTGCAGAGCTGAGTTCAATTCCTGGGTATCCTTGTTGACTTTCTGTCTCGTTGATCTGTCTAATGTTGACAGTGGGGTGTTAAAGTCTCCCATTATTAATGTGTGGGAGTCTAAGTCTCTTTGTATGTCACTCAGGACTTGCTTTATGAATCTGGGTGCTCCTGTATTGGGTGCATAAATATTTAGGATAGTTAGCTCCTCTTGTTGAATTGATCCCTTTACCATTAAGTAATGGCCTTCTTTGTCTCTTTTGATCTTTGTTGGTTTAAAGTCTGTTTTATCAGAGACTAGGATTGCAACCCCTGCATTTTTTTGTTTTCCATTGGCTTGGTAGATCTTCCTCCATCCTTTTATTTTGAGCCTATGTGTGTCTCTGCACGTGAGATGGGTTTCCTGAATACAGCACACTGATGGGTCTTGACTCTTTATCCAACTTGCCAGTCTGTGTCTTTTAATTGCAGAATTTAGTCCATTTATATTTAAAGTTAATATTGTTATGTGTGAATTTGATCCTGTCATTATGATGTTAGCTGGTGATTTTGCTCATTAGTTGATGCAGTTTCTTCCTAGTCTCGATGGTCTTTATATTTTGGCATGATTTTGCAGTGGCTGGTACCGGTTGTTCCTTTCCATGTTTAGCGCTTCCTTCAGGAGCTCTTTTAGGGCAGGCCTGGTGGTGACAAAATCTCTCAGCATTTGTTTGTCTATAAAGTATTTTATTTCTCCTTCACTTATGAAGCTTAGTTTGGTTGGATATGAAATTCCTCTTCAAGGAGAACTACAAACCACTGCTCAAGGAAATAAAAGAGGACACAAACAAATGGAAGAACATTCCATGCTCATGGGTAGGAAGAATCAATATCGTGAAAATGGCCATACTGCCCAAGGTAATTTACAGATTCAATGCCATCCCCATCAAGCTACCAATGACTTTCTTCACAGAATTGGAAAAAACTACTTTAAAGTTCATATGGAACCAAAAAAGAGCCCGCATCGCCAAGTCAATCCTAAGCCAAAAGAACAAAGCTGGAGGCATCACGCTACCTGACTTCAAACTATACTACAACACTACAGTAACCAAAACAGCATGGTACTGGTACCAAAACAGAGATATAGATCAATGGAACAGAACAGAGCCATCAGAAATAATGCCGCATATCTACAACTATCTGATCTTTGACAAACCTGAGAAAAACAAGCAATGGGGAAAGGATTCCCTATTTAATAAATGGTGCTGGGAAAACTGGCTAGCCATATGTAGAAAGCTGAAACTGGATCCCTTCCTTACACCTTATACAAAAATCAATTCAAGATGGATTAAAGATTTAAACATTAGACCTAAAACCATAAAAACCCTAGAAGAAAACCTAGGCATTACTGTTCAGGACATAGGCGTGGGCAAGGAATTCATGTCCAAAACACCAAAAGCAATGGCAACAAAAGCCAAAATTGACAAATGGGATCTAATTAAACTAAAGAGCTTCTGCACAGCAAAAGAAACTACCATCAGAGTGAACAGGCAACCTACAACATGGGAGAAAATTTTCGCAACCTACTCATCTGACAAAGGGCTAATATCCAGAATCTACAATGAACTCAAACAAATTTACAAGAAAAAAACAAACAACCCCATCAAAAAGTGGGCAAAGGACATGAACAGACACTTCTCAAAAGAAGACATTTATGCAGCCAAAAAACACATGAAAAAATGCTCACCATCACTGGCCATCAGAGAAATGCAAATCAAAACCACAATGAGATACCATCTCACACCAGTTAGAATGGCAATCATTAAAAAGTCAGGAAACAACAGATGCTGGAGAGGATGTGGAGAAATAGGAACACTTTTACACTGTTGGTGGGACTGTAAACTAGTTCAACCATTGTGGAAGTCAGTGTGGCGATTCCTCAGGGATCTAGAACTAGAAATACCATTTGACCCAGCCATCCCATTACTGGGTATATACCCAAAGGACTATAAATCATGCTGCTATAAAGACACATGCACACGTATGTTTATTGCGGCACTATTCACAATAGCAAAGACTTGGAACCAACCCAAATGTCCAACAATGATAGACTGGATTAAGAAAACGTGGCACATATACACCATGGAATACTATGCAGCCATAAAAAATGATGAGTTCATGTCCTTTGTAGGGACATGGATGAAATTGGAAACCATCATTCTCAGTAAACTATCACAAGAACAAAAAACCAAACACCACATATTCTCACTCATAGGTGGGAATTGAACAATGAGATCACATGGACACAGGAAGGGGAATATTACACTCTGGGGACTGTGGTGGGGTCGGGGGAGGGGGGAGGGATAGCATTGGGAGATATACATAATGCTAGATGACACGTTAGTGGGTGCAGCGCACCAGCATGGCACATGTATACATATGTAACTAACCTGCACGATGTGCACATGTACCCTAAAACTTAGAGTATAATAAAAAAAAATAAATAAATAAATAAAATAAATAAAAATAAAAATTAAAAAAAAATTGCGCAAAACAGAATGTATAAGCCCCCATCCTCCCTACTCCTGTAACTCCTACTCCCGCAGTTAATGTTTGTACCTATATTTCCAAAAGTTTTTATATATATACAAAAAATAATTATTTACAGAAATGAGATTAATACACTATTGTGAAACTTTCTCTTTTTGCTTAATAAATTGTCATCATCTTTCCATGTCGTGTTAAACAGATACTTTATTATTTTTAAAAGCAGCTTAGTAATCTTTTATGTATATATTGTATATACCATTACTTATTTAATAATTTCATTGTTGATATTTCGATTATTTCCAATTCCTTATTGTGAACAATAATGTAATAAATGTCTTTGTATATATATAAAAAAAAAAATCTCTCTGTCCCAAGTAGATCTGGAATCTCACACAGGTTCAGATTAGCATGAAAACTAGACAAAAAGAAAATACAGACCAACTATATTAATATTTTCATCATTAGACCATAGCCCAATTCTTTATTTGCTCCACCGTGATTTATTTTAGGTCAAGGATATGAGACTTCAATTATTTTCAAGTATTCTAAGGAAAAAATCATTTGTCCTCATTACTTTATAAGTAAGAACCCTCATAATTTCCAAATGTTAATATATTTGAGTGAGAGTGATAACAAGGCATATTTTTATTCTTTTAAGAAATATTCAGACTAAAATTTATTTGCTAATTAAAAAGCCATCCTGGACTTGCACTTCTGACCAAGACAAAGTAAACAACACCAGACTTAGCTTGTTTCCTGAAACAATAAAAAATAAGCAAAACATATGAGGAAGGTTTCATAAGACACTACACATCAGACAATAAAGAACACTTGTACCTGAGAAATGGGAAACAAACAAATGAGACCTACAATTGCCCCAACATATTAATTTAGGAGACTTTTTGGGTCACAATTCAGGAAGAATAAACTAATACTGAGCCTAGCAAACTGCTTAAGATAAAACAGACCCGAAATTCTGTAGAAAATAACACAGCTGGGATTCACAGGAAACATTTTCAGAGAGATATTTGCAGAGAGCTAATTCTGGAGTTTGGGAGAGGATCTATCTGGAGTATTTAGTTGAGCGTTGATTAGGAAATTTGTGTAAGGAAACTACCCTAGTCAGCAAAACAAAACAAAGCAAAATACACCTAAAAAGATGAAGACAACAGAGCTCAGTAATCATACAGAGACAGGAATAATATCTGTTCCCACTATCTAGATTTGAAAACATCAGTAGTCACAGGCCATTGTGTAGAGTACACAAAGTGGTTTTGCCTCAATCATGGGAAATAATTAGCCCTAGCCTAATTACTTTAGTCCTACCTAACACATGTTAGAAACAAACAAAAAGTCAATTGTTTTTATGTTACTTAACTTTATTGTAGAACAGAGCTTAACATTTTTGGAACATCTAGAATATTTGTAGCAATACAAAAATATTCAGCGTCCAACAAGATAAAATTTATAATGTTTAAAATCCAATTAAAAAGTTACCAGGTTTACAACAAAGCAGTGAAATATGAATCATAATGAGGCCTAATCAATAAAAACCAATCCAGAACTGACATTGATATTAAATAATAGATAAGGATATTAAAACTGGTATTATAAATATATTGTAATGCTTGAAATTTTAAATAGAGATATGGAAAATATTCAAAAACTAAATTTCTAGAAATGAAAACTGCAATGTATAAGATGAAAAAATGCACTGGATGAAATTAGATATTGCAGAAGTAAAGATAGTAAACTTGAAAGAACAGCCATAGGAACTATCTGAAATGAAAACCAGAGAAACGAAGACAGCAACAATAAGCTTTGTGAAAAATTCAAGTGGCTTCATGTGCTTATACTTTTAGTCCTGGAAGAAGAAACATCTAAGACAAAACACACATTCAAAACTAATGGGCAAAAGTTTTTCAATATTCAATTTGCAATTTGAAAAAGTCTAAAACTTCATAGATTTAACAATCCCAATGAAGCACAAGAACAAGAAACAAAAAGAAAACTGCACCAGGGCAAATCAAAATTAAGTTGCTCATAACCAGTGAGAAAGAGAAAATCATAAATTGAGCAAATGAAGACATACAGAAGAATAAAGATAGGAATGAAAGAATATTTCTTGTTTTTAAAAAAATGAAATTGGCCACGCACGGTGGCTCACGCCTGTAATCCCAGCACTTTGGGAGGCCAAGGTGGGCGGATCATGAGGTCAGGAGATCAAGACCACGGTGAAACCCCGTCTCTACTAAAAATGCAAAAAATTAGCCGGGCGTGGTGGCGGGTGCCTGTAGTCCCAGCTACTTGGGAGGCTAAGGCAGGAGAATGGCGTGAACCCCAGAGGTGGAGCTCGCAGTGAGCCGAGATCGCACCACTGCATTCCAGCCTGGGGGACAGAGCGAGACTCTGTCTCAAAAAACAAAAACAAAAACAAAAAAAAAACAAAATTGAGAGGATAGTGAAGCAACATTTTTAAAGTAGTAAAAGACAGAAACTGTAATCCAGAATCAAAGAAAATCAATAATACTTTAATTTAAAAATATAGAGAAACTAAATAAAACCTGAGTCTAGTTCTTTGAGAAAATCAATGAAATTAATACACATCTAGTCAGATATCAGAAAAAAAGTGAGACAGTAGATATGTTACCAATTTATACCCAAGAATGACAAAAGTGGCATTGTATACCCAATAATGAGAAAAGTAGTTCTATAGATATTAAAGGATAGTAAGAGAACATTATGAACAACTTAATGTCGATAACTACAAATTATTGAAATGGAAAAATTCCTTGAAAGATACAACTGCTTTAATTTACTCAGCTCACCTGAGCTAACTCAAGAAGAAATAGATGACATGAGCTGTATCTATTAGAGGAACTAAAATTTAATTTAAAAAATCAAAAACTAAAAAAACTGTATACAAAAAACTCCAGGACAATATACCTTCACTGGTGCATTCTTTAAACAAAGAAAAACTAATAATCTGTTAGTTTGAAACTCTTCCAAAAAAAGAATGAAGAGGAAATAGTATTTTCTAACTCATTCTATGTGGCCAGGATTACTCTGCTATCCAATCCAGAAAAATACAGAAAAGAGAACTATGACAAATATTCCTCATATATATAGATGCAAAATTTCTAAACAAAATGTTAGCGAGTCTCTGATAGCCAGTGATGGTGAGCATTTTTTCATGTGTTTTTTGTCTGCATAAATGTCTTCTTTTGAGAAGTGTCTGTTCATGTCCTTTGCCCACTTTTTGATGGGGTTGTTTGTTTTTTTCTTGTAAATTTGTTTGAGTTCATTGTAGATTCTGGATATTAGCCCTTTGTCAGATGAGTAGGTTGTGAAAATTTTCTCCCATTTTGTAGGTTGCCTGTTCACTCTGATGGTAGTTTCCTTTGCTGTGCAGAAGCTCTTTAGTTTAATTAGATCCCATTTGTCAATTTTGGCTTTTGTTTCCATTGCTTTTGGTGTTTTAGACATGAAGTACTTGCCCATGCCTATGTCCTGAATGGTAATGCCTAGGTTTTCTTCTAGGGTTTTTATGGTTTTAAGTCTAAAGTTTAAGTCTTTAATCCATCTTGAATTAATTTTTGTATAAGGTGTAAGGAAGGGATCCAGTTTCAGCTTTCTACATATGGCTAGCCAGTTTTCCCAGCACCATTTATTAAATAGGGAATCATTTCCCCATTGCTTGTTTTTCTCAGGTTTGTCAAAGATCAGATAGTTGTAGATATGCGGTGTTATTTCTGAGGTCTCTGTTGTGTTCCATTGATCTATATCTCTGTTTTGGTACCAGTACCATGCTGTTTTGGTTACTGTAGCGTTGTAGTATAGTTTGAAGTCAGGTAGCGTGATGCCTCCAGCTTTGTTCTTTTGGCTTAGGATTGACTTGGCGATGCGGGCTCTTTTTTGATGTCATATGAATTTTAAAGTAGTTTTTTCCAATTCTTTGAAGAAAGTCATTGGTAGCTTGATGGGGGTGGCATTGAATCTATAAATTACCTTGGGCAGTATGGCCATTTTCACGATATTGATTCTTCCTACCCATAAGCATGGAATGTTCTTCCATTTGTTTGTATCCTCTTTTATTTCACTGAGCAGTGGTTTACCATCTCACACCAGTTAGAATGGCAATCATTAAAAAGTCAGGAAACAACAGGTGCTGGAGAGGATGTGGAGAAATAGGAACACTTTGACACTGTTGGTGGGACTGTAAACTAGTTCAACCATTGTGGAAGTCAGTGTGGTGATTCCTCAGGGATCTAGAACTAGAAATACCATTTGACCCAGCCATCCCATTACTGGGTATATACCCAAAGGATTATAAATCATGCTGCTATAAAGACACATGCACATGTATGTTTATTGCGGCACTATTCACAATAGCAAATACTTGGAACCAACCCAAATGTCCAACAATGATAGACTGGATTAAGAAAATGTGGCACATATACACCATGGAATACTATGCAGCCATAAAAAAGGATGAGTTCATGTCCTTTTTAGGGACATGGATGAAATTGGAAATCATCATTCTCAGTAAACTATTGCAAGAACAAAAAACCAAACACCACATATTCTCACTCATAGGTGTGAATTGAACAATGAGAACACATGGACACAGGAAGGGGAACATCACACTCTGGGGACTGTTGTGGGGTGGGGGGAGGGGGGAGGGATAGCTTTAGGAGATATACCTAATGCTAAATGATGAGTTAATGGGTGCAGCACACCAGCATGGCACATGTATACATATGTAACTAATCTGCACATTATACACATGTACCCTAAAACTTAAAGTATAATAATAATTAAAAAAAAGTTAGCAAGTCAAATACAACAATATATAAAATGCTAATACTTTATGACCAAGTAGGGTTTATCTTAGAAATGCAAAGTTGGTCAAAGATCTAAAAATCAATCCATCTAATTTAGCATATTAATAAACCATATAGATACAAAATCATTTCAGTAGATGTAGAAAAAGTATTTAACAAAATTAAATATCTACTTCTGATTTTTAAAAACCATGCAGCAGAACAGGAATAGGAAATTTTTAACCTAACAAAGGACAGATGAGGAAGCTAACATTACACTTTGTAATGAAAGACGGAGTGTTTCCTGTAAGTTTAAGACAAAGAGTGTAATGCCTACTCATTATTACTTAATGTCATACTGGAGGTTCTAGCAAGGACTATAAGATAAGAAAAATAAAACTCATTCAAATATGAAATAAATACAATTGTCACTATTCACAGATTATATGAAAGTCTCTATAGAATTTCCAAAGCAATACAAAAATACTACCAAAAATAAGTGAACTTAACAAGACTGATTAAATGAGACCCAAGATCAACAGGCAAAAATCAATTGCATTTCTATATACTAGCAACAAACTGTAAGTAATTGAAATTAATAATAATTGCCACTTACAATAGCATCAAAAATATGAAATATTTAGTGATGATTTTGACAAAAATCATCAAGTGAAATACTCATGCAGAGAAAATTACAAAACATTGCTGAGAGAGATAACTCTGGTCATTAACAGAGAAATATACCACCAGGTTCATGGTTCAGAAGACTCAATATTATTAAGACATCAATTATCCTCAGATTGAGCTTTACATGCAGTACAATCTCAACCAAAATCCCAAATGTTCTTTAAACACAGCAGAAAAACTAATTCTAAAATGTATATGGATATGCAAATGAAGAGTCAAGCACACTTCAAAAAGAACATTATAAGACCCAAACTACCTGATTTCAAATGTTATTAAAGCTACTATAATCTAGGCTGTGTGGTATGAGTATTAAGGTAAATTAGTAAAACAGAAAAGTCCAAAGTAAATCAATACTTTTATAGGACAGCTGATTTTTGACCAAGATATAAAGCAATGCAGTAAATAAATAATAGTTTTATCAATAAGTTATATTGCTACAATTAGATATTCACGTGCAAAAAAAAAGCTTTATCTGAATATAAAGATTAACTCAAAAAGGATAAAAGAAATATAAGTACATTTCAAACATATTAAAAAATTTATAGAAGCCTTTATGACTTTTGATTAGGCACACATTTCTTACATATGACATGATCCATAAAAGAACAAATTGGTTAATCAGAATTTCACCGAAATTAAAAACCCTCCTTCAAAAAGCCTGTGAAGACACTGAAAATAAATTATGCCATCATTTATTGTTTTTAAAGTACGTATAACTAAACAAACCTAGTCATCACCCTCCTGAAAAGGGAGTTAAAGGAAAAATTGAATATAAACTACTATTCAAAATAGTATCAAGAAGTCTAAAAAATATTAAGTGATATAAAAAGCAGTTTGTTAATTCTGAAGATGAAGAAAAAAATTGCGTTGAGGACAAAATAATTTCAAGAAAAATAGGTTGTAAGCTGGTCTTAAATAAATATTAGGATTCAGACACACAGACAATAGTAAAATTTTCCTGAGGAAACGTAGGCATCAATTAGTGTATGGAGATGAGACTACACATAAAGATTGGGGAAAAAATTCTGACTGGTGTTTGCTTTAAAAAGCTGAGGAAGTGGCTTATTATGTGATTGTGCAGGGTCTTGAATGCTAGGCAAAATTGTCTAGGTTTTATTCTACATTCATTGGAGAACCAACAGAAAGCTGAGGCCAAATGTAGTCAAATCAGTTATTAGAAATTACTTTGACTACTGTTTGTAGTGTGGTTTAGCAGGTGTAATAGCAAGAGATACAGAAACCAAAAGGACTTTTTACGAAAATGATAAATGAAATTTTTCTTCCACTGTTTGTCAGAAAATGACCTCATATTTATTGCAGTTTTTAAGTAAATTACATTGTATAATTTTATTTGGCTAGTTGACTTAGCTACTATATTAATGCCAAAATTGTCTTTTGTTAGAATTTAATGAATTTCAAGTGTTTGAAAAAGTTTTATCTTTTCACAAATAAATCCACCTCTTGCTGCTATTTTTATTGAATTAAGTATTATGTAAATCCCTTACGACATCAACTATTTCCTGAGAAGTCATCAAAGTGTGAGCGGAATCTGAAAAAATTTTTCTATAATGTAGGTTAGTTCAATGGTTAGTCTAATTTCATATTTCGGGTATAAATTCCCTAAAAATCCAAGGCTCAATGAATATATTGAGTGGCTCCTGAATCAAAATTAGGAAAAAAAGTTTCTGTACTCTTCTACCTACCTCCTCAGTAGAGATCTTGGTCCAATAAATTTTGTTAATACATCCTCCCTTTTGTTACCCAGAATAAGACACTGTTAACAATGCTTACCCAGTAATAACTCTTATCTCCTTTCCTATTAAAGAGTCACTTGATGATAAACTGCATCCTTTTTGTTTATAATATTTTAGCTTCAACTTTACCCTAGATTTTATATAGGATTTACGTATTCTTTGTGTTTTTTCAGATTCAATGAACCCAGCCATGTAAATAAGGCATAGCTGATAATTACAAGGTCAGAATGAGTATATAACTGTTTTTAAGACATAATGCTAGAGACATTAAACTAACATTTTTATATTAACATTTGTATATTTTTATATATTTTTATATGCATGCTAAACAACAAGGCTGCTCTATTTTAGCAGAACTGGCAGACATTTAGAGAAAAACCTTTACAGTGAAATAAACCCAATATGAATCCTATTTTAGCTGTGTAACTTTGAGCATGTTATTTTTTTCTGAGTTTCAGTTTCCTCTTATAAAATATGCATTATAATAGTGCCTCTACAAAATAAGATGGTTGAAGACATTAAAGGAGATGTAATATTTAGCACAAAATCTGAATAGAGTTTACACATATAATTATTGTATGTGTATTGTTGTTGTTAGTATCTAATTATCATGCACATCCTGGATCTATCTAAAACTCTTCATGAACAGCTCTGAGTTTCAGTGTATTATTGTAAAAATAAAAGACTTATGATAGAATATGTAATAACTATAATTTTAATGATGATGACATTGAATGACTTTATAAACTGGCACATATAAATTAGTTTTATCTTAAAGCTAAAAACAATTAGTTAAAGGTAAATAGTAGTTACATAGACTGGGAGGGCAGCTAGTCCAAAATTAAGATGTAATCTTCATGCATAAGTACATCTTACAAATGTTTGAACTGGGAAAGGGAGAACTCTCGATATTAAACATAAGCATTGGAGGTTTTTAATCATCGAAGCTCAAGTACATTCGAGGGACATAATAGAACAAATTCTATACCAGGGCATCAAAATTTAACTAGGATTGCTTAAATTAAACAAGGCACAGCTGATACTTACAAGGTCAGAATGAATATATAACAGTTTTTACGACATAACGCTAGAGACATTAAACTAACATTTTTATATTAACATTTTAATGTTTTTATATATTTTATATGCATATGATTCCACCTGAGGTTACAAGATTGGGAAAATTAATGTCCCATATCAAAAAGAAGAGAGAATATTGAAACTGGCAACTATAAGCCTAATGATGAGAGGTTTGCTCTTACGTTCTATCTCTGCTTTGAGTACTCTGGCCTCACAAACATTACAGTAGCATCTCTTGGGTAAAATAAAGAAACTTGATTTAGAGTCCACACATTCTCTTCCCCGTTAGGCACACATTAAATTGCTCCTGGGAGGATATTATATGACAGCAAATGTTCCTTGCCACAGTATGAGAAAATTTCATCGTCTTTCTCAAAAGTAGAAGAGAGGAGAAAGGAAGAAGTAAAGTAGAGAGAGGAGAAAAAGAGTAGACAAGAGGAAGAAGAGAGAAAATTAGAAGAGAAGAAGAAAGAGCAACCTAAAAAGAGGAATTTTATTTGTATTTAAAGTTCAGATTTAGAGTCTCCATATCTATTATTTTAGTTCTCAAAACAAATTTTTGATGGCTTTATTAGAAGTATGCTTGAAAGGTTTAACATTATTTATGTGGTACTTCAACAATCTGTACAAAAAATTATTTATTTTATTTTATTTTTAAATTCATTCACTTTATTGACTGAGGTCAGGCCAAACTATCAGCAAAACAAAACAAGCAAAAAATCCCTTTTCTTCAGTGACCACTAATATTTTAGATAAAAAAAAAAAGTGCTTCCACTTATTTGAGGTATCTAAAGTAGTTAAATTCATAGAAACAAAATAGAATGGTGGTTACCAGGGGTTGGGGGCAGAAGGGAAAAGAGGTGTTTAATGGGCATAGATTTTCTTTTTGTTGTTGTTGTTGTTATTTTTATTTTATTTTATTATTATACTTTAAGTTCTAGGGTACATGGGCACAATGTGCATTTGTTACATATGTATACATGTGCCATGTTGATGTGCTGCACCCATTAACTCGTCATTTGCATTAGGTATATCTCCTAATGCTATCCCTCCCCCCTCCCCCCACCTCATGACAGACCCCGGTGTGTGATGTTCCCCTTCCTGTGTCCAAGTGTTCTCATTGTTCAATTCCCACCTATGAGTGAGAACATGCGGTGTTTGGTTTTTTGTCTTGCAATAGTTTGCTCAGAACTATGGTTTCCAGCTTCATCCATGTCCCTACAAAGGACATGAACTCACCCTTTTTTATGGCTGCATAGTATTCCATGGTGTATATGTGCCACATTTTCTTAATCCAGTCTATCATTGTTGGACATTTGGGTTGGTTCCAAGTCTTTGCTATTGTGAATAGTGCCACAATAAACATACGTCTGCATGTGTCTTTATAGCAGCATGATTTATAATCCTTTGGGTATATACACAGTAATGGGATGGCTGGGTCAAATGGTATTTCTAGTTCTAGATCCTTGAGGAATCGCCACACTGTCTTCTACAATGGTTGAGCTAGTTTACAGTCCCACCAACAGTGTCAAAGTGTTCCTATTTCTCCACATCCTCTCCAGCACCTGTTGTTTCCTGACTTTTTAATGATCACCATTCTAACTGGTGTGAGATGGTATCTCATTGTGGTTTTGATTTGCATTTCTCTGATGGCCAGTGATGATGAGCATTTTTTCATGTGTCTGTTGGGTGCATAAATGTCTTCTTTTGAGAAGTGTCTGTTCATATCCTTTGCCCAGTTTTTGATGAGGTTGTTTGTCTTTTTTTCTTGTAAATTTGTTTAAGCCCTTTGAAGATTTTGGATATTAGGCCTTTGTCAGATGGGTAGATTGCAAAAATTCATTTAAATACATCAGAAATATAGGCTATTTCAATGGTTAGTCTAACTTTATAATTCTTTATTTGAATAAAGACCTGAAAAAGCATTTCCATATGAAATGTATATAGACATTAAATTCTAAAGACATTGTTATAGTATTTGTTCTACCAGTGTTCTTCCATTTTATGTTGTCCATAGGCCATAAATATATCTAAATTTAGTTTTCATACTTACCACAGGCAATTTCATGAAGATATCCACTGATTTTACAAAACCCCACCACCAATGAAAGGCATTTATGTATTCAACTCATGACTATGTATCCATACTAGGCATTATATATCTAACTGTGGGTGAACAATGTGTGCTGACAACTAATACAACAAGGAGTGGAAGATGGCTACATCTTCACATGTAAAATTTAGGAACAGAGTTATACAGATTAGTTTGCAAAACGTAATGCTGTATATAGCTGAAGATAAGAAACTCCCTCTGTAAAAAATATACTTTTGCTAAGCTAGTCTTTAAGAGTTTTATACTTTGATATTATCTGTTCAGGCCGTTTCTTACATAGCTAAGGTAGGATGTCTGAGATTATACCTGGTACTCCAAGATTTCCACTTAAAGTGCTGGAGATGTAAATGAATATTAATAATTTCTTATGGGCCTCAAAACTTGTAACATTGAAATGTGTGACAAACTATTTTGGTTTGCTAGGGCTGCCATAACAAAGTACCACAAACTGGCTGGCTTACATAACAGAAATTCATTGTCTCAGAATTCTGAAGGCTAGAAGTATGAGATCAAGGTCTTGGCAGGGTTGGTTCCTTCTGAGAGCAGTGGCCTCAGGAGTACTTTGGCTTGTATATGGTTTTCCCCTAGTGCCTTCACATCATCTTTCCTCATAAAGACACCAGTCATGTTGGATTAGGAGCCCACTCTAATCCAGTATGATCTCATCTTAACTGATTACATGTGCAGCAATCCTATTTCCAAATAAGATTACATTATGAGTGCTGGGGGTTAGGACTGCAACATCCCAATTTGGGATGGGGAAGAATTCAACCTATAACATAACCATTATCATGAAGTTAAACTGAAAACTTTTATCGTCTCTTACTACCCAATTCTTCTTAGGCCTACAGCAATAATATTTAATCAATATGTTGAATTATATTTCTGTTGGACTATGTTTATAACTTATAAACATAGATTATAAATCTTAGCTTTATTTCTATGTGGAAAATTATTAAATTCATAGAAGGAACTTCTGATGTTAACATCACAGAATATGAACAGGATAATCATCAAAAACACTAAAAACAAACTCTCAGGATAAAATGTGTTAGCTTAAGTTTTTATTTAATGGCTCCCAAAGGTATATTAATATTTACTCATGGAAAGTCCTTAATAGCATTTTAGCACATAGGAAATCTGTACATAACTAACAGATACATACATCTGAGTTTGGCTCAAACTTGAGATAGACATGATCATCACCTTTTCAGAGGTCCATATAGCACTAGCTAATTTCACTGAGCTTTTAGTAAATACCAGAAACTATTGTTGTTTTCTTACAATAATTTTATGACTTAATACATGAACTCTACAAAAGATGTTACTACTTCCTTCCCCAATTTGAGGAAATATGGTTTAAAGAGGTCAAATAACTCACCCAGGGACAAACAGCTTGTTCAGAGGCCCATAAAACTTTTCAAATGTTTCAGATGTTAGAGATACAATTATTTTAGAGAAAACTAGAAATGCTATTCTAGTTTTCTCTAAAATCTTTTTCTACTTTTCTCTAAAATTTTCTTCTAGCAATGTATTGATTGAGAAAATGATGCAACATTAATTTTTCATATTATAACATTACATTAATAAGTCTTCCAAACATAACAGGCAAAAAGTTGGGCATATTAATTTTCAAAAAGCTGCAAATTTTATTTTTCTTTCAAAATAAACTATGAATCAATCCAAATCTACATTATTCATCTGGGTGATAAATTTGGTTATGTAATCTGCAATATCAAAAGGGCTAGAATAATAAACGATAAACTTTTTAAATGAAGAAGGATTGGCAGCAGTGGTAGAAATTACTAGTGTTCACTCAAATCCAGTTGTCCTTCTATGTCACTTCCTTCTTTCTTGTTTTTATATATTAAGTGAGACCTTGTGACTGAATAAGAAATACACTTGCATGTGTTAAGTCACTAAGTAGCACAGGTGTATATGGCATCAGAGCATAGCTTAATCTACCTTGACTAATACAGAAACACCATATTTCAGGTTTTATTTATTTATTTATTTGTCTATCACTTTTGAGCTTCCTTAAGATTTGTCAAAGAATTGAACAATTTCACCTGGGCAGTCACAGAATCCCAACACAAAGGTGACCTCTCCTTAGAGAAATCACACTGGCAACACAAAAAAGGAAAGGCCTACTAGGCATAGTATGAAATTCATTCTTCACAACTATTCTAAATGTATGGGACAGATGGAGAAGCAAATTACCATCCAAAAATTGCCAGCTTTGACATTCCTGGGAGAAAAAATGCTTCCAAAAGGGCACAAATCCACAATCTTTCAAAATCTGGAGGACTAATTCACTTCATCACCCTCATCAAATTGTTAGGAATAGTACAATGTTCACTGGAATAAAACTAATGGAGAAAACAGAATGTTCTGGTGCTTTTGTGCAAACTGGGCATTTCATTTTAACTTTAGCATTTGCACAAAACCAACAAAAAATCTTTTGAATTTAAGGAACTGACAGTTGACCAATCCAATTGCTCTAAATCTTTTATGACTGAATTATATAATTGTCTACAGAGACTATAAAATTACATACTTTACACTTGGACATAATATATTTGTAACAACCTGGATATTTGCTGAAACATTTGAATTAAACTATTAGCTACCACTGCAGGATCTGATCTGACTTCCTTTGGTTCCCAACTTTTCTGCTAAATACAAATGTGACTTCAGACAAATAATTTTGCCTCTTGTAGAATGGAAATTATTTCCACTTTACACTATACTTAAGTTTAAAGGAGGCTTATACACAATGAGCCATTTATCACAGAGCTTGACATATACTGATATGGTTTGGCTCTGTGTCCCCACCCAAACCTCAACTTGAATTGTAATAATCCTGACATGTCAAGGGCAAGACCAGGTGGAGGTAATTGGATCATGAGAGCAGTTCTCCCATGCTGTTCTTGTAATAATGAGTGAGACTTACAAGATCTGATGGTTTTGTAAGCCTTTGGCATTTCCCCTGTTGACACTCACTCTGTCCTGTCACCCTTTGAAGAAGGTGCCTGCTTCTCCTTTGCCTCCCACCATGATTATAAGTTTCCTCAGGCCTCCCCACAATGCAAAACCATGAATCCCTTAAACCTCTTTTCTTTATAAATTACCCAGTATCGGACAGTTTTTTACAGCAGGGTAAAAACAGACTAATACACATAAAATGTGCAATATTAGGTGCATAATATATTTGCATTAGTATTACTATTGTAAGAAATCTACATAAACAGTTTAAATTCCACTTTTGAGCAATTTCTAATATTTAATTTGGGCTAGAGTGGTTATATTGTATTAATGAATAGTTTAGTTTCTTAGGATTGATTATGGGTTTTAAATTTCAGTTCTACAACTCCTTCATTATGTATCCCCAAGAGAATTATTTAGGTGTCCAACTTTTTGTACCTTTCTCTGTAAACTAAGATACATAATGTACCCCAACTAGACAAATGTGAGAAATAAAGTGAAAAACCAGGAAAGTTTCTTTTATCACAAAATTATTATTCCTAAATTCTGTGAGTGATATATTTGTCATTTGTATTTAGAAATTTGTTATTAAGCCTAAGTACAAAAATGTTCATTTGATTATTATGTTGTAGTTGTACCCAAAGATAATTAAAATGTATATGTGTTAATACATGAGGCCAGTACTCAAAACATAGAAATAGTATGGAAAATTACTATATGCTTTAAAAACACTAAAAGGTCAAATCTGAAAGAATCACTACTTTGTTCCTAATAGCTGCAATATTTTGCATGGCTAATAATTGGATGTAATGGAAACTCTCCACAATAAAGCTTTATTGATTAAATTATAAGAAAGCTTTAAAACAAAAATGGAAAACACCTTTGCATTTTTTGGCATTTAAGCTGGTTACAGAATGATGTTGAGAAAATACACATAGTTGTAATAAAGTATGTTTTACTTGGAGAAGGAGTTTCTTTTTTTTTTCTAAAGACAGAATAGAGATGGGAACACAGAGCAGGAATAAATGCAAGGTATGCTTCCTTTAATTTTCCTTTGCTTAGATAGGACACTATGAAGGCAAAAGCCAGTAAATCAAATTTCTACTTTATCGCTAATATTTTTACAGGGAAAATACTCTGTCATCCAAGAAAATGTGTACATGCTATATACACATTTGGTGCTTCCACTTAAGAAAATGTTCATGTACATGGAGCTGTCTTTACCCATGAACTAGGCTCTGCATCTCTATGCAGCCCCAGCTCCTTGCAGTATAAAAGACGCAGAACTACAGTAAAAAGTATCTATATGTTCTCCTGTCCATTGTGAACCCTAAAGTGGTTCCCCTCCATGAATTCAAAATACACCAGTTTCTTGTTGCCCTTGTTATTTGACTTGTGGATACCAAGAAAAAATTAATTTTCATTTCTCTTGGCTTTTCATACTCAATTTCAGGGGCCCACATGCTCTAAGTAACAACTGGTATTCTCAGAAGTCCACAATTTTACCCCCAAGGATTGATCAGTACAGTTTTCTGCATGGTAACCTCTTTTTCCCCTTTTCCTATCTGATATGGTTGTCTCTGTGTCCCCACCCAAATTTCATGTCAAATTTTAATTCCCAATATTGGAGGAGGGACCTGGTGGGAGGTGATTGGATTATGGGGGTGAATTTCCCCTTTGCTTTTCTCGTGATAGTGAGTGAGTCCTCATGAGATCTGGTTGTTTCGAAGTGTGTCAGACTTCCTTCTTCATGCTATCTCTCATGCTCTACCATGTGAAGAATGTGATTACTTCCCCTCTGCCTTTCTACCATTATTGTAAGTTGCCTGAGACTTACCTAGCCATGCTTCCTGTACAGCCTGTGGAACTGTGGGTCAATTAAACCACTTTCCTTCATAAGTAACACAGTCTCAGGTAGTTTTTTATAGCAGTGTATGAATGGACTAATACAGAAAATTCGTACCAGAAAGGTGAGGTGTTGCTATGAAGATACTTGAAAATGTGTAAGCAGCTTTGGAACTGGGTCATGGACAGAGGTTGGAAGAATTTGGAGGACTCAGAAGACAGGAAGAAGGAAAGTTTGGAACTTCCTAGGAACTTGTTTATTTTGACCAAAATGTTGATAGTGATATGGACAATGAAGTCCAGACTAAGGAGGTCTCAGACAGAGATGAGGAATTTATTGGGAATTGGAGGAAAGGTCACTCTTTTTATGCTTTAGCAAAGAGAATAGCAGCATTGTGCCCCTGCTCTAGGGATCTGTGGAACTTTGAACTTTGAGAGATGATTTAGGGTATCTGGTGGAAGAAATTTCTAAGCAGCAAGGTGTTCAAGAGTGACTTGGCTGCTTCTCAAAGCCTAAGCTCATTTGCATAAGCAAATAAATCACTTGAAACTAGAACTTATATTTAAAAAGGAAGCAGAGCTTAAAATTTGGGAAATTTGCACTCTGACCATGAAGTAGAAAAGAAAAAACCCATTTTGGGGGGAAGAATTCAAGGCTGCAGAAATTTGCATAAGTAAAAAACAACCAAATGTTAATAGCCAAGACAATGGGGAAAATGCCTCGAAGACATTTCAGAGACCTTTACTGGCAGCCCCTTCTATCATAGGATGGTCTTGTGGGCCAGGCCCCGGTCCCCATTGCTCTATGCAGCATTGGGACATGGTGCCCTGCATCCCAGCTGCTCCAGCTTCAGCTGTGGCTAAAAGGGGCCAAAGTAAAGCTCAGGCCATGGCTTCAGAGGTTTTAAGCCTGAAGCATCAGTGACTTCCATTTGGTGTTGGGCCTGCAGGTACACTAAAGGCAAGATTTGAGGTTTGGGGGCTTCCACCTAGATTTCAGAGGATGTATGGAAATACCTGGATGTCCAGGCAGAAGTCTGCTGCAGGGGTGGAGCCTTCATGAGAACCTTTTCCGGGGCATTATGGAGGAAAACTGAGTTTGGAGCTCCCACACACAATTCCCATTGGGCCACTGCCAACTGGAACTGTGAGAAGAGTGCCACCATCCTCCAGACCCCACAATGGTATATCCAACAACAGCTTGCACCATGTACCTGGAAAAGCTGCTGGCACTCAATGTCAGCTCATGAAAGCAGCTGCAGGGAAGCTACCCTTCAGAGCCACAGGGGCAGAGATGCTCAAGGCCTTAGGAGCCCACTTCTTGGATCAGTGAGGCCTACGTGTGAGTCATGGAGTCAAAGGAGATTATTTTGGAGCTTTAAGATTTAATGACTCCTCTGCTGGGTTTTGGGCATGCATGGGGCCTATAGCCCCTTTTTTTTTGGCCAACTTCTCCCTTTTGGAAAAGGGCATTTACCCAATTCATGTACCTCTGTTGTATCGTGGAACTAAATAGTTTGTTTTTGATTTTACAGGCTCATAGGCAGAAGGGACTTGCATTGTCTTATATGAGGGTTTGGACTTGGACTTCTCAGTTAATGCTGGAATGAGTTAAAACACTAGGGGACTATTAGAAAGGCAAGATTGTGTTTTTAAATGTGAGAAGAACGTGAGATTTGGGAGGGGCC
Source organism: Homo sapiens (assembly GCF_000001405.40). Lineage (NCBI taxonomy): Eukaryota > Metazoa > Chordata > Mammalia > Primates > Hominidae > Homo > Homo sapiens. The sequence continues at coordinate 80,899,648 of NC_000006.12, read as the reverse complement.
AGGGGTGGAATTATATGGTTTACCTCTGTGTCACCACCCAAACTTCATGTCAAATTATAATTTCCAATGTTGGGGAGGAGCCAGTGGGAGGTGATTGAATCATGGAGGTGGATTTCCCTCTTGCTGTTCTTATGATAGTGAGTGAGTTCTCATGATATCTGGCTGTTTAAAAGTATGTAGCACTTGCCCCTTTGCTCTGTCTCTCTGCAATTCCACCATGTGAAGAAGGTGCTTGCTTCCTCTTTTCCCTTCTGCCATGATTGTAAGTTTTCAGAGGCCCCCGCCCCCAGCCATGTTTTCTGTACAGCATGTAGAACTGTGAGTCAATTAAACCTCTTTTCCTTTTAAATTATCCATTCTCAGCTACTTCTTTATAGCAAGGTGAGAACAGATTAATACACCATCCATCCTTCACTTCTCCCAAATACTCTGTACTGTATTCTCTGGAATACACATTTCAGCATTAGGAAATCCCCCTTTTATCTTCCACCTCTTTCCAGAATGCTCTTTGCACACTCTAGCTTTCATAAAAATCCAGCTCTTGGGCCAAGTACAGTGTCTCACACCTGTAATCCCAGCAATTTGGGAGGCTGAGGCGGGCAGATCACTTGAAGTCATGAAATCAGGATCAGCCTGGCCAACATGGTGAAACCGCCATCTGTACTAAATAAAATAAAATAAAAATAAAAACCCAGCTCTTCCTTAAGCTGGTTCCTCTATTTCCCCTACAGTTCTCACCAGTGGTGTCTATTTTTACCACCACAGCATTGTCCACAGACCTGGCAGTGGAATAGACATATTTGTTCTTTATTACTACTTCTTCCTAAAAAGTAATCTGTTTTAAATCTCATATAATCAGTTTGTATCACCCACAAACCCTCATTGTTGGTGCATGTTGTTCCCTTCCATTTTTTGCAGTTCCTATCTTATATTTTTCCACAGTTTTAGTTTGTGGCTTATTATCGATCTCTCCAATATTGCTACAGCATTTATTCTTGTGGGTTAAAGATATATTTTGATGCTGTCTCTAAACCTTAGCCTCCAAGTCCCATGAATTTGTCTCTTACAATGATCTTATCCTCTACCCTTCCAGAATTACGAGTTCCCATGGTCACACCCCAGTCCTTCTCAATACCAATAACTGCAATTCCTTTATCATTTCAATTTTATAATTGCTACTCAATTACAACCAATTTCTCTCTTTCTCATTGCATCTAATGCACTGACCCCAAAATGCTTAAAACACACTAGGATCTCCAATTTATTGATTCTAGTAATTTTTCACCCTCTTTCATCTTGATATCCTCTCTTTGTACTCAGTTAAATTCCAAGGCTAAATAATCATTGCCTTGCATACACTCTTAACTTCCTCACCTTTCTCTCACTTCATTGTACTTGCTTGGAAAATCACAACCCTGGTTTAATCCAGCTCTCTACGTATTCTCTTTCTAGATTCATGGGTGGGAGAAAATATCCCAACTGTACTGACCATCTTATCCTAAAGTTACGACTGCAACCTTCAAGTATACATTTACTTCTGCCAGGCTACTACACTATATGTCCTTGATCAATTTATGTTCTCACATTTGACTTCATTAGTCTACTCACTCTTCTTACCTCCTAGATGACTATATCATATCTCTTTTTTCCCTCAAATATTCAACAGCCCCATTCCCAAACTCGTTCTGAGCTGATGACATTGTGACGACATATCTCCTTTGACAAAATTTATGCAATTAAAGAGAACTCCATAGATTGCCAAATATATCCACCTATCAACATCTACCCCTATATAATTTGCCTCCCTAAGTGATATGATAGATAAGCTACCCATAAGTCTCTCAAAATCCCATTTCTTCATTTGTTTTCTAGATCCTGTTTTTTTACCTACCCAATGATATCACTGTGGCAATTTTTGGCTTCTCTCTACTATGTCATTCTTTTTTTCTTCTCTCCTGATCATTTTTGCTTCCTCCCATTACCGTAAAATCATGCTGATATTGCTACCTTTTTAAATGGCCATACAATCCTCAATCTTTATTGTCTCATTTCCTTATTTTCCTTTAAAGTAAAACTACTCACAAGTATTGTCTACATTAACCTTCACTTGTTTCTCCACTTCAATTCTGTCATAAGCCCACTACATTCTTGATTTTGCTGCTATTCCAGGAAAACGGTTTTTCATTAAACTTATATATGACTTCTTACCACTAAATGATTAATTATTGATCCTTATCTCACTTGAACTATCAGAAGCATTTGAAAAAGTTGATTGCCCTCTGCATCTGGACTTCTAGGACACCATGCTTGCCTGATTTATCTCCTTTATCAGTGTTCACGTCTCAGTTTCTTGTGCTTGTTCCTTCTCTTATCCTAGAGCTCTAATTTTTGGATGCTGTAGGGCCCAGTTCTTGGTCCTCTGTGACTATTCAGTTCCTTAGTGTTTTATGCAGTCTTATGGCTTCAAAATCAATCAATTTGTGGATGACTCTGAAATATAGAGCTGCAATCCAAACTTGTACTCCAAGTTTTTGATCCATATGACCAAATACCTACTCAATATCTCTAGTGGAGGTATATCTCACAGAGCAGATGGTAAATAAAGAAATTAAAAACTGAATAAAATAAACAGAGAGGAAGTATAAGTTCACACTATTTGATATTAGAGGGTATTCTTGAATTATATAAACAAAAAGTATTATAACAATGGCAACTTAAAGGTGTTATATAATAAAATAAATTTTAGGAATTGAATTTTAATAAATGCAAGAAACTAAATGTTTTTCATCTTATGCTGTTTCAAATCTTCTCATTTTATCAAAAATTATTTTCAAAACAAAAGACAAAAAATTAGAAACACAAAGCAAATTACTATTAAAAACATACACAAATACAAATACTTAGGAAAATCAACAATAATACAAACTTTCAATATTTTTACTAGACTACCAACTCTCTGTTACCTGCCTTCCAAGTTTATTTGGCATATTACTCTGTCATATTAAATAATAATGGTAAATAAAGAGATGACCACATAACAATGAAATTTTCATCACTCTTTGTTATGAAAACTACTATTTTAAATAAGAGTTGTAGAAAATTTTACCAGTACTTGAAGAGTGATAAAATAACCCTTTTACAATGTTTTAAAGTATAAAATAGAAAAAAAATCTGGCCACTTCCAAATTCATTTTATGGGTCTCATATACTCTTTATACTACAAGTAAGGACAAGAAAATAATATAGGCTAATCTCAATTATGATAATAGATACAATTCCTAACAATATATAATCCTGCAATATATTAAAGAAATGACACCAAGACTAATTTGGAACCCAATACTGCAAAGCTGGTTTAACATTAGAAAATCAATTAAAAACTACACATATTAATAGCTATACACATAAATAGATTTAATGAGATAAACTTACTCTTATTTCAATAGAACAAGCAAAAAAGGTGCAAGATCTTTAAAAATGCATAGCAAACAAGAAATTAAAAGGAACCCATTTACCCTAATAAATAATAATGTATAAAAACATGTTAGAATAATTTATCTTATATCAAAACGAAGTTAGTGGTACCTACTACTTTTATGGTTATTCAACATTGTACTAGGAGCTTTAGCCATTGCAGTGAGGCAAGAAAAGAGATAAATTAAATATATAAAGATTCTTTTAAAGAAATAAAACTGATGGTAATTGCAAATATGTTTTTCCACATGAAAAAAATCCAAAGAACTTAAAAACTAATTAAAAGAGCTAATATAAAAGTGAGCAATGTAGCCGGGTACAAAATAAAGTTATAAAATTCTTTATATAAACAGGAAAATTCACTTTGAAACATTTCAGAAATCTTTTTTTTTTATAAGATCAGGAACAAGAAAACAATGCCCACTCATACCACTTTTATTCCATCTAGTACTGGATGTCCTAGCCACAACAGTTAGGCAGGATAAAAAAAAATTAAAGTCATCTAAATTTAAAAGAAAACAAAATTGTCTTTCTTGTCAAATGACATAATCTTCTATATAGAAAACTCTAAGGATTTCATCAAAACATTGTTAGAGCTAATAAATGTATTCAATAAAGTTGCAAGATACATAATCTAGACTCTTTTAAGTAGCGTTTCTGCAACAACAAATTATCTGAAAAAAGAAATCAAAAGAACAATCTCATTTAAAATAGCTACAAAGAAATAAAATACTTAAGAATAAATTTAACCAAGAAAATAAAAAGGTCGGTACACTGAAAACTATGGAATGTAGATAAAGGATATTAAGACACAAATAAATGAAAAGGTATCTTATGTTAATAGATTACAAGAATTAATGTTGTTAAAATGTCCATATTACCCAAAGTGATCTAGAGAGTCAATGCAATATTTATTAAAATTACAATATTTTTACACAAATAGAAAAAGATTAAAATTCATATAAAACACAAAAGAACTTGAATAGCCAAAACGATATTAAGAAAATGAACAAAGCTAAGTGCATTACACCACCTGATTTCAAAATATACTACAAAGCTACAGTAATCAAAACAGCATGATATTTGCATAAAACAGGCAAATATACCAATAGAATAGAAAAAGGAACACAGAAAAAAAATTCATGCATTTGTGATTGATTGACTCTTGACAATGATGCCATAGAACATACAATGAGCAAAGGACAATCTCTTTAATAAATAATGTTGGAAAAAAATTTTATTCTTCATTCAAAAGAATGAAATTGAATCTTACATCATATACAAAAATCCACTCAAATGGATTGAAAACTTAAACTTAAGACATGCAACAGCAAAACTATTAGGAGAAAATATAGGAGGAATGCTTCCTGACATTGGTCTGAGCAATAATTTTTTGGGTATGACTCCAAAATCACAAGCAACAAAAGCAAAAATGGACAAACAGAATTCAATGAAACTAAAAGGCTTCTGCACAGTAAAGGACACAGTCAACTGTGTGAGAGGCAACTTCTAGAATGGAAAATACTATTTACAAATCATACGTATGATAAGGGTTTAATATTCAAAATGTGTAAGGAACTCAATCAACTTAACAGCAAGAAAACAAATAACCTGATTAAAAAATGGACACAGGATCTGAATACACATTTATCAAAAGAACACATAAAATGACTAACTGGTATTTGAAAGAATGCTCACTATCACTAATCATCAGGGAAATTATAATTAAAACCATAATGAAATATGCCCTCATACCTGTTAAAATGGCTATGTCCAAAAAAATTATATAGATAAGTGTTGGCTGGGATGTGAAGAAAAGGGAATCTTTGTATACTGTTGTTTGAAATGCTAATTAGTATACCCATTATGAAAAACACTATAGAAACTCCCCTAAAAATTAAAAATAGAACTATCATATAATCCAATAATCTTATCCCTAGGTGTATATCTAAAGAAAATGAAATCCATAATGGATAAAGAAAATGTGATAGATAGATAAAAGATTGGTGGATAGATGCACAAACAGACAGGCAATGTAGTCCTATTTAGATTTTCAAAGGAAAATCTTGTCATTTGTGAAAACATGAATGAACCTAGAGGTCATTGTGCTAAGTCAAATAAGCCAGGCAAAGAACGATGCATATTGCATGATCTCACTTATATGTGGAATCTACAAAATATGAGTTTCTATGTGAACTCATAGAAAGAGTATGAAGCGGTGGTTTCCAGGAGTTGGGAGAGGTAATAATAGGAAGGAATGGGTAAAATGTTGGTCAAAGGGTGCAAAGTTTTGATTAGACATCAGAAATAAGTTCCAGAGATGTGTTATACAGCATGGAGAGTATAGTTAATAATAATGTGTTGTATACTTGAAAATTTCAAAGGCAGAATGTCTTAAATGTTCTTATGAATCACACAAAAAAATGGTTTGTGTTAATTAGCTTTATTTAATCATTTTGCAATGTATACATATATCAAAACATCACTTTGTATACTATAAATATATATAGTTTTTATGTGCTAATTAAAAATATATTTGTAACAGCCACAAGATCATAAAGTATTTATGAATAAAACAAATCTATTAAAAATGTCACCATACTTTTAAAATGGAATGTTATTAAGTAAAACTTAGTTTAGCTGATGGAGAAATATTAATTTTCTTTTGTAGATAGACCCACAAAAACATCAATTAATAGTTATCAATATATTTAATACAATTTCAATTAAAATCTCATAGATATTAAATACAATTCTGTGTAACTGTATAAGTTGACAAACTAATTCTAATATTTACATTAGAGTATATAGTGTCAAATCACATAGTGAAGGAAGGAAAAGGTGAAGTGACATGTACTCCCAGATAATGAGATTTCTATAAATTTATAGTATTTATGAAAGAATAGAATTAATGTAGTACCTTACTATAAAGTAAAATAGTAAATTAAATAGAACAGAGAGTTCATCTATAGACAAACATCATATAAATGTGATTTCTGGCAGACACTGTATTGCAGATTGTCTGGAAAAGAATCAACATTTATTTAAATAGTGACATAATTGTTATACACAAGCACAAAAATGCACCAAATTCAAACAGCAAATGTTTTAAATCAAAACATAGAAATATAACTATTTCAAACTTGTACTATATGAGAAGAAATAAGAAAATTATTTTAATTCCCCTTGTGAGGGGAGAATCTCTTAAGCCAGACATAAAAGTACAAACTGTAAAGAAAACTTTAATAAATCAACTATATTAAAATTAAGAATATTTATAGCAACCTAATTCATAATAGCCCTAAACTGGAAGCTATCTACATAATAGATGATGATGTTCAATATTTGCGTTATTAAACAAACTGTGGTACATCCATGCTGTGACCACTACTCAGCAATGAGAAGGAACAAACAAGTGATAAAGCAAGAAAGATTTTTTTTAATGAAGTGTTTATCATCCTATAAGAATTCCAGAATAAATTTAGGGATTGGTAACAAAAGAGGTATTTGCTTAAAGTTTTCTGAATTGTAAATAAAAACCTTCGATCAAGAGATAGAATACTGTGAATATTAAGGCAGGTTTATTTAAAGCCAACTCTTTCCTAGTATTGCCCATTGTAGTGAATCTTTCTATTCTTGTCTCCAGTAGACCAAGAATAAAATAGTCTTTAAAGTTATCAAAGTGCACAAAGACAACTAGTTTGATGATAGACTGCACAATACATGTCAAAAAACAATGAAGAAATAGCTTCAAAGTCCATCAACTTACTATTCAAAAGTGACAGCAGAAAATATTTTTGGATATGCGTAGATCTATTTCAGAGCCAGAAAAAATCCTCTCCAATAAAACTCTTAGATTTTAATTAACAATATTAATAATAATATCTTAATGGTATCACTAGTATCTGAAGACAGAATGTTGAAAAACTTTCTGAGGTCCTGAGATGGGATGAGACACCAGGGCACAGTCCAGGATCTTCAGCTCCATAAGGCAGGCATATACCTGCTGTGAGCCCTCCATTGTTCTCAGTATCAGGAACAGTGCCCTATGTTCAACAGGCACTCAATAAATACTTTTAATTGGCCAATTGTTGGCATTAATTAACTTAATGATAGGAACCCAACAGAAATTAATTCTGGTATGAGCTGACTCTGTACTTGGTGTGAAAATGTAAGCATTTTATCATTTGTTTTGAAGTCTTCACCAAAGAATGCTGTCAGCAACTCAGTCCACTCCTGTCTGTCTTCTCATTTATCTGTTCTTTTCATGTCACATTTCATTACCACTACAGATATTTCTGTGAAATATTTCACACCACTTTCTTTCCTCTGCTTTTCCTAAAAATATTAAAGTAGTCAAAACTTTAGCAAAGGTGAATGCTTTAATCTCCGTTGTCAAGCCAGCAACTCAAACCTGCCCTCTGTGACAGGAAGCACACTCTATTTTCATCCAACTGTGATGGTGAATTAGAGCAGAACTGTTCATAACGTTTATTGCTGGATTCTTCTCTGTCAGCACTTTCACTGGTAGTCTGGCTTTTCATTCTTTTCTTCCCAGTCACTAAACAAGGCAGCTATAGAAACTTGCATGGAGCTAATATAGGAAGATTCCATTGACTTGAAAAAAGATTTTCCTCTCTCCTTCATTCCTTCCTCTCTTTCTTTCTTTCTTTCTTTCTTTCTTTCTTTCTTTCTTTCTTTCCTTCTTTCTCTTTCTTTCTTTCTCTTTCTTTCTTTCATTTCTTTTTCTTTCTTCTTCTTTTCTCTTTCCTTCCTTTCTTCCCTCCTTCTTTCCTTCCTTCCTTTTCTCTCTTTCTTTTCTTTTCTCTCTCCATTTCTTTTTCTTCTTTCTCTTTGAAAATGGAACTCTATTCTGCATAATGAACCTTGGCAGTTAGAATGGTTCCATCAGGAAACCCAGCCTCATAGCTGATCAGTCATATACCAGTGAACTATTAACATATCTAGGCAGTTGCAGCAGGTGTATGCAGGCATGGCTTGCAGGCTCAGCATTCATGTGGACCTACTTAGCTATTAAGTTGTCTAGACACACACTATTTGGAAAATTCAATCATTTAACCAATATTTCTGAGCATGGATCTCACCTGTACTTGTAAGGAGATATTTCTGTAAAATGAATTATTTAAAACTATCTTAAGATTATGATCAGATGTATGTCTCAGCTGCCTACTGTTTCCAGCTGCACACACCTGAGCAGTCTCCAAATACTTAAACTTTTCAGTATGCTTAGTTTTAATTAATTTAATCATGTGATAGATTATTGATAATATCCATCGATAAATTCTGTTTGTAACATGTATTTATTTGGATTCGTATTTATTTATTTTAGAACTTTAATGTGTCTGAAATTAATGTACTTATTATAATATTTTTAATAGTTGGGGAGTTTTTCTTCAGAAAACAAATAAAATCTGTGTAGATAAACAAGTTTCTTCTAAGTAACACACATATATTTGCATATATCTATGTTTACAAGTATAAGAAAAGCCCACTGTGTTGAGTTTTAGCTGTGATCATGCAGTTATTGAATTCCTTCTGTAAGTAAATGACTTGAATCAGGAAAAGTATATTTCAGGCAAATTACTCAGAGATAGGCACAATAAAACACAAATATGCACCTAACACTCACACATGCACACACACACGGAAGGAGATATGTGTAGTACCTCTGTTCATACCTTGCAATAGAGTTCACCTACCTTAAGAAGTGCAGGTATTATTGTCCTTTTACTCTAAAGACATTCATTTATGCTATCTTAAAGGAATTGATCACCTTGTCCCAAAGTTGAAGGATTTGTACCAAATAGAATCTTAAGCCCTGCTCTTCCCATATGTTTATCTAATAGCTAGATTGAGAATGGGAAGTGTGATTGAATATCAGATCTTTCACAGACTGATGGGACTTCATGGAGCATTATTGTTGACTCAGATAAAATGTATTTATTAAGTGTGTATTATATGAGGATGCTATGTGGCAGAAAATAAGTTTCACATTTAGTTATAGTTATGTACTATGCACAGCAATATGACACTCGATGACTGAATTATTAATTCAGACCAAATAAGCAAACTAGCAGCCCAGGCAACAAATGCTTTTAAGATAAATAAGATATTCTGAATTTAGCATTTTGTTTACATATTAAATCATTAGAAAAGTGTATTAACACAAAAGGGTTAAAGAAGAGTATATATAAAATATTTTGTTTGGTGACATACTGTATACTTTAGAGAATATATAATCTGTGGGTTGCTTTAAGGGTAAGAAAAATAGAAGAACTAGTTATTTTTTAGCAGCCACATTCTGAAAATGACTGAAAGTTTTTATTTTTAATATTACGTTTAAAATCATGTTTTAAAATAAATACCAAAAAGGAATGTCATTTTAGGTGCATTTTATAAACAGTCTTCTGGTGTGTTAAATAACTTATACAAGGAATTGGATTAAATAAATCCCAAACTAATCATTATTTTCTAATTGAAAAAAAGCTGAGATTTTAAAAGTGGACTTGAAAGCAGGGGATTTATAGTTCTGTACATGAAAAATATCTACCAATTACAACTAAGTAAATTCGATTAACTCCTTTGGAACATAAGTCTATTATTAACATAGAAAAGTATTGTAATTATGAAATAAAATAGTTGCTTCATGTTCAAACTAATCATGATATATGAATCTGATGTCTAAGAATAAAATTTCTAGATAAAAAGTAAATATAACACTATTTGATGTTTCTTCATTACTCTCGTGATGTTAAAACTATTGCTAAAATATTACATAGCTTAAAATATATACAAATATAAATTATATTAAAGAATCAGAAAAGCATGGAGAAAGTGATAGAAAGTCATTAGTTTAATAAGGAGGAAAGATAGTTCTAAAACATTGAGCTTAATTATTATATTAACTACATTAGCTAAAGACAATTTTACAATAGGCTTTATTTTACATATAAATAAATTAAATTGTGATATTATTTAATCTCCCCAAGTCCACATAACTAGCTAATAGAAGAATAACTCCATAGCCCTCTTTCTAAGACTTTTGTCATTTTGTGTGTAGGTGTTGTATATTTGTGTGTATGCTTTTACAACTCATTTCCTTACAATATCACAAAAAATGTTTGACACAATGACAAATAAACCTGGTATTCATCTGTTAAAATAGCAGAGTCAGTTGATAAACCTGTCATGCTGGAAGGAATTGCTAACAACAAAAGCCCACAGAAGTCATATCATGGCTGAATTTCAAGCCATACCTGGCTACTCAGATGCCAAAACCACCAACAGAGATGCCCTTATACCTTGAGCTACTACAGTGATTTCAGGACAGTTAGGCTTTCTATGTTTTGTTTAATAAACCATGTCCTTAATAACCGAAGTGTAAAGCACTTATTTTAACCCAAGTATTTATATTCTTTGACATCATTCTTATGCTTACTTAGTCCTCGATATAAAGAAAGTTATGTGTTGAATCTAAAATCCCATATACATTTGAGTAATTATATAGATTAAATAAATATATTTTCAAATATGTAGACAAAAATAACCTACTAATTGGGCATCCATTCTAGGGAAAATACTTATATGTGGCCAAGTATATTCCCATAAAAAGTAAAATTAAATCCACAAAGTTAGAAAACAATGTAATGTAAGAATCAATGGAACTAACTGGGGGCAAGCCAGGTTTAGGTAAAGAATGCATACTCTGAAGTGTAGTCCACCAGAACCCCATAGAATAAGAGCAAAGGTCCCAGATAAAAGTGGGTACAGGAGGGTGAGTAGATAAAAATAGTACATTGTTTAAAGTTACAAAGGCAGCCACTAGAAAGATGTAAAAACAGTTATATTACTAATAATAATTGGAGTAATAAGAAGGAGGCAAGGGCTAGTATGGATCCTACCTACTATTTTATAGTTGGGTATAAATAGATACTACATAATATAATGCTTTGTGTGTCTTTGTTTTGATTTTTCTGGAATAAATAATTGCCTTTTTAATTTTCTGAGTTGGTTATATTTGCTTGTTTACATAAATACCTATGGCCGTATTTTACTATATCATCTAGTTGTCTAACACCACATTTTGCAGATTGTATGCCAGCCCACACCTTAGTCCATTGCAGCAAACTCACAGGAGCACTGTGGGATATTTTAGATTGTTGAGAGAAACAGCCACACCTGAGAGCTTCCACACACTGAGAAAATACTAGCTGAAGTAGACCACCACTTCAACATTAAACTATTCTTGGTTCTTTCAGGTGCTACCATATCTACATTCTTCTCATTGACATCACATCTTTGCAAAGTTGAATTTTACAAAGTTGCTGTGACAAAAATAAAGAATTCCAGGAAAATCAATGTGCAACAGGAAATAAGAGTGACAATGTTTAGTCTAATTCCAAGTTTTGAGAACTGTGCAGTGCCCATAGGTACCCACATTCTAGTAGTAAATAATTATGCTTATTTAATAATGATATAAAAATATATTTTTTCCATTTGTGTGTATTTTTCTTTCAACATGTACTAAGATGTTGTTAGGACATAAGTAGTTATTGTTTTGACTTAGCTAGTCTTAGGTCAAACTCACGTATTTTGTTGTTGTTGGAGGGGCATTGTGGAAAAATTTCTGAAATAAGACAGCATCATGAACTAAGATAAATTGGGAATTTCTAGCCTAACAGAAAAAAAATTGCATGTTCAGACCTATGATGCCCATTTTTTTCCTGGTATCTTTTCTTCTAGGGTAGAGTCCTCACCTTTATTGCCAATTTGCCTGATTGCCATCTACACTTCTTGCTCAGCTCTAACAATGTGATGTTCTTTTACTTTAATTCTGGGGATTACCTTCACTGCGTTTCTGTATTAGATTACATACTTCCTTGTTTCCATGTTTACATGTCTTTGTTTATTCCTTCATTTTTCCAAAACAAAACCTCAGTCATTTCCTGGGAACGTGTATATATTTTTAATAGTTTTAATATCTGAAGATGTGACTTTTGTCCTCCTCATAATTTCAAAGTCAGTTATCTCCCTTGCATCCTGTTTCCATTTCAATATTAAGGTTTTGAAGTTATAGACATATTTCAGTTTTAGTGAAAAATATTACATTTCTCTTTTGATTCCCAATTTTCTTTTGAAGTGATTTTTGAGAATGGAAGATGGCAGAAACATCTCTCCCCAAGAGATATTTAACTTTTACATACACACATTTGTATCATTTGTGCTGTTAAAAATCATTTGTATGTATTACATTTAGACGAAAGAATTAAATACCATTTTTAAAAAGCAAAATTTAAAATGATTATTGACACCGAGTAAAATTTAAAATTTGGAATTAGAATGAGCATTAGAATGATAAAATAATTTTGGATGATAAGGGGATAGAAAAAACTGCTTAGTATATGATAATACTCCTCACACATTATCTTCAAAAACTTCCCCTCACCAAGTCTCTCTCAGTTTTTTGTTTCAGTCTCTATCTGACTGTCTTTTTTCTCAGCTTTTTCACAGGCATGTACGTACACATAAAAAAAATGCCTTCACTCTCAAATAGGAAGAAGTAGCTGAGAAAACTATGACTTAGATTACATTGCTGGTGGGGGAGTAAAATAGCATAGCACCTTGGAAAACAATCTAACAGTTCCTCAAAAGCTGAAACATAGTTTCCATACAACCCAGCAATCCCACTCCTAGGTCTATACACACCCTGCGCTGCCCTACAAAATGACAATAAATGCCTACACAGAAACTTGCACATGAATATTTATAACAGCATTATTCATAATAACCAAAAAGTAGAAGTGGGTCAAATGTCCATCAAATGATGAGTGGTAAAACAAAATGTGGTATATTCATACAATGGAATATTATTCAACAATTTAAAAGAATGAAGTACTGATATGTACTACAATATGAATGAACTTTGTAAAAATTTCTCTGTGTAAAATAGACACAAAAGGCCACATATTATATGTTTTCATTTACATTAAATGTCCAGAAAAGACAAATTCATAGGAATGGAAATCTTATTAGTGGTTGCCAGGGACTGGAGGAGGGAGGAATAGAGTGACTACAAATGTGGACAAGATTCCGTTTTTGGTGATGAAATGTTCTGGAATTGGATAGTGGTGATATTTGTACAACATTGTGAATATACTAAAAAACACTGAATTGTATACTTAAAAACACTGAATTGTATACTTAAAAAGTATAAATGACATGAATCGTATCCCAATACATAAATTATCTGAGAAAAAAACCTGAGTGCTCTATACCCTTTCTAACCCTTAAAATACCCTAATATCGAGAACTTTTTCTTAGATATTACTGCAATTTACATCAATTGACTTTAACAGTCAAGAAACTTCTTCTAATTCCAAGTTTTCAGAGACTTCTAGGCATAAGAATAAGTCCCTTCTCTTTAATGTATAAGCTACAGCCTACTTTCTAATTTACCACCCAAAAACAGCTATATTAATTAATTTAAAATTAAAAGTAGAACAACAAAAAAAAAAATCAGGAGAATCCATACTACCCAAAGTGATCTAAAGAATCAATGCAAAATCAGTGCAATCTTTATTAACACTCCAATAATATTTTTCACAGAAATAGAAAAAACTAAGTACTAAAATTTGTATGGAACCTCAAAATATCCAAAATAGCCAAAGCAATATTGAACAGAAAAAAAAGAAAAGGAAAAAAAAAAAAAAACTACAGAAATCGACAGAGCCAGAGGAACCAGGACAGCATGGCATAAAAAAACGAACAGAACTGAGAGCCCAAAAATAAACTTACACATTGATGACCAGTTAATTTTTGACAAAGGTGCCAAGAACATACAATAGAGAAGGATAATCTTTTTAAGAAATATTTTTGGGAAAACTGAATATCCACATGCAGAAGAATGAAATTGGATCCTTATTCCATCTCCTATGAAAAATCAACTAAAAATAATTTAGCATCTGACAAACAAAACCTAAAACTATTAATATAAAACTACTGGCAGAAAACAGGCAGGGTGAAATATCCATGACATTAGTCTAGGCAATGATTTTTTTGTTATATGACCACAAAAGCATAGGAAACAAAAGTAAAAATACATAAATGGAATTACATCAAACTAAAAGCCTTTTGAGTGACAGAGAAAACAATCTGTTAATTTAAGCATTAATTTTTTGGTAAAAGAAAGCACAATGTTCATTCTAAATATATATATATATATATATATATATATAAAGATATTATCTTAATTGAGAAGACATTTTGGCCGATATTTTTTTTTCAGCCAGAGCACTTGAGCGTATTTATCCTATTTCCTTAGTATTATTTTCCATATTTATTCTATTTTTCAGACAAAAGGTGAAAGAATTAATGTATATTTTATGTAACATAATATAATCAAGTATTAGAATCTGTTGTTTGGGACAAGGCTAAAATGTGGGTGTGAACTTCATGTATTCTTAACAACTAGACCAGGGATTGCAGAAGGACAGGTAGTAAACATTTTAGAGTTTGCAAGCATGTTATCTTTTGCCACTACTCACTCTGATGTTTTAGCATGAAATTAGCCACAGACAGTACATAAAAGAATAAACATGCATAAGCTCCAATAAACTTCCTTTACAAAAATAGATGGTAGATCAGATTTGGCCCATAGACTATAGTTTGTCAACTCCAGAACTTCACAAAAATACTTCAAAAAATTAACCTGATAAATTTTTGAGAAAACTGTTCACACTTAAAGGAAAGATGTACCAGTTTATATTCATATTTACTTGCATACTTAATATAAAAATTTAGACTTTCATTTTTTAGTTCATTGATCTAAGCATTATTATTTAATTTGTATTCAGTGAAATTATTAATTTGTTAGATCATTCCATTTTTTAGCCTGTTTAAAGAGTCAGATAATTTTTTATTTTTAAATATTTTGGTCTAATGATTTTTATTGATTTCCATTATAAGAAGTGTCCTTGTGACAAGTATGTCAGTAGGCATGGTGGCTTCGATTTGATCTCATGTTTTAATGACCCTGTGTGTAATCTTAGAACAATAGGAAATTGTGTGTAATGTCCATTCCAGTCAACCAAGACTTCATCAGAAAAGAAATGTTTGTACATATTCCAATGGCATGACCAGAACAAATGGTGGAGAAAAAAACTCACTGATTTTTATTTCTTATTTCTTCCCAGTAAAATCATCTGAGCTGATGATTAGAAACTAAAACTATGATGACAAGGTGGTTTAGGATATTGACAGCCATCACATGTTTTTGCCAGTTTGTTAAAATTTTGAGGCACAGTGTAGTCCATCACAGTAACGATAAATAATTCTTCCACAAAAGAATGTATATACAATTTAATGATCTTTCTGCACTTGCTCCTATTGTGTTTTGATGCAATTTGAAAAATGAGTTCTGTTTGAAAACACATCATGTGGAATCAAGCAAAGACTTAGTCAGAAGAAATGTAAATTAACTATTGGAAATTGAATCCAGTTTAACCCAGACTTTCCCAATGATTCATTTTTCCATCTTAATCTAAGCAATAGAACTTTTACCTCATACCAAAGAACATGGCTTTGCAAAATGAGACTGTTAAACCTGCATGTAAAATGTAGGGTAAGATTTTATTCTTCAAGACTCTTAATATTTGCTGGAATAATATAATCAAGAATGAGAGAATGCCTAAGATTTTGTAAGCTAAAGGGACTTCTAAAATTAATATAAAATGCCTCAGAATTGCTGAAACCAGCTAGAGAGCCTTTTTTTTCTCTCCCTCTTTATCTTGACAGCTTGAAACTTCATAGTTGGCTTAGGGGAAATATTTTTTAATATGAAATATAACACGTTTTTTAATATTAAGATTTGATAACATAACAGGAATGCATATGTATAAAAATACATCTCAAAATATACATTTTAGCAGGTCAAATAAAACCCAAATATTTCAGATTGAACTGTTACTGTAAATGTGATAATGTCTCAGTATATTCAATGTTTATAAAAGTATAGCCTTCCATGCCCACTATTAGATAGCTGCAGCTTCTTCTGAAGAGCCAAACTTACAGAGATTCCCTGATTAATTAAGACCTAAAACATAGTGTCAGACATCTTTCTCTTCCTCTTTGGGTTAATATCTTCTTCAATAAGACCCATCTGCAAAATTCTTTTTAAAAAATGCCAAAAATTGTATACCACCAACAAAATGCTAGCCTTCACTAGCACTAGGAATATTCAGCATGATTGCTTAAATTTAATACACTTGGGTAAGCCCTTCTAGATTCATGTTTTGCTTATATTTTTTTCTTATGTTGTAGTCTTTTTGTCTCTTACTCATTCTCTTTCTAAATAAATAATAGTTAGAAAAAGAAGTATCATTCATATCAACAAGTGAATTACTCTCTTTAGATAATCTTGTCAAATTTGGAAAAAAGAACAGGAGAAATTTGGCAGAAGAAGGATATAATTTAACTTTTTCAATTGGAAGCAAGTGTTTGATTTATCATAACAAATAATATTATAGCAGCACTGAAAAGAAAACTATATTGAGCATTTTGTGTAAAATTAAATAAAATGGCATGTGTTTCCAATTACATTTTTTATAGCCTTTCCATGTTACAACATATACTTTACATATATTATGTCTGGTGGTCATGAAATATTCTAATAAATTATGATTTCTGTTTTATGAAAATGGTTGTTTAAATTTACTTCTTTTTGTTACTATTATAAGTGACAAGTAACTAAACAAATTATTGCATTCAGTTTTCCTGTTTTACATTTTTTATTTGCAAAATTCTTAGTAATTTAACATTTTGTAAAATATGGATTTCTTAGTTTTGAAAATATTTTGCAAAACTAAATTTTAAACCTATAACTTACACTGTCACTACTTGAAATTTACTATTTGCATTACAATTTAGCTAAAATTATGCTTTATATATGGTTTTCTTTTTCGGCACATTCAATAGATGAAAATCACTCATTTTTTTATTTAACAAACATTTTCTGAGCACTGCCTTGTTTTGGGCATTGGTTTACATTTGGAGAAACTAGTTATGAAAATACACAGAAAGTTATTTCCTTTTTGGATCTCACATTCTTGCCTCTGGAATACACCAATGTATATTTTAGGTTTGATTTGATTTTTAAGAAAATGTGTAATATTTGCTTGAGTTAGGAACTATTCTGTGTGCTGTGAACATTAAATGACTTAATCTTCAGAATTCCCTTGTGAGACTTTACACATATATATATATATTTTCTGATTTTTCATAGAAATTAGAGAACAAATAGGTTAACTTCCCCAAGACTGCACAGCCAGAGAGTGATGGAAACAAGACTGAAACCAGGAAGTTTGAACTCTAAAGACTTTGCACCTAATGAATACATTCTGTATATTTTCCATTATTGTCGGTGGAGATAGACATTTCTCAACATATATTATGTAAATTTTTTTATGTCATCCCATATTTCTCAATTATAATGTTGCTGTTGCACTTATAAACCTCCAGTAACAGTCAATATATGTTTACTTTTATTTTTATCAATTTCATTTTTTGAATTGACAAATGTTATACATATCGTAGGGTATATAGAGATGTTTTGATACATGTAATGTGTAGTGATCAGATCAAGGTAATTAGCATATCCATCATTTCAAACATTTATCACTTTTTGTGTTGAAAACAGTCAATATTCTCCTTTAAGCTGTCTAAAAGTATATAATATTGCTAACTGTAGTCATCCTACAGTATTATAGAACGTTAGAACTTATTCTTCATATCTAGCTATAATTTTGTATCCTTTAAGAAACGTCTCCCTATTCTTCCCTTCTCTCTATCCTTCCCAGCCTCTAGTATCCTTTATTCTACTTTTTACTTCTATAAGATCAACTTTTTTAGCTTCCCCATGTAAATGACAACATGCAGTGCTTAACCTTCTGTTCCTGGCTTATTCCATCTAACATAATAACCACCAGTTCAAAAACAATGGAACACAATAGAGAACCAATAAATTAATCCATGAATCTACAGCCAACTGATTCTTGAACAAGATGCCAAGAACACTCATTGGGGAAAGAGACTTTTCCATAAATGGTTCTGGGAAAACTAGATATCCATACACAAAAGAATTAAAGTAGATCCCTACCTCTCACCCTGTACAAAAATCAACTCAAAATGGATCAAAGATCCGAATATAAGGCCCCAAACACAAAAATACTAGAAAACATAGAGGAAATGCTTCATGACATTGGTCTCAGCAAGGATTTTTTAGCTAAGACCCCATAAGCATAGGCAACAAAAGCAAAAATAGACAAATGAAATTGCATCAAACTTAGAAGCTATGAACAGAAAAGAAAACAACCCACAGAGTGAAGAGACAACTTAGAGAATAGAGGAAAATATTTGTAAACTATGCATCTGACAAGGGGTTAATATCCAGAATGTATAAGATACTCAAACAACTCAATATCAGTGAACCAAATAATCTGATTTAAAAATGGACAAAAGATCTAAATAAACATTTCTCAAGAGAAGACATGCAAATGGCAAACAGGTACATGGAAAAAATACTCAACATACTAATCATCAGTGAAATGCAAATCAAAACCACAATGAGGTATTATCTCATCCCAGTTCGGATGGCTATAATCCAAAAGACAAAAAATAATAAATGCTGGTGAGGATGGGCAGGAAAGGGAAATCTCAATACACTACTGGTAAGAATGTAAACTAGTACAGCCACTATGCAGAACAGTATGGGGGCTTCTCAAAAAAACTACAAATAGAACTACCACGTGATTCAGCAATCCCATTTTTGGGAACTTATGCAAAGGAAAGGAAATTGTATATCAAATAGAGATCTGCATGCCCATGTTTATTGTAGCACTCTTCTCAGTAGCCAAGATATGGAATCAACCTAGGTGTCCAACGATAGATGACTGGAGAAAAGAAATGTGATATATGTACACAATGGAAAACTACTCAATCATAAAAATGAATGAAATCCTATGATTTGCAGTAATATACTATTTTACCGGAAGTGATTAATAGTATTAGCTTTGAAACCATACAGATTTGGGTTTAAGTTCAGCCACTGCACCTGTATCTGTTATCTTAGGCAAAATAATCAAATCTCTAACACTCTTTATTCTCATCTGTAGGTAAAAAGCCAGACCTGCTTGAATAATTGCTGTGAGGATCAAGTGACATAAGAAATTTAAGTTTGTAGCTTAATGCATAGTACCTAATAACTGCACACTACAGTTGGTTTGCTAATATAAATACCAAATGGCATTAAATGTAGGACAAGAGTTTTAGTAAAGATGGCATGGGGTATGAAAAATTTGGCACTAGCACAGATATTGAAGCATCAGAATGTCTACTTTGGGCAGTCAGAGTTCAGCACTTGGAGCTAGGCAGGGGATGGGGGAAGGAAGACATCAAAGATAAGCTTTGTAAATTTTTAAGCTATGCATTGAATTGGAAAAAGAAGGAGTTCTGTTCATATACGTATGCATTTATAGAGTGCTGGCAGTTCTTCATTGAATCCAATGATATTATTTAGATGAATAGTATTTATAATCTGTCTATATTTATCAGTGACTATGCCATAGCAATTTATGATACCTTGAATTTAGATATTTGATGAAGAGGTAAAAATATGCTGACAATCCCCTTAGGGCTCACTGGCACCTCAGTTATCTCAGTGCTCATTTGAAGATTCTTACTTGAAGATCAGTGTTTTAAAGTCTTAGAGTTTCTTCAAGCACAGCCTTAGCATCTCCTATCCAGAGTCCTTCTTTATGCACACATCTTTTCTGTAAGACAGTTGTCTGGGTAAAGCTTTTCGCATCTTTTCCGTAAGGATAGATTGCATATCTTCATACACATTAAGAGACATGGGTGGATTTAAACTTTTCACCTTTTTTATTTTTTATTTTTTTGAGGGAGGGTCTGACTCCCAGGCTGGAGTGCATTGGCAACAATCATGGCTCACTGTAGGCTCAACCTTCTAAGCTCAGGCAATCCTCCCACCTCAGCCTCCCAAGCAATTGGAAATACAGGCATGTGCCACCATGCCGAGCTAACGTTAAAATAAATAAATAAATGAATAAATAAATAAATAAATACATAAATACATAAAATATTTTTAAAAAAGCTTGTAGAGACAGGGTTTCCCTTCATTACCCAGGCTGGTCTCAGGCTTGTGGCCTCTAGCAATCCTTCTGCTTCAGCCTTCCTAAGTGCTGGAATTACAGGCTTCAGCCACTGTGCTCAGCCCAACATTTCACACTCTTATTCAACTTCTTCTCTCTGTATCCACAAAAATGTGTAATTAAAAAGAACTCATTGGGAGATTGGGAAGATATTGATAATCAAATATAAAATTAGTTAGGAAAAATAAGTTTAGGAGATCTATTGTTCAGCATAGTAATTATAGTTAATAACAATATATTGTGTACTTGAAATTTCCTGAGAGTATATTTTAAATGTTCTCATCACAAAAAAGATATGTGGGGTAATGCTTATGTGCATATTGCATTAGCTTGCCATGTATCACAAATCATGAGCTAACATAAAAATATATGATTTTTTGTCAATTTTTTTAAAAAATCACTAGTTAATTATTTTTAATAAGTGATTAGGCACGGAAAATTCATTTTCAATTCTTATGGAACTGTGGGTAGGTGTATTCATTTCAATAAAGTAGGAAAGGAAGCATGTGAGAGAGGGTAAATTTCTTTTTTGGTCTTCTTATCAGCTGGATCTCTGCCCTCCTCTTAGTCTACTAGGGAACATAATGAATCAGTTTCTGATCACTGGAAAGGCTATCAGGTCAAACTCCCATTCACAATTGCTACAAAGAAAATAAAATATCTAGGAACACAACTTACAAGGGATGTGAAAGACCTCCTCAAGGAGAACTACAAACCACTGCTCAAGGAAATAAGAGAGGACACAAACAAATAGAAAAACTTTCCATGATCATGGATAGAAATAATCAATATCATGAAAATGGCAATACTGCCAAAGGTGATTTATAGATTCTAGCTAGAGGATTGTAAACACACCAATCAGCACTATGTAAAAATGGACCAATCAGCACTCTGTAAAATGGACCAATCAGCAGGACGTGAATGGGGCCAAATAAAAGAATAAAAGCTGGCCACCTGAGCAAGCAGAGGCAACTCTCTCAGGTCCCCTTCCATGCTGTGGAAACTTTTTTCTTTGCTCTTCACAATAAATCTTGCTGCTGCTCACTTTTTGGGACCGCACCACCTTTAAGAGCTGTAACACTCACTGCAAAGGTCTGCGGCTTCACTTCTGAAATCAGCAAGACCACGAACCCACTG
Organism: Homo sapiens; assembly: GCF_000001405.40. Lineage (NCBI taxonomy): Eukaryota > Metazoa > Chordata > Mammalia > Primates > Hominidae > Homo > Homo sapiens. Next base: position 80,877,794 of record NC_000006.12, on the reverse strand, counting down.
GGAGGAACAAACAACTCCAGACGCACCACTCTTAAGAGCTGTAACACTCACTGCGAAGGTCTGCAGCTTCACTCCTGAAGTCAGCGAGACCACGAACCCACCAGAAGGAAGAAACTCCAGACACATCTGAACATCTGAAGGAACAAACTCCGGACACACCATCTTTAAGAACTGTAACATTCACCGCAAGGGTCCGCGACTTCATTCTTGAAGTCAGCGAGACCAAGAACCCACTGGAAGGAATAAATTTCGGACACACTACCATTGACTTTCTTCACAGAACTAGAAAAAAAAAGACTTTAAATTTCATATGGAACCAAAAAGGAACCCATATAGCCAAGACAATCCTAAGCAGAAAGAACAAAGCTCGAGGCATCACACTACCTGACTTCAAACTATACTTCAAGGCTACAGTAACCAAAACAACATAGTACTGGTACCAAAACAGATGTTTGACCAATGGAACAAAACAGAGGCCTCAAAAATAACACCACTCATCTACAACCATCTGATCTTCAATAAACCTCACAAAAACACACAATGGGGAAAGGATTCCCTATTTAATAAATGGTGCTGGGAAAACTGGCTAGCCATATGCAGAAAACTGAAACTGGACCTCTTCCTTACACCTTATACAAAATTTCACTCAAGATGGATTGCAGACTTAAACGTAAGAACTAAAACCATAAAAACTCTAGAAGAAAACCCAGGCAATACCATTCAGAACATAGGCATGGGCAAAGACTTCATGTCTAAAACACCAAAAGCAATTGCAACAGAAGCCAAAATTGACAAATGGGATCTAATTAAACTAAAGAGCTTCTGCACAGCAAAAGAAACTATCATCAGAGTGAACAGGCAACCTACAGAACGGGAGAAAAATTTTGCAGTCTATTCATCTGACAAAGGTCTAATATCCAGAATCTACAAGGAACTTGAACAAATTTACAAGAAAATAACAGCCCCATCAAAAAGTGAGTGAAGGATATGAACAGACATTTCTTAGACATTTATGTGACCAACAAACATGAAAAAAAGCTCGTCATAACTGGTCGTTAGAGAAATGCAAATCAAAACCACAATGAGATACCATCTCACACCAGTTAGGATGGTGATCATTAAAGTCTGGAAACAACAGATGCTGGCAAGGATGTGGAGAAATAGGAAAGCTTTTACATTGTTGGTGGGAGTGTAAATTAGTTCAACCATTGTGGAAGACAGTGTGGCAATTCCTCAAGGATCTAGAAACAGAAATACCATTTGACTCAGCAATCCCTTTACTGGGTATATACCCAAGGGATTATAAATCATGCTACTATAAAGACACATGCACACACATGTTTATTGCAGCACTATACCCTATAGAAAAGACTTGGAATCAACCCAAATGCCCATCAATGTTAGACTGGATAAAGAAAATGTGGCACATATACACCATGAAATACTATGCAGCCATAAAAAAGAATGAGTTCATGTCCTGTGCAGAGACATGGGTGAAGTTGGAAACCATCATTCTCAGCAAAGTAATACAGGAACAGAAAATCAAACACTGCATGTTCTCACTCATAAGTGGGAGTTGAGCAATGAGAACACGTGGACACAGGGAGGAGAACATCACACACCAGGGCCTGTCAGGTAGTGGGGAGCAAGGGGAGGGAGAACATTTGGATAAATACCTAATTCATGTGGTGCTTAAAACCTAGATGATGGATTGATGGATGCAGTAAACCACTATGGCACATGTATACCTATGTAACAAACCTGCATGTTCTGCACATGTATCCCAGAACTTAAAGTATAATAATAAAATAAAACTGAGAAAGCTCCTTACACAGCTCTTTCCTGATGTGATCAGCAGGTAGCAACAATGATAAGAATTCTGAAATCCTTTTGTTAAGTGAACATGATATAAATAAAATCTAAATCAATGAACATTGTTTCAAACACATGGGCATTTTTCAGAATGATTTCACGTGAATACAAAGACTTCAGAAGCTATCATTGAGTTGAGAGAATGAGAAGGTTGCAGATTCTTTTAAAATGGTTCCACAGAGAATCTCAGAAATTAAAATAATCATGCTGTTAACAACAGAATCTGAAATGGATTCTAAAAAGAATGAAGGGTAAGCATAAAAATGCAAAAGAGAGTCTGATAGTTGGTAGCTGTATGTAAAGGAAATATTATCTTCATCTGTCTCTGACATACAGAAAACAAGTGCCAGTTTTAAGGTTATTCTTCAGTTTCTGCCAATATAGATAAGCTTATTGGAGAAGGCAAGAATTAGCAAGTTGCAGGACAGGTAGGAAAGCAGAATAGACCAATTTGTCACTTTCAGGGATGGAGTGAGAGGATGCATGGCAAAGCCCTTTAAGCATGTGTTCATACTATTCTCTTTTTTAAATAACCCATAAATACCAGAATGACATTGCATAGAAATCCTTTAAAAATACTTTATGCATTTTTACAGTATTAGCTCTTTTTATTGACCAGTCTGAACAGTAAAAGTGTGTATATATACACATATATATGAATACATATATGTGTACATACATATAGATGTCTAACAGATATATACCTATATGTTTATAAATGTATATGTATGTATACACACACACACACACAAACATACACATATTTGTACACATATTTATCTTGAGTACCACTATGGTTCAAGTACCATAGACAATATCAGAAAACAGCAAATACACAATCACTGATTATGGAACCAATAGTCTAGTAAAAAACAGGCAATAATGAAATACTACAATTTTATCATTATGCCAACAAGAAAAAATACGAAGATGATTTAATTCTAGTTAATACATTGCCAGGAAACTATCCAGTTCTATTACATAAACATGATGAAAAAATAATATGCATAAATGTATCCAAATTTAATTATTAATGATGATGTTTAATGTATTGATTAATTGCAAGAATAATTCAGATTCTTCACGGCTTCCAATAATAAGTAGAATATTAAGCTGACAAAAACAACAGCATAGACAAGCAAAAATAAGTGTGACTATTAATCAAATCTAGATGGTGGAAGATTCTGCAATCTTATCAAGCATATGAGAAAGAAAAATATCAATATATGTTGACACACAATTTTGAAACTCTTACAAATTAAAAAGAAAAGTGAAAAACTGAGAAAAGTATTTATTAAAATATGATAGAGCAAGTGCTAATGTTTTTAATAGGTGTACAGCTCTGGCAAATAAATAAGAAACCCCCAGTATTTGAGATGTTCCACAAGCACAGGAATGAAAAGATGATTTTTCCTGAAAAGCAAAAAAATAATGAATAGCTATTCAAAAATTGAAACTTACCAGTACTCTAAAGTATGCAATTAAAAATATGAATAAATACATTTTATGTAACAATTATATAACTTTACATGTTAATAATATTTGATAATGTTATGAGAAAAATCTAAATATTAAAGATAGTATAAATTGATTGAATTTATTTGAAAAAAATTGACAGCACATATCCAGAATCTTGAAATGTTTATACATTGTCACTTCTTAGACTCTTTCTTCAACGTACAAACTTTAGCATAATATAAGAAAAAATAAACTTAAAGATATTGTTGCAAAATAATATGGAACATAGAAAAATAAGATTCATTTTCAGTTTAATATAGTGTTCTGTCTGGCTGCCTGAAGCTCTTCAATACTAGAATTTCAACCTTCAAAAAGTTACATGAACTTCCAGAACTAGAGTCATCCTCAAAGTGGAAATTATAATATTATCTAACAGGACAGTTTTAAGTATTGAATAAAATAATGTATGTTATTACTACAGTGCATGGATTGCTTATCCACAGTTGGGTTTAATAAGTTTTTCAACTTTTTTTTATTTTCATTGTTCTGTAAGACCGTTGTCATTTTGAATTTTAAAATTATAGAATTTAGTCCACATTGGATAAGTCACTCACTATATCATTTTGAAGAAGTTCCACAATTTCTTTGTACCCTAATTTTCTCAGTTATATAATAGGTACAACAATATGTCATTGATGGCACAAATTTTAAAAAATTATGTGTATATACAGAGAATTACTATAAAAATAAAAGGCAATATTAATGTTTTCTTTTATCTAGTCAGCAAATATTAATGAAAATTACATTGACTGGAAAAATGTATCTGTATCAATTAATGAATAAGGAAAATAAGAAATGTTAGTTAAACCGGGTTAGTAAATTACATAACAAGTCTAAAAAATAGAGGAATGGACTTTAGGGAATAATATAATATTGGCAGAAGAATGAATTAAATAATTTAATATGTATTTTCCATGTCTGATTCACATGGTTATGTAAGCAATAAACTTATCTCTTCTCTGACTAGGCCAAGAACATGTCAGGTTAAAAATATGGTTCTCCAAAATATTGGGAAAATTAATTTGAAAGACAATTGTGTGAGACAAATTGTAGTGTATATTGAAAAATAAATAAAAGTGTTTTATTTACCCTTTCCTAATCTAATATTAGTGGAGGTTAATGCTTAAAAGCCCAGGTTTACAAAGGAAAGTTACTTAATTATCTAAGACTGTCGATGTGGTTTGAAAGGCTAAGTAAAAGTATAATGGTGGAACCCATAATCAACTCTAAAAGGTAAGCCCCTAGGCCTCTGGAGTCCTCTTTTATCAAGGTCCAGTGACAGAAAAAAACTGCAGTGTACACATCTGCAAAAACACACAGCTAAGAAGTAACAACACCTGGTAAACATTCAGCCCTAGAAACTGAAAGGTGAATTTAGGTGAACCCAGAAAAGTGGATTATTGTTAAGAAGAAATTATTTTTATTTAATAATTATTTTCCTCTTAATTTTGGATGTAGGGAAGAGTTAACATGTAAGAATTTGTGACAGCTACAGAGACAGGAAAGAAGAAAGGAAGGGAAGGAAGGAAGGAAGGAAGGAAGGAAGGAAGGAAGGAAGGAAGGAAACAAGCAGGGCAACATACAGAGACAATTGACTTCTCTTATTCCTATCTCCAGGGGAAAATATTTTTGAAACTGAAAGCTCAGGGAGAATCTTTGTTAAAAATTGTATTTTTCTGAAAATAAAAAGGTGCTAGAGAGCTGCTCCAAGTTTGTGAACAACTGTGTTTATTTCTGATCCCTCAGGCCTGAGATCCTTCTTAGGTCCAAGATGATCAATTCAAGTAATATCTCCCACCCCTCTTTTCTCCCTGAGACTGCGTCTATATACTTCACAGACCACTTCCATACTTTTACAAACACACTTTCTCTGGAAAAATTCCCTGCAAGCAACCCCCAGCAAGAGCTGTGAATTTTCTTCTGGAAGTAACTGGCCCTAATTTAGACATTGGAACCTTGCCTCTGTACTCCAGCCCTCCTGCAGTGCTGGCAGGATTCCATAGCGCAAGAATTGTTGAAGCCAACAGTTCATGGACAGAGAGAGGAGCAAGGTTATTGAGTCCAATATTGTGAAAGGGAAAGGTCAAATCCGGTCAAAAAAAAAATCAAAATGTGAGAATGTAATCTTTGTCTTATGTGGTCTTCTACACTCCCTGCTGTATGGTATCTCAAAGAGACAAATGTTTGTTCATACTCTTTTGAGATTGCTGTCTCAGAAATATACATATTTGAGTTTCAAAGAAAAGTTTAGCTACACATATGTTTAAAATTTAATGTATGAGATACTTCTTTCCTAATGAATATTTTCTTTTGATTATCATCTCACTTAGGAGCACTTGGAATTTTGCTGAAATAAGACTGTAACAAATCCCTTTTTTACTCTACACAATAATGTGACAAATTGGCATATAAGATCTTTCAAAAACTAGTAGGCCATATTTATTTATCATTTAAGTTTTTTATTTCAATCGGTTTTTGGGGAATAGGTGGTGTTTGCTTAAGTTCTTTATTGCTGATTTCTGATATTTTGGTGCACCAGTAACCAGGGCACTGTACACTGTATCCAACGTGTAGTCTTTTATCCCTCCCCACCCCCTACATTTTCCCCTGAGTCCCCAAAGTCCAATGTATCATTCTTATGCATTCACATCCTTATAGCTTAGCTCCCACTTGTAAGAGAGAACATATGATGTTTGGTGTTCCATTCCTGACTTACTTCACTTAGAATAATGGTCTCCAGTTCCATCCAAGTTGCTGTGAATGCTGTTATTTCCTTCCATTTTATGGCTGAGTAGTATTCCATGGTGGGTGGGTGGATGGATAGATGATAGATTGATAGATAGATAGATAGATAGATAGATAGATAGATAGATAGATAGATAGATATAGATAACATTTTCATTACTGATTGATTAATGGGCATTTGGGCTGATTCCATATTTTTACAATTGCAAATTGTGCTGCTATAAACATGGGCGTGCAAGTATCTTTTTTTGTGTAATGACTTCTTTTCCTCTGGGTAGCTATCCAGTAGCAGGATTGCTGGATCAAATGGTAGATCTACTTATAGTTATTTAAGGAATCTCCACACTGTTTTCCATAGTGGTTGTACTACTTTATATTCCCACCAACAGTGTAAGAGTCTTCCCTTTTCACCACATCCACACCAACATCTATTTTTTTTTATTATGGTCATTCTTACAGGAGTAAAGTCGTATCTATTGTGGTTTTGATTTGCATTTCCCTGATCATTAGTGATCTTAGACATTTTTCCATGTGCCTTTTAACCATTTATATATCTTCTTTTGAGAAGTGTCTATTCATGTCCTTAGCCCAATTTTTGATAGGATTGCTTTTTTTTTCTTGGTGATTTGTTTGAGTTCTTTATAGATTCTAGATATTAGTCATTTGTCAGATGTATACATTGCAAAGATTATCTCCCACTCTGTGGGTTGTCTTTTTACTCTGTTGATTGTTTCTTTTGCTGTGCAGAAGCTTTTTAGTTTAATTAAGGCCCATCTATTTATCTTTGTTTTTGTGGCATCTGCTTTGGGTTTTTGGTCATAAAATCTTTGTTTAAGCCATTGTCGAGAAGGGTTTTTCCAATGCTATCATCTAGAATCTTTATGGTTTCAGGTCTTAGATTTAAATCTTTAATACATCTTGAGTTGATTTTTGTATAAGGTCAGAGATGAGGATCCAGTTTCATTCTTCTACATGTGGCTTGCCAATTATCCCAGCACCAATTATTGAATAGGGTGTCCTTTCCCCGTTTTATGCTTTTGTTTGGTTGTCAAAGATCAGTTGGCTTTAAGTATTTGGCTTTATCTCTGGGTTTTATATTCTGTTTCATTGGTCTATATGCCTATTTTTTATACTAGTACCATGCTGTTTTTGGTGATGATAGCCTTATAGTATGAAGTTGGGTAATGTAATGCCTCCATATTTGTTCTTTTTGCTTAGACTTGCTTTGGCTATGGGGGCTCATTTTGGTTCCATATGAATTTTAGGATTGTTTATTCTAGTTATGTGAAGAATGATGGTGGTATTTTGATGGGAATTGCATTGAATTTGTAGACTTCTTAGGCAGTATAGTCATTTTCACAATATTGATTCTACTCATCTATGAGCATGGGAAGAGTTTCCATTTGTTTGTGTTGTGTATGATTTCTTTCAACAGTGTTTTATGGTTTTCCAAGAGGGACATTATATAATGATAAAAGGATATTTTCCAGTGGGGAAACATCACAATTCTAAATATATATGCACCAAACACTGGAGCTCCCAAATGTATAAAACAATTACTAACAGATGTAACAAATTAGATGGCCACACAATAATATTGGGGGACTGTAATACTCCACTGACAACACTAGCCAGGTCATCAAGACAGAAAGTCAACCAAGAAACAATGGACTTAAACTATTCCCTAGAACAAATGGGCTTAACACATATTTACAGAACATTTTACCCAACAACTGCAGAATATACATTCCATTCATCAGCACATGGAACATTCTCCAAGATAGAACATACATTATGCCACAAAACAAATTGCAGTAAATTTAAGAAAATCAAAATTATATCAATTACTCTCTCAGATCACAGTTGATAAAACTAGAAATCAATACCAAAAGGGACACTCAAAACCATGCACATACATGGAAATTAAATAACTTGCTCCTGAATGATCATTGGGTCAACAATAAAATCAAGATGGAAATTTAAAAATTCTACAGCAAAGACAGTACTTGAGAAAGTTCGTACCCTTAAATGCTTACATCAAAAAATCTAAAAAGCATGAATACACAATGTAAGGTCACAGTTCACGGAACTGGAGAAACAAGAACGATCTAAACCCAAACCTGGCAGAAGAAAAGAAATAATGAAGATCAAAGCAGAACTAAATAAAATTGAAACAACAAAAATAAAAATGATAAAAACCTGGTTCTTTGAAAAGTTAAACTTTATAGACCATTAGTGAGATTAACCAAGAAAAGAAGAGAGAACATCCAAATAAGCTCAATTAGAAACGAAATGGGAGATATTACAACTAATACCACAGAAATATAAAAGATTATTCAAGAATAATATGCACACTTTTATGCACATAAACTAGAAAACCTAGAGGAGATGGATTAATTTCTGGAAGTATACAACCCTCCTACATTAAACCAGGAAGAAATAGAAATTTTGAATACACCAATAACAAGCAGCAAGATTGAAATAGTAATAAAAAATTGCCCACAAAAAAAAAAAAAAAAAAGCCCAGGACCAGACAGATTCACAGCTGAATTCTATCAGACATTCAAAGAAGAATTGGTACCAATCCTATTGAGAAAGAAATCCTCCCTAATTCATTCTATGAAGCCAGTATCACCCTAATACCAAAACCAGCAAAGGACATATTGAACAAACAAACAAACAAACAAAAACACTACAGACTGATATCCCTGATGAACACAGATGCAAAAATCCTCAACAAAATACTAGCTAACTGGATCCAACAGCATATCAAAAAGATAATCCACCATGATCAAGTGGGTTTCATACCCAGGATGCAGGGATGGTTTAACATACTTAAGTCAATAAATGTGATACATCATAATTAAAAACAAAATCACATGATCGTCTCAATAGAAGCGGAAAAAGCATTTGACATAATGTAGCATTCCTCTATGATTAAAATCCTCAGCAAAATTGGCATAGAAAGGACATACTTGAAGGTAATAAAAGCCATCTATGACAAACCCACAGCCAACATTGTACTGAACAGAAAAAAGTTGAAAGCATTCCCTCTGAGAACTGGAACAAGACAAGGATACGCATTCACTTTAACCACTTCAATTCTGCATAGAAAGGAAGTGCTTACCAGAGCAATCAGACAAGAGAAAGATAAAAAAGGGCATCCAAATTGCTTGCTAATGATATGATAAATGTATACCTAAAAAACCCTAAAGACTCATCCAAAAGGCTCTTAGAACTGGTAAATGAATTCAACAAAGTTTCAGGATACAAAATTGGTGTACACAAATCAGTAGTTCTGCTATACAGCAGATCAAGCTGGGAAGCAAATCAGGAACTCAACCCCTTTCACAATAGCTGCCCCCCCCCCAAAAAAAATACAAGCATGTGAAAGACCTCTGCAGGGAAAAAATAATATGCCATATTTAAATTTAAGGCTAGGAAAGGCTTTTTCAAACTTGAATAAAAAATCTTAAAAGGAGAAGATGATTGACTATGGTGTATATTATTTTATTTTTATTTGTGTAGTTTTATTTTATTTTTAATTGACACAATAATTGTACATATTTATGAGGTATATTGTGCTGTTTTAATATATGTACATATTGGCTAATAGTTAAATCAGGGTAATTAGCAAATCCATCACCTTAAATATCTATCATTTCTCTGTGGTGAGAACATTCAGAATCCTCTCTTCTAGCTAGTTGAAACTATACATTATGGTTAACTATAGTGACCCTACTGTGTAATAGAACACTAGAACTAATTCCTATCTAACTATAACTGTTTACTCATTGACCAATGTCTCCCCAACTCCCCCTTCTCCCTAGGCATTCCAGGCTTTGGTAACCACAATTCTATCCTCCACTTACATGAGATGAACTTTTTCAGATTCCCCATATAAGTGAGATCATGCCAGATCTGTCTTTCTGTGCCTAGCTTATATCAGTGAATATGATGTCATCCGGCTCCATCCATGTTGCTGCAAATGACATAGTTTTATTTTTTATGGCTAAATATTATTTCATTGTGTATTCATACCATATTTTCTTTATCCATTTTCCATTGATGGACACTTAGATTGATTCCATATCCTGATTATTATGAGTAGTGCTGCAATAAATATGGGGATGGAGATATTTCTTTGACATACTGATTTTCATTTTGATATATATCTAGCAGTGGCATTGCTAGACCATATTATAGTTCTATTTTTAATTTTTAAGGAACCTCCATATTATTTTAATAATGAGTATCTAAATTTACATTTATATCAACAGTGTGTGAGAATTCCATTTTCTCTACATCCTCACCAACACTTGTTATCTTTTGTCTTTTTATAATAGCCATTCTAACTGGAGTGAGGTGATATCTCATTACGGTTTTGATTTGCATGTCTTTGATTGTTAATGATGTTGAGCACTTTAAAAAATATGCCTGTTTGTCATTTCTATGTCTTCTTTTGAGAAATGTCTATTCAGATATTTTGCCCATTTTTAAGTCAGATTATTTGTTTCTTTGCTATTGAGTTTTTATATATTATCGATATTAACCTTGCCAGATGAGTACTTTGCAAATGTTTTCTTTCATTCTGTAGGTTGTCTTTTCACTCTGTCAATTGTTTCCTTCACTGCACAGAAGCTTTTTAATTTTGATATAACCCCATATGTTTTTTTCTTGTGTTGTTTGTGTTTTTGAGAATTAATTCACAAAATGTCTTCCCGGACCAATGTCTTGAAGCATTTCTCCTATGTTTTCTTCTAGTAGTTTCATAGTTCAGGTCTTACAGTTAAGTCTCCAATCCATTTTGATTTTTGTATATGATGAGAGATACGAGTCTAGTTTTATTCTTCTTGCATGTGGATATCCAATCTTCCCAGAACTATTTACTGAAAAGACTATCCTTTCCCCAGTACGTTTCCTTGGCCCCTTTGTCAAAAATTAGTTGACTGTAGATACGTGGATTAATTTCTGGGTTCTCTGTACTGTTCCATTAGTCTATGAGTCTGTATGTCAGTAACATGCTGTTTTGGTAACTCAAATTTTGTAGTATAGTTTAAGTAAGGTAGTGTGATGCGTCCAGCTTTGTTCTTTTTACTCAAGATTGCTTTTGCTATTGATGGTTTTTTGTGGTTCTATATAAATTTTAGAATTGTTTTTCTATTTCTGAGAAGAATGTCACTGGTTATTTTGATAGGGATTACATTGAATCTGTAAGTCAATTTGGGTAGTATGAATATTTTAATGACATTAATTCTTCCAATTTATAGACACAAAAGATATATTTTCATTTATTTGTGTAATCTTCAATTTCTTTCATCAGCATTGCATGGTTTTCATTGTGGAGAAATTTCATCTCCTTGGCTATATTTATTCCTACATGTCTTTTTTGTAACCATTATAAATGGAATTTTTTTCTTGATTTCTTTTTCAGATAGCTCACTATTATTTTAAAGAAATTCTACTAATTCTGTATGTCGATTCTGTACCCTGCAACTTTATGGATTTTTTTTTATTATTTCTAACAATTTCTTGGTTTGAGTCTTCAGGGTTCTCTCTATATAAGATCATGCTGTCTACCAAAAGGAACACTTTGATTTTCTTTTTTCCTATTTAGATGCCTTTTATTTCTTTCTCTTGTCTAATTGCTCTGCCTAGGATTTCCAGTATAATGCTAAATTAGAAGTGGAGAAAATTAGCATCCTTGTCTTAATCTGGATATTAAAAGATAAGCCTTCAACTTTTCCATATTTAGTATAATGTTAGCTATGGGTTTGTTATATATGGCTATTACTGTGTTGAGGAATTTACCTTCTATGCCTAATTTGAAATAATCATATGATTTTTTTCTTCATTCTGTTAAAGTGATTCACTGACTGTTGATCATATTTATGGATTTGAATATATTGAACCAGACGTGCATTTCTGCGATCAATCTCATTTGATTATGGTGAATGATCTTTTTAATATGCTGCTGGATTCTGATTGCTATTATTTTGTTGAGGATTTTTGAAACTATGTTTATCAGGGATATTGGCCTTTAGTTTTCTTTCTCTGTTGTGTCCTTGTCGGTTTTGATATCAGAATAATGCTGGTCTAGTGAATGAGTTTGGAAGTATTTACTTCAATTTTATTTAATAGTTTGAAAAAGGTTGATATTAGTTCTTTAAATGTTTGGTAGAATTCAGCAGTGAAGCCATCTGGTCCTGAGCTTTTCTTTGATGGGAGGCTTTTTATTACTGATTCCATCTCATGACTCCTTATTGCTCTGTTCAGATTTTCTATTTCTTCATGATTCAATCTTAATAGGTTGTGTCTGTCCAGGAATTTATCCATTTCTTCCATGTTTTCCAATTTGTTGGCCTATAATTGCTTATAATAGGCTCCTGTGATCCTTTGTATTTCTGTGGTATCAGGTGCAATATCTTCTGCTTCATCTCTGATTTTATTTGAGTCTTCCCTCTTTTGTTCCTTAGTTTGGCTAAATGTTTGTTGATTTTGTTATCTTTTCAAAGAACAAACTTTTTGTTTCATTGATTCTTTGTATTGTATTTTTAGTCTCAATTTCAATTATTTCTGCTGTGACCTTTATTATTTCCTTACTTCTATTAATTTTGGGTGGAGTTTGTTCTTGTTTTCCTAGTTCCTGGAAGTGCAATGTTATGTTGTTTCTTTAAGGTCTTTCTAATTTTTTGATATAGGCATTTCCTGTAAGTACTGTTTTTGCTCTATCCCATTGGTTTTGGTATATTTTGATATGTTCTATTTTCATCTGTCTATAAATATATTTTACCTTTAAATTTTAATTTCTTCATTGACTTATTGAAGAGCATGTTGTCTAATTTCTGTGTATTTGTATATTTTCTGAATTTCCTCCTGTTATTAATTGGCTATTTCATACCATTGTGTTCAGAAACAATACTTGGCATGATTTCAATTTTTTATAATTTGTTAAGACTGGTTTGTGGCTTACTATATATATCATATATCTATATATCTATATATCTCTCTCTATATATATGATATATATATATATGTTCTATCTTGAATGATGTTCTTTGTGCACTGAAGAAGAATGTGTGTAATCTGCAGCTGTAGGATGGAGTGTTCTACATATATCTGTGCATTTTGTCTAAAGCAGTTCATTCTAGTTTTTCCTTATTAATTTTCTGTCTGGATAATTTGTACATTGTTGAAAGTGGAATACTGAAGTCCCTTACTATTATTGCATCTATTTCTTCCTTCATGTGCCTGGGATGTATTTTGAATTACTAAAAATATGTAAAAGTTTTACCCTAGAAAAATTATCTGCACATATATGATAGAAATATTAATCAAAATGAAAATAAAGGGCTTTAAAAATAAATAAGAAAAATACACCAATATTTATAGAAAAAATGCAAAGTTATAAACTGATAATTGAAGCTCACTTCCAAAAATAGAAATTCAACATGGGAATCAATTGTTTTTAATCTATCAAGCTATCAAATATAAAAAATTGAGTACTTAGTAGTCTTGGGGAAACAGATAAATCAAAAAATTATAAACACATATAGGTACACCTAGTAGTATTATAATGATTTATAGATAATAATAACATTGGTATTATTTCACTTGTCCATAAATTATAATCACTGAATATGTTGTTGTTATTATTTTGAACAAACTGTTACTGTTAGATCAATTGAGAATAAGAAAATATAAAAGATTCTATTTTACCTTCATTTATTCTCTCTCTAATGCTTTTATTATCTTTATATAAATCCAAGCTTCTCACCTATCTCATTTTTCTTCTCTATGAAGCACATCTCTTAACATTTCTTACAAAGCAGGTCTACTGATGACAAATTTCCCCAATACTTGTGTGTCTGATAAAGTCTTTCTTTCTCTTTCACTTTTGAAGAATAATTTCCCAGGATACAGAATTCTAAGTTAGTTGTTTTATTTTTATTCAACACTTTAAATATTTTACTCCACTCTCTTTTTGATTACATAGTTTCTGAAGATAAATCTGATATAATTATTACTCTTGTTTCTCTGTATGTAAGAGTTAAATGAAAAATTTCAAGATTTATTTCTGTCTTTGATTTTCTGAAGAATATGTTATGCCTACATGTAGATTCTTTGATATTTATCCTGATTCATAGGATAGTTTTCTGAGCTTCATGAATTCACGGTTTGGTGAAGGTCATTAATTTTGGAAAATTTTTACTCAGTATTACTTCAAATTTTGTTTTAATCTTTTTTCATCTGGTATTCCCATTTCATGTATGTTATGCCTGTGTAATCGTCCCACAGTTCTTGGATATTGTGTTGCTTTTTTAAAAATTATTTTTTACTTACATTTTAATTTGGGAAGTTTCTGTTGAGACTCTACATTAGCAGCTGTCCTAAAGAACAAATAAGGTAGAATTGGCCTGGGCCCAGCCTGGCTCTGCACAATTAAGTTCATTCCTGGGCCAGGCTCATAAGAAAGGTAACATTCCACTGGAAATATTGAGTATGTGGATGTAGATTCCAACTTTCCTATCTTCTATTTATATTTTATTCTGTTCTCAAGTTCGTAGATGACTGTACTTGTTCCCAATTTGAAATATTTTAGCTCTTCCACTTTTCTTCTCAAAAATCTCACTTAGATTGGTTGACTTCTCTGTGATATTTAGGACGAATGTCCCATATGTGTATAAAATATGACTGTGTGAAGAAGCAGTGCCAACCAGTACTTAGAAGGCATAATCTGGAATCAAGCTGTTCAAGCTCAGATTTCACATTTTCATTTACAGGCTGTGTCATCACGGACAACTTAATCAATCCCTCTGTGTCTTGTTTTCCTTATTCGTAAAATTGGATAACAGTATCTGTCTAAAAAAATTGCACTAAATAACACCTATAATATGTTTAAATGAGTGTCTGGCTTACAGTAGGTATTCAACATATATTAGCTACTATTACTTTGCAGCTTTGGGAGAGGGACACAAAAGGAACACAGCAGTTAATATTTCCTCTTTGGTTTCTGATGTTTTCAAATTATCCTCCTCTCTTTTAGTGTACAGCCAGTGCCTTCAGAAAATAGGCTAGTACAAATTACATGTAAATTCCTATATCATTAGGTGCTGGGCAACTCATATCTAAATTTAAAATGAATTATACCTAAATTCTCTGTATTACACTTAAAAATGTCTCACAACCCTTTAATACTTCCCATTCCTTCTTAAATTGTTTACATAGAGGATATACATTTTTTTATATATGAGATCTTTGCTGTCTCTTACAAGATATAAAGGAGATAATAAATTATTTCCCTAAGGAATATTAGTTCATGTAGTTTGCCATTCAGAAAAGCTACATTTTACCTCTGCATTTTTTAAATAACTAAAGTATTTCCCCCAGTCATGAAAATAGATTTCCCCCAGTTCCTTAATATGTCATTTTAACTAAACTTTGGCAATAGAATTTTGGCTAAGAACTTGTTGAAAATCTTTTTATTTTCCAAAATTGAACTAATAGCCATTTGTTTATCTTTTCCAGATATTCACATGCTTAGTTACTTCAAATTTGTTCATTATATAAGAACAGACCGGGCCAGGCGCGATGGCTCAGGCCTGTAATCCCAGCACTTTGGGAGGCCTAGGCGCGCGGATCACGAGGTCAGGAGATGGAGACCATCCTGGCTAACACGGAGAAACCTCATCTCTACTAAAAGTACAAAAAATTAGCCGGGCGTGGTGGTGGGTGCCCGTAGTACCAGCTACTCAGGAGTCTGAGGCAGGAGAATGACGTGAACCCGGGAGGCAGAGCTTGCAGTGAGCCGAGATCACGCCACCGCACTCCAGCCTGGGCGACAGAGTGAGACTCCGTCTCAAAAAAAACAAAACAAAACAAAACAAAACCGAAAGGGTTAAAATTAAAGTGAATAATATCACAAAAGTAATAAACAGAGTTTTTGTTGATTAAATCCTAGGAGACGCCAGCATATTTAAAGAAACTTTTTTGAATTGCATAAAATGAAATTTTTTTAACTCACGAAAGTATTCTACTTTACTCAACAGGCAATAAATGGGAAAAGTATGCCACTTCAAATATATAAAGCTTGATAATACTATTTAAGTATATAAATCCAATATATCCCAGGAAGATTCTATTCTGTGACACCGAGGAAACCTGGAATTATTTGAAGTTCATCCTTATTGATAATTCTTTAACATTTCAGACAGGATAAAATTAGCTTCTAACATTTGCCTAGGCATAATTATACTTAGACATTCTAAATAGTGGGGAGAAATTCTATTTTCACTCAAGCCTTTGCCAATATTTTTGAAGAGCTCCATATTTTTTTTCCTGGAGATTTTATTCAATGGTCGTTGCCAAATCCATCGGTTGTTTAGCATCTAGCAGGAGTATTTTGAGGCTCTGGTTAGTTTCAGTTATGTGGGTACCAGAAAAGGGATGTAATTCTAGATATGCAAATAGTGTGAGATTTGAGTTACATATCAAATCCAAAGCTTTGTATATTTGAATTTATTTGTCTTTGGAAAAACAAGTCTTCCTGTTCTTGAAAGGGAAAAGCATTAAAACATACTTTATTGAGAAGGCAGCTAAAATTGGTTCTACATCAAAAACTCATAAAGCTAATATTTGACGATATAAGTGTAAATGAATTAAAAGCACATGGGTGAACATTCTCTTAAATACACAAAGTTATATGAAATAGGTATTTGGGTTTTCTTAGTCTGGCATGATAGAAAATTAATTTAAGATGACTGGAGCATCAAAAATATTTCCAGGTTCACTGGTTCCTCAGACATATGCTGAAAAAATGGCATTTTATTTAAAGACAGAATTCTTACGGTCTGAGGAACACTCATTTGTTTTTTTATGGGCTGGCCAATTGCAAAGAGCCTCTGGGTTACTTCAAAAATTGTGTAAGAATAATGAGGACCTACTGAATATTTGCTACAATTGAGGCAGACTCTTAAAAATCTAGCTCTGGATAATCCACGTGAAGCCTGTATGTAGCTCTCTACTTGTTTACTAAATTCATAAAATCATTTTCATAGTTTATAAATCACCAACTTACAATATACAAATTTTATTTAGAGTTCCTCTATGTCTAGAAAACTCTGATGTTACTTCTGTGCAATGCAGTTTGGTTGATGTTAAACAACCCTAAGAGTCACACAAAGCTACATATTAGTATATAGATCTTAATCTTTAATCCCTTTTACCTAGCAAAGTACCAAAGTTAGTTAGAGATATTGTTGTCAATGGATACAGCTTCATAAAAAAACACTAATTTCAGGATGCACATTTTATGTATGTGCATAAATACAATCCCATACACATACTTCTGAGATGCGTATAACTCTCAGTGAAGATATGCTAAAGTTTACCTTTTTTGCTGCACAGTCTCTCTTGTAAACTAGTCCAAGTCTCATTCCCGGAATGCTGTTCTACTCTCTGCCATTGCCTCATACCTTGCTTCTTTCTGCCCTTCTGGGTTCTCATTTCTTTTCACTTGTCTACTCTCTAAAGCCTGTTTAGCCTCCATGACCATATTCCAAACTATGTTTTTATGGAGATAGTCTAAGAACAGCAGGCTACACTGATTACTCCCTTTCCAAACTTATATATTTATCTTGTTTTTTTGCCTACATACCTGCTTATTTTACATATGTGGACAATCCTTCTCAATAAAATTGTAAACTTTAGAGTGCAAGACAATGCTCAATATTTCCCTTATGTTTTTCCCAGTGCACAGTAGGAGGAGACCTGTGTTTTCTGTAATTAGAAACTGACTTACCTGATGCTTACTTCAGTGATGTCCTTTTTTGGTTGTCGGAAGCTCTACCCTCTTCTTCCACGTGTGTATGAAAATGCTCCATCAGAAGTACACACAGACACACTGACATACACACTTCCGGATATAAAAAGAATAACAGGTCTTTGACAATGCATGGTATTCTCTACCCAGACTCTTTCCTACTGAGGAAAGAAAAGCTGCTAGTACAATGTAGCAATTCCCTGAGAAGGTCAGAGCCAATCTCTTTACTGATTTCTTTCCTCCTGTTCTCTTTTCTCTGCCCTCTTCATCATTGACTGCTGTTGTATAAATATAATATCTATTTTATTAACCTGCATTTTGTAGGATGGAATACTAAAAAATAAACCATTTCTTACTTCAAAGTGTTTTCCTGGTTGTATTGCGAATATTATTCATTGAAATTGGGGAAATTAACTCATTTTCATCTAGTAATTTGCCTGATACATTTGTTCTTACAAACTTTATCTTGTTTTACTCTTTCTTATTTGTGTGTTTCTGTATTTCCTATTTCCTTGTCATCTGCTTTTTTTTTTTTTTTTTTTTTTTTTTGGCAGGGAGAGATTCTGTTACCTTTGCTTTTATTATTTTCAGAGTTTTTTGGTTTTTGCTTTCCAGACTGAGTGTAACTGCTCATTGCAGCCTTGACCTCCCAAGCTCAAGTGATCCTCCCACCTCAGCCTTCCAAGTAGCTGGGACCACAGGCGTGCACCACCCTGCCCAGCCCCGTTTTTGCCAGTGTTTTAGATGATATGTGTATTCCATTTCTAATTCTACTAACTTTTAGATTTAAATCTTAAACAGTATTTCCAGAATTATGAGAGGCATTATCTGATATTTTAGAATCCTTTCTATTTAAAATAAAAATGTAATCTACCTTTACTCCGTACAAATTTCCACACTCATGCACTCATCTGCTCCTTGGTCTTCTTTAATATATACAGTGTGGTTTAATTCTGGGTTACTAAATATTGGCTTTTTATAAAATACCATTTTTATAGCTGCTTTTGTAAATTCTTGGTATCAGTGATCAAAACAAGGTATATGCAACATTTTGTCTTATTTTTCATTTTGTATTAGTCTCTCAACCCCCTTATGAAGTGGAATGGACATTTTACAGAGAAATAACTAACCTATATTTAAAATATGTCAAGTGCAATATATCTCACTATAAAGTATCTAAAGCTAAGTGTCCTAGTTCTTGTCACTCTGAGGTCTCTATTTTTTTTTAAGTGTTGAGGTTCTTTTAAACCAGAAATACCATCACCAGGACCCTTTTCTTCATGATGATCATTACAGGCATGCTTAATGACTAGGTGTGGATTGCTAATTCCCATGGCCTCCAGCGTCTTCTGGACTTCCTCATCAAATGTCATAGCCCTAGAACTTGTAGTTTACATTTAAGAGACATCACGACTAATTTTCCTTTTTCTCTCAGTAATAAGTGTTTTGCTTCAAATAACTTTTTTTTTAAGGAAAACAACATTCGAACTATATTTTTATTAAGTCCTAGCATATTAGAAACATTTCCCATGAAATATTTAACTTTATTCTTGTGCTTTACATAAATGACATTTTTAAAACATTTTCAAAAATTTTCACTGAGGTAACATTGACATAAAATAATATGCACCCATCTTAAGTGGATAAGTTTTGACAAAATCCAAAACATCACTACCATCACAATCAGGATATTACCACAAAGATTTGCAATCAATCCCAGCCCCAGTCAACCACTACTCTGTGGTCTGTCACTATAGATTAGTTTTCCCTCTTCTGGAATGTCATATAAATGAAATAACATGGTAGTATGCACCCTCTTATTCATGGCTTCTTTAATTCAGCATGTTTTTGAGAGTCACTACTTCTTTTATATATCAGAAGCTTGTTTCTATTTTTTTGCTGTGTAGAATTCTTTTGCATGAACGATACCAAAACTTTTTTTTTTTTTTTTAACAACTTACCTGTTCATGAGCGCTTGGGTTACATCCTTTATGGGGTGATTATGAATAAAGCTGCTAAATATTTATGCACAAGATTATGTGTGGGCATAAGCTTTCATTTACTTGGAATAAATACCTAAGAGTGTAATTACTGAGTTATTTGGTAACTGAATGTTTAATTTTACAAAAAACTTGGCTATTTTTTTTCCAAAATGGTCGTACCACTTTTCATTCCTGCTAGTAACTATTAGAGTTATAATTGTTCCACTTGTTCCCCAAAAGTAGTTTTGTTTTTTGCTGCCTTTTTTCAAATTTTAGCTATGTTAGTGGTTATGTAATGGTATCACATTATGATTTTATTTGCATTTCTTGATGATTAATTATATTGAATAACTTTCATGTTTACTAGCCATTCATATACTTCCTTTTATGAATTGTCTTTTCAAATAACTCACACATTTTATTGGATTGAGTTATTTTAAGATTTCTTTATATATTCTAGATAGAAATGTTTTGTCAAATATATGGATTGCACATATTTTCTGTCTTTAGTTTGCCTTTTCACTATTTTGCAGTGAAAAGTCCTAGCATACTATCGCAAGGACAGAAAACCAAACACCGCATGTTCTCACTCATACGTGGGAAGTGAACAATGAGAACACTTGGACACAGGAAGGGGAACATCACACACCAGGGCCTGTGGTGGGGTGGGGGGAGGGGAGAGGGAAAGCATTAGGAGATATACCTAATGTAAATGATGAGTTAATGGGTGCAGCACACCAACATGGCACATGTATATGTATGTAACAAACCTGCACGTTGTGCACATGTACTCTAGAACTTAAAGTATAATAAAAAAAAAAAGTGGAGAAAAAAAAAAGTCCTAGCATATAAGAAATATTTTTAAATAGCTCAAGTTTTAGTTTTGAGAAATCTAAGTTATTAGATTTTTCTTCTATAGCTAGTGCTGTTTTGTCCTAATTATTGTCTACTCCAAAGTTATGAAGATTTTCTTCTACATTTTTGTTTACTTTTATATTCAAAAATTAATTTTTTTCCTGTGTTCCTAATATTGTATTTTTAATTTTTTTGCAATTCTTTCAAGTTTGTTAAAGCTTAATATTTATCAAATACTTACAAAGCAGCAGGCATTTATAAATAAATTATATAAATTTCAAAATAATTCAAGTGAATTAAATTATTATTGTTATTCTCATTTCAGAAAAAAAGGAATGTGAAACATGGATAGTTTAAATGACTTGGAGCCCAAGGGTTCTCTTTTCTTCACATCCTCACCAGTAATGATAACATTCATCATTTTGGTAATAGGCATTTTATCAGCTGTGAGGTGACATGCAATTTTAATTTTGATTTGCATTTCTCTGATGATTAGTGATGTTGAGAATTTTTTCATGTACTTGTCATCCATTTGTATGTCTTCTTTTGAAAAATGTGTATCTAGTTCCTTTACCCATTTCCTCATCAGATTATGTCTTTTGTTATTATTGAGTTGTTTGAGTTCCTTATGTATTTTATGTATTCACCCCTTATCAAGTTAATGGTTTGCAAATATTTTCTTCCATTCTATCGGTTGCTTCTTTGTTGATTGTTTTATTTGTTGTGCAGAAGATTTTTAGTTTAATGTAATGTCATTTATCTATTTTTGCTCCTGTTGCCTGTGCCTTTGGGGTCATATTTAAAATATTATTGCCCAGACCAACATCATTGAGCTTTTTCTCTATGTTTTCTTCTACTAGTTTGACAATTTCAGGCCTTAGATTTAAGTCTTTAATGTATTTTGAATTGATTTTTATATAGTGCAAGATAAGGGTCAAATTTCATTATTCTTTATGTGTATAATCAGTTTTTCTAACAGCATTTATTGAAAAGACTTTCCTTTCGACATTGTCTGTTCTTGGCACCTTTGTCAAAAATCACTTGATCATAAATGTGCAGATGTATTTCTAGGCTCTCTATTCTGTTCCATTGGTTTGTGTGTCTGTTTTATACAAACATGCTGTTTTGATTACTACAGTTTTGTAGTATATTTTAAAGTCAGGTAGTGTTATACATCCAGCTTTTTTGTGTGTGCAAGATTATTTTGGCACTTCTGAGTTGTTGTGTATTCATACAAATTTTAGGAATTTTTAAATATTTCTATTAAAAAGTCACTAAAATTTTGACAGGGATTGCACTGAATCTGTACATTGCTATAGGTAAAATTGACATTTTAACAACATCAATTCTTCCAATTCATGAAAAGGGGTTGTCTTTTTATTAATGTGTGCTTTTTATTCAGTTTCTGTCATCAGTATTTTATAGATTTCATTATACAGGTCTTTTGCCTCTTTGGTTAAATTTATTCCTACATGGTTTTTGTTTTTGTAGTTATTGTAAATGGATTTTTTTTCTTTTTCAGAGTTTATGGTTAAAGGAATTCTACTAATTTTAGTATGTTGATTTTTCATCCTGTACCATTGCTGAATTTGTTTGACAATTCTAATAGTTTTTTGGCAGAATATTTACAGTTTTCTATTGAAAAAGATCATGACATCTGCAATAGGAACAATTTAACTTCTTCCTTTCCAATTTGGATGCCTTCCAATTTTTTTTCTTATCTTATTACTCTGGCTAGGACTTATATTTAATATAAATGGCAGGAGTGGGCATCCTTTTCTTGTTCTTGGTCTTAGTGGAAAACTTTTCAACTTTTTACCATTGAATATGATGTTAGTTGTGGGTGTGTCATATATGGCCTGAATTATTTTGAGGTACATTTCTGCTATTACTACTTCATTGGAAGTTTTTGCCATGAAAGAATGTTTAGTTTTGTCAAATGCTTTTTCTCCATCTATTGAAATAATAACAGGTTTTCTTTTATCCTTCTGTTAACATGATGTATTATTGTATTTATTTATATGAATATACTAAAATATTCTTGCATCCCTGAAGAAATCTCAAATGATCATGGGTGAATAATCCTTCTACTATGATATCAAATACTATTTGCTAGTAATTTGTTGAGGATTTTAGTATCTATGTTCATTAGAAACATTGACCTGTATTTTTTTTTCTTGTAGCACCCTTCTTTGGCTTTAGTATCAAGGTAATGCTAGCATGGAAACAAGTTTGGAAGGATTTCCTCTACTTAAACTTTTTGGAAGAGTTTGAGAAGGATTGTTATCAGTTCTTATTTAAGTGTTTGGTTAAATTCAGCAGTGAAGTCATCTGGTCCTGGGCTTTTCTTTGATGGGAGACTTTTTATTACTGATTCAATCTCATTACTCATTATTGCTCTGTCTATATTTGCTATTTCTTTGTAATTCAGTATTGATAGGTTGTATATGTCTAGGAATTTAATCAATTTCTTCTAGATTAGTTGGTATATAATTGTTGGTATATAATTGTTTGTTGTAGTTTTATGATCCTTCATGGTTTTGTGGTACAAGTTTTTAGTTGTTGTTTCTTTGTTTGGACAGCGTCTCACTCTGTCACCTAGGCTGGAGTGCAGTGGTGCAATCTTGGCTCACTGCAACCTCTGCCCCGCCAAACTCCAGCGATCCTCCCAGCTCAGCCTCCTGAATAGCTTGGACCACACGTATACACCACCACACCTAGCTAAGTTTTGTATTTTTTAGTAGAAATGGGGATTCACCATGTTGCCCAGGATGTTCTCAAACTCCTGAGCTCAAGTGATTCACCCACCTTGGACTCCCAAAGTGTTGGGATTACAGGTGTGAGCCACCACAACTGGCTTTGTAGTACAAGTTTTAATGTCTCCTCTTCCATTTCTTATTTTATTCGAGTATATTCTCTTTTTTATTGCTTAGTATAGCAAAGGGTTTGGCAGTTATTGTTTATTTAAAAGAAAACAGCTTCTGGTGTTGTTGATTTTTTATATTGTTTTCCTAGTCTTTTGCATTTATTATCTTATCTTTGTAATTTCCTTTCTTCCATTTGCATTAGGTTCTGTTTACTCGTCTTTTTCTAGTTCCTTGAAATGTGAAGCTAAGTTGTTTATCTGAGATCTTTTTACTTTGATGGGGGCAGTGATTGCTGTAACCTTCCCTCTTAAAACTGCTTTTTTTTGCATCTTGTAAGGTTTTGTATATTTTTTGTGCGTTTTTTAAAATTTATTATTATACTTTAAGTTTTAGGGTACATGTGCACAATGTGCAGGTTAGTTACATATGTATACATGTGCCATGCTGGTGTGCTGCACCCACTAACCCGTGATCTAGCATTAGGTATATCTCCAAATGCTATCCCTTCCCGCTCCCCCAACCCCACAACAGTCCCCAGAGTGTGATGTTCCCCTTCCTGTGTCCATGTGTTCTCATTGTTCAATTCCCACCTATGAGTGAGAATATGCAGTGTTTGGTTTTTGGTTCTTGCGATAGTTTACTGAGAATGATGATTTCCAATTTCATCCATGTCCCAACAAAGGACGTGAACTCATCATTTTTTATGGCTGCATAGTATTCCATGGTGTATATCTGCCATATTTTCTTAATCCAGTCTATCATTGTTAGACATTTGGGTTGGTTCCAAGTCTTTGCTCTTGTGAATAATGCCGCAATAAATATACATGTGCATGTGTCTTTATAGCAGCATGACTTATAGTCCTTTGGGTATATACCCAGTAATGGGATGGCTGGGTCAAATGGTATTTCCAGTTCTAGATCCCTGAGGAATCACCACACTGACTTCCACAAGGGTTGAACTAGTTTACAGTCCCACCAACAGTGTAAAAGTGTTCCTATTTCTCCACATCCTCTCCAGCACCTGTTGTTTCTTGACTTTTTAATGATTGATATTCTAACTGGTATGAGATGGTATCTCATTGTGGTTTTGATTTGCATTTCTCTGATGGCCAGTGATGATGAGCATTTTTTCTTGTGTTTTTTGGCTGCATAAATGTCTTCTTTTGAGAAGTGTCTGTTCATGTCCTTCGCCCACTTTTTGATGGGGTTGTTTGTTTTTTTCTTGTAAATTTGTTTGAGTTCATTGTAGATTCTGGATATTAGCCCTTTGTCAGATGAGTAGGTTGTGAAGATTTTCTCCCATTTTGTAGGTTGCCTGTTCACTCTGATGGTGGTTTCTTTTGCTGTGCAGAAGCTCTTTAGTTTAATTAGATCCCATTTGTCAATTGTGGCTTTTGTTGCCATTGCTTTTGGTGTTTTAGACATGACGTCCTTGCCCATGCCTATGTCCTGAATGGTAATGCCTAGGTTTCCTTCTAGAGTTTTTATGGTTTTAGGTCTAACGTTTAAGTCTTTAATCCATCTTGAATTGATTTTTGTATAAGGTGTAAAGAAGGGATCCAGTTTCAGCTTTCTACATATGGCTAGCCAGTTTTCCCAGCACCATTTATTAAATAGGGAATCCTTTCCCCATTGCTTGTTTTTCTCAGGTTTGTCAAAGATCAGATAGTTGTAGATATGCGGCGTTATTTCTGAGGGCTCTGTTCTGTTCCATGGATCTATATCTCTGTTTTGGTACCAGTACCATGCTGTTTTGGTTACTGTAGCCTTGTGGTATACTTTGAAGTCAGGTCGTGTGATGCCTCCAGCTTTGTTCTTTTGGCTTAGGATTAACTTGGCGATGTGGGCTCTTTGTTGGTTCCATATGAACTTTAAAGTAGTTTTTTCCAATTCTGTGAAGAAAGTCATTGGTAGCTTGATGGGGATTGCATTGAATCTGTAAATTACCTTGGGCAGTATGGCCATTTTCACGATATTGATTCTTCCTACACATGAGCATGGAATGTTCTCCCATTTGTTTGTATCCTCTTTTATTTCCTTGAGCAGTGGTGTGTAGTTCTCCTTGAAGAGGTCCTTCACGTCCCTTGTAAGTTGGATTCCTAGGTATTTTATTCTCTTTGAAGCAATTGTGAATGGGAGTTCACTCATGATTTGGCTCTCTGTTTGTCTGTTACTGGTGTATAAGAATGCTTGTGATTTTTGTACATTGATTTTGTATCCTGAGACTTTGGTGAAGTTGCTTATCAGCTTAAGGAGATTTTGGGCTGAGAAAATGGGGTTTTCCAGATATACAATCATGTCATCTGCAAACAGGGACAATTTGACTTCCTCTTTTCCTAATTGAATACCCTTTATTTCCTTCTCCTGCCTAATTGCCCTGGCCAGAACTTCCAACACTATGTTGAATAGGAGTGGTGAGAGAGGGCATCCCTGTCTTGTGCCAGTTTTCAAAGGGAGTGCTTCCAGTTTTTGCCCATTCAGTATGATATTGGCTGTGGGTTTGTCATAGATAGCTCTTATTATTTTGAGATACATCCCATCAATACTTAATTTATTGAGAGTTTTTAGCATGAAGGGTTGTTGAATTTTGTCGAAGGCCTTTTCTGCATCTATTGAGATAATCATGTGGTTTTTGTCTTTGGTTCTGTTTATATGCTGGATTACATTTATTGATTTTCGTGTATTGAACCAGCCTTGCATCCCAGGGATGAAGCCCACTTGATCATGGTGGATAAGCTTTTTGATGTGCTGCTGGATTTGGTTTGCCAGTATTTTATTGAGGATTTTTGCATCAATGTTCATCAAGGATATTGGTCTAAAATTCTCTTTTTTGGTGGTGTCTCTGCTAGGCTTTGGTATCAGGATGATGCTGGCCTTATAAAATGAGTTAGGGAGGATTCCCTCTTTTTCTATTCATTGGAATAGTTTCAGAAGGAATGGTACTAGATCCTCCTTGTACTTCTGGTAGAATTCGGCTGTGAATCCATCTGGTCCTGGACTCTTTTTGGTTCGTAAGCTATTGATTATTGCCACAATTTCAGCTCCTGTTATTGGTCTATTCAGAGATTCAACTTCTTCCTGGTTTAGTCTTGGGAGAGTGTATATGTCGAGGAATTTATCCATTTCTTCTAGATTTTCTACTTTATTTGCGGAGAGGTGTTTGTAGTATTCTCTGATGGTAGTTTGTATTTCTGTGGGATTGGTGGTGATATCCCCTTTATCATTTTTTATTGCATCTATTTGATTCTTCTCTCTTTTTTTCTTTATTAGTCTTGCTAGCAGTCTATCAATTTTGTTGATCCTTTCAAAAAACTAGCTCCTAGATTCATTAATTTTTTGAAGGGTTTTTTGTGTCTCTATTTCCTTCAGTTCTGCTCTGATTTTAGTTATTTCTTGCCTTCTGCTAGCTTTTGAATGTGTTTGCTCTGGCTTTTCTAGTTCTTTTAATTGTGATGTTAGGGTGTCAATTTTGGATCTTTCCTGCTTTCTCTTGTGGGCATTTAGTGCTATAAATTTCCCTCTACACACTGCTTTGAATGTGTCCCAGAGATTCTGGTATGTTGTGTCTTTGTTCTCATTGGTTTCAAAGAACATCTTTATTTCTGCCTTCATTTCGTTATGTACCCAGTAGTCATTCAGGAGCAGGTTGTTCAGTTTCCATGTAGTTGAGCAGTTTTGAGTGAGATTCTTAATTCTGAGTTCTAGTTTGATTGCACTGTGGTCTGAGAGATAGTTTGTTATAATTTCTGTTCTTTTACATTTGCTGAGGAGAGCTTTACTTCCAAGTCTGTGGTCAATTTTGGAATAGGTGTGGTGTGGTGCTGAAAAAAATGTATATTCTGTTGATTTGGGGTGGAGAGTTCTGTAGATGTCTATTAGGTCCACTTGGTGCAGAGCTGAGTTCAATTCCTGGGTATCCTTGTTGACTTTTTGTCTCGTTGATCTCTCTAATGTTGACAATGGGGTGTTAAAGTCTCCCATTATTAATGTGTGGGAGTCTAAGTCTCTTTGTAGGTCGTTCAGGACTTGCTTTATGAATCTGGGTGCTCCTGTATTGGGTGCATATATATTTATGATAGTTAGCTCTTCTTGTTGAATTGATCCCTTTACCATTAAGTAATGGCCTTCTTTGTCTCTTTTGATCTTTGTTGGTTTAAAGTCTGTTTTATCAGAGACTAGGATTGCAACCCCTGCATTTTTTTGTTTTCCATTTGCTTGGTAGATCTTCCTCCATCCTTTTATTTTGAGCCTATGTGTGTCTCTGCACATGAGATGGGTTTCATGAATGCAGCACACTGATGGGTCCTGACTCTTTATCCAATTTGCCAGTCTGTGTCTTTTAATTGGAGCATTTAGTCCATTTACATTTAAAGTTAATATTGTTATGTGTGAATTTGATCCTGTCATTATGATGTTAGCTGGTTATTTTGCTCATTAGTTGATGCAGTTTCTTCCTAGCATCGATGGTCTTTACAATTTGGCATGTTTTTGCAGCGGCTGTTACTGGTTGTTCCTTTCCGTGTTTAGTGCTTCCTTCAGGAGCTCTTTTAGGGCAGGCCTGGTGGTGACAAAATCTCTGAGCATTTGCTTGTCTTTAAAGGATTTTATTTCTCCTTCACTTATGAAGCTTAGTTTGGCTGGATATGAAATTCTGGGTTGAAAATTCTTTTCTTTAAGAATGTTGAATATTGGCCCCCACTCTCTTCTGGCTTGTAGAGTTTCTGCCGAGAGATCCGCTGTTAGTCTGATGGGCTTCCCTTTGAGAGTAACCTGACCTTTCTCTCTGGCTGCCCTTAACATTTTTTCCTCCATTTCAACTTTGGTGAATCTGACAATTATGTGTCTTGGAGTTGTTCTTCTCAAGGAGTATCTTTCTGGCGTTCTCTGTATTTCCTGAATCTGAATGTTGGCCTGCCTTGCTAGACTGGGGAAGTTCTCCTGGATAATATCCTGCAGAGTGTTTTCCAACTTGGTTCCATTCTCCCTGTCACTTTCAGGTACACCAATCAGACATAGATTTGGTCTTTTCACATAGTCCCATATTTCTTGGAGGCTTTGCTCATTTCTTTTTATTCTTTTTTTCTCTAAACTTCCCTTCTCACTTCATTTCATTCACTTCATCTTCCATCACTGATACCCTTTCTTCCAGTTGATCACATTGGCTCCTGAGGCTTCTGCATTCTTCACGTAGTTCTCAAGCCTTGGTTTTCAGCTCCATCAGCTCCTTTAAGCACTTCTCTGTATTGGTTATTCCAGTTATACATTCTTCTAAACTTTTTTCAAAGTTTTCAACTTCTTTGCCTTTGGTTTGAATTTCCTCCCATAGCTCAGAGTAATTTGATCATCTGAAGGCTTCTTCTCTCAGCTCATCAAAGTCATTCTCTGTCCAGCTTTGTTCTGTTGCTGGTGAGGAACTGCGTTCCTTTGGAGGAGGAGAGGCACTCTGCTTTTTAGAGTTTCCAGTTTTTCTGTTCTGTTTTTTCCCCATCTTTGTGGTTTTATCTACTTTTGGTCTTTGATGATGGTGATATACAGATGGGTTTTTGGTGTGGATGTCCTTTCTGTTTGTTAGTTTTCCTTCTAACAGGCAGGACCCTCAGCTGCAAGTCTGTTGGAGTACCCGGCCATGTGAGGTGTCAGTCTGCCCCTGCTGGGGGGTGCCTCCCAGTCTGGCTGCTCGGGGGCCAGGGGTCAGGGACCCACTTGAGGAGGCAGTCTGCCCGTTCTCAGATCTCCAGCTGCATGCTGGGAGAACCACTGCTCTCTTCAAAGCTGTCAGACAGGGACATTTAAGTCTGCAGAGGTTACTGCTGTCTTTTTGTTTGTCTGTGCCCTGCCCCCAGAGGTGGAGCCTACAGAGGCAGGCAGGCCTCCTTGAGCTGTGGTGGGCGCCACCCAGTTCGAGCTTCCTGGATGCTTTGTTTACCTAAGCAAGCCTGGGCAATGCCTGGCGCCCCTCTTGCGGCCTCGCTGCCACCTTGCAGTTTGATCTCAGACTGCTGTGCTAGCAATCAGCGAGACTCCGTGGACGTAGGACCCTCCAAGCCATGTGCAGGATATAATCTCCTGGTGCGCCATTTTTTAAGCCCGTCAGAAAAGCGCATTATTTGGGTGGGAGTGACCCGATTTTCCAGGTGCTGTCTGTCACCCCTTTCTTTGAGTAGAAAAGGGAACTCCCTGACCCCTTGCACTTCCCAGGTGAGGCAATGCCTCGCCCTGCTTCCGCTCACACACGGTGCGTGCACCCACTGACCTGCGCCCACTGTCTCACACTCCCTAGTGAGATGAACCTGGTACCTCAGATGGAAATGCAGAAATCACCCATCTTCTGCATTGCTCATGCTGGGAGCTGTAGACCGGAGCTCTTCCTATTCGGCCATCTTGGCTCCTCCCCCCTTGTGTGCGTTTTTTTATTTTTCAATTTCTCTTTTCATTTTTTCTTCAAACACACTGGCTCTTCTGGACTGCGTTGTTTAAATTCCACATATTTTTTCAACTTTCCAAAATTCCTCTTGTTATTCATGTCTAGTTTAAGACCATTGTGTTTGGAAAAGATAATTGATATGACTTAAATCTTCTTGAATATGTTAAGACTTGTTTTGTAGCACAACATATGCTTTGTCTTGGAGACTGTTCCACATGCCCTTTAAAGAAATGCTTATTATCTGTCTGTTAGATGACATTTTCTCTGTATATGTCTGTTAGACTCATTTTGCCTACAGCGTAGTTGAAGTTCAATGTCTTTTTTTTGATTTGCTATCTGAATAATCTATCCATTGCTCATAGTGGGGTATAGGAGTCTTTACTATTATTTTATCTCTCCTCAGATCTGTTAATATTTGCTTTATGTATTTAGGTACTCTGATATTGGGTGTACATACATTTACAATTGTTATCTCCCAGTGGAAATTGACTCCTTTGTTATTATATGATGACCTTCTTTGTCTCATTGTATAGGGTTTGACTTAAAATTTACTTTGTGTGATATAAGTGTAGCAACCTTTGCTCATTTTTTGTTCTAATTAGCAGGGAATATCCTTTTTTATCTCTTCATTTTTAGTCTTTGTGTGTCCTTACATGTACAGTGAGGCTATCAGCAGCATTCAGTCTGTAGATTGGATTTTATTTTCTCAACCATTCAGTCACTCTATGTATTTAATTGGAGAATTCAATCCATTTACATTCAAGATATTTCTTATTCCCCAGATTTGGAAATCTTTTGATATTAGTTCTTTAAATAAGCTTTCAGCTCCTATGTCTCTCTCTTCTTCTCCTTGAAATTGTGTAACTCAAATGTTTTCTCTTTTGATGCTGTCCCCAAAATCTTGAAAGTTTTCTTAGTTTCTTTTTATGCTTTATTTTTCTCTTCTGTGTGTGTTTGTTTCAAATAGCCTGTGGTCAAGTTCACAAATTGTTTCTTCTGCTTAATAGGTTCTGCTATTGATACTCTCTATTGTATTTTTATTTCATTCATTATATTTCTCATCTCCTGAATTTATGTTTGATTTTTTAAAAAATAATTTCAATATCCCTTTTAAATATCTTATTTGGTCAATTATTGTTTTCCTCATTTCATTGAATTGTTTCTCTGTATATTCTTGAAGTTTGCTAAGCTTCCTTAAAACATTTATTTTGATTTATTTGTCAGACAGTCTATATATCTCCATTTCTTTGGTGTCAACCACTGGGAGGTTATTGTGTTATTTGGGTGGTATTATGTTTCATTGCTTTCATGTTACTTGTTGCCTTACACTAACATCTGTGCATTTGAAGAATAAGGATCTTATTCCATCCTTGGAGACTGGCTTCTTCGGGGAAAGTGCTTCACTAGTCAGTTCATCCAAAGATTCTGTGCAGCCCATCTAGCATAATCCATAGGTGAGCTTATGGCTGGAGTCCTTAGTGAGGCTAGCCTGGTGCTCATGTCTGCAAGTGGCAGGCCTGTCACTTAGGTGTTCAGGGTTGAACTTGGAGAATGAATCCAGTGGGTTGGACCTGTTTTTTGTGTCCAGGAGGTGAGGTTTGTAGCTGGTTCTACTGCAACCTGGAGCCTTAGTCCATGGGGGCTGGCCTAGTGCTGTTGTGTGCCTAAAGCCTCAGTCCATGGAGACAAACGTGGATCCTGTATCTTTAAGGGTGATCCTGGAGCCTTATTATAGCTATGGCTATTTTTAATACCTTTGTCTTTTAACATGAATTCTTGAGTTAAAAGTGATTTACACACCACCATTACAGTTTTAACAGTATTCTGAGTTTGACTATGCATTTACATTTAACAGTGAGT
Source organism: Homo sapiens (assembly GCF_000001405.40). NCBI lineage: Eukaryota > Metazoa > Chordata > Mammalia > Primates > Hominidae > Homo > Homo sapiens. The sequence goes on along the minus strand of NC_000006.12, from coordinate 80,845,850 downwards.
TTTATATTTTCATATGTTTCATGCTGTTATTTAGCATATTTTTATTGAATTTGAAGAACTTTCTTTAGAAGTTCATGTAAGGCAGGTCTCATAGTGATAAACACTCTCAGCTTTTGTTTGGGAATATTTTGATCTCTCCTTCATTTCTGAAGGACAGTTTCAGGAGGTATAGTTTTCTTAGTTGACAGGTTTTTTTCATTCAGCACTTTGAAGATATCATCTGTCTCCCTACTGGCTTGCAAGATTTTTGTTTAGAAGTCTGCTGATAACCTCTTGGAGGTTCTCTTAATGTGATGAGACTTTTTTATCTGGTTGTTTGAAGATTCTCTCTTTTTGGACTTGAAAATTTGATTACAAGCATCCTAGAGTATTTTGTTGTTATTGTTGATCTTGCTTAGAGTCCTTTGAGTTTCCTGACTCTGTAAGTCCATACACCCTTTAAGATTTGTGAAATTTTCAATTATTTTCTTTTGGTTGATCTTGCTCAGTGTCTTTTGAGCTTACTGACCCTGTATGTCCATGCATCCCCAGAGATTTGTAAAATTTTCAATGTTTATTTATTTAAATAACCTTTTTTTCTGCTTCTGAAATTTTCATAATTTGTGTATTTGTGTGCTTCACTATGTCTCTTTATATTTTCTTTCTTCTTTTTGATCTTCTGTTATTGTTCCTCTAAGTAGCTAATTTCAAATGAACTGTCTTTGAGTTTACTAATTCTTTCTTTCTATGATTCCATCTCTTTTGGAGCTCTTTGTACAATTTTTTAGTTCTGTCATTGTATTCAGCTCTAGGATTTTTGCTTGGTTCTTTTTATGGTTCCTATTTCTTTATTAAACTTTTCATTTTGCCCACATTGCTTTTCTAATTTTATTTTGTTTTATATCTGTGTTTTCTTGCATCTCACTGAACTTAATGCAGATAATTATTTGAATTCTTTTTTTAAACAATTCATAGTTCTCTATGTCATTGAAATTGGTTATTGGAGCTTTATCTTAGTTTCCTCTGGTGAAGTCATGTTTGGTTGATTTTTTACTATGCATGTAATGTCAGCATTTGAAGGAGGAAACACCTCTTACAGTCTTGACAGATTTGTTTCAGCTGGTGAAAGTCTCCTGTTGAATACCAAGTTGATGGGATTGGGGATTGGAGGAAGATCATGTGGCTACTCTTGGGTCTGTAGTTGGCAGACCTGTTACAAGGGACTTTAATGGACATAGATCCTTTCTGGTCCCTGGATGGACTGGACTGCCTCTGGTACATTGGTCAGTAGGACTTGCATTAAGATAAGGGTCTGCTTGAGGGTACAAACAACATGTCATGTGAATTGATATGTGTGACTTCCTCTAGGTCACTGGAAGGGCTCCTACTCAGTCATTGGTTGAATCAAAGCTGCATCTGAGATGGGCCAGAACCAAGTCATTACCACCACTTCAGAGTCCACAGCTAAGCCTCGTCTGTTACCTGCCTCTGAGGTCAAATAGGCATGGGTACCATGGGCATTAGGACTGCCCTCAGACTGCAGCTGAGAGGGGTTAGAACAGACTTACAGTGCCATTTCAAGATCCAAAATGGGACTATGGCCAACAAGCCTTGTCTGTAGAGGCATTAATGGGCATGTCTCTTCTCTGGGTTCCTGTGGAGACAGCTGCTCATAGAGGGCAGTTGAAAGGAGCAAGAGCAAAATTTCAGGCCATTTTAGGATCTGCTGTGGGGCCGAGGTTGTCAAGCCTACCCTGGGAACTCTGAAGAGTGTGTCTTCTTCTGGTCCCTATATAGGCAGCACTGATCTCAGACCACAGCCAAAAGGGGCTAGAATCAAGTTTCAGGGCTGTTTTCAGGGTCCACAGCAGGAACACAGGTTGGCTAGGCTGTCACCTGAGGCACTTGTGCACATAACTCTTTCTAAGCCCCTTGGCAGGTGGTTTTGGTAGCAGGACAAAGATCACATGGGGCTATAGCCAAATCCACAAGGAGATGAGTCCATTTCTTGGTCTGGAGCGAGGACCCTGCAGCAGTAAGTCTGACACTTAAGCATGGGTTTCTCCTCTCAAAACACCCCTCCTAGTTTTTGGGCTCCACTAGAGTTTCACAACCTCCTGCCTTAATCCTAAGGCTTGCCCAAAGGCACTTTTTTGGTCCACAAATGGCTGCAAAATTATTGTTGCTATGATTACCAAAAACATGAACTATAGGCTAATTCTTTAGACATTCTAAACAGAGAACCTGATTATATGTGTACTGTTATTACAGGCATGTTACTAAATCTTTCTTGGCTATTTACCCATTGCCTTTCCACCACTCTCTTATTAAGACTTTAGAGTTCGATTCCAACTCAAGCCTACCTTCTCCCCATCTATGAGAAATATGTTACAGAGTTATATACAGCACCATTCAGGATGATTTTTATAATGTATTCCTCTCAATTCAAAAGAACATCCACTATTTATATTACTTTTAAAATCACAATTGGATGAAATTTTACTTTAGAACATTACAAAAGTGGTATAAAGTTTCATAAATTAAAATTTTCCCAGTTTTTTCTCTCTGCTTGTGACAATTATGTTTTACAATTTCAAATTTAACCACTTTTTTTTCAAAATGCCATTCAACGATGGTGACTATCCAAAGAAAATTTAAAATGAGAAATTTAATTTATTCTGCCCAGATTTAAAAAAATAAGTGAAATAAATTTTGTAATTTAATGCTTATTAAATTAATATTTAACATGATACCAAATAATACAATAATGTCACAATAATTTGAATAAATTAACACATAAAACTAGAGACCATTCCCTCATACATAGTATTTTTATTTTTCTTATAGACCTACATTTATTGCCAAAATAAATGTAATGTATTTAACTTTTATTTCATTTTAATTTCAATTCAATTCAAATTTTCAAATTGAAATGAAACACAATGTATTTTGAATATTTTTTCACAGTCTATATAATTCATAACCCTTTTGGAACATTTTAAGAGTAGTACCTAGAGTAACTCACCCCAGGAGACAAATATTAGCTTCTAAAATATTAGTTTTGAAGCCATAAGGAAAGTTTATGATGAAACAAGAAAATACATTAATTTCATATATAGATGGTTATGCTTACATAAAATATTTTCCTGGCAATGGACTGTTTATTCTACATATAAGAATTAACATAAGCACATATTAATAAAAATGGGCAGCCACATGATAGTAGATCTGAGGTGTTCATGAGATCCGTTTAATAAAAACAAGAGTTGTTTTCTATTTTCTAGTGGGAGCTGGACCATCTATCAGCAAGGGTGCAATTCACATCAGGATTCTAACTATTGGGTCGATGACTGACTTTTATAAGGCAGAAATAGCAAACAAACATTTATTCTTCAGAAACATTCTTTGGTGTTGAGTTCCTCCAGTTGTAAAATTCATATAATAGCTATCTCTACATGATGAACTCTAGAGATGCCTTAAATCATCGCCATTCAAGGTAAGCGAATGACTCTATGTAAAGACTAACAAAGTGACTTGGAATCCTATTTCTTTTTTAGAAGTTAAAATAAACATACAGACACACACACACACACACACAACTGAGATTTATGTAGCACTTTATCATTTTGATTTAATAGAAGAAAAAATTAAAAGTGGGAAAAAAATATTTGTCCCATTCCTCTATCCTAATCAGGAGCAGATCTTGTTCTATGGAACCTGAAGCCCAGATAACTGGTTAAGGGTGGATTAAGTCGTCTTTAAATAAAATAAAACAAAACTAGGTACAAATTTATTTAGAATGGGAAAAAAAATCATAATGATTTACCGAGATTTTAAAAGATGGCAAATGTCACATATACCAAACTACCTTTGTTGACTATAACTCCTCTCTAATATTGTTTTTTCCTACATTCTTTGGTTATATCATCTTTGTGCTCTTTGTAGTACAGCACAATCTCTGTAATATATTTCTTTAGAGAGAGACTAGGAAAATAATTCAGCCTGCAGCCCTGTGCCCAAAATAGGCATACTCCCTGAGGGGAATGTCCACTCACTTCTGTGGTCACTCCTTCTCCAGGAATTCTTGGTTGCTTGACATCTCTATGACACCTGCAAACCAATGTTTCCATTTTGTATATTATCTGCCTTTTCTACTTTTTCACAAAGGGAGATTTGGTCTGATGCACACTACTCTATCATACCTAGAAGCAGAGGCTCTCTTTACTTTTTGTTTTTTTCTTCACCTATTCAAGCATTTAGGCTATTTTTAAAAATCTTTTTAAAGAAACCAGTTTTTTTTTTAATTTTTACTGTGCTTTAATACTATGATACCATGAGAGATTACCGAAATGTACATATTTTTTCTCCTATACTCAATGGGCTTTGAGTTCTGTTGTCTGATTTTCATAGTTTTTCTCTTTTTTGCTTTCAGGCTTTTTGCCCTTTTTATAATTGCTATTGCCACCTCTCCTTTCAACATTTCCTCTGTAATATGCTATTTCTTTTTTTCCTTTTACTTTAAGTTCTGGGATACATGTGCCAGAATGGCAGAATGGTGATTATCAAAAAGTCAGGAAACAATAGATGCTGGCAAGGCTGTGGAGAAATAGGAATGCTTTTACACTGTTGGTGTGAGTGTAAATTAGTTCAACCATTGTGGAAAACAGTGTGGCGATTCCTCAAGGATCTAGGACCAGAAATACCATTTGGCCCAGCAATCCCATTACTGGGTATATACCCAAAGGGTTATAAATCATTCTACTATAAATACACACACACACACACACACACACACACACAGACACACACACACACATATGTTTATTGCAGCAATATTTACAACAGTTTTGTTTTTACTGATCAGTTTTACTGTTATTTTGCTTTCTAGTTCGTTATGTTTAATACTTTTATTATTTTTAATACGTTTAATACTTTTTAGTATTTATTTTACTTTTTTGTTTTTTGTATTTCTGGTTGGACATACTTTTTGATGCTATTAATTCAGAGTTTTTTGGTGATAAATAGATGTTAAATTTCATCACATGCATTTTTAAATATATTGAGATAAGAATACATTTTTTTCCTTTAGTTCAAAAGTATGGTGTATTACATGGGTAGCTTTTTCTAATGTTGACCTACACTTGTATTATTGGGATAAACCTTATTTGTTATAATTTAATACATTATAGCTTTGGCTAGATAATATTTCAACTTAAAATGTGAGTGTCTCTGTTCACAAGTGAAATTATATATTCTTTATTTTATAATACTTCTTATTTTGAATCAAAGTTATAGTATCCCCAAAATAAGAGTTGCAACTTCCCAATTTATCTATTTTTTCTTGAACAGCTAACATAATTTAAAGATTATCTGTTTCATAAATGTTTAGTAAAACTAACATGTAAATCAATATGAAAAATAGGGGAATTTATTGCCTAACGGAAAAGTCTTTGGTTACCATATCAATTTTCCAGTGGCTATTAGTAAATCCAAATTTTATTTTAAAAAATCCTTTTATTACCAATTTTGTCATCTATTTCTTTAATATATTTAATTATTTCATTTAGTCTACCAAATTAACTAGCATGTATTTACTCATAATGTAATTTTATTATTGTTCAACTTCTGCCATATTGTCTTTAATTTTGTATTTGATTTGTTTGCATCTTCTCTCCTTTCTTTCATGTTTATTTTTTCTGTAAATATTAATGATATTCCCTTCTACAAAGAATACTTAAGCATTATTTTACATCTGGGCCCATTATTTGTATTACATCCACCTTCCCTATAAGCATGTTGGCAATATCTAGAATTTTAGGCAATATCTAGAATATATCTAGGTGTATTTTTTCTCCTATCTAACTTAATTGCTGTAATAGATTGTAAAGATGACCCCAATACTTTCTCCTTTTCTGTCACTTTGCAATGTAAATTTAATGATCTTTCTTTCAATAGATAGAAATCCATAAATCTTAGCTTAGGCATATAACTTATTTCTTCAGTAGAATAAGGGTATAGAATCTTCTTGGTGATAATAGGAGGAAATACTTAATTTTTTAAGCCACTAACATTTTTACTGAATTACTTGAATAGTCTTATTTCTCATATCCATTGTTTCTTTTCTTCTTATTGAGACATTATTCAAAAGCATTTTCTAAGAGATGTTTGTATACTTCTGAGGACTTGTAGAACCCCCAAATATCATAACTGTGCCCTCATATTTAAATGGTACAGCTTTCTATTTCACTGTTGAGTATTTGATATGTGCATTCAATTCTTGTATCTTTATAAGTCATGTGGTCTTTTTTAATCTAGAAGCTTTTAGATTTTTCTCTTTGACTTCATTGTTCTTGAATCTCCATACAATCTGGGTGTATTTTTTTCCTATGTAACTTAATTGTTATAATAGATTGTAAAGATGATCGCAATACTTTCTCCTTTTCTGTAACTTTGCAATGTAACTTTAATGGTCCTTTCAATTAGTAGAGTTTATTTCTCTACACCTTAAATCTTGGCTTAGACATATTACTTATTTCTTCAATAGAATATTAGCAAACATGATACACACAGAGACCTGGCAACACTTACCTGTTGGGTTTTGCCCTCTTTTGCAGCCCTTGGAATTCTGAGACCACAAAACAAGGATGTGAATGAGGCTGAGATAACCTACTGGAGAGACCACAGGAAAAATAGCCTAACACCTGACAGATATAAGAGTAAGAGCATCCTAGATTAGCCAGTCTCAGTCAATCTGACATCTGACTACAGACCCATAAGTGAACCTAGCAGAGGTCAGAAGCAAAACTACTCAGATGATATAAATTTAAATTGCCAGCTCTCAGAATTATGAACTAATGAATGATTTTTGTTGTCATTTTAAGCCACAGAGTTTTGAGATGATGGCTTGTTATACAACAAAGACTAACTGATAAATTCTACTCTCCTACAACTCTTCTAGTCCTAAGATATTTCTGTAATTCTTAGGAATTATCAGTCATTTATTTAACTATTTCCCTACTGTTTATTTTTTATCCTCATCTGAAATTGCTTGTATATGGATTTCTGATACTACTATTTTATTTTTACTTACATTTATTTTATCTTTTCTATCATTTTATTCTTTTTAAAGTCTTATCTTTTTCTTTAATTTTCTTTTTCATTTTTTGATATCTTAACCTGATTTCCACCTGGAAAATTTGTTCCTCAGCTTACCTATCCTCTTATTTCATTGCTTGAGTTTTTTATGCCAACCATTTTATTTTTTATATCCCAAATTTCTGCTTGATTCTTTATAATTGCATCTTGCTTCATGTTAAAATAATTTTATAAACATTGTAAATTATTGATTTGTCTACTATATTATTTTTTATTTGTCTGGTGAGACCATCTTTTTTTGTTTTTATTTCATTTTATTTTTATTCCTCAATTCTAGTGAATTTTTCTATAATAATATTTTTAACTGGAAGTGTCAGCACAATGCATGTGCTCACTTCACCATCCTAAAAATATCTTACAGAAGTTTACACATAAGAAATGGACTAAAGTTAAAATAAGTAAACCTGGACTGAGGAACTATTATTGACATTGTTTATATGACCTTGGGGGATATATTCAAGTCAGACTCTAGCATGGTTATTTATCTGACCACAGGGTCAGAACACAACCCTCTTAGTAGGAGTGAGGCTTTTCTCTTGAAGAGATTGGAGATTTCCACGGCCAGTTATCAATGTCGAAATTTGATTAAAACTTAGCAGGCAAGTATTAAATAGGGAGAACAGAAAATATTCCTCCTTCCTGAAATGAGGACCAGCTTAGTAAGGATATGACAGGAGCCTATGAAATGATTCATGTAAAGCTGGTCTTGACTGTCTGATATCAGTCTTTGGACCATTGTTTTAGAAACTTCCCTTCAACTACCGCATACAAACATACAGGGCAGGAGGGCCAATAGCATGGCTCTGCTTCACTCAAGGCAGATATGAGAGTAAGGGTATCCATTTATAATCCAGCTGCCTAATTAAGGACATAGAGCTTTGTTTAGGAACAGTCAAATCACCCAATCCAGGCGATTCATCCATAGAAATCTTTTCAAAGTTATGATGAAAGAGACACATGCCTATTTGTGGAGACTAGTATAAGGATGAGTGAATCTAGTGACCACTGAGCAAATATGAAGTTGGGGAAAGCTTGCCTGAGAATTAAACTAACAGAGGAGGAAGCAGGTAAAAAGAGGAAGGGAAATATGGAAAAAAGTTAAAAAGACAGATTTAATAATAATAGACTAGTTTCATGCATCTGTGCTTTAAACCTATAAGGTTTGTTTGTTTGCTTGTTTGGTTTTGACTTAACCAAGTTCAAGTTGGGTTTCTCTCATTGCAACCAAAACGATAAAATAATAAGGTTAATGCAAAAATTGGTACCAGTTGTGAAGTGCCCTTAAAATAATGAACTGGCTCATCTCACGCCCAGTAGAATGTTGCACAACAGTGTGAATATACTTGACACTACTGTATTGTACACTTAAAAATGGTTAAGAAGGTAACTTTTATCTTATGCATGTATTACCATAATTTTTAAAAAAAATTAAAAGAGAAAAGAGGGTATGTTGATGTTGGACAATGAAGGAGAAACTTTGGTGGACATTTTTCTTGTTCTCAGATCACTAGTGCTTTTTAAATTTCTTCTTATGCTTGGAGAATTTTCCATATTTTCAATCATTCCAGAAACTCATTTTTGCAGTTTCCCCTATATGACTGTTCTCTATGTCATATAGGGGAAATGTTCTCTATGTCAGAGAGAACAGTCATATAACTTGGCTATGACACTTAACATCATCTTTGCAAATCTTCAATTCAAATATAATGTGAAGAAGCAGGCATTTTAATGGATGTGTTCCAGTAAGGGTGAGAGCAGATACATCAGTTGTCAAAAGTAGCCCTGACAGAAATGCCATGTTATGTTTTGTATTATCTGTGACTAGTGCTAGGTGTAAGGTCTTTAAGAGTGGGCCCTGTACGTATGATATCCATGCTGTTCCCAACTTGGAAACATCCACATCTGATTCTGTGCCTTTCTAAGCTATTTTGTGAGCTATCTAATATCTTCAATAAATTATTTTTCAGCCTAATTAGCTGTATGTTCTTATACTGAGTTTCCCAAAATACAGCAGTCTGAGGCAAAAGCTGGTGTACTATTAATTTGTAATTTATCATAACATGAAGTTAGTATGGTTGAAGTTAGTGTAACTTCAACTTTTAAAAACTTATTAAAAAGAAAAAGAAAAAAATAGTAAACTGGCTGAGTCAAGGTGGAGTAGGGAGTAGTGTGTTTCTCTCTTCCTGTAGGAAAAATTGGAAATCCTTGTAAAACAATAACATATTTATTTCAAGCTGGTTCTCTGAGAGCAAAACTGGAAAAAGACACAGTTATGCCATGAGATGTGACTTCTGACTAAAACTTTTCAAGCAATTCTTATTAGAGTTGGATTAATATTTATACCCCCATATGATCTGATTATTTATAGCATGTCACTCTAAAATTCTATCATTAATATATTTCTTTTACTTTTATTGTTGATTTCTCCTCTAGAATACAAAGCTCATTTTTCTTGCTAATACTTACTTACATCCTCTGAGCCAAAAGAGTTTATGATGGAATATTTTATCAACAAATGTGTTGACTTAATATTAAATTGCAGCAAATATAATAAATAAATTAAATATATCTTCATCTGGACCGTTTATTACTACATGGATCTGATTTGTTTTTTAAAAAAATTAAATTCCAAGTCAGCACTGACTATACTTTGATATTTACAAGTTAATTTTAATTTCTATAACGATTCTTAAGATACATATTAGTTTCTGTTTGTGTAGATAACTAAAAATACAGCTCAGGGTTTAAGAATTATACCTAATGTCACATAGTTAAAAAGTTATGGAGCTTTGATAGGAGGTCTGTCTGATTCCAAAGCTTATTCCCAATATGTCATTTTTAATGTGTGACTTTAAGCCACTGAAATATCTACTTCATTGATTTGTACCTCAACCTGCCCATCTTTGAGAATGATTCAATATCCTTCTATTTAGCAGCAAAGGAATATACATAAGAAAGTTTCAGTATAGGACCAATTAAAATAATGTTCAACTAAAGTTATAATCCCTGATCATTTTTACCACATAAAATTCTGAATTCTGGCCCCAGTAGGGTGGCTCATGCCTGTAATCCCAGCACTTTGGGAGGCCAAGAGGGGTGGATCACCTGAAGTCAGGAGTTCGAGATCAGCCTGACCAACATGGTGAAACCCCGTCTCTACTAAAAATACAAAAATTAGCTGGGCATGGTGGCACGCATCTGAATTCCCAGCTACTTGGGAGGCTGAGGGAGGAATATTGCTTGAATCCAGGAGGTGGAGGTTGCAGTGAGCTGAGATCGTGCCACTATACTCCAGCTTGGGTGACAGAGCAAGACTCCATCTCAAAAAGGAAAAAAAAAAATCTGAATTCTGTTTTCATTTTATTTTTTGTCTCTGAATTCCAAATAGTCGCTTACTTCCCTTGCACAGTCAATTCCATTTAAGGAAAAATATAGAAGCTCTGAAACTCTGAAAAAACAAAAAAAAAATGAGTATCTTTCTTTTTGTTAGGGTGCTGTGATATGAATTAGCTCATTATAAATTTCCCTCAAACTTTTTCCCTTAGTGATGAAATAATAAATATTGTAATTTCAATACAAATATATAATTGTCATTATTATCAGAATTCTTCATGCTTTACCCATGCAGAATTAAAAAGTTGCCCCCAAACAATTTTCAAGGGTCTCCATCTGTGTGTCTCAGAGTTAGGCCAGACAATAGCTAGACAAATGGTCATATCAAAGTAGCACCTTTTATAGAGAGGACTCCCTCCGCCAGTGGACCTGAAGAGACGGTCCTTGGATGTGAGATCATCCCAGAGAATACTGTTTGCCTTGCTTTTTTCTTTATTTTCTTAACCAGGAAAGTGTTTGTCCATGTAGCCATTGGCAAGGCCTGTTATCCCAAAGGTATTCTTAAACTAATAGTCCCAGTGTCAGGCCTAAGAAGAAAAGCAATTACATCTGAACCCTAAAGAAGTTTGTTCCACAACTTTGAGTATTCTTTATTGTGAATTTTAAAATTAGTTTTTCTTTGAAGTTTTCTAAAGCTTTTTTTCTTCCTATTTATATTTAGGCTCAAGTGTAATACTGTCAGTAAAAAAAACTATCCAATTGGTTTTTCTTGACCAAAAGTAAAATATGATTTGGGGTTGAATGGGTGCCTCACTTCTCTGAAAAGCTCTTCCATGGCCCTACACTGGCTTGTTTTCCTCTGTTCCTCATTGAAAAGTAAATGGTATAATTAGAGAACACCCTGAAAATAAGAATCGGCAGTAGAATTGTTTTCCTATGTGTTACCTGTTAGGATCTGAACATGCTTCTTCTCCATACAAGGACATTTAGAATTTCCACTTCAAAAATAACTGGACTGAAATTAGGAAAAAGTGCTTCCATCTCATTCCAACCTTTTCCCCCATCCTACGCTCCCCACAAAATGACTAGGCTCTATGCCTAAGAAAATAGTAACACACTCGCAAGTTGTGAAGGCTAAAGAAAATTACTATTCGAAATGTAATTCATTTGCCAACCACAGTTCAATATTTGAAACAGCTACAAATTCATCTGATTCTACTCTTACATTCGTAAGAATATTTTTAAAAAGCCTGAAGGCTCTTGTGCAAATTCTTCATAGAAGACTAGTTGTAAGTGGCAGATGAACCACACTGTCTTTCACCTTTGTGCCTTTAAATATGCTCTTATTATCTGGAATACCCGGTTGACCTGGTTGATTCTTATTGGAACTTAAACTCTCAGATCAGGTTCTCCTTTCCCAGAAAACTTTCCTTGCTTACTCTTCACTGTCCAGTTTAGTTACTTCTTCATTGCACTCATGTGGCTGCTACATTATTATTTATTATATTGCATTTTAATTGCTAGTTCATCGGTCTCCTATAAGAGACCATGAGATCTTTGAGGAAAAGTGCTGTGGTTTTGGCCATATAATAAGCCCCTCACACAGTGCCTAACGCATTTTACAGTCAATAATTTTTTGCTGCATGAGTATATTAGTGCAGGAATTATTAATGCATAAGTAAATTAATGCAAAAATTATTTATTCCAGATGAAGTCATTTCTGGTTGACTCCACAGCAAGCATTCCCTACCACATACCCCATGGTGACTTTTCTTAGGCCAACATATTTTCACTGGAGAATTAACTCCTCATATATTTTTAGTCATGTGAATTTGGGGGAAGTGATCCCATGGGCCCTTCAAGGAAGGGCTTAAACCAAACTGTGTAGTCCGTTCCCTGGTTAAAGGAGCTGCTCTAGCATATACAAATGACCTAATCAGAGCTAGCGAGATTTTGCAGCATATTGGAGACAAGGAGATTCTTTCCTTTTGCAAGACCTATTAAAAGAGATAATCCCTGTTCTAATGCACACATCAAAGAAGACTGAATACAGCATCAAGAGCTGATTATAACCGTCTTGTGATTGAAAGAGAAGAATATGTCTGAGGATGGACTGAAGAAGGCAAAAGCAGAGTCAATAATTGGCAAGACAAACCACACCCTGCTCATATTATTTGAGCATGGGAAAGAAGAGGTCCCTAGGGTTAGTTTCTGGTCTATTCAGTTGAGAGAGTCAGTATTATGTTTAAAGTATTTCTAACTATGTTTTACATTCCTGCAATATAAATAGTTCTTTTTACTTAAATAGCTCACCTTTTTCCACGCTCCTCTTACATTAGCTCAGTCTCCCATTTTATATAACATTTCATCACCAGCTTCAGGTCTCCCATAGTAGCATAATAGTGGCATAGTGGAAATAACATGGATTTTGAATTAAAATATAGATTTTTAATTTAAGCTCCACTCTTTTATCTGTGGACCCTGGGAAGGTCATTTTACCATTCTGGGTTTAATTTTCTTTTACTGTACCTATCTTAGAAGTTGCTGGAGGATTTATGAGATAAGCATATTTAACATTCCTAACTGAATGTGTAGGATGAAGAAATTTATAAGTTAATCAAAATCTTTGTTTTTTTCCTTGCAATTATTCTTCCTAATTTGAATCATTTAATAGGATGATACATCTTACATTCTGACATCTCAAACTTCTCCACTTCATTCTAGTACTTGCTAACACCTTAGAACACCCTACGATCCTGTCATGTCTCTCTTTCTTCTATTCCAACATTGTTGCCTTTCTTACCACTCATATTGTCACATCACAAATTTGCTTTTATTTTAAATGCCAAGTCATCAACTTTCCCAATTTCACATTCTTTCTATTGATCACGTCTCCGTTTAGTGCCACTTGCACTTGGTGAGTAGCTACTGTATACTAGCTTTAGAGACACACAGGTGAATAAGACATGATTTCCTGCTCTCAGGATTCTTAGAATTGAGAAAGAAATGTTCTAAATTAGATAAATTTACTAGACATAAAAATTGTGTGTGTGTGAGAGAGAGAGAGAGAGAGATGGAGTGACATAGGTATACCCTTGAAGATAAAGTAGAGTGGAAGCCAACAGTTGAGTTAGGAGGCAATCAAAGGGGGAGAGGATTATTTACCCTAGGTGATGCCAATGGAGATGGCAATAAATTGAGATATTATGAATATATTTTGAAATGTGAGCCAGGAAATCATGCTATTGGAGCAGATAAAGAGTGTGAAGAAACAAGAGAAATTAAGGACAGCACCTAGCTTTCAATAAAGAACATTTGCAAAAATATAATTGAACAAACCTGGAGGAAATAACGCTAGTGAAATAAACTAGACAAATACTGCATGACTTCACTTATATATGGAACCTAAAAACCTGCAACTCATAGAAGCAGAGAATGGAATGGCTATTGTCAGAGTCTAGGAGGAGGTAGGGGAAATGGTGTTGGTCAAAGATACAAGTTTTAGTTATATAAGATGAATAAGATCTGGGAATTTGTTGTAAAGCATGGTGACTACAGTATATAATGTTGTATTGTTTACTAGAAATTTGATAAGAGAAATTTTAGGTATCTTTAACACACACACACACACACACACAATGGTTACTCTGGGTGGCGATAAATGTGTTAATTAATTTGACTTTGGAAATCAATGAACAATGAATATGTATATCGAATCATCTCATTGTACATCTTGAATATATACAATTGTATTTGTTACCTAAAAGTTTTTAAATCAAATATAAATAAGTAAAATGTAATTGTTATTAATGAGATGGGTAAAACTATGGAACAGAAGCTCAGTAGATAGATACAAAAGGCAGTAGATACATAAATATATTTTTATATATACACACATATACATATATACACAAGTCTACCTATCCTGTCATGTCTTTCTTTTATTCCAACATTGTTACCTTCCCTACGACTCATATCATCATACCACAATTTTGCTTTTCCTTTAAATGCCAGATCATCAACTTTCCCACATTCATACGCCACGTTCTTTCTCTTGACCACATCTCTGTTTAGTTCCACTTGCACTTAGTGAGTAGTTACTGTATGTATACCAGCTCTAGAGACAAACAGGTGAATAAGATTGCAGGATTTGAGTAGAGATATACATTTGAGAGTTGTCTGAATATGTTGCTATTTAAAGTCAGTGAATCAGATAAGGTTATAAAGGAAGTATATCTACACAGAAAATTTAAGAAGCTCAAGATTGAGACAAGGACTCCAATACTAAAAGATTGGGAATATAAGTACATACACAGAAAAAATAACTAGAATTAAAAGTATCCAAATTTTAAGTGATCAGTAATAGATCTATTACCTTCATTTTGAGGACATTCTTTATCTTCTACCTATTTGAAAATATATAATATATTGCTAACTGTAGACAAACTATAGTGCCATGAACAAACACTATTACAGATCTCATTTTCCCTCATCCCTGGTTTTAGGATTTACCTCCAGGCTGCTTTACTCTCAAAATAAAACAAGTACTCAAAGGCTATTTATTAACCTAATGGATTATATTCCTTAAATACTTTTTTAAATCGAAACAATATTTTTATAATTTTTAATGTTTCTAGAATCATGTAGTTGAATAAAGATAAAGGTCTCAAAGGTCAAAGTTATAGGTTTATAAACAAAGGTAGTGTTTGAATTGTCAATTACTTTGTAAGAGCATTGCTAAAAATTGCTTGGGAGGCTAAGGCAGGAGAATCACTTGAACCTGGGAGGTGAAGGTTGCAGTGAGCCAAGATCACGCCATTGCCTTCCAACCTGGGCAACAAAGCGACATTGAATCTCAAAAAAAAAAAAAAAAAAAAAAAGCTACAACAATTTTCTTTTCAACCTATTTGTTTTATAAGAAACAGTCTGTACACTTATTTTGTATCCTGAAACTTTGTTGAAATTGTTTATCATCTGGAGGAACTTTAGGGCCAAGAATATGGTGTTTCCTAGATATAGAATCATGTTGTCTGCAAACAGAGATAGTTTGACTTTCTTCCTTCCTGTTTGGATGCCATTTATTTCTTTCTCTTGCCTACTTGCTCTGGCAAGGATTCCAATACTATGTTGAATAGAAGCGGTGAGAGAGGAAGGGATCCAGTTTCAGCTTTCTACATATGGCTAGCCAGTTTTCCCAGCACCATTTATTAAATAGGGAATCCTTTCCCCATTGCTTGTTTGTCTCAGGTTTGTCAAAGATCAGATGGTTGTAGATACGCGGCATTATTTCTGAGGGCTCTGTTCTGCTCCATTGATCTATATCTCTGTTTTGGTACCAGTACCATGCTGTTTTGGTTACTGTAGCCTTGTGGTATACTTTGAAGTCAGGTAGTGTGATGCCTCCAGCTTTGTTCTTTTGGCTTAGGATTGACTTGGCGATGCGGGCTCTTTTTTGGTTTGAGATGAACTTTAAAGTAGTTTTTTCCAATTCTGTGAAGAAAGTCATTGGTAGCTTGATGGGGATGGCATAGAATCTATAAATTACCTTGGGCAGTATGGCCATTTTCACAATATTGATTCTTCCTACCCATGAGCATGGAGTGTTCTTCCATTTGTTTGTATCCTCTTTTATTTCATTGAGCAGTGGTTTGTAGTTCTCCTTGAAGAGGTCCTTCAAGTCCCTTGTAAGTTGGATTCCTAGGTATTTTATTCTCTTTGAAGCAATTGTGAATGGGAGTTCACTGATGATTTGGCTCTCTGTTTGTCTGTTATTGGTGTATAAGAATGCTTGTGATTTTTGTACATTGATTTTGTATCCTGAGACTTTGCTGAAGTTGCTTATCAGCGTAAGGAGATTTTGGGCTGAGATGATGGGGTTTTCTAGACATACAATCATGTCATCTGCATACAAAAATTAATTCAAGATGGATTAAAGACTTAAATGTTAGATCTGAAACCATAAAAACCCTAGAAGAAATCCTAGGTAATACCATTCAGGATATAGGCATGGGCAAGGACTTCATGTCTAAAACACTGAAAGCAATGACAACAAAAGCCAAAATTGACAAATGGGATCTAATTAAACTAAAGAGCTTCTACACAGCAAAAGAAACTACCATCAGAGTGAACAGGCAACCTGCAGAATGGGAGGAAATTTTTACAATCTACTCATCTGACAAACGGCTAATATCCAGAATCTACAATGAACTCAAACAAATTTACAAGAAAAAAACAACCCCATCAAAAAGTGGGCAAAGGATATGAACAGACACTTCTCAAAAGAAGACATTTATGCAGCCAAAAGACACATGGAAAAATGCTCATCATCACTGGCCATCAGAGAAATGCAAATCAAAACCACAATGAGATACCATCTCACACCAGTTAGAATGGCGATCATTAAAAAGCCAGGAAACAACAGGTGCTGGAGAGGATGTGGAGAAATAGGAACACTTTTACACTGTTGGTGGGACTGTAAACTGGTTCAACCATTGTGGAAGACAGTGTGGTGATTCCTCAGGGATCTAGAACTAGAAATACCATTCGACCCAGCAATCCCATTACTGGGTATATACCGAAAGGATTATAAATCATGCTGCTATAAAGACACATGCACACGTATGTTTATTGTGGCACTATTCACAATAGCAAAGACTTGGAACCAAGCCAAACATCCAACAATAGTAGACTGGATTAAGAAAATGTGGCACATATACACCATGGAATACAATGCAGCCATAAGAAATGATGAGTTCATGTCATTTGTAAAGGCATGAATGAAGCTGCAAACCATCATTCTCAGCAAACTATTGCAAGGACAAAAAACCAAACACTGCATGTTCTCACTCTTCGGTGGGAATTGAACAATAAGAACATATGGACACAGGAAGGGGAACATCACACACCAGGGCCTGTTGTGGGTTGGGGAGAGGGGGGAGGGATAGCATTTGGAGATATCCCTAATGTTAAATGATGAGTTACTGGGTGCAGCACACCAACTTGGCACATGTATACATATGTAACTAACCTGCACGTTGTGCAAATGTACCCTAAAACTTAAAGTATAATAATAAAAAAAAGAACTTATTAACACAAAGAGGGAAACCACAGACACTGGGGTCTATTTCAGCAGGAACCATCGGAGGAGGGAGAGGAGCAGAAAAGATGACTATTGGATACTGGGCTTAATGCCTGGGTGAAGAAATAATACATACAACAAACCCCAGTGACACGTGTGTACCTATGTAGCAAACCTTCACATGTAGCCCTAAACCTAAAATAAAAGTTAAAAAAATTAAAAAAAATACAAAAAACAAAAAAGGTCTGAAACCTTATCAAACTTTGTCACTTATGATAAAAAATGTACAATGAATACAGTTATCTTTACACAAAACCAAAATAGTTTCAGCAGTATTGCAGTCAATGAAACATCCCTGAGGTAACCCATGTTCTTGAGTAACAGATCTTTTTTTAAATTCTATATATAGCAAAAAAGTATACGGAGGCCACTTATCTTGTATTTGAAGAATACAATATATTTTAGGAATTATACCTTAGAGTATGTGTTCTCCCAGAACATAAATTCTTAAATTCTACGACGTGACTGCCTGCTTAGTTTGATGCTTGTAGTTTATCAAAAATTGTTAGTTTTATTTAGATCTTACTAGGTACTAAGTATGAGATATAGTGTTAAAATGATAGAGTCCTTTCCTCATATTGCTCACAGTCTAAAATGTAAAATAAACTCTTGATTATGTAGACTCAAATGCTTCATTGTAGCTGATAAATGGAAGTCTTGCTAACATAATTCTCTTGTTTTTTATGGCTTCCTGACTCCCATATTGAGTTTCTCATTGAGTATCCTTCTGTTAGAATTTCTCAAAGCGTGGCACTTCTAATAGAAACAAAAACATATGAGGTGAGACACTAAATGCAGAACAACATAGCACCGCTACTGACAGTCCGTCCACCTCTGCCAGTTATTAAATGCTTAATGGAGCATCGATTACTCTGAGTTTCAATGACTGCCTTTAAATAAAACTTGCTTTTAGAAATGTCTTTAATAGATGTAACTATTCTATAAAAGGTCAACAGTATTCACTAATTCGTTGGTTAAATAGTACAACAGAGAAGGCTTTGCTGAAAAAGTGATTAGTAAAGGAAGTGAAGGGCCAAATTATCTTAGGGGAAATGGTTCCAGGCAGAGAAAACAACAGCAAAAGCATTGAGGCTAGAATTTGTGTGGAGTTTGAAGAATGCCAAGGAGAACAGTGTGGCTAGAGCAGAAGCAACATGAAAGAAGCAGCAGATGGTAGAGCACAGATGGATCAGAGGTGAGATTGGTAGGCATGGGAAAAATCTGAGTTTGCTTTAAGTGTGTTGGGAGGCCACTGGAGAATTTTGAGCAGGAGCATTGCATGATTGGACCCATGTTTTAAACTTTTGAAGAATCATTCTGTCTGATGTGTTGAGAAAATGCTCAAAGGAAACAATCATAGTAGCCGGAGACCAGTTAGGAGACTGCTACAATGATCCAGAAGAAAAACGACAGCAGTAGCAGTACAAGTGGTGAAAATGGTCAGTTTCTGAATGTATTTTGAGTAAATTTGATGGAAATTGCTGACGGATTAAATATGAAGATTAAAAGAAAACAAAGGAAAATCATTCCAAGATTTTGTGTCTGAGAAATAGAAAGAGTAGCTATTGTGGTCAGGAAGACTCAGGAGGTGTTAATTTGAGGTTAGTTTAAGTGATTAAGTTTTGTTCCCTTTCAAATTGAGATGCTTATTAAATATTCAAGTAAAAATCTTAGAGAGATACATGTACAGATATTATATCAAAAATTGTTCAAATAAAAATGTTATTAAGAACCATAGGATTAAATGAGTTCACCAGGGAAAGGAATGCAAATAGAGAAAGTGATCCATGAGGAGTGGCAATGGACAGAGGTCAGGCTGATGAGGTATTAGCAAAAGGAACTGAGATTAAGTGACCAATGAGATGGGTAAAAAACCAAGGGGACATAGTGTCATTAGTATTGCCATAAGTATCAATGTCATCTTCAATAACATTAATCAAACACTACTGTATACCAGGAATAGTGTAAATGTTATTAATCAATTATTTCAACTAACTACCATGGAGGAGGTACTATTGTGATCTACACAACAATTAAGTAATTTTTCCCAGGTCAAACAGATGAAAAATAGAAAAGTCAAAATTTTTTTTTCTTTTATTATTATTATTATTATACTTTAAGTTTTAGGGTACATGTGCACAATGTGCAGGTTAGTTACATATGTATACATGTGCCATGCTGGTGCGCTGCACCCACTAACTCGTCATCTAGCATTAGGTATATCTCCCAGTGCTATCCCTCCCCGCTCTCCCCACCCCACAACAGTACCCAGAGTGTGATGTTCCCCTTCCTGTGTCCATGTGTCCTCATTGTTCAATTCCCACCTATGAGTGAGAATATGCAGTGTTTGGTTTTTTGTTCTTGCAATAGTTTATTGAGAATGATGATTTCCAATTTCATCCATGTCCCTACAAAGGACATGAACTCATCATTTTTTATGGCTGCTAGTATTCCATGGTGTATATGTGCCACATTTTCTTAACCCAGTCTATCATTGTTGGACATCTGGGTTGGTTCCAAGTCTTTGCTATTGTGAATAATGCCGCAATAAACATACGTGTGCATGTGTCTTTATAGCAGCATGATTTATAGTCCTTTGGGTATATACCCAGTAATGGGATGGCTGGGTCAAAAGGTATTTCTAGTTCTAGATCCCTGAGGAATCGCCACACTGACTTCCACAATGGTTGAACTAGTTTACAGTCCCACCAACAGTGTCAATGTGTTCCTATTTCTCCACATCCTCTCCAGCACCTGTTATTTCCTGACTTTTTAATGATTGCCATTCTAACTGGTGTGAGATGGTATCTCATTATGGTTTTGATTTGCATTTCTCTGATGGCCTGTGATGGTGAGCATTTTTTCTTGTGTTTTTTGGCTGCATAAATGTCTTCTTTTGAGAAGTGTCTGTTCATGTCCTATGCCCACTTTTTGATGGGGTTGTTTTTTTCTTGTAAATTTGTTGGAGTTCATTGTAGATTCTGGATATTAGCCCTTTGTCAGATGAGTAGGTTGTGAAAATTTTCTCCCATTTTGTAGGTTGCCTGTTCACTCTGATGGTAGTTTCTTTTGCTGTGCAGAAGCTCTTTAGTTTAATTAGATCCCATTTGTCAATTTTGGCTTTTGTTGCCATTGCTTTTGGTGTTTTAGACATGAAGTCCTTGCCCATGCCTATGTCCTGAATGGTAATGCCTAGGTTTTCTTCTAGGGTTTTTATGGTTTTAGGTCTAACGTTTAAGTCTTTAATCCATCTTGAATTGATTTTTGTATAAGGTGTAAGGAAGGGATCCAGTTTCATCTTTCTACATATGGCTAGCCAGTTTTCCCAGCACCATTTATTAAATAGGGAATCCTTTCCCCATTGCTTGTTTTTCTCAGATTTGTCAAAGATCAGATAGTTGTAGATATGCAGCGTTATTTGTGAGGGCTCTGTTCTGTTCCATTGATCTATATCTCTGTTTTGGTACCAGTACCATGCTGTTTTGGTTACTGTAGCCTTGTAGTATAGTTTGAAGTCAGGTAGTGTGATGCCTCCAGCTTTGTTCTTTTGGCTCAGGATTGACTTGGTGATGTGGGCTGTTTTTTGGTTCCATATGAACTTTAAAGTCGTTTTTTCCACTTCTGTGAAGAAAGTCATTGGTAGCTTGATGGGGATGGCATTGAATCTGTAAATTACCTTGGGCAGTATGGCCATTTTCACGATATTGATTTTTCCTACCCATGAGCATGGAATGTTCTTCCGTTTGTTTGTATCCTCTTTTATTTCATTGAGCAGTGGTTTGTAGTTCTCCTTGAAGAGGTCCTTCACATCCTTGTAAGTTGGATTCCTAGGTATTTTATTCTCTTTGAAGCAATTGTGAATGGGAGTTCACTCATGATTTGGCTCTCTGTTTGTCTGTTATTGGTGTATAAGAATGCTTGTGATTTTTGTACATTGATTTTGTATCCTGAGACTTTGGTGAAGTTGCTTATCAGCTTAAGGAGATTTTGGGCTGAGACAATGGGGTTTTCTAGATATACAATCAATCATGTCGTCTGCAAACAGGGACAATTTGACTTCCTCTTTTCCTAATTGAATAACCTTTATTTCCTTCTCCTGCCTAATTGCTCTGGCCAGAACTTCCAACACTATGTTGAATAGGAGTGGTGAGAGAGGGCATCCCTGTCTTGTGCCAGTTTTCAAAGGGAATGCTTCCAGTTTTTGCCCATTCAGTATGATATTGGCTGTGGGTTTGTCATAGATAGCTCTTATTATTTTGAGATACGTCTGATCAATACCTAACTTATTGAGAGTTTTTAGCATGAAGGGCTGTTGAATTTTGTCAAAGGCCTTTTCTGCATCTATTGAGATAAACATGTGGTTTTTGTCTTTGGTTCTGTTTATATGCTGGATTACATTTATTGATTTGCGTATATTGAACCAGCCTTGCATCCCAGGGATGAAGCCCACTTGATCATGGTGGATAAGCTTTTTGATGTGCTGCTGGATTCGGTTTGCCAGTATTTTATTGAGGATTTTTGCATCAATGTTCATCAAGAATATTGGTCTAAAATTCTCTTTTTTGGTTGTGTCTCTGCCCAGCTTTGGTACCAGGGTGATGCTGGCCTCATAAAATGAGTTAGGGAGGATTCCCTCTTTTTCTATTGATTGCAATAGTTTCAGAAGGAATGGTACTAGTTCCTCCTTGTACCTCTGGTAGAATTCGGCTGTGAATCCATCTGGTCCTGGACTCTTTTTCGTTGGTAAGCTATTGATTATTGCCACAATTTCAGCTCCTGTTATTGGTCGAGGTGTTTGTAGTATTCTCTGATGGTAGTTTGTATTTCTGTGGGATCAGTGGTGATATCCCCTTTATCATTTTTTATTGTGTCTATTTGATTCTTCTCTCTTTTTTTTCCTTATTAGTCTTGCTAGTGGTCTATCAATTTTGTTGATCCTTTCAAAAAACCAGCTCCTGGATTCGTTAATTTTTTGAAGTGTTTTTTGTGTCTATTTCCTTCAGTTCTGCTCTGATTTTAGTTATTTCTTGCCTTCTGCTAGCTTTTGAATGTGTTTGCTCTCGCTTTTCTAGTTCTTTTAATTGTGATGTTAGGGTGTCAATTTTGGATCTTTCCTGCTTTCTCTTGTGGGCATTTAGTGCTATAAATTTCCCTCTACACACTGCTTTGAATGCATCCCAGAGATTCTGGTACATTGTATCTTTGTTCTCGTTGGTTTCAAAGAACATCTTTATTTCTGCCTTCATTTCGTTATGTACCCAGTAGTCATTCAGGAGCAGGTTGTTCAGTTTCCATGTAGTTGAGCAGTTTTGAGTGAGATTCTTAATCCTGAGTTCTAGTTTGATTGCACTGTGGTCTGAGAGATAGTTTGTTATAATTTCTGTTCTTTTACATTTGCTGACGAGAGCTTTACTTCCAAGTATGTGGTCAGTTTTGGAATAGGTGTGGTGTGGTGCTGAAGAAAATGTATATTCTGTTGATTTGGAGTGGAGAGTTCTGTAGATGTCTATTAGGTCTGCTTGGTGCAGAGCTGAGTTCAATTCCTGGGTATCCTTGTTGACTTTCTGTCTCGTTGATCTGTCTAATGTTGACAGTGGGGTGTTAAGGTCTCCAATTATTATTGTGTGGGAGTCTAAGTCTCTTTGTAGGTCACTCAGGACTTGCTTTATGAATCTGGGTGCTCCTGTATTGGGGGCATGTATATTTAGGACAGTTAGCTCTTCTTGTTGAATTGATCCCTTTACCATTAAGTAATGGCCTTCTTTGTCTCTTTTGATCTTTGTTGGTTTAAAGTCTGTTTTTTCAGAGACTAGGATTGCAATCCCTGCATTTTTTTGTTTTCCATTTGCTTGGTAGATCTTCCTCCATCCTTTTATTTTGAGCTTATGTGTGTCTCTGCCCATGAGATGGGTTTCCTGAATACAGCACACTGATGGGTCGTGACTCTTTATCCAATTTGCCAGTCTGTGTCTTTTAATTGGAGCATTTAGTCCATTTACATTTAAAGTTAATATTGTTATGTGTGAATTTGATCCTGTCATTATGATGTTAGCTGGTTATTTTGCTCGTTAGTTGATGCAGTTTCTTCCTAGTCTCGATGGTCTTTACATTTTGGCATGCTTTTTCAGCGGCTGGTACTGGTTGTTCCTTTCCATGTTTAGCGCTTCCCTCAGGAGCTCTTTTAGGGCAGGCCTGGTGGTGACAAAATCTCTCAGCATTTGCTTGTCTGTAAAGGATTTTATTTCTCCTTCACTTATGAAGCTTAGTTTGGCTGGATATGAAATTCTGGGTTGAAAATTCTTCTCTTGAAGAATGTTGAATATTGGCCCCCACTCTCTTCTGGCTTGTAGAGTTTCTGCCAAGAGATCCGCTGTTAGTCTGATGGGCTTCCCTTTGAGGGTAACCCGACCTTTCTCTCTGGCTGCCCTTAACATTTTTTCCTTCATTTCAACTTTGGTGAATCTGACAATTATGTGTCTTGGAGTTGCTCTTCTCGAGGAGTATCTTTGTGGCGTTCTCTGTATTTCCTGAATCTGAATGTTGGCCTGCCTTGCTAGATTGGGGAAGTTCTCCTGGATAATATCCTGCAGAGTGTTTTCCAACTTGGTTCCATTCTCCCCGTCACTTTCAGGTACACCAATCAGACATAGATTTGGTCTTTTCACATAGTCTCATATTTCTTGGAGGCTTTGTTTGTTTCTTTTTATTCTTTTTTCTCTGAACTTCCCTTCTCGCTTCATTTCATTCATTTCATCTTCCATCGCTGATATCCTTTCTTCCAGTTGATCACATCAGCTCCTGAGGCTTCTGCATTCTTCACATCGTTCTCGAGCCTTGGTTTTCAGCTCCATCCGCTCCTTTAAGCACTTCTCGGTATTGATTATTCTAGTTATACATTCTTCTAAATTTTTTTCAAAGTTTTCAACTTCTTTGCCTTTGGTTTGAATGTCCTCCCGTAGCTCGGAGTAATTTCATCATCTGAAGCCTTCTTCTCTCAGCTCGTCAAAGTCATTCTCCGTCCAGCTTTGTTCCGTTGCTGGTGAGGAACTGTGTTCCTTTGGAGGAGGAGAGGCACTCTGCTTTTTAGAATTTCCAGTTTTTCTGCTCTGTTTTTTCCCCATCTGTGTGGTTTTATCTACTTTTGGTCTTTGATGATGGTGATGTACAAATGGGTTTTTGGTGTGGATGTCCTTTCTGTTTGTTAGTTTTCCTTCTAACAGAGAGGACCCTCAGCTGCAGGTCTGTTGGAGTACCTGGCCATGTGAGGTGTCAGTCTGCCCCTGCTGGGGGGTGCCTCCCAGTTAGGCTGCTTGGGGGTCAGGGGTCAGGGACCCACTTGAGGAGGCAGTCTGCCTGTTCTCAGATCTCCAGCTGCGTCCTGGGAGAACCACTGCTCTCTTCAAAGCTCAGATAGAAATGCCGAAATCACCTGTTTTCTGCGTCGCTCATGCTGGGAGCTGTAGACCGGAGCTGTTCCTATTCAAGAAGTCAAAATTTTAACGCAGGTCAACTGACTCTAGAGTACAGGTTCTTCACTGCTACAAGAGGCAACCAAGACTTAGAGAAAGGGTTTAAGAGAGAAGTGGAATAATAAGAGAAGCACATTCATCAGAGATATTTTTTATTTATAATACTACATAACCAAACCCTATAATCAGTTATTAAAAGAGCTTACAAGTAAAGCTTACTTTTGTGTGCTCTTTTCTTACAGTATTCCATGTTTATGTACACATACTGAGCTGAGGTGAGAAGAGAAAATGCCCATGCTCTTACTCCAAACCATCAAGTCTGAGTGCCACATTAAAGTCTTGATACATAAGGCCTTCTTGAAAGCACATTGGGATGTCAATAAAGATATAAAGACCACGCTATAGGCCTAGGGCAGTCACTGAGGAGACCCTGAATAAGTCATCTGGCCTCTTAGAGCCTCCCTTGCTAAATCTGTAAGAGAGGAATTTGCACTAGAATGTTAGTTTTATGATAGCAAAAGTCTTAATGAACGCAAGTTATTGATAGTATTAATAGACATCTGTCTATAATTTATGTCAACTCCAAAAAAAGTCTATTCATTTTAAGCACTGAAAAAAATGTATGCTTTGGTTTAAAATATTTTGTTAAGTCCCATATTGAAATGTTTCTTATGTGATATTTTCTTCAAGTCTATATATATATGAGATAATGAGCTCCATATACAAAGTGATGTATAATTTTAAACTACCATGTAAAAATGGAATAATATAATCTCTGTAAAACATTATTAAAATGTAAGTTAT
This sequence comes from Homo sapiens, assembly GCF_000001405.40. Lineage (NCBI taxonomy): Eukaryota > Metazoa > Chordata > Mammalia > Primates > Hominidae > Homo > Homo sapiens. The sequence continues at coordinate 80,819,972 of NC_000006.12, read as the reverse complement.
TTTCTAAATATAATTCTAGGGAAAACATCAATGTGGTTTTATTTGACTTCATAGTCTTCTCAAAGTATCAAATATTTTAACTTTATCACAATAGTCAATGTCTGTTAATACCATCACTATCTTGATATCAGTAAAACTTCTGGACTGGAATAAGACATCTGAATCTTGGATTCAAAAGCTATTAGGATGTTTTCACACTGTTTAATAATATTTAGTGAGATTGCTGTTTTGCATACAATTATGTTTTTGAAAACTTAGCAAATACAATTTAAAGAATATCAACTGTGTGGAAATCATTGTCCTAGACATATCGACTTATTCATTTAATTATTATCAAGCCACATGTTTAATGAAGTTTATTAAAAACAGATCTTTGCTTGCAATGGATAAAATGAACCTTCATAATTTAACCCAGAAATAAAATTATGGAGGCAAACTTCCCAGTTGCTGTAATTGTTCTAGGGGTCTCTAAGGATTTATGCAGTAGCTGAAATGCAGACATTTTTCATTAACTTCATACGGTTAAAAGAATTGTTTAATTTCTTTAAAACTAACAATCATTGACAAAAGAATGAAAGAATTCATATTAAGTAAATCCCTTGTTCCAAATAACAATTAAGCAATATTCTGGGGGATAAAATAGAATGATCCCAGGTCTGCTGCCTTATCCTGGGGCCAGTTCAGAAAAGTTCATCATCAATGAACTTTTTCTTACAGACTGGAGTCACCCTTTTCCACGATTTGAGATAACTAGCATACTATTCCATACCAACCCTATTTTCTTCACAAATATGAAGTTTTTTTCTGAAACGCAGTTCATTTGTTTGCCAATTTATTTTTCTATTTTAAAACTCTCTAAGTACATGATTTCTAGCATTGCTTCACAACTCTGTCACACTTGAATAAGTAACTCATGTGCTCAATGGAAAGCTTGTCCCAGGCTCATACAAAGATGGAGCACAAGAGGTGGGGTAGAGGTAAGGTGTATGGAGGCTGGCAGCCCAACACAGGAGCCTTGCAAAAGTGGTCTGCAGGAATCAACAGCAATGTGGCTGACAACACATTTCACATACACGTGATGGGAACTGACAAGAATTCAAAGAAACACATTAAGAAAGAGTGGCTTGGGGTAATAAGAAAAATGCTTAGAATCAATGATCAGACTTGTACCTCTTAGAGTCATTAAAAATGTATGTTATTCAATCAACACATTATTACCCACTCCATTGGGCACAGGAGTTGAGTGCTAAGACTAAGATAATTTTCAAGAATATTAGAAAACCTCTCTCCAGCCTCAACCTTCTTCTACCTTTATCAAACTTAGTAACAGGTAATGAAATAGAAAAATTTTCTCATTTTTTCACCTAAAATAGTTAGAAATAGTAATATTTCAGAAGTATATAACAGAAGGGGCAAAAAAAAACAGTAATACCTGAAATGCTTGATAAAAGTTTGTAATTAGTCATAAAGATAGTACTCAAAAAGAGAAGAAATGCCAAAAGCATGATCCATTAAAAAATTGCTATGTTGCACTTAAAATAGAAATGTTAAAATTAAAAACTCCTACACTGTGAAAGAGATTTTTAAGAGAATGAAAAAAAAAACCTAGAAGAAATTATCTGCAAAATACATATTTAATAAAGGATTTGTATGCCAGATATACAAAGAATTCTTAAAACTCAGCAAGAAAACAACCCATTAAAAATAGGCAAAACCGCTAAACAGACAACTTACCAAGGAAGACACACAGACATCAGTAAGAATATGAAATTGGTATTAGGGAACTGCAAATTAAAACAGCAATGAGAAAACTACTACATACTTATTAGAATACCTAAAATCCAAAACTTTTACAGGACCAAATGCTGACAAGAATGTAGAGTAACAGGAACTTTCATCATTGCTGGTGGGAATACAAAAAATATAGCCACTTTGGACGATAGTTTGACAGTTTGTTACAATACTAAACATACTTTTACCATAGGATCCAACCATTACACTGTTTGGTATTTACTCAAATGACTTGAAAATTTACAATTAACTTCTACACAAAAATCTGCACATGGATATTTATAGCAACTTTATTCATAATTGCCAAAACTTGGAAACAGCCAAAATGTATTTCAGTAAGTGAATGGACAAGCTGTGGTAAATCTATACAATGGAGTATTATTCAGTGATAAAAATAAATGAGAAATCAAGCCATGAAAAGACATGGAGGTAACTTAAGTGTACATTACTAGGTGAAAGAAGCCAATGTGAAGAGGCAACATAGTCTATAATTCTAACTGTATAACATTTGGGAAAAAAACAAAACTATGGAGACAATAAAAAGATCAGTGTTTGCTAGGGGTTCAGAGAGAGCAGGGGAACGGTAAATCGGTGGAGCACACAGCATTTTTAGGGCAGTGAAATTGTACTGTATGATAACATAATGGTGGATCTATTTGCCCAAACCCATAGAGTATACAACACAAAGAGTGATTCCTAATGCAAACAATGCAATTTAGTTAATAATAATGTATTAGCTCATCATTTGTAACAAATGTAAATGTTAATAATAGGGGAAACTGGGAAATGATGGTGAAGGACTATATAGGAACTGTCTGTACCTTCTACTCAATTTTTTTAAAACTCTTAAACTGCTCAAAAAATTATGTTTAAAAACTGAAGGATGGCATAAGGGTTCATGAGAATAAATAAACCCAGGCTAGCAGCATTGCTGTTGTTTGGTTTGTGTGCTTGCTTAGAATATTTGTGTTATTTAGTAAGAGATGGATTTTAAAAATAATAATAAACAAAACAGGCAAATAAATAATGAAGTTAATTTGGCACCAGGAAATACAAATATGAAAAAATGTGGAGAGTTTCTCTCATATTTATTTTGCATGTCTTTGGGGCTAGATAGATGTTATTCAATAAATACACATTAAATACATTACTCAGGTAAAAGGCATATAAATAAATTAACATAAATGAATATTATTATTCATAAGATCAAGTAGCCCAAAGTAGCAACTATTTGTTGATCTAAAACCATTTTCAATAGTTATAATTTATATACACAACATGAGGTTCTAAAACTGAATTAGCTTCTGAAGTTTGTGAATATAGAAACAAGTTAAAACTTCAAAAACCATTTCTCATAGCATAGTATTGATTTTGCTCCAAAGTTAATACTAAGTTTAGGCTGAATGTAATGCTAATGGTGAAGACTGTCCATCCACATTTCTAAATGTGTTTGTCCATCAGTTAATGACAAAAGCAAGACCTTGAGCATCTTTTCATTATTGAGTCCAGCAAAGAATATCAATATAATACAGCCTTCAGAATTATTTCTACCATTTGGTGAAAATAGAAAAGTTAATTATAAAAAAAGAAATCACAAAGGGGATTACAAATTCGACTTCAAAAGGTAAAATTTCATGTTATTTTTACCCATTGGATAGGAAAAAAATTATCTAGTAGATAATTTGCTCACAAGTTAAACCAATTATCTAGTGGTTTCGAATTTTCTATTTGATCCCACTTCAATAGTTTGTCTCTGGGAAAGATTCCAATTCAGTCTGGAGCACTGTTTTTTCCATGGGAAAATATGTAAAAGAATATTCCCATGTATTCTCTAATATACTAATTAAGTGTCACCATTTAGACTATAAACTTATTTCAGAATTTAATTGACTTGTGGTTAAAGAAGATGAAAGTATTTTGTTTTAAAGAAGTATGTCTTTCAAGCAATTTTTCCAATACCAGTATCTGTACAATTAGTATCAAAGGGGTTAACTTGGACTTATAACCCAAGCATATTTTTTAATTTCCTGGGATTCTAAAAATTGTTACAAGCATTAGCATTTTGGTTTTAAGTTTTACTTTCAGCTAAGCACCATGAACACCTTGTATAAGTTTCTCTTTTTGGTGTCTGTAATGATTGCTAACATTATGCTGATTGAAACTTGTGTGAGAGAAGTAGTAACTGCTCTACACTTTTTGGTAGGACATTTGCATGTTAGAGGATGAGTGATAAAATGGACTAAAATTCAGAGGCCTTCTACCTCAGTGAAATTTCTAGGGATCCAGTAGAATGGGGCAAGTTGAGCTGTTCCTTCTAAGGCAAAGGATAAGTTGTTGCATATGGTACCTCATACAACCAAGAAAAGAGGCACTATCACTTTTGAATCTATTTGGATTTTGAAGGCAACATACTTCTCATTTGAGTGAGTTACTCCAGCCTATTTACAGAGTGACTCAAAAAATTGCTAGTTGTGAGTAGGATCCAAGACAAGAGAAACCTCTGCAAGAGATCCAGCCTGCTCTGCCAGCTGCTCTGCCTCTTGGGCTACATGATCAAATAGAATCAATGATGCTGCTCTGCCTTTTGGGCTATATGATCCAATAGAATCAATGATGTTTGGAGTATAGGTAGAAGATAGGAATACTCATTAGAGCCTTCAGCAGGCCCCCATAGGTGAATCACAACTCAGGCCTTTAGGATTTTGGAGCAAGGATCTGCCATAATCTATAGATAATTATTCTCCTTTTTAGAGACATCTCTTGGCTTTAGCAGAAACTTAACACTTGGCCATGGGCTACCTAGTTACTATGTGAGCCTAGCTACCCATTACAGACTGGGTGTTATCTGACCACTCAAAGTCATACAGTTAGGCACGCACAGCAACACTCCATCATCAAATGGAAGCAATATATTCATGATGGAACCTGAGTAGGCCCTGAAAGCACAAGTAAATTACATGAAGAAGTGGCCCAAATGCCTCTGAGCCCCCCTTTTCCTACACTGCCTTCTCTCTTTCAGCCTGCACTATTAGGCTCATGGGGAGTTCCCAATGATCAACAGAAGAATAGAAGACTAGGTTCTGGTTTATATATGGTCCTGCACAACATGAAGGTACCACCTAAAAGTTAACAGTTGCAGCACTGCATCCCCTCCCTGGCATATTACTGAAGGACAGTGGTGAAGGGAAATCCTCCAAGTGGGCAGAATTTGGGGCAATGCACTTTGCTTTGAGGGAACATGATTACAAAATTAGTAACAAATTTGGAGAAAGATATGTAGATATACTTCTCTAAATGGGCAAAAAGCATGAAGTATTTGTGTCCCATGTGAATGCTCACCAAAGGGTGACCTCAGCAAAGGAAAATTTTAATAATCAAGAAGATACAATAATGTGTTCTGTGGATACCGGTCAGCCTTTTTCCCCAGCTATCCCTGTCATTGCCCAATGGGCTCATTAACAAAGTGATCCTGGTATCAGGGATAGAGTTTATGCATGGGTTCAGCAACATGGACTTATACTCACCAAGGCCAATGTGGCTATGTGGCTATGGCCACAACTTCATGCCCAATATGGCAGCAGCAAAGACCAAACACTGAACCCCCAATATGGTACCATTCCCCAGGGTGATCAGCAAGCTACCTAGCAGCAGGTTGAATTCATTGAACAGTTTCCATCATGGAAGAGACAGCATTTTTTTCTTATTGAAACAGGCACCCTGTATATGGATTTCCTTCCCTGCCATGCAATACTTCTGTTAAAACTACTATCCATGGATTTACAGAATGTCTTATGTACCACCACAGTATTCCACACATCACTGCTACTGACCAAGAAACTCACTTCACAGCCAAAGAAGTGTGGTAGTGAGCCCATGCTCATGGAATTCGCTAATCTTACCATGTTCCCCACCATCCCAAAGCAGATGGCTTAATAGAATGATTAACATTTTGAAGACTCAGTTATAGCACAAACTGGGTGGAAATAACTGGGGTTAGGTTCTCCATAAGGCTGTATATGTTCTGAATCCAATCTATGGTACCATATACAACATGGTACTATTTCTCTAATAACCAGGATTAAAAGACTCAGGAATTAAGTGGTGGAAACGGGAGTGGCACCACTCATCATTACCCCTAGTAACCCATTAATAAAAGGTTTGCTCCCTATTCCCACAACTCTATTCTCTGCTGGCCTAGAGTTCTTAGTTCCAGAGGGAGAAATGCTTCCACCCTATGGAAGACATAAAAATTTCATTGAACTGGAAATTAAGACTACCACCCAGCCACTTTGGACTCCTTGTGCCTGAGTCAACAGGCCATGAATGGAATTATGGTGTTCACTGGAGTGATTGATCAAGACAAAATTGGAAGCCTCCTCCTCAGTGGAGGTAAGGAAGAGCATGCCTAGCATACAGGAAATCCCTTAGGTTGTCTCTTAGAATAACCATGACTTGTGATTAAGCTCAATGAAAAACTATGACCACCCAATCCAGGCAGCACTACAAATAATCCAGACCCTTTAGAAACAAAGGTTTGGGTCACCCCACCAGATGAAGTACCATGACCAGCTGAGGTGCTTGCTGAAGGCAAGGTAGGTACAGAATGGGAAGTAGAAGAAGGATGTTATAAATAGTAGCTGTGACCATGTAACCAGTCATAAAAATGAAGACTGTAATTGTCATGAGTATTTTCTCCCATTTTGCTATGCCTAGATTTATGTGAATATATACATATATTAAGTAAATATCTGTTTTCTTTCCCTCTTTCATTTTTTATCATATAAGATGTATTGACTTTATATCATATTTAAGTATTGTTAATTTTACATCATGGCATTTAATTATGGAACATCAGAAGAGGAGTAAACATCAACCAAGACCTTACGTCCTCTTCTGGGGAACAGATTAGTTTGATTTTTGTTATATTTAGGATATTCATATACTGTTAGATGAAATTATAACATTCTTGTTGTCTTTATTTGGAGATTAAGTATGTTTTAAAAAGATACCTATGGTCCCAAGTTGACAAGGGGTGAATTCCTGATAGTTAATATTATGTGTCAACTTGACTGGGCTAAAGAAAACTCAGATAGATGGTAAAACATTATTTGTGAGTGTGTCTGTGAGGGTGTTAGAGATCAACATTTTGAATCAGTAGATTGAGCAAAGAAGATCCGCCCTTACCAATGTTGGTGGACTCTTCTAGTCCTTTGAGAACCCACATCAATATTCTTCTGCCCTCAGATGCTGGAGCTCCTTGTTCTTGGGTCTTCACACTCTGGGCTTACATAAGCAGCCCCAGTTCTTAAGCCTTTGGACTCATACAGAATTACACCAGTGGCTCTCCTGGCTCTCGGGCTTTGGACTCAGACTGAATTACACCACTGGCTCTTCTGGTTCTCCAGCATAAAAAAGGCATATTATGAGACTTCTCAGTCTCCATAACTTTGTAAGTCAATTCCCATAATAAATATTTTCTTATGTATCTATCCATATATACATATATATATATATATATATATATATATATATATATATATGTATATACGGAGAGAGAGAGAGCGAGAGCACCTATTAGTTTTGTTTCTCTGGAGAAGTCTGGCTAATGCAATGTTCCTGTCTAAAATGCTTTGCACTTTTTTTCCTGATTTTCTGGTTAGTTTAGTCTCATCCAGTCAGTGTTTAAAAACATACAAATGATGGAAAGAGACCTCTTTCTTTAGGTGATTATATAGAACCTGCCCACCTCTAATTACTTTGGACAAGTTTGCTCTCATCTGATTGATACACAGATGAGTGAATGAATAATTAGTTCATTATTTCTTTTTTTCTTTCCCTTTAAAGAACATAAATTCCTTACATGGAAAAAAAAAATCAAACATATTTTGCCTCAATCAGTTTATACTGAGGATATGGGACCCTGTTATAATACTTGTCTTTCAGTCACACCCACTGAGTCTAAATAAGCTAGCCCATTGTAGTCAGTTTACAATAGAGGTAATATAAATACAAGTTAAAATAGCAAAGTTTCTTTATTTTAAAATAAATCAGTGAAAATTCAAGTTGATCCCTATATAACCTTTCACCCAATAATTACATTAATGTTCTCCTAATGTGCTTATAGGCAGTGCCAGAAAAAGAGGCAGTGGTACTAGTTGTTTCAATACCCACAAGATTTGAGAAATTAAGGGAACTATTTCTGAAATCTGGACACACTCATGGGATTACATTATACATAAAAATACCTTCCTTTATGAGCATCAAAACAGAAAATTCATTTGGAATATCTGGTGTATATACTAAAAATGTCAAGTCATCAAGGAGTATAAGTCAGGAATAAAGAATAGATTAGTGACTAAAACATGAAATCTAGATGAAGATTAGAGATTAGAAGCCTTGCATAAATCAAGGAGCAAGATCAGAAAATCAGAGGAGCAGTGGTATTTATACCAGAAGTCAGAAAACTAGTAGATGAGGCTTAGACTAGGTTGAAGATACACAGACATTTCTCAAAATCAGAAATAGAGGAAGAGTGCCTGAGACCTTGCCTGTTCCTTGTAATGTCTTTCTATCTGCTCACCCTGGGTTTATAGGTTAAATTCAGGAAACCAGCCCAGGAACGTTTCCAAAAGTTACTGATCTAACCAATGGTTCATGAGAGGTTACTGGCATATTAAGACATTAGTTCTTATAACTGCTACTCAGTGTCTCAATGTTATGTCCGTGAGGCCACAGATACAGTGTTCCTAATGATAATTTAAAAAAAAAAGAGGAGAGAAGAGAAAGAAAAATTTCTTTTTATTTTATTTTATTTTATTATTATTATACTTTAAGTTTTAGGGTACATGTGCACAGTGTGCCAGTTAGTTACATATGTATACATGTGCCATGCTGGTGTGCTGAACCCATTAAAAATGACGAGTTAATGGGTGCAGAAAAATTTTTTTTTAAAAAAGAATAAATCCAGAACTGAAGCTATTTGGGGGGAGGGAGGTTGCCAAGAACAAGAACCCTTGAAGTTTTGCATGATAATGAACAAAATTTTATGAGCATAATACACGTTTGCCAGTACTAAAAACAATGATCAATCAGCAGTAAAGTGAGAATTTAATCTTAAGTTATAGAGAACATGTTCTTTTTGGCAGGATTTGCTTATTAAATTTGTGTGATATTTAATTAACAGGCAACAGACCACAGTTTCCATTACAGAGTTCAAGTTATCTGTGTATGATACTATCTCTAATGTGTTAATAAAACAAAAGGAAGTAGGAAAATAAAAAAAGAACTAGAGAAAAATGTGATTCAAAGTTTGATAAATTAAACAATACTATATTTTTGCATTAATTAGAGGGAAGTTCAGCTGATCTTGTTTAGATAGCTTTAGGGATTGTTAGTGTAATTGGCTTTGCAATAGTAAGTCTTTCTAAGGCCAATCCTATGTTCAGGTTACTTACTCCAATCTACCTATTTACATACAGTATTTGAGAAAATCAAATTAGGAAGAAAGATACAGCTTACATATTTTTAACTTATGCTTTAACACACTGACACACACACACACACACACACACACACACACACTCAATTTCTCCAAAAAAAGAAAAGCTGGTATTTTATATTAGAACTCAGACATCTCAAACTTCTAGGTCCCAAAGTCAAGCAGGTAAAAAATCAAGACATGAAGTGACAAATATAGGTGCAGATACATGCTTGGTATGAATAGTGGGGGCTCTAGGGAATGGAGCACTCAAGACTGTCCAAATGGGGCTATCACCATGTACTACAGCCCATTTAGGAAAGAGCCAGTGCTGTCAGCCTCTTGTTTTTCTGTTCACAAGAATCCAGAAGTCTGGTTCTCTAAGTAAAACATGTCAATGTTTAAATGTTGGCTTAATTTTATTAAAAACACAATGTAAGCCAAACAAAACACTGTATGGCCCAAATTCAACCCATAGGATAATAGCGTGTGATTTCTACTCTAGGTAATTGGCTATAAAGTCAAGGCATTTTATGTTTGTGTGTAGATTATATGTAGATATAAATACTTAAAATCATAAAATAGTGTTTTTTAGTATAAAATCCAAAGGAAAAAGTAAAAATCAGGTCAATGTTATTAGCTTAAAGCTGGTTTTTATTGCAAAACACCAGCAAGTATGAGTTAGAACTTTCAAAATGCTTTCCATCAATGTACAGATCCCAGCCAAGATTTTTCACTATTTATTTAAAGGAACCTACTTAATACATTACATTTTCTCTTAATATTTTTATTCAGAATAATTTAAGCTTATAGGACCTAACACATGTGAACCTACCATCCAGATTCATGAAATCCTAACATTTGCCATGCTCACCTTACTTTTTTTAAGAAAATAAAACATTACAGATACAGTATCTTCTGGATTTCTTTCATCTCCTATTCTCCTTTCTTGCTTTCCGTAAGTAACAACTCTTCTGAAGTATATATTTATCAGTCAGTTCCCTTTTTACTGCATAGATATGTCCCAATATACAATATGTGGTATTATTTATTGATTTAAACTATTTTCCTGCAAATTATTTTGTTCACTCAATAGTTTATTTTGAATTATGCTTATATTGATACAAATAATCTTCATTTTTTTTTTTCAAATTCTAGCCTTTATCGTTGCTTTTTTAACTTTTTACTTCAGGATAATCTTAGACATACAGGATGCTACAAAGTAGTAGAGAAAGTTTATGTATACATTAATCCAGTTTCCTCAAATGTCAACGTATTGTGTAATATTATGTATTGTATCATGTTTACAAATAACAGAATTATCAAACCAGGATGTCGAAGATTGGTAAAATGTTAATAACTAAACCACAGATCTTATATGATTTTACCAGTTTTTTCCCCTAATGTCTTTTTGTTTCTGCTCCAATCCAGGATCTTACATTGCATTTAGTTGTGTCTTCTTGTCTCCTCCAGTCTGTGAGTTTCTCAGTCTTGCCTTGTTTTTCATGACCTTAATACTTTTAAGTACTGGTTAGTTGTTTTGAAAAATGTACTTAAACTTAGATTCATCCAATGTTTTCATAAATTAGGGTAAGGTTGTATATTTTTAGCAAGAATGCCATAGAAATATGGTGTTCTCTGTGTATCATACTTATTACTGATGATGTTAACATTAGTCACTTGGTTAAGGACTTACCTCTCACCGTAAAGTTACCTTTTTATTGATAAATATCTGGGGGAGATTATTGGGATGATGTTATTATTCTGTTCTCCCCAAACTTTTACAGACTGATTTTTAGCATTAATCTGATCCTACCTGTAACAATATTGCCTAATGATTTCATGAATCCTTTATTCCTTTTAATTTTATTAATTGAAATTCTTATGCAAGTAGTCCTTTCACCACCAATCATTTATTTATTTATTTATTCATTTATCAATATGAACTCATGGTTATTTATTTTATTCTGTGGATTGTGGATTATAATACAATTCTACCATTATTTTGTTGCTCACATTTCTACCTTTGGCCATTATGAATTCTGTGTCTTTTTAATGTTATCCTATTTTCTAACCACTTTATTATTTTCTGTTATCATGAAATAGTCCAGGTCCACCTTACATTTTCCCTGCTCAAGCCTTGGGATCAACAACTTCTGCAAAGAGCTTTTGGAGCTCTTGTTTTCTTAATTACACCATGGGATACAGAAACCAAAATATGGGTGCTAGATGTACTCATTGCCACTAAAATATTATTGCTCTTTGGCTGTCTTAGCAGACAGAGCAAGGATATATATGTGTGTATATATATATATGTATATATATGTGTGTATATATATGTATATATGTATATATATGTATATATGTATATATGTATATATGTATATATGTATATATATGTATATATGTATATGTGTATATATGTATATATGTATATGTGTATATATGTATATATGTATATATATAAGTGTATATATGTGTATATATGTGTATATTTATGTATATATGTATATATGTATAGATATGTATATATGTATAGCTATGTATATATGTATATATGTGTGTATATATGTATATATGTATATATATGTGTATATATGTATATATGTATATATACTAACCCTACAAGACACAAATTTGTAGTTATTTCTGTATCTATTTGTGTATGTACATTTATATATGCACGTAGGTATTACCTATAAATTCATACTAATATCTCCAATTCCAATCCACTATAAATTTCTTCCTAGCCTTCCATCTCTCTTTGTTAAAACTTCTTTCTCTGACAGTGAAAAAAACTCAACAATATTATCTTAAATATATTCTCTTTCTTGTTCAAACCTAGCATATACAAAATAGTTTCAGTTAACCATACGCATGTGAAAAATAAATTTACTAGAGTATAGTACTTCTATACAGTTATTTTTGTCTTCAGTCTCACAATATCCAGTTAAGTTTTTATTTATCAAAGTTACTTAGGTGAGTTCTTTGCTTTCCTATCCCCTTCGGTGTGATTAGGTTATTCATTTGTAATATAGTAAGGTTCACTTATTACTGCTTGTATTCAATGTGGGGCTTTCTCCTCCTTCAGGTTGATTTTTATTACTTATTTGGGGAGTGGGAAAAAATGAACATTATTTACATTTTTCGGAGTCAAAACAACACAAACTGTTAAACTGTAAGTAGCATCATTCCTTCCTCATTCTCATACTAACTTGGTTCCATTCCCCATTCATTTTCACTCCTTTCCCACTCAGCCCTCCTAAATATTTATTTTACAAAAATGAAGAGATGTGTATTTTCTTACATCCTGTACTTTCTTACTTGAAAAATAGCATATTTCAGGTACACTTTTGAACTTTCCTTTTTTCACTTAGTATATCCTGGGAACCAATCTAAAATACATTTATCATATATGTTTTACAGTTTATTCAACTATTCTCTTGAAATTATAAACAACGCTGCAATGAATGACCCATTATTCATGAATTTCTTTTCTTATTCTATTATACTTTAAGCTTTAGGGTACATGTGCACAACGTGCAGGTTAGTTACATATGTATACATGTGCCATGTTGGTGTGCTGCACCCATCAACTCGTCATTTAACATTAGGTATATCTCCTAATGCTATGGAATTTTTATATTGTTGGAGATGTAACTTTGGCATACATTCCTAGAAGTGGTATTGCTTCATCAAAAGATAAGTGCATTTACAGTTTTGTTAAGCATTGACAAATTTCTTTCCAGAAGGACCTCACCAATGCATTCCCACCAGCAAACCTCCAGGTGTTTCTGAATCACAACCATAGTTTTATTCTAAAACCTAGACCTGATACCAAGAGCGGGACGATGCAGAGACATAAAATAGCAGCAAGCATAGATTTAGAGGACCATTCAGGTAGCACCTTCATCTGCAGAGCGAGCATTGAAGGAATAAACTGCTATCAAAAACTGTCAAGTTCCAGCATTTTAAATTTTGTAAGCGCATCCACAAACTCAGTATTCTTACATATCTACAAAGGTGTTAAGAGTTGAGAAACAGAGAAGGAAGGAAACAGAGCTGAGACAGAGACACACACACACGCAGACACACACACAGAGAGAGAGAGAGAGAGAGAGAAAGGAAACTAGTGTGGAAGAAGAAAGGTAGAAAGTTTAAAAGGAGACAAAATAAGAAGTATATGACAAGAAAAAAAATGCTGAAAATCACCAATATTCAGATAAACCTCAGTGCTACCATCTACTCATGAATTTGGGTCTAAATGTAATACATATATTAAAGACATAAGGGAGTCTTCTGTTTCTAGCAACAAGCAGACTAAATATCACCAAGGACCCTTTTCAGAGAAACACATGAATAGCATGTAAATAGAGTCACTTTACTTGCCCTGCTGGGTGATTCATCCCATCCCCACTCTTCAGTATTTCTTAGAAAGCCAAAGCTGTTATCTCTGCTGGCATTTAAAACAGATACACATACATATCTTGTCTTAAGTAGAGTTTTGTTGTCAGCTACAGTACATATCATTTTATCCTATTTCTGCTGTGCTAACTCTATTATTTTTATTTCTACCTTCTGCTATTTTTTCTATTATATTTCTATTTTTGCCTGCTTCTACTTTGTGAAAAGTCCTGGCAAGTCACAAAAGCGTGCAAATCTGAGTTGTGTCTTTTTTGCCTTTTCCAGTTGACATATTCAGAAGTATTAAGACTAAAATCCACTCTAATTATTAGCTGAGTACAATTACTAAACAATATGGACAATATAAAAATGAGTATGTCATGATCACTACATTCCATAAATTTAGCAAGCAGGAGAGACAAGCATAGTCACAGATAATTAAAATTCTAGGTTATGATAGGATCATTCGTGTGATTAAAAACATATAAAAAGAGGAATGTGGGAACATTAAGGAGTAAAAGTCAATTAGGCTTTATTGGGGTGAATGTAAAGAGGTGTCATCAAGGGAAAGCACATGGGATGAACTTGAACCAGAATCCCAAATAAGGAATAGCCAAAACTCTGTAACTGTCACAACTCTTTACCTGCCTAATTAAACCCTAAGAAATGCTACTCTGGGATGTAGGAGGGTTGATTTACCTCTGATGTTGACACCAGGAGAACATTTTATATTACATGTTCCAACATGAATTTTTCTCAATATTTGGAATATACCTGGAAAAAACTTATCTCTCTTTTAGTAACTCACTGTAGGTATCATAAAAATATCTTAAGCATATTGTAATGCAGTACGTACTACAAGTTCTATAATTATTTATTGCCGATGGAGTAACATTGAGTTTTTTTGGAAACTGCCTTTTTTAAGTTTCAAAGGAATACCAACATTAAAAAAGATTACAGAAAAAAAGTTGTTTTAGACTGAGAGAAGGGATGAAGTATATACATGGAAGTTGTTGACTAACAATGAATCTGCTTTAAAGTAGATTCTACTTTAGTAGTAAAGTAAATCCCACTTTCTCTAAACCTGTTTACTCATCTGTGAAGTATTTTATTTCTTTATAATCCCAATGCCATCACAGTAGAATGATTTTATAAATATTACTTGAATACAATTCGCTTGAATGCAGTTTACCTGACACCCTTGTATAGTTTCAATTTGGGGGTTTCATTCAATTTTAGCAAAATTCTTGACTTGAATTTATCTCTACCTATCTTGCCTATTGTGTATCTTGCCTATTGTGTATCTAAGCCACTTTTCCTATGAGGAGAAGTTCCAAAAAAGAGTTTTCTTATTCATGTTTAAAAGAAAAATATCTATCTATCCATCCATCCATCTATCTATCTATCTATATTAATATACTCTGATTTAAAAACAGCATTATTGCTATTAATAAAAAATACATATAAATTACAGTGGGCACTTTGAAAAATTATTTTTAAAATATCTTACTATTATTTTCTGGGACCTTAAAATAAAATGGACTGTGTCTAAAATTAGCTTGATATATATTATTTTCAAGCAAAATTCATAAATATATACCTTCTATTTTGATTATATAATGACTTGACAACATTTTAGCCATATTACATTAAATGGCTGGAAATAAATTATGTGAAATATATAGAACATATTAAATCCCATTTGTCAATTTTGGCTTTGGTTGCCATTGCTTCTGGTGTTTCAGTCATGAAGTCTTTCTTTGCCCATGCCTATGTTCTGAATGCTATTGCCTAGGTTTTCTTCTAGGGTTTTTATGGTTTTAGGTTTTATGTTTAAGTTTTTAATCCATTTTGAGTTAATTTTTGAATAAGATGTAAGGAAGCGGTCCAGTTCTAGATGTTTGCATATGGCTAGCCAGTTTTCCCAGAAACATTAAATGGGGAATCCTTTTCCCATTGTTTGTTTTTGTCAGGTTTGTCAAAGATCAGATGGTGGTAGATATGTGGTGTTATTTTTGAGGCCTCTGTTCTGTTCCTTTGGTCTGTATATCTGTCTTGGTACCAGTACCACGCTGTTTTGGTTACTGTAAGGACAGTTTTAAATCAGGTAGCATGATTCCTCCAGCTTTGTTCTTTTTGCTTAGGATTGTCTAGGCTATACGGGCTCTTTTTCGTTCCATATGAAATTGAAAGTAGTTTTTTCTATCATTGTTGGACATTTGGGTTGGTTCCAAGTCTTTGCTATTGTGAATAATGCCGCAATAAACATTCGTGTGCATGTGTCTTTATAGCAGCATGATTTATAGTCATTTGGGTATATGCCCAGTAATGGGATGGCTGGGTCAAATGGTATTTCTAGTTCTAGATCCCTGAGGAATCGCCACACTGACTTCAACAATGGTTGAACTAGTTTACAGTCCCACCAACAGTGTAAAAGTGTTCCTATTTCTCCACATCCTCTCCAGCATCTGTTGTTTCCTGACTTTTTAATGATTGCCATTCTAACTGGTGTGAGATGGTATCTCATTGTGGTTTTGATTTGCATTTCTCTGATGGCCAGTGATGATGAGCATTTTTTCATGTGTTTTTTGGCTGCATAAATGTCTTCTTTTGAGAAGTGTCTGTTCATGTCCTTCGCCCACTTTTTGATGGGGTTGTTTGTTTTTTTCTTGTAAATTTGTTTGAGTTCATTGTAGATTCTGGATATTAGCCCTTTGTCAGATGAGTAGGTTGCAAAAATTTTCTCCCATTTTGTAGGTTGCCTGTTCACTCTGATGGTAGTTTCTTTTGCTGTGCAGAAGCTCTTTAGTTTAATTAGATCCCATTTGTCAATTTTGGCTTTTGTTGCCATTGCTTTTGGTGTTTTAGACATGAAGTCCTTGCCCATGCCTATGTCCTGAATGGTAATGCCTAGGTTTTCTTCTAGGGTTTTTATGGTTTTAGGTCTAACGTTTAAGTCTTTAATCCATCTTGAATTGATTTTTGTATAAGGTGTAAGGAAGGGATCCAGTTTCATCTTTCTACATATGGCTAGCCAGTTTTCCCAGCACCATTTATTAAATAGGGAATCCTTTCCCCATTGCTTGTTTTTCTCAGGTTTGTCAAAGATCAGATAGTTGTAGATATGCGGCGTTATTTCTGAGGGCTCTGTTCTGTTCCATTGATCTATATCTCTGTTTTGGTACCAGTACCATGCTGTTTTGGTTACTGTAGCCTTGTAGTATAGTTTGAAGTCAGGTAGTGTGATGCCTCCAGCTTTGTTCTTTTGGCTCAGGATTGACTTGGTGATGCGGGCTGTTTTTTGGTTCCATATGAACTTTAAAGTCGTTTTTTCCACTTCTGTGAAGAAAGTCATTGGTAGCTTGATGGGGATGGCATTGAATCTGTAAATTACCTTGGGCAGTATGGCCATTTTCACGATATTGCTTCTTCCTACCCATGAGCATGGAATGTTCTTCCATTTGTTTGTATCCTCTTTTATTTCATTGAGCAGTGGTTTGTAGTTCTCCTTGAAGAGGTCCTTCATATCCCTTGTAAGTTAGATTCCTAGGTATTTTATTCTCTTTGAAGCAATTGTGAATGGGAGTTCACTCATGATTTGGCTCTCTGTTTGTCTGTTGTTGGTGTATAAGAATGCTTGTGATTTTTGTACATTGATTTTGTATCCTGAGACTTTGCTGAAGTTGCTTATCAGCTTAAGGAGATTTTGGGCTGAGACAATGGGGTTTTCTAGATATACAGTCATGTCGTCTGCAAACAGGGACAATTTGACTTCCTCTTTTCCTAATTGAATACCCTTTATTTCCTTCTCCTGCCTAATTGCCCTGGCCAGAACTTCCAACACTATGTTGAATAGGAGTGGTGAGAGAGGGCATCCCTGTCTTGTGCCAGTTTTCAAAGGGAATGCTTCCAGTTTTTGCCCATTCAGTATGATATTGGCTGTGGGTTTGTCATAGATAGCTCTTATTATTTTGAAATACGTCCCATCAATACCTAATTTATTGAGAGTTTTTAGCATGAAGGGTTGTTGAGTTTTGTCAAAGGCTTTTTCTGCATCTATTGAGATTATCATGTGGTTTTTGTCTTTGGCTCTGTCTATATGCTGGATTACATTTATTGATTTGCATATATTGAACCAGCCTTGCATCCCAGGGATGAAGCCCACTTGATCATGGTAGATAAGCTTTTTGATGTGCTGCTGGATTCGTTTTGTCAGTATTTTATTGAGGATTTTTGCATCAATGTTCATCAAGGATATTGGTCTAAAATTCTCTTTTTTGGTTGTGTCTCTGCCCGGCTTTGGTATCAGAATAATGCTGGCCTCATAAAATGAGTTAGGGAGGATTCCCTCTTTTTCTATTGATTGGAATAGTTTCAGAAGGAATGGTACCAGTTCCTCCTTGTACCTCTGGTAGAATTCAGCTGTGAATCCATCTGGTCCTGGACTCTTTTTGGTTGGTAAACTATTGATTATTGCCACAATTTCAGCTCCTGTTATTGGTCTATTCAGAGATTCAACTTCTTCCTGGTTTAGTCTTGGGAGAGTGTATGTGTTGAGGAATTTATCCATTTCTTCTAGATTTTCTAGTTTATTTGCATAGAAGTGTTTGTAGTATTCTCTGATGGTAGTTTGTATTTCTGTGGGATCAGTGGTGATATCCCCTTTATCATTTTTTATTGTGTCTATTTGATTCTTCTCTCTTTTTTTCTTTAGTCTTGCTAGTGGTCTATCAATTTTGTTGATCCTTTCAAAAAACCAGCTCCTGGATTCATTGATTTTTTGAAGGGTTTTTTGTGTCTCTATTTCCTTCAGTTCTGCTCTGATTTTAGTTATTTCTTGCCTTCTGCTAGCTTTTGAATGTGTTTGCTCTTGCTTTTCTAGTTCTTTTAATTGTGATGTTAGGGTGTCAATTTTGGATCTTTCCTGCTTTCTCTTGTGGGCATTTAGTGCTATAAATTTCCCTCTACACACTGCTTTGAAGGCATCCCAGAGATTCTGGTATGTGGTGTATTTGTTCTCGTTGGTTTCAAAGCACATCTTTATTTCTGCCTTCATTTCTTTATGTACCCAGTAGTCATTCAGGAGCAGGTTGTTCAGTTTCCATGTAGTTGAGTGGCTTTGAGTGAGATTCTTAATCCTGAGTTCTAGTTTGATTGCACTGTGGTCTGAGAGATAGTTTGTTATAATTTCTGTTCTTTTACATTTGCTGAGGAGAGCTTTACTTCCAAGTATGTGGTCAATTTTGGAATAGGTGTGGTGTGGTGCTGAAAAAAATGTATATTCTGTTGATTTGGGGTGGAGAGTTCTGTAGATGTCTATTAGGTCCACTTGGTGCAGAGCTGAGTTCAATTCCTGGGTATCCTTGTTGACTTTCTGTCTCGTTGATCTGTCTAATGTTGACAGTGGGGTGTTAAAGTCTCCCATTATTAATGTGTGGGAGTCTAACCATGGAATACTATGCAGCCATAAAAAATGATGAGTTTGTGTCCTTTGTTGGGACATGGATGAAATTGGAAATCATCATTCTCTGTAAACTATCGCAAGAACAAAAAACCAAACACCGCATATTCTCACTCATAGGTGGGAATTGAACAATGAAATCACATGGACACAGGAAGGGGAATATCACACTCTGGGGACTGTGGTGGGGTGGGGGGAGGGGGGAGGGATAGCACTGGGAGATATACCTAATGCTAGATGACGAGTTAGTGGGTGCAGCGCACCAGCATGTCACATGTATACATATGTAACTAACCTGCACAATGTGCACATGTACCCTAAAACTTAAAGTATATTAAAAAAAATAAAAATAAAAAATAAATAAAAATAAATAAATAAATAAATAAAAATGTTCACTAGCAGAACTATCCTAAAAAACAAATGGCAAAGAAAGTCTTTCATAGAGAAGGGATATCTTGGAACATTAGAAAGGAAGAACAAATAGCAGGAAAAGCCAAAACATGGATGAATACAATAAACTTTCTTTTTCCTCAAAAAAAAAAAAAAAAAAAAGAAAGTTTTTTCTAGCTCTGTGAAGAAAGTCAATGGTAGCTTGATGTGAATAGCATTAAATCTCTAAATTACTTTTGGCAGTATGGCCATTTTCACTATATTAATTCTTCCTATCCAGAATCTACAAGGAACTTAAACAAATTTACAAGAAAAAAACAAACAACCCCATCAAAAAGTGAGCAAAGGATATGAACAGACACTCTCAAAAGAAGACATTTATGCAGCCAAGGAAGATATGAAAAAAAGCTCATCATCACGGGTCATTAGAGAAATGCAAATCAAAACCACAATGTGATACCATCTCATGCCAGTTAGAATGGTGATCATCAAAAAGCCAGGAAACAACACTTGCTGGAGAGGATGTGAGAAATAGGAATACTTTTACACTGTTGGTGGGAATGTAAATTAGTTCAACCATTGTGGAAGACAGTGTGGCAATTCCTCAAGGATCTAGAACTAGAAATACCATTTGACCCAGCAATCCCATTACTGGGTATATACCCAAATGATTATAAATCATTCTACTATAAAGACATACGTACATGTATATTTATTGCAGCACTATTCACAATAGCAAAGACTTGGAACCAACCCAAATGCCCATCAATGTTAGACTGGATAAAGCATATGTGGCACATATACACCATGGAATACTATGCAGCCATAAAAAAGAATGAGTTCATGTCCTTTGCAGGGACATAGATGAAGCTGGAAACCATCATTCTCAGCAAACTAACAAAGGAACAGAAAAACAAACACTGCATGTTCTCACTCATAAGTGGTAGTTGAACAATAAAAACACAGGAACACTGGGAGGGGAACATCACACACCAGGGCCTGTTGGGGGTTGGGGCACAATGGGAGGGACAGCATTAGGACAAATACCTAATGCATGCAGGGCTTAAAACCTGGATGAGGGGTTGATGATAGGCTCAGCAGACCACCATGGAACATGTATAACTATGTAACAAACCTGCACTTTCTGCACTTGTATCCCAGAACTGAAAGTATAATAAAAAAGAGAAGAAAGAACATACTAAGATATCAGAGGTATATAACTAATATACAATTGTCCTTGTTTTTTCTTTTAAATTTTATGAATTTAATAAATTCAGATAATATATGAAATTACATGCTTCAAATGTAAGGCAAATAGTACAGTATTTACAAAGCAGATTTTAATAATAAATTTTCTCTATAACTTACTGCTCTTAAGTTATAACAGTAGAACTAACATAAAGATACTATTATCCTTATTTTCTCCTAATTAAATATTTATAGTAAAAATGACAGTGAGCAGTTAAAGAACAATCTGCAGTGAAATTGTCTAAGAACTCACTTTTCAGAGTAAATTTTTTACATATTTTTCAATTTGTATTTAAATTAATTATCAATCAAAATTTTCTAATCACTCTTTACATTTTTACATTGTTATTAGCATTAGCACAATACCCTCAAAATATAAAATTATATGTTGAAAGGATGTTATTTAAAATATATCCTAGAAAATTGATAGTGTTCACAATTGGGTCTCTGAGGAGGCTCAGTAAAATTGCATTTCCATCTCCACTCAAATTCTGAATCCATTTGAAAATAAGACTATAGAGTAAAGCACATTGTACCAATGCATTACCATCATTAAGCTCATATTGAGGAGTGGGAAGTAATTCCAAAAACAAATGGGTTTCCTTAATTGTAAACACCAGAATTATGCCAATTTAGCTCTCAATCATGGCAGCACTGGTTAGAAATAGGTAGATTTATCATAATAAAGAGAAGGCTGCACTAGGGCACCAGATCCAGGCAGCAGAGTAGAGGAATGAGGGGTGAGCTCTACATGCCCAGTTTATACTTCAAATTCAACAATTAGCTTGTGCCTTGCTTTCCATCCCTCCTCCCTACAACTCCATCTTCCAGGGGAAGAGTGCCTGAAAATGGAGAGGTGGGGCCAGGATCATTTCACTAATATCGCTCCCTTCATGGAAGTAAGACATCAAGAGAAGAAGATTTACCACTCTAGCTCTATGCAATATATTTTTAAAGCTGTAATTCTAAGTTCTCACCAATTAAAAATCAAATTAATAAGTAACCTATATTTGTCTGTTAGTTTTCTTTTTTCTTGTTGTTCAGAATTAGTAGGTTTACTGCATTATGTGGGTCAAATTAAGACAGAGAAATCATGAGTAACTATATGGAAAAGTCAAAGAAGATAAGCAAATATACAGTGTTATTAACCATAGTATAACACAGTAACTAGCAATATAAGCTTAAAATGATTGACTTTTTCTTTTTCATAATGTCTGTACATATGAGAGCAGGGACAAGCCTGCAATATTTTATACCTGGAACATATAACTTTTAAACAATACCCTCTTCTATACAACAAAATTATTTTCAGTAATTATGATATGAAATAAAGAATAACAATGGGAAGAAAAAATATTTTCCTTGAAGATTTTGAAAATTTGTTTTTGTTGAACTTTGTAAATCTATATGTATATCATAAATATATGTATCTTATATATACATTATATATAATTATTCCCACTAAAAAATTAAAAATTATTAAACCAAAAAAAGAAAAAATATATCGGATTAATTTTTTCCTTCAAGTTCTGAAATACATGTGCAGGATGTGCAGGTTTGTTACATAGGTAAATGTGTGCCATGGTGGTTTGTTGCAAAGATCATTTCATCACCTAGGTATCAAGCCCAGCATCCATAAGATCTTCTCCTGATGCTCTCCCTGCTCACCTCCCCAACAACAGGCCTCAGTGTCCAAGTGTTCTCATTGTTTGACTCCCACTTAACATGTGAGAACCAGTACCATGCTGTTTTGGTTACTGTAGCCTTGTAGTATAGCTTGAAGTCAGGTAGCGTGATGCCTCCAGCTTTGTTCTTTTGGCTTAGGATTGATTTGGTGATGCGGGCTCTTTTTTGGTTCCATATGAACTTTAAAGTCATTTTTTCCAATTCTGTGAAGAAAGACATTGGTAGCTTGATGGGGATGGCATTGAATCTCTAAATTACCTTGGGCAGTATGATCATTTTCACGATATTGATTCTTCCTACCCATGAGCATGGAATGTTCTTCCATTTGTTTGTATCCTCTTCTATTTCCTTGAGCAGTGGTTTGTAGTTCTCCTTGAAGAGGTCCTTCACGTCCCTTGTAAGTTGGATTTCTAAGTATTTTATACTCTTTGAAGCAATTGTGAAAGGGAATTCACTCATGATTTGGCTCTCTGTTTGTCTGTTATTGGTGTATAAGAATGCTTGTGATTTTTGTACATTGATTTTGTATCCTGAGACTTTGCTGAAGTTGCTTATCAGCTTAAGGAGATTTTGGGGTGAGACAATGGAGTTTTCTAGATATACAATCATGTCATCTGCAAACAGGGACAATTTGACTTCCTCTTTTCCTAATTGAATACCCTTTCTTTCCTTCTCCTGCCTAATTGCCCTGGACAGAACTTCCAACACTATGTTGAATAGGAGTGGTGAGAGAGGGCATCCCTGTCTTGTGCCAGTTTTCAAAGGGAATGCTTCCGGTTTTTGCCCATTCAGTATGATATTGGCTGTGGGTTTGTCATAGATAGCTCTTATTATTTTGAGATACGTCCCATCAATACCTAATTTATTGAGAGTTTTTAGCATGAAGGGTTGTTGAATTTTGTCAAAGGCCTTTTCTGCAGTACCAAAACAGAGATATAGATCAATGGAACAGAACAGAGCCCTCAGAAATAATGCCACATATCTAAAACTATCTGATCTTTGACAAACCTGAGAAAAACAAGCAATGGGGAAAGGATTCCCTATTTAATAAATGGTGCTGGGAAAACTGGCTAGCCATATGTAGAAAGCTGAAACTGGATCCCTTCCTTACACCTTATACAAAAATTAATTCAAGATGGATTAAAGACTTAAACATTAGACCTAAAACCATAAAAATCCTAGAAGAAAACCTAGGCATTACCATTCAGGACATAGGCATGGGCAAGGACTTCATGTCTAAAACACCAAAAGCAATGGCAACAAAAGCCAAAATTGACAAATGGGATCTAATTAAACTAAAGAGCTTCTGCACAGCAAAAGAAACTACCATCAGAGTGAACAGGCAACCTACAAAATGGGAGAAAATTTTTGCAACCTACTCATCTGACAAAGGGCTAATATCCAGAATCTACAATGAACTCAAACAAATTTACAAGAAAAAAACAAACAACCCCATCAAAAATGGGCAAAGGATATGAACAGACACTTCTCTAAAGAAGACATTTATGCAGCTGAAAAACACATGAAAAAATGCTCATCATCACTGGCCATCAGACAAATGCAAATCAAAACCACAATGAGATACCATCTCACACCAGTTAGAATGGCAATCATTAAAAAGTCAGGAAACAACAGGTGCTGGAGAGGATGTGGAGAAATAGGAACACTTTTACACTGTTGGTGGGACTGTAAACTAGTTCAACCATTGTGGAAGTCAGTGTGGCGATTCCTCAGGGATCTAGAACTAGAAATACCATTTGACCCAGCCATCCCATTACTGGGTATATACCCAAAGGACTCTAAATCATGCTGCCATAAAGACACATGCAACGTATGTTTATTGTGGCACTATTCACAATAGCAAAGACTTGGAACCAACCCAAACGTCCAACAGTGATAGACTGGATTAAGAAAATGTGGCACATATACACCATGGAATACTATGCAGCCATAAAAAATGATGAGTTCATGGCCTTTGTAGGGACATGGATGAAATTGGAAATCATCATTCTCAGTAAACCATCACAAGGACAAAAAAACCAAACACCACATGTTCTCACTCATAGATGGGAATTGAACAATGAGAACACATGGACACAGGAAGGGGAACATCACACTCTGGGGACTGTTTTGGGGTGGGGGGAGGGGGGAGGGATAGCATTATGAGATATACCTAATGCTAAATGATGAGTTAATGGGTGCAGCACACCAGCATGGCACATGTATACATATGTAACTAACCTGCACATTGTGCACATGTACCCTAAAACTTAAAGTATAATAATAATAAAAAAAGAAAAAAAAGTGAGAACATTCAGCGTTTGGTTTTCTGTTTCTGTGTCGTTTTCTGAGGATAAGGGCTTCCAACTCCATCCATGTCTCTGCAAAGGACATGATCTCATTTCTTTTTAAGGCTGCATAGTATTCCATGGTATATATGTACCACATTTTCTTTATCCAAGCTATCATTAATGGGCATTTGGCTTGATTCTATGTCCTTGCTATTGTGAATAGTGCTGCATTGAACTTATGCATGCATGTATCTTTATAATAGACTGATTTGTATTCCTTTGGGTATATACCCACTAATGGGATTGCTGGGTCAAGTGATATTTCTGCCACAAGGTCTTTAAGGAATTTCCATCCTGTCTTCCACAATGGTTGAACTGATTTACATTCCCACCAACAGATTACTAGTTTTAATTAAATTAATGTGGTTTTTTTTGTTTGACAAAATGGGAGAAATCTTATACACTGATCTGTGTCTTCATTTTTTCTGCTGTAACAAAAATATCTGACACTGATTAATTTATAAAGAAAAGAACTGTATTTTTTCACATTCTGGAGGCTGGGGAGTCCAACATAAGGGTATGAGCATCTGTGAGGACTTCTCTGTCTGCTTTCAAGAGGGCATTTTGAAGCTGCATCCTCTGTAGGGAACAAATATCGTGTCCTTCTGTGGCAGAAGAGATGGAAGGGGAAGAACAACTCAAATGTTATGTGAAGCTTCCTTTATGAGGACTTTCATCCCATTCTGAAGGAAGAGACCTCATGGTCTAATCATCATTTCTTAAAGACCTTACTTGTTAATACTATTACATTGTCCATTAAGTTTGAACATGTGTATTTTGAAGGGGACACATTCAAACCATAGCAATCTGTCACCGTAATAAATACTAACAATATTGTGTTTAATGACGACTTCATGGATATGAATCTTCCTCACACATTCAAGTTCAATAAAACATGAAGCTCCCTCACATATTCATGTTCAGTATATCCAGATTTTTGTCAATCTATCTTTACTGAGAGATTATTGGAGAAAAAGATTCTTTTATTGATGCCAATTTTGAAAAGTTTCAGTGAAGCAACAGATGCACAAATAGGAAAAGTGTTAAAGGTTAGGTTAAGTTGGGTAAAAACATGAAAATCCCGTTTCACACCAAATTTGAGAATTTGTAGTATTACTGAAGGCCTTAGTTTTTTAGAATTTATTCTGGAAGCTTTCAAATGGCTTCATACTTGAAATAAATTTACCAAAACATTTTCACCAGAAACTTCATCATAAATTTGAGTTATATGTCATTAAAAACTTCCAACACTTTTCTCCTGCAAAAATCAGAGCAAAAGACTAAATGACGGTAAATCCTGACATTATTTGATCCAGTTTTCTAGAACAAATACCCAGTTTTTTCTGACAATGACTACATTTGACTTTGTCTTCTTTATTTTTTCTGGCAATGTAAGAACACCGTCTGTCATTTCTCCTGGAATTTTTCAAAATTTGTATCTTTTTTCTATTTAAATATCCATTTCTTCACATTTTATTGTTGCATGACTAATATTCTTTATAGTTTTTGTACAGCAAGAATCATCGAGGAACCATTTTGGAGCCTATTTTTCACTCTTCAAGGCTAACTGTTCATTTGCAAACATTTTTGTGGTCACATAGAATGTCAGAATTGAAGTAACTGAAGTTCTGTTTCTTTGATTTACAATCAATGTCATTGTTTCCTTCTAATGTTTTAACATAAGAATATGTAGTACTATATGATTGGACATACTAGCAGTAAATGAAGGTAGTTCAAATGTTTCTGAACCATTATAAACTTATTTTGGAAACCAATGCAAGTAGTCAAGTCCTTATATGTTGGGGGCATTCTATATTATTTTTTCCCAAATTAACAATGTTATTAAAATATTAATGACAAAAAAAATCTTATTTTAGCCAGGCACAGTGGCTCATGCCTATAATCCTAGCACTTTGGGAGGCTGAGGCAGGTTCATCACTTGAGGTCAGGAGTTTGAGACCAGCCTGACCAACATGGTGAAACCCCGTCTCTACTAAAAATACAAAAATTAGCTGGTGTGGTAGCAGGCACCTGTTACCCAGCTACTCAGGAGGCTGAGGCAGGAGAATCTCTTGAACCTGGGAGGCAGAGGTTGCAGTGAGCCCAGATTGTGCCACTGCACTCTAGCCTGGGCAACAGAGCAAGACTCTGTCTAAATAATAATAATAATAATTATTATTATTATTTTAAGTGTATAAATCTATATATGTAACACATAAAAATAAAACATTAACCACAACAATTATTAAACGTAAGGGTTGGCAAACTGTTTCTTTAAAGAGCCAGATAGTAAGTATTTTAGGCTTTTTGTGAGCCAAGAAGCAAAACTGAAGATATTATATAGGACTTATCTAACAAGAGAAAAAAAATTCCACAAATTATTTTTAAGTCATATTCTGGATTTGGTCCATAGATTACAGTTACCAACCCCTCCCTGATTTAGACATTACCAAAAAAAAGGGGATTTGGGGGGAAAAATATATTAATGGAAATATTTTCATCATAGTAACTGACAT
Source organism: Homo sapiens (assembly GCF_000001405.40). NCBI lineage: Eukaryota > Metazoa > Chordata > Mammalia > Primates > Hominidae > Homo > Homo sapiens. The sequence continues at coordinate 80,792,648 of NC_000006.12, read as the reverse complement.
TGTTTAGAATTGTCAGGACATGTTCATTATTTAAAATGTAGACTTATTTTTTATTTATTACTTTTAAATTATCTATAGATAATGTAATCCCTCATATTGCTCACAATGAAACCACCCCTATTGGTTGTCACTACATATAAACAGAATATTAATAAATGGGGAATGAAAAGAAACTCTTTTGCAACACTTCCTCCATAGAGTATGGTCTCCTCTCTTTTGTCTCTTGGTGGGCCAATGTCTTGATTTGTTTTCATTCACATGAAATATAGTAAACTATAAATGAAAGACTATAAAGTTCAGAAAAACCACAACTTAAAAATTATGGCTCTTCTTTTTTTTTTCCTCTGTCAGTCAACATTCTTTAAGTTTAGTACAAAAAATCCCATCTGCTATGATTCAGTTCAATGAACTTAGAATGTGAGTGCTTACTTCACCTCTAAATAACCCATTATCACTATACAAAATGACAGAAAGTAGAGTACCCAATTGTTGCTGGTAACCTACTTTCATTAAACAACCTTTATTTTAAATTGTTTTGCAATAGGATTCAGTAAGTGTTAAATAACTTAGTTCTCTGCCTATTGTTTGCTGGCAGTCACATAATTACAAAATGTCCACTAGTCTACAGTATTAAAAAAATGTAAAACTTGGACAACACCCACAACCTGATATTAAAAGAAAAGAGGAAATAGATATCTTGTAAATCCTTTTTACCTCTGAGATTCTATGACATTTCCTTGTAATTTCATCAACTGAAAATTTGAAGAACCAATTGTTAGCATAATATTTGGTTATAAAGCATGCATGTTGTTATGATAGAGAAGCAAAATTGTAAAACATTAAAAGCAAAATAAATAAAATTTGAAAGTCAGAGTAGATCAAGGAAGCTAGTTGGTCTATTTGAATGTCTAAAAATCAAAGATGGCAAATGTGGTCTTTTAGAACAAAGTAAATGGATTGACTCATTTTGTATAATATCATCCTAACAATGAAAGGTTTAGGAGTAGATTTTAGTCTACTAAAGGCCCAGGCAACCATATTTGGCTAGTATCCCTCTTAGCCTATGAAAATCCCTAATTGCCTAGTGTTAAGGAATTTTTCTCATTACGATTCAGGGCACTAGACCTTATCAATAATTTGCAAAATTGTGTGAACATGCTCAATAGCCACCTTAAGCGACAGCTTCCTATGTGAAACTCAGGTTTGACGTGAAAACAAATAAAATTCATAAAGATATTTAGGTATTTCATGGGAAAAGAAGGTTATCATTGGCTATTCACAGAATATAGAGACATATTACTAAGTCAACCGTCTGTCAAATTACTTGTATATAAAGCAAAACTGGACTTGAGTTTTAGGACACCTCAAGAACATTTTAAAATTTGGCTACTTTAAAAAATCTGTTGCACATGTAAAATACAAGATTCAAAGTCATACAAAGTATAATCCTAAGAGTTTAGAATGTTTTAAAAAATACAACAAAGATTTAAAATCTAAAATTGATCACTGATCTTTTTGCCTCAGCTAAAAATGACCCTAAGCCAGGAGTGTAAACTTCAGCCTGCAGGCCAAATCTGCTTACCTCCTGTTTCTGGAAATAAAAACCAAGGAACACAGTCCATTTATTTTCATATTATTTCTGGTTCCTCTTAAGCCACAATGACAGAGTTGAGTAGTTACAACAAAAACTTTATGACCCCAAAATATTTACTCCCTGGCCCTTCACAGAAAAGTTTACTGTTCCCTGTCCTAAACTAACATATCCAACTTCAAAAGAGAATAAATATTACAATGATGTTCAAGATGAAAGTAGGAAATACTAATTTGTAATCCTTAAACTGTAAATATAGGACATTCCTGACACATATATTAACTATAAAAGTGGTATTTGTTTCCTGGTGGTAAAACGAAACCAGACTCTAAATCCAGATACAAGTTAAGTTTCCTGTTTATATTCTTAGATCCATCTATTCTGTCCCCCTCTAAGAATCAACTTTCCCAGTCAGAAACTGATCAGAGCCTCAAACCCAGCTCTCTATTCTAAATTTTTGCTTCCCATAGTTATAACACTGTTTCAAGGTTTTCCATTCCCTACAACATTGGAAATTTCCTGTATCTGAAGTTCCCTCTCTGTGGTGAATCATAATAATAATATGCTCTGAATAATTTGTTTGCTGCAGTATTGCAATGTGGTAGCCAGGATCTAAACTGTTCCAAAAAGTTGAGAATATAGAAGCCAAGTCTGAGAGTTCCCAAAGGGATAGATATGCTAGCTGCAGCTGTCTTCAAAACAATTGAGAGACATAATTTTGGTTTTATAAGGTAAGTAAATATGACTAATAAACTTAAGACTCTTGCATAAGATCCTACCTTATACTTACAAGCACCCTCATGGGGGACTGAGAGGTGAAATCCTGCCAAACTTGTTGGACATTCAAAAACTTCACTCATAACACGATTTTGCTATTTAGAACTCTTCTGGATCCCACCAAAGAGGCACTTCCCTCTGGTTAAGAACTCAAATGAAATTTGTTTTCATCCATGTGTGGGACTGAATTCAGCCCAGGAACTAAAGTAACTGGGTTAAGAGGCAGACATACTTGGCTGGCTTTATATCCCATAGCTATGAAATGATAACAAATAACTGGAAAGCTGGGAGCAACTAAAATAATACCCAACTGATAACCAACAAACCTTAGTTGGTGCCATAAATTTATTAGAACCAATAAATCAGAGACAAGATGATGTAGGTATCAAGGGACAATATTATTAATACCTTATTGGGTAAGGGTGGGAGTCATATTAATTTTTAGCAAGCACAGAAAAATAATATAAGCTAATATTATGTATTAAAAGTATGATAGAAGAACTGAGAACAGGTAAAATGAACCCTCCTTGCTTCTTTGTGGACCTACAGTCTTCTTTATTTTCCTGTGTTCACCAAGTGCCTATCATTTTATTTTATTGTATATCTTTTATTTTTAGGACCAAGTCTCACTCTGTCACCCAGGCTGGAGTGCAGTGGCATGATCTTGGCTCACTGCAACCTCTGCCTCCTAGGTTCAAGAGATTCTCCTTCCTCAGCCTCCCTAGTAGCTGGTATTTCAGGCGCCCTCCACCTAACTAATTTTGTTGTTTTTTTAGTAGAGACAGGGGTTCACCATATTGGTCAGGCTAGTCTTGAACTCCTGACCTCAGGTGATCCACCTGCCTCAGCCTCTCAAAGTGCTGCGATTACAGGCATGAGCCACCATGCCAGGCTGGCTATCATCTTAAAGCAGTTAATAGAAATATGTTTCAATAAACACACATTCTTCTATCTAAAATCCCCTCTTGACTCTGTCCATTCTATCTCATCTTCTTTCTTCTTCCTCTGTTAGCACTCAATGTTAAGAGAAGCTTCTTAAAAGCTGTGAAGACTGATGGAGCCAGCTATCGTAATGTAGCACATATCTACATTGTAATTAATTTTCATTGAAATTATGTTTTGGTACTATTTTATTTTAATCTGTCATGAATTTTGACTGACTTTGTAATAGCATTTTTGCTGTTATACAAGTGATACAGGCTTATCATGAAATGTTTAAAGATTCTGATGGAAAAATAAAAATTACCTGTACTTTCTCCCACCTAGACATCAAGACACAACTGTTTTTAACATATGCTCTTTCAGATAGTATATCCATTAAATATTTTGTATCCTATAATTCATTTGTAAAATCTTAATAATATCTTTTAATGTCAGCATTTTATTTTTACATGATCATTTGATGAGTATATAATAATGTATAATATTCAATCCCTTGTTATTTATATTTTCTCTAAATATTTCTATATAAACAATATTATGAAGAGCACCCACAATTCCTTCTTTAGGCTAAATATAAGTGTGGGTCAAGGGATTCTATGTGGGTCAAGGGATACAGTCTAAATGTCTACACTCATACTAATCTTTGGAATTCTATTGTCAAATTATCTTCTAGTAAGGCTGTTCTAGTCTTCATTCCTAGCTCAGTATATGAGAGACAGGTCCGAAAGATGAGTAGGACCTTCCAGATGGAAACACTATTATAATCACACTGTACTAAAATAACATACATAAATCAGCCACTTTTTTTCTTCTGGCTTAAAATAATGAGATCTACATTCACCCAGACGGCACTATAATACCAAGATAAACAAAAAGAGGTGTATTAAATATAACACAAGAATAGACAAAATAGTTAAAGTAGCCACCATCTGTTTGACACTGACTAGAGTGAAAGAGTCGGCTGACAGAGAAAAAAACAGTCCTTTACCTCAGTGCCGTCCTTCTCTTCCATATCTTGTTTTTTGATTCACTTTTTTAGCAGGCATTTGCCAGCCTCCAGGGTGCCTCCAGATGCTCACTGGGGCCTGGACCAACAGTAATGGCTGTTCCTTCTTTCATCAGCCCATGGCATTTTTAACCCAGGACCGGTATTTGAGTAAGAATGAGGAGACCTAGGTAATTTTGTCGACCTACGGGCAATTAACCTTTGTTTCTTCTTCTTCAAATGGAGGATGAGGGTGGGAGGTCTTATTAACTGACATCGCAGTTTCCTTCTATTTCTAGATTTCTATGATTGTTTCAGAAAAGGAATGGAGAAAAAATTCAAAACACCCAAAACTTTGTGAGCTTCTACAAATTATCTGAATTGTTTTTTTCTCTCTCTTTTATAAAAGTTTCAAATAAAATTAGAAATTATTAAGATTCTACCATGCCAAATAAAAAAAGCTCCATAAAGCTAAAGCACAGGTCTTCCCCAGTATCAAAGCACAGGAAAATAATCAGCTGGATTCCAAATTTTAAACCTCTACTTCCGAAAGATAATTTACTTTCATTTTCTGAGTTTGTGCATATTATTTTTTGCCAACTTTCAAAAAACTGACAGGAAACAAATTAGTTCAGCAAAATACACTATTGAATAATATGAGAATTCCCAGAGCAAAGTCTGAAAATAAGTGAAAACTTAATGAACTGTCCATAAAGACATGTAATTTAGTTGATGAAAAATAATAGTAATCATTAAAAACTATAAAGTTGTCTGGACTCTTGCTGCTATAAAAACATATTTTTGGAAGGCTGAGGCAGAGAATTGTTTGAACCCAGGAGGCAGAGGTTGCAGTGAGCTGATATCACACCACTGCACTCCAGCCTGGGTGAGAGAGTGAGACTCCCGTCTCAAAACAAACAAACAGACAAAAACACATTTTTAAACGGATACTATACATTTTCCAAAGTGTCCCCTAATGCCATTTGCTTATATTAAAATATAAAAGTTATCCATAACCCATTTTTATATCAAAATATAAAATAGCTTTCTCTAGAAATGTGCATGTGATTTTTATTGATTTACACTTTTTTTCACATTTTAACACCATCTGTTCTAATCCAAAGACAGGATCTTTTTTGATTTTTCACTAATTATAACTGTTTCGTTCCTTAAAGTAATAGACATTAAATTAGTTACCATCTCTGAATAAAATTTACCTTTAATCTTTGTATCACAACAGAACATCTCTCTCCAATCTTTTTCTTGGAAAAGACTAAGTGTATATTCTGAAGGAGCACCTAGAATATTGGGTAATCAGAAGTTCACTTTTGTTGCTTTTTCACATTTATTATGTATGATGAGAAACTCATCACTGTTGAATGCTATCAAGAGAATTTCAGAAAGTACTAGTTAAAGCATATTTTATTTACAAATGTAAATTTTTAAGGGATATAAAACAAAAATTATATGTAAAACTAAAATGTACAAAATTCCTTAAGTTTCTTTTATCTCCTGCTTGAAAAATTTCTAATTGGAAATAGAGACAATTTTAAACACGAGATACTGATTCAAGACAATGCTAATTGCATGGCTTAAGTGTACATAATGCCTTTTGTTTTCGCTAAGATGTTGCAGCCAAAAACGCTCAGCAGCCTCATAAAATATCACTTGAGAGGACCATCATAATAAACAGATTCACCAAAGAATTAGTTGTAATGGTCTTTTCAATCAGAGCAATTTTTAACATTTTTTAATTTACTCTTTTGTTGCTATACTAGGAATTTTAGATCCTTTCTATTTCTGATGGACCTTAACAATAAGCATCAATGGTCACATTTGTTGAGCAAAATGCTTTCAACTGATCCTTATTAAAGCCTGGGGAGAGCTAAGTTCAATGGCTCATGCCAGTAGTCCCAGCTACTCAGTAGGCATGATCCTCATGGGAGAATCTCTTGAGTCAAAGAGTTTAGGGATGCAATGGACTATGTTCACACAACTGCATTCTAGCATGGGTAACAGAGCAAGACCTCATCTCAAAACAAAACAAAACAAAACAACACGAAACAACTGGAAAGGCAGAGAAAGCAGATATTCCCATTTAACACATAGTAAAACTAAGGCTCTGAAAAATTGAGTGATTTGTGCAAGAACTTACTTTTAGAAAGTAAGAAGGATATGTAGGAATAGAAGTCAGACTCTATATCAAGTACTTATAGCTAGTCTACATATACTGACATAATCCCTTAATTTTTATATCACTTATGACAGAATTTATCATGCTGGACAGATCTGGGATGCTATACCTGAAGACTAATTCTGAAGTTCCACAGAGGCCCTTTATCCTGAAACCATTATATACACAAAATATTCCTAAAATGAACATCCTTTAAATAGATTGTCTAACTTGAGTCTGGCATTTGTACCTTAATTTTTAGGGCTTACTACAAATATCAATAGCATTAAACCTGGGGCACTGCCTATTCAAGTATTCATCTCTCTAGTGTCCAGATGCTTTTCAATTAAACCCCACAAGAAGAGTTGTCTAAGGAAGGCTTTATATAATAGCAACATCATCTTTCCTCTGACTCCTATATTATCCCATTCCCACATTGCTATAAAGAACTACCTGAGACTGGATAGTTTATAAAGGAAAAAGGTTTAATTGACTTACAGTTCTTCAGGCTGTATAGGAGGCATGACTGGGGAAGCCTCAGGAAACTTACAGTCATGGCAGAAGGCAAAGGGGAAACAAGCGTGTCTTACTATGGTAGAGAAGAAGACGGAGAGTGAAGGGTGATGTGCTATACACTTGTAAACAACCAGATCTTGTGAGAACTCACACACTATCACAAGAACAGCAAGGGGAAATCTGCACCCACGATCCAATCACCTCCCACCAGGTCCCTCTCACAAGATTGTGAATAAAATTCGACATGGGATTTGGGTGGGGACACAGAACCAAACGATATCAACAAGTTTACATTATCTGTCTTTCCCATCACTGGATACAACTTACTTTATAGGTTAATATGCTTTCACAATATGAATCCCTGAGTGTCAAGTATTTACAATTCACTACTGAAAATTGCAAGGCTCCAATTATTAGTGTGATTTTCTTCATGAACAAGTGCCTAGATGTGGCCTATAAGTGGGGCAGCACACCAATACTTGTTTTATCTCAATAGAAAAGGTATCAGTTATGTGTGAATTTGATCCTGTCATTATGATGTTAGCTGGCTATTTTGCTCGTTAGTTGATGCGGTTTCTTCCTAGCCTCAATGGTCTTTATAATTTGGCATGTTTTTGCAGTGGTTGGTACTGGTTGTTCCTTTCCATATTTAGTGCTTCCTTCAGGAGCTCTTTTAGAGCAGGTCTGGTGATGGCAAAATCTCTCAGCATTTGCTTGTAAAATATTTTATTTCTCCTTCAGTTATGAAGCTTAGTTTGGCTGGACATGAAATTCTGGGTTGAAAATTATTTTCTTTAAGAATGTTGAATATTGGCCCCCACTCTCTTCTGGCTTGTAGAGTTTCTGCCGAGAGATCAGCTGTGAGTCTGATGGGCTTCCCTTTGTGGGTAACCTGATCTTTCTCTCTGGTTGCCCTTAACATTTTTTCCTTCATTTCAACTTTGGTGAATCTGACAATTATGTGTCTTGGAGTTGCTCTTCTCGAGGAGTATCTTTGTGGCATTCTCTGTATTTCCTGAATTTGAATGTTGGCCTGCCTTGCTAGATTGGGGAAGTTCTGGATAATATCCTGCAGAGTGTTTTCCAACTTGGTTCCATTCTCCCCGTCACTTTCAGGTACACCAATCAGACATAGATTTGGTCTTTTCACATAGTCCCATATTCCTTGGAGGCTTTGTTCGTTTCTTTTTATTCTTTTTTCTCTAAACTTCTATTCTCGCTTCATTTCATTCATTTCATCTTCCTTCACTGACACCCTTTCTTCCAGTTGATCGCATCGGTTACTGAGGCTTGCGCATTCGTCACATGGTTCTCACGCCTTGGTTTTCAGCTCCATCAGGTCCTTTAAAGACTTTTCTGCATTGATTATTCTAGTTAGCCATTCGTCTAATCTTTTTTCAAGGTTTTTAACTTCTTTGCCATGGGTTCAAACTTCCTCCTTTAGTTCAGAGTAGTTTGATCGTCTGAAGCCTTCTTCTCTCAACTCGTCAAAGTCATTCTGTGTCCAGCTTTGTTCCATTGCTGGTGAGGAGCTGTGTTCCTTTGGAAGATGAGAGGTGCTCTGATTTTTAGTTTCCAGTTTTTCTGCTCTGTTTTTTCCCCATCTTTGTGGTTTTATCTACCTTTGGTCTTTGATGATGGTGATGTACAGATGGGGTTTTGGTGTGGATGTCCTTTCTCCTTGTTAATTTTCCTTCTAACAGTCAGGACCTTCAGCTGCAGGTCTGTTGGAGTTTGTTGGAGGTCCACTCCAGACCCTGTTTGCCTGGGTATCAGCAGCAGAGGCTGCAGAACAGTGGATATTGGTGAACAGCAACTGTTGCTGCCTGATCGTTCCTCTGGAAGTTTTGTCTCAGAGGAGTACCCAGCCTTGTGAGGTGTCAGTCTCCCCCCACTGGGGGTGCCTCCCAGTTAGGCTACTCGGGGGTGAGGGACCCACTTGAGGAGGCAGTCTGTCCGTTCTCAGATCTCCAGCTACATGCTGGGAGAACCACTACTGTCTTCCAAGCTGTCAGACAGGGACATTTAAGTCTGCAGAGGTTTCTGCTACCTTTTGTTTGGCTATGCCCTGCCCCCAGAGGTGGAGTCTACAGAAGCAGACAGGCCTCCTTGAGCTGCAGTGGGCTCCATCCAGTTCGAGCTTCCTGGCCACTTCGTTTACCTACTCAAGCCTTGGCAATGGCGGGCGCCCCTCCCCCGGCCTCGCAGCTGCCTTGCAGTTTGATCTCAGACTGCTGTGCTAGCAATGAGTGAGGCTCCGTGGGCATAGGACCCTCCAAGCCATGTGCGGGATATAATCTCCTGGTGTGCCATTTGCTAAGACCGTTGGAAAAGCGCAGTATTAGCGTGGGAGTGACCCAATTTTCCAGGTGCCGTCTGTCACCCCTTTCTTTGACTAGGAAAGGGAATTACCTGACCCCTTGCACTTCCTGGGTGAGGCGATGCCTCACCCTGCTTCGGCTCATGCTCTTTGTGCTGCACCCACTGTCCTTCACCCAGTTTCTGACACTCCCCAGTGAGATGAACCTGGTACCTCAGTTGGAAATGTGGAAATCACCTGTCTTCTGTGTCACTCACACTGGGAGCTGTAGACTGTAGCTGTTCGGCCATCTTGACTTCACCCCAGCAAACACTGCATGTTCTCACTCATAGGTGGGAATTGAAAAATGAGAACACATGGACACAGGAAGTGGAACATCACACACCGGGGCCTGTTGTGGGGTGGGGGGAGGGGGGAGGGATAGCATTAGGAGATATACCTAATGTTAAATGATGAGTTACTGGGTGCAGCACACCAACATGGCACATGTATACATATGTAACTAACCTGCATGTTGTGCACATGTACCCTAAAACTTAAAGTATAATAAAAAATAAAAAAAATTACGCTGAAAAAGGAAAGAAAAGGTATCAGTTTATTTAAAAAAAAAGATTTTATACCAACCGCAAGCCCAAAAGTATGACGAATTTCAATCAAAATTCTAGAAGTAATTACTAAAGAAGTAAGAAGTAGTTGTTTTTAGGTTTCAGCACTAGATTTATTAAGGTGATAATTCCATTGATCAGCAAAATTTAATAAATGTCGTATATTGGACTTTAGGTTAGACATCTGATCTAGCCTCTTATGGTATACTTATAACAAAAATGAGGAAACATGGAATATGTAATTTTGACAGAATATCACAAAAATTCCTGGTCAATGAGTCTGCATCAATCTAAAAAATGTTTTCTTAAAATATATGAGATATCTATCTTTCTACAGCTGCACTGATAGGAGTAGTGTCTAAAATAAAGGATGTGAGAGGAAAAAAAGTGATGTTGCCAAGATCGCTGACTAGAGGCACATGGCACTCATCCCCCCTTCCCCACCACCACATACACCAAAAAACAACCAAGGAAAATCAACAAATAAACATTTATCATTTGACTGGAGTGTTGAAGGGAAGAAGCCGGAGTGCAGCGAGTTAGTGGAGATGCACCTGTGATGACTGGAAGCCCACAGGGTGGGATGGAGGTACCTGTCACTGCAGCCAGATCTCTCCCACCTGGATCAACCCAGAGTCACAAGGGACTTGCCCTTGTGGGGAAAAGGTAAGCAAAAGAACCCTACCAGCTCCCACTGCCACTGCAAAGACCTACAGTTCTTATTACAGGAGAATCTTGGAGTCCTTGCGAGTCCTGAACCTTGTTTGGGGAGCTGCTATGAATTCATGCAGCTGCTTCACTCCAGATGAGGAGCACAAGGTACGCACTTCCCACATTCCACCCACCCCCTATGAGCCAAGCTGCTGCAGCACAGCACTATCTTGAGAACAGACCCCCTTCTGGAGTATGCCATGTTCTGGAGCCAATAGCGACGGCATGTCTCCTGCCCTGGGACCAGAATCAACTGTGACTCTGGTCCTGCACAGCAGGCAAAACAATCCCTGCTGCCTGCACTTTCAGCTAGAGGAACAATCTGGCATTCCCACCTAGGGTGAGCCTATCCTTGAGCAGACCAAAGCACTACATGAGGAACTCCCCCAAACTGGAGAGATCCTTGAGCTACTGAGAAGCTGACACACCCCTGGAATGGCAGAGTGGCTATACACCTGTATCCAGTGCCTGAAAAACAGCTCCATGGTTCCCTCACACCCTGCAGACATGCCCTAGTCCTGTGCAATGGCCCCATACTCATGCTCAGTGCCTGAGAAAGAGCCCATGGGCCATCCCAGGCAGACAGGCCCCCAGGCCAGCTGAACAGCCATAAGCCTGAATCTCTGACCTGAGAAACAGCCCTGTGGCCACAACCCCAGTGAGTCAGACCTCAAGTTGGCCAACGCCATGTGTGCATGCATGCAATTCTCAACCTGAAAAATAGCCCACTGAGTGTACTCCAGCAAAACTGTGCTATTGCCACCTCAAACTTTCACACTGATACACTTGCAAATGTCACTAGCATAGATTACAGCTGAGGAAACTACACAAAGACTACACTATTATATACACCTAGAACCAAAGCCAATGCACACGTCACTCAAATGACACCTCAAGATCCATCTGTATGAATAAGTCTTTCCTTACAAGACCTACTCTATAAAAGTAGAAGAGGTGACTTTTCCAACAGATGCATAGAAATCAATGTAGGAACACATAAAACACGAAAAAATAAGGAAAAGGAAAACATGATAACCCAAAAGGAATGCAGTAGTTCTCCAGTAATAGGCCCCAATCATAAGGAAATATACAAAATGCCAGAAAAGAATTCAAAATAATAATTTTAGGGACACTCCATGAGATACAGGAGGATACAAATAGACAATTCAACAAAATCAGGAAAATAATGCATTATTTGAATTAGAAATTCAACAAAGAGATAGATATTATTTAAAAAGGAACCAAACAGAAATCCTAACACTGAATAACTCACTGAATGAAATAAAAATACAATCAAGGGCTTCAACAACAGACCAGATAGACCAAGCAGAAAACAGAATTTCTGACCTTGAAGACAGGTCTTTTGAAATAAACAGGCAGAAAAAAAAGATTAAAAAAATAAAAAAGAATGAAGAAAGCCCACGACTTATGGAACACCATAAAGTGAACAAATGTTCACAAATATGAATATTCCATAAAGAAAGGAAAAGCTGTAACAAACATTTAATAAAATAATAGCTGGAAATGTCCCAAGTAGGAAGAGATGGACATCCAGATCCAGGAAGCTCAAAAGTCCCAAATAGATTCAACTGAAACAGGTCCTCTCTGAGGCACATTATAGTCAAATTATCAAAAGTCAGACAAGCAGAGAATGTTTACAACAACAAAAGTGTCAAGTGACATAAAAGGGAATCCCCATTATATGAACAGTAGAATTTGCAGGAATAGATATTCTTTTTTTTTAGATTTATATGTAAATGTGTTTATTACAGAAGTATTTATAATATTGTAAAATCTGAACCAACATACATATACAACAGTTAGGGAATAGACAAACAGTGCATGGTTCAGTCATAAAACATGTTCCATGTAACCATTAGGAATCATGATTTTGAGTTCATGTCCTTTGCAGGGACATGGATGAAGCTGGAAACCATCATTCTCAGCAAACTATTGCAAGGACAAAAAACCAAACACCGCATGTTCTCACTCATAGGTGGGAACTGAACGATGAGAACACTTGGACACAGGAAGGGGAACATCACACACCGGGGCCTGTTGTGGGGTGGGGGGGAGTGGGGAGGGATAGCATTAGGAGATATACCTAATGTAAATGACAACTTAATGGGTGCAGCACACCAACATGGCACATGTACATATATGTAACAAGCCTGCACGTTGTGCACATGTACCCTAAAACTTATAATAATAAAAAGAAAACCAAATACTATCCCTAAAAGATACCAGTGTTATTAAAATTATAAAGAATTTCACGGAATAGATATTCTTATGTGAAACAAAAGAGACTTAAAACCCAAAGCTACAAAAAGAGACAAAGATGGACATTATATAATAATAAACATATAAATTCAGCGAGAATGTAACAATTATAAATATATATGTACCCAATAGCAGAGCACCCATATCTATACAACAAATATAATTAGACGTAAAGGGAGAGATAGACCCCAATACAACATTGGGAACTGCAGCACCCCACTCTCGGCATTGGACAGGTAATCTAGGCACATCATCTATGGCACAGATTTAATCTGTGCCATAGACCAAATGTCCAATGTACCTAACAGACATTTATGGAACATTTTACACAACAGCTGCAAAATACACATTTTTTATTAGTACATGGAATATTTTCCAGAATTGACCATATATGAGAATACAAAATAAACCTCAAAAATATTTTTAAATCAAAATCATATCAAGTATCTCATCTGACCACAATGGAAGAAACTAGGAATAAATAAAAAGGGGAACATTTGAAACTATACAAATATGAGAAAATTAAACAATATGCTCTTGAGTGACCAATCAGTGAAGGGAGAAATTAAGAAGGAAAAACAATTCCTTAAAACAAATGACAATAGAAATACAACATACCAAGACCTATGGGACACAGCAAAATCAATATTAAGAAGCAATGTATAGCAATAAAAATCCACATCAAAAAATAGAAAGATTTCAAATAAATAACCTAATAGTGCATCTCAAGGAACTAAAACATCAAGAACAAGCTAAACACAAAATTATTAGAAGAAAAGAAATAGCAGAAATGAAATTGAAACGAAATATTAGCAAACGAAAAGTTTTTTGAAAAGAAACAAAATCGACAAACCCACAACTAGACTAAGAAGAAAGAGAAGACCCAAATAAAATCAGAAATGAAAAAGGAAATGTCACAATGGATACCAGAAAAATACAAAGGATCACTAGTGGCTGCAATAATTTACATTCCTACCAGCAGTGTACGAAGGTCTCCTTTTCTCTTCATGTTTGCCAGCATTCATTATTGCGTGTCCTTAGGATCAACGCCATTTTAACTTGGGTAATACATCTTCTTGTAGTTTTGATTAGCATTTTTCTGACAATTAGTGATGTTGGGCATTTTTGGTATAACTGTTGGCCTTTGTATGTCCTCTTTTGAGAAATGTTTATTCAGATCTTTTGCCCATTTTAAAATTGTATTTTTTCTTTTGAGTTGTTTGAACTATACTGATTATTAATCTCTTATCAGGTGGATAGTTTGCAAATATTTTCTCCCATTCTGTGGGTTGTCTCTTCACTCTGTTGATTGTTTCCTTTGTAGTGCACAAGTTTTTTGGCTTGATATGATTTTATTTGGCATGATTGGGTTGAATCTGTAGATTGCTTTGGGAAGTATGAACATTTAGAACTACAATAAGATCCAGTAATTCCACTACTGGAAATTTATCTAAAGGAAAGGGAATCAGTACATCGAAGAGACATCTGCACTGTCATGTTTATTGCTGCACTATTCACAATAACCATGATATGGAATCAACCTAAGTGTTAAACAACACATGGATGGTTAAAGAAAATGTGGTACGTATACACAATGGAATGCTATTCAGTCAGAAAAAAAAATGAAATCTTGTCATTCACAGTGACATAGATGAAACTTGAATACATTATGGTAAGTAAAATAAGCCAGAAACAGAAAGTTAAACACCACATATTCTCACTTATATGTGGAAGCTAAAAAAAATTTGATCTTATGAAAGTAAAAAGTGGAACAGAGGAATAGCTGAGAAGGCTAGGAGAAAGGAAGGCATAGGGAGAGATTTATTAAAGGATAAAAAATCACAGCAGATTGTAGAAATAAATTCTAGTGTTCTGTAGCACTATTGGATAACTACAGTTAACAATAATATATAGTTTCAAATAGCTAGAAGGAGTCAATTAGATGTTCTCAACACAAAAAATGATAGATGTTTGAGATTATGGGTAAGCTAATTACACTGATTTAATGACATGTATCAAAACATCATAAATGCCCTTATAAATAGGTACAATTATAATGGGTCAATAAAAAATTAAAATTAAAAAATGTGAGAATTAAATTATCCTAAGACTTGCTATAAAAGATTGCATTCAGCTCTAGGATGCTGATGAGTAATTTTCCAGGATATTGGAGGTACTTAAGATAGTTACTTAGATATAAGCTGTATAACTGCTTTAAAAGCATAATACATAAAGATTTTAACAATGCTCTTTGGTTGATGACAGAATCTTTATGTTTCATCAGGTTAAATTTCTGAATCTTATTTAATCTCTGATTTTATTATTGTGTTTGAAGATTGATAAGCCATTTTGGGTATACAAAGTGTAGTAAAACATTTATAAAACAGCTTTGAAGTCAAACATGGGTTCAGACATTGACCCCTCCGCTTACTGATCTTGCTCAATGTATTTAACCCCCCGAAACATGTTCTATAATGTGAAAAATAGGAACACATAACATTCTTTTGATACAGCTCATATGAAAATTAAAAATATGATATATTTAAGGTATTTAGTAGAGTGCTTTAGATATAGCAAATCCTTAATAAATAATAGTCATTATCATAGTAATACAAAAATTAAATTTACCTACAAGAGATATTTAGAGAGATAATAATACAAATAATAAATAACATCAGAAAAATGCCCTACTTCTATTGTAATCACAGATGTTTAATGTTATTTTTATTAGAAAATAACTGTACTTTTTATTAACTGTTTTAATGAGGTAAAAATAAATGCCAAAACATAATCATGTTGGATTCTTAAAAGGCATAAATAATCTTTATTGTCTAAGAAGAAAAGGACAGAGAAGCAAAGAGACTTCGAATTTTAAACTGGTAACTATGTTTAAAAATATTTTTGTTTTCCTGGAAAGTGAAAAATAATTATACTCTATTTTTTGACATACTTGTTAAACCTCTGGTTACAATATAGTTTTGTTAGTAATCAAAACTGAGAAAAGTTCAAATATCATAAATGAAACCCTATTATCAAATCTCCTGTAAGTCATACCATGTCCTTATAAAACAAGAAAAATGATGCTAAAATCTGAAAAATTTGCAAGTCACGGGACTTGGGAATTTTTTTTAAGTCATTCGAGCTAATAATATATTAATTATTTTATGAATCAAATAATGTATAATTTTATGTCTTGAAAATAATCAAGTCAATATAATGTTGTATGCATAATTTGAATAGCAAAAATTTAGTTATCTTATAAGGAAGTTTGTCATCAATGAATTATAATACCTGCAAAGCTCATTGTTATAGTAAATCTATGTGAGATCTATCTATCTATCTATCTATCTATCTATCTATCTATCTAATCTATCTATCTATCTATCCATCCTTCTATCTACCTACCTACACACTTAACTTGTGATGCTATAACAAAGTACTGTAGACCGAAAGCTTGTAAAAACAATAGAAATTTATTTGTCACTGTTCTGGAGACTGGAAGTCCAAGACCAGGATACCAACATGGTAGAGTTCTGGTGAGGACCCCCTTCCAGGTTGCAAACTACATACTTCTCATTGTATCCTCACAGAGCGGAAAAGAGAGAGGATTAGCACTCTTCCTATTCTTTTATGAACACTAACTTCATCTTAGGGTCTCCAACTTCATGATCTAATTCCCTCTCAAAGGCCTCACTTTCTACTACTATCTTACTGGGGGCTAAGGTTTCAACATGTGAATATAGGGGTGACAGAATCATGTAATTCATAACAAGTAGTTAAAAATTTTTAATTAGTAATGAATTTATTTCTTCCTAAATGGTACAGAAAATGCTAACCAAAACTAATTTTTGTAGTCATCTTAAAAAGCCAAGAATATACAAAGAACACTGAATTTAGAATTAGGTTTAAGTTCAATTTTAGTTTAGTACCCTATCTAAAACCTGAAAAAATCATTTACAATATTTGAAATTTATTTTCATCTTATGAAATGTGGAAAGAATATTTATTTTACAAACTTATTGTGGAGACTAAATGAAATGAGATTAAAGTACTTTGAATATGAATATGATATAAGTGACTTATAATTGGGGTCTTATATTCTATTGAAAACTCAAAAGTAGTTACTTTCTTCCAAAAAAATTTACAAAAGGCAATTCATCTAAACAGAGAAAATAATAATAAACAGGCTAGCCTATGATTCTCCACAGCAACATACGATGCCAAAAGACATGTGGAAATGGCTAAATTCTGAGTGAAAGAAATTATGACTCAGAATGTTATAACCAGCCGCTATGGTAATTATTCATAATATAATGAATAGGCATTCTCAAAGGCTAATTTGAAGAATTTGTCAACTAGTAAAATGTCTTTTTAAAAACCTACATTAAAAAAATCAAGTTAATAAGAGCCAAGGATAAATAAATGGGAGGGAAAAGCCATCGTAGAATGAATGGATACATTATTGATCAATTTGAACATGCAAATAAACAGTTATAGGAATTATAGTTACAAAAGGAATGCAAATGTTTGATATCTTGACAGTGTAAGACTATCAACATAACTTAAAATATCAAGACATGGGAAACATGAATGTGAGTTATTTTATATCATATATTAATCAGTTCATTAAAAGTTTTAAAGATGGTCTTTAAAAACATAATTATTGAAAACAGTTTTATTGACTTTTTCTAATCTTACAAGTATCTTTAAGACATAACTACCATTTTAGAGAGAATATATTTATATGTTCAATATTTCTTTCCTTAAATCTTACTTTGAGTTTTTCCCTTCTGTAAAACTAAATTTAACATATTTTATTTTTAAATACATGAACTTTAAAAGATTATTCTTCTGAATTTTGAAGTTTGACAAAGTTGTTAACCCAAAACAAACATGTTGTTTCTTAGTATTTGATGAAAAATGACTTAGAAGACAACATTTTAAAATCATTGTTTTGCTGTGAAGAAAACTCCAAGATAGGTTCAGGCTGAAAAAACTGTTGCTTATGCTGAACCCAATTTATTGAGCAAAATCAATACCACATTAGTTTTAAAATAGATATGGCCAGCGCTAACATTCCTTTACATAACCATTGTTCATCAGTAGTAATGATTATTTTCAGCAATAACCCTACACCGTGATAACATAGAGTAGTGTTTCATTTTTACACTTTTATTTAGACAATTATTTATAATTGCATTACAGAAATAAACACTTTTGCACTACCTACATATGTAAGTATGTTAAAATAAGTTCACGATATAAGATACCCTAGAGAAATATTCTGCCTTTTTAAAAGCATACCTGGCGCCGGGTGTGGTGACTAACGCCTGTAATCCCAGCACTTTGGGAAGCCAAGGCCGGCAGATCACCTAAGATCGGGAGTTAGAGACCAGCATGGCCAACATGTCGAAACCCCGTCTCTACTAAAAGTACAAAAATTAGCCGGGCCTGGTGGGCTCACGACTGTAACTCCAGCTACTTGGGAGACTGAGGCAGGAGAATCGCTTGAATCCGGGAAACAGAGGTTGCGGTGACCCAACATCGTGCCACTGCCCTCCAGCTAGGGCTACAGAGTGAGACCCCTGTTTCAAAAGGGAAAAAAAAAAAGGATACCTGGTTCTGGTGCTTGGGAATGTTAGACGTGCGCATTTATTTAATAACAATTGATTATAATTTATTCATCACATTTATGATAGAAATGTATCTTTAATCAATAATATGTTTTTAAATAGCCCATGTTAATATAAATGTAATATATTATTTATTTTCACATAATCCAATAAGGCTATATCTCCACATTAGCCTAAATTAGAAAGGCTCTCTAGTAGACAGCATATTAAACCAAACTGAGGTGGGTTTTTTTGTTGTTGTTGTTTTCTTTTTGAGACAGGGTCTCCTTCTGTCACCCGGGCTGGAGTACTATGGCAGGATCTAGGCTCACCGCAACCTACACCTCCCCAGGTTTAAGCATTCTCATGCCTCAGCCTCTTGAGTAGCTGGGACTACAGGTGCCCACCACCATGCCCAGCTACTTTTTGTAGTTTTAGTAGAGGCGGGGTTTCACCATGTTGGCCAGGCTGATCTCGAACTCCTAACCTCAAGTGATCCACCCACTTTGTCCTCCCAACATGCTGTGATTCCAGGCATGAGCCACCATACCAGCTCTAAACTGAGTATTTTTAACATCATATAGTTCAATCAACCTCAGACATTTGAATATTTCATGCTCCTTTTTGGTTTGGTTATTGTTTTTGCCTCACAATTTAATTTGTAATATTCTACTCATGTTAAAGAAAAAACAGTTTAGGTTTATTATGTATGAAGCAGATCAATGAAATAGAGCTTAGAAAGAAAGTCAGAATGCCTGATCTCACTTACTTCGAGTGAAATACTTATATTCTTTGAGTATCAATTAATATATCTATAAATTAGGTAAATAATGTTTGCTCATTTTCAAGGAGCAAACAAGGTAAAGCAGATCGATTTTATTAGTACAATTGCTCAATTGTAGTTAAAACCCTAAACTAAAAATCAAAATATTTTAGATTACTCAAAATATAAGCAGTTTTCTCATTATTTACTTTTCCCTAAAATGCTGTCTCATGAGATTTTTGGTCTGTTTTTACCATGTTTCCCCTGCTTCAAAGCTCTTTCATGGAATTCCTTCCAGAATATGATAAGGAACAGATACAAAAGTTTGCCAATAGGATTATAGGGCAGATTAAAGCCTCTGATGGACAGCATGCATCTGGTTTCACAGTGATATTAAAGACGAGAGGATCTGAATCCACACATCATTTACTTGTCCTATTCTTTTGTAATCCTTCCTTGTTTCTGGGTCTGAAAAGAGGAATGATACAGAAAACTAAACAAGAAATAACTTTGAGGCAGAACTCTGTGCACATGAAAAAAAAAAAGTGGCAGCATTTTTTCCCCAGGCAATGAAAAAAGTAATCTTCTTTTCTATCAAAAATAATCAGAAGGTTAGAATATGTTATGTTTATTTGGGGGAAGGGGTTACCGTAGTTATTAACCACATTTCTTTGAGGAAAAGTAATTTTATTTTAGAGCAAATGTAAGATATATTTGGCTGAACAAGAGAGCAAAGCACAAAAGAAACCAATTATACCCCATGTTGTGAAATTACTTTAAATTTCTACCCTTAATCCTTGTTGGTTAAACTCTTGATTAACTGTTCAAAATGTGTTATTACAAGTCTGCAAGAGCTCCTGGGGTCATTAAATCCCTGTAGAATACCTTACTAGCTAAAAAGGCCTGTCTTTCTCTTCTAACAGATGATGTTTGTGTTAGGGGGGAGAGAGGTATTAGAGGAGAATGAAAAGAAAGCGCCCTCATCTCAGACCCTATATTGGCCTATAGGCTTCCATATGTACTCCCTTCACCCTTCCACTATAACGTTTTCCAGATAATAAGTGTTGATGAATGAGTTACTAAATGTAACTGGCAGAGCCTCTTTAATGTTCAGAGACCCACTGCAAGGAGAGCAAGGGGGAGGCAAATTCTACCAGATACCTGGGATGCTCTGGAAATAAAAGACCCAATGAGGCATTGGGCTTCATCTGAAAACTGCCCTGGGAGCTATCCAAGGTACTAACCAGCCTCAGAATAAACCATGCACTCATTCTGATTAGTTTGTCCTTTGACAGCGGGAAAAAGCCAGGGAGAATGGGTAGACAGAAGGGAGAAATGTTATTCTACCTATTGTAAATTCAAATTCTGCCTTTGAATGTTACAAGTTATGCATACCTGAAAAGTTATTTCATCTCTTTGTTTCAATTCCTTCATCTAGAAATGAACATAACTACTCTACCTATCTAATAGTATCATGAGAAGTAGTGAAGATTAAGCTTCTTCTTGCATGTAAAGCCTTTAACACAGTACCCAGCACAGAATAGGCTCTTCATAAATGTTAACTTAATATTATTAATGTATTAATAATATACTACAACAAGCACTAATGTGTCTTCTCCCAGAACAACTGAAAGTCACGTTTTGTCATGTCAGCCTCATGATTAATGCCTGTCTTTATTACTAGAATTTTAAACTCTAGAGGGACAGAAAGCATTTCACTTCATCCATTACTTTCCCAGTGACTGATTCAAATGTTCTGGAAGTATATTGTGTGCTCTCAGTACGTAGTATATTATATATTCTCAATACACATTTCCAGTATGCACTGGAAATGAATAAGTAAAGGAAGAAAATAATACAGTAGTCATGAAATAAAGAGCAGGCTACATCAGAAACACCATTGGAAAGAGGGAAAAATGTGCACAGCAGTTCAGCTTAGGAAGAAATTGAACTAAAAATTGACCAACAAAATGTTTCTACATTTGTCACTACTTATTAGAAGCCATGTTTAGGTATTCCTGTAGTATAAAATAATATTATAAATACCTGGGCTAATTTTCACAATAAAATGTGTTAGCAATTAAGGTATTTTTCAGCTTTGACTTAAGGGTATCTGATCTTGTACGTTTCTCTGGGTTGATCAACTATATCCCATCCACAGGCAGCACAGCATAAAACTATTTATGCTGTGCCATTTATGCCATTTTAATGGTTAGAATCTCCATCCAAACCTCCTTCTTTAACCTCTTTTGACCCCAGTGATAGTTATTGATAGTTATTCTGACCTCGATAACCATCTTTTAGAACACTGTGCTTCTTCCCCTTCTGCATCTCATGTCCACAATGCTTCTCCAGCTCAAATATTTACTTGTTTTTATGGCCATAATTTTATTTTTATTCTTTTCAAGCCAATCTGAATAAACATGCCAAATAGTGAATCTTCCCTGGAAAAGACTGCAACTTTGTGGACCCAGATACAAGTTAACTATCTGAGTCTGATCCAACATGAAATCAATGAACTTTGGAAAATCTGTGTCTGAATAAAGCACAGTGTACAGGCAGGTTGACTTACAATCATTCCAACCTCACTGAATACCAAAGCAACAAAGGAAAGTTTGATGAAAATTGAATTTTAAAAATCTATTTTTATGTATTTCCTAAGGGCCACCTGCATTTTGTGCAATTATGCCAATTTCCCTGTATTCAAAATATCACATTTTTAAGAACAATATATTTCATACTAAAAAGCTAAGTATGTTTTGTCCTAATCAAAAATTTTCTTATTTCATGGAATGAGCCCCCGAAATGAAGCAACGAGAGGATAATTACTATAAAATCACACACACTGTATATAGAATAATCCTACATAATTGGAGTGATGGACAGGATAATCTGCTAGGTTTGTCGCCTTAAAGATTTTATAATTGTGTAAAACTGCATAGGCTGCATAAATTTCCTCTTTAAATGTCATATCATTTATTCTTTCTTCCTCATATGTCAGCCAAAAAAATAGCTCATTTATGATAATCAGACATGAAGACTCTGCTTACAAATAAATAGACATACAGCCATAATTGCAGGTTGATTGATTCTGAAGTCTTGCAGAGACCTTATACTATCTTACTAATGACTGTGACAACTATGCATCGTTAGAATCGAGGGGCTAAAGAACTCTCCCTACCCATGGCATAATTGCACAGGTGTAGTGATTTGCATTTTAGTGGCACAGAAAATTACATTCCTAGAGAAAGAAGATTTTAAGTTTTTAAGTTTTTAAAAGTTGATTGGATTGATTATAGGGACTAGTAGTAAAGGAGGTACGGATGCTATAAATTGTCATCAAAGCTATTAAGAGTAACTTTTAAAATATTCATTCAAACAAAGACTTAGTTATATTATAAAGACCAATGTTATCACAAGTCACATTTATATTCTGTGAATTGCCTCTGCTTCTCATGTCAATTTTAAAGAAAATAAATTAAAAATAAATGTACCATTTTATAGATTTATTTGGAACTGTGTCCTACTTACTGATGTCATGGTACTTTTAGAAAATATACCCTCTTAATATCCCATGTAAGTACAAATGTTCCATCCTTTTCAGTAATGAGGGTAGAGATCATTGGTTTCTAGAATATTAGGAATCTGAATATTGAAGTAATGGTATAAGATAAGCTATATTAAAATTCACCTTAAAGAAACAGGATGGCTTTCAGGTGTAAAGAAATATTTTATGGTAACAAAATTAATGGCATTTGGGATTTTTAAAAGAACTATTTATCTCAAAATTTGGAAATAAACATAGAACAGAAAGAAATATAGTCAGTAAAACAAAATGAACCATGCTTATCTAGCACTGCATAGAGGTAACCAGTCAATTAAACTCAACTTCTTATACTGAGAGGTTTATGCCTCTTATGGGAATGACTCGTTTACCACAGCTTAATTTTTTTAGCCATGTGAAGTAATCAAATAACTCTTGCTCCAATTTCATGCTGTCTGAAAAATCTGAGGTCTTGAATAGAGATTTCTGAACAGAGATGATATGTACAGCAGCCAGCATGAGTCTCTTAGTTCACAGTATGTTGTAAATCTCTTGAGAATGGCCATTCCAAGCAAAGCAGCCAGAGTAGCATGGCCTTTCCTGACCTAGCTTCAGAAATCAAGCAGTTTCACTTCTACTGAATTCTATTGTTTATAAATGAATCACTAAGATCAACACAGAATTCTATCTTTATTTCTCCCCATAGCACATACTTATATGTTATTACTTAATTGCTTATTATCTATCTCCCTGTCCTAAAACATAAGTTTCATGTGGGCAGGAATCCTGTTTTATTGTAGTATATTCACTGATGTATCCTCCACACTCAGCACTGTTCATAATAGGTGCTAATCAATGAATAAATAAATTGTCATGTTTCCCTTGATAGGTATGAAAAGAAACATATTTATAAAAACAGGCACACTGAATTTTCAAGGTCGGACGTTTAATAGCTCAAATTTGTGACTATTAAGCTGTTTCATAGAATAACAGATCTATTATATGTTGCAGAAAACAGGGTTCACAGTTAAGTGTGTTTGAGAAACAGTGAATACCTCTTCACTCCTGAAAAACACACGGATCTCTTACACGTTCAAGGCTTCTAGAACTCTTAACTGTTTTTTTAAAAAAATGCTAAATTTTGTTCAGCTCACTTTCCCCCAGTATATGACAAAACACTTCCGTAACAGAGTTGTTATTTATCGCCCATGTAGCTAATTTGCTACAGAATGCATTTTAGTCCAACCTTCTCATCCTAATTTAGGGAGAGTTGATTTTTTATATATAGGGCTGGAAGACGATAAGGGCTCCACTCTATGGCAGTATCACAACATTGTGAAATGAGGACTCAGAATTCAATCAACTTGCTTAAGGTCACAATAAGGGTTACTGGAAAGCTGAGAACCAAAGACTACTTCTCCTTACTTTTAGCAAAATGCTCTTTTCAACACCCTGGGCTTCTCAGATTCATAGACACCTTGGACTCATCCTGGATGGATGGTTATTCTCTCCTTAAGAACCCCATGAGAGACACAATTTGTAATCTCCTTCAGTAGCCTGTCCCATTATTTATCAAGTCAAATTCAGATTGCAATAGGGTGGGATTCCATTACAGAGGGAATGCATTTTCTTTGTCTCATTTAAAATGCTCCATTTAAAAAAAATAATTTATGATAAATTCACAAGTACAATTTCCACTTGTTCCTTGGCCAATAGGGTGGTGAAGCTTGGAGCAGTGTCTTCAGAATGCACTCAGTCCTTGGCTCCAGGCCCCAGTTTAATGACAAGTTGAATCCTCACACTGACAGGCCCCTCCCAGTGAGGCTGCCAAGTGTTCGTCATAGTCATGCACATTAGTCGGTCACAGGAATGGAATGTGAAATGGTCAAGAGTGGGGCAGACACTAAGGCAAAAAGTTTTTCAGCTCCAAAATGTTGGACACTTAAAATACAACCTCCCTATGTTCTACTGAAATAATAAAATATGTAATTAAATCATCAAATTCTGTTTTCATGTCCTCAGTCAAATATTTTAATCATGCTACTCATTTAGGGACACAATTTTATTTATAAAAACATTTTTCTATAGATAGGCATTCATCCATCTACTCCATTATGTTATATAATAAACAGAATCTTAGAAAGCTAGATATAAAACATTATGTGAAAAAGAGCATAGGCTTTGTATTCCCACAGGTCCAGTTTGGATTCAATAT
Source organism: Homo sapiens (assembly GCF_000001405.40). NCBI lineage: Eukaryota > Metazoa > Chordata > Mammalia > Primates > Hominidae > Homo > Homo sapiens. The sequence continues at coordinate 80,767,614 of NC_000006.12, read as the reverse complement.
CCACTTCATTAATTGCTGCATAGCCTTCAGCAAGTTACTTAACAAAGCTAAGGTTCTCACATCTGAAAAATGGGACAGTAAGTAGAATTTCAGTGTACTTTATGAGGACTGAATAAGAAAATTTATTTGAAAGTAGCTGGCACAGTGTCTGGAGGACAGTAGGTTTTCAATAAATATTCTTTCCAGTCTCCTATATAAAATGAGAATTATATTTTAAGTTCACTGGGGAACTCAAAAATTAAAAGTTTGAGCTTGATCCTCTTATAAACAAAATGATGTTTTATGTGAATTAATACCCATTTATCTACTTGTTTGGAAATGTCATCTTTTAACATGGTCAACTTTTAAAATGGTGAACCATTTTACATTAGGTTACATAAATATTTCTTCTCTATTATTTGTTGGCAAAAGCCTAAAAACTAAGCAGACCAATGCATAAGTTTTAAAAACTACAAAATAGACTGTTGTGTTCTTTATCTGTTTACTAAAATTCCAGTAGTTATACTTCAAGCCTAATATCAAGGGAATTACATATCTAGATAGATAGATAAATAGACAGATAGATATACACATATCAAAGAAAGGAGGCACATAATTAAACCGCTATGCATACAAACTTTGGCAAAAAGTAAGCCAAAGGAAATAATGCACAGCAAGGACAAAATAGACCTGTGACATATCTGTGATAATAGGAAATCTTTGGGATTGGCTAACTGATAAAAATTCCAAACTTCAGATGACACATTAAAAAGTTTTACTGATACATGACCCTGCAGTCCACTTAAAGTATCCACAGAAATCTGTATATGGGTTTACCAAAAGATGTACTAGAATATTTAGAGCAGCAATACAAATAATAGCATCCATGCAGAAAACTACCTAAATTCTTACTAACAGTTGGGGTGAAAAATTTTAATATGGTTATGTAATAGAACACTGTATACAATTAGTAATAAATGATCTATGACTAAGGCAACATTGTGGAATCTCTCAAGCATAATATTAAGCAAAAAAAAAAACCAGACACAAAAGAATATCTATATGATTCACTTCATATAAAGTTCAAAGCACACAGATCTTATTTATTATCAGGAGAGTAGTTAGTCCTTTGGAGTTAGTAACTAGAAGTTGCCTTTTGGGAAGCTGTAATATTCTGTTTCTTGATCAGGGCATGTTCAGTTTGTGAACATTCATTAGCTATATACTGATGAAGTGCCACTTTCCTCAATGTATTTTATACTTTTAGGTTGGTGCAAAAGTAATTGTGGTTTCAGACCGTGAATTTTAAATTATTATAGCTAGGCTCAAACACATCTTTATTAATCAAAATAGGAACCATTAAAATCAACAATTTTTGCCAATAAGAAATGTTTATTCCTGTAGCATAAAAATCTGTGCTTCAGGATTTAACAAACTCTTAGAAAGCATTTTCTGTATCCTGCTAGTTGTGGAAGCGTTTTCCCTGCAAAATGCTGTGGAGATGCCTGAAGAAGTGGTAGTCAGTTGGCTAGAGGTCAGGTGAATGTGGCAGATGAGGCAAAACTTCTCAGCCAGATTCATTCAACTTTTGAAGCATTGGTCGTGCAACATGTGGTTGGGCATTGTCCTGGAGAAGAACTGGGCCCTTTCTGCTGATCAATGCCGGCTGCAGACATTGCAGTTTTTGGTGCATCTCATCGATTTGCTGAGTGTACTTCTCAGATGTAATGGTTTCACCTGGATTCAGAAAGCTGTAGTGTATCAGACCAGCAGCAAACCACCAATCAATGACCATGATCTTTTTTGGGTGCAAGTTTGGCTTTGGGAAGTGCTTTGGAGCTTCTTCTGAATCCAGTGTCTGAGCCAATCACTGCCAGTTGTCATATAAAATCCACTTTTCATTACACATCACAATCTGATTGAGAAATTGTTCATTGTTGTTGCATAAAATGAAAAGACGACCCTTTGAAAAGACGATTTTTCCCCAGCTCATGAGACACCCACTTATAGAGCTTTTTCACCCTTCCAGTTAGCTTCAAATGCCGAAAGATGGTAGAATAGTTGATTTTGAGTTATTTGGCAATTTATCAGGTAGTTGTAACAGGATCAGCTTTGATGATTTTTCTCAATCGGTTGTTGTCAATTTCTGATGGCTGGCTACTATGCTCCTCATCTTCAAGTCTTTCATCTCATTTGCAAAACTTCTTGAACCACCGCTGCTCTGTACATTCATTAGCAGTTCCTGGACCAAATGCATTGTTGATGTTGTGAGTTGTCTCTGCTGCTTTACAACCCATTTTGAACTCAGATAAGAAAATTGCTCAAATTTGCTTTTTGTCTAACATCACTTCCATAGTCTAAAATAAATTAAACTGCAAGTAGTAAGTCATTAGCGAAAAAAACAGACAGCAAGAAATGTGCATTAAAATGGTGTATAACATAACCACATTTATTTAAGAATATATTCCAATATCAAACAGCAAATTTCAATAACTCAAAAACTGCAATTATTTTGCACCAACCTCGTTCCAAAAATTTTTCTTCACAAAACTGAATGTTTTACAATATTTTCACTAAATTGAATAATTAGTTTTGGCATACCCAAATATTTAAAAATCTGCTTAACATCAAGCAGACTCTACTACATAGTAAAACTTTAAATGAAAAAAGGTTTAGCATTCAAGATCATGTTGAAGAAGAAAATATCATGTACTTCAGACTGTCCTCAAACTATTCTAAAGGATTAATTCAGCCAATTAATCAAACTAATGCAAAGAAAATTTGTAAAACCAGTTGGTTGACTGAGTTGAAAATATTTATTCTAGAGTCCTCATGTGATTCCTTTTCTGCTTATTCATCACTAGTAACTGAAGACTCTCAATTGGAGGCTCCAGGCCCTTCTACCACCAAACCCATGAGAATCACATTGACAGATTTTCTCCTGGGTAACAAGAGGGATCTAAAGTTAGCTGGATTCTCCATAGCTGTCTTTCTAAAACCCAGTATTTTTTTCTGCAGTTCTATATATTTGAGCTTTGCCTCACTTTCTAGTTTGTGTTCCAGTAGACCTCTGATACCAACCCCTTAAACTGCAACCAGTTTGGCTAGAATCCTTAAAACTTGCAAACATCTTCTCTTTTAGGAGATGGGTCCTGTCCCAGTCCTTTTTGGCTAATGACTGAGGTTTTATTTCAAACTTCTTGAGCTCCTTTTGAATCCAAGACAGAACTACCAGCCTAATTAGAAGTACTTCATTTGCTGCTAAGCACCCACAAACTGGATTGTGCCTTTTAACAATTTAACTACCACTGATCAGCCTGAGATTGCATTGTGATCTTAAATACCGTAACTTTGCCCTTTTCCCATTCTTCCTTGAGTGTGTCAGCCCTAAGCCAGACCATTCTTCCAGAATGGTTTATTCCTCTATTCATGATATGTTACCATTTTGTTCCAAGAATCTGTAGGCAAAGCTCATGCAAAATATGATATTTTGAATAAAGCTCATAGTCTCATAGTCACTGCCTTTGGGCTACTGATGTAACCAAATAAAAATATACCAGTTTACATTATTTGGAATCTAAGTGACCCAAAGGCATGGAAAATCCTCTAAATAAAAAGGCATTTATGCCTGCCAAAGACTGGAAAATGCAGACAATGATTGCAGTTCTACATTTCACATCATTTTTCATAAACATGTATAATCATTACAAGTTAAAATTGAAGTTCACTTGTGCCTCAAACTATAGAAATTACTTTATATCAAATGTCAACCAAACCTGCAAACTATTTTCAAGCAGGAAATAGGAAAAAAAAAAAACTTTGACATTTCACACTAAAAATATACTTTCTGGGTGTGTTCAAATAAAAATAAAATTATTCACCTTAATTTAATCTGGAATTAAATTAATATAGTTACATAATACAATATGAAAAGACTAAAATTTTAAAACAAAAATTCAAATATCTGAATTTCTAAATTATACATCAAAGGATTATCCGAAGCCATAATTACTCTTGCAATGATCCTATTATGATAAAGTCAAACAAACAGTTAAACTTGACTATTTCAGTAAAAACAATCATTTTTGACTTTTTTGCAGTTACTCAATTATTCAACTCTCCTTATACTGTGATTTCATTGGCTCCTACTGATTTGAGATTTTCATTAGAGCATGTCTACCTGGCCTAACCACCCCAATATGGAGTATAGGCAAATCCACTTATTGTGAAGTAATAAGGTATCGTTTACAGGTTGCTAAAGACAATGATCCAAAAAGCAGATGATGGAGGAACATATAAAGACATACCAGTTGGGTGCAGTTGGGAAGAACTCTAGATAATGTCAAAATGATCAAAATGATCTGCTTCAAGGTTTAAATGGTTGCTTCATGGTTTAAACAGCTGCAGCGTTGAATAAATGGCTGCACTTCTGAAATTTAGAATCTGAACATAGACAACAGATTTTGGCACAATGGGGTGTTGTCAGTAATTTCTGTAATTATAGGATAATCTTGCTAAGCTGTCATGCCTAGAGCTTTGAATTGGAAAAAGGCAAATTTCCCAGTGAAGTGAACATGATTTCTCTGACAGAAATGTAAGGAAAACTACATGCATTTGTTAAAATTGTAAATATTTGACAAAGGTACACTCATAGATGATGTTTCTGGTTTATTCTGCTTAATAGAGAAAATTGACAATAAAAAATGTAACTCTACAATATTTCATCTCTTATTCAGCATTCATAATAACTAATGCTAATCGTGATTTGGATTAATTTAAAATGAAGGACATGCTTTTTGCTGAATGATTTATTTCAATCACTTTATATACTGGGTAATGTGCAACAAATTCAAGGTTCCAATTATTTAAAGCTTGTTTAGTTTTACTCTAATGCACTGCCTTAGTACTTTTATATTTTTTAGCTTACTGTTTTGTTTATCTTATCTTTTAATTAAAAAAAGAAGCTATTGGAGACTGCAGACAATGGTCTCCAGAATTTTAGAAATATTTATTTCCCATTTCCAAAAGCTTCAACATTTGACACAGATGAGGTTTCCTGTTTTCAAGATTTTCTTTTAGTTTTTTTTTCTTCTTTCTTCAATACACTTTTAGGTATTAAAATACTGTTTTAAATATTTGGCAAATACAAAATAATATATAAGATATATAATGCTATAAAGCATAGTAATACAATCAACTTTTAATTGACAAAAATTGTGTATATATATATGGCATATAGCATGACGTTTTGATATATGTATACATTGTGAAATGGCTATATCAATTATTTTATATTAATTCAGCTGTGACTCTTAATATCCCATTGACTCATACAGGTGTCTTAAGTAATGTTTACTTTTTTTGTTAATTTTAGTTATATTTAGTTATAGTATCTATATTTATAGTTATAAATGTTCCAATTTTCTTTAAAACATTTTTACACAAAAACTTATAATATTAATTTTAAAAGTTTATAAAGAAACCCAGGTAGGAGGAAGAATAGATGAGATAGTATATTAAACAATCCAAAAAGGATAGTGTGAGAGAAAGTTTTCTAAAATCAAGAATATTCTTTCTTGTGCTCTTTTTATTTGTTACAATGTGGAATTCAGAACTGATCAGAGCTACAAGATCCAATTGGATCAGAAAGTCAAGAGTGAAGGGAAATAAAAATAACCATTCATACAATTCTCAAGAAGTATAATGTATGATAAGATTCTTGGACTAGATTATTTTATTTTTTCCTCTATTTGAATATAAGCTGTAAGTATAATAGTGGATTAATTAGGACTTGATTATGACTCTTTATATACTATTGCTCACTGAGGGCCTCAGTTTTAAGTATAAATATAGCAAGTTAAGATGTCTTATTCCCTTATTTTGTAGATGAAGATTTCCAGTTCATTGGAAAAAAACTTACTTGTCATAAAATATAGTAAATTAGCATAAGAACTAGAATTGGCATTCAGAGTTCTCATTCTTTGTTTAGGATATGTTTCAATATCTCAAATTATCCCTAAAAGTTATCTTAGTTAGAACTGATAGTCACTGAACTTATTAAGTTCTCACATAAACTTATATCTATTTTATTTCATTCATTTGTATATAAGGATAATATCTATTGTGAGATTATTCCTAAAATATGGATAGCTTTGAGGAATTAAATTCTAAATTTATAACAATTCTTCTACCCCAAAATTAATAAACAGTTAACAACAAAGCCAAATTTTATTTTGCTCCAAGGAAAATAGTCTTTTTTTAAGAAACATCAGTGTTTACAGTTAAAAATAATCTAAGTTCAAAATTTCCTACCAAGTCAATTGAATCCTAAAAACATTACAATCAAAATGAATTAAAATAAGACTTTTTTTATATAATGGATTTGTATAAATCTACATTTCATTGGCTTCATTAAAAATAGTTTTGTAATTTTTTTTTAAAAGTTCACAATTCAAGATTTTGTTCTAAATGAAATCGTGTTCTATTAATACTTCCTCAGATTTCTGGTTGATTTGGAATATGTTTTGCATATTTCAGTTTTTGTGTTTTTAAGAAATATAAATGCAAAATAATACTTCCTCAGATTTCTGGTTGATTTGGAATATGTTTTGCATATTTCAGTTTTTGTGTTTTTAAGAAATATAAATGCAAAAAAAAAATGAGCTTTGTCTACCTTTTTTACCTTTACTTTTATCTCTCCCTCGGGAAAGTTTCTCCTTGTTCGCAGAGAAAGCATGCATAAAATAGAATGTGTTTTATTATTAAATGAATGTGACTATTCACCAATTGAGAAAGATATAAAAGAACTCTAATTTATAGTGCATAGAATTTGAGATTTCCACATAGTAAATATGAGTCAAAAACTAGACATCAGAGGGGGGTGAAGCAAGATGGTGGAATAGAAATATCCGGTAATCATCTCCCCACAGGAACATTAAATTGAACAACTATCGACATACAAAAATACCTTCACAAGAGCTAAGTAAACTAGTAAAAAATTATTGTACCTGATTATAGCATAATGATAAGAAAATATGCATTGCAGAGAATAGGAAGGACAGTTTTACATTACATTAGTCACCCCTCACCTTCCCCAAAGCTAAAGAAACCAAGTGAGAGATTGTAGTACCTGGTTGAAGCATAACAATAAGAAAAGATGAATTAAAGACGGTAGGAAGGCCAGGTTTAAATTATCCACATCAGCCCTTCCCTATACCTAGGCAGCACAGCATGGACAGAAATAGCATCTTCTTGAGGGGGAAAGGCTGAAGTAAGCATGGAACTTTGCCTTAAACCCCAATGTTAGGTCTGCCACAGTAAAACACAGCACCAGGCAGATCCTCACAGCCCCTGGCTCTAGGTTGGTACCCCAGACTGAGCCTCTAGGCCTGCCCCAACACTAGACAGGACCCCACTGCTCCTTCAAAACAAACTTGAGTTTGTTTTGGAAATGGAAAATGGAAAAAATAAGGTGTCAGTGATTGGCCCTAAATCAATGGAGGTGTATGAACTAGCCGACAAGTAATTTTAAAGTGGCTGTTTTAAGAAAGTTCAGCAAACACCAGTAAAATACAGAAAACAATTCATAAATTTATCAGAGAAATTTAACAGAAAGATTGAAATAATTTTTAGAAATTATACAGAAATCCTGGAGCAAAAAAAAAACACAATAAACAAAATGGAAAATGCAATAGGGAGCATCAGTAGCAGAATTGATCAAGAAGAGGAAAGAATCTGTGAACTAGAAGACAGGTTATTAGAAAAGATACAGTTAGAGGAGAAAAAAGAGTAAAAACAAATGATAGAAAGGCTAACAGGGTTTGTGGAACAGCATTAGAAGATCAAATTTATGAATCATTGCTGTCGAAGAGGGAGTAGAAAATGATAAAGGGGCAGAAGTTTATTTAAGCAAATAATAGAGATAACTTTCCATACCTAGAGAAAGATATGAATATCCAGGTAGAAGAAGGTGAAATGTGTCTAATCAAATTCAAATAACACTACCCTATGATACATTATAATCAAACTGTCAAAGAAAAGAGACAAATAGAGAAACCTGAAATCAGCAAGAGAAAGAAGCAAATGACATATAATGAAGTCTCAATATAACTAGTAGCAGACTTCTGAGCAGAGACCTTACAGATCAGGAAAGAGTGGGATGATATATTCAAATTGCCGAATTAACAAAAAATGCCAACAAAACTGCTAACCAAGAATACTCTCCCCAGCAAAGCTGTTCTTCAGACATGTAGAAGAGATTAAAAACTTTCCCAGACAAACACAAGCTAAGCAACTTCATCACCACTAGAACAATCCTACTATAAATGATGAAGGGAATTCTTCAAGTTGAAAGAAAAATATGCTAATGAGTAACATAAAAACGTCTGAAGTATAAAGCTCACTGATAAAATATGTTCATAGTCAAATTCACATTACTTTAATACTGTAATGGTGGTTGTAAATAACTTGTATCTTTAGTATGAAGGTTAAAAGATAAAAATATTAAAAATGATAACTGCAATAATTTATTAAAGAATATGCAATATAAAAAGATGGAAATTATAGCATCAAAAATTGAAAATTTGGGGGGGAGTGGAGTTAAAGTGTAGTTTTTTGGTTTGTAGGGATTTTTTAGCAATTAAAGTTAAGTTTTTATCAGCTTACAATAATCTCTTATACTTGTAAGAGTTTTCTTTTAAGCCTTATGGTAACCATAAAGCAAAAGCCTATTATAGATACACTAAAAATAAAAAGCAAAGAATAAAAAAATATTACTAGAGAAAATCACTTAACCACTAAGGAAGACAGTAAGAGAGGAAAAAGAAAGACAGCATCTACAAAACAACTAGAAAACAATTAACAAAATGGCAGCAGTAAGACCTTACCTATCAATAATGACCTTAAATACAAATGGAATAAATTGTCCAATTAAAAGACACAAAGTGGCTGAACTGATAAAATAACAAGGCTCAAATATATTCTGCCTACCAAAGACACACACACTGAAAGTGAATTAATATAAAAAGTGTTCCATGCAAATGGGAAGCAAAAGAGACCAGGATTAGCTATACTTATATCAGATAAAATGGACTTTAAGTCAAAAATGATAAAATGAAACAAAGAAGGTTGTTAAATAATGATAAAGGGTCAATACAGCAAGAAGATATAACAATTGCAAATATATATATGCTCAACATTGAGGCACCCAAATATTTGAAGCAAATATTAGTGGATCTAAAGGGAGAGCAAGACTGCAATACAATAATTGTAGGGTACTTTAACACTCCATTCTCAGCAAAGGACAGACTCATCAGACAGAAAATCAACAAAGACACATCAGATTTAAACCACATTCTCAACCAAATGGACCTAACAGACATTTACAGAACATTACATCTAATAGCTGCAGAAAAAAACATATTCTTCCACAATTGCAGGACCTTCTCCAGGGTAGACTATATCTTAGGCCACAAAACTAGTCTTAACAAATTTAAGAACACTGAAACCATATCAGGTACCTTTTTTGACCACATAATATAAAACCAGAAATCAATAACAGATAAAACTTCAGAAACATTACAAATACATGGAAAAGAAACAACATGTTCCTAAATAACCAATGAGTCAATGAAGAAATTAAAAGACAAATTTAAAAATTTCTTAAGAAAAATGCAAATTAAAATGTAACATACCAAAACCTAGGGATATAGCAGAAACAGTTCTAAATGGGATATTTATAGTAATAAATGCTTACATCAAAAAAGGGAAGAAAAATCTCAAACAAATAATCTCTAATTACCCCAAGGAACTAGAAAAACAAAGACAAATTCAACCCAAATTATTAGAAGGAGGGAAAAAGTAAAGAAGGGAACAGAAATAAATGAAATTGAGACTAAAAAACTACAAAATATCAACAAATAAAAAGTTGTTTTTTGAAAAATAAACAAAATTAACAAACTTTTAGCTAAGCTAAGAAAAAGAAAAAACATTCAAATACCTATAATTAGAAATGAAAAAGTAGACATTACATTTGTTACCACAGAACTACAAAGGATTATAAAAGACTAGTAATGACAATTACATGCCAACGAATTGAATAACCTAGAAGAAATGGATACATTACTGGACACATAAAATCTACCAAGATTGAATTATGAAGAAATGGAAAATCTGAACAAATAACTAAGAAAACTAAATCAGTAATAAAAAGTCTTTCATCAAAGAAGAGTTCAGGATCTGATGGCTGCACTACTGAGTTCTACCAAACATTCAAAGAACTGATACCAATTCTTCTCAAACTGTTCCAAAAAAGTGAAGAGAAGCAAATACTTCCAAACTCATTCTAGGAGGCCAACACTACCCTGTTACCAAAACCAGTTGAGGATACAAAAGAAAAAAATAACTAAAGGCCAATATCCTTGATGAACATACATGTAAAAATTTTTAACAAAATACTAGCAAAACAAATTAAATAGCACATTAGAAAGGTCATTTTCCATAGTCAAGTGGCATTCATCCCAGGGCTGTACAGATGGTTCAACATTTGCAAATCAAGGAACATAATACCTCAAATTAAGAAAGGACAAAAGCATATGATTATTTAAATAGATGTAGAAAAAGCAGTTGACAAAACTCAATATCTCTTCATGACAAAAAAAAATATTTCTCAGCAAATTAGGTATGTAGGAATGCACCTCAATGCAGCAAGGCCATATACAACAACTTCAGTGCTATCATCATACTGAATGGGGAAAAGCTGAAAGCTTTCCTCTAATATTTGGAACAAGACAGGGATGCCCACTTTCACCACTTCTATTCAAGATAGTACTGGAAGTCCTAGCCAGAGCAATTAGGCAAGAGAAAGGAAAAGGGCATACAAATTGGAAAGTAAGAAGTTAAATTATACATGTTTGCAGATGACATAATCTTGTGGAAAACCCTAGAGGGTCCAGCTTAAAAAATAAAAAAACCTGTTAGATCTAATAAACAAATTCAGTAAAGATGGAGTATACAAAATCAACATGCAAAAATCAATAGAATTTTTAGACACTAATAGCAAACTTCTGAGAAAGAAATAAAGAAAAAAATCCCATTTTCAATAGCTACGAAAAATACCTTGGAATAAATTTAACTAAGGAGGTAAAAGATCTCTATATGGAAAACTATAAAACACTAATGAAAGAAATGTTCAAGACACAAATAAATAGAATAATATACCGTTTTCATGAATTGAAAGAATGATACTGTTACTATTCATATTACCCAAAGTAATCTACAGATTGAATGTAATTCCAAGTTAAATTCCAATGAATTTTTACAGAAGTAGAAAAACAATTTTAAAATTCATGTAGAATGACAAAAGACCTCTAATAGCCCAAATAATCTTTATCACAAAGAACAAGTCTGGATGCATCACACTACTTGACTTCAAAATATACTACAAAGCTCTAGCAACCAAAATAACATGCTACTGGTATAAAAACAGACATATAGACCAATGGAACAGAATAGAGGGTCCACAAATACATGCATTTACAGCAAATACATTTCCCACAAAGGTGCCAAGAACACACAATGAAAATAGGGGAATATTTTTAATAAATGATGTTGGGAAAACTGGATAGCCACATGAAAAAGAATAAAGAGAGATAAGAGACTCTTATCTCCCACCATATACAAAAATCAACTTAAAATGGATTCAAGACTTAAATGTAAGACTAGGAACTATGAACCTACTGGGAGGAAACATAGAGGTAAAGCTCTTTGACACTGATCTGGGAAGTGACTTTTTTAAAGATGACCTCAAAAGCACAGGCAACAAAAACAAAAATAGATAAATGGCATTATATCAAAATAAAAAGTTTCTGTAAAGCAAAGAAAGCAATAGAGTGATGAAACAACTAACGGCATGGGAGAAAATATTTGCAAACTATACATCTGATAAAGAGTTAGTATCCAAAATATATAAGGAATTCAATTTAATAAAAAGAAAACAAATAATCTGATTTTTAAAATAGGCAAAAAATCAAGCAGAAAAGGCTTTCAATAATATTTAACATCCCTTCATGTTAAAATCTCTCAATAAACTAGGTATTGAAGGAACATACTTTAAAATCATAAGAGTCATTATGACAAACCTACAGCCAACATCACAGTGAATGGGCAAAAGCTGGAAGCTTTCCCCTTGAAAACTGGCAGAAGACAAGGATGCCCTCTCCCACCACTCCTGTTCAACACAGTGCTGGAAGCCCTGGCCAGAGCAATCAGTCAGGAGGAAGAAATAAAAGGCATTCAAATAAGGAGGCAAGAATTCAAACTATCCCTGTTTGCAGAAGATATGCTTTTATACCTAGACAACCCCATAGTTTCAGCCCAAAACTTCATCATCTGATAAACCACTTCGACGTTGCAGGACACAAAATCAATGTACAAAAATCAGTAGCAGTCCTATGTGCCAACAACACCCAAGCCAAGAGCCAAATCAGGAACACAATCTGATTCACAATTGCTACAGAAAAAAATAAAATACCTAGGAATACAGCTAACCAGGGAGGTGAAAGATCTCCACAATGAAAATTACAAAAAACTCAAAGAAATCAGAGATGACACAAACAAATGGCAAAACATTCCATGCTCAGGGATAGAAAGAATCATTATTAAAACGACCATACCATCCAAAGCAATGTACAGATTCAATGCTATTCCTATGAAACTACCAGTGACATTGTTCACAGAATTAAAAAAAATAAAATTCATATAAAACAAAAAAAAGCTCAAATAGCCAAGGCAATCCTGAGCAAAAAGAAGGAAGGTGGAGGTATCACATTACCCAATGTCAAACTATACTACAAGGCTACTGTAACCAAAACAATATGATAATGGTACAAAAACACACACATAGACCGATGGAACAGAATGGAGAGCCCAGAAATAAGGCCAGACACCTTCAGTCGTCTGATCTTTGACAATGCTAACACAAATAAGCAATGGGGAAAAGACTCCCTATTCGATAACTAGTTCTAGGATAACTGGCTAGCCATATGCAGAAGATTGAAACTAACCTTTTTCATACACCATATATAAAAAATCAACTCAAGATGAATTAAAGACTTAAATGTGAAGCCTAAAACTATGAAGACCTGGAAGATAACCTAAGAAATACCACTCTAGACATAGGACCTGGCAAAGATTTAATGATGAAAACGCCAAAAGCAATTGCAACAAAAACACAAATTGACAAATGGGACCTAATTAAACTAAAGAGCAACTGCACAGCAAAAGAAACTATCAATAGAGTAAACAGACAACCTACAGAATGGGAGAAACTATTTGCAAACTATCCATCTGACAAAGGTCTAATATGCACAATCTATAAGAAACAAATTTGCAAGCAAAAGACAAACCCATTAAAAAGTGGGCAAAGGACATGAACAGACACTTTTCAAAAGAAGACATGCATGTGGCCAACAAGCATATGAAAAAAATACTCAACATCACTGATATTAAGAAAATGCAAATCAAAATCACAATGAGATACCATCTCACATCAGTCAGAATAGCTAGTATTGAGATCAAAAAATAACAAATGCTGGCAACGTTGTGCAGAAAAGGGAACAACTTATACACTTCTAGTAGCAGTGTAAATTAGTTCAGTCATTATGGAAGCAGTGTGGTGATTTCTCAAAGAACTTAAAGCAGAATTATCATCGGACCCAGTAATCCCATTATTGGGTATACAACCAAAGGAATATAAATCATTCTGTCACAAAGACACAAGAACGCCTATGTTCATTACAACACTATTCACAATAGCAACTACATGAAATCAACCTAAATACCCATCAATGGTAGACTGGAAAAAGACAATGTGGTATATATAACACTATAGAATACTATGCAGCCATAGAAAAGAATGAGATCATGTTGTTGCAGTAACATGGAAGGAGCAGGAGGCCATTATCCTAAGCAAACTAACACAGGAACAGAAAACCAAATACCACGTGTTCTCACTTATAAGTGGGAACTAAACAATGAGAACACATGGACACAGGCTAACAGCAGACATTGAGGTTGGAGGGTGGCAGAACGAAGAAGATCAGAAAAAATACCTATTAGTTAATATACTCATTACTATGCTTATTGGGTGACAAAAAAAATCTGTATACCAAACCCCCAAGACACGCAGTTTACTTATATAACAAACCTGCATAAGAACTCCTGAACCTAAAATAAAAGTTAAAATAAAAACCTAGACATTAAAAGGTGACCTAGAAACTAAACGTAGTATTGCAGCCTGCCAGTTTTTCAACTTCTCCTCTAACCAGTTACTACACCTAATTCTTCACATCTTCAGAATCCGTTCTACCCCAGAATTTGGCATTTATTTAGCCCCCAATAATGAAACAATAAGCCAGCCAGTCTATGGCAGTAAAGTGGCATTTGAGAATCTGTTCTGACTTTGAGATTTTGTTTTTAGTTTGCTCACTAATTTATTTAAAAATATTTATTGAGCACCAACTATGGACCAGGCATGATACTAGTGGAATACAATAGCAAGTAAATGCAATTGCATTCCATTTCATCTCCTATAGCAGAGAAAGAAGGTTGATATCAACAAATAATTACATCAAAAGTTTAGGATTAGTACTTCATTTATTAATTCACTTTTTATAGTATTTTAAGTATCTTTCATGATTCAGGGAGAATCCAGGGTATAGGAAATACAAAATGAGAAGGGCAGGCACCTACCTGCCTCCCTGGAGTATGGCATTCTATGGGTAAGGGATAGAATTGGGGAGGGGGAAGGCAGAATTGAGCAGACTATGAACAGTTAAGGTCAGCTTCTAAAATTATAGGAAAGATATTTTGATTTGTGATAAATCCTGAGAAAAAGACTGAGTAGTATAATGGAAAGTAACAAGACATGAGGCTCATTTAGGTAGGGTAAGAGGAGGCCTCTCTGAAGAGAGTGGTTTGGAATCTGAAGATGCTTTTTCCAGATTCAAACAGGAAAGAGTCAAACTTATGAAAAGTCAGATAGAATGTATTTTAGATAAAGGAAAAATCAAGTGTAAAGTCCCAGAGGTGGGAAAGATGTGTGATAATTCAAGGAAAAGAAACAAATCCAGAATAGCTGGAATATAGTAAATGAGACAAAGGTTAGTAAGATAAATGATTTGAGAAGGTAGAAAAAGAACTATGTAAACCAAAATAAGGAATTTGAAATTTAGTCCAAATGAAATTGGGAGGTATTAAAGGGTATTAAAGTGAATTCATGAGATTTATGTTTTAAAAATCCATCTGACTGCTTGGTAGTAAAGGACTATGAAAGGACAAGAATAGAAGTAATGAGCAAGACAAAGTATTAACAGAAGCTACTGTTATTAGTATGGTCCAGGGAAGAGATGATATGGTAGTTACAAGGAAAACAAAACCAAGTAACAATTTTGAGATACTTTAGAGTAGAAAAGACAAAGCTTATTGATGGATAAGGTGATGTGGGTACTTGAGTTTCTTACTTAAGCAATTGTTTATGATACTGATTTATTGAAACGAGGAAATGGGAGAGAAGCAGGTTGTTTGCTTTTCATTGGATTGCTTATTATTGTTGCCATTTTTTATGGATAAAAGGGGAACAGAAATCAAGAGGTCCATTTGCTTCCTGTAAGAGCAAATATTGATAAGACCTGGATATATGATAAGGAATTAGATATATAATTCTGGAGTTCAAGTAAGAGGTCAGGGCTATAAATAAATAATTGGGAATAATCAGCATAAAGATATGACTGAAAACTGAGGATCACTGAATGAGATCACTTACAGAGAAAAACAGAGACAGAGCAAAAATTATCAGTAGAAGTAGAAGCCAGCCAACGAGACCTAGAAGCTGTGATCATATCGAAGAGTCATATCAAGGAGAGTGTGTGTTAAAAAATATTTTTAAAAAGTAAAAAGTTAGAACTATCACTCTTATGTAGACATAAAATAAATACATATAAAATTTTATTTAACTCATTAATCAACAAAGACTCATGCAGATGTTACAACTAATCTAAAGAAGTCAAAGTACATATGGTGTAAAGAAAGGAATGTTAAAATAAATATACAAATGGACCCAAAATACAATTTTGGAGGGAGGTAAAGGTGAGAATTGTATCCCCCATTATATAGAATTTATTTTCATGTCTACAGATAAGAATTATTTATATTGCTTTCAGTTATCCATAAATCCCAACTGTAAAGTAGCTCAGAAGCCCCACAGAACCAAACAATCCCAGAAGATCCAGTATTGCATTGAAAAGACATCTATCTAGTAATCTCCTTCACTTATTCCAAAGTAAAATTATTCTTTACATGGATAGCCAAGAGAATATACTGTCTTAGAAGCCAAAAGAGAAAATAGTTTCAATACCGAGTGAGTGATCATCTGTGTTGGATACTACTAAGCACAGGGAAATGAAGACAGAAGTACCCTATGTATTTGATAATATGGAAATCACTGGTGTCCATGAAGTAATAATTTTTGACAGGAATGGGGGTGGAAACTGGACCACTAGAGAGTAAATGGGAAGTTGAGAAGTGAGGACTGGAAATTAAACAACTCTTGAGCTGCATTTTTGTTGTTGTTCTTTCTTTGTTTCATCCTATTAAGGAAAATATTGAAGTGTGGTAGAATCTGGACGCAGACTAGTGACGAAGGAAGTTTTTTGCTTTGATTATATTGAAACATCCTAGATTTTGTTTGAAACTTTGAATGTTGATAGGAATATCCAGGGAAGACGGAGATATCATTAAGGTAGAAAAAAAGGAGAATAAATACAGGGGTAGAATGTTTGCAAAAGCAAAATTAATACGATCCACTGTATAAGTGGAAGAGTGTATATGACAAGAATAAAGATAAGGATAAAATAAAATGGATAATATGTGGAACTTTCCTTTCCCAGGTGAAAGAATTCCCCTGACATGTTATCTGAGTTCTAATATTTGTTTTCAATATTCTAATCAATTTTCAAGTTTCCCAAGACCCAGTTCTCCCATTAACTAGAAATTCCATTCCTCCACCACCACCCTCTCTCCATGTATGAAGCCTAATTCTTTATCTACCTTTCCATTTCCAGCGCTAATATCATGGCCAAACACTTGCTCTAGAGCCATCCACCAATAATCTGGCCTGTTTCTGCTTAAATGAATATAAAAACTCTTTAACTCATTCTAAACTTTTGACTCAAGGTGATCCCACAAAATTTACTGTTTTCCTTTTTTTTTATTATTATTATATTTTAAGTTTTAGGGTACATGTGCACAATGTGCAGGTTACATATGTATACATGTGTGATGCTGGTGCGCTGCACCCACTAACTCATCATCTAGCATTTGGTATATCTCCCAATACTATCCCTCCCCCCACCCCAACCCCACAACAGTCCCCAGAGTGTGATGTTCCCCTTCCTGTGTCCATGTGGTCTCATTGTTCAATTGCCACCTACGAGTGAGAATATGCGGTGTTTGGTTTTTTGTTCTTGCAATAGTTTACTGAGAATGATGATTTCCAATTTCATCCATGTCCCTACAAAGGACATGAACTCATCATTTTTTATGGATGCATAGTATTCTATGGTGTATACGTGCCACATTTTCTTAATCCAGTCTATCATTGTTGGACATTTGGGTTGGTTCAAGTCTTTGCTATTGTGAATAGTGCTGCAATAAACATACGTGTGCATGTGTCTTTATAGCAGCATGATTTATAGTCCTTTGGGTATATACCCAGAAATGGGATGGCTGGGTCAAATGGTATTTCTAGTTCTAGCTCCCTGAGGAATCGCCACACTGACTTCCACAATGGTTGAACTAGTTTACAGTCCCACCAACAGTGTCAAAGTGTTCCTATTTCTCCACATCCTCTCCAGCACCTGTTGTTTCCTGACTTTTTAATGATTGCCATTCTAACTGGTGTGAGATGGTATCTCATTGTGGTTTTGATTTGCATTTCTCTGATGGCCAGTGATGATGAGCATTTTTTCTTGTGTTTTTTGGCTGCATAAATGTCTTCTTTTGAGAAGTGTCTGTTCATCTCCTTCACCCACTTTTGATGGGGTTGTTTGTTTTTTTCTTGTAAATTTGTTTGAGTTCATTGTAGATTCTGGATATTAGCCCTTTGTCAGATGAGTAGGTTGCGAAAATTTTCTCCCATTTTGTGGGTTGCCTGTTCACTCTGATGGTAGTTTCTTTTGCTGTGCAGAAGCTCTTTAGTTTAATTAGATCCCATTTGTCAATTTCGGCTTTTATTGCCATTGCTTTTGGTGTTTTAGACATGAAGTCCTTGCCCATGCCTATGTCCTGAATGGTACTTCCTAGGTTTTCTTCTAGGGTTTTTATGGTTTTAGGTCTAACGTTTAAGTCTTTAATCCATCTTGAATTGACTTTTGTATAAGGTGTAAGGAAGGGATCCAGTTTCATCTTTCTACATATGGCTAGCCAGTTTTCCCAGCACCATTTATTAAATAGGGAATCCTTCCCCCATTGCTTGTTTTTCTCAGGTTTATCAATGATCAGATAGTTGTAGACATACGGAGTTATTTCTGAGGGCTCTGTTCTGTTCCACTGATCTATATCTCTGTTTTGGTACCAGTACCATGCTGTTTTGGTTACTGTAGCCTTGTAGTATAGTTTGAAGTCAGGTAGTGTGATGCCTCCAGCTTTGTTCTTTTGGCTCAGGATTGACTTGGTGATGGGGGCTGTTTTTTAGTTCCATATGAACTTTAAAGTCGTTTTTTCCAATTCTGTGAAGAAAGTCATTGGTAGCTTGATGGGGATGGCATTGAATCTATAAATTACCTTGGGCAGTATGGCCATTTTCACGATATTGATTCTTCCTACCCATAAGCATGGAATGTTCTTCCATTTGTTTGTATCCTCTTTTATTTCATTGAGCAGTGGTTTGTAGTTCTCCTTGAAGAGGTCCTTCACATCCCTTGTAAGGTGGATTCGTAAGTATTTTATTCTCTTTGAAGCAATTGTGAATGGGAGTTCACTCATGATTTGGCTCTCTGTTTGTCTGTTATTGGTGTATAAGAATGCTTGTGATTTTTGTACATTGATTTTGTATCCTGAGACTTTGCTGAAGTTGCTTATCAGCTTAAGGAGATTTTGGGCTGAGACAATGGGGTTTCTAGATATACAATCATGTTGTCTGCAAACAGGGACAATTTGACTTCGTCTTTTCCTAATTGAATACCCTTTATTTCCTTCTCCTGCCTAATTGCCCTGGCCAGAACTTCCAACACTATGTTGAATAGGAGTGGTGAGAGAGGGCATCCCTGTCTTGTGCCAGTTTTCAAAGGGAATGCTTCCAATTTTTGCCCATTCAGTATGATATTGGCAGTGGGTTTGTCATAGATAGCTCTTATTATTTTGAGATACGTCCCATCAATACCTAATTTATTGAGAGTTTTTAGCACGAAGGGTTGTTGAATTTTGTCAAAGGCCTTTTCTGCATCTGTTGAGATAATCATGTGGTTTTTGTCTTTGGTTCTGTTTATATGCTGGATTACATTTATTGATTTGTGTATATTGAACCAGCCTTGCATCCCAGGGATGAAGCCCACTTGATCATGGTGGATAAGCTTTTTGATGTGCTGCTGGATTCAGTTTGCCAGTATTTTATTGAGGATTTTTGCATCAGTGTTCATCAAGGATATTGGTCTAAAATTCTCTTTTTTGGTTGTGCCTCTGCCCGGCTTTGGTATCAGGATGATGCTGGCCTCATAAAATGAGTTAGGGAGGATTCCCTCTTTTTCTATTGAGTTCAATAGTTTCAGAAGGAATGGTACCAGTTCCTTCTTGTACCTCTGGTAGAATTCAGCTGTGAATCCCTCTGGTCCTGGACTCTTTTTGGTTGGTAAGCTATTGATTATTGCCACAATTTCAGATCCTGTTATTGGTCTATTCAGAGATTCAACTTCTTCCTGGTTTAGTCTTGGGAGGTTGTATGTGTCGAGGAATTTATCCATTTCTTCTAGATTTTCTAGTTTATTTGCATAGAGGTGTTTGTAGTATTCTCTGATGGTAGTTTGTATTTCTGTGGGATCAGTGGTGATATCCCCTTTATCATTTTTTTTGCGTCTATTTGACTCTTCTCTCTTTTTTTCTTTATTGGTCTTGGTAGCGGTCTATCAATTTTGTTGATCCTTTCAAAAAACTAGCTCCTGGATTCATTAATTTTTTGAAGGTTTTTTTGTGTCTCTATTTCCTTCAGTTCTGCTCTGATTTTAGTTATTTCTTGCCTTCTGCTAGCTTTTGAGTGTGTTTGCTCTTGCTTTTCTAGTTCTTTTAATTGTGATGTTAGGGTGTCAATTTTGGATCTTTCCTGCTTTCTCTTGTGGGCATTTAGTGCTATAAATTTCCCTCTACACACTGCTTTGAATGTGTCCCAGAGATTCTGGTATGTTGTGTCTTTGTTCTTGTTGGTTTCAAAGAACATCTTTATTTCTGCCTTCATTTCGTTACGTACCCAGTAGTCCTTCAGGAGCAGGTTGTTCAGTTTCCATGTAGTTGAGTGGTTTTGAGTGAGTTTCTTAATTCTGAGTTCTAGTTTGATTGCACTGTGTTCTGAGAGATAGTTTGTTATAATTTCTGTTCTTTTATATTTGCTGAGGAGAGCTTTACTTCCAAGTATGTGGTCAATTTTGGAATAGGTGTGGTGTGGTGCTGAAAAAAATGTATATTCTGTTGATTTGGGGTGGAGAGTTCTGTAGATGTCTATTAGGTTTGCTTGGTGCAGAGCTGAGTTCAATTCCTGGGTATCCTTGTTAACTTTCTGTCTCGTTGATCTGTCTAATGTTGACAGTGGGGTGTTAAAGTCTCCCATTATTATTGTGTGGGAGTCTAAGTCCCTTTGTAGGTCACTCAGGACTTGCCTTATGAATCTGGGTGCTCCTGTATTGGGTGCATATATATTTAGGATAGTTAGCTCTTCTTGTTGAATTGATCCCTTTACCATTAAGTAATGGCCTTCTTTGTCTCTTTTGATCTTTGCTCGTTTAAAGTCTGTTTTATCAGAGACTGGGATTGCAGCTCCTGCCTTTTTTTGTTTTCCATTTGCTTGGTAGATCTTCCTCCATCCTTTATTTTGAGCCTATGTGTGTCTCTGCATGTGAGATGGGTTTCCTGAATACAGCACACTGATGGGTCCTGACTCTTTATCCAATTTGCCAGTCTGTGTCTTTTAATTGGAGCGTTTAGTCCATTTACATTTAATATTGTTAAGTGTGAATTTGATCCTGTCATTATGATGTTAGCTGGTTATTTCGCTTGTTAGTTGATGCAGTTTCTTCCTAGTCTCGATGGTCTTTACATTTTGGCATGATTTTGCAACGGCTGGTACTGGTTGTTCCTTTCCATGTTTAGTGCTTCCTTCAGGAGCTCTTTTAGGGCAGGCCTGGTGGTGACAAAATCTCTCAGCATTTGCTTGTCTGTAAACTGTTTTATTTCTCCTTCACTTATGAAGCTTAGTTTGGCTGGATATGAAATTCTGGGTTGAAAATTCTTTTCTTTAAGAATGTTGAATATTGGCCCCCACACTCTTCTGGCTTGTAGAGTTTCTGCTGAGAGATCCACTGTTAGTCTGATGGGCTTCCCTTTGTGGGTAACCCGACCTTTCTCTCTGGCTGCCCTTAACATTGTTTCCTTCATTTCAATTTTGGTGAATCTGACAAGTATGTGTCCTGGAGTTGCTCTTCTCGAGGAGTATCTTTGTGGCATTCTCTGTATTTCCTGAAACTGAATGTTGGCCTGCCTTGCTAGATTGGGGAAATTCTCCTGGATAATATCCTGCAGAGTGTTTTCCAACTTGGTTCCATTCTCCCCGTCACTTTCAGGTACACCAATCAGACATAGATTTGGTCTTTTCATATAGTCCCATATTTCTTGGAGGCTTTGTTCATTTCTTTTTATTCTTTTTTCTCTAAACTTCCCTTCTCGCTTCATTTCATTCACTTCATCTTCCATCACTGATACCCTTTCTTGCAGTTGATCGCATCGTCTCCTGAGGCTTCTGCATTCTTCACATAGTTCTCAAGGCACCCCCCAGTAGGGGCAGACTGACACTTCACATGGCCGGGTACTCCTCTGAGACAAAACTTCCAGAGGAACGATCAGACAGCAGCATCCGCGGTTCACGAAAAACCACTGTTCTGCAAACACCGCTGCTGATACCCAGGCAAACAAGGTCTGGAGTGGACCTCTAGCAAACTCCAACAGACCTGCAGCTGAGGGTCCTGTCTGTTAGAAGGAAAACTAACAAACAGAAAGGACGTCCACACCAAAAACCCATCTGTACATCACCATCAACAGACCAAAAGTAGATAAAACCACAAAGATGGGGAAAAAACAGAGCAGAAAAACTGGAAACTCTAAAAAGCAGAGCACCTCTCCTCCTCCAAAGGAACGCAGTTCCTCACCAGCAATGGAACAAAGCTGGACGGAGAATGACTTTGACGAGTTGAGAGAAGAAGGCTTCAGATGATCAAAGTACGAACTTCAGGAGGAAATTCTAATCAAAGGCAAAGAAGTTAAAAACTTTGAAAAAAATTTAGATGAATATATAACTAGAATAACCAATACAGAGAAGTGCTTAAAGGAGCTGATGGAGCTGAAAGTCAAGGCTCGAGAACTACTGTTTTTCTCTTGCAGCATATTGACCTTCAAATTTTCCTTAGTCCTAAAGTCTTCATGCCTCTGTGCCTACATGTTCACTGGCCTCTGCTTCTGTTTTTATGTTGATCCTTCTGTTGAATGTCCTTCTTTACGGGTCGCCATAAATTTTGTCATGGGATTTCTTTACCAAATGCTTATGACAAGTACCTTAAATGCAAAGATTTGAGAAGATCCTATAATCTAAACTATAGAGACTTAGTTACAGTATGCCAAATTGAAGAAATAAGCACCTTTCTTATTTAGATAATTTATATAAAAATAATTATGTCTCATGAAATTTTACCAACATGGTCTTAGAGAGCAAAAGTAGGTATATCTGATGTAATTGAGTCAAACTGGGTAAGTGAGAGAGAACCCTGGAAGGAATATCCAGATGTTTTCAAATTTCATATAATGAGTAGCAGATTTTTTTCCTCTTGTCTCTGAAGAGAGTGGTCCTGATGATCTTCAGAAGCAGCCAGTATAAATGATGTAGTAAAGTGTCTGTGTTGTATTAATTTTGTCAAATCATCAAAAATAGCCAAGTTTTTTTTTAATAAAACTGCATTCTCTTAAACCTATCAAAATTATGTACTTTTTCCTATGATTTCCATGGGCCTTGAAGTTTTCAAATTCATGTAGTCCTTAATAAAATTGTAAAAATATATTTATAACTTTTAAATATCAATTCTAGATAATAGGTTTTCACTAAATAATATAAACAACAGAAGGAGTATATTTTGTATATTTCTAAATCTTCACCTACACAAGTCAGTATGTTCTATACAAAAGGAAAATCCAGGCACAGTGACTCATGCCTGTAGTTCCAGCACTTTGGGAGCCTGAGATGGGAGGATTGCCTGAAGCCAGGAGTTCAAGGCCAGCTTAGAAAACATAGTAAGACCCCATCTCTACAAAAATTAACAACAACAACAACAACAACAAAAAACAGCCAGGCATGTTGGCACACACCTGTAATCCCACCTACTAGGGAGGCTGACATGGGAGGATCAATTGAGCCCACGTGTTGAAGGCCACAGTGAGCCACGATGATGCTACTGTACTCTAGCCTGGGCAACAGCAATACCCCTACTCAAATTAATTAATTAATTTAATAAATAATTTTTTAAAACCAAAGAGAACATTGGTTAATCTCATGACTCATTGTATGACAATCTTTTAAGAGAGCTACTATATGTATTCTGTCCTTCCAAAGAAATAATATTTACCTTTCTCTGTGGCAGCCACGATAGTATAACATTAGTATTAAGACTATTATAAAGTTAGTTTTTTGTTTTGTTTTGTTCTGTTCTGTTGTTTGTTTTATTTTGAAATGGAGTCTTGCTCTGTTTCCCAGGCTGGAGTGCAGTGGCACTATCTCTGCTCAGTGCAACCTCTACCTCCTGGGTTCAAGTGATTCTTGTGCCTCAGCCTCCCAAGTAACTGGGATTACAGGTGTGCACCATCACACTGAACTAATTTGGGGCATTTTTAGTAGAAATGGGGTTTCACCATATTGGCCAGGCTGGTCTTGGACTCCTGACCTTAATGATCCACCTGCCTCAGCCTCCCACAGTGCTGGGATTACAGAAAAGTAACTATTAATTTCATAACAAGTTTATATATAAAGAACATTTGACTTAAATCCTAAATAATTTTGAACTAGGCATCAGTCACAAGACCATGCTGACTTGGTGACTTACTTATGAGATCTAGAGTCATATAACATATCTGACCTTCATCCTTTTGCTGTGTAAAATAAAGATAATCCAATTTCCACTGGGATGAGGGGATTAAATAATATATCATTTATGACTAACCCAATAATTAGCATATACTAGATTGTCAGTAAATTTTGGTTTCTTCCCTTCCATTCAAAAAAGGAAAACAGATGCGAAGGTGATGCAATGAAATCCTCAGTAGCTCAGAATGATTATGTTCATGGGATGTTGAGCAAGCAAAAGGGTCCAAGTCAGGCTCCATTGTCTTCACTCACAATACCAACTAATTATTCAGTTGAAATATGAAAAGTCCGGTCAGCCAACATGTTTCGTTTCTAAATATTAACATGCTTGGTTATACACAATAACAACAGCTTCTTGTTTAGGACTTCACTCCACCCAAAACCCCAGTTAGAGTTCTAGAAATAGAAAGTATCTGGGGACCAGACATGGATACATTGGTGAAAACTCAGTAAATTCCACTCATTGGTGAAAACTCAGTAAAGGTGTTTATGGTGATGGGTCAGCGCCATCTATGTGTGAGAAAAATAACATGTTTCTTGGTGACTGATCTTTTTCAATAAAGAGACTGTTTTGGTGTTAAGAGGAAATGACGCCACAGTCTACTGGTTAGGTTCTGAGCCATTTAGCTCCTACAAAGGCCCTAGTTGACCTATTAACTTCAATTTTCTAAGCCAATAGTTTAGATTAGATATATAGTTAGACTAGGCATATAGAACAAATTTTTGAAAACACCTACACTATGCTGAAAAATGCTTTTAAAATAAAGAATAAAAAACTTTGGATTGGTTGGCATAGACAGATATTTATATCCCATCTAAAAGACTAGTAAATCATACTTATATAAAAAGAAAAATATAAATATTTTCCTACTATATTAGTAAATAAAAGAGTTTTAACGTTCGTAATCTTTATTACTGTAGTAAATCACAACATGAGATCTATCCTTTTCACAAATTTACAAATGTACAAAACATGATGTACAAATGTACAAAACATTATGGCTTACTACAGACATAATGTTTGTACATCAGATTATTAGAGCTTAATTATCTTACTTAACTGAAACTTTATGCCTTTAGATAAGTAACTCAACTCCCCATTTCCTTTGCCCCAAGCCCTTGGCAAGCACTATTGTGCTACTTTTTGATTCTGTGAATTTGACTATTTTAGATACCCCATGTAAGTGGAACAATGCAGTTTTTGTCTTTCTGTCCCTGGCTATTTTCACTTAGCTTAATGTCCTCAAGATTCGACCATGTTGAAATATATTGCTAGGTCTCTTTCCGTTTTAAGGCTGAATAGTATATCATTATGTGTCTATCACATTTTTAATCCATTAAACAGTCAATGAGCAGGTAGTTTTTCCATCTTGGCTATTATTAATAGTGCTGAAATGAAATAAACATGGGAGTGCCAATATGTTTTTGGGATCCTGATTTTAATTATTTTGAATAAACACTCTGAAGTGAGATTTCCAGACCACATCAAAGTTCTATGTTTAACTTTTGGTGAATCTCCATACTATTTTCTACACTGGCTGCTATATTTTGCATTCCCATAAGCAGAAGGCAAGGGTTCCAATTTTTCCATGTCCTTGCCAACACTCGTCTTTTGTTCTTTGGTAATAACCATCCTGGCAGGTGTGAGGTGATATTATTGTAATTTTTTTGCATTTCTGTAATAATTAGTGATGATGATAATTTTTGTACACCTCTTGGCCACTTATATGTCTTCTTTAGAGAAAAGTCTGCTATCTTTTAAGCATCCCAATTACAATAAGGAAGATCACCAATGATATTTCCTAACTTCAGGTGGAAAACCACCTTAAACTGTAATTTGTAAATTAAAGTGAAGCAAAAATACTGAGAAGTCTCCCCAATTATGGAAACAATTAATATTATTAGCATCCAAGAAATCTGTATTTTTAGTTCTGATCACATCAAATCCTCAGAGGTCAGAGGTGAATACTTACTCCTTTATAATTTGGATATTCTTTATTTCTTTCTCTTGCATAATTTCTCTGGCTAGGACTTCCAGTATTATTTGAATGAGAGTTGTGAGAGTGAGTATCCTTGTTTTGTTCCAGTTCTTAGAAGAAAAGCTTTGAGCTTTTCTCCATTCAATAAGATGTTACCTGTGGATTTGTCATACATGGCCTTTACGGTGTTGAAGTATTTTTATCCATACCTAATTTATTAAGTGTTTTATCATAAAGAGATATTGAAGCTTATCAAAACCTTATTCTCCATCTATTGAGATTATCATATGATTTTTGTCCTTCATTCTATAGATGTGATGTATGATGTTTATTAATTTGCATATGTTGAACATCTTGCAGATGTCATGATCTTATATATAATAAAACCTAAAAACTTTACCAAAAACCTCTTAGAACTGAGAAACAAATTCAGTAAAGTTGCAGGATACAAAATTGACATACAAAAATCAGTAGTGTTTCTATACATGAACAATGTACTAGCTGAAAAAGAAATCCAGAAGGTAATCCCATTTAGAATAGCTACCTCCAAAAAATAATATATCTAGCAATACATTTAACCAAGGAGGTGAAAGAACTCTACGTGGAAAACTACAAAACACTAATGAAAGAAACTGAACAGAATACAAAAAATAGGAGGACATTCTATACTCATGGATTGAAAGAATTAATATTATTAAAATGACAATACACTCAAATTCATCTAGAGAGTCAACACAATTCCTATCAAAATACCCATGACATCCTTCACAGATGCAGAAAACAATTCTAAAACATGAATGGAACCACGAAAGACCCCAAATAACCAAAGCAATCCTGAACAAAAATAACAAAGTTGGAGGTATCACACTACTAGACCTCAAAACATACTACAAATGTGTTGTAACCAAAACAACATGGTACTGGCATAAAAACAGACACATAGATGAATGGAACAGAATAGAGAATCCAAAAATTAATCAGCTTATCTACAGCCAACTAATGTTTGACAAAGGTGCCAAGAATACTCATTTACAAAAGGAAATCTCTTAAATAAATGGTACTGGGAGAACTGGATAGTCACATGCTGAAGAATTAAACTGGACTTCCACCTCTCAACCTATACAAAAATCAACTCAAAATGGATCAAAGGACTAAATGTGAAATCCAAAATGGTAAAATTACTAAAAGAAGACATAGAGGAAACACTTCAGGATATTAGTCTGGGAAAACATTTTATTAATAAGACCTCGAAAACACAGGCAACAAAAGCAAAAACAAAAACAACGGGATTATATCAAACTAAGAAGCTCTGCACAGCAAAGGAAATAATCAACAGAGTGAAAAGAAAACCTAAAAAGTGGAAGAAAATATTTGCAAACTACTCATCCTACAGAGGATTAATATCCATCCAGAACAGACAAGGAACTCAAACATCTCAACTGAAAAAAAAAAGGAATAAAAATAGGCAAATGATCTGAATAGACCTTTCTCAAAAAACAGACATAAAAATGGCCAACAGCTATATGAAAATCAAGTCATCAGAGAAGGGAAAATCAAAACCACACTGACATATCATCTTACTCCAGTTAGAATGGCTATTATCAAAGAAAAAAATAATTAATGCTGGCGAGGATGTGGAAGAAAGAGAGCCTTTAAAGGCTGTTGGTGGGAATACATAGTACAACCACTATGGAGAACAGTATGAAGGTTCCTCAAAAACTACAAATAGAATTAACATATGATCCAGCAATCTCACTACTGAGAATGATCAAAAGGAAATCATTATATCAAAGAGACATCTGTGCCCCAATGTTTATTGCAGCACTATTCACAATAACCAAGATATGGAATCAACCTAGGTGTCCAGCAACAGCTGAACGAATAAAGAAAATGTGGTATATATACGTAAGGGAATACAAATTATTCAGTAATACGAAATAATGAAATCCTATAATTCACAGCAACATGGCTAGAACTGGAGAATGTTATGTTAAGTGAAATAAACCAGTAGTAAAAAATTAAATACTGCATGTTTTCACTTATATGTGAAAGCTAAAAAAAATTGATCTTCTAGAAGTAAAAAGTACAACAGAAGATATTAAAGACTGAGAAGGGTATGGGGAAAGGAGAGATAGGCAGATATTTATTGAAGGATAAAAAATTACAGCTAGATAGTAAGAATAAGTTAGTGTTCTACAGCATTGTAGTCTGACTATAGTTAACAGTAATGTATTATTAGTTTTAAATAGCTCAAAAGAGGATATGGAATGTTCCCAACACAGAGAAATGATAAACGTTCAAGATAATGGATATGCTAATTATCCTAATTTAATTACTATATGTTTTATGTGTGAAAATATCACTGTGAACCATGTGAATATGTATGATTATTTTTTATCAACCAGAAAATAAAATTAAAAAAATATAAACCCTTTGTATACTGCCATCCACATCATAGGTGACTCAGGTCAAAAATTGGCTTTTGTTGAACATGATATATTTTTATTCTTGCTGTATCAGGGTCTTTGGTTTGACTAAATCTAAAAAATACAATATAGAACTGATATATTCCAACACTTAATATAGTATTGTAACAAAAAGAAAGCATTTTAAAATAAATTTAAGTCAAGAATCCACTTAGACATTTTTATTCCTGGATGGAATGATCCTTTTATCCTAAAGACTTTACATGAGTAACTTTCATAGAACAGACAATTGATAACCTCAGTACTGAAAAAAAAAAAAAAGGAAGGAAGGAAAGGGAAGGGAAGGAAGGGAGGGAGGGACAGAGAGAGGGAGGGAATGCAACAAAAAAGGAGCGAATTTTGGTTTTAGAACCATAATTTGACTTCTTTTATATATTATGGAATTTTTTCTTTGTCCATATGTTAGAGATGATACTAATATACAGTCATGCACAACAATGTTTTGGTCAATGACAGACATATACAATGGTGAGCCCATTAGATAATGGAGCTACCCTATACAGGCATACCCATATTTATCTTTTATACCATTTTTTTACTATACCTTTTAAATGTTTGGATATTTTTAGACACACAAATACCATTATGTTATAATTGCCTACAGTATTCCGTACAGAAACATGCTGTACAGGTTTGTAGCCTAGGAGCAATAAGCTATACCACACAGCCTAGGTGTTTAGCAGGCTATACTATCTAGCTCTGTGTAGGTACATTCTATGATGTTTGCACAATGAGGAAGTCGCTTAACTAGGCATTTCTCAGCAAGCATACCTGTCATTAAGCAAGACATAACTGTATTATAAAAATTATAAATGTATAACTCAGAAAATATTATAAAGTAGCCTATGAATGTTTCAATAAGACAGTTTGAGATATAATTTTAAAATGAGGTGTAAAGTAGACAGCATTACTAAATCTCACAAAAAATACTTAATTTGAATCCTAATTAAGGCTTTACACCTTATTTCTGGGCTACAGCAAAAACACGGCAGAGAGGAAAAAAACTAAATGACACTCCCGCACTTTTCAATTACACTTTCCCAATTTTAGCACTGAAATTCCAGGTCCTGGAAGCCCCAGTGCCAGGCAAACTAGAATGGTTGACCACACTAGATAAGGGTTCAGGCCAACCTATCAGATTGTCTCATTTTAATAGCACTTTGAAATTTTCTCCATCATCCACATACTAGGTTTTGAATCTCAAATCAAGAATCTTGCAGATTTCAGTTTCTGATGACCACACCAAATGAAAATTTAATGTCTTCATTCTGATTTGTGGGAGGGTCATTGCAGAGGAAGCTTATGTACTACATAAGACCTCAAAGTATTAGTCTGTCAGAAATCACTATCAATACTTCATATATTAAGCTAAGAAGATATTTTCATAATCTTCCAAACTATTAAGCCTCATAAATAATGAATCTGGTATGCATTATGAAAGAAGGCATAGACAAAAACTATGATTATGGCACTAGTCATAGTAGCTTTTTTAGAATGAATCAATATATATTAGTGCAGGCATATAATAAATTGTTGCATATATTTCACAGCAAGATTCTAAACCAAAGATAACAATATCTTAGAGTCTAGGAATTTCATTATTATTTTTACTGATTTAGCAAAAACAGAAAATAAGGAAATGGCACCATCAGTCCATAAAGTTCCACAGTTATATCCAGGATACACAAGCCAACGAACTGAACTTATCAAGAGGAGCAGAATGAGAGTAGATAAACATAAATGATCTTTCAGCTGTTGCTGAGTGCACAAAGTAGCAAGTTCAGAAAAATTAACTGAGAAAGGCGGTAGCAGTTAGATCTCGCACATGTAGCAAGTCAACTCAAAGTCAGGTAGTAAGACAAGCCTTAGTTTCAGAGGTGTTGATTATATCATGAAACTAGTACAATGTTGTAAAGGTAAATTCTGCCTTAAATTCAGGCAGCAACATGGAGGCTAAAACGCAGGGAAGAGAAGTAAGAGGATAGTGGGCTGACACCTTATTAACATGTGCTTGCTCTTTTCAAAGATAAAATGAGATTAAATGGTGTAATGGAAAATGTGCCACATAGCCAATATCATTCTAAAGATCTACCACTATAATCATATTATATATTCACACAAATGTTTACTGTGCTTTCAGTAATTAAATACTATCTATTTTAATTTACACTCAGCTTACTTTCTATTTGAAACCTGAGAATTGTTGGAAAAACATGGTCTCATATTTTTATTGCAATGTACTTTTCAAAAGCTCCAACTGTTTGTGATGCCTTTGCCAAGTTTTTATTATGAAATAGATTGACTGGGGGTAAATACATCAGAATAAATGTCAAGGTGTAATTTGAGAAATAATATTATTTGCTAATAATCAAGGCTTGCCATTCTAGACAGCAAATACTAATCCACATATGAGCCAAAAGATATAAACAGAGTTCAGAGAAGAAATTACAGGGAAACACAATGTGTATTTTGGATTTAATATGGATGGCATTTACATCTTATTGGTTCACAACGATTAAAAAAACCCTGAACTTCCTTTTCCGTAAGTTTTTACTTCATTGGCAAACCTTCTTTAATAAAAAGTAGAGCTTTATTTTATTTACTCTTCTTGATAATTCTCCAACTGTTCAATACAAACTGAGAAATGCTCCTCACCTCCATCTGTGCTTGAAATTTTTATTAATAGCGTATGTGTCACGATGTTCATATTGAGGAAGAAAATCATAAATATTGAGAAATTACTAAGTAAACAAGCCATCAACACTACCTCAATAACTTTTATTTAAACCAATAGACATAATGGCACAAAAACACATTCATTAGATTAATTATCCTCATTACTAGCACTTTTATTGTTCTTTGCTGGATACTCAACAATAAACAGGTTAAATTGCTAAGTGATAGCACCTTTTTTCTATTTTCCTTTTTAAGTTTTATGCACAAACAAGAGAATTCAATTTATTTCACAAGGAGTAAAATTTCATTTGGGTGTAAAATTTTTATAGATATATGTTTATTAAAGTAAAAGACAAATTCTTGACATAAAAAGAAAAGATGTTATAGCCTTTGTGATCCCCAGCTTTCCATAGTCAAATTTCCCAGGACCGCCGTGGTCAGCATTCGCTTCTCCATTCTCCTACCACGACTAGATCCTTGCTACTGTTACCAAGATTATTGCAGAAAATTCCACATGGTCTTAATGCCCTGAATATTTTTCTAAATCAAATTTGTCTTGAACACTATGGAAAATTGTATCTGTCTAAAAAAATTGATTATGTCACTACCCTACTCAAAAATTTTTGATTTAATTTCAAAAATTACTAGAGAATTAAGGACCCACTACTCTAATTACTAGAGAACTAAGGACCCTTCTGTCTGCTAGTCAAAGTCTTCCGCAGGAAACCCAGCCCTATGCCCCAGTCTCATGCCCTCTACAAAAGCCTTTCTCTTGCCAAACTGCTCTGCTCATTATTTTCTAATATGCCCCAGACATTTACATCTTTGCTTAGCCATTTGATATTTGTTCTATCTGATGGTTAAAATTTTCTGAATCTTTCAAATTTCCTACAAAAAATGACTTGACCCTACTACCTCAGAAGCTCATAGAGAGGAAACTACATCTCAATGATAATTTCTTTTCCAATGACACCTAATACAGTCAAGGCACACAGAAGGTGCCCAAGAAAATATCTGATTATTTGGTTTGTTTATGTTTTTCCTATCTGAGGGAGGTGCTACAACATAATAATTGTACACCACATACCTCATTGCACCCCTGATAAAATGTGAATATGCTTCAAATTATATTTATATCCTTTGAATTATATGTACTCAATGTGGACTAAAATACCATAATTTTCATCCTGATAGCAAAACATATTCTTACTTCTATTTTAGAACTAGGTTCCTGTGTAACTTGGACTCACAAAAAACTCTCAAATAAATTATTAAGAATAATTAAAACTATGTCTTAAAATTACAGCTTCAACTAATTTGAAAAGTGATACCAAAAATCAGCATACGATAGGGCTGAACGTAAGAAGACTGTGGAAGGAGGATACTTCACAGAAAGGCAATAACAATTCTCACAAATGTTAAGAGATTTTTGTACAATTAATTCCATAATCTTGGAAAAAAATTTGCCCCTTATCCCCATATGGCATGTATTGAGAGACATTTGCTTCTCTAAAAAACTAAGATATATGCTTCAATTTTCTCATAAAAGTAAAGACAACTCAGTCTCTCTGCATCAATTGCTTTCTAAAGTTTATTATCAAAGCTTTACATAAACTGAATTTGTCCAACTTAGTTTGTTTCCTTAATCTACCTATGCATCACACAAACATAATTCCAGGTGAAATTGTGGAGTCAACCAGGTTTCCCTGGGTTTCATCTTAGGAAACTCAATTATTTAGCACTTAAACATCAGTAACTCTTCTTGTGCACAAATGGCACATATCAGAATAGCAGCAAGTCAAACTACTGACTACTTTCATTAACTTTTGCCAACATATGATTCTGAATTTTTCCTTGTTGCAAATAATAAAATCCTCAGAAAAATCCATTCACATCTTCAAAAATGGTTTATTTCACTTAAACAACAACCACAGGGTACCAACAAGTCACTAAATCTTTCACAAAATGCTACCTGGTGTTCTTTATAATACCTAACAGCAATGGACATTCATTTTGGTTAACCATTATAGTCATTCTTTGCATTTTTGTATCTTTTTCCTAAGAGGAAGAAATGTGGCCCTATATAAACCTAATGCCAAGAAAAATGTAAGCTAGTATTCATTAAAATACTCACTCTTTGCCAAAGCTAAATTCTGCCTCAGAATTGTGAGGGTAACGCCCATCACAATGCCTTTGATGCCACAGTAAATTGTTTCAAACATCTTCCTGCTATTTAAAGTGTGGAAAAAATACAGACAATCTTCTGGAATGCATTCATTACCTTGAGAGTGCCTGACATGCTGGTCATGCTGAAATGAATGTTATTCCGTAGCTTTTGTGGTATAAAACACTTTCATCTCATTATAGTCTCAAGATAATTTATGTTATAATCCCATTTTCACTTACAATTACCTTCAAAATTCTCCACTGAGAAACTTTCACACTATAGAAACAGACTTAAATTTACCTTTTGCATTTTTTAAAAAAATGAACAAAACATCTTTCACAAAAAAGAAGCCTTTAAAAAATCAGAGATTAGTTACATGGTTTGAAGATTCCAGACTAATGTGTTCATTTCAATTATTACTACCATACCTACAGATCACAGAAGAGAAAATGAAATAAATTATGATTTAACCATTGTTATTTTTAACTAGCAGCTGGCTTGGTAGGATGAAACTTGAGAGTAAGATGTGAAAGAAATATATTTTAATTACATATAAATTATCTATACACTTCCTGTGTTATAGGCTTTGCCACAAATAACAAAGTTAATTTTCTTCCTAGGGAACATGTTTTTCATTAGTAATGAACAACAGGCTTAGAGAACATTAACAATTTAGAGAACTTAAAGTTTTCATATTATAAAAATTTGTGAATATTTAAACTAATGGTATTCAAAACTGATTAAGCTGCAACTAAATGATGAACTTGGTCGATTTCCTACAAGCAGGATAATTTACTACTTTCTCCACTCTCTAATTACGCTGCATTACCTCTTCTTCCAGATAATGAATCTCTCCATATACTACCAGATAACACCTTAATTCTCATTAGGAACTGCATGGCCTGACTCACCTCTCCTGCTGTGACTCTTGCCATTTGCTCCCACCCACTACTCTTCTGTATGTCTTCTGTATGACTTTACTCACGCTAGTGCATCTGTCTGAATTACCCTTCCTCTGCCTTTCCACATGCCCTGACTGCCTGTGAACATAAATTCATCCCACAGACTCAACTCAAGCATCTTTCTTCATGGCTTCCCTGGCATTATGTACACCCCAGAAGGAGTCATCACTTTTTCATCTGGGCCATTTAGCATAACATGTATAACACATTACCACATATAACAATTTTTATTCTATCCATCAACAAACCCCATTGGTCTCACTTCTAAAATATAGACGAAATGTACCTTCTCTTTATATCCTTTACCATCACTTATCTCAATCCACACCAAAATAATTTCTGGTCTTACTGATTACAATACTCTCCTAACCCATCTCCCTTCTTCAACTCTGGCTTCTTTCCAACTTATATTTCCTGAAGCCTGTAGAGCGATCTTTTTAAAAGGTCATCAGGCTAGATCACGCTGATTTGCATATTAATATGTTCCTATTACTTTATGATACACATCTAAAGTTCCTCCATGGCCTGCAGTGCCCTATATGATTTGGGCCCACCTGCCTCTCTAACCTCATCTCACATCACCTTTCACCTCAATTCCTCATTAGTCTCCAACACTAGGATTATCACACTGCTCTTCAGACACTATGTATCCTTTCCCACTTCAGAACTTACCCCCTTGATGATCTCTATAACTTCTAATTCCTATGTGGGATTCTCATGGCCATTCTTCAGGTCTCTGCTCAAGTGTCACCTCCAAAAAGCATTGTCCATCATTCTTATATAAAGTAGCCTCTTCCTCCCCCCATTTTCCTATATATACCGAATACAATGTGACAGAATATGAGGGCTTCATGAGGGTAAGAACCTTGTCTGATTCGATGCTGATGCACCCTTCCATCACTATCTGATGCTTGGTGGATGCTCATTAAATATTTAAATAATTAATTAATGACTATAGTTTTCCCTCTCTGTTACACTGTAAACTCCTTAAACTAAGGATTGTGCCCTATTTACCTTGGTAATCCAGAGTCCAGAAAAGTGCTTAGCATAAGGTAAATTGTCCACAAATGACTGTGGAAAAAAATAAATAAAAGATTATATTTTAAAATGTGGTTAGCATCTTTATATGCACAAAGTACATTTATGGAATACTTTCTATGGTGCATGGAATGCAACATGGAAGGTATTCAATAAATCTTCATTGAATAAATAAATGAACATAGTATGCATATAGATCACCTATTCTTCATGCTGCACTTGTACCTTAAAATATCCAAAATAAGCCAGAACTTACAAACTTGGAAACTAAAGAAGAAACTTGAAAACTAAAGAAGAAATCAGAACATGTCAAGATAAAGTTTTAGTTGTGTGCTATTAGTTATAATCTCTCATTCAAAGACCAACGCCTTTCATGTATTCATGTTTACTCTTCTTCTTACATATAAAACAATCAGAAAACATCTGGGTCTTTATATAAGAATGGCCTATAATTTCAGAAAATGTTACTCAGTTAAAAAGTCTGGCCTCAAAAACAATTTTTAAAGTAAAACAGACTAATTTGGTAAGGAGTGTTGCTGAAAAGTGCATGCTCTTTAATCATAAAAATTTCTAAATCATTTCAGTTGTCATTCAGAACAATGAAAAGAATCTCTTTGAACTAAGTTATTGATAACAAGCTCATAATCTGAAAGTGAAATTTGAATCTGGGAGGGGTGTGAGGGCAAGAATAAGCATTCTTTATAAATAGTTTATTTTTTAAAAAGTAAAACATGTGTTTTGATTGAAAGTAATTGTCCCTTCGTGCTTTCATTTTGGAATGGACTTTTATGGGGCAATCAAGATTAGAACCATATATGCTAGGCTTAATAAAAGGTCAGTTCATAATAAAACAACTGCAATTATCAACCTCTAGAAAACAACTACAATTATAAAAATAAAACATAGAAATGCTTAAGTTAGGGAAGAAATAAAATTATACAAATGTTACATTTGCCCATTAGCCTTAACCTCATCTTAAAAACATACTTTTTCTCTACTGGTTTCACAGGAAAATTTGACATTTATTTTTCCCTTTTTAGATTATATTTTCAAATAACTGCACATACTTTAACTATCAGGTTAAGTGATTTGAGCATTATAAGAAACAATCATCTACACAAGGTATATCTGAATAAAAAATCAAGAAATTTTTAAATGTTTAAAATTTAGAAAATTTTTAGACTCAAGAAAAACTTAAAATCTGAAAATTCATTCTTGAAAGGAATGAAGTCAGAGATTATAATGAGGTTTTCATGAAACTTCAGCACTCCCAAAGGTGATTAAAATTCCAGTATTATGGTTGGGTCTTCTTGTTTGCATTATTTATTTATATCATTCTTCTTACCATAGCTACCATTTTTTGAATTCCTAATAGGAATCAGATACTGCCTTTAGAACTCTATATTTATTATCTCTAAGCCTCATTCAACACTCAAGGTATTATTTCTCCACTTTGTCAATGAGAGAAGTGAGGCTACGCAAAATTCAGCCATTTGCAGGCAAGGTTTATCTACATCAAAATCAACATTAAACCCTCCAGTACCCTCAGGTGAACATATTCTCCATATCAGTGGTTCTCAGACCAGCAAGAGAATTCTTACCTAAGCTCTTGTAAGTAATGAAAATTCTCAGAATCACCCCCAAAATCCTACTGAATTAAAAGTGCTAGAGTTAGAGGTGGAAATCAGCAATTTGTGTTTTAACAAGCCTTCCAAGTGATTTTGCTGCACGCTCAAGTTTTAAACCATTGAACTAGTTAAAATTATTTGCTCTAAAAATGCAGCTTCAAGACAAGTTCCTGACTCCTATTCAAACCAAGACTGCTTTTCCAAACTTTTCTGAAGAAAGTTTGGAACTCTCTGGAAGAGTTCTACCTCTTCCGCTCCCTAGTCTGCTAAACCCAAAGTCTATCCTTTTCTCATAATCTCTGCCTCCTGATTTGTTTTGCATCTTTTCTCCTTATTTAACCCCAGAATCACTTTTTCCTCATGATGCTCTCCTGTTAAGATCTACCTTGCCACTGCTGAATCTGCCATTGCTACATCCCAGTCCTATATTCACTCCTTTATCCTCTTATGCCTTTTTCTTATAGAAAACTTCTAAGTGTGACAATTGTAAGACTACAGAGAGCCTATAAATGTTATCAAAGAATGACAAAAAAGAAAGAGTTTTTCATCAAAGTCTTCTCTTCCATTGCAGGCCCAGCCTGGCTAGCTACAGGGTTGTCTGAGCCCTGTGATTAACTGCTTGCTTGTGAACTCCATAGCCAGTTTTGGTGGAAATTTTTTTGTTCAAGGTCAGATTGGGCACAGGGTTCATAGATATGACAGAAATATCAAGGCTTATCCAGATATTTTGATCTAACATTTTTCACATTATATAAGACTAATACCTACTGTGACTATGTATATTCTTCAGGCAGACTTACCCAAATGATGAATAATCGCGATATTGTATTTGCTTTATAATAAGAAACAATGGCTCCTCCATGATAAATATTAATGGAGAGAAATGCAAAGTTTAGTTCCATTAGTAAACTACCAAACTAGTCAAAGTAGTAATCTATCAAACTGCATATTTGGACATTCAGTAGAAAAAATAATAATACATTGATGATTGATCAGTTGATTATTTTTCTAGTTAGTTATATTAATATCTGGATACCATAAAAGTTGTCAGAGTACAAACACAAAATGAGCTGATTATCTGAGAGAATTTCTAAGAGATAGTTTCTCCTTAATCTATAAAAATTTCTGAAAAGAAGAAAAATAATCACAGATCTTTAAAAATGAGTCCTTGTTGATCTTCATAGTTCATAGGGTTCATGTGCTCATGGCACGTGATGGGTCTCTATGGCAATGTGTAGTTGTTTGTACATTCCAATTGTATGACCAAGATTTATTTAAAAATGATATAATTTGATTAATCATGATTGAGTTCCTATGACTGCCCTGGGAAAAATAAATCATTAATCACAAAAGTCCTAAATCAAGGAATCTTTATTGATTATGCCAAAATTTAGAAGGAAAGGAAAAAAGATAAGCAGATACTTACTGCTCCCCATAACTGTACGAGTTAAGCAAATCATAACTCTACCATGTTCTCTCCACATTATTTTTTTTTTTGCAAAGGCTATATTAAAATACTGGGGCAAAAATTTTAGAATGTACAATCACAAATGTATTAAGTTGGATTCATCTCTAATTTACTTTAGGTTAGAAAAAAATGGTTCCTGCCACAGCCTAGTTTTCACATCTTTTTTGTCGTTGTATGAGGGAATCTTTTTGAGGTGGAAAAAGTACTCCCTTAGGAGTACTTTTACAAATATTTCACAATACTTCCTGACAGGACTAGATTCTGGCTAACTCTAGGTCATCAATCCACAAACAAACTGCTATCAACAAATTAATGTCTCAGGCAATTAGTACCAGGTGCTAAAACACCAACAAAACAAGGAGAATTTTAAAAAGAGCCATTGAATTTTATTTTCAATATGAACCACAGAGCTTGCTATGTAAATTTCAACTTC
Source organism: Homo sapiens (assembly GCF_000001405.40). Classification (NCBI taxonomy): domain Eukaryota; kingdom Metazoa; phylum Chordata; class Mammalia; order Primates; family Hominidae; genus Homo; species Homo sapiens. The sequence goes on along the minus strand of NC_000006.12, from coordinate 80,728,359 downwards.
CAGAATTTTTGTAAAAGGAAGTTACTCTACTTTTTATTTTCAAACATGTACAGCTGCTTAGCTCTTGGCAAAGAAATTGATAAATGAGAATGTGTGTCAGAATTTTAGGAGGAAAAACATCTATCCACAAATTTTTAAAAAATGAGTTACCAGCTCTCTATCAGCTAAAAAAAGTTAATAAAGCATTAAAATATTCAGTCATTTAAAAAGTCATGAAACTGAGGTAATTATGTATTGCATGTATATGACATAATTATCATAACTAATCAAATGAAATAAGCATAACATGAAATGTGCTAATTAGTTTGATACCATCCAAAGGATTGACAAATTACTTTATTTACTAGATAGGATAGAACTATTACCAAATTAATAATTCCACATTAAAAAAAAGTTTCTTTCTATACCTATGTGTTTATTTGCTGCTTTATGTTTTTGTTATTGTTGTGATGTGTTATTTTTTTTAATGGGATGCCAACCATTATAAATTTTATCTTTTTTTTTTTTTAGTTTTTTTAATACTTTAAGTTCTGGGATACATGTGCAGAACATGCTGGTTTGTTACATAGGTATACAAATGCCATGGTGGTTTGCTGCACCCATCAACCCGTCATCTACATTAGTTATTTCTCCTAATGCTACCCCTATGTTTTTAAGGAAATATCTGTAGCTCTATCCTCTAGTTGCCCAAACATAATCTTCTTGCGACACTAAGACCTGTTAAAATTCACTGGAAGAGAATACCTCTATCTGTTGTATTATTTAATAAAATTCATTTGCAGGCTATTTAGCAAGTTATATGGTTGAGTAATAACATACAATATTTTTTAGAAGTAATAAAGGCCAGGCGTGGTGGCTCACGCCTGTAATCCCAGCATTTTGGGAGGCCGAGGCAGGCGGATCACGAGGTCAGGAGATCGAGACCATCCTGGTTAACACGGTGAAACCCCGTCTGTACTAAAAATACAAAAAAAAGAAAAAAATTAGCCAGGCATGGTGGTGGGCGCCTGCAGTCCCAGCTACTCAGGAGGCTGAGGCAGGAGAATGGCATGAACCGGGGAGATGGAGCTTGCAGTGAGCCGAGATCACACCACTGCACTCCAGCCTGGGCAACAGAGCGAGACTCTGTCTCACACGCACACACAAAAAGTAATAAATTGGAGAAGTAGTTTAAATTACATTTTAGCTATTAATTTGTGCTAAAATTTATTTCAAAATCAAAAAGTAACTCATGTTCCTTAAGAGCCAATAAAATTAATAGAATGTAAATTCCATGAGCTCAGAGAGCACTGTCTGCTTTTTACTGATATATTCCACTGAGAATAGTGCCTGGTACGTAGTAAATAATAAATATCTGTTAAATAGAAAAACAAATCATGCTGAACCAGCTAATTTTCTTTCTTTTACCAATTCTGACTTTATTTATTCTAAGAAGTAATTGCTTTAAGGTTTTCAACAGTTTGCCCTGTTAGTCATTTTAATAAACATAATATATAATATCAAGATGGTCATGTATAGAAATTAATGTTTTAAAAATTCTCTTACCTTAAACATTCTCCCTTTCAATATTTACAAAGTTTTGTGAAAAAGTTGGAAATATACTATGTTCTTTCAATAAATAAAACTGACTTCCTAGGAGGTAAAATGGCTTGCTCCAAATCATTCAATTATTTAATGAAAATGTTTATACTATGATTTATGTATCATAATTTCTCATCCAATGATTCTTTAAATATATGGAATACAACACTCTCTTCTTAGGCTATATTTATATATGTCAGATATATTTGAACTAACAAGCTTAATCCTTAAATCCTAAAGATAAGATTGAGTTGGGAGAGGGATAATGACCTAAAGGATGATCAAACATTTCAACTCAGTCTTTCAGGTTCCTGGGAAGTCTAACAAAGAACTACTGCTCCAGGAGGGACCAGCTGCAACTGTGAATGATGGATTTCGAATTTAAGAGTCGATACAGATATTAGAGATTATCTATTCCATACTTTTTATTTTACAGATAAGAAGCCTGATGTCCAATGAGATAAGTTAGTTGTCTAATACCATATAACTAACAGACAGTGGAACTATATTAGAATTCCCAGATATCTGACTCCATCCAGTTCAATTCACATACAAAAAAAAGGATAAGAAATAATGTATTTTTGATCATAGCCATCTTAGATAAAAATTATTAAAGCCTGAAAGAATCAAATATTGCAACAATGTTGGGTTTTGAACAGATGCTACATTACATGAACAACTGAAATGGTGAAAGCTCCTGTTTTTATGGATAGCTACCTGTATAACAATTGGCAATATTAGCTCTGTATTATTTTGATATTATATTATCTGTAATCTACATATGGCTCCATGTGCTCCTCACCTCTGCCACTCCTGCCTTATTTCTTTTCTTCTCCTATTAGATTACATTTCACGTGTTGTGAGAAGCTCGTTTCTGCTATAACAGCAGAACCCAAGCTCAGTGCAAGAAAAGCAGCCTATATTTCTGCTACAGACCTGGAATCTGCCAACTGGCTGGATTCACATGCCGCCAGAGAAAGGAGATTGAAGCCATGTGTCAAGTCTTCTCCTCCAGAAACAGCTCAACATAAGCCCTTCTGTTAACAGGAAGACTGGCTCAGAAACACCGAATCAGCAGTATCATGTGCAAACATAAAACGAGGCAATGGTAAATAGTGAACAATGCACTAAGTTGTTTAAGAATAACCTCCTTGGGCAAGCAGTTGTTTAAAATGAGTAATCAGTTCTCCTTAAAAGACTTCAGGGGGATAATATCACATTGACACTCACTAAAATTAAAAAAAATAAATCCAAGTAAGTGAGTTTGTGTCATCCCTTGAAGATTTCATTATCCAGAGAACAGTGACCTAACTGAAATTTGGGTGCATTAACTGCTTGCCTTCTGAGATCTTTTTGGTCATATGTCATTATTACAAGAATGCAGACCACACACAAAGTTGGTTCTTCCTCACACAACCCCAGAAATGCCCAAATGACTTCAGCATTGTCACTAAGAACTGAACTCAAAATACTTCACCCAAAATAGATGCCTATTACTACTTGTAGAATGCTTTTTGGGTGGCTGTAAGATTGTGGTTCCCTATAACCTCAAGAAAGTTTCTATTTTAAGAATTGTCATAGTTTGGTTTAAGAGCATTTTTATTTGACTTAAGACAAAATAGACCTATGTGGAATCTACTTGGTCAATGTCAATAATATAAAATGGTCAACTTTTGCTTTGAACACCTTGCATGAAGTTATGAGTTACGGTAACTTTCATCTTAGGTTAGTTTCACTTTTTAAAGTTATTTTTCAAATGGTCAGAATATAACCTAAAAGCTATTTTGCAAAGCATTTTTGCCTTTAAGTTTTAAATCCATGTGTCTAGTTCTTTTACACACAAGTCATCAAATGTTATTTAAAGAGCAATTTTTTATTTTCAAAAAATCTTTTCTGCATTTTAGAGACGCATTTAAAAGACATCCTTAAAAGCTGGAAGTCATCTTTAGACAAAATTAAATGAACTCAAATAGATCACCTCTCCAAATGCAAAAAGGTTAGGCTTAAAAAACTGAATTCTTTTCTGCTAGTCTACTTTCAGTTTTTTAAGTCAATAAGCAAATGTTTTTAATAGGGTTTTCTCTCCACCATTAAGTCAAGATTTAAAGGTATGCAGTACTATTCCTTAATTTTTGTTAAATGCTTATATATTTTAAATGGCATGTTTTTGAATTTCAAAGATAATGTATGATATTTGTAGTAAACTGGAAAATAAAGGTAGGTAGAAGAAAATGAGAAACACAGGTAATCTTACCACAAATAATTAATATTAACATTTTATTTCATATCCTTACTATTTTTTCTTTTTGAGACAGAGTCTCGCTCTGTCACCCAGGCTGGAGTGCAGTGGTGCCATCTCTGTTCACTGCAACCTCCGCCTCCCGGGTTCAAACAATTCTCCTGCCTCAGCCTCCCGAGTAGCTAGGACTACAGGCATGCACCACCATGCCCAGCTAATTTTTGTATTTTTAGTAGAGACAGGGTTTCACTATGTTGGCCAGGCTGGTCTCGAACTCTGGACCTCAGGTGATCTGCCCACCCTGGCCTCACAAAGTGCTGAGATTACAGGCATGAGCTGCTGTGCTTGGTCTATTTTTCTATGAATATTTATACATGGATTATTTTTAAGAAAACTACAAAGAATACCATGAGCATAATATTTTATAAATGATTTTTTTAAAGACAGGGTTTGCTGTGTCACCTAGAGCGTAATAGTGTAATCATGGCTCACTACAGACTCGACCTCCTGAACTCAAGCAATCCCACTGCCTCAGCCTTCTGAGTAGCTGAATTACAGGTAGATGCCACCATGCTCTGCTAACTTTTTAATTTTTGTAGACACAGAGTCTCACTGTTGCCAAGGCTGGTCTCATACGCTTGGCCTCAAAAATCCTCCTGCCTTGGCCTCCCAAAGCACTAAGATTATAGACGTGAACCACCACACGAGGCTTAGAACTGATTTTCTGATTGAATAATTTATTGTGAACATTTTTAAGTCATTAACTATTCTACAATATAATGTTAATGTCTAGATACTATATTATATGGAAATATGTAAATGTATTTAATTTATCTGTCATTAATGAACATCAGGAGGTTTTCAATATTTAGCTTTAATAATGCTGCTATGAACATCTTTGTATAAATATTTTGTATATGTTCTGAATATGTTCTCAATTTAATTCTTTAAATGGGAATTTTTAATTTGATGAATATAAGTATTTTTAATTAGTTTAATTAACTTTGTCAAAATGACAAAACCTCTAGAAAGTTTTATGGATATATAGGTATATATATATATATCTATACGCACAAACACACACACACACATACCTGAAATTATTTGTTTCCCTAGCCCTTAGCTATATTAGGAATTAACATGTTATTAAGTTCTTGTCAAGCTTTGTTGGGAGGAGAAAAATGTGAAGAATAGGTAGTTTTATGGAATGCTATTCTTTCCATAAGTTACTATGGGTGCTCTTCTAGTTACATAACTCTGTTGAGTGAACTTTTGATTCCGGCCACACAAGCCAACTAGAACCTAATCTCATGATTCTTTCTTTCTTAATGGTAGATTCATTCCTTATTGAGCCCCAAGGAGTGTTTTCAATGTTTTTTGAGATAAAACTTTCTGGTTACCAGAATTTGCATACTTCCTAGAGTTGCCATTATTTCAAGCCCTCATTTATTATCCTTATTTACTAAAGCTAAATATTGAAAACCTCCTAATCATCATTAATAACAGATGAGTTAAATACATTTACATATTTCCATATAATAGAGTAGTATCTAGACATTAATGTTATATTGTAGAATAGTTAATATTTCACAATATAAAGGTGGCTCATGTTTGTAATCTCAGCACTTTGGGAGGTCAAGGCAGGTAGATCACCTGAGTCAGAAGTTCGAGACTAGCCTGGCCGACATGGCAAAACCCTGTCTCTACTAAAAATAAAAAAAAAAATTAGCCAGGCATGGTGGCAGGTCCTATAATCCCAGTTACTCAGAAGGCTGAGTCAGGAGAATCGCTTGAACCCGGGAGGCAGAGGTTGCAGTGAGCAGAGATCAGCTGCTACACTCCAGCCTGGGCGACAGAGCAGGGCTCTGTCTCAATAACATAAAATAAAATAGTTAACTGAAAGAGCAGGATACAAAACTGTATGTGATAATATATAAAAAGAGAGAGAATCAATATATTCTCCAGACTATATGGATTATATATTAATCCATATAATCATATATTTCTGTATGTTTTATGTGTTTGTATACATTTTATACAAACACGTACATATGCACACATAAAAATAGTGAAAGACTAGAGGAAAATACATTAAAATGTTAACTGTGGTTATTTCCGAGTGGTGAAACCATGCCTGAATTTTTTTCAGACATTTTGGCATTTCCCAAATTTTTACCACAACCCTCAAAAAGCAAATTCCTAATATTGCCCAATGTCAACATGGAATTTTATCCAAATATACAGGAGAAATGTTTTAAAATCCTGTTTCTCCAAATACTTTCAGTTATCCAACACATCTCCCAAAGTCTTTCTTTTTCCTCCAAACTCCAAAATATCCTCAAACCTGACTGCATAGTCAAAACACTTTTAGTTCCAAGTCTTGGATAATTAGATAATCAACTTGGAATAAGTTATACTTAAAAAAAAAAAAAGAAAAAGAAAGTGTATTGGTTTATATAACTAAAACGTTCAAGGATGGTTTTGACTTCAGGCATAGCCAGCTATCTTGTCAAGTTGAATATTTTTCATGCCCTAGAGGGTATAATTTTTTGAACCAAAACAATTATTAATTGAGAATTTTGTCATATTAATATTTTATTTTTAACAGTTACCAATTTGAAATACTTTTTTGTCACACTTTTAGCTCAATTTACAAATCTTATATTCTATTTATCAATTGTCAATTTTAATAATGATTTATAACAGAGGTTTTACAGTTTAATTATGTCTACTCCCTTAAATATTTTAAACTGTGGTTAAAAATGTTGTACACATTCTTTTTTGAAGTACACCAGGATGATTAAAGAAGTCTTCCTATGTACTTCAGAAATTCTCAGAAAGTTATACTAATAAATATAATGAGCTTTGGGATTTCCTACTTGTTCTAATATTTTAAAATGCTGTAGGATTTCAACTAAAAACCAAAGTTTAAACAAATTACTCAATTTGTTATTCTAATAAGATAAAATCTTCCATAAGCTTTTAAAAAGCTTAAAATGCTGAAATCTGCACAAATTATAGTTTATCACACAAAAAAATAGAAGTACTGTGGTTTGGTTTACTTCATCACTTCAGAACTATGATTTTAATTTTCCTTAGAGTTAAAGACACTTAACCCCTAGGAGGCATCTACCTTCTCAGTTGGCTGAGGCTGGCTTTGCTTGAGGATCAGAGGTTTTGACTTGGGTATGAAATACGGAATTGTACACTTCCAGAATAGTTCTTGTCGTGACCCTAGAGGCCATTCAAAACTTATTTTTATGATTAGTGTATTGTGAGGTTTGCTATATGTCCACAAAGTTCACAGCTATTATTTTCTAACTCTTCCACCTTATCCTAGTGTCACAACATCCTTGGGGTGTTGTTTGGCCAGCCGGAAACCTCTGTGGCCAGCCCCACCTTCTGCCTGAGTATTGTTCATGCCTGCTGGGCTCATACTACCCACTTGGCCTGGCAGGCTGTGCTCAGCTTGTGCTACCAGCCCAGATCTCACACCTGCCAAGGGTGAGCCAGGCACACAGCAGAGAGCTGTGTGTGGGCAAGCAAGCACGGGGTCCAGCCACTGTCCACAGCCAGGCACACTGGCTGCTATGGCAGGGTGGGCAGCTCCAGGCACCAGCACAGGTGCCAAGTCTGTGCAAGGCTGCAGCTGGATCAGATGTACCACATGTGGCTTCCACTGTGGACACCTATGTCTGGACGAGGGGAATGCAGTGGTGCCCAGAAGCTTGGAGACACCAGGAACTGCAGAGCCCCAAAGAGGGAATCAGTCCCGGATCAGGGAGCCCCAAAGGGCCACAGCTCTTCTCTCCTCCTCATCACCTGCAATGTGGTGGTGGGGGTGGCGGTGGGGGTGGGGGATGGCAGGGTGTTTCAGCCCTGTTTGTGTTACAGCTCTTACAGTCCCACCATTCAGCAGGTCCTGAGTTCTTGTCCCCTATCCAGGAAGAATGAGGTACACAGCCAACCAGGGGGTGAGCAATGCAGAGAGGAGCTTCTTTGAGCAACAGAACAGCTCTCAGGAGACCAGCAGTGTGTACCTCCTTTCTACAGGCAGGTAATCCTGAGGAGTGTCCAGCATTCAGCAGAGAGGAGACCCACAGTGGGTAGCTACTTTCCACAAGCAAGTTGTCTGGATATCTGTCTGAGTCTGGCTGAGTCCAGGATTTTTATGGGCTCAGAAGGGAGGAAGTATGTGCTGATTGGTCTGTGGGTGGCCATGGTTGGGCCTGGAAAAAGCACCATAATTTCTCACTCCAGGCCAAGGATTCCACACAGAACTGGCATCCTGGCCCACAGGCTTTAGACAATCCCTGGCTTGAAGGTGGGGTTTCACCAGGGACCTGCCCTTTTCCACCTAGGAACCTGTCTGCCTCCCACCATCAACATGCCACCCATGGCACCCAGATTGCTCATGTCAAGGGGCACCTGCAGGCCCACAACAAGCTGCCCTCAAGCCCCACCCGGCCTCTCTCTCTGTGCTCCTCATTGCCAAAGTTTCAGAGTGGGCCAAGGTGGCAAGGAGCACTGGCATGTCAGCACTGCCCCCAGTGCAGGCACACCAGTGCTGGGTTGGGATGGCGTCCAGGCTGTCCAGGCTGTAAACTTCAGTTACAGTTTCTATGGTCATTCTAATGATAACCACAGAGTAAATTAAAAGTCCAAGGGAGGTCTGTCTTCAGACACAGCTTGGCCAAGTACAACAAAGGCTGTCTCTTTCCATCTCTTAGTTCTGGTTTGTTTCTCTAACTCCTTCATATTTCCTCTCTTTCCCTCTCTGCTAGGGTAAATAATTTGGAGTTAGATTCTAAATTAGAATCTCATACCCATCACTAAGTAGCTGAGATTTGAGGCAAGATATTTAATCTGTCAATGTCTTAGATTTCTCATCCATAAATGAGAATAATAAGAGTTCTTCCAACATATATTTTTTGTGAAAATTAACAATGTATAGTCTTTGGCAATGTGGCTGACACATATTTCCACAAAGGGAGGAATGTGAGGGAGTTAGGAATATATATCCAACACAGGACCAAGAGTCTTGTCCACTCCTCCCTTTACCTTCTATATTGTCCCTCTGTTTTACCAGTTTCTTCTGCTTCTCATAGAAATTCCCAAACTGACTTCCTCTTTTTTTTTCACTATGTTTATTCTTAGCCAATCCAGAACATGCTGACTTTTACATTCAGAAAATATAAACGCTATAATTTTTAAGGAACACAAATATCTTTCTCAGAATAAATCTCTAAAATTCTCTCCAAAATCATAAATTGGATCCAAGAAAAAATTTAAAAAGTAATAGCAAAATTTTTGGATATCATATCCTAATTTCATTTACATTTAGTTGGCTTTCTTTAAAACCATGAGCTTTGCTGACATAGATGTTTATGGGGTAATGTTAGCCTTATATCATATAAAAATCACTATTTTTTAGTTACTATAGTATATTATATCTCTCTCTTCCCAGTAGACTATGAGGAGGTCTACATTGATGTTAGGTACCATGATTTTTATTCATCTTTGTATTTCCCCCAAGACTTTGCACAAGACCTAGCACATGCTAACATGTGCCTACCACTAATTTAAAAATGCAATAAAATATAGGTAATGTGGTTAACAAATTTTTAAAAACCTAGAACCAAGAGGACCACTTATTTGATTAACTAACTAAAATAAAATACAAAGAGGTCCTAGAATGTCATGGAATGATGAAAAAATCTTGTAAGATGAAATGTTGTTAAATAAAGTTCTGTCATTTAGGAAATATTGAGTAAGTATGGAGAAGTATGTGTTTAGAAATCAAAATTCTGTAAATAAGAAAAACTTTTATTCATTACGAGAAAGAATATCCTAATAAATTTTTAGAGATTGGTCAAGACAATTTATTATAGGTTTCTTTATGTTGCGAACATTCCCTTAACCTCTTCCTGCCTGTTTCCCACTCTACTCCTTCCAAACTCAGTCTAAGTTTAAAATCACTCATCTTAAATTCAGCATCACTTTCTCAGCAGTTTTCTATCTGAGGCCAGTTTTCCTATTAAAAATAAGAAATTAGTTAAGTAATAATATACTTGCATAGCATTTCACAGATTACATAATTGTTTTACAAGTGTCATTTTATTTGCTCTTCACAGTAACCCTTTGGAGTATTCAATGACAACAACATAATGCTCATTTTTAGATGAGAAATTTAAAATTCAGAGAGAATGGGTTTGCCTTAGAGTATAGCAAAAGACGTAGCCAAGATTGAAGCCAAAAGTGTTAAAAATAAAGTTGATATCAGACTCCCAATGTGGTGTTTCTTAAGAAGAGGGGAGTGACAATGTATGCTCTCCTGTGAAAATATGGATAGAATTCATTGACAGAAGCACAGAGAAAAGCTTCCCAGAAAAATATACTTTTACTAGCACCAAAAATGACGTGAAGTAAATTCTTTACCTTTCAAATGCCTTCATTTGCTTTCTTGTCAGGCCATAAAACTTAACCATTGTATAACTAATAAAAAAACTAGTAGTAATATACTATATATCAGCCAGTAAAGAAGGTAATAAAATATTAATGATGCAAAAGACACTTTCTTGAATATTCACATTTTTCATATGGAGAGGATTTTATATAATATTTACATGTGATACTACTTGAAAACAAATCTAGCCCTATAAATAACTCCATTAAACTAAAATGATATATCTCTATAGTAGTAGTGATCAGTCAACACATAAATAGCTACAGTTGAATTTTAGAGAATTCCAGCATATAATTTGAGGACATGGTTTGGCTCAGATTGCTGGGTTGTCCTACCACAGGCGTGACCGGACCATAGGAACTAAGAAACACATTTATCAAAAGTGAAATGTTCAATGACTCCTTTTACTATGTACTGAATACACTATGTACCTATCATGATTTTGAGGTTATGACTGAATGTTCAGTCTCCTGGTTTTGAACATAAACAAAGTTCTTCATTTATATGCCAGATGATATTTTTCAGGTGATATGTGAGAGTAAATTGAGGCAAGTAAATTGAGAATATATAGAAACCCATGTAAATACCAGACAATTAGTGATACCAAATCCACCCATTTTTGCAGAAAGTCGTTTTTATAGAAACTCAAGAGAAGTTACAAAGTTGTTAAATAACACACTAGAGGTATATGGGTTGTAGCTGAAGTAATCATTACTTATATTTACTGTAGTTTTTTTTTTCTAACCGTGATTCAAAATACCAAATCCAATCTGGGTAAGTGGGTCTGATTCATCTCTTTCCTTAATATTAGGTTCCATGTGTGAAAGAAATGTTTTGTTACATCAAAATAAACTTAATAATCATTCACTATAGCTTTCCTCATATCATTTGGCATGGTTGGAAGTTTATATTTGTGTGATCATTCAATTAAATCTTACACATTCCCCTTTCTCCACCAGATTTTTTGCATTGTGATTACATCCCAGAACATAGCAAAGATGTTAAATAGGTGGGTAGTCAGAAGGACAGAGGACGTGGCTTAAGATAGGTCTCTGTGCACTGAATGCAATCATAGCACACTGAAGATGGCCCACTTGTACTTGGTAAAAGTGGTGACTGGACCCACAAAGGCAAAAAAAAAAAAAAGCCATATATGTGCAATGTCACTGCACATTAGCACTGCTGGGAGTACTTACCCAACTTTCTTTTTTATTTGCCATATTTTTTAATATTTTACACTGACAAATAATGTCTATTTCTGAATGTCTATAATTGCCTGTGGGAAAGGTGAGGTTGAGGATACTGGAAACTACAGCAGTGCTCATGGAGGAAGAGTAATTTGGGACTTCGTGGGAATAAAGAAATGAATGGGTCAACAGAGTCTTGTGGCTAGAGGAAGAACAGGGTGGAGCTTTGTGAAAAACTGAAGCACTGTGTGAGGAATAAAAGGAAGCCCAGTACAAACTGTACCTAAAACTGACTGAAGTGGCCTCTGGTCTGCACTCATCTCTCATAAAATGTACAGTGAACTGGAGGAAATCTTCTAGCTTCTATATACTTCAGTCTCAAAATCAGCTGCAGAGGGCATGTTGTATTCTTTATAAAGAGACACATCTTGTCATTGTAACCCAGGTGGTTTCTTCATAATTTTGAAAACCTCGGTGCTGTAGACAATGAGTCCTCCTCCTATGGTTCTCAATTCTTGAACCATATGTTTTAAAATAACACATTCATACACAAAAGTTTGCAAGGGTAATTGCTTTTATTTGGATCCACATTTTCCCACCCCTGTGCCTTTATTTTCTTTCCTTGTCTTTTCTCACTGCAAGGAAGCTCTAGCTGCCTCAAACTCACAGTGGGCTCAGAAATCCAAACTTGCACCAGTCCCACACAGATATTCCTATGTCCAGACTCACAACCTTTTCTTTACCCTCATAGCATGTTTTATTTCCATCTATTTTCTGCATTTTTTATTTCTTCAATAATACATATTATAGTTTTATTTCCTTCTATGTTCTGTGTCTTCCATTTCTTTAGTAATACATGAGTTATATTTAGTAGGAAAAATCAAAGTAAAAATACATAATAGTAAGTGTCTGTTTAATGTGAAAGCATCTGACTAGGTTCAGAGCCTTTACCAGCCATCTCCTTGCCAGGGATTCTCTGTAACTGTGCCTTGAAAGGCCTCTTTCTCTCTTGCATGCCACGGCTGGCATTTCACCTCCATCATTTTTTCTCATCTACCACATGTCTTTCAAGCTAACCATGGCCTGGCAAGGCAAATGTGCCTGACACAACACTAACTTAAAAATGCCTCGATCCTATGCCCCGCCTCAATAAGCACTACGAGTTACAATCTTTCTCAGTTCCAAACTCAGCAGGTTTCTATGTAAGTTAACAATCAAAATGATTTTTTTAATGTAGGATTTACAGTAGGTGAAATAAAGATCTAGGATAGAGTCTAAAATCTCTATTGAATACTTTTTTAAAGGCACTATGTGATCTGAATCAATTTAATCTTTTCATTATTTTACTCTAACACCTAGAACTTTTCTGAAAATTTCCAAAATACATTACATTTTAATAATTAACAATTGCATGGGTTAGTCATTGTCAAGCTTATATAAAGAAGAACATTAAAGGGCAACAAAAATTTACTGTAGAATTTAACTGTTTTCTTACACATTTTGGAAGTTTAAATTTAAAAAGCATGAACCATGGCCGCATAATTCCGTTGTTAACTTTCATAAGGAAACCCCACAGATGATATTACATCCATGAAAAAGAAAGTATGACATCAGTTATTTACAGCATTATCACCTCATCCAGCTTGTGAATTATTTGAAATGTAAAACATATATGCCATGTTAGACTACTGCTGATAGATTGCTGATTTCAATAATGTTATGAATTTGAATAAGTTTGCTATGTCTACAAAAATATAAAAGAAAATTATATACTCTCTAAGAAAAAGTAGCCACAGTTAAGGCAAACTTCTGTAGATGTTTTCTTCCCCTACTCCTACTTAATTTATATTTTAGAAGTTTATGAACAGAGCTGAGTATAAAATCAGGTGTTTAGTATTAATTGCCTGATGCTAATTCATGACCCAAATAATCTTTTTTAACCTTCAAGTGCCAAATTCTTGAAATCATGGCTAAAGCAAAGGTAACTCATGTAGAGAGAGTTTGGAAATGCCAAGTATGGCAAGATGGAAGACCCGAAGGGACACAGCAACTCATAGCAAAATATTCACCAAAGGGTGAAGCATCTGCCAGACTACAATCATCACTACATCAAGTCCCTGCCTTGTGTCACTCCATGAGATACTTGCTAAGAATTCAAAACAGAGATGACATCATCAAAATTTCACGTCATGTAAGGACCATCCCAAAATCTCTTGCGGGCCGAAATAGCAAATTTCCCTAACTTAATTATTCCACCTTTGATACAGAAAAAAAAAATGATTAACAAAAAGACAAACCGAAATTACCATTTGGAAAACGCATGACATTAGTAGAACTATGTTTACTAGTGTTGACTCCTATTGATCTGTATGACTTGAAAACACATCTAGAAAAATTTTGAGTAGTAAGAGGGACAGAAAAACACTTTATAAAATACTCTCACATGACAAGAGCTAGAATGAGATTTTTTTAAATGCAAAATTATTTTCTGCAAATTTCTTAACTAAACAGGGCTCTGCATCCCTCTTACAAAATACACAACAGCATATTCTTACACCAGAGCCCCTGGAAAAGCTGGACCTGTCAGGAGTCCCATATTGAAACAATTTGTTCATTGATGTTTAGTTACAGATTTCATATTTTTACCCAGAAAAGCGTAACAGTATTTTCATGTTACAGAATCTGCTGTGTATAATTTACAGTCTGGCAGATGTTATATTCTACCTTTTAATGAAAGATAATTTGTCAGATGCTTCTAAACTGTATTATTTACTAGATTATACTGCCTTTCGTATTTAATAAAACCCAACCACCTAAGACAGAAATTTGGATGTCATCCCATTCTCTTGCCTTTCTCTCATCATCTGTTTTTTGCAAATCATGAAGTCTTGCCTGTTTCCCTCCTTAGGATCTCTAAGATCTCTCCTGTCTTCATCCTCACCAACCAGCATGAAATCAGTTTATCCCTTGGACCATTGAATGGCCTCCTAAGCCTTCATCCTACCTCCAATATTCCCCCCATCCCTTCCATTGTCTATATTGTCCCCCAATAGAATAGCTCTAGAGCTAAAATGTGATTATCTTATCCCTTCACAGTACATTTGATTTATGATATGGTTATGCCTGACTCTCAGCTTTCATTCCTGCCTCTCCCTACTCTGTATGCACTACACCCATAATCTACTAAAATTTCTGTCATACATCAAATGTGCCCTGTTTGCTCATACTTTGCTGTTCTCTGTAATGCCCTTCTCTCCATTGTTCATCTTTGCCTTCCAACTCTTGCTTATTTTCCAAAACTCTACTCAGATAGCTCTTCTCTATAAAACCTTTCATGTCCTCTTATTTTTCTGAATTCATTTTATTTCCTCTGTTCTCCCAAACCCCTTAACATCTTTAACTATAGCATTTAAAACACTCTTCACGAAGAACTAAGAGAAGGCAGGATCTTATTCAATTGGCTGCATTCCCATAGCCCATAACATATGACAAAGTAGATATTTAACAAATATTTGCAACACTAAACTGAATAAACCAAATTGAATATTTTATCAAGACTGTTCTTAAGTAACACCTACTAAGGGAAACAAACAAAAAGTGATAGAAACTGAGAAAAATAATAATCTACTAAAACTGCAAGCAACTGAATTTTCATCTTCAAATTATTTTTAAACCCATGAGCTAATTAACCTAAATTATATTCAATACCCACCTAGATAGTATGTCCATACAATACCTTTATAGTAAATAAGGTCCTTTTAATGTAAATATGTCTAATGTGTTGGCTGGCCTTCTGAAATTACCATTGTTTCTAGTATCATATGACCTGAATCCTATATCCAAATTCATGCAGGGTCACAACAAAGTGCCTAAAAGCTCAGCCTATTTTTGTCAGTCTGTGATAGCTGTGGGGTGGAAGAGTCCAAAAAGGTCTCAAACTCAACCCCAGATTTCAAGCCCAGGTGCATTATTCCAACAGGAAAGCTGTGGTCTAGTTCTTAGCTCCAGCTAATCCTTTTACCAAAGGTTTCCTGAGGTCTTTAGAACTATACATTCATCCACTAAGTGCCTTCTGACCACTCCTTTAAAATACTGCCAAAAGGAATGCTTTCCAGTACTGCTCCATGGTAAATGCTAAGTGGGAGAAGAACAGACATCTTTCTTCCTGATTAGTTTGTGGCTCAGAATTTTGAATGTCTTTTTAGTAATTTTTTCTTATCTGCTGGATACAAAAAACATAGTTGGATACATGACAAAGTTTTAAACTTTTACATATCTTAATAATTTTTCTCCTTGTCAATATCCTGATTCCCATCTTCACATAGAACTCAAATCTGCTAGGATCCTCCTTTCCTTATTTGTTTTAGAGTACAAAACTCACCAAACATGCCCTCCCATTTATGTACCCTACTGTGCTAAAAGACTCTAGGAGCTACTTTGCAATTATACTTTGCAACCTGAATAGCTCCGAAACATTCAATTTTGTATAATTCACATTTTAAGGAATTTTTAAATAACACCTGTAAGCATTTTTTTAATTTAATAAAGAAATATTGGTAGGCCAGGTGCAGCAGTTCACAGCTATAACCCCAGCATTTGGGGAGGCTGAGGCGGGTGGATCATTTATTTAAGGTCAGAAGTTGAGACCTGCCTAACCAGCATAGTGAAACCCCATCTCTACTAAAAATACAAATATTAGCTAGGCATGGTGGTGCATGCCTGTAGTCCCAGCTACTCAGGAGGCTGAGGCAAGAGAATCACTTGAAACTAAGAGGCGGAGGTTGCAGTGAGCCAAGATCATGCCACTGTACTCCAGCCGAGGGGTCACAGAGGGAGACTCTGTCAAAAAAAAAATATATGAAATATTGATTATTCATTTGTTTCCTCTGATGTTCATTAATCCTTCGAAAATGTAATAATTCTTCCCAGAAAAAAAGTGTATATATATATATATATATGTATGTGTGTGTGTGTATACACATACACTAAGTGCATATATATACTATATACATATATACACAAATCCATTCACAAAAATTCTCACATATAATTTCAAGTGCTCTGAGGATCCTCTGGAGCTTGACCACACAGTGGACCTTTTTTCCAAAGTTTTGACATCCTTGATTCACTTAATGGGTTTTGGTTCTCACGCAGAAAAATCCATAACAATTTAGAAAAATTAAAATAACATCTAATTTTAAATTTTAATAACTGTTTCATTTAGTTAGAAAAAAGCAAAGCATATGGTCTCTGTGAGATAGTGTTGCATAACTGGATAAACATCGACTCAGAAATAGCAGAAAAATGTTTTTCGAAAATCCATTAGCTGATAAATGGATGACTATTTCTTATTTAAAGGCTGGAAGGTTGACTATCTTAGTTTGGGATTGACACAGATCTATTATCTACTTTCTGATTATACTGGGTTCTGGAAAATTATTACTTCATATTCCGTAACAATATTTGAATAGGGTTTTAAATTATGACCAGTAATATCACTTTGATTTATTTTTAGATGAGTGAGGAAATGTATCAATCCCTGGGCATGTGCCTTTGGCAGACGCTGGATTACCACCAAATATGCCCAGCAATTATTCTCCAACATTTCCCAGCTTCGCTGCAATAAGGGTAGCATGTGACTTATTCTGGCCAATGAAATGAGAGTGACACTGAAGCACTATCACTTCCAAGCACAAGCACTTTCACTGAGGCAGCGAAAAGCCTGTTTGTGAGTATCCAGTCTCTTTTCTTCTCTGCTGTAGTGACTGGGAGGTCATGCTTCAGATGAGGCAATAATAAGATGCTTGAACTTCTGTCAGATTTGATTCTCTTGTGGAGCCCAGGAATTTGCATCCAAGTCCAATCTAGTTTAGAAATCTTGATAGCCTCAGCTTCTACAAAATACCAAAAACTCATGTCTTGTGACTGCCCATTGGATATCTTTTTATTAGCTTTAATGTCACTCTAAAATATTTTAATTTTTTTCTCATTTCCAAACATTTTTGTACCTGTTTGCCTTCAACATCAGGCATAGTTAAATGTCAAAGGCAGAATTATCTTGTACTGCAACAGTGTCTTTGCATTGTATGTTAAAAAATACATATGCTTAGTGGTCAGATTCTGATTAAATTCTCAATTTTCATATTTTTTATACCACTGAATCAGAATCCAGAAGCAAATTGTCATTGTCATCAGTGGCTAATCAATGTATGGATTGGTGTTTAGGTTATATAAAACAAATGCTGTGACTATCAGCCCACCAAAAATACTTGGTTATCTTCAAATATGCTAGACTTGAGACTGGAAAGTGGTTGTCCACCCAGATCCTGCATTTCCCAGTCTACTTGGAATTAAGCATGGCCATATCATTGAGTTCCAACCTGTGGATTGTGAATGGAAGTAATGAGTGCCACTTGCAGATCTAAATCATTCTTCAATATCGTGCTCTTTTTTGGTCTTTTCCTTTGTTGGCAGGCTAGAATGAAAAGGACTCCCCAGAGTAATCTTAGAAGACGCATTTTAAAGAGGGAAGAGACTATATACCTGAAGAACTGTATAAAGCAGGGATGCCCCAATATTTTCACCCATCGAATACTGCTAGAACAAGAAAATTCTATTGTAAGCTAAGATTATTAAATATTGTTCATATTTGGGCATTGTTACAGAAGTTAACTTATTTTTGCTAGTAAGGAAAAATTTATTTTGTTCAAAAGAAAATTGCATTCCCTTCTGAAAACATAAATGGTGCCAAATAGATATTATTATCTTACACCTTTTAAAGTATACTAAATAACACAATATATATTTTAAACTATTTTTTTATTTTTTCTTCTATACAATGAGTTTTGAGCGATTAATAAAACAAACATAAAGGATGTATTAATACTACTTTATCATATAAGCACCAATATACCCCCAGAAGTGATTCATACTTAGGGTATAGTCATTCTAATAGACTCCATATTCACACTAGTTTCCACTAGAGTTCTGTCATTAGTCTTTGCTCAAATAATTTTCTAAATTGTAGCTTTTCAAATACTATTTCCATGGTGATTACTATAAAGGTTTAATTAGTTATTTTAGTAGTAAGTGCTGTTTGAGGCACTAGAAACACTAGCAGATGAGCAGGACATAGTTTCTAATCCAGACTTGCTTACAATGTAGCCCAGGCAGTTCTTAAATGTCTTTCCACACACACTTGTTCTTGGAAATGTCAATGAATTTTATGTGAACAAAATCCTACTGATCAAATAAACGTAGGATGCTATTAAGTAACAGCATAAGTTCTGAAGTTAGACTAAAAACCCTTTCCTATCTAACTTCATGACTTTGGAAAAGCAATTTAACTATTCTTCCATTTCCTTATTTGTAAAATGGAAACAAAATTTTACCCATTAATTTATCGGTAAAATGAAACAATGAGTTTAAAGTACTTAGCACGGCACTTGATATTTAGAAATGGCTCAATAAAAATACTTATTATTGTTGTTCCCCTTTAATCTCCATTTTGGTGAGTTACAGTATACAATAGCATAGTACAATAGCATCTCTAAGAAATCCTGCAGTACACTAAGTCATGTAAAAATCCTACAATAAACTAAACCAAACCATAAAAGAATAAACATAAAACCTTTATCTATATGAGATATATATATATATCCACGGATATATATATATATATATATATATCAAGAGATGACTTTATTGCTTTTATCATTACACTTACTAAAATTCAACAGAAAAATTTTCCACGAGCAAAAGCTTTGGATGCACTAGTCAGTTCATATATGAGAAAGGCACAAGCCCAACACAAAAACAATCCTTCTGGAAAAAGAATGACTTCCAAGCTAACTGCACCTTGAAATATTCCCCCTTCCTCAAGACTGTAAGTTAGCTGGACATTTAGTAACAGTTAAGCTGGAAAGCTGTATAATGCTCACTTCTGCTCCAAAGACCTGTTCCTTCCTTCAAATATTAAATATATCTTTGCAAATAACCTCAGGCTCGATCCAACATGAGCTTTCCATGTTTGCTCAGATTTGACATTCTAGAGTTTTCACCTAATCATCTCACTACCTCCTCCCTGGTGAGAGCTCCTAGAATGCTTCACTACTCAAGGCCCTGTGCAGTAGATTTCATGGCATGTATATGTAGTTTACCTTCCAATTTTCTCTTGCAAATTTCCTGGACAAATTTGCAAGAAAAATATTTTTATTAAATAAAGTAGTGTATTTAAGTCTACGAGAGTATCTAAGCTAGAGTAGACACTCAATAAGTGATTCCTTTTCTATTTTGGGCTCCCTTTATGTATCCTATTAATAATCGCTATAAGGTGATTTCATGATTACAGGAAGTCAATATAAAATAGGTAAGGCTGATTAAAAATTTAAGAGTTCCTGGTTAACTCCTTTATGCAACAATATATTTTATTAATCAGTTTGGTTAAATGATTGGAATATATTTAATTCATTTTAACTTTATTGACATTATGCTTGACACTGTCATTACTACAAACAACAGTTATAGTGAAACACTTGCAGAAACTAAAACACAGAACTTTGCTACTGAACTAATAAGTCTAAATCACTTTATTGTGACCCTATTATTATTCATTTCATTGTTGTGGTTGTTGTGTTTGTTGTTGTTTGGTTTGGTGACACAATTAGTCCTGACTTTTGGGTTGATTTGCATTTTCTTATACTGCTTTCCACATCTATCATCACTGCCTTAGGTATGCCTGGCTATGTATGCCAGCTGTCTCATCTGCTAATAGTGTTTCTAATTTTTGGTTATTTTGTAAAATAAATAACCAGATTTTTAAACTTGAGGTTCATATGTACATAAATGAGACATGAGTGTGGGCCCGAAATACTACTTCTACAAACTACAAGAATTTTGGGCATATTGGGTTTGGAGCATTTTAATATAGCTACCAAAGGTCTCCTTTGCTAATGTTTAGAATCTTGGTGGAATTCCAAAACATGATGTTGCTATAGACTTGATTTGTAGATAGGAGCTATTTTACAGTACTATTAATGGAACAGAAACACTAGAATTCAGAGTGATGTAAAATTAGAGTAATTAAAATGGGAGGTATGAGGTTATACTTTTTGGCGTAACTTGTCTTGCTGTTTTACAGCTAAAAAAACTGTGGGTACTACCTAGATGTGTTTTATTCCATAAATATGAAGATGTCCTTCAAGGCATGAAGTATCATTATCATTTATAAATCATTTCCCATTTATTGAATATAAACAATGAAAATATGCCTTGAAAGTTTCCAAAAATGTTTATTTTAGTACTTTTTCAGAGGAAATTTTATCAGCAAACAAAAGCAGTTTTACTCCTCCCTGTGCATACGATGATTTCCTTTGAATGTAAAATGTTTTAATTTGAAGTAGTAGGATATAAAAGCATAAAATATAGTTTTCTTGTAACCTATTTCAAAATGTCTTAATGTTGATTATAACTATTTTGATTTGTAATACATAAAAATTTGTCAGTGGAATCAAGCTATTGAAAAACGTCCTTAAAAGCAAGTAATAACCTCACATTCTAGCAAAGTAAAATAGGGTCAATGATTACTAAGATATTTAATTTGAACTCTACTTGACTATAATTTGTCATATTCCAAAGTACCAATTTACAAAAGAATTTAATTAGAAGGTAAATTGTGAGACAATTTCTACACCTTAGACTCCTTACTATATACTTTCAGCCAGACATTTCTACAACTTATTTTAATGACATACAGAAAACACAATTAACTATCTTGGAAATATAATGTGGATAATTAGAATAGCAGATTATCTTAAAGATGACTAGTTTTGCTGCTTAGAACTTTGGGGAATTAAGTAGCAAATTTCCCATCTAACTATACCTTGAGAAGGAAAAATGTTTTGGTATTTTTTTCTCAACATACATGAGACAGTCCAGAAGCAATTATTCAAACTCAATAAAACCCATAATTCACATGTTTATACTCAAGATTTTACCAATTAATTTATTGTGGTTCTTAAATATAAGTGTTTTGGTGAAGAGCAACAGTTCTAAAACAAATTTTCTGAATCAAACAGTGGCTTTTCCATTTCAGCCATTTATTGCACAAATAATTGTAGAGTTTTTTACATGCCGACATCATGCCGAGTTTGAAGACATATACATGGTCCATACACTAATGAATCATCTATCAGTCAAATGGATGCTCAAATAAGTAAAGATGCATGATACCATGAAAGCATAGGTATCTGAGGAGGCCCTGCCCCATGTGAGGGGGGTTGCAGCAGGCTTCCCAAGAAGATGAGATCTGAGAGGAGTTAAGGTTTACTTGTTTACTTTGTGGCTTTGGGAAAGTTACTTATATTAAATAAGCCTCAGGGTTTTTTTAATCTAAAAAGTAATAGTACCTGTCTCATAAGATACTGCAAGAATTAAATTATATTATGCTTATAAATCACTTAATATAGCAACTGATATATAGTAAATGACACAATTAGAAAGACTGTTCCTCACTTTGCTAGTAATTGTAATTATATCATTAATAATCAATATCTTAAATTACCATAAATTATAAGACACGATCTAGAGACCTCACTGATTCATACATATTGGCCCATCTCAGAAAACTTGTTAAAAAAATACGTTTTCTAAAAGAAGTCAGAAATTTTCATGTACTTCAAAGTAAGACCAAATTGACTAATCACTTGGGACAAGATAATGTTTTTGTTTTTTTTTTAAAGGAGCCTGCAATTTCCTTACAAACTTGGATTCAACTAATAAAGTCACTTTCTTGAAAAAAAATTAGAGACAATCTACACATAGAGAAATCACCTTAGAATTCCCTGTTATGGAGTAATTAAGGGAAATTATTGTCCTCCTCACTATTCTAAGTTCATTTATCTATGTGACTCCAGGTGTGAAAAAGGAAGTTATGTGTACACTCCCTAAGATACAAATAAGAATAAGAACATGGGAGAGATCTATTTATGTAATGATAAATTCAGTCCATGATGCATAATCAATGGCACATTTCCACAAATGTGAAAGCAAGGGCCCTGTAGCAACAAAGACAAATCACTAATGTGTTTCACATCAGCTGTCTAAAACATGTAAATCTGGGTGCGGTGGTTCACGCCTGTAATCCCAGCACTTTAGGAGGCCGAGGTGGGTGGATCATCTGAGGTCAAAAGTTAGAGACCAGCCTGGCCAACATGGTGAAACCCCATCTCTACTAAAAAAATACAAAAATTAGTTGGGCGTGGTGGCACATGCCTGTAATCCCAGCTACTCAGGAGGCTGAGGCAGGAGAAATGCTTGAACCTGGGAGGCGGAGGTTGCGTGAGCCGAGATCACGCCACTGCACTCTAGCCTGGGCAACAAGAGTGAAACTCCATCTAAAAAAAAAAAAAAAAGGAAATCCTTTCTCTTATAGTTCAGTGAAATATTTCAAGGTATATGTCATCTTCTGAGTAACTGATAATAATTTGAGGGAAAGTATTGTGCTAACAGACATCAGAATTATAATTTAGTCCTTAACTATCAGTTTCAGAAATTTCACTTAGACTTAACGCATCTCAACATGCATCCAGTGTGTTTAAATTTTCAAATCTACTAATTTCCTTGGAGAAATGGCTTCATAAAAAATCATGTTGAATTATGCAGCAGACATATGAAACTTACAGTCTTCGTTTTAAAAATTCATAAGTAATATTATTTTTCAATCAGAATAATAAGGTTGTCAGTTTTTGTGTTGTAGGTTTGCTAAAGTGTTGTTCTAGAATAAATCCTGGCTTAAATTGGCAGTATGCAAAGCAAATGCAGTACAAATGGCTGAATATAATGTGCAGTGATAGTTCATTATTTTATGTACCACAATAAACATTTATCAAACACTGCTTCAAGGGCCAATACAAAGGTAAAAGCTGGGAACATATAGACAAATGCAGTCTATAAACCTGAGAAATAGTCATGTAAGCATCAGCACCGCATTATATAATCAAGTCTCATTATTTGTGGTAGTTATCTTCTATATTGTTGAGAACACTGGCTTAGCAAATACTGATTTATTGTTGCTAGGGGGAAAAAGGGTTAGATTCAGTCTTTGATCACATTATCATCAACAAGTTATATTTTATTTGTTTTTGTTTAAAGACACTTTAATACATATTGTTGATTCAGTAACATTGAACTCACAGCCAATAGCACTATAACTCCCATCTAAATGAAAGTATTTAACACACATATTTTCTCCATAAGGTGCATCACAGCCTTCTTGCCCTTAGAAACATTAGACAGCACTTCAGCAGTATACTTGGGGACCATTATTAGGAGCAAAATCTCCCAACAAAAAGCACAAACATGGAAAAAAAAATTGGTACTAAAGAGACCACAAAAAAGATACTTTTTTAAAACCTAATGAGAACTGAAACAAGAAGGCAGAGGGTCACCCTGTTAGAGCTTAGCTAGTAACATGCATGCCAGATGACCCTATTTTTACTACTCTGTACATATCTGAGAATGACCACAAAATGCCAGGAGTATTAAGTGACATAACAAATTTTAGCAAGCAGGCAAATTTGCAAATACAGAATCCATAAATAATTAGGATTGACTATAAATGCACATATTAACAGTGGCGTGCAATTGTATGCATCTAGTAATTGCATATGCAAAGTGTTACATAACAATCACTAGTCCTCCCAGCTAACAAATTAACCCAAGATCTTTTCTGCTATAGGGTCTTCAAAGACACAACATGCTGTTCTTTCTTTCTATAAGGTAGTTTTCCAAACTCTTTGCATAGTTGCCTCTTCCTCATCTTCTATGTTTCCACTAATGTGTATCTCTTCAGACTATAGTTCTCTGACAGCCCTATAACATAATCCTATTATCTGTATCCCTTTAGTTTTATCTCCGTTATCATACTTATTGTATCAGAGGATCCCCATGACACTGCATATTTCTATAGCTTCAGAAGCAGAGGGAGCTTAGACCATGCACAGGGTAAAATAAGACAATACGTAAAATATGTTTCAATACATAATAAAAACTTACTGATTAAAACTTTATAGATATATTATAAAAAGTTGTTAAAATCATTCTATCTACTATAAACACCTATAAAATTTTTTAAATGGTAAAAAAATGATCTTATAAAACAGTAATTTATAAATTTGGCAAATTGATTAACCTAAAAGATGTTCAGAGAATCCCCCAAATTTGGAAATTCATGAAACCAAAAAAAATGACTTTAAAAGAGATTTGAAAGAAAATAACATAACTAAAAAGTTCCCATTTAAAATAACCTGGTTATAGTTTTTAAAATACTAGTGTATTAGTTCATTTTTATACTACTATGAAAAAATACCCAAGACTGGGTAATTAATAAAGAAAAAGAAGTTTAATGAACTCACAGTTCTACATGGCTGAGGAGGCCTCACAATCATGGCAGAAGGCAAAGGAGGAGCAAAGGCACGTCTTACATGGTGTCAGGCAAGAGAGCATTTGCAGGGGAACTGCCATTTATAAAAACTATCAGATATCATGAGACTTATTCACCATCACAAGAACAGCAATGGAAAAACCCAACCCTATTATTCAGTTACCTCCCACCTGGTCCCTTCCATGACATATGGGGATTAGGGGAGCTACAATTCAAGATGAGATTTGGGTGGGGACAGAGCCAAACCACATCATTCCACCCCTGGGCCCTCCCAAATCTCATGTCCTCACATTTCAAAACCTGTCATGCCCTTCCAACCGTTCCTCAAAGTCTTAACTCATTTCAGCATTAACTCAAAAGTCCACAGTCCAAAGTCTCATCTGATACAAGGCAAATACCTTCCACCTGTGAGCCTGTAAAATCAAAAGGCAATTAGTTACTTCCAAGTTAAAATAGGGGTACAGGCATTGGGTAATTACACCTGTTCCAAATAGAAGAAATTGGCCAAAACAAAAGGACTACAGGCCCCATGCAAGTCCGAAATCCAGCAAGACAGCCAAATCTAGAAGCTCTAAAATGGTCTCCTTTGACTTCATGTGTGACACATCCAAGTCTCATTGATGAAACAGGTGGGCTCCCATAGCCTTGAGCAGCTCCACCCCGTGGCTTTGCAGGGTACAGGCCCCTCCCAGTTTCTTTCATGGGCTGGTTTGAGTGTCTGCAGTTTTTCCAGGTGTATGATGCAAGCTGTCAGTGGATCTACCATTCTGGTGTCTGGAGGAAAGTGGCCCTCTTCTCACAGCTCCACTAGGCAGAGCCCCATTGGGGACTCTGTATGGGGGCTCCCACCCTATATTTTCCTTCCACACTGCCCTAGCAAAGGTTCTACATGAGGGCTTCATCCATGCAGCACACCTCTGCCTGGACATCCAGGCATTTCCATACATCTTCTGAAAGCTATATGGATGATCCCAAACCTCAATTCATGACTTTTGTGCACCCACAGGCTCAACGCCACATGAAAGTTGCCAAGACTTGGGGCTTGAACCCTCCAAAGCCACAGCCTGAGCTGTACCTTTGCCCCTTTTAGTCATGACTGAAGCAGCTGGGATGCAGGGGACCAATCCCAAAGCTGCACACATCAGTGGGGGCCCTGGGCCAGGCCTACAAAACCTAAGCTTCCAGGCCTATGACAGAGAGGGGCTGCCACAAAGGTTCTGACATATCCTGGAGATATTTTCTCCATTGTCTTGGTTATTCACATTCAGCTCCTTGTTACTTATGCAAATTTCTGCAGTCACTTGATTTTCTCCCCAGAAAATTGGTTTTTCTTTTTATTGCATTGTTAGGCTGCAAATTTTCCAAACTTTTATGCTCTGCTTTCTCTTGAACGCTTTGCCACTTAGAAATTTCCACTGCCAGATACCCTAAATCATTTATCTCAAGTTCAAAGTTCCACAGATCTCTAGGATGAGCACAAAATGCCACCAGTCTTTTTGCATAGCAAGAGTGACCTTTAATCCAGTTTCTAACAAGTACCTCATCTCCATTTGAGGCCACCTCAGCCTGGATTTTATTGTCCATATCACTATCAGCATTTGGGTCAAGGACATTCAACAATTCTCTAGGACGTTCCAAACTTTCACACATTTTCCTGTCTTCTTTTGTGCCCTCCAAACTGTTTCAGCCTCTGCCTATTACACAGTTCTAAAGTTGCTTCCACATTTTTGGGTATCTTTACAGCAGTACCCCACTCTCTGTGGTACAAATTTACTGTATTGGTCCATTCACATTCTGCTAATAAAGGCATACTCAAGACTGGGTAATTTATAAAATAAAGAGGTTTAACTGACTCACAGCTCCACAGGCCTAGGGAAGCCTCAGGAAACTTACAATCATGGTGGAAGGGGAAGCAAACACAGCCTTCTTCTCAGGGTGGTAGCAAGGAGAAGGGCCGAGCAAAAGGGGGAAAAGTCCCTTATAAAACTATCAGATCTCATGAAATTTATTCATTATCACCAGAACAGCACAGGAAAACCCACCTCTGTGATTTAATTACCTCCCACTGGGTCCCGCCCATGACACCTGGGGATTATGGGCACTACAATTCACGATGAGATTTGGGTGGGGACACAGCCAAACCATATCAAATAGTGATTGAAAATATTCAAGAATAATACATTTATGAATCTATTTATAAAGTCTACATTAATGAAATGACAAAACCACGTTTAACATTTTTCAAAATGACAAGAATTTATCAAAATATTCTTGAGAAAGTTCATTTCTTTGTTGTATTAAAAATAATTATTTCTTGTAAAACATTTACTAAATTTACTAGGCAGCTTAAAAGGAGATTTGAACAGATAGAAGAAAGAATCAACAAACTTTAAGATAAGTTCATTGAGATTACCTCGTCTGAGGAAGAAAAAATAATAATAATAGGTAACACATAGAAACACATCATGGGAATAATAGAAGAGGACAGGGTGAAACAGGCTGAAAGAACATTTGAAAAAATAATGACTGAAAACTTCCCAGACATGATTTAAAACATTTTGCTACACATTCAAAAAGCTTAGCAAATTCCAAACAGGATAAACTCAAAGAGATCCACACCAAGCACATTTTAATCAAACTGTTAGAAACCCAAGACAAAGAGAGAATCTCGAAAGCAAGAAAGCACTGACTCATCGCATACAAGGGATCTTCAGTAAGATTAACAGTTTATTTTTTCAGAAATCATGGAGGCCAGAAGGCATTGGGTTACATACTTGTTTAAAGTGCTAAAAGAAAAACAAAAAAAGAGTTTCTAACAAGAATTCTATATCCAGCAGAAGTATCCTCCAAAAATGAAAGAAAAATTAAGACATTCCCAGATAAATGATATCAGAGAATTCATCACTAGCATATCTGTCCTATAAGAAATGCTAAAGGGAGTCCTTAACCTGAAGTAAAGAACACTAGACAATAACTCATGTAGAGCTTACTTATTGTCTAGTGTTCTTTTATTTCACCCTCAAGCCATGAAAAAAACACTGAGACATGTAACTACATAGGAAAATATAATGAACAGTATAAATGTATACAGTCATTACTCAGTATCCATGGGGGATTGGTTCCAGGAATCTTTGCGGATCCCAAAATCTACAGATGCTCAAGTCCATTACGTAAAATGGTGCAGTATTTCCATATAACCTATACACATCCTCCCGTACACTTTAAATCATCTCTAGATTACTTATAATACCCAAGAGAAGCCTACACATCCCTTTATTTGTGAGGATTTAACATAGTACTTGGTACACAGCAAATTCAAATTTTGCTCTTTGCAACTTTACTCTTTGGATATTTTTTCTGAATATTTTTGATCTGCAGTTGGTTAAATCCACAAGTACAGAATCTATGGATATGAGGGCCAACTGTATTTTATCATTAACTCTCTTTTTTCTATCTGATATAGAGGAGAACTACATAAAAATGACAATTATAAATCTAAGTTGATGGGCATACAATCTATTAAGATGTAATTTATGGCAATAACAATATAAAGATGGGATGCATGCTATATGTATATGAGCAAATTTTTTATATTATTAAAATTAATTGGTATGCATTTGAACTAAATTGCTATAAATTAAGATGAATATTTTAATCTCCAGAGGAACCACTAAGAAAATAACTCAAAAAATTCAGTGAAAGAAGTGACAAAGAAATTAAAGAAAATATATATTTAATATAAAATAAGGCACTAATAGAGAAACTGAAAAACAAAAAAGACATAAGACATTGAAAGCAAAATCTAGCATATGACCATCAGGGTAGGTGGTAAAGAGTATGGGGAAAATGATTACTAAAAATGAAAACTTTAAGAAATGAACAAATTGCGATGTTAGATATTTTCTCCCCTAACATGGCAGTGAAGGATGAAAAGCATCTGAGAGGAGATGAAGGTCCGGAATCTAAAGTCTCCACTGGGTGTAGAAGAATGATAGCAGAAGAGAAGGTGACATCAACAAGAAGAGAAAGAGAATGTTCTAGCCCCAAAGGTGTAGGTGGACAGTGACAAAGTTAGGGACTGGAGCCCTGAAGGGAAGCAAGGAGGACATCACTCATAAGTATGGTCTGTGTGATGTGAGAAAAAAATAAGCTTCTCAACAAACCAACTGGAAAGCAAGTCCTCTGGGGTGGGAAGGTGTGAGGTGGGTTTCAGCTAAAGCTAGTAGGTTATGGGAATCTTCACACACAGACACACACACACACACACACACACACACATTGCCCTATCATATCCCTCTGGTAGCACTATTCTTTCAATGTTTCCTTTTCCACATGCAGCAGTGGTAGGAATTAGGTTCTTTAGGCAATAACCATTAATTAGCATATATATATATATATATATATAGTCTAACAATGAATTTTGAAGAAGCACAAAAACATTGAAATAGCAGAGGCTTAATCATTAGCATAGTGTTTTAAGTAGCAAAACTAAAAAAAAAATCTGTCGTGAAATAAATAAATGAGAAATTCTCAAGCACACCTATATTAAGACACTAGCTATTATAGTAAAAACAAAACAAAACTATTTGGCAACAAGTAGATATTTCATATTCAAAAGATAATCATGTAAATTTTAATTGAAAAAGGAAATCTGAACAGTAAAATAGTTTGGTACACTGATTAGTCATGTGGAGAAAACTGTAGTTAAATAAAAAAAGGCATTCATTGAAGATGGCAAAAATTATGTATTATTAACATTCAAAAACCTAATCTGCTTAAATGAGCTGACAAGGCTAAAATTGTGCATGAGAAAAGCTAAGGCTATTCAAACGATAGGTCTCTGCTGTTCTTAGTAGGGAAACATTTAAATGTTGTCTGCTTCCGTACTTGTTCTCGAAACTCCTAAACACAAATAGCATCAAATCAGAAATGGGTTTTATTTTCCTAATGAATTATTCAAATCCCAGAATAATCTCCACATCCTAATGTGCTCTATTCTAATGTTGAAACAGCCAGCTTCTCCTCATTCTCTGGTATGATTAGTACATAGTCAAAATCACACACAAGCAATTGCCATTCAGTATATATGTAACTTTGGCCGAGTTTCTTAACTTACCTAGAACTTCTGTCCTCATATGTATGATGCACAAATTAATATTATATATCTCACAGGATGTAGCAAATTTTTAAAGACCATCTATGTGATTCAGGGGATGTGGCAAAATTAAACAATGTAATTTATGTTAAATATTTTCAAGGTGCTCAGCACATATCAAACTTCAAATAAATGTTGGCTGACCTTACCTTAATAGACAAATATTTTAATTTATTTTCTGTTTTCTTTTTACCTAAGTAGTAATCATACATGGCTAAACAACATTTTTTAAACGTTCTGTTCTATTTGTAGACCAATTCACCAAAAGCAACATTTTAGGCCAAGGATAAAAGCTAAACTTAGTGAGGTTACATATTAACTAGTAGATTTTTTTCTGATAGAGAATGCAACCAATTTTGATCCAGTGGAAAACATAATAGATACAGTTTATTGTCCTGTGGGACATTACCCAGTTTTATATCTGATCCAGCAATCAGATCCTAACATTTCTTTCATAAATTTCCTAACACTGTTTAGCAATTCAAATGCCCTTTGTACTGTACCTTACAGGTTCCCTTTTTAATTAATGAATTGAATAAGATATTTGACACATCCTTATTTTATGTTTGTTTGAGAGTCATAATTTTACCTTTTTGAAAATTATACTTTAACACAACTAAATTTTAATTATTTAACTATTTCCTCCAGTGGTTATTCAATATACATAAGAATTATTTTGAATGCTATTTCTCAATTGATCAGATTTTGATATTACCTTAGGACTTCTTGCTATGACTGATGGTGGACACATAGCCAAACCATATCACCATGTCTCTGCTCAAACATCCTTTCTGTTTGTGGATTCTGTTCATCTTGTCTCTTAGATTATTTAATACATTACTTATAGCTATTTTAATGCCATCTCTGTGTCTAGTTCTGTTTATTATTTATCTCTTGAAAATGTGTTAATTTTTCATCCTTTTTGTGTCTGTCAATTTTTTAATGAATGTAGTTCATTGTGTATAGGACAGTAGAAACTGAGTTAAATCATATTTATGTATATGTATGCATCTTCTTTGGGAGGTTCACTCACTCTATCCAGGGGTTGAGTTAGTTTATAGTTTTGTGTTTCTGTCATTAGCTCCAGTGCAACACAAGCATCCCATCTTTCTAGAAGTGAATTGCTATTTCTTGTGCCTAGGGTAAAGACTGCAGTGTTTGATTGTTTTTTCTTTTTTTCACTATTTGTGTGTCACTCTAAGCTTTCAGTCATCTTTGCACTGCTGGACCCCATAGTGATGCCCTCTCCATGCTCTTCTTTCCCCTCTAAAAAATAACTGCTATTTCTTGTTACTCACTGCTAGAATTGTTTTTGGAAGTTGGGGGATTCTCAGCTATGTTTGTCCAGCGTTGGTCACAGAAAGGACATATGAGCCTGGGCCTCGATAATGGAGCTTTGTCAGTATCCCTGCACTTCCCAACTTTACCTTGCATCTGTAGTTGTTCTTCTGTGAATGAGTTTTCTGCCCTTCTCTCAGTGGAGGGAGATTTCTGCTTAGTTTCTGCTTGGTTTAGAATCTTGAGTGTAAGAGCATTTTCTGTCCCTCCCCACAGATGCAGACCATTTTTGCTTCTATTTCTTTCCAGAACTAGTGGGTATTTACCCGGGGTTCTAGAGGAAGGTTAGTTTGTTTCTATACCACTCACTTGAGGGGCCTTTTCTTAAGGGTAATAAATTGTCTTTGACCTTTCTTGTGAGAACCTGCTGGGACTCATGGAAAAGTACTTGTAAGTAAATGTGGACTCCCTTTGACCTGGAGCTCCCAGTTATTTTAAACTGTCAAGCTGGCCTACATTCAGCCTTTGAGAGTTTGTTAAAATATCAGCTGTATTCTTTTTATTTACTTTTATGATGACCACTTCTTCCCCTTGCACTCTGCCAACTGCAAAACAAACAATGTTTTATTCCTCCTGAGGCATTTGAATTTTGAGTATATAGCTTACTTGGTTGCATTATAAGCTCAGTTTTCTAAGGGAATTTAAAATGTTGTAGATTATATGGCTGTCATTGTTAGAGTAAAATCACATATTGTTTTGGGTTTCTACATCTTAAGCAAAGAAGAACTATTGCTTGGCTTTGTTTGTGAAAATATTTTAAAAGGTAAGTAATGATGTTTTTAATAAGGCACCTATTTTCATTGGAAAAGTACACCTTATGCCAATTATTTCAATGATCTTAGAATTACTTTTTGTTGCCATTAAGAATACTGTTACAATTATTAGATTGGTGCAAAAGTAATTGCGGTTTCTCCCATTACTTTCAGTGACAAAGACAGCAATTACTTTTGCACTAACCTACTATTTACTTTCAAAACAAGAACTGGTTGCTCCCTGCTATAATATTAACAGATGAAATTTAGTTTGTATAATTACTTGTATTATACTTACAACTATTTTACTTTTCTAGAAACATCCCTCATGTTGCTATTACTATCTTTTATACAACCTGAATTGAATTGCTAGAGCTTATAAAAAATTTTTCTAAAATTATTTTATACAAATTTAAGTCTGTTTTTGTTTGCAGGTAAAAATAAATTATCAACAATTTCTCCTTGATATTTCTGGACACTACAAAGGAAGTACCCATTATGCGTATAGTTTAACACCAGTATAACTTCATCTGTACATAAATAAGTATTTCTGAGAAGATTAAATAAATCAACTTGGAAATGCTACTTCTATATTCAGTAAATCATGAGGAATCTTAGATTAATATTTCTTTCCCAAAATTCCTTTGCCTAATCTCCTGTAAAGAATACAGATTGGCTTATTCCTGTAATCCTAGCACTTTGGGAGGCCAAGGCGGGCAGATCACCCAAGGTCAGGAGTTTGAGATCAGCCTGGCCAATAAGGAGAAACCCCGTCTCTACTAAAAAGACAAAATTTAGCCAGGCACGGTGGCGCATGCCTGTAATCCCAGCTACTTCGAAGACCGAGGCAGGAATTGCTTGAACCTGGGAGGCGGAGGTTACAGTGAGCTGAAATTGTGCCACTGAACTCCAGCAGCCTGGGCAAAAGAGCGAGACTCCATCTCAAACAGAAAAAAAAAAGCCGGTTGGGGTGGGGGGCGGACATAGAACAGTCTCCAAGGTGGAATAGATGACATGAAACAAATCTCAATAGCACTGAAAGGATTAAAATTATAAAAGGACATTCTCTGATCACCAGGTAAGTAGATTAGAAATCAATTACAGAAAAAGAACTAAAAAATCTCTAAACATTTGGAAATTAAACAATACAGTTATAAATAATCAATGGATCAAAAAATAAATCACACAGTAAATTAGAAAATATCTTGAACTGAATGATAATGAAGACTAAATTTACTAGATTTTGCTGACTTGAGCTAAAGATGTACTTATGAAAGTATTACATCATTAAATGCTTATAATGGAAAATTACAAAGGTCTAACATCAATGACTGAAGCTTTTTAATGAAGGTTGAAAATTAAAATCACATTAAATGCAAAGCAGGTAGAAATAAAGAGAACAAAATCAATGATATTAAAAAACGAGAATAATAATCAAAAATCAAAACTGATTTTTGGAAAAGATCAATATAATTGACATATTTCTATCTAGACCTAGCAATAAAAAAGAGAACAAAGAACACAGAAATGACCAATATTAGAACAATAAACAGGAACTCATTCTACTCCTACTAATATTAAATGGTATTAAGGCAATATTATCAATAACTACGTCAACAAATTCAACAGTTTAGAGAAAATGGACAAATTCTTTGGAAGATACAAAGAACTGAAACACAGGAATACAAAATATTCATATATCTTTAAATAAATTCAACTTGTAATTAAAAGCCTTCTAGCAAAGAAAACTACAGAGCCAGTTTGCTTTACTAGCAAATTCTATTAAACAGTAAAGAAATAATAGCAAGCCACTAAAAACTCTTTTGTAATATAGAGAAGAGAACATTTCCAAATAATTTTGTGACAATATTACCTTGATGTCAAGACTGGACAAAAACACAAGAAAACCATAGGCTTCATTAACACAATATGAGAGATGCAGGGGAAAAGAGAGAGAGATACGCATGAACATAGATGTAAACATCCTTAACAAAACATTACCAAATTAAATCCAGCAATACATTAAAAAATGTATTATTATGAGGTAGGGCTTACCCTAAAAATGAAAGGTTAGTTTAACATTTGAAAAGTATTCAATGTATTAATTCAGTTTGAAAGAATGAAGAAGAAAATGACATGAACATCTTAATAAATACAGAAAAATCACATCACAAAATTCAATCAATATCCATTCATACAAAAAATAAAAACTTGACACACTAGAAACAGAAAAGACTTTCTGTGATATTATATAGAGCATCTATGGAACAACTACCTAAAATCTTACTTAATGATGATAGACTGAACATTGTTGCCCTAAAAATAGGAACAAGGCAAACATGTCTGCTCTTCTCTATTCTATTCAACATAGTACTGGAGATCCTAGGCCATGCTGTAGGCAAGAATAACAAATAATGACATACATATTGTAAAGAAAGAAGTAAAACTATTGATTTGCATAGGAAAAAATGTTATGCCTGAAAAAAACTAAGGCATATACAACCAAAACCTACTAGTACTAAGAAGTGAATTTATCAAGAAAACAGAATACAAGTTCAATATACAAAACAAAAATTATTTTTCATACACTAGAAATAAACAATTCGAAAATAAAATATTTTATCATTGCATGAAAAACACCTTAAATACTTAGGTAAACAACAGAAATTGGTGCAAACTTCCACAAAAAAAACTACAAAACATTCTTAAAAGTGACTAAAGACCTAAAAAAAGGAATATACCATAATGAATTGGGAGACTCAATATTAGTAAAATATAAAATTCCTCAAAATTATCTATAAGTTCAAAACAATCTCAATCAACATCCCAACAAGACTGCAAAAATTCACAAGCTGAATTTAATATTTACATGGAAATACAAAAAACCTAAATGCCAAAACAATTTTGAAAAGAAGAAGAAAACTGTAAGGCTTATGGTACTTGATAAACCTATGGTAATCAAGATAGTGTGGCTCTAACACAGAGATATATAGGTAAATGAGAGAATATAAAGTCTATACACATACACACACTCATGATCAATTGATTTTCAAAAGGATCAATTTAAAGAGAGAGGATAATCTTTTCAATTAATAGTACTGGAAAATCTGATATCTGAATGAATCCTCGCCTCCAGTATGCACAAAAACTAACATGGGATCAATTATATACCTCAATCTAAAGCAAAAAATATAAAACTAAAAGGAAAACAGAGGAGAAAATCTTTGTGACATTAGGGGAAGCAGGGATTCTTAGCTAGGACTCCAAAAGTTTTAATAATAAAAGAACAAAATTCATAAATTGCACTTATTCAGAATTTAAAACTTTGTTTCTAAAATAAAAGAACAAACTCTATATTTGGAGAAAAAATTAGCTATATGTATATCTGTTAAAGCATTGTCATCTAAAGCATAAGAAGTACTCTTTAAACTCATTAGTAAGAAAAAAATGGGCAGCAAATTTTAATAGAATATAATAACAAATATAATATAATAAATGTTAAATATTCACATGAAAAATTATCATCATTAGTCATCAAGGAAATGCAAATTAAAACTATAATGACATACAACTATACTCTACCAAAAAGGCTAAAATTAAAAAGAGTGGCCTGGCACAGTGGCTTACACCTGTAATCCCAGCACTTTGGGAGGCCGAGGTTGGCAGATCACTTGAGCTCAGGAGTTTGAGACTAGACTGAGCAACATGGTGAAACCCTGGTTCTACAAAAATTTTTTTTTTTAATTAGCTGGGTGCGGTGGCATGCGCCTATAGTCCCAGCTACTTGGGAGGCTGAGGTGGGAGGATGGCTTGAGCCCAGGAGACAGAGGTTGCAGTGAGCCAAGATGGTGCCACTGCACTCCAGCCTGGGTGACAGAGCCAGATCCTGTCTCAAAAAATAAAACAAAATAGTAAAAAAATAGAAAAATAATTTTAAAAACTTAAAAATGTTGACAACTATGAGCAATAAGAACTCTCATACATTGGATGATACTACCATTTTGGAAAATAATGCAAAATATTCTAAAAATAATATTAAATATTAATTTGTGATTTATCTCCAGGTGAGAATATTAATCTTTTTTAGGAATTAGTCAAGAGAAATGAAGACATATATACACACAGAGACTTGTACTCAAATGTTCAAGGCATTTTTATAAATAATACACCAAAAACTGAAAACATCCCAATGTCCATCACCATTTAAATGAAACACATGGTTTCAGGAGATAAAATATGGGGCTATTTCTATAAACTGGCTTGATATGGAGTAAATGCAGTCTCACCAAGAAATAGTAAATTTATTGAATGACTCTAAAAGCAAACATTTATTGCTTGAGTATAAAGACTGTCAGCAGTATGCATCGCAATAAAATAGTACTTATCAGTCCAAGTATAATGAGAGCCTGAAGTTCAAAATTTCATCTCAAATGTAAGTCCCCATGGGCATTTCTAATGTGTACACCAAGTTATGGCAATGATTAATACAGCGAAAAGTGCTATGAATTGTGATCAGTAAAGATTATGTGAGGGCAGTGATGCTAATGGTTAGAAAGATTCGTGGACATTCAGGAATAGAAGAACGTGATCCAGTGTAATGCACATCTTTGTGGAGATTTGACCATCATGCATCTGATCACACAAATTGACACTTCCCTGTTAATGCGCAACTATCTTTATTCAATGTAAATGACCATCAGTATACCACAAAAAGAATAAAAAAGTGTTTCCACTTTCATTAAAGGATAGAGAAATAGTTTACTCTTCTGAACTGTAAATGTGATTTGTTCTCTCCTCACCTCAGAAAATACCATACACTTTTAAATTATCCAAAACAGTTACTACATGTCATATATTTTCTAACAGTGCTTATTTTACTTATTAGCATTTTTACAAAAAGGACAGTAGTTGCCAGGAAATTTCCACATTCCCAGAAATGGCAGGCAAAAGCAGTGGTAAGTAAGGGAATCCAAGTAAATTGAATGAGTCTTATTTCTGTGAGCTATACTCAAACTTATTAGTCTATGTCTATTCACCAGAATCATGATAAACTATTTCATCTAATGCCAATCTATTAAATAATCTCTCCACTAAAATAAACTTGCCAGGCATAACCCAGTGTGATGTCTCAAATGAAAAAGAGGAAAAACTGACTCAGAAGTCACTGGCAGTATAAACACAGTCGGGCAACACTTGTAGTCCCTTTTCCCTCATAGCCACGGTGATTGATGAAGAAGAGAACTAAAAATAACTGCACAACAGATGGTAAGAAGTATAGCAACAGCACCTGATTTTCTGCAATGCTTTTTGCAAATGTTAACGTGCATAAGGCATAATGAGAGAACTGATGCAACTTCGAAAGAGGCACTGTTTGTAAAATTCTGAATACTAAAGAGTAACCTAATAAACATAGATGGCTTGCTCCTGGCTACTGGCTAAGATTCTAAATTCCAGGAGCTTAGGAAATCCAGCCAGGGGATGCAGTCTTTCTTCAATGTCTGTGACAGGATCATGCAGTTGCTCCAGGGAAAGCACACACCACATGATCCATGCGTAGAATCGCATCTTGGCACTACACCATTGTGTGAAAATGTAACAACTTTGATATAGCATCCAAGAAAAACATGAAGTTAAATGAGATGTATTAAAACAAGCTTGTGTGAGCATGAGAACAGCTTTTGAAAAAATTAGACCCTTACTTCACAACCTGCTTGGGCCAAAAATCCATTGAAAATTGGTCCCATCGTGACCACAGTTTCAATGACAACCCTATTCACTAAATTGTCTAATTTCTGCCTCCCTTCTCCTGTGCTTTCCTGCTCTTATTTGGCCAGAAATATAAACATTATATCATCAGGATGATCTTTTACTTTGGGGAAAAAAAGATTTATGGCATTATTCTTTTTATGATTAAAAAAGTTCCTCCTAATTTAACAAAGATTGAAATAAATGCAACTATTTATTAAGTTCCCATTACTAGTCATATGTGTGATAAATTTGATGAGTGGAAAAAAACTGTACATAATAGTGCAGTTGTTCACGTGGATACCCAGCCAAAAGGCAAGTGGGGGCTGAAATCTAGGCAAGCTCTACTTATAGTGGCTTCTCCCGAGATGAAGAGACTTCTGCTAATTTTCCCAGTCACTGGTAGCATCTATTAGCAATTTGTCTGCTTGAGGAAGGATGTCTTTTCCTAATACACACAAACATGCTGGTATGCAAACAGAGACCCTAAGTATGAAAAGGAACCTAATGAAATGGAAAACAAACAGTGAACTTGACAGGTATGATAATGGCCAAGAAATAAGAAAGGAAACTGAAACAGAAATACGAAAGGAAACTGAAACAAAAGGTCCAGAAGGCTGGACCTTGAAGAAAGAGCAGGATTGGGATCTGGAAAAAGACTGTAGACATCACAAGCATTGGAGTTAAATGGGACCACAACCAGCATATTACTCAGGAGCTACATCATTCATTTAAAACTGGGTGAAATTAGAGCTGTGCTCAATAACTGAGAAGATAAAACATGCTCTTATTCATATACTTCCATAACTGCGGAAAACAATTTTATGCTTTTAAGAAAACTATCCCAAGAAAGAGAATAAAATTTTATTTGCTTAACAGAAAATACATTTCCACTGGGAATTTTCCTTTCAAATAGTACGATTCAGAATTGTGTAAAATTTTTTAAAAATTCTCAAATAATGGGTTGATGGTAATTTTTTAAAAAGTACTGATTCCATTGAATCACGTGTATTCTAAATATACAGACTAAATTAGGAAATCACAGAGTATTGAGAAAAAGAAAAAACAAGGGCCATAAAGATGTGAAATGTACCAATGTGAATTTTTTTTTATTATACTTTAAGTTCTAGGATATACGTGCACAACATGCAGGTTAGTTACATATGTATACACGCGCCATGTTGGTG
Organism: Homo sapiens; assembly: GCF_000001405.40. Classification (NCBI taxonomy): domain Eukaryota; kingdom Metazoa; phylum Chordata; class Mammalia; order Primates; family Hominidae; genus Homo; species Homo sapiens. The sequence continues at coordinate 80,689,268 of NC_000006.12, read as the reverse complement.
TGCTGCACCCATTAACTCGTCATTTAACATTAGGTATATCTCCTAATGCTATCCCTCCCCTCTCCCCCCACCCCACAACAGGCCGCGGTGTGTGATGTTCCCCTTCCTGTGTCAATGTGTTCTCATTGTTCAATTCCCACCTATGGGTGAGAACATGCAGTGTTTGGTTTTTTGTCTTTGCAATAGTTTGCTGAGAATGATGGTTTCCAGCTTCATCCATTTCCCTACAAAGGACATGAACTCATCATTTTTTATGGCTGCATAGTATTCCATGGTATATATGTGCCACATTTTCTTAATCCAGTCTATCATTGTTGGACATTTGGGTTGGTTCCAACTCTTTGCTATTGTGAGTAGTGCCACAATAAACATATGTGTGCATGTGTCTTTATAGCAGCATGATTTATAATCCTTTGGGTGTATACCCAGTAATGGGATGGCTGGGTCAATTGTTATTTCTAGTTCTGGATCCTTGAGGAAACGCCACATTGTATTCCACAACAGTGGAACTAATTTACACTCTCAGCAACAGTGTAAAAGCATTCCTATTTCTCCACGTCCTCTCCAGCATCTGTTGTTTCCTGACTTTTTAATGATTGCCATTCTAACTGACATGAGATGGTATCTCATTGTGATTTTGATTTGCATTTCTCAGATGACCAGTGATGATGAGCGTTTTTTCATGTGTCTGTTGGCTGCATAAATGTCTTATTTTGAGAAGTGTCTGTTCATATCCTTTGCCCACTTTTTGATGGGGTTGTTTTTTTCTTGTAAATTTGTTTAAGTTCTTTGTAGATTCTGGATATTAGCCCTTTGTCAGATGGGTAGATTACAAAAATTTTCTCCCATTCTGTAGGTTGCCTGTTCACTCTGATGGTAGTTTCTTTTGCTGTGCAGGAGCTCTTTAGTTTAATTAGATCCCATTTTTCTATTTTGGCTTTTGTTGCCATTGCTTTTGGTGTTTTAGACATGAAGTCTTTGCCGATGCCTATGTCCTGAATGGTATTGCCTAGGTTTTCTTCTAGGGTTTTTATAATTTTAGGTCTTACATTTAAGTCTTTAATCCATTTTGAATTAATTTTTGTATAAGGTGTAAGGAAGGGATCCAGTTTCAGCTTTCTACATATGGCTAGCCAGTTTTCCCAGCACCATTTATTAAATAGGGAATCCTTTCCCTACTGCGTGTTTTTCTCAGGTTTGTCAAAGATCAGATGGTTGTAGATGTGTGGTTTCTGAGGCCTCTGTTCTGTTCCACTGGTCTATATATCTGTTTGGGTACCAGTACCATGATGTTTTGGTTACTGTAGCCTTGTAGTATAGTTTGAAGTCAGGTAGCATGATGCCTCCAGCTTTGTTCTTTTTGCTTAGGATTGTCTTTGCTATGCAGGCTCTTTTTTGGTTCCATATGAATGTTAAAGTAGTTTTTTTCCAATTCTGTGAAGAAAGTCTTTGGTAGCTTGATGGGGACGGTATTGAATCTATAAATTACCTTGGGCAGTATGGCCACTTTCACGATATTGATTCTTCCTATCCATGAGCATGGAATGTTCTTCAATTTGTTTGTGTCCTTTTTTATTTTGTTGAGCAGTGGTTTGTAGTTCTCCTTGAAGAGGTCCTTCACATGCCTTGTAAGTTGGATTCCTAGGTATTTTATTCTCTTTGAAGCAATTGTGAATGGGAGTTCACTCATGATTTGGCTCTCTGTTTGTCTGTTATTGGTGTATAGGAATGCTTGTGATTTTTGCACATTGATTTTGTATCCTGAGACTTTGCTGAAGTTGCTTATCAGCTTAAGGAGATTTTGGGCTGAGACAATGGGGTTTTCTAAATATACAATCATGTCATCTGCAAACAGGGACAATGTGACTCCCTCTTTTTCTAATTGAATACCCTTTATTTCTTTCTCTTGCCTGATTGCCCTGGCCAGAACTTCCAACACGGTGTTGAATAGGAGTGGTGACAGAGGGCATCCTTGTCTTATGCCAGTTTTCAAAGAGAATGCTTCCAGTTTTTGCCCATTTGGTATGATATTGGCTGTGGGTTTGTCATAAATAGCTCTTATTATTTTGAGATACATTTCATCAATACCTAGTTTATTGAGAGTTTTTAGCATGAAGAGCTGTTGAATTTTGTTGAAGGTCTTTTCTGCATCTATGGAGATAATCATATGGTTTTTGTCATTGATTCTGTTTATGTGATGGATTATGTTTATTGATTTGTGTATGTTGAACCAGCCTTGCATTCCAGGGATGAAGCCCACTTGATCATGGTGAATAAGCTTTTTGATGTGCTGCTGGATTCAGTCGGCCAGTATTTTATTGAGGATTTTTGCGTTGATGTTCACCAGGGATATTGGTCTAAAATTTTCTTTTCTTGTCGTTTCTCTTCCAGGCTTTGGTATCAGGATGATGGCGGCCTCCTAAAATGAGTTAGGGAGGATTCCCTCTTTTTCTATTGACTGGAATAGTTTCAGAAGGAATGGTATCAACTCCTCTTTGTACCTCTGGTAGAATTCAGCTGTGAATACATCTGGTCCTGGACTTTTTTTGACAGGTAGGCTATTAATTACTGCCTCAATTTTAGAGCCTGTTATTGGTCTATTCAGAGACTAAACTTCTTCCTGGTTTAGTCTTGGGAGGGTTATGTGTCCAGGAATTTATCCATTTCTTCTAGGTTTTCTAGTTTATTTGCATAGAGGTGTTTATACTATTCTCTGATGGTAGTTTGTATGTCTGTGGGATCATTGGTGATATCCCCTTTATCATTTTTTATTGTGTCTATTTGATTCTTCTCTCTTTTCCTCTTTATTAGTCTTGCTAGTGGTCTATCAATTTTGCTGATCTTTTCAAAAAACCAGCTCCTGTACTCATTGATTTTTTGATGGTTTTTTGTGTTTCTATCTCTTTCAGTTCTGCTCTGATCTTAGTTGTCTCTTGCCTTCTGCTAGAATGTGTTTGCTGTTGCTTCTCTAGTTCTTTTCATTGTGATGTTAGCATGTCGATTTTACATCTTTCCTGCTTTCTCTTGTGGGCATTTAGTGCTATAAATTTCCCTCTACACACTGCTTTAAATGTGTCCCAGAGATTCTGGTATGTTGTGTCTTTGTTCTCATTGGTTTCAAAGAACATCTTTATTTCTGTCTTCCTTTAGTTATGTACCCAGTAGTCATTCAGGAGCAGGTTATTCAGGTTCCATGTAGTTGTGCAGTTTTGAGTAAGTTTCTTAATCCTGACTTCTAATTTGATTGCACTGTGGTCTGAGAGACCGTTTGTTGTGATTTCTGTTCTTTTAAATTTGCTGAGGAGTGGTTTACTTCCAATTATGTGGTCAATTTTAGAATAAGTTAGATGTGGTGCTAAGAGGAATGTATATTCTGTTGATTTGGGGTGAAGAGTTCTGTAGACATCTATTAGGTCCACTTAATGCAGAGCTGAGTTCAAGTCCTGGATATTCTTGTTAACCTTCCATCTCATTGATCTGTCTAATATTGACAGTGGGGTGTTAAAGTTTTCTATTATTATTGTGTGGGAGTCTAAGTCTCTTTGTAGGTTTCTAAGGATTTGCTTTATGAATCTGGGTGTTCCTGTATTGGGTGCATATATATTTAGGATAGTTAGCTCTTCTTGTTGAATTGATCCCTTTACCATTATGTAATGGCCTTCTTTGTCTCTTTTGACTTTGGTTGGTTTAAAGTCTGTTTTATCAGAGACTAGGATGGAAACCCCTGATTTTTTTGCTTTCCATTTGCTTGGTAGATCTTTCTCTATCCCTTTATTTTGAGCCTGTGTTTGTCTCTGCATGTGAGCTTGGTCTCCTGATTACAGCACACTGATGGGTCTTGACTCTTTATCCAATTTGCCAGTCTTTTAATTGGGGCATTTAGCCCATTTACATTTAAGTTTAATATTGTTATGTGTGAATTTGATCCTGTCATTATGATGTTAGCTGGTTATTTTGCCCATTAATTGATGCAGTTTCTTCATAGCATTGATGGTGTTTACAATTTGGCAAGTTTTTGCAGTGGCTCATACCAGTTGTTCCTTTCCAGGTTTTGTGCTTCCTTCAGGAGCTCTTGTAAGGCAGGCCTGGTGGTGACAAAATCTCTCAGCATTTGCTTGTCTGTAAAGGATTTTATTTCTCCTTCACTTATGAAGCTTAGTTTGGCTGGATATGAAATTCTGGGTTGAAAATTCTTTTCTTTAAGAATGTTGAAAATTGGCCCCCACTCTCTTCTGGTTTGTGGGATTTCTGCCAAGAGAGCCACTGTTAGTCTGATGGGCTTCCTTTGTGGGTAAACTGACCTTTCTCTCTGGCTGCCCTTAAGATTTTTTCCTTCATTTCAACCTTGGTGAATCTGACAGTTATGTGTCTTGGGGTTGCTCTTCTCGAGGTTTGTTTGTGGTGTTCTCTGTATTTCCTGAATTTGAATGTTTGCCTGCCTTGCTAGGTTGGGGAAGTTCTCCTGGATAATATCCTGAAGAGTGTTTTCCAACTTGGTTCCATCCTCTCTGTCACTGTCAGGTACACCAATCAAACATAGATTTGGTCTTTTCACATAGTCTCATATTTCTTGGAGGCTTTGTGTGTGTCTTTTTACTCTTTTGTTTCTAATCTTGTCTTCTTGCTTTATTTCATTAATTTGATCTTCAATCACTGATATCCTCTCTTCCACTTGATTGAATCGGCTATTGAAGCTTGTGTATGCATCACGAAGTTCTCATGCCATGGTTTTTAGCTCCATCTAGTCATTTAAGATCTTCTCTATAATGTTTATTCAGTTAACCATTCATCTAACCTTTTTTCAAGGTTTTTAGCTTCCTTGCGATGGGTTAGAATATTGAATGTATTTTAATGTGAAGAATTCATGAGGAAAACATCTCTTTTTTCCTTCACATAGGTGGACACAGTAGTTTAGAATACTGAAAATAATCACAACATTGACAAGGGATTTCCACATTTACAACTATGTTAATACTCAAAGCCGTGATTATAACACACTTTAAGTTCATCCATACAGGAAGCATCCTATTCATTTTCTTTCATACTTTTCATTTTTTAATGACCGTTAATCCCTCTTTTTCCACTTAGTGTCTTTATTTTCTGCCTGACTGCCACTACATTTTCTCCCTCCCTAATTTCCAATGTCCTAACTCACTTCCTAACAATGAACACTCTCTTAAAACCCAACTTAGTACACTGTCTTTCTTGCACCTAAACATGTGTAGAAATAAGGTGTACTGTTTGTTGCTGAAATAGTTAATTTTTTTAGGTTAATTTTTTTAACCTACCTATCAACAGTCCTAAAGTGTAGCCAGACTGGGACAGATATGAAGGGAGCAACCAGGATGGAAGAAACAATATAAATGAAGTTCCTTGAGGAGTAAAAGGGTTCCTTCAGGGCCAGGAATGTTATTTTCTCTGCTTAGAAAGACATTCCCCAAAGACAGCTCCCAGCTGGCCAGGTTTTTCCTACCACTCATTCTCTACAACTTGGTGCCATCCTGCTGTGAAGCCTCACATGACTTCTGCTCATTTTGTGAGCCCTCACAGCACTCTATTTAACTGGCTACTAAAGGAATTACCATGATTCCTTGTAGAAAGGGGATCATGTCAATCCCCGCCTACCATGAAAATCTGGTAGAAATGGAAGAAAGGAGAAAGAGAGGAAAGGAGAGAGAAAAGGAAGAGGAAAAAAAAGGAAAAAAATAAAAGAATATTAAATTCTAAAGGGAAGCCATTAAAAATATGATAGTTTTCTCAAGACGTTTAAAGAACTGTCTTGTAAGAAAGAAACCTCATTTCTAAATGATTTAGAGAACACAAGAGTCAACGAATGCTAAGAAGAGTCAGAGAGGCAGTTTTTGACTCACATTATAAGAATGAGCTCTATGAAATTATAGTTGTCCCAAATGGAATAAAGTACTTTGTTCTTTGTCTCTGGAAATATCCGTATAAAGTCTGGAAAATTACTTTCAAGAGATACTGGTGTGGGATTTATATAGAGAGTACACAATAGTTGGACCAGATTGACATCTCAAACCTGGATTATATTCTTTCACTGAATTTCAACATCTTCAGGGGAGGTAATACATTGATTAAGGCTCTGTTTTTCTCTATTTTTTAACCATTAAATTTTTCACAGAGAACACTGTTTTTAACAAATATTTATTTTTATAAATCTGCTTTGGTCTTCTAAAAGAACTAAAAACATTTCATGAAATCCTTATGGTGAGTTATCACATTACACAGATTGACATCTGAAAACAGTTTTAAAAAGTACAAGGCAATGAGACATACCACAAACAAATATTTTTTTGCCTACTGTACATGGGAGAAAAACGAATTCAAAATATATGAACCATACTTCACAGAAAAGTTTCTGTGACATATAAACAAAAGCTATGGATAGACTATGTACAAACAATTATCATAATTTCTAAATATATTCATTACATATTTATATCATGTTTGTAGTTTGTTACATGTGGAAATATCTAGATTGTTGATCAAATGTTCTGCAACTTTTTTTGCCAATATTTGAAATTTGGCAAAAGCTAAAGTGAATTTTTCCATTATTTATTAAGCCCATATGAATTTCAAGCATTATTTATTAGAATTGCTTGATTCATGTGGAAGGTTCCTAGTGATGGATTTGTTTATAAAAGCATGTTAATGCCTAGAAAATGTACTCAATTAAACACATTTTTTAGATGAATTTTTCATCAAAAGGAATGCTAATTCTGAATTTATCCTAAGGACTTAGATTCTAATCCTTCTTTGGCCATGTTTCCTTAATACAGCAGCTATTTCCTGAGTACCCACTCCATGCCAGGGGCTTTACATTGTACCAAGGAAGCCCTGGCTGAGTTTGTATCTTAAGAAATTTCTTTCTTTATTAGAAAAGACTAACAAGGAACTGGACTGGGCTTGATGTAGCCCCACATGAACTAGACAGCTTATGTCCCACAGATGGTCTCACTTAAGACTAAATAACCTAGATTTTGCAGAAATAAACTGATGTTCAATTACCATGGAAACTGGGTACTGTACTGTTGATACCATAGGACCAAACAGGTAGTCTTACCAAAATAAAGCAATGATGAAAACCTAGTATTTTCCTATAGACCTTGAAACTATACCTTTCATTCTAAAATGCCAAAGGGTTCAAGACTATCCATTATTAAAAATAACACAAAAACATCAATCTGGCCAGGAAAGGTGGCTCACGCCTGTAATCCCAGCACTTAGGGAGGCCAAGGCGGGCAGATCACAAGGTCAGGAGATCGAGACCATCCTGGTCAACATGGTGAAACCCTGTCTCTACTAAAAATACAAAAATCAGCTGGGCATGGTGGTGAGTGCCTGTAGTCCCATCTACTTGGGAGGCTGAGGCAGTAGAATCGCTTGAACCCGGGAGGCAGAGGTTGCAGTGAGCCGAGATTGTGCCACTGCACTCTAGCCTGGTGACAGAGCGAGACTCCATCTCAAAAAAAAAAAAAAAAAAAAAAAAAAAAAAAAAAAAAAATCAAGCTATGCATAAATGTTAATGCCCACAATCTTCTAAAAATAAAGGAGGCTTAGATCTACTCCTTACATATAATGTACAGAAAAGATTGTATGTAATTTTATGAATAAATGCAAACAAATGTTTTGTAACTTTAAAAAAAAGACTTATTTTCCATGAAAACTTTGTAAATTAAAATTTAAAAATTGGCAGGTAATTCGATTAAATATTTTGGTCCATATTTTTTTTTTACCATCTCCCTCCCAAAAAAATTGGTTTTAGACATACTAGTGGTATTTTATTCATTGTGGGATTCATGACAGCAGCTATGGTCTGACCACTATACAATAATCTCTATCAGCTGCAAACTCAGAATGAGCAACAGAAGTAGCTTTAAATAATACAGTTTTGAAAAGAGTCACTACACATAGTAGTCACGTCTAACATGCAGAATACGTGGCAAACTGGGATGTGGACCAGGAGGCTGAAGATTTTAAAAAATCAAGATATCCTATTTATGATTTTGAATCTTTCCATTTCGAGGATTGTTTTACATTTTCCTATCCACTAAGTTATTAGTCTCCATTTTTCTTTTTTCTGCCCTTTTTCTCTTTTCCCCCCATGTTAAAGTGTTGTATGGTTCCCCTGGAAACACAATCTTTGTAATATGAGTAATATTTAAGAACATGATCTGATTCAGTGAACATGGGATCAGATCCAGTCTTCTATTCATGATTTAATATAATAAACACCTATTATGTCCCAACAAAACCTGAGAAGGTAAATAAAACACCAGGCCCAGAGCTTGAAAGTTTACTTCGCTATTTTTTAGTCAAAAAACAACATTTTCAATGGCATGAACATTCTTGTGCTGCCTCTATATCTACCTCAATTTGCTGAGGAGTTGGGTTGATGGCAGGGAATGAAATTAAGAAAACGGTATACAGGCCATTGCCACTAGCACATTCCTTTGTCTGAACCCTGGCATCCTAGGGATGAGGAAGATGTCTGGGCCATGGCTTGAGTCTGTACTTGATTTACTACCCATAACCTTTCATCTTCCTTGTGCATGCTACCCTGACTGCCTGTTTTGTCCCTCCTTTCTTCATTTCCACTATATGCTAAATTTATTAAGGCTGTAATGGTGTCTCCTTTTTCTTCTGAGTCTCCCCCAAGTTGTCCAGCACCATGCTTTGCACATAAATGCTGACCTTATTATATAGAGTTTGCACTAATGAAAGGGAAACCAGACAGTATCAAAAGAATAAAACAAGAGGGAAAGAAAAAATTACTTTCAGAAGGATACATGGTCTTAATAGTATAGTGTCCCTATTAGAAACCTCTGTGTTTGTACTGAATTTCCTATAATGTTGTGTGCACAGTAAGCCCACCGGGTATTGTATTTTCCACTGGCTAAATGATGCATGTGTAGAGGCATTGAAACAAATGAGGAAAAGAGAGAGAGGCACTTTAAACACTTTAATTAAATATTCCCCCTCAGGAAATCTAAAAGGAAAAAAAATCTATTTGTCTTTCAGCATATGTGGCAAATACTGTGTGTTGCTAAGCAAATGCCATTTCCTTCCCCCGTTCTACTAGTCACCTTCCCCATGACAATCTGATAATGCTAGCTGTCCAATTTACCAGCTTCATTTGCCAGTAGAGGAGCCAAAAAGGGATTCCATAGAGATGTTCTGGGTAACAATTTTCACTCCCTGATTTAAAAAGCAAGATCCACAAGGATGTTCCTCTCACTCAGTATCCCCTCCCTTTTTGTCTTTCCATGAGTCCTGTTCTTGAGCAGCAGTAGTCATCTTGCAACAAGGAACAAACATGCTGGGGATGAAAGACAACACACAGAGCCAGCAGACTGAGAACTGAAAGTCTGGGCCTTCCAGTTCTGGATTTCTGATGTGAGACCATACAAATTCCTATTAACTGACATTCATCTGAGTGTTCTGTACTTTGTGTTAGGTGCTCTGCTAAACACTTTATATGCATCACCTCATTTTATTCTTAAAACAACCCCATAGGGAGATATTCAAGCCTGTTTCAATGGATGAGAAAATTGGGGCTAGGAGGCTCAGTCCCATCACAATGCCAAACTAAGTAGCAAGCTTGGAGGTCAAAACTAATGCTACCTGAGACAAAATAATCTAGACTTTAACTTCATTTTAACTCTAACACTTATCAACTCAGTACTCTTCATTTGTCAATTTAAAAAGAAAAATATTCACAGCAACTAGGTCAATGCTATGAGAAAGAAAGAGACGGTTTAAGAGCAGTATTAGTGAAACATCTTGGGGGATGCCTGATAAACCCTGACACACCGTGATGAAGAGTTTGACAACTTCACATACTATAACCTGTACAGTAACATAAACCCTCAAGAGACTTGAGCTCACCTCAGCCCTGAGACTGCATTTCTAGCCTTCAACAAGGGCAGCTGCCTAGGAGGCACTCAGTCAATATCCATGAATTAATGAATAAGTGAATGAATGCTGACTATTGGGATAAGTGAGGAAGTACACATATGAGGATCAGGTTAAATTAATTCTCTGAATATCCACAGGAGTCTCAAGTAACAAGTAGTATGTCAAGTATTTGTTGAAGAAAGGAAGGAAGGCAGAGAGGAATGGAGGAAGAAAAGAAGGCACCTAATAGAAGCCACTGTAATAATTTAATTCCAGCCACATCTGGATATTGTAGCATTGGTCTGCGCCCCTCACATCTCATTGATTTTTAGGGTTCCAGCTGTTACACAGACAAAGACACCTCTTGGACTTCAATCCTGCACTGTCTATCAGTGGGTTTCCTGATCATGGCTTTTGTTTTCTTATGGCTTGAGGTGTGACCCTGCATCTAGTTACCGATTGGCTCCATGTGAGTTTACACTATCTGTGTTCTTTAATCATTGACTAGCCTGCTCAGGCTTACATTGATGTTCTGGATCTTGGGTCTCTATTTCTTACTTTAATAGACAATACTCATGCTCCTTTTATTTTCTCCTTAGGTTACTCCCTTCTGAGGGTTGCTTATAAACCTGTGTCCCACCATGTCCCTAGGTATTCTATCCCATTCCCATCAAGGTGTTGCTTGAATCTTAAAGCACACTATTACAGTGGTTCTTAGAGTGTGGTCCCTGAACCAACAGAATAAACATCACCTAGAAATTGGTTAGAAATGCAGATGAGATCAGGCACATTTAGGGTGGTATAAAACCCAAAGGAAGGGATTGAACTGCCATGGCAAAATTATAACTGAGACAGTGGAAGAGATCTGACCTAACCAACTCCATCTTGTTTCTAACCTCCAAGCTGTCCTTGTTCATGCTTAGGCGTAGGCTGAACTAACTTTGGGAGAAACTTAGTTTATAGTTTAGAACAAAGACGATAACAGCCCTTTCCCAAAACAAACCCTGGACTCAACTGCCTTTGTAGGACTAACAAATTAGCCAAAAGTTTAGAAATTATGGTTTAGGAGTCATGCAGCTAGAGGCTGCAAGATTCTGACCCTCCCCAAATTGCTCCTGGGGATAAAATTCACTATTGTAAAACCTAAGACCAGTGCTTGAGACATTTTGCAGACCCTGCATTTGATGGATCAACTGGCACCACCCAGATTGATAAACTGGCTCATCCGCTTTTATGGTCCCCACCCAGGAACTGACTTGGTGCAAGAAGACTCTATGATTTCATCTCTGACCTGACCAATCAGCACTCTCAGTTCACCGGCTTCCCCACCTTCCACCAAGTTGTCCTTAAAAATTGTGATCCCCAAATGCTCAGGGAGACTGATTTGAGTAATAATAAAACTCCTGTCTCTGCCTAAAAAAAGAAATTGTTAGAAATGCAAATGTAGTTTTTCTGGGAATAATACCAGGAAGCAAGAGTGAGGAGGCAGGGACAATGAGACAAGGTAGGAGAAAACAAATGAATCCTTGGGGTCACTATCATCAGCAGCAGCAGTTCAAATGTTTTGTACTCTCAAATCAGTACAGAAAAAAAACCCAGAATATTTCATCCAAATCTAGGAGGGTGGAACACTTATCCACTAATTCCTGTTTACCATTATTTGAGGGTTTGCCCTTGCACTGTGGGCTGCACCAGCATGAAACTGTGGTCTACAGCTCTGGAGAGAGCCCTGAGGCAGAAGAGTAGAATGATGGATGAGAGGCACTTGAGGCAGGTGCTCCCTGTACACAGACCTGGCCCCTAAGTTGGGATTGTTATTATATTGGGCTGAGGCATTTGAATGCTGGGCACTAAATGCTTCTGATATTGCAAAATATTAGGGCTTTGTCCTAGGAAAGAAAAAATTGTCAAGTTACTGGGTTTTTTTTTAACTCACAGTAATTTCACTTTTGCTTATATTTGAAGTGACTGATAAGAGGCAAACTTTATGAACAATTACCATTTCTTAAATGAGCCATGTTTTATAACTAACTATGGTTATCTGACACATGTTTCACCAACTTCAACATCCAGACAAGTTTAGATGAGAGTCAAGGTTTAAGAATATGGCTTAGATAATTGTGGATAGTTACAAAACACGATTAAGAAGTCTGACAATTAAAGGGATATGTTCATTGCATGAAAAATTCAGTTTATGTAGACACACAGAATAGGGCCTTTATGTACAGAACTAGAAGAAAAAACTTGCGTTAAATAATTTGTTTCATGTTTACTTTAAGTTTCCCATTTATAAAAAAAATGTTTCTGATTTTTGTTTTTCTCTCAAGGAGGAGGCTTATAGGATACTGTTCTCAAAGTAGGCATTGTATCTATTTTCTATGACAAAAAGATAATTTAGTGACACATTTATTCATGTCCAATGATGTAGTTAGTGAACTCAGTTCTTCTGCCCCTTCACCCCTAAACTCTGTACACTGGATGCCAGAGCCTGCTGGTTGTCCCATAGCATTTGTTTTACCTTTTCTTTACAGAGAGAGAACTCACAATTTTTAACCAGGGAGTTTAACTGATCACAGTAAAGTCTACTACTTATCCCAGCTTCCCTTGCAGCTAGGTGTGACCATGTCACTAAGTTTAGCCAATGAGATATAAGTGGGAATGCCATGTGGCAGCTTTTCGCAGTTTTTCTTAAAAATCCAACCAGCATGTAATATGCCCTTTTCCCCCTGTTTTTTCATCCCTTCCTCCTGCCTGCTGACTAATACAGCTGTGATGACTTAGCAATCATTTGATCCTTGAGATATCTTGGGCAGGAGTCAGCAAGCTATAGCCCATGGAACAATTCAACCAACTGACGGTTTTTATATAGCTGACAGGAAGAAAATGAGTTTTACATTTTCTAGATGCGAAAAAAAAATCAAAAAAGGAATATTTTATGACACATCAAAATAATACAAAATTCAAATCATCAATGTCCATAAAAAATTTATTAGAACACAGCCACATTCATTCATCTTACTGTTTATGGCTGTTTTCATACTATAGTGGCAGAGTTCAATAGTTCCAACAGAAACCATATGGCTCACAAAATGTAAAATACTTGCTATTTGGCCATTTATAGAAATATTTCATTAACTCCTAATCTTAGCAATGGAGGCCAGGCTAGGCATAGCAATGATATATAAAATAGGAATCTCAACTCTTCAAAGCTTCATGGAGAAGAGCTGTCATACAATCCTGGATCCAGTACCCCCAGATCTTCATATGAAAGAAAAATAAATTCCTACATTTTAAAGCCACTATTCCATAATGTAATAGACTGAATATTGCCCTCAATTCCTCACCCTTCCTCATATCCTGCCAGCTATGTGTCTTTACAGTTACTCCAACAAAAAGCACAGTACACTTCGCTATCCCTTGACTTTGGCCCTGACCAACTGAATGCCAGCAGATAATACACAAGCAAAAGCTTGAAGTGTGTTTGTATTTTATAGCTGAGCTTGTCCTCTTACGCTACTGTCATTGCCACAAGAAAAAATTTAGCCTAGTAGCCTATTGATTCCTGAAGAATGGGTAATAAGTGGATTTGAAGCTCTCCTTCAAATCTGCAATTTAGGAAGAATCACCCCAGCTGACCCACAGACCTTCAGTCTTGGTTTGAATCACTCCAGTTGACCTGTGAGCATGATAAACGCTTGATTGCTGCATGTCACTTAGTTTGGGGGTGATTTGTTCTGCAGCAACAATTTATGTTAGACACGGTTTTTTGCCTCTGGTACTTACAGCCAAACCTAAGCCTACATTGTTGTTTATGGCAATTATTCCATAACTAAAAAGAGAAAATTCTAAGCCTTCTAAAGATTTGCCAATGCTGTAGAACCTAGTGGACCTAGATTTAAAAAGAAAAAGTCTATCTCTGCCACATAACATTTGTGCAATCATGGAGATGCTGTTTGACCTCTCTGAGCCTTAGTTTCCTCATCCAAAATATGAAAATTGTTCTATCTGCATGATGGTGCTGTTTTATAATTTCATAAAATTATGTGGAAAAACATTTAGTAGGTAATGCAATTATAATATTAGCATTTATTGAGGGTTTACTATGTGCCAGCCGCTGTGCTCAAAGCAAACCCATGGGAAACATTTTGTTTTAATCCCTATTACATAGGAGGAAACTGAGGCTTAGTGGGTTTAAGCAACTTTCCCAAAGATACACAGTGAGAACCACTGGGACAGTTGGGGCTCATCCGCTAGAAGTCTCAACTCAGAACCTATAATCTTAATTCTAGCACTTGGCATCTTCACCCCATTTCCATTCTTATAGTGCTCAGCCCAGTAAATATTTACTTTCAGGAGAAAATCACTCTCTATGCCTGGCAAGCTAAATGTACCAAATGAATGTTTACTATGAAAGCAAAGAGTTAATTACTATCCTTTTAAGATAAGACTTTGTAGCACTCAGGTATATTCTCCAACCACTGGTATCTTGGTAAATATTTAACAACTAACTCACCTCCCTTCCCCAAGACCATTTGTAGCAGTTGCAGATTTCTATTGTGTAAATATCGCCAGGGCTGATTTCAAGCTACCAACTGAAGGGTCCCTGATCATGGATTAGAAAGAAATTGGAAAGTACAGTGGATTGCTAGGAGTTGCTCCAACACACCATTGCCTTAAACCCACTGAGTAATGAGACTACTCACGTCTAGAAAGAGTCAAAAGAATGAGAGTAACATTATCATAAAAACCACCACAAAATTTAAAATGTTTAAAAGTAACAAAATTGGCAAATGTGAGTCATTAAAACTAGTTGTTAGGAAGATTTTAAGTCCTGTGGTTTTAAAACTTTCTTACAATGTTTGCATTTTAAAGATCTCTTCTAGAAACCCTTTTAAATAAAAGTTTAATTGGAGAAAAATAGAACCACCATGTACATAGGATGGTAAACAAGGTGAATAAAATTCCTAGGAGTCCTCAATCTGGATAATTATTCTTAAACAACATTTTAGAAAAATCAAGTACAAGTATAAACATTGCTTCATTCAAATCCTCAACATCAAATCATTTGATAAAGTCAACATGAAATGAGTCTAGATTTGGGTTGAGGGGAGAAGAAAAAATTAACTGCTCTTATTTTAGTTATGGCACTTGATCTGCCTTTTTTGCTAAAAGTTTGAGTTCTGAGCCAAAGACCCTCACAGTAAGATGCTCCTCAAAGTTTTTTGAACCCAGTTCCTGAGTCTGCTTGGATGGTCTGAACATGATGTCTAGCCATACTCTTGAAACTTTCAATGTGTACACAAACATACAGTTCAGGAAATCAGTTATTCTATTCAGGCATCTGTATCTAAATATTTGAGAAGTTTGTTTGCTTTTTAATCTTAGTATCCGTAAATCTTCTAAAGTTAGCTGGTTTTTGTTTGTTTTCATGACCACTCTGTTTAATGCTGTGAATGGCAAGAGTGTTATAAGCATGTTCTGTTCTCTTATTTACCTAAAAGTGCTGAAAAAATTGTTCATTAAAAAGAAAAAGGCAGTTAAAAAAAAAAAAGAATGAGAATAGCAACCCAGCTTCCCTTCAGATGCCAGAGGCAAGAATTATTCTATATGGTTACAAATTGGTAGATATAAATACCATCAGAGTGAAGACAATTAATATGCATGTAAGATGGGCAAAAGTGTGAAGAGAGTAGAAATAGTGGGGCCAGTGATGAACCAAAGAGGCAGTGTAAGCTACTGCAAAAAGCATTTAAAGTCAGTTTAAAAAAAAAAAAAGTGTTGACTCTGCACATTCCTAGACACACATGTACACACACAAAAATTAAACATCAATAGACTAGATTAAGCTGTGAGCCACCAGTTTTTTGTGACTTTCTGTGACTCAAAAGTTGAGAAAGTAGACTATGTTTAAGGATTGTGCACAAAACAATTATCTAGGAACCTTCAAAATAAGTTCTGCTAATGTAGCCTTTCTCATGTCCTGTGACATGACACTATTTTCACTGTAACAGAAACAAACTCTTAAGTGACAAAATTCCATCCACGTCTTTATCCCCTATTAACCTTATTAACCCCATATAACTAGCCAAAATGTCTGCTTTGTATTTCAAGCTGCATTTTTTTTGGTAGGTTCTGTATTTCTTGTGAACACAAAGGTGCCCTGCTTGAAAATGTTAACCTCCAAAGCAGTATTAGTTACTAAGCTACCAACTCTATTTCTATGGTTTTAAAAAAATACCTCAGACAAAGATTTGGAATGAACACCTCCAAAATCTGGGATCAATCAAGAAATCACTCCCTAAAAATCTTGTTAGCTCCAATAAGTGTTTCCATCTAAAAAATGACTTTTACTTTAGAACAATTCCAAATCCTCTGAATTAATTTTCCATTTTCCTTTTCACTGTTTCAGCACTTATTTTCATATATGCCTCTGTTTTTTCCAGGCTGGCAGATGTTTAAAATTTTTAATGAGTAAATTCAAGTTCTTAAGTTAATTCAGAAGGATAGGATTATACCAATCTATTCTGGTCAATAAATTATCACTTTAAATTAAATCACTAAGCAACAAGAGTCATATTTCTATACAAATCAGCAAAATACACCAGAAATTATCTAAAGATTCCATAATTTTTTTGAAACGTGCTGTTGTGAGCCTTCATAATCTATATAAATATGTGGGGTTTTGCAAAAAAAAAAAAAAAATATATATATATATATATACATATATATATATACAGCCTTGAGTGATCAAGCTGTCTGAATCTTATCAAAGTTCCACTGACAAAAAGTGATATTTATGACATACGGTTTGAAGAATATGCAAGACACTCATTCCTCAAATTAGGGACTTCTACCTTGAGTTCTTGGGTTCTACAGTTCACATTTTTAGGTTCACACATCTTCCAGATCTACTGATCCTTAAGAACAAGGGCAGGCCAAGTTGAAAGATGTCAGAGCCTATCACTCCCACCTAAATCAAGAGAGTTGTTTTACATATCAGGGTCGGCCACACATTTCAGTTGAAAAGAAAAGGGGATTCTGATACTTAAAAACTATAAAATTCGCTGCTGTGATAATGCTAAACTTTATACTTAATTTTATACTTAAATTAATCCTGAGCATTAAGCATTGGAATTCTTCATGATTACACAATATCGTATTGATTCCAGGACAGTAATAATATTGATTATTTTTGTTTGTTTTTTGTGTGAGCGAGACAGAGTTCCCCTCTGTCACCCAGGCTGGAGTGCAGTGGCACAATCTCAGCTCACTTCAACCTCTGCCTCCTGGGTTCAAGCAAATCTTATGCCTCAGCCTCCTGAGTAGCTGGGATTACAGGCATCTGCCACCACACCTAGCTAATTTTTGTAATTTTAGTGGAGGCAGGGTTTCACCATGTTGTCCAGGCTGGTCTTGAACCCACCTTGGCCTCCCAAAGTGCCCGGCCTGATTATTGTTATTAAGAGACACAGCCAGCAACTACACTGTGAAACTCTTAATGCAATTGCTGTAAGTAATTATTGAGCTCTCTTCCCACTGCCTACCTTTTTTTTCTTTTTTTTTTTTTTATGATACTTTAAGTTTTAGGGTACATGTGCACAACGTGCAGGTTAGTTACGTATGTATACATGTGCCATATTGGTGTGCTGCACCCATTACTCATCATTTAGCATTAGGTATATCTCCTAATGCTATCCCTCCCCACTCCCCCCACCCCACAACAGGCCCCGGTGTGTGATGTTCCCCTTCCTGTGTCCATGTGTTCTCATTGTTCAATAATGCCCCACATATGTAACAACACTTGAAAAAAAACTTTAGAGGTAAAGGATAAGCAAAGTTTTACCTTGTGATATTGGAGAAAGTATATCTAATCATATTTCCCTTTTTACTTCTACTTTCTAGAAACTTGAAACCAAATGCATGTCTAAGAGATAACCACTATAAACAACTTTGTGACTTAAGATTCTGTTTCCTCTTTTTGTCTTCATATATTAATTTACATTTCACTAAGCTATGTTTTTAACTATTTTACTCTTTTATTGTATTCCATTATTTAAGATATGAGCTGGATTATATATAACAGATCTGAATGGCCAGGTAAAAAGTACTTCTCTCATGTGAAAGGGATAATGTCCAGGGATTCCGGCTCCTTCAATCTTGCTGCTCCCTCAAATCTGCAGTCTGGTCCTTATTTGCATGGCTTATGATGGTGCACCCACCATGTCCACATCCCATGTAGCAAGATAAAGGCAGGGTCGGAAAAGCAGCACAGACTTTCTTCACAAGGACACCACCAGGAACTTGTACCCATCAGTTCCACATATCTCACTGGCCAAACCTAGTCACACATACAATCTTTATAAATGTGCCTTCATCTGTGGGTTCTTCTAACGTAAAAAGAAAGCAGGGAATACATATTGGAAGAAGGAAATAAACTGCTTAGCTTTCTTAAGATTATAGCCTCTATCACTGGTTCTCACATGTTAGCATGTACCAGATTCATCAGTAGTCAGCTTATTCAAAGCACAAATTCCTAGGCAACCAACACTGTGTTTCTGAACTAGAATTTCAAAGAGGCCTGGTAAGCTGAACATTTAACAATCATTTCAGGTTATTTTGATCATTGAGTAAATTTGAGACGCTGTAAGTTATTTTTCTTGTTTTCAATAAGATAACTATTCTGAACTAGGTGATTCAGATATAATTATCCCTTTAAATCATGTTGGAGGATAAAAGGCAACAGGACAAATAACATCATTTCCAGTCTTGTCCTTAATATCCAACATATACCCTCCAAAGGGCCTATTCTATTCTCCTGTCAATCTCTCTCTTTTTAATGTATGCCTGCCATTTCCCCCAAATTTGGGGTTATGTCACAGTTCTACCTGAATTCACCTCTTGATCCCTAAATGCAGCCCCAACAGAACTCCAGCATTATTCTTGACCATATGTAGTGCCATAAGGAGGAGCCAGATTAACAGATAATTACACGGCGACATGACAGTTGCCATGTTGGAGGCATGTGCAAATTGTTCAAGATGACAAATAAAATGGTAGCATCACGAAAGTCTCAGAATGATCCTCAATATTAAATCTAATTGGGGCAAATGGAAGAAAGAACAAAGAAGCCTAGATTATAGGAACAGCAGAGTCACAGAAGGCCAAAGATGTGCAAAGGCTTCTTGTGGCCACAGGTCACATCAAAACTCTGATCAGAAACCTGTGGGCCCATACTATATACCCTTGTCCTAATTCCTTCTAATCCCTATCTTCCTATATTTTTCAAGATGGCTCATAGACCGGCATCTTCCCAAAATCCTCTTCATTGGCTTCTCCTGATGCTGATCTGCTAATCATCAAAATGAATCTTACCTGTTTGAGTTCTTAAGCTCGGCTATGCAAAGAGACAAAGAAAAGTTCTCATAGACAGACCTCTGAGTATGCTCGCCAATCCTATGGGTTATACACCAGCAGACATCATGGTCAGAATAAACAGTGCTCCCTCCGGGTGTCCCATTAGCCAATTCCTGATTTTCTCCAGTAAGTTTGTACTTAATCACATTGATTGTGTATTTATGATTCCATAGCATTATAAAGCATGTTTATCTCCAGTTGAAAATTCTTATTTCCAACTTTACAAAGAAAGGATGAGAAATTGGAATAATATTACAGAAATGTATTTAATGCCACATTTTTAGGTTCACACATCTTCCAGATCTACTGATCCTTGCATCATCAGATTAAAATAACATGCACTCTCCAAACCATACTTACCAGGAGGTTAACTGTATATATATATACTAGCCATATATATATATGGCTAGTAAAGAGTTAAAACAGTGTCAATAAACAAGTGAGCTAAAGAAAAACAGTTCCCACTATAGGTCTCTTAATGGATCGCAGCATACAAAGTGGTCATAAGGAAGCAAAATCTTCTGAGAAATAAAGAGGATATGGGAATTGATGCCTGCAGCTACACATTCAAAATAAGTAGGTCCACACTGCCCTTGATTAAAAAAAAAAAAAAAAAAAAAAGCAGCTAATGACAGTTTGATTTTCATGTGCCATTGTAACTCTTAAAAAGGTGATAAAACACACAGGCCTTTGCAATAATTAAAGCTGAATCTCATTTTCTACTGAGAATTTGGCATACTATATATATACTGGAGCTAAAATAATTCAAGAATACATTGCCGGTACTATTTCTGCAATAAAATAGAATGAGTTTTAAAAATTAAAAGTCAGAAATAAAAAGATCATTTTAAGACAATAGAATTATTTAAATAATTCCAGACAATCAACATAAAAATCAGTAGACCTAATAAGAAAATGTGGCCAGGCATAGTGGCTCATGCCTGTAAATTCCAGCACTTGGGGAGGCTGAGGTGAGAGGATTGCTTGAGGCCAGCCTGGGCAACGTAGGGAAACCCTTTCTCTACAAAGACTGAATACCAAATATAAAAATAAAATAAAACTTTTACCCATATATCAGGAACTACATACAAAACAAATTTTAAAATTAAACACAAAATTTTAAAAAAAATTACATAAAGTGTTCAGAAACCAAAAAACCATGAATTTTAGGAAACTTAGAAAAGTAAAAGTTCAATATTTTACTAAGGGATTTAAAAACACTTGAATAAATATTGAACCAAATTACATTCAGTGTAAGAACACTCAATATTCCAAAAATGTTGACACTCTAACATTAATTTATACAGTTATCTAAAATAATTTCTATACAAGTCAAAACAAAATTTTTGGATGTATTGAGTTAATTCTAAGTTACCTAGAAAAATAAATAGACAAAATGAAGAGAAATTTTGTGGTGAAATGAGCAAGGAAATATTAGCACTTTCGTATTTTAAAATATAATATTTTACCATAAATAATACACACTGAAATAAAAGAGAATGCTGAAAATAGAATTAAACATAAAAATACTTATTTTTATAAATCAATACGACTAGTAAATAAATATTCTAACCAGTTAAAATAACTGGTTAATAATATTAAAAAATAATAGCCTTCACAACACTTGCCAAAGATCTCTAGGAGGTTAAAGTGGTAATTGTAAAAATTGAAACCATTTTTCAAAGAGGAATAAACTATGGGTAAATAGTTGTATAATTTTGGAAAAAGAAAAAACTTTTGAAGCAAAATAACAAAACTTTACTAGTTCTTTACAAAAGTTTTATAGTTCTGTGTATTAAAAAACACAATAAAAACATTAGAAGGAAAATAAGCTGGGGGCAAAAGATTCATTAAATATACGACTGGAATAGGGAAGTCTGGCACTGAGTGATCACAGGTTGATCTGTAGGTTCAAAATATGTCCATGTACCACTGACCATGTAACTACTACCATATATGAAACAGAACAACCGGAACAGCTAGTGCTTTTCTCATAATCCTTCTGTCTCCTGAAAGATAAATCATTTTACCAAAACACAAAGTGGCAGCCATTCTCTGCAGTCCTCTGATACTACCAGGGCAGCTGAGGAAGGCACTGACTCAGTGACCAACTTCATAACAAACTGGTAAGGGGAAAATTGAATCACTAGACTTGGAAAAGGTTGAAACAGTAACACATAGCTTGGAATCAACCAAAAGTTTATGTTCAATTAATTCTGAGGGTGTTGGAAATATGCCTTTTGTGTTATTACTGCCTATATTTCTTCTGTGTTAACTGAAGTTTATGTTAAAGAGTCATAAATTCTATGAATTCTACCTTCTATATAACTGCACTTCCATTGCCCTAGTACAAGATGTCATTGTTTTTCATTTGCCTACTGCCATGGCCTTCTAATCTATCTCCTTCCTTCCCTCCATCACATCTCTCATCTAGAGATCTCTAAAGTGAGGTACAGATGCCCTAGGAGCTGTAAAGTCAATCTCCTGAGTATTGGAAGAAATATTAGACAGTCCATTTATATTTATTTTTACTCCAAAAATTCAATGAACATAAAATTAAAAATAATTTATTTCTTTGTATATAATAGACAGATAATATAGTACTTTTTTCCACAGAGCTGCTGTGAAGATTAGTTAGGGTAGAACAGTGCTTGGAAAAAAGTAAGTTGTAAATGAAGATTAGCTGTAATTATTAATATGTAAGTCAATGCTAGCCCACTCCTTTGGCAGTATGCCAGCCATTTCCTCTGATATGGTAATAATCCTGAGGGCAAAGAGGACATTCAACAATGTAGAATAATTGATAGTTTCAGCATATTGTCTTACAAAGCAGTTGAAGCCAGGTTTTGATTATTTCATTTTAATCAAACTGGTCATCATAGAATAGTAATTAAAAAAAGATTTCAGCAACAAAATAGTAAAATAAAACACTAAATTTAAGATAGCATTAAAAAGCCAAGAAAATCACAACACCAATGCATTTAATCAGCCACATTCTAGGGCAGAACATGATGAACTAATCAAATCCAATATGGTTATGTAATTTTCTCCCAATATTAATATCAGCAACTACAAAACTTCTTACCTACACATTTAAAAACTCAGGAATACATTTTGCTCACCTGTTAAAAGTGTTTGCAAATTCTATTAGTAGATATAGAGCTGATTTATTAAAAATCTGACAACTTCCAATTAATTTGTAACTACTGTCTGTCATCAGGAAAGATGGGAATTACCTAAGTTTTAAAACAAAACTTTGCATAATTGAAGGGTAAGATTTGAAAGTGAAGAAATATTCTAAAATTGAATAAAATCATGAATATTGAATAAATATTATAACAACTATGAAAGTAATATGATTAAAGAATCAAAATAAACTGAACTAAGATAAGCACATAATATAGCTTTTTCACAAAGGGTAAATAAACTACAGAGTTGTTTTCTTTTTAGGAAATATATTTATTCACATTGTTCTCAATGTAAGCATACATAAATTTTATATAGTAGTAAAATTGTATTACTATCTTAACTTTATATTAGGAAGCAAAAGTATTTTTTACTGTTAATAAAATAAAATTTAAAAGAATTAAGAGTTGAATCTTATCTTTATTTTCCCCTTTGTTGTAATCTTATACATAACTTTAGTACTATGGCACTAGCAATGTGACTTATAAACAAAAAGTATATGTTATATTATGAAAAAATCCAAAAAGCTGGGAAAACAAACACTGCTGTAGTCTTTAATTCTCACAGCTGCTAAAGTTATTCTCTTAATACACACTTGAATCATGACTTATGCTTCTTTAAAAATCTGTTAATGGCTCCCAATGGCCTAATGAACAAAATG
Source organism: Homo sapiens (assembly GCF_000001405.40). Lineage (NCBI taxonomy): Eukaryota > Metazoa > Chordata > Mammalia > Primates > Hominidae > Homo > Homo sapiens. Next base: position 80,666,089 of record NC_000006.12, on the reverse strand, counting down.
CAAACACTTTAACAAAATATATGAGTGACCGGGTCTAATATTTTCAGCCTTATATCTATGAGGCTTTTCCCCTCTCTCAGACGTGACTAATTCCCCATATTTCTATGACACTTAACCTGTAACTTTAACATAATACTCACTTTACTCTTTCAGTATTGTTAGGAGTTTCTGTAGAAAGGTGAATAGAGCACTGGACAGAGTCAGGAAACCTCTGGATCCACCCAGCTCTACTGCTGTGTAACCAGGAGACACTGATTTGTCATTTTATATATCTGAGCTTCAAGTCTTTAAAATGGAGATAATGGAAGACTGTTACAAATAATTTACCTAAATGTTTGCGTTAAGTCATCTGTCTCCAGCAGTTAGTAAATACTAGTTCATTAAATACTGGAGGAACCATGTGTTATTCAGAAAAATACTAATTTTCAAGTAAATATAATAAAACTAACATCCATAACTACATTTAACCTCCTTTAATTTTCAAGATACATTTAAATTGTATTCCCACTTAACATCTAAAGCATTTGATTATTTTTTCCTATATCTGACTATTTCATTTTAGGATTAATAGACGTCTCTATTTGGATTGTAAAAATATTCACCACTTCTCACCATTTACTCAAAGGAGAGTTTGGATGCTAAATGATCCCAGAAGTCCCAGTCTAGACCAGAATTTATTTCTAAGGCTTAACATATGGCAGAAATCACTGCAGGTAAAGTTTATCTTAGATCCATCCTAGGAGACTTAATTAATCAAGCAATTAAGATAAATGAAATGAAATTATTTTAAAGTATTGTGACCACGTAGCCTAGTGAAAGGTGGAAGGTTCTGGAAATTGGTTCAGCTCTTCCACTGATGTGCATCACAAGAGATACCACCTGCGGACCACATTAATTTGTGAAGCTTTGAGGCTTCTGGCAACCAAAGAAAGCAGGTAAAAAGAATGGGCTCTGAGAAAATTGGATTTGGCCTTTCTCTACACTCTACTCTGTGTGTTTCTAAACACACAGCTTTCCCCAAATTCACACATATGCAGAAATAAGGGAAGATACCCAATGAGCACATGTGTGACTTAAAGGGCAAAAAAAGCTTCAAACTCAGCTGGGCTCATGTTGACAACTAAAAGCAAGGTTTATAACATATCAGAATGACGTCTCTTTGTATATATTTATATATTAAATATAGTACAATCCATATTTTGAGTAAAAGAATATAAATGTGCATCTATAAATATTCTATGGGCATTTCTCTAGGTGTATTGCATGAATATGTTTCATATAAAGTGTCACAGAAATTCATGTGTGGGTGGGGTCAATACAAAGGGAAAAGCAATAACTCAGTCCCTATAGAATATTGATTGGTTTTAATAGCTCTGCTTGAATCCCAGCCTAGAATTTACTAAAATCTTCTGGCTGAAAACATTATTAATAAAATTACTTACCTTGAAATTCTTTCTTGTTTCTAAAAATGCTATCAGACCCTGGAGAGCCCACCACTGCACCTTACTGCATACTTTAGACCTGAGAGTGTTCACATTTAGTTACCCATCAAGCAGAGAAAAGACAAACCCTAAAAGTCATTAATTTTGGAAACAGAAAAATGATGAGGAGAAAGAAAAGTATACAGTGAAGGTCTACATCGTTTATAGGTTCAAACTCTCAATTTTCCTTTCAGTAGGTGAAAAGAATTCTTTTTTTATTATTATTATACTTTAAGTTCTAGAGTACATGTGCACAACGTGCAGGTTTGTTACATACGTATACATGTGCCATGTTGGTGTGCTGCACCCATTAACTCATCATTTAACATTAGGTATATCTCCTAATGCTATCCCTCCCCACTCCCCCCACCCCACAACAGGCCCCCGTGTGTGATGTTCCCCTTCCTGTGTCCAAGTGTTCTCATTGTTCATTTCCCACCTATGAGTGAGAACATGCGGTGTTTGTTTTTTTGTCCTTGCAACAGTTTGCTGAGAATGATGCTTTCCAGCTTCATCCACGTCCCTACAAAGGACATGAACTCATCATTTTTATGGCTGCATAGTATTCCATGGTGTATATGTGCCACATTTTCTTAATCCAGTCTATCATTTTTGGACATTTGGGTTGGTTCCAAGTCTTTGCTATTGTGAATAGTGCCACAATAGACATACGTGTGCATGTGTCTTTATAGCCACATGACTTATAATCCTTTGGGTACATACCCAGTAATGGCATGGCTGGGTCAAATGGTATTTCTAGTTCTAGATCCCTGAGGAATCGCCACACTGTATTAAAGACTTAAATGTTAGACCTAAAACCATAAAAACCCTAGAAGAAAACCTAGGCAATAACCATTCAGGACATAGGCATGGGCAAGGACTTCATACCTAAAACACCAAAAGCAATGGCAACAAAAGCCAAAATTGGCAAATGGGATCTAATTAAACTAAAGAGCTTCTGCACAGCAAAAGAAACTACCATCAGAGTGAACAGGCAACCTACAGAATGGGAGAAAATTTTTGCCATCTACTCATCTGACAAAGGGCTAATATCCAGAATCTACAAATAACTCAAAACAAATTTACAAGAAAAAAAAAAACCCATCACAAAGTGGGTGAAGGATATGAACAGACACTTCTCAAAAGAAGCCATTTATGCAGCCAACAGACACATGAAAAAATGCTCATCATCACTGGCCATCAGAGAAATGAAAAGAAGAATTCTTAACCATTAATTGAAGAAACCCTCTAAGAATACTAGCTCTTAAGGTAAATAAATAAGACTTTAAAAACATTGCAATACTAATCTGGGGGAAATAAGTATTAACAAGTTTCTGATGCATTCTGAATTTTTAAATTTGAAATTTTCAAATGAATTTTAGCTTGCTGGTGTTGAAAATCAACATGTAAAAACATGAGTTCTTTTTATAGAACAAAGAAATTTGAAGATATTATCTGACCTTCCCTGGCCCTGCCACCCACAAAACTGTCTTTTCTTGAACAGTTAATAAACAAATAATTTTTTTTCTAAAATATATATGGAAGAAAATATCAAGGTGGATATATAATGAAATTGAATTTGAAAATTTTTAACTCACTTTCTGTGACCCCAAGTGTTAATTGTTTGATAAATCTATCAAAACAAGTTTAGTGTAGCAGGGCAGGGTGCCAGTAATGGCATTGTTTAGCATCGCTCATGTTGAAATAATTTATGAAATTGAAAATAGTGCTCTTACCAGATGTGCTCAAAATTATACAAAATGTTATGGAACAAGACTCTTTATGCTTTAGAGATATAGTCAGTACTAAAATATTTACTGGTGAAAGAATACACTGCCCAGAATTATCGTCAAAGAAATCCAGAAACAAGGGTTAAATTTGGAGGGAGTAATGGAGGAAACAAGGTTTGTTATGTAAGTGGAATAATAGGTATATGTGGGTATATTATACTATCACTCTCTATTTGAAATGTTACATAATTGTGTAAATCTTATGCAGATATTAAATATAGCATTGTTGAAGAAAAGAATGAAAATAAGTGAAGTATTCATCGTTGCAATTAAGAACTTATAAAAAGGTATCAAAAACTAATATCAAAATCATGCAAAGGTGGTCTGGGGTAGAAAAAAAGATATCTTATTTACTGTCTATCATTTTGCACTTTGTTTCCCGTGCATAAGCATTATTTTAAAGCACCGTGTTTTAAAAGTCACCAAAATGGTTAATCATTCTAAGTGATATTTTAGAAAGATATAATTGAACCTGCCAAAGAAAGTCAATAGTAAAAATTATAGTTAAAAAGATGACTTTAGTATAAAGAACCTTTTGGGACTGGGCATCAGTTTTAAATATTTCTTAAATTATAAATTTTTAGCCTATGTCTACATTCATGTTAAGATAACTGCAGTCTACTTTAAGCATTACTGTACATTTAGAAAATCTAGCCATAACTTTAAAAATAGTCATCATGAGGCTTGCATGTACTTTGTCACTAGCTTCTTTATTAAGTTTAATTTATTCAAATGAATATGTTTCTTGGAAATGTGGAAAAAGAAAAACTGACCAACAATAGAAAGGGGGTTATCATGGTCTATCCCAGATACCATCTCTTCTCTCAGGTACCCTAAGATAAATAGGTCCGGTATTGTAGAAGAGTAGAAATGTGCACTCATTTGTGGTTAAGAGAACAAAAGTGGCACTCACAGCCACTCTGTTCCATCAAAACGGATAGCATCTACGGAAGCAGTCAGAGAAGTTGAAGTGAGCTCTTTAATGGCCCAGGATTATAGAGAGAAGTGTCAGAACCAAGCATAAATCGGCATGAGCACATACTCCGGTTTTTCTTGAGATCATGTAAATCTTTTGTCTTTTATAATAGGCATGAGCAGCAATGAATGGACAGGCAGCAATATTAATGTATGCCATGTGCACAAGCTTGGTTTGCTAAGTCCTAATGAAAAAATAACCGGAGGGCATGGACTTTATTTCCTTTCCTTTAGTTTTCAGGACCTTAGTTTTTGACAATGATCAAGGAGTTGCAATAACTATGTCTTTTTTTCATCGTTTTACTCCAATTTCCCTAGATATTAAATGTTGCAATGGAAACATTGGTTTTAAAGGTTGCTCTATTTCTGTTTTTGATCATTAACATTCTCCACAGCATGCCTCAGGAAGTGTAAAATGAAATGTGCAGATTCTAATTCTTATTGATAAAATAATGAGGGAGCCAGAAAAAGGTCATAGATACCAGATTCATGAATGTACAATGTCATGTCTCATTTTGGGACTGATATCTCAGTTGCAATTTCTCTTGCTAACTTAATTCTTAAATCTCATTAAAATATTTCTTGTGTTTTATAAAGGGATAAAAATTTATTCATGGATTCCTGACACATTTGTACTCATGATAATTTTGTGTTCCATCCCATATGTGGAGATAAACAAATCATGATTACATTTTTAAAAATCAGTAACACTTCTGAGATTTTATAACATGACATATACATACATTGAAGTTTTCAATTGAAAATATTTATATAGAAAAACACTAAGAGTTTTATCCTATACAATATATAGGGGCAGATGGGCTAGTTCTCAGTGGCACACAGTAACTCTTAATTGTTATACTCTTTTCTCATTCCTTATTAGCGAATTGAGACTATATATGGATTTTCCCCTAGAGAAGGAAATGGAAGACTACATTTTGTATCTTTACTGTGTGCCAATATTTTGTTTTTCTATGCACATCATTTAATGTCATGGAAACCTTGTGAGGATGGTGGCAACCTCAGTTTACAAATGAGCAATATGAAACAGAGGAATTAAGTAAATTGCTTGAGAGTGCTCAGCTGGTGACTTAAACTCAATCTAACAGATTCCAAATCTATACATCTCATCTCTACTACGACATACTCATTTCCATAGTACTTTTCATGTGGAACTAGGAATATGTGTACTAGAAATTTTAATATTGTTTATTTATTCAAGATGAAAGGACAGGAGTAGTGTCTCAAGCCTGTAATCTCAGTGCTTTGAGAAGTTGAGGTGGGAGGATCACCTGGACAACATAGCAAGACCCCATCTCTACAAAACAAAAAGGTCAAAGTGCACACTCACAAACCAATACAGGTAGTCTTCAAAAACATTCTGCTCTATTAAAATTTTAGAATCTTTGTCACCGTTAAAGTTTTCATTAATAAAATGAATAGGAAAACTAACAAGTGTTTAACCTAGGTATCACTTTGATTCATTATCACAATTAAACTATATTGAGAGTAAAAGTTATATAAAATCTGAACATAGACTAAAATTAGGTGTCAGTTTGTAAGGTATAAGGTTGAAAAATTCAATAGACTGATGTATTCTCTAAAGGGTGTCTTAGTTTAAGGGGCAGAAACTGCTGGCTCGCACCAGAATGAACATGCGTTGAAGGAGTCCCTCTTATCTCTACAGAGGCTATTTGGCTTTATTCCTCCTATATGTATGGGAGACTCTCAGCCAACCAAGAGCTGCACACACCATGCCACCCGCCTTAAGAAGTGAGCAACTATCATCATAAGATGATTCACAGCATACTGAAAAAAAAATTGTTTCAATTAACAATTGCTATTTCTTTTTTTTTTTTTTTCAATTATTAGCTTTTACTGTTCCCTTTCCTATTGGTTTCTTATAGCCTTTGAGACAACTTGCACTCAAAGCCTGCTAAGAGAAGCAAGCTGGGAAAATCACAGGCATTTCCCACAACCAATATGCCCAGAGTGCAATGAAATTTTACAGCTGAGATCTGAGCTGTAGGCCTAATGTGTCTGCTGGCAAACGGTATTCAGTATTCTACTTTCTCTCATCCCTTCCCTCCTGGCCCCAGCCACACTGTGGAATTCCAAAAGTGTCTCATAACACTATTCAGTTCTAAATTAGTCTTCATAAATCTTTTTCATAGCTTCATCTACTTTCATCAGCAATTTGTGATTGCCCCTTCAAAACCTTTTTACAAATGTCTTTCTCATAGCTGTCCTTATACAGCAATTTCACTGACAGTTAAGATGGGGAAGACTATTAAACATCCAAATAGCAGCTCTTCCTTCAAGTTCTTTTGTCATCATGGTTACAAACTCATCTTCCCAGCACATATTCTCTGTAGACTGGCCAAAGAAGCTAAGATTTCCAAGTGGTATTTCTGAGTTGTATGTGAAAGTGATATGCATGCCATTATTTGAGTTGAGGTTTTCATAAAAACAATGATCTGCCTTACATTTGGAAGAGGCTGTCAACCATACTAACCAGTTTAAATAATAGTAAACCATAATAAGAAGCTGGGAAAACTCACCATCCAAGCACTGCCTAATAATTAAGTAGGGCTAGTTAATGCCTAATTACTCACCTAAGCAGCCTGAAACGTTCTGAACTATCAGGGTGGAAGTTCTTGTTAAAAAGGTATAGGGGGGCCCGGCGCGGTGGCCACGCCTGTAATCCCAGGACTTCGGGAGGCCGAGTCGGGCGGATCACGAGATCAGGAGATGGAGACCATCCTAACTAACATGGTGAAACCCCGTCTGTACTAAAACTACAAAAATTTAGCTGGGCGTGGTGGCCGGCGCCTATAGTCTCAGCTACTACGGAGGCTGAGGCAGGAGAATGGCGTAAACCCGGGAGGCGGAGCTTGCAGTGAGCCGAGATCAGCCACCGCACTCCAGCCTGGGCGACAGAGCGAGACTCCGTCTCAAAAAAAAAAAAAAAAAAAAGTGTAGGGGAAGGGAAGACAACGTGAGAAGAGGCTCCTCCTTCATCTCCCCACCAGCCCAGCCACGAGGCTTGCTTGCCTCTTCTACCATCAGTGCTAATCAGCTTTATTACCTAGTCAAGTCCTCAGGCTGAGGGTGAAGCTAATCAACCCAGGATGACATCGAATTGCCTTTTGTTTCGTTTTAAAATCTATTTTACATTATCCCTCACTTTTCCTCTTCATCCTACCTTGATGCCACCATTACCTTGGTTCATCAAAATTCATGATACTTTGGTCTTTTGGATGGGTATAATAATAACAAGTGTTAATATTAAATGCTTCTGTGTAAATATTTTTTATATATATTTTAGCCTCACAACAACAGTTAGAATTTTAATCATCAACATTTTATAGATGATGAACCATGACTTATGGAATGGTAGGTATCTAAACTAAATCAACTGCTAAGAATGGAGCCAACTGAAGTGCAAGGTTTTTATTCCAAAGCTCTCTTTTGCTTTCACTATGTTATACTAGCTCTCTTTGACAGAAAAAGGTGATCCAGTCAGGGAGATTCTCATTAGCCACAGAGTAAGTTTTCATCACAGAATGTGAATCTCTATTTAAATATGCCTAATTCAGTAGCTCCTGTATATGATAATACAGTAGCGTCCCCTTATCCATGATCGGGCCACTGCACTCCAGCCTGGGCAACAGAGTAAGACCCCATCTCAAAAAAAGAAAAAGAAAAAAGAAAGCCAAGGAAAGAAAATCAATTTGCAAGTTAACTGTGACACTTTTTAAATAAAACCTTGATGACTCAAAACCAACATTAAAAATGTTACATTCTAGAAAAGAAAACAAGGATGACACTCATAAAATTAGTACAAATATCCACACCACATAGCCCTAATAGATGGGGTTGTCCAATTTCAAAGGAATTAAAGAGCTTTCCAATGGTCTTATAAATTTCTAATGGCACTGTGATGGTTAATATTGAGTGTCAACTTGATTGGATTGAAGGATGCAAAGTATTGTTCCTGGGTGTGTCTATGAGGGTGTTGCCAAAGGAGATTAACATGCGAGTCAGTGGACTAGGAGAGGCGGACACACCCTGAATCTGGGTGGGCACCATCTAATCAGCTGCCAGTGCACCTAGGATAAAAGCAGGCAGACGAACGTGGAAGGACTAGCCTGGCTAAGTCTCCTTGCCTCCATCTTTCTTCCATGCTGGATGCTTCCTGCCCTCAAACATCAGACTCCTAGTTTTTCAGCTTTTGGACTTTTGGACCTATACCAGTGATTTGCCAGGGCCTCTAGGGCCTTCGGCCTCAGACTGAAAGCTGCCCTGTAGGCTTCCCTACATTTGAGGTTTGGGGACTCATACTGTCTTCTTTGCTCCTCATCTTGCACAGAGTCTATTGTGGGACTTCACCTTGCAATTGTGTTGAGTCATTACTCCTTAATAAACTCACTTTCATATATACATCTGTCCTGTTAGTCCTGTCCCTCCAAAGAACCCTGACTAATACAGGCACATCTCATAAGTCTAACAGATTAAAAACTTTATGCTCCTTTTAATGATGCCTTCAGCCATTGTGCTAACACTGTTTTCTCAAATATTAAATGCTACATACTCTGTACATGCAAATAAACAAGTTCTACAAAATGGTAGACAGTTTTACCGTGGTGGGTCCTCTCCTTCTTCTAGTAGGCCTCTGACTGCCATCACTACCTCCACCCCCTCCCCTTTCCCTCCTGAGTCTATTGATGTCACAGCATAATGATTCTATGAGATATGGTCTTCTCAGTTTATTATTAGAGTTTTAGTTTCAATAAAATTTATCTTTCCAGCACCTTAGATCATTAAAAACTTTCTCAAGCCAGGTGACAGTTGACTGGTGAATATTTTATATACCACAGCGACGTAAGTAGACAACTTAGTTTCTGCAAATCAGGTTGTAACCAAAAACTCTCCTGGACAGAGCTAGTTCATCCTATCCAGTACAAAGACAGGCATCCTGAGTACAAAAGTCATGGAAGTAGAACCTGGGTCAGTGAGGTTTCCCAGACTGCCATTTTCCAAAGGAATTACTGGGTCATAGTCATGTTGAAGAGCGAGCAACTTTTCTACTTTTTCTGTTTCTCGGTAAAGAGGCAAGACAGTTACAAATATATGAGTTTAAATCATGCTTCAACTCTTACCAGCCAGGTGGTTGAGATAGGTACTAACTCTCTCCCTCCCTGAAACCCTTTTTCAATTTTATCTGTAGAATAATAAGACTACCCACCTCAGGGTAAAGGTTAAGCAAGATAATGAACGTAAAACTCCTAGTACGATACCTAAGCTATAGAAGATGCTCAGAAAATGTGCATTCTTCATATCTCAATTTATAAATAAATATTCTGGCCATTCACTGGCAAATTATGGCATTTTATCCTGTTTTTACGATGCCTATCCAACACATCGGAGGATATTCATTTTAAATGATTAGTTAAAATTTGGGAATGCATAATAATGTTTTCTTTCCACTAACCAAGATGATTTAAGTTAGGGTGCACAAAAGTGGACATTGAAAAGACAGAAGTTTGAAAGATAAAACAATGCAGGAAAGTGACCAAGGAAGTAATGTGATTAATAGAATTGACAATCAAAACAATTTAGGTAGTTTCTGAGTAAATAATGTGAGAGTGTCTTGCCTGAGCAAATATGTTCTAAGTGCAAGATACTTGTGTGTTTGCAGATTATATGAAGCCAACATTGATTTTAAAACTGGATAACTGGCTATGTGACCTTAAAAACAGAGTCATCATTCAACTTCTGTTAATTCAGTATGAGATCTTATATATGAACTATGATTACAAAATCCATGTTTGGTAATAATATAACTATAAATGCTACAAGGGATATCTGTGCCCTTTTACATAAAACATAGAAAAAGCATTTAATGTAATTATTAGCACATATTCATCAGCATGGATATAGAAAATGAAGAATTGCAGTAGTTCCCTCTTATCCACGGTTTCACTTATCCAATTTCAGTTACCTGAGGACAACTGCAGTCTGAATATTAAATGGAAAATTCCAGAGGTGAGCAATTCAGAAGTTTAAAATAGTGAGCCATTCTGACTAGCATAATGAAATCTCACTCTGTCCCCTGAGTCCTGCTCTGGATGAGACCATCCCTTTGTCCTGTATACACAACTGTACACACAACCCACCTGTTAGTCACTTAGTAGCTGTCTGGGTTATCAGGTTGACTGCCGAGATATTACATTGTTTGTGTTCAAGTAACCCTTAATAATGGCCCCAAAGAACAAGAGAAGTAATACTAGCCTATTTCTGTAATTGTCCTACTTTATTAGTTATTGTTGTAAACCTCTTACTGTTCTTAGTGTATAAATTAGACTTTATCATAGGTATGTATATATAGGAAAAATAATACTGTATATACAGATACTCCTTAACTTACACTGGGGTTACAAACTGTTATATCAATTATAAACTGAAAATATAATAAGTCAAAACTGCATTTGAACTTACAGTATTTTTCAACTTATGATGGGTTTATCGGGACATAACTCCCTCATAAGTCAAAGAGCACACTAAATGCATATCACTTTCACACCATCATGAAGTTTAAAAACTGTAAATCAAACCATCATAAGTCAGGAACTGTCTGTTTATGGTTCAGTACTAGCCAAGGTTTCAGACATCTACTGGGGGTCTTGGAAGTTATCCCCATAGATAAGGGGAAACTACTGTACATGCAATTAATTATAAATACCATCCCTCAGAACACATGTTTGGCAGTTTTCTTGTCTCCCATAAAGGAAATTAGCAGGTAATTAAAGCCTTTAATTTTTTTTCTGAGTGAATTTTGCATATTGGAGAACTGGAAAAAAATTATCCCTCTTGCATGATAACTAGCAAACAAATCTTCCTCGGGTCCAAAATGCTAATCGGCCAGAGCCTAGCAAATGTATTCATGTACCTAAGAGACATGAAAAAGTAAAACTCTGTGCATACTCATCCCCACAGACAAAGATTTCAACAGACTTTCCATGATGTTTTGGGTTACAAAAATGCCCAGAGAACACCTACATATAATACGATGTCATAAAACCCCACACCACATCTGAATGTGATAATTCAATCACAGCCAGATTTCAGGGGTTAGAACAATGTTCTAGAAAATGGTGCCTTTCTGGTTACCAGCAACTTTCTCCCTCATAATCCAAGAGTAGAGTAGATGAACTAATCTAGGGCTCCTTAGGAGAGACTCTGGTGAAAGAAAGATCAATTAAGCCTTTAGTCTAAAAACTAGGATCTGCCACAGCCTCTAATAATTGTGCTTAATTACCTCAACAGCAGGGAGTATGCCATTGCCAGAAACATAAGCCAAGATAATGGTGCTAGAGTTTGCACGGTTTAGTTTAAGCTTCAGTTATATCATTCACCCACCTTTTACAAACCTTCACCTTGGCAAATTTGGGTAAGTCAAGTTGGAATCGAGTTAGCATTGGGAAATCTGTGAAGCTCATGAAGTTTGAATGCAAACACTCTCAACTTGCTTTCTACCATCATTTTTTTTCTTTTTTTCTTTCTTCTTTTTTTTTTTTTTTTTTTTTTTTTTTGAGATAGAGTCTCACTCTGTTGTCCAGGCTAGAGAGTGCAGTGGTACGAACTGGGCTCACTGAAGCTTCTGCCTCCTGGGTTTAAGTGATTCTCCTGCCTCAGCCTCCCAAGTAGCTGGGATTACAGGTGCCCGCCACCACACTCAGCTAATTTTTGTATTTTTAGTAGAGACTGGGTTTCACCATGTTGGCCAGGCTGGTCTTGAACTCCTGACATCAAGTGATCTGCCCACCTCGGCCTCCGAAAGTCCTGGGATTACAGGCGTGAGCCACTGTGCCCAGCCTACTTCTGTTTTTATAACCTTCTTTATAGCTTTGATGAACCTTCTGATTCATTCAATGTACCTAAAAAAAATCTAACTCTCTTAGGTTTCATTTTGCAGGCAATTGAGTAAATTGATCTAAATAACTTGTTTCTTCCCAAGCAGCTAATATGTTCTGAGTCCATTGGAAGCACTAGGAATACAATATTGCTAAGACATCATATTACCCTAAAGGACTTTGTCTAATTTGGAGGAGAAGGTAGACATATGAAACAACTGCTGAAGAAGTGTACAATAAAATGTTAAAGTAACTCAAATTGTATATGAAAAAGTACGTAGAGAAGTAGGAAATCAGTGTGAAACTGCAAAGTGGAATAATTTTTGGAAGAGGTGAGACTAGAATTAAACTTTGAAGCCTGAGAAGAATGTGGTATGGGGAGAAGGCATTGCAGATGGAAAACAATTAAATTATAATAATATTAAAATAGAAGCTAGTGAATATAATACCATCCTGCTTAAACAAAATGTGGCTTTTTATTGAGCTTTCATTTCTTCATCTCAAACAATAGTGATATAGAGTCAGGTGTCACTTAATGTTGAGTGTCAGGCCTCTGAGCCCAAGCTAAGCCATTATATCCCCTGTGACCTGCATGTACACATCCAGATGGCCAGTTCCTGCCTTAACTGATGACATTCCACCACAAAAGAAGTGAAAATGGCCTGTTCCTGCCTTAACTGATGACATTACCTTGTGAAATTCCTTCTCCTGGCTCATCCTGGTTCAAAAGCTCCCCCGCTGAGCACCTTGTGACCCCCAACCCTGCCCGCCAGAGAACAATCCCCCTTTTTCCTTTACCTACCCAAATCTTATAAAACGGCCCCACCCCTATCTCCCTTCGCTGACTCTCTTTTCGGACTCAGCCTGCCTGCACCCAGGTGAAATAAACAGCCTTGTTGCTCACACAAAGCTTGTTTGGTGGTCTCTTCACACAGACATGCATGAAATTTGGTGCTGTGACTCAGATAGGGGGACCTCCCTTGGGAGATCAATCCCCTGTCCTCCTGCTCTTTGCTCCGTGAGAAAGATCCACCTACAACCTCGGGTCCTCAGACTGACCAGCCCAAGGAACATCTCACCAATTTAAAATCCAGTAAGCAGCCTCTTTTTACTCTCTTCTCCAACCTCCCTCACTATCCCTCAACCTCTTTCTCCTTTCAATCTTGGCACCAGCTTTCAGTCTCTCCCTTCTCTTAATTTCATTTCCTTTCGTTCTCTGGTAAAGACAACTCAGGAGATGCGTTTTATCCATGAACCCAAAACTCCGGCGCAGGTCACGGACTCGGGAAGGCAGTCTTCCCTTGGTGTTCAATCATTGTGGGGGATGCCTGCCTGATTATTCACCCATATTTCACAGGTGTCTGACCATGCAGGGATGCCTGCCTGATTATTCACCCATGTTTCAGTGGTGTCTGACCACGCGGGGACTCCTGCCTTGGTCCTTGACCCTTAGTGGCAAGTGTCACTTTTCTGGGGGTCAAGAACCCCCCGACCCCTTCTCTCCATATCTCTACCCCTTCTCCACTTTCCTGGGGGGCAAGCACCCCTCACCCCTTCTCTCCGTGTCTCTACCCTCTCTTTTCTCTGGACTTGCCTCCTTCACTATAGGCAAACTTCCACCCTCCATTCTTCCTTCTCCCTTAGCCTGTGTTCTCAAAGACTTAAAACCTCTTCAACTCACACCTGACCTAACACCTAAATGCCTTATTTTCTTCTGCAAATGCCACTTGACCCCAATACAAACTTGACAGTGGTTCCAAATAGCCAGAAAACAGTACTTTCGATTTTTTCCATCCTACAAGATCTAAATAATTCTTGTCATAAAATGGGCAAATGGTCTGAGGTGCCTGATATCCAGGCATTCTTTTACACCTTGTTCCTCCCTAGTCTCCGTTCCCAATGCAACTCATCCCAAATCTTCCTTCTTTCCCTTCCGCCTGTCCCCTCAGTCCCAACCCCAAGCATTGCTGAGTCTTTCCTCTTTCCAATCTTCCTTTTCTACAGACCAATCTGACCTCTCCCCTCCTCCCCAGGCTCCTCCTCGCCAGGCCGAGCTAGGTCTCAATTCTTCCACAGCCTCTGCTCCTCCACCCTATAATCCTTTTATCATCTCTCCTCCTCACACCTGGTCCGGCTTACAGTTTCATTCCGTGACTAGCCCTCCCCCACCTGCCCAGCAATTTCCTCTTAAAAAGGTGGCTGGAGCTAAAGGCATAGTCAAGGTTAATGCTCCTTTTTCTTTATCCGACCTCTCCCAAATCAGTTAGTGTATAGGCTCTTTCATCAAATATAAAAACCCAGCCCAGTTCATGGCTTGTTTGGCAGCAACCCTGAGACACTTTACAGCCCTAGACCCTGAAAGGTCAGAAGGTCGTCTTATTCTCAATATGCATTTTATTTTATTACCCAATCTGCTCCAGACATTAAACAAAACTCCAAAATTTAAATTCCAGCCCTCAAACCCCACAACAGGACTTAATTAACCTCACTTTCAAGGTGTACAATAATAGAGTAGAGGCAGCCAAGTAGCAATGTATTTCTGAGTTGCACTTCCTTGCCTCAACCATGAGACAAACCCCAGCCATATCTCCAGCACACAAGAACTTCCAAACGCCTGAACCACAGCAGTCAGGCATTCACCCAGGCCTGCCTCCCCCAGGAGCTTGCTAGAAGTGCCAGAAATCTGGCCACTGGGCCAAGGAATGCCCACAGCCCAGGATTCCTCCTAAGCCATGTCCCATCTGTGCGGGACCCCACTGAAAATCAGACTGTTCAACTCACCTGGAAGCCACTCCCAGAGCCCCTGGAACTTTGGCCCAAGGCTCTCTGACTCCTTCCCAGATCTTCTTGGCTTAGCGGCTGAAGACTAACGCTGCCCTATTGCCTTGGAAGCCCCCTAGACCATCACGGATGCCGATCTTCGGGTAACTCTCACAGTGGAGGGTAAGTCCGTCCCCTTCTTAATCAATACGGAGGGTAAGTCCGTCCCCTTCTTAATCAATACAGAGGCTACTCACACCACATTACCTTCTTTTCAAGGGCCTGTTTCCCTTGCCTCCATAACTGATGTGGCTATTGACGGCCAGGCTTCTAAACCTCTTAAAACTCCCCTATTCTGGTGCCAACTTAGACAATGCTCTTTTAAGCACTCCTTTTAGTTATCCCCACCTGCCCAGTTCCCTTATTAGGTGGAGACACTTTAACTAAATTATCTGCTTCCCTGACTATTCCTGGGCTACAGCCACACCTCATTGCCGCCTTTTCCCCCAGTCCAAAGCCTCCTTCACATCCTCCCCTTATATCTCCCCACTTTAACCCACAAGTATGGGATACCTCTACTTCTACTCCCTCCTTAGCGACTGATCATGCACTCCTTACCATCCCATTAAAACCTAATCACCCTTACCCCACTCAAGGCCAATATCCCATCCCGCAGCACGCTTTAAAAGGATTAAAGCCTGTTATCACTCGCCTGTTACAGCATGGCCTTTTAAAGCCTCTAACTCTCCTTACAATTCCCCCATTTTATCTGTCCAAAAACCAGACAAGTCTTACAGGTTAGTTCAGGATCTGCGCCTTATCAACCAACTTGTTTTGCCTATCCACCCCATGGTGCCAAACACATATACTCTCCTATCCTAAATATCTCCCTCCACAAACCCATTATTCTATTCTGGATCTCAAACATGCTTTCTTTACTATTCCTGTGCACCCTTCACCCCAGCCTCTCTTCACTTTCACTTAGACTGACCCTGACACCCATCAGGCTCAGCAAATTACCTGGGCTGTACTGCCGCAAGGCTTCACTGACAGCCCCCATTACTTCAGTCAAGCCCAAATTTCTTCCTCATCTGTTACCTATCTCGACATAATTCTCATGATAACATGCTCTCCCTGCTGATCATGTCCAGCTAATCTCCCAAACCCCAATCCCTTCTACAAAATAACAACTCCTTTCCTTCCTAGGCATGGTTAGTGCAGTCAGAATTCTTACACAAGAGCCCAGGCAGCACCCTGTAGCTTTTCTGTCCAAACAACTTGACCTTACTGTTTTAGCCTAGCCCTCATGTCTGCGTGCAGCAGCTGCCACTGCCTTAATACTTTTAGAGGCCCTCAAAATCACAAACTATGCTCAACTCACTCTCTATAGTTCTCATAACTTCTGAAATCTATTTTCTTCCTCACACCTGACGCATATACTTCCTGCTCCCCTCCACTGCCTCTCAGTAAGCCAAACTCATTGCCTTAACTCAAGCCCTCACTCTTGCAAAAGGACTACGTGTCAATATTTGTACTGACTCTTAAATATGCCTTCCATATCTTGCACCACCATGCTGTTACATGGGCTGAAAGAGATTGCCTCACTACGCAAGGGTCCTCCATCATTAATGCCTCTTTAATAAAAACGCTTCTCAAAGCCACTTTACTTCCAAAGGAAGCTGGAGTCATTCACTGCAAAGGCCCAAAAGGCATCAGATCCCATCACTCAGGACAACGCTTATGCTGATAAGGTAGCTAAAAAAGCAGCTAGCGTTCCAACTTCTATCCCTCACTTTCAGTTTTTCTCCTTCTAATCTGGCCACTCCCACCTACTCCCCCATTGAAACTTCCGCCTATCAATCTCTTCCCACACAAGGCAAATGGTTCTTAGACCAAGGAAAATATCTCCTTCCAGCCTCACAGGCCCATTCTATTCTGTTGTCATTTCATAACCTCTTCCATGTAGGTTACAAGCCACTAGCCTGCCTCTTAGAACCTCTCATTTCCTTTCCATCATGGAAATCTTTCCTCAGGGAAATCACTTCTCAGTGTTCCATCTGCTATTCTGCTACTCCTCAGGAGTTTCTCAGGCCCTTCCCTTCCCTACACATCAAGCTCGGGGATTTGCCCCCGCCCAGGACTGGCAAATTAACTTTACTCACATGCCTCAAGTCAGGAAACTAAAATACCTCTTGGTCTAGGTAGATACTTTCACTGAATGGGTAGAGGCCTTTCCCACAGGGTCTGAGAAGGCCACTGCGGTCATTTCTTCCCTTCTGTCAGATATAATTCCTCGGTTTGGCCTTCCCACCTCTATACAGCCCGATAACGGACTGGCCATTATTAGTCAAATCACCCAAGCAGTTTTTCAGGCTCTTGGTATTCAGTAAAACCTTTATATCCCTTACAGTCCTCAGTCTTCAGGAAAGGTAGGATGAAGTAATGGTCTTTTAAAAACACACCTCACCAAGCTCAGCCACCAACTTAAAAAGGACTGGACAATACTTTTATCACTTTCCCTTCTCAGAAGTCGGGCCTGTCCTCGGAATGCTACAGGGTACAGCCCATTTAAGCTCCTGTATAGACGCTCCTTTTTATTAGTCCCCAGTCTCATTCCAGACACCAGACCAACTTGGGCTGTGCCCCAAAAAACTTGTCATCCTACTATCTTCTGTCTAGTCATACTCCTATTCACCATTCTCAACTACTTATAAATGCCCTGCTCTTATTTACACTGCTGGTTTACGCTGTTTCTCCAAGCTGTCACAGCTGATATCTCCTGGTGCTATCCCCAAACCGCCACTCTTAACTCTTAAAGTAAATAAATAATCTTTGCTGGCAAGGCTATGCTGAATCTCCTTGGGCACTCTCTAATTAGATGTCCTGGGTCCTCCCAATTCTTAGTCCTTTAATACCTGTTTTTCTCCTTCTCTTATTCCGTTTAGTTTTTCAATTCATACAAAACCATATCCAGGCCATCACTAATAATTCTACATGACAAATGTTTCTTCTAACAACCCCACAATATCACCCCTTACCACAAAATCTTCCTTCAGCTTGATCTCTCCCACTTTAGGTTCCCACGTCACCCCTAATCCCGCTCAAAGCAGCCCTGAGAAACATCGCCCATTATCTCTCCATACCACCCCCAAAAATTTTTGCCACCCCAACACTTTACCACTATTTTGTTTTATTTTTCTTATTAATATAAGAAGACAAGAATGTCAGGCCTCTGAGCTAAAGCTAAGCCATCATATCCCCTGTGACCTGCACATACACATCCAGATGGCCAGTTCCTGCCTTAACTGATGACATTCCACCACAAAAGAAGTGAAAATGGTCTGTTCTTGCCTTAACTGATGACATTACCTTGTGAAATTCCTTCTCCTGGCTCATCCTGGCTCAAAAGATCCCCTGCTGAGCACCTTGTGACCCCCACCCCTGCCCACCAGAGAAGAATCCCCCTTTTTCCTTTACCTACCCAAATCTTATTGTGGGTTATCAATATGGCATAAAATTAGGGAAATGGAAAAAGGAGAAGATATATGAAAGAAAGGTCTGAACTACTGTATAATTTTTTAAGGTTTCCTTCAATACACTCTTACAATAGGCTAGAGAATCTCCTATTCAACATCTTCATTTACCATTTTTCCAGCTCCTGATTTACAGACCATTCTATTACTCTAGAGTAAAGCGTACAAACCTCCTTCTGTCTTCTACAACTCACCAGTCACAGAGCCCAAGACTTTCTGCAGCTGGTTGTTCTTCTCCTCTTTCAGTCTTCAGGGACTAAATTTAGTGCTTAATGAGATGTCTTGAATGCACTCACTTCTGCAGGCGATCCATGCCAGAGCTAATGTACATTCATGTAAATGAAGATAGTCCTGGGAATCCCTAGAAACCAGATAATCAAATTAAATGTTCCGCATGTTTTCTTAAGAAGGAGTTTACAGTGACAAAAAGATGCCCAGACCATGACAAACGTTCTGCAGGAGACATTTCCAAACAGTTCAGATTTGAACAAGTTATTCTGAAGCAAATTAAGTAGGTTTTGTCATTGTAATGCAAAGCCATGGGGTCCACTTTGTTTTGTTTTGTTTTGCTTTTGGGAGGCAGAGGGAGGTGCCACACACTTTTTAAAAACAATTTTTTATTTCCATAGGTTTTTGGGGAACAGGTGGTGTTTGCTTTCATGAGTAAATTCTTAGCGGTGATTAGTGAGATTTTGGTGCACCCATCACCCAAGCAGTATACACTGAACCCAATTTGTGGTCATTTATCCCTCACCTCCTCCCACTCTTTTGCCTGAGTCCCCAGAGTCCATTGTATCATTCTATGCCTTTGCATCCTCATAGTTTAGCCTCCACTTATAAGTGAGAATATACAATGTTTGGTTTTCCATTCCTTGTAGTTCCATCCAGATTGCTGCAAATGCTTGATGGGCATTTGGAGTAGACCCATACTTATGCAATTGCGAATTGTGCTGCCATAAATATGCATGTGCAAGTATCTTTTTCGTATAATGGTTTCTTTTCCTCTGGATAGATACCCAGTAGTGGAATTGCTGGATCAAATGGTAGTTCTACTTTTAGTCCTTTCAGGAATCTCCAAACTGTTTTCCAAAGTGATTGCACTAGTTTACTTTCCCATCAGCGGTATAGAAGTGTTCCCTGTTCACCCCATCCATGCCAACATCTATTATTTTTTTATTTTTTTTATTATGGCCATTCTTGCAGGAGTAAAGTGGTATTGCATTGTGGTTTTGATTTGCATTTCCCTGATCGTTAGTGATGTTGAGCATTTTTCCATATGTTTGTTGGCCATGTGTATATCTTCCTTTGAGAACTGTCTGTTCAAGTCCTTAGCCCACTTTTTGATGGGATTGTTTGTTTTTCTCTTGCTGATTTGAGTTCCTTGTAGATTCTGCATATTAGTCCATTGTCAGATGCGTAGATTACAAAGATTTTCTCCCACTCTGTGGGTTGTTTACTCTGTTGACTGTTTCTTTTGCTATGCAGAAGCTTTTTAGTTTAATTAAGTCCCATCTATTTGTCTTTGTTTTTGTTGCATTTGCTTCTGGGTTCTTGGTCTTTGCCTAAGCCAATATCTAGAAGGGTTTTTCTGATGTTATCTTCTAGAATTTTTATGGTTTCAGGTCTTCAATTTAAGTCCTTGATCCATCTTGAGTTGATTTTTGTATAAGGTGAGATATGAGGATCGAGTTCATTCTTCTACATGTGGCTTGCCAATTATCCCAGCACCATTTGTTGAATAGGGTGTCCTTTCCCCACTTTATGTTTTTGATTGCATTGTCAAAGATCATTGGCTGTAAGTATTTGGGTTTATTTCTGGGTTCTTTATTCTGTTCCATTTGTCTATGTGCCTATTTTTATACCAGTACCATGCTGTTTTGGTGACTATAGCCTTAGAGTATAGTTTGAAATCAGGCAATGTGATTCCTCCAGATTTGTTCTTTTTGCTTAGTCTTGCTTTGGCTATGCAGGCTCTTTTTTGGTTCCATATGAATTTTCGGATTATTTTTCTAGTTCTGTGAAGAATGATGGTGGTATTTTGATGGGAATTGCATTGAATTTGTATATTGCTTTTGGTAGGATGGTCATTTTCACAATATTGATTCTACCCATTCATGAGCATGGAGTGTGTTTCCATTTGTTTGTGTCATCTGTGATTTCTTTCAGCAGTGTTTTGTAATTTTCCTTGTAGAGGTCTTTCACCTCCTTGGTTAGGTGAATTCCTAGGTTTTTTTTGTTTTTTTTTTTTTTTTGCATCTATTGTAAAAGAGGTTGAGTTCTTGATTTAGTTCTCAGCATGGTTGCTGTTGGTGTATAGAAGAGCTACTGATTTGTGCACATTGATTTTGTATTCTGAAACTTTGCTGAATTCATTTATCAGTTCTAGAAGCCTTTTGGAGGAGTCTATGGTTTTCTAGGCATAGGATCATATCATCAGCAATAAGGAACCGTTTGACTTCCTCTTTACCAATTTGGATGTTCTTTATTTCTTTTTCTTGTCTGATTGCTCTGGTTTCTTGTCTGATTGCTAGGACTTCCAGTACAATGTTGAATAGAAGCACTGAAAGTGGGCATCCTTGTCTTGTTCCAGTTCTCAGAGGGAATGCCTCTGAACCTCACAGGTTACATGCTGAACCCCACAGAAGGCAACATATCTCATCACAAAGGGTAACATGTCTCAGATGTGGATCTAACCCTATTTGCTTTTTATTGCTTTATCAGAGCAGAGTGTTTTCTCTTTTAAAACAAACCAGTACCCCCACACACACACACACACACACAAACATATGCTTTTGTTGTATATGTTTTGTCAAGGGTCATAGTCTAAGCATCTGGACAAGATTTAAAAAAAAAAAACTTTGCATAACGTGACATTTTCATCTCAAAAATATTAATGCCTTCCTGTATACTAGCCATGACACTCAAATAATGAGTTGATAACTGAAAATTTTAGTTAAAACCTGTTTTGGTATCAGATAAAAAAATTAAAATCTGGTTGCTTTTCTGAATTCAGAACCAATTGAGAGGTTAGTTTATTTTTAAAGCTGAATTTTATCAAACAGCTATTTGTGTGGAAAATACACTTTCCATGTGGAACTACTTGCAGGACTAAAGGACAGCTTTATTGTGGGAAACTCGGTAAAATGCAGATTCCAATTTAGTAGGCCTGCAGTGGGCCTGAGAGTCTACAATTCCTAACAAGCTCCCAGGTGTTGATGCTGCTGGTACACCAGCCACACCTGGAGCAGAAAGACTAGCCATGACACTCAAATAATGAGTTGATAACTGAAAATTTTAGTTAAAACCTGTTTTGGTATCAGATAAAAAAATTAAAATCCAGTTGCTTTTCTGAATTCAGAACCAATTGAGAGGTTAGTTTAGTTTTAAAGCTGAATTTTATCAAACAGCTATTTGTGTGGAAAATACACTTTCCATGTGGAACTGCTTACAGGACTAAAGGATAGCTTTATTGTGGGAAACTCGGTAAAATGCAGATTCCAATTTAGTAGGCCTGGGGGGGGCCTGAGAGCCTACAATTCCTAACAAGCTCCCAGGTGTTGATGCTGCTGGTACACCAGCCACACCTGGAGCAGAAAGACTGTGGAATGTGGAGCGTGGAGCATGATTTTAAATCTTTCAGAGACTGATCTTCTCATCTGCCACCACATCCTGTATGAATCAAGTAAAATATCTACTACTTTAGTAAAATATATCTACATAATATACAACTGTGCAATCATACAAAAGAAAAACTGTGACTGGTTTATAATGAGTATTGATGCTTTGTAATAATTAGCTAATATTTTTCTCTTTGCGTTTCCTCCCAAATGAAGAAGCAGATACAAAAAAAAGGCGGCTGGGTGTGGGAGTGGGGGAGAGGGGGAAGCTTGTTTTGACTCTAATGAACTCTGACTCAATTTCTAATGTTTGACTACCGACAGCTGTCAATCCCACCCACTCCTCTTTCCCTTCTGCCCTACAATTGTCGAGCAAAGAAAGCCTGGGTTCTCTCTCATTTGCTACCTGTAGGAAGTTGAAACCAGGTAAGTCTCTGTCTTCCTGTGAACCCTCAACTGGCCCTACACTCTAAACCCAGTAAGCACCCCAAGCCAGTCTCCTTTCCCAGATCTCTCAAGTCATTTTTTAACATCCTTGGGAGTTTTACTGCTGTCCCTATAAAGCCTCATGATATAAGCAGTTAAGCTTTTTATAACTTGTGGTACATGTGTGCTATCATTATTCTGGACATATGAATCAGATTTTTGGTGAGGATCCATTTTGTCTCTGCAGAGTGTCCAAATAGACTGCCTTCAGACATATGTGTAACCAGTAACAAAACAGAGGAAAATATTTCATTTAATTTGAAATTGATGTTTGAACTGGAATGGATGGATTCCTAAGAATTAAAAGTAATTTTAAAAAGTATGGAATCTGCTATTGTTTAATTAAAGGATTGGAAGTAAATAATATAATAGAGCACAGTTGGAAGCAATGATTTTTAAAAAACATTATGTACCCCCCTTAAATTGTGGGTTCTTAATAATATATATATACATTTATTTTAGGAGGAAAAGCAACTTCAGTTCAATTTATTTAATGACTGTGCTTTAAGCATGACAAGATTTGTTTTACTTGAACAAGCACTTTGTGAAAATTAGTAAACAGTATCACAGAAGTCTCTCACAGAAGATCTACATTTTGAATAATACCACCGTCATTATGTGATCTAGAAAAGGGTCAATTATGATTTTGGGTGATTGATCACAATTGTGCAATCTAAATCATCCACAAATCAAGTTTCCATGGAAGTTATTGGTTTCTTTATATAAATCCAACATATTCATCCATTTATCTCTTACAAAATATATGGGTTCCAGGAATGAGTGTGTTGTCTTATTCCTTATCTCCAGAACCTAATACAGATAGTACTCACTCAATAAGTATCTGTTAAATGAAACTCATCCCACTAGAATTTATTGAATGACTAAGTTGTCAGGCAATGTTCCAATTACAGAGGCTAAAGATGTTAGATACTTCAGACACAAAATATTTTAAATGAAAATTATCTGAGTGCATTGGTTATAATAATTTTCCTTTCACCAAGAATGGTCCAGAAGTACAAAGACAGATGGCCAAAAGTCTGACTTATTTCATGACTCTAAATTTCAGGCCAAATGTTGAAAGTGTGATGTATAGGCAGCTGGCCAAGCCAACCCCATTAGGATTATTCTCCAGAGACTTTCCTAGTGAGATCAAAAGGAAGGTAACCTAGCTCTGAAGTGGAGAATGAAGGATGTAAAGATCAAGAGCTAGAGATAGTAATGTTCTTTATCCTATGGAGGATAAATACTTTCAGACTATTTGAAAGATGGATTCAACCACACATTTAGGCCCACAAAAATGACCTATTAGTTCTTTATGTTGGCTTTGAAAGGTGTGGACCGGGGAAGGAGAGAGGGAGGTATTGATCAAGAACAGGTGGTGATTAGGAGTACCTTGGCAAAGAGTGTTCCTTTTACACAGGAGGGATGGAAGAGGTTGACCATACTTTGACCAAGAGAGGAAAGTGCAGCTAGGAGGAAGAAAGATCAAGAGGTTCCAGCTACAGTTTCTCCACATCCCAAAACTGAGAGTTGCCCTATTGGTTTTCAGAAATTGTGAGGCCAAGAGTACTGGGGAAGCTTGTGATAAGTGCCAATCTCTGAGCCCTGGGCCCCAGAGATTCTGAATCATATGACTGGCAAGGGCAGGGCTGAGGTGGAGTGGAAGAGATGGACCATATAAATATTATTTTGAGATTTACCTCAAGTATAAGTGATACAGATGATTCACAGATATGACTTGTTCCTGTATTCTTTTCCCTTCTATTATCACGCATGTGAATGACCACAGAAATGTTTGCTTATGATTCCAAACTCAGTCCATTCAGAGCCTGCCTGTGCCATCCACTCTTTCACCATCCCAAACACGAATCTTATATGTCCTTTCTGTCTAACCACATCTGTCTCTGTTGCTCTTTTATTTTCAGAAAATACACTATACCATGATTTGTTTCTCTTCCCAACTTACTAACTAATAGATCTTGGAGTTCCTTCTACAATAGCATATATATATATATATATGGTGTATATATATATATATGGTGTATATATATATGGTGTATATATATGGTGTGTATATATATGGTATATATATACTATATATGGTATATATATAGTATATATATGGTATATATATAGTATATATGGTATATATATAGTGTATATATATGGTATATATATAGTATATATATGGTATATATATAGTATATATATGGTATATATATAGTATATATATGGTATATATAGTATATATATGGTATATATATAGTATATATATGGTATATATATAGTATATATATGGTATATATATATGGTGTATATATATGGTATATATAGTATATATATGGTATATATATATGGTGTATATATATGGTATATATATGGTGTATATATATATGGTGTGTATATATATATATGGTATATATAGAGACCATTCTTTTCATTGGCTGCATATAAATACATAATTGGACGCATCAAACATTGTTTCACCATTGCTTTTGAGATATAACCTCAGATTTTTTTTTCTATTTTTTCTATTACAAGAAACCATGCAATGAACATTCTTGTACCAGATCTTGATGAACATAGACAATATGTTCATACAGTAAAATTTTAGAAATACAAGTTATTGGATTAAAGAATATGTGTATTTAAAAACTTCTGAATGTTTGAATTTTTCTCCAAAATATTTACTCTAAATCCTATTCCCAATTAGAATAAGCATGACTTTTCCCTTAAGCTTCATCAGTATTGCACATAAACAAGCTTAAGAATTTCACTCATCAGATAAATTTGAAAAACTCAGTTTTATTTGCATTATTTGATTATGAATAAGGCATATCCTTTATATTATTTATAAGCCTACTCCATCTTTTAAAAATGTAAATTATATGTTCATATTTGAATGTTTTTCTGTTGCTTTAGTTTTTAATAATATTTTATAAAAGTGCTTAGAAAGTTAATAAACTAATTATTTCATATGCCATCTAGGCTGAAAACACTTTTCAGAAGCAGTTTTATTTTTTATTATCTGTAACATAAAATCGTCTGTCAAAAAAATGTGAAGAGTCTGCAATTTTACCCTGCTACTTGAAAGTTTCATAGAAACTGTGAAAAGAGCTGTGGTTCAATGTCCCTTTGTTTTGATTCTTCTGAATGCCCACAGTTGCAATTGCCAGAGAGGTTTCACAATATTAAAAGACCTGCTTCTAAGGCCTGCCTGTCTTTGCACTATTTAGTAATTTTTTCTACTACTTAATTTAGATTGATATATCATTTTACTACCATAAAAATAGAAAGTTTATTTCCATTAACTGCTAAACATTTAAAATGTTTTCCATTTAGACCCACTCCCCTTTTTTTCTTTGATAGGTATTTGAATTCTAATTTTTGGCACTTTTAATACTAAAATGTTGTTAAATTTTTAAATGTAACGTTCTTCAAGAAATTAATTAAAAATGATGTCCATCAGACCCAAATACCTATCACTCAGTGCTCCTCCCAACTTGTAAAGGTTTACTGGCTTTTTCAGTCAAATTTTTCTCACTACACAGTGTAAAATAGCAGTGATTCTCCTGAGCAACTGATTTGTTTTCGTCCTATAGACACTGAACCAATAATTAATCATATTGTCCTCTCTACCTTTATTACCTAAAAGCTCAAAGCCAAATCTATGGCCTACCACTAGGATCTGTAAAGGAAACCTCAGTCATGCAAACTGTGAACTAACCTCATCGTAAATTTGTTGTTTTTTCATTATTATTTCCTCTTTTGCTTACTTGGTTGTATCACATACTCTTTCATAGAGTGTCTTAAATAATTGTGGGGACTAAGCAGAATATAAATTAATTCATTAAACTCGAGCATTGAGAGAGTTCCCACTGAACCAAAGTTTTGCCTCATTATGTTCACCTTCTACTGGTTGACAAAAATCATTCTTAAAAATAAAAATGTCCTTCAGTGAACTCTTAGCCACTCATCAAGGCATCAGCATCATTTGTTAAGCAACATAAACTTGAAATTAACATTGTTCCCATCAGTAGCCCACGTACACAAAGTGCGTCACCTCCTTCCCAGGGGCTAATCAGAAATCATTCTGTCTTCCATCTGCTGCTTTTGACTATTTATTTGATGCTGTGAAGCATTCCCAGGAAAGCCTTGAAGCCACAAACTTCTCCCTTTTCCCATTTGTAGCATCTATGATTAGGAAGGTACAAAACAAAAATAAACTAACAAAACCACACAGAGCCAGGCTCCCATGGGGCAGCATTCAATGTTTCCCTACTTTTGGCTGCTTAGTGGTTCTTGTCATTACCTGACTCCCAAGGGCATGTTTATTTACATTTGGACAGAAAAGCAGGCTTTCTCTCAATCCTTTTTGTTGGGCTTTCTGGTCTTGATAAAGCAATATGTATTAAAAGAGTGCTTTTAGTGTAATATTCATTTAAGAGCAAGTATTTCAACCTGAATGTAAACCCCCAGAAAGGGAATGTATGTGCGCAGATTTCATAAGTACAAATCAGTGCACGTCTTCAGATCAGCATCTCTCCCAGCAACGTACAATTGTGTGACTGTGACTTTGACCCAGGCTGCTAAGGAACAAGTATCTCTGCAGTGACGCAGGAGGCTGAGCAGGAAGTGCCCGCTAAGTGTATTTGGTGACTCATATCCATTTGCTCTCCAGCTCACTGCAGTTTGCTCATTAGCATTGGTGCTGGGGGCTAATGGATACTCAGTAGGAAGTAATTTTTCATTGTAAATGTCTGGTGAAAAAATGGAAATGAAAACCCAATAAGCACTCGCTTCCTGACAAAGCTTTCCAAGACTGATAGAGATTGTGTTTTGAGAGGTCTGGTTACAGGGTTCAGTGGTGAATTTCAGGTTCTTAGGACTGATTACCTTCATCTTAAAATA
This sequence comes from Homo sapiens, assembly GCF_000001405.40. Classification (NCBI taxonomy): domain Eukaryota; kingdom Metazoa; phylum Chordata; class Mammalia; order Primates; family Hominidae; genus Homo; species Homo sapiens. The sequence continues at coordinate 80,638,620 of NC_000006.12, read as the reverse complement.
GGCTTTCAATCTCCGCACCCCCGCCCCCACACACACAAAGTGTGAAATAAATGAAGCTAAGCTAGAGAGTTATATTTATCTCTATTTTCTGTTTCTTTTAAAACTATTAGAGGGAATTTTTAAAATACCATGTATTCATTATGTGTCCAAGCATCCAGTGGTGTGTTGGTAAATGTTTGACAACAGTCTCTGGGTAAAAAGAAAAGGCCCTGATTTCCACTGTTTGCTGATTCCCATGGTGTAAATACTCCTACCACAGCCAGTGTCAAGCTACAACATGAGCCTCTGAATGCGGAATTGGGAAAAAATGGAAACAATTATCTCTCCTTTAAGCCAGTAAGCACCAGTTTCACCATGCCCTGCCACTCCTCTAAATGCAAATGGGGGCTCATCTTCATGTAAAATGAAAAAGCACCATCCTTTTTTCACAGAGTACCCCAAATCAAAGCATGATTCTGTTAGGCTGCATGCCACATATATATGTATTTATGTAATTTTATTTAGCTTCTGCTTTTTTTATTCTCATTCCTGGCTCATTCAGTTCTCTTGGGTTTTTCTAGTGGCCCTAGGAGTAATATTTGAAATGTCATAGGAATAGCCAACTCACTAAAAATAAAAACTGGAGTATTATCTAACACTACGCAATTTTTTAAAAATTTCCTTGCATAGGAAGACTTTTGCACTATGGCACAAAATGATTGATACATTAACCATGTAGAGTACCTTATTGCTTGCCATTGTAATCTCTTCAGAATTCTGTTTTGTATCCAAATGTTTAACGCTTTTAGTGGTGATGATTTTTCTGAAAGCTTCTGGGACTATGTCTATACTTACCTTTGGAAAGTGAAGTGAAAATCTTGCTATTTAAATGAATGAAAGTCTAACACCTGATCAATTTAATGCCACAAATCATGAATCTATTGTGTAAAAAACTAAATTGACTACAGCTAAAGTACTACCAAAATATTATATATTAAAACTCCAGAATGCACAGGAACTTAAGACAAAAGACATCTAAGAATAAAGATTGTGAAGCAGTCTAGTTGTAGGCCTGGAACAGTGGGTTAGAGTTTGACTCATGGAGCCAGACTGCTTGGTCTAAATGCCAGTTCTGACACTTACTAGCTGTGTGGTCTTGGGCAGGTTGCTCAAGAGCTCATCCTCCCCACCACAGTTTCCTCCACTGTTAAGTGGGGACAATAATAATACCTAATTCACTGGGTTATAGTAAGGATTAGCTCTGTCAGTATTTATAGAATGCCTTTATAGGCAAATAAGTGTTTGCTAAATAAATTTAAAGGAGAATTTTCAAAGACTAAAAAAAAATGAATTACAGATCAAATCTAAACCTTTCAAGGGAGCTGATTTATAGAAGAAAGTGTAATTTCACCGAATAATTACATGATGACTCAATATTGCTCCCACTCCCTGACCATGCAAATTAATGCTAATGTGGCACACTGAATTACAGGTAAAAAATTTAACAGTCTAAACAGAAGAAACTACATCTTCCTATTTCAATCAGCCTGGAGAAAATCTTCTTAAATGGGAACATTCAAGTAGTCAAAAGGGTACCATTCTGATTATTAATAAAGACATACATGGAACTATAAAACATTCCCACCTTCATAGTATTTAATGGCAGTGGTAGAGGCATGGGAGCATGGATTAAGGCTCTAAGGAATTCTGAGGTATTACTAATATCTGAAATATCACTGAAAGTATTTCATGGAGCTATGATTCACAGCTCCTGTCAAATATCAGAGTCCTTTCAAAATTTAAATTGGATTTAAGTCAGGCATTACTTTCTATTCTATAAATCCTGGGTAATGATAATGAAGTGCTATAGTGTTAGTATTGAACATCAGCGCATTGAAAGGAGACAGGCCTAGGTTCTCTACTGTGTTTGCTCTTCCTAACCCTAACTTGCCCTCTTTTGGTTCCTCCTAGTCTCCTCATTCTGCTGACCTCCCACTAAGCATCAAATCTTCCCTTTCTCAACCAACATAATGGACCTGGCCTCTGCCCAGTTTCACAGCAACCTGTTCACAATATTCTACTACTATATTGTGTGGCTGTTTAAGTTTTTTATAGGTCTAGAAGTATTTTTTTTATGAATCTGGGTGCCCCAATGTTGGGTGTGTATATATTTAGGATAGTTAAATCATCCTGTTGAATTGAAACCTTTATCGTTGTATAGTGCCCTTCTTTGTCATGTTTAACTGCTGTTGGTTTAAAATCTATTTTATCTGATATAAGAATTGTGACCCCTTCTCTTTTTGTTTTCTGTGTGCATGACAGATCATTCTCTAACCCTTTACTTTGAGTCTATGAGTGTCATTACATATGAGATTGGTCTCTTGAAGACAGCAGATGGATGGGTCTTGCTTTTTTATCCAGCTTGCCACTGTGTGCTTTTTAAGTGAGGCATTAATTGGAGATTTCTCAAAGAACTTAAGGCAGAACCACCATTTGACCCGGCAATTCCATTACTAGGTGTATGCCCAAAGGAAAATAAATCAGTCCACCAAAAAGACATGCAGGCATATGCTCACTGCAGCACTATTCTCAATAGCAAAGATATGAAATCAACCTAGATGACCATCGATGGTGGATTGGATAAGGAAAATGTGTACATATACACCATGGAATACCATGCAGCCATAAAAAAGAACAAAACCATGTTCTTTACAGCAACATATATGCAGTTGGATGCCATTATCTGAAGTGAATTAATGCAGGAACAGAAAACCAAATATTGCATGTTCTCACTTATAAGTGGGAGCTAAATATTGAGTACACATGGACATAAAGATGAGAACAGCAGACACTGGGGACTACCAGAGGGGCAAGGTAGGAGGGAGTCAGTGGTTGAAAAACTGATTTCCTCACAGGCTCTCATGCTCCTTTGAAGTTCCATCCTTCTTGTCTAGAACATGGATACTACACTTGAAGGGGTGGCTTGCCCCTCCACACCTGTGGGTATTTCTAGTCAAGTGGGACAAGAGACTGGGAAAAGAAATAAGACACAGAGACAAAGTATAGAGAAAGAACAGTGGGCCCAGGGGACCGGCGCTCAGCATACCAAGGACCTGCACCAGCACCGGCCTCTGAGTTCCCTCAGTTTTTATTGATTATTATTTTCATTATTTCAGCAAAAAGGAATGTAGTAGGAGAGCAGGGTGATAATAAGGAGAAGGTCAGCAAAAAACATGTGAGCAAAAGAATCTATGTCATAATTAAGTTCAAGGGAATGTACTATGACTGGATGTGCATGTAAGCCAGATTTATGTTTCTCTCCACCCAAACATCTCAGTGGAGTAAAGAATAACAAGGCAGCATTACTGCAAACATGTCTCACCTCCCACCATAGGGCGGTTTTTCTCCTATCTCAGAATTGAACAAATGTTCAATCGGGTTTTATACCGAGACATTCAGTTCCCAGGGGCAGGCGGGAGACAGTGGCCTTCCTCTATCTCAACTGCAAGAGGCTTTCCTCTTTTACTAATCCACCTCAGCACAGACCCTTTACGGGTGTTGGGCTGGGGGACAGTCAGGCCTTTCCGCCATATTTCAGACTATCACATGGGGAGAAACCTTGGACAATACCCTGCTTCCAAGGCAGAGGTCCCTGCGGCTTTCCACAGCGCATTGTGCCCCTGGTTTATTCAGACTAGAGAATGGCGATGACTTTTACCAAGTATACTGCTTGTAAACATTTTGTTAACAAGGCACGTCCTGCACAGCCCTAGATCCCTTAAACCTTGATTTCATACAACACATGTTTTTGTGAGCTCCAGGTTGGGTCAAAGTGGCTGGGGCAAAGCTACAAATTAACAACATCTCAGCAAAGCAATTGTTAAAAGTACAGGTCTTTTTCAAAATGGAGTCTGTCTTCCCTTTCTACACAGACACAGTAACAGTCTGATCTCTCTCTTTTCCCTACAACGCTTGGTGGTAGGATCGTAAAAATGAAAACAATACAAGGATGGTGGAGGAAATAAGTGGAAGAAACCCAGTATAAAGTTAATATGAAGGAACAGACAAACAAACCAGCTCTGAACTACCTATCTCCAGACTTCTCAATAAGAGAGAAAAATAAACCCCTTGTTTGTTTATGCCAGTGTAGTCATATTTCTGTTACATGTAGCCAAGTACAATAATCTCTTCTATATTTCCTTTTTACATGTAAGAGAATACAAGCTTGGAAACATTAAGCAGCATGCCCAAAGTCACAGAGCTCCCAGATTTGCCCTCAACTTTTCTCTTCGATGCAGAGCCCATGTTCTTTCCACTCTTCCATACTACTTTTATAGACATACCAACATTCTGCGTTAAATCTGTAAAAGAACTCAGAAAGCATACAATCAAAATCCTCATGTTAATCATGAGAAACCTGGAATCCAGACCAGGTAAATAATCTGCCATTCTAAATTGTTATCAAGAGTGAAATGTAACAATCCAGGGCTTTCACCACTGAATATACTCAGGAGTCATTGAGACAAAACAGATGGAAAATTAACTTGAAACCAAAATTAAATGTCTATGATTCAGGAAAAAGAAACTGAGATTAAGAATCCTGAGGAACACAAGAAAAAATAAGTTCACTACAACAGATTGTATCGACAATGGTGAGGCACAGTGTTGCAAGAATCAGATATTTTGGTATCACGGAGGAGGATCTGAAGATCTTTAGGAAACAGAAAAATGTAGCTGAGGAACACAGCCTCAAAATGACCCAGGAATGAGTTTTGCCATGAAGGCCCTGTTATAAATTTCACTTGTATATTCTTAGACCAAGCAAAGCTACTCAAAAATTAGCTTTTAAAATTCAAAAGTCAGCATTTGCAATGTATCTTTTGAATATGTTTGCAGTCCAAGACCCCTTTGTGGCTTCACAAACATATCGCTCTACAAACTCAGTTTTTTAAAAAATTGATTGTTAAGTAATGTACACAGTAACACACACTCATAAAGATGCATGTACATACATAGACACAGACACAGGAAAAGCTGACACATCAAAACGTCAACAGGTGCTATTTCTGAAAGCTAGAATCATTAAGTAATTTTTTTATTCTCATTGCTTTTCTGGATTTTCTAAATTTCTATCCTAAATATGAGATTAATAATAGAAAAGTAAATGAAAACATATTTTAAAATCTATTTGGTGGTTATAAGATACTATACTTACAACACTAATAGCCAAATAGAATTTGGGACTTCTAGCTATATTTTCCCATTAAATGTAAATTTAATTCTTACAATGAACCAATACATTAAGTGTTCCAATAAAACCATTTAAAGACTAGTTAATTTAAATTTGTTCACTACATTTTTGAAGGCATAAGGAGTAAAAAAAATGTGTATCTGACATGGTAAAAAATGCTTTCTTTAAAAATTGGATCATTATTATTTTATCTAATTTTCTAAGCTATATGCTAAATTACAACCCTATGTTATATTTGAACACAAAATTGCTACACCAGAATTTAATTAGGCACCAAAAGTCACTTAAAAGTTTATTTAACTCATTAGTGCAATTATTAAGCACTAAGATTACTTATTGGTAGTTGCTTGTTTCAGAAAAAAATGCATTTATACTACAAATTTTTAACATAATGTTGAAAAGGAATATTACAAAAAAATACTATCTCAAAATATTTGAAGAAATCTTTTCATATAAACAGTTGGGTTTGGGTTTTTTTCCCTAACTTTTAGGCTGAGGGTTACAGGTGCAGGTTTGTTATTTAGGTAAATTTGATGTCATGGGGGTTGGAGTACAGATTATTTCATCACCCAGCTAATAAGCATAGTACCCAACAGATAGTTTTTGATTCTCTTCCTCCTCCCACCCTCCACCCTCAAGTAGGCACCAGTGTCTGTTGCTCCCTTCTTTCTGTCCATGTGTTCTCGATATTTAGCTCCCACTTATAAGTGAGAACATGTGGTATTTGGTTTTCTGTTCCTGCATTAGTTTGTTTAGGATAATGGCCTCCAGTTTCATCCATGTTGCTGCAAAGGACATTATTTAATTCTGTTTTATGGCTGCATATTATACCGTGGTGTCTATGTACAACATTTTCTTTATCCAGTCTACTATTGATGGGCATTTAGATTGCTTCCATATCTTTGCTATTGTGAATAGTGTGGCAATGAACATACACGTGCATGTGTCTTTATGGTAGAATGATTTATATTCCTTTGGGTATATACCCAGTAATGGGATTACTGGGTCCAAAGGTGATTCTGTTTTACATTCTTTGAGAAATCGCCATGCTGTTTCCACAATGGCTAAAGTAGTTTACATTCCCATCACTAATGCATAAACATTCTCTTTTCTCTGCAATCTTGCCAGCATCTGCTATTTTTTGACTTTTTAGTCATAGCCATTCTGACCGATGTGAGATGGTATCTCATTGTGGTTGTGATTTGCATTTCTCTAATGATCAGTGATATTGAGCATTTTTTATATGCTTGTTGGCCATATGTATGTCTTCTTCTGAAAATTGTCTGTTCATGTCTTTTGCCCACTTTTTAATAGGATTGTTTGTTTCTGGCTTGTTAATTTCTTAAAAGTTCCTTATAGATTCTGGATGTTAGACCTTTGTCAGATGCATAGTTTGCAAATCACTTTTGAATGTCTACTTTGAAAAATATTTACTAGTAAGAAAATTAACAATAAGCAAATATAGTATAAATATTACTTAAATACAAAAAAAGTTCAATTCATAGATTCACAGGTCCAGAGATCTTTTGTTTTTAACAAGAAGGTATAAAATACAAGAAAAAGACAATGACTTACATAACAACTCTTTATATATTGATGCAAGAAAAAAATATGCTATACTTGACCTTTGTCATTTTGGGTTTTCTGGTTATTCTCTTATTTGAGAGAATTCCAAACTGACTAAAGAAGCCAAGCCAAAGTGCATAGACGTTCTCTTTCTCAACTCCTAGACCTGGCAAGTCTTGTGCTCTAACTTAGGACTTCATCTCTGCTGCTAGTGACCCACAGCCTCAACACAGTCTGACATAATTTTTAGTGCCTGCTGATGAATTGAAAGTGCTGTGCCATAACGAGGAGCAAGGTCCAGTGTTGGCTGCAGTAAGTGGCCATTTGTGATGGCACCAGTGTTGAAATAACAGACAGGCTACTCCTATGGTCGCATCCTTGGCTAGTTTTATGTCCATTAATTCCTGGCTAGTTTCCTAGTCTAGTTCGTTAGAGTTCTCATCAATTTTGAGAACTGCTTAACACATATTATTCTCCTTTTAAGAAAATGCTCATGCTTTTTAACTGGGCTAGTCAAGACTGAACACTTGATCATGAGATATTTGTGACCATATGACCCAAATTATATTAGGCTAGATGAAAGCTTTTGAATGGGCAAGAGATGCTGTAAGATAAAAATGTTTATGTTGCTTGGGGAAGCCAAATATTTGGACTGCGGTAAACATTTTTCATTTCCAAAGCCCAGAAAGCAACACTGTTTCTGTCTGGTGTCAATCCTAAAACAAATGGAAATCAAGACTCCAGTTTCCAAAATGGAAGCCAAAGAGGCTTTTTTTCAGATCCCTGACAACTAGTCCATAAGCCTAGGCTCAGCCAGTCAGGTGTTGCCACCTAAGACTTGGGATGTGGAGATCATGATCCAAAACCTGAGGAAAAAGCACAGGTTATCCATTGTAAGTTTAGCAGAGTTGAAAGTACACCCAAATGGCAGCAAGTATCCAGGAATGGCAGAATTGATAGTCAGTCATGACAGCTGCACTCCAATGCAACAGTACCAGTGTTGTCCTGAGCATAGCTGTGGAATGATCTTGCATGCTAATGGGCTTTCTTTGCGCCTACCCATTTCCAAAGTCCTCTTGCTTTCATGAGCTACCCACTTTACTTCTAACAACATTCTTTTTTCACTTTATTTAGATAGCTGTTTCTGTTGCTTGCAACCAAATACCCTGATTGTTGAAAAGCCAACAATTCAAAACTCCAAAATCTAGTAAGTATATTTTTCATAAATGTTAAGTTTGTGGATGTTAGAGGCAGCATAAAATATTGCAGTTATAGTTTTACAATCAGACAATCCAGTGCTGTAACCTCTTCTTTTGCCCTTGCTAGATGTATGACTGCATGAGTTTCTTAACTTTGCTGTACCTCAGTTCCCTAACATGAAAAGTGACAATACTGTCTACTATATGTGCTGCACCACATAGGCAGTGTACAGCACAGGATGAAATGTATATCCACTTAATTTTCTCCTCTAATCACACTTTTTAAGAACAGGAAAAAAATGGTTTTTTTTATTTTTAATTTTTTACTTTTGTGGGTACATGGTAAGTGTATATATTTACGGGGTACATGAGATATTTTTATATAGGCATACAGTGTGTAATAATCATAACATGAAAAATAAGGTCTTCATCCCCTCAAGCATTTATCCTTTGTGATACAAGTTATCCAATTACACTCATTTAGTTATTTTTAAATTTACAATTAAATTATTATTTACTATAGTCACCCTGTTGTGCTATCATATATTGGGTTTTATTCATTCATTCTTTTTTTTTTTTGTGCCTATTAACCATCCCCACTTCCCCTCTATACCCCCACTACCCTTCCTAGCCTCTGGTAACAATCCTTCTACTCTCTGTCTCCATGAGTTCAATTGTTTTCATTTTTATACCCGACAAATAAGTGAGAACATGCAATGTTTGTCTTTTGTACCTGGCTTATTTCATTTAATATGATGATGTCAAGTTCCATCCATGTTGTTGCAAATGACAGGACCTTATTTTTTGCTGGAAGAATAGTTTTCCATTGTGTGTAAGTAACACATTATCTTTATCCATTCTTATGTCGATGGACACACAGGTTGCCTCCAAATCTTGGCTACTGTGAACAGTGCTGCAATAAACATGGGAGTGCAGATATCTCTTTCATACACTGACTTCTTTTCCTTTGGGTATATAACCAGTAGTGAGACTCTGGATCATATGGTGGCTCCAGGTTTTAGTTTCTTGAGGAACCTCCAAATTGTTCTCCATAGTGATTGTACTAAATTATATTCCCACCAACCATGTACAACTGTTCCCTTTTTCCACATCCTCACCAGCATTTGTTATTATCTATCTTTTGATAAAAGGCCATTTTAGCTGGGGTGAGATGATACCTCATTGTAGTTTTGATTTGCATTTCTCTGATGATCAATGATGTTTGGTACCTTTTCATATTGCTATTTGCCATTTGTATGTACTCTTTTGAGAAACGTCTATTCAGATCTTTTGCCCATTTTTAAATCAGATTATTAGATTTTTTTCCCTATATATTTGTTTGAACTCTTTATATGTTCTAGTTATTAATCCCTTTTCTGATGGATAGTTTGCAAATATTTTCTCCCATTTTGTGGGTTGTCTTTTCATTTTGCTGGTTGTTTCCTTTGCTCTTTTCTCTTTTCTCCATGTCTTCATCAGCATTTATTACCTGTCTTTTGGATAAAAGCCATTTTAACTGGGGTGAGATATCACATTGTAGTTTTAATTTGCATTTCCCTAATGACCAATGATGTTGAGCACCTTTTCATATAACTTCTTACTATTTGTATGCCTTCTTTGAGAAATGTCTATTGGAATCTTTTGTCCATTTTTAATCAGATTATTATACTTTTTTCTTATAGAGTTGTTTGAGCTATATTCTGGTTATTAAGCCCTGTCAGACGGGTAGTTTGCAAATATTTTCTCCCATTCTGTGGGTTGTCTCTTCACTTTGTTGATTGTATCCTTTGCTGTATATAATCTTTTTAACTTGATGTGATCCCAATTTGTTCATTTTTGCTTTGGTTGCCTGTGCTTATGGGGTATTACCCAAGAAATCTTTGCCTAGTCCAATGTCCTGTAGAGGTTCCCCAATGTTTTCTTGTAGTAGTTTCATAGTTTAAGGTGTTAGACTTAAGTCTTTAATACATTTGGATTTTATCTTTGTATATGACAAAAGATAGGGGTCTAGTTTCATTCTTCTGCACATGGATATCCAGTTTTGCCAGCACCATTTACTGAAGACACTGACTTTTCCCCAATATATGTTCTTGGCATCTTTGTTGAAAATGAGTTCAATGTAGTTATATGGATTTGTTTCTGAGTTATCTAATTCGTTCCATTGGCCTATGTGTCTGTTTTCATGTGAGTACCATGCTATTTTGGTTACTATAGCTCTGTAGTATATTTTGAAGTCAGATAACGTGATACCTCCTCCAGTTTTTTTGTTTCCTTGTTTGTTTTTTAATTTTTGCTTTTTTTGCTCAAGACAGCTTTGGCTATTCTGGGTCTTTTGTGGCTCCATATAAATTAAAAGAATTGTGTTTTCTATTTCTGTGAAGAATGTCATATTTTAATATAGATTGCATTTAATCTGTGGCTTGCTTTAGGTAGTATAGACATTTTACAATATTTATACTTCTGATTCATAAACATGGAATGTATTTTCATTTTTTGTGTCCTTTTCAATTTATTTCATCAGCATTGCATAGTTTTCATTATAGAAATCCTTCACTTCTTTAATTAAGTTAATTTCTAATTATTTTATTTTATTTGTAGCTATTGTAATTGGGATTACTTTCTTGATTTCTTTTTTAGATTATTTGCTGTTATCATACAGAAATGCTACTGATTTTGAAATATTGATTTTGTATCCTTCAACTTACTGAATTTGTTTATCAGTTTAAATAGTTTTTTGGTCGAGTCTTTAGGTTTTTCCAAATATAATATCATATCATCTGCAAGCAAGGATAATTTGACTTCTTTCTTTCCAACTAAATGCCTCTCTTTTCTAATTGCCGTAGCTAGGGCTTCCAGGACTATGTTGAATAACAGTGGTGAAAGTAGGCATTCTTTTCATGTTCCAGATATTAGAGGAAAGACTTTCAGTTTTTTTCCCATTCAGTATGATACTGGCTGTGGGTCTGTTAAATATGGCTTTTATTGTGTTGAGTACATTTGATCTATACCCAGTTTTTTGACAGTTTTGATCATGAAGGTATGTTGAACTAAAAACTTTTTAGCACTAATTGAAATTGTCATGTGTTTTTTTTTCCTTTATTCTGTTGACATAATGTATCATATTGATTGACTTGCATATTTTGAACCATCCTTGCATCCCTGGGATAAATCTTACTTGGTTATAATAAATTATCTTTTAAATGTGTTGTTAAATTAGGTTTACTAGTACTTTGTTGAGGATTTTTGCATCAATGTTTATCAAGAATACTAGTCTTTAGTTGTCTTTTTTTTAATTTGTCTTTGTCTGATTTTGGTATCAGGGCAATACTGGCCTCACAGAATGAGTTGGAAATATTACCTCCTCCTCTATTTTTTGGAATAGTTTGAGTAGGATTTGTATTGGTTCTTCTTTAAATGTTTGATAAAATTCAGCAGTGAAGCCCTCAGGTCCCAAGTTGTCTTTACTTTGATCTCATTACTTGTGATTGGTCTGTTCAGGTTTCAGATTTCTTCATGGTTTAATCTTGGTTGGTTATATGTGTCTAGGAATTTATCTATTTCTGTTAGATTTCCCAGTATTGGGATATAGCTGTTCATAGTAGCCACTAATGATCCTTTGAATTTCTGTAGTATCAGTTGTAATGTCTTCTTTTTCATCTCTTATTTATTTGGATCTTCTCCGTTTTTTTCTTCATTAATCTAAGAGTTTGTAAAGTTTGTTTACTTTTTCAAAAAAGCAACTTTTTTATTTCATTGATCTTTTGTAATGTTTTCTTCATTTCAATTTCATGAACTTCTGCTCTGCTCTTTACTATTTTTTTTTTCTTCCACTAATTTTGGGATTGGTTTGCTCTTGCTTTTCTGGCTCTTCAAGATGCATCATTAAGTTATTGATTTGAAGTTTTCTTCTTTTTGATACAGGCACTTGTAGCTATGAATTTCTGTTTCAGTGCTGTTTTCACTGTATCCCATAGGTTTTGGTATGTTGTGTTTCCATTATAATATGTTTCAAGAAATTTTTCAATTTCCTTCTTTCTTCATTGACCCACTGGTCACTCAGGACCATATTATTTAATTTCCATGTGTTTGGATCATTGCCAAAATTCCTCTTGTTACTCATTTCTGTTTTACTCCACTGTGGTTGAGAAGATACTTGAGGTAATTTCAATTTTTTTTTTTTTTTTGAGATGGAGTCTTCCTCTGTCACCCAGGCTGGAGTGCAGTGGCATGATCTCAGTTCAGTGTAAGCTCTGCCTCCTGGGTTCATGTAATTCTCCTGCCTCAGCCTCCCAGCAGCTGGAACTACAGGCACACACCACCATGCCCAGCTAATTTTTTTGTATTTTTAATAGAGATGGGGTGCCACCATGTTAGCCAGGATGGTCTCAATCTCCTGACCTCATGATCCGCCCACCTCAGCCTCCCAAAGTGCTGGGATTACAGGTGTGAGCCGCCGCACCCAGCCTCAATTTTTTTAATGTTTTAAGACTTGTTTTGTGACCTAACATATGATCGATCCTTGGGAATGGTCCATGTGCTAAAAGAAGAATGTGTATTCAGCAGCCGTTGAGTGAAATGGTCCATAAAATATTTATTAGGTCCATTTTGCTTATAGTGAAGATTAAGTCCAGCGTTTCTTTGTTGACTTTCTGTCTGGATTATCTGTCCAATGCTGAAAGTAGACTGTTGGAGTCTCCAGCTATTTTTGTACTGAGGTTCATATCTCTCTTTAATTCTAACAATATTTGCTTTATATATCTGAGTGGTCCAATTTTGGGTGAATATATATTTTAAATTGTTATATCCTCTTGGTGAATTGATCTATCATAATATAATGACCTTCTCTGTCTCTTCTTAGAGTTTTTGTCTTGAAATCAATTTTTTCTGATATAAGTATAGCTACTCCTGCTTTTTTTTTTTTTTTTTTTTTTGGTTTCCATTGGCATGGAATCTTTTTCCATCCTTTTATTTTCAGTCTATGTGTATCAATTGGTGAAGTGTGTTTCTTGTAGGCAACAGATCATTGGGTTTTGTTTTTTCATCCATTCAACCACTTTATATGTTTTTATCGAAGAGTTTAATCTATTTACATTCAATGTTATTGTTAATAAGTAGGAAATTACTCCTGCCACTTTATTGTCTTGTTTTCTGGTTGTTTATTTTTTGGCTTCTCTTTCTTCTTTCCTTCCTTCTTATCCTCCTTTTGGTAAAGGTAATTTTCTTGGGTAGTGTGATTTAATTTCTTGGGATTTTTTTGTATATGTATCCATTATATGTTGCTCAATCTAGGTCACCATGAGACTTGAAAATACTATCTTATAACCTATTATTTAAACTAATTATAACTTAACACTGACCACAAACACACAAAAAGAAAACTGATAAAAACCTTACACTTTAACTCCATCCCCTGACTTTATTATTTTTCTTTCAGCACTTTAAATATATCATGCCCTCTCTCCTTGCCTGAAAAGTTTCCATTGAAAATTCTGCCAGACATAGTAAAACTGCATTGCATATTATTTGTTTTTTTCTCTTGCTGCTTTTAGTTTCCCTTCTTCATCCTTAAGCTTTGAAAGTTTGATTGTTGAGTGCTTTCAGGTAGTCTTCTTTGGGTCAAATCTGCTTGGTGTTCTATAACGTTCTTCTATTTGAATGTTGACATCTTTCTCTAGGTTCAGGAAGTTGTCTGATATTATCTCTTTAAATAAACTTTCTACCACTTTCTCTTTCTCTACCTCCTTTTTAAGGCCAATAACTCTTACATTTGTCCTTTGCAGGATATTTTCTAGATCTTGTAGTTGTGCTTCACTCTTTTTTATTCCTTTTTCTTTTGTCTCCACTGACCATGTATTTTCAAATAGCCTGTCTTCTCAAATAGCTGGTAATGCCAAGTAGGTTTGTGTGCTTCCCTTCAGAGCCATGTTTGTGCACTTCCCTTCAGAGCTGCGTGTACCCCCAGGCCCCAAGTGTGTCCAGAGATACTCACTAATTACTTCTTTGCTTGACCAGTTCTGCTATTAAGAGGTTCTGATGCATTCTTCAGTATGTCAATTGCATTTTTAACTCTAGAATTTCTGCTTGATTCTTTTTAATTATTTCCATATCATTGTTAAATTTATCTGATAGAATTCTGAATTCCTTCTCTGTGTTATTTTGAATTTCCTTGAGTTTCCTCAAAACAGCTATTTTGAATTCTCTGTCTGAAAGGTCACATATCTCTGTTTCTCTAGGATTGATCTCTGGTGCCTCATTTAGTTTGCTTAGTGAGGTCATGTTTTCCTGGATAGTCTTCATGCTTTTAGACATTTGTCAGTGTCTGGGCATTGAAGAGTTAGGTATTTATTGTAGTCTTCAAAGTCCAGGCTTGTTTGTGCCCATCCCTCTTGGGAAGACATTCCAGGTACTCAAAGGGACATGGACCCCAAGTCCAATAACAATGTGGTTTTGCAGACTCATAAAGGTACTTCTTTGGTGGTCCTGGATAAGTTGCAGAATTCTCTAAATTACAAAGCAGAGACTCTTGTCTTTTTCTTACTTTCTCCCAAAGGGAGTCTCTACCTCTATGCTGAGTTGCCTGGAACTGGGAGTGTGGTGATGCAAGCACCCCTGTGGCCACCACCACTGGAACTGTGCTGGATCAGACCTGAACCCAGCATAGAACTCTGTCTTGCCCAGGGCTCACTGTAATCACTACTTGGTTACTATCTATGTTCACTCAAGGACCTATGGCTCTATGATCAGCAGGAGGTGGTAAAGCCAAACAGGTTTGTGTCCTTCCCTTTAGGGCTGTAAGTTCCCCCAGGTCACAGGTGGGTTCAGAGATCCTATCTGAGAGCCATAGATTGCAGTCAAAAACCTTAGAAATTTGCCTGCCATTCTATTCTATTACAATTAAGCTGGTACTCAACCACAATACAAAGTACTGCCTGCTCTTCCCATCCCTTTCCACAGGCAGAGAAGACTCTCCCTGTGGCCTCCACCACCACTTGCCCATGGAGGGTTCTGCCAGGCCACCACTGATGTTTACTTTAAAGCCCAAGGGCTCTTCAGTCAGCTGTGGTGAATGTTATGAGGCCTGGGACTCACTCTTTAGGGTAGTGGACTCCCCTCTGCCCCAGGGCAGGTCCAAGAGCCTAGGCTTGGACTTGGGGACCCCAAGAGCCTGATTTTTGCTCTACCCCACTGTGGCCAAGCTGGTACCTAAGGTGCAAGACAAAGTCTCCTTTACTTTTCCCTCTGCTTTTCTCAAACAGAAACAGTGTCTCCCTGTAGCCACAACAGCTGGGAATGTGCTGATCACTCCCAAAGTCAGCATGTCTCAGAGCCCAAGGCCCACAGCATAGTCCCTGGGTATTGCTGCTGGTTATTCAGGGGCCAAGGACTCTTTAGTCAGCAGGTGGTGAATCCTGCCAGGACTGGGTCTTTCCTTTCCAGGCAGCATGTTTTCTTTTCATCCAGAGTGTGTCTAGAAATTTCATCCATGAGTGAGGGCCTGGAATGGGGTCCTCAAAACTCTGCCCACTGACCTATCCTACTGTGGCTAAGCTGGTGTCCAAGATGCAAGACAAAGTCCTCTTTACTCTTTGCTCTGCCCTCCTTAAGCAGAAGGAAGGAGTTACTTTAGTTGCTGCAAGGTGTACTGCCTAGGGTTGGGGGAGGGATGGCATAATCACTCCCTTAGTTGCCCTAGCTAGTATCCCTCTAGGTCACATGCCAGCCTAGTCCACTGGCTCGAAGCCCAGACTAGCACTAGGAGTTGCCTAGGAATTGCAGTCCTTTTGTCCTAGGCTGCCTTTCAAGTTTACCTAGGACCACAGAGCCCTTTGGCCTGTAGTGGCAAGGCTTGTGGAGAAACTCAAATTATGACCATTGGGATGAGCAATTCCCTTCTGGCTAGGGCTGGTCCAAATGCTCTCTCTATGAGCAGGTGCTGGCTGAGCCCAGCATGGCTTTATTCTCCACTGTGACAAGGCAGCACTGAGTTCAACGTAAAATCTCCCAGTCATTGTGCTCTCCCTCTCCCAGAAGGATACATTCTCTCTCTGCGCAGTGCAGCCACTGCTGGGGGATAAGGAAGTGGTGTTGGTGATTCAAGACTCTCTCTCGTACCTACACTCTTCAATGTCTTTTTCAGTGACATGAAGTTAAAACCGCATACTTTTGATTTCAGATTATTTCTCACCTGATTTTTGGTTCTTGTGATAGTGCTTTTCTGTGTGCAGATAGTTATTAATATGTGGTGTTCCTGTGGGGGAGACTAATGGTGCAGGCTTCTATTCTACCATCTTGATCCACTCCCAGAAATGTCTAATTTTAAATGTCTTACTAGCCACATTTTTTCAAAGTAAAAAATACATGAAGCTAATAATAAAACTATATTTTGTTTGAAGAAATGTATCAAAGGTATTATCCTTTCAACTGGAAAAACTATTTGAAAAATTATTAATTATTAATGGCATGTTAATGGCATATTTTGCATTTTTTACTAAGCTTTGAGTTCTATCATATGTGTATGTACATACATATATATACATATATATACATACACATATATACACATACATTTATATATACATATATATAATATATACATGTACACGTATATATATGTATATACATGTACACGTATATATGTATATATATGTATATACGTGTACATGTATATACGTATATACGTGTACATGTATATATATGTATATACGTGTAAATATATACATATATACACATATACACATATATACATATATACACATACATATACATGTATACACATACACATATACACATATATACATATATACACATACATATACATGTATACACATATACATATATACATATACATATATACACATATACATATATACATATATACATATATACACATATACACATATACACATATACACATATACATATATGTATACATATATACATATACATATATGTAAACATATATACATATACATATATGTGTATACATACATATATGTACACATACATATATGTATACATATGTACACATACATATATGTATACATATGTACACATACATATATGTATACATATATACACATACATATATGTATACATATATATGTATATATGTATACATGTATACATACACATGTTTACATATATGTATACATGTATACATACACATGTTTACATATATGTATGCATGTGTACATACACATGTTTACATATATGTGTACATGTGTACATACACATATATGTGTGTACATGTGTACATACACATATATGTGTGTACATGTGTACATACACATATGTGTATATGTGTACATACACATATGTGTGTACATGTGTACATACACATATATGTGTGTACATGTGTACATACACATATATACGTGTACATGTGTACATACACATATATACGTGTACATGTGTACATACACATATATACGTGTACATGTATACATATATATACGTATACATGTATACATATGTATACATATATATGTAAACATATACATGTATACATATATACATATATACATATATATGTATACATATACATGTATACATATATACATATATACATATATATGTATACATATATATGTGTGTGTGTGTGTATATATATATATATATATATATATACACATCTCATTTGCACTAGCCTTCTTCCAAATGCTCAATAGCCACATGTGGTTAGTAGCTACTATATTGGACAGCAAAGCAGTAGATTAGGTTGGCCTTTTTGGTCATTGTAAAGTTTGGAATTTAAATAGAATGAGAATCTGTTGAGTGAGTTTCAGTTAAGGGTAATAACATATAAATTATCTACTGGTAATTTTATAGATTCTTTTTTATACATTTCAAATATAAGAAAACTAGAAAATATTTGATATGGTATATGAACCTAACATTTTTGCCCCTATATATAATCAATTATGCTGTACCACTGATTAGAAATAATAGAATATATGTGGAAACTAACCAATTGTCACCATCTCACCACTGGCGTCCTGGTCGAATCTATCATCACCTCTAGTCTAAATCATAGATGTGCCTCACCACTGCCCTCTTGCCCCTCTACAGTCTATTCTCAATACAGCAGTCAGAATGATGTTATTAAGATCTAAAAAGGATAATAAAAACCATCAATGGCTCCCCACCTACCTCTCTGTGTGTCCCACTAAGGTCCTACCTGTCCTGGCCGCCTGTTACATCCTTGACTTCAGCTCATACTGGTTGCACCCTTGCTTATTCTTCCTCAGCCTTTCTGGTCTTGTTCTGAGAACACACTCTGTATTCTTCTGTCTGAGAGCTTTGCCCTTGTTCTCTTCCCCTAGATACACATGAGACTCTTGCCCTCACCTCGTTTTGTTCTTTGCTACAATGTCACATTTTTCAATGGTGCCTTGCTGACCACCTTATTTAAAATTGTACCCATATATCTCACCCCACACCTGCTTTATTTTTCTGCATATAATTTATTATCATCTGAAATATTATATATTTTTAGTTTCTTATTTTGTTTAAGACTCTGTCCTCTCATAGGAATATAAACTCAGCCAGGGATATTTTTGAGTTCTTTATATAGAAATATTTAATAAATATTTTAATAAGGTATTATTTTATCAGTGTCTCTCATCCCCACTATGTTCTAAACCTCCATGAGGAAAGGGCCATGTACTGTTTTTGCTCACAAATGTATTTCCAAGGACTAGTGCTAAAAAAATATGAATTTATTTTGTGAAAACTCAATAAATATGTATTAAATAAATACATTCATCCCTCTATAGTAGGTAACACAAAGAAAAGAATCAGTATTTTAGGATAGTTGAAAAGATTGCACTATAAGAGCAATAATATTATAAATGGGAATTAAATAGGCTGTAGCACCTAAAAGGTGATGGTGGTTCATTTATGTCAGCTGTTCATTGCTTTGATTAGAAAGGAAGATAAAGAATCTGAGAAATATTAAGTTGGAATTTCTATATTTTTCTACAATTTTGGAAGGCCTATTTCAAGCCTATGAAAATGAAGGTAGTATCGTAGATCACCATCATTCACTCAGATGAAAAGAATTTATTATGAAACAGAAAAAAGTGAATACCCCAGGTAAAAATGCTCAAGTGACTAGTAACTATTCCTATGTAGATAAGTGAATGTTTTTCTTAAAACTGAGGGTATCATTATACTTTCTTTTCTATTTTTACCTAAATCTGTTGTATCTCAATGTTTAACTTGTTTAAAATGCAGTCAAAGTAATCTTCTAAGGAGATTCAAATTTATTTATGATTCATAACACTTTGTCACATAATGAATTTTTCAGGAGAACTAAAAACAATCAAAGATTTAATAATGTGCCCTGTTTCTCTGCCAGTGGCATTAGGACATACATATTGTGTAATTTTTTCCAAGTGTGGGAAGGGATTTGCACTTTTCCACTCACATTGCACTGTGCTTTCAGCTAATAATATGCATTAGTAAGGAGGTTGGCTGAGGTTAAGAGTGCAAGCATGACTAAATAATGTGGCCCACACAAGAACTGAATTCATGAACGTGATTTCATTCATATGGTGTGTGAATCACCCAAATTAAACAACCACAGTTAATTAAAGATCTACATCTCTCTAACACTCGCGCACCTCTGACTTACAAATCAATCCATTCATTGTCGGTCTGCATCATTGAAACGCTTTTGGTTATGGATAGGTTTAATTGATAGACAATACCATAAAATAGACATAAAAATAATATCATGTAGTTTTTCAATTTACTCAGCAGAACAAAAGCACGCAAAGAAAAATAATTGCCTTCCCAAACTGACAATTTCACAAATGACCAGAACAGCAAAATTAATACAAAGAGCAGCATGATCTGATTGGCTTGAAGAAGAAGCATAGTGTAATAGAAAAGCAAACTGGGTTTCAGACCTTGAGGGTTCAACTCCTGGCTCTGCTTCTTACTGCCATGTGACACCTGGGCCACTTGGCTTCTGTCGGCCATAATTTCCTTATCAAACAAAGTAGAGTAATGATATTACCATGAGAATTAAATGGCCTTATCAATGTAAAGTGCCTGGTATATAGTAGTCACTCAATACATTTTATTATTATACACATATTACTCTGGTAGCTGTTTTAAATACAGATTTAAAAAGATCAAGAATGGAGGAAGAGGAACTAGTAAGAGGGTCATTGTAGTAATCCTGGTCTGAAAAGATGACACACCCCACTCCCCCCAAAGAAAACAGATTTGAGAGACATTGAAGAGATAGAGTTGACTGGCATGTGGTGGTGGTAGGAGTGCTGGGGGTAGTGAAATGCAGGGAAAAATCTAAAGTGGCTTTCATCATGAGGATATTCTATAGATTTCTGGAAGATAAGATGACAAAGCCAGTGAAGGCTACTTAAAGTACTGTATTTATAAGTGTTATTTTTTTTTATTATTATTATACTTTAACTTTTAGGGTACATGTGCACAACGTGCAGGTTTGATACATAGGTATACATGTGCCATGTTGGTTTACTGCACCCATCAACTCATCATTTACATTAGGTATTTCTCCTAATGCTATCCCTCCCCCAGCCGCCCACCCCCCAACAGGCCCTGGTGTGTGATGTTCCCTGCCCTGTGTCCAAGTAATCTCATTGTTCAATTCCCCCTATGAGTGAGAACATGCGGTGTTTGGTT
Source organism: Homo sapiens (assembly GCF_000001405.40). Classification (NCBI taxonomy): domain Eukaryota; kingdom Metazoa; phylum Chordata; class Mammalia; order Primates; family Hominidae; genus Homo; species Homo sapiens. The sequence continues at coordinate 80,617,953 of NC_000006.12, read as the reverse complement.
TTCTGTCCTTGTGATACTTTGCTAAGAATGATGGTTTCCAGCTTCATCCATGTTCCTGCAAAGGACACGAACTCATCCTTTTTTATGGCTGCATAGTATTCCATGGTGTAAATGTGCCACATTTTCTTAATCCAATCTATCATTGATGGATATTTGGATTGGTTCCAAGTCTTTGCTATTGTTAATACTGCTGCAATAAACATACATGTGCATGCATCTTTATAGTAGCATGATTTATAATCCTTTGGGTATATACCCAGTAATGGGATTGCTAGGTCAAATGGTAATTCTAGTTCTAGATCCTTGAGGAATTTCCACACTGTCTTCCACAATGGTTGAATCAATTTACACTCCCACCAACAGTGTAAAAGCATTCCTATTTCTTCATATCCTCTCCAGCATCTGTTGTTTCCTGACTTTTTAATGATTGCCATTCTAACTGGCATGAGATGATATCTAATTGTGGTTTTGATTTGCATTTCTCTGATGACCAGTGATGAGGAGCATTTTTTCATGTGTCTGTTGGCTGCACAGACGTCTTTTTTGAGAAGTGTCTGTTCATATCCTTTACCCACTTTTTGATGGGGTTGTTTTTTTCTAGTAAATTTGTTTAAGTTCTTTGTAGATTCTGGATATTAGCCCTTTGTCAGATAGGTAGCTTGCAAAAATTTTCTCCCATTCTGTAGGTTGCCTGTTCACTCTGGTGATAGTTTATTTTTCTGTGCAGAAGCTCTTTAGTTTTATCAAATCCCATTTGTCTATTTTGGCTTTTGTTGCCATTGCTTTTGGTGTTTTAGTCATGAAGTCTTTGCCTATGCCTGTGTCCTGAATGGTATTGCCCAGGTTTTCTTCTAGGATTTTTATTGTCCTAGGTCTTACGTTTAACTCTTTGATCCAACTTGAATTGATTTTTGTATGAGGTGTAAGGAAGGGGTGCAGTTTCAATTTTCTGCAATTGCTAGCCAATTTTCCCAACAGCATTTATTAAATAGGGAATCTTTTCCCCATTGCTTGTGTGTGTCAGGTTTGTCAAAGATCAGATGGTTATAGATGTGTATTGTTATTTCTGAGGCTTCCATTCTGTTCCATTGGTCTATATATCTGTTTTGGTAACAGTACCATGCTGTTTTGGTTACTGTAGCCTTGTAGTAAAGTCTGAAGTAAGGTAGTGTGATGCCTCCAGCTTTGTTCTTCTTGCCCAGGATTGTCTTAACTACATGGGCTCTTTTTTGGTTCCATATGAAGTTTAAAGTAGTTTTTTCCAATTCTGTGAAGAAAGTCAGTGGTAGCTTGATGGGGATAGCATTGAATCTCTAAATTACTTTGGGCAGTAAGGCCATTTTCACAATATTGATTCTTCCTATCCATGAGCATGGAACGTTTATCTATTTGTTTGTGTCCTCTCTTATTTCCTTGAGCAGGGGTTTGTAGTTCTCCTTGAAGAGGTCCTTCACAAACCTTGTAAGTTGGATTCCTAGGTATTTTATTCTCTTTGTAGCAATTGTGAATGGGAGTTCACTCATGATTTGGCTGTTTGTCTGTTATTGGTGTGTAGGAATGCTTGTGATTTTTGCACGTTGATTTTGTATCCTGAGACTTTGCTAAAGTTGCTTGTCAGCTTAAGGAGATTTTGGGCTGAGATGATGGGGTTTCCTAGATATACAATCATGTCATCCTCAGAGACAATTTGACTTCCTCTTTTCCTAATTGTATACCCTTTATTTCCTGCTCTTGCCTGATTGCTCTGGCAAGGACTTCCAATACTATGTTGAATAGGAGTGATGTGAGAGGGCATACTTGTGTTGTGCCGGTTTTCAAAGAGAATGCTTCCCGTTTTTGCCCATTCCATATGATATTGGCTGTGGGTTTGTCATAAATAGCTCTTATTATGTTGAGATACGTTCCATTGTTACCTAGTTTATTGAGAGTTTTTAGCATGAAGGGCTGTTGGATTTTGTCGAAGGCCATTTCTGCATCAGTTAAGATAATCATGTGATTTTTGTCATTGGTTCTGTTTATGTGATAGATTACGTTTATTGATTTGTGTATGTTGAACCAGCCTTGCATCCCAGGGATGAAGCCCACTTGATCATGGTGGATAAGGTTTTTAATGTACTGCTGGATTTGGTTTGCCAGTATTTTATTGAGGATTTTTGCATCAATGTTCATCAGGGATATTGGCCTAAAATTTTTTTGTTGTTGTTGTGTCTCTGCCAGGCTTTGGTATCAGGATGATACTGGCCTCATAAAATGAGTTAGAGAGGATTTCCTCTTTTTCTATTGATGGGAATAGTTTCAGAAGGAATGGTACCAACTCCTCTTTGTACCTCTGGTAGAATTCGGCTGTGAATCCATCTGGTGCTGGACTTTTTTTGGTTAGGCTATTAATTATTGTCTCAATTTTAGAACCTGTTTTTGGTCTATCCAGAGATTCAACTTCTTCCTGGTTTAGTCTTGGGAGGGTGTATGTGTCGAGGAATTTATCCATTTCTTCTAGATTTTCTAGTTTATTTGCATAGAGGTATTTATGGTATTCTCTGATGGTAGTTCGTATTTCTGTGGGATTGGTGGTGATATCCCCTTTATCATTTTTTATTGCGTCATTTGATTCTCCTCTCTTTTCTTCTTTATTTGTCTTGCTAGTGGCCTATCAATTTGTTGATCTTTTCAAAAAACCAGCTCCTGGATTCATTGATTTTTTTGAACGGTTTTTTGTGGCTGTATCTCCTTCAGTTCTGCTCTGATTTTAGTTATTTCTTGCCTTCTGCTAGAATGTGTTTGCTCTTGCTTCTCCAGTTCTTTTAATTGTGATGTTAGGGTGTCGATTTTAGATCTCTCCTGTTTTCTCTTGTGGGCATTTAGTGCTATAAATTTCCCTCTACGCACTGCTTTAAATGTGTCTTTGTTCTCATTGGTTTCAAAGAACATCTTTATTTCTGCCTTCATTTCTTTATTTACCCAGTAGTCATTCAGGAGCAGGTTGTTCAGTTTCCATGTAGTTGTACAGTTTTGAGTGAGATTCTTAATCCTGAGTTCTAATTTGATTGCACTGTGGTCTGAGAGACAGTTTGTTGTGATTTCTGTTCTTTTATATTTGCTGAGGAGTGCTTTACTTCCAATTACGTGGTCAATTTTAGAATAAGTGTGATGTGGTGCTGAGAAGAATGTATATTCTGTTGATTTGGGGTGGAGAGTTCTGTAGATATCTATTAGGTCTTCTTGGTCCAGAACTGAGTTCAAGTCCTGGATATCCTTGTTAATTTTCTGTCTCATTGATCTGTCTAATATTGACAGTGGTGTGTTAAAGTCTCCCATTATTGTTGTGTGGGAGTCTAAGTCTCTTTGTAGGTCTCTAAGAACTTGCTTTATGAATCTGACTGCTCCTGTATTGGGAGCATATATATTTAGGATAGTTAGCTCTTCTTGTTGAATTAATCCTTTTACCATTTTTTAATGGCCTTCTTTGTCTCTTTTGATCTTTGTTGGTTTAAAGTCTGTTTTATAAGAGACCAGGATTGCAACCCCTGCTTTTTTTTTATTTCCATTTGCTTGGTAGATCTTCCTCCATCCCTTTATTTTGAGCCTATGTGTGTCTTTGCACATGAGATGGGTCTCCTCAATACAGCCCACTGATGGATCTTGACTCTTTATTCGATTTGCCAGTCTGTGTCTTTTAATTGGGGCATTTAGCCCATTTACATTTAAAGTTAATATTGTTACGTGTAAATTTGATCCTGTCATTATGATGCCAACTGGTTATTTCACCTGTTAATTGATGCAGTTTCTTCATAACGTAGATGGTCTTTACAATTTAGCATGTTTTTGCAGTGACTGGTAGTGGTTGTTCCTATTTATGTTTAGTGCTTCCTTCAGGAGCTCTTATAAGGCAGGCCTGGTGGTGACAAAATCTCTCATCATTTGCTTGTCTGTAAAGGATTTTATTTCTCCTTCACTTATGAAGCTTAGTTTGGCTGGATATAAAATTCTGAGTTGTAAATTCTTTTCTTTAAGAATGTTGAATATTGGCCCCACCCTTTCTGGCTTGTAGGGTTTCTGCCGAGAGATCCGCTGTTAATCTGATGGGCTTCCCTTTCTCTCTGGCCGCCCTTAACATTTTTTCCTCATTTCAACCTTGGTGAATCTGACACTTATGAGTCTTGGGGTTGCTCTTCTCAAGGAGTATTTTTGTGGTGTTCTCTGTATTTCCTGTATTTGAAAATTGGCCTGCCTTGCTAGGTTGGGGAAGTTCTCCTGGATAATATCCTGAAGAGTGTTTTCTAACTTGGTTCCATTCTCCCCATCCCTTTCAGGTACACCAGTGAAATGTAGATTTGGTCTTTTCACATAGTGCCATATTTCTTGGAGGCTTTGTTCATTTCTTTTCACCCTTTTTTCTCTAATCTTGTCTTCTCACTTTATTTCATTAATTTGATCTTCAATCGCTGGTATCCTTTCTTCCACTTCATCAAATTGGCTATTGAAGCTTGTGTATGCTTCACGAAGTTCCCATACTGTGGTTTTCAGCTCCATCAGGTCATTTAAGCTCTTCTCTACACTGACTATTCTAGTTAGCCATTCATCTAACCTTTTTTCAAGGCTTTTAGCTTCCTTGTGATGGGTTAGAACATGCTCCTTTAGCTCACAGAAGTTTTTTATTACCACCTTCTGAAGCCTACTTCTGTCAACTCGTCAAACTCATTCTCTGTCCAGTTTTGTTTCATTGCTGGTGAGGAGTTGTGATCCTTTAGAGGAAAAGAGGCATTCTGGTTTTTGGAATTTTCAGACTTTCTGCTCTGGTTTCTCCCTACTTTGTAGTTTTATCTACCTTTGGTCTTTGATGTTGGTGACCTACAGATGGGGTTTTGTGGTGTGAATGTCCTTTTTGTTGATGTTAATGCTATTCCTTTCTGTTTGTCAGTTTTCCTTCTAAAAGACAGGTCCCTCAGCTGCAGGTCTGTTGGAGTTTGCTGGAGGTCCACTCCAGAACCTGTTTGCTTAGGTATCACCAGTGGAGGCTGCAGAATAGCAAATATTGCTGCCTGATCCTTCCTCTGGAAGCTTCATCCCAGAGGGGCACCTGCCTGTATAAGGAGTCTGTCAGCCCCTACTGGGAGGTGTCTCCCAGTTGGGTTACACGGGGTCAGGAACCCACTTGAGGAGGCAGTCTGTCCTTTATCGGAGGCCAAACGCCACGCTGGGAGAACCACAGCTCTCTTCAGAGCTGTCAGGCAGGGACGTTTAAGTCTGGAGATGCTGTCTGCTGCCTTTTGTTGATATGTGCCCTGCCCCCACAGGTGGAATCTAGTGCGGCAGTAGACCTTGCTGAGCTGTGGTGGGCTCCACCTAGTTCAAGCTTCCCTGCCACTTTGTTTACACTGTGACCACAGAACCACCTGCTCAAGCCTCAGCAGTGGCAGACGCCCCTCACCTGCTAAGCTCCCACATCCCATGTCAATCTCAGACTGCTGCGCTAGCAGTGAGCAAGGCTCCATGGGCATGGGACCCACTGAGCCAGGCATGGGAGGGGATCTCCTGGTCTGGCAGTTGTGAAGACTGTGGGAAAAGCACAGTATTTGGGCAGGAGTGTACCACTCCTCCAGGTACAGTCACTCACAGCTTCCCTTGGCTAGGAAAGGGAAATCCCCTGACCCCTTGCACTTCCCAAGTGAGGCGATGCCCTGCCCTCTGTGGGCTGCACCCACTGTCCAACCAGTCCCAGTGAGATGAACCAGGTACCTCAGTTGGAAATGCAGAAATCACCCATCTTCTGTGTCAATCTCGTTGGCAGCTGTAGACTGGAGCTCTTCCTGGGGACTCTTCTGTTCCTCAACAGGCTCTGAAAGCTTCCTGGTCATTTTGAAGTTGGAAGACTCAATTTTGAACCACTCTCAGGCAGAAGAGAAGAGTCACTATCCATTGTGATCAAAAGAATACCTGCCGGCAGATGAGCCACATGCCTCAGCAGTCCAGACTTCCGTGGCGACCTCCACGGGCAAGCCTATGCACTGGGTGCCCAGCATGCCCTCAGGAGTGGCTGAGGCTACTGGCTGTCACAGGGCAAGGTTGTGGGAAGCCTGAAGCTGGTGGGAGGGGCACACGCAGGTGGTTCTGAGCTGAGCCTGAGTGAGTGCTACATGAAGTATTGTATTTATGTTAAAACCCACTGTTCTTAGACACTGGGCTCTGAGTCTCTCAGAAGTAGATTTATCCTAAGAGATATGTAAATCTATATGAACTCCAACCTATATTTTTAAATAAAATCAATATGATTCCCCTTGTATATTTTACTACTTTCTTTCTAATTTGTGTCAATGCTGCACTGATCAATAAATTACAAATTCTTACACAGAAATTTCTGAAATGTAGCCTTTTATTATTACTTATATTTTTAATTGCCAAGTATTCTAAGTCATGTTTTGGTACCTGGGCTAGAATACAACCCTTTCTTTATATTTTCTTTAATTAATGTCCTTATTCTAGAAAATGATGATAATTAGTGCCTACCCAGTTCTTGCCAACTACTTTCTAATTTCAGAAATTTTTCTAATTTTTTGAGATTTAATAAATACAGCCATAATGGAGAATTGAGAGGGATGCCATGGAATATTCTGCTGCATCTAAACAATGTCATGTTTGTTTGGTAATTGTTTTTCTTTGTACCGATTATTTTAGTTGCTGTGGCTGTTCCCATAAATATTTGTACACAGCTGGACATAATTTTGCAGTGCTTATTTCCCTGTTAAAACCCCTACTCCACCCAAAGAACTTCCAACAAGTACTTGAGTAGAGATTCTTCCAGGTAATTGCAATAGAATCTGTATTCCCCTGTGAAAGGACTTAGCTTGATGAGTTAAGAGGAAACTAACATTAATCTGGAAACAGAGAGAAATGCTAAATAGAGAGATGAGTTGTAAACACTGCCTGCATGCCATTTTGACACACCCGAGACATTAGTCATTGGGTCTGCATTTTCAGTTAGGTTGTACATAGCAAAGCAAAGTTGGTATTATTCAAGTCAACAAGGACATGGGGAAATAATTGCTACTGGCTCATTTTTTACCACCAACAAGTGTCACAGCCTATTTAATAGCTCTTCAAAAAATAAATTAAGAAAAAATATTCAACAATTACTTTAATGGGATGACAGTTTTACTTTTATTTTGTTTTTTCCTGAAACCCCAAGCCAATAATTTTTTTCTAGCCTAGGTAAGTCAAGCAGATTGTGCATTTCCCTTCCCCACCCACACCATCACCACCACCACCATCACCCTACACACACACACACACACACACACAGAGGCACCACACTCACTTTTTTACTTAGAAATATATTGATGCAGTTTAATATTTTAAGGCATTTTTTCCACATGGTATACATTGTCAGCTCTATAGCTGTGCTTTTCAAAACCAAGGTCAATGTTTTCAATGCTGTGGCTTTGTGATCTTGGTGAAAATAGTAGAAATGAAGTTGAGGCAAGGTCTGACTATTCCACCAGAGTCATAAGAAATAGCAGAAGCCCTAAGTATAGCAGAAATCTTAGAGGACTAAGAGTTATAAGGCCAGGTTTAAATGCAACTATACCACAACTGCTGCCTAATCTGAGGCCAGTCATATTGGTAATCTGGGCCTCTGATTACTAACACAAAATGAAAGGCTAACACTACATGATATCTATGGTCTCTTGCAGCTATTGAATTGATTGCATTTCTGAGCTGTCTGCCCATTCACTGAATGTCCTGCACCTTTGGTATTTTCCCAAACAGGAGACAGCTAGGCTCAGCACCATCCTGGTCCTAAGAAACTGCCTAGACCTTACTTTAAAAATACATGCTTAGGGTGGCCTCCAGGCAAAAGATAAAAATTTAAAAATAAAAAATGAAATAAAATAAAAATACATGTTTAGATCCTCTTGCATTTGCCTTACCATATGATGAGAACCTAATGCAAACAATTATTTTGGCAAACAAGTATGTTCAAAAAATGCATATAAAATTGTGAGTAGAATAAAGCTATATATGTATGCCATATCAAAAACCCTGGTTGACTCAACAAAACTAGCGCAATACCTGAAATATTTATTGAGAGGAAAATTGAAATAAATTACTCATTAAGTCAAAAGTACTAGAGAGTTTAAACCAGGGCAGTTACCAAAGTGTGTTCCACAAGAGTTAAATGTGTTCCTGTGTCCCTGTTTGAAACAAAAGGGAAAGGGTAGTTATTGTGGTCAAGTTAGTTTGGAAATGGGTCAGTTAAATAAGTTAAGCAAAAATTTTTTGCTGCAGGGCCTCTGAAAACAAGGTATAAAGCCAAACTCACTCACCATGGAAACTTTCTTTCCCAGAATACTTTATGGGGATCAGTGTTAAAAAACAAACAAACAAAAAAAAGACAAAACAAAAAAACCCTATACTGTTTACTGCCTGAGATAAATTAGAGAAATGAATATATTGAAAAAACATGTCAACTTGCTCTTTGATATGCACTAATAAATTGACATATATCTTTAATAGATACAATCAAATGTGACATCTGCTTTAGATTTTATTCAGCCAATAATGAAATTTTTTTCAAAATGACATTTGTCAAATGTCTAAATGGCTCTCAAAATCCCTCCAATTATATTCCAACACAAATAGGTTATGTGTACCTTTTGAAAGTGGGCTTTAGTATTTATGAACTGACGAGGGGAATAAAAATGGAAGAAAATGATTTTTTAAAAGTGATCTATGTTTGTCTTCCATGGAACCTTTTTCCATCTTTTCAAAAAGAATTCCCTTGGCCAATTCTGGCATCTCTCAGGAAACTACAAGCCAGGGTAAAGCAGGAGCCTGCTGTAACACTTCATTCTTATGTGTCATTTAAAAGGCATGCACTCTTTGTGTGATTCCAATAACACTGGACATACTGAGAATGGGGGTTATGTTAGGACCCCATAAATGATGCTTCATCTCATCATTTAGGCTTGATAAACAAAGGAATGCTGTGAAAGAGAGGAGTTATATTTTAGAATGAGGTATCCCAGTTTTTCAATAAGTTGAAGAAAACTTCAAGCCTACAATCAAAAAGACAAGAAATAGTCTATAAAATAACACCCTTACTTTAAAAAAATTGAGGTTCTTTTTGCAGAAGTGATATTTGGGAAGGCTGTCTATGATCTGTTAGTATATGAAGTACTTCTATAAAAATGAGAGAGGCCTCTAAGACCCCAACTAAAGGAAACGCCTCGAAGTTATCATGATATAGATTTTATTAGGGAATATTTTGGGGTATAGTATATCAGTTTAAGCCTAAAGAACTACCTGTGATTGGTAGGGCTATAAGGTGTGCCTGCTAGGGAGTATTAGAGAAGAGACTGAAACTCCTCCTGGGTAAAACTACAGCAAAATTGAATTGAGACACACAGGTTTGGTTCAAGGACTACAAAATAAAAGGCAAGACAAAATTATTGGGCAGTACAATGTCAGTCACTCATATTCCCCTTACTTCAGAGCTTGCAGATTCATGACCAAATACCAGAATGGTATTGACCAAATACCAGAATAGCATTGACTGAAGAACAAGTAAAACCAAGGGCGACCAGCACAGATATACAGAACACAAGACAACTACAGCGCTGGGGTTAATCTCATCCCCCACAGCAGGAGATACTGGTGACTAATGCTAAGACTTCGTTGACACATTTGGCAGTCAGCACTAGCAGCCTGGGAACAGACACTGTTCCTTCTAGAATCATCTCCATAGGGTGGCATTGGCAGCAAAGCTGCTGTTTTTTATACCAGAAGGCAGGAGACATATTACACTGGCATATGATAAAAGATAGAGAAAATCGAGCATAGGATGCCACTGGGTAGTTAAAAGGCTAAATTTTCTGATTGTAGATGACATACATCTTAAGAATGCTATAATTATTTAATAAAAATGTAAGGGTAATCCAGAGTTCTCACATGGTGAATAGGAGCATGGCCAGAGAAATACCAGTTTGCAGCAATCATAATGTTCTATTTTTATCCCCATGCTGGTGTGGCCTGAGAATCAAGAATTACATAAGAAAGGATTGCATAATATTTAAACTGCTTGTATTGGAATGAAGTGCTGGCTGGCCATGGTAGTCTTTATAAACAATGGAAAATCTCTTTTAATCAAATTGGCTTAGGTTTGGTCCATTGTAAGAGGTTGTGAATTTGATAACCGGTCAAGGTCATCTCCCTAATCACCATGAATGTCCTCAAGAATACTGCATTATTTTCATCTGATTTCCAAAGATCAGGGCACTTTGGCTTATTCTTAGTTAAGATTTATTATTTCCAAGCTGTGTATTCTAGAGTATAATTTTAAAAATCATTCAAAACTACCATAATGATCATCTACTTGAGTATTTTTAATACCAACAAATAATTTTCATAAAGATAGTCCACATTTTTATAACATGCCAGGCTTTTTCAGTTTCTCCATTTGATTATTGGACCCTATAAGAAGAGCAGATGAGAAAAAATTTGCTGAACTGGCCAAGGATAAGCAATTACTGAATGATAAAGTTGGGTCTATACAACTGACATGTCTGGGCTGCTAATTCAAGCCAGCTCACTGAACCACACCACTCCACCTTCTCTTCAGCACTTTCTCCCAATCCGTGAATCACTTCAACAAACTCAAACATTACCCATATTCACACAACCAAAAATCTAAAACAATGGACTTCTTTAAACTGCTATTACCAAGAAGCATGAGACAGTTAAATCTTCCTAAAGGTTTAATTCTTTTAAAATACAAGGTGCTTTTAGACTTTGAGTTTTCAAACTTTACTTTTTTAGTGTCTTTCATGAAATGAATGCCAACATTGGTTTATTTGTTTCTCTTCTGGATGTTCTTACAAAACACTTGGTGGAGCGTTTTCTTCTCCAAGCTGTAATGCTGTTCTTTCCACAGCATAATCCAACCACCCAGCCAGAGGACAGAAAAGGTGTCCCACACAGAGTTCCAGTTACTCTGTGAATTTATGCCTTTGGCACAAGGAATAACCACATTATGTTAAAAATTTTCTACAGAGTAGAAATAGATAATAGAAGAAACGATTTTTATGACAGATAGATTGTTTCTTCCTAGGGAAGGCAAATATTATATTGTTGATCAGTCATACAGACACACACAATGTGTCCAATCTACTTCCTCATAAAATAATTTTAATAGTCTCAATCAAAGGACTCTTCATATGACATGTTTTTAATGATCAATTGAAACAACTAAATCTAATATAATTCTACCTAATATTAGAAATTACAAGTGATGAGAATGCCCGCCGTGCTATGATATCTGGAAATTCCCAGAGTTTGTGTTATATTTCATTAGTGTAACAATTTATACAAGCCCAACACAAAAGAAACAAAATTGTCTTCTCTTTAAAAATGAAATATGCTATAAATCCTTCTTTTTCTTGATATCCTTTAGCAGAGGAATAAAATGATTCATATTAAACTCATATTAGCTTTGCATCATCACATATTTTTATTATTTTTTGCTTCTTTACTTCCCTTGTGGCAATACTTTAATATAACTTTATTGAATTTAGGGGACACTTTTGGAAACAAGATATGATACATCCAAGAAAACTTTATACTGAATTCATCTGAAGAATGCAAGAAATGACATTCTTAAAGCTTTGCAAAGGGTGCCGTAAATCATACATGAGTCTTTGGCAATCATCATGATTATATTTGACAAAATTGTCTAAGCCCAAATATCCAGGATAATGAGAAGCTCCTTTGACCTATAATCTTTAAAAGACATTTCATATGAAAATATGAACACATATTATGTATAGTATATGTGTTAAATGTGTACACATAGATACTTGCATGTATATATATTTTAAAACATTATTTTCCGAGTGACCATCTCTGTGATATTCCTGATTGTATAGAAAATATACATTGATTCTGAATGTAGTAAAAACTCCATTATAGTGTGAAAAAATCTCTTGAAAGATTTCAGATAACACCAAACATAGCAGAAATTTATTAATATCATTTACCTAAGCAACAGTTAGAAAGCTAAATTTTTTATTCATTCAAAATCTCTTTGCCTTACTTCCTAAGCCACCTAGAAGCCTAGAATTTTAGTCCTAGATTTTGAACAGCAGATTTTAAGGTTTCCACTCAAAATTGGGGAAAGAAATCCTTCACGTAGAATCTTTTAGAACTGGTTTTACAGACACATGGTAATTATATGGCAGAATTTCTACCTTGGGATTAAAGGAATATATTTTTAAAGTATAGCCTAGCTTTAGACAGCAACCATCAAGGAAGGTCCGCAAGCAGAAACAGAAAAACTTTAATATCTCTTTTGCTCCCTCTGCTGGTTGGTTTCATAGAATGAAGAGTGGGTGCTTTGAACTCTCCTTTTTGCCAGCCCCATTATCAGCCTCAAAAATGCTAATATATTTTAATTTTTCCCAGACTTTAAGGATTTGGGTATCAGGACTTCTCTAGTTGATTAATGCTGTAATTGAGTTGTTGGATCTCTACTTGTTTGAAGTATAAATGACTAGATAGGAGAACATGAATATGGAAGTTCCATTAGATTAACAGTCCAACAGTTATTGAGCATGACTCAGAAGGGAACATATGACATCCTCGTCTTAAAGTAATATGATCTCAAGGAAGAAAAAGACACACGTATATAATATTACCCAACAAAGAGGCAGTATATAATTCAGGACTAAATTGTATGGTATCAACTGCATGTTCAAAGATTTGAAAAAATTCATAAACAAGAGGCAGGAGTTGGGCTGAAACTCAAAAATGACTGTTATAGAACACAAACTCAAAAGCAATAGGAGTAGTTGTTGAAGGAGCAAGATACAGTGTGATCAATAATATGCTGATTTAAAATACAGAATATTGTGTTTTAAAAAACACTGTAATTAAACAAAAAAAATAAAAAAAACACTGTAACTGTGGAGTGTAAATGACTTGTATCTTAAACAGAAAGACTAAAAGATGAGTCAATCAAAAATAATAACTACAAGAGCTTTTCAAGACCAGGGACAGCACAATCAGATATAAATAGAAAGATCAAAAAGTTAAAAGGCAGAGGGACAAAATTAAAGTGTGGCATTGTTATTAGTTCTCTCTTTGCTTTTTGTTAGTATGCTTGTTTCTTTATGCCATCAGTGTTAAGTTGTCATCAGTTTAAAATAATGGGTTATAAGATATTATTTTCAAGCCTCAGGATAATCTCAAATAAAAAACATACAACAGATACACACACACAAAAAGCAAGAAATTAAAACATAACACCAGAGAAAACCACCTTCACTAAAAGGAAGACAGGAAGGAAAGAAAGAAGAAAGAGAAAGTCCACAAAACAACCAGGAAACTACAAATAACAGAAGTCCTGACTTACCGATAATAACATTGAACGTAAATCGACTAAATTATCCAGTAAAGAGATCAAGTGGCTAAATTGATTTTTTAACAAAGACTTAGTGATCTGTTGATTGCGAGAAACACGCTTCACCTACAAATACAAACAGACTGAAAATAAATGGATAGAAAAAGAGATTCCACTCCAATGGAAAGCAAAAAAGCACAGGAGTAGATATGCTTATATCAGACAAAATTGATTTTAAGGCCAAAACTCCAAAAAAAGAAAACAAAGGTCATTATATAATGATAAAGTGATCAATTCAGCAAGAGGATATAACAATTTTAAGTATTTATTCACCCAACATTGGAGCAGCCAGATATATAAAGCAAATGTTATTAAAGATAAAGTAAGAGATAGACCTAAATACAGTAATAGCTAGAGACTTCAACAGTCCTCTTTCAGCATTGGACAGACCTCCCAGACAGAAAATCACAAAGAAACGTGGGACTTAATCTGCACCTAGACCAAATGAACCTAATAGATATTTACAGAACATTTCATCCAACAGCTGCAGAATACATATTCATCTCCTCAGCACATGGGTCATTCTCAAGGATAGACCATATGTTAGGTCACAAAATAAGTCTTAAATCATTCCAAAAAATTGAAATTACATCAAGTATCTTCTCTTTCCACAATGGAATAAAACTAGAAATGAACAACAAGAGGAATTTTGGAAACTATACAAACACATGGAAATTAAAAAACATGCTCCTGAATAACCAGTGGGTCAATGAAGAAATTCAGAAGAAAGTTGAAAAATGTCTTGGAACAAATGAAAATAGGAACACAACATATTGAAACCTGTGGGATACAGCAGAGGGAGTACTAAGGGGGAGTTTATAGCTATAAGCACCTTCATCAAAAAAGTAGAAAAATATCAAATAACCTAATGATTCATGTTAACCAGAAAAGCAAGAACAAACTGAAGCCAAAATTAGTAAAAGAAAAGAAATAATAAATATCACAGAATAAATAAATGATACTGAAATGAAGAAAACAATACAAACATAAAAGAAACAAAAAAAATGTTTTTTGCAAAATTAAAGTCAACAAAACTTTGGTTAGACCAATGAAGAAAAAAGGGAGAATATCTAAATAAAATCAGAGATGAATAAGGAGACATTACAAATGACACCACAGAAATTCAAAGGATCGTTAGTGGCAATTATGAACAACTATATCCCAATGAACTGGAAAGCTTAGCAGAAATAGACAAATTCCTAGACACATACAACCTGCCAAGACTGAACCATGAAGAAATCCCAAACCTGAAGAGATCAATAACAACTAATGAGATTGAAGTCATAGTAAGAAGTATCCCAGCAGAGAAAAGCCCGGGACCCAAGGGTTTCACTGCTGAATTTTACCGAACATTTAAAAAAGAATTAATACCAGTACTACTCAAATTATTTCAAAAAATAGAAGAGGAGGGAATATTTTCAAACTCATTCTATGAGGCCAGTATTACCCTGATAGCAAAACCGACAAAGACAAATTTTAAAAAGACAACTACAGGCAAGCATTCTTGATAAACATTGATGAAAAAATCCTCAACAAAATACTAGCAAACCTAATTTAACAACACATTTATAAGATGATTCATTGTGATCAAGTAGGATTTATCTCAGGGATGCAAGGATGGTACACCATATGCAAGTCAATCAATGTGATACATTGTATCAACAGAATGAAGGACAAAACCCATATGATCATTTCAATTAATGCTGAAAAAGAATTTGATAAAGTTCAACATGCCTTCGTGATCAAAACCGTCAAAAAAGTGGGTATAAAAAAAACATGCCTCAACACAATAGAAGCCATATTTAACAGGCCCAGTATCATACTGAATGGAAAAAAAAAAACTGAAAGCCTTTCCTCTAATATCTGGAAGATGAAAAGAATGCCCATTTTCACCACTGTTATTCGACATAGTACTGGAAGCCCTAGCTTGAGCAATTAGACAAGAGAAAGAAACAAAAGACAATCAAGTTGAAAAGGAAGAAATCAAATTATCCTTATTTGCAGATGATATGATCTTATATTTGGAAAAACCTAAAGACTCCACCAAAAAAAAACTATTAGAACTAATAAACAAAC
Organism: Homo sapiens; assembly: GCF_000001405.40. Classification (NCBI taxonomy): domain Eukaryota; kingdom Metazoa; phylum Chordata; class Mammalia; order Primates; family Hominidae; genus Homo; species Homo sapiens. The sequence continues at coordinate 80,602,427 of NC_000006.12, read as the reverse complement.
TCAGTAAGTTGAAGGATACAAAATCAATATCTAAAAATCAGTAGCATTTCTATGTGATAACAGCAAACAATCTAAAAAAGAAATTAAAAAAGTAATCCCAATTACAATAGCTACAAATAAAATAAAATATTAACGAATTAATTTAATTAAAGAAATAAAAGATTTCTATAATGAAAACTATAAAACACTGATGAAATAAATTGAAGACACACTAAAAAATGGAAACATATTCATTCCGTGTTCATGAATTGGAAGGATCAATATTGTTAAAATGTCTACACTACCTAAAACAATCCACAGATTATATGCAATCTCTACCAAAATATCAATGACATTCTTCACAGGAATAGAAAAACAAATCCTTAAATTTATATGGAGCCACAAAAGACCCACAATAACCAAAGCTCTCCTGAGCAGAAATAAACAACACTGGGGGTATATTACCTGACTTCAAATTATACCACAGAGGTATAGTAACCAAAACAGCATGATATTCACATGAAAACAAACACATAAATCAATGGAATAAAATAGACAACCCAGAAGCCAATCCATACATCTATAGTGAACTCATTTTCAACAAAGATGCCAAGAACACTGGGGAAAGGTCAGTGTCTTCAATAAATGGTGCCGATGGTGCTGGGAAAACTGGATATCCATATGCAGAATGATGAAACTGGACTCCTATCTCTTGTCATACACAAAGATCAAATCCAAATGGATTAAAGACATGTCTAACACCTTAGCCTATGAAACTCTCCAAAAAAAAAATTGGGGAAATTCTACAGGGCATTGGACTTGGCAAAGATTTCTTGAGACCACACAAGGACAGGCAATCAAAGCAAAAATAGACAAATGGGATCACATCAAGTTAAAAACCTTCTTCACAGCAAAGGATACAATCAACTAAGTGAAGAGACAACCCACAGAATGGGAGAAAATATTTGCAAACTACCCATCTGACAGGGCTTAATAACCAGAATATATAAAGAGCTCAAACAACTGTTTAGGAAAAAAATCTAATAATCTGATTAAAATGGGCAAAAGATTTGAACAGACATTTCTCAAAGAAGGCATGCAAATAGTAAGAAGTTGTATGAAAAGGTGCTCAGCATCATTGATCATCAGAGAAATGCACATCAAAACTACAATGTGACATCTCACCCCAGTTAAAATGACTTTTATCCAAAACACAGGTAATAACAAATCCTGGCAAGGATGTGGAGAAAAGAGAACCCTCTTACACTGTTTGTGGGAATATAAATTGGTACAACCACTGTGAAGAACAGTTTGAAAGTTCTTCAAAAAACTAAAAATAGAGCTACTACATAATTCAGCAATCCCACTGCTGGGTATATACCCAAAGAAGAGAAAACAGTATATCAAAATGATACCTGCACTCTTGTGTTAATTGCAGCACTATTCACAATTCCCAAGATTTAAAAGCAACTTAAGTGTCCATGAACAGGCGAATGGATAAAGAAAATGTGGCACATTTACACAATAGAGTACTATTCAAACATAAAAAGAATGAGATCCTGTCATTTGCAACAACACGGGTGGAACTGGAGGTCTTTAAGTAAAATAAGCAAGGCACAGAAAGGCAAACTTTGCATGTTCTCACTTATGTGTGGGAACTGAAAATTAAAACAAATGAACTTATGGAGACAGAGAGTAGAAGGATTGTTACCAGAGGCTGGGAAGGGTCCTAGGGTAGTGGGGAAGGTAGGATGGTTAATGGGTACTGAAATATATGTAGCTAGAATGAATAAAATCTGGTATTTGACAGCACAACAGGGTGACTACAGTCAACAATAATTTATTGTACATTGTAAAATACTAAAAGAGTGTAATTGTATTGTTCATAACACAAATAAGGGATAAAAGCTTGAGATGATTAATACTCCATTTACTTTTATGTGATTATTACACACTGTATGCCTGTATTGAAATAGCTCATGTACCTAACATATACTCCTACTATGTACTCACAAAAATTAAAAATAAATAAAAATAAAAGAGAAGTCAGCCAACTATTTTAAAATAAAGAATCTGCCTTTTGACTTCTCCCCACAACACCACCTTCTACTCATACATATAACTTCAAAACAAAGCAATAGCAATGACAGCATACTCAAACTTGACATAATGAAATTATCTATACTCCAAATGAAAATGTATGCATCCTCTTCCTCAAAGTGAATATCCACATTCAGTCACCATAATTATCTCTGAGAAATATTCAGTCCTTTTATATTTAGTGCCATCACAGGCTAGTTCTGATATCCTGCTATTTATGGATCACATAAATTTAATAACCAGTAATATGCTCTCTCTAATATACTAGAGGAAGACTAGAAGACAGACATACTAGAGATTACTATGGGGCCCTTCTCAATGATGTAAATCTTTCCCTTTATTTAAGGAGCTCTGAGTCTATTATTTGATTAGGTCAGGCAGGCAAGTTGGGAGGGACCATGAATTTCCAATGTGGTGCATCACCCAAGTCACTGCCAAACCTAGAAAGTTTTTAAGTGGGACCTTAATGGGCTATTATCAGTTTCAGTTCTAGGATCCTCATGATCAGTTAGTCACTTCCAAAGGTTTTCTCAATGTCAAATTTTATTATCATCACTCTCACCCAGTTGATTATTATGAAAACCGCATCACCCAGCTTGACCAATTAAGTGTTGCTGTGTGGCATCAGTCAATATGGGATGCTACTGTATATGGTGGTATCATCCCAGCAAAGATACAACAAACACTGCAGTCTTTTTCAAGAATGTTGCACTCCCCTTCTCAATGAATTTCTTAATATCTAATGAAGAAAGTGTTTCCTTTTTATTTTTATTTTTTAAATTTTACTCTAAGTTCCAGGATATATGTGCACAACATGCAAGTTTGTTACATAGGTAAATATGTGCAATGGTGGTTTGCTGCTCCTATCAACCCATCACCTAGGTATTAAGCCCTGCATGAATTAGCTATTTATCCTGATGCTCTCCCTCCCCACCCACCGACAGGCCCCAGTGTGTGTTGTTCCCCTCCCTGTGTCCATGTATTCTCATTGTTCAGCTCCCACTCATGAGTGAGAACATGTGGTGTTTGGTTTTCTGTTCCTGTTAGTTTGCTGAGGATGATGGCTTCCAGCTTCATCCATGTCCCTGCAAAGGATGTGATCTCATTCCTTTTTATGGCTGCATAGTATTCCATGGTGTATATGCACCACATTTTCCTTATTCAGTCTATCACTGATGGGCATTTGGGTTGGTTCCATGTTTTTGCTATTGTGAATAGTACTTCAATAAACATATGTGTACATGTATCTTTATAATAGAATGATTTATATTCCTTATAATACCCAATAATGGGATTGCTGGGTGAAAGGTATTTCTAGTTCTAGATCCTTGAGTAATTGCCACACTGTCTTCCACAATAGTTGAACTAATTTACATTCCCACCAACAGTGTAAAAGTGTTCCTATTTCTCCACAGCCTCACCAGCATTTGTTGTTCTTGACTTTTTAATAATCTATTCTGACTGTCATGAGATGGTATCTCATTGTGGTTTCGATTTGCATTTCTCTAATGATGAGTGATATTGAGCTTTACTTCATGTTTTTTGGCCATATAAATGTCTTCTTTTGAGAAGAGTCTGTTCATATCGTTTGCACACTTTTTGATGGGATTGCTTTTTTCTTAAAGGGAACTTAAATTTTTTTAAGTTCCCTGTAAATTCTGGATACTAGACCTTTGTCAGATGGGTAGATTGCAAAAATTTTCTCTCATTCTTTAAGTTGCCTGCTTGCTCTGATGAGTTTCTTTTGCTGTGCAGAAGCTCTTTAGTTTAATTAGATCTCATTTGTCAATTTTAGCTTTTGTTGCAATTGCTTTTGGCAATTTCATCCTAAAATCTTTGTCCATGCCTATGTCCTGAATGATATTGCCTATATTTTCTTCCAGGGTTTTTATGGTTTTGGGTTTTACGTTTAAGTCTTTAATCCATCTTGAGTTAATTTTTGTATAAAGTGTAAGGAAGGGGTCCAGTTTCAGTTTTCTTCATATGGTTAGCCAGTCTTCCCAGCACCATTTATTAAGTAGTGAATCCTTTCCCCCTTGCTTGTTTTGGTCAGGTTTGTCAAAGATCACATGGTTGTAGATATGTGGTCTTATTTCTGAGGTCTGTATTCTGTTTCATTGTTCTATATGTCTGTTTTGGTACCAGTACCATGCTGTTTTGGTTACTGTAGCCTTGTAGAATATAACCACTGACCCCACAGAAATAGAAACTACCATCAGACAATACTATAAACACCTCTACACAAATAAACTAGAAAATCTAGAAGAAATTGATAAATTCCTGAACACATACACCCTCCCAAGACTAAACCAGGAAGAAGTCGAATCCTTGAATAGACCAATAACAAGTTCTGAAATTGAGGCAGAATAAATAGCCTACTAACAAAAAAAGAAAAGAAGAAAAAGCCCAGGGCCAGACAGATTCACAGCCAAATTCTACCAGAGGTAAAAAGAGGAACTGGTACCATTCCTTCTCAAACTATTCCAAACAATTAAAAAGGAGGAACTCCTCCCTAACTCACTTTATGAAGCGAGCATCATCCTGACACCAAAACCTGGCACAGACAAAACAAAGAAAACTTCAGGCCAATAATCCTGATGAACATCCATGCAAGAATCCTCAATAAAATACTGGCAAACTGAATCCAGCAGCACATCAAAAAGCTTATCCACCACAATCAAATCTGTTTCATCCCTGGGATGCAGGGCTGGTTCAACTTACATATATCTATAAATGTAATCCATCACATAAACAGAACCAATGACAAAAACAACATGATTATCTCAGTAGATGCAGAAAAAGTCTCAATAAAATTCAACATCCCTTCATGTTAAAAACTCTCAGTAAACCAGGTATTGATGGAACATATCTCAAAAATAATAAGAGCTATTTATGACAAACCCACAGCCAATATCATACTGAATGGGCAAAAGCTGGAATTCCCTTTAAAAACCAGCAAAAGACAAGGATGCCCTCTCTCACCACTCCTATTCAACACAGTATTGGAAGTTCTGACCAGGGCAATCAGGCAAGAGAAAGAAAGCAAGGGTATTCCAATAGGAAGAGAGGAAGTCATATTGTCTCTGTTTGCAGACGACATGATCCTATATTTAGAAAACCCCATCGTCTCAGCCCAAAAGTTCCTTAAGCTGATAAGTAACTTAGGCAAAGTCTCAGGATACAAAATCGATGTGCAAAAATCACAAGCATTCCTGTACACCAGAAATAGACAAGCAGAGAGACAATCCATGAATGAACTCTCATTCACAATTGCTACAAACAGAATAAAATACCTACAGTAAAATAACTAGAAATACAGCTAAAAAGGTACATGAAGGATCTCTTCAAGGAGAACTGCAAACCACTGCTCAAGGAAATAAGAGAGGACACTAACAAATGGAAAAACATCCTATCCTCATGGATAGAAAGAATCAATATTGTGAAAATGGCCATACTAGCCAAAGTAATTTATAGATTCAATGCTATTCCCGTTCAAACTACTATTGACATTATTCACAGAATTAGAAAAAACTACTTTAAAATTCATATGGAACCATAAAGAGCCAATCAATAGCCACGTCAATCCTAAGCAAAATAATAAAATAATAAATAGCCAAGTCAATTCTAAGCAAAAAGAACAAAACTGGAGGCATCACGCTACCTGAAGGAAGTGTTTTCAGTATCCTCTTGAGGAATAAACTTGGAGGATACCCAGTCTCCCTAAATTCTTTAGATTTATCTTTCTACAAGATACAAATTTATTTCTGTCATTTCAACTTCATTTGATACATTCCACTGATGAGTCCAGGCTTCAGACAAACAACCAAATGATCAATTAGAACCACTTTCAGGTGCACAAGCTGATGCAGTGCATTGAATCTACTTATCTATTTCTGCAGATATTGATGCATTTATGCATTCATTCAACAAGGATTTATTCAGCATTTGCAGGCTATCAGATGATATTGCAAGCATTAATAAAGCAAACAAAACTTCTGACTTTATGAAGTTTACAGTTGATGGGAGAAGGGTGAAGAAAATAAAACAAATAAATATTTTAAAATATATAGTGCATTTGAAGGTAATTAGCACTCCAGAAGGAAACAGCACGACAAGGAAAATTAGAAGCATTGGGGTGTATAATTTTACATGGGGGGAGATCAGATTAGGTGCTTTGAATAAAATGACATTAAGTAAACAGATAGAAGTGTTCAAACCCTTTGATCCCACTTTACCACACTCTACACTGCCCTGTGGTTCTCTGCCAGCCTGACACTAGGACAATCCCTTGTAATACCTTCTTTCCTTATGACCTGCCTACATTTACTACATTTTTTTCAGTTTACTATTGATTAGGAAATCACATCCATAACAGAAAACTTATCTGTCATGTTTTAAGCACCAAATTTGCCTATAGTATATTAAGGAATTTAACAAACAAATAAAATAGTCACACTTTTTTAAAGAGTGAAAACTTTTTCACAGTGGTGTTTGGTTTTAACAGAACATGAAATATACACTGATTCATAGAGAAATGTGGGAAGAAGTCTTTTGCTTCAAATACTGAATAAAATATTTCTCTATATATGTTCAGATACAAAGTCTCATAAACAAAATATTAATATCTTGGCCACAACAAATAAGAAATTCTATATAATTTTCTTGTGCTTATATGCCACCATATCATTAATTATATTGAAATTAGTGCTATTCCTGAAAAGAATATCAATTCCTTGGTCTCCAATACTGTAATTCTGAAGATCCCTAATAAAACTTACACACAACTTAGATATACTGCTTATGTTGTTTTTAAATGACTAAATCACTGCTAAATAACACTCACGGTGCTTAATTATTTTTAAAAGGCCCACCTTAATTAGCAAGTCCTTAACATATAATATGAATACATTATGTAATTTCAGACATCTCTAAATCTTAAAACTGTAATTTCACATAGTCCTATAATTTTCTCACGTGTTAAAAATGCCTGTTCTAGTAACATCGTCTCATTCCAGAGAAATTTCCTCACTAAACAAAAAACTTTTTAAAAAGACAAACCACACAAAAAGAGTTCTATCACCTTTGTATAAGAAAACCAGTTTCTCTCCAAAAACAAAATCAAATGGAAAACCCGTTTTTAGGTGAAAAATATTACATTTTGAAAAATTCAATTTGGTCAAGAATTTTAATTTTTAAACTAAAATTCCATTTCTTCTTTATTAAATGTTAAAGCATATGTCAGAGTAGAAATTGCATCCTGATACAATTATCATGTTTGAAATCCTCAAATTCCCCTCGGGAGGATGTAAGAGGCCCAAAATTAAGGGTATGGCTCTTTGAGTTTCCTCATAGCAGTTTCTCCTTGAGCCCTGTCTGTAAAAGATTCAGGATAAAAAAATATCAGATTGATGAATAAGTAAAAAGTATCTGAGGGCCACTAAGTGTACATGAGCCAGGATTATGCAGGTGTTAAAAAGCAAGTTCACAATTGTGCTCACAACAATGTCTCACAGCTATCCGCACTGCACAGGTTACCCCAATTAAGCTCCCTAAGCAGCCTAAACATTAAGCAGAGCAAGTATTTTTATCCCCATTTCCCTATTAGAAAATTGAGGCTCAGAAAGATTCAAACGATTTGACTGATGTTAGTATCAAGGCTTGAATCTAGGTCTCTGATTCCTGGTAGATGTCATGCCACTGCACTGAGTCAGATTTTGAACTGAACATGTCTGATACCAAAGTATGTGCTTTTACCACTATATTGTATTGCATTACCAAAATATTAATAAACCCTTATAGATATTCTTAGTTCTAGCACTTATAATCCGTGATGTAAATTTAGAAGGCAATATTACGAATGATACCATTTCAGTAAAATCAAAGATCACAAATGATATCTGGGTTATATTAAACATCTATTTATATTACCTCTATAATATTACACTTTCATATTTTATAAAAACTATCTTCCTAAGACTTAAAACAGTTTGTCTCATTACTTATTTTTGTATTAATATCTAACTTATAAAAGGAAATGTTATTTCCAATGATTTAGAGCCTTTATGAAGAAAACACATCCTAGTCATGAATTTTACGTGAACTTAGAAGATAAATAAAAAGACCAGAAAAAAATAGATTGTAGAGTCTAAACATCACACACCGAAAAAAAAATCCCTTAGGAAGTAAACCTTCACTATTAAAAAAGACCAAGGACCAGTTTAGGCCACGGACAGGCAGCTCAGGTAAGAAAAACCACTTTTTCTCTCATCTTTCACCTATATCCATACATGTATAATAATATATTTGCATCTCAATTCCCCTAGTTTTTTCATTCTCTCTTCTTGGTAACAATATTTCTTCAATCCAATGCTTTTGTCTTTCTTTCTATTCTTCATTTCGAGTTCACTATTTTTGCATGACTTTATTGTTTCCCAGGCCTTCTGAAGTCATCCTCACTCCTTGTTTAGACCCTTCATCTTTGAGATGTCCATCAATCCTTGACCATGTTTGGAAATATGCTTTAAGATCAAACATGATTTAGTAACCACACACACTTTGACACCTGTGCATGGGATCAAATAAACTGGAGAGAGAACGATACAGATGTGTAGAAATCTGGGAGGAGGCACAACTCTTGGGAACATAAAATTTTTACATGTCAATCTGTTACTCATAGTGAGGTCTCAACAAAACCAGCAAAGTATTGTCAAATAATTTTACCTTATTTTCCTTGGAGATAACACTTTCTAAATTTTTCAGATGTGATATATTTAGGCTAATCATAATTTTTATCTGAATTCAATAAAAAAGAATGAATTAGTCAAATCAGCCATTATCATTTCTTTTTATCAAAGTAAAAGTAGTTTCCTGGATAAGAGAATAAGAGATAGAAACAAAGTACCAGCCAGTATTAGCCTGACAATAGTGTAGGATAAAAAAAATAGCTTTACTACAAATAATGATAATTAAAATTTTTCTTTAAATCAATTATTAGCACCTTTTTTTTCCTTTCAAAACAAATGGACTTCCTCAAAACTGACATTATAGATATCATACACTATCCATAGCAAAGATAACCAAGATGAGCAGTTGTACTTATATAAATTAATGGTGTACATCTGCGTGGGAGAAGATAAAAGGTGTTGTACTCTATTTCAATATGGTAGTTATAAGTGCAGAGATAAGAAGCACATTACTCTAAAGCCCAGAGGTAGCATTTCTGACAACTCAGATGCATCTCTTCGGGGCAGGTGGTTAAAAGATGAGGACAGCCCTTCTATTAGATCTGCCAAGCGTGCTGTTAATTTAAGAGTGCAATCCAAGGTCTATAATTGCTTCTGAAAAGAACAGGTAGCAACAAAGTATAGTACATTAACTGTCGACAAACATCTGCTCAAAGAAACAGTTAACACCACCAGGCCCATGAAACACAGAGTAGATGTTAACATCAGCCATGTTGCAGCACAATAAATGCTTTGCTGGGACATTAGACCAACTTAGGCTTGTCTGAAAGTTTGCATAGTTAAACTCTGCTGTTTTAGCATCTAAATTGACTGCTTCATAAAAGTGTTAAGCGTCAAAAGTTCACACAATTTGGATGTTTCAAAAAACTGAGGTCATTGAATATTTGCCATCAAATACCAGATATCACATAATGCAAAAGTAATCAAGTAACAGAAAGGGAAAAATAACTAAACAGACAAAACAGCCATCACATAATCTATCTCCTAATGCCCTGAAGTTATCTTATAGAGGAAACAACTCAGCATCTGCCTACTATTATTTAAACACCCTTTCAACAGATTTTTAGAATATGGCTTCAGAGTCCACATGTGAAATTGGAGTTACACTCAGAACAGAAAAAAAAAAGTCAGGTGACAGACGATGACCAGTCAGGAATAAAGGAATGAGAGAAAAGCCATAAAAAATAACACAAAGAATACAAGTATGAGAGATGGAGTCCACTCAGCTCAAGCAGCAAACTAAACTATTTCGTTAACCTTGACTTTCTTGTTCTTGTTGCAATTGTAACACACTGAATTACATCCACACTTGCATGTAGCTAGTAGCAATAGGATATTTTTAAGAGAGTAAGTTCAGAAAGGAAAAAGCTAGAAAAGCCAGGGACACTCTATGCTTGAGGATCTCAAGAAAAGAGGGAGAAATGGGATGCTACAGAAGATAAAAATTGTTCATGATTTTTAGGTTGAAGTTATTGAAGGCAACTGTCCATTTTACTTTTTATAGCTAGGACACTTTAATATTCAGATATAATAACAATCTTTGAAAGATCAATTTCTTCTCATCAAAAAAGTCTCAAGAAGATTCTGTCTCATGGTCAACTGAATTTCCTATTAGACTATTTTCACACATTCCTATACATCTGTGTGATTGAAGGTCTATAGAAAATATGCACATGAATTTGACAGATTAGAAATTGCCACATATTGACATGATGGTTAATTTATATATACTGCTTGAGTTTTTGTGCAATTATTTGTTGCTGTTCTTCTTTTAATATAATGATATAGGTTGAAAATTAATGTATATCCAACATTATTGTTATTAAGGGAAATGCAAATTGAAACCACAATAGCATACTACTTCATATCCTCCAGAATAACTATAATGATTACAAGATTTAAAAATGAAAAATAAATGTTGGTGAGATCATGAAGAAATTGGAACCCTCATACATTGCTAATGGGAATTTAAAATAGTGCAGCCACTATGGAATTTAGTAGTTCCTCCAAAAGTTAAAAACAAGGTTTCCATATGATCCAGCAATTCCACTCCTAAGTATATACCCAAGAGAACTGAAAACATGTTTACACAACCACTCATGCACTAATGTTTGTAGCAACATTTCTCATAATAGTAAAATGTGGCTGATATGGTTTGGCTCTGTGTCTCCACCCAAATCTCATCTCAAATTGTAATCCCCATGTGTCGAGGGAGAGGGACGGTGGGAGGTAATTGGATTATGGGGACAGATCCCCCATGCTGACCTTGTGGTAACGAGTGAGTTCTCATGAGATATGATGGTTTAAAAGTCTGTGGCTTCCTTCGCTCTTGCTCTCTCCTGCCACCATGTAAGATGGGCCTTGTTTCCCCTTTGCCTTCCACCATGATAAGTTCCCTGAGGCCTCCAGCCCTGTGGAACTGTGAGTAAATTAAACCTCTTCTCTTTATAAATTATCCATTTTCAAGTAGTTCTTTATAGCAGTGTGAAAACAGACTAATACAGTGGCAATAACCCAAATGTCCATCAACTGATGAATGAGAAAACAAAATGTGATACATAAAATGAAATATTATTCAGCCATAAAAAAAGAATGAAATATTGATACATGCTACAACATGGATAAACCTTAAAAATATTTTGCTAATTGAAAAAATCCAGACCAAAGGGCTGCCTATTACATGATATTTTTATTATCCCATTACCATATTTATATGAAATCTTCAAAGTAGGCACATGTATAGAGACAGAAAGTTGATTTGTGGTTGCCAGGAAATAGAGGATGGGAGAATTGGGTATAGAGTTTCTTTGGCGGGGGTGGTGATAGAACTATTCTGGAATTAGTGGTAATGATAGCATAACATTGTGAACATAAGAAAGCCATGAAATGTACACTTTAAAATGGTTAAAATGGTGACTTTTATGTCATGTGAATTTTATCTTTATAAAAAAGAAGAAACCAGTATATGTGCATTTTGTTTCCATGCTTTATTTTATAAGTCTCCTGTGTAATGAATGCCCCCACAGATAATTAATTGTGTTCAAAAAGTGAATAAATGTTGAACTGTTCGATCTGACCAAGAGGATTTCTTCTGAATATTTCAAAATGCTTCAATTCCCAAATGAATACATTCTATTTGACACAACCTTATAAAGTATTTAAAGGAATTTTAGACTAAGTTGAACATTTTACTTACATGATAATATTCTTCCCCCATTGGTTCTTAGATTCTTTTTAGCAGAGAGAAAACTTTTCCTCTAATATTACATACTGTCTCAGAAAACAGATTAGAAAGGTGAAAAGTTACAGCCTAATTTTATATCGATCTAATATATTTGGTCACTATTGTCCCTATAGTTGAGTATTTTCTAAGTAGGACCCTCCAGTTTCCTCCTTTATTTTATTTTTATAAAGGACTCTTTCATTAGATTTTTCTAAATCTTACTAAGATAAAGAATTCAACATTAAAAGATTATCTTATGGTCACTGTATATAGTATTTTAGTAAAACAATAATGGTGATTACTCAACAATTCAATAACAAAGGCCAAAACATCCCTCTGGTTTACTTTTAATAGTTATAGATTAATAGAATTATTCATTTCTTTCTAGTGAATAGAAATCCAGTGTTACAATTTTATTTACATGTCTGTAGCATTTCTTTGGTTTCTTCAGGATTATCGAGCTAAGTACAGCATTTTTTCCTCTCCTTTGAGCATCAGGCATCAGGCTAAAGAACCCCACCCCATCCCTTTTCTGGGCAAACTGATTCTCCCTTATTTCATGTGGTTCTGGTAGAACTGTCAATAATAATAAGCGAGTCCCCACTCTATCAGTTCCTGTGAGATCTGATTGTTTCAAGAGCCTGGTACCTCCCTTGCTACTGCTCTCACCATGTGACACACCTGCTCCCCCTTCGACTTCCATCATGATTGTAAGCTTCCTGAGGCCTCCCCAGAAGCAGATGTTGGTGTCATGCCTGTACAGCCAACAGAGAGGATGCTCACAGGGGCAGGAAGCAGCACCTAGAAATTTGTATCCCAATTTTCTGGGGTTGGAGTGCTTGCAGCTTTCCAGGTTTCATCTCTGCTAGGGTTGATTTTTCCAAGCTTCCTTTAATTCTCTGGGCATCCCATTATATCTCTAGTGTATACCTTTTCCATTGGCTTAAGTTGGAGTCAGCTTCCTTTGCTTTGAGCCAAGAAACTCACTTGATGTGGCAGGGCTCACATTTAGAACATTTTGAGACCAATATAACTTGTAAGAATAGCCTTGGACTTGGTCGGGGGATGGTATAAACTTCTTCCAATCTTGGTGTAACCCTGATTTTTTTTAATGCAGAATTAGACAATCAGAGCACCTCTCTGAGGCCAATATTTCAGAAGTATAAAATAAGAGGCTGAGCTCAGAGATGGTTTTTCTAACTCAAAAGTTCTATCGTTTTATGAATGAAAAGGAATTGAGTTGGAGACTAGGAGTGTAGTATTTAGCAAAGACTTGTTTTGCCAATATAATTATCAGAGCTCTTGAAGGAACTTTTGTGAAAGAATTGGTAGGCACTTTGATCCATGGCCACTGAGAGGACTTGGCTATTAGCTGACATGCTGAAAGCTGCTACCCAAAAGAGCTTTTATCCCCAGGACCAGCTGCCACAGTCCAAGTCCACATCTATGCTGGCTGAAGTGGCTTCCCAAAGGGACTCCTGCTTGGAACCTGTGCTGGGTCCTGCTAACAGCTGCTATTTCTAGAAAGGTGTCAGCCTATGGTGACCTTATGACTCTGTGGTATCCAGATTTTGTCACCTTAATGTGAATTACTCTTAAACTCTGTGGAAGAAAACACATCGTCAGCTCTGGCAAATATTTTTTGAGGAAAATAAACAGAAATTTCCTGTGAGTAAACTTCATGGGTTTCACTCCCAGGAGATATGAGCAGGGGAAAACAGATGAATTGGTGAAAATCTCTCTGGGATCCCATGATGCTGTGCCCAGGTGTCACTGAGCTCTCTTCACAATGGGGGATCACTGGACAACCATGGCACAGTACTGCCAGAAAAACCAGGGGTGGTAGAAGCTGTCATATTTCCTAAAGAAGGGCCTGGGGAAAAAAAAGTAGGAGTTTCCCCTGCTTGTTCCAACAAATGGTATTAATTCCAGGGAACTCTTTTAACTTCTAGACAATATGTAACAGAATGAAAATAAATGGAGAAATGATTCAAGGCAACATCTTATGTTCTGCTGCTGACCTTGTGGTTGAAGAAACTCTGCAGGATGAAAAGATGTTCTTGAAATTAAAAGTTCCCAAGATAATTGGTACCTCCAGAAAATAGAAACCCAAGGTCAGGATGTAGCTGAATTTTGGAAATTTCACCCGTGTATTCCTTTCTGTCATTGATAAATTACATCAAAATTAGCTACTCCTCAAAGCCCCAACTAGGTACCACTAATGAACAGAAGTGTCATTTACAAGCCAAATATAATATGAAAGCATTTGTTCTCAGAGTAAATTGTGACATGTTACATGTGGGATTAAAATAGCCCTACTTGAAGCTGGCCAAAGACTATTGTATCAGGTGGAGAAGACCTAAACTGCACACAAATAGGCAAGAAACAGTTAAACAGCAACCTATAAAAAAGGATAAAGTGGACAGATCTTTATCTCCTCTTTATTCCAAACAACTGAAAATGGGTAGGAAAGAATTAAAGAAATGGGTATTTCTAAATGTAACTTACAAATCAGTGCTTAAGGGGGGAAAGCTTCTAGATGATACTCATCTTTGATGTAATTATTTTACCATCTAAATTCAAGTTATAGGAGCTCTTCCAAATTAAGGAAGGGCAAGAAAGTTTTTTTATATAAGCAATAGCTAGAATGCATTCTGACTGAAGCATAGCATATTTTTCCATTTTTATACTACTAGGAAGAAATACCTGAGACTGGGTAATTTATACAGAAAAAGAGGATTAATGGACTCACACTTTCACATGGCTGGGGAGCCCTCACAATCATGGCAGAAGGTGAAGGAGGAGCAAAGGCACATTTTACATGGTGGCAGGCAAAAGAGCACGAGCAAGGGAACTGCCCTTTATAAAACTGTCAGATCTCATGAGACATATTCACTATCACAAGAACAGCATGGCGAAAACTCACTCCATGATTCAATTACCTTCCACCAGAACTCACCTACGACACAAGGGGATTATGGGAGCCACAATTCAAGATGAGATTTGGGTAGGGACACAGCCAAACCATATCATTATGCCCCTGGCCCCTCCCAAATCTCATGTCCTCACCTTTCGAAACCAAGCATGCCTTCTCAACAGTCCCCCAAAGTCTTAATTCATTCCCACATTAACTCAGAAGTCCATAGTTCAAAGTCTCATCTGAGACAAAGCAAGTCCCTTCCACCTAATAGCCTGTAAAATCAAAAGCAAGTTAGTTACTTCCTTCATACAATGGGATTACAGGCATTGGAAAAATACACCTATTCCAAATGGGAGAAATCAGCTAAAATGAGGGAGCTACAGGCCCCATGCAAGTCTGAAATCCAGTGAGGCAGTCAAAACTTAAAGCTCCAATATAATCTCCTTTGGCTCCATGTCTCACATCCAGGTCACACTGATGCAAGAAGTGGGCTCCAATGGCCTTGGGCACCTCTACCTCTATGGCTTTGCAGAGTACAGACCCCCTCCCAGCTGCTTTCACAGCCTAGCATTGAGTGTCTGAGCTTTTCCTGGCCCACAGTGCAAACCGTCAGTGGATCTACCATTCTGGGGTCTGGAGGACAGTGGCCTTCTTCTCACAGCTCCTCTAGGCAGTGCCCAAGGACTCTGTGTGGAGGCTTCAACCCCACATTTCCCTTCCACACTGCCCTAGCAGAGTTTCTCTATGAGGGCCCTGCCCCTGCAACAAACTTCTGCCTGGACATCAGGCATTTCCCTGCATCCTCTGAAATCTAGGTGGAAGTTCTCAAACCTCAATTCTTAACTTCTATGCATCCTCAGATTCAACATCACAACAAAGCTGCCAAGACTTGGGGCTTTCACCCTCTGATGCCACAGCCCAAGCTGTACCTTAGCCCCTTTTAGCCATGGCTGAAGCAGCTGGGATGCAGGGCACCAAGTCCCTAAGCTGCACACAGTAGGGGGGCCCTGAGCCCAGCCCACATAACCATTTTTTCCTCCTAGGCCTCCAGGTCTGTGATGGCTGCTGTGAAGATCTCTGACATGCCCTGGAGACATTTTCCCCATTGTTTTAGTGATTAACATTTGGCTCCTTGTTACTTATACAAATTTCAGCAGTTGGCTTGAATTTCTCTCCAGAAAATGGGTTTTCCTGTTTTAATGCATCATCAGGCTGCAATGTTTTGCAGTGAGCTGAGATCGTGCCATTGCACTCCAGCCTGGGCAACAAGAGCAAAACTCTGTCTCAAAAAAAAAAAAAAAAAAAATTCAAACTTTTATGCTCTGCCTCCTCTTGAATACTATGCTATTTAGAAATTTCTTCTGCCAGATACCCTAAATAATCTCTCTCAATTTCAAAGTGCCACAGATCTCTAGGGAAGAGACAAAATGCCTCCAGTCTCTTTGCATAGCAAGAGTGACCTTTACTCCATTTCCCAACAAGTTACTCATCTCCATCTCAGACCACCTTGGCCTGGACTTTATTGTCCATATCACATCAGCATTTTGGTCAAAGCAATTCAATAGGTCTCTAGGAAGTTCCAAACTTTCCCACATTTTTATATGTTTTTCTGAGCCCTCTAAACTCTTTCAACCTCTGCCTGTTACCCAGTTCCAAAGTGGCTTCCATATTTTGGGGCATCTTTAGAGCAGCACCCCATTATTCTGGTACCAATTTACTCTATTAGTCCATTTTCATACTGCTATGAAGAAATACTTGAGACTGGGTAATTTACACAGAAAAAGAGGTTTAAAGGATTCACATTCCACATGGCTGGGGAGGCCTCACAGTCATGGCAGAAGGCAAAGGAGAAGGAAAGGCATGTCTTACATGGCAGCAGGCAAGAGAGCATGTGCAGGGAACTGCCCTTTATAAAACCAACCACTATCACAAGAACAGCACAGGAAAATCCCACCCCCATGATTCAACTATCACCCAGTGAGTCCCTCTCAGGACACATGAGAATTATGGGAGCTACAATTCAAGATGAGATTTGGGTGGGGACACAGCCAAACCATATCACATGGTAAACCTCCTGCATTGAATAGACTTGAATAGTATCTCATAGAAACTGACATAACCAAAGTATAATTTCAAGAACTGTGTACCACATAAACTAGTTCATTCAGACACTTAGAGGTCTTTCATAAACAGCCCTTCCATAATCCAATAATTTGGAGACGTTCATTTCATGGAGCATTCATATCACTAGCATTGTAAAGGCTTTGGGAAGCCCTATATTCAAGTAGCCTGTTTACCTTTCTATAATCTGGTGTTCTTAAAAAATTATTTGACCATGGAACTACTTTTTCATATAAAAAGTATTAATACCTTTTGCAATAGTGCTCCAAGTAATATAATTTTAAAATCATGTACCTAGAGAAATTAATGTTTACCTAAATTCTAAATATTTAACAGCTACAGACATGGAGATACCTTTTTCAATTTGCATGTGATACAAAGTACAAGAAAATTATAAGTTCATTCTGAGTTTTAGTGAATTAGTTTGAAATGTGGTATCATTTAAGAACAAAGTTCTAATTCTGTTTTAGCCACTCATTGGCTTTGAAATTGGAAAAGTTAATCTTGATGTATCTCACCCTGTAAGACTGAGAAAATTATTAAGTAAGATTTGTGTCTTAACCATTTTACACTCTATCTAACACATAGTAAGTACTCAACATAGTAACTGTTACAATAAGAAAACCAGTAGGTAACAAAGAATTGGGTCTACAGGCAAAGAAAATGACCTAGATTGAATGAGGACAGACTTTCCCTTAAAAATTCCACTTCAAACTGTGGTACATACATGCCATGGAATACTATGCATCCATAAAAAAACACAATCATGTTCTTTGCAGCAACATGGATGTAGCTGGAAACCATTATCCTAAGTGAATTCATGCTGAAAGCAGAAAACCAAATATTACATGTTCTCACTTGTAAGTGGGAGCTAAACACTGGGTACACATGGATACAAAGATAGGAAAAATAAACACTGAAGATTCCTAAAGAGGAGGGAAAAGGGAGCAGGGAAATGGGTTGGAAAACCACCTATCAGGTACTACATTAATTACTCAGGCAACAGGATCTTTTAGAAGCCCAAACCTCAGCATCATGCAATTTATCCATGTAATAAACCTACATACAAATCCCTTGAATCTAAAAAAAAACTTAAAAAAAAAATTCATTTCACCAGTGCCCTTATAATGAAGAATTGGTGTTTAACAACAGACCAATAGGCAAGCATACCTAAGTATTATTTATATATGTTCATTCATTTATGCAACACTCCATTCAGCACAGTTTTTGAAGTTACTATGTATTCCTGTGTGTTAAAAAGGCCAAGTTGTCTCTTGACTTCTGTCTTTGTCACTTCCCTTTGTTCCCGTGTTCCCTCACTTCCTTCAGAATATTTATCTGTGAGGAATCTCACCTATGAGCGCTTTTATGATCACCTTGTATAAAATAGCAACAGTCCTCACACACCCACCCACCCAAAGCAGCATTCTCTGCTATTTTTCTTCACAAGCACCTAACATCACCTGACATACTGTGTATTTACTTATCTGTTTATTGTCTGTTTCACCTACAGAATACAAGGTCTATGAAATCTTACCTGTTTTGTTCATTCCTGTGTCTTCATTTCCTTGAACAGTTCCTGAATTAATTCATTATTTATTATATTATTACTTTTATATATATATTATTTTATATATATTTTACATATATTACTGCAATAGCTATTTTTATTAATAGAACATTTTTGTTTCTACATTAATCAAGTGTAGACTTTAATTTTTGCTTTAATTGTAGCAATGAACATATATCCAGTGATATTCAGAGAAATTCTAGTGTTGGATCAGTTTCTGCTCTTAATTTTTTTAAATATTTATTCAGCACACATTATGTATATGTGAGATACAGCAAAACACCCATTTCTAGTATATGAAAATTTATGTTTATCCACATAACTGTGCAATTAAGAATTGTTATTGTTATTTATGACACAGTTTAGAAATGAATAGAGAACAGAGGCAAGGGTATATGTAGCTCTTATGATATTAAAAGATATTAGAAGTGTCCTGCTGTGGCGGGAAGGGGGACATTTATGTATAACAGGAAATTAAAACACAATTATTGTAATTGATATAATTCTTTTTTTTAACTTTTTTATTTCTTTGAGAGATGGGTTTTTGCCATGTTGGCCAGGCTGGTCTCAAAATCCTGGCCTCAAGTGATTCGCCCACCTTGGCTTCACAAAGTGCTAGGATTACAGGCATCAGCCACTGTGCCTGGCCTGTAATTGATATGAATCCTTAGTTACCCATTCAATAGCCTAAACCTGCTCTTAGTTCAGGGAGTCTAGGAATAATAGAAATTTTTTTCCAGCCATTTTTGTAGCTCAGGGGGCCATGAGACATGATTCTGGAAATTACTATGTAGAAAATATCTGATTGCTTCTGGAAAATATTCCAGCCTTAAAAAAAGAGATATACACGTTGAGTGATCCCATTTAACCCCTGCTCTTTCTTTTTTCTCTAGATGCCATCACACTGGGACTAATGTCAGGAGCTGCAGCAGTCCTCTGTGACTGCACTTGAGCCAAAGGACAAGGCCAGCATCCTGACAGAGGCTGAAAATGTCTGGATTCTTCGCTGGCATCACCAAGCTAATTAAGTATTCCCATACAGCCTACTTCTGGGCTTCCTATTCATCAACTTGAACATCCTAATGGTTTAAGACATCCTTAGTTTTCTGTTACCTGTAGTCAAAGCAGTCTTTTTTATTTATTGAGCATCTGTTTTCTGCATGGATCTCAAACACAAATCACTTTCCCGCTAAAGAAAATGAATTATAAACCCTACCTTCACATAGTGAACCAGAGAAAGTAGACAGCAGAAAATATGTTGACATAGATACATAGATAAAAAATTGTTCAGAGAGCTACCGGGTCAATTAAACACACTAAAATGATTTATCAGGTTGAGCAGTCAGGATTTCTGCAGAGTATATAAGGGTGAAGCAAAGTGATTGTATAAATTAATTGATAAAGACTATAATTTGATCAAGTGCATTAAAAAATTAGAATAAAGACCTGAAACTGAAAAGAGACAATTCCAAGATTTCTATGGGATTGCCAGGAAAAAAAAAAAGGAAGAACAGTGATAACACAAAAAATGAGAGTCCCAACTGATCAGAAAAGCCTCCTTCTTGGCCCCTCTAGTCTTATCTCCAGTACCTAGCAATATCATTAGTCCATGAAGAAGTATCTATTTTTTTAATTGTGTGTTTAAATTAATTTATAATGAAACTAACATAGGTATTAGTCTTTTTTAAGATTTAGGCATATTAAATAAATCACTTCATTAATCCCAAATTCAAAGACCGCTGTTTATGGTTTCACACTGGTATCTTGATGGATTGAATTCTACCTAAAAAAATTTCCCTAATTTTGTTGCATATAGTAAATATCTCCTCCCTCCCCAAATTCTATACCTAGATAAAGCTATTTCTCTTATATATGTCCATTCACAATATCTCTACCTGGAGCAAGAAGTAGAGTTTGGGTCTTATGATAACTAGCTGGGCACTTCATGAAACGTCTGTGAAATGAGGTATGAGCTCTCAGCCCATAAAACAATCATTCCCATTCTTTACCACTAGATTCAGAAAACATGGACTCATTTTTGAAACATTTCATGAGGTAGAGGAAGAACTCCTAACATGTGATATAGTATATCTAGCTCCTTGATGTGCTGAAGCCAAGATAGATTTCAGAGTTTGTTAAACAAAAGTATAATAGCTGTACTGAGGTATCACCCTGTGTCCCAAACATTCTCTCACTTTCTTTCTCACTGTATCTCAGAGCTTGAATTTTCACATGGCAAAATCAAGCTCAGAGAATTATTGTATGCACAGTGGAGAACACTGGAGAAAGGGATGACTTCTTGTCTAAGAAGTTGTATTATTGCTGTTTTCCTCACTACGTCAAGACTATTCAATATCTTTTCCTGGGCATAAAGGGATCATTTACAACACATATCAGCCTGGACCACTAGTAGAAAAGAGAGAATAATGACAAAATTTCATTATTTCAGAGGTCTCAATGATTTTTTTCATGCCAAATGCAAAATATCTCAAGTTCCAAGCATTTTGCATGATGTTTCTATTATTATATGCCCAATTTTAAAATGTAATTTAGAAATCTGAAGCTGAAGCTAAACTAAGGTCTTTTGTTCTCAATCTTTTGTGTCCACAGTAATTCTTGTTATTCAAGTCAAATTTTCCATGACGTGGTGAATTTTTCTACTGCTAAAGGGAACTTTATTTTTCCTATCTCTAGGATCTCTTGGACTACAATTAAGGCATTAAAAAAATAAAATATCAGTACTTTTACTAGAAAATCTGCTCAAATCTGAGTTCTGGATATGTAAATTCAAAAGTATGACATTCAATGACAAACCATTGTCCATGAAGCCTAAGAATATCGATAATAAATAGAATGTATTGTAAACTGACTGTGTGCCAGGCACTTGCCAAGTCATTTCACTTAGCAATGTAAATTTACACTTATACAAGGCCTTTATTTCCAAGTGTTTCTACTAATACTCCATTATATTTAAATGTGATGACTCAAAGGCAAGTATCATCTCTCTTTCTTTTATGTATGAAAAAGCTGTGACAAAGTCCATGCCTCTGTTTATGCAAAAATGAAAGCAACAGCTTAATGATGGAAGGAAGTCAGGATGCAGAACAAAGTCTGATATCATTATACGCTTCTAATTTTTGCTCAATATTTTCTCTGAAATTACAATACATTATATATACTGTGTATTAGCATTCTCAAAATGAATTTTCATACAGTATCACATTTGAACTTCACAATCACCCTTTAACGGGTGTGTGTGCATATGTTTTTCAAATGGGACAATAATATTTCGGTCATTGTCCAAAAGTAAAAATAATCCAATTTTTAAGACAAAAGCAGATACTAAAAGATGTCAAAGTGACTTACCCAAATTCACATAGCTTCACTTCTGGACTTCCGGTAGGTACCATGCTCTTCTCACCACAGCAAACCACAACAGAAATTTGACTTTTCCCTTTTCTATAAAAACGTTAAAATATATTGCTCTCATTTCTTAAAATCACCAAGGAATTTTTACTAGACATCAATATATTTCTACTTCTCTCTCTTTATAAGTTAAAACACCATGAGACTGGCTTTCTAATCAGCATACCAGCTACCAATTCTAAAACTGTCCTTCAAAGCAGTCACCTTGAAAATCTTTAGTACCATTACAAGCATAACTGACTGATCAAAACATGTTTAAAATGTTTTAGGAGTTACTTTGAAAATCAGGTTACAAGCCACAAAATAATATCACTTTCTTTACTTAATAGTTACACCTCATTTTTTAAAAAAATTAATAACGGTTTAATCACTCACTTTCTTTACCAGATGAGCCTCTGATTTCTTTGGACCTTTCCCAAATACAATATTTTTGCTCAAAGCATGAAAAATTTTTACTGTGAAATACAATTTTCAAAGTTTGCATGGTCTTGTGGGACAATTCCACAAGAGAAATTCCAAGAATGAGTTGTCCAAAGGCGGCATCCCTGAAATGAGTATGAAGCCTGCCAAGCTGATGACTTTGATGGAACTAACTTTTCCTTAGTGTGTAAGTTTTTAAGTTTTATTTCAAAATAAGTTTTATTAAAAAATAATTTTGTCACACCTCATGTATTATATGACTTTTTATGCACACAGTGCCTAAGGGGGGATTTTACATAGATTTTGTCTAAAAAGAGGAAGCTATCCACATGGCTGCCAAAATTAAGTCCTCTGGAGGGTGATTTTCTGAACTAGCAATGATTCAATTGCCAAATAACTTCTGTTTCTTACAATTTAGCAAGTTTCAATTCAATCTACCAATATTCTCATTATGCCACTTTTAAGAGAGGAGATTGTTTTAACCCCAGTGGAGCATTTCAGTAAATTGCCCACTATAGAAATGCTAAGGATATGTTACAACACCTCTTTTCTTCCGCAGAAATAATACCTTTCTGACATTTTGACAAATTAATGAAGCATTTCTCGCCCATCTGAAAAAATCAGTTGGCATTCCTTCATCAAGCAAGTAAGCTTCCAAGTGTTTCTTCATTTGACCCTCAAAACACCTTTTAACACTTTTCTTATGAGTGATGTCAACTGGCATGCAAGTCACTTGGTACATTCCCAGACCTTTTAAAAATAATTCCATCACATTGGCTAATCCTAGGGGGTCTCTCCAGAACTAAGTGCACTTGTAAAACTATTCATAAAAAGGTCTCCTATTTCTGTCTCTACTTCCTTTAACACCCTAGTTATATTTTACTTGGACCAAGAAACACATCAAATTGCAACGCTTAGAATATTGGTCCATTTTTTAACTGCTTCAAGGAGCCTGTTCCCTGAACCTTCATCCTTCTTACTAATAAATTTGATTAAGGTAAATCCTCTTTTGTGAAACCAGAAACCAATTTTTTCTGCTATTCTCCCAATGCTTGCATTTGACTTCAGTCTCCATTAATTAGCCACTTGGATCTTTAAAAGTCCTCACCTCTTTCCTTGTCTATGTATATACTCTTTAAAAGCCTGTCAGCAGTCAGTTGAAATGTTTAGTCTTGCTTGAAATTAATTTTCCACTTTTATTGTTCCAATTATTTGGCAGGTTATATGGCTTTATAATAATTCCCTGGAGCCCTTTGAACCTGTTATGTCTTTTATGTTTGTGCTAGATGTGTTTCCTTAGCAACACATTGATTCTGCTGACTGTCTGTTACATGAGATGTAGGTAGTGAACATGTCCAAGCTGTGAATATGAAGACAATTGTCATAGATTGTGATATTTTGAATCTCCAAAATAGTTTGTAAATTGTGGTAGCAATCAGAAGAAGATATTTTTTAATTCCACCTTTTATTTCTTCAACCAGTTCGCTTTCTCTGTATCTTGATTCAGTTCTACTTCCTTTGCTAAAACAAGTTTGCAAGACTTGGTTAATTAATAAGATCATGGAAATATTGCAATAGGAAGATTTTATCAATTTCAGAAAAATAACAGTTTCTATAAATCCCACTACTTTGGTCCACATGCTTTTTAAACTGGTGAATTAATAACACTAAAACCTCATGATATTATAATTTGACTGCAGAAATATATCTATCCATTCAGTCATTCAACAAATATTAATGTAGCAGTGCTGTATATAGATTTGTGAAATTACAGCGTATACATTACTGCAAATTTTGCATGGTTTCTTATCAGCCTTTAGACTATACTAGTATGTGTGGCTCCTATAGAAGGGAGTCTCTACCTAAACTAACTGCAATTATGTTTAGTAGTTCTCTAGAACAAAAGCAGTTAACCAACAAATGGCATTCCCTTCTTTTCCAATCTCTTTGATGATTCAGAGAATGACTGTCATTTACATTCACACCCAAATTCCAGTTCAAGTTTTTTTATTTTATTTCAAGTAATTATGTGTTTTTGAGAGAAAGAATGTGATATGGTAGGAAGATCACAGACTCAACAATAAACAACAAACAGATCTGAGTTCAAATCTCAGCTCTGCCCTTTCCTGTGTGACCTTGAGCAGGTACACAATCTCATTAAGGCCCAGTTTCCTTATGTGCAATATAGTAAACATTTTAATTAATATGCTTAAGGTGCCCATGTTGGAGTTAGAATTTTGTCTTCACAAAAACAGTGTTTATATTAATTGTTTAGATGTCATACATTAATTCCTTCTTATCCATCTGAGCTGAAGGCAAAAATAGAGATTGGTTTATCTAGGAAAGACCTGTAGAACTAATACAGATTTTGGTAATTGGTAGTAGGATGCTGCTGTATCAAACATCTAAAAATCTCATCCATGGGATTTAGATCTTAAAAATTCTAATAGTTAATAGAATTGCTATTGAAGAGCTTAAAAGTTTCTAACAAAGAAAAGGATTCAGTTGTGTCAGTTTTTCCTCAAGTATTTTGAAGCTGAGATGTTAGTTGTATAAACATTTAGAACTGTTTATGTCCTCATAGTAGATTGATCCCATTATTAATATGTAATATCTTTATTCCTGGTAATATTCTTTGTTCTAAAGTCCAGTTTGACACTAATATAGCATCTTCTGGCTACTTTTGACTAGTGTTTGCTTAATATTGTGTTTTCCATTCTTTTACTTTAACTCACCTGTGACTTTATATTCAAAGTGGATCTCTTATAAACAGGACAAAGATGGGTCTTGCTTTTTATTTAGTCTAACAATTTGCATTTTATGTGTAATATAATTGCCTATTTATGTATTTATCAACATATAATTATTAATATGGTATGGTTGAAAATCTATCATCTTTCTAATAGTGCTCAATGCTCCATCTGTTCTTTGCACCTTGTTCCTCTTCTCCTGGCTAGTTTTGGATTAAGTATTTTTGTATCCCATTTTATCTTCACTATTGTCTTATTTGCCATACCTCTTTGTTTTACCTTTTTAGTGATTGCTCAGGGTTTACAACATACATCTTTAACGTATCTCATGCTAACTTCAAGTGATATGTCATTACATAAGCTATAAAAAAGTTTACAACAGCACACCTCCATTTCCCTCTCCTATCCTTTATACTATTATTGTCATGCATTTTACTTCTACACATGTTATAAACCCCACAATCAATTCTAATTATTTTGGCCTTAAGCAATGAAGTATCTTTTAAAGATGTTTTTTAATTCTTTTAGTCAAAAGAATGAAGAGTGCCAGAAATGATAAAAGATTGGTAAAGATAAGAAGGGTCTAAATTTTACCTGATATCACTTCCCTTCTGCCTGAAGAACTCTCTTATTTTAATGCAGTTCTGAAAGCAATGAATTCTCTTGGCATCTTTTGGCAGAAATTTTTCTTAATTTTTGGAATATAATTTCACTGGATAGAGAAGTCTAAAGAATTAGACTCTAGTTAAAAATTCTCATTTATTTCAAATGTGGATTAAAATAATCTACCTTGATGAGAAAACCTTTTAACTAAAAAAAAATTCCAGGTCAAGTTTTCTGGATAATTTTCAAACTAAGAATTGATTTCCAATTTTTTCCCATTCTCAAAAAAAAAACAAATATATATATATATTTGGCTATTTAGTCACTTTCGGAATCCATGTGGATTTTGTTTTATCAAATACTTTAACAAGAAGGCAGATTATTTTTCTTTTTTCTTTTTCTTTTTTTAGACAGAGTCTCGCTCTGTTACCCAGGCTGGAGTGCAGTGGCACAATCTCAGCTCACCTCACCACGACTTCCGCCTCACAGGTTCAAGCAATTCTCTTGCCTCAGCCTCCCAAGTAGCTCCCAAGTAGCTGGGATTATAGGCACCTGCCACCACACCCAGCTAAATTTTTTTGTATTTTTAGTACAGACAGGGTTTCACCATGTTGGTCAGGCTGGTCTCGAACTCCTGACCTCAGGTAATCCACCCACCTCAGCCTCTGAAAGTGCTGGCATTATGAGCATGAACCACTGCGCCTAGCCCAGATTATTTTTCTAATAAAGGAATCTAAGCATTACTTATGGAAACATGCTTGGCTGGATTTCACAATTGCTTAGAACCAGTGACTTTTTTCCCTTCTTATCTTCTACTCTCCTTTGAACCAGAATGCCTATAACTATTATATTCTGAAGATATTCCAAGGGAAATGACATTAATGCAGAATTGCTCTGCCTATCAGCACAGTCAAAAGTATGCTATTCTAATTATGCTATTAAATGAAATAAACACAGAAACCCCAGTCTTTTCAACTATAAAGTGGAGTTAATAAAACAACATGTAAAATTGTCTATCACAATGTTTGTCATATGGCAGCCTCTCAGTAAAAGTTATTTGAAAAAGTGCCAAATGAGGAAGGCATTAATTTACTATACTTTGAAGTTTTCATTGTTATTAGCTTAAAATAGAATACATCGAAAATGAAAAACCCAAATTTTTATTGGAAATGTTAACTTTATCTGAATTATTACTCTGAAATAGAAAGAAAAGATAAATACTCTGTTATAGAACTAAATGACACCTGGTTTTGGAATAAAGAGGTTAACAAATGTGCATGTCATATTATTTGTTCTCTATTCTAACTAAGCATCGCTTAGGAGCTATGCAAACTATCAAGAAGAAAGTATAATATTGTGAGTTCAACAGATAGATACCCAAAAGAACTAGCTGCCTACTTCTTGTTTTTGTTTTTGTTTCTTTTTACTCTTTTTGAAACAGCTGTATTGAGATATAATTTATATATAATAAAATTCACCTATTTAAAGTATGCAATTAAATCATTTTTAGTATATCTACAGAGTTGTATAACCATTACCACGATTTAATTTTAGAACATTTTCATCACTCCAAAAGGAAACCTTTCAACCATTAGTGGTAATTCTCCATTCCTCCCCTTCCAAAGCCCTAAGTAACCAATAATCTCTGTCTCCATGGATTTGCTATTCCAAACATTTTATATCAATGAAATTACATAACATGTAGCTTTTTGTAACTGGATTTTTCCTTAATTCTCAAGTCACCAGCTCAAACTTATTTCCTAAAATGGAAGTTGATGGGGATGCATCATGAATATAGAGTTAAAATTATAACATTTTAGACATTTCTCCAAATAAGATATTAAAATGGCCAATATGCACTTGAAAACTGTTCAACATCATTAGCCATCAGGGAAATGAAAACAAAAACCATGACAAGATAGCAGTTTATCCCCATTAGAATGGCTATAATTAAAAAAAGACAGAGACTAACAAGTGTTGATGAGAATATGGAGAAACTGAAACCCTCATAGATTGCTGGTGAGAATGTAAAATGGTAGAGCCACTTTGGAAACCAATCTGTAAGTTCCTTAGATGGTTAAATATTCAGTTACCATGCCATTCCATTTCTAGGTATATTCCATTCCTGGGTACTTAAACCCAAGAGAAATGGAAGCATACACCAAAAAATGGTTCATAAATATTCATAACAGCATTATTTATAATAACCAAAAAGTGTAAAAAACTCAAATGTCCATCAACTGATGGATAGGTAAAAAAAAAAAAAATGTGGTATATTCATGCCATGGAATATTATTGGGCAATAAAATGAAATGAAGTACTGATACATGCTATCACATGGATGAACCTTGGACACATTATGCTAAAGGAAAGTGGCCAGTTACAAATGACCATATTGTATGATCCCATTTATATGAAATGTTCAGAACAGGCAAGTCTATAGAGACAGAAAATAGATAGCAGTTGCCTAGGGTCAGGATTTGACCTAAAGGAGATGACAGTTAAGAGGTGTGGGAGCATGAAGTTCCTTTTGGAGTAATGAAAATCTTCTAAAATTGTGATGATGAATGTGCAACTCTGAGAATATACTAAAAGCCATTAAATCATACACTTTAAAAGGGTGAATTGGGGAGGAGCCAAGATGGCCGAATAGGAACAGCTCCAGTCTACAGCTCCCAGCGTGAGCGACACAGAAGACAGGTGATTTCTGCATTTCCATCTGAGGTACCGGGTTCATCTCACTAGGGAGTGCCAGACAGTGGGCACAGGTCAGTGGGTGTGTGCACCGTGTGCGAGCCGAAGCAGGGCGACGCATTGCCTCACTTGGGAAGCACAAGGGGTCAGGGAGTTCCCTTTCCCAGTCAAAGAAAGGGGTGACGGACAGCGCCTGGAAAATCAGGTCACTCCCACCCGAATACTGCGCTTTTCCTACGGGCTTAAAAAACAGCGCACCACAAGATTATGTCCCGCACCTGGCTCGGAGGGTCCTACGCCCACGGAGTCTTGCTGACTGCTAGCACAGCAGTCTGAGATCAAACTGCAAGGCGGCAGCGAGGCTGGGGGAGGGGCGCCCGCCATTGCCCAGGATTGATTAGGTAAACAAAGCAGCGGGGAAGCTCAAACTGGTGGAGCCCACCACAGCTCAAGGAGGCCTGCCTGCCTCTGTAGGCTCCACCTCTGGGGGCAGGGAACAGACAAACAAAAAGACAGCAGTAACTTCTGCAGACTTAAATGTCCCTGTCTGACAGCTTTGAAGAGAGCAGTGGTTCTCCCAGCACGCAGCTGGAGATCTGAGAACAGGCAGACTGCCTCCTCAAGTGGGTCCCTGACCCCTGACCACCGAGCAGCCTAACTGGGAGGCACCCCCCAGCAGGGGCACACCGACACCTCACACGGCAGGGTATTCCAACAGACCTGCAGCTGAGGGTCCTCTCTGTTGGAAGGAAAACTAACAAACAGAAAGGACATCCACACCAAAAACCCATCTGTACATCACCATCATCAAAGACCAAAAGTAGATAAAACCACAAAGATGGGGAAAAAACAGAACAGAAAAACTGGAAACTCTAAAAAGCAGAGCACCTCTCCTCCTCCAAAGGAACACAGTTCCTCACCATTAACGGAACAAAGCTGGATGGAGAATGACATTGACGAGCTGAGAGAAGAAGGCTTCAGACGATCAAATTACTCTGAGCTACGGGAGGACATTCAAACCAAAGGCAAAGAAGTTGAAAACTTTAAAAAAAATTTAGAAGAATGTATAACTAGAATAACCAATACAGAGAAATGCTTAAAGGAGCTGATGGAGTTGAAAACCAAGGCTTGAGAACTACGTGAAGAATGCAGAAGCCTCAGGAGCCAATGCGATCAACTGGAAGAAAGGGTATCAGCAATGGAAGATGAAATGAATGAAATGAAGCTAGAAGGGAAGTTCAGAGAAAAAAGAATAAAAAGAAATGAGCAAAGCCTCCAAGAAATATGGGACTATGTGAAAAGACCAAATCTACGTCTGATTTGTGTACCTGAAAGTGATGGGGAGAATGGAACCAAGTTGGAAAACATGCTGCAGGATATTATCCAGGAGAACTTCCCCAATCTAGCAAGGCAGGCCAACGTTCAGATTCAGGAAATACAGAGAACGCCACAAAGATATTCCTAGAGAAGAGCAACTCCAAGACACATAATTGTCAGATTCACCAAAGTTGAAATGAAGGAAAAAATGTTAAGGGCAGCCAGAGAGAAAGGTCGGGTTACCCTCAAAGGGAAGCCCATCAGACTAACAGCGGATCTCTCGGCAGAAACCCTACAAGCCAGAAGAGAGTGGAGGCCAATATTCAACATTCTTAAAGAAAAGAATTTTCAACCCAGAATTTCATATCCAGCCAAACTAAGCTTCATAAGTGAAGGAGAAATAAAATACTTTACAGACAAGCAAATGCTGAGAGATTTTGTCACCACAGGGCATGCCCTAAAAGAGCTTCTGAAGGAAGTGCTAAATATGGAAAGGAACAACCGGTACCAGCAGCTGCAAAATCATGCCAAAATGTAAAGACCATCGAGACTAGGAAGAAACTGCATCAACTAACGAGCAAAATAACCAGCTAACATCATAATGACAGGATCAAATTCACACATAACAATATTAACTTTAAATGTAAATGGACTAAATGCTCCAATTAAAAGACACAGACTGGCAAATTGGATAAAGAGTCAAGACCCATCAACGTGCTGTATTCAGGAAACCCATCTCACGTGCAGAGACACACATAGGCTCAAAATAAAAGGATGGAGGAAGATCTACCAAGCAAATGGAAAACAAAAAAAGGCAAGGGTTGCAATCCTAGTCTCTGATAAAACAGACTTTAAACCAACAAAGATCAAAAGAGACAAAGAAGGCCATTACATAATGGTAAAGGGATCAATTCAACAAGAAGAGCTAACTATCCTAAATATATATGCACCCAATACAGGAGCACCCAGATTCATAAAGCAAGTCCTGAGTGACCTACAAAGAGACTTAGACTCCCACACATTAATAATGGGAGACTTTAACACCCCACTGTCAACATTAGACAGATCAACGAGACAGAAAGTCAACAAGGATACCAAGGAATTGAACTCAGCTCTGCACCAACCAGACCTAATAGACATCTACGGAACTCTCCACCCCAAATCAACAGAATATACATTTTTTTCAGCACCACACCACACCTATTCCAAAATTGACCACATACTTGGAAGTAAAGCTCTCCTCAGCAAATGTAAAAGAACAGAGATTATAACAAACTATCTCTCAGACCACAGTGCAATCAAACTAGAACTCAGGATTAAGAATCTCACTCAAAACCGCTCAACTACATGGAAACTGAACAACCTGCTCCTGAATGACTACTGGGTACATAACGAAATGAAGGCAGAAATAAAGATGTTCTTTGAAACCAACGAGAACAAAGACACAACATACCAGAATCTCTGGGACACATTCAAAGCAGTGTGTAGAGGGAAATTTATAGCACTAAATGCCCACAAGAGAAAGCAGGAAAGATCCAAAATTAACACCCTAACATCACAATTAAAAGACCTAGAAAAGCAAGAGCAAACACATTCAAAAGCTAGCAGAAGGCAAGAAATAACTAAAACCAGAGCAGAACTGAAGGAAATAGAGACACAAAAACCCTTCAAAAAATTAATGAATCCAGGAGCTGGTTTTTTGAAAGGATCAACAAAATTGATAGACCACTAGCAAGGCTAATAAAGAAAAAAAGAGAGAAGACTCAAATAGATGCAATAAAAAATGATAAAGCGGATATCACCACCGATCCCACAGAAATGCAAACTACCATCAGAGAATACTATAAACACCTCTATGCAAATAAACTAGAAAATCTAGAAGAAATGGATAAATTCCTTGACACATACACTCTCCCAAGACTAAACCAGGAAGAAGTTGAATCTCTGAATAGACCAATAACAGGAGCTGAAATTGTGGCAATAATCAATAGCTTACCAACGAAAAGGAGTCCTGGACCAGATGGATTCACAGCCGAATTCTACCAGAGGTACAAGGAGGAACTGGTACCATTCCTTCTGAAACTATTCCAATCAATAGAAAAAGAGGGAATCCTCCCTAACTCATTTTATGAAGCCAGCATCATTCTGATACCAAAGCCAGGCAGAGACACAACCAAAAAAGAGAATTTTAGACCAATATCCTTGATGAACATTGACGCAAAAATCCTCAATAAAATACTGGCAAACCGAATCCAGCAGCACATCAAAAAGCTTATCCACCATGATCAAGTGGGCTTCATCCCTGGGATGCAAGGCTGGTTCAATATACGCAAATCAATAAATGTAATCCAGCATATAAACAGAGCCAAAGACAAAAACCACATGATTATCTCAATAGACGCAGAAAAGGCCTTTGACAAAATTCAACAATGCTTCATGCTAAAAACTCTCAATAAATTAGGTATTGATGGGACGTATTTCAAAATAATAAGAGCTATCTATGACAAACCCACAGCCAATATCATACTGAATGGGCAAAAACTGGAAGCATTCCCTTTGAAAACTGGCACAAGACAGGGATGCCCTCTCTCACCACTCCTATTCAACATAGTGTTGGAAGTTCTGGCCAGGGCAATTAGGCAGGAGAAGGAAATAAAGGGTATTCATTTAGGAAAAGAGGAAGTCAAATTGTCCCTGTTTGCAGACGACATGATTGTATATCTAGAAAACCCCTTGTCTCAGCCCAAAATCTCCTTAAGCTGATAAGCAACTTCAGCAAAGTCTCAGGATACAAAATCAATGTACAAAAATCACAAGCATTCTTATACACCAACAACAGACAAACAGAGAGCCAAATCATGAGTAAACTCCCATTCACAATTGCTTCAAAGAGAATAAAATACCTAGGAATCCAACTTACAAGGGATGTGAAGGACCTCTTCAAGGAGAACTACAAACCACTGCTCAATGCAATAAAAGAGGATACAAACAAATGGAAGAACTTTCCATGCTCATGGGTAGGAAGAATCAATATCGTGAAAATGGCCATACTGCCCAAGGTAATTTACAGATTCAATGCCATCCCCATCAAGCTACCAATGACTTTCTTCACAGAATTGGAAAAAACTACTTTAAAGTTCATATGGAACCAAAAAAGAGCCCGCATCGCCAAGGCAATCCTAAGCCAAAAGAACAAAGCTGGAGGCATCACATTACCTGACTTCAAACTATACTACAAGGCTACAGTAACCAAAACAGCATGGTACTGGTACCAAAACAGAGATATAGATCAATGGAACAGAACAGAGCCCTCAGAAATAATGCCACGTATCTACAACTATCTGATCTTTGACAAACCTGAGAAAAATAAGCAACGGGGAAAGGATTCCCTATTTAATAAATGGTGCTGGGAAAACTGGCTAGCCATATGTAGAAAGCTGAAACTGGATCCCTTCCTTATACCTTATACAAAAAACAATTCAAGATGGATTGAAGACTTAAACGTTAGACCTAAAACCATAAAAACCCTAGAAGAAAACCTAGGCAATACCATTCAGGACATAGGCATGGGCAAGGACTTCATGTCTAAAACAACAAAAGCAATGGCAACAAAAGCCAAAATTGACAAATGGGATCTAATTAAACTAAAGAGCTTCTGCACAGCAAAAGAAACTACCATCAGAGTGAACAGGCAACCTACAAAATGGGAGAAAATTTTCACAACCTACTCATCTGACAAAGGGCTAATATCCAGAATCTACAATGAACTCAAACAAATTTACAAGAAAGAAACAAACAACCCCATCAAAAAGTGGGCAAAGGACATGAACAGACACTTCTCAAAAGAAGACATTTATGCAGCCAAAAAACACATGAAAAAATGCTCACCATCACTGGCCATCAGAGAAATGCAAATCAAAACCGCAGTGAGATACCATCTCACACCAGTTAGAATGGCAATCATTAAAAAGTCAGGAAACAACAGGTGCTGGAGAGGATGTGGAGAAATAGGAACACTTTGACACTGTTGGTGGTACTGTAAACTAGTTCAACCATTGTGGAAGTCAGTGTGGCGATTCCTCAGGGATCTACAACTGGAAATACCATTTGACCCAGCCATCCCATTACTGGGTATATACCCAAAGGACTATAAATCATGCTGCTATAAAGATACATGCACACGTATGTTTATTGCAGCATTATTCACAATAGCAAAGACTTGGAACCAACCCAAATGTCCAAAAATGATAGACTGGATTAAGAAAATGTGGCACATATACACCATGGAATACTAGTTCATGTCCTTTGTAGGGACATGGATGAAATTGGAAATCATCATTCTCAGTAAACTATCGCAAGAACAAAAAACCAAACACCGCATATTCTCACTCATAGGTGGGAATTGAACAATGAGATCACATGGACACAGGAAGGGGAATATCACACTCTGGGGACTGTTGTGGGGTGGGGGGACGGGGGAGGGATAGCATTGGAAGATATACCTAATGCTAGATGACGAGATAGTGGGTGCAGCGCACCAGCATGGCACATGTATACATATGTAACTAACCTGCACAATGTGCACATGTACCCTAAAACTTAAAGTATAATAATAAAAATAAATAAAAAAGGGTGAATTATATGGCATATAAATTAAATCTCACAAAACTATTTTTTAAAAGAAAAAAATACAAAAGTAAAAAGTCAATTTGCCTTTCCTTCAATAAATATACAATACTGATGAACCAAATTTAAAATTATGACATTTGTATTCAGACTTGTAATATGTTGAAATCTTATTGAATAATTGGATGTCCAATATATGACAAGGTATACATTAATCATTGCTTCAAAATTTCAGGATATTTCTAACCTTTAAAATAAAATCAGACTGAGACCAGAAGTATGCTCACTTCAGGTCTAAATTAGTTCAAAACAAGAGGACATATATTAGGGAATATTTGCTCAAATCTGGTAAAGTATTACAGAATCACTGGTTATTTTATTTCTAAAAGAACAACTGGAAGTAGGTTCCCTTTTATCTCCAAGTAAACACAATTATTTTGTCAGTTTCCACTGTTCAGGACAGCAATATTTTCCATAATTTCTGTTATTAAACTCATGTTTAGCTGATTGATAACTTTTTTCACTATCCTCATAAAGGGATATGGGTAAGTCTGACTTCCTATGTCCACCTTCATTTTTAAAGCTTAAAAAGCCAAAAATAAAAGAAAAATCTTTTTGTTCTTTGATTAGCCAAACTATAAAATGGAAGTAGAGCTTTCTGGGAAAAAACATATACTGATCTGCCAAGCAAATTCACAAAATTGGCATATGCTGAGACATTAGCAGAGATAATGTACACTATACATTCTCCATTCAAGTCCAGATATTATTTAAAGCATTCAGTGCCAATATTAATTTTGTTTTCCACCCAGAACTTACTGGGTATTTAAAAACAGCTTTATATAGATTTTGCTAAATAATCAATGGAAATAATATTCACTGAATTATATCTGGTCAATTTCAGTAATGTTATAGTAGAAAATAAATTGGGGGTTGGGGTGAGGGAAATGAGTTGACAAGACCAGAAAAAGGGCACAATATTTCCAGGGCTTGACTCTACTGCAAAGATCAGTACATATGATAAGGCTAATGTTTTTCAGTCAACAGTTATTAACAGTGTTCTGGGTGCTGACACACTGGTGAATAACACAGACAAAATCCCTGTCCTTAAGGAGATTTTAATTATAATGCTTACAAAACACAAACACAAATCCATCTCTCTTTGCAGTCTCAAAACATAAAATGGAATATAACCAGGGTAACCATGTCCCAGTTTGAAATTTCATCTGGTGCCACTTAGGAATCTTGACATCATGAAAATAGTAATAAATCACTTTAGACCAGTACTTAGATATGTAGACAAACTGGATGTACTCAACATGGTAACCACCTCTCTATACCACATGCAAATCATAGGCCTAATAACAGTGTAAGGGAAAATAGTAGCAAAGCTGTTTCCATCACTGACGGCTCAGGCACAGGAACTGGTCTTAGAACCAATAAGAGTGTGCATGTGTGTGTGAATATACTGGGGGGGTTGGTACACACACAGGTGGGTACTCAGTATTTTGATGTAGTGGAATGGAAATTTCATGGTACTAGCAATCAGAAGACCTGCCATATCTTGTGAGAGTCTCAAATATTTGGGGATGCATTAAATTGTCCCTTTAAGAAAAAGATCTGAACTACAGTCAAACTTAGCTCTAAAACTGTGAGTTTATGATTTCCTATGCAAAACATAAGGCTTCAACTCCTGAACTTTATCTGCAGAGAGTCACAGAAGGCAGTTTTTCACACAACAGGAAGAAGTAAACAGTTAGGTTTAAAAAATCAGTAATCTCAGATGTACTTTTCTTTCCACCTTTCAGTTCCTTCCCATAGCTTGTGTATTTTGAAAGTCAAATCAAAAAACAGGTGATAGGGAATAGAGTTCAACATTAGTATGTGCAGAGGATGAGGAAATTAATTAATGGGAGTGGGGAGTGGGCATGTCAAGGAATCCTTAGATCTTTCCTGAGGTAAGGGAAAGGCTGCAGGGTACAAAGGGGCAGTAGGGGAAGTGGAACTATGATAAAAAACAGACACAAGCAATGACATGAAACAAAAAGCTCCGATTGTGCCTTCCTCATCTCACTCGGTTCTCGTTATTTTCCACTACGGGCCACTTGTTGAGAATCTGTAGGACCCTCTCAAGGATCTAGAGCACCCTCTTGATGCTACCAGCTCCACAGGACTTCCTCCTGTAGCCATTCACTTTTCCCTCTACCCACCTCCAACTACCATTAACCCTAATGCAAGCCCTTCCCTAGTATGTTTACCTGAAAATAATCTAATTAATTAATTCTCACTAGGTATTACTGATTAGGTCGATCCTATGAGGCTGTGCATTTTAACAGGCATGACCATCACCCAAAGGATTGTTAAATGTGGAAAGGGCCTTAAAAGTACCAGAAACTGAAGCCAGGCCCATCCTCTGCCCTCTGCACCTCACTGGCCTGCTGTACCAGCCACACCAGCCCTGATCTTGTGTGCACTAGTTCTTCTCTGTACCATTCTGCCTCAAATGGAGGAGTTCCCAGAACCAGAAGAGATGTGTTATGAAGGATTTTGAAGCAAAACAGCCTATCCAACACCTTTAAACATTCCCTATAGGCTCTCCTCTTTTTGACTCATGCATTAGGCTTCCCAGAGAAAGTAAACAGTAATATCTTTAGCCCTGGATTTAAACACCTGTGTGTAAAGTCAAGCAAGCTCACCATGGTTTTAAAAATGTTAAAAACTTTTTTAATAAAAGGTTTTGGTTAAATAATTCATCCTTGTGTTACTTATTATATTCCGAGTTTTAAAAGTGCTTCCCATTCACCAATCCTTTTTGTGTCTGAAGACAATCATGTGAGGTGGTTAGAGATGGTTAGAGAGTTTATAACATTAGATTATCATTTAGAACATTAGATTACATAACATTGTCACTTTTGCATATTTAAAAAATAGCGATTTAGAGTACAGTATCAGGACTAAACTGCCTAGGGATGAATCCTGCCTCTACCACTACTAGTGTGTGACTTCGAACAATTTACTTAACCCGTCTGTTCTTCAATCTACTTGTCTGTAAAAATGAGGGTAAAAATAAGACTTACTTCTTAGAATTATTTGATAACTAAATGAATTAATGCAAGAATGGTGCTGAGAACATTGCCTGACACCTGATAAGTACTCAAAAAGTGGTAGTTTGGGTTAGTATCTTCACCACAACCACCACCACTTCCATCATCATCAACATTATCATCAGAAATGACTATTTACTCAGAACAAATTAATCCTTTGATTACCAGATCCTTACTTCACTTTGTGCCAATATAGACATGGTCTTGATGTTGCTGCTCACTGCTAACATCAACTCTTTGTCTTTGAAAATTGTTTTCCTCCACTTTTGCCACAGTTGATCTCAAGAAGCATGAAGTAGTTTAATGAAAGTAAATGAATCCGATGAGTCATCTTTGTCTCCATTAAAAAGATGAAAGTAATATTTGAAATGGTAACATGCTAAATAGATGTGTGGAGACTCTCTTCATATCTGGAATGTAATATCAAAATATTTCAGGACTATGGTTAGTGTTGTATTAGTAGAAGACCTGAAAGCTTTTAAATATCTTTACATGGCTTTCTGCTCCTTAGGCACTAAGCATATCAATAACTCACAATAAGCACAATAATAATTATGGCACTGATAGAAATTATATTCATTTAATAAAGTTAGCATTCAATAAATAAGGTTACCTCAACCAATGTTTGGCATCAGGGGTGAGAAGCTTTATAGGAATTGTTTGTTTGATTTTTAACACAATTCCAAAAGATACAGATAACAAAATCCATATCTCTCATGAAGGTAAAATTAGAAAATTTACGTTTGATAATTTGACCTAAAAAAATGTAGCAGCATAATCAAACTACAGGTGACAGCCCATAAACTAAATATCTACTATTTTCATCAAAGACAAATTTCAATTAGTCCCTTTATCCATTCTTAACTAACTACCTTTACTGTAACTTTACCTTTAATGTAACTTCACATCCTCTCACTAAGGAGGGGTGACCCTGACTAGACAACTGTCTTTCTCGACTGCCTTCATTTTCACATAATAATATAAATTCAAAGCCAGTGCCTCTCACCTATTAACAAGAACTTATCTGATACCTATTCTTCAAGTACTTTTCAGGAAGCCTAATCTTGAACCTAGTGGAAAGGCTTTACATGGCTATCAAAAAACAAATTAAGAAAAGCAACAGTTATACAATGTAGCCTGAAGGATTCCAGTAGTCAGTTCCACCACATACTCTAAAACCTGTCCTTGGATTAAGATAGACCAGTAGAACATTGCCCACCTGGATTGAACTATTAATTTACACACATCCTCATTCTCCTTCATACCCCATTGGCTTGCACTGGGGAACATTCTGGAAAAAGAAAAACAGCCTCATGGGAAGTACTTTTTACCACCAGAATGTTGGGGAGGTCATTGTTTATTATATGACAAGAAGCTTTCATGGGTAAAGAGGGTGGGACATAGAATTTAAGACAAGCAGTTTAATAAGCACTAATCAAAATAAGCTCAAGAGGGCAACACTGCTTGATGTAGAAAGATTCATGTCCCCAAAGGCACCCATCTAGCCTCCCAGAGGGAGCATGCCATGTTCATCCCAAAGATTTCTTTTCTGGGATTGAGGTGCTACCAGAGTGGTAACCCCCCTCCACTGAATTCATTCCTTAACTTGCCTCCAATATGTCCCCTGGGCTTCAGGTCATGCTGAAGAACAACCCGGAAGAAAGTTTTATGTTTTTATAAACCTCATCCTATTCTCAGCCTCACTTTCCAATCAGATCAAGCAAGTTCTATCTTTGGGTGAAACTGGATTCCTTACCAAATTATTATAAATTACATCTGACTCAAATCCCAGCAGCTATGGCACCAAGGCAAATACCACATTCCCAGATGTTGTGCTTCCCTGTATCTTATGTTATTTACTTTTTCCAACATAATGACTTTTTCTGGTTTACCATATTCTCACTTCTTCTTGATATCCCACAATAACAAGATTATTTTGGTGAAAATAAAATCGTGTGTGTGTGTGTGTGTGTGTGTGTGTGTGTGTATAGAGAGAGAGAGAGAGATAACGTAGCATTTTGGGGGTTACTATCTTTAGATGGGTCTGCTTGCAGAATTGGCCTTTGGCTGGCATCTGAGGACTTGGCTTTCAGAATATTCTCTATGTTAATAAGTCTGTTTTGTCTACATGAGTTACTGTAGTGTTGTTGTACCAGCTTGCCTACACTGATTGTATAAGAAAATGTGGTTGATGGTGAATACTTGCTTCCCTTCTGGAAATTTGCTACGTGTGGCTGGCCACACCAGCAAAGGGTAGCTATATAACTAGCCCCAAATAAAAACTCTGGACTCTGAGTCTCAAACAAGGTTTCCTGGGCCAAAACACTACACATATATTGGGGCATTTCACTGGTGGAGGAGGAGCATTTCTGTGTGATCCCTCTTGAGAGAGAAAATGTTGGAAGTCTGTGCAGGGATTCCTCCAGACTACCTGACGTATCTTTTTCCATTGCTGATCACTAAAAAAATATAATCAGGATTACGGCTGCTTCTGAGTCCTGTGAGTATTTCTAATGAATAACCAAATGTATGAATGGGCTTGGAATCTCTGAGTTATATATGTAAAAATTTTAAAATAGGCAAAATTGTTCAACAAATACTTTATAAAAGAAGATATCTGCATGTCAAAGAAGCACAGGAAAAGTGTTTCAATGTCATTTAACATTAAGGAAGTATAAATTAAAAGTGCAATGAGATACCACTACATAGCTAAAACTAAAAAGACTTACCATACCAAGTGAGCGATTGTCAACAATATGGAGTAATTACAACTCTCATGCACTGCTTATAGGATGTAAAATGCCACAACCACTTTAGAAAACAGTTTGGCCATTTCTTAAGAAGTGTAACCTACACCTACTATAAGATCCAGCCATTCCACTTTTAGGTATTTACAAAGGAAAATAAAAGCATATGTCCATATGATGACTTAATAGCAGCTTTATTAGTAAAAGCCACAAAATGGAAATAATTCCAATAACCACCAACAGATGAGTGGATAAACACATTGTCATATAGCCATACAATGGGGAAAAAACAATTAAAAGAAATGAACTATCAATACATGTAACAAATCTCAAAATATTTATGTTCAATGAAAGAATTAAGATGAAAACTTCAGTACATACAGTACAATCCCATTTATATTAAACTCTAGAAAATGTAATCTATAGTCACAGAAAACAGATCAGTGGTTGCGTGGGGATGAAAAGAGGGACAGGGAAAGGCAGGAAGGAGGTATTACCATGGCACAGGAAACTTTGGGACATAATGAATATGTTCATTATCTTCATCATAGTGGTGGGTTCACAGGTATGTATCTATTGCAAAGCATATCAAATTGTACACTTTAAATGTTTGCAGTTTATTATATGTCAAAAATACATAAGCTTTTCTTAAAACTTTCCACAACAAGCCTTTTCAGGCTTAGGTTACAACCTGTTAAAAACACCACCCATCCTAAGTTTCCTATAACATTGCACGCAAATTTATTAATGATAATTGAAAAGCAATAGGAAGTAATCTTTAGGAATTTCAGCAATGAGCATAATATAATACCTGCCAAGAAAGAATGTATCTGAAAATCAACTCAGATAAAAAGAGATAAAGGTAAGAAAGATAATGAGTGGACATGTAACAGATTCCTAATAAAAATTATGCAGCACAATCATTAGTTACTTTAGGCTACATAAATCCAAAACAACCTTCTCAATCACTGAGGTCTCAGAGTAAAGAATTTGTCTAGACATAAACCTAGATCTATGATATGCATTATAGTGAACACAGGGAGTTCTGTGATTGGGTAAAACCACCCAAGTCTTAGCCATACTCAGAACGTTGATGTCTCCAAAACCCTTGGAGAAATAGTTGATTACCAGGTATGTAAAAAAATACATCCGTAAGGGAAATCCTTACAAATTACTTGAGCCATACTTTTAGAGCAATAAAAGATTAAGTTCAACTGCTTTAAAAAGTAAGAAAAGCAAAAAAAAAGAAAAAAGTATTTAATTCAAAAATGTAATTCAATGGTTCTCTCAATGGTCTTACAATTATGAAAAAAGTTAGGATGTCATACAATCAGCCCCAAACACTCTAAATGCATTCACAGAATAGAATCTGCTCCCTTAAATGAGCATTTCTAGAAATTGACAGGCAAAATCCTGAAGGTTTTTGTAATTGATATTGTTGAACTTCTGCTATTGGTGATTTCTTACTTGAAACATAATTATTTTAAAATTTCCAATCAACTAATAGGTTACGTAAACATTTCTGAGCATATCAACATATGGTAATTAATTTCTCCTTATTAATCCATTAAAGGGACTTTATAAAATAGTTTACAATCCTATCTATGAAGCTGATCCTAGTATCAAATAAATGCTCCAAAATCATTTTATACATCCACATAGGAAATAGAGCACATTTACTGAAATTACAGCAATCTTTGTCAGCACAATATTTTTAGCTGAGAAAAATCAGATATGTAAAATAATATTTGTCTTTATAATTGAGCTTAGTTGCTGGATGGCAGAAACTTAATTAAGTCAATTCCACGTATTTTTTTTTTCTCAGCCACTTCAAAGTTTTTCGGTCAAGTGAGGCATAAACTCAGTTAGTTCTGAATTGGCCTTTTCCCTCCCCTGGGGTGTCTAGTCATGAGAAGTGGGTGGAGGTGTCTGGTGTTAAGTTGGTGGTTGACCTCAGGCAGGACCATCCCTCCACTAGGGGTAACACAGGCAGACACTGTGTCCACCTGTTCTGCAGCCACTAGCCCAACCCACTTTCTAGCATCCCCTTATCACAATGGGGAGAACTCTTCAGGGACAACTGGCTTATAAATAAACTATTTTCCCTTTCGAGAGCCAAATATATTGGTGCCTTATAACGTGCTCAGGCACAGTGGTGCCTTACAATGTAGTCAGGCAGTATTCATACTCATTTTTTCAGGCCCCAGGAAAGAGACAAATCCTCCAGGATCTCATGTTCCAAGCATCTCTTTATCTGGTAGGAGTGGAGCCAGAGTAGGGGTGGATTTTATAGTTCCCCTAAGATGCCTCGCTCACAAGAACTTCCAAGTCTTACCCTCTTGCGTTAATTGAAACTCCATCTTGGAACCCCCTCCTCTGGAACTAAGCCTTACCATCTAATCCATCAGTTATGGTTTATAACAAAAGTTATTTCCCTGATATCATCTGTAGGCAATGTATTCAATAAACAATACTTTCAAACAAAATGGACACAGTCTGAATGATTTATACCATAATCAAAGTGCATTCAGTGTAAGTGCCTGATGCAGACTGCCATAAGCCTTGAAAACTGCTACGTAAATGGCGAATTGCCTTTATATCTTTCTAAAAGCAAAAGTCGTCACCTCTCAGTAAATTCCATCAATTTAACTTTCCAAGATAACATGTAAACACTATTTTTCTCTCTTTTAGCACACAGTACTTCATACATGGTAACTCTCTGATAGATGATTCCTAGACGAATACCTTTCTCTTGAAGAAATTTTTTCCAAATAATTTATCTTAGTGTTCTAATCAGAACCTGAACAACAACAAAACAACAACAACAACAACAACAAATATATAAATATATCCATTTTTATAGCAATTCTAGTTCAGGGTCCTATGAGATCCGAAACAGCATGGTCTTCCAGATAAACAGTACCATCGGTGATTAGGTGTGTGCTCATTTTGTTTAGAACTAAAGCATCAGAATGAAAGACTAGGCATTTCCAAAAAATCCCAGGTGTTTCCAAAAGAGAGGAAATGGAAGAGTGAAGATTCTTTGTGATTCTAAAAACAGAAGATCTTTAAGAGACACTTAAAAAAATTCACTACAATACAATCTATTTTGCCATGTTACTCACATAACCAGAAATTATAGGCACCATGAATTGGAATAAAGTGGGTGCCCAATGAGGTAATTATGCCCACTTTCCTAATCATGGTGGCCTTAGGAACTACAATCCTTTCATTAATGGCCGTCGGAACATCCCAAGTCAATATTTTTATTTCCTGTTTTCACCTGCCAGTGGTGAGTACTTTTCTCCATTTTCTGAATATATGACTAAATTTAACATGGGAGTTATGACAAGACATGCAGGAAGCTGCCCAGGCCAAACGAACTGAAAAACTCAGAACAATTTTAAATATGCTTTTTGTTTTGAAAGAAGTCTTGAAGTTCTGCAGGTCTTCATCATACTTTAATTTTGATGCTACAATTAGATTTGAAAGAATTTACATACTCCTACAAAAAACTAAAGCATTTCAGTTCTATGAGAACAAGGTAAAACTTTTTATGAATTTATTTTGATAAATGAACTATAAAATATCTGTGATATCAACCACTTTTTACTTTAGCTTACTGAAACATAAAGCAACATCCGTCAGCTAAACTTTAAATGAAATCTTTTTGAGTTTTACACTCCTTAAATATATTTTTATACAAATTATCTTTAAAATATTTGCAGTTCATTTTAGCATTTGTTTATAACCTAAACCCAATTAAACTTAGGAAGGAATATTAAGCCATCATATGTATATTTTCTCAGTGAATCATTTTTAATCAATTCAACAACATGTAGCCTTTTTATCTGAAATGAAACTTTGGTAGCATACAGATATGAAGTGTTTTGGTTTTCATAATCATTTTTGCATTTCTGTTTTTTCATTTTTTCAAACAAATAGATTTCGTAAGATACATGTAAAAATACAAGCCAGCAATCTGTTCCTTTTGTTTAATCTGTCAGAATATTAACCAGAAAATGTCCTGCTGTGGACTGAACAACCAAATGGTAGAATTGGGTCTATTGTAAGAGTAAATAGATCTTCCTTTTGGTGCTTTTTAAAATATGCATTATGTAAATGTGCTTAGTGTCTCTGCCAGAGTAATCCAGAAAAGAATTAGAAAT
Source organism: Homo sapiens (assembly GCF_000001405.40). Lineage (NCBI taxonomy): Eukaryota > Metazoa > Chordata > Mammalia > Primates > Hominidae > Homo > Homo sapiens. Next base: position 80,557,915 of record NC_000006.12, on the reverse strand, counting down.
GAACGGCTGGGTCAAGGGGAGAAAAAGAGTTGGGAGGGACGATACACGGGGGTTCCTCCTGGGATAGACAAACACAATGGCATCAGAGAAGAAAATGTCAGTGTAAGTTGCCAATTGTATAGCAGATGATTTGCAGTCGTGTGGCAAACCTTCAATTTCCAGGCACACCTACAGCCAAGGGTTTCTAATAGTCCTGAGTTGTGATGGCCTTTCTTCAATTGCTGCATTCATCAAACTTAATTTCCATCTACTTCTATCATAAGGTGCCTGTGTGTATTTGTACTTTTCTCAAACTTTAGTCACATTTATTTATTTATTTATTTATTTATTGAGATGGAGTCTCACTCTGTCACCTAGGCTGGAATGCAGTGGCACGAGAGGCTCACTGCAACCTCTGCCTCCTGGGTTCAAGTGATTCTCCTGCCTCAGCCTCCTGAGTAGCTGGGATTACAGATGGCTGCCACCACGCCTGGCTAATTTTGTGTATGTGTAGTAGAGATAGGGTTTCACTGTGTTGGCCAGACTGGTCTCGAACTCCTGACCTCAGGTGATCCACCCCCGCCTTGGCCTCCCAAAGTGCTGGGATTACAGGCATGAGCCTCATTTTAAAGAACAAGAACATTGTCTACCCATTGGCATGGCCTCTGGTGCAGCAACATAGGCTCCTGTTCCTGCCACAGCTCTCTCCTTCCTTCTCTGCCCATCAGAGCCCAGAGTTGGCCCACCATGGCTTTACTCACTACTGTCACCCAGTTCTTGGGAACAAAGGACGTATCTTGTCTTGTTCTTGCTGCCTGGCATGCCAGTACCTCCTCCAGGAATTTGGAAGACATATCAGCTTACCTCATACCCAAGGAGCAGGCCAGAATTAAGATCTCCAGACAGCAATGTGGCAAGAGGGTGGTGGGCCAAAACACTGTGGGCATGATGTATGGTGGCCTGAGAGGCAAGAAGGGATTGGTATATGAAACATCAGTTCTTGATCCTAATGAAAGCATCCATTTCTGAGGCTTTAGTGTCCCTGAGTGCCAAAAGCTGCCACCCAAGCCTAAGGGTAAGAAAGAAACCCTGCTGGAGGGTTTATTTCAGCTGCTGGTGGCTGAACAGATCCCAACAGAGGAAACAGGCATCTTGGCTTTCAAAAAAGTGGGCAAAGAGGACAGCTCTACCCTCCCACGTGGTCATGATGCTGGACAACTTTCCCACCAATATACATCCCATGTCTCAGCTCAGTGCAGCCTTTACAGCCCTCAACAGTGAAAGTAATACTGCCTGAGCATATGCAGAGGGTATCAAGTACTGGGAGCTGATTTATGAAGACTGTGTGGATCTGATCACAAAGCTACCTGTGTTGCAGCAAAGATCTACCAAAATCTCTACTAAAAGGGCAAAAATGTTGGGGACATTGACTCCAAGCTGCACTGGCCCCACAATTTCACCAACATGTTAGGCTATACTGATGCTTAGTTCACTGAGCTCATGCATCTGTATCAAACCATCCACAGTGACCATGAGGGCAGCAATGTAAGTGCCTATATCAGCAACTTGTTGGGCAGTGCCCCTTCAAGCCCTTATCTGTCCTTTGCAACAGCCATGAATGGATTGACAGGCCCTCTACATGTACTAGCAAATCAGGAAGTGCTTGTCTGGCTAATTTAACTACAGAAGGCAGTTGGCAAAGATGTGGCAGATGAGAAATTATGAGACTACACCTGGAACACACTCAACCCAAGATGAAGTTATTCCAGACTATGGCCATGTAGTGCTAAAGAAGATTGATCCACGAGGTACCTGCTGTGAGAGTTTGCTCTGAAACACCACATAATGACCCCATGTTAACTTGGTTGCTCAACTACACAAGATTGTGCTTAATATCCTCTTAGAGAATGGCAAGGCCAAGAATCCTTGGCCCAATGTAGACACACCCTGGGGTACTGCTCCAGTACTATGGCATGATGGAAATGAATTACTACACTGTTCTGTTCAGAGTGTCTCAGGCATTGGGTGTACTGGCACAGCTCATCTGAAGTCATGCACTAGGATTCCCTCTAGAAAGGCCCAAGTCCAAGACATAGATGGTCTGATAAGTTTGTGGACTCTAAGTTGGGATAAAACTGGAGACTGGGGGAAAAGTGACGACCAGAAAGTGAAGACACTTTAAAAAAAAAGTCTACTTTGGTTTTAAGGGGTCTTTAAAGACTTAAGATTAAATTGTATCTGAGGCACTGATAATAGATTTGAGGTTAAAATGTAAATTAAAAGCTTAAAAGATGAAAAACCTAACCAACTCCCTTCACTTGCCTGGTATGAGTTGCCCATCAACTGCAGAATGACCACAACTAATGCATGTGTAATGGGTTAAGTTTGGCCCCCACACCATCTCAGAGTGAGAATCTGGCTCCTCTTTCCCTGGGTCAAAGCTGGTTGCAGAGAATGTGCAGTCACTTCTGAGATTTTGCTTCTACTCTGCCAAGTGCACAATAAGCCAGCAAGCCAGGACTCTTCCCTTTCTGTTTCCATAGGAATGATGTTAGATAATCAGCTGTACCAAGTCCCTCAGCCCTCTCCTCTGCACACTAACACCTCCTAGCAAGACCTATTGATTAGCTGGACATGCTTTGGCAACTTTTTATGCTACCAGGTGAGCATAAAGGAATGTTTGTTGTAACTGGCACCCAGTGTTTGATGTGATTTCTCTTTTCAAAACCATCCTATTAAAATTAAGGTCTCAGAGTGTTCTGTTTCCCATTATTTTAATACTCACCCCCATTCAGAATTTCTACACCTGTTGCACCTCAAGGTAAGGATGTTTGGGACCTCCCCATCTTGGTCCTCACCAGAGACCTCTTTCAACAGTTCTGTCTGATATGTGGTCCCAGTCATTGGGTTTTTATCAGTGCTTAATGTGAACTAAATATTTTACTTCCACAGAACACAAGCCACTACCCTCTGACCTTCCCCTGCCCTTCTAAGGTACTGTGGGGCATAAACAGGGACTCAGGAATGATAGCATGATAGCTTCAGGGTCTGATCCCAGGAGTATTAGCACCTCTTTTGGAACAAGAAAACGATTCAAGATTGGACATGGTCTCCTCTGATTATTGGGTCCTGGAGTTGAGAGGATTAAAAATAGTAAGTCTTCCTCTTCATCCTCTGCCTCAAGAAAATGCTCCCTTATTTATCAATATCGTTTTCCTGTCCTACCTCAAGCACTCACAGTACAGTGTTTGTCTTAGAAGCCCCATTTGCACAGGTTTTCAGAAACTCAGAATGCTCTGCTGCCTTTTCTTTAAGAAAGGATTAAGATACATTCCTTCTGTGCCCCTTTCTTCCCTCCAAATTCCTGCCTGTGTTTCTGTAGATCTACCATCCCCAGAACTACGCTGTTGAGATGAACACAGTATAAGCCCCTGGTAACTGTCAGGTCATGATGCAGACTTCAGGTTGCCCTGTATAAAATGCGAAGTAAGTGTTTTTAATAACAATGAAAAAAAGAACAATACCAGACACTCCGATCTGGCTTTCCAAGTGGCCATATATATCTGAAATAACTTTCCATTATAGTAGAAGACTGAGAAATTATCCAGATAATACAATCGTTTAGGGCATTAAAAAGAGTTTCTATGTAATACACCTATAAATGTTATGCATGTATGTAATAAATACATACTCACAAAAGGGTTTCTCTGCTACTGAAAAAAGTATTTTCACCTACACAATAATAATTTGCTAGCCTTTCTTAAGCACTACAAGATGCCTGACATTGTTCTAAGTGTTCTACATATGTAGTCTCTTAATCTTAATAGGAGCCATCTTACTTTATCCTATTATTATGTCCACAGAGCACAGAAGACTGAAGCATATGTCCAAGGTCAGCCAGCATTCAATCCCAAGCAGTCTGACTCTGTAGTGTATAGTCTTACCACAACAAAATATAACATCTCATTTGACCTAGTTATATAGGGACTATTATATCCATTTGTCAGATGGGAAAATTGAGGCTCAGTGGGATTATATAATTTTCAAGCTTCCTCTGCTAACATATGATAGATACCATGAGTCAACACTAATCTTTCTGATTCCGAAGTCTGGCTTATAGCCAATTATAAGCTTATAAAACCACTACAGCCTCCTAAATGCAGGACCACTGTGTAAGATGCAAAAGTTATCATGACCCTCAAAAACAATACAAGCAAAAGGGAACAAATTATATTAGTGACCTGACCCACACCATCTCACTGAGGTGGCTCAGCCCTAGACAGGACCAGGATTTTTTCAACACTAATCACAAGACAATGGTCCTAGGCCCAACCTCCCATCTGGCTCAGAACTACTATTGTCAACATGAAAGATGGCCTTTGTTTTCTGGTCTTTACAAATCCTTGTAGCGGTTTCTCTATCTGTCTCCAGGAGTGGTCACAAGGCTAGCCAGAAGGAAATTCAACCCAGAGACCCAAACCTGGATTCAAAACAGAAACTGCTCGAAGGGTTGAGTCAGGAGTTGTGTCCCTACAGAGCTCTTTGATCCTGAGAGAGGAAATCATTGGCACAAAGGAAAAGAAGCAGATTATAGACGAGAGGGCTTTTGTTGCTGAAGGTCTTTTCCTTCTAGATGAGCATTCTGGATTTCAGAGTGGCTGTTTCCTGCTGAGCTTCAATGGGCCGGGCCTCTACCCCTGCACAAAAGAGTATGAGAATTTTGAACTCAAACATAAAAGCAGAGCAGCAGGCCACAGCGTCTACAGCTCAGGCCTGCTGGGAGCTCCAGCCAGTTCAGACACCATATGTGTCCTGCTTATCCATCTGGTTCTTTGGACAAGGCCAAACAAAACAGTGGAAATAAATGGCAGAGTAAAGTCTTTTGCCCTGGCCCTGAAGCACATACTGACCTCACCTTGCAGAGTTTTTCTGTAAATCATTTGGATTATAAGTAGTTTGATTTAAAGTATAGGAGTCCAATCTGTACAAAACTTTAAAAGCAGAGAAAAAAGTTCCAACATTACATCTGATTAGCAGGCTAATCACCTTATATCTATCCCTCCATTTACCAATATTACTTCGTAAGGTAAAACCTGAAATCCAGTGAAACCATAGAAACATGTAGCTTAACCACATGTGAATCCAATCCAAAACAACCACGTTTATACAACCACTACAAAAGCTTCTGCATTATTAAACTATATTTTATGGAGAATTGGACTCACTTATTTAAGCAAAAGTCAACACAGTAAATTTTTATGTAATAAGAAGACTCAGTAATCTCTGAAAGATTATTCTACATCTTAATTGTCTACGTAATTTCAACTTTGATTAACTTTAGCCTATTCATGGAAGCTAATATATCTCTGTGGCTAATACTTTCAATGAACTTAGCTTGTATATATAGTTATGAGTTGCTTAATCACAAGGATACATTCTGAGAAATTTAGGAGAATTCTTTGTTGTGGGATCATGGAGTGTACTTACACAAACCTGTCTGTGGTCCCCAAAATTTTGGGCACCAGGGACTGGTTTCATGGAAGATAATTTTTCCACAAACCTGGAAGGGGAGGAACAGGGATAGTTTGGGGATGAAACTGTTCCACCTCCCTGATTCTCATAAGGAGCAGCAACCTATATACCTCACATGCTCTGTTCACAATAGGGTTTGCGCTCCTATGAGAATCTAATGCTTCTGCTGATCTGACAGGAGGCAGAGCTCAGGCAGTAATGCTTGCTCACTGGCCCACTGACCTCCTGTTTCCTGCTTTGTGGCCTGGCTCCTAACAGGACACAGACCACTACCGGTCTTGGCAGAATGGGGGTGTGGAGGTTGGGGACCCCTACCCTACTACACACCCAGGCTACATGATAGAGCCTATTGTTTCTAGGCTACACACCTGTACAGCATGTTACTCTAGTGAATACTGCAGGCAACTGTAACAATGGTAAGTATTTGTGTATCTAAACATAGAAAAAGTAATGCATCGTGTTATGACTTCATAATGGCATCATCACTAGGGGAGAGGAATTTTTTCAGCTCCATTATAATCTTATGGGACCACTGTTATTTATGTGGTCCATTGTTTACCAAAACGTCATTATGTGGTGCATGACTGTATTTCAGTTACTTTCAATAGACCAAACATTAGCCATGTACTATACCCAGTTTCTCAGTCTCAGCACTATTGACATTTTCGACCAGATAAGTCTGTTGTGGGGGATTATCCTGTGCATTGCAGGACTTTTATCACCACACTTAGTCTCTCACTTAAATGCCACTAGCACTGCCCCACATTTGTGAAAACACCAAATGTCTCTATATATTGTCAGACGTCCCTGAGGAGTGAGTAGTGAGTTGTGAGGAGTGAGTTGAAATCAACCCTGGTTGATTTCAACTCACTGGTTTATAGAGAATAATTTTGAATGCTGATCTACTCCTTCTCATTTATACATAATCATTCAGTAACAGCTAATACTCAATATTAAAAGCACAAGACAATGACTAGACCCATTGGATTTTTAAATCTAAGTTATAAACTTATCTTCTGAACTCATAAAAATAATGTTATAATAGTTTCTGAATATCATGAAAATTCAATCATACACAAAAGTCTATGTATTATATAATGGTGGGGTTTATTCCAGACCCACTGACAAGTCTGTCTTACTTCACTGAAGTTAACCCTCCAAACACAGATGAGGACAGATGACTGGGCACGTGGGAAAGATGGATGGGAAGAAAGAAAAAGCAGCAAGAATGTGGAGTCTTGATAAATAAGCAATAACAAGGAAGGAGACCCAGGTGGCGGAGGTCCCCAGGTGGGGAAGAACAATGAACAATTGTTTTGAGAGATGGCTAACCACAAATAACCTGAGGGCACAAGGACCTCATTCTGAGGGCACAACAACCTTGCATGTAGCCCTCCTCCAGCAGGACCTTAATAAAACTTCCCTCCAGCCCCTGCCTCTTTGCAGGCAGCCTCTTCTCTGCTGTCCTGCCTGTTGCAATCTTGCCACGTATTTTCATACTTTCTCTAATAAATCTGCTTTTCTTTACCTACAACGGTCTTGGTAAATTCCTTTACTGTCTGCACCACTTGCCCCAGATAGTTACTACCCATGACAAAAAAGACTAGAGAGCAGGTTATGAACAGTACTGAAGGTGGCTTAAATCATATGAGTAACGTTCCTTAAGAAAACTGGAAAAATACATTTTCACACAAATGTAAACTATTTTATTAATGTACTTAGTTTGAAAATACTCTTTTCATAATTAAATATAATACATAAAATCCCCACTTAAATGTTCTAAACTTACTATTTTAACTTAGGACCATTTTTTAGTAAACCTCTTTTAATGTTGCTTCACTTAAATCGTTTGTTTCTTTTTCTCCAGATGTTATGCTTCAAGTAATTGCAAAGATGTCATATTAAATTAGCCCCCTGTTTCAAAAGTGAAAACGTCCAGTGAGCAAAGACAAATGTTTATGGCAAATTGGTTAGTAAAATGCTGTCTCATGAGAACTGGACATTAAGCTGGAAACATTTAACATCTCCTTGGTCAATCTCAATTCTTCCTTCAGTCACTAAAAATTATTTTTAGTTTAATCACAACTCATCACACTGTACACATTGAGACTGCTACTTTACTCCTTTAATTAAAAACAAAAACAAGTAAATATATTTTTATTTGGCTTTGCTAAAAGAAACTGGTTTAGTTCTATCACTGTGTATCAGAATTCTACTTCAATCTCAGTGATTATAGTTTCTTGTCATTGAATCAGACTGTAGTGATTCTCAACCATAGATTTCAAAAAAATGCTTATAAATTAATGTAAATAAAGTGCTTAAAATAGTGTCAGAAATAATGCCTTATATAGTAAGAGCTATATAAGTACTTGCTATTATTACTACAGACCCCCTGGGCTCCACTGAAGACTAACTAAATCCAAATCTATGTGATTGCAGTGAGCAATCAGCATTGAGAAACATTGATCATACCATGTGCCAATGAAGCAAATTTAACAGCTTAAATGTCAGAAAACCTGACCAGCATCAATCTATGTACCACTGATTTAAAAAAAAAATCTACCATTTTCTAGGCACTGTGCATGCCAAAGACATTGAAAATGACTAAGACAATCTTTTCCCTCAAGCAAGTAGCAATCAGTTAGATTAAATAGACCATGGCCCAATAAATACAGAGTAATTCTTTAAGGGTAAGAATAGTGATATTAACTAAGGGTGTGGGCCAAAGAAAGCATCAGTCAATTCTACTTGATAAAGTAAGGAAGGCTCCCAAGGAGAGAGAAATTTGAAGTGACCCTGAAAGGATTAATGAAGTTGCATTGGGTGGAAAATGGAGGGAAAGACACAGAAAGAAAGGGAAATCACATAGTGTTTAAGAATTATTAAGTAAAATTTTAAGCAGAAGATGTGATGAGGGTGAAGCTGCATAGATTAGAAGGGCTTGAAAACTGGGCCAAGAAATTGTGATGTTTTTCTGTAGGCAAAGGGGAACCAAAGACACATTTTAAGAAAAGGAGTAATATGATCATATCTGCAACTTATATCTCTCTGTCTTCATGTATCAAGAGCAGCAATAAACACACCCATACAGACTTAGGCCCTCACACGATTGTGCTAGATAGACAGAACCTGGGTTTGAACCTCAGCCCATCTCATTTACATGACAGAGCTCTAGCCTAAAATATAAGAAAGCAAAGCAAGTCGGACGTTCTTAGTTTTGTGGAACTTGAAAATCTAGATCTTCCAGTCATTTAAGAAGAGGATGAACCAAAAAGCCTTCCAAGGACCCTTAACTGTCAACATTGGCTAAAAATTTCTCCTTTCTAAAGGGAAAATAATGAAAACTGTATTCTCCAGAAAATCATAGATCTCTTTATGCTGTGAGGAAAGTTTTAAAGACACAGCAAGCATAATATTGCCAGGAAAAAAATAATCTAGGATATTCTTGGATGTTGTCTCCAGATGTTGAGTTTTAATTCTACCCTGATTTAAACAGTGAACTATTAAAATATGGAAAATATGACTATAATTTATGTTCTTCCATCTAAAGACTCAGGGGATTTCTTATTTTGTTATTAGAAGGGAGCAAAGCTATTGTTTTAAGTATGACAAAAGCCCACATCTGCTCTTGTGCAAGTTACTCCTGGCTGCATCAGGCTTTCTAAGCATTGACTGTGGATGTGCGTGCAGCCGCACCCTCTCCTGGAATTCCTATTGGTCTCCTCCTTGTCCTAAGCTGCTGCTCAGAAGCTCACCGTAAAGGAAACTATGTTGCTGCCATTTGACGTCAAAGCGCATCGATAACTGATTCAGTAATTGGCAACTACTCCTCTATCAATGTGTATGCACATGGAGACTTGGACTGTCAGATAAGGGTAAGTGACTAAATTTTTATCATTGCAATATGCACTGCTAAAGATAAATAGTGTTTACTGGCCCTCTAAAAGAGTAGTCTTGACTTGGAAAAGGAAAATGGTTTCATCTGATCTTAACATGTAAACACTCAGAATAAACCTCAGCAGAAATGCTCACTTTCAGAGTTTTAGACAAGGCTATTCCAAGGCCAGAAATTTATTTCTGCATACAGCAAAGGCCAGTTTCCTGTTTCATGCTCTATATACAGACATCCTCAACAAATAATACCTGATGGAGATCCCTGTCTGTTTCTGAGAAACAAAGTGTTAAGACTGACATGGGTCAGTGAAATCATTTTTTGCTCTAGATCATGCCCAAGAAGAAGAGGATATTAAGTCTCTCTCCCAGGATTTGAAATCTGTCCTGAATCCGTGGCCCAAGCAGATGCTGGTATGCTGCTTGGTATTTGGGGATTTCTTGCTGATGAATATGATATTTGCTTGGCTGCAAAGAGAAACCAGAGAAAAATAAAGAAGTGCTTTTGTTGGTAACATATTGTGGGTTCAGAATGGTGCTTTAGTGACTCACTTGAAAAAAAATGTGGTAGGAAACTAAATTCAACCCCATGACAGAGTGCTATGGCTTTTGTTTAACAATAACTCCAGCCAACTCACTGATGAAGATGCTTTTTATATAGGCTGGTTTTACATGATTCCAAAATATCTAGTAAATTTAATTCTAAAATTTAGCTCAATAATCTGGCTATTTTGCTTGAGAAATGTTAAACCTGAAGTAAACTGCTTTGGACAAATAATATATAAAACAAACATTCTGAGTAACAGATTAATTGATTAATGAATAGTGGCCTGAAATTTTGGGATGCTTTGGTGTTGTATTAGTCTGTTCTCACATTGCTATGAAGAAATACTCAAAACTGGATAATTTATAAAGGAAAGAAGTTTAATTGACTCACAGTTCTGCATTGCTGGGGAGGCCTCGGAAAACTTACAATCATGGCGGAAGGCAAAGAGAAAGCACCTTCTTCACAGGGAAGCAGGACAGAGTGAGTGCAAGCAAGAGAAATGCCAGACGCTTATAAAACCATCAGATCTTATGAGACTCACTCACTATCACGAGAACAGCATGGGGGAAACTACCCCCATGATCTAATTACCTATACCTCATCCTGCCCTTGACACACGAAGATTATGGGGAGTATAAGGATTATAATTCAAGATGAGATTTTGGGTGAGGACACAGCCAAACCATGTCAGGTTTTTTATAAACAGATTTATACAGCTGACTCTTCCTGGAACCCACCACCTTATTATCATCTCTGCTTCTTGGCCTCTAGGTTAGACAATATATTTCTCAACCAGAACAGCCCCATTGTCACTGGAATGGAGGAGGAGCTGGGTAGGAGGGTATAAGTGACCATCTCAGAGCCATGACCTCCCTCACTGAGGCATTCTGTCACTCACTTAGTTTGTTTTTGGTCTTGTTAAAATCGCTTTATTAGAGTCTTCATTATGGTCTGACGTTTTTCTTTATATTAATGCATCTTCCACAGCCACAATTCATGACATCTGCATTTCTATCTGCACACTTACCCACCTCTGTTACCTTCATCTGATAGAGCATTTTATTCCATCTTCATCTTTCAAACATTATTCAGATTTTAAGGTCAAGCTCAAAGCTATTTCTTCTATAAAGAAACGTATGCCTTCCCTCTTGTTTCATGCAATGGTTCCATTAAAACTATATTTATAGTTTTATTATAGCACATTCTGACTGTGTTATGATTCTTTGTGTCCATGTCTGTGCCACCACTAAATTGTTAGCTCCTTGAGCACTGCACTTCTGTTTACTCATAGGGACCCATTCCTCTTCAATTTCATATTTCTATACCAAGCTCAGTTATTCAGCTAGTAGGTAACACATTTTTTAATTTGATGATGCCCACATCCTTCAAATAAATGTATCAGATGACAAAGTGGTGTGGGGGTAGTGGGAAAGAAAGAAGGAAATGAGGGAAAACAAAGAAAGAGACAATGTCAAATTGGAAATTCAACCTGATTTAACATCTAATACATAATTACTCATGTTGGCAAACACCATAAGGAAAAACTCAAACATGATCACTCCACATGTTTTCCTTTAATGTATTTATTCATGCACAAACAATATCAAGGTTTCCTATGATTAAAACATGGATGTTTCTACTTGGCTTCCTTTTGGACACACTGCTTCAGAACAAACCAAGTCTGATTAATAAAGTAAATCTTCTCACTATGCCTTAACAATAACCCCATCCCTTGTTTTAAAACAATAATTTGCTGTCTAAATACTATACTTCCCTCAAGGAAATGAAAGGAGAAGACAGAGCCAGTGCACACTAATATAAAACAGCACCACAAGTTAAAATACAATTCACATCAGCATGGAAATTACTGAGTGGGTGGTTACTGCTACAAAATAAAAGGACATAGTAATCAGAAATGAACTACCTATACCATAGGAGTGAAACTTTTTCATAATGAACCTATAAAAAAGGAGTGAGATTTTTGCATAATACATTTACAGAGGTAGTATTCTACTAAATTCATTTTTTTCCAATAAGATTCAGTATTCTTGGGGAATTGAGGAAGCAGATTTGTTTCGGAGGCCATAACTGATCCACTGGGAATTTTATTTTCAATTTTGGGAATGTTCAGGATTTGTGTTTTACTATCTATGTAGATCGTTGACCCTGCTTTTTTTTTTTTTTTTTTTTCAAATGTATGACACTGGAGGTTTAAAGGTCTTGTTTTTTTAACAGAGATTTAACTGGCCCCACCATTTTGATTTGGTTTGACTATTAAAAATAGAACCTAAAGATTTTACACTATGCATCCCAAATTGTGAACCTTTGTTCTCTGCCAATACTATACTTAAGATTTCTAACACTTAGCAATTTTCTAACATTGTGGTTGAGGTCATCTTTGAAAGACCTACATTTATATTTTCCCCTTGTGATGCAGAATCAATACTTTACTGGCTGAGAAAAAGTGAAACACTCCATTCATGTTAGACTGTTGAGTGAAAATGTAAATGAGCAGGCAGCAAATCTTACATGTTATGCAAACACAGAAGCTAAAAAAAGTATTGCTGATCACTGACTCTCTTGTTGGAAATATTAAATTTGTCCAGGTTTCAGATTTTTTAAGTCTCAACTTTCTGCACTTTTTAAAAGAGGAGTTTCATAAAGAGCATGCATAATTACCAGAAGAAAACCTGTAGTAATCATGCAACACTTCACATAAGAATTTCCATCTAACTTTCCACATGCTTTCTACAAAGCCAAGTCTTTCTTTTCTTCTTCTTCTTCTTTTTTTTTCAGGCCAATAAGACAATCAAATAATATCCACCATATATAGCCATGAAAATACACATGACATAATGGAAAATCAATTGAAACAACACTGCAAAGAGGACTAAAAGTAAAGTGAAATCTCTAGATTTTAGGATTTTCTTGAAAAGTTACCCACAATGTCAAAACATTTAAATTTGATTTAGATGTGGAGAGAATTGGTTGGAATTTATAAAAGAGAGCTTGAAAACTTAATAATGGACATCAGTGTATTTGTTTTTTATAAAGGACAGCAACACTCCTCACAAGACACTTTTGTTCACTTCTGGGGGAGGCTTTCTTGCTGCCTGTCACAGGATGCTACATTCTTAGTGTTTCCTTTCAGAACAGAAATTCTCAAATATAAGCAAGCCTCCAAGTCCCCTGGCAGGCTGGGTTCCAGCTGCAGATTTCTGATTCAGTAGGTCTGGAGCTGGTTCTGGAAATTGCATGTCTAACAAGACTCCAGGATTACTGAGCTGCTGGCCTGGGGACTGCACTTTGGACTTCTCTGGTTTAAAGAGGGAGCAGAGTGGAGAAGCTTGGAAGCATGAGGGAGAAGGAGGACAGGAGCCAGGAGAGAGATCTGTGGAAAGGTGCTGAGCCTGTGAGGCTGTAGAAACAAAGGGCTGCCTCCATAGCTAATCTATGGAGAGTATGGTCTTGAAAATACTCCATGCAGTCAGATTGAACCAAGAGATATGAGAACGAAGGAGCCTACAGGATAAGAAAAAAGTGCCAGAAAAATTTAAAAGGGAAAGATAGGTCACATACCAAGCCCTTTAAAAGATGACAACTGAGACATATAGATTACAAGGAAAAACCATCCTGCATCTCAAAATATGATCATTTTCCAGTCCTCCCATCCTCTACCCTAATGGAAAGTGGTAGAAGCTTCCCCTACAAGCTAGCAAAACAGGTGTGAATTTCATTCCACTGACTGTAGTGTACAGGAAGCACCATTCTCCCGATTATTCAGTACTTAACTTTATTGCTGAATCCAAGCGCTATCCCAGCTGGGAAAATGCAACCTCAGTTATTTGAGAAGTCTCCGCTCTCCCCCAGGGTTGGGATATGGCTCAGAAATCTTAGACTAGTCCCAGACACAGTGTGGAGTTCAATGTTCTGTGTTCATCAAGTGTCAATCCTCAACCCATATGAGTCATCCTCGGTATGTCCGTGGGCTCTGTCCCTATCAGCTGCTTCCTCACACTGTTACTATGAGACTTTCTTATGAAGCATCTATGGCTCAGTCTGACTAAACGCACTGCAGAGCAACTCCCTGCTAGATTCTTCTGGGTTCTCCATCCCAGGAAGCAGAGTTGCCACTGCTCGAGCGCTCACAGACTATTTGCTCCTCTCCCCCTACAGGCTGGAGGGGAATCCCATTTCAGTTTGTGACTGGGGTCGCCCAAACTCCCCGGCTTGTACATGTAATTCTCTGGGACTTAAAAATGTTTTTCTCACTTTTACTTATTTCATAGTTCTCCAATTTTTAGGATTTAGGCCCAAATCCTAAGAGTCTGACACTTACAGGAGACATAGGAACAGAATAAATAGGAGAAGCAAGACAGTTGTAATAGAATAAAGACTGATAGAGAGTGCTGTACACTGGGAAGGGAAAGAACCTCAAAAAGCATTAATATTAAAAATTTTTTAACTGTGGAGGCCAAACAACACACTTATTTGGGTCAATGGTACAGCAGGCTTCGCATTTGTGAGCATAGTTGAGGTTAATGGAAAACAAAGATGTTTTATGCTTTCCTCTTGGCTATTCATCAGGAATTGAGTATAGTGCATGCTCTGTTTTCATGAAGACAAGAATTGTTTTGCTAGTCTTCTTCACTGTTGTATCCTTAGCAGGTAAAACAGTGCTTGGCACACTATAGATGCACTCAGTAAATATCTGCTGAATGGCTGAATGAATAAATAACTGAATACATAACAGAAACAAGTACATTATTGTCTTAAAATATTATCCAGCCCTACTATCTTTAGTCTGTGCAAATCACACTGATGATTAAATGCCACATTGTATAGAAGAGTAAATGGCACACTGACCAAATATAAAGCTCTCACAAGTCTATATATATATCCATAAGGGCCCAGCCCTCTTCCTTGCTGATATGGTTTGACTCTGTGTCCCCACCCAAATCTCATGTCGAATTGTAATCCCTAGTATCGGGTCAGGGACCTAGTGGGAGGTGATTGAATCGTGGGGGAGGACTTGCCCCTTGCTGTTCTCATAATAGAGTTCTCAAGAGATCTGGTTGTTCAAAAGTGTGTGGCACCTTCCCCTTTATTCTTTCTCTTCCACCTGTTTCAGCCATGTAGCACGTGCCAGCCTCTCCTTTGCCTTCCACCATGATTGTAAGTTTCCTGAGGCCTCCCAGCCATGCTTCCTGTATAGCCTGTGGAAACGTGAGCCAATTAAACCTCTTTTCTTTATAAATTACTCAGCCTCAGGTAGTTCTTTACTACAGTGTGTGAATTGACTAATACACTTGCTCTACCCTCCATACCACTCCCTGGACACAGCAGTAAAATTGTAACTTCCTGATAAAATGTTGAATGTACTGGACTGAGGCTAAATTAGACAAATATGTTTACATCTGAGTATAGCCTATGTGGTGGCTAAAATAAAACAGAAGCTTAGGGTATTATTACAGATTTCAGTGGTTTCAAAGAAAGTCAAGAAATAGCCTGAGGAACCCAAGCTTAGAAGCTGAAAACTTGATCTGAACTAATTTGTGCTGTGCTTCTTTCATTCACTAAAAAGCTGTCTAACTCCCTTGGGAAAAATTATCACTGTATTTCTACCACCTATTCGCCTGTCTTCTACAGTCAGGCTCAGGAGTTCATGGCTTTCTGCCTGCAGCTTCCTCTTTTATCTGAGGCTATTCTATGAGGTCCCAAACCACTGGAAAGAAAGAAAACTAATCTTCTCTGATCTGCATGGTTGCTTCCACCCGTGAATTGCTTCCCTTGGTGAAGCATTAAGCATTAAGCCAGGAGCACACGAGCTCTGATAAAACACTCTGGTGGAAGAGAGATTTGCTATTGCAGCTGTTCATTATTTGTGAACTTCTCCAGTGTTTGTCCTATTAATATTGTCCAGTTCCAGGAACATTTTGGTAAGAGGAAAGAGTATTTTGAAGTCCATGTGTCCTTAAGCACGAATAGTCACTGCTCATTCCTACTTTGTAGCAAGGATCATCTCCAACTATTTGGGCCTCATGGCCTCCATTTCCATTTAGTGCACTTTGTAACCTTCCTTCTCATGTACCCACTAATCCAGGACTTTTTATCATTTGTACTGCTGCTGTTGGGAGACAATATACAAGAGGTGTGACTTGCAGCATAGTGTGATAGAAAGAGCATGAGATGTGAGGTTAGGAGACCTGGGTTGGACTTACATTTCTACCCGTTACTCACACGGATTTGTTTAATTGCCAACCTTCTAAAATACATGCCTTAGTGAAAATTGAAAAAATATAGCAGGATGGCTGTGAGGTGCACATGAGATAAAAATAAAAATATGAGAAGGAACTTTGTAAGAAGAACAATAAAAATGCTAGTCATTGCTGTTGATAGTATTAACACTATTAGTAGGAACAGAGTGGGAGGCAAGAAGGAAGATGGTGAGTGGGAAATTAAGTGTGCTAGTAACAGAAAAGACAAAAGTGGGAGTCCCAGGACTCTTTGATACATGGTAGTTGGTTGGGGGAGGATGTGGCATCAGGGAACAAGGGCTGACTAATCCTCATATGAGTAATCTGCTAGGTATTGCCCCAAAAGAAGAGAATGAACAACTTGGCCTGCAAAAGGGAGGGTGTGGAAAGGTGAGGCATGCAATTTGAGACTTTAACAGTTTGTGGTCTCTTTTCAACATAGCAGTCACCCTAACATTGCTGGAGGAGGAGGAAGAAATTTGAACATAATATAAGGAATATAATAAGTAAGCCTGAGATAAAATGATGACTGAGATCATGCTGGTCCTTCCTGTAGTTTATGGTTAATAACATAAAGTACTTTTTAATCCCTTCTGCTGTCAGCCCCAACTCACTAAGACCTAGGTTATGACAAAGATAGCCAGTTGCCTACAGAAAGACCTGTTCTCTCCCATCCTTCTCAGTACCCTTATTTTTCCCTGGGTATATTGCCACCCAAAACAAAAGGCTACATACCCAGACACTCTTACACTTGGGTGTAGGGAGAGGGCTAATTTCTGTTCATGACATATAGTGAAAATGTTTGTCAGACTTTAAGTAGGTCCCTCGGAACTGACTCAACTGGGAGTGTTTCTTTCATGGCCTTCTGCCATTCTTCCTTTCTCTGGCCAGCTACATGGACATGATATCTGGGCATCCAATCCTCTACCACCACTGTGCTGTTTCTTATATCAGACATAGTTGAGGTCCCATCAATCAATCTACATTTGCTCAGACACCATCCCCAGAAAACAATGATGTGTTATTACGCTCTTCTTTTCTGGGGATGGTGTTTGAGCAAATGTAGACTGATTGCTGGGAGCTCAACTATGTGTGATCATAATGACCATCACACCACTCCAAGCAAAACCAAGGCAAAGGGAAAAAGATCCTTGATGGCAGTATGTATCTTACAAAATAGAGCTTTTCCAAAAAGATTCAGGTTGTGAGGATAAGAGAAGATAGAATCTACAGAAGATAATTACCCTAGTTAGGTGAAGGCTTTCTACAGTCTAGAGATTAAGATGTGTACCAGGTCCAACAGCCTTATAGTCTTATAAAGCAATGCATGAGATAAGAAAGAAATAGACCTTTGAGTCTGTGATGCTTAATATTGAGTGTCAACTTGATTGGATTGAAGGATGCGAAGTATTGTTCCTGGGTGTGTCAGCGAGGGTATGTCCAAAGGAGATTAACATTTGTGTCAGTGGACTGGGAGAGGCATGCCCACCCTCAATCTGGGTGGGCACCATC
This sequence comes from Homo sapiens, assembly GCF_000001405.40. Taxonomy (NCBI): domain Eukaryota; kingdom Metazoa; phylum Chordata; class Mammalia; order Primates; family Hominidae; genus Homo; species Homo sapiens. Next base: position 80,540,197 of record NC_000006.12, on the reverse strand, counting down.
TAATCAGCTGCCAGAGTGGCTAGAATAAAACAGGCAGAAGAAGGTGGTAGAAGCTGACTTGCTAAGTCTTCCAGACTTCATCTTTCTCCCGTGCTGGACGCCTCCTGCCCTTGAACATCAGCCTCCAAATTCTTCAGCTTTTGGACTCTTGAACTTACACCAGTGGTTTTCCGGGGCTCTCTGGCCTTTGGCCATATACTGAAGGCTGCACCATTGGCTTCCCTGCTTTTGAGGTTTTAAGGATTTGGACTGGCTTCCTTGCTCCTCAACTTGCAGACAGCCTATTATGGGACTTCACTTCCTGACTGTGTAGGTCAATTCTCCTTAATAAACTCCCCTTCATATATACATCTACCCTATTAGTTCTGACACTCTAGAGAACCCTTATTAATACAGAGTCTGAAGACAGGAAAGAAAAGTTCACCTCTGACAACTACTTACTATAATGCACAGAAAAATATCTGAAAAATTAACCAAATTGTTTTTCTTTCTTTGCTGGGTTTTTTGTTGTTGTGGGGGTTTTTTGTGTTAGTTTTATTGTTGTTGCTACTGTTGTTGTTTTTGTTCTTGTTGTGATACTATTGTTTTTCTGACATCACCCAAAAGATACAAAAAAGGTAGTCTCTGACACAGGAGCAGAAAGCTATAAAAAGTGCAAAAGTTAAGCTGTAAAAACTTTAGAATGAGATTTAAAATAAACATAATATGAGAGTTTCAAAAAACTTTAAAACAGTAGGGTTCACAAAACTTTAAAAATAGTAGAAAACTGTCAGGCACATTGATAGTGGCAAATAGTAAAATATATGTTGGAAATTGAAAATAATGATATAATAATAATATAATAACACATTTAAGAAGCACTCTTAATATGTAGAATATGAGGAAAAAAGAGGAAAATGATGGAGGAAAGAGAATTGATATGGCAGACAGAGACTATGGAACCAACATTCAAATAATTGTTACTCAGAGAAAAAGTAAATAAATTGGACAAAAACAATAATCAAAGATATTACAAAAGAAAAGTTTCCTGAATTTTAAAAAAGGGCCATCAAGAAGAGAAATAATGATATATCATACCTATTTTTATTTAAAAAAAAGCAAGTATAAAAGTCTAGATACAAAATGTATATACGTAATACACACAAGCACAAAAATGATACTTGCCTCAAATTTCCCCTCTAAAATACAAAAAGCTAAAAAACTATGGTGAAAATGTAGTTTTCTAAAGGCTATAAAGATATAATCAAATACAACATTTACCCAGCTAAAAATATGGGGAAAAGTATTCTGATATGCACTTATGGAAATCAAATAATAAAAAAGAAAATTACTATAAAGGAAATATGTAATTACTGTGATGGAAATAAGATTACTACAGTGGAAAAATGGAAAAATCTAGGTTAAATATAAGATTATCTAAGACATTATCAAAATTATTTCAAGGAGCAAAAATATGCTAAGAACCATGAAAAATAATGAAACAGTTATCAAAATGTACCTCTGATATAACCACTGAGACCAGTAAATTCAATATAAAATTTAATAAATAAGTATCATGCTGTTTAAATATTTTCAGAATACATAAAATTATTTCAACTTCCCACATCTTTATATAAAACTAGCATAACTCTGGTGGCAAAATTGTTATAAATAGTTCAAATAGAAATTATAATATAATGTGTTATAAACATACTTATATAAATCTAAATGATATAAAATATTAAAGTGGTTACACAAGTCTAAATAAATGATATAAAAACTATTTCAAGATAGATTGTTTTAAATTTTTAAACAATTTAACCAAAGCAGTATATATCCACAGTAGAAAAAAATTTTAAACAAATAAACACATATCTGCCTGTCTCATAAAAAAAAGATAAAACGAAAAACAAATGGAAAGATAGTTTAGACTTCCAAGGTGAGACAGTAGAGATAAGCCTGAGAAGAGAATGTTCCTACCCCAACACTTGATGAAAGGAACAAGAAACACAAAACACAAATTTTGAAAAGAAGTGCCAAACAAATGAATAAAAATTGCTTTTTTGGTTCAGGAAGTTTTTAAACTAATCTGCATCTTTCAGAAGAAATGATAGGAAAAGTAGATGATTAATCAACACCTCAAAAGTCTTAATGGTATTCCTAAAAATGAGGAGAAGCTGAAGAAGTAGGCTGTTGGAGAAAGAGTCAGGAAAACAGCTATGCAAGCACCCCTACCAAAGGTACTCAATAGAGGAAGAGAAAAAATTTCAGTGAGTGTCATTCTACGCTCTACTAGCAAGGGAGGGGAAAAGAGAGGGTTCTAAAAAACACCAGCAGTAAGTTGCAGACATGAAAACAAAAGAGTAGATAAATAGGAACAAACAAACAAAAAACCTGTGAGCACCAAAAGCTGACAAATTAAACAGAAGGTGATGTCACCTCTACCCCAATTAACTGTAATGGGGGTAAACCCCATAGGAATCATTATCTTTTCCTGTTCTGACTGGGAACTAAGGTGTATACACAAAAGGCTGCTGGAAGAATGTGTAAGTAAAACAAGGAAAATGAATAACCTAAACAAACTCTCCTTGCTGGAAGCATACGCTTCAGGGCATCACGCACAAATCAGAAGATTGAACTGAAGTGAGTAGGAAGAGAACACATTCCTAGTTTGATGGAGTTGATTGTAATACAGAAAATTTACTCAACTTGAAGAAAAAGCAGAGCCTAAGCTTTCTGCCTTCTCCACTGTCATGACTTGAGGCTAGAGAAAAATTGAGTAATAGCAATACTCAGGCGTCAGAGTACAGCTCTGAGAGAGGACAAACTGGAGAGACATAGTGGCAAAAGTATCCTACAGAATTCACTCAGACACACTTACAGAGCGAAGAGAGAGTTTGGGAGCTGCCCCCAGTAAGCATGAGCCAGACTAAAAGAAATGGCATTGCAGTTATGCATAACTGCAACAAAAATGCAGAGAGGAAAACTGACATGGCATACAAAAGAGACAGCAAAATTCTAGATGGAAAGAAACTGTATTTAAGAGCAGAATAAACTCCTCGAACTTGCTTCACAGTGTGCAAAACTTAGAATAGGAAGCCAAAAATATGAAAGCTCATAAAACAACAGGAGTAGATATAAAGGAAGATGACAGAGATAAATTGAGAGTCCAACAACATCATTAGAACCATTACATGTCTATTTGATAAATTAGAAATAGCAAGAAAAAAGACAAGCTGAATGTCATATTAATGGGATTGAGGAAAGGCCTGAGATAATATTAACAAATTAGAACTAAGCTTATAGAGGGCAAAGTAACAGGATATTTTATGTCCTTATCATTGTAACCCAAGAAAATGAAACAAGAAATAAAAATATTAAAAAGAAAAATCTCTGAAATTAAAGAGAAGCACAGTAGAGGACAGACCTTGTCACCTAGGAAAAAAATATATACAGAAGCATCAACACTGCAGACTATCTGATTAAGTTATTAAGATTCAAGGACAAGGAAATATTTTTTTCAGCCATCCAGACAGAAAGAACAAGTCAAATAAAAGGGAGGAAACCAGGTTGGTTGCTGATCTCCCCACAGCAAGAAATTAACCCAGAAAATCGTAGAACAAATATATAGAATATGTAGAAAGTAGAAAAGTTCCTCTTCAAAGCTCGTCTTGGTTTAAAAATAAAATAATAGACACTAGAAATAATAGCTTCTTACTCTAAAGCCTCCTATCAACTATTAGTTCTTACACTTTAGCCCAGTTAGTTGCTTTGCCTCACTCAGACATGTCTGGACAGGCCCAGGCAAGTCCTGGCTCATAGCTTATGTCCCTTCCTTTTTTGGAAATGTTATTGCTTCCTTAAACCTTTCATAAGCAACTTCCTCTCCTTCCTTGTTCTCCCTTGCACTTACCTATTTAGGAAAGTTTTAGGTTATTAGAAAATTGGGTATCAGCTTAAGACTGTGAGGTCCAGCTCCAGCCAATGGATGCAGGACACAGCAATGAGGATGACCCAAATGTGTAAGGGATACACATTTGGGTCCCTTTGTTGAAGTGTGCTCTTGCCATTGTTCAATCTGCAAGGAGCACCCTTTCTGCAGAAAGTAAAAATGGCCTTGCTGAGAGATCCTTTGTCTCCCTGCTGACTTTTCTTAACAGCACCAATTATCTATTTCTAACAGAATATCCTGAAGAAAAAAAAAATTTTCAAGATATATTGTAGCCAGACATGTTAGTTTAGGAATAAGGGCAACACTCAGACATTCTGAAATATAAGAGAACTTAGGAAACATTATGCATGAGAACTTCCTGAGGAAAAAAAATGCAAATAAAGCCCACCAAGAAATGACTGGAAAAGCCACAGCAAAATGACTAGTCCAGTACTCAGTGCCATGAAATGATAGTGCAATGTCAAAAAAATTCTGAGCTTGGAGTTGCCAACTCTAATGCCTATAAGGATGAGACAAGATATAAAAGTTATTGAAACAGATTGGATTCAGTGAAGTGGAGAGCATACATGTGCTATCAAAACAAGGTAGCCACAGCCAATTTTCTGTTGAGAAAATGAAAAATGTAGTTAACAGGATGTCATATTACTACATCATTGATTTTTTCAAGAAAATTCAGAAATCCAAACTTTTGTATTAATTCTCCCAACTTTTGAATTCCAGCAACAAAATTAACGTTATCCAATTTTATTGGGAAAAAATTTCTCTGTTGGCTGGAGAAACTGGTAAGTAACCAGTTTGTCACCTGTGGAAAATAAAATAAGACCCGAAAATGGTGCTCCCAGTCAGTCTAACTCGGAGAGAGACAGTAGACCCATAGCCACCAATGTGAAATAATTCAAAAGATAGCAGTACTTATGGACCTGCCTTGAAAATTCTACTTGATGATAGAAAGTGGGCAATACATGAAATGGAGAAACTATGATAAGACTGTTGGTGAGCACTAAATCAATCCAAATATAGAACTAAACTTAAATGACTATAGGAATTATACTTACTGCAAAATAATATAAATATTGACGGTGTAAAAGCAATATATATATACACATATATATATGACTAACAGGTGGTAGGAAGAAGTGTAAGCATACAAGACTAATATATAATTTTTAGAAAGATATTCCCACATCCTAATGTTTACACAATCATTTTTTCTTAACCCTTGAAAGAAACTCAAAGGTTAAGGGATTATAATATATTTTGGTAAAGAACCTGTTATGGGCTGAATTGTGTATCCTTCCCCTCCTCCTAATCTCAGAATGTGACTGTTTTGATGGTAGGGTCTTTAAATAAGCAATTAAGTTACAATGGAGTCATTAGGGTAGGCCCCAGTACAGTATGACTGGTGTCCTTATAAAAGGAGAAGATTAGGGCACATACAACACAGATGACCACGTGAGAACACAACAAGAAGGCAGCCATCTGCAAACCAAAGACAGAGGCCTCAGGAGAAACCAAAACTGCCAACACTTTGAGCTTAGACTTCCAGCCTCCAGAACTGTGGGAAAGTAAATTAAATTTCTGTTGTTTAAGCCACCCAGTCCATGGATTTTTTCCTGGAAGTCCTAATGCAGAACCACAGTCTGATGTTGAGCAATCCATTCAATTTTACTTAATTTATCATCATTTCTTAAATGCAAAGAACAAATAAAATTAAATAGCATATAGAATATGATCAAAATTTTAAAGGTATTTCTACTCTCTTACTCTATTCCTGATACTATTACAGAACACTTCAGACTGAGTGATTTATAAACAAATTCATTGTTCCACAGTTGTGGAGGCTGGGAAGTCCAAGATCAAGCCACCAGCAAATTCAGTATCTGGTGAAGGTTCAGGCTCTGCTTCCAAGGCAGCACCTTGAACAAGGGGCCAAAAGCTTTGTCTTCACATGGTAAAAGGGATGGAAGGTGATAGGTGGCTCCCTCAAGCCTCTTTTATAAGGGCATTAATTCCATCCATGAGGCTCCACATAATCACCTCCCAGGGCCTCACCTCTTAATAATACAGCCTTGGAGATTAAGTTCCAATGTATGAATTTTGGAGGGACATATACAATATAGCCATAGTATCTGCTAATATATCTTTCTAATTATATGTTTACTATACAGAAGAGATATATGGAATGATGTTAACTTATTGTTAGCAATGTTCACTTCTGGGTTGAGATATTAGAAGAACTTCTCATATTGAGTATATGCAATTTTTAGCAAAAAATCTATAACATCAGTTTTTCTAAAAAAAATATGAAAACATAATATAATCTTTATCTGGAGAAACCTCATGCTGTAGTTATAGCACAGATCTTTCCAAGTGTACGTATACACATGCATACACACACACACAGACCCACTTATTCACACACAAATGTGTTCACAGACCTCAAACACTTACATACACACATACAAATGTGCTTTTAATGAGTTCATTCAAGATTTACTACTATTTTACCAAATAATGTAAACATATTAGGAAATATAGCTTTATAACATCATTTTGTCTGCTTATTCTCCATTGGGGATATGTGCCTTAATTTATTTAAGTAATATCTAGTTTGGGACATTCAAGTTGTTTATAAATCTTTGCTTTCATATACACTTCTGCAATAAACAAACATTCTTGTAGCTACATCCCTGCCTACATTATATTTAGGAGCTAGTTCAGCAGAATATTAAACAAATAAAAAACTATGGCCAAAAAAGATTAAGAAATGTAATAATGACTCAATATGAATAAATATATAGTTTATCATATAAGAGATTTAAAGAATAATCAGATTACAATTATATAAGGTAAAAAAGCTTTGGTCAAGCTTAATATCCAAATGCCCTTAACCAAAAGAATAATCTTTTCCTGGAATAATATCTCTTAACTGAGTAACTATTACAATTAACAAGTGAAAATAACTAATAAGTAACTACTAAGTAAATACACAAAATTAATAATTTTTTATATGTCCTCAATGATGATATAAAAAATTCAAGAGAAAAAAGATGTTTTTCACAATAGCAACAAAATATAAAATAGCCAGAAAATTTTAATATGAATGTTTAAAACATAAATAAAACTATTAAACTTCCCTGAGAGATGTAAAGATTACTTAAGTCATAAAAAATGTAGTATGATGCCCAATAGCAAAACTCAATGTAGCAAAAATAAAAATTATCCCAAATAAATGTATACAATGGGGTTATTTTGGAACCTAAGTAATATCAGTCACTTTGTAGAATGTGATTAAACAATAATTCTTATATACCGCTGGTACAAGTGTACATAGAAATAATCTTTTTGGAAGATGATAGTGAAATTTATATCAAAAGGCCTTTTTAAATGTCCACGTCTTTGCCCATCAATGATGGATAAATTTATATGTATGAAGAAAGATTTATTCAAAAAGCCTACTATTGCATAGAATGCAAAAATAAGCATTTCACAGTAGCTATGCTCAAAAAGATCAATACTAGAAAAAGAGGTATATAAATAGTTAATTGATGTATATACGTATGTGTGTATGTATAGTCACACACTTAAGTATTATAAAGAAAGCAGTGTAAGTTAATTTCCTCTGTAAGACAGGTGCAAACAACATACTACGAAAGTCTTTATGGAGAAAAAAGACCACATCATTAGAGAAAAGGGTGGGTCTGGGGGTAGAGAAGTGGATTTACTGTGAAGCTAATGAAACCAAAACCTCAGGGTTCCTCACACACACACAGGATCCCTCCAAGGCCCTGGCAGGGGGGATTAACAGTGTGTTCACATAGTCATATTTTTTAATAAAATTTGCAAACATGGCATATTTTAACCTCAATTAGTAGGCCTTCTACCTCTTTCTGCTTAGTTTCCCCGCTGGCTAACTTCCCCTCCTCATGGTAGTGGCCATGAGTATTTGTGGTTCAGTTCAGTTAAGAAGTTGGGGGTGCATTTATTGGGCTTACTAGGCTATATTTATGTGATTCACAGTCACTTCTACATATTGTTCAGAATACTGCTCTCCTTCATAGCATAGAAATGGCTCCCCTAAATACTCCTCTCATCCATTGTGCCAAGTCAATTATGATTCTGACACAAACGTGCAGGCTTATAGGATATAAGCATTCCCATGTCACACAACACAGGAATTATGTGAGTCATATAGGGAGAAGAAAGGCTTGAAATGTATAGACTCAGTCTGCAGTCAAAGATTATACCCAGTTCACTAAGGAGCAGAAATTCAAACCAAACACACAAACACACACACACACACACACACACACACACACTTAACTAGTTATAGAATTATGAAGAGTCTCTCACTTATGGTTTCTGGTTTTGCTTTTTCTTTTTAATCCAGGCAGAACGCCAACAACCAAGGCAAGAAGAATGTGAAAAAGGATTCAGTATGTTCAAGAACCCCAAGCCTGGTAACTTCCTTAGTGTACACCATTATTTACATAAACATCAATAAATTCAGAAGATTAAAGATTTGAAGCAATAGTAAAAATGACCATTGTTAAATATGCCTATTAAATTAAAAATAGTTATAACATTATTGAAGTTTTTACCTAAAAACATAACAGGAAGTCATTCTAGAACTTTCTAACATAGATACCATTGTAAAGTTCAGACATAAGATCGCTGCTTTAAATTTTCACTGAAAACTCAATACGTGAAAGCTGGTTGCAATCACTTTAATGTTTTCCAGGATTAAAAAATAATTACTAGTACAAAAAAAAACTACATGTGCTTATAAAGTGTCAACATTTAATATTTCTTAATTATTTAAGACATCAGTAGCAAGTAGGATTATGCAATGCCAGGATATAAATGGCTCAGCTACTCTTTGGTGTATTTTAAACCTATCTCCCATTGTTTGATTAAAAGACATGTTATTATCTAAAAGTCACATGTAGAGGTCTTAAATCATTGTATCTACAACATCAAAGAATAAGATGTTTATTACTGAAGAAGTCATTTAATTGTATACATCCCAAGACATGAAGTTTCCAGCTAGAGTTGTCTAGTCCATCACACTGCTTCAAAGAGCACAGAAGCTCAATATCTAATTGGGAATGGAGGAGGATGAACAGCAATGTGTTTGGCTAGATGCCACATCAGGAAGCTAGTGTAGTTTTGAAGTTACCTATATCCTTCAAACAACATTCACTAAATAGTAACTGAGCATCTACTATATCCCAAAGACTGAAATAAGCTGAAACTAAATATATATATGGGGAATGTAAATTTTCAGTTAGTTGGGACTGGCTCTGTCACTTACAATCCTAGTGGCCTCAGATAATTTAGCTTCTTGGGGACCTGATTTGCACTTCATAAACACTGTTAATAATACCTACTAAGGAGTGTTGTTGTAAGGGTGAAATTATTGATATAAGTATTATCAAAACAAACCCTCAAAAATGGTTTCATCTATTTAAAAACTGTGCTTGACCATGAGCCCAACAAGAATCAGACTCAGCATTACATTTGAGTGCCCCCGTGATTTCTCCAGAACAACACACTGAGTAAGACCCACACTAAAATTGTTTTCAGAATCGGAGATGAGAAAGTGACCACATCAAAATGGAGAGAAAAGTAAAAGGTGAGTGAGAGAGAGAAAGGCCAGACATTTTCTTGTGTTCTATCCTGTGCCATTTCAGAGCAGAATACTATGCCTCTAACTGTAGATTATTCTCATCTGTAAAATCTGGAAGGAGAAATGGCAGCCACCTTTCAAAGTCTATTCACATGCTGTGGTAAAATATATGTATCTCTGTGGGACTGACTGCAGCCTTTATTAATGTGCTCAGATTTCTCCTCGGAGTAAATGTTTATTAATACATAAAAACCTGTTGAAAGCTCGTAATTATCCACATATATTGCTCACACTTTGTAGACCATTCACAGAATATTCAGGCTGGATTTGCTCCAGCAACTTACCACATATATGGCTAACCAACAACTGGTGTGTTCTCAAGATGCCCAGATTTCAACATCAGCATAAGGCAAAACAAGCTAAAATGAGTTTTACAAAATCAAAGAAAAATTATTTGAGAATTATCCATTGATTGTATTTATCTATGCCGGTAAACTCTTCCCTTATTTGGACAATTAAGAGTTGTCATTGTTTTGCTTTGTTTTTTCTCTCTAATGTCGAATGCAGATAACAAAACTTACTTCAAAAACTGAAATTTAGAGATGGCCTATTTGGTTTTCTGATACCCTAATAGAGTTCTTTTCCCTTTTGGACCTCTTCAGATTGTATGTAAATATGTGTGTGCAAATGCCTGTCGGTAGGTGAGCCTATATAACATTTCAAAAGCTTTTCTTAGTCTCTAAGTTCATTAGTTTAAAAATAATTAAAAACTACTACTTATTATTTATCCCAAGGTTTTAGTGCCTTCTTTTTTGGTACTTGATTTCCAGGATGAATGTAATGAAGTTTTTCATTTTGTTTTACTAGTTGTCCTCTAAGCCTATTGTATTTTCAAAACTTAATTTTAGAGAATATACAACAACAAAAATATCACTTAAATCAGACTCTTGCAGAAAGGATTTCCTGGCTACAGAAGAAATAAATGTAAATTTTGCTGTAAAACCTTGCTATCCTTGAGAAATCACTCGAGTTTGAAGCATGCAAATTCATGCATCTAGTTCATAGAACCAGTGGCCCTCAAACTTTTGTTTAAGGAGCGAAAGTTTACTATCTGAATAGCACAAATTTGCAATAACTACAGAGCATTCAGAGAAGTTGGTACCATTTCTAACCAAATATAATTAGAGGACACACCTGAAGTGATGGTGAAAATATCTTCACTTTTCTTTGAGTAAATTTTAGAGCTGGAAGGCTAGAAAGTACATAAATTAGACATTGCAATGTTCACATTTAGTGAAAACTGAGGCCTCTAAAAGTTAAATGAATTTTCCCAAAGTTGCATTGTTTGTTAGTGTCAAAAATCGAACTATAACCCAATTTTCTTCCTTCTAGCCCAGTACTTATAATTTAAAATATTGGAATAAAATATAGTGAAAGATAATGTGAGCCATTATTAATGACAAAGATTAGTAATTGTTAAATTTACTTCTAATCAAGTTTTCCAAAATCTGTTTCTTGAAATTAAACTTGTAAGTACATATTCTTCTCCAAACCACCCAACTTCTTAGAAAATGTAATATCTGAACACCCATCTTAACTTTTTCTAAACCAAGAAACTTAAGCCTACTAGCTACTGCTTCTATTCTTGTGACCTACTCCATAGATTTTCTTTGGCAGCCCAGTAAAAACCTCACATGTTGAAATAATTTATTTCTGAACCTAATATCCCTCTGCAAATTCTTCCACTTGATTAACTTTTTTCTCTTTATCATTATCTCATAGATATTCTAACAGAATAGGAAAATTGCTGATTTCTCCAATTATGAAAATAAATTAAATGAATGAATTTGAGAGAGAAATGGAGAATTAACTTCTATAAATTTCTTGGATATTATACAAGTTTTAACTAATTTAAAGACAGCTTCTTGGGGTTTTTACTTGTAATCTAGTTACAATCTGTTTAAGAATAGGTGAGGTTCAAAATAGTTGTTTCTCAGCCATTTGGTTAAACTTTTAAAATAAACATCTATAAGCAGTCCCTAAAGCCCTTGGGCGGTGGGTGCTGGCAGAGTTGAGCCTTTGTGGTGTGCTGTAGGTATTTTTTATACCTGAAAAGTTTTCAGGTTAAACATTTGTAAAGGAAACTTTTTTCTGAGTGCAAACAAGGGACAGGGTACAAGGCTGATCTGGTGGTAATTAAGGGAAATTAACCAGGAACACATGTAGTCATCAGTTCTCCCCCTTGTCCCTGACTTTCAGAAGCACTTTTCACCAAGACACTAGTGGGCAGTGCCTTGCACAGAAGTTGCTTGTTTATCTTATCTTCATTGTAGCCACTCTGGAACAAGAACAGAAAGGAAATCCCCTGCAAGCTCTGTCTCCCAATTCTCTGGCTCTCAACATCACTGGTAGGAATGGAATACTAAGAGAGGCATTATTGAAACCAAACTCAGTCATTCTTGGCCCCTGGAGCACCATGGCAAGAATTGGGTACTTAGCACCAAATGACTTAGTTCTGAACAGAATGAATTGGCAGTACTGAAAAGGGAGATGGTTGTTTATAAATATTTCATGGAGTTAATGGAAAAAGTACTAAAGAGAAGCAAACAGTGTCACACAATGCACCTGGTAGACATGATGCACCACCTGAGGCATTTTCCAGTTAGCTTTGCCTTTTTGTACGTTGGGTTCTAGGAATCAAGTAAGTTCTTTTCTTTTCTGATTACTCTCGGTAGATTTGTTTCACTATTTACATTCCTATTACCAAACATGTTTGGCGGTACCTTTTTGTGAGAAACCAAGACCACGCATTTTCTGGATCTGCTAAAAACCTCTCTGACCCAGGGTACATCTGTAGAGATTTTGAAATCTGTATTTACACATAAAGGTACGTACACTGTGTAGAGCAGTAACTAAGCAACTATCATGTAATCTGATCCTGGAAGAGAACAAACAACGACTGTTTACTCTCTCTCATCCCACTTACATTTTTGAAAGCCCAAATAGAAAGTACTTATAAAAACAGCACTGAAACTGAATAGATAGGCTATTGGTGGTAATGACTTACTCACGTGTTGCTCAAACTTAAGAAGACCTTAGAGTGTTTTAAAATGTTTCCTCTACACAAGTGAACTTTAACCTTGATAAGGCTCACAACAATTATTGTATATAATTCAACTGTCCAAATATATGCTTAACTAGTATGTGGATGTGGAGTTTAGTATGAGTGACAAATCTAAAAACGCAGCATGCTATTTCATAGAGTGCATTCAAAAGTAAAGCCAAGGAGAACATTCTTCATGGGAGGCCTGTTCAGACATCAAAGTTCTGGATAATATTGACAAGGCTCATAAATTTGGAGGGGAAACCCAGTGTATTGCCCAAAAACTAAATCAAATATTTGGAAATAATTGAAAATATTTGTACAACTATGATCGAATATCAAAAATTAATCAACAAAAGAAATAAGAAATTTAGCCAGAGTAAGCAAACTAACATGATTTGAAATTCAGACAATCCCATTTGACAAGGAAAATATAGAAAACAGATTTTAATTCAGGTCCAATCTCTGGGACCAACCTCCACTTTTGATTTATACATGGAAAGCTCTTCAACTGGAAAAGAGTAAGGACGGAGCAAAAGGTGAAATAGCAAGAATACTGAGGGAAGAGTCACTCATGGCTCTTCTATACAGTCATAGATAACTTGGTTCCCAGAGAACCTAAAAATGGACAAGTTGTGACCAAAGCTTAGCCCTGATTCATTTCAGCAACTTGCTGACACTTCTTGAAGAATAATTCCAACTGTGTTGCATAGGGTTTGCCAGATGAAAAATGTAAAATGTCTTCCACATTAAGATCACGTGTGCTGTAAAGAAGTCGTTGACTTTACTGAAGCTTTTATTAAGCATATCTGATAGCCCAGAAATAATTTTCAGTTACCAGTCTCTTAAGGACTGTGCTTTTTTCTAAGCTATGATAACTGAAAATGTCCAAGGACATTTGGACTTCTCTGGGAAAAGTTCTAAAGGGGAGAAATACAGGTAATTCAGTGCATTGTTGATGTTCCAGCTACAAGAGTTTCCAGATGAGAATGAAGGTATCTACATAAAAAACACTGGTAATTCTAATTCTAGTGTTCAATTTGAGTGATTTTCCAGGCTCAGTGTCTCATCCCTATAATCCCAGCACTTTGGGAGGCAAAGGATGGCAGATTACTTGAGGTCAGGAGTTCGAGACCTGCCTAGCCAATATGGCAAAATCTCCTCTCTACTAAAAACAACAAAATTAGCCAGGCATGGTGGAACACACCTGTAGTCCCAGCTACTTGGGAGGCTGAGGCAGGAGAATCGCTTGAACCCAGGAGACAGAGGTTTCAGTGAGCCAAGATGGTGCCACTGCACTCCAGCCTGGACAACAGAGTGAGACTCCATCTCAAAAAGAAAAAACAAAACAAGTTTGAGTGATTTCAGAGCAAACAATTAATTACTGAAAAAAATAAAAATGTAATTATCTTCTTTTGTCGTGAAGAGATACTGAAGCCATGAACACATGGGAAAATATCTTTTTCCTGAGGATACGGCCAGCCATGCTCCTTACGTGGGGGCATATTGGAACAATTGTCCCGCAAAAGCCCGTGCTCTGGTTTCCAGAATGTCAGAAGCCATTCTGTGGTAGCTTCAAAAAGAAGCTTTTTGCTTGGAGAAAAGCCTCATGTGCCAGTGAACAGTTTTTAAAGAGATTTCTTCACCTTTCAGTTTTGATGAAAAAATTCATAGTGTTAGAGCTGTGACACCAAGAATTTTCAAACATGCCAACATCCACTATTAGAAAAGCTATCATATCTGCTGCTCCTGCTCCATATCACTCTTCGGCCTCTTTTCTGCTTTACATTTGTATGGCACATTTTTAAATCACTTAACATACTACGTACTTTTTACATATGTTTATCATCACAGCAAAGACTTTGTTTTATTCATGTTGAATAAAACATCTCTAGTGCTTAGATTGTGGAAGAAACATAATTACTCGATATGCTGTGCATATCAAATTCATATTCTCATTCCTATTTTATAAGAAAAAAAAAACCTGAGGCTCAAAGAGATTAAGTAATCTACCCAAGGACATATAGATGTAGATAATGATGTGGCAGATTCACTTGCTTTTTCCAAAGTGTTGACAAATTTAGCTACTTGGAGAAAAAAGCTTTCAGCAAATTAATGCTGTATTTGGAAGAACACATAGTTTAGATATCTCATATTCACTGCATGTATTATATTTGCTGAGCATTTTGTAGCCCATATATATATCTATCTATATATACTATGCTTTTATATATATATTCTATGCATATATATATATTCTACGCATATATATACATATATATATTCTATGTTTTAAAAGAGAGATGCCTCAAAAGGGAAGATTTGCAGGAAAACTCTACAATGATTTTTAGACCTTCATTTTGTGTACACATCATTTTGTGTGCACATATTCTCATTTATATTTTATACAGAAAAAAAACCCTGAGGATCAGAGAGATTAGGTAATCTACCCAAGGACATATAGATGTAGAATAGTAATCACTGGGTGTAAACATAGGTTAAATACCAACAGACTATGATGTGATCACTGTTTGGGGAGGATCACTCGATGATGATTATGACAATGACAATAAGAACAAACACTTGGGCAGTACTGACTATGGACTCCATGCTTTCTAAGCATATACAGTTGTCACTAACTCATCTCATCCGCACAGAAACCCTCGAAGTGTAAACTATTATTATCCCCACTTTACTGATAAGAAAACTAAGGCACAGAAAAGTAACTTGCTCAAAGACATACAGTAACTGTACATAGTTAAGCCAAGATTAAAACTGAGGCAGGCTAGCTTGAAAGTCTGTGCTTTAGCTCTCTACTCTCTTGACTTGAAAATGGCAAAGTGTGTCTTTATTCAGCAAGCCACTTGGCAAGTCTTGATCTTGAAGACAACAGAAGATGTGTGGATTGAATTGAAGCAAATTAGCAGGGTTTATATTTTATTAAACAAATTATGTTAAGCAATACTGATTAATTAAACAGTGTTACCTTAGAGGAAGGTTCCTAGACACATACCACAAGGTCCATTCTGTTCAGTATTTACATCACTTGAATGGATACACAGAAGACAAGCTCACCCAGTTAGCTGATGACAGCAACCTGCAAGGTTCTGCAAAGGTGTAGAATGGCATAGCTTTAAAATAACTGTGTAGCACCCTCACTGGAAGGAGAGTGACAGAGTGTTCAGAGAAGGGCAGCAAGGCTTCTCTTGAATCCTCCACCAGTGTTAATGCTCTTCTTTTCCTCTCTCCTCCTTCAGCCCCACTTCCTTTTCCTGTTTTAAGCTACAGCCTGTATCATGGTCTGTTGCCACTTGCAATGGGTTTGCTGTAATTTAGAATCACTGATGATGGTAACCTTTCTGTTACCCTGCTCCCTACCAAATACTGAATAGTCCTCCTATACCCAGGTGGATAAAAATAAAAACAGCTAAGGCAAAGTATCTTTCTAATTCCCCACCTTCTCATAATACCTTTAAAATCATTCTATCGTAGTTACTTGGTAAACGGCATTCTGCTCCCACGTCATTCACATTAATATTTAATGTTTGATCAATTTAAATGCATAGAGTTGCAAAGTGCACTCACAAATTCTTGGTAGTTTCCATTTGAAAATAGAAGGATGACTCACCAGGCTCTCCTTTTCCTGTAAACAAGCTTAGTGCAAAACACTTGAACCCTGTGTGTTTTTAATGTCCCTAACTTCTGAATGTTCCTGTGTGATAGGGGCGGATTAACGGCTCAAGCCATATAACAGTAGGTTGAGAACAAGCCTTCCAACTGCAAGCGGTGTTGTGTTTCCTGTAGACAGGTGGAAGCCGCCTCGGCTTCGGGCTCAGGGATGCGCCCTCTCCTGGCTCTGGGCCTTCTGCGCCTTTGTTCAAGGGCTTCGGCATCCACAGCTGGAGAGAAAGTGGCAAATACTAAGAGGAAGTAGCTAAAGAATTCCGGAAATTCTGCCATTTCCTTAACAGAGGTCCGCATAAATAGTAGAGCTCCTGCACCCCACCACATCTGCCCTGTCCACCTGACCCTCCTGCGCCATAAAAGAAAACACACCGAAGACCCAATGTGGACCACAGAGAAATTTGTTAGAGCTGTTGTTTCACTGGGTTTGACATTGACTTGAGGGAGCGGGACATCTAAGCTACTTTTAACAAATAACATCATTTATTAATGCCTCTCTGTGCCTGAAGCAACTCATTTGTTATAGTGCCTGGGAACACGGCCGTTGAGCTCATTTTCAAAGAAAAAGGAAGGAGGACACTGGAAAATGTTTCCTCTCAGGCAGACATGCTGATGAAAAGTTGCTTGGTATACGTCCAGATTTCTGTCTCTTGCTGAATTTTTAATCTTGTTTCTCTTGGATGAGCTTCACCGCTCTGGTTTTGACCACTGATACATGTGTAGGGGTTATGCTATTCTGAAACTATAGATTTTGTTTGACAGGGGCAGCACCTGGAAAAACTGGCTAAGGAAATAGTGGTATTTCTCTATTAACTCCCTTAGCACAGTCTCCATTCTTTACAGCTTTCTTGAGAAATTGTGTTAATAATAAAGCACGTTTGCAGTGAGCAATTATAGTTCATAGACTTTTCCTTGCTTTGCTGAAAAGGCATTACCTTCAAATGGATGCCAAATAGCAATGTTCTACATTCAAAGAGGATAAGGGGGTTGTGTGTCTTAGAACTACCTAAATCACTCCTGTAATTTGCAATGAGGAAAAGGGAGTAAATGTCCTCATGTAAAATTCAAAAGAAATACTGGGACAATATCTCCCATAGCAACAGCTGTTTTAGAAGTTCCGGCATGATTAACAAGCGTCTGTTTCATCTTTTTTTCCTTTGTTTAAAATCAGACTGCAGCCTGCTAAATCAGCAGGTCAAAATAGTACAAAGGCTTTCACAAAAGAAAAACGTGACTTCTATGGATTTGTTTTATTTTTCTGTTGAGATCAATTATTTGCCATATTGTTCATCTGCTTTTAATTAATCGTTAGCTAACCATGATTAAGTGAAGAAGCTGATTGTTTTAAAAAATCAAAAAATATTAGTAAAATAAAAATTCTATATCTTCATTAATATTTACATCGATTAACTGACCAGAATACATTTCAATGCAATAATAGCTGCTTGAATTTACTGTCAATACACAATGACATTTGACTTCTGAGTCAGTGGGCACATTCCAAGCTTGATTTCTTCAGACAGCGCACTCTGAAATGGAGTGTTTATTTGAGAGGGCTCTTAGTATCAATACCTGTGGAAAGCAGAGGTAAGGAGCAGAGTTTAACAGTGGCCCTGAAATACCAACAACAGCAACAGCCTCAGCAGACCCCACAGGTTGCTCTGAAGCTAAAAAGCCCTTCAGAGACTGGCTAGGTCTTCCTACTCTACAGTGATCGATGTTTGAATGTGGGCTGCTTCAGACAGGGGATGTGATACCATCCCCAAAGAGGATTGATAGCTGATGACCTTCTTCCAGCAGCACTATCAGCAGCTAAAAGAATAATTCCTGTAATCCAGAAGACAGACTGGGGTGGTATGTCACTAGTCCACCATAGTATATATGTATAAAATCTAACACTCATCTTTTTAATAAAAGTCATAGAAATTAGGGAATATAACACAAAAACTAAACACAATCAATATTATTCAAAAATTATTAAACATTTTGGAGCTGGGAATAAAGCACTTGATCAGAGTTACAGTACCTATTAGTTCCTTAACATATCTGGAAAAAGAAGAAATTTAAACCCATTAAATTCCCATGAAAAATAAATGAAATAACCACTTCTGGGAAGAAAAGAATATTCCAATATAATTATTCAAAACATGAAAATTAAAAGATTTCCTGTGTTAGTTTCTAAAGTAAATTTCCATGCAAAGGTTATTTTAATTATCCAGCATCCACATGTGTTATAAATGTGCTTAACTTGATAAATGTACCTTCTATAAATGTCTTGCATTAGTGCAATGTCAGTTATATTAATTATCATTTTAGAGTCTGCTTTTGATTAAACTGTGTATGCTTAAAATACAATTAGGATACACAAACATAATGTCTCACTTATAAATATTTATAGATGTCATTTTTAGCAATTATTTGTATCTTTATTTGATAGCAATAAAATGTAAGCATTCAAGAACACTGGGAGTTTCTATACAGATTTTTTTCTGTAAATAGCATTTGATAAGGACTAAGCATAATATTTTCATTAACTGTATACTTGAATCATCATCATGTACGTGATATGATTAAGAATGCATTACATAGTATTGTATCGAATAGTCAATTACATGTAATTAATGTATACATTGCATTGCAAGATAAAAGAAGACATGAAGAAAATGTGTGACTCTTTTGTGAGCTCCAGGAGGCCGGGGCAGCGTCTGCATCTGTTTTGCTTACCACTGAATCCTTGGGTCTTAAAGCATATGGCACATAGCGGGCTCTCAGTTTTAAGCATTTGGTGAATAATGAAGGGATTATAAATCTCAGTTTTTAAAAAAGCAAGTTTTCTTCCATTTCCAAAAATGAAGGAATCTGGTTCATGGTTGTTTTCGGGTTTAGATAAAAAGTTAAGAATAAACATTTTAATGGCAAATTTGAATTTACATATTTAGGTTAATACGTTCCTTGCTCTCTGTATTATTTCACAGATTGAAACAGATCCTCCTTTTACTTAAAACAAAAGATTTATTTTCATTGCAAGATATCAAAATGAGACCTAATTCCAATTTTAATATCATATTGCCCAGCAAACATACTAAACAGCAAGTGCTAAATGTTTTGGAGAAAGAGCTATTAAAATTTTGTCAGCAGGATAAATAAATAAATCCTTTTAATAAAAAGGATATTTTAAAGTTTTATATATTTGCTCTACACTTCCAAATTTCTCAAAATGTTCTTAGAACCCAATTGAGTTTCTCCAAGAATAAGTAGGAAAAAAATTAAAGAAAAAATATAGAATGTGTATATAAATGGAATTGCCAAAGCCAGCCATGTTATTACAAAACACCAAGATAAACTCAGAATGAAAATGACCCTAAAAAGTTGCAAATGAGTATGTTTTGCTGATTTGGAAATACCCAAATCCAACCACCCCCATGTCTTAAGTACTATAGTTTACTACACTTTTTTCTAGAAATAGAAACATAGCCACTCTATATTTATGTTCTATTAGTGGCTGAGTTTTGGCAGTCATGCCAAGAGGATTCCAGAAATGAAAAAAAAAGATTTTGTATGAGTCATCTATTATGAGCCTCCATAAATCTACATCATTACCAAAATATGACCAAAATTGCTATGTGAATACCCAAGAATTGGAACAGATGAGAGAAACAGGGTATTATATTAGAATTCAATTAGTTCTAATATGGTAAGAAAGCTACATTCATCTTGGAGTCCATGAAAAATTTTTTGCTGTTTTGGGGGATCTTCTTTTTAATGATATGTTGACTTGAACAGAAGGCTGATACAGGAGAAGATCTATGGCACAGGCTTGTTACCCACTACTGTAACCACAACAGTATGTGATGGCGTGTGCTCCATCCTCCCTGCATTTCAAGGCTTAACTTTAAATGGTCAATACTTACATAGAATACATGAAGACAAGACTGTAAATCATTTGAATCACAGTCCTCAAAAGAATGGCTTTCCCTTATTTTCTAACATATGTTGGACTAATACTCCTCTAGGAGTTCTTTAACCAAATTATAGTCGCACTACAGTTTTGAATACAAATAAATATCTCATTTCCTTGAGTCTATGCCTAAAAGTCACTTAAAAAAAGACATATTTTACACTATTTTAATAATATTTTACTTCTAATTTTATTTGTTTCAAAGATTTCACTGAAGAATCCTTTTAGAAAAAGCTATTCTAGAAATTCAAGTAGTAATATTTCATGTCATTTCCATTAACTAGTTACACATTACATATTTCATCTACTAAAAACCTAATGCCGTTCCCCAAAACACACACATATGCACACACGCCAATCTGGAACCTAACAGGAGGTTAGTAAATGTTACATCAGAAGGTAGTGGCAATTCCTGCTAGTAGCTTATATTAAAACCAATTGATACAGGCCTAAAAGTAGGAAAAAGAGTTATTTCTTTAACTGATCATCTGAAATGTGTCACTCTAAAACAATTTTTTGAGAGACAAGCACTTAAACACAGTTCACTAGCTCAGTTCTAAGACCAGAGCGATGTTCATGAAAATGTGACAGAACCACATATAAAAGGTGATTTTGGAATAGAGTATGATAAGACTAAATGCCTCATTAAGACAAAAAGTCCTGAGCACTTTACCTGTTTGTTAAATTTTGCCATGACCTCCACTTTACAGATGGTAAATCAAAGCTTAGAAGAGTTAGGTAACTTACCCATAAATCCACTGCTTATAAATGGTAGCTTCAATCAAAACTCAGGCCGTTTGACTCCAGTGCTCACATTTTCATACTGTGGCTATACAATGGAGAGAAACACACACACACACACACACACACACACACACACACACGCATGCATTGTCAACCATTTCTATTCTGTGGTATTTTTATTATTCCAGGATTTTAAAAAATAACAGATGAAACTGCCTTTTCATTGGCACATGCAATTTTTTTGACAGAAGATACCACAAATATGTGGAACAGATAAATAAAATATAAAGTACTATATAATTAATATACATGGTAAATAGTATAGACTAAGAACAACATAGAGATAAGAAAATGGGGCAGTGATGTGGACTGAAATAGTTAGAAAAAGATTTTCCAGAGGTAGTAGACTTGAAATGGATTTTGACATTTGAGTGATAATTGGACAGTCGTATTTGAGAATGGATACTATTCTCATCTGAAAGAAAACCACACAATTAGCTGTACAATAAATAAAAGTTAGAGAGGATCACCTTAGTTGTATAAAATGTAAAGAGCCCATAAAGTTACACAGCATCATGATAAGATTATTAATACCAATTACACCTAAAGGTTATCTACTTTGAATAACACTAACGACTAAGTTAAAGAATAGTGTGTTTGAATACTTTGTGATTTATGAATATAAAATTCAAGAACAGGCAAATAATTAATCAACTACTAAAATAGAAGTCAGGCCAGGCAGGGTGGCTCACACCTGTAAGCCCAGCACTTTGAGAGGCCCAGGCTGGCATATCACTTGAGGTCAGGAGTTTGAGACCAGGCTGGCCAATATGGCGAAACCCTGTCTCTACTAAAAATACAAAAATTAGCCATGCATGGTGGTACATGCCTGTAGTCCCAGCTACTCAGGAGGCTGAGGCAGGAGAATCGCTCGAATCTGGGAAGCAGATGTTGCAGTGAGTCGAGATCACCACTGCACTCCAGCCTGGGCAACAGAGCAAAACTCTGTCTCAAAAATAAATAAATAAAATAAAATAGAAGTCAGACTAGGTGACTACTAGTCAAGAGGGTATTGACTGGGAAGGGGCACAGGAAAACCTTCTGAGGTGCTAGAAATATTCCGTCTTGATTCGGGTGGTGATTAGAGAGATGCAAGTAAAAATTCACTGACCTCTCCACTTGAGATTTGTGCACTTACAAACTTCCTCTTTGTGAGTTATACCTAATTAAGTAAATCAATAAAGATTAGAGTCTTCAGCAGGAAACAGGGTTATTTAGTGTAATATACATTTAACATTGGAAAAATCTTTACTGACCATATGGACTACACGGTAAAAAATGAAAATAAGAATTAAAAAAAATCTCTCAAGGTTAACAATTCCAACTCTGGCCTTCACAGATAAGAAAACTGGCACCAAATAGATGCAAACAGTTGCCCTGGGTCACATGACATTCAAAGGCTAACATGGATTAACATTGTTGAAAGCTTTTCTATCCTTTGGTCATGCCTCCATAATATATTTCATGCACCACATATTTCTAAAAAGAAGCCTGATACACTGTTGAATTCTTAGTAATATTTATTTTCCAGTTTCCATATTATCGCTTGCTTTGGTCACACTTATTTTTCCTCCTTATTCTTGACCTCTCTAAACTGAATTATTTCAATCTTTCCTTGAAATTGAATTTTATTCATTTTATAGAAATTTGGCAACTGTATTTGTCCTGAGACTTCAAAAAAATTCCCTCTGTTACTGAGGAGACTTTCACCTGAGTCATTTTGTGCTTATCAGCATTCTTTCATGTGCATAGTCTTTGCTCCTTTGCTCTATAGGTAGAGAAACAGGTGATGTTGATATTGATGCAGACAACATTGCTCCAGGTAGATGTGTTCTCCCAGGTCCTTTTGCCTAATTTACCTACCGCTGATCTCCAGAATAGCTGTTCACAATGGCACCCTACCCTCCCCCCAACAACCATCCTCCTGTTATTCTCAACTGCTTCTGAGACTTTAACAATGAAATTTGCCTATGAGAAAACTGCTAAGTGCTTTTTCTTTGTGTGTTTTTCATTCATGTAGCTCTCAACTCAAAACAGCATTCTCTAAATTTTGTATGTGGAGCACAAGTGTCTTTTTTGTAGAGATCTTGACATTACTTAGATATGTCAAGGTTTGTTGAAAAACTTTAGGCAAATTCACGTGCCATGACATCATTGAATTACCTGTGGAGCAATCCCTTGGCATATTAATAAACAACTGTAAATGGCCCAAATACAAATATTGCTGAAATAACTAGATGCAATGCATAGGTACATTTGTTGTCATCATATTCACAGATGAGTACAATCTAAGTTTCTTTTTTTTTTTTTTTTTTTTTTGCAAGTCTACTATTTTACCTATAATTAGAGACATAGCAATCTGGTGAGCTTTAAGCTATTCCAACAATCTTCAGAACAGTTTATAGTCAAAGGCAACAGATCCCAGAACTTTGTTATTCACTGCCAAACTTTCCATGGGCCAACTTGGTTCATATTCTTCTTTGTTGACATAAATATGACAATTCAGATGAAGGCAGATTCAGAGACCTCTGATCCATAACAGCCAAGAAAATTCTATCATCACTCTAGATGGGCTGTGCCAGATTTCTTCCATCTACCATTTCAGATCCACTTCCACCCTGATCCATCCTGCTCTGTGTTCCAGGAGGCTGATTCGAAGGGACCTTTTCAAAGAGTCCCCTTGCCTTCTGGCTTCCTGTTGTATTGGCCAGTGGAGAGCACCAGTAAGACATAGGAGGCAGCTCTTCATAGAAGGCAGCCTAACAGAAAAATGATCTTCATTCATGGGATAGAGAAAGCTGAGCATTTTTTCCCCTGGCTTCTTGGAGGGAGGATCACCTCAGCTTGCTCTATCCCATGAATGAAGATCATTTTTCTGTTAGCCTGCCTTTTCCAGACATTCTGTTCTGTCTCTAGATTCTATCACCACTTCCTTCCCTTACTCCTTTGGGCCTAGGAATAACAGTCTCCACTAGTTCTGGGTTCCTGACTTCCCATATGGTTTTCCTTGCCCACATCTTTTCAACTGACCCCTTTATTATACTTCCTTCCAATTACTCAATTTGAGTGTATCTGTTTTGTGCAGGGACCTTAATGATAATTTAGCTCCAATAAGCCAGTGAAAATAACTTTGGAAATGTGGCCCATCTGGAAAAAAGAAATGTTTTGTTTGCTTTCTTTCCACCTCCAAGCACGCAGAGTAGTGGAGTATTAAGTGAGCACCAGACTGCCACATCAACCTGATTGTCAGTCCCAACCTTCTGCCTAAAGTCTCCTGATAGTAACTGTCAGGCCTCTGAGCCCAAGCTAAGCCATCATATCCCCTGTGACCTGCATGTACACATCCAGATGGCCAGTTCCTGCCTTAACTGATGATATTCCACCACAAAAGAAGTGAAAATGGCCTGTTCCTGCCTTAATTGATGACATTATCTTGTGAAATTCCTTCTCCTGGCTCATCCTGGCTCAAAAGCTCCCCTACTGAGCACCTTGTGACCCCCACACCTGCCCGCCAGAGAATAACCCCCTTTGACTGTAATTTTCCTTTACCTACCCAAATCCTATAAAATGGCCCCACCCCTATCTCCCTTCCCTGACTCTCTTTTCGGACTCAGCCCACCTGCACCCACATGAAATAAACAGCCTTGTTGCTCACACAAAGCCTGTTTGGTGGTCTCTTTACATGGACACACATGAAATTTGGTGCTGTGACTCAGATCGGGGGACCTCCCTTGGGAGATCAATCCCCTGTCCTCCTGCTCTTTGCTCCATGAGAAAGATCCACCTACGACCTCAGGTCCTCAGAACAACCAGCCCAAGGAACATCTCACCAATTTCAAATTCGGTAAGCAGCCTCTTTTTACTCTCTTCTCCAACCTCCCTCACTATCCCTCAACCTCTTTCTCCTTTCAATCTTGGTGCCACACTTCAATCTCTCCCTTCTCTTAATTTCAATTCCTTTCATTTTCTGGTAGAGACAAAGGAGACACATTTTATCCATGGACCCAAAACTCAGGCGCCGGTCACGGACTCGGGAAGGCAGCCTTCCCTTGGTGTTTAATCATTGCGGGGACACCTCTCTGATTATTCACCCATGTTTCATTGGTATCTGATCTCTGCGGGGATGCCTGCCTTCATCATTCACCCATGTTCCCTTGGTGGCAAGTCAATTGCAGGGACGCCTGCTTTGGCTGCTCACCCATGTTGCAGCCCAGGGCTGCTCCCCATCCCCTTCTCCGTGTCTCTACCCTTCTCTTTAAACTTGCCTCCTTCACTATGGGCAAACTTCCACCCTCCATTCCTCCTTCTTCTCCCTTAGCCTGTGTTCTTAAGAACTTAAAACCTCTTCAACTCTTGCATGACCTAAAATCTAAGTGTCTTATTTTCTTCTGCAACACCCCTTGACCCCAATACAAACTTGACAGTGGTTCCAAATAGCCAGAAAATGGCACTTTCAATTTTTCCATCCTACAAGATCTACATAATTCTTGTCATAAAATAAGCAAACAGTCTGAGGTGCCTGACGTCCAGGCATTCTTTTACACATCAGTCCCTTCCTAGTCTCTGTGCCCAGTGCAACTCGTCCCAAATCTTCCTTCTTTCCTGTCTGCCTGTCCCCTCAGTCCCAACCCCAAAAGTCACTGAGTCTTTCTAATCTTCCTTTTCTACAGACCCATCTGACTTCTCCCCTCCTCCCAAGGCTGCTCCTCGCCAGGCAGAGCTAGGTCCAAATTCTTCCTCAGCCTCCACTCCTCTATCCTATAATGTTTTAATCACCTCCCTCCTCACACCCAGTCCGGCTTACAGTTTCGTTCCTCAACTAGCCCTACCCCACCTGCCCAGCAATTTCCTCTTAAAAAGGTGGCTGGAGCTAAAGGCATAGTCAAGGTTAATGCTCCTTTTTCTTTATCCCAAACCAGACAGTGTTTAGGCTCTTTTTCATCAAATATAAAAACCCAGCCTGATTCATGGCTCATTTGGCAGCAACCCTGAGATGCTTTATAGTCCTAGACCCTAAAAGGTCAAAAGGCTGTCTTATTCTCAATATACATTTTATTACCCAATCTGCTCCTGACATTAAATAAAACTCCAAAAATTAAATTCCAGCCCTCAAACCCCACAACAGGACTTAATTAACCTCACCTTCAAAGTGTACAATAATAGAGTAGAGGCAGCCAAGTAGCAACGTATTTCCAAGTTGCAATTCCTTGCCTCCACTGTGAGACAAACCCCAGCCATATTTCCAGCACACAAGAACTTCCAAACGCCTAAACCGCAGTGGCCAGGTGTTCCTCCAGGCCCGCCTCCCCCAGGAGCTTGCTACAAGTGCCAGAAATCTGGCCACTGGGCCAAGGAATGCCCGCAGCCCAGGATTCCTCCTAAGCCACGTCCCATCTGTGCAGACCCCCACTGAAAATCGGACTGTTCAACTCACCTGGCAGCCACTCCCAGAGCCCCTGGAACTCTGGCCCAAGGCTTTCTGACTGACTCCTTCCTAGATCTTCTTGGCTTAGCAGCTGAAGACTGACACTGCCTAATCGCCTCAGAAGCCCCCTAGACCATCACAGACGCCGAGCTTCAGGTAACTCTCACAGTGGAAAGTAAGTCCGTCCCCTTCTTAATCAATATGGAGGCTACCCACTACACATTACCTTCTTTTCAAGGGCCTGTTTCCCTTGCCTCCATAACTGTTGTAGGTATTGATGGCCAGGCTTCTAAACCTCTTAAAACTCCCCAACTCTGGTGCCAACTTAGACAACACTTTTTAAAGCCCTCTTTTTTAGCTATCCCTACTGCCCAGTTCCCTTATTAGGCTGAGACACTTTAACTAAATTATCTGCTTCCCTGACTATTCCTGGGCTACAGCCACATCTCATTGCCACCCTTCTTCCCAATCCAAAGCCTCCTTTGCGTCTTCCCCTTCTATCCCCCCACCTTAACCCATAAGTATAGGACACCTCTACTCCCTCCTTGGCGACTGATCATGCACCCCTTACCTTCTCATTAAAACCTAATCACCCTTCCCCTGATCAATGCCAATATCCCATCCTGCAGCATGCTTTAAAAAGATTAAAGCCTGTTGTCACTCGCCTGCTACAGCATGACCTTTTACAGCCTATAAACTCTCCTTACAATTCCCCTATTTTACCTGTCCTAAAACCAGATAAGCCTTACAAATTAGTTCAGGATCTGCGCCTTATCAACCAAATTGTTTTGCCTATCCTCCCCATGGTGCCAAACCCATATACTCTCCTATCCTCAATACCTCCCTCCACAATCCATTATTCTGTTCTGGATCTCAAACATGCTTTCTTTACTATTCCTTTGCAGCCACTCTTCGCTTTCACTTGGACTGACCCTGACACCCATCAGGCTCAGCAAATTATGTAGGCTGTACTGCCACAAGGCTTCACAGATAGCCCCCATTACTTCAGTCAAGCCCAAATTTCATCCTCATCTGTTACCTATCTTGGCATAATTCTCATAAACCATACGTGCTCTCCCTGCTGATCATGTCCGACTAATCTCCCAAACCTCGATCCCTTCTACAAAACAACAACTCCTTTCCTTCCTAGGCATGGTTAGTGCAGTCAGAATTCTTACACAAGAGCCTGGACCCCACCCTGTAGCCTTTCTGTCCAAACAATTTGACCTTACTGTTTTAGCCTAGCCCTTATGTCTGCGTGCAGCAGCTGCCGCTGCCTTAATACTTTTAGAGGCCCTCAAAATCACAAACTATGCTCAACTCACTCTCTATAGTTCTCATAACTTCCAAAATCTATTTTCTTCCTCATACCTGACGCATATACTTTCTGCTTCCTGGCTCCTTCAGCTATACTCACTCTTTGTTGAGTCTCCCGCAATTACCATTGTTCCTGCCATGGACTTCAATCTGGCCTCCCACGTTATTCTAGTTACCACACCTGACCCTCATGACTGTATCTCTCTGATCCACCTGACATTCACCCCATTTCCCCATATTTCCTTATTTCCTGTTCCTCAGCCTGATCACATTTAGTTTATTGATGGCAGTTCCACCAGGCCTAATCGCCACTCACCAGCAAAGGCAGGCTATGCTATAGTATCTTCCACATCTATCATTGAGGCTACCTCTCTGCCTCCCTCCACTACTTCTCATCAAGCTGAACCAGTTGCCTTAACTCAAGCCCTCACTCTTGCAAAAGGACTACGCATCAATATTTATACTGACTCTAAGTATGCCTTTCATATTCTGGACCACCATGCTGTTATATAGGCTGAAAGAGGTTTCCTCACTACGCAAGGGTCCTCCATCATTAATGCCTCTTTAATTAAAAACTCTGCTTAAGGCCGCTTTACTTCCAAAGGAAGCTGAAGTCATTCACTGCAAAGGCCATCAAAAGGCATCAGATCCCATTGCTCTAGGCAACGCTTATGCTGATAAGGTGGCTAGACAAGCAGCTAGCTTTCCAACTTCTGTCCCTCACAGCCAGTTTCTCTCCTTTACATCGGTCACTCCCACCTACTCCCCCGCTGAAACTTCCACATATCAATCTCTTCCCACACAAGGCAAATGGTTCTTAGACCAAGGAAAATATCTCCTTCCAGCCTCACAGGCCCATTCTATTCTGTCATCATTTCATAACCTCTTCCATGTAGCTTACAAGCCGCTAGCCCATCTCTTAGAACCTCTCATTTCCTTTCCATCATAGAAATCTATCCTCAAGGAAATCACTTCTCAGTGTTCCATCTGCTATTCTACTACCCCTCAAGGATTGTTCAGGCCTCCTCCCATTCCTACACATCAAGCTCGGAGATTTGCCTCTGCCCAGGACTGGCAAATTGACTTTACTCACATGCCCTGAGTCAGAAAACTAAAATACCTCTTAGTCTAGGTAGACACTTTCACTGGATAAGTAGAGGCCTTTCCTACAAGGTCTAAGAAGGCCACCGTGGTCATTTCTTCCCTTCCGTCAGACATAATTCCTCAGTTTGGCCTTCCCACCTCTATACAGTCTGATAGCAGACCGGCCTTTATTAGTCAAATCACCCAAGCAGTTTTTCAGGCTCTTGATATTCAGTGAAACCTTTATATCCCTTACCGTCCTCAGTGTTCAGGAAAGGTAGAATGGACTAATGGTCTTTTAAAAACACACCTCACCAAGCTCAGCCACCAACTTAAAAAGGACTAGACAATACTTTTACCACTTTCCCTTCTCAGAATTCAGGCCTGTCCTCAGAAGGCTACAAGGTACAGCCCATTTGAGCTCCTGTATAGACGCTCCTTTTTATTAGGCCACAGTCTCATTCCAGACTCCAGACCAACTTGGACTGTGCCTCAAAAAACTCCTATCTTCTGTCTAGTCATACTCCTATTCACCATTCTCAACTACTCATACATGCCCTGCTCTTGTTTACCCTGCCTGTTTACACTGTTTCTCCAAGCCATCACAGCTGATATCTCCTGGTGCTATCCCCAAACTGCCACTCTTAACTCTTAAAGTAAATAAATAATCTTTGCTGGCAGAACTATGCTGAATCTCCTTGGGCACTCTCTAATTAGATGTCCTAGGTCCTCCCAATTCTTAGACCTTTAATACTTGTTTTTCTCCTTCTCTTATTCCGTTGTTTTTCAATTCATACAAAACCGTATCCAGGCTGTCACCAATAATTCTAAATGACAAATGTTTCTTCTAACAACCCCACAATATCACCCCTTACCACAAAATCTTCCTTCAGCTTAATCTCTCCCACTCTAGGTTCCCACACCACCCCTAATCCCACTCAAAGCAGCCCTGAGAAACATCGCCCATTATCTCTCCATACCACCCCCAAAAATTTTCGCTGCCCCAACATTTTACCACTATTTTGTTTTATTTTTCTTATTAATATAAGAAGACAAGAATGTCAGGCCTCTGAGCTCAAGCTAAGCCATCATATCCCCTGTGACCTGCATGTACACATCCAGATGGCCAGTTCCTGCCTTAACTGATGACTTTCCACCACAAAAGAAGTAAAAATGGCCTGTTCCTACCTTAACTGTTGACATTATCTTGTGAAATTCCTTCTCCTGGCTCATTCTGGCTCAAAAACTCCCTTACTGAGCACCTTGTGACCCCTACACCTACCAACCAGAGAACAACCCCCTTTGACTGTAATTTTCCTTTACCTACCCAAATCCTATAAAATGGCCCCACCCCTATCTCCCTTCCCTGACTCTTTTCAGACTCAGCCCGCCTGCACCCAGGTGAAATAAACAGCCTCGTTGCTCACACAAATCCTGTTTGGTGGTGTCTTCACATGGACGCGCATGAAAGTAACCACCTAATATAAACTGGAGTGTTTTAGCACCCGGTAAAGCAATTGTGACATATTACAAGCTTGTCAGAATTTCTGTTTGAGAGGAAATTACTTTAAACCATAAACCCCCGAAGTTAAGTAGTATGTTAGTTGTTTAATCTTCCCTGTATAGTAGGATTTATGGACTAACTCATGATGGTGATGATTGATAAGAAAGTGAAAATAAACATTGCTGATAATTAAACTGTGCTTCTCCTAATAGAATGTTTTCAATTATACCTGAGCAAGGTCAATAGAAAACAATGTTTTCATTATAGCTCCAAGTCCACAAATGTTAGTCATTTTATACCTACATCTTCTGAGTCAACTGTTGCTTTCCCACCAATGACATCTCAGCCCTACTGCATTCTTTTGCCTCTCAAACAAAGATCATTGAGGTATCCAATTGCTGAACTGCTGTTGCTCCTCAACAGCATCAATAGAAACCTGATGACCACTTCCCTAAGCCCTCCTGAGACCCATTCAGCACAAGCCTGAACCCTATAAAAAGCCCCTTCCCATCCTCTCTTATTGAAATACCCCACAGTCCCTTTTGCAGTATGTGTTCCCAGGCTGTGACAAGCCAAATAAGCCTCACTTTTTTGATATGGCAATATTATGGAACCATCAAGAATTGAATCCAGGAACAGATGCTCCAGTCTTACTCCCTTGACCTCTTTACCATTATTGTGCAACTCTTGTGAAATGTGCTTTCACTCACACAAGCCAGTACACATTTGCCTGTTTACACAAATGGCTGAGAATTTACATTGTACTGGAGGGTAGCCCTTAACAATAACTGCAGGGAGCAGAACTATAACTACTTCATCTCCTTCATGCCAATCAAGACAACTCTGAGGTGTGACCTACACTTTTTTCTTTTCAGAGCTTCCCTGTGAGACTGAGCCAAAGTTACCGTCTGTAGAATTTTGCTTGATAACACACTTTTATCTGTCTGCTTCCTTTTCCCTATTAGTCCAGCTTCCTCATTTCTCAGTTGGTTTTTCCAGGGAATGCTTCTTAACAATTTTCCATGAATTCTCCTCCGATAGATTGCTTCTGAAGAACCCAAATGAATGACAAATGATAACAGAACTTAAATGGCAAATCAATACAATGAAGGCTCCTGGGGGAAGTGATCATCTCAACTAAGATTTTAAAAAGCTGTAGGATTTAGGTAGGTGGAGAGGTAAGAAATGGCACAAAAGTCCAAGGAGATAACAACAACAAAAAACAATACAGAAAAGTAGTTTGCTATGTGCAGAGGCCCAGAAGCTGCTGCATAAAACTGGAGCACCCAGGATGGACCATGAGTGTTCAGTCAGTAGCAAATCATGGAAGGCTTTTTGTGTCACCCTAAGGATTTGAACTTTACCTTATGGCTGAGAGAAACATAATAAGATTTACATTTCAGATCCACCATTCTGGTGGCTGTGTGGAGAATGGATCTAGTTAGAAGGCTACTGAAAAAAAAAAAAGGATAATGCATGGAAGTTGGACATATACTAGAAGGCAAAGATTCAAGAAATAAAAAGTAAAATTGTCAGGTCCTAATGGATGTGGAAGCTGAAGGGGAGGAGGGAGCCACAGATAATTCTAAGTTGAGAAATAGATGCACAGTGATAACACAGAATCTACAGAGATGGGAGTTTGCTGAGTTGGTACCATGAAGATTTTAATGTGACATGCACTGAGACTGAACAGCCCATGAAACTCATTGACAGAAATAATACAACCAGCAGTTGGAATGAAGAATGTGTTTGTCAGGGGAAATATCTGAAAGGGAGATATAGGTGGTAATGAAGATTCTGAGAGTAAATGAGATCATTCCAGAGTGTGTTTAGTGAGAAGAGCAGTGGTGTAAGGAAGGAACCCTGGAAATCCCCATGTTTAATGTTCTGGGAGAGGAACAGGACTCTACAGGAGATGGGCCAGCAGAGTCAAAGAGGTCTGAGGAAAAAAACAGGGGCACACATTCTTTCCACTTTTCCAATCACCACACTGCCCTTTTGTCCTCCTAATACATTGCCCATACATTTATGGGACATTGACTCAGATTAATGGCAAAGTTCCCTTAACATTTTTGTACCCTGAAATTTTCTCATGGCCTGCAATCTCATTGTCCCCTAAATTGGACAAAATTCAGTCCTGTTCTCAAAGTCTAGCTAGGTCAACAAACTGGGTGGACTGCTCAATTATTTCTATATAGGTGGATCCTATGCCCTGAGAGGATAGGCAATGTCACTTACATACTAACATGCATGAACCAAAACTAATCCATCTCCTAACATTTTCATACCTGATTTTGAAGACCCAGCTTTCCCTTTATTGTCCCTTTAAAGCAAAGTGGGGACCAATTCTGCCGAAGACCCATGTGTCCTGGGAGGGCTCGGAAACTGCCTTCCTCCCTAGGCATCAACAAATTAATTACTTGTCAAATTGCATCATGACAGAAATACATCAGAAGTCTGGAGAAATAAAGAAATAAAGAGAAAAATAGGGCAATACTAGAGTGGTTCTGATTGCCATAGAATTTTAAAATATAAATTAAAACAATACCACCACTGAACCAAGTAACTTGTATACGAAGGAGTTATTCTTTGTTGAGGGCTTGCTCAAAACAAATATTTTCACATTTAATATTCAAAATGATGCTTTGAATAGCAATTTATATAATCCCATTTTTTAAAAAATAAGCAACTGAGGCTAACTAGGAATTCAAAGCCAGACAATCCAGCAATTCCACGACTGACTCACAATAGTTTGTTTTTGCATTGCTATAAAGAAATATCTGAGACTGGTATTCCTTTTAAAAGACAGGTCTAGTTGTATTTTTCATACTGCTAGAACAAACACATCCTTACATCTCAGCATAGTTAATTCTGTGCTAAACTTTTTAAAAGGCAAAAATTTAAAAAAATGGATATGAAAACCATGAATATATGATGAATGCCAAGTCAAAACCAAAAAAAAGCTATTTCATTGAGAAGGCAGTGTGAGTTTATTTTAAAGCTAACATAGACCAGGAAATTTCAACCATAAGCTTCAATGGTATCATGATGAAAATTTTTTTATAATGCCAACTGTACACAAAAAAGGCATTTAATAAAAGGTTATCAGAATAATAAAGAAGAAAATTAGTTAAATACATTAAAAATGTGATTGCATTTTTTTAAGCAATTAGTCATGAACTTCGGATGAGCCAATGATGAAAGAAAAAGGTGCCAACACACTCACTGCCCCACCAGACCAAATGGGGGTGAAGTTATGCTATTTGTAGACTAAAGTTCTTGTTTTAATAGTGAGCTCTGTGTTTCCAGTGTCTATATGTAAACTACAAGCCTGCCTAAGACAAGTGGCAACCTTGCATATAAAGGGCAATCACCCATTTATACTCCTGGAAGATCCATCTTGTGAGAACATATTCTACATTCTCACCACTCTGGAGAGACTTTTTTTCTTGTAAAATTTGAGAATACATTTTTACAGCCTAGAGTCAAGTCTTCCTGTGAAGACCGTGACTTTTTAAGAAACACATCAGCAGTCTGTTGCTTGTCTCCTGCCAGTGCTGACCCTTCTTGGGTTTAGGATGACCATTTTCCGAGAATAGAAAATTTGGGCTAAATAAGAAATACTCTTTAAAATTGCTTTATTGCTATGTTGGTTTTTCTTTGTAATTACGGTTGAGTTATTCCATAAAATTTGCTGCTACAATAGTCTTATAATGGCAATACAGTCCAACCAATTTGTTTTTCACTGGAGTAGATGGTAAATGGGCCACGGAATATAAACTTGTTTTGCTGGAGATGCTGGTTAGGTTTTCCAGAAGCTGTTGGTTGGGTTTTCCATAAGAATTGGACTAGAAGCAAGGCTGAATTTGAGGTATCCTAGAAATAGCATGAGAAAAATGCCTTTTTAGCCATATTTCCGTCTTAAATAATGAGCAGAACCGTGCGTTGAAAGGGAATCGTTTGTGTTGGACTCAAGCAGTGAAGGAGGGAAAAAGAAAAAGAAGAAAACATGGAAAGACCAGAACAAAAGTAGGCAGAGTGCCTGGAAATAAATATGAATATACATATAATTTTAAAATTTTAAAACTATAGACTTGAAGAAATAGAACTCTCAAACTCTGAAGACAGGAGTCAACTGGCATAATTTTGCTTTGCAAAGTGATATTGCAGAAAGTGTGGATCCATCAGTATTTAATTTGAATCAGAATTATAGTATATTAGAAATTTGGATCTATTTTTGTAAAGGCTTTTATTCCATTCATAGACAATATTTTATATATTGAAACTTAAAATTTGTTTAGTTTGTCACAAATAATATTTTAATTTTACCTGCATATTCATATCTTCCTCTATTCTAATTTCCCTCTGTCCTTATTAAAAGTGAGAGAATAGGCTTAATAAAGTATCTAGCTCAGGTAGGTCCTGAATAAATGTTAATTCACTTTCATTCTCCAAATTTCTTTTGCTTCAACCTCTGACATTCAAGTTCATAGTTATAAAGAGAGCTTAGTAATAATTGAACATATGACACAGGGCCAAGTGCCGCTGTGTCTAAAACAAGTAATAAAAATTTTACCCACACCCTCTCTGAAATTTATATTCTATTATTATAAAGGCTTTTATTCCATTCACAGACAATGTTTTACACATGAGTGAAAAAGTAGTAAAAATGCCGACTCAGGCATAAATATAGCACTTGCTGTAAATAATGGAGGAAATAATATGTAGACCAAAACTCCGCCTTCTGAAATAAAGTACAATCAAATGCCATATTAGAGATAACCCTAGATATCAAAGGAAGGATACCAGAAAACTGTAGGTACAAAAAAGACTTCCCTCTTGTTCTTTTTGACACATCATTTGAGTGATCTTGGGAAATCTGTTTAACCCTCTGAGGCTCAGAGTCTACTTGTATAAAATGAGAATAATAATGTGCATTGATCAGGGTTGTGACAAAGACTAAATAACTCATGAATGAGAAATCACTTTATTCAACACTAAAATTACATGTCAGTAGTGTTTGAAGTGAGATCTTGCACCAGTAATTTCAGCAACATGTTATTAGAAATGCAACTTGTTAGGTCCCACCCTTAGACCTACTGAATCAGAAACTCTGGGGATGGGGCCCAGCAATCTGTCTGAAAAAGCCCTCCATGTGTAAGAACCACTGCTTTTCCAAAAATATATATCTAGTCATTTTTATCATGGTGAATCCATATGTGAGGAAATAATAATAGTTCAATTATAAAAACATAAAATATGTGTGGATTTTTATCATTTAATAAATGTAAGAACTAATACATTGAATTTATCTGATTTTATACAATTTTTTTAAATCAATTTTAAAATTATATACACACACATGTAGAATTTACTCATTGATTTCACTTATAAATTTGGAGATACAGACCTATTAAACAGTAGAAAATTCTTCAAAGGATCAGGTTGAAAACCCTTTAGCCAGTGTCAGAGCCTGCTGGGCACTATGGTCACTTAGTGCTTATATATCACCTGGAAGATGAAGACCTGTCTAGCTGGCATTTTGTTGTGCTAGAGTTTCCAAATTCTAGATTCCCTCCTCTTTCAACAGTCTCAATTTCTTTCAATTAATATGATTTTCTCTTGTCCTTAATGATCTCTATGTTTTGCTCTTTTTTAATAAAATAGATTTTATTTTTTAGAGCAGTTTTAGGTTTACAGAAAAATCAAGTAGGAAGCACAGAGTTCCCCCATACCCTATACTCCCACACATGCACAGCCTCCCCTGCTATCAACATCCTGCACCAGAGTGGTATATTTGTTATCACCAATAACCCTACATTAGCCCATCAGCACCCAAAGTCCATAGTGCTGTACATTCCATGAGTTTGCCAAATATACAGTTGACCCTTGAACAACAATGCGTTAGGGGTATGGGGCCCCTGCACAGTGAAGAATCCACGTGTAACTTTTGACTCCTCAAAAACCTAACTACTAATAGTCTACTGTTGACCCAAAACCTTACCAATAATATGAACAGTCAACCTATATTTTGAATACTATATGTATTATATGCTGTATTCTTACAATAAAGTAAGCTAGGGAAAATAAAATATTATTGAGGAAAGTTATAAGAAAGAGAAAATACAGTTACTATTCATTTAGTGAAAGTGGTTCATCATAAAGATCTTCATCCTCATTGCCTCCACATTGAGTAGGCTGAGGAGAAGGCAGAGGACAAAGGAGGTGCAGGGGTAGAAGATGTGGAGGAGGTGAAAGGGGAGGCAGTAGAGGCAGGTACATGGTGTCACTTTATGAAAACATATAATTTCTCTCTGACATTTTTCTAAAAATGTTTCTGCATGGCACCAACCCTTTTACCATTTGCTTTAGATTTAGTGCCAGTGTCATAGAAGGGTCTGTGCTGTAAAAGACATCAAAGGCAGTTTTGAATAATCAGAACCCTTCTGCTAGATTGTCTAATGTCAATTTGTTTTATAGTGCTGCTTCTTTTTTTACATCTTCTTTCACATCATCTGCACTGGTTTGGAAGTATTCATCTCTATCAGGGCATCATCTGTTTATTTTTCTGGTGTGATGTCTGTTCACTCTTGATTTTCTCCAAGATTCATATCTTGAAACTCTTCACCCCGTCCCCCAACCTCTTTTGCTGTCTTCACAATCTCTTTCACAATTTCCTTTATTGGCTCTGTTATAAATCCTGTTAAGTCATGCACAACATCTGGACACAGTTTTTCCCAGCAGGAGTTTATTGTTTGGGGCTTGATGGCCTTTATGGATTTTTCTACAACAACAATGGCAACTTCAAAGGTGTATCCTTTCAAAATTTCATTATATTCTCTCTCTCAGGGTTCTCCTCTATAGCAGTGGCAATCCTTTCCATAGAGGACCATGTGTAATGAGCTTCAGAGATCCTTATGACTCCCTGATCTAGAGGCTAAATTAGACACATTTGGGAGCAAGTAGACCACTTCGATGACTTCGGTATTAAGCTCATGTGGTTCTTAATGGTCAGGGGCATTGTCCAATATCAAAAGAACTTTAACAAGCAGCCTCTTACTGGCAAGGTACTTTCTGACTTCTGGGAGAGAATCAATCCATAAAAAGGGTTCTCATTGTCCAGGCCTTTTCAAGGTACAACCAAAGGACTTGAGGATGGTGTTTATCTTTTCCCTCTGAGGCTCATGATTTAGTAGCTTTATAGATAAGAGTAGTCCTGATTATAAACACAAATGCATTTGTTTAAAAGAGTAGACTTAGCCTATCCCAGACTGTCTTAAATCCT
Source organism: Homo sapiens (assembly GCF_000001405.40). Lineage (NCBI taxonomy): Eukaryota > Metazoa > Chordata > Mammalia > Primates > Hominidae > Homo > Homo sapiens. The sequence continues at coordinate 80,502,474 of NC_000006.12, read as the reverse complement.
GGTGTTCACTTCCCTTCCTTAGTAATAAATGTCCTTCTTGGCATTTATTTTTCCAGAATAGGGCAATGTTGTCTTTATTAAAAACCTGTTCAGGCAGATATCCTTTCTCCTCCATGATTTTCTTAATGGTGTCTGAAAACTCTGCTGCCTCTTAGTCAGAAGAAGCTGCTGCTTCTTTTGTCTTAACATTTTTAAAGCTGCCTTTTTCTAAAATTATCAAACCATCCTTCACTGGCATTCAATTCTCCAACTTTAGATCCTTCACCTTTCTTTTGCTTTAAGTTGCCATACAATGACTTCATTTTTCATATCATATCAGGGTCTCCAGGTATGCCTTTCTTTCCTGCACCCACATAATAGCTGCATTTTGAATATGAGATAAAAAGGTATTTTGCAAAAAGTGCAAGGTTTTTATGCCTATGGCACAGTGCAGCAAATTTTCTTTTCTTTTTTTTTACAATGGCCCTTAAGCTGGACTCATTTATCTTGAAATGGTGGGCAAACGCAGTCACAGACCTCAATCTACAGTATGTATCAAGCAATTCAACTGTTTATTGTAATGTCATGGCTTTGCTTCTTGAGAGCACTTCCAGCATTACTACTGGCACTTTCTATGGGTCCCATGGTGCTGGTCAAAGTTTACAGTATTGCACTAAACATGATGAAAAACACATGAGAATGACTAGAAGGTACTTTTTACTACAATACACAGTTTACTGGAGACACGAACTGCCCAAGCAAAGACGATTAGTGACAAACATTATTTTTAAGTGGATTCTCTCAACACTTGAGCTCACCAAAATAGCAATAGTCGGTAGGTAATTTTTTTTTTTTTTTTACACTGGGTCTCACTCCCGTTGACCAGGCTGGAGTGGACTGGAGTGATCACAGTTCTCTGCAGCATTAACTTCCTAGGCTCAGGTGATTTTCCCACTTCAGCCTCTCGAATAGCTAGGACTGCATGCGTACCATCATGTCCAGCTAATTTTTTGTATTTTTAGTAGACACAGGATTTCATCGTGTTGCCCAAGCTGGTCTCAAACTCCTGTGCTCCAGCGATCCACCTGCCTCAGCCTCCTAAAGTGCTGGGATTACAGGTGTAAGTTATTGTGACTGGCCCCAAATTTTTATTTATTTATTTAGTATAAACTTGGGGATACAAGTGTAATTTTGTTACATGCATACATTGTGTAGTGGTGAAGTCAGGGTTTTTAGTATATCCATCACTTGATTAATGTACATTATGCCCATTTAGTAATTACTCATCATCCACTCTCTCTCCTCTCCCTCATCCTTCGGAGTCTCTATTATCTGTCACTCCACACTCTACATCCATGTATACACATTATTTAATCTCACTTATGAGTGAGAATATATGATATATATATATATCTGTGTATATATGTATATAGGTGTGTATCTATATGTATATATACATATAAATCACATGCATATTCATGATCTATACATGTATACATATACATATGTATATGTATATATGTATATATAACATTTTCTTAATCTAATCATATGTTGATAGACACTTAGGCTGAATCCATATCTTTGCAATTGTGAATAGCACTATAATAAACATACAGATTAAGATGTATTTTTGATATAAGGATTTATTTTCCTTTGGGGATATAGCCAGTAGTAAGATTGCTGGCTATCTATGCTGGCTATGGTAGTTCTATTTTTAGTTGAGAAATCTTTATAGATTTTTCCATAGAGGTTGTATCAGTTTACATTCCCAACAATGACATATGAGTTTCCTACTCTCCACATCCTTGCCAATATCTTTTACTTTTTGTCTTTTTATTGATAGCCATTCTCACTGATATAAGTTGAGGCCTCATTGTGGTTTCAATTTGCATTTCTCTGATGATTAGTTTTCTGAGTATGCCTGTTGGCTATTTCTTTGTCTTCTTTTTAAAAATGTCTATTCATGTCATTTCTCCATTTTTAATGGGATTATTTGGTTTTTGTTGCTGTTCTTGAGTTCCTTTTAAAGTCTGGATATTAGTCCCTTGTCAGATGCATAGTTTGCAAATATTTTATTTTATTCGCAGATTCTGTTTACTCTGTTGATTATTTCTTTTGTTGTGCAGACGCTTTGTCATTTAATTAACTCCCATTTGTCTATTTTTGTTCTTTTGCCTGTGCTTTTGAGGTCTTAGTAATAAATTATTTGCTTAGACCAATGTTTACTAGAGTTTATTCTTAGTGTCCTTCTAGTATTTTCATAGTTCCATGTCTTACAATTAAATATGTAATCCACCTTGAGTCGATTCTTGTATATATGGTGAGAAATGTGGGTCTAGTTTCATTCTTTTGCATATGGTGATTCAATTTTTCTTTCCCAGCACTTTATTGAAAAACGTGTCCTTTCCCCAGTGTATGTTTTTGTTGGCTTTGTGAAAGATCAGTTGGCTGTAAATGTGTGGCTTTATTGCTGGATTCTCTATTCTATTCCATTGATCTATGAGTCTGTTGTTATAGTATCATGCTGTTTTGATTACTATAGCCTTATGGTATAATTTGAACTTAGGCAGTGTGAGGTCTCCAGCTTTTTTTTTTTTCTGATTCCGTATGAATTTTAGAATAGTTTTTTCTAATTCTGTGGAAAATGACATTGATATTTTGCTAGGAATTGCATTGAATCCATAGATTACTTTGGGGAGCATGGTCATTTTTATGATTTTTATTCTTCTAATCCCTGAGCATGGAATGTTTTTTCATTTTTCTCTGTCAACTACAATTTCTCTCATCAGTGTTTTGCAGTTTTCCTTGTAGAGATTCACCTCCTTGGTTAAATATATTTATAGTTATTTTAATTTTTTGTAGCTATTCTAAATGGGATTAGTTTCTTCATTTGGTTGTCAGCTAGATCATTATTAGTGTACAGAAATGCTAATGATTTTTGTACATTGATTTTATATTCTGATATTGACTGAATTCATTTATCAAATCTAAGAGTTTTGTGGTGGGGTCTTTAGATTTTTCTAGTTATAAGATCATATCATCAGAGAACAGGAATAATTGGATTTTGAGAGTTTTCACCTTGTTGAAGAGCACCAGATTGCACATTCCTTTGAATGGAATGCCTCTTATGATCCTTGAAGAGGAGAGGGAATTTAAAAGCTGTTGTAGCTGGGTTCCCCTTCACTTGTGAAGATGCTGCCTCCACCATGAGAGTCCAATCCACTGTAGTCTCTTTCAAGCATTTCACCAACCCTGGATGTTGAATTAGCACCTGTTTACTATGACACAGATATTTAAATATTTTAGTTCTTTATAGATTGTCTTGTGTGTGTTTGTGTTAATAAAGCATTTCTTTAACAGAAAAAAATAAAAACAATTAAGTTGGTGGGGATGTGGTGGTGTGCACCTGTAGTCCCAACTACTTGGGAGGCTGAAGCAGGAGAATCGCTTGAACCCAGGAGGCGGAGGTTGCAGTGAGCAGATATTGTGCCACTGCACTCCAGCCTGGGTGACAGATCAAAACTGTCTCAGAAAAAAAAAAAAAGTGAAAGGAAGGGATTTGGGGAGGGTCAGGGAAGGGAGGGAACTGGGGAAGTGTACACACAGGACCACACAGACACATGCACCCACACAGGCACAGAAGGAAAGGGTTGGGATAGGGATAGGGTACACAGAAGGACAGAATAGGACCCCCATATCTTCTAAAACAGCCTCTCCTTCTCCCTTATATCCCCTTCCTCCTCTCCTTCTGCACACTAGAAACATAGTGTGTTTATATTTTACAGCCAAACTATTTTGAATTTTGTTGTCTGGCCCTCAATGCCTTATCCTTATCCTTACCAGGATCATGGTTCCATTTCTCTTGCCCCTGGACCTCTCTGATCTTCTCCATGTTTACTTAATGTAGTTGATTCTTTCTTCTGTAGTCTTCCCCTGACCCATTTCCAGCCTCATGGCCCCATCGCTCTCTTACTGTCTGTGGCAGTTTCATATTTTTTTAGATGAATTTCCTCATTAAACATTTTTTTTAAGTGCCATGCCAGATGTGCTCCCAGGTGCAGATAGGCAGCTACCCAACAAAAGTCCTGTGCCTCATTAATATGGTGCTGCCTGAGGAGCTGCTGAACACTAAGGAAAATGAGGAGATCATGGAGGCCACACAAGATGAATGTAGCAAGTATACAATTATTACAGTTGGGAGGAGCCAAGATGGCCGAATAGGAACAGCTTCAGTCTACAGCTCCCAGCGTGAGAGACGCAGAAGATGGGTGATTTCTGCATTTCCATCTGAGGTACTGGGTTCATCTCACTAGGGAGTGCCAGACAGTGGGCATAGGTCAGTGGGTGCGCGCACCATGCATGAACCGAAGCAGGGCGAGGCATTGCCTCACTAGGGAAGCGCAAGGGGTCAGGGAGTTCCCTTTCCTAGTCAAAGAAAGGGGTCACAGACGGCACCTGGAAAATCAGGTCACTCCCACCCAAATACTGCGCTTTTCCGACGGGCTTGAAAAACGGCCAACCACGAGATTATATCCCACACCTGGCTCTGAGGGTCCTACACCCATGGAGTCTTGCTGATTGCTAGCATAGCAATCTGAGATCAAACTGCAAAGCGGCAGCGAGGCTGGGGGAGGGGCACCTACCATTGCCCAGGTTTGCTTAGGTAAACAAAGCAGCCGGGAAGCTCGAACTGGGTGGAGCCCACCACAGCTCAAGGAGGCCTGCCTGCCTCTGTAGGCTCCACCTCTGGGGACAGGGCACAGACAAACAAAAAGACAGCAGTAACCTCTGCAGACTTAAATGTCCCTGTCTGACAGCTTTGAAGAGAGCAGTGGTTCTCCCAGCACGCAGCTGGAGATCTGAGAACGGGCAGACTGCCTCCTCAAGTGGGTCTCTGACCACTGACCCCCGAGCAGCCTAACAGGGAGGCACCCCCCAGCAGGGGCACACTGACACCTCACACGGCAGGGTATTCCAACAGACCTGCAGCTGAGGGTCCTGTCTGTTAGAAGGAAAACTAACAAACAGAAAGGACATCCACACCAAAAACCCATCTGTACATCACCATCATCAAAGACCACAAGTAGATAAAACCACAAAGATGGGGAAAAAACAGAGCAGAAAAACTGGAAACTCTAAAAAGCAGAGCACCTCTCCTCCACCAAAGGAACGCAGTTCCTCACCAGCAACGGAAAAAAGCTGGATGGAGAATGACTTTGACGAGCTGAGAGAAGGCTTCAGACAATCAAATTACTCCGAGCTATGGGAGGACATTCAAACCAAAGGCAAAGAAGTTGAAAACTTTGAAAAAAATTTAGAAGAATGTATAACTAGAATAACCAATACAGAGAAGTGCTTAAAGGAGCTGATGGAGATGAAAACCAAGGCTCGAGAACTATGTGAAGAATGCAGAAGCCTCAGGAGCCGATGCAATCAATTGTAAGAAAGGGTATCAGCAATGGAAGATGAAATGAATGAAATGAAGTGAGAAGGGAAGTTTAGAGAAAAAAGAATAAAAAGAAATGAGCAAAGCCTCCAAGAAATATGGGACTGTGTGAAAAGACCAAATCTACATCTGATTGGTGTACCTGAAAGTGACAGGGAAAATGGAACCAAGTTGGAAAACACTCTGCAGGATATTATCCAGGAGAACCTCCCCAATCTAGCAAGGCAGGCAAACATTCAGATTCAGGAAATAGAGAGAATGCCACCAAGATACTCCTCGAGAAGAGCAACTCCAAGACACATAATTGTCAGATTCACCAAAGTTGAAATGAAGGAAAAAATGTTAAGGGCAGCCAGAGAGAAAGGTCGGGTTACCCTCAAAGGGAAGCCCATCAGACTAACAGCAGATCTCATGTCAGAAACTCTACAAGCCAGAAGAGAGTGGGGGCCAATATTCAACATTCTTAAAGAAAAGAATTTTCAACCCAGAATTTCATATCCAGCCAAACTAAGCTTCATAAGTGAAGGAGAAATAAAATACTTTACGGACAAGCAAATGCTGAGAGATTTTGTCACCACCAGGCCTGCCCTAAAAGAGCTCCTGAAGGAAGTGCTAAACATGGAAAGGAACAATCGGTACCAGCCACTGCAAAATCATGCCAAAATGTAAAGACCATTGAGACTAGGAAGAAACTGCATCAACTAATGAGCAAAATAACCAGCTAACATCATAATGACAGGATCAAATTCACACATAACAATATTAACTTTAAATGTAAATGGACTAAATGCTCCAATTAAAAGACACAGACTGGCAAATTGGATAAAGAGTCAAGACCCATCAGTGTGCTGTATTCAGGAAACCCATCTCACATGCAGAGACACACATAGGCTCAAAATAAAAGGATGGAGGAAGATCTACCAAGCAAATGGAAAACAAAAAAAGGCAGGGGTTGCAATACTAGTCTCTGATAAAACAGATTTTAAACCAACAAAGATCAAAAGAGACAAAGGCGGCCATTACTTAATGGTAAAGGGATCAATTAAACAAGAAGAGCTAACTATCCTAAATATATATGCACCCAATACAGGAGCACCCAGATTCATAAAGCAAGTCCTGAGTGACCTACAAAGAGACTTAGACTCCCACACATTAATAATGGGAGACTTTAACACCCCACTGTCAACATTAGACAGATCAATGAGACAGAAAGTCAACAAGGATACCCAGGAATTGAACTCAGCTCTGCACCAACCAGACCTAATAGACATCTACAGAACTCTCCTCCCCAAATCAACAGAATATACATTTTTTTCAGCACCACACCACACCTATTCCAAAATTGACCACATACTTGGAAGTAAAGCTCTCCTCAGCAAATGTAAAAGAACAGAAATTATAACAAGCTATCTCTCAGACCACAGTGCAATCAAACTAGAACTCAGGATTCAGAATCTCACTCAAAACCACTCAACTACATGGAAACTGAACAACCTGCTCCTGAAGGACTACTGGGTACATAACGAAATGAAGGCAGAAATAAAGATGTTCTTTGAAACCAACGAGAACAAAGACACAACATACCAGAATCTCTGGGATGCCTTCAAAGCAGTGTGTAGAGGGAAATTTATAGCACTAAATGCCCACAAGAGAAAGCAGGAAAGATCCAAAACTAACACCCTAACATCGTAATTAAAAGAACTAGAAAAGCAAGAGCAAACACATTCAAAAGCTAGCAGAAGGCGAGAAATAACTAAAATCAGAGCAGAACTGAAGGAAATAGAGACACAAAAAACCCTTCAAAAAACTAATGAATCCAGGAGCTGGTTTTTTGAAAGGATCAACAAAATTGATAGACCACTAGCAAGGCTAATAAAGAAAAAAAGAGAGAAGACTCAAATAGATGCAATAAAAAATGATAAAGTGGATATCACCACCGATCCCACAGAAATGCAAACTACCATCAGAGAATACTACAAACACCTCTATGCAAATAAACTAGAAAATCTAGAAGAAATGGATAAATTCCTCAACACGTACACTCTCCCAAGACTAAACCAGGAAGAAGTTGAATCTCTGAATAGACCAATAACAGGAGCTGAAATTGTGGCAATAATCAATAGCTTACCAACCAAAAAGAGTCCAGGACCAGATGGATTCACAGCCGAATTCTACCAGAGGTACAAGGAGGAACTGGTACCATTCCTTCTGAAACTATTCAATAGAAAAAGAGGGAATCCTCCCTAACTCATTTTATGAGGCCAGCATCATCCTGATACCAAAGCCGGGCAGAGACACAACCAAAAAACAGAATTTTAGACCAATATCCTTGATGAACATTGACGCAAAAATCCTCAATAAAATACTGGCAAACCCAATCCAGCAGCACATCAAAAAGCTTATCCATCATGATCAAGTGGGCTTCATCCCTGGGATGCAAGGCTGGTTCAATATATGCAAATCAATAAATGTAATCCAGCATATAAACAGAACCAAAGACAAAAACCACATGATTATCTCAATAGATGCAGAAAAGGCCTTTGACAAAATTCAACAACCCTTCATGCTAAAAACTCTGAATAAATTAGGTATTGATGGGATGTATTTCAAAATAATAAGAGCTATCTATGACAAACCCACAGCCAGTATCATACTGAATGGGCAAAAACTGGAAGCATTCCCTTTGAAAACTGGCACAAGACAGGGATGCCCTCTCTCACCACTCCTATTCAACATAGTGTTGGAAGTTCTGGCCAGGGCAATCAGGCAGGAAAAGGAAATAAAGGGTATTCAATTAGGAAAAGAGGAAGTCAAATTGTCCCTGTTTGCAGACGACATGATTGTATATCTAGAAAACCCCATTGTCTCAGCCCAAAATCTCCTTAAGCTGATAAGCAACTTCAGCAAAGTCTCAGGATACAAAATCAATGTACAAAAATCACAAGCATTCTTATACACAAACAACAGACAAACAGAGAGCCAAATCATGAGTGAACTCCCATTCACAATTGCTTCAAAGAGAATAAAATACCTAGGAATCCAACTTACAAGGGATGTGAAGGACCTCTTCAAGGAGAACTACAAACCACTGCTCAATGAAATAAAAGAGGATACAAACAAATGGAAGAACATTCCATGCTCATGGATAGGAAGAATCAATATCGTTAAAATGGCCATACTGCCCAAGGTAATTTACAGATTCAATGCCATCCCCATAAAGCTACCAATGACTTTCTTTACAGAAGTGGAAAAAACTACTTTAAAGTTCATATGGAACCAAAAAAGAGCCCGCATCGCCAAGTCAATCCTAAGCCAAAAGAACAAAGCTGGAGGCATCACATTACCTGACTTCAAACTATACTACAAGGCTACAGTAACCAAAACAGCATGGTACTGGTACCAAAACAGAGATATAGATCAATGGAAAAGAACAGAGCCCTCAGAAATAATGCCGCATATCTACAACTATCTGATCTTTGACAAACCTGAGAAAAACAAGCAATGGGGAAAGGATTCCTTATTTAATAAATGGTGCTGGGAAAACTGGCTAGCCATATGTAGAAAGCTGAAACTGGATCCTTTCCTTACACCTTATACAAAAATCAATTCAAGATGGATTAAAGACTTAACCATTAGACCTAAAACCATAAAAACCCTAGAAGAAAACCTAGGCATTACCATTCAGGACATAGGCATGGGCAAGGACTTCATGTCTAAAACACCAAAAGCAATGGCAACAAAAGCCAAAATTGACAAATGGGATCTAATTCAACTAAAGAACTTCTGCACAGCAAAAGAAACTACCATCAGAGTGAACAGGCAACCTACAAATTGGGAGAAAATTTTTGCAACCTACCCATCTGACCAAGGGCTAATAACCAGAATCTACAATGAACTCAAACAAATTTACAAGAAAAAAACAAACAACCCCATCAAAAAGTGGGCGAAGGACATGAACAGACACTTCTCAAAAGAAGACATTTATGCAGCCAAAAAACACATGAAAAAATGCTCAGCATCACTGGCCATCAGAGAAATGCAAATCAAAACCACAATGAGATACCATCTCACACCAGTTAGAATGGCAATCATTAAAAAGTCAGGAAATAACAGGTGCTGGAGAGGATGTGGAGAAATAGGAACACTTTGACACTGTTGGTGGGACTGTAAACTAGTTCAACCATTGTGGAAGTCAGTGTGGCAATTCCTCAGGGATCTAGAACTAGAAATACCATTTGACCCAGCCATCCCATTACTGGGTATATACCCAAAGGACTATAAATCATGCTGCTATAAAGATACATGCACACGTATGTTTATTGCAGCATTATTCACGATAGCAAAGACTTGGAACCAACCCAAATGTCCAACAATGATAGACTGGATTAAGAAAATGTGGCACATATACACCATGGAATACTATGCAGCCATAAAAAATGATGAGTTCATGTCCTTTGTAGGGACATGGATGAAATTGGAAATCATCATTCTCAGTAAACTATCGCAAGAACAAAAAACCAAAGGCCGCATATTCTCACTCATAGGTGGGAATTGAACAATGAGAACACATGGACACAGGAAGGGGAACATCACACTCTGGGGACCGTTTTGGGGTGGGGGGAGGGGGGAGGAATAGCATTGGGAGATATACCTAATGCTGGATGACCAGTTAGTGGGTGCAGCGCACCAGCATGGCACATGTATACATATGTAACTAACCTGCACATTGTGCACATGTACCCTAAAACTTAAAGTATATTAATAAAAAAATAAAATAAAATAAAATAATTACAGTTAATTTTATGCAGTTATAATTTAATACTGCATCTTTACTTCTGTTATCTCTTAGAATGACACCATGTATGGTCTATAAGTGTTTGTATGCATACGTTTTGATAAATTTTAACTTTTTATAATATGTTTGTGTATATTTAATGATTGTAAATCATAAAATAGAGTGGTATCTACATATATATTTTAAACATTCATAAAATAATGTTTTCTTAATTGTTTTATTTGAGGCTACACAGTTCCCCTGTGAGTTTTTTTCACATTGTCACAAAACTCCAAAATGTTTTCAATATATTTATTGAAAAAATAGTTCCTATATAAGTGGATCTGTGCATTTCAAACCCATGTTGTTCAAGGATCAACTGCATAATAACACATATCTGCCATTATAATATTCTACATGGCAGCTCACTGCCCAATCTTCTGTGCTCTACCTGTTCATTCCTCCCGCTCCCTAACCTCTGAAAAACACTGATCTTTTTACTGTCTTCATTGATTTGCCTATTCCTGAATGTCATATAGGTAGACATATAGCATGCAGCCTTCTCATATTGGCTTCTTTCACTTAGTAATACACATTTAAGATTCCTTCATGTTTTTCTCTAGCCTGATAGCTCATTTCTTATTAGCTCTGTATCGTTTTCTATTGTCTGAATGTACCATAGTTTATTCATCCATTCATTTACCAAAGGACATGTTGGATGCTTCCAAGTTTTGGTAATTATGAATAAGGCTGCTATAAACATTCATGTACTAGTTAATACATACATGTAAATGTTTGACTTATTTGGATAAATATCATGGAGCATTATTGCTGGATCATATGATAAGGGTATGTTTTGTTTTATAAGAAACTGCTGCACTGTCTTCCAAAGTGATCACACCATTTTGCATTTCCACCAGTAATGAATGAGGGTTCCTGTTCTACGTCCTCACCAGCATTTGATGCTGTCGGTGTTTCGAATTTTGTCCATTCTAATAAGTGTGTAGTTGTATCTTATTGTTTTCACTTGCAATCCCTTTGGGCATATGATGTTGAGTATCTTTGCAAATGATTGTTTGACATCCCTATATATTCTTTGGTGAGGTGTTTATTCCAATCTTTTGCCCATTTTTTAATTAGGTTGTTTATTCATGTTTTTATTTTTAATCTCTCTTTGAATGCCATTTAAACGAGACTATAGAATCACACTAAATGTTCCATATTTTAATACAGCTTGAATATTACTTCAAAAATCTTCAGGTAAAAATAAATAACATCTATACGTCCTCAATGCTATAAATTTCTCAAACTAAGTTTTCACTAATCAAAGAGTTTATTCATTGAATGCTGAATAGGTATTACCATATAATAACCCTTTCCATCCACTTTGTATCATTCTTTCTCAACAAGATATAAATGATTGTAAGGGTTTTTTAAAATATAATTCAGCAATCATAGCACAAACTTGAAAAATAATAATCTGTGTTCTAAATACAGAAATTGAAGTTACATAGAATTGAATTCTATGTCCAAAATCAGTTAAGAAACAGGAAGAAAATAAACAGCAGGAGAAAAATCAGAATCCAGACTCATTTTATGCTTTATTTTCTAATGTACTAATAAAAAGAACTTCCAAATTTCTATATATGAAAGTTGAGAAGGTGACAAAATAGAAGATGGATTCAGAATCACTGTAATATATCAAGATTTCTCAATCTCGGCACTACTGACATTTGAGACAGATAATTCTTTGTTAGATGGACTGTCCTGTGCGTTGTAGGATGCTTAGCAGCATCCCTGGCCTCTACCCACTAGATGCCAGTAGCATTTCCTTTAGTTTTGACAACCAAAAATGTCTCCAGACACTGCCAAATGTCCTATTTTTGTGGCGGGGCTGGGAGAAAATTGCCACTTTATTATATTAAATAATTATTTCTTCTCCTAGAAAATAAAGGTCAAGAAGTTAAAGTTTAAAGAAAAGGTAATAAAAAATATATACAACACTTTTCACCTTTTATTCTATATCAGGCAAACTGTATGAAATGCATAAGGAGCAATCCACTAAATATAAATCTGTCATTTGATTCAAATAACTGGTCACAACCTGTGTGCATGAGAAATGTGGGTTTTGTGGTTTTTGCATGATTGGTGTCTCAGAAGCACAGCTGAGAGGCATAAATCACAGGATGGTGTCAATCACTGGTTTGGCAGTCCAAAGGAACAAGACTGATCTAATACCAAGACAAAAATGACACTTTTCAAAAATATATCAGTTCCTTCCAGTTATTTACATGTTTTAATTGATGATTAAACTTTTGGTTTCATCCTCCTCAATTGTTATTACTATATTTTACTAGCATAGCTCCAAGGATGTTTCCTGGGAGAGATTATTGGCATAAATGGAGGGAAGTGAATGGGCTTTCAGGAAAAATAAATCTAGCTTTGAATTCAAAGTTTATACTAGGTCCTTGGGTCTCTTCTTTTCTCTCATCCGTTTCTTTTTCTCTATTTGAAAGAAAATAATACAAAATCATGAGTGTATTAGTCAGGGTTCTTGAGAAACAATAGGAGAATTGGCTTACAGATTATGGAAGCCAAGAAATTATCCGATCAGTTAAGCCAGAAAGGGAGAGATAGCAACACTGGTGTAAGTTCTGAAGTCAGAAGGCCTAAGAACCAAGAGGTCCAATGTCCAAAGGCAGGAGAAGATGAATATCCTATCTTGAAAACAGGGACAATTTGCCCTTCCTCTGCTTTTCATTCTTTTTAGGTCCTCAATGGATTGGATGATGTCCAGCTGTTTAGGTGAGGGCATCTTCTTTACCCAGTCTACTATCTCAAATGCTAATCTCTTCCAGATATACCCTCAGAGGCACACCCAGAAATAATGTTTAACTGGCTATCTGGGCATCTCTTAGTCCAGTCAAGTTGACACATTAATTGACAATCACAATGGATATAACCCATGTGTATTATATAATATTTTAAGGATCATATAAAGAACTATTAAATGCTCTTTCACTTAATAAAATTTTACTGAGAACCTATTAGATACTAAGCACTGTTCTGCTCTTGTGTGACTTACAAAATAGTATCACTGAGACAAAAGTAAATACGTAAATAAATCAATAAATGAGTTTTAAATTAAGGATATAGAACAAGGCCAAGTTCCAGAGAGGGAGGGTTCCTGTTGAGACATGCTTTAGATATCATGGTTAGGAAGACCTACCTCCCTGACTCCACTGACTGGCTACCTGACACCAGGTAAGCTCCTCTCTTTCCTGTGTTTCTATTTAAGTAACTATAAGATGAAATAAACTTATAGAATTGTTAGCACACAATCAGGGGCAAGTAGCACACAATAAAGTATTGTCTATTATGATTACAGTATTAAATTTTATATAATTCTCAATATAAAGTTTGGATATCATCACTCCCAACAACCTCTTCTGTGGATTTCATAAAGTTCAAGTCTGAAAAATTCCTCTCTGGACTAAATCAATAATTCTATCTTTACATTTAACAAGACTGATTTCTTTTTCTTTTCTCTTTTTTTTTTTTTTTTTTTGAGACAGAGTCTTGCTCTGTCACCCAGGCTGGAGTGCAGTGGCATGATCTCCACTCACTGCCACCTCTGCCTCCTGGGTTCAAGTAATTCTCCTGCCTCAGCCTCCTGAGTAGCTGGGATTATAAGCATCTGCCACCACACCAGCTAATGTTTTGTATTTTTAGTAGAGACAGTGGTTTCACCATGTTAGTCAGGCTGGTCTGGAACTCTTGACCTCAGGTGATCCACCCACCTTAGCCTCCTAAAGTGCTGGGATTACAGGCATGAGCCACCGCACCTAGCCAACAAGACTGATTTCTGACAAAGTGTTAGATGCCATGGTAACGTTTATCACAAGTTATTCAATGCATGACAGCCCCCTTGGGGACAGTCCATAGGGTTTACAACTCATTTCTTGAACAGGTCTTTTTTTTTTTTTTTTTTAAATGTTGGTTGAATGAACAAAGAAGGAACCACAGACAAGAGAAATTTCCTGCTATATTTTCTTTAAGATCCACCTCCATTCCCCTCTAATTTTCTCTTTTTCTCTCTATTCTCTTCCTCCTTTGCTACATCTTGCAGGTGAAATAGACTCTATTCCAAAGGAGACAAAATAATTGTAATATCTAATCTTTCCAAAAAAGGCTTCAGTAACAAAACACACATATTTACTAAGAGTTTCCAGGTACTTCCAACTAAGGTGCAGTGTGATCATTAAAGGAAAGACATCAAAAAGTGTAAAAAATATTACATAAATACAAATCAAGAGTAGAAGACTTAAAATTTTAATCCCATTTTTATCAAGAGTAATCCACTAGGTAAGGCATTCTATATATCTGTATATGAAATGAGGATAAATAATTATAAGATGAACTAAATCTATAGAATTGTTATTAGAATTGTCTCCTTTTGGCTGACTCTCTTTTCAGACTGAGCCCACCTGCACCCAGGTGAAATAAACAGCCATGTTGCTCACACAAAGCCTGTTTGGTGGTCTCTTCATACAGACGTGCATGAAGTTTGGTGTCGTGACTCGGATTGGGGGACCTCCCTTGGGAGATCAATCCCCCGTCCTCCTGCTCTTTGCTCCGTGAGAAAGATCCGCCTACGACCTCAGGTCCTCAGACTGACCAGCCCAAGCAACATCTCACCAATTTCAAATCCGGTAAGCGGCCTCTTTTTACTCTCTTCTCCAACTTCCCTCACTATCCCTCAACCTCTTTCTCCTTTCAATCTTGGCGCTACACTTCAGTCTCTCCCTTATCTTAATTTCAATTCCTTTCATTTTCTGGTAGAGACAAAAGAGACACGTTTTATCCGTGGACCCAAAACTCTGGCGCCAGTCACGGACTGGGAAGGCAGGCTTCCCTTGGTGTTTAATCATTGCAGGGATGCCTCTGTGATTATACATCCACATTTCAAGGGTGTCAGACCACACAGGGACGCCTGCCTTGGTCCTTCACCCTTAGCGGCAAGTCCTGCTTTTCTGGGGAAGAGGCAAGCACCCCAACCCCTTCTCTCCTTGTCTCTACCCCTTCTCTGCCTTTCCTGGGGCAGGGGCAAGTACCCCTCAACCCCTTCTCCTTCACCCTTAGCGGCAAGTCCCGCTTCCCTAGGGGGCAAGAACCCCCCAATCGCTTATTTCCACACCCCAACCTCTTATCTCTGCACCCCAATCCCTTATTTCCACACCCTGACCTCTTATCTCTGTGCCCCAATCCCTTATTTCCATGCCCCAACCCCTTCTCTGCTTTTCTGGAGGGCAAGAACCCCCAACTCCTTCTCCATGTCTCTACTCTTTTCTCTGGGCTTGCCTCCTTCACTATGGGTAAGATTCCACCTTCCATTCCTCCTTCTTCTCCCTTAGCCTGTGTTCTCAAAAACTTAAAACCTCTTCAACTCACACCTGACCTAAAACCTAAATGCCTTATTTTCTTCAATGCCGCTTGACCCCAGTACAAACTCGACAGTAGTTCCAAATAGCCGGAAAATGGCACTTGCAATTTTTCCATCCTACAAGATCTAAATAATTCTTGTCATAAAATGGGCAAATGATCTGAGGTGCCTGACATCCAGGCATTCTTTTACACATCAGTCCCTTCCTAGTCTCTGTGCCCAGTGCAACTCATCCCAAATCTTCCTTCTTTCCCTCCCGCCTGTCCCCTCAGTCCCAACCCCAAGCGTCGCTGAGTCTTTCTAATCTTCCTTTTCTACAGACCCATCTGACCTCTCCCCTCCTTGCCAGGCCGAGCTAGGTCCCAATTCTTCCTCAGCCTCCGCTCCTCCACCCTATAATCTTTTTATCCCCTCCCCTCCTCACACCTGGTGGGACTTACAGTTTCATTCTCTGACTAGCCCTCCCCCACCTGCCCAGCAATTTACTCTTAAAAAGGTGGCTGGAGCCAAAGACATAGTCAGGGTTAATGCTCCTTTTTCTTTATCCCAAATCAGATAGCATTTAGGCTCTTTTTCATCAAATATAAAAACCCAGCCCAGTTCATGGCTCGTTCAGCAGCAACCCTGAGACACTTTACAGCCCTAGACCCTAAAAGGTCAAAAGGCCATCTTTTTCTCAATATACATTTTATTACCCAATCTGCTCCCGACATTAAATAAAACTCCAAAAATTAAATTCCGGCCCTCAAACCCCACAACAGTATTTAATTAACCTCGCCTTCAAGGTGTACAATAATAGAAAAAAGTTGCAATTCCTTGCCTCCACTGTGAGACAAACCCCAGCCACATCTCCAGCACACAAGAACTTCCAAACGCCTGAACCGCAGCGGCCAGGCATTCCTCTAGAACCTCCTCCCCCAGGAGTTTGCTACAAGTGCCAGAAATCTGACCACCAGGCCAAGGAATGCCTGCAGCCCAGGATTCCTCCTAAGCCGTGTCCCATCTGTGCGGGACCCCACTGGAAATCGGACTGTTCGACTCACCTGGCAGCCACTCCCAGAGCTCCTGGAACTCTGGCCCAAGGGTCTCTGACTGACTCCTTCTGGGCTTAGCGGCTGAAGACTGACGCTGCCCGATCACCTCGGAAGCCCCGTAGACCACCACGGACGCCGAGCTTTGGGTAACTCTCACAGTGGAAGGTAAGTCCATCCCCTTCTTAATCAATACTGAGGCTACTCACTCCACATTACCTTCTTTTCAAGGGCCTGTTTCCCTTGCCTCCATAACTGTTGTGGGTATTGACAGCCAGGCTTCTAAACCTCTTAAAACTCCCCAACTCTGGTGCCAACTTAGACAACACTCTTTTTTTTTTTTTTTTTTTTTTTTTTGAGACGGAGTCTCGCTCTGTCGCCCAGGCTGGAGTGCAGTGGCGGGATCTCGGCTCACTGCAAGCTCCGCCTCCCGGGTTCACGCCATTCTCCTGCCTCAGCCTCCCCAGTAGCTGGGACTACAGGCACCCGCCACTACGCCCGGCTAATTTTTTTTTGTATTTTTAGTAGAGACGGGGTTTCACCGTTTTAGCCGGGATGGTCTCGATCTCCTGACCTCGTGATCCGCCCGCCTCGGCCTCCCAAAGTGCTGGGATTACAGGCGTGAGCCACCGCGCCCGGCCGACAACACTCTTTTATGCACTCTTTTTTAGTTATCTCCACCTGCCCAGTTCCCTTATTAGACCAAGATATTTTAACCAAATTATCTGCTTACCTGACTATTCCTTGGACTATAGCCGCATCTCATTGATGCCCTTCTTCCCAATCCAAAGCCTTCTTTGCATCCTCCTCTTGTATTCTCCCACCTTAACCCACAAGTATAAGATACCTCTACTCCCTCCTTGGCGACTGATCATGCACCCCTTACCATCTCATTAAAACCTAATCACCCTTACCCCGATGAATGCCAATATCCCATCCCACAGCATGCTTTGAAAGGATTAAAGCCTGTTATCACTCGCCTGCTAAAGCATGGCCTTTTAAAGCCTATAAACTCTCCTTACAATTCCCCCATTTTACCTGTCTTAAAACCAGACAAGCCTTACAAGTTAGTTCAGGATCTATGCCTTATCAACCAAATGGTTTTGCCTATCCACCCCATGGTGCCAAACCCATATACTCTCCTATCCTCAATACCTCCCTCCACAATCCATTATTCTGTTCTGGATCTCAAACGTGCTTTCTTTACTATTCCTTTGCACCCGTCATCCCAGCCTCTCTTCGCTTTCACTTGCACTGACCCTGACACCCATCAGGCTCAGCAAATTACCTGGGCTGCACTGCCGCAAGGCTTCACAGACAACCCCCATTACTTCAGTCAAGCCCAAATTTCATCCTCATCTGTTACCTATCTCGACATAATTCTCGTAAAAACACACGTGCTGTCCCTGCTGATCATGTCCAGCTGATCTCCCAAACCTCAATCCCTTACAAAACAACAACTCCTTTCCTTCCTAGGCATGGTTAGTGCGGTCAGAATTCTTACACAAGAGCCAGGACCGCACCCTGTAGCCTTTCTGTCCAAACAACTTGACCTTACTGTTTTAGCCTAGCCCTCATGTCTGCCTGCAGCGGCTGCCGCTGCTTTAATACTTTTAGAGGCCTTTCCTACAAGGTCTGAGAAGGCCACCACAGTCATTTATTCTCTTCTGTCAGACACAATTCCTCAGTTTAGCCTTCCCACCTCTATACAGTCTGATAACAGACCAGCCTTTATTAGTCAAATCAGCCGAGCATTTTTTCAGGCTCTTAGTATTCAGTGACAGACTAATGGTCTATTAAAAACACACCTCACCAAGCTCAGCCACCAACTTAAAAAGGACTGGACAATACTTTTACCACTTTCCCTTCTCAGAAGTCAGACCTGTCCTCAGAATGCTACAAGGTACAGCCCATTTGAGCTCCTGTATAGACGCTCCTTTTTATTAGGCCCCAGTCTCATTCCAGACACCAGACCAACTTCGACTGTGCCCCCAAATAACTTGTCATCCCTACTATCTTCTGTCTAGTCATACTCCTATTCACTGTTCTCAACTACTCATATATGCCCTGCTCTTGTTTATACTGCCGGTTTACACTGTTTCTCCAAGCCATCACAACTGATATCTCCTCGTGCTATCCTCAAACTGCCACTCTTAACTCTTGAAGTAAATAAATAATCTTTGCTGGCAGGACTATGCTGAACCTCCGTAGGCACTCTCTAATTAGATGTCCTAGGTCCTCCCAATTCTTAGTCCTTTTATACCTGTTTTTCTCCTTCTCTTATTCCATTTAGTTTTTCAATTCATACAAACCGTATCCAGGCCATCACTAATCATTCTATGTGACAAATGTTTCTTCTAACCACCCCAGAATATCACCCCTTACCACAAGATCTCCCTTCAGCTTAATCTGTCCCACTCTAGGTTCCCACACCACCCCTAATCCCGCTTGAAGCAGCCCTGAGAAACATCGCCCATTCTCTCTCCATACCACCCCCAAAAATTTTTGCCGCCTAACACTTCAACACTATTTTGTTTTATTTTTCTTATTAATATAAGAAGGCAGGAATGTCAGGCCTCTGAGCCCAAGCCAAGCCATCGCATCCCCTGTGACTTGCACGTATACGTCCAGATGGCCTGAAGTAACTGAAGAATCACAAAAGAAGTGAAAAGGCCCTGCCCTGTCTTAACTGATGACATTCCACCATTGTGATTTGTTCCTGCCCGACCTTAACTGAGTGATTAACCCATGAATTTCCTTCTCCTGGCTCAGAAGCTCCCCCACTGAGCACCTTGTGACCCCTGCCCCTGCCCAGCAGAGAACAACCCCCTTTGACTAATTTTCCATTACTTTCCCAAATCCTATAAAACGGCCCCACCCCTATCTCCCTTTGCTGACTCTCTTTTCAGACTCAGCCCGCCTGCACCCAGGTGAAATAAACAGCCATGTTGCTCACAAAAAAAAAAAAAAAAAAAAAAAGAATTGTCTCATTTTATAGACACCCAAGGACCTGCAGGACAGTTGACCTGATTTTACACAGTGCAACATCACAGTTGCATTCTGGCCATTTTGACCCTATGACTCTCAAATGATCCATTCTTCATCTTTATGGACTTGTGACAGGATAATAAGCTTGAATACCTACTGTAGTTAGATACAGGCTATGTATACTCTTTTCTTGCACCATTCAGCTGACCAAAGGGATAAACTAAACATCCTATCTATACTCTAGAAGAGGGATGTCCAGTCTTTTGGCTTCCCTCGGCCACATTGGAAGAAGAATTGTCTTGGGCCACACATAGAATACACTAACACTAACAATAGCTGATGAACTTAAAAAAAAAAAAAATTCAACAAAATCTCATAATGCTTTAAAAAAGTTTAGGAATTTGCATTGGGCTGCATTCAAAGCAGTCGTGGGCCGCATGTGGCTGGTGGGCCATGGGTTGGACAAACTTGCTCTAGAACAACCAGTTGTTCTCATCAGGATAGAGACTATCTAGATGCCCCCAGAATTGCCCTAAGTATAGCTGACTTGCAGTGTCAGCAAATTTCAGTATAGTTAGATACACGAGTACAGTGCCTGCATATTATTAAACCATTGTTCATGACACTGCCTCCTCTAATTCTGACTGTTAGAAATTGTGTATTTGAAGGGGGTGCATCAATCAGTGCAATGTAAAAAAATCAAAACACTTTTGTAAAGAAGAAAATTTTTTTAAAGTCATAAGTAGTACACAATAAAGTGTAAGCTGTTATGATTGTAGTATTACATTTTACATAATTCTCAGCGTAAAGTTTGAGTAGTATTACTCTCAACAACTCTTCTGTAGGGGGCTCACGCGTGTAATCCCAGCACTTTGGCAGGCCAAGGCAGGTGGATCACTTGAGGTCAGGAGTTCAAGACCAGCCTGGTCAATATGGCGAAACCCCATCTTTACTAAAAATACAAAAATTAGCTGGGTATAGTGACATGCACCTGTAATTCCAGCTACTTAGGAGGCTGAGGCACAAGAATCGCTTGAAACCAGGAGGCAGAGGTTACACTGAGCTGAGACCACACCACTGTGCTCCAGCCTGGGCCATAGAGTGAGATTGTGTCTCAAAAAAGAAAAAAAATAGCAACAACTCTTCTATAGATTTTATTAATTTCATTTAATTAATTAATTCACTTTTAATTCCTAGAGCATTCTAAGAAAATCCTAATTTTAATAATAATTTTGTATTGGACATATGTAACTTACCATGTACCAGGCAACCTTCTAAGTGCCTTATATTAATTAACCATCATGTGGAAACTATTGTTATCTTCATTGTATAACCAAGCAAACAGGCACAGAATGGTAAATAACTGTATGAAGTTTACATGCCTAGAAAGCAGTGAAAGGGAGACAGATTGAAATCTAAGTAATTTGGGTCCTGAGTCGATGAATCTAGCCCCTATACTATTCTGCCTTAAAAAAGCAAATTACTTCAATATCAACTTCAAGTCTTAGTGTTATACAAATCATAGGACTTTTACAACTGGTAGCAATATTGATATTTTCGTCTGAAAAGACTCCAAAGAAAACAGATATCAATTTATTACTTTCATGGACAATAAAGCAAGTATTTAACAATAAATGCCTCTAGTCCTTCAAAAAGACCTTCACATGTGGCTTCAGTTTTGCTTTTTGTTTTTGTTTTAACATGGCATAAGTGTAAAGAAATTACATAGTACCATAAATTCATTGCCTTGGGATAGTTTGGCAGAGTTTATTAAGAGCATCAAGTCACTATTTCAGTGTTTTTGTTAGCTGCTAGTATATAGGATTGCTAGGTTAGAGAGGAAAAGAAAGAAGATGTGAAACTGAGAGGAATACAACAGAAGTGAAATGTGACATTTACCAGCAAAGTACAAAACCAGACACTTAAGATATAAAAAGGAGAAAAACCTATTCATGGCAAAAAATATTATTAGGGAAGAAATATAAACAGTTCACTGAAATAACAGAAACTGAGAAATTTTTTAAAGATACTCAGAAAATACTGAGGTTTTTTTTTTTTGTTGTTGTTGCAGAATTTGTTCTGTTTAGTCACATATGTCTTTAAGGCCCTATAGATCAACATAAAGGCTAAGCATTGTCTGGTTTCCTCTGCCTCTGACCTCCACCCAGTCATTACCTTTTATGAATGTGTGGGATGTGAAGTAGGATTGGAATGACAGTGCATCATTTCAACAAATCCTTTGCAATATTTCTGGGAAGAGCAGATACTTTGGCATACTTCATTCAAATGATACATTTTTTGCATAAGTAGTTTAGAAAAAGGAATATAAACTGGTCCATTTGAAAAATATTTCTGCATAAAAAAGCAAATTTTTATGTTATATAAATATCACTGAAAGGAAAGATTTCTGCTGAAAGTGGAGCAATCCCGAAGACTTTGGATGAAAGCACATTTTACCTTTGAGAAAGTTACTATGAAGTTAACTATTGGGAATCTCACTGTTATTTGAGATGTTAGCCTCCAAACGGTTTGAAGAAATTGCAAGGTTGAAGGAAACTACAGTGAAAGTTCCAATTCAGTTAGAAGGAAAAACAATGAAGTGTAGAGGAAAGAATATAGCAAATATTTCAAAAGAAGAACATTTTCTTCCAAGCTTGGTAGCCAAAGCTAACTTTGCTCCAGAGATCTCAGAGACATGTGACCTGTGGCCTGTGAAAGATTTATATTACTTACACTTTTGCAGGTTGTTTGAAAAAGTTTCAGTGCAATGTCAATCCTGGTCAGTATATAGATGTCTGGGTTTTCTTTTTATTAAATAAATCCCAAACTAATTTTGAGAGTACCAATCCCTACTCCTTTCTTCTATTTTTTCATTGTTATGTATTGTCTTATATGTGAAAAATAAAAAAAGTTAAAAACCAGACAAATATTCTCCACCCCAGATATAATTAATATTAACCATTTCAATTATTGCTCAATGCATTTGTCCATGCATAATTGAGATCACACACCATGAAAACTGAAAAAGTATTTTCTGACATCGTCTAATGACTGAATGATATCTCATGTTATTTTAATAGGAAATATTTGGTTATTTTCAATTTTTGACTGTAATATATAATACAATGGTGAGCATATTTTCACATATATTATTTCCAGCATTGTGATTTGTTTTATTCAAATAGATGTATAGAGGGGAGAAAATGCTCATTGAGTTCATTCATCTTAAAATCCTGTATTGATGAGTTAGTGTACAGCTTCAAGTAATTTTTAAAGAGGGTATATAGTTTATACAGTTTTTTGAACCTATGGGAAAATGATGTTTCTCTCTTGTCTTCATTCATAGATGACTCTATAGAGATTACTTCATAGTTTTCTGATATTTAGTGTCAGGGTGGTGAAGTTTGATGTCAGCCTCAGTTTTATACAAAGATGCTTGTAAAAGCCTTTTGTAAAATATAAAATAAAATAAACTCTGTAAATCCAAAATGTTACAGGATGAGATAAGGTGTATTTCCATTAATTTTTTTTTTTTTTTTTTGGAATTTAACTGGTCCTTTTGATTTGTATTTCTAGGTCTTTTTACCCTTAAAACATTCCACCTCAAATATCTTTCTTTATCCTCTGTCTCAATTGTGACTTCTTCAGAAGTATATGTAATTCTTAGGCTGGATCTCCATTAACTGACCTCTGCATCAGCATGTCCCTTCATATTTTACCTTTTTGTTTTATAGTAATAGTTTCAAGGGGTCCTCCACATCAGTGATTCAAATTTTTTTTTTTTTTTTTTTTTTTTTTTTTTTTTTTTTGAGACGGAGTCTCGCTCTGTCGCCCAGGCTGGAGTGCAGTGGCGCGATCTCGGCTCACTGCAAGCTCCGCCTCCCGGGTTCACGCCATTCTCCTGCCTCAGCCTCCCAAGTAGCTGGGACTACAGGCGCCCGCCACTACGCCCGGCTAATTTTTTGTATTTTTAGTAGAGACGGGGTTTCACCGTTTTAGCCGGGATGGTCTCGATCTCCTGACCTCGTGATCCACCCGCCTCGGCCTCCCAAAGTGCTGGGATTCAAATTTTTTAACACTATCAATTCTGTTGTTTCTTCCAATAAATGTGTTCATTCATATAATTAATTCTATTCTTGATTTCTAGTTTTTTAGAACTCTTCCTTAAGTCACAAATCTATAGTGGATAACTGCATAGGTTTCTGAATCCAGCTTTACTACTTCCTAGCTATGTAACCATAGGAAAAGTTGTTAGAGATGATACAAGTTTTCTCTAAACCTTCTTTGAAGAGGATAACAATAGTACCTCCCTAAAAAGTTTGTTGTGAGGATTAAGTGAAATAATCTCTGAAAATGCTTAATATAGTGCCAGGCAGTTAATAAACAGCAAATACTACTTCTGATTATTGTAATCATCATTATTGTTATGTCATCGTTTCTTTACATGTCAGTGTATTCTCTCTGTAAGGTTTTCTCCTCCCATTTCTGCTTGAGTTTATAATACAACACAGTGATTCATACTGTTTGAATTTTTATTCTGTTTCAAGTCTATTTTGGTTGCAAAGTCCAAGAAGATAGGTTTGTAGCCTTTAAGCCTGAAGTGTCTACACCTCTCCATTTCAGTTTGCCAGGCTTTGAGTAAAATGGAAGGTCACTTGATTTATTCAACATCTCAGGAATTCATTCTGGATGAAAAATATTCTGTGGCCACCACCACAATTGCTATGTGAATACAAAGTTTCAAGCAAGTTAAAGTCACCCATTCTACCAAAATGTATTCAATAGAGTGACAAGGAATACATCTAATGTAAAAAAGAGTTTGCCCTGACACGTTTATTAACAGTGGATAAAAGTATACAAAGTATGCTATTTATTTCATTCAATAATAAATTCAGCTAGTATTTATTAAGCACTTACCATTTGCCAACCTGTTAAAGGAGCTTCCTGACTTCATTAATGTTTTAAGAGACATGGTTTTCTTGTTCTCAATAATTCCTGGAATGTAAACTTCCTGGGAGGATTTAAAGCATGTGACTGGCCACCACAATACTACTTGGAACACATGTTTTCCTAAACGTAGCTTCTCCTGATTCAACCAGTGATATGTATCACTTGTTAGAGAGAGAAGAATATCACCATTCAGTTGCATTATTGATAGCACATCGAAGAAAAGCAATAACCAGAGATAACTAAAAAAAAAATCCTGTACTTCTAAAGCTCAGCAAGTGTACATGTCTTTACTTTCAAATGACAGAAATACACTTGCAAAGTGGTGATGAGAAGTAGAAACAAACAAAGCAGAAAGATTATAGTCTGCCTTATGGAATTCAAGAAGTTGACAAAGTGGAGACTACTTTAACAATGATAACAGCTAGAATGAACCAGAAAATAATACTTATCTTCAAGGCCCTAAAAGCCTCAAATCTTTCTAAATTTAATGAACGTCTACGATCTAAAAATGGGTTAGGTCTGCATTAATTCTGGTTTAAACAAGACAGAACAAGACAGAAAAACTCATAAGCACTCTATAAAATATTCTGAGGTCGTCCAATATAGCATTATTTTTTGCTGAGTCCAGACTTAAATTTGTAAGTAACTGTTCTTTCAATAAGAGAAGCCCTGTAACCAAAGTATATAAAGAAGATCCATTACTAACAAGAGCAAAGAAAATTCTTCATGAGAAATCTGCTGAATTAGGCAATGTGCTAACAATTTAAAACACTTCACAAAGGAATTAAAGCAAATATCATATATTCATGGGATATTAGAACCAAAAGTGACTTTGTAAAAAACATTTAGTCTAATCCTTTTATGTTGCAGATGGAGTCCCTCAGTAGCAATGGTAATACAGTGCCTTGCTTAAGGTTCCTGTCATTTTGAGTGAACCAGGACATGTCACAAAGTTTCCAGGACTATGAAGTGTAGACTACACCTGAAGCCACAACACAATTATATACTTGCTATCTGAGGGCATACTTACCCTAATATATCTAAATGGCTTGTGATTGAAGCCTTTGTCTAAATTATTATAACCAGTTCTTGAACAACTATAGGTTGGTAAAGAAAAACCTTCAGAATAAACTGGAATTATATTGCTGGTCTAGAGTTTCAGTATCTTCTGCAAATAAATACAAAATGCTTAACAACAGAGGGCACTCTAATAAGTTTGTCTAAATATATGTGTGTGCATTACCTCCAATTCAGGCTTCTCTTCTGTAACTCATATTTAGAAATTCAAATTCCTCATCAACAACTTCATGTGAAAATGTCCTCCCCTCTTTCAGATGGTAACTCAATGGACATCTCTCAGTAAAACCTTCTCTGACCCTCCTTTCAAAAATTGCAACATACTCCTAGAATCCCCACCCGCCTTCTCAAATTTATTTTCCTCCAAATCACTGATCACCATCTAACACATTTTATATTTTACTTACTTCTTTCATATATTGTCTTTCTCCCCATCTATATTCCTGCACCTAGTACAGGTTCTTTTGTGAGCATGCAATAAATATGTTTTTGATAAATACATGAGTAAATTAATTAATTAATTTCTAAGAGTCATATATTTACAAGTAAAGAGTATTTGATTCTACCATTCTTCTAAAGATTCTTTGTGAATATTAGTCGATCTGATTATTTAAACGGAGTCATTTTTTCTAGATCGATGTCATTAAAGCAATATTACTCTGTAGATTGAGCTATAGTACATGACTATACTATGTAATTACATGATGATATTGAGCCCTTAAAGAAAAGAAAAAAATTATGCTCTTGATAGAAAATACATAACTAAAATGATAATTTTTCTGGTTCTTTTCCTATTTGATTTCAGTCTAGAGTTAATCTGTCTTCAAACTAAGATGCTATTGCCCAGCTTAGGACTTTACTCTTCATTTATATACTAAACCTAGAATTATCTTCAAAGTATCAAAATATCTTTGAAGAGGTGGGATGTGAAGAAGTACTTACGCTCCATGACAGCACACAGGGTTTTCTTCATGCTTTGCCCACTAAAATCCACAGTGAAATAACAGGAAGGAAGAAAAAAGCCACTTTCTAAAAATAACATAATTCAATCCAAATGTCCATTCATTTTCTTTATTCATGTTACAATTTATTTCAAAGCACACTTTTATTTTAGATTCACAGGAACTTCAATATGTTGGGACTTAGAAAATTAAAATTAACTTTTCTCATAATACTCCGCTCCTTGCTTCAAGGTTTTTTTTTTTTTTTAATTCTGAAAAAAAATGTCTGTGACAAGATTTCTCTGAGTAATAAAAATAGCCAAGAGAGCACTAACTATATATGAAACCTTTTTCCTCCACCAGAACTTATTATTTCTGTAGCTTTATTATAAAAAAGTATTTTTTCTTTTATTTGAAGGAAAAATATCAATATTCCATTTCATGAAATCTGATTTGAAACTGAGAAGCTCTCAGATACATAGTTTTAAAAAATATGGAAAGCTTCAATGGGTGCATAGCTGAGATGCTGAGATCATGTGGAGAGGATCGAACAAGGTATGAATGAAGGGCAATTAGAGTAAGTTGCATGTGAATATGTATGATGTATATATGCAGATATTTAGATGTGTGTGTGTTGTGCATTTGTGTATGTTTTTGCACTATAAAGAAAATGATGCAACTGGGCGCAGTGGCTCATGCCTGTAATCCCAATACTTTGGGAGGCCGAGGCGGGCGGATCACCTGAGGTCAGGAGTTCCAGACCAGCCTGACCAACATAGTGAAACTCCGTCTGTACTAAAAATACAAAACTTAGCCAGATGGGGTGGTGCACACCTGTAATCCCAGCTACTCAGGAGGCTGAGGCAGGAGAAGAATTGCTTGAACCTGGGAGG
Organism: Homo sapiens; assembly: GCF_000001405.40. Taxonomy (NCBI): domain Eukaryota; kingdom Metazoa; phylum Chordata; class Mammalia; order Primates; family Hominidae; genus Homo; species Homo sapiens. The sequence goes on along the minus strand of NC_000006.12, from coordinate 80,474,949 downwards.
CGGAGGTTGCAGTGAGCCAAGATTATGCCACTGCACTCCAGCCTGGGCAACAGAGCGAGACGCCATCTCAAAACAAAAAACAAAAAACAAAAACAAGAACAAAAAGGAAAGACAAGGAAAAGAAAAGAAACGAAAAAGATCCAAGACCGTCACAGGGATGAGGTGTTTGAAAATCAAATTTTAAAAAAATTAACATTTATTGAGCACTTTTTCTGGACAGACAAGACAAAGTACTTTATGTGTAATATATTATTTCATTTAATCCTCATATTAGCTCTTTTGAATGAATTGGTATTAATCATTTTACAAATGAGGTTTGCATTAGTTTCCATGGGCTGCTATAATGAAGTACCACAAACTTGCCTTAAAATAACAGAAATTTGTTTTTGTGGTTCTGGAGGCCACAAGTCTGAAATCAAAGTATCAGCAGGGTCATGTCTCTCTGAAGATTATTGGAGAGGATCTCTCCTAGCTTCTGGTAGTTGCCAGCAAGGCTTGGCATTCCTTGGCTTGTAGAAGAATACAATCTCTGCCTCCATTTTTACTCAGCATTCTCCTCACGTGTTTGTCTTCACAACTTCTTCTCTGTGTGTGTTTCTCTTGTCTTCTTATAAAGATAACAATCACTTTGTATTTATGGCCCACTCTACTTCAGTAGGACCTCATTTTGAGTTAATTAATTACATCTGCAAACACCTTATTGCCAAAAAGATTATATTCTGAGGTTCCAGGAAGCACATGAATGTTGTGGGAATGGTGGAAATTTGTCATTTCAATGCAAGGTTACTGAGACTCAGAATTGATAATTCTGTTACTTTAGTACTCAGGTAACAGAATCACCTAAACACGTTTTATACGTTTAAAGAAACAAAATCTGAGATTTAATATATGGACTAGAGAAAAAGAGATTATTAAAAACAAGTCTTGAAAAATAAAAACATAAAACTTTTTCATTTTTAATTTTTTTTTTGAGACAAAGTCTCACTCTGTTGCCCTGGCTGGAGTGCAGTGGCACGATCTCAGCTCACTGAAACCTTCACCTCCCAGGTTAAAGCGATTCTCTTCCTTCAGCCTTCTGAGCAGCTGGGACTACAGGTGTGCGCCACCACGCACAGCTACTTTTTGTATTTTTAGTAGAGATGGGTTTCACCATATTGGCCAGGCTGGTCTCGAACTCCTGACCTCATGATCCACCCGCCTCAGACTCCCAAAGTGCTAGGATTACAGCCATGAGCCACCGCGCCCAGCCTTATATTTTTTATTTCAATAGGTTTTTAGAGAACAGGTGGTGTTTGGTTACACAAATAAGTTCTTTAGTGGTGATTTCTAACATTTCGGTGCACCCATCACCTGAACAGTGTACACCATACCCAGTGGGTAGTATTTTATCCCTCATCCTCATCCTATCCTTTACCTGAAGTTCCCAAAGTCCATTGTATAATTACTATGCCTTTCAGTCCTCACAGGTTAGCTCTGACTTATGAGAACATACAATGAAAAACATAAAACTTTAAAAATAACAACTATAACAACATGTAAAATACTCAATGCACAACACAATTGCTATAGCTAAAAATAAAATTAACCAAATAATTATCTTAAATTTTCCATAATGTAGCACATCTAAATATACAAATAGAAAATATGATAAAGAGCTAATAGACATGGAAAATAAAGTAGGAAAGTTCAATATCCACTTAAATATTTGTAGAAAAAAGAGACAAAAAATTAAATGGAAGAAACATTTAAAGGGATCATGGGGAAAATAATTACAAAACTAAAAATTGGTTAATAGTTACAGAAAGGGTAATGGATATCAAGTAAGATAAATGAAATGAAAAGCACATCTAGGCATGCCATAAAAAAATCTTATGACCAGCCAGAGAAGAAATACAGATCATCTTCAAATGAACAACAATTATGACAACTGATTCCTCAACAGCAGCAGTGGAAGTTAGAAGAAAATAAAATAACTTCACTATGTTAATAAAAAATTAATGTCAAACTAGAATCATTAGTGTTTATGTGTTACATCTGTTTTAAATTCTTTCATCTTCAACCTTTTTGTGTATTCATATTTAAGGCATATCTTTTTAAAAACAGCCAATAATTGAATTCTGTTTTTCTCTACAGCATATTACTCATTTATTAGAATATTTAGTCCACTTAACATTTAATGTAAACACTGACATTTTATTTTAAATCTATCATATTACTGTTTATTTTTATTTATTCCTCTTGTTCTGTCTTCCTGTTTTACTTCTTTCTTGCCTTCTTTGTGTTAAAAAAATTTTTCCACTTTCTTTCCTCTATTGTTTTTTGTGGCACATTTATTTACTATTCTTTTAATGAATACTCTAAAGTATATGATTTTCATAGCCCTGAACTGTGAGACTAACAAAAGCTTTGCTCAACTTCTCAGCTTTGGTTCATCAAATGCTTTGAGAACAGTAGTGAGTAACGTTTGGCTCACCTCAATTCAATTCCCTTCTCTTCTGGATCTTGACCACTCACATTTTGGCTGCTTCAGTACCTCTTTAATGCCTTCAAACACATGTTTTATATTTTACCCAGCTTTTTTAGTTACTCTCAGAGGGAAGATTGGGTTTATACAACCCAATCCATAATTCCTAGAAATAGAGACTTCAATATATAATTTGATACCTAACAAGAATATACTTTTAAAACAATAATAAGATTAAGAAAGTTATAAACAAGCAAAGCCTGAGAGCATTTAATCTAAGAGAACTTCATTAAAGAAAATTCTAAAGAATGTGTTATAGGCAGAAAAAAGATGCTATTTCTTCCAAACTCATAGACATTAAAAGAATATAAATAAAAGAAAACTTTAGATTTATCTATTTTTAAGGGTAGTAGAGGATTTTAGAAACTAAGAAAAAGAGAAATACATGAAAAGATAAACTAAGATGACATAAATAAATCCAAATTTATCTAAACCACAGTAAATATAAATAAATTTAACACCATTTAGACACAAATAGTTGACAGATTTTTAAAATATATCTATATGCTGAAGGTATACACCTAAAAGATAGAGTGGATGAAAGTTAAAGCACAGAAAAAGATATATTTCAATACTAGCCAAAATAAAGTGGGAATAATTATATTTCAATCAAACAAAATAAACTATAAGGCAAAGACATTATTTGAAATATAAAGTCACTATACAATGAGAGGAGACTAGATTTACCAGGGAAATAGAATCATTCTAAACTTATATGCACCTAAAAATATAAAAAATAGGAATTGAAAATATTTGTAAGCACCAGAAATACAAGAAGAAATTTGGAAAATTTACTAACAGAGTGGAATATTTAGCATTTTTTTAGTAATTTCTAGATTTAACAGATAAAATGTCACTGAGGACATAAAACACTTGAACAACACTGTATTAATCAGGCTATGATAGGTTACAGTGTAGAAACAGTGCAGAAACAGGTAAATCTTGAAGCCTCAGTGACTTACAATAGAAGTTTGTTTCTCCTCATATTAGTCATCAAGAATTAAGAAATTGTGATTTCTTCCATTTTATGGCACTGTCATCTTCTAGGCCCCATTGGAATTCTATTGAGCCTACTAGGTCCTCTGCATTAAACTGGCCAAAAAGAAATGAGAAAGAAGGAAGAACTTTCATGACATTGTAAAGACAAAGACAAAAGTGCCTTATGTTACTTCTGCCCGTTATTCTCATGGACAGAATGCTGTCATAGAATCCTAACTCAACTGAAGGAAGACTTAGAACTGCAGTCTTCCTTTGCATCCAAGAAAAAGAGATAGGATTGTTGAACCTTTAACCAGTCTTTGCTACAAACACAATTGATAAGTTTGATGTAATGGAAAAACACAGAACATTTCATCAAGGTAGAGAACACGCATTCTTTCAAGGACACATAAAGCATTTAGGAGATTTGATCTCATACTTGACCATAAAGTAACTCAAAAAATTCCAAAACACAGTATCATATAGATTATACATTAAGACTTCAATTTAAATAAATTAGAATTAATAACAAAAACACAACTAAAACTCTCCAAGCTTTTGAAACTAAGAAATGTAAATAACCTATAAGTTAAAATAACGCTAATGGAAATAAAAATATTTAGAATGAAACAGCAACCAAATATTAGTACAATACACACAATAATGTTTCTAGAAATAAATTTGTAGCCTTAAATACTTATAGTAAAAAAAAAAAATTTTGAAAATGAACCAGCGAAGCATTAAGCATTATATATTAGAAAAAGGACAGAAATTTCCAAAAAGTGAAGGAAAGCATAAAGTATAGAAATTAATACATTAACAAATATATGTACCATGTAAAGATTTAACAAAGCCAAAAGTTGGCACTTCAAAAAGACTAATAAGACCAGTAAGTTTCTAACATGACTGATGAAGAAAGGAAAGACACAAAAAAGGTATAGCCTGTTTGTGCTAACCAGAGAGCAACTCATACCAACTTATCTTGGGTTCCTGTCATAACACAAAGGGAAACTTTCACAATGTGTGAAGCGCTTGATGCTCTGTAGATGAAGGAGGAGAATGTTCTCAAATTCCTTACATCAGGAACTTACTTAGGTGGTATCAGCCTTGACTTGCAAATGGAACAGTACCTCTGCAAGAGGAAAAGTGATGGCATTTAAATTATAACTCTGAAGAGGACCTGGGAAGAGTTCTGCTGGTGGCTCATGCCATTGAAAACCCAGCTGATGTCAGTGTCAAATCTTCCAGGAATATCAGCCAGCAGCTGTGCTGAAGCGGGCTGCTGCCACTGGAGCCACTCCAATTGCTGGATGCTTCACTTCTGGAACCTTCACCAACCAGATCCAGGCAGCTTTCCTGGAGATACGTCTTCTGGTTAATGAGATAACTTTTCAATCAATGATGCTAATTTGATATGCAGTTAGCAGAAATAAAATTTAATCTCTGCTTCATACCACACACAAAAATAAATTCCAGGCAGATTAAAGATTTAAGTGTGAAAGGCAATATTCTAATTGACAACATTTAGAAAACATGTTTCCACCTCTATAGTAATGAAACCATATAAAATTTAAAAATACTTTCTCAGGGTTGTAAGCGTATGTTTTAAAATTGTAAAGTAAAGCTTAAAGATAACATACAGAAAATTCCAGATAGTGGTAATCATTGGGGCCTAGAGAGGAGAAGGCAGTGGGGAATGACTAGAAACTGGTTTTTAAGTTACCAGTAATGTTCTATTTCTGAAGCTAGCAGGTTGGGTCTACAGGCTTCAGAAGCAGGATTATTATTTGTATAGGATTTAATGAGATTATTGTTTTATACTATACACATATATATATTTAGAAATATACCTATCTAATTATCTCCAACAAATATTAATTGTTTATTTTTTATTTTTAAAAAATTAACTTTGTTGGCTGGGTGCGGTGGCTCACGCCTGTAATCCCAGCACTTTGGGAGGCTGAAGCAGGTGGATCATGAGGTCAGGAGTTGAAGACCCACTTGACCAACATGGTGAAATCCTGTCTCTACTAAAGATAAAAATAATTAGTCAGGCATGGTGGCGCATGCCTGTAATCCCAGCTACTCAGGAGGCTGAGGCAGGAATATCACTTGAACCCAGGAGGCGGAGGTTGCAGTGAGCCAAGATCATGCCACTGCACTCCAGTCTGGGTGACAGAGCAAGACTCTGTCTCCAAAATAATAATAATAATAATAATAATAATAATAATAATAATAATAGTAATAATAATAAATAAACTTTGTTAATGCATACAGATATAAATATACATAAAATGCCAAACCAGTGAACTTCAAGACATTAATGATGACTAACCGGAGAGTACAATGAGATTTAGAATAATGTGTAAATGAGCCATATATATTTATTTTCATAATTGTAAGCATTGTTTACAACAATAATGTATTCAGAGTAAAAATGTATAATACAAGCACATAATGGAATCTTCATAGATATTAAAATTATGCTGTAGAAGATTAATTATATGAAAGAATATTCAAGATGTATTTTAAAATATGATAAAACAGGTTATAAAACTATTACAATGTGATGACATTTATTTTTTTATAGGAAAAAATAAAGCATAATAAACTTCCAAAATTCAACAATATGGTGGTAGTTTTGTGGTGAGGCCAGCGTTAAAAAGGGGAAAGTTATCCATACATTGCTGAATTTGTATATCCTTGACTCCTGTTAATCTCAAGTAAACAAACTCATGCTGATCCTCAAATGAGACATTGGACAAAGCTGAGCAGGGTTTTTCAATTGCATCTGGCAGATTTCCAAAAGTCTAACTGGAAAATAAGAAAGAAATAACATACAAACCACCCCTCTTGCCTGAGCCTGGGAAAACATTTACTCTCTGAATCTACTCTCTGAAGTTTGAGCTCTTAGAGAGAAGGATGCAGGTCTGATACTCTGTTAAATATTAACCAACATTTGTGCTTCCCCTATCTACGAAGGACTGTATGGTTCTATTGCACAGATAGATCTATTAGAGACATAGATGTTATCTAAAAAATTAGATAACATCACATTGACCTCAAGGAGGTGACAGTCTTGTTAGGCAGGCAATGTAGATGCAAATTTAATATTGCAGAAGAGATACCTTTAAATTAGGAAAATTGCGGGTCACTGTATTCTCATTGTTTAAATTACCTAGATAGTAAATTAGACAAGCGAAATAAACAGAATTGAAGGCAAGTTGAAAATGTAGCAAAAATACTGTCAGCTGCTGAGCAAAGTATCACATTTTAGATTCCCCCTTGGAACTTTCTGATAACGGAGACTAATTTGCTTCCTAAACGATGTGTCCAGTAAAAGGTAGATTTTTACCTTATTCAGTTCTCTGCAATAGGCTTCCAGAGTTTTTCATCAAACCTCTGAACCAAAAATATAAGTCCATGAGTATTTGGTAGTGAGTCTGTGGAAATTTTGTTCTGAAACATGGCCCAAAATGATTCACCCACAATGGGACCTTAGATTCTCCTGGGTGTTGATCTTCTCTCAGATTCCTTTCAACCTACACCACTGGCTTCAGTTTGCCACAACTCTGAGGAGCCTCTTTGGATCACCTGAGCTTAGAATCACATAGTTAGATAAGAATAGCATATGAGGGGCCTTCAGCTATGGCATTTTCTCTATTGAGGACAACCTTCCTTAGCATCTCTACATTTCCAATCCTGTCTTTCCTTCAAGTCCCAGAACAAATGCTGTCTCCTTCACGAGGCCCTTACTAATCCCTTCTACATGCACAGAGCTACTGTATCCCAGGAACACCCACTACACATTTTGTGCTCTTCACTCACAGCCTATTAATATCAGGTATTATATTTAGCACTTGCAAAGATTTGTGCCATGTACCATTGTATCTCCAGAGCTGACCTCAGGAGACAAAACATGCCCAGAAAGTGTTTGCTGAATGAGTAGACAAACCATATACGTGTCTTACCACTCTAGAGAGCAAAATCCATGGCACAGTTATCTTTGTAGAGTTCATGGACTTGACCCAAGTGTTGAATAAATGAATTGAGTCTAATTACCCTCATTTTTATTCTGAAGAGACTACTTCGCTTACCCTGAAATGTCTGCATCAGATGCTGCAATGATTGTGCTCAGTTCTAACACTCATAATTTCCATACATTTTTTATTCCCCTTACTCCCCCTAATTTCAATAACAATGCTTGCATAAGTAACCAGTTAGGCATCTTGCTACAAAAGGAAAAAATGAAGGCATCAAGTCCACTCGATGACAGGTTCACTGGGAACATACATTTGGATGAGGTAATGCTCATGTCAACCACAGTTCCCCTGAGGGATCAGAAGCCTAACACCTTATTGGTAGGGAAAATTACATTTTAATGGGAAGTGAATATGTTACATAGAAAAATTATGAAACAAATCTGACTCTAAAATGCCCCAACCTTTAAAATTTGAGCAAGACCCTTTTAAAACACAGCCAAAAGAAAAATTGTTTCTTGGTTCATTAGTTGATAAGTCAATTCGAAGCACATAAATAAACACATTTCTGAAGCTGACCCCAGATAGGGAATTCAAATTTCCATAGCTACATTGAGTTCATCAGGGAGATAAAAAGGCTTTTAGAGATGTTTCTGGCAAAATATCATTTCTGGAGTCTAATTTTTTCACCGAAGATAGGTTTTCTATGAAGAAGCAATTTAATAATAAAATGAAGGAATGGCGACTCCCTTGGAGTAGGTCCCTGAGAAGTAGATTTGACAGGAATGAAGTCTTGTTTTTTCCAGCTTTATTGGGGAATGGTTGACAAATAAAAATGGTATGTATTCAAAGCATACAATGTGATGTTTTGATATATGTCTATGTTGTGAAATGATTACCATAATCAAGCTAATTAACGTTAATCACCTAACATAGTTATATATATATTGTGTGTGTGTATAGTGAGAAAATTTTAAATCTACTCTCTTAGAAAACTTCAAATGTATAATATATTTTTATTAACTATAGGCAAGGTGTCAGCATTTACTTACCTCTTATGGCAATGTCTAAAAATCCCTAACTCCCAAATCTGACATGCTCTTTCTCACAAAATTTCAAATGCCTACATGTCTTATTTCTACAATCTTCCAAAAATTTTTTGTTAATAATGTACGTAAATAAGAGAAATAGAAAGTGTAACATAAATATATGTGTAAGTATAATATAGGGAAATATGGGGTATACATATAATATACCTAAAGATGAGAAAAATACATGACTTCCTCCTGGAACTTCTCTCCTGCTTTGTGACAGAAAGCAGAAATTACCTGGTAGGAACTTAAGACATTTTACAAGATGTCAGCACTGGACTGAAGGTCCAAGACATCAACTTAAGTACCTCTGAGATTCTTCTATCAAAAGTAGATAATTACGACAAATTAATACATTTCATATCCTTTTAAAACTCTCCTTTGATGTTCTTCCTGGTTCTTTCCATTTTGCCAGCAGTTCCAACCACAGTGGCTTGTAATGTGAGGTCACATCACAGGAGGCAATGGAGACACAAAGCATCTACCCTTCATAATCTCCCAGTGAAAGCTTCTGTGTCCATCCAATGTGTCTGGGTATTTGCAAAACTGTACTTGGTTTATTGTTTTCCTTATTTCCTCTCCTACTTCCCTATCGGCAAGCAGCACTTCCCACACAAATGTAGCAGCAAACTGAAAAGCAAACAGATTTATTTATTTTATTCAAACTCTTGCTAAATGTGCAATTTGTGCCAGAGAGTATCCTCACCACTACTGAGAGATTGCTAATATGTTTACATGATGTGCTTTGCCTACGGGTGGAAGGAGGGATGGAATCAGAGATAACTCTGAAGTTCTGATGTTTCAACCTAAGTTAATACAAGCATTCATGTCTCCATGAAGAGAAATGACAAAAATCAGAGAAGGAAAATGTTTTGACAGAACAGTATTAGAAAATTTGATTTTAGACTTGTGCTGTGGTTGAGTTGCCAGCATATTTTCCTGGTATACAACATTCAGACATTTTGACCAGTTGTACTATAGTTTGGAAAGCTGTGAGATTTGTGACAGAAAATGGTGTAAAAAGAGAAATAAATCAGATGTACGAGGTGGAAGTATGTCTGTATGGATTCATATGCCCCTTCTGAGTTTCTCAGGTTTACCTGTTTCAATTTTCAGCAGCTTACTTCACTTCCACTACCAATGCAGGGCTATGCAGTCAGCCTTTTAAAACTAACCACTTTAAGCCCACAGTCTCTGACTCCTCTCATCTCTTCTACATTTGGGGAAATGCCACCACAGGGAGTGCATCTGGCTTCCCAGGAGGCTGCTAAAGGAGCTGAATGACCCAAACTGGAATGCAAGGTAGTTAACACTCTCTGGTGCTATCTTGGCCAAAGAGAGGCAGGGAAAAAAACCTGGGCAGCTCAATTTCCTCTGTCTTACTTTCTCCAATCAGCCTGCATAAAGAAGTCCTGTATGACTGAGTGTAGGCACCTACCAAATAACAGTAGGTGCTCTTTGCCCTGCTTTGTGAAGAAGCCAATGGAGGGGTAATGCTTCACCTTTCTTGGCTGCACCACTTACCTTTTCTCTTGTTCTCACTCTCCTGGGATTTAACTCCCAATAAAGCACTAGCACTTAATTCTTACCTGAGGCTCTATCTTCACTATCCTAGAATACAGAAACTAAGATGTACTGCAAATGTGGAAGAGCAGTATAATGAATATTGTGGCCTTTCTTCTGAGGTGAAATTTAATGGTTATGTTGGAAGAATAGTATGAAAGAAGTGTGAGGAATAAAGGGCAAGCAGTCTCCTTTCAACTGTTCAGTGAATGGCCTCCATTGGGCAAGACTGAGGAGAGGAATTTTTATTAGATATTAAGGTTTTCTTTTCAGATAAGGCAATTGAGCAATTATTCATAGAAATTCTAAGGAAGTTACTAATTTAAAATTTTATTTCACAAATAATAATTAGTAGAGCTAAGTGAATCACTAAAGATTTAAAGATGAGGCTGGGTGCAGTGGCTCACACCTGCAATCCCAGCACTTTGGGAGGCCGAGGTGGGTGGATCATGAGCTAAGGAGTTCAACACCAGCCTGACAAATATGGTGAAACCCCATCTCTACTAAAAATACAAAAAAATTAGCCGGGCGTGGTGACACATGCCTGTGGTCCCAGTACTCAGGAGGCCGAGGCAGGAGAATCACTTGAACCCAGGAGACAGAGGTTGCAGTGAGCCAAGATCGCGCCACTGCACTCCAGCCTGGGTGACAGAGTGAGACTCCACTTCAAAAGAATAATAATAATAATAAAGATTTAAAGATGAGAGAGACTCAATGCACTTGTAATCTGTGTTTGATGCAGGCAGACTCGGTCGGGTAGAAAGTGGGAGGGCACCTAACTAAGACTGGAGTGGTGGTGGAAAACCAGAGACTGTGCTTTGAAGGATATAGGAGTTATTCAAAGAAAGTAGGGAAGGTAGGAGGAATGAGCCCAAGGGAATGCTGGACACAATATTTCAGACATAGGGAACAGCAGATGGACAAGGCCCAAAACTTACTAACTGCATGCCTTTGTGTACATCACTTTACCTGTCTGAGTTTCATTATTCCCATATGTAAAGTGAGGAAGATAATACTGTAGTGTGACGAGGCCAGGAAAATTAAATGAGACAATATGTGTTCAATGTTATGGCATATAATAGATGCTTATGGGTGGTAGCTGTTTTTCTTTTAAGCCTTGAACATAGCCAAACCACTTTCTTTCTATTAGTTATGGATAGGAACTTTAAACAAACAACAAGGGCTAAGAAATCCCAGAACCTTTCAAATTTTGGAAAAAAAAAAGTATATTGAAAATCAAAATATTAGAAGCTCAAAACCTCAGAGAATCTAATCAAAGGCATTTCTCTATCTTTTAAACTCCTCACTTCTTTGCTTTGAGATAAATTTCACTCTCATATGTTGGTTTCCTCCACATCTACCTTATAAGGACAACAGTTTGTGTGTGAGCCTGTTTGAAGTCTACCAAGTCATAAGAATCAAACATACTTTTCATTGCCAAAGAAAAATATGTAGCCAAACCCTAACACAGCTTGAACTCACATGGAGTATCCTTTAAATTCTGAGAAATTTTTCAATTTGGCTAGAAAAACTAGTACCCCTTCAAAATTCAATACTTACCAAAAAGAAAAATCCAGCAAAACAAGTCTCTTTTCACTTTGCACATAAGAATTAAACAAAATGTCTATTTAATAACAAAACCACAATTCATAACAGATAATTCGAAATATGTTTGCACTTACTTAAAGCTTACAAATAAATCTAATTTAGGGAAACATGCAATTTTTAGCTCCTCACTTACTCATCCTTCTTTTTTGTTTAAATTGCAGGTGGGTGTCATTCCAAGCACTCTGAACTGTCCTGTGGAATTCAGAAAGTTCAGCTCTGCTCTGTGTTTGACAAGCTCCATTTTTCATGCGATGGCAGAAGACTGGAGACCTGAGGATATGTTCATGGTGGCTTGCTCCCAGTGCATCACAATCTGGAGAGGCCTCCGGCAGAACTATAGACAAATAATTTCAAGCTTCATTTGGAAGAAGAAAATCTATGGAAATATCAAGTCCTCTTGGCACTCTGTAACCACTGACAACCTTGATTTGATTCCCACAAATTCATGGAGCATCAGGTCCAACATTCTGGATTCTACTTGAATTCCCAAAAGCCATGAATGTGGAATTAAGTATTTCCCTGGCTTCAGAGATTATGGGGGCCATAATGCCTTCAAGAACCATAAAAGTTCTCTCTCATACTCACTTAGAAGGGCACGGAGAAGACTCCTGAAACACTGGCTATGTGCTTTCAGGGCCCAGTTTGTGGCTACTGTAACCTAAAATTAATTGTCTATTATCTCTCTATCATTCCCATGTCTGGATGTGAGCTGAAGGCACATCAGCTAAGAAAAGTTGCCCAGAAATCCTCATCTGATGCTTAGTGACTCTGAAATAATGCACGATATTTGAAGCATCTTCTTCTTCTTGGGTTATAATTCCACAATTAATTAGTTAATTCTAAAACATATCTGTTGAGTGCCTACCATGTACCAACTATTGAGAAAGACATTAGGGATATGATGTTGAAAAGATATAGCTCATGCCCTCAAATAACTCTTGAAGGAGAAAGATAAGTAAATAGGCATTGAAAATATTTTTTCATAAGTATCATGAAATATAAATGCATCAGATCTCATAGAAGTAACAAGAAAGAACTCCTAACTTAGGCCTAGAATTGAAAAGAGACAATATGTGTTTAATGCTACAGTATATGCTTAAAGGTAATAGTTGTTTTTCTTTTATGCCTTGAAAATAGTCAAACCACTTTTTATTTTTTATGGATAGGAACATGAAATAAACAGAAAGGGCTAGGAAAATCCAGTACCTTTATACATTTGAAAAAAAAAGTACATTGGTAATCAAAATATAAGAAGTTCAAAATCTCCAAGCATTTGATTAAAGGCAGTTCTTCTCTGTCTTTTAAACTCCTCATTTCTTTGCTTCATTTTCAGGTAAATTTTGCTGTCATCTGTTGGTTTTCTCCACATTTACATCATAAGGACAACTGTTTGTGTATTAGAAGCCAGACAAACAATGAGACCAACAAAGAGATTATTCCAGGAAGAAGGAAGGGCATAGGCAAAGACCCAGAGGAAAAACAGAAAATGGCTCATTGAACAATTTCAAGTATTTTAATATGGCCATAGGGTAGAGTACAAGAGGAAAGATGGAAAACACTAAAGCTAGAGAGATTAAAAAATAAAAAGAAATCAGAGCATCCAGGACTTCTTTACTTGCTTACAAGTTTGACTTTATGATTAGGATGATAGCAAATTTGGGGAGAGTTTTCATCAGGTGAAAGAAATGATCAGATGTCTATTTTGTAACACTTTGTAAAACTCTGAAGCATAGAGAAAAGAGTCAGGGAAAACCAGTTAGGAGTCTAAGGCAGTGATCAAGAAACAGACAATGGGAGCCTGAACTGAGACACTGACAATGAATATGACCAGATATGGATAAGATGAGAGAGGATTAGAATATAGACACAGTCTTGGATATTGATTATTTGTGGGAAAAAATGAAGGTGGACTCAAGAATGGTTTTTGAATGAGGCAACTAGGTGGTAGCATTTATGGAAACAGGAAGAATAGGAGAAGCAGGGCAGAACATAATGGGTTCAGTTTGGACACATTAAATGTGGGATACCAGAAGAACATCCAAGTAAAAAAATCTAGTGAGGTGTTGGAAATAGAGATTTTGATCTCAGAATATAATTGATTTTTAAATTCTTTATCCCATATGTAGTAGTTGATCTCATAAATAGATTACGTCACCAAGAGACTATGCGTTTAGTGTTTAATTCTAACAAGATCACGACAAAATCTCAGCAAGACCAACTATTAAGAGATTGGTCAAGAGCCATCATAAGGTAGAGTGGAGAATCTCTTTGAGAGTGAGGAATCTCAGATGCCAAGGAAGAGTTCAGCTCTGCTGAAGAGTTTCACAGAGAAGGAAGACTTTCACAGAGAAGAGTTCAGTCAACAATGTCAAAGTTTGCAGAGCAGTCAAGAAAGATAAGGTCTAAAAAGTGTCCACTTAACTCAGTGTAATTTCAAGCCAAGATCAGTCTTGTTCCAAAAGTATTAACTCAGCAGAGTTTTGAGTCACTGTGGGATAGAGCTCATCAGGTTTTTACAATAGTAACAAATGCTTCATGTCTCTTATTATTCATAACTGAAATATACCACTAAGTCAGGGAGCTCCAAGTCTCTTCAACTTCAATGTTTTGAGGATAAACCTAAAAACTGAACTTTTCCTGAACAAAAAGGGCTTGGGCTATTTTTGTTTTGCTTCCTTTATCAAGTTGTGAGCCAATGCTTGGGCATTCTTTACTCAGAGATGTAATAAATTTATTCACTGTTTAGGGTGGGGTATTCCAGACAGCTTTCCTGCTGTGTGCCCTTAAAGTGAAGGTCAAATAGAGTTCACTGGGAAATGTAAAGCAAGTGCCTCTGCATTAGTATTTGTTTTGTTCAGCAATATCCATTTATAATTAAGAAAAGTTTTCTCCACGTTTATTCCTAAAGGATATCATGGACAATTTTATTATTGTCTTAAATACATTATCTTTGATTTGGAGTTGTGCAAGACATGCTCAGTATTACTTGTGATATCTCAATTGGAAAAATAAAATTTGTTTTTTCCAGAAAGTTCAAAGGTTCTTGCTGTTAAATATTGCTTCATCATTTAGATATATCTTGAAGACTTAAAAATGTATATTTAGTAAGGATATTTCTTACATCTTTTCTAATATGGAAGCCATTGGGGTAAAATCAATACTCTCATAGCTCAATAAGGAACAATCCTCAAAAACTATGGAAGTACATGAAGAAAGTATCTTCTGCCAACCTTTTTTACTGAAATTCCAGTTCTATTGACAGTAGATGATCTTTATCTATTTGGGATGGCTTTGGAAATGGCTTATGGATCCAAGATGTCATAATGAATTGGAATAACTCAGATCATCGAGTAATTCCATGCAGTTACATAAGCTTGACATTCAACCTTTGGAAGAGTCAGTAAGAACCTCAGTTACATATTTGGAAATAAAAGTGATGGAACAATTCTATTTCCATAAAATTCTCAGGTTGCCAACTTTCCACAAGGTGAAGCATTAACAATAGGCCAATGAGAGTGTACCAAATACTTCTATTTAATTTTAATTTAAGGTTTTAAAAAATTATTAATGTGGTAAAAACATTTAATATAATATCTACCCTCAACACAATTTTAAGCATACAGTACATTGTTGATGATAAGTACAACGTTGTACAGCAGATCTCTAGATTCATCTTGCTTGCCTGAAGCTTTATGCCTGATAATTAGTAATTCCCTATTTACCTCCACCACCAGTCCTTGGTAACCACCATTGCTTTCTTTGATTCTATGGATTTGACTATTTTAGATACTTCATATGAGTGGAATCATGCAGTCTTTGTATTTCGGTGGCTGGTTTATTTATTTTGCTAAATGTTCTCAAGGTTCATGCATATTATTGCATCTTAAAGAATTTCCTTCTTGTTAAAGGCTGAATGGTATTATATTATGTGTATATACCACATTTTCTTTATCTACTCATTTGTCAATGGACTTTTGGATAGTTTCCACATCTTGGCTACTGTGAATGGTGCTGCAGTGAACACAGGAGTGCTAATATCTCTTTGAAATACTAATTTCAATTCTTTTGGATAAATACCCAGAAGTGAGATCACTGGATCCTATGGTAGTTCTATTTTTTATTTTTTGAGAATCCTCCATACTGTTTTCTATAGTGGCTGCACCACTTTGCATTCCCATCAACATTGCACAACGGTTCCAATTTCTCCACATCCTCAACAGCACTTATTATATTTTGTGGGTTTTTTAAAATAATAGTCATCCTGACAAGTGTGACTAATATCTCATTATAATTATAATTTGCATTTTCCTGATGATTAGTGACACTGATATTTAGCTTAGTTTTGTTCATGACAGTTAGGTGATTTTTTTACTTTTTTTCTCACAGTGAACTACATAGAAATTCAGGTCAACATTAGAAACAAATTAATATATGAATATAAGTCTCAGTCACCCCATCCCTCAATGTCCACATGTAATCAAACACTATTAGTAATAATAACTATCATTTATTGATTACTATAGTTACCTGGCTAAGCACTTGACATTAATTATCTCATTTAACTCTAACCACAACTCCATGAGGGATTTCTATTACACATGCTTGATACATGAAGCACCTGAGGCTTAAAGAGGTTAAGTGGTGTCACACGTATTCACTGAGTTTGTATGTGGCCTAGACAGGAATCCGTTTCGAATCTCTGACTTCAGAGTCCAAGATCTAAACCACCATACACACTGTCTGCCTTCACAGAGCTCCTGCTGCTTCTTCCATCCACTAAACAATAACTGGAAAAATTAAGACATTCATACACGTGGACAAATTCACATAAAATGCCCAGCCTCTGTCATGTGCCCAGATTCCCACAAACACTTTTTCTTTAAAACTTGATTCTGGCTATTTGTTTGACCCAGGAGGTGAAATTAGGTTACTGCAGACTGATTTATTATGCATTTCTTCTCTCCAAGAATAAGTGAAGCCTTCCTTTGATCTGCAGAAATTGTGCAGAAAAAATTAAGATGACTGGCAAAATAGTCCTTCCTTCAACACTCCTGGCTTTTCTACAAGAGTTTGCCCCATTCAGTTTTTCAACAAGCCTTTCTAAGGCTTCATTGAACTCAACCTATAACTGGGTTCTGTGATAGACACAAAAGAGAATAGTTCCCTGCTTTTAATGAAGGTAGTAGCTTATATAGGAAGACAGTTAACTTACGTGAAATCTATGTCTATATACAAGCTTCAGCTAATGCACTCCAAAATACACAAGTGCTGAGAATAGCAGAAAAAGGAGAAAAATTGCCCATATTTCCAGATATACAAACCCTTTGTTTCTCATCTTAAGACGCAGACGAAAGGGGAAACATTTGTCTTTGATTTCCTGGCCACTGGCACTTTTGAGTCTTTGCAATTTGTGAGGTTTCTATACACTAGGAAGCCATAAGAGGGCCACAAATAGGATGAGTATGTTAGCAACAAGTAAACCAAGGTAAGCATCTTTGTCTGACTTCCCGGTAGATGAGACAGGTCTCAGCCTTCAGCAGTTTTATGCTTTCCTGCAGGACTCTACACAATTGTACATCAGTTCAAGCAATTGCATTAGCACAAGAGTGCTGAGCTGTTCCAAAGAGAATGAGTGAGCCAATAGCTATAGCTGGCAGCCAATGAAGGGAAAATGTGCTCTGAACACTCAGTGACTCACCCAAACAGACAGGAGGGAGTGTGTGCCAATTTAGCCTGGACACACTGCCAGAGCTCACACACTCAGCAGGGTCAGGATTTGCAGAGGAGGTGAGTTCTGCTGCAATCCAAGAAAGTCAAGCAATAGCTGCAGGGGACTAGAAGGGTGGCATTTTTCTGCTGGTGTCAGCATTAAATTCCCATACTTCAAGGGTCCAGGGACTTGCCTCTAAAGAAAGCATAAGTCTGAAAGGCAGCAGAGGTGGCTGACCATTGAAAGTCCTACTCACGTGTGCCAAGCTCACACCAGGTATGCCATGTTCAGTAGTTCTAGTTGCAAGTCACATTCCAGCTGAGGTTACTTCCTATTTCATTTTCTTATGTAATTTAAAATGCCACCAAATTTATCTGTATGCTTCTTGTTTACTCTCTAGCTACTTATCGGAAAAAGGAGTGTGTCACATAAGTTCACAATATAAGTGGTTGTGTTCAGAAATCTGTTTATGATGAAGAAGTCTAATTGATTTATTATTTAAAAAAACAGTTTATTGTGGCCAACATGAAAACAAAACAGAAATGTGTTTGGCTGTCAATACAGCATAATGAACTCATATTTTCCTCCATGAGAAGGCAGAAGGATCAAGACGGAAGATGTACTAGTCCTAAGAAGGGAAGAATCCTTTTTTTCTCTGAAACACATGTATGAGAATGCATTTACACTATAGCTTTCAGGCTTTTGAGCATAAGAATCCCTCAAGGAGCTTATTAAGAATGCAGTAAGAATCCTCATAGATTGTGATCCAGTAAGATTCTGCACTTTCAACAAGTACCCAAAGTGATGCTGTCTTACAGTACATTGAGCCACTTAGCAAGTGGCATTTAAGGGACAACTGGCAGGACCTTCAGGCTAAATATTATCTTCATACTTAAATGCTTAGCTGCTTTACTTTGAATCTTGAAGGCTTTTTTGTTTTCTGGTAAGTGATGGAGAAGCGGAAAGGAGTGCTACACATGCTTTACACCTTTGTAAGATAAACTTTTACCGGGGATTAAGTGGCAACCAGCTAACAACAATAGACAGAAATCTGGGAGCTAGGAAAGGAAGTGTGAATGATGGGGCAGGTGAGAGACACCCCCAAAGCTTTGTCAGAGCCACAGCCTCTTACCTGAGCAGGGAAGTACCTTGGATTTTGTTGTTGCAATTGTTCTTTTATTCAACGTATGGACATCCGATATCTACTTTGTGAAAAGCACTATGTGTTGTTGTTTTAGGGTTTTTGTTGGCGGTAGTTTTTTTTCTTTCTTTCTTTTTTTGAGATGGAGTTTCGCTCTTGTTCCTCTGGCTGGAGTGCAGTGGTGCAATCTCGGCTCACTGCAACCTCCGCCTCCAGGGTTCAAGAGATTCTTCCACCTCAGCCTCCCGAGTAGCTGGGACTACAGGCGCCCATCACCACCCCAGACTAATTTTTGTATTTTTAGTAGAGATGGGGTTTCACCATATTGGCTAGGCTGGTCTCAAACTCCTGATCCACCCACCTCAGCCTCCCAAAGTGCTGGGATTACAGGCATGAGCCACCGCGCCCAGCGAAGGTTTGTTATTTAAAAGAACGGTTACTGAGTCCCAGCTGCCCCTGAGGTAGTACTCAGCATGCCTGCTCTCCAACGTCAATGGTCTTCTTTTTAGCTTGCCTTCTTGACCTGCTACTTTGTTTGGGGTGTGAAAGACAAGACACCTAAAATGTGGTTGGAAATGTGATAAGAGATAGCTAAATGTTTGTTAAAACATTAAGGATTTTAAGAATTGCAGAAGGGGAGATTTATGTGGGATTGAAAACATGCAGAGAGGGAAGGGATCCGGTCCTGTAGGGGATATCCCATTGCATAGGTGCATGTCTTGTGGAGTTAGCTAGTGAGAAATTTCTCCGTTGACGGGTACTGAAATAACAGTGAAGAAAAGAAATATCTAGTATGCTATTTTTACTGCATGGTATAAAGGAGTCTAAGCCCTACAAGACTTCAGCATAGTCTGCTACTATGAATGCCTTACATGAGCCATATTATCAGGAAAATCCAAGAACAGTAGTAGTTTTCAAGTCAGGTAGGTTCAAAGCTGAGATAAGGTAAAGTCTTGAGGAGATGCGACATGTGTGAGATTCAGGACCAACAGGAAATGGTAATGAGGGTAACTATGAAAAGGAGACTGTAAACCTTCCAGAATTTGTAGAAATCTTGGAGGGAGGCCCTGAATTTCCCAGAAGATGTGAGATTTTATTTATGTTTCAGTAGGTGTGGTAACCTAGGCTGACAACTTAAATACACAAAAGAATGTAAAATATCTTTACATCTCTACACTTCCTCTCTCACTTCCCACACATATGTCTTGGTCTTTAAGGATATTACTCATGGGAGCATGAGATACATTCACAATGTTAAACGCAGGATGCTTCTATATGCAGGAAATAAATGGGAGAGGAGGCCGGAATGGTCTCTGTGTAAAATAGGAAATATGAGGCAAGACATTTTCCAGCAGAAGTGATTAGACAGGATTCATAGACAACATGAGGTCAAAGCTCAATTCTAAAGAATAATTAGAATCAGAATAGTGTGTTGAAATTGATAGGCAAATGTATGGGCGGGAAAGTTCAAACCACAATGGAGAGTCATTAAGAAGGACAAGTTGGGCATAAACAAGAAAGGACAAGCCAGGGCTAGACTGCAGAACGTAAAAGTCAACTTTGGAGGACCTAGTCTGACAGTGTAGGGAGGGGCTCCTGATTCTGTGTGGTCTTGCCTACAAATTCATACACATATTTTTCAGATCTTCTGGGCCTTCATCTCCTTGGGACCCATCTGGAAAGATAGTTATAGCATCCAATGCCTTGCAAACAATACTCAGCTCTATCCAGGTCTCTATGGAAGATCAGAGGCCATGAGGTCTGCAGCTCTGACTATTTAAGAGATGTATCAAGACTCAGCTCATTACCTCCACAATATTTCATGCCTGAGAATCCCACAGCTTCATTACTCAGAAAGTGTAGATCCTCAAGAGTGTAGTGGGTCATGCATATGAGCAGCAGCACTTTCCAGCTCAGCAAGTTCACATACCTCAGTAGTGTGTGGCCAATCTGTCAAGCCACCAAGTAAAAAACAAGTGTGACTAATTGTGGTTGGAAAGAACAATGACCCAGAAACACCCTTTGTGGAAGAACCAGTGCTGATTGTGAAGTTTTGCTCTCAAGAGACAGTGTGTATTTCTAGTCGACTCATTGTGCCTATTTTTCTAGGGACCATGTGCTAATTACCTGTAGCTCTGCTTCTCAAAATTACATCTGTGCTTGCAGAACTGGTCTTTCCCTTCTTATGTTCACAGTGTTGGCCTCTGGGACTCCCTCTGCATCCAATTCTGATTTCAAAGCCACCCTTCAAAAAGTTAAAGTGAAATTGGGTCAGGTAGAGTGTATGAGCATATTCCTTTAAGAATCCATACCATAGCATGTGAGCCCAAATGCTCATGTCACAGGGCTCAACATTAAAAGAAGAAGAAATATAAGCAGAGCCTTTCTCAGGGTTCTGCTTGTGGAAAAACAAGGCAGCAGTGTGAAGCAGAGTGAAGAACCACTTATTCTAGGCAGTATTAGAAGAAGAGAATGAAAATGGAGGGGAGAAGGAAATACAAGAAACTTGCCGAATACCTAACTCTCTAAATAAAGCAGGAAGAACAGGAAGAGATCAGGAAAATAATGCACTATAATCCTCAGCACTTTGGGAACTTGCAACCTCCCCAGAGCTGAGGGTGTTCACAGGATTCCCCCATCGCACACCCGACACTACTCCTTTTTATCTATCATGCCCCATCAAACCTCACCAACACAGTGTCTCATTTCCTCAGGGCTTTATGCAAATATAATATCATAAACAGTCAAAATAGATACAGGGGACATAATATCTCCTTGCTCAGAGTTAGGCAGGCTATCCAACAAAATTGTTCTATATTTTCAGGAGGCCCAGACACATAGGACCACACTGTGGTATGTGTATGAACTGTTTTTCACATTGTGGTCCTATATGTCTGGTCATTAATGCCATGCCCTAAATATCTCTAATTTTTCCCCTTGGGCAGAAGGGAAATTGCATTTCCCTCTCCTTGAAAGGTCCTGTGTTTTTCCCTGCCCCTTGAAGTGGCTTTGTGATTTGCTTTGACTATGAAATGTGAGAAGTGACATGTAGCACTTCTAGGCAGGGGCTTTAAGTGCCTGTGGATAACTTACCATCTTCTCTTTGCTGCTTCAGTCACAGTAGAGCATTTCATTGGCCGGAAATTTCATTGACTGGAGGCCGTGGGCAACTATAATGAGCAGAGCCCCCAGTTCCCGCTTAACCACGTTGGAAATGAAGCATGAAAAAGAAATAAACCTTTATTATTTTCATCCACCAAAATTTTGGGAGTTATTTGTTCCTACAGGATAACTTGGCCTGTCCATACTGATATATATTCATATGCATTATAATAGTGATTTTCTGAAAACAGCAACTAAATGCACGTGATTTTTATCTATGCATGTTTCTCTTGTGGGAAGGAATGTAATTCGTGGCAGACAAGAAGACGGCACTAACTGTAGAAGAAAAGATAGTTTGTTGCATGCTAAGAAGTATTAGGTTGTACAAAGTCATTTGCTCCTAAATCCTCCCAGATAGCTCTGTTTCCTGAGATTTTATTTATCCTTGATTTAGTTATTCTTAAGACTTCTTTTGCTGTTGACTCTTCCTCCTTCATTTTGTTACTGTTTGCCTCCAGTGTGCTCCATGCCCACCACAACCTACAACATTCTGCTTCTAATCTGCCTCTTAGAATTGTGAGTAAATTAAGAGCAATTAAATTTTGAATGAAGAACTAAAGAATGCTTCTGTGAGTACAAAAGTTAAACTGTCACACACACAGACTCTTTAAAATAATAATAAAATAAACATTTCATAATCCTTTCTGGTATATTATGCATTTTTACATTAGTGATTTTTTTTCTCCTTTAAGCTCTGTGGGACTTGATAGTGATCATTTTTTATTCTTATATCCCCTGCATCTACATTGACTGTTTAGATATTATGTTTGCATAATGCTATACTCATGTCTCCATTTCTGTTATGAAGGTTACCAGATAATGGCAATCGTGATAGCTTGCATAATTTTTCTCAAGTATTTGTTCTTCCCTTCCCTGTAAGAAAACATTGATTCCCTGCCTTTGCCATGTGATTTGCAGGGCCTCCTATTGGAATATACATCTCTACCCCACTGAAATCGGGCTTGGTCCTACGACACACTATAGCCAATGGAACATGGGCAGATGTGATGTAAACCATGTATACAAGATCTAAGTGACATCATCATATTCCACCTCTCTCTTGCTCTCTCCCCTCTGCCACCAGACTGTACCATATTGTGACCACTCCAGCAACCTGGGGTTCAGAAGAAGACACATGGAGCAGAACTGAAAAGGAGCCAGCAGTCATAGCCAATTCATAGCTAAAGACTGTAATATAAGAAAGGAATAGATGTTTGTTTCAATTCACTGAGATTTGGGGATTATTTGACATCACAGATATTGGTTATTTTACCAAGGCTTTGACTGGAATGGCATATTTTCAGATATGACCAGATTGAGGGGTTGAGATTGACTGTATAGAGCCAATAAAAAAGCCCCTTGAAAAGACTGGCCCAGGACCTTGTCTAAATGGTTTCCTTACAAGGTTTCTGACCTGTGATACTGTGATAAATAATGTCACTTTCTTTTTTTTTTTTTTCTTTTGAGACAGAGTCTCACTCTGTCACCCAGGCTGGAGTATAGTGGTGTGATCTCCGCTCATTGCAACCTCCGCTTCCCAGGTTGAAGTGATTCTCATGCCTCAGTAGCTGGGATTACAGGCACCTGCCACCATGCCCGACTAATTTTTGTATTTTTTAGTAGAAATGGGTTTTGCCATGTTGGCCAGGCTGGTTTCGAACTCTCGGCCTCAAGTGGTCCACCCGCCTAGGCCTCCCAAAGTACTGGGGTTACAGCCTCTTTGCCTAGCCAAGAATGCCACTTTCTAGTGGGCCCAGAAACCTCAAGATATTTTGGGACCTCAAGAAGAGCAAAATTTGTATAGATATTACAAGCACAGTCTAATGGTGAATGCTTGGCTTGGCTTCTGGCCTCAAAGCTTTTAAAAAGTTGAATTAGAAATTCCTTATAAAAGTTCCAGTAAAACCAATTTAAAAAGAGCCTATACGCTGATCACCACTTTTTATATGCTTTATGCAAATAACCAGGCCAAATATAATGAGACCAAAATTTATTTTGCAAATAAATTGGTCCTACTATGATTTATTCTTGGTAGAAATGAGGAAACCGGGGAAAGAAAACTTTAGTTTCTAGCCCTGAGCATTGTTTTGAATTTTGTTATTTGCCTACAATTTGGGCTAATCCTGAATTATTTCCTGGCTACAAGAAGTCTCTAAAAAATAACCAGGTTTTATTTTTCCTCATGACGTCTTTAGTTGACTTCTTATGGAATAGATTATTTTTATTATTGTTGTGGCATACAAATTCTCTTTTGACTGTAATATTTGTGTGCATTATATTTCTACTATTTAAATTATTAATGTTATGTATCTCATTGTTTTACTTTTTCTGAGAAAATGGAAGTCATTGTATTCTGAAGACTAGAGATGATTACCCTGTGAATCTACCCCGTTTGGAATCCCACTGGGCCTGTTGTTTTTCATTGCCAGTGTGTTGCTGCTAAAGCTACAACATATTAAACACCGTTCCTAAAAGCTCAGGGACCATCATGGAAGAGGAAGGTGCATGAGATTGTAACAGCTGGATTAGAAGGGTGAAGTGTGAAGGCCAAAAAAATTTCACCTTGGGTGCTAATCTGCCATATTGGCTTCCGATTAACCCAAATTACGGGAGTGCCTCTGAGATTTCTAGTTTATCTATTGTCCTTTGTGTAAGAGCACCTATATACCAAAACTCTTGCCCTTAAATGCAAATTCCTATCCCCTTCCTCTGAAGCACAAGCGCCCCTCCCCTAAAGTATATAATCTGGGGTCTGGTGGGTAATGGTGCTAGGATCCACGATCTTGTCTCACTACTGGCCAAGACACAGACATAGCTTCTGTTCATAAACCCCCATTAAATGTTTCTTTCTAAGAAAAAAAGTAAAGAAAAGAAAAGCTGATTAATACACTCAAAGCAGGATATCACTAAAAAGCAATATTCTTATTTTTGAAAGTACTTTTACTTTTACACTTCATTTTAGGAAGGGCTGGGAGTAATGGAAGCATGAGCTTTGGCATCAAGTAGACCTGTCTCTTTATGAGCTGCTTCATCTTGACAAACATAAAACACCCTCCCAATAGCACTTTTTCCTCTGCAGCTCTTTCAGAGGCCATTTTTTCTTCATACTCCACTCAGAACCCTGTTAACCAACTTGGGACCAAGAAGACTATTGACTGCAATTATTTGAATATAATATCATATGAAAGTCCATGAGTTCATTATAATATTCCACAAAAAGGAAATCCAAAAATAAACTCATTAGTCACCATTGAGATTGCTCTGGCAGCAACTTCCTATTGGAAACTAACGTTAAAAAAAGAAGAAGAAAAAAAAGCTAAATGCTTAAATATTTCAATATGAACTCTATGAACTGTTTTTTAGTAAAAAACAAATAGAACTTGTTGATGACAGAACATTATTGTCATATGATCATATGGATTAATGGCTAGTTATAAAAGGGGAAATACATCTTGACACTGGAAGATCAGGCTGTCCACATCACCATCTCTAAGAGTGGGACAACCAGACATGATGACCCTCGATATGATGTAATTTGAAGTTCACACAACATCTATAAAGGGTTTTTGTCAGAAAAGATTAACTTGAGTCTAATCAAGTCTTTAGATCTAACTTTAAATTTATAGGAAATATGGAGAATAGAGAACAAGTTAACGTCTCCTCGACATAACCTTGCCTCATTTTTATGTATTAATTACTATTCTTATTTATTTTTACTTACTTGAGAATTTATTTTTATTATCCATGTTCTCTGTGGAATATAAGCTCCAACAGCACAAGGCCTTGTACTGACGAGCCAACACTCCTTTCTCACAGTCTATTATCACGTTTGGAACATACTAGGTTTTCAACACAAATGTATTAAATGAACAAATGAATAACAAGTTATTTTAACCTCACCAAACTTGTTTACAAGTTAGGAAGTAATCATCTGTCTTCAAAGTTTAGGGCATTCTACAGTAAAATCAATTTCGTTTCTTCAACCAGCACATAGCATGGGAAAAAGAAAGAGAGGAGGAATCTGTTCTAGATTAAAAGAATCTGAAGCAACTTAACAGTCAAATGCAAAGTATTGATTATGGGATCCTGATTCAAGCAAACATTAGAAAGGCATTTTTTCTGTGATAACTGGGGAAATTTGAGGATTAGGTACTAATTGATACAAGAAATTACTACTGATTTTGTTAGGAATAATAATCAGGTTGCAAGTATGAAAGAAAATGTTCTCACATTTTGTTTCCTAGTTTCCACTTTTATTTTAAATTCAGGGGGTACATGTGCAGGTTTGTTACATGGGTATTTTGCGTGACATTGAGGTTTGGGGTACAAATGATCCCATCATGCAGGTAATGAGCATAGTACCCAATAGGTAGTTTTTCAGCCCTGTGTATTTTGGTGTGAAATTTCATGGCATCAAGGATATCTCTTTAAAATACTTCAGCACAGACAGATGTGATAGGTGAAGCAAATACAGAAACATGTTGATAATTATTCAATATGATGAAAGATATTTGGGATTCATTTTATTTCTTCCACTTTTGTGTGTGTTGAAATTTTTACAGGATATAAATTTATTAATACAATAAAAAATTATCTGTGAATTATCCTTTTTTCCCCCTTGTCCCACAAGTGATTCTGTTGACCCTCACCTCCTACATGAGTCCTGGATCCTTCCAATTTGCTCTATCTCTGTCATTGCCATCCTGGCCCCAACCACCGTTAGCTCTCTCCTGATGTACTGAGCAACCTCCTGATTGGTCCCCTTGCTTTCTCTCCTCTTCCCTAAAATATATTCTTCACATAGCATCCAAAAACTTAATCAGACAATGTCACTTCCTTCTTAAAAATCTTTCAAAGGCTTCACTCAGTATAAAAATCCTAAAACCTATCTCTGGTTTATAAGATCTGGTCCCTGCCTTACTTCATCTTCCACCACTTTTCCTGTGTCCACATCATTCCAGCTACACTACCCTAAATTGCATTCCTCCAACATACAAAAGTCTTCCAGTCTCAGGGACTTTGCTATCATCCTTCCTTCCTGGCTTGATGCTGGTGTGTCTGTACCACTCAGTCATCTACTTAAAGGTATCTCTTCAGATATACCACCCAGTCACATAATCCCAGCACCTCCGTTTAACTCTCTGCATAGTACCTACCATGATATGATCTATTTTTGTCTTATTTTTATTAATTTTACTTCTATGTTTATTTATTTTTACTATCCATCTATTACCATGTTTGGCACATAGTAAGGGTTCAAAACAAATGTGTTAAATGAATAAATAAATGAACAAGTTATTTTAACTCACCAAACTTGTTTCCATGTCTGTAAAATGGCATGACAATACTTGTCTGAGAGGGTTAAATGAGGTATTGAACAGAGAGTGCCTAGTCCAGTTCTTGTTGCACTGAAGATGTTTAATAAATGGCATCTATTTATGGCTGAGCAAAAGAAGTCAGACTTCCCCCACTCCCAAAAAAGAATACATAGTGTATAATTCTATTTACACAAATTCTAGAAAATGTAAGATAATCCAATGTGACAGAAAGTAATCCATGGATTCCTTGGGACAAAAGGGTTAGGCAGGAGAGCTAGGCATAAGAAATTTAGGGACATGATGAATATGCTCATTATCTTAATTGTGGTGATGCTTTGTTAACTATAATGTGTATATATCTACATTGTGGTTATATATATATAAATAGTATATATAAACTGTATATATGTATATATATATATATAACTGTATATATTTGTCAAGAATTTCAAATTGTACACCTCTAACGTGCAGTTTATTGCATGCTTATCATGCATTATTGCATTTATTGCATGCTTGTATACTCAAAGCTGTTTTTAAAAAGGCAAAATACAAAAAAAGGTAGCAAAAAATAAATAGTATCCACTTCTTTCACATACATCATGCATCTGATCCTCACAGTAACAGTATATAATAAGGCAGGAATTATTGCCCTCATTTGGCAGATAAGAAAATGGTGGCACAAAAGGGCCAGGAAGATGATTCTGGATTGGACTTTCAACTGTACTACACAGTTCATCATATCCAGAAAAAAACTAGTTTTTATTATTTAGCACTTAAAAATATCCTCGCCCAAGGTCCCAAGCTTCATCACTCTTGCTGATAGAGCAGGAGCATTGCCATCTTGGACAAGCACTGCCATTTTAAAGTTCACCTTGATTAAAAACTGCCTAAAAACTGCCTAAATCCAGAGGGCATTAGCCTAATGTCTAAGGTCAGCTTGACCATAAAGCACAAATGACATCTCCAACCAGAAACATTCCAACCATAAGATAAACCCCTCCTCGACCACAGACATTCCAACCATGCAATAAACTTCACTTCCACACAGAAACATTACAAGCCTGTGATAAATTTTCCCACCCAGATCCGCTAAATACTCTTAGTCTGTAAGAGAGAATGCTCCTGACCAAAAAAAAAAAAAAAAAAAAAAATTGTCCAGAAGCCCCTCTCAGGTTTATTCTCCAAAATAAACCTGTCTTTGACTGTTGAACCACTTTTCGTGTTTCTTTCCTCTTTCTTTAACTCTTACACTTGCCCCTTCCTCCCACTCTGTACCTGCTTATTACTGGAGTAGGAGGTAATGGGCCTTCTGAGACTGGGCAGGCTGCCCCTCATTACCGAGTTCGTGCTCCATGCTCCAAGGGCCCAGCTGAGTCCTGACTATTGGACTGAGCAGTTCTCCTAAGTGGAGCAGGTCTGCTGTCTTTGTGCCAACATGCAGCTTTATAAACACGTGAAACCATGTAAAATGTGTTCTGTACCTTCTCAAGAAGGGATGTGCTGGAGCAGTCCAATTATCCCACTACATCAGACAATGCCCACGTGCCTGGCTGTAGAACTAACCACTCTCATGCGTACACAGTTTTAAATATGAGCAGTTAAGTCAACTTCTCTGGCAGTTGTATAACTAATGATCCATCTAAACTGCTTTAATCTCTATGGATAGTGATCCTTTAACTTACACTGGATTTGACAATCACTTATCATGCCACTAATTCCGGAAATTATTTTCACTCCTAGAGCACCTTAGCTTTTTGTTGTAATTACAGCCAATAAGGCCTATAGCCAATGAAATTTTACATAATCCATTTTTCCAAACAAATCTCATTCCTTGGCTCTCTGTATACCTTACACATCAGCTGTATTGTACTGCTCCCTGTTTCCTGAACATTCTCCTGAGCATTTGATTTTCCAGACCTTTGCTCCCTTGAGTAATCCAGCACAGAGATGGCCTATGGTATTTATTTATTCACTTATGTGCACCTACTAGGTCCTAACAGTTAAACCTAACAGTTTAACATGGCAGGTTTGCTGGGGGAATAATAAAATGAATGTGTATAAAATTTTAAAGAGTATATTTTGTCAAAGGAAAATGAAATATTAATATGTTTCATTTTGTGGACCTCCTCTCGACATCTCTAAATGTTGCCAGGAGCAGATAAGGGTAGGTTCAAGGCTCATTCTATAGTCTCTGCTATTAAGATGTATCTGCTACAAGTCTCTGCATCTTATGATACTTTAGGTATATTCTCCTTAAAATCAGCCACACCAGGTTACGCATTCTATGGAGTGTTGAAATATCCTTAAAATAATAATAGATACAGATATATTTACAGTTGTGATTAGTTCTCCTGACCTCTGCCTTGTAAGTCATTCTTCCTGGCTTCTTTCAATTGAGTCTCACTCAGCTGTGGGAACCAGCACTCACCAACAGTCTTACCCTGGCTTGTAAGTGAATCCTTGTGGGTCTTTTCCTTTAGAAAAGAAAACTGATAGCAAAAACAAACCCAGATCTATCTGAAGCAATGGTTTGATATATTTTTTGATGATGTACAGGTAGTTAAATATTTAACCTTGGCACATAGAGGATAAAAAAATGAGTACAAAATTTCTTCAGTCCTGTATACTGAAAGCACAAGAGTTCCTTGTCCTACTAACTGCAAAGTCAATGGGATGTGCCAGGCAAAGGGGTGAACACTGTAGCCCAGTCAGAAAGATAGAGCCAAACAGGATAAGAATCATTTTTAGTGCCAAGGTAGATATAAACAAGAGGCAAGGAAGTGTTTGCCTCATACTAAGGGTGGATAATACTTTCAAATGTACCTTACAGTTTAGAAGACTCAAAAGATTGTTTTAGGCAATTCATTTCTATAGACAGCCACAACCTTGAGAATTTGAGGCCATCTCATTCTCTTAAAAAATTCTGTATCAGGAAGGAAAGAAAAATGTAGGTAGTGTTAATAATTGTTCATATTTGTTAGGTTATATTGCAACATAAGAATATGCACTAACATTTCTGAAACAAAAATTGAGACATGATTTGACAAGTATAACTGTGTTTATGTAAATAATAAAACACAAAATTTGACGATATTATTTACTCTCAGAAAAACTAGGTGTTATGGTGGCCATATCTATATGCAAGACATTTTAAAAATTGTTTGTAAATGCACATATGCAGTAGGCATTTAGTAATAAGTTGTTGAATTCAATTCAGCTCATCAGTCAGTAAGCAGTTATTGTGCACCTGCTGGGATGAAGACACTATATGCAATTTCACACGAATTTAACAGTTGCGTGCTTTTGACTAATATAAGAGATGAGTTATTAGAAAATACTTTGACTATATTAAAATCATTTTAAATAGACTTAAATCTTTATTTTTTGTCATCTGTGTCTGCTATTATTATGTTGATAATGTTAGGCAAACCAGAACTACAGGTTAAATTATTTTAATAAGTATCAAGAATTATATTCCTGGCATGGCGTAACATGTTTACATTAGCCTCTTAAAAGTTTCATTTTTATCTTTCTATTTCTCTTCCATTCTTCCTTCCCCATAGATTCCAAAGCAATTTTCTTAAATATTAATTTTATATTAATCTCCTATTTTAAACTCTTCCGTGACTTCCAAACATCTACAAGTCAAAGTCCGTTTTTAAATCTTGGCATACAAGTTTCTTCACAATCTGGCTGCCACTTAACCTTCCTGAAATCATTTTCCTCCATTTCAACTCCTCTCCCCACAAAAACACTATTTTCTAGCTAACTAAAAATTGTAGCTTTTAAAGATTTTGTAATTAGGTCACCAATTTACCCATATCATAATCTAGAGAGTAGTGAAATATGTAATTTCTTTACTTTGACTTCTAATACTAGATAGAGGGGAAAAATAAGTTTTAAATTTTAAACTTGGTTCAATCAGTGTTATGTAACTAAGTCTTGGCTTAGATGACTCCAGTAGACACGTTCATCTTTCAGATATCTGAACATATGGGATCTTATACAACTATCTGTTAGATGGACCCTCAGTAAACTCACATTAACTATCACATGGACACTCAATGCAATTTGTGGTGAATAGCCTGTAATCCCAGCATTTTGGGAGTATGCAGCAGGAGGATTCCTTAAGCCGGGAGTTTGAAACTAGCCTGGGCAACATGATGAGACCCCATTCCTACAGTTAAAAAATATATAAATAAATAAATGAAATTTGTGGTGAAAAAGTAAAAGGCTAAAGTATAGAAAACTTGCTTAGTGACCTAAACAAATAAGAGTTTGTTTTGCCTTACCAAAAAAATCCAAATATAAGCAGCTGTTACTGTTAACTTACCTGCTCAGTGATAACATGAATAAGAAGCTCTTCCCGCTTTTCACTTCATGTCCTTAACATATTGGCTTTTCATCCTCATGTTTCTTGCCCCATGGACAATGGATGTATGCTTCACTCATGTGTTCACATTCAAGGAAAAAAGAGAGTCAGGGATGGTCCCAGCCATATTCCTACTTTATCAAGACACAAAATTATTACACAAAGGACCCCCGCCCACCACCCAGCAAATTCCACTTTATCTTATTGATCAATACTTAGCCAAATATCCATCCTACTCTATAAGGAAGATATATTAATAGAAAGAGAGTATCTGTTTTTTTTCAGCCTCCCTACTGGCAAGGAGAAGGAAATTGGCAATGGATGTTGGTGTCTTTCTTGGTGCTCTTGAGGAGGTGGGAAAAGGGATGCTTAGAGCCATATGATGGCCTTGACAGTGCCCTTTGTCTGGCTGACTTTTGCTGATTTCATCAGCCTTTCTGGATGACTTAGGCTCATCTTGACCCTGAACAGGCTTCAGACCCCAGCCACACACTGATATCTCTGTCATCCACTGCCCAGATGGCACAGCCTAATGCCTTTACTGTGGAGTTGCTCATTCCCACTACAATAGCTGCTCATTTCCACATTACACAGAAGGAGGTGCTGAGATGCACCTTCTTCTGCCTAATCACACTCTGCTATCATGTTTATTTGTAATATGGATCTACCACTCAATTGATCTGGAGACAGCCTGCAAGTTATATCCTTTTAGAATAAGACAAAAGCTTCCTGGTTCTTGGAATTCCATATTTTGTCCAGTATCCCAAAGATACTCTCCCCTCACTAGCTTAGCCTTGAGTGTGTTAATGGGGAGGGCAGTGAGGGGACTCTGATATCTTCTTTCCTCAACCTCTTTCTCTCTTCTCTATCCTCTCACTCTCAAATGCCCCTCTGTAATCATTTTCTTCTTTCCTCCAGGTCACATTCTTCATCTTCCAAATTCCATTCTCATGGCTAAGCTTAAATACTAGTCAGATGGTCTCTTCTATACATGTGGTGTTTTAACTATACAGTTGATATATATACATATCACATACACATATACAGGTATGTTCACAACTATACACATATATTAGCAACTATTAAAGAAACAAAAAACTGATATGATAATTTAGTATACTGTTGTATAATTTGATTGTGAAATAGGATGGTCTACTATAATATAAGTATTATATGGTCTACATGTGAATAAAAGTGTTTCAGAAGTTTTGAACATGAAATTGTACTAAATATTCAAACTATATTAGCCAAGTATAATTTAACTGTGATGATCTAAAAGACCCTGTAGGCTCTTTTCTCATCCAAGATTATCATTACGAACACTAACTGTCATTGTGTGGTATATCTGTGAATACATTATTTAGTTGATGTTTTAGATTGACTGAATTGAAGATAAGTTAACTATACAGTTTCGCACACTTATTTTTGAGTAAATAAGTTTTAATATTAAGGTTAGCTGTCTTTTTCTCAGGGACATTTCCCTGACATATCCAACTAAATTATATTTTTCATTTATATGCTCTTATTGCACGCTATATTTGTTCTTTGTATCATTAATCATATTGTAATTGAATAATTGTTTATGTAACTGTTTAATATTAAGCTCTCCTATTCCACTGTAAATGCCACAACTGTAGGGACTTTATATGTCTACTTCAGCATTTATTCCTATCATCTAAATGCAGTGCCTGGCACTTAGTAGCTATTTGGTATATATTTTTTGGCTGGATAAATAAGAGGTCAAATAGGTTAAGAACTGAGAAATGTCACTTGAATTTAATAACAAACATGATGACAGCAATTTCAATGAATTAATGGGAAAGACATGAGACCACAGATAGGTAAACACTGCAAAAAAGCACTGAGGAACCAGAAGGAAAACCAAAGCCAAAGTTACTAACTTTATCTAAAATGACAAAATCTTTGTCTGTTTATTATATGTTATTTTAATTAAAAAATTAAATCTAAAGTGTCAGGCAAAAAATTACTAAATTATTTTTATTAAATTGACCATTAACATGTCTCTGAGAATCAACACAGAGAAGACCTTTATAAGTGGCAGGTTCTCTTGTGATATTAACCTCTTTCAGTTTTGCTTGCACACTTGTTTTGAGCTCTCCAGAGTTTGGCAGCCAAGAGGACATACATACACATAACAGAATAAGGCAATATGTTCAATTTGGTTACTATGAACAAATTGAAGATGTGCCATAGAAACTGTCATTTGGATATTTGAATAAAACTCCCACTTAAAATTGGGTTAAGATTTTTCTTTCAGGATGCTATATGCACATTTTATTTTCTTTCTGTCCTGACAGAAAGGACACTTCTTTGTATGTTTCTTCTCTGCCTTTAAAGGTGATTTTATTATTTTAAGTGTCTGTTTTAACCATCATGTGAAGTTAAAGACAAGAATGGAATGACCTTTAGTTTCAGAGCCATAAATATTTCAAAAGAAATAGACCTTTTGAGCTCAGGAAAGGTGTGTCAGATGAACAGGTGTCACTGTAGGTTAATGAGTTGGCTTTCACCACCAGCCACCTGGACTGTAATTTGGGTTGGGTCACACATGTGCATGAAGTTGGCCAATTTAATCCTGGCTCTCTTGGAACTGTCTCCATATTAGAAAGCCATCAAACAAAGAGTCCACTCCGAACCTTATCATCAGTCTCCTAAAGAAAGATTGGGATTGAAATGGCAAGAAAATTAAAGCCCAGGTCCTTCGGCAGGCAGTTGGCAGGCGCACAGTTTTCTCTCCATACAGTGCTTCTCATTAACCAGCTAATGAGTCCTTAGCGATGACTGAGTGACTCAACTGAAAGCAGAACAATGATAAGTGAAAGGGAGTTGTAGAGACACACGTTCAGAAAAAAAAAAAAAAATGTACCAAGCTAAAAACAGAAGTAAATTACATCTTTAGTTAACAAACATGGGCATGTGGGGTGTTTATGAGCAGAGAAGAGACTGATCAGTGTAATCTAAGAACGGCACAGGATTGAGGTATGAACAACTTCTCTAAAAAACCAACAGAATTTAAATCCATCAGGGATCTTGCAAAAGGCATATGGTAAAGAAGCTGTCCATCCATTCTCTTCCTGTGATTCTTTTTATGTGACATTCACTTATTATTTATGACTGTGCTTAAGGAAGCCATCTGGTAAAGTTAGTCATAAACTACCTGCTCCTCTCTGTTTTTTTGTTGAGTACTTAGTCATTGTATTACCTTTTACACAGTCCTTGGCTCATGCATACATTTCACAGACTACCTTCTTTATGAGGTCAGAATGAAGCAGGCCACAGGCTGAAGTCCTGAAGTTACCTTTATTGGTATTTAATTGTGGGCTCCCATCTCATCTAACATCCTGCTGCCAGGTGTGGCAGAGAGTGACAGCACCTCAGAAGCACATCTCTACCAGTAAATCTTGATCACATTTATGCATCTTATATTTCTGTCATTACTGTATTTCCAAAGTGTCCTTTTCACATGGCCATTTTATTGCTCCTTTTGAGTTCCAAAGTTCTCTGACTTCATCTCTCAGTGCCAAAAAAGGCATTATACTATTCTGTTGGTCTTATCATCTTCCAGAAAACAATAATGGCTTTGTTGTATGCCTTTAGTTAAATGTGTTCATTGTGCCAGCAAGACAGGAGTTAGGCATGTCTTCTAGTACAGACTTAAGTCTAACTAGAGAGGGTTTTGGCCTCCTCTATTCTCTATCCCAGGCCCAGCTTTAGAATTGATTTCCCCTGCTGTAGAGCATACATTTGGTGCATTTTATTTCTAGACATTAAATTCTTCTTAGGCTTACTTGTGTATACTTTCAAAATGTTAAGTAGTTACAAATTTGTTTTTGTTTAGCCCTTTAAAAAGTGGCCCAGGATTAAAGTAATGAGATGAAACTAATACAAACTGAAGGAAATATGACAATTTGAGGTATCTTGGGAACTTCGTTTTAAGTCATTGCAATATTTATAGAATATTTCCACAGATAAGAAGAAATGCTTACTTACTTCAGATGACCTAGGATGGACCAAATAGTTGTAAACACTTTAAAAAATATTATTGGAAGAAAATTTCTATGTAATTTAAAGCTCATATATATAAACATTGCCTTTTGAATATGTCAATTTCTATCTTCTCCTGGATTTGCCTTTATGAAATGCCATCTTTTTTATTTAGTTCAGTTATTTGAATATTACTATGACATTGGGGGCAGTAGTAAATGCGACTGAGTTCCACCAAAATCTGTTCTTCCCTTTTGCCATGAAAATAAAATTGTGATTGAGTCGAAACCTCTGAACTAGGTTGTATTTCTCAGCCTCTCTAGCAGTTAGATGGACAAGTTCTGGTTAATAGAATGTGAGCAGAAGTGATGTGTCTGGGTCTGGAAATTAAAACATTCAGCAAAACTCATTAAGATGTTTTCTGTATGTGGCAGGGGTCCAGCTTCATTTGTATCCCAGAGGATGAGGGAGCAATTAGGTTGCAGGAATCTATCTCTGAATGACTGCATATAGCTGATCTGTCCCACCCGTCTGAGTTATTCAGATGGAATCTGTCTCTGAATGACTGCATATAGCTGATCTGTCCCACCCATCTGAGCTATTTACTTCCGCTCTGTTACACAAGAAAGACACTCATTTCT
This sequence comes from Homo sapiens, assembly GCF_000001405.40. Classification (NCBI taxonomy): domain Eukaryota; kingdom Metazoa; phylum Chordata; class Mammalia; order Primates; family Hominidae; genus Homo; species Homo sapiens. The sequence continues at coordinate 80,438,853 of NC_000006.12, read as the reverse complement.
GCATTTGTTAAGCCACTGTATTTTGGATCCTTTTTGTTATAGGAGCTCATCCTCAAATACAACAAACACAGATGTAACCCCATTTAATCAGAAAATGATATGTGTTTGTTATGCTAAAGTTCATGTGTGCTTTTAAATTTTCAGTAGCAAATAGGCTTTGAAAATGTTACTTCTCTAATTGGAGCTAGAAACACAAGTGTATATTTTAATTTTTTTCATTTATATGTAATATAAATATTTCTCATTTACTATCAAGTGCTGATGAGGGTATGAGGAATCTTGGAATTTCATAGTGTGAAATGTAATTGTTATGGTCTTTTTGGAGTTATTTAGTGGTATCTTTTGAAAACAAAAAATTGTATCACTTTTTGGTTCTACTTAGTGAAATCTGTCTTACAGAAATATTTGTACACATGTAAAAACATGCATGTAAAAAGACATGAATTTCAAATACATTTTTGTAATAGAAAAAATAGAAACAATGTAAACACCTATCAATACAGTGATGGCTACATAAATTATGAAAAGTCTATGCTATGAGATCCTTGTTAAGAAAGATGAGGAATGTTCTGATATGAGAAAATAACTAGGATGTAGTAAGAACAAAAATACGTTGCAGAACAGTGTGCAAATTATGACATCATTTAAGTACAACTGCCTGTGTGTATGCACTGTGTTTCCTAGTGTGTATGTGATCTGAGGAAGAAACCGAGGCTGAGATAATAGTGCAATTTGCCTTTGTATTCCTTCATTTTCTTCAGTATCCAACATATAATGGAAGCCAGATGTTGACCCAGATATAAAGAGTTTCATCCTTTCTATTATCCAGTGCGTAATAAGCGACATCCACATGAATAAATACATCTGCGAGATACACAGGACAGGCATAGGAAGACAGTGCACCAAGGTTATCTCTGGCAAGGAAAAGGGGATTTGCAGCATAGATTGGAACGTACAGCAGAACTATCACTTTTCAATTCAATATACTTCTCTGTCATTTGGATTTTTAAATATATCCCATGACTCCTTGACTCAAATATAGCATAACATTAAGAACCACAAAATATTTAGAGTGTTTGATGAAAATTTATGCACCATAGGAGCTTTTTCAGAGTGTCAGATGCTAATGTTACTGTGGGATTTATCATCTGAAAACCATGAGCATCAAAGAAATTAGTCTTAATCTAAAAGGAAGGCTCTGGATCAGAAAGAAATTTAAATAAAAATGGAAAATATTACTTATACTCTTTAAGCAACTTTTGGACTTTTTTTGTGAGAACACTGCAGCTTCCCTGTTGCTAAACTTGGGAATAATGAAGAAAGCCTCATGGGATGAGTGAGAGCTTCTAGGATGAAAGTAGTAACTATGGCTGGGAGATCATTGTTCCAAAGAGAATTGAAGCCAACACAAGGTTAAAATGCTGGCAAGCCCTCTAATTGTGACTTTTGAAAAATGAGGCTCTTTGCAAAAAAAAGGCAGCGGATACATGTTAAGATGTTAGATTTTCAAAGAATGCATACATGAGTAATCTTAAGATGAATGATAATGCTCTGAAGATTGTTTTCCAGAAATAAAAGTTAAAGTGTAATGATATCTTAAACTATTGTTTTAACCATGTAAGAATTTTTTTTTCTTTACTGAACTTTGTGGTGGTTTTAAAGATTTTATTCTGGGAAGTCTATAAGATGAACACTTCTGAGACAGCAGAATTCAAAAGTTTGGAAATTCATAATCAGTTATATTAAATTAAATACTATTTTAAATAGTCTTAAACACTAAGTTAATTAAAATAATGCCTAAATCTTCTTTTTCTCATCTAATAATATTATGGGTGAGTATATTAAAACAATTCTAAAAAACTAAAATAAAGCTTATACCTAGTGGTTATTCCACAGACTAATTTGGAAAATATCAGTGCTTGGCATGAATGATTCTGTTCTCCCAAAGCATTCAGTTGAGTAGTGACAATCAACCTGTAGTTTGGAATGTACCAGTACTTAAAAGGAAAACATATTCTTAGAAAAAGCAATCATGCTGTCAGGCATATATTCAACATATAATCATGGATCTCTACATGGATTTACGGAAAGAAGTGAAATAAACTGTAGATCTTCTTCAAAAGGGAAAGAGTATTAATCAAATATTTATAATATGAAAAGCACTATAAGTAATACTATCAAAATGCCTTGGAATCACAAAGAAAAGGCTTAAAAATTCCTCTAAATTCGCAGTGGTTTCACAGAGGAGGTGACACTTAAACCATTTTTAGGAATGTCTAGGATGATTTCTAAACATGGAAAGGGACAGGTGAAGTAAAAACAACAGTACATGCATCTAACATGCTTAAATACATGGGTAAATGCCATAGGGTAAAAACATGAGATTATAACAGGATAATATTTTGAAAATAAGAATTTTGGCCGGGCCCAGTAGGAGGCCAAGGCGGGTGGATCACGAGGTCAGGAGATGGAGACCATCCTGGCTAACACGGTGAAACCCCATCTCTACTAAAAATACAAAAGCAAAATTAGCCAGGTGTGGTGGCGGTCACCTGTAGTCCCAGCTACTCCGGAGGCTGAGACGGGAGAATGGCGTGAACCCGGGGGGCAGAGCTTGCAGTGAGCCAAGATCGCGCCACTGCACTCCACTCCAGCCTGGGCAGCAGAGCGAGACTCCGCCAAAAAAAAAAAAAAAAAAAAAAAAAAGAAAAGAATTTTTCAGAAAGAATACAAACAAAGTTAATATTAGGTTTTGGGCATATAAAATAGGATCTTGCCAACAGACAATAGATTTGAGAGAATAAAAACTATAACTTCTTTTAATTTTCATTTAACATCAAGCGCTGGGCCTGAGAGATGTTGTAGTTTTTTCTCACAATGTCAACCTCCGCCTCCTGGCTTCAAGCGATTCTCCCACCTCAGCCTCCTGAGCAGCTGGGATTACAGGCATGCGCCACTACAGCCAGCTAATCTTTTGTATTTTTAGTAGAGACGGGTTTTTACCACGTTGGTCAGGCTGGTCTCGAACTCTGGACCTCGTGATCCACCCACCTCGGCCTTCCAAAGTGCTGGGATTACAGGCATGAGCCACTGTGCCTGGCTGAAAAGTCTCTTATGACCTAGGTTCAGAACTCACACACGTTTCACTTCAGCTTCAGTATATATACCAAAATGAGTCACAGTGTCAGCCCAGGTTTAATGAGTGAAGAAATGAACTTTATGTCTTAATGGAAGAGGCTGCAAGTTTGCATTGCAAGATCTTGAAAAAAAGTGGAATAATTTGTGGTAATTTTCACAATCTACCACAATGAAGTAGTGTTATTTCTCCCTATTTTATACATGACAAACTAAGACTAGAATGTTGCACAGTGACTAGAACAAAGTAGACATTCAATAAACATTATAAAATAAAATAATAAAGTTATGAATGAGTTGAATGATTTAATTAGTACATATATAGATAGAGCTATGATTTGGTCCTGGATTGTCTGTCTCCATGTCCTGATTCTTTCCCATTACTTTACATTGGCTCCTAAATATAAATTTAAACAACAAATAAGAGTTAACAAATAACATGACAAATTTCAGTAAAATCAAATTGTGCCCAGCTGTAGACTCCTGTTGCTGGCCATGATAGAGGTTCATGTGACGTAATTGTTTTAAGACATTGGCTAACAGACAGCACAGGACCATGATCCCTAGGATAGGGATAGATAAATAAATGAGATAAACTCTACAATTGCTCCAGTTTGCTGCCTAGAAATAGTTTTCAGTCTACAAAGCTAATTGGAGAAATCCAAACAGAGCCTGGCAGTCTTTCTAAGTTCGAGATTAGAATTAAAGAAAGCCAAGATAGCAAGAATTTGCAGAAAAGAGTGCTGAAGAAGAGAAGCTGCACAAAGAAAAAAACTCCAAAGATCTATGGAAAAACACCATTGAGTTTCTGGCTGATCACAGATCTATGACTGCATAAAAGGAAACTGCCCAAAGCCAGGGAAATAATCCCTGAAAAGCAGTAGGCTGAACAAGTCGTGGAGCTCAAATAGAGCTGGGCATGAACATATTTCCACCAGCCAGAGTAGAGAGATTTCATAATATATAGGAAATTGGGTAGAGTTCCCGAAGGTACTGCCTTAGGAGCAGAATGAAATTAGCTCAAGACAAGCAGCTTCTGTTGAAAACAAAGCCCTAAGAAAGCTGAAAAAGAATTCTACAAAGGGATTAAACTGGTTTCAAGTAAATTAATTAGACATCAAAACAAAATTTAACAACCTTTAATGAAATAAAAAACAGTATTTAATAAAAAAATTCACAATATCTAACATCCTATGAAAAATTACCATCATGCAAAACCCAGGAAAATATTTAATTAATAAACAGAAAAATCAATAAAAAGAAATAGACCTACATAGGACAGAGGTGATAAAATTAGCAGACAGGTACATTAAAACAGTATTATGAGTATTATTAAAATAATACTCTACTTTGTAGAGTATTATTTCAGTCTACTTTGTAGACTGAAAACTATTATTAAAATAATACTCATAATCTGTTGTATGTTTTTAAGAAGCAGAAAAATATTAAATGATATAGAGAGAAATGGAAGATATAAAAAATCAAAATGGCTCAAACGAGATGAAGAAAAGCAATATTTGAAATTTAATAAAATATATCAAGTGTGATTATGTATGAATACAATGGCAGAATATAATGGCAGAAAAAAAAATTGTTAACCCAAAACAGTTGACACATATACATATATAAACTATCCAAAGTGAGCTCAAAAGAGTAAAACAATTAACTAACTAAAAAGATGCCTCCCAAATAAAGAGCAGAGTATCAGTGACCTGTGAAACAATATTAAGTGGTCAAGCATTTGTCCAACTGGAGTCACAGAAGTGAAAAGTTAAGAGAAAGACACAAAATATTTAAAGAAATAATGGCCAAAAAAATTTCCAAATATGATAAAGCCTACAAACCCAAAGATTCAAAAAACATAATGATTCCAAATCAAAACAAACAGAAAGAAAATTGCACAACCGTGCATCACACACAAAGTACTGAAAATCAGTGTTTTTTAAAAAATCTTAAAATCAGCCAGAGGACAGACATCGAACTAGCTTCAGGAGTTCTTTTTTTTTTCCATACACCAGTGACTCCTGGAATGCCAATGAGACAGAACCCTTCACTCTCCTGGAAAGGGGGCTGAAGCCAGGGAGCCGAGTAGTCTGGTTCAATGGGTCCCACCCCCACAGAGCACAGCAAACTAAGATCCACTGGCTTGAAATTCTCACTGCCAGCACAGCAGCAGTCTGAGATCAACCTGGGACACTTAAGCTTGGCGCGGGGAGGGGTGTCTGCCATTGATGAGGCTCGAGTAGGCGGTTTTCCCCTTACAGTATAAACAAAGCCCCTTGGGAAGTTTGAACTGGGTGGAGCCAACGGCAGCTCAGCAAGGCCTCTGAGGCCAGACTGCCAGATTTCTCCTCTCTGGGCAGGGCATCTCTGAAAAAAAGGCAGCAGCCCCAGTTGGGGACTTAAAAATAAAACCCCCATCTCCCTGGGACAGAGCACCTGGGGGAAGGGGTGGCTGCGGACACAGATTCAGCAGACTTATACGTCCCCGCCTGACAGCTCTGAAAAGAGCAGAGGACCTCCTAGCACAGTGTTCAACCTCTGCTAAGGGTCAGACTGCCTCCTCAAGTAGGTCCCTGACCTCCTTGTATCCTGACTGGGAGGAATCTCCCAGTATGGGCCAACAGACACCTCATACAGGAGAGCTCTGGCTGGCATCTGGCAGGTGCCCCTCTGAGACGAAGCTTCCAGAGGAAAGAACAGGAAGCAATCTTTGCTGTTCTGCAGCCTCCACTGGTGATACCCAGGCAAACAGGGTCTGGAGTGGACCTCCAGCAAACTCCAGCAGACCTACAGCAGAGGGGCTAACTGTTAGAAAGAAAACTAACAAACAGAAAGGAAGAGCACATCCACTCAGAGACCCCATCCATAGGTCACTAACATTGAAGATGAAAGGTAGATAAATCCACAAAGATGGGAAGAAACCAGAGCAAAATGGCTAAAAATTCCAAAAACCAGAATGCCTCTTCTCCTCCAAAGGATCACAACTCCTCACCAGCAAGGAAACAAAACTGGACTGAGAATGAGTTGGATGAATTGACAGAAGTAGGCTTCAGAAGGTGGGTAATAACAAACTCCTCCAAGCTAAAGGAGCATGTCTAACCCAATGCAAAGAAACGAAGAACCTTGAAAAAAGGTTAGACCAATTGCTAACTAGAATAACCAGTTTAGAGAACATAAATGACCAGATGGAGCCGAAAAACACAGCACGAGAACTTCGTGAAGCATACACAAGTATCAGTAGCCAAATCGAACAAGCGGAAGAAAGGATATCAGTGATTGAAGACCAACTTAATGAAATAAAGCAAGAAGACAAGATTAGAGAAAAAAGAATAAAAAGGAATGAGCAAAGCCTCCAAGAAATATGGGACTATGTGAAAAGACCAAATCTACATTTGGTTGGTGTACCTGAAATTGATGGGCAGAATGTAACCAAGTTGGAAAACATTCTTCAGGATATTATCCAGGAGAACTTCCCCAACCTAGCAAGGCAGGCCAACATTCAAATTCAGGAAATACAGAGAACACCTCAAGAAGAGCAACCCCAAGACACATAATCATCAGATTCACCAGGATTAAAATGAAGGAAAAAATATTAAGGGCAGCCAGAGAGAAAGGTCAGGTTACCCACAAAGGGAAGCCCATCAGACTAACAGTGGATCTCTCTGCAGAAACCCTGCAAGCCAGAAGAGCATGGGGGCCAATATTCAACATTCTTAAAGAATATAATTTTCAACCCAGAATTTCATATCAAGCCAAACTAAGCTTCATAAGTGAAGGAGAAATAAAATCCTTTACAGACAAGCAAATGCTGAGAGATTTTGTCACCATCAGTCCTGCCTTACAAGAGCTCCTGAAGGAAGCACTAAACATGGATAGGACAATAGATTAATCTTAAATGTAAATGGACAAAATGTCCCAATTAAAAGACACAGACTGGCAAATTGGATAGAGTCAAGACCCATCAGTGTGCTGTATTCAAGAGACACATCTCACCTGCAAAGATGCACATAGGCTCAAAATAAAGGGATGGAGTAATATTTACCAGGCAAATGGAAAGCAGAAAAAAAGCAGGAATTGCAATCCTAATCTCTGATGAAACAGACTTTAAACCAACAAACATCAAGAGAGACAAAGAAGGGCATTACATAATGGTAAAGGGAGCAATTTAACAAGAAGAGGTAACTTTCCTAAATTTACATGCACCCAATACAGGAGCACCCAGATTCATAAAGCAAGTTCTTAGAGACCTACAAAGAGACTTAGACTCCCACACAATAATAGTTGGAGACTTTAACACCCCTCTGGCAATATTAGACAGATCAATGAGACAGAAAATTAACAAGGATATTCAGGACTTGGACTCAGCTCTGGACCAAGCAGGCCTAATAGACATCCACAGAACTCTCCACCCCAAATCAACAGAATATACATTCTTCTCAGCAACTCATTGCACTTATTCTAAAATTGACCACATAATTGGAAGTAAAACACTCCTCAGCAAATGCAAAAGAACTGAAATAATAATAAACAGTCTCTCAGTCCACAGTGCAATCAAATTAGAACTCAGGATTAAGAAACTCCCTCAAAACCACACAACTATATGGAAACTGAACAACCTGCTCCTGAATGACTACTGGGTAAATAATGAAATGAAGGCAGAAATAAAGATGTTATTTGAAACTAATGAGAACAAAGACACAACGGACCAGAATCTCTGGGCCACATTTAAAGCAGAGTGTATAGGGAAATTTATAGCACTAGAAACCCACAAGAGAAGACAGGAAAGATATAAAATCTACACCCTAACACCAAAATTGAAAGAACTAGCAGAGCAAGAGCAAACAAATTCAAAAGCTAGCAGAAGACAAGAAATAACTAAGATCAGAGCAGAATTGAAGGAGATAGAGACACAAAAAACCCTTCAAATAATAAATGAATCTAGGAGATGGTTTTTGGAAAAGATCAACAAAATAGATAGACTGCTAGCGAGACTCATAAAGAAGAAAAGGGAGAAGAATCAAATAGATGCAATAAAAAATGATAAAGGGGATATCACTGCTGATCCCACAGCAATACAAACTACCATCACAGAATACAATAAACACCTCTACACAAATAAACTAGAAAATCTAGAAGAAATGGAAAATTGAATCCCTGAATAGACCAATAACAAGTCCTGAAATTGAGGCAGTAATTAATAGCCTACCAACCAAAAAAAGTCCAGGACCAGAAGGATTCACAGCTGAATTCTACCAGAGGTACAAAGAGGAGTTGGTACCATTCCTTCTGAAACTATTCCAAACAACATAAAAAAAGCAAATCCTCCATAACTCATTTTCTGAAGCCAGCATCATCCTGATACCAAGCCTGGCAGACACACAACAAAAAAGAAAATTTTAGGCCAATATCCCTAATGAACATCAACGCAGAAATCCTCAATAAAATACTGGGAAACTGAATCCTGCAGCAGATCAAAAAGCTTATCCACCATGATCAAGTCAGCTTCATACCTGGGACGCAAGGCTGGTTCAACATATGCAAATCAATAACCGTAATCTATCGTGTAAACAAAACAAATGACAAAAACCACATGATTATCTCAAAAGATGCAGAAAAGGCCTTTGACAAAATTCAACAGCCCTTCATGCTAAAAACTCTCAATAAACTAGGTATCGATGGAACGTATCTCAAAATAGTAAGAGCTATTTATGACAAACCCACAGCCAATAGCATACCGAATGGGTAAAAACTGGAAGCATTCCCTTTGAAAACCGGCACGAGACAAGGATGCCCTCTCTCAACAATCCTATTCAACATAGTACTGGAAGTTCTGGCCAGGGCAATCAGGTAAGAGAAAGAAATAAAGGGTATTCAAATAGGAAAAGAGGAAGTCAAATTGTCTCTGTTTGTAGATGACATGATCATATATTTCCCCACCACTCAGCCCAAAATCTCCTTAAGCTGATAAGCAACTTCAGCAAAGTTTCAGGATACAAAATCAATGTGCAAAAATCACAAGCATTCCTATACACCAATAACAGACAAACAGAGCCAAATCATGAGTGAGCTCCCATTCACAATTGCTGCTAAGAGAATAAAATACCTAGGAATCCAACTTACAAGGGATGTGAAGGACCTCTTCAAGGAGAACTACAAACCACTGCTTAAGGAAATAAGAGAGGGCACAAACAAATGGAAAAGCATTCCATGCTCATGGATAGGAAGAATCAATATTGTGAAAATGGCCATACTGCCCAAAGTAGTTTATAGATTCAATGCTATTCCAATCAAGCTACCATTGACTTTCTTCACAGAATTGGAAAAAACTATTATAAATTTCATATGGAACCAAAAAAACAGCTCGCATAGCCAAGACAATCTTAAGCAAAAAGAACAAAGCTGGAGGCATCATGCTACCTGAACTCAAACTATACTACAAGTCTACAGTAACAAAAACAGCATGGTATTGGTACCAAAACAGATACATAGACCAACAGAACTGAACAGAAGCCTCAGAAATAACACCACACATCTACAACCATCTGATCTTTGACAAACCTGACACAAACAAGCAACGGGGAAAGGATTCCCTATTTAATAAGTGGTGTTGGGTAAACTGGCTAGCCATATACAGAAAACTGAAACTGGACCCCTCCCTTACACCTTATACAAAAATTATCTCAAGATGGATTAACTACTTAAATGTAAGATGTAAAACCATAAAAATCTTAGCAGAAAACCTAGGCAATACCATTCAGGACATAGGCATGGGCAAAGACTTCATGTCTAAAACACCAAAACCAATGGCAACAAAAGCCAAAATTGACAAATGGGATCTAATTGAACTAATGAGCTTCTGCACAGCAAAAGAAACTATCATCAGAGTGAACAGGCAACCCACAGCATGGGAGAAAATTTGTGCAATCTGTCCATCTGACAAAGGGCTAATATCCAGAATCTACAAAGAACTTAAACAAATTTACAAGAAAAAAAACAAACAACCCCATCAAAAAGTGGGCAGAAGATATGAATAGACACTTCTCAAAAGAAGACATTTATGCAGCCAACAAACATGAAAAAATGCTCATCATCACTGGTCATTAGAGAAATGCTAATCAAAATCACAATGAGATACCATTTCACACCACTTAGAATGGTGTTCATTAAAAAGTCAGGAAACAACAGATGCTGGAGAGGATGTGGAGAAATAGGAACACTTTCACACTGTTGGTGGGAGTGTAAATTAGTTCAACCATTGTGGAAGACAGCATGGCAACTCCTCAAGGATCAAGAACTAGAAATACCATTTGACCCAGTGATCCCATTACTAGATATATACCCCAAGGATTATAAATCATGCTACTATAAGGACACATGCACACGTATGTTTACTGCAACACTATTCAGAATAGCAAGACTTGGAACCAACCCAAATGTCCATCAGTGATAGACTGGATTAAGAAAATGTGGTACATATACACCATGGAATACTATGCAGCCATAGAAAAGGATGAATTCATGTCCTTTGCAGGGACATGGTTAAAGCTGGTAACCATCATTCTCAGCAAACTAATACAAGAACAGAAAACCAAACACCGCATGTTCTCACTCATAAGTGGGAGTTGAACAATGAGAACACATGGACACAGGGAGGGGAACATCACACACCGAGGCCTGTGAGGGGGTGGGGGGTTAGGGGAGGGATAGCGTTAGGAGAAATACCTAATGTAGGTGACGGTGCAGCAAACCACCCTGGCACGTGTATACCTATCTGACAAAAACTGCACATTCTGCACTTGTGTCCCAGAACTTAAAGTATAATAAAAAATAAAAATTGAATCAGCCAGAGGAAGGGGAAAACACATTATGTACAAAGGGAAAAAAATATGAACAACTGCAGACTTTTTGTCAAGAAGTAGGCAAGCAGAACACAGTGGTATAACATCTTCAAAGATTTGAAGAAAATTGTAAGCCTAGAATTCTATAGTATGTAAAATTATCTTAGCAAATGAAGATTTAATAAAGATATTTTCAGACCAAAAGAACAAAAATTAAAAGCTGAAAAGAATTTATTGTCATCAGTCAGGCACAAAAAGAAATATTAAAGGAAATATTCAGGCAGAATGAAAATTAGAAACTAAAATCTATAGGAAAGAATGAAAAATGCTGCAAATAGTAAACATGTGGATAAATGTAAAGTCTTTTAAAATTATTTTTCTCATTTGCCAATTTCTTTAAAATATAATTGTTCAAGCAAAAATAATAGCAATGTATCTTGGGGTTTATAACACGTACAAGTAAAATGTATGACTATAATAGCAAAAAGGTTGGAATGGGGAAAATGAAAATACACTACTATAATATTCTTACACTATATATAAAGTGTTATAGTATTATTGTTGGAAGATAGACTAGAGTAAGTTGAATATGGGTACTCCAAACCTTAAAACAGCCATTAAAAAACAAAAAACAAATCCAAGAATTAGCGCTAATAAACCTTAAAAGTGAAAGAACAAAGTAAAATATACCATTTAGGCCTAAGCAGAAGAAAGCTAAAACAGCTATATTAATTTCAGATGAAGGTCATTTTTAGAATGAATGAAAAATGTTACCAGGAATAAAGATGGACATTTTATAATCATAAAGGTATTTATTCATCTAGAGAATGTAATCCTAAATGTTTGCATATCTAATAAATATACAAATACATTAGAATTCTAAAGTATATGAAGCAAATATTAATGGAACTGAGAAAAGAAATATAAAAATCCAAAATTATAGTTTAAAGATTTTAGAAGTTTTCTCTCAGCAACTGATGGTAGAACGATCATACAGAAAATCAATAGGTTATACAAGATGTGGACAACACTATCAACCAACTTAATCTAACAGATATTTATAGTATACTCTCTCACACAACAGTAGAATACACAATTTTTCAGGTAAACACTTAGCATTTACAAAATAAACTATATTCTGGGCCATAAACATGTCTCAGTACATTTTTTAAAGATTAAATTTGTATAAAGTGTGTTCTCTGACCACAAGATAATTAAACTAGAAATTAATAACAGAAAGATATTTTTTAATCCCCACATCTTTAGAAATTTAAAAAGCTGCTTCCAAATAACCCATGGGTCAAAGAAGACATCACATGGAAAATTTACAAGCATTTTTAACTTAATGGAAATGAAAATACATAATATTAACATTTATGGGAGGCAGCTAAAGCAGTGCTTACAGGAAAATTTATAGCATTGTATGATTATATTAGAAAAGAAGTTCTGAATCAATGATCTAAGCTTCCATCTTAATATGCTAGAAGGAGAATGCAAGTTAAACCCAAATAAAAGAGAAGAAGACAATAATAAAGGTAAGAGCAAAGGAAAACAGAAAAACAATAAAATAAATGAAGCTAAGTCCCAGTTTTTAGAAACAACTATTCCCAGCCCAAGATAGCCAAATGAATTCAACATCCTATAGAGTGCAGTATCAAATCATCTTCATACGAGCATTATTATTAAATACAAAAACATCCTCGGTCATAGGGAGACAACATTCTTACTAGAAAACATTTTTCTTCCTGTTCACAGAAAACCTGGCAGATATAAGAAGACTCTCTCTACCTAGCCTGACAGCAAAGTGTGGTGATTAGGCAAATGAAGCTGTATTTAGAACACTACTCTGCTAAGTATGAGTTGAGAGGAAAAGCTCAGTCTGCACCAGACCCATGTCAGCAATAAGTCTTTGCCAGTAAAATTTGAAATGAAACATAAAAGTCAGTTTTGGTTTTTTATCTTAGACACAAAGTTGAAAAAAATATTACCCTCAGCCTCTGTGCAAAGAAAGCTTCTTGCTTTGAAAACAACTTAGAGAGATGTTACATTTGTCTCATTTATTTTTTAAAACTGAGAGAAAGTTTTCATTTCACAACATTATCCCCCTTTCCAAATACAAAACACAGCATGATAAACATTAAGAAAAGTATACTATCATGAGAACAACTGATGTTGTAGTTGTAAGAACCTTGCAGACGATCATGGTAAAGTGATCAGATGTCTTAGGTTTCATTGTCATCAGCTGCTGTGGTGACTAAGTGTTCAAAACTGTTGGTCCTCCTCTAGAACAAAATAACCTTTTTTCACACATGCTATTTTAGATCTTTCCGTTAAATACTGCTTGTGAAATGACTTATTATCAGATACTCCAGATGTAATTCCTTTCCTGACCACACATAGTTTACTCTGAAAAATGCTGTAAAGAGCAAATTCATTGAATCTATATTTCTTCAGTTGAAAAAACCAAGCTGTTACAATTTCTCAGTGATGTGTGGTGGTTGCATCTGTAACAGTTCATAACCAAAGGAAAATTTGGCAGCTCAGTGGTTGCACAATTCATACTTAACCATTGGATAAATTAAGTATTTTAGTCTTGAATTCCAGTGTGGCCTAAGGAATGTTAGTTGTCTTTTTTTCCAAAACTGTGGTATACATACAACCTAGTTAAGTCCCTTACACAGGGCTTAGTCATTATCCCCTGTATATTTGGAGAATGTTTTGTGTGTGGCAAATTAGTGTAAAGTCATCTTTGTTTGGTTTCTTCCAAGCTGTAATTCATTAAATTCTCTATCAGTGAGCTGTTCCACTTCTTCAGTCTGGGAAAAGTCTTTTTCAGACAGTCATCTATAATTTTGGCCATTCCTCTTCTTTGCATTAGTACAATTTAATAAGTCATGAAACACCACAGAGGGGTACATCCACACCAAGCAGCTTCAAAGCCAGAAAGACTATGACAAGCTTTCCTTGGACTCTTTTCCGCTCTCTATTCCAGATCCCATGGCTTTCCATGCTAGGAACCTAGCAATGGCACCATTAACTCCTGAAAGGAAAAGTCCTCCTGTCAACCTGAGAAATTACCCAAAAATACCCTTTGCTAAAAAATTCTAATTGCTTTCTGTAGTCCAATACACAATTTGACATGCCAGGAGACCATGTTGCAATATCTTTTGAGGCTGAAAGAAGGAAACTCAATGAAAGAATTCTACATGAGGTGTCAATGTATCACTAATGTGAATAAATCAAATTAAATATTTCAAGAATGGGGGTCTTATGGTTAAAAATAGTATTAAAAATAAACATTAACGCATGAAACATAAACTTAGATTTTTAAAGTTTTGAATATTTATAAAATTGGATGCAAATAGCCAAATTAATTATGTAATGAAATTATATAATATCAAATGATGTAGTTGCATTAATCTGGGTTATATTACCAAAAACTAGGAAGCAATTATAAGAATGAGAAATGGGTTAGGGAAAGAATAAAAATATGCAGTATTCTTTAAAACACTCCTTTCAGTCTTGACATCAGAAAGAACTTTAGAGACCTTTAACTTAAAAGCGTGCTTTGAAGTTTAAAGGCATCACAAGAACAGTTTCAAATGCAATAAGAATTCTGGCTCAAGAGGACTCTGGGTAGTAATTCCAAAATCATCCTCTCAACTTCTCACTAAATAGCTTCTGAAAACAAAAATAAATAAAAATTCTTGATAACACTGAAAACAAAGGCTGAAAGACAGTCAGAATCTGGGAGGATTTAGTATTAGCTAAAAGACAGTTGGCAGAACTATAGTTTCTGACACACTCTCACTTTATGCAACAAAATTTCTAAAAATTAATAGATAGATGTTTCATGCCTCTATCACCATACATTCACATCTCAGCATTCCAGAACTGATAGCAACTGGGACACTGCAAGTATCTCTCCCTACCATTTAAAGATGCTTTCTAAACCAGAGTATACTTTGCCCAACTCCAGATACTGAAAACTCCTGGAAAACAATCAGGCATGAAATCAAAGAAAATTTCTGAATGCAGCACATCTTCTGAGGCAAGCAGTACCCATACATAAAGAGCTTGGGTAAGAAAGAATGGAGGTGCAATGCATCACTATAATATAATTTGTCAGACACTGTTATAAGTTCAGATGAACAAGAAACTAATTAGTAGGTGAAAGGATAAAGAAAAAGACTCAGCAAGAATAGAGCAGAGATATATTCTACAAAATCAACCTATATAGTAATTGGTGACTAATTCAAGAGATGTGGAGATTAAATATGGCTTAAAGCTATAGATTTGAACAGTGGTGAGAATACAGTGGGATAACTATGTAACCCAAATGGTTCCACCAAGTTACACAATGGGTGGGGAAGGGGGAAGACTAAGAAGAAAGCAATATAGGATGTTAGCAAGATGGTGGAATAAGAGGTTCCAACCCATATCGCCTTCAAGAGAAACACCAAATTTCTCAACCAATCACAGACTAGAATATCTTTGTTAGAGCCTGTATTAGTCTGTTTTCACACTGCTATAAAAATACTACCTGAGACTGGGTAATTTATGAACAAAACAGGTTTAATTGACTCACAGTTTCACATGGCTGAGGAGGCCTCAGGAAACTTACAATCATGGTGTAAGGTTAAGGGAAAGCAAGGCACTTTCTTCGCAAGGTGGCAGGATAGAGAGAGAGAGCATAGGGAACACTACCACTTTTAAACCAGTAGATCTTGTGAGAACTCCTTGCTATCATAAGAATAGCATGGCAGAAACCACGCCCATGATACAATCATCACCCACCAGGTCTCTCCCTCGACATGTGGGGATTACAATTGGATTATAATTTTGGGTGGGGACACAGAGCCAAACCATATTATTCCACGCCTAACCCCTCAAAAATTTCATGTCCCTTTCACATTTCAAAGTCAATCATGCCTTCCCAACAGTCCCCCAAAGTCTTAACTCATTTCAGCAGTAACTCAAATGTTGAAGTCCAAAGTCTCATCTGAGACAAGCAAAGTCCCTTCCACCTATAAGCCTGTAAAATCAAAGACAAGTTTTTTACTTCCTAGATACAACTGGGGTAGAGGCATTGGGTAAATGTTCCCATTCCAAATTGGAGAAATTGGCCAAAACAAAGAGGCCACCATCCCTATGCAAGTTCAAAACCTGGCAGGGCACTCATTAAATCTTAACATTTTAAAATAACCTCCTTTGACTCCATGTCTCACATCCATGGCACACTGATGCAAGAAGTGCACTCCTAAGGCCTTGGGCAGCTGCACTACTGTGTCTCTGCAGACCCCACAGATGCTTTCATGGGCTGACATTGAGTGTCTGTGTTTTTTCCAGGTGTACAGTGCAAGCTTTCAATGTATCTACCTTTTTGGGGTCTGGAGGATGGTGGCCTTCTCACAGCTCCACTAGGCAGTGCCCCATTGGGGACTCTGTGTGGGTGCACCAACCCCACCTTTTCCCTCTGCATTGCCCTAGAGGTTCTCCATGAGGGCCCCACTCCTGCAACAGACTTCTGCCTGGACATCTAAGTGTTTCCATACATCCTCTAAAATCTAGGCAGAGATTCCCAAAGCTCAACTCTTGTCTTCTGCACACTGCAGACCCAACACCACATAGAAGCCAACAAGGCTTTGGGTTTGTACCCTCTGAAGCCATGGCTCCTGTGATACTTTGGTCCCTTTTAGCCAGGACTGGGGATGGAGCAGCTGGGATGCAGGGTACCAGGTCCACAGGCTGAACAGAGCAGTGGGGTCCTGGGCCCAGCCCCAAAACCATTTTTACCTCCTAGACTTCTAGACCTGTGATGGGAGAGGCTGCCACAAAGAACTCTGGCATGCTCTGGAGACATTTTTCTCATGATCTTGGCTACTAACTTATTGCTCCTTATTACTTAGGCAAATTTCTGCAGCAGCCTTCAATTTCTCCCAAGAAAATGGGTTTTTCTTTTCTACCTCATGGTCACGCTGCAGATTTTCTAAACATTTATGTTCTGTTTTCCTTTAAAATAAATTTCCAGTTTCAGGTATTCTCTTTGTGAATGCATATGACCAAACACTTTTGGAATCAGCCAGGTCACTTCTTGAATGCTTTGCTCTTTAGAAATTTCTTCCACCAGATACCCTAATCATCTCTCTCAAGTTCAAATTTCCCCAGATCTCTAGGGCAGGAGCAAAATGCCACCAGTCTCTTTGCTAAAGCATGGTAAGAGTAACATTTGCTCCATTTCCCAATAAGTTCCATCTGAGACCATCTCAAGCTTGACTTCATTGGCCATCCATGTCATTATCAGGGTTTTGATCAAAACCATTCAACAAGTCTTTAGGAAGTTCCAATCTTTCCCTCATCTTTCTGTCTTTTTCTGAGCCGTCAAGATTGTTCCAACCTCTGCCTATTACCCAGTTTCAAAGTTGCTTCCACCTTTTCAGGTTATCTTTATAGCAGTGCCCCACTCCCAGTGCTAATTCTCTGTATTAGTCTGTTTCCACAATCCTATAAAAATACTACCAGAGACTGGGTAATTTATAAACAAAAGAGGTTTAATTAATTCACAGTTCTGCACGGCTGGGGAGGCCTCAGGAAACATACAATCATAATGGAAGGCAAAGGGGAAGTAGGCCCCTTTTTCACAAGGCAGAAGGGGAGAGAGAGAGCACACAAGGGAAACTGCCACCTTTAAACCATCAGATCCATGAGAACTCTCTATCATGAGAACAGAATGGGGGAAACCAACCCCATGATTCAATCACCTCCCACCAGGTCCCTCCCTCAACTTGTGGGAATTACAATTCAAGATGAAATTTGGGTGGAGACACAGAGCCAAACCATATCAGAGCCCCAGAGTTTAGCTGAGAGGTTCCAGTATTCCAGTAAAACAAAAAATATGAGAGCAGACTTGTTGAAAGAGGTGAGAAGAACAGTTTCACTCTACATGTCACTCATCCCCCAAGGAAGCCTAGCTTTATTCTAAGAGAGATCACTTTGGTTCATAATTGCTTCCACAGGGGAAAATGAAAATTAACTGAGCATTTGGCTCCTTAACCTTATGGGACACTGCCCAAAAGGCCCACTTAGGCCTCATCCCACCCAGAACACTGAGGGCATCGGCAGCACAGCTGAATAGTCTGGGACCACTGAAAGCAAGGAGAAGGGACAGGAGTACATAGCAACCTGCACAATGCTCAACAGCTGGCCATGAATCTTGCTAAGCAGCTCACAGACTTCACCATGTGGCATTCCTCTGTAGACAGCACCTCATGTGTTTCCACACACAACACACATGAGTTCCAGCAAAGAGCCCTTGGATCTCAACAGCATGTACAGATCTTAGTAGCTGGCATGATTCTGCTGGTTTGAAAGAAGGTACAAACTTTAACATTTCAGGGCACTGCTCTAGGGAAGCTAAACAGGATGCTCTTAGCACCAGGCCTGGCTTTATAAAACTGGAGAAAGCACACAATCCTAAAACTTTCCTTCTGAGAAGGAACAAAAGGAGTGAAGCAGGAAAATCCATAGAAAAAGTCTGCGTGTCTACCAGAATATGTAGAAGGCCTTTTTCTCCCAAAGCCAGTCAATAAAGACTGGAGGAGGTGAATACTTTTTCAAATGCAAACATGGCAATGCAGAGCTTCAAGGAACAAGAAGAATCAAGGAAATGTGACAGGACCAAAGGAACAAAATAAAGTTCCAGTGGGTAGTGGCTGACCTTAAAAAATTGGAGATCAAAAATTGTCTGCCAAAGAATACAAAGTAGTCACCTTAAAGAAGCTCAGTGAGCTACAAGAGAACACAAATAGACAATTAAACAACATCAGGAAAATAATACATGAATAAAATGAGAAATTCAACAAGCTTATAGAAGCTATAAAAAAGAACCAAATAGAAATCCTGGAGCAGAAGAATACAATGTCTGAAATAAAAATTTTATTAGAGAGCTTTGATAGAAGACTTAATCAAGTAGAGGAAAGAATTAGCATATTCAAAGATAGATCATTTGAAATTATCCATTCAAAGGAACAAAAAGAAAAAAAATAATTAAAAGAGTGAAAAAGGAAAGCTGGGAACCGTTCATGGGACTACAGTGCACCAGAACTCATTCCTGGCCATCAGTGGCTCTGGGGGAAGAGGTGAGTTGAACTGGTAAGGAGCAATCCTATCTCACCATGGACCTCTGGAAATCAGCAGGAAGAGACCCCTCAAACACCACAGACACATCAGTTGATGGGGTGGTTGAGGCTGCTTAAACAAATGGCAGGGGTAGCAAGCCAATTGATATGGATCCCAGAGGGTTTGGTATAGGAGTGCCTGTAATAAAGCATGGCCAGGGAAAACCATCCCCCTAAGCTCAACTTGCTCCCATAGAAGACTTTAGCCATAGGAAAACTTCCAGACCTGAACTCTGCAGGGTGGCCTTGCCCATGAGAGAGGGTCAGTCTGACACAAGCAGCTCTTGGTCTGCCGGTCTCTCCTGGGGCCCCAGCCTGGCCATCCCTGCTTGCAGATCAGTCTCAGGTGCTCTGGGATCCCACACCATAGCTTCTGTGCTGGTGAATTATGCTTGACCAGCAGAGAACTACAGCATGGTGGCCCCTAAAGCCACGCAACAGCCCACACATTCTTTCTTCATATTGCAGCTTCCCCCAGACCCATGGCAACTCCCCACATCACTTTGCTGGTGTGTATCTGCCTGTGGGTTTTGCTTTCCTTGCCCTGTCAGCACGTGAGAGTGCAGGCTGTCCCACCTCCCCCAAATGATCTCCATTGCAGATGAGGTCTTGGCAGGCAAAGAGCCAGCCAGCCCTGCTGCCATGAGCACTGTGCTCTGATGCTAATTCTGCACAGAGAACAGCAGATTCTGCCCTGACCTGAGTGACCACTCTTTCTTGTGAGGCACAGAGAAGGCACTCGGACCTGCACCTGCCAGTGCCACACCCAACTGGAGCCAACATCGCCTCCAGGAAAACTACGCACACAATCACCAGAAGTGGCCCCCAAGCTGTATTACCTCTGCTACCGTGATGAACACCCACAGAGAGGCAGGAACCCCGGCACCCACTAGCACTCTGCTGCAGCTGCCCTACCACTGCGGCTGACCCATGCAAACAAGGATGGATTCCGCTGTCACCACACTATGAAGCACTTTGGTTAACACCACCTATCACAGTGTAGTGATTAGTGATCCAGAAGCACTTTGGGCCTTTCCCCAGCATAGTGGATTCCTAACCTCAAGGAGCCAGAAAAGAAAGGCAGGGCCCAATACAAGAACACAGAGTTAGAGCACACAGTTCAGCAGTTGGAAGCTGAGTGTTGGCTCCCTAAATTCTTCCAAAAACAAAGCCAGTTGGCCGAATCCACCTTTTACCATAATCAAACCCTCAAGGTCAAAAATAGGATAAAAGAAAAAAAATCCATCCTAAGGTAAGCAACCTAAAAGATTGAAGGTAGATAAACCCACAAAGGTGAGAAAGAATCAGCACAAGAACCCTGACAACTCAAAAAGCCAGAGTGCCTTCTTACCTCCAAACAACTGCATCACCTCTCTAGCAGGGGTTCTGAACCAGGCAGAAATAGCTGAAATGACAGAAATAGAATTTAGAATATGGATAGGAACAAAGATCATTGAGCTACCGAAGTATGTTGAAACCAGATCCAAGGAAGCTAAAAATCATGGTAAAACAAACGACCTGATAGAGGTGAAAAACACAATACAAGAATTTCATAATGCAATCACAAATATTAATAGCAGAATACATCAAGTGGAGAAAAGAATCTAAGAGCTTGAAGATGAGCTCTCTGAAACAAGATAGTGAGACAAAAAAAGAAAAATGAATGAAAAGGAAAAAACAAAACCTCCAAGATATATGGGATTATGTAAAGAGATGGAATATAAGACTCATTGGTGTCCCTGAAAGAGATGGGGAGAATGGAACCAACATGGAAAACATACTTCAGAATATTATCAAGGAGAATTTTCCCAACCTAGCTAGAGTGGCCAACATTCAAATTCAGAAAATACAGGGAACCTCAGTAAGATACTCCAAAAGAAGATTATCCTCAAGACATAATTATCAGATTCCCCATAGTTGAAATAAAGAAAAAAATGTTAAAGGCAACTAGAGAGAAATGTCAGGTCACCTACAAAAGGAAGATCATCAGACTAACAGCAGACCTCTCAGCAGAAACCCTACAAACCAGAAGAGGTTGGGAGACAATATTCAACATTCTTAAAGAAACTCCAACCCAGAATTTTATATCTGGCCGAACTAAACATCATAAGTGAAGGAGAAATAAGATCTTTTGCAGACAAGCAAATGCTGAGGAAATTCGTTACCCCCAGACTTGCCTTACAAGAAGTCCTGAAGGAAGCAATAAATATGGAAAGGAAGGACCATTACAAGCCACTACAAAAACACTGAGGTACACACTGACACTATAAAACAACCGCATAAACAAGTGTGCAAAATAACCAGCTAACATCATGGTGACAGAATCAAATCCACACATATCATACTAATCTTGAGGTAAATGGGCTAAATTTCCCAATTAAAAGACACAGAGTGGCAAGCTAGATAAAGAACCAAGACCCACTGATATAATGTCTCTGAGAGACCCATCTCATATGCAGTGACACACATAGGCTGAAAATAAACAGATAGAGAAAAATCTACCCAGCAAATGGAAAACAGAAAAAAAGGAGTTGCAATCCTAATTTCAGACAAAACAGTCTTTACACCAACAACAATCAAAAAAGACAAGAGCATTACATAATGGTCAAGAGTTCAATTCAACAAAATCATCTAAGTATCTTAAATATATATGCACCCAACACAGGAGCACCCAGATTCATAAAGCAAGTTCTTAGAAAGCTTTAAAGAGACTTAGACTCCTACACAATGACAGCGGGAGATTTTAACACCCCACTCACCATACTGGACAGATAATTGAGACAGAATATTTAGGGCCAGAGCATAGTACAGCATCAAATAGACCTGATAGGCATTTATAGAACTCTCCACCAGACAAACAAAAAAAGCAAATAAAAACCCAGAATACCTAAAACT
This sequence comes from Homo sapiens, assembly GCF_000001405.40. Classification (NCBI taxonomy): domain Eukaryota; kingdom Metazoa; phylum Chordata; class Mammalia; order Primates; family Hominidae; genus Homo; species Homo sapiens. Next base: position 80,416,805 of record NC_000006.12, on the reverse strand, counting down.
TAAAGTATAATAATAATAAAATTAAAAAAAATAAAAATAAAAATAAAAAACCCAGAATATACATTATTCTCACCACCACATGGGACAACTGTAAATTGATCACATAATCAGAAGTAAAATACTCCTCAGCAAATGCAAAAGAATGGAAATCATAAGAAACAATTTCTAGGACAATAGCACGATCAAATTAGAAATCAAGACTAAGAAATTTACTCAAAACCATACAATGACATGGAAGTTGAATAACCTGCTCCGGAATGACTTTTGGATAATTAATGAAATTAAAGCAGAAATCAAGAAGCTCTTTGAAGCTAATGAGAACAAAGTTACAAAGTACCAGAATCTCTGGGATGCAGCTAAAGCAGTGTTGAGAGGGAAATTTATAATACTATATGACCACATCAAAATGTTAAAAAGACCTCAAGTTATCAAGCTAACATCACAATAAAAAGAACTAAAAAACCAAGAGCAAATAAGTCCCAAAGCTAGCAGGAGACAAGAAATAACCAAAATCAGAGCTGAACTGAAGAAGATTGACATACAAAGAAAAAAAAAAAAAACCTATTCAAAAGATCAATAAATCCAGGGACTGGTTTTCTGGAAGAACTAATAAAATAGGTAGACCACTAGCTAGACTAAGAAGAAAAGAGAGAAGACAAATACACACCATCAGAAATGACAAGAGGGATATTCCCACTGACCCCACAGAAATACAAATCATCTCAGAGAATATCATGAACACCTCTACGCAGATAAACTGTAAAATCTAGAAGAAATAAAAAAAAATCCTGAAGAAATACACCCTCCCAAAACAGAACCAGGAAGAAATTGAATTTCTGAACAGATCAATAACAAGCTCTGAAATTGAGTCAATAACAATTATACTACCCACCAAGAAAAGCCCAGGACCACATAGATTCACAGGTGAATTCTACAACATTTACAAAGAAGAGCTGGTATCATTCCTATGGAAACTAGACCAAAAAATTGAGAAAGAAGGACTCCTACCCAACTCATTCTATGAGGTCAGAATTATCTGGATACCAAAACCTGGCAGAGACGCAACAAAAAAAGAAACGTTCAGGCCAATACCCTTAATGAACATTGATGCAAAAATCCTCAATCAAATACTGGCCTGGCGAATCCAGCAACACACCAAAAAGCTTATCAAGCCTTATCAAGTAGGCTTTATCCCTGGGATGCAAGTTTGGTTCAACATACTCAAATTGATAAATGTGATTCATCACATGAATAGAACTAAAAACAAAAACCACATGATTATTTCAATAGATTCAGAAAAGGCTTTTGATAAAATTCAACACCCCTTCATGTTAAAAGCTCTGAATTTATTAGGTATTTAACAAACATCTCAAAATAATAAGGACCATCTATGACAAAACCACAGCCAACATCATACTCAATGGGCAAAATCTGGAAGCATTTCCCTTGAAAACTGGGAGGACTTTCAAGGTAAGATGAGGACGCCCTCTCACTACTCCTATTCAACATAGTATTGGAAGTTCTGACTAGGACAATCAGGCAAAAGAAAGAAATGAAGGTCATCCAAATAGTAAAAGAGGAAGTCAAACCATCCCTGTTTGCAAACAACATGACCTGATATCTAGAAAACCCCATAGTCTTGGCCCAAAAGCGCCTTCAGCTGATAAACTTTGCTGAAGTTTCAGGATAAAAAAGCAATGTGCAAAAGTCACTAACATTTCTAAACAAACACAAGAATCAAACTGAGAGCCAAATGAGAAATGCAATTCTATTCACAATTGCCACACACACACACACACACACAGAAATACCTAAGAACACAACTACTGATGGTGGTGAAAGATATCCACAAGGAGAACTACAAAACATTGTTCAAAGAAATCAGGAATGACACAAACCAATGAAAAAACATTCCATGCTCCCGAATAGGAAGATTCAATATCCTTGTAATGTCCAAACAGCCCAAAGCAATTTAAAGGTTCAATGCTACTCCTATTAAACTACAATTGGCATTTTTTACAGAACTAGGAAAAAGCTATTTTAAAATTTCTATGGAACCATAAAGAGCCCCAATAGCCAAGTCAATCCTAATCAAAAAGAACACGGCTGGAAATCAAGTTACCTGACTTAAAATTGTACAAGGCTACAGTAAATAAAACAACGTGGTGCTGGTATAAAAGCAGTCATGTAGGCCAATAGAACAGAATAGAGAACCCAGAAGTATGGCTGCACCCTTACAACTATCTGATCTTTGACAAATACAAGCAATAGGCAAAAGATTCTGGGATAACAGCCTACCCATATGCAAAAGATTAAAACTGGATCTCTTCCTTATACCACATACAAAAATTAAGATAGATTAAGGACTTCAATGTAAAACTGAACACTATGAAAACCTTGGAAGGCAACCTAGAAAATACCATCCTGGAAATAGGAACTGAAAAATATTTCCTGAAGATTTCAAAGCAATGGCAAAAAAAGCCAAAATTGACAAATGGGATCTAATTAAACTAAAGAGCTTCTGCACAGCAAAGGAAGCTATCAATAGAGTGAAGGGACAACCTACAGAATGGGAGAAAAAATTTGCAAAGCATCTGACAATCGTCTAATAACTAACATCAATGAGAAACTTAAACAAATTTACAAGAAAAAACAAATAACCCCATTAAAAAGTGGGCAAATATTATACACAGACACTTTTAAAAAAAAAGACATACATGTGGCCAATGATCATATGAAGAAAAACTCAACATCACTGATTATTAAAGAAATGCAAATCAAACTACAACGAGATACCATCTCACATCAGTCAGAATGGCTGTTATTAAAAAATCAAAAAGTAACAGATGCTGACAAGGTTGCAGAGAAAAATGAATGCCTAGGCAACATTCGTAGGAGTGTAAATTAGTTCAACCATTGTGGAAGACAGTGTTGCAATTTCTCAAAGACATAAAAACAGAAATTCTATATGACCCAGCAACCCCATTACTGGGTATATACTCTCAAGGAATATAAACTGTTCTACCATAGAGAAACATGCATGAATATGTTTATTGCAGCACCATTCACAATAGCAAAGATATGGAATCAATCTAAGTGCCCATCAATGGTAGACTGGATAAAGAAAATGTAGTATATATGCATCATGGAATACTATGCAGGCATAACGAGAATGATATCATGTTCTTTGCAGAAACATGAATGTAGTTGGATGCCATTATCCTTAGCAAACTAATGCAGGTACACAAATCCAAATACCATATATTCTCACTTACAATTAAGAGCTAAATGATAAAAACATATGGACACATAGAGGAGAACAACACACACTGGAGCCTATCAAAGAGTGGAGGGTGGGAAAAGGAAGAGGACTAAGAAAAATAACTAATGGGTTCTGGACTTAATATGTGAATGATGAAATAATATGTAAAACAAACCTCCATGACATAAGTTTACCTATATAACAAACCTGCACATGTATGCCTGAACTTAATAGTTTAAAAAAAGATGTTGAGAGTGGAATACATACTTACGGTGAGCTTAAATTTATTAACTTTTTTTTGCTAATATGTTTGTGAGAGATTGATAAGTCTTTGATATACTATCTTTTTAAAAAGGAGTAAAGAAAGCCCTCGGGATTTATAGGGCACCATCAAGTAATTATATATCATTATAAGAGTTGCAGAGGAGCAGAGAAGGAAGATGGGTTAGAAAACTAATTTAAAGAAATAATGACAGAAAATATCCAAAATCTGGGTAGGGAAATGAACATCCAGATGCATGAAGTCCAAAGAACTCCAAATAGGTTGAGAATAAAGAGGTCTTCACTGAGTCACATTATAATCAAACTGTCAAAAATCAAAAACAGAAAATTTTGAAAGCAGTGAGTAAAAAGCTATTTGCCACATTCAAGGGAACCTTCATAAGACTGTCAGCAGATTACCCTGCAGGTCAGGAGAAAGTTAGATTACATACTCAAAAAATTGAAAGTAAAAACCTGCCAACCCAAATAACTATATCTAGCAAAACTGTTGATCAGAAATTAAGAAGAAATAAAGACTTTGCCAGACAAAAGCTGAAGGAGTTGGTCACACCAGGCCTGCCATACAAAACAATATTAAAGGGAATTATTCAAGTTAAAGCTAAAGAACATTAATTAGCAACATAAAAATATTTGAAGGTATACAACTCATGGATGAAGGTAAGTATATAGTCAAATTCAAAAAACTCTAATACTGTAATGATAGTATGTAAATCACTTTTAACTCTATAATAAAAGTTAAAAGACAAAAGTGTTGAAACTAATTATAACTACAATAATTTGTTAATAGATGAATAGTGTAAAAAATATAAACTATAGCCTGGGTGTGATGGCTTACATCTGTAATCCTAGCACTCTGGGAGGCCGAGACAGGTGGATCATTTGAGGTCAGGAGTTCAAGACCAGACTGGCCAACATGGTGAAACCCCATCTCTACTAAAAAAAATACAAAAATTAGCCAGGTGTGGTGGTGCATGCCTGTAGTCCCAGCTACTCAAGAGGCTGAGGCAGCAGAATCACTTGAACCCAAGAGGCAGAGGTTGCAGTGAGCTGAGATTGTGCCATTGCACTCCAGCCTGGGTGACAGTGAGATTCTGTCTAAAAAAAAAAAAAAAAAATGTAAACTGTGACCAATAGTATAAAATGTGGTGGACATGGATTCTTGATTGTTGCTTCCAAGATGGCCAAATAGGAAGAGCTCCGGTCTGCAGCTCCCAGTGAGATTGATGCAGAAGACAGGCAATTTCTGCATTTCCAACTGAGGTACCTTGTTCATCTCACTGGGACTGGCTGGACAGTGGGTGCAGCCCACAGAGGCTGAGCCAAAGCAGGGCAGGGCCTCACCTCACCCGGGAAGTTGAAGGGGTCGGGGGATTTCCCTTTCCTAACCAAGGAAGCTGTGACAGACTGGAAAACTGATACACTTCTGCCTAAACACTGCGCTTTTCAATGGTCTTAGCAACCGGCAAACCAGGAGATTCCCTCCCGTGCCTGGCTTAGTGGGTCACACGCCCACAGAGCCTTGCTCACTGCTAGCGCAGCAGTCTGAGATCAACCTGCGAGGCTGCAGCCTGATGGGGGGAGGGGCGTCCACCATTTCTGAGACTTGAGTAGGTAAACAAGGTGGCCAGGAAGATGGAACTGGGCAGAGCCCAACACATCTCAGCAAGGCCTACTGCCTCTATAGACTCCACCTCTGTGGGCAGGGTATAGCTGAGCAAAAGCCAGCAGACTACTTCTGCAGACTTTAACGTCCCTGTCTGACAGCTCTGAAGAGAGTAGTGGTTCTCCCAGCACAGCGTTTGAGCTCTGAGAACAGACAGAATGCCTCCTCAAGTGGGTCCCTGACCCCATGTAGCCTGACTGGGAGACACCTCCCAGTAGGGGCTGATAGACACCTCATACAGGCAGGTCCCCCTCTGGGATGAAGCTTCCAGAGGAAGGATCAGGCAGCAATATTTTCTCTTCTGCAATACTTGCTGTTCTGCAGCCTCTGCTGGTGATACCTAGGCAAACAGGATCTGGAGTGGACCTCCAGCAAACTCCAACAGACCTGCAGCTGAGGGGCCTGTTAGAAGGAAAACTAACAAACAGAAAGGACCAGCATCAACATCAACAAAAGGGACATCCACACAAAAAACCCATCTGTAGGTCACCAACATCAAAGACCAAAGGTAGATAAAACCACAAAGATGGGAAGAAACCATAGGAGAAAAGCAGAAAATTCCAAAAACCAGAGCACCTCTTCTCCTGCAAAGGATCACAACTCCTCACCAGCAATGGAACAAAACTGGATGGAGAATGACTGTGACAAGTTGACAGAAGTAGGCTTCAGAAGGTCAGTAATAACAAACTTCTCCAAGCTAAAGGAGCATGTTCTAAACCCATTGCAAGGAAGCTAAAAACCTTGAAAAAAGGTTAGACGAATGGCTAACTAGAATAAACAGTGTAGAGAAGAACTTAAATGACCTGATGGAGCTGAAAATCACAGCAAGAGAACTTCATGATGCATGCACAAGCTTCGATAGCTGATTCGATCAAGTGGAAGAAAGAATATCAGTGATTGAAGATCAAATTAATGAAATAAAGTGAGAAGACAAGATTAGAGAAAAGAGTAGAAAGAAATGAACAAAGCCTCCAAGAAATATGGGACTATGTGAAAAGACCAAATCTACATTTGATTGGTGTACCTGAAAGTGACAGGGAGAATGGAACCAAGTTAGAAAACATTTTTCAGTATATTGTACAGCAGAACTCCAAACTAGCAGGGCAGGCCAACATTCAAATTCAGGAAATATAGAGAACACCACAAAGATACTCCTTGAGAAGAGCAACTCGAACACACATAATCGTCAGATTCACCAAGGTTGAAATGAAGGAAACAATGTTAAGGGCAGCCAGAGAGAAAGGTCGGGTTACCCACAAAGGGAAGCCCATCAGACTAACAGTGGATCTCTCAGCAGAAACCCGATAAGCAAGAAGAATGTGGGGGCCAGTATTCAAGATTCTTAAAGAAAATAATTTTCAACCCAGAATCTCATATCCAGCCAAACAAAGCTTCATAAGTGAAAGAGAAATAAAATCCTTTAGAGACACGCAATTGCTGAGAGATTTTGTCACCACCAGGCCTGCCTTACAAGAGCTCCTGAAGGAAGCACTAAACATGGAAAAGAAAAACCAGTACCAGCAACTGCAAAAACATGCCAAATTGTAAAGGCCATTGATGCTAGGAAGAAACTGCATCAATTAATGGGCAAAATAACCAGCTAACATCATAGTGAGAGGATCAAATTCACACATAACATCATAATGAGAGGATCAAATTCACACATAGGATTAAATGTAAATGGGCTAAATGTCCCAATTAAAAGATACAGACTGGCAAATTGGATAAAGAATCAAGAACCATCAGAGTGCTGTATTCAGGAGACCCATTTCATGTGCAGAGACACACATAGGCTCAAAATAAAGGGATAGAGGAAAATCTATGAAGTAAATGGAAAGCAAAAAGCAGCAGGGGTTGCAATCCTAGTCTCTGATAAAACAGACTTTAAACCAACAAAAGTCAAAAGAGACAAAGAAGGCCATTACATAATGGTAAAGGAAGCAATTCAACAAGAAGAACTAACTATCATATATATATATATATATATATATATATATATATATATATATATATATATATATATGCAACCAATACAAGAGCACCCAGATTTATAAAGCAAGTCCTTAGAGACCTACAAAGAGACTCAGACTCCCACAAAATAATGACGGGAGACTTCAACACCCCACTGTCAATATTAGACAGATCAATGAGACAGAAGATTAACAAAGATATCCAAGATTTGAACTCAGCTCTGCACCAAGTGGACCTAATAGACATCTACAGAACTCTCCATCCCAAATCAACAGAATATACATTCTTCTCAGCACCTCATCGAACTTATTCTAAAATTGACCACATAATTGAAAGTAAAACACTCCTCAGCAAATGTAACAGAACAGAAATCACAACAAACTGTCTCTCAGACCACAGTGCAATCAAACTAGAACTCAGGATTAAGAATCCCACTCAAAACCACACAACTACAACTACATGGAAACTGAACAACCTGCTCCTGAATGACTAATGGGTAAATAATGAAATGAAAGCAGAAATAAAGATGTTCTTTGAAACCAATAAGAAGAAAGGCACAACATACCAGGACCTCTGGGACACATTTAAAGCACTGTATAGAGGGAAATTTATAGCACTAAATGCCCGCAAAAGAAAGCAAGAAAGATCTAAAATTGACACCTTAACATCACAATAAATAGAACTGGAGAAGCAAGAGCAAACAAACTCAAAAGCTAGCAGGAGGCAAGAAATAACTAAGATCAGAGCAGCACTGAAGGAGATAGAGACACAAAAAACCCTTCAAAAAAATCAATGAATCCAGGAGCTGTTTGGTTTTTTTTTTTGAAAAAAAAAAGATCAACAAAATAGATAGACCGCTAGCAACACTAATAAAGAAGAAAAGAGAGAAGACTCAAATAGATGCAATAAAAAATGATAAGAGGAATATCACCACCAATCCCACAGAAACACAAACTACCATCAGAGAATACCATAAACACCTCTATGCAAATAACCTAGAAAATCTAGAAAAAATGAATAAATTCTGGGACACATACAACCTCCCAAGACTAAACCAGGAAGAAGTTGAATCTCTGTATAGACCAATAACAGTTTCTGAAATTGAGGCAATAATTAATAGCCTAACAACCAAAAAAAGTCCAGGACCAGATAGATTCACAGCCGAATTCTACCAGAGGTTAAAAAAAAGGAGCTGGTAACATTTCTTCTGAAGCTATTCCAATCAAAAGAAAAAGAAGGAATCCTCCCTTACTCATTTTATGAGGCCAGCATCATCCTTCTACCAAAGCCTGGCAGACACACAACAAAAAAAGAGAATTTTAGACCAATATCCCTGATGAACATTGATGCAAAAATCCTCAAGAAAATACTGGCAAACCAAATCCAGCAACAGATCAAAAAGCTTATCCACCACAATCAACTCAGCTTCATACCTGGGATGCAAGCCTGGTTCAACATATGCAAATCAATAAAAGTAATCCATCACACAAACAGAACAAACCACAAAAACCACATGATTATCTCAACAGATGCAGAAAAGGCCTTCAACAAAATTCAACACCCCTTCATGCTAAAAACTCTCAATAAATTAGGTGTCGATGGAATGTAGCTCAAAATAATAAGAGCTACTTACGAGAAACCCACAGCCAATATCATACTGAATGGGAAAAACTGGAAGCATTACCTTTCAAAACTGGCACAAGACAAGGATGCCCTCTCTCAACACTCCTATTCAACACAGTGTTGGAAGTTCCAGCCAGGGCAATCAGGCAAAAGAAAGAAATAAAGGGTATTCAATTAGAAAAAGAGGAAGTCAAATTGTCCCTGTTTGCAGATGACATGACTGTATATTTAGAAAACCCCATCATCTCAGCCCAAAATCTCCTTAAGCTGATAAGCAACTTCAGCAAAGTCTCAGGATACAAAATCAATGTGCAAAAATCACAAGCATTCCTATACACCACTAACAGACAAACAGACAGCCAAAGCATGAGTGAGCTCCCATTCACAATTGCTACAAAGGGAATAAAATACCCAGGAATCCAACTTACAAGAATTGTGAAGGACATCTTCAAGAACTACAAACCACTGCTCAATGAAATAAAAGAAGACACAAACAAATGGAAGAACATTTCATGCTCATGGATAGGAAGAATCAATATCGTGAAAATGGCCATACTGCCCAAGGTAACTTATAGATTCAATGCCATCCCCATCAAGCTACCAATGACTTTCTTCACAGAATTGGAAAAAAACTACTCTAAAGTTCATATGGAACCAAAAAAGAGCCTGCATAGCAAGGACAATCATAAGCTAAAAGAACAAACCTGGAGGTATCATGCTACCTGACTTCAAACTATGCTACAAGGCTACAGTAACCAAAACAGCATGGTATTGTTATCGAAGCAGATATATAGACAAATGAAACAGAACAGAGGCCTCAGAAATAACACCACACATCTATATCCATCTAATCTTTGACAAACCTGACAAAAACAAAAAATGGGAAAAGGATTCCCTATTTAATAAATGGTACTGGGAAAACTGGCTAGCCATATGTAGAAAGCTAAAACTAGATCCGTTCCTTACACCTTACACAAAAATTAACTCAAGATGGATTAAAGACTTAAATGTAAGACCTAAAACCATAAAAACCCTAGAAGGAAACGTAGGCAGTACTATTCAGGACATAGGCATGGGCAAGGACTTCATGACTAAAACACAAAAGCAATAGCAACAAAAGCCAAAATAGACAAATGGGATCTAATTAAACTAAAGAGCTTCTGCACAGTAAAAGAAACCATCATCAGAGTGAACAGGCAACCTACAGAATGGGAGAAAATTTTTGCAATCTACCTATTTGACAAATAGCTAATATCCAGAATCTACAAAGAACTTAAACAAATTTACAAGAAAAAATCAAACAACCCCATCAAAAAGTAGGCAAAGGATATGAACAGACATTTCTCAAAAGAAGACATTTATGCAGCCAACAGACACATGAAAAAATGCTCATCATCACTGGTCATCAGAGAAATGCAAATCAAAACCACAGTGAGATACCATCTCACACCAGTTAGAATGGTGATCACTAAAAAGTTAGAAAACAACAGATGCTGGAGAGGATGTGGAGAAATAGGAATGCTTTTACACTGTTGGTGGGAGTGTAAATTAGCTCAACCATTGTGGAAGACAGTGTGGTGATTCCTCAAGGATCTAGAACTAGAAATACCATTTGAGACAGCAATCCCATTACTGGGTATATACCCAAGGGCAATCCCATTACTGGGTATATACCCAAAGGATTATAAATCATGCTACTATAAAGACACATGCACACATATGTTTATTGCGGCACTATTCACAACAGCAAAGACTTGGAACAAACCCAAATGTCCATCAATGATAGACTGGATTAAGAAAATGTGGCATATATACACCATGGAATACTACGCAGCCATGAAAAAGCATGAATTCATTTCCTTTGCAGGGACATGGATGAAGCTGGAAACCATCATTCTCAGCAAACTAACAAGAGGATAGAAAACAAAACACTGCACGTTCTCATTCATAGGTGGGAATTGAACAATGAGAACACATGGACACTAGGCAGGGAACATCACACCCTGGGGCCTGGTGGGGGCGGGGGCCTGGAGGAGGGATAGCATTAGGAGAAATACCTAATGTAAATGACAAGTTGATGGGCGCAGCAAGCCAACATGGCACATGTATACCTGTGTAACAAACCTGCTCGTTTTCCACATGTACCCTAGAACTTAAAGTATCATGTGGTGGACATGGAGAGCAAGGAAGTGTAGAGTTTCATGTTTTATATGCTATCAGTATTAAATTGTTATCAACCTAAAATAAGCTGCTGTAACTATAGATGTTTTATGTAAACTTCCTAATAATCACAAAGAAAAAAGTTTTAGTAGACACACAAAAAATAAAAAGAAAGTAATCAAAGCATACCACTGCACTGCAAAAAATTATTAAATCATCAAGACAGCAAGAAAAGAAGAAATAAAACAAAGGAACTACAAAATAGCCAGAAAAGAACAAAATGGCAATAGTAAGGCCTTACCTATGAATAATTAATTTAAATGTAAGTGTATTAAATTCTCCAATCAAAAGGCATAGCGACCGAATGAATAAAAACAAGATCCAACATATATAACCCATAACAGACTCACTTTATATTTAAGAACATGCATAGACTGAAAGTGAAAAGATGAATAAAGATAGTAAATCAAATAGAAACCAAAAGAGAGCAGGGGTGACTATACTTATATAAGACAAAATAGACTTTAAGTGAAAACTGTCATGAGGAACAAAGAAAGTCATTAAATAATGATAAAGCAATTTATCAAGAAGGCATAACAATTGTAAATAAATAGGCAGCCAATATTGGAGTACCTAGATATGTAAAGTAAATATTAACCAAACTGAAGGGAAAGATAGACAGCAATACAATAATAGTAGGGGACTTAAATACCCCACTTTCAACAATAGGTAGATCATCCAGACAGAAAATCAATAAGAAAGCAGTAAACATGAGCAGCACTATAGAGGAAATGGACCCAAAGAACATACACAGAACAGTCCATCCAACAGAAGAGTACACATTCTTCTCAAGAACACATGGAATATTCTCTGGAATAGATCATACGGCAGGCCACAAAATCAGTCCTAACAAATTTAAGGTCAAAATTATACCAAGTATCTTTTCTGACCACAGTGTTATGAAACTAGAAATCAATAACAGGAGACAAACTGGAAAATTTCACAAATATGTAGAAATTAAGCAACACTCTACTAAACAAACAGTGAAAGAAAAAATCAAAAAATATCTTGAGACAAATAAAAATGGCAACACATATACCAAAACTTATGGGATACAGCAAAAGCAGTTCTAAGAAGTTTATAGCAATAACAACATACATTAAGAAAAAAGAATGATCACAAATAAACAACCTGTTATACCTTATGGAAGAAGATAAAGAAGAACAAACTAAGCTCACAATTAGCAAAAAGAAGAAAATAATAAAGTTAAAAGCAGAAAGAAACGAGATAGAGGCTAGAAAAACAGAAATGATCAATGAAACTAATACTTTGTTTTTTGAAAAGGTGAGCAAAATAGACAAATTCTTAGCTAAACTAAGGGAAAAAAAACAGAAGACTCAAATAAATAAAATTATAAATAAGAGAGGAGGTATTACAACCAATGCCATAGAAACACAAAGGAATAGAAGAGATTATAATTATACATCAAAAAGGTACATAATCTAGAAGAGATGGATCATTCTTAGAAACATCCAAGTTCCTAAGACTGAACTATGAAGAAATAGAAAACCTGAATGGACCAATAACAAGTAAGAAGACTAAATCAGTCATTTTAAAAAAAATTCCCTTTGAAAAGAAAGACTAGGATCTGTTGGCTTCACAGTTGAGTTCTAACAACATTTAAAGACTTAGTGTCAATGCTGCTCAAACTCTTTAAAAAAATTAGAAGTGAGAAGACTTTGAAACTGATAACACAAGGCCAGCATTGCCCTGATACCAAACCCAGATAAGCACATTACAAGAAAAGAAAACTACAAGCCAATACCCCTGATGAGCATAGATGCAAAAATTCTCAACTAACCACTGACAAACCAAATTCAGTAGCACATTAAAAGGATCATACACCATGATCAGGTGGCATTTATCCCCCAGATGCAAAGATTATTCAACATACACAAATTAATAAATGTCATAGACTGCAACAACAGAATGAAGGATAAGAAACATATGATTATCTTAATATATGCAGAAAAGGCATGCAACAAAATTCAACAACTTTCATGACAAAAACTCTCAACCAATTAGATATAGAAAGAATGTGCCTCAATATAATAAAGTTTATGTATGGGAAATCCACAGCTAACATTATACCCAAAGGTGAAAATTTGAAAGCTTTCCTCTAAGTTCAAGAATAAGATAATGATGCCCAATCTCACCACTTCTATTCAACATGGTACTGGAAGTTTTAGTCAGAGCAAGTATCCCAAAAAAGGAAACAAAAGCCGCCAACATTAGAATAGAAGAAGTGAAACTCCCTCTGTTTGTAGATGACATGATCTTATATAAAGAAAACCCTAAAGAATCCACCAAAAAACTATTTTAAATGAGTGAATTTAGTAAACTTGCAGAATACAAAATCAACATACAAAAATCAGTTATGATTCTATATGCTAATGAACTATCTGAAAAAGAAATTAAGAAAACAATTTTTTACAATGGTATAAAAATACTTAGGTATAAATTTAACCAAAGAAGTGTAAGATCTGTATGCTGAAAAACTATAAAGCACTGATGAAAGAAATTAAACAAAAATACATGGAAAGATATCCCACGTTCATAGATTGGAAGAATTGATATTGTTAAAATGGCCACACAAAGTGATCTAGAGAGTCAATGCAATTCCTATCAAAATTACAATGGCCTTTTTCACAGAAATAGTAAAAATAATGTTAACCTTCATATGGAATCACAAAAGATACAGAATAGCAAAAGCAGTATTATCGAGAAAAAACGAAGCTATAGGCACCTCACTTTCTGATTCCAAATTATGTTACAAAGCTATGATAATGAAAACAGTGTGATACTGTTATAAAAACATGGACATAGATGAATGAAACAGAATAGAGAGCCCAGACATAAACCTTCACATATCTGATCAACTAATCTTTGACAAGGGCACTAAGAATATGCAATGGAGCAAGGATAATCTCTTCAGTAAATGGTGCTGAGAAACCTGGTTATGTGCATGCAAAAAAATAAAATTGAATTCATATCTTACACCATACACAAAAGTCAACTCAAAATGGATTAAAGACTTAATTGTAAGACATAAAATCATAAACTTCTAGAAGAATACATAGAAAAAACACTCCTTGACATTCCTAGCAATGATTTTCTGGATTCAACACCAAAAGTACAGGCAATAAAAGCAAAAAATAAACAAATGTGATTACATCCATCTAAAAAGCTTCTTCACAGCAAAGGAATCAACAGAGTGAAGAGACAACCTACAGAATGGGATAAAGTGTTCACAAACCACACATCTGATGATGAGTTAATATTAAAAATATGTATGGAAGTCATACAACCCAAAAGCAAACATACCAAATAACCTGATTTTAAAATGAACAAAGAATCTGAATAGAAACTTATCTAAAGAAGACATGCAAAAGATCAACATCACTAGTTGCTCGACATCACTAATCATCAGAAAGATGCAATCAAAACCACAATAAGATATCATCTCACGCCTATTAGATTGGTTATTATAAAAAGACAAAAGATAAAAAGTATTGATGAGGATGTGGAAAAAGGGAACCCTTGTACACTGTTGGCAGGAATGTAAATTGTTATAAGCATCATGCAAAAAAGTATGGAGTTCCTTAAAAAATTAAAAGTAGAACTACTATATGATTCAGTAATCTTACTTTCAGGTACTTACCCAAAAATAAAAATAAAATTACTATCTTGAAGAGAAATCTGCTCCCCCATGCTTATTGCAGCATTATTCACAATAATCAAGATATGGAAACAGCTTAAATATCAATCAGTGGATAAATAGATAAAGACACTGTAGAACACACAATATACAATATGTAGACACAATATGCAATAGAATATTATTTAGCTTTTAAAAAGAAAAAGGAAATCCTGACTTTTGTGACATTTGTAAAAATATGAATAGATCTAGAGAACATTATGTTAAGTGAAATAAGCCAGACATAGAAAAACAATTACTGTATAATATAATTTATATGTGAAATCTAAAATATTCAAACTCACAGAAGTACAGCGTAAAATGGTGGTTGCCAAAGATTTGGGGAAGGGGGCAATTGGGAGATGACAGTTAAAGGGTACAAAATTTTAGTTATATAAGATAAATTCTGTAGCTCTAATATAAAGCTTAGTGCCTATAGCTAAGAATACCATGTTGTATACTTAATGCATTAGTCCATTTTCACATTGCTATAAAGAACTACCTGAGACTGAGTACTTTATATACATAAAAAAGGAGGTTTAATTAGATCACACCCCACCAGGACCCTTCTCCAACATTGAGGATTACAATTTGACATGAGATTTCAGTGAGGACACAGAGCCAAACCATATAACTTAACATTTGCTAAGAGGGTATATCTTATGTTAAATGTTCTAAACACAAAGAAAAAAATAATTTAAAAAGGGGTCGGGGGGATCTACAGAAGGTGATTAATATGTACCTGGCTTTGATGGTGGTGAAAATTTCACAGATGTGGACTCATTGAGAGGCATATATTAAGTATGAACTGCTATTTATATGTTAATCATACCCCAATAAAGTTATTTATTTTTAATTTTAAAAAATCTTTTATATTAGTTTCAGGTGTACATTTGCAGGTTTGCTATATAGGTAAACTCATGTCACAGGGGTTTGTTGTACAGGGTATTTTGTCATCCAGGTACTAATTCTAGTATCCATTGACTATTTTTTCTTATCTTCTCCCTCTTCCCACCCTTCACCCTTCAATAGGCCCCACTGTCTGTTGTTCCCTTTTTGTGTCTATATGTTCTCCTAATTTAACTCCACTTATAAATGAGAACATATGGTATGTGGATTTGTGTTCCTGCATTAGTTTGCTAAGGATAATGACCTCCAGCTCCATCCATGTTGCTGCCAGGAACATGATCTCATTCTTTCTTATGGCTTCATAGTATTCTGTGGTGTATATGTACTACATTTTCTTTATCCAGCCTACCATTGATGGGCACTTAGGTTGATTCCATATGTTTGCCATTGTGAATAGCGCTGCAATCAACATATGCATGCATGTGTCTTTACGGTAGAAAAATTTATATTCCTTGGGGATATGTACCCAGTTATAGGATTGCTGGGTTGAAGTACTGTTTTTAGCTCTTTGAGGAATTGCCAAACTGCTTTCCACAATGGTTGAACTAGTTTAAACTCCCACCAACAGTATATGTGTTCCCTTTTCTGCACAACCTCACCAGCATCTATTATTTTTTGACTTTTTACTAATAGCCATTCTGACTAGAGTGATATGGATTCTCATTGTGGTTTTGATTTGCATTTTTCTAATGATCAGTGATGTTGAGCATTTTTATATGATTTTTTGGTGGTATGTATGTCTTATCTTAAAAAGTGTCTGTTCATATCTGTTGCCCACTTTGTAATGGGGTGGTTTTTTCGGTGTTTTTTGTAAATTTAAGTTTTTCATAGATGCTGGCTATTAGACCTTTGTCAGATGCATAGTACGCAAAAATTTTCTCCCATTCTATAGGTTGTCTGTTTACGCTTCTTTTGCTGAGTAGAAGCTCTTCAGTTTGATAAGATCCCATTTGTGAATTTTGGGTTTTGTCGCAATTGCTTTTCACATCTTCATAATGAAATTTTTGCCCATTCCTGTGTTCAGAATCTTATTGCTTATGTTGTCTTCCAGGGTTTTTATTGTTTTAGGTTTTATTTTTAAGTCTTTAATCTATCTTGAGTTTATTTTTATTTATGGTATAAGGAAGGAGTACAGTTTCAATCTTCTGCATGTGGCTAGCCAATTATCCCAGCACCATTTATTGAATAAGGAATCTTTCCCATTGCTTGTTTTTGTCAGGCTTGCCAAGGATCAAATAGTTGTAGGTATATGGCTTTATTTATAGGCTCTCTATTCTATTCCATTAGTCAATATGTCTGGTTTTGTACCAATACCATGTTGTTTTGGTTACTGTAGCCCTGTAGAATAGTTGCATGATGCCTCCAGCTTTGTTCTTTTTGCTAGGATTGCCTTCGCTATTGAGGCTAATTTTTGGTTCCCTAAGAATTTTAAAATAGTTTTTTCTGGTTCTGTGAAGACTGTCATTGGTAATTTTATAGGAATAGTGTTAAATATGTAAATTGTTTTGGACAGTATTGCCATTATAATGATAATGATTCTTCCTGTTCATGAGCATGGAATGTTTTATACTTTGTTGTGTCTTCTGTGATTTCTTTGAGCAATGTTTTGTAGTTCTCCTTGTAGAGATCTTTCACCACCATCAGTAGTTGTGCTCTTAGGTAGTTTATTTTTTGTGGCAATTGTGAATAGGATTGCATTTCTGATTTGGCTTCCAGCTTGATTCTTGTGTTTGTTTAGAAATGTTAGTTATTTTTGCACATTGCTTTTGTATCCTGAAACTGCTGAAGTTTTTTATCAGCTAAAGGTGCTTTTGGGCCAAGACTATGGGGTTTTCTAGATAAGAATTATGTTGTTTGCAAACGGACAGTTTGACTTCCTCTCTTTCCATCTGGATGCTCTTTCTTTCTTTCTCTTGCCTGATTGCTCTGGTCAGGACTTCTAATACTATGTTAATAATAGTAGTGAAAGAAAGCATCATTTTCTTTTGCCAGTTTTCAAGGGAATGCTTCTAGCTTTTGTCCATTGAGTATGATGTTGGCTGTGGGTTTTCATAGATGGCCCTTATTATTTTCAGGTATGTTCCTTCAATATCTAGTTTATTTAGAGTTTTTAACAGGATGAGGTGTTGAATTTTATCAAAAGCCTTTTCTGCCCTATTGAAATAATCATATGGTTTTGCCTCTAGTTCTGTTTATGTGATGAATTACATTTATTGATTTATTGATTTGTGGATGTTGAACCAACCATGCATCCATCCCAGGGATAAAGCCTACTTGATCGTGGTGGATAAGCTTTTGGATGTGCTACTGGATTCATTTTGGAAGTATTTTGCTCAAGATTTTTGCATCAATGTTTATCAAGAATATTTGCCTGAAGTTTTTTTGCTGTTGTTTTTGTATCTCTGCCAGGTTTTGGTATCAAGATAATTCTGGCCTCATAGAATGAGTTGGGTAGGAGTCATCCCTCCCTATTTTTTTTTTTCAAAAGTTTTAGTAGGAATAGTACCAGCTCTTTGTTGTACATCTGGTAGAATTTGACTGTGAATCTGTCTTTTCCTGAGCTGTCTTTTGTTTGTAGGCTATTTATTGCTGATTTTATTGCTGATTCATTTTTGGAGCTCACTGTTGGTCTGTTCATGGAATTAGTATCTTCCTGGTTCCATCTTGGGAGGTTGTATATGTCCAGCAATTTATCCATATCTTCTTGTTTTCTGGTTTGTCTGCACACAGGTGCTCACAGTATTCTCTGATGGTTATTTGTATTTCTATGTGGTCAGTGGTAACATTCACTTTGTAGTTTCTAATTGTATTTACTTGAATCTTCTTTCTTTTCTTCTTTAGTAGTCTAGCTAGCAGTCTATCTCTCTTATTTTTTTTTAATAAACCAATCTAGGATTCATTGTACTTTTGTGTGATTTTTGTTTCTCAATCTCCTTCAGTTTAGCTCTGGTTTTGATATTTCCTGTCTTCTGTTATATTTGGGATTTGTTTGCTCTGGCTTCCCTAATTTTTTTTTAGTTGTGATGTTAGATTGTTAATTTAAGATGTTTCTAACTTTCTGATGCAGGCATTTAGTGCTATAAAGTTTTCTCTTAACACTCTCTTAACTGTGTCCCAGAGCTACTGATATGATGATTCTTTGTTCTCAGTAGTATAAAATAACTTCTTGATTTCTGCATTAATTCTAATATTTACCCACAAGTAACCCAGAAGCAACTTGTTTAACTTCCATGTACTTGCATGGTTTTCAGTAAGGTTTATTTTGTTTGTTTGTTGTTTGTTGGTTTGTTGGTTTGTTTTTGAGACAGAGTCTTGCTCTGTCTCCAGGTTGGAGTGCAGTGGTGTGATCTCAGCTCACTGCAAACTCTGCCTCCCAGGTTCAAGGATTCTCCTGCCTCAGCCTCCTGAGTAACTGGGACTAGGCACACGCCACCATGCCTGGCTAATTTTTGTATTTTTAGTAGAGATGGGGTTACACCATGTTGGACAAGCTGGTCTCAAACTCCTGACCTAAGTGATCTGCCTGTCTTGGCCTCCCAAAGTGCTGGTATTACAGGTGTGAACCTCCACACTCAGCCTTGAGTAAGCTTTTTATTCTTGAAGTTAATTTTTTTAAAAAGCAGAAAGTAACATCAAATAGCTTATGAAAAATTGTGACAGAAATGAATAGACACATTTATGACTTTATGGTGGATTGAAAAGATATTACCTCTGCTTTCTCTTGATATCTCTGTTAAATAATTTGAAGGATTTGAAAAACACACACACATACACACACACAATTGCCTTTAACTTAAATTCAAGGGTTCAAAGGAAACAAGAGTAGCAATATGAGTAGACAAAAGATATCAACAAAATTTCCAAAACTAAAAAACAGAGCTGGTGGGTATATAAGTGATTGTCACAAGAGAAACTATAAAAGCCTCCAAATACCCTTAAAAAGTTAAAATGAAGAGCAGAAATTCTGCTAAGTGTTTATAAAGGAAGCAGATAGACCAGTATATTTCCCACTGAATTCTGAAGGCTGGCAAATACCCACCCCTATCTGACAAAAAACTCAGGTAAATTATAATATTTAAATTAGCTAAATCAAAAAATTCTAGAATCAGGACTTGCCTGGGCACAGGTAAGCGGGGGGTGCAGTTCTGAAGTGTAAGAATTGGGAAGATTAAACTAGAGGATACAACATACACAACTGTGAGACTTGGGCCCCCTTTTCCTCTAACTTGGCTCTGAAATATGAGCAATCATAGGCAGTGTATTAATCTTTTCTCACAATGTTATGAAGACATACCCAAGACGGGGTGATTTAAAATGAAAAGAGGTTTAATTGATTTACAGTTCCACATGGCTTGGAAGGCCTCAGGAAACTTACAATCATGACAAAAGGGGAAGTAAACACATCCTTCTTCACAAGGCAGCAGGAGAAAGAAATGCCAAGCAAAGAGGGAAAAACCCCTTATAAAACAATCAGATCTCTTGAGAATTCACTGACTATCACAAGAACAGCTGCATGGGCATAACTGCCCCCGTGATTCAATTATCTCCCATGAGGTCCCTCAGAAATGTGGGAATTATGGAAACTAAAATTCAAGATGAGATTTGGATGGGGACACAGCCAAACCATATTATTCAACCCCAATCCCTCCCAAATCTCATTTTCTCACATTTCAAAACACAATCATGCCTTCCCAACAGTCTTGCAAAGTCTTAACTCATTCCCACATTAACCCAAAAGTCCAAGTCCAAAGTGTCATCTGGGACAAGGCAAGAAGTCTCTTCTGTCTATGAGCCTGTAAAATCAAAAGCAAGTTAGTTACTTTCCAGATATAATGAGGATAGAGGTATTGGGTAAATACATCCATTTTAAATGGGAGAAAGTGGCCAGCCCTGTGGCTTTGCAGGGAACAGCACCCCTCCTGGCTGCTTTCTTGGGCTGGCATTGAGTGTCTGTGGCTTTTCCAGGCACAAAGTGCAAGCTGTCAGTGGATCTACCATTCTAGGGATGATGGCCCTCTTCTCACAGCTCCACTAGTCAATACCCCAGTGGGGACTCTGTGTGGGAGCTCCAACCACACATTTCCCATCTGCACTGCCCTGGTAGTGGTTCTCCATGAGGGCTCTGCCTCTACAGCAAACTTCTGCCTGGACATCCAGGCATTTCCATACATCCTCTGAAATCTAGGAGGAGGTTCTCAAACCTCAGTTTTTGACTTCTTTGCACCCACGTGTAAACCACCAAGGCTTGAGGTTTGTACTCTCTGAAGCAATGGCCTGAGCTGTATGCTGGCCCCTTTTATCCAGAGCTGGAGCTGAAGCAGCTGGAATGCAGGGCACCACGTTCTAAGGCTGCACACAGCAGGAGGGTCCTGAGCCTGGCCCATGAAACCATTTTTCCCTCCTCGGCCTCTAGGCATGTGATGAGAGGGGCTGCATTGAGGTTCTCTGATATGCCCAGGAGATATTTTCCCCATGGCCTTGGTAATTAACATTCAGCTCCTTGTTACTTATGCAAATTTCTGCAGAAGACCTTGAATTTCTCCCCAGAAATGGGGTTTTCTTTCCTATCAAATCTTCAGGCTACAAATTTTCCAAACTTTTATGCTCTGCTTCCTCTTGAATGCTTTGCCGCTTAGAAATTTATTCCACCAGACACCCTAAATCATCTTTCTCAAATTCAAAGTTCCACACATCTCTCTGGTAGGGGCAAAATGCCAGTCTTTTTGCATAGCAAGACTCATCTTTACTCCAGTTCCCAACAAGTTCCCTTCTCCATCTGACATCACCTCAGCCTGGACTTCATTGTCCATCTTACTATCAGCATTTCAGTCAAAGCCATTCAAGAAGTCTCTAGCAAGTTCCAAACTTTCCCACATCTTCCTGTCTTCTGAGCCCTGCAAGTCTTTAGGAAGCTCCAAACTTTCCTACATTTTCTTGTCTTCTTCTGAGCCCTCCAAGCTGTTCCAAGCTCTGTTATCCAGTTCCAAACTTGCTTCCACATTTTTGGGTATCTTTACAGCAGCACCCCACACCTGGTGCCAATTTACTGTATTAGGCCATTCTCACCCTGCTATGAAGAAATATTTAAGACTGGGTAATTTATGATGAAAAGTGGTTTAATTGATTCACAGTTCCACATGGCTGGGAGGGCCTCAGAAAACTTACAATCATGGCAAAAGTGGAAACAAACACGTCCTCCTTCACAAGGCAGCAGGAGAGATATGCCAAACAAACAGGGAAAAGCTCCTTATAAAACCATCAGATCACCTGAGAACTCACTATCACAAGAACAGCAGCATAGGGTAACCAACGCCATAATTCAATTACCTCCCACTGGGTCCCTCTCATGACACATGGGGATTATGGGAACTACAATACAAGATGAGATTTTGGTGGGAATACACCCAAACCATATCAGGCAGGGATTAGACTACTCCCTTACTGAGGAAATACACTGGCCCAAAAGCAGACCTGTAGCTACTGACAGCTGGAAATCCTCCTAGTAAAAATGGCTTGGTTTCTGTCCAATTAAACTTTAGTTAATGCTGTTACTTGACAAACCTCTCCCACACCACACACAGAGTTCCCAATCAGTCTTAAGTGGCCTAGGATCATGAGAGGTTGATGAGAATCCTAAACATAAAAGAGACCAAAGCATACAAACAGAAACAATGGAGCACAGGAGATGCAGAGACAGCACAGGGAGCAGAAGTAAACTTGAAACAAACAAAAAAAAAACAATAACTCAGATTGTCAAAAATGGTGAGATAAATATTGCATCCAAAAGAACAAGAATAGAACTCTATTTTAATAGATATATTCAGAATATAAAGAAGCTTTTGGATATTAAAGATTTGATAAAATAAATTTAAAACTCAGTCAAAATGATGAAAGAGAAACTTGAGAAAATCTGCCAGAAAGTAGAACAAATAAAGAGATTGAAACAGTAGAGAAAACATAAGAAAATTAGAAATACAAATAAGGATGATAATGAACAGACACTTTCCAAGTTACTTGTTAGTGACATGCAAGAATCTTAGAGATAAATATTCTAAAAAGTTTCCCAACTTGGAGGAACAGAATCAATTTACAGACAAAGTAAATGAATAGAGGATTTCTCAAAAATAACACTGGATTCTATAAGTAAATGGAGTAAGGATGTCAAATTATAAAAGAAAAATATTGTAAGCTATAATTCTATGTCCTTCAAAGAACAAACATGTGTGAAGGTGGAATTTTAAAAAATATGTTTTAGAAACTCAAGTTTTCAAAATTTTACTTCACTTACACCTTTTCTCAGGAAGCACCTGGAAAATAAGCTCTACTAAAACAAATAAACCAAGAAAGAGGAATACATGAGGTCCAGGAAAGAAGTGGTTCAACGTAGGAAATAAATGAAATCTCAGGATATTGACAAAAGGAAGTCAAGCATATTAGTGAATCAAAATCCAAGACGATAGCTGTGCTGCAGGTCCAATAAGGAATCAGTCCTGATCAGAGTATGTGGTTGAAGGCTTGCTGATGGGGTGTTGTCATAGCCCATTTGGGCTGCTATAACAAAATAAGTTAGACTGGATAACTTATAAACAACTGTAAGATTTGTTGCTCATGGTTCTGGAGGCTGAGCAGTCCAAGATCAAGGCTCCAGCAGATTGAGTGTCTGGTGAAACATCTCTCTCTGCTTCATAAATGGTATCTTCTTGCTGTATGCTCACATGTGGAAAGGGCACACATGCTCTCTCAGACCTCTTTTACAAGGGTGCTAATCATTCCCAGGCCTCTACCCTCCTGAACTAGTCATCTCCTAAAGGCCCCACTTCCTAACACTGTAATAACACAGTGAGGATTATATTTAAAGATATGAATTTTGGAGGGACACATTCATATCATAGTAGAGGTCACCAAAGAAAAGTGAAACTAATATATTGAGGAGAATTAATCTTCCGTGGGAGAATTTGGGTATGAATTAGTGATAGCTATATCAAAATAAATCAAATAATAAATAGGCAATTCATGGCTACAGAGAAAGCAAAAGAGTTCTGTTTCTGAAAGACTACATAGCTCATGAGGGAACTCTAGCTAGTTATAATAATGTAAATATTAAATACCGATTGATGAAAAAATTATGAAAAAACTCTTTCAGGGTATTGGGGGAGACATGTATTAGAGAGTCAATATTAGAGAGAAAATCTTCATATTCCAAAGCATAATAATAAATCAAAATTATAAAATCAAGAAATTGCATGTTATTTAAGCCGGCATAAGTATGTTATTTAGACTAAGTAGGTAATTAGCCAAAAAAAAAAAAAAAAAAAAGTTAAAAAGGTTTGCCTTTGGAGAGTGGGAATTAGAATGACCCAGGTTAAGCTATGATGAAGCAGAGGACTCCTATTCTTTGTTATAGGCTGTCACTTTAACTAGACTATTAAATATAATTTAATTTAAAAATGTAATTATATAAGAAAATACAGTTTTGGTGACAGAAAAAGTATATCTCTGAAAATGATTTGCTATAGCATCAAAAAAATTACAAGAAAATCAATTTATAAAAGGCAACATGAAATTAAAATGGACTGAAACAGCTAACAACATAATAGAAAAATAAAAATAAACATTAAGAACAATAAGGAGCATACAAACTCTTGCAGAAAATAGAAACAATATTATTGAGGACAAATTTAAACCATAATAAACTAGGAAAGGTACAATGGGATGAAAATAATAAGAGAAAAAATAATAAAAATTGATGTCAGAGAAGAGGACCATATCTACATGCGGTGTTAATAAAGGAAAGTTCAAAATAAATAAAAAAAAAATACAGCCCTAATAGAACAAAATATTCTGAGCTGAAGAAAACAATCTCTGTATGTTATTTAAAAATGCTTGCCCAGGCGCAGTGACTCACTCCTATACTCCCAGCACTTTGGGAGGCCGAGGTGGGTGGATCACTTGAAGTCAGGAGTTAGAGACCAGCCTGGACAACATAGTGGAGCCCTGCCTCTACCAAAAATTACAAAAATTAGCTGGATGTGGTGGCATACACCTGTGGTCCCAGCTACCCAGGAGGCTGAGGCAGGATAATTGCTTGAACCTGGGAGGTGGAGGTTGCAGTGAGCTGAGATCATGCCACTGCACTCCAGCCTGGGCAACAGAGTGGGACTCCATCTCAATAATAACAATAATAATAAAAATAAAAGGCTAACTGTATTCCAGAAAGTGATCAATAAAGAGGGGTAAATCTTTGAAATGGTTTTTTAAAAAGGACAAAGAAAAAAAAGGATCCTGCTATCAGGAAGAAAATGTATGTTCCCTTAAAAAGGGAACAGTTGCAAGTAATAATCAATACAGCAATGTGCAGAGAATATTTAAGGAATAAAATGGTAAACCCAAAATTTTATGCCTTGCCAATTTGTAGTTTGTATATTAAGGCAGAGAAAAGCATTCTTATTCTTTCCTGCCAGGTTCATTAAGCACCACCTGTACTAGGTATCTAGGAATGCTGTAACAAATTACCATAACTTTGGAGGCTTACAACAACAGAAATTTGTTCTCTTATAGTTAAAGGGACCATAAGTCCAAAATTAAGGTGTCAGCTTGGCTGCATTTCCTCTAGAGGCTCTAGGGAATAACCTACTCGTTGCCTCTTCCTAGTTTCTGGTGACTATTGGCAATCCTCGGTGCTCCTTGGTTTATAGTTGCATCACTCCAATCTCTGATGCTCTCTTCCCATCACCAGCTTCTCTTCATGGCTGTGCCCAAATTCCCTCTGCCTCTCTCTTGCATGACTGCATTTAGGGTTTGTCTCGAAAATCCAGTATTTGCTTCACCTCTCAAGATCCTCAACTGAATCACATCTTTTGCCATATAAGGTGAGAGTGACAGGTTCTGGGGATTATGATGTGGGCATATCTTTGGAGACACCATTCAACCCACTACACCATCTGTATTAGGGTTCTCTAGAGGAACAGAACTAATAGGAGACACACACACACACACACACATATATATATGCATTTATTAAGTATTAACTTACACAATCACAAGGTTCCAGAGGGAGGAATGCTGCCTGTAAGCTTGAGGCTGCTTGGCTGTTGGCAAACTTGAGCAAGAAGTCAGTCTGAGTCTCAGAATTGAAGAACTTGGAGTCCAATGTTCAAGGGCAGGAAGCATCCAGCATGGGAGAAATCTGTGGGCTGGGAGGCTAGGCCACTCTCTCCTTTTCACGTTTTTCTGCCTGCTTTATATTTGCTGCCAGCTGATTGGATGGCGCCCACTCGATTAAGGGTGGGTCTACCTTTCCCAGTCCACTGACTCAAATGTTAATCTCCTTTGGCAACACCCTCATAGACACACCCAGGATTAATACTTTGTATCCTTTAATCCAATCACATTGACACTTAGTATTAACCATCATAAGTCCACCCCTTTTCAACTTGAACCTATACACATCTCCTGAGATCATAACATAATCTTCAAATAAAGAAAGACAATAGTAAGGTCATAATTGTGCCTAACATAATACCACTATCCTCCGTACAACCGGAAACGCACCAATCCCCAACCCAAATGCTATTACATAAAGTTAATACTCAAATGCTGAAATGAAGTAAATAAATCTTATGTCACATGATAAAGGAAAAAGGAAGTAAAATGAAGATATTTTCTTAGCACAAGTGTATACATGCACAAACATGTTTTTAACAAAAGAAGGAGGAAATACTCATGACAACTACAGTTCCTGTTTCTGCAACTGGTCACATGGTCATAGCTGGTATTGATGACTACCTTTTTCTACTACCCATTCTGTATTCCCTTTGCCTTCAGCAAGCACCTCAGTAGGTCGAGTTTTTTTCCTGGCGGAGTGACCCAAACCTTCATTCCTAAAGGATCTGGGCCATTTGTAGTCCTGCCTGGATCGGGCTGTTGTAGCTTCCCATTGACCTTAATCACAGGGCATGGTAATAGTAAGAGATGCCCTAATGGATCTCCTGTATTCCACGCATACTCTTCCTTACCTCTGTTGTGGAGTAATAGACTGATTTCATCTTGTTAGTCTGGGTCAATCACCCCAGCCAACACTGTAACTCCTTTGTTAGTCTGTTGACTTAAAAGTAAGAGGACCCCAAAGTGTCCAGGTTGCAATCTTAACTTCCATTTTAATGGGATTGTTGTGTCTCCTGGTGGTAGCATTCCTCCCTCTGGAACTAAGACCTCTAGGCCAGCAGAACACAATGTCACGGGAACAGGAAGCAAAAATTTTGCTACTGGATCACTAGGGGTGATGGTGAGTGGTGCTACTTCCACCTCTTGATTCCTGGACCCATAAATCCTGGTTATAGGAGAAACAGTACTATATATTGGTTGCTGATTCAGAGCATACACGACCTTCTGGAGAACTCTGCTCCAGCCCTGCATCGTATTGTCACCTAGTTGGCATTGTAACTGTGACTTCAAAAGGCCATTCCACCATTCTATAAATCCAGCTACTTTAGGATAATGGGGACATGGTAAAACCAGTGAATTTCATAAGCATAAGCCCACTGCTGCACTTCTTTAGCCATAAAGTGAGTGCCTTGGTCAAAGGCAATGCTGTATGGAACACCATGATGGTGGATAAAGCATTTCATGAGTCCATAGATGGTAGTCTTGGCAGAAGCACTGTATGCAGCATAGGCAAACCCATATCTGAGGTAAGTGTCTATTCCAGGGAGGACAAACCTCTGCCCTTTCCATTACGGACAAGGTCCAAAACAATCAACTTGCCACCAGGTAGCTGACTGATCACCCTGAGGAATGGTGCCATATCAAGGGCTCAGTGTTGGTCTCTGCTGCTGGCAAATTGGGCACTCAGCAGTGGCCATAGCCAGGTCAGCCTTGGTGAGTGGAAGTAAATGTTGCTGAGCCCATGTGTAACCTCCATCCCTGCCACCATGGGCATTTTGTTCGTGGGCCCATTAGGTGATAACAGGGGTGGCTGGGGAAAGAGCTGGAGTGGTGTCCACAGAAGGGGTCATCCTATCTACTTGATTATTAAAATCTTCCTCTGCTGAGGTCACTCATTGGTGAGCACTCACATGGGATACAAATATCTTCACAGTTTTTGGCCACTCACAGAGGTTTCCATCCACATATCTCTTCCCCAAATTTCTTTGTCACCAATTTTCCAATCATGCTTCTTCCAAGTCCCTGACCAGCCAGTGAAACCATTGGCTACAGCCCATGAATCAGTATATAATCACACATCTGGCCATTTCTCCTTCCATGCAAAGTCTACCACTGGGTTCACTGCTCGAAGTTCTGCCCACTGGGAAGATTTCTCTTCACTGCTGTCCTTCAGGGATGTCCTAAAAAGGGGCTGTAGTGCTGCAGCTGTCCACTTTCAGCTGGTGCCTGCATATCGTGCAGAATCATCTGTGAACCAGGACCTAGTATTCTATTCCTCTGTCAACTTTTAGGGAACTCCCCATGAGGTCACTGGTGCAGGCTGAGAGAGAGAAGGCAGGGTGGCAGGAGAAGAGATCATGGGCATTTGAGCCACTTCCTCATGTAACTTACTTGTGCCTTCAGGAGCTGCTTGACCCCAGCCACGTATATACTACTTGCATTTGATAATGAAATCCTGCTGTGCATACCCCACTTTATGGCTAGAAGGGTCAGAAAGCACCCAGTTCATGATAGGCAGTTCAGGTCACATGGAGACTTGATGACCCATAGTCAAATGTTCAGTTTCTAGTTTCTACCAAAGCTCAGTAACAGGCCAGGAGCTGTCTCTCAAAAGGAGAGTAGTTATCTGCAGATAATGGCAGGGTCTAGGTCCACAATCCTAGAGGTCTCCTCTGTGACCTATGGAGGCCTGCCAAAGGCCCCAAACAGCATCCCTATCTGCCACTGACACCTCAAACATCATTCGATCCACTGGATCATATGGCCCAAGTGGCAGAGAAGCTTTCACAGCAGCCTGGACCTGTTTCAGAGCCTCCTCCAGTTCTGGACCCCACTCAAAACTGGCAGCCTTTCAGGTCACTCAATAAATGGGCCAGAGTAACACACTCAAATGAGAAATGTGTTGCCTCCCAAATCCAAATAGGCCCACTAGGCATTGTGCCTCTCTCTTGGTTGTAAGAGGGGCCTAATGCAGTAACTTATGCTTCACCTTAGAAGGAATATCTTGACAAACCCCACACCACTGGACCCCCTAGAAATTTTACTGAGGTAGAAGGTCCCTGAATTTTAGTTGGATTTATTTCCCATCCTCTGGCATGCAAATGTCTCACCAATAAGTCCAGTGTGTTTGCTACTTCTTGCTCACTGGATCCAATCAGCACAATGTCATCAATGTAATGGACCAGTGTGATATCTTGCAGAAGTGAAAAGCGACCAAGGTCTCTCCAAATAAGATTATGACACAAAGTCAGAGAGTTGATATACCCTTGAGGTAGGACAGTAACAGTATATTGCTGGCCTTGCCAGCTAAAGGCAAATTGCTTCTGGTGGGCCTAATGGACAGGAGTGGAGAAAAAGGCATTTGCCAAGTCAATGGCTGCATACCAGGTAACAGGGGATATGTTAATTTGCTCAAGCAATGAAACCACATCTGGTACAGCAGCTGCAATTGGAGTCACCACTTAGTTAAGCTTATGATAATCCACTGTCATTCTCCAAAATCCATCTGTCTTCTGCACAGGCCAAATGGGAGAGTAGAACAGGGATGTGGTGGGAATCACCACCCCTGCATCTTTCAAGTCCTTGATGGTGGCACTAATCTCTGCAATCCCTCCAGGGATGTGATATTGTTTTTGATTACTATTTTTTCTAGGTAGAGGCAACTCTAATGGCTTCTATTTAGCCTTTCCCACCATAATAACCCTCACTCTGCCAGTCAGGGAGCCAATGTGGAGGTTCTGCCAGCTGTTAAGTATGTCTATGCCATTTATGCATTCTGACACTGGGGAAACGACCACAGGATGAGTCCAGGAACCCACTGGACCCACTGTAAGTCAGAGCTGAGCTAAAACCCCATTAATTACCTGACCTCCATAAGCCTCTACTTTAACTGGAGGACCACAATGAGGTTTTGGGTCCCCTGGAATCAATGTCAGCTCAGAGCATGTCCAGTGGTCCCTGAAATGTCTAATCATTTCCCTTTACCCAATGCACAGTTACCCTTGTAAAAGGCTGGAGGTCTCCTTGGGGGGGGATGGGAGAAAGATTCACTGCATAAATTGTCGGTAATGTAGTGGGGTCCTTTAGTGGACCCCTCCTCCCATTCATTCAAGGGGTTCTGGGTCTGTAAACTGTCTCAAGTCTGGAAATTGATTGAGGGGCTGTGATTCTCTGTTTTTATAATTCAAATTAGTCTTTTGTCCATTCAACCTAGAAGTTTTCTGCTTCTATAAATTAAGTACGAATGCAATAGGCTTCCTATCAATTTCACTTCTAGGAACACCATGATTAATTAGCCTGCCAGAGCTCTACACAAGTCCTACTATTCTGATTGCCACTTTACCTCTGCTGTCAATCACAGTAGCTATGCCCACATTGCCTTTGATGGTTGAGTGCCACCACTTGGCCCCTGCCACATCAGGATTCAATTATTCCCATTGCATTTAAATTTTGTAGTTGAGTGACTACAGTTCCCACCATTAGATCTGACATCCAGAGAAGAGCAATTACAGGGCTCTTCAAAGGTGCAGGTGCTGCCCTCACAAATCTATTTTGCAAGGCATCGGTTGGCTAAGGATAAAGGCATCCAGCCCCATCTATATTCCTGCAAAGAACATGATCTCATTCTTTTTATACCTGTAGAGTATTCCAAGATATATATGTACTACATTTTCTTTATCCAGTCTACCATTGATGGGCACTTAGGTTGATTTCATACCTTGCTATTGTAAATAGTGCTGCAACAAATATAGGCATGGATTTAAATTTTGTATTTAAGTGACTGCAGTTCCCACCATTAGATCTGACATCTAGAGAAAAGCAATTACAGGGCTTTTCAAAGGTGCAGGTGCTGCTCTCACAAATCTATTGCACAAGGCATTGGTCCCTTCCAGCTGGGATGAGTCTGTCTAAAGTGACTAATCCACTCCACCATCCCAATCCCCTTAAACCTTTGGATCCCTTCCTCTACATTAAACCAAGGGAGATCAGGCATTTCTAGCTCACTCACAGTGGGCCATCTTTTAATCCGCATTTCAGCTAACCAAGCAAATAAACTATTAGAACTTTTTTAACTCCCCAAGCTGCAACATTAAATGCAGATTCCCTACTTAGTGGGCCCCAATCAATAAATTCAGCCTGATCCAACTCTATGTTGCTTCCACCATTATCCCATACCCTTAATATCCATTCCCATGCCTGTTGTCCAGATTCCTGTTTATATAAATTCGAAAACTCGGTTCTTTTCCAGTGTTGTGCGCCTCCTCATGGGTCACACTATCAACCTCACTTCTAGAGTCCCACCAGGACTTTAGTCTAATTATAGGTCTAGAAGCAAATAGAGGTGTAGAGGGTGGCTCCTGAGGAGAATCAACATTATTTTGCCTGGCAACGGCCTCAGGAGAGGCCATCACTGTTGCCTCAGGCAGTGCAGGGTTTATCTCCTCAGACAAAGGTGGAAAGGCTGATGGAATCATGGGCTGGGGAGGGGATGTTGCCACTACTGGGAATGGGGAAGCTGTTTCTTCTGGCAAAAAAGGTTCATTAGAGTTTACAAACTCAGTGTCCCCAGCTTCAACAGGGTCCTCCCACACATCCGCATTCCAAGTTGCAGGGTCCCATTATTTTCCAATCAGTGCTCTCACTTTAACAGTAGACACCTGGTGAGGCTGTGCAAGCACCTTTAGTTGCAGGTCAGCCACTCACATGATAAGAGCTTGTGTCTGTTTTTTCACAATTTCAGCTCTTTCTCCATGGGAGATAAGACTCTCACTCAGGGCAATCTTAGCAGATTTGATGTTCAGTATCTGCTTCTGAAGCTGGGAGACAGAATCCCTGAGTTCATCACTTTCTTTCATCACTTCGTCCATTGAACTTAGGAGCAACCAACCAGCTTCATTATGTCCTTGGTTCTCCTCATATGGTCAAAGATATTATGTATAAAATCACTAAACTTCTTGCCCCTCATGAGCAATGAACCAGCAGTGTCAAATGCATTTATTTTACGTAACTCTCTAAACAAGGCCTATCAGTTCCTTGTTCACAGCAAGGACTATCAGTGTTCTCCATACTATTAGACGTATAGTCCTAAGAATTTGGAGTCTAATCATATTAAGTAGCCAACTCCAGAAATCCCAAAACCAACAAAAGAAGTCCATCCTTAATATTTTGTTCCTCTAGAACCACTCCTGGTAGCAAAATCTGTATTAGTCAGGGTTCTCCAGAGGGACAGAACTAATAAGATATATATAAAGAGGAATTTATTGAGTATTGACTTACATGATCACAAGGTCCCACAATAGGCTGTCTGCAAGCTTGAGGAGCAAGGAGAGCCAGTCCAAGTCTCAAAACTGAAGAACTGGGCCAGGCACGGCGGCTCATACCTGTAATCCCAGCACTTTGGGAGGCCAAGGCAGGCGGATCACAAGATCAGGAGTTCAAGACCAGCGTGGCCAACATGGTGAAACTCCATCTCTATTAAAAATACAAAAGTTAGCCAGGCATTGTGGCAGGGGCCTGTAGTCCCACCTACTCATGAGGCTGAGTCAGGAGAATTGCTTGAACCTGGGAGGTAGAGGTTGGAGTGTGCCAAGATCGCGCCATTGCACTCCAGCCTGGGTGACAGAGCGAGACTCCATCTCAGAAAACAACAACAAAAAAAAAAAAAAAGAAGAAGAAGAAGAAGAAGATCGGGAGTCCGATGTTCAAGGGCAGAAAGCGTCCAGCATGGGAGAAACCTGTGGGCTGGGAGGCTAGGCCAGTCTCTCCTTTTCATGTTTTTTCCTGCTTTATATTTGCTGGCAGCTGATTAGATGGTACCCACCCAATTAAGGATGAGTCTGCCTTTCCCAGCCCACTGACTCAAATGTTAATCTCCTTTGACAACACCCTCACAGATACACCCAGGATCAATAGTTTGTATCCTTCAATCCGATCAAGTTGACACTCAGTATTAACCATCACTCCTATGTTAACTTCCTGGGGGAAAAAAACTATGTGAAAATTTATTCTAACTAATTTGAGAGTAAAATTAAGAGCTCATGAGTAATGGTGGTTTAAAAGTATTGGCAGATAAAATATCATTTTCTCAATAATTGTTTAATATCTATTTTCTTATTCATCTAAATATAGAAAAATAATTATAAGATAGAATGTATATAAAAAACACAATTAACTGTATGTTAAACCCATATTGTATTTAGAAAAACTGGGAATGGGGAAGAGAATATGCTACAAGACTAGCTCCTTTTATTGCTATGTGACGTGGGACACAGTAGGAAAGATACTGCAATTTTATGCTTTTTGTATTTTGAACCATATGAATGTACTACTGATTAAAAAAACATTATTTTTCTAAAGAGACAAGAGATTGGATATTTTGAAAAAAAAGAACTTGGATTTTTATCTCACACTATAAAGACACATTTTAAATAAATTGAATATTTAAATGTAAAATTTGAAGCTAGGAAATATTAGAAAATTATTGGTAAGCTAACTGATTTGGTTATGCACAGGATCATTTAAACTATATAGTTATAGTCATTTGAAAAAGTCTTAAAATTTTATATATGTAATTGTCTACATTAAAAATTGTTTTCTATGCATTTAAAAAATTATAAATTGAATGGCAAAAAAGACTAGAAAAATGTTTTTAAAAATTATAGAACAGTGCTATTATTCTTATATGTCAGGAACTCATAAATCAGTAAAATAAATATTTAACATTCTTTAGATAATATGGTAAAGAACAAGAAAAAAACAATTTACTACAGAAAAAAGAAAACAGAACATATGGGAAATAGTTGACCACATATTAAATCGAAGATATGCAACCCTAAGTAAAAAAGATGACATTTTTAGTATGTCAAGTTGGCTAAAACTTGCCTTTACATTGCTCTTTTCCCCCTGCCACAAGACCAAAATAGGAGCTTTTCCTTCAGCCTGACCCCAAAATGCAGAACATGTGGAACAGAGCCAAAGCTGGTCTTCAGCCAACATGTACATGAGAGAGAAATAAAGGCTGGTTATTACCGGCCACTGTGATTTCAGTGGTTATATATATTCACAGTATGACTTAGCAAAAGCTTACTAATGCAGTAACCATAAATGCAAAGATAACAAATGACTGAAATGAGTTATAATATTGAAGAAAAGAATTTGCTAACTGCTACAAATAAAAACAGGCAATATAAACTCATGAACAAAGAAAATGTAATAATGCAATTTTATTAGTAAGAATTATTTGATTATATTTCATTTATTGGCACATTGGTTCTTTGGATTTCAAGTGAAGGACTATTTCAAATGGAAATGAATATATATATATATATCAAGACAGGGAAGACGTCCAGGGAAGTGTGGGAGAAAAGAGAGAACTGGGAAGAATATAATCAATCCCCTGCAGAGTGCAATAAACATTAGGGTAGTTATAGGAGGTGCAGGTTAGGGCACAAAGGTTGAATGCTGAACTGAAGCATCTGTGGAGGTCCAATGCAAACCCAAGGAATGAACATCTAACTGATGTCACATAACATGTTTTACACAGGGGTTTTCAGTAAAATTTATGCATAAATTAGATGTTAATAATGACAAGAAAGTATATCTAGAATCTAGTGAAGATAACCTTTGGCTCCATACAATTAGAATCATAGGCTCTCTGAATGAGAAGGGGCTTCAAATGTCATTTGTTATTTCAATGCTCTTTTAGTAACTTTCTTACACAACTCTATCAGGACCAAAATTTATAAACCAAAATTTTTGTCTCGCAATTTCCAAAACCATGAGTATTACAAACTCATACTAGGTCTTCCACATCTTATTAAACTGATTTGATGGTTGAGAGGAATGAAAAAGAGATATTGTTCAATCTGGAGTCCATAATTGTCAAAGATGGATGCATCAAGAATGATGGTAAACATTTTCAACATCTGCTTCCTCTTCCCAGAATATGTCATCATTATCATCAACATCAATGTATTGGCTATTAAACAGGCTCTTTACTACCTCGGTTCCAATTTACCAGAAATTACATTGTATTTAATAAAAATATAACAAATGACATGTAGAAAACTTTCATATAACAAGTTTACCGTTTTAGGTTTTAGGTTTTAATCAGGTTTTAGGAATTTCTTCATGCCTCAGAGGATTACACTGAATATTCAGAACATCAAACACCCTTTTTAAGAACAGAGCTATTATATCTTAGGATTGTTAATAAAATAGATGCTATAGGAATTAACAGCTCACCAGTTTGCATCCCTGTGAAATAAAGAAGAAACATTGTGGCTGGTAGTTAGAAATGTCCTTCACAGAAAAGTAATGCAGAATTTATTTTAAAATATTTTGTTATAAAACATAACCACAAGAAGCATAATTTAATAAAATATCTCTCAAAAGTAACAAATATGCTACTGAAAAATGACACACGACATCTCAATGCAGATAAAGGAAAACATTTTTGTTAGAAAACCTGCTGACCTCATCACCTGACTTTAATATTAAAATGTGATAGACTTGAAGAATAATGAAAAACAAAAACTGTGTCACTGTTAAATAACAGAAAGTGAGAAATAATGCAAGGTGTAAAATTTTCTTCTGTTTATGGCTTTATCGATTGTGTACAAAAGGCAAAATATATTTAATCTCCACACAAGGAGGAACTAAATATATTGAGACCTGGCATGATCCACATTCTGGGTCAGAAGTTTCAAAACATGTTAGCATATAGAACTTTTGGCAGTTCTATTCTCAGAGGTGTCATTGAGCTTGATGGAATGAGGCCTATCTGGTATAGGACGGTATACCTTTGTTCAGAAAAAAAAATGTGAGAATAACAGTGAATATCACAAATGCAGGCATCTCTAAACAGGCCATACAAATAAGGTAAAAGGAGATTAGAAAGCATCTAAGAAAGGCAGCAAAATAATACCAGATCATTTTATATGTCTGAATTATATACCTACCTTCCAGACATAAGATATGAATACTGTTTCCCTGATACAGATATGAAAGAAATAATTAAAATCCCCTCTCTTCACAGATGACATGATCTTCTATAGAGAATCCTAAGGAATCCACTAAAAAATTATTAGAACTAATAAATGTCTTCAGCAAGTTTGCAGGATACAAGATTAATATTTAAAAATTGTGTTTCTATATTCTTGCAACAAAAAATCTGAACACGAAATTAAGAAAACAGTTCTTGGCTGTTTGTACTTCTTTTTTTGAGAAACATCTGTTCATCTCCTTTGCCCAGTTTTTAGTGGGGTTGTTTGTTTTTTCTTGTTTACTTGTTTGAGCTACTTGTAGATTCTGGATATAAGTCCTTTGTCAGAGGAATAATTTGCAAATATCTTCTCCCATTCTGTGGGTTGTCTGATTATTCTGTTGATTATGTCTCTTGCTGTGCAGGAGCATTTTAGTTTAATTGAGTCTGTTTGTCTGTTTTTGCTTTTGTTGCTTGTGCTTTTGGGTTTCATCATAAATTCTTTCCTTAGAACAATATCCAGAAGAGTTTTTTCTAGATTTTCTTCTAGAATTTTTATAGTTTCTAGTCTTATGTTTAGGTCTTCAATCCATCTTGAGTTAATTTTTTTATATAGTAAGAGAGAGGGATCCAGCTTTATCCTTCCACAGATAGCTAGCCAGTTTTCCCAGCATCATTTATTGAAAAAGATGTCCTTTCCCCATTGTTTATTTTTGTAAACTTTATCAAAGATCCATTGGTTATAGGTATATGACTTTATTTTTCGGTTCTCTGTTTTACTTCACTGATCCATGTACCATTTTTGTGCCAGTACCACGCAGTTTTTATTAGTATGGCCTTGTAATATAATTTGAAGTCAGGCAATGTGATGCCTCCAGATTTGTTCTTTCTGCTTAGGAGTGCTTTGGCTATTTGGGCTTTTTGTTGTTGTTCCATATGAATTTTAGGATTGTTTTTCTAATTCTGTGAAAAAACACATTGGTAATTTGATAGGAACTGCATTGAATCTGTAGATTGCTTTGGGCAATATTGCCATTTTAATAATATTGATTCTTCTAATCCATGAGCATGGGGTATTTTTCTATTTTATTGGGCCAGCTACAATTTATTTCACCAGTGTTTTGTAGTTTCTATTGTAGAGATCTTTGTTAAATGTATTCCTAAGCGTTTAACTTTTTTGTGTGACTACTGTAAATAGATTGAGTTCTTAATTTGGTTCTCACTTTGAACATTATTGGTGTATATAAATGCTACTAATTATGTAAATTGATTTCGTATCCGGAGACTTTACAGAAGTTGCTTATTAACTCTAGGAGTCTTCTGGAGGAGCCTTTAGGGTTTTCTAAGTATATGGTTGTGTCATCAGCAAACAGAGATAATTGGACACCCTCTTTTCTAATTTGAATGTCTTTTATTTCTTTTCTTGCCTCATTGTTCTGGCTTGGGCTACCAGTACTATGTTGAATAAGAGTGATGAGAGTGGACAACCTTATCTTGTTCTAGACCTGAAGTGAAATGCTTTCAACTTTTCCTCATTCAGTATGATGTTGACTATGGGGTTGTCATATATGGCTCTTATTATTTTGAGATATGTTCCATTTATGCCTAGTTTGTTGAGGGTTTGTTAAAATCATGAAGTGATGTTATGTTGCATTTAATCAAATACTTATTTTACATCTACTGAGATGATCAGAAAGTTTTTGTTCTTTGTTCTGTTTATATGGTGAATCGTGTTTATTAATTTGCATATGTTGAATCATCCTTGCCTCCCTGGAATAAAGCCCATGTGATTTTGATGGATTTTTTTTTATGTTCTGTTGGATTCAGTTTGATAATATTTTGTTGAGGATATTTGCTTTTGCATTTGTCAGGAGTATTGGCTTGTAGTTTCTTTTCTTGTGTCCTTATCTGATTTTTCACATCAGGCTGACACCGGATTTATAGAATGAGTTAGGGAGACATCCCTACTCCTTAATTTTTTGGAATAGTTTCAGCAAGATTGGTAGTAGCTCTTTGCATGTCTGGTAAAATTTGGCTGTGTATCTGTCTGGTCCTGGTCTTTTTTGTTGTTGTTGGGAGATTTTTTATTACTGATTTGATTTCATTACTAAGTATTCCAATAAACATATAAAATAAATCCTGAACATCACTAACCATCAGAGAAATGCAAATTAAAACCACAATGAGATATTATATCAGTCAGGGTGGCTATTATTGCAAAGTTAAAAAACAACATATGTTACTGTGGATACAGAGTAAAGAGCAGGCTTATACACTGTTGGAGGGAATGTAAATTAGTTCAACCTCTATGGAAAACAGTATGGCGATATCCCAAAGAAGTAAAAATAGAACTACCATTTGATTCAGCAATCCCACTACTGGGTATCTACCTAAAGAAAAATAATCCATTATATACAAAATAACCTGCACTCATATGTTCATCGCAGCACTATTCACAATAGCAAAGTCATGGAACCAACCTAAGTGATTACCAAGGGTTGGTGGACACTTATCACATTTTCTCTATACACATACCTACCACGTTTTCTTTATATTATATATATACACACACACACATACACACACACAGTGGAATACTGTTCAGCCATAAAAAGGAATAAAATCATGTCTTTGCAGCAACCTAGATGGAGCTGGAGGCCATTATCCTAAGTAAACTAACTCAAAAGTGGAAAATCAAATATCACGTGTTCTCATTTAGAAGAGGGAGCTAAACAATGAGTGCACATGGACATAAAGGTGGAGATAATAGACACTGGGGACTACAAAAGAAGGGAGCATGGGAGAAGGGTGAGGGTTGAAAAATGTTCAATATTTTGATGATGAGTACACTAGAAGCCCAATCTCAACCATTATGCACATAGTACCCATGTAACAAACAAGCACATGTATCCTCTGAATCTAAAATAAAAATGTAAAAAACAGTTTTATTTACAACAGTATCAAAAAGAAAAAATTTTGCAGTAAATTTATCAAAGGAGAAGACTTATACTCTGAAAACTATAAAACATTGTTGAAATAAATTAAAGAAAATCTAAACAAATGGAAAAATATCTCGTGTTCACAGATCTAAAGACTTAACATTGTAATG
Organism: Homo sapiens; assembly: GCF_000001405.40. Taxonomy (NCBI): domain Eukaryota; kingdom Metazoa; phylum Chordata; class Mammalia; order Primates; family Hominidae; genus Homo; species Homo sapiens. The sequence goes on along the minus strand of NC_000006.12, from coordinate 80,377,923 downwards.
ATGGGAGTACTTTCCAAATTGATCTATAATCCCTCTCAGAATTGCAGCTGACTTCTTTGCAGAAATTCACAAGATGATTCTAAAAGTCACACTTATTACAAAGGACTTTTATGTTGTTTTAGTTGCAATCCTGATACAGAAAAATATAGTAGGAGAAATTACACTGCTGTATTTCAAAATTTACTGCAAAACAACAACATCAAAACATTATATTACTGGCATAAGAATAGAAATATAGACTAACGGAATAACTTTGAAAATTCAGAATTAAATCCATACATCTATGGTCAACTCATTTCCAACAAGGGTGTCAGGCCATTCATTGAGGGAAAGAAATGGTGGTGAAATAACTGGATATTTGCATGCAAAAGAATGAAATGAGACCCTTACTTCATACTATATAAAGAAATTAACTTAAAATGGGTCAAAGACCTAAATTTAAGAGCTAAAACTGTAAAACTCTTAGAAGAAAACATAGGGATAACATTTGCATGAACTCGGCTTTGGCAAAAAAAACTTACCTATGACACTAAAAGGATGACCAACCAAAAAAATTAGATAAATTGGACTTCATAAAAATCAGGCCAGGTGTGGTGGCTCATGCCTGTAATCCCAGCACTTTGGGAGGCCGAGGAGGACAGATCACTTGAATTTGGGAGTTCGAGACCAGCCTGGCCAATATGGTGAAACCTCGTCTCTACTAAAAATACAAAAAATTAGCTAGGCGTGGTGGTGGGCACCTGTAAATCCAGCTACTTGAAAGACTGAGGTGGGAGAATCACTTGAACCTGGGAGACAGAGGTTGCAGTGAGCCAAGATTGTACCACTAAACTCTAGCCTGGGCATGACAGAGTGAGACTTCATCAAAAAAAAAAAAAAAAAATTAAAAGCCTTTATAATTCAAAGGACACTATTAAAAAAGTGAAAAGACAATCCACAGAATAAGAAAATACTTTCAGATCATATATCTGATAAGGGACTTGTATCTAGAATATACAAAGAACTACAACTCAATATTGAAAAGACAAATAACGCAATTAAAAATAGACAAAAGATCTGAATATATATTTCTCATATTCCTCTGCCACTTCACTCCCTTTAAGAAATCATTTCTTCCTCTATCAAGACAAGTTGCTCTTTCAAGTTCTTAAGTTTTCTTATAATCTGCCCACACTCCAACTCTTCATTATTGAACACAGCCTAGTCTTTGTAAATGCTATGTTCTTTACAGATAAACAAGTGAAAAATAGAAAATGGAGTTTGGGAAAAATGCCAGACAGGAGACAGGACTAACTTGCAACTCCCACTCAGACAGAGCAGTATGCAGAAATTCACATTGTGAACTTTTGCTCTAAGAACTACCACAAGAACATACCAGAAAAGCCAAGAGAATTCACAGACCCTTTGAAGGAGGTGGATTGCCATTGCAGGTTCCATGGGACAGCTGAGGAACTGTGAGTCTGCTTGCTTTCTCTGCTGGGAGGCTTGTATGTAGCCTGGGCCAAGTTCTCAGCCCTGCTTACTAGTTGCCTGGAAATAAACTTGGTGCTGCTGGGGGTGCACAGCGGGAGTGAGACCAGCCTTTTGGGGTATGGGCTGTGTGGGAGCTGGGTGAGGCCTGTGTCTGCCAGCTTTCCCCCACTTCCCTGGCAACCTGTGCGATGAAGTAGAGGCAACCATGATCCTGCCAGGAACTTAACTCCATTGGCCTGGGAACCACACCCCCATCCCCCATAACAGCCGCAGCAAGCCCCACCCAGAGAGTCTGAGCTCAGACACACCTAGCCTTGCCCCATCCTGATGGTCTTTCTCTTCCCACCTTGGTAGCTGAAGACAAAGGACATAATCTCTTTGGAGCTCTATGGCCCTGCCTACCACCTGAGAAATCTGAATACTTATCCAAAGGTAATCCTAGGGCAAGGTTGTATTCTCCCTACATTACCACAGCTGTTGCATTCTTGGAAGTGCCACCTCTTGGCTAGAGGCCAACCAACACAAAACCAACACACGTAATAAAAATACAACCAATTCTCAGGAAGCCCCATCTTTAGGGGAAGAAGGAGAGCACCACATCAAGCAAGCTCCCCATGGGAAAAAAGAATCTGAACAGTAGCCCATGAGTCCCAGATCTTCCCTCTGTCATAGTCTATCCAAATGAGAAGGAACCAGAAAAATAATTCAGGCAATATGATAAAACAAGTTCTTTAACACACCCAAGAGATCATACTAGCTCACCAGCAATAGATCCAAACCAAGAATAAATCCCTGAATTGCCAGAAAGAGAATTCAGAAGGTTGACTGTTAAGCTAATCAAGGAGGCACCAGAGAAAAGGTAAGTCCAACTTAATGAAAAAAAAAAATGATACAGGATATAAATGAAAAAATCTTCAGTGAAATACATAGCATAAATAAAAGGCAATCATAACTTCTGGAAATGAAGGACACATTTAGAGAAGTGCAAAATGAACTGGAAAGTATCAGCAATAGCATCGAACAAGTAGAAGAAAGATTTTAAGAGCTCAAAGACAAGGCTTTCAAATTAACCCGATCTGACAAAGACAAAGAAAAAATAATTTTAAAAATGAACAAAGCCTCCAAGAAGTTTGGGATCATGTTAAACAACCAAACCTAAGAATAATTGGTGTTCCCAAGGAAGAAGAGAAATCTAAAAGTTTGGAAAACATATTGAAGGGAATAATCAAGAAAACTTCCCTGGCCTTGCTGGAGATCTAAACATTCAAATCCAAGAAGCTCAAAGAACACCTGGGAAATTCATCATAAAAAGATCATCACCTAGACACATAGTCATCAGGTTACCTAAAGTAAAGATGAAGGAAAGGACTTTAAGAACTGTAAGGCAAAAGCATCAGGTAACTTATAAAGGGAAACCTATCAGATTAACAGCAGATTTCTCAGCAGAAACCCTACAAGCTAGAAGGGATTCGGGTTCTATCTTTAGCCTCCTTAAACAAAACAATTATCAGCCAAGAATTTTGAATCCAGTGAAACTAAGCTTCATAAATGAAGGAAAGATACAGTCTTTTCCAGACAAACAAATGCTGGGAGAATTCACCATAACCAAGCTAGTACTACAAGTACTGCTAAAAAAAAGTTCTAAATCTCAAAACAAATCTTTGAAATACACAAAATAAAATCTCCTTAAAGCGTACATCTCACAGGATCTATGAAACAATAACACAATGAAAAAACCTAGATATTCGGGTGACAAATAGCATGGTGAATAGAATAGTACCTCAAATCTCAATAATAACATTGAATGTAAATGGCCTAAATGCTCCACTTAAAAGATATAGAATGGCTCTTTTCCTAAGTAGCCGGAGGTAATCTGTGAAAATGGTGCCCTATACACTTGACCGGGAGAACCCCACAAAATCATGCAAATCAAGAGGTTCCAATCTTTGTATTCACCTTAAGAACACTCGTGAAACTGCCCAGGCCATCAAGGGTATGCATATATGAAAAGCCACAAAATATCTGAAAGATGTCACTTTACAGAAACGGTGCGTACCATTCCGACGTTACAATGGTGGAGTTGGCAGGTGTGCCCAGGCCAAGCAGTGGGGCTAGACACAAGGTTGGTGGCCCAAAAAGAGTGCTGAATTTTTGCTGCACATGCTTAAAAATGCAGACAGTAATGGTGAACTTAAGGGTTTAGATGTAGACTCTCTGGCCATTGAGCATATCCAAATGAATAAAGCATCTAAGATGTGCTGCCAGACCTACAGAGCTCATAGTCGGATTAACCCATACATGAGCTCTCCCTGCCACATTGAGATGAGCCTTACTGAAAAGGAACAGATTGCTCCTAAACCAGAAGAAGAAGTTGCCCAGAAGAAAAAGATATCCCAGAAGAAACTGATGAAACAAAAACTTATGGCATGGGAGTAAATTCAGCATTAAAATAAATGCAATTAAAAGGAAAAAGAAAAGACACAGAATGGCAGAATGGTTGAGAATTCAGCAAACAAATATCTGCTGTTTCCAAGAGACTCACCTGACACATAAGGATTCACATAAACTTAAGGTAAAGGGGTAGAAAAATATATTCCATGCAAATGGACACCAAAAGCAAGCAGGAGTAGCTATTCTTGTATCAGACAAAACAAACTTAAAAGCAACAGCAGTTAAAAAAGACAAAGAGGCACATTACATAATGATAAAAGGCCTAGTCCAACAGGAAAGTATCACAATCCCAAATATATATGCACCCAATACTGAAGCTCCCAAATTTATAAAAACAATTATTATTAGACCTAAGAGATGAGATAGACAGCAATGCAATACTATTGGGGGACTTTTATCCACTGACATAGCGTTAAATGCCTACATCAAAAAGTCTGAAAGAGCACAAAAAGACAATCTAAGCTCATACCTCAAGGAACTAGAGAAACAAGAACAAACCAAACCCAGCAAAAGTAAAGAAATAACAAAGAGCCTAGAAGAACTAAATGAAATTTAAACAACAACAACAAAAAAGATAATACAGAAGGTAAATAAAACAAAAACTGGTTCTTTGAAAAGATAAATAAAACTGATAGACCATTAGCAAGATTAACCAAGAAAAGAAGAGAGAAGATCCAAATAGCTCAATTAGAAATGAAACAGGAGATATGTCAACCGAAACCACAGAAGTACAAAAGATAATTAAAGGTTACTATGAACACCTTTATGTGCACAAACTAGAACACCTAGAGGAGATGGATAAATTCCTGGAAACATATAACCCTCCTAGATTAGACCAGAAATAAAGAGAGACTCTTAACAGACAAATAACAAGCAGTAAGATTGAAATGGTAATTTGAGTTACCAAACAAAAAAAATTCCAGGACCAGATGGATTCACAGATGAATTTTATCAGACATTCAAAGAAGAATTGGTACCAATCCTATTGACACTATTCCACAGATAGAGAAAGAAGGAATCCTCCCTAAATCATTCTATGAAGCCAGTATCACCTTAATACCAAAACCAGGAAAGAACATAACAGAAAAAGAAAAATACAGACCAAGATCCCTGATGAACATAGATACAAAAATCCTCAACAAAATACTAGCTAACTGAATCCAACATCAAATCAAAAAGAGAATCCACTATGATCAAGTTTGTTTCATTCCAGAGATGCAGGGATTGTTTAACATACTCAAGTCAATAAATGTGATACACCACATAAACAGAATCAAAAACAAAAATCACATGATCATCTCAATAGAGGTAGAAAAAGCATTTGACAAAATCCAGCATCCCTTTATGATTAAAACCCTCAGCAAAATCGGCATAGAAGGGACACACATTGAGGAAATAAAAGCCATCTATGACAAACCCACAGCCAACATTATACAGAAAAGAGAAAAGTTGAAAGCATTCCCCCTGAGAACTAGAACAAGATAAGGATGCCCACTTTCACCACTTCTATTCAACATAGTACTGAAAGTCCTAGCCAGAGCAATCAGATAAGAACAAGAAATAAAGGGCATCCAAATTGGTAAAGACAAGGTCAAACTGTTGCTGTTTGCTGCTGATATGATCATATAAAGACTCATCCGAAAAGCTCCTAGAACTGGCAAATAAATTCAGCAGTTTCAGGATACAAAATTAATGTACACAAATCAATAGCTCTGCTATACACCAACAGTGACCAAGCTGAGAATCAAATCAAGAACTCAACACCTTTTACAATAGCTAAAAAATACTTAGGAATATACCTAAACAAGGACCTCTACAAAAAAAAACTACAAAACACTGCTTAAAAAAATCATAGACAACACAAACAAATGGAAACACATCCCATACTTACGGGTGGGTAGAATCATTATGGTGAAAATGACCATACTGCCAAAAGAAATATACAAATTCAATGCAATTCCCATCAAAATACCATCATCAGTCTTCACACATCTAGGAAAAACAATCCAAAATTCATATGGAACCAAAAAAAGAGCCCACATAGCCAAAGCAAGATGAAGCAAAAAGAACAAATTTGGAGGCATCACATTACCTGACTTCAAACTATACTATAAGGTCATAGTCACCAAAACAGCATGGTACTGGTATAAAAATAGGTATATAGACCAATGGAACAGAATAAAGAATTAGAAATCCACCCAAATACTTACAGTTAACTTATCTTCAACAAAGCAAACAAAAACATAAAGGGGGAAAAGATACCCTGTTTAACAATTGGTGCTGGGATAATTGACAAGCCACATGTAGAAGAATGAAACTGGATCCATATCTCTCATCTTATACAAAAATCAACTTAAGATGGATTAAATACTTAAATCTAAGACCTGAAACCATAAAAATTCTAGAAGATAACATTGGAAAAACCCTTCTAGACTTTGAGACAAAGACTTCCTGATCAAGAACCCAAAAGCACATGTAACAAAAACAAAGATACATAGATGGGACTTGATTAAACTAAAATGCTTCTGCACAGCAAAAGGAACAATCAACAGAGTAAACAGACCACCCACAGAGTGAGAGAAAATCTTCACAATCTATATGTCTGACAAAAGATTAATATCCTGACTCTACAAGGAACTCAAACAAATCAGCAAGAAAAAAACAATTCCATCAAAAAATGGGCTAAGGACATGAATAGACAGTTCTCAAAAAAAGATATACACATGACCAACAAACATATGAAAAAATGCTCAACCTCACTAATGATCAGGTAAATGCATATCAAAATGACAATGTGATACCACCTTACTCCTGCAAGAATGGCCATAATCAAAAAATCAAAAAATAATAGAAGTTGGCATGGATGTGGTAAAAAGGGAACACTTTTACATTGTTGGTGGGAATGTAAACTAGTACAACCACTATGGAAAATAGTGTGGGGATTCCTTAAAGAACTAAAAGCAGATATACCATTTGATCCAGCAATCCCACTCCTGGGTATCTACCCAGAGGAAAAGAAGTCATTATATGAAAAAGATATTTGAGCATGCATGTTTATAGCAGCACAATTTGCAATTGCAAAAATATGGAACCAGCCCAAATCCCCATCAATCAATGAGTGGATAAAGAAAATATGATCTATATATATACACACACACAAACACACACACACACACACACATATATATATACACACACACACACGCTATATATACACACACACGCTATATATACACACCCCATGGAACACTACTCAGCCATAAAAAGGAATGAAATAATGACTTCACAGCAACCCAGAATGAATTGGAGACCATTATTCTAAGTGAAGTAACTCAGGAATGGAAAGCCAAACATTGTATGTTTTCACTCATAAATGGGAGCTAAGCTATGAGGTTGCAAAGGAATAAGAATGATATAATGGACTTTGAGGACTCAGGGGAAAGGATGGCAGAGGTGAGGGATAAAAGACTACACATTGGGTACAGTGTATGGTGCTCTGGTGATGGGTGCACCAAAATCTCATAAATCACCACTAGAGAACTTACTCATGTAACAAAAGACCACCTGTTCCCCAAAACCCTATTGAAACAAACATAAAATAAAATAAGCGAAAAACAGCATGCAGCATCTACCAATATGTAAAGGCCCTTAGATAGTTTATTTTCACAAGTCTTCTGAATAGATGGATGCCCTCTCTTGTCCTCCTTATTTTTCCGAAGAGAAAGACAGTTTAAGCATCATTTTCTCCTCCACATAGAGATCTGGTCTTTTTCCTCTTCTAACCTCTTTTTTTAACTGGACTATGTACTATGTTATATTGTCCTCTAATTATTCATAGGCCTATATTATTATTGCCTCAAAAAGATTCATTTTCTGAAGGTAGGAATTACTCATTTACTTCTATTTTATGACCCACAGTGATGTGTGCATCAAAAATTCAATGTCTTCCTTGACTAATATACTACTTTATTGGCTTTGATATTGCATAAGAAATGTCACAGAAGTGTAAATGATGTTTAAAACAATAGTAAGAGAGAAACTCAAAATTAGAGGATTACTATAACATATCATAAATAAAATATATCTTACAACAGCTTAGAAGCAAATCTCATTTAAAATATTATTTTTAAATTTCACAAATAACTAGAACTTTAATGTCCACCAGAATGCAGGTTTGAATGGAAAGGTTGATACTGGGTTCTAAGTTGGCTTTCCATTCCTTGGTCATAAAAGCTAACTGTACCACTCCTGAAAGCCACAGGTTATTTTGGCATTTCTTTGGATTTATAATACAAGCAGCACATTATTTCCAGTGTCTGGGCTGCCTGAAATAAGAAGTTCTACCTTGGCGTTGCAGGCAGTTAGTGACTAGATGAACCATAGTCAGGCAAGAAGGCAGTTTTAGTCTTTCCACATGCCAAACCTAAAGCAAAGGTGGCTAGAAATGGACCTAGAGAGTCTCATAAAAACAGGAACTAACTTGAACCTCACTTAAATATAAACCAAACATCATCATGAGGTTTGAAATAATCTAAACCCCCATCTTTCTTTATTAGTTCTGTTTTTCTTTTTTGTTATTGATGTTGTTTTTAATACCCTTCAAACTCTTCTGGGTTCCAGTCTAAACTGGAAATGCGAGAATAACAACACAAATACTGCCATTATTTTCATGGCCTACCCAGAGTGGGAAACACTGGAAATATCAAGACACTATAATTAAAGTTCATCAAATTACAATTTCTGTAACAAAGAATACAAATAACGAATAACAACACAAATGTTACCATTATTTTCATGGCCTACCCAGAGTGGGAAGCACTGGAAATATCAAGACACCATAATTAAAGTTCATCAAATTACAATTTCAACATCAAATTACAACAAAGAATACAAATAATAAGACAGTAGCCAGTGTGACTTTGACAGGGACTAAGTCTAATGCCCACCGATGGAATTTTTTTTCTTTTCTTTTGTTTTTTTTTTTTTTGAGATGGAGTCTCACTCTGTCACCCAAGCTGGAGTGCAGTGGCACAATCTTGGCTCACTGCAACCTCTGCCTTTCGGGTTCAAATGATTCTCCTGCCTCAGCCTCCCAAGTAGCTGGGACTACAGGCACGAGCCACCACGCCTGGCTAATTTTTGTAATTTTAGTAAAGACAAAGGTTTTGCCATATTGGCCCAGGCTAGTCTCAAACTCCTCAATTCCAGTGATCCGCCCGCCTCGGCCTCCCAAAATGCTGGGATTACAGGTGTGAGCCACCATGCCCAGGGCTGGATTTTTTTTTTTAAGTTCATGTATATAGAAATCTGGAAATGGAAAAGAAATGAAACCGCTTATTTGGGAATAACTGAAAAGCAAAGTTGTGAGCATATGTAGATGAAATCTACTCTAAATCTTGGTATCCAATTTAACTATTAATATCATCACGGTTCCTGTTACAAGTTTTTAATTAATGTTAGGTAGAAGTGGATGGCTAAACTTTATTTCCTGCCTCTGTCCAATGTCTTGAAGCTGTATTATAAGAATAATTTTGAAAAGAAATAAGGATATGGGAAATCTACAACCAGAACAACTATCTCTGAATGATCTAGGCTGACTCTTACAAATTGTAACTGCAGGCAGATATTCAATTTGGTCAATAAACCAGCAGTGTATATTGAGCAACTACCATGTGATCAGCTTTGTACAGACTGCGGACCAAATGACTGAGATTTTTGGCTAACTGAACCAGGAAGAACAGCTTTAGGGGAAAAATGGTGGATTTTATTTTAGATGTGGTATGTGTTGAGATGTATTCAGCAGGCAGTTGGATATTCAGAGGCTGGGAAAAACTGGGAGCAAGACAGGGAGGTGTTAATTGAATTTATAAAGGTGAATGAAATGTACAAAGAGAAGATGATGACAGAACTACACATGACACTTATTAGATGGACTGGATGACACAGAAACCAGTGAGAGTCCAGGGCCAGTGACATGGGTGTGTGGCCTATGCAATCTCACACAGCGTCACTCTCAGAAGGGCTCCAAGTTCAGTGTAATGCTATTGCCACAGTCTTATAATTTTTTAAAAAAATGTATCTTTGAACTGTGTTTTGTAAGCAAAGTTGGATGGGGCAATGGACCACATGCATGAGGAGAAGCACTATGTGCAATGTGCATGCCCCACCATTCCTGGCCTTCCCACTCACATATGATGTCTCATGATCACAGAATTCCAGTGGACTCACAATGCATGGGAGTTCAGCAAGACTCAATATGAGTACCAGGTACATGTTTCACCTTAGAGTAAGCATGTGCAGGGGAAGGCTGATAAGCCTTGAGAGGCTATGCTTTCTGTTCAAACCAGAACTTGTTGGTGTGAAAGAAATCAATGATGTTCAAATAAACTCCATCACATATTTTCTTACTTGTGTTAATTTCTTACTTGTGTTAGTCAAGCACTTATACTGAAAATGATGACATACAAGTAAACTGACCATAGAGAGTGTTGATAGAATGTGTGCATATCAGTAAGTGAAATAAAAAAACAGTAGAGTTTGTTTTGTGCAGTGATTCCACTGTTCAGGTAAGAATGAAATACATATATATGTATGAGCTATAAAAATAATAGCTGTATAATTTTGGTGAGTACACATATAAGTTAAATGCTTTTAAATTTGCATTTAAAATTGGCATTGTACAATATGAAGAAAAGTGGTAAAATTTATTCTAATAATTAAAAATTTTATTTTTTCTTTACTTAGAATTATGTTAAATAGCAAATAAAAAAATTCCATGACAAATCGAGAGAAAGTGCAAAAGAAACAGAATTATATTGAGTAACTTTAACAGTAATTTTTCTTGCTTTTCAAACAAGGGAACTCAAATTTTCATTTTGCTTTGGGCCCCACAAATTATGGAGCCAAGCCTGAGAGGATCAATAAATGGAAGGGGAACCAGGATAATATGAGTCATGAAAGTCACAGGATAAGTGTTTAAGAGAGAGTATTTTTGGTTATTTGTTTAAATGCAGTCCTGTTGCTGGGCTGGGGGTTAGCAGCAAGACTTTGCATGGCTGCCTTCCCAGCTGGCATAGAGCCAGGGCTCCAGGAACATGGCTCACCTCCTAATTCTGCCAGATGTCTGTTGAGAATAGACACTAAGCATGAAGGTTAAGTGGTTTCTGATAACCTTTGAGAGAGTAGTGTGGGGAAAGTAGCTAGACTGTAGGCTAGATTCCAAAGGAGTAAGGAGTGAAAAAAGAATATTAATGCAGCAAGGATAAATTACACTCTCAGAAAGTGTGTTGGAAGTCTAGATGGATGAATGGATGGATAGAGGAACTGGCTTGTGTACCTTGTTTTCTACTCTCTGTACGTTGGGCACTACACTATGAAATGAGAAAATGGGAGATTTTTATGGCATAATAAAAGTGAGAACAACACTGAAAATATTATGTAAATCACTTTATGCATAACACATTATCACTTGTAGGGTCAACAGCACACTTGGGTTATAAGTTTAAATTGGATTCTTTAATCCTTCTTTTCCTTTTGGATTTTTTTCTCTCACCGTTAAAGAGAAATGTTGCTGACTATGTCTATGAGCATGTGCTAGGGTTGCACTAGACAGCCATATTTGGTGTGTTTTTTCTTTCCAGTTATAGTTGTGGCATACAGTATACTAAACATTCAAACTCTTTCCCCAAGATCAAATTGTGTCCCATGATACGCATCTGGCTGATGTTGCTGAGAGATGGAAATTCAATCTGCGTCTTTGAAAGATATTCCTCTCAACATGAAGCCAACTGGCCCACATGGAACTCGACTCTACAACTTCTGCTTCATTAGCAGCTAATGAGTAGAGCTCAGTGCCAAACAACAGGAAAATTCCTGCTTTTATTATTCCAGGTTCAAGGCTATGGCATTGGTCTAAAGAGTAAAATTGGCCTGCAGAAAATTGCAACACACGCCACACTAATAAAAGCACAAACTGCATATACTGTAAGACATCTTTGAGTGATTATACCTGAAAGACTAATATCAGTTGTACTGAGATCATTTGCTTTCCAACTATTTCCAAATGTGTTATATTATAGCCTCCTATTCAGGACTAATTCCTGGGCCCAACTGTTGCAGGAAGTCAGGGACCCCAAATGGAGGGACCGGCTGGAGCCACAGCAGAGGAACATAAATTGTGAAGATTCATGGACATTTATCAGTTCCCAAATAATACTTTTATAATTTCTTACGTCTCTCTTTACTTTAATCTCTTAATCCTGTTATCTTCATAAGCTGAGGATGTACGTCACCTCAGGACCACTGTGATAATTGTGTTAACTGTACAAATTGATTGTAAAACGTGTATTTGAACAATATGAAATCAGTGCACTTTGAAAAAGAATAGAATAACAGCAATTTTTAGGGAACAAGGGAAGACAACCATTAGGTCTGACTGCCTGAGGGGTCAGGCAAAAAGAGCCATATTTTTCTTCTTGCAGAGAGCCTATAAACGGACACGCAAGTAGGAGAGATATCACTAAATTCTTTCCTAGCAAGGAATATTAATATTAATACCCTGGGAAAGGAATGCATTCCTGGGGGGAGACCCTCTGGGAATGTCTGTCTTATGCAGTTGAGATAAGGACTGAGCTACACCCTGGTCTCCTGCAGTACCCTCAGGCTTACTAGGGTGGGGAAAAACTCTGCCCTGGTAAATTTGTGGTCAGACTGGTTCTCTGCTCTCAAACCCTGTTTTCTGTTGTTTAAGATGTTTATCAAGACAATACATGCACCACTGAACATAGACCCTTATCAGTAGTTCTGCTCTTGCCCTTTGCCTTGTGATCTTTGTTGGACCCTTATCAGTAGTTCTGCTTTTGCCTTTTGTCCTGTTCCCTCAGAAGCATGTGATCTTTGTTAGACCCTTATTAGTAGTTCTGCTTTTTGCCCTTTGAAGCATGTGATCTTCATACCTACTCCCTGTTCTTATACCCCCTCCCCTTTTGAAACCCTTAATAAAAACTTACTGGTTTTGAGGCTCAGGCGGGCATCACGGGTGTACTGATATGTGATGTCACCCCCAGTAGCCCAGCTGTAAAATTCTTCTCTTTATACTGTCTCTCTTTATTTCTCAGCTGGCCAACACTTACGGAAAATATAAAGAACCTCCGTTGAAATATTGGGGGTGGGTTCCCCCAGTACCCAACTTTGCTTTCAACAGGTTCACTGATTGTATGGGGAAAGCCAAAGTAGGAGCAAATCTGTGTTTCTATGAATTGCCAACATTTGTTCCTGTTATCATGAGTCTGTTTTTACAGTCTGAACAAGTTTTTATTTTAATCTCAACTGAAAGCCACTGAGTTTAAGGCTCCTGATAAATGAGTAGTTTTACTCTTTGGTGTCAGTGTCTACAACAAAGAGTCTCGAAGAAAAAAGTGAGAGTCTACTTATCTCTGAAATAGACTAATGAATACGTTTTACTTATGGAGTAATACTTGTCTCAAAATTACTTCGAAACATCAGAAAGTAGGGCTGTCCTCTCACCAGTACTTTATGGCTCATGACCTCCCTGCCTGCATCAAGACACAAATAGACCTGGATCTCCTCCCTCTCCCTCCCGGCCAAATGCCCTCTTCAGAGTCAATAGCAATGCCTGATTGAATGATTTGTGCCTCCCTGCAGGCCTCTTGGCTGCCAGTAACTCACTTCAGAGTCTTGGTCATTTGTGGTGTGTCTTGAGGATGCTCACTAGCTGTTCTCTTCCTCAGTTGGTTCTATTCATTTCTGGTTTGGGGTAATTGCATGTTTGAGTTCACAGTAAAAATAAAAATATGTAAGTGATACACACTGTAAATCTTATTGCACATGATTCATACACACATGAATTTAAAAAGAAGAAAAACAGGCAGGATATCACTGTAGGAGTATTGTTAGTTATTTCAAACTTTATAAAGAAGAAAGTGTTGTGTGTTTGTTGGAAGTATTTGTGAATTGTTAGCAACTTTTACCCCACTGCCTTGCATATATGCAAATCAATGGAGTAAATAACCGTGATTTGGTTCTCCTTAGAAGTAGCCCGGGGTTCACTGCAATGCCATTAAGACTATAAGTAAGCATGGTGTTATACAAATGTCAGTCATCTACAAGCCACCTACGTAATTTTTGCCATATTAACATATTCTTTGTACTCATAATCTCAATATTTTTATGTAGACCTCCTCAGACTTTTAGTGAGTTAAGTCTATTTTAAAAGAAAACTGTAAAACACTGCTGTACTCCTTGTGCTTCACTGGATTGCATATTCTGGGTAGCATGGACATTTCTTTTGTAATCTCCTTGGCCCACAGCCCTGTGCTATGCTCATATATTATGACAATAAAGTATGTATGACAGTGTTCATAGATTGAGATCATCTTTTCTAACTTCAATGAGCTTAGTACATGAATAATTTTCTATACAAAATCATAGAAAATTCAAAATGTTAATTTTCTTGTGTGATAGAAAAGGAATGAGAAAAAAGTTGCACCCAAAGACTCATAGGATTTCAGACTTTGACATTCTGATGATCTTTTATTTGAAAAGACAAGAAAATAATATTTTCTAAAGATAAGCTCTTGAAAAAACAGTTTCTTGTAACCAAAAACATATTAACCCTTGGAACTGTATGGTAATCTCAGTCGTTTCAGAAATGCCAGTGCCAATATGCTCAATCAAATTCTCATCAATGAAAAGAATAGGGACGTTGAAAAGGTAGAATAGCAGCAGAAATAAAAGTGACCTTTTGGAAATTACTTTTGCTTTCATTGTTTGTGTTCAGATTTGAAGAGTATTCACTATTTGTTTTGCTAAAAATCTTCCAAGTGTCATTAAACTGAGAACTTGGGGCATCTTGTCTGACTTTAGGTAGAGAATAATTACCATTTGCACCCTACAAATGTGGGTAAGCTTGCACTGAAATAAACCATCCAAATCCATGATGAACATCAAAATTGTAGACATAAGGAGAAGAGTGGAAAATTGTAGTATGACAAAATAGCTACATTTAATTATGTAAAATTACATAGAATTTTAGTCTTCTTTAGAGGTGCTTTATTTAAACTTACATCTAAAGGCACGTCTTTGGTTAATGCAACTTTCATTTCAAGTCCAGGAGTTGACAGAACATTTATTAAATTTAAAATTCAAGCAGATTGTAATGCTTGCAATTTTGAAAGTTATAGGGCCACTTTTCTGAGAAAAAATATTATTTAAAACTGTGAGGTCCACTTGATCCCCTTTGTTCACATCAAATCTCTCATGTGCCCCTACCTATGAATTTTTTTCTGCTCTTTTGCAGAGAATAAATCTCATTTTAGGTAACAGAGTGAGTCTACTCAAGACTTTCTCTTCCAGCCAGGCAGCATTTTAAGAAATGGTGTCCCTCTATACATGGCCTTTGCGGATCCTATGACCATTCTTGGTTGCCCTTATCTATGAGTCCCCCAGAGAAGCCACAAGAGTGACCCAGCACTATTCCCACAAGAAAAGACACTCTGGGTGGCTTGCTGTCTGGTTAGCCGGAGGACTGAAAAATCAGTGCTATCAACTTCTGACTACACTGAGCAGCTCATTAAGCATCATTATGCCCATTATTTCCCCTGGCTCCTACAGTCCCTTTCTGAGGAAAGCATTGGTGTACACTCTGTAAAACAAGTTCTACTATCCTGGCTATAGGATATTCATTGAACCAGGAACTTGGGGCTCAACAGTGTCGCTTTGAGTCAAAATGTGATCAGAGAAGAGAAAACCAAAGATACCATGAAAATAAGATCAAGTTGACCATCACAGAGAAGAAATAAGCAGCCGCTTTCCCAGGGCTGCCTCAGAGCCCAGACAGGCTTTCAGTTCTAGTCCATGTTTGTCCTTACAAGTAATCATTACTTCTTCCTTTCTCTAAAGCTCAGGTCAGAATCTCATTTTGAAGCAACTCAGAGAAAGCCTCTGAGTTGGTATACACAGATGGTATATCTAAATAATAATACAATAAATAAATATAATGCTTTAATTATACAACTCCCAGGACCACTCTTTCTACATAAAATGTGGACTTTACTCTCTGGAGCAACTCTCTAGCTCTCTCCCATGCGTGTTCTTTCTCTCAGAATCTGCCTCCTCTCCTATTCTCATTTCAAGCCACAAAATGTGTCCTCTGTGTGCAAAACAGCACTTAGAGATCACAAAGATGGAAACGTGACAATCCCTCTTTCATGTGCGGCTTCCAAGCCTTGGTGTAACAGAGGCTCCATTTTTCCAAACTCTGCTTGCAACTGCTTTGTTAGCTACCAGTGTCAACATGACCACTTGAAGAATTTTGCTGAAGCAGAGGAAAAGCACTAGTTCTAGAGGGGGTGATGCTCCTATTTGATCATAGTAAGAGCAGCGTCAGACAGGACAGTCTAAAAAGGACTCACCATTCCCAACCCCAGGGGGCTTTCCTGCTACACTAAAGGAGAACACATCCATCCACATTTCACCTTAACCTTCCTCTACTAAGTTCTGGATAAAATACCTTACTTATGAATAAATAATAACAACAATCATAACTCCTTTAGAGAGAGGGACCTGTCAAATGTACTCTACTAGAGATGCCATCTTTTCCCAGCCCTCCACATGCAGTGCACCTGCACACTCTGTCCCAATGGAAGAGCAGGAGTAGACACCTGACCCAAGCTGGGCCAATTATTCTCCCTCCTGGGAACTTCGAATTAGAATGAACAAATATTGAGTTTGTTAATTATGTGACGCCAAGCTGGAAAGCCAGCAGGAAGAGGCTACCATTTTAAAGCAGCCCAGCACAAGGTGATGAGTAAATTAAGCAGCAGTCAGCAGAGAGAAAAGAATGAAGCTGGCATGCAGGATAGAGAGATACCGGGAGGCCCCTGGAAGACATGAAGGGAGAAATAAAGGTGGGGAAATAAAATGAAAAGCTATATAACTTTCTAATTTTTTTTCATTTTTTTCTTTTTTTTTTTTTTTGAGATGGAGTCTTGCTCTGTCACCCAGGCTGGAGTGCAGTGGTGGATCTCAGCTCACTGCAACCTCCGCCTCCCTGGTTAAAGCGATTCTCCTGCCTCAGCCTCCTGAGTAGCTGGGATTACAGGCATGTACCACCACACCTGGCAAATTTTTGTATTTTTAGTAGAGACGGGTTTCACCATATTGGCCAGGCTGGTCTCGAACTCCTGACCCCAAGTGAGTCGCCCACCGCAGCCTCCCAAAGTGCTGGGATTACAGGCATGAGCCACTGTACCTGGCCAATAATTCTTATAAGTCCTAGAGTTCTTGCTGAAATTAGATTCCTTAAATAAATTTCAACTTGCTTAAGCCAACAAGTAGATTTGGGGTCCTCACAATGAAATATACATGTACCAGTCGATTTCTTCTAATAAAAAAATGGCATCACTAAGTAGCAATCTGTGAACATAAGGCTCTTAGTTTTAGTCATAGCTGACATTAAAGAGATTACATTCGGAGATCACTTTATACTTATCACTTATTTTCTTCCATCTAAATTATTATACTTATAACAGGAGTACCACAAATTCCATTATTCATTGAGCTACTCTTGTGCACGGTGATGAATAAGTCAGGATTCCTTCCTGTTGGGGGCTGGGAATCAATGATGTCAACGAATAATGACAATGATGTGTGAAAAGTCTGTCATAGAGGCATAGGCTGATGTTCTAGGGCTTTGGAGACAATACCTTATTTGATTTTTCACCTACTTCAAAGACAGTTACAAGAATCTACACTTGGCAAAAACAGTCACACAAGACAGGTAACCATTAGTTTAGTTTCAGTAATTTGTACTTGAAGCCTGAGGAAATAAAGTATTGTTCACTTGGCACATAATTGGCATTTAATAGATGTGAGCCTCCTCCCCAATGTCTTGTCATCCCTAACCACCTCCAATCACCATTTTAACAGTTAAAAATCAGGCATAAGAAAAGATTAGGCAATTTGTCAACTTGCCTGAGAACACAACTTAATTTAGAGCTGACAACTGAACAACATTCTTTTCACTCTGAGGTAAAATTTCCCAGCAAGATGTCAGAAGAAATATACAGTCTTCTATTTAAACACGTGTGTTGGCCAGGCGCAGTGGCTCACACCTGTAATCCCAGCACTTCGGAGGCCAAGGTGGGCAGATCACAAGGTCAGGAGTTTGAGACCAGCCTGACCAACATGGTGAAACCCTCTCTACTAAAAATACAAAAATTAGCCAGGCGTGGTGGCACGCACCTGTAATCCCAGCTACTCAGGAGGCTGAGGCAGGAGAATCACTTGAACCAGGGAGGCAGAGGTTGCAGTGAGCCCAGATAGCGCCACTGCACTCCAGCCTTGGCGACAGAGGGAGACTCCATCTCAAAAAACAAACAAACAACAACAATAAGAAACAAGCGTATTAAGCCAAAAACTGGCTTATCTCTTCTCCCTCCTGAGGTGGCATTAAAATGATAATAAAAGCTTTTTTAAAAGGATAAACCCTAGTGACAAAGAAAACAGGAGGACACAAACACAACATCAGAAGAATGATAGAAATGAGTTTCCAAGGAAGAAAGTCCCAGTTCACCACGGGAAGGGTGGTGCAGGGGAGGGCCAGCCAATGGGGAGAGTTGACTGGCTGTGCCAAGGCCTTTAGAGGTTTTTGGCGTGGCACACAGTAGGTGGAGGCAAGGGAAGAGAGCCCAAAGATTCCCTTCCTGCCCTCCTACGAGGAGAACAAGGTCTCTACCTGCTCAGTGAGGGACCAGTGCTCTGCCTCCGGAGAGGCTGAGAGGGAGAGGCTTTGGGAGCAGGAAACCAGGTTCAGAGCAAGAGCAGAATGATGCGCAAGGAACAAAAGATGGGAACTAATGTCACGTGCAGGCCTCAGACCCACGAAGAACTTGGTGAACTGGGCTGCTGCCCATTAGGGGAGAGATTCGAACTATTTTTGTGTGAAAAAGCCCCAGAGTAAATCCTCTCATGTACACACTAACAATGTTGGGGCCCTCTCAGAGTGATTGATTTGCTGCCTCATTATTCAGAAATGAAGGCCACTGCTTGTCATGCCACACATCCACGGGTCTCCTAGGCAGCTCTTTTAAAAAATCAATTTATTTTATGATAGTCACATAAAATTTACTATTTTAAAGTGAAGGATTCAGTGACATTTAGTAAACTTGTAATGTTTTGCAGCCACCACCTCTATTTAGTCCCCATCGCTACAAAGTAAAACTCTGTTCTTATTAAGCACTTTCTCTCCATTCTCCCCTTCCCATGATCCCTGGAAATCACCAATCTCCATTCTGTCTTCATGAATGTATCTATTCTAGATATTTCATATGAAAGGAATCATACAATATGTGACCTTTTGCGTTGACTTCTCTCACTTGGCGTAATGTTTTGGAGGTTTATCCATGTTACCACATGTATCAGTACTTCATTCATTTTTATGATAGAATAATATTCCATTGTGTGAATACACTACAATCCAGATCGGCTTTTGATGCCTCAGTCGAATAAAAACAATCGACAATCACCATACATAAGGCAAAAGAGAGAAACCAAAATAAACAGAAAAATGAAAACTGGAGAAAACAATATAAATCAGAGGACACAGTAAAACTTTTAAAAAAGTAACAACTCATAGCCTGAAAGATTAAAAAATGCACACCCATATGTGTATCTATTTGTGTATATATGTGTATATTTACTGTATACACATATCTACAGATATATGGCATCCTTAAAATAATAAGAGGATGCTGTGAGAAAAACAAAGGTTAAAAAGAAATAGTTGGCCAACATAAAAATAATACATAGAAGGTTAGGAAGATAAGGAAATATCCCAAAAAGTCTGATCAAGAGAAATTTTGAGAGAAAAAAAAATGACATATACAATTGTGAGAAGAAAATTAAGCAATGGCCTATTTTGAAAAACAAATGTTTCTTAGTCTAAAATTCTACACTCAGCCAAACTATTAGTCAAGGGTTAGAGTAAGGACATTTTCTGACATGAATGGTCTCAGAAAATTAGCTTCTCATGAATACTTTCTAAGGAATCTATTTGTGTGCTCCAACAAAGTGCAAGAAGAAAAAAGCATGGATACAGGACACAGGAGATGTAAGTTGGCAAACAGGATGAAAGAGCTCCAGCTCAACAACAGCTGGGTCACAGGCTGAGACATGACCAGTCCAGGATTGCGCAGAAAACTGAAGACTTTCAGAGCATCGTTGCAAATAAAGTACAGTGTATGGACACAGCCATAAATTTCCATCAGCAGAGTACACAGCCATCCAAACTCCAGGCCTGCCCAGGAAAACGTAGCACAATTAAAAATTATCTGCACTTTTCAGCAGCTTCAAGGTCGAAGTTTTGTATGTAGTTAAACAGATATTTACCTGTCTCCTATGATATGGAGAAGCTGGGTGCTGTGTACTGGTTATTCTCCATTTGCCCCTCCAAATTCATTCTCCACCCTTCTTTGCCTTCTCTATGTCAAGAGAGGCTGACTCCTAGGGACTGCATCAGCAGGCTCCCTTGGCCTCCATCTTGCAATTGGGTTTAGCCAGTGGGAAGCACTGGCAGGCAATCAGAAGGCCGGAGGAGAGACTAGGATATACTCCCCTCTCCATTCTGTTTCAACAGCTGTGCTTTTTCCTTTATGGCTGCATCTCTTATCTGGCAGCTCCTCTCCCATGGCTGTAGCTCTCACTAGGTTCCAGGACAATTCCCTCCTCCTTGCTCCTTCAGGCAAGGGAATGGTAATGACTTCCCACAGTTGCTAGTTCCTGGGTGCCTCACCCTTCCTTCCCAGTTCCCTTAATCCGCCCATACCTTTGCAAAGAGTCCCATTATTAAACTGTATTCAATGACAAACCTTTGAATATGACATCTTTTTTTCTGCTATGACCCTAAATAATAAACTTTTTAAAGCTTAATTTAAAAAGTCAAACTTTAAAAGGGCACTAGTATATTATTGTAGGTGAATTATTTGTTTTTAATCTTCCCTTCTAACAAATCGTGTGTGTGGGGGGGGGGCGGGGGCGGGGGCGGGGGAGAGAGAGAGAGAGGGAAAAGGACAGGAAGAGGCAGAGGCAGAAGGAGTCGGGGGTGACAGAGAGACAGAGAAAGTTTGAGATGAAGAAAAAATACCATATTTTATTGATTCCAGGTTCTTGCAGTAATCAGACAGATAAAAGATCCTTTAATACTGGTGCTTGGACAGTGTTTTACAAAACAGAAAGATTATGCAATACTTAATATTTGGTAACAATTTTTAGCACATAGTAAATATTTTATTACTTTGTGTAATAAACATTCTGAAAAATAAATTCTTTCATTATGATATAACTTATGATCCTCACCCTAACATGGCTATGTTCTCTAATTACTCCTTTGTAAGTAAAATCATAAGTAATAATAGTTGTAATCACAAGTAATACTAGTTTTAATCATAATACACACATAATTTTGAATCCTGATTTTTCTACTTAAAAGTATGTAATGACCATGTTACTATCTTGCTACATAATTTTCATAATCATCATTTGAAAATTGTACATTGTACCTGATCATATGGATATACCATAAATCACAAACCACAGCTATACCATATTATCCTAGGCAATGTTCCTATAATCTATTTGAACACTTTTATTGTTCAGAAAATAACATCAAATAAATCTGATGGACATGAGTTCTTCCCTTAGAAGAGTAAGCCAAGCTGGGACTTAAAGTGTGTTTGCTCTAGAATCTAGAGTGGCCTGTAGGATTGACAGGCAAGTTGGCCAATGGTGTATGTGTACTGAGAAACAAAGCAGCCCCTTCAAGAAGCCCATTCTCTGGGAAAAGTGAGCTTGGGACTCAGATAATGCTTGAGTCCTGGAGAGGGACAAAGGTTCTAAGTACAACAATCGGTCAGTTAATTCACTTGTCTGATGAACAGCTGTGAGGCCTGTTTCACCAAATATTGATGAGATGTTGTGATCACCAGTCACACTAATTTGGGATCCCTGTATCTCAACAAGAGGAGAAGGATTTTTCTACCTCCAGAGAGAATAAGAGCACTGTCACCACTCCAACAACCCAAAGAAGTATAGCTTCAATAGTGAGCGTCAGCTGCAGGCGGCACCTGTGGCAGTAGCAGCCCTTAGGTGCCTTCCATAGCTACCGGCAGCAGATATTTCTGCTGGGAGACAGAGCCAGAGCCAGAGAGAACCATGTACTCCATGTGGTTGTGCAAATTCCTTGTGTTTGAAAGCAACCCTCACGCAATTCCCCAAAATAATTAGGGAAACCCTTGTGGGTTGTCTAGCCTTTGGGACAGATTTTTTTTAAAAAAATACTATTTGTTACTGTTAACATAGGGTCTAAATTGCCCTCTGGGTTAGGGAAGACTAGGAAAAAATGAATTGAACTTTATAATTTTTATGCTAGGAGGGAGGGTACATAGACTTTTACTATACTGTTCTCCGAAATATTTCACTTAAAAGATAAAATCACGGTGCAAGTAAACATGCTTTAATAGAAGGAGTGTAAATATGGCAAATTTACACAAAGTATTTTCTTCCTTTTTTTTTTTTTTTTTTTTTGAGACAGAGTCTCAATCTGTTGCCCAGGCTGGAGTGCAGTGGCACGATCTCGGCTCATTGCAACCTCTGCCTCCCGGGTTCAAGAGATTCTCCCACCTCAGCTTCACAAGTAGCTGGGATTACAGGCGTGTACCACCATGCCCAGTTAATTTTTGTGTTTTTAGTACAGATGGGGTTTCACCATGTTGGCCAGGCTAGTCTCGAACTCCCGACCTCAGGTGATCTGCCTACCTAATTGTAGATGACACAAACAAATGGAAAAACATCCCATGAATTGGAATAACTAATATCATTAACATAATCATACTGCTCAAAACAATCTACAGATTCAATGAAATCCCTATCAAGATACCAACATCATTTTTCACGGAATTAGAAAAAACAATTCTAAAACTCATATGGAACAAAAAAGAGTCCAAATAACCAAAGCAGTCCTAAGCAAAAGAACAAAGCTGGAGGCATCACATTGCTTGATTTCAAATTATACTATAAGGCTATAGTAATCAAAAGAGCACAGTACTGGTATAAAACCAGACACATAGATTAATGGAACAGAATAGATAACACAGACATAAGATCACATATTTACAGCTAACTGATCTTTGACAAAGCCAATAAAAACATACACAAAGGACACCCTTTTCCATAAATGGTGCTGAGAAAATAGATTCACTATATGCAAAAGAATGGAACTGAACTCCTATCACTGTATACAAAAATCAACTCAAGATGAATTAAAAACGTAATAGTAAAACCTGAAACTATAAAAACACTAGAAGAAAACCCAGGGAAAACTCTTCTGCACATTGGTCTAGGCAAATTATTTATGACTAAGACCTCAAAAGTGTAAGCAATAACAACAAAAAAATAGGGCCAGGCATGGAGGCTCACACCTGTAATCCTAGCACTTTGGGAGGCCAAGGCAGGTGGACTGCCTGAGCTCAGGAGTTCAAGACCAGCCTGGGCAACACAGTGAAACCCCGTCTCTACTAAAATACAAAAAAATTAGCTGGGCATGATGGCATGTGCCTGTAATCCCACTTACTTGGGAGGCTGAGGCAGGAGAATTGTTTGAACCCGTGAGGCAGAGGTTGTAGTGAGCCGAGATCACCCCATTGCACTCCAGCCTGGGTGACAGAGTGAGACTCTGTATAAAAAAATAAATAAATAAATAAATAAATAAAGACAAATGGGTTATAATTAAACTAAATTAAACTAAAAAACTTCTGCACAGTATAACAGATGATCAATAGGGTGAATAGAAAACCTGCATAGTGAGAGAACATTTTTGCAAACTATTCATCCAACAGGAGGAGACTAATATCCAGAATCTACAAGAAACTCAATTCAACAAATACAAAAAATAATCTCATTAAAAATGGGCAAAAAATATGAATATACATTTCTCAAAAGAAGACATACAAATTTCCTACAGGTGTATGAAAATTCTCAACATCACTAATCATCATAGAAATGCAAATTAAAATGAGACATCATCATACCTTAGTCAGAATGGCTACTATTATTTTACTTTTTATTTTTTTTTTGAGACGGAGTCTCACTTTGTCGCCCAGGCTGGAGCACAGTGGCATGATCTCAGCTCACTGCAACCTCTGCCTCCCGGGTTCAAGTGATTCTCCTGCCTCAGCCTCCCAAGTTGCTGGGACTACAGGCACGTGTCACCACACCCAGCTAATTTTTGTATTTTTAGTAGAGATGGGGTTTCACCATGTTGGCCAGGATGGTCTTGATCTCTTGACCTTGTGATCCACCCACCTCAGCCTCCCAAAGTGCTGGGATTACAGGCGTGAGCCACTGTGCCTGGCCACAGAAGAGCTATTATTAAAAGACAAAAAAAAACACATTTTAGTGAGAATGAAGAGAAAAAAGAATCCTATACACATTGATGGGAATATAAATTAGTACAGTCTCTAAGGAAAACATGGAAATTTCTCAAAGAATTAAAAATACAACTATCATTCAATCCAGTGATCACACTACTGGATATCTATGCAAATGAAAAGAAATCAGTGTATCAAAAAGATACCTGCACTCATGTGTTTATCATAGCACTATATAGAGTCAACCAACGAATGATTGGATAAAGAAAAGATGGTGATTATATACACAATGAAATACTATTTAGTGATTAAAAAGAGTAAAATCAGATTTTTTTCAGGAACATAGATGGAACTGGAGGTCATTATCTTAAGTAAAACAAGCCAGACACAGAAAGTCAAATATCACATGCTCTCACTCATAAGTAGGTGCTAAAAAATGTGTACACATGGACATAGAGAGTGGAATAATAGAGAATGGAGACTCAGAGAGGAGAGGGAGTTGGAAGGCAGTGAATGATGAGAAATCACTTAATGGGTACAATGTATGTTATCTGGGTGATGGAGACCCTAAAGTCTTGACTTGAAGACTATGCAAGCTATGCATGTAACAAAATTATACTTGTACCCCATAAATTTATAAAAATTAAAAACAAAATAAACTTCCATGGAGTATGGTTTCTAAAGGACAGCTGCTGTGGAACTGCTCATTTTTCTGGCCTAAGGGAAGGCTGCCAGCATTCAACTTTCAGGCTGAGAGTCTGCATTCACTTATTTTGTGGTTAGAACACTTGACATTAACATAGGGTCTGTGGCTAATGTCATATATATGAAATATATGTCACATATTTTAAAAAATTGAGCACAATATATAAACTAATCCCAAGGTGGAGGGTTTTCCCAAAGTATACTTTATTAAAACATGTAGATTTTCCTCTTTCAAATATAATATACTGCAAACTATTAGAATGGTTGAATTAGAATGCTTTTGGTTGCAAGCAATAGAAACCTAACTTGATTACAGAAAATGGTGGTTCATTGGAAGGACCTTGGGCTGATTCCTTACAGAATGAGAGAAAGAATGGAACACTTCAGGCTGCATGTGGCAGAAATGGAGCTAGCCTGGGGGTTGATTGACTGACTCTCTAGAGGCAGGGACCTGGCAAGATTGACTCCATATTGCATTGCAGCATTCCTCAATATAGAGGTTTCACCCTTTTTCAGTTAAAGATGACCTCCTCTGTAGAGAAGGTGGCCATAAATCCCTCCAAAATAATAACTTTCAGCTGAGTGTGGTGGCTCACACCTGTAGTCCCAGCATTTTGGACGCAGAGACAGGCAGATGGCTTGAGCCCAGGAGTTTAAGACCAGCCTGGGCAACATGGCCAAACCCTATCTCCAAAAAAAAAACAACAACAACAAAAAGAAGAAAACAAAAAGCCGGGCGCAGTGGCTAACGCCTGTAATCCCAACACCACTTTGGGAGGCCGAGGCGGGCAGATCACCTGAGGTCGGGAGTTCGAGACCAGCCTGATTAACATGGAGAAACCCCGTCTCTACTAAAAATACAAAATTAGTCGGGCGTGGTGGCACATGCCTGTAATCCCAGCTACTTGGGAGGCGGAGGCAGGAGAATCGCTTGAACCCGGAAGGCAGAGGTTGTGGTGAGCTGAGATCGCGCCATTGCACTCCAGCCTGGGCAACAAGAGCGAAACTCCGTCTCAAAAAAAAAAAAAAGAAAGAAAGAAAAAATTAGCTGGGTGTGGTAGCACACGTTTGTAGTCCCAGTTACTCAGGAGGCTGAGGTGGGAGAATTGCTTGAGCCCATGAGGTCGAGGCTGAAGTGAGCCGAGATCATACCACTGCACTCCAGCCTGGGTGACAGAGTGACACCCTGTCTCAAAAAAAAAAAAAAAGAAAAAAAAAAATTCCAGATCTATTGATATGAAAAATCTTTAAGAAGGGCTCTGATTGGCCCAATTTTGGTCACCTATTCCTTCACCAGTCACAGTGGCCAAGGAGATGGTGTCCTACGACTGCCCAGTCTGAAGTCTGCAGACTTTAACCACTGAAAAAAGGGGACAATACAGACAGGGCCATGGGAAGAATTAACTTGGACCCAGGCCAACTCTCCATTTGTAACTACAAGAACAGAAAAGATGAAAGAAATGAAGAAAAGTTGCCCTCATCACCCTTAAACTGAGTTTTGAATGAGTATTCTACTTTGTCTATATATATACACACACACATAGACACCTTAAAGCACAATATTGTCCTAGAGCTACTTAACAAAGAGATGGTTTTGAAATCTATCTGAAGACTATAGGCCTAAAAATTCAGAAACAAAGCTTATCTATTGGAGATCCTTGGAATTTAGCCCTATATGAAGGACTCTTTCTGTTTCTGGAATTCTTTAAGAAATGAAGTACAACCCCATGAGTCTGATGTAATAAATAAGAACTAGTATACAAGGTTAAATGTACATAATATCATTTTAAATGTGCACATTAACCAAACAGGCCTCTAACAAAGTGTTTCTCAGGTACAAAGTATAACTTAGGGATAAGCCTTTGCTTCCTTTCTTCTGTCCATTCAGCAACATATTGAGAGCCTTCTGTAGACCAAGCGTTACTCTAGGTTCTGTGGAATTTGTTGTAAACAAAATGGACTAATGGTCCTTGTCCTGGAACCAATAAAACATTGAGGATGGAAGGCAAAAATAAATAAGTAAACAACAACAACAAAAACCCATGATAAATAAGTAGATAAATGTTCCAAATGATCAAGAAAACATTCTTGAAATAATTATTCTAATTCTTTATAGCCACTGAATCTTATGAGGGTTCATAGTAAATAAAATACTTACAACAGCCAAATAGGGCTCAGCAAGAAACAAAAGGACTTTTAGCAAATCAAGACCCTGATAATTATTTTATATAAATGGTGGAATAAAATATCCTAATAATGAAGACTTTTGTTTATCAACACTGTGGGCCAACTATTAGGTTTTGCAAAATCACTTCTTCTCCCTCAAAGAAAGGAGCTTTGCAGTATTAACCAATGCAAACACAACCATACATGGTCTGTATTTGCAGATACCATGATTACATAAAAACATAGCTTAACCTTCACAGGATACAGACATATACAGTAAAATGGAAAAAAAAAACCCACTATTTTTATTTTAAAAAACTTCAATTTTAGTTTTTTCTCATTTGGAACTTACTACTTTTATTTTTCGTTTTTCTTGCACTTTTTCCTTCTTTGTTCTCGCATTCTTATATCTTCGGTTTTCTTCTTTAAAATATTTAATGTCTGTGAATTTACCTCTGAGTAGAATCTTAGCTGAAGCACATCAGTGATCTCATATTCTAAATATTTTGTCATTGCTTTTACATTTCCTTCTTGGCTCCACAGTTTCTAAGTGGGGTACTTTTTTATTTCCATGTAGTTCGAATATTTACTATTGATCTAGGATGTGGTCAGAAAACATGGTGCTTTTACAATATTCTTTTCCTTGGGAAATTTACTGTTATTTTTCTTTATTCATGATCAGTAGTTTTAACTACTTATGTATACTTTAAAAGGTGATATAGTTTCTGTTTGTGGAAATAAAAAAGTTTAAAACATATTTCTATTGATTCTATTCTACTATGTATATAACCAAAATATCCTATATTCTTTTACTCTAGTCTACTTCATCTATCAAATTGCAAGTAAAGTGATAAAGTCATCTTCTACAACTGTTCTCTCCATATCTTTTGTAACTGTAAAGTTTTCACTTGTATTTTAATACTACACATTTGTAACATAAAGGATTTAACTGTCATACTTTCCTTCACTATGATGTATTCCTTTTGTCAATTTCGAATGCATATTTTCTTCTATTTTGTCTGATATGAATTATGCCATATTTGTTTTCATTTTCATTTTTGCCTAACATATTTTTCCATTTTCAAATTTTCACCTTTCTAGGT
Source organism: Homo sapiens (assembly GCF_000001405.40). Taxonomy (NCBI): domain Eukaryota; kingdom Metazoa; phylum Chordata; class Mammalia; order Primates; family Hominidae; genus Homo; species Homo sapiens. The sequence continues at coordinate 80,349,584 of NC_000006.12, read as the reverse complement.
CAATTTATTTCAAGACTTCCTGGTGAACAGCTTTTAATTGGATTTTGTTTTTTAACCCAATCTAAGTTCTTTCTTATTAATTAGGGAATTCACCTGATTACATTTATGTCTTATGTTTGACTTTGCTTTATCCTATTTTTCTTTCCTTGCTGTCCCCCCACTACCCACCCCTCATTTGTGTTGCAGGGGCTATTTCTTAGTTAACTTTGTACCTAAGAATCTAGCCCGGTGCCCGGCCCGTAACAGGCACTCACTAAATGTTTGTGTAATTAGTATAGACCATTTGTGCAATGATGTGGAAGACACATATGCTGCTTTTAGTTCTATTAGTGGTTAAGTTTTTGAAGCATTTAAAAGCCATTATTAAACTTTCAAGGTTAACAGCAGAATAATGCAGTTACACTCTTCTTTCCTAAAGATGAAGAGTTTAGAAGTTTTGAACTCCTTTTGGCAAATCTACTACTCCAGTCTTTGTCAACTTAAGTCATATTTATGATCATCACTATTTTCTTATTTTTGCAATATGGAGCCATCACTTCACATAAAAGTGTATTTAAGACAATTATTTAGATATACACCTTTTTACTTGTTTCTATTTTCAGTTCCAGTCCTTCCAGTTATGATGTCCTCATTCTTGTTACTGTTTTATTTCCAACTTTTCTGGTAAATATCTCTAATTAGTATATTCAGAGAGGTGCCAGGGTTTCTAAATCTTTAACCATATATGAATATTTTCTATTGCTTTCCAAACCTGATGGCCCAAGTTTAAAGTATATCAGGATCTCTAAATCTCATGTTGCCCTGGAGGTTCCAATGTGACTTTTTTGGGGTCATGTTCCTCATCCATCAGGCCAAAGATTTCTGCTAAAAGTAACATAGTCTGTGTGCCTAGCTGGTTAGCAGCTATCAGTTGTAGATTCAGGTGTACTTGGAGCAGGTGAAAATTTGAGACACAGTCTTTTAGACTGCAGTGTCATCGACAAGGCTGAGTCTAATACTTTTTGTTTCTGCATGGGTATCCTCACTTTCTATTCTGAGGTACCTGGCTGGGTCTGGATCAGGGCCATCTCTGTGGCTAACACTGCACAGTGTTGGGATTGGCAGCCTCTCCAGAACCACATGTGGTGGGGAGAGGGAGTTCTCTAAACAAACAGCAGTGCTGTTTCTAGAAGTTGGAGGCCGGGATGCTAGGCAGCCAGAAACCACATGTATCCACTCTAGGCAAGCTGATGAGAAAGGGATTACATGAAACCAAATGTGGACCTTCTAAGTGGGTCTTCTAAACATTTTGACCAAGAATTTTTAGATGATGAGATTTAAACCTAAGGAATTGAGATAATTTTCTGAATCTTGTTCCTCATTTTTTTTTAAATATACACAGAACTTTTAGTTAGCTATATAACACCTTGTTCAGGCAAGAGGGAAGAATGAGGGAAAACATTCTAGAAGTTCTGAATCTTATTCATTTTTTTTTAAAATGTACACAGGTCTTTTAGTTAGCTATTCCATTAGTTGCATAGAATGCAGTTATTATATTTTTTCCTGAAAGAATCAGACACATTAAACCACAGAAATTAAATTAGTTTATAGATCCATGTTGTCACAAGAAGCAGACATTATTATGTGAGGCTGGGAGCAGTGGAGGATTTTGGACCTGGCATTCATTTAAAATCTCTCAAGTGCCTTCTTGCCACTATTTTCTTATTTTCATAATATGGACTCTTTCTTTCATGCAAAAATGTATTTTGGCAATAAATTAAATGTGTATGTATGTCTTATGCCATAGATTGAGTTTAGTGTTAACTGTAAAGGTTTATTGGAAGAAAAGGGAGTGTTTACTTGTGGGGACTGCAGGGCTAACTAGAGGTGAAAAGAGGCTTTCAAATACAGGCATTTAGTACATAGATCATCCTCAGAGTTATTCTCACACTTGCTATTTCAAAAATAGAGTTAAAGACAGTAAAATTAAAATAGCTAAGAGAAAATCCTTAAAATACCAAATGAATAGAAAATATAGCATTAGAAAGATACAACAGCCATAACAAATTAATTCCACTAAAATCAGTATGTTTAACTACAACCCACTGTAGGCCAAGGTGGCAGACCACCGCACATGTCCTGTTCTGCTGGACTGACCATGTCAGTGCAGAGTTCCCTGTAGGATGCTTTGAGCCATTAGTGGAGAACAAAGACCAAAGCCAAAGTCCATACTGAGTTTTGGCATCTTAAACTCAGAATGTTCTGTATGGTAAGCCAACTGAACTCCCTAAATCTTTTCCAAACTTGTTGCTGACAAACTACATCTTTTCCCTTCCTATGCTGTACAAGTTTTTCTATTTTTAATCCAAGGACAGGGTTTTATTTTTACAAATGATTGGGTTCATTATTTCAGATCATAGCTATTCAGACTCTGTGATCAAGTGCCTTTACTTTGCCTCCAAGTTTCTGGTAATCTACAGAAGTGACCTTCTGTATCCTCCTTCAAATTGCTGGTAAAAATAGATAGGACACAACTTGTGAAATTACAGTTTTAAAGGGACACATACAATTGTAGTTATAGAAAAGTGTTCTTTTTTTTTTTCTTTTTGCTTTTTTCCAGTGTTTCTAGAGAAAGGAAAACATGACAACCCTCATTCTTTGCTTTATGGGGGTAGAGACCTTTTTCCTAGAACCCATGAGAGGAAATCTTCTGGAACTATGGGAGGGGAGGTGTGTCAGGGATGAGGGGTTCTGCTGGAGGATTCGTTATTTAGAAAGGCTAAGGCTTGTCTAAAATGTGGTGAAGGGCAGAAGAGGCAGAGTAAGAAACAAGAGGACTGGACAATGTCCCCAATAAGGAGGTTTCCTCCTGTCAGAGTCATCTGTTGTTGCTACTGTTGTTTTTTCTTTTTATCCAAGTAATAATATAAAGAACATGGGCAAAAATTGCTTTGCAACATCACGACAAACACTACAGCTACAGCTAAAACTTGGCAGTTTTGTAATGGACAGGCTTAGGCTGTCCATCTCACGGAAGAGAGGCAGTAGGAAAAATTCTGCCTCACCACCCACCACACACTGGGGAGGTGAGTACATTCATTACGACACCTTGTTCAGGCAAGAGGGAAGAATGAGGGGAAACATTCTAGAAGTTCTGTCAACATATAACCATCCTGGTCATAAAGAACTGAACCAAATACAATAAAGTTGAGAAGTCACCATTTCTATAGTGAATACTGTACTTTAATTCAGATTTAATTAACCAATTCACAAGCTATTACTCTGAAACAAAAACTTTTTACTAAAGGAAAAAAAAAGAACACATACAACCCAAAGACAATTTGATTTTACTTTATTGAATACTATCACACACATAATATTTACAGATGTAATTAAACAGAATTTATAAGATTACCATGTGGAATATTTTTCAAAGTTAATCTGAAACTCTTAATGAAAATCATCAATACATGTGTGTTACAATACAATAATAGAATGTAGAACTTTTCAGCCAATATCGTGATGGTTCACTTAATAAAAACTCTCTTTTCAAAAAGAGGTAAGTCGGAGGAAATATAAAAAAAAATTCAGAAAAAATATTTCCATATCTAGTCATAATCTTCCAGCTTTTCTGTAAAATAAATTATAGACTTTCTCAATTGCATACATGACTATTTTCTTAAATACCATATTTAACTTTTAGCATATTGGAGTTGTTTTTCTTTTATCGTATTTTCAGCATAGGTTTAAATGTTTTTCTTATGTTTCAAAAGGAATACATAATCTAAATTTAAAACCACATCTGAATATTACTTTAAAAATAGCAACGAGGCACGTGGCCACCATCACTACCTTGGCTCTTTATTACGGCTGGTCCACGGAAGGGAACCACATGGACAACAAAAGTGAAGGAGTCCTCTAACCAGCTCTAAGTGTGATTTATTGTAGATGCCAGTTGCTTTCACAGACATTAAGAAGACATCAGAAATATAGCATCTACACCGGTATGTCTGAGAGAATACATGCATCTGTGGGCTAATGGTCCTAACTTCCATCTATAACAATATTCTTAGACTAGAACAGACAGAAAATGTAGGGATTATGGTAGCACAGTGACATATGAGGGAGAGTTAACTTCTCTATCCGCACAAATGTAAAGGCGTTTCACTCTGATTTTCAGTGAGCTAGATTTACTACCCATACACAAAAGTCAAGAATTCTAGCATTTCTGATCTTTAAAAAGTAGAGAATGTGCTATTATACAGAGTTGATTTTGCTTTTGAAAAAGCATAGTTCTTCAAAAGATATTACTATCATTTTTGGAAAAACTAGATATTAAAAGGTAAAGGATCTAATCATATCTACTCATTTTGAAACATTTCAAAATCAGTGTGTCAGTGCTAGTAACTTCTATATTAAAACTCTGAAAAGCTAACTTAATAATTTGTAATGTATTCATTTTGTTAGAATAACACCACTGAAGGGGCTGATAAGCATTACTTAGAAAATCATGATGAATAAATACCATTTATTATCCATTATGTAAAAAATATTCACTTGTTAAAAAAGCTTCTGGAAATGGTAGTGGTGCTGAGTTTTAGGGTTTGTTTGTTTGTTTTCAGGTAAAATTTTTCCTTACATACAATAAACAGATCTTTTGCTCAAGAAATCCATTTTTCAGATAATATACAGGCAAGTTTCAGAATGTCATGAATTATCATGTAAATAACTGGAATGTAAATTAACGGTGCTTGAGGGGCCATTTTTAAATACAGAAAGTACGCCTATTCATGAACAGTTTAAGTAGCTGAAAAAATATATACAAAAATAAAGGTTGAAGTTGAAACAATGGTATAAAGTACACTTGCAATCTAAACCATGGTAGAGAGCATCTTCATCTAGTGATTGACTATTCAATGTTAACATATGCATGCATCTATTTTTTAGAAATCACATATACAGGCCAGGCGCGGTGGCTCATGCCTGTAATTCCAGCACTTTGGGAGGCCAAGGCGGGTGGAACACAAGGTCAAGAGATCGAGACCATCCTGGCCAACATGGTGAAACCCCGTCTCTACTAAAAATATAAAAAATTAGCTGGGCATGTTGGTGCACACCTGTAGTCCCAGCTACTCAGGAGACTGAGGCAGGACAATCGCTTGAACCTGGGAGGCAGAGGTTGCCATGAGCCAAGATCGCACCACTGCACTCCAGCCTGGTGACAGAGTGAGACTCGGTCTCAAAAAAAAAAAAAAAATCACATATACATATGCTAGATATGTTTCTATTAAATGTAAATATAGCCAGGTGCAGTGGCTCATGCCTGTAATCCCAGCACTTTGGGAGGCTAAGGCAGGTGGATCACTTGAGGTCAGGAATTTGAAATCAGCTGAGCCAACATAGTGACACCCCACCTCCAATAAAAACACAAAAATTAGCTGGGCATGGTGGTGGGCGCCTGTAATCCCAACTACTCAGCAGGCTGAGGCAGGAGAATCGCTTGAACTCAGGGGTAGGGGGGAGGTTGCAGTGAGCTGAGATTGCACCACTGCAGTCTAGCCTGGGCGACAGAGTGAGACTCCATCTCAGAACAACAACAACAACAAAAATGTAAATATACTACTATAAATTTGAATTTTTTTTCTAAAGCACATTATTTTCTTCTGAAAGTTGCCTTTTACCAACTTTACCATCAAAGTTTGTTACCATCAAAACACTGATGATTGCTGTGTCTTGGTTAACAGTACGTTAATGTCAGGGGCACATAGTAGCTTTCTCAAGATGCATACCTACCTATATGGTCAATAGTTGATCATTTTTCGAAGGGCATCATAACACTTCCATTTGTCTGGGATGTAGAATGGTTCAAAAATGTGAGGAAATGGTGTGTCATAACCACATACTCTTGATATAGGAGCCTCTAGGTTCAAGAAACATTCCTCCTGCAGACAGAGTCAGGATGCTTAACTTCAAGAATTTTTTTTACTCACAGAAATGAAATAGTGCAACTTAAAATATTTCACTTACTAAAAATACAATTGCATCTAAGGACATTAAAAATATTTAAGTATACTGTAATATGAAAAAAGCAGGTAACAGCATGTTCGCATGATCCCAGTTTTATTATGTGTTTTCATGTATGCATATGCATTTTATACCTGTATATATATCTATTGTCTAAGCCAAACTGGGATAATATCAAATACGCTGTTCTACGAATATAAATGGAAAGAATTATAAAAATGCAACAAATGTTCACAGTAGTTAACTCTGCAGCATGAAACTGGCAATAATATATACCTTCTCATTTTCTGTTTTTCTCACATTTTATACAATGCACATGTATTACTTTCATAATAAATGTTTGTAATTCCTCCATGCCCCAGCCAGACTGAACTTCTATCAGTTACTTAACTGTGTTCTCATCTCTCTCATAGTCTAGCTTTTGCAGATAATGCTGGGTCTCTGGCCACTCACACCCCAAGTCCACAGCTCTTTGCCTGACTGATGTGTGTACAAATCTCAGGTTATTACCTGAGGAATCACTCCCGCTGGGAAGCCTTCCTTGACAGCACCTCCCCAGCCCTACAGGGCAGATGAGGAAGGGGCTTGTGCTCTGAGCTCCCAAAGCACCGAACTCGGCATAATCCATTGTAGTTGCCCAATTATCTGTCTTCCATGAGAGACTATGAGTCCCATGAGGCTAGAGATCTGATTTAAACATGAAAACCTCAACCACAGTAGAACACTGTAGAAAATTATTTTCAGGAGAAAAAAAATGTTACTCAAGTAAAATATTCAAATTTGAATTTATTTTGAAATAGGGTCTCACTCTCTCGCCCAGGCTGAAGTGCAGTGGTGCAAACACGGCTCACTGCAACCTCGATCTTCCAGACTCAAGCAATCCCACCTCAGACTACCAAGTAGCTGTGACCACTTGTGCACATCACCGACGCCTTCCTTTGTTCCTTTTCTTTTCGTTTTTTTCTTCCCTTTCCTTCCCTTCCTTCCCCTTTCTTCCCTTTCTTTTTTTTTTTTTTTTTTTTTTTCAGAAATGAGGTCTTCTTATGTTGCCCAGGCTGGTCTCAAACTCCTGGGCTCAAGTGATCCCCTAGCCTCAGCCTCCCAAACTGCTAGGATTACAGGTGTGAGTCCCCAAGCCCAGACTGAAAATAAAACGTTTAAAGGCTTAAAAAATTTAAAAGGGATATGTGATTAAACTATTCTAAGGAAAATAATATTACTTTTAACATTCACAGCTATTACTTAAAATAAAACCTTCATATTTATTCATGTGTTTACACATTGCCTTGCTTTATAAAGGATTTAAGGAGGTCCAGTTTTTTTTACATATTATACTATGTTCACATTTTAATTTGAGCAAAATTTTTACATGAAGGAATCATGATACCTCATGCTTTATCCCTACCCCCTGTGTGATTTCTTCCAGTGACAAGTGTATTGGGGCAGAAAGAAAATGCAAACAGCACAAATTAGCTCCAAAGAGAACCTACTGGACATTTACAGACCTCCCTTTGGCCCCAATAACTATCATGATTTACAATATCAAACACCAAATAAGTGTTGGTATTCCCTAGCAACTGGAAATCTCCACGAACAACTTTAGGACTTTTAATACACACGGTTTAAAGAGCCACCTAAGAGATTCCACTACTAATAAGCTGAAAAGAGATGACAGACTGGGTGGATTATTTCTTGTTTGCAACAAGTAATTTTAAAGGGCTTTAAATTGTCAATTTGGGATTAAGTCGGTTTTATTACTTTAGCTGACACTGGGCTGTTTTTCCATCTTCCCTGAATACTGAACTCTTCATAAACAAGCTATCCATGGAGAATTAAGGGCAAAATATTTTACTAAACGTCTTTGATTTTATACCTGTTATAAAATGACTGTTCTCTTGAACCAGTAACTTGGAAAGCTGGCCTACCACAAGAAGTTCTGTTGGTATTTGTTAAAATCACTCCTTTCAGCATAATGACTAACATCATCAAACTGGATTTTTATTTTTTCAAATAGCAATGCTCCTAACTCCTCAAGAATGCAAGCATCACTCTTTCCAGGAATACATCTATATGTCTGCACGAGCATAGAAAAACATCTGCTGTGAAGACACACTTGAACTGTAAACAGTGGTTACCCTTTGAGGCTGGGAATGACAAGGAGGTGAGAGAAGACTCCACGTTGTGCTTTATAATATATTGTTTTGGTTTTTCGAAAACAGTATTAATTTTGTAATAAATGATGCTGAAATAAAGGAAAACAGTAAAGTGAATAATGATTTTCTTATATGAATAAAAGTTCCTGTGTTATGTTACATAAATTTGTGATTTTACACATAGGGCTTCCTTAATTTGGAAACGATTACTGTAAATTATGTAGCATTAAGTTGTTATAATACGCTATTATAAGTATATAAAATATAAAAATCATGGAAGATAATTCAAGGATATATAAGAGAAGACTACGAATAGGATATCAGTCTTTTTAAGAATATATGCTAACTGACTGAAACAGCTTGAAATTCTCTTCACCAACAAAAGTATATTAAAGAGCCTTAAGTTATTTCTTCCATGAACTTCACTTTACACTTATTTTTAAGCAGTTGGAAATAAGACCCTTAGGTCAATTAAGCAGCTGTACTTACTTCTCACTGAATTGGTTCACATATAAATAATTTATGTGTGAGTATGTTTCTCTGCACTACCACCAAAACAGAACACCTTGTTCAGCCTCAGTGTTTTCATGCAGAAGCTGTATACATGTACGTACGTACGTATGTACACACACACACAAACACACACACACACACAGAAAAAAAATACCGAATCCCACTGGCAAGTTTGTAGATTAATGAAGACAAAGTATCTCTCCATTATAAATACATGACGCCATAACCATAGCAACCATGTGCCCTGAATTTTCATGACAATTCAGATTAATCATATTCTTCTGTTCCATAACTTAAAAACCATATTTGATGACTTTTCATTCAGAAAAAGTAAGCCACATAAATTGGGAATTAAGTAATGGCATAGCCTACAGGGCTGTTGAGAGACTTACATGTATTATGCAGAATATGGGCTAGAAACGGGGAGTGTTCGTTTATGGTCTTTCTCCCCACAGAGCTGTGTATGTAAGCTGGCTCAGTTCACGTGGAACAATAACATATGTGGCTGTGAGGCTCCAAAGCAGATTATAGTGTAACATGTAACCAGAGACGACAGGCACCTAGAGAAACTTTTCTCTAGCTACTTGGGGTCTAAAGTTGCACCCAGGATCCAGTAAGAAGGACTGAAAATGAACCCCAAAACAACAATTTAGTACCGCCTACATATATTCTGTTGGCAATGTGAAAGCACATATGACAGGTGCTTAAAGAAAAGTAGCTATTTCTTCCAAAAGACGCTGTGAAATTTTAGAATATAGTATTTGAATTTACTTCTGAATATGCCTTTTTGCAACAGGAGAATTTTCATTCTAAATTATGTTAATAATAAACCAGGCATGGGCTAAATGAGTTATATTTTATCTAATTTAACCATCTTAACAAATCCATGAAGTCAGTATTATACTCCATTTCACAGGTGAGGAAACCAAGATAAAGGAGGTTGCCCAAGATCAAATCGCTACATACACAGCCAAGTAAGATTCGAACCTGACTACAAAGCCCATTTTCTTAGTCACTCTTCTGCAAATTTTAAGACCCTACTATTGAGAATAGCAATGATAAGGGAAAAAATTGAATTAGGAATAAAGAAGAATGGTAATGTGGAAGGCAGGCTTGGATTATCAAGGTTTGACAATATAGCCTTGAGGGCCATATGAGTTAAGTTCAGTCTTAGAAGCCTCTTTCACATATAAAGAAAGGTGTAGGCTAAGATATGTGAAGGAGCTGAAAACACAAACTTGATCATGAAGGTAATACACAGAGCAATGAACAGATGGTCCTGGGTAGTGGGAACCTCCTAAGCCACACTAAATGATTCCAATAAGCATAACTCCAATTGTTTATATATTAGCCATCTGGATTGCTATGCACATTATAGCCAGAAAAGAAAGCAAACAATGTGAAATAACAATTCCAAATCATTAAAGTCACAGACACAGGCAAAATATCTTCATTTGACTATTTTCTGTAACAAAACAAAACAAATTTACCTTTTTGTCTTGTTTCATTTTTGGAAAATGAAGTATCTTGTTAAAATTAGGAAGGACAGACAACCTTTAAATTTTCTAGCAGGTAAGAGAGGACAAGCACAAATTAAAAGAATAAGATCCATTACGGTTTTAAGTAAAATATATTTATGGGGCTTTTAAAAATTAAGAGTACGTCAATTTATTCCCATGTTTTGATGAATGTAATATGTTACATATTATGTGTCCATAAAAACACATATATTAAGGTTTTCACAGGTTTCCTTGGGATCTCTCAATATCTAACCCTATTTCTCCATTCAAGTTTTAAGTATGTCAATCCCTAATTCTCCTTGTCACAGTGTCACTGGAGTTACATCACTGAAACCTCTGTCTCAGGCATTACACATCGTGGCTTCGCTCATCCTCAACAATTTTTTTTTTTATGGCAAGGTTTCATAATATAATTGATACAGCACGGAATTTGGAATTCTATCTGAAGGGATCTTTGTTCCATTGTGACTTAACCTCCCCGAGGTTTATACTGTTTATTCAACATCAAAATAGAAGTATTACAATTCCCCATTATTGCAGTTTCATATTGTTTTATGACTCTATTGTTATCTTGCCTCTATGTCTACTTAGATTCTGCAGTAGCATATAAAAAGTACCTGGTTTCATGCCTGACATGTCATAGTGCTCAATAATTGCTAGATTTTACAAGTTAAAGGAATCCCATATTTATAATAAGCACAAGGTATTTTAAATAATAGAACAAATTATCATTAAAGACAAAATTCAGGTACACAGAACGGTCAAACCTGAAAAGTAGCATCCGTATAGCACAATGCCTAAACAGCTAACATTTATTAAACACTTACTAAGCCTAAAATGTGTAAGAAAATACCAAAAATACGTAAGGCCTGTATGAGGAAGAGGGGTGGAGAGCACTGCCAGAAAGCCTTAAATGCACTCAGGCCTCTAGGAAAGGCAGTGTCCGGTGCTGCCCCCTGGTGGGGTGCAGGACGCCTAAACGCTAATTGCTGGTTCCGGGGTCGGGGGCTGGAAATCCCTCCGCGCACACAAGGTGCCTATTTCCCACTATAGAAAAGTGGCCTGTCAGTCAACTTCCGAAAAGTTAGAGTAAAAAAGCCCAATAGACAACTGGATGTAATGAACGTATACACACTTTAAAAAACAGAGTCAAGAATAAAGACCATCCAATATCATTTGGTGTGCTTTTAAAGCAATCATTTGCTTTTTGTTTTTTAATGCAAGACAATTCCAGGCTCAGATTTATTTCTAAGAACAATTTTGGAATAATTTTTACTCAGTTCTTCTGACGGAAAGTTGGCTACAGCCCATTGTGCAAGACTATATACCATCTTGAGTTGGAAAACTGTGAAGAAAAGTTCAAAGTGAGATCGGAAAATTATAGGTCTTTTATATATGTTCCTACTTCTTATATAGCTGGTATAGACTGATAAATTTCCTTTCTTTTCCTGCAAAACTATTAACTAATTTTTCTAAACATTTAATGGAAAGCCAGAAAAGCAGGACATTGTACTAAGAAACATATCATAAGTCAAAACAGGCATACGTTTCCTGTAGGATTATCTGATAAATCAGGATTTTATGTTGCTCCTTGGACCAATGAGAAACATCACTCCACAACTTAATTTCCAAGTAGCAACTCAGAAAATAAACATTTAAATTACTTTGCAAACAGCAAGGTCCAGGTTATTTCATGTAATCATTATACTACCACAACACACTTAACTATGAGAATATATTTTATTTGGACAGGACTAAATTATAAATATAATGGATAAATATATATGTAATATAAATTATAAATATAATGAGTATTGAACAGAACATATAGCGATCATGGAGCTATCATTTCTTCTCTAGGAAAAAAACATTAAGAAATAGTTTTAAATGCTGTGTGAATGTGCTTACTTTTAAACCTAAATTGGAACACCATTTAGTCCTTAATTATTAAATTAATAAAACAGCAGATATTCTGCTTCTAAATGCAATTACCTTCTAGAGGTCATAATTAGTAGTATAAGAGTTAAACTCTAAGAATATGAGAAAAACAAAACCAGTATTCTAAAATGATGTATAGTTGATACTTTTGAAGTCCGTGAACTCACAGATTTATATTTGTCCTAGTTATGTAAGGCTAGACATCACTCAGCTTCCAAATATTATCACAGAATATTTACTTTAAATTTGTTTTAAATCTGCCATGAACATTTGCCCATAGTCAAAACATGAGTTTTAGCAAATGAGAAAAAAATGATTCTGGTCTCTTGAATCACACTTTCTCAGCAAATGAGTCACAGAAACCTGTGAAGGCAGTATGCCAACAACTCCAAATTAATTTCATTACTGAATTAAATAAACAGAACTTTACGAATGTAAAATATTATTTTTCATTTAAGCTAATGCTTTAAACAATACATATCATGTTTGAAAAATAAAGTTTAAAAATAGTATGTACCCAATTTTTCAAGAGCATGGATCTATCAAATTAATTATTTGGAAAGCAGAGTCCCTAACCTACCCCCAAACTAATAGGATGCTCCCCCAAATGTTAGAAGTATGCTTATTTTATTTTGTTAACACCATGCACATGAGATGCACAGAACAAACACTCATTGATATAAGGTCTCTCACTTTTAAAACACAGTTGAACCAATGAGTAAGACAGTAAATAATATAATTTCATCCAGATTTGTATAACACTTAAAATATTATTATCAAGCCTATTTCAACAGTGCTTCTATGTAAAATCATAATCTTGACTAAATTAAAATCTGAGATCTCTATTACTTAACTTCACTGAACTATCTTCAATGCCTGCTGACTTAAAAAAAAATCCATCTCTTCCTCCTTAATGCAAATTACTGGCAATCTGGTAAATTTGGTTTTTTTTTGTTTTTTTGGTTTTTTTTGCTAAGATTTCTTTCCGCTAGTTAAAGAATGGAACTGAATCCTAAATTAGGATTTTTATTTAAATTCAGATTCCATTTTTAAAGTGGATGCTTATTTTTTGAAGTTAGAACGAAATGTTATTTCTGATCTAAATGGGTTTCCCTGGATACAATCTAGCTGCCTAAAACAAAGTTGGAGAATGGTATTAACAAATTCTTAGAAATAATTAGTAGTTCAAATTCAACAGCTGTGTCAGAATAAAATCATACATTAATATAAAATTGTCAGAACCTCAATATATTACCTATAGAAACTGAAATAAATTTTAAAATCAAAATTTAACATTAAATCAATAATTTATGTATTAATTTAGAGATTATAACAATTTTAAGAATATGAATTACTATTTTCTCAAAACTATAGCTTTATAAATTTTGCTATTTTAAAATCAGAAATAAGTAACAACAGGGAAGTGACAACTCATTTCTGTAATTTATAATCTTACATAAAGTCACTTTTTAAAAAAGTACACTGTGCTTATTGTTGTCCAGAGACCATACTTAAATATTTTAAAATATTAACTCATTTCAATTTTTATAAAATCTAAATTAGCAATCATAAAGGTAAGAACTAGCACCTCATATAAACCACTTTGTTTTTCCAGGTAAAATCTGTAAAAGCTTGTTTCTGCTTTCAAATTCTCCCCTGCATAGTCTTGAACTATCAAAGTTTCCTCACCATTTTCACCTGCAGAGCACTGTGAGAAACAACGGCAAAAAAAAATTTTCTTCACTAAATCTCTCTGCAAAACATTCTGTTTATTTGCTGTAGTCAGCCTCTAAAGATGTTTGAGGCTTTAAAAGTTCAAAGTCTAAAATTTAAATTCTTTATGAGATACACTATGTGCAAGTTTTGACATTTAAAATGTACTGGGCTACCATGCTTTTGTTAAAACACTTTACATTCAATAAAGAGGAAAAAAGGCAATGCTCTCAAATTTCCACAGACGCTGAAGCTTCTCAAATTTTATAGTTCAAATTCTTCCTATAGAAGAAAGCACTGACGGCAACGTTTGAAAGTGGAATTTCCTTAGAATGTGGAAGCATAATGATAAACATAAGCGACTTGCAGCACTGGGTCATCTCATGAACAAATCGCTCTCTGTAAGGTAGGATTTCTGATTTGCTTGGCACCAAGAAATGTAAAATACTCCTGAAAAGTGGCTTTTGATGATCATACAAAGCATTCAATTTTTCTTCTTTTTTTTTTTTTTTTCCCACAAAATTCTTCATCTAGCAGTCTTAACACCACCAAATGGTGTTCTGAAGACAGAAATCAATCCTGGCTAAAGCAACCAGACAATTCTTTTGTCTCACGAAACAGAAAACATATTCTTTTAGAATTTGAAAGATTAGAGCTACATTAAGATTTCTCCTAAAACTTGTTACTGTCCCAATTTTGCAACCTGTTTTTAAGTTTGAAGACTAATTACAAAACGAAACTACCAGAATAGAGTGATTTCTCCCTCTCTGGCACCATCTTTCTAAAAAGTATGAGAAGCCAGACAGTTTTTGAAAGGATTAAATTAGACAAAATAAAAAGTATATATATATACATATAAAAAATGATGACTGAAATATTTGCTATTTTACAAATTGTAATCTTTTGATAAAACAGTTTTATTTTACTGCTTTTTCCCTTCTCTTTAAATATGCTAAATTTCTTTTAGTGTATGTTTAAAAGAATGCAAAGGACTTGCTAAACATAAAAAAGACAAGAAAAGGGGGAGGGGGGAATCTATTTTTATCTACACAATGCCAAAAGAGATGTACCAATGTTTTTACTAAAATTAAACTTTTTTTTTTTTTTAACAGTTAATCTTGGGTGCCATAGCAACACAGCCTTTAAAGCTTGGTTTTGCTCAGTGAATAAATCAGACCAAGTCATTTTTCAGCAGTTTAATTCCAGTCACCAGATCACTGCAATTTTACTAATAAAGCACAGCAGAAATAAATGTTCTATACTATCATCATTAGGGAAATGTAATCAGAAATTTGTTAATTGAACCCCATTAGTAAATTTATCTTTGTACTCTCAAAGTTTAATAATTGAACAAATTAACAAAGCAAACAAGTTTCTGGCAGGAATATCTGACCTAAGTAAGAAAAAATTGCTTGAAATTGCCCTATTATTTATATGCAGATGATTTTTGCTAGCATGATGAGTTCAAACTATTCATTAAAACACATCTAGCAATTGTAATTATTGTTTGTATCCAATGGAAATAAAATTCAGAATTCAAAATATACTTTTCTACTATATTTACCCTATGGTTCAACTTTAAATTTGGTTAGTATTTTATACAAAGAAGTCTTTCAGATTGAATGTCTTAATTTGCATGCACACATTTTCACATTCAAATTTCAAGAACTGGGAGACATTTCAGAATTAGGGGAAAAATACACATGCCTCCTTTTTTACTCCCATAATTGGGTAAATGGTATGCTGATAAGATGAGCCCAGTTTTATACCTATTTTCACAAAGTACATATTACATGCTCAGTATAGACAAATTTCTAATAAATCTGATAAAACCATTGATCCATTAATGAAGAGGTAGTTAGTGACTGGAATCTGGTTCTGGATACTTTCATAGTTAAGTATAAAATATAAAATTAAAAATGCCCAGAGATACTATTTATTAATAAACTTAGGTAAACTAAATGTATATAGTTCATATAAAAAGCTATTAGTCACATATTTTGTTTAGATGAACCAGGGCATTTACTTAATAATTTTTATCTACTTACTTGGGGCTAAACTACATAAATTCAATCATGTCCCTCAATTAGGAATTACAGGCTACTAGAGATACAGGAGTTTGTGTATTTGTCATACACCAAAGATAATGACTTATATAAGCACCCATGGACACGCAAACAATTCCGTGCATAATTGGCACATCCCATCCTGGCGGAAATCCAGAGAAACAACATGGAGGCATATAGAAAAAAAATGTATTTGCCCATATGCCTGTTTTAAAAAAGGAATATGTGCATGTGTACAAAGAACAAAAAAACCCAGCTATTTAGTTACCCAGACTAAATAGTAACCACACAGATATTATTTAATCATAAATAAAAATAGCTGTTTATATAGTCTCCTTTAATCCTTTCAACAACTTTATGTAGTAGTAAAGACAAGAAACTGAAGCTGGGAGAGGTTAAGTGAGGTGACCACTATCACACAGGTGTACAACATTTGCTGGTATATGCACCAAGGCTCCTGGTTAATTTTAGGTGCACTGCATAAGACTTCAGGTTTAAGTTTTCGTAAAAGTCTTGCTTGGATACAAGGGGAATTCTGTACTTAGTGCTATTATTGTACCTATGAAAAAGAGACTAGTAGAATTATCTGCATGTTTATGTCAAGTCCAATAAGGATTTTAAAAACATTTATAAAAAGCTTAGCCGTTTAATTCCTTTTTGGGGGAGCTAGGGGGTCGGTCATTGGGGAATACAGGATCTCTTTAATCAGAGTTACAGTAGGTTCCGTACGAATTTGTACTTTTTTTTTTTTTCTTTTTAGTGCTTGCTGGGAAGATGAGCAAGTAAGAGGAAGGATGGACATGGGTGGAACTTTCTGATTAATTCCTAGCCGTTTGCCTGCATGCAGGGCATGAGCTGCCACTTGAGTTCTAAAACTGGTTTTGAATTCTGATTTGAACCTGATTCTGACTTGAGATTTGATGGTGAACATATGGTAGGATGTAAGTTTGAAGGTGTTTTTTTTTTTTTTTTACTATAAGGGTAAAAAAAATCATCAGAGTGCTTCATCAATAAATTAAACTTGTTCCCTCTCATTTATTTCCTTATTTATGGCTAGACAAATTTAGGTAACTAAGTAATTTGATTAAAATGTGACAACTTTTTGACAGATTAGAAAATATTTTACATAAACATAGTTTACAAGTTTTATCCTAGCCTTAACTTAAACTGGAATATAAAATTTAACCTCTCCTCTCAGTATTTTACAGCTATTCTCCACAGTTAATTCACTTTGTAGAACTCTAATACTAAAGAACAAACTTCAGGAGTATTTAAAGAAATGTCTCGAGTATAAAATTAAATTCATTTTTTTTCTTTGCAATTAAAGCAACACATACCAGAACAAGCCATTGCAATTAAATTAACCTTAAAATGTAAATACAAGTGCAGTATAGGATCTCACTGTCTCAGACTGCACTCTCCAGCTTCAAGTGGTGGTTATTGGCACAGCCCTCACGGCTGGCACTGGGGTGTTTATTAAAGAGCTGTGGGCTCTCATGAGAGGTGTAAAGCTAGTTGTACACACATAAGCGCCATCAAGCAGACATGGGCACATGCTGATGGATCAATCCCCTTGCACAGGTCTCAGTTGTCTGAGACAAGCATTTCAGTCATCCCTGCGAAGCACAGCTTTTAAAAACTCTTCAAAAAATTATATATGCATATAATACATCTGGGTTTATGGTGCATTAAATTTCATCATTTTCAATTCCTAGTCCCCCCCAAATGAGCATGCTTACAATTGACATAACAAATAACCAACCCCCAAGGATTTTCTTTAGGTTTCTTCAAATGCTAATTATGTAGCAAATCTAATTAAGCTCAAGTGAATCACTTCAGCAGTAGGTACTTTGGTTACTTCATAAATGCCAAAAGGGATGAGAAGTGTCTATTCTCCCTCCAAAGCAGTCATGCTGTGTGCCAAACTGATAACTGTTAAACACAGCTGCAGAGCAAATGTGCAGTTTTGGTCCTGTAAATACAGTGTTCACACATCAACCTGCGCTGTGAGTGATGTAGAATTCAGAACAACCGACTGCAGATTGGCTCATGTTACATGAGTATTATAGATGAGTGCTGTTTCACCCAGCACAGCTTGAGCAGATTTTGATGGGCCATGAAAGTTCCCTCTACCTAAGAATATATACTGAAACTCTAAAAACCCCAAATATTGATAAATTTATTGGATCAACATCTGGTTGAAGTGGTTTGCTTTTAAGCTCCATAGCTCACAAGAATAAAAGTATAAAGGTCATTTTGTGTGTCTGAGAGCACATTTATGGAATGGTTAACACAAAAATCTATTATTTAATGTCATCCCTGAAGAAATATATGCTGTCTTTATTATAAATGTTTTTCCTTTAATTCCAGTAGGTAAAAGTGCAAAACAAACCTATAAGCAAATCTAAGCTAAAATAAACTCTTTTTATTTTAGAAACTCAATTTCCATGGAAGGAAATCCTTTTCAGAGGGGCTCTCTCAACTGGGTGGGTTGCCGGATGCTTAAGGCCATGACTGCATTCCCTCCAGAGGCTGTTAGATCACTATGGCAACTAACTTTTCCCTATCAATAAGCAAGAGCTACAAACGCTAATATTCTGAAAAAGCCATTTCCTTTTCTGTGGCATTAACAATATAACCTAGTTTCAAGATAGAAATATACCTCTTTTTGTGCAAAACGATTATCTTTGCTGGTAATTACTAGAATTCAGCTTTGCAAATAAATGCAAAAATAGCAAAATCAGCCACTGTACTTCAGTTTCAAAACAAGGTAAAATTTGTGACATAGTAATCTAAGGATGGTACAGCTAAAGTGGGTTGGGTGTGTAGGTCTGGGCAGAAAAAAAATTGGGTATTTTAGGAGCAAATGTCATATGAGAAGGAAAACTGACAAGAAAACAACACATGCTTCCACGTAGCTCTTGGAGTTTCTTAAAAGAAGCACACATTTCAACAGTTATATTTCATACCTGTAGTTGTTTCTAGATATCTAATTCTTACTGTGTAGGGTAACAAATAAATTGACATTTTCCAAATTAAATACATATCCTTCCTATTTAGGGAGGTATTTGCCAGCTTTGTCTTCACTGGTTCGAGTATCAACAGCTAAATCTCTTAAGTGGTGTCTCATTTTAGGTATGCAAAAACATCTCCAAGTATCACATACACAGATTTACAAGCCCAAATGGATCAGAGGTACAATGACTGACATGGAGCAGGGATCAGTAAATATTTGTGAATGCATAAATATAGATTAAACAAACAATTCCAGTTTGTATTTCTATTCTGTATCATCCTGGAGTATTAATGAGCTTTGCTACTGATGAGGCCAAATATATATATATGTCAGCAAGACAGGAAGTAGGGTGTGGATGCTTTTACTTCTTAGCAATTCCTGAACCTTCAACTCATCCACTAGATGCCACACTGGTGCCATTTTGATCATGTCCCTTTCCTAGATAAAAGGTTTTCCTGGTTCCCCAAAGTTTATTCTTTATCTCTATTTTCTCCACAAAGCCCAGTAAAGACATGCACATGCCTGCCTTCATACCAAAGCTTTTTTTTTTTTATAAGATCACCTTGACACAAGCCTCTCTCTTCTAAAACTCTTGTTTTCCTACACCCTGCTATCTTCACATTCTACTTTTCAAAGTCAGCTCAAATGCCCTTCTCCACGAGCCTTTAGGATGTTGGTACTGATCTTTTTAAAAATGCATTCATGTTTCAATCACTTATTAATATGTGAGTGTCCACAATGTCCCTATCCTCATAGAGTTTTATGTTTTAGTTGGGGGAAGGTGTTTGAGGAGTGCTAAAAAGGAAGTAAGTAAGGGGTCTGTGATAGAGACTAACAGGGAGCTCTGAGTTGCACAGTATGCTCAGGAAAGGGCTTTCTAAGGTGGTGTCATTTGAGAAGGAGAAACCAGATCTGCAAAGAACCCAGGAGAAGCACTCCTGCCAGGTCACACAGCAAGTACAAAGCTAGGAATGCAGAAAGGAGCCTGGTGAGATCCAGTTATTGAGAGAAGGCCTATGAAAGGGCAGCACCAGCACAGGGAGGAGGGGGAGACACCCAAAGTGGGACAATGGAGCAGTAGGAAGCAGGGGACAACCAGATGCAACCACAGTGTCTGATGGCCAGTTGACCAGCCCTGCCAGGAAGACAGTAACAGATTGTCTTCATACTTTACATGGCTATATTTTATAGAATATATACAGGGGTAGCTAGGAAGCATTACAAGACTCTCCAGGAAACCTCTCAGGGTTCATTTATAGGATACCCAGAAATATCATTAGATGTGAGTAATATTTTTGCTGGTAATCTAAGTGAGACACAATACAGTGAGTGGTAAGTCAAACACACTATCAATATGAGCAGATCCTATGTTTTTGTAATTTCATGAAAATTATTTTATTCAGTAAAAAAGTTTTTAAGGAGTAATACTAAAATGCCCATTTCTCAGAAACTTAGAAAAATTAAAATAGGGGATTTTAGAATTGAAAGAAGTTAGTCACTGTAGTTTGTAAGTAATTGGAATCCTTTCTTGGCTACTATTCAAGTATTTTTTCTCTTCTAGTAATCTAATATATTTATTACCATATCTAGTGCCTTAAAGATATCAATTTCCCATTTACTCACACTACTGGTTTCCACTCCCTATTTCTTACCTCTTTCAGTATTTTTTAAATGATTATGTATTGTAAAGAAAAAGGCTCAAAATTGAGCAACCTAGCAACATGCACAAAGATTGTATTTTTATAAATGTTGTCTATTGTATCTTTGGCAAGGAGTAGGAATCTACCGTGGAGAGAAACAGATTTTCATCTGCTTTATCTAGGGGCAGTAAAGGAAAACCTTTCTCCCTCATTGACATTCTCTCTGTGTTTTCAGTCACTAAGGCTGATTAAAATACAGCAAATTCTGAGCTAGTACCATAATAATTTTGCTACCTAGCAACTTGGGGTAATTGCAAGTTAGTCTAAAAATGAAGGCAAAATAAAATTAGAAAGTTTTCTGTATACCCAATTATACAACGTTCAGGAGGGTATATTTGTTTTCCCTTAGATTCCGATTTATGAGATTTCTGATTGTTTGAAAATTCTACTATGTCGCCTCTAGATATGCACTGATCTCTTATAAAGTATAAGTTAATTCCAATCAGCTAACTTTTTATGTTGTGAAAAATGTTCCCTTTGGGAAAAACTAAAGAATGACAAAACATCTCAACTTCTTTGGGTTTAGGGCTAATATTGTATTAGAAAGGAGACGAGAGTCCTTGTCCTGAATCTGTTATCAACTAGGTGAGTGACAAGACAGTGTAGCTCTCCCTTTTCCACTCAATCAGCCACACTGCCAGTGTACACTGATCAGCATGATAATAAAGAAAATCAAACTCCAGTAGCTAAAAGAGTAAATGCCCTTCCTGAATCCTTTTAATAGAATATATCGTAGCATGCAATGTCTGGCACAAAGCAGGCATTCAACAAATCAAAGTTTACCTGCAAAATCTAGTTTTCCCTTATCTTAATATCTCTCAGGCTGGGAGAATGAGAAGGGCTTGAAAGTCCTTAGTCCCTCAATACTGGTAACAGAAACATAGTCTGAACAAAAAGAACTTCAGCCCTTGGTTCTTGACAAAGCTCAACTCAGATGGTCGTCAGGTGACCATTTTAATACTAAAAGGCAGACAAAAAGAAAAGAACATACAGATGGTCACAGAGAAAAAATGAAAGGAAGGAAGGAAGGGAGGGAGGGGAGGGGAGAAGGGAGGGGAGAAAAGGGGAGGGGAAAAGGGGAGGGAAAAAAGAGAAAGGAAGACATTAAGAAACACCAAGGACCTTATGAAATCATTAAACACTTTTTTAAGAGGCATTATTCTGAATAAATGCTGAAGGGGGCTAACTTCATAGTAGCGAGATCACAAAGTACATAAAAGCTGGCCATATTGGTATAATATTACCACCATAAACAAAATGGGTGGGGAAAGACATCTTGAAAGAGAAGTATGAGAATTCCTCAAATACGAGGTACAGAGAGGGCAGAGAAAACACTATTTATTTTGTAATAAAAACCTAAAAAGTTGGACGAACTCTTTCATGGTGAAATGCAAAAGACTGCAAGTTTCCTGAGACCTTCCCAGCCTTGTGGGATTGTGAGTCAATTAAACCTCTTTCCTTTATAAATTACCCAGTCTCAGGTATGTTGTTATAACATTGTGAGAATGAACTAATACAGTCCCCAAATTAAGAAATGTTCAACTTAAAAATTTTTTGATTTTACAATGGTGCAAAAGCAAAATGTATTCAGTAGAAACCGTACTTTACTCATACAACCATTCTGTTTTTCACTTCCAGTATTCAATAAATTACATGAAATATTCAACACTTCATTATAAAATAGGCTTTGTGTTAGATGATTTTGCCCAACTGTAGGCTAATGACCACACTTAAAGCATACAAGGCTAAGTTACAGGTTAGGTGTATTAAATGTATTTTTGACCTACGATACTTTCAATAATGAGTCTACTGGAAGGTAACCCCATCATAAGTTGGGGAGCATCTGTACTGTTTTTGCAACTTCCTGCTGGCTTATACTTATGTCAAACTTAAACAATTTTTTTTTAAAACATAGGCACAGGTTAAAAAGAGTACCTTGCTAATCTGAATCTTACGATAACAAAGAAGGCATATATATGAGAAGGTAGAAAGGCTGGAAATTGGAGTCAAGTAATAAACAAGGCTCTCATGTAGTCTGTCAGTAAACATCTGTGTGACTCTGGGCAAGTTACTTACTCTTTTTTTTTCTTTTCTTTTGAGACTGAGTCTCGCTCTGTTGCCCAAGCTGGAGTCCAGTGGTGCGATCTCAGCTCACAGCAACTTCTGCCTCCTGGGTTCAAGCAATTCTCTGGGATTACAGACACAAGCCACAATGCCCTGCTAACTTTTGTATTTTTAGTAGAGATGGAGTTTCACCATATTGCCCAGGCTGGTCTCGAACTACTGACCTCAAGTGATCTACCTACCTCGGCCTCCCAAAGTGCTGGGATTACAGGTGTGAGCCACTGTGCCTGGCCAAGTAACTTACTCTTCTTAGTCTGTTTTCCTCTTTTGTAGAAAGGGTAGTCCTCTATCCTACAAAGTTTCTAAAAATTGGATGTGTTAATTTTAGTGAAATCCAGTACATGATTGGCATACAGTGGATCTTGAAAGAAAAATCAGTTTTCTTGCTCCTATAACCTATACTATACTATGGTGAAACAAAGTGAGAGACAGACATAAAACAGAATTTCATAGGTCAACAATAAAGGTCTCAAATGCCAAATCTAAGTGATGCCTCAGCCTGGAGGATTACAGAGAAGATCTCCAAGAATACCGGACTTCTTTCATTCATCAAACAGTAGCATTCAGGCTCTGCTATAGTAAGCTTATGGCGGAGACTCTTTCCTGAAAAATGTATCCCCACATCTTTAAAAATAACGTTTTATTTTGAGGTATTTTAAAATTTAGATAAAAACTATGAAAACAGTACACAGTTTTCCCATATATCCCACAACCGGTTTCCACCATTGTTAATATTATTAACATCCTACACTAATATAGTGTATTTGTCACAATTAATGAACCAGTATTGACACATTAACTAAAGCCCAACCTGTATTGAGATTTCCTCGGTTTTGCTCTAATGTCCTTTTTCCACTCTGGGATCCCATCCAGAATCCAAATTACATTCAGTCCTCTTGTTTCCTTAGTATCCCTTGGCTGCGACAGTTTCTCAGACTTTTGTTGTTTTTTGATGACTTGGACAGTTTTGAGGAGTACTGGACATATATTCTGTAGAATATCCCTCAACTGAAATTTGTCTGGTGTTTCTCTCATGACTGAACTGGGGTTATGAGATTTTTGCTCATGTGTTTTTAATCCCAAACTTTAATCCCAAATTAAACAGAAGTAATTGAAGTTTGACAATTTAAACTTCCAAAACTAGCAACAGGTTTTCTGCTCATTGTCTAGTTAAGAAACTGCTTTGAGATACCAAATCATTTCTTAAGAATGTGATCACCACCATCAAATGGATTAACTCAAACATGTGTCATTTACATTGTATACAAAACAGTCCTAAAATTAATAGTTATGGGCTTTATCTTAAACAGTTTTTAGACTGTTAACTATTTTATTTCAACTGCTAATGTCATTTTGCAGGAGGCTTTGAGAGTCATTTAAAATTCTTACTAGCATTTGTTCCATTTTTCAGACAAATAGATTGCAGGGTCTTAAATGACATACCTAGCAATTACATTTTTCTATAAAATAGTAACCAGAAAAGGTAAAAGCCACACATTTGCCTGATAATCTCCAGAAATGTAATTATAGAAGTCCTAGATTCTGCCACAACATCAACAATGTGAAGTAATGATTTTTTCAAAAAAGGATCAGTCAGTAAGATGTGCTACAGACTGCTATATGCTACAGTGTTTAAGTTAATAAACCATGTTTGATCTAGTAAATTATTTGATGTTTATTATATTATATTCTAAAACACCACAGATTTTTTTCTCTAAATATTTGATGCTCAGAAAAATATCAGTACTATATAGTACTTTCTATATGTTATTCAAAACCGTCCCCATACAAGACCACTCATAATTTGCACATGTAAAATAACTGATTGCATTGAATCACTGTGACTTTTACATATATAGTGGGTAGTACTGGCTGTCTACCAGCATCCTTTCCCATCTTCCTATGTACTTTCTTGATTGACTTCACAAATGAGCATATTCCATTCCCCCAGCCTCAGTTACTAGTTGAAATACGACCTTAATGGTCTAATCAGGGTGAATTCAGAACTCTTGCTGAGAACTGCTGGAGCCATATGGCCACCATGAGGGAAGTCAACTTTGAGATGCTCTGTCACCCAGTTTAAGAAAGAAAAGGACGAGGAGCAGAGGGAGCAGGATAGCAGTATTGTAGACAGGGGCTGGGGAGAGAAGAGAGAAGGGAGGGTAGTGAGAAAGGGAAAGGTGTATCAAAATTAGGAAGTTTTGCCAAATGCATGTTCATCCCTGGTTCCTAAATTGCTGATACACTGCCCTAGGGGAGTAGCTGAGACTCACTACTATATATGCTAATATATATATATATGCTAGAATGTTCTTTCTCAGGTATGTTGTGTTTCCTGCTAATTCCTTAAGTTACAGTCCCATCTCTTTTCTGCCTTTCACTACCAAAACTTATCAAAATAAGTCTACATCTCCTGTCCTGATTTCTTCCTCTCCCTCTCATTCCTACCTAATCAGGCCATACAACACTGTCCTATAGTAGCTCTCATACTTAGCTGCCCATTAAGATCACCTGAAGGGCTTTAAAAACAGATGCCTAGGTCCCACCTACAGAAAGTCTTATTTAATTATTCTTGGGTATGGTCACGGTATCAGAATTTTAAATGCTGGGAAATTGTAATGGATAACCAGGACTGAGAACCAGCTCACTGCTGAATAGCTATTATAAACGACCTCTGAATGACTTAATTCAGTGATTTTTTTCTGAGCTGCCTCTACTGTAAGATGAAAGGGTGGGGGAAAGTCACCATATATAAAAAATAATTTTGGGCCGGGCACGGTGGCTCACGCCTGTAATCCCAGCACTTTGGGAGGCCGAGGCAGGTGGATCACGAGGTCAGGAGATCGAGACCACCCTGGCTAACACGGTGAAACCCCGTCTCTACTAAAAATACAAAAAATTAGCCGGCCGTAGTGGCGGGCGCCTGTAGTCCCAGCTACTCCGGAGGCTGAGACAGGAGAATGGCGTGAACCCGGGGGGCGGAGCTTGCAGTGAGCCAAGATGGCGCCACTGCACGCCAGCCTGGGCAACAGAGCGAGATTCCGTCTCAAATAATAATAATTTTGCTTTTTCTCACTAATAATTCCATAAGGTTGGAAAAATTGAAAAGGAGCAGCACAATCAGTGTGAAGAAAAGAGCTCTAGGAATATGAAAGTGAGTTATGAGGGCAAAAGTGTGAGAATTCTAAAAGAAATACTGGATGAGAAAGTGTATGTTAGGGAAATACTGAAGGGGAAAGAGTTAGAAATCACTGTATGAAAAACTGGCCAACATACAAATTCCTCTCTACTGTAGAACAGTTTGAATTGGTCTATACGCTAGAATGTAAGCCCATTTACTAAACACTGATTAAGAAAAGATCTTTAAGGGGTTTTTAGTGTCTTAAAATTCATGTATGTTGGGAGGCGATATCTATGTATTAAAAGAAAATATAAGCTCACAATTTATCACTTTTCTGTGCAGTTACAGAAACAAAATTGATAATTAAAAAAACAAAAGTCAATTTGTACTATGTGTTCACAAACAACACAATACTTCAAAAGGCATTAATAGCAGAAAACAAATGAAGAAAGTGGGTTTGTGTAACCAAACACAAAAATATTATTACAAACAGACAGCTAACACCTATGGAGCATACAAGATGCTGGTATTAAGCATGTGACATTATCTCATTAATTGTCATGAGCCCTATGAGAGGGCTGAACCTTCATCATCCCCTTCAGAGATGAGGAAACTGAGGTTCAGAAAGGTAAGTGACTAGTCCAGTTATGCACTTTGCATGTGGCAGAACAGTATCTGAAATCAGCTCTGTCCAATTCCATAGCATGAGCTCTTAACTGTTATGCTCCACTTTTATAAATTATAATTGATTCATCAAGATTAGTTAAAAAATTTTTAAACCCACAGGCATTCTCTGCTGTATGCAAAAAAAAAAAAAAAAAGAAAAAAGAAAAAAAAAGAAGAATCATTAGGAGAAGTAACAGAGAACATTTGGGGTAATTATAAAACAGCAAGAACAGAATGCAAGAGTTAGTTTAACATAAGATGTAAAATCCAGAGTCAGTCACTCTGGGGATTCTCCATAAATGTTTATTGGTGACGATGGAGGAATTAAAATTTTATACTATTCTTGATGCATGCTATTTTTGCAACTTTAAAGTCCTTCTTTTGTGAGTATACTTCCCATTAATTTTGCTTTTCATTTACACACAACTGTAGGTCACTAAGCCAAAGTCTCCTCTAAGTAAAGATGGTTAAGGGGATCCCAATTTCTAATAAATCCACTTTAGAAAACACACGTCTGCCAGGTGTGGGGGCTCATGCCTGTAATCCCAGCACTTTGGGAGGCCGAGGCGGGTGGATCACGAGGTCAGGAGTTCGAGACCAGCCTGACCAACATGGTGAAACCCTGTCTCTACTAAAAATACAAAAATTAGCCAGGCGTAGTGGTGCGCGCCTGTAATCCCAGCTACTCGGGAGGCTGAGGCAGGAGAATCACTTGAACCTGGGAGGTAGAGGTTGCAGTGAGCCGAGATTGTGCCATTGCACTCCAGCCTGGGCAACAAAGTGCGACTCCGTCACCAAAAAAAAAAAAAAAAAGAAAAGAAAGAAAGAAAACGCCTATGTCTAAGAGAGAATGTGTGAGAAGCTGGCTTCCATGGACCTGATGAATGGTACCATTACAGTAAAGAAAAGAGCAATGATGGCAGTATTCTGCATAAGTACATACCTTTTAGTTGTTAAGTAATATACATATAAATGCTTTATACAGTGAAGACCCAAATAGGAGCATCCCTCCTCTTAAATGAATGCTCCTTGGAGCAAGTACCACATTCTATTAATCATTGCTTCTCTTGTGCTCAGAAAAGGCAGTAGATTCCATGTAAGTATCTTCTGAGCTTACTTAATATTAAATACTACAATACATATATGAAGTCAGAAAACACATTTGATTTCATGATGGTATTTTTCCATCAATTGCAGGTGCAATTGTTTACATTTTACAAAATGTAATTGGAAGTAGAGAATAACGGAAAGACAGAAGAGAATCATTTTATGTTTTGATTACTATTGAATATTTTATAGTTCCCAAGGATATTAGACATTAGTTTCCTGTTTCATATTAGTTGGGATACACTTAAAACTATTTTTCATTTAAGGGATTTAAAAAATTCCTGTTTTAAACTTTAGGCAAAGTTCAAGTCTCTGGAAGTTTCAGTGGATTCACGAAAAATAAGTTATGGGCATGTTGATAAAAAATATAAACAGGTGTAGGTTTAAAAGGACCACTAAGAATTGAACATAGGGCCCTTATCAGCCTCACACATAAGGAATCCAACACCATCCTCATGACCACATGATGGCAACTTGTCAATGTCCACATGAATTACATTACCACAACCATTCCACAGGAGTCCTGTTCAGATAATCCACCTGGACGAGGGATAGGACTATAGAAACATGGTTTTCCACTACAGGTTATTCAGTAGAATTGAGGAAAGATCCCAAGTTATGAGTCAGGAGACATATGATATTCTGTTCTCTAGATCTCTTCCCATCCAGATACTTAAGGATGGAAAATGTGTACTGCTCCTAACCACTACTGATATTCTGTACCCAAGGCAGACATCACTAATTATAGCATCCTTCTCAGCACACATTCTAGGAAGCACCTCCCAAGAGTGACAACAGCTGCATGGGGAGAAGTTATCGGCCCTAGATGAACTATATTGTCTAATTTATGATCTGTTAAAAAATAACACCACTTTCATAATATAAGCTTGTTTAGGTTAGGATAGAATCTATCCTGGGTGTTCTTGGTATTTTTTACTGGCTCTGTACTAATTTCATATTTTTTCAGGGGACAGGGGATATCAGAGGTATAGCAAGAAAATATCTCATTTTTATGAGATTATTGAAGGTTTAATTTACTCAGTGGTCAAAATAAAAATCGAAGAAGGCATTATACTTTCATTTACATTTCAGAAATATGGCCATTGTTGTACATGTATAAGTGACATAAGAAAATATTTGCTTTCACTGTGTTTCTTCACCATCGCTACCATAACCAAATGTTGATAATTTTTATTAGAATGTCATTTGCAAAAATCATAATTGCCTATCAATTTAAAATTGTAAAACCAATATAACTTTTGCAATTTTATGACTATGCAAATATTAGGAGCACAAATTTCTCTGTTTTTGTAAAAATAGGACTGATTCTTCTACAGGCCTCCACCCTGGAAACGGTCGCTGAATTGTGAACTCTGGATACTTAAGTAGAGCCTGAAGTTGAGAGACTTAGATTTGGGTCCTATTAGTGAAGAACTAGAAATGAAGTTTTAATAATGTTTTGCAAACTCGGAAAGATAGAAAATAGAAGCAAACATGAAAAACACTACAATTATCAAGATGTATGAAAAAAGAGAAAGGACATAAAAGGCTGTTTAGATGATACAAATTCTTAACTTTTATGTCAGAAATGGTCAATCATAAGGTAGAAGAAAGAACATATTATTGTGACTGTAACCAACAGGTGAAATAAGAAATTATCAAAACCTGTTGCGTCTGTGGAACACAAAAATTTTTTTAAAAAGATATTTGTCTATGTACATTATAAAGCAAGAACCCAGAACTATATAAGGACATATTTGCTACTATTCACAATATGATACTGTAACTAATAAAACTAAAATTTAAAACATGTAAACATATCCTATTTAACTTGGTAGGAAAAATAACTTATTTATAATGGTTTTATAAAAGCTGAATACATGCTTTCATTTTCATATAACTCAGATTTCCTTTTGCTTATTTGAGACTAAAGGGAAAATACTCAAATTTTAGTATATCTTAAATTTAGCAGTATTTACATTAGGTAACATTTATACAATGTTTCCTATTTCACTGAAGATTTCTAAGCAGATCTAACATGTGGCTGACAAACCAATCCCTAAAAGAACTGATCTTATGTTTTGTCTATTAATATTTTAAATGAAGCTACTTTGAACTTCACTTTTATTTAAGATTATAATTATACACCTTAATCAGAGAGAAAAATCAAAGTTCCTTTTAGATTTACAAATACATGCATAATTTACAGAAGAGAACAATGTGAGATCTTCCTAATATAAATTAAGCATTATAAATTATCTTATTGGAAACTGACAACGCCTACACCTGAATACACATATTCTTACTCTGGAAGTTGTATACACCTGCCTTCAAAATGCAACCACTTTTGCAGTACAACCAGAGGGCTACACGTTTCCTTAGGCATTAGAGGCAACTCCTAAACCGTAAGTAAGAGGGAGAAGCTGGCATGAATTAAAAAACTTGTTTCATATGATGATGTCAGAAAAGTGATGAGTAATTCAAGAGAGATTGTAGTAATAAATGGTGACAGTGATACATTACAATAATATTGTTAAATATTTTCTGGGTAGTAGGTCCCATTCTAAAAGCTTAACTTTAATAATTCATTCAAACCTCACAATTCAGCAAGTTGGGTACTACTAATGGAAAAACTAAGGATTAAAGAGCTAAAAAATTCATATAAGCCCACATACCTAAAGAGTCAGCCAGTATTCTGATTCCTACTGATTCCCTCTAAAAACAGTGAGAAGAGCAATGCAGATTGTTTCATGTAATTCTTTTCCACATAAAAAATTCCACAAGCATAGCTTATTCCATAAGGCCTGAGTGAAAGGAGAAGACTTATCTGGTTAGTAGTGTCATGACATCTGCTGCTCAACCCTAGCTGCCTCTGGACAACTTTCCCTGAATCCCTGAGGGAAATTTAAGGGCTTATCTTTCCTGTGCTCCCATTATAACAGATAACTAACACACATATATAAATATACACATATGTCAACCCTTGGTATCCATAAAGGATTGGCTTGAGAACCTTCCATAGATACCAAAATCTGAAGATGCTCAAGTCCCTTTTATAAAATAGTGTAATATTTGCATATAATCTATGTATATCCTCCCATATACTTTAAGTCATCTCTAGATTATTTACAATACATAATATGATGTAAATGATTGTTACACTGTGTTGCCTAGGAAACAATGACAATAAAAAAAAAGTCTGTACATGTTCAGTACAATTTTTTTTTCTAATTTCTTTTCTTTTTTTTTTTTTTTTTTAAGAGAGAGAGTCTCACTCTGTCACCCAGGCTGGAGTGCAGTGGCACAATCTTGGCTCACTGCAACCTCCACCTCCCGGGTTCAAGCAATTCTCCTGCCTCAGCCTCCTGAGTAGCTGGGACTACAGGTGCATGCTGCCATGCCCGGCTAATTTTTATATTTTTAGTAGATGGGGTTTCACCGTATTGGTCAGACTGGTCTCGAACTCCTGACCTCAGGTGATCCACTTGCCTTGGCCTCCCAAAGTGCTAGGATTACAGACATGAGCCACCACGCCTAGCCCCCAATTTTTTTGATCTGTGGTTGGTTGAACCCACAGATGAAGAACACAGGGATACATACAGAGGACCAACTGTATATACAGACATCCATCCCACATACAGCAATGCTTGTATTTCATGTCCTTCTCCCTGTTTGACTATTAATTTCTTGAGGGCAGGAGCCATATCTCTATATCCAATTCTCCCCACATCTTGCACATTTGAATGATTAATTGAATAAATAAATTTCAGATCTGGTTTTAGGAGCTCCAAACTTCTCTTTATAGAGGAAAGCTACAATGGGAAGGGTGTTGGGAATGATAAGGTTGTGGATTATTACCCAAACACCCACAATTGTTGGGGTTCCACTGCCATTTCTATAGAGTACAGTGTATATCCTGACACACAGAGATAAAGTTATAGGAAGAACACTGGCAGACTGAGGACCACAGGAGGGAAAACATCTCAAAACAAGACCAAAGACTGCTGGAGGAAAGTAGAGGGAGAGACAGCCAAAATCCAGTCTGTTACACCAATAGAAACAGTCAGCTGAGAAGCCCTGGCCTGGAGCCTGATACACTGGGTTTTATGTTTTTAAAATGACTATATCCTGGGCCCACTGTGGTGAGGTAGAAGAGAAATGGCTAGGTTCCTTCAAGTCACCAGACTAGTGTGGTCTACTAAGGAAAAGAGAAAGGGATTGTGATATGCAGAATAATTGTCCCCAAAATGTCCATGTCCTAATCCTTCGAACTACGAATATGTTACCTTACATGGCAAAAGGGACTTTGCAGGTGTAATTAAAAACCTTGAGATGGGAATAGTAGCCTGGATTACCCAGATGGGCCCAACCTAATCACATGCCTTTAAAATTGGTGAACTTCCCCTAGCTGTGGTCATTGAGCAGATGCTGTGACTATAGAAGAAGGGTCAGCGAGATGCGCGAGATGCAATTTCTGTGGCTTTGAAGACAGAAGAAGAGCCATGAACCAAAAAATGTGAGAGGCCGCAAGAAGTTAGATGGGGCTAGGAAACAGATAGTCCCCTAGAGAATTCTCCAGAAAGGAATGCGGCTCTGTTGACACCTTGATTTTAGACCATTGATATGTGTGTTGGACTCTAAACCTACAGAACTGTAAGACATTAAATCTGTGTTGCTTTAAGTTGGGGGTGTACCCTTTAAGTTTTGGGTATTTTGGAACGGTATTTGGGTATTTTGGCAGCAATAGAAAACACAGATATCTTTGAATTTTAGTCAAGTCTGCCCCTTAAGGGTAAAGGAGAGAAACTGCACAGGCCCTAAGTGTGTATCAGAAGCAAAATCAGAGAGAACGGCCACATCTGATCCAGACAGCTCAACCAAAGATGAAAGCAATTGGAATACAAATGTTTTAAAGAATTAGAGCAAGCCCAGTGAGAGTCCTAATTTATAAAAGGTTGACAGCGTAAATCTTTCTGGAGAAATGCTGCTCTAATTCTAAACCCCACCCTAAGATTCTGTTCTGGGAAGCCTGATTTGAGCCAACTAAGCACATTTGAAAACAATCAGAATAAAAGCCACACTGTTGGGTGCTTCTAAATAGCTTCTGCCCTCCACTGCGATCCAAGGTTGGCATAGTCTATGCATGAAACAAGAAGGCAGTCCACAAAGCTCTGTAACAAAACCAATGTTCAGGCTGCAGGGAAATAATAACTAGCCACTGAGAGAGTAAAACAAATGAGATCAGTTTCCTCTCATTTCTTCCATTCCTTCTAGGCAAAGAAAACAGAAGTCACAAGACAAAAGTTATTGGTATAAAGCCCTTTAAGAATTCCTTGTGGGAAGTACCTTGATTTCATAATTTTCTCCATTTATTAAGAGTAAGGTTAAATAAAGAATGGATATCATAAACATATTTGCTAATATTGTTACCCACCAAATAGTCATATGATATGAACTTAGTGGCTGTGGAAGAAAAGTTCTGATGAAAAGGAGTATATTTTATATTCTTATGAAGAACTGAAATAAAGTCGATGCAAAAGGAAAAAAAGGCTTTGAAAAATAAAAAAAAAGCAGTTTGAGTTTCACTGAATATTTTGTCTCATAATGATACAGAATTGGAATTACTTTTCATACGCAAACAAAATCATTATGATTCAAGGAAATCTAAAACAAGCATGGCTTAAAATCTTAAGATAATTGGACTGTGAATTAAAAAATAATTCATTGAGGTTTATAAATGTTTTAACATCTGTTTTATGATCTGTCAAAGTAAATTATCCTAAACTTGACACTGTACTGCCTAATGAAGCATACCAGTTATTTTCACTGTTTCGGAATCCTAAAATCACAGCATAGGAATGAAACCTTAGAAGTGACCCTAGTCCAACAACTTGCCTGATGGGAGGAAGATCCCCGAAAGATATTTTCACTTTTTAAAAGGCTCTAACTGATACAGCATTTTTCTTTACAGAATCTTTTACAGGCCAGTTAATACTCTAAATTGCGGTGTAAACAGGAAGAAAAGAGAAGGAATTGGTTACTTATTCTGTGCTTACTATATGCCACATATTGTGGTAGGTGCTTTACATATTTTCCATAATTCACTCCTTACACCATGCCAGTGAACTACTAAGAGCCTCATTTTCTAGACGAAGGAAACAGGCCAGTTGCGGTGGCTCATGCATGTAGTCCCAGCACTTTGGCAGGCCGACGTGGAAGGATTCCTTGAGCCCAGGAGTTCGAAGATACAGTGAACTATGATTGTGCCACTGCATTCAAACCTGGGAGATATGGCAAGATCCTGTCTCTAAAAATAAATAAAAATAAATAACTTAAAAAAAAAAAACAAGGGATCGGGGGCCAAGACGGTGGAACAGAAGCAACTGTAGTGCGTGGCACTCACAGAGAGCAACAAAAGGGGGGTGAGTAAATACAGCACCTTCTACTGAAATATCCAGGTACTTGCACTGGGACTGATCAGGAAAACAACTCAACCCAGGGAGAATGAAGAAAAGTATGGTGAGGTGATGGCCCAACTGGGAGTGACATGTAGTCAAGGGAACCCCCACCCCCAGTTAAGGGAAGCAGTGAACGAATGTACAACCCTAAGAAACCACGGATCTTTGCAACCCTCAGATCTGGAGATCCCCTCATGAGCCCATGCCACCAGGGCCTTGGGTCCAACACACAGAACTCTGTGGAGTCTCAACAGAGCGGTTGCTCAGGCAGCACAGAGACCCAGAGCTTTACATACTCTGGCCCCGGGATCCCCAGCAAGGCAGGAGGTTCATACATACCCCTAGGAAGGCGGCTAAATCTAGGGAGCTGAGCAGTGTCAGTTCTACAGGCCCCATTTCCTCACAAGATAAGACCCAGTGGCTTGGAATTCCAGGCAGCTGGAAACAGTGTGGAGGCTGCCTGAGAGGGGATGGAACCCCAGTGGGGAGAGGTGGGCTGCCATCTCTGCAGTTTAAACAACTCAGCCATTCCAGCCCGTGGGCTTTGCAGAGTACAAACGGTCTGGATGAGCAGCGAGTCCCGCCGCACAGCACAGCTGCTTTGCCAGAATGTGGCCAGACTGCTTCCTCAAGCAGGACCCCGATCTATTCCTTCTCGCTAAGTGGGACCTCCCACCAGAGGCCTGAGCTCCCCCTACCAGCCCATATTCTATGGACAGAGGTCTGGTCTCTCCCTCGGACAGAGTGCCTTGCGGGAGGGGCAGGCCACCACCTTGGTTGTTTTGACGACTCAGCGGTTCCAGCCTGCGGGCTTTGAAGAGTCCAAGCTGACCAGGGCAAAAGTGGTTCCACAGCATGGCACAGCTGTTTTGTTGAGGCATTGCCAGACTGCTTCTTTAAATGAGACCCCGAGTTACAAATCCCCCTCGAGGGTGGGTCCTCCCACTTGGGGTCTCCAGCCACCTCCCTCTGTGTACTACAGCTGACAAGAGTTCTAATTTCTCTCTAAGACAGCGGGCATGGTGGGTGGAGCAGGCCACCACCTTTGCTGTTTGGGTTTCTCAGCTGGTCCAGCCTGTGGACCTTGGGCAGCCCAAATGGATCAGGGACAAAAGGGGTCCTCAGTAAAGTACAGCTGCTCCACCAAAACGCAGCCAGATTACTCCTTTAAGTGGGACCCTGATCCCAGTTCTCCTGACTGAGTGACAGCTCAAGCAGACCTGATAGGTATCTACAGAACTCTCTACCCAAATAGAAGAGCATATACATTCTTCTCATTGTCACACAGCATATACTCTAAAATGGATCACATAATCTGAAGTAAAACACTCCTCAGTAAATGCAAAAGTACTGAAATCATAATAAACAGTGCAATCAAATTAGAACTCAAGATTAAGAAAATCACTCAAAACCATACAACTAAATGGAAATTGAACAACCTGCTCTGAATGACTTTTGGGTAAATAATGAAATTAAGGCAGAAATCAAGAAGTTCTTTGAAACTAATGAGAACAAAGATACAAAGCACCACAATCTCTGGGATGCAGCTAAAGCAGTGTTGAGGAGGAAATTTATAGCACTAAATGCCCACGTAAAAAAGCTAGGAAAGATCTCAGGTTAACAAGCTAACATCACAAGAACTAGAACATCAAAAGAACCAGAAAACCAAGAGAAAACAAACCCCAAAGCTAGGAGAAGACAAAAAATAACCAAGATCAAAGATGAACTGAAAAACGCAGCAACACAAAAAACCCTTCAAAACATCAACAAATCTAGGATCTGGTTTTTTGAAAAAATTAATAAAATAGGTCAGGCGCGGTGGCTCAGGCCAGGTGTGGTGGCTCACACCTGTAATTCCAGCACTTTGGGAGGCTGAGGTGGGCAGATCACCTGAGGTCAGGAGTTTGAGACCAGCCTGGCCAACAAGGTGAAACCACGTCTCTACTAAAAATACAAAAATTAGCCAGGCATGGTGGCGGATGCCTGTAATCCCAGCTACTCGGGAGGCTGAGGCAGGAGAATCGCTTGAACCCAGGAGGCAGAGGTTGCAGTGAGCTGAGATCGCGCCACTGCACTCCAGCCTGGGTGACAAAGCGAGACTCCATCTCAAAGAAAAACAAAACAAAACAAAACCACTAGCTACACTAATAAAGAAAAAAAGAGAGAAGATTCAAATAAACACAATCAGAAATACTGGGATATTAAATAATCAGGATATTACCACTGATGCCAGAAATACAAACAACCATTAGAGAATACTATGAACACTTCTATGCACGTTAACTAGAAAATACAGAAGAAATGGATAAATTTCTGGACACATACACCCTCCCAAGACTGAACCAGGAAGAAACTGAATCCCTGAATAGACTAATAACGAGTTCTGAAATTGAGGCAGTAATAAATAGCCTAACCACAAAAAAAGCCCAGGACCAGATGGATTCACAGCTGATTTCTACCAGTGCTACAAAGAAGAGCTTGGTACCATTCCTACTGAAACTATTCCAAAAAATCAAAAAGGATGGACTCCTCTCTAACTCATTCTATGAGGCCAGCATCATCCTGATACCAAAACCTGGAAGAGATACAACAACAAAAAACTTTAGGCCAATATCCTTAATGAACATCAATGCAAACATCCTCAATAAAATGCTGGCAAACCAAGTCCAGCAGCACATCACAAAGCTTATCGATCATAATCAAGCTGGCTTCACCCGTGGGATGCAAGGTTGGTTCAACATATGCAAATCAATATATGTGATTCAGGGCAAAAACAGAACTAACAACAAAAACCACATGATTATCTCAATAGATTCAGAAAAAGCCTTCAATAAAATTCAACATCCCTTCATGTTAAAAATGCTCAATAAACAAGGTACTGAAGGAACATACCTCTAGCTACTAAGAGCCATATATGTATGACAGACCCACAGCCAATATCATACTGAATGGGCAAAAGCTGGAAGCCTTCCCCTTGAAAACCAGCACAAGACAAGGTTGCCCTCTCTCATCACTCTGATTCAACATAGTCCTGGAAGTTCTGGCTAGGGCAATCAGGCAAGACAAAGAAATAAAGCATATTCAAATAAAGAGAGAGGAAGTCAAACTATCTTTGTTTGCAGATGACATAATCTTATATTTAGAAAATCCATCATCTTGGCCCCAAAGATTCTTAAGCTGATAAGCAGCTTCATCAAAGTCTCAGGATACAGAATCAATGCCCAAAAATTACTAGCATTCCTATACACTAACAACAGGCAAGCCAAGAGCCAAATTATGAATGTGAACTCCCATTCACAATTGCCATAAAAAGAATAAAACACTTAGGAATACAGCTAATAAGGGAAGTGAAGGACCTCTTCAATGAGAACTACAAACCACTGCTCAAAGAAATCCAGAGATGACACAAAGACATGGAAAACATTCCAGACTCATTAATAAGAACTGATATCATTAAAATGGCCATTCTGCCCAAAGCAGTTTATAGATTCAATGCTATTCCCATTAACTTACTATTGACAATCTTCACAGAATTAGAAAATACTATTTTGAAATTCATATGAAACCTGAAAAGAGCCCAAATAGCCAAGACAATCCTAAACAAAAAGAACAAGGCTGGAGGCATCAATGTTACTCGACTTCAAACTATACTACAAGGCTACAGTAAACAACACAGCATGCTACTGGTAGAAAAACAGACACACAGAACAATGAAACACAATAGAGAACCCAGAAATAGAACCACACACCTATAACAATTTGATCTTTGATGAACCTGACAAAAACAAGCAATGGAGAAAAAATTCCCTGTTTTATATGGTGCTGGGAGAACTGGCTAATCGTATGCAGAAAACTGAAGCTGGACCCCTTCTTTACACAATATACAAAAATCAACTCAAGATGGATTAAAGAGTTACATGTAAAACCCAAAACTATAAAAACCCTAGAAGAAAACCTAGGCAATAGGACATAAGCACAGGCAAAGATTTCTTGACGAAGATGCCAAAAGCAATTGCAACAAAAGCAAAAATTGACAAATGAATCTAATTAAGAGCTTCTTCACAGCAAAAGGAACCATCAACAGAGTAAACAGGCAACCTACAGAATGGGAGAAAATTTTTGCAATCTATCCATCTGTATTAGTCCGTTTTCCCATTGCTCATAAAGGCATACCCGAGACTGGGCAATTTACAAAACAAAGAGGTTTAATGGACTTGCAGTTCCATGTGGTTGGAGAGGGCTCACAATCATGGGGGAAGGCAAGGAGGAACAAGTCATCTTACATAGATGATGGCAGACAAAAAGAGAGAGCTTGTGTAGGGAAACTCCCCTTTTTAAAACCATCAGATCTCATGAGACTTATTCACTATCATGAGAACAGCACGGGAAAGATCTGCCCCCATGATTCAATTACCTCTCACTGGGTCCCACCCACAATGTGAGATTGGGTGGGGTCACAGCCAAACCATATCACCATCTGAAAAAAGTCTAATATCCAGCATTTATAAGGAACTTAAACAAATTTACAAGAAAAAAAGAACCTCATTAAAAAGTGGGCAAAGGACATGAACAGAAGGACACATCTCAAAAGAAGACATACATGTGGCCATCAAACATGAAAAAAGTGCAACATTACTGTTATCATTAGAGAAATGCAAATCAAAACCCCAATGAAATACCATCTGACACCAGTCAGAATGGCTACTACTAAAACATCAAAAAACAACAGATGCTGGTGAGGTTGTGGAGAAAAGGGAACACTTTTACATTGTTGGTGGGAGTGTAAATTCAACCACTGTGGAAGATGATGTGGCAATTCCTTAAAGACCTAGACACAGAAATACCATTTGACCCAGCGATCCCATTACTGATTACATACCCAAAGGAATATAAATGGTTCTGTTATAAAGATACATGCACACATATATTCAATGCAGTACTATTCACAATAGCAAACACATGGAATCAACCTAAATGCCTGTCAATGATAGACTGGACAAATAAAATGTGGTACATATAAACCATGGAATACTATGCAGTCATAAAACAGAACAAGATCATGTCCTTTGCAGGGACATGGATGGAGCTGGAAGCGATTATCCTTAGCAAACTAATGCAGGAACAGAAAACTAAATACCACATGTTCTCACTTATAAGTGGGAGCTAAATGATGAGAACACATGGACACACTGGGGACAATGACACACACCAGCCTGATGCAGGGCTTTGGGTTGGAGGAG
Source organism: Homo sapiens (assembly GCF_000001405.40). Classification (NCBI taxonomy): domain Eukaryota; kingdom Metazoa; phylum Chordata; class Mammalia; order Primates; family Hominidae; genus Homo; species Homo sapiens. The sequence goes on along the minus strand of NC_000006.12, from coordinate 80,310,246 downwards.
GAAGAGCATCAAGAAGAATAGCTAATAGATGCTGGGCTTAATACTTGGGTGATGGGATGATCTGTGTAGCAAACCACCAGGACAGATGTTTACCTATGTAACAAACCTGCACATTCTGCACATGTACCCTGAACTTAAAAGTTGGAAATTAAAAAAAAAAAAAGAAAATGTTGTATATATACACCATGCAATATCATGTAGTCATAAAAAGGAATGAGATCATGTCCTTGCATCAACATGGATGGAGCTGGAGGCCATTAGCCTAAGCTAATTATTTCAGGAACAGAAAACTGAATACATGTTCTCACTTATAAATGGGAGTTAAACATTGAGTACACATGAACATAAAGAAGGCAGCAAACCACTGAGGCCTACTTGAGGGCTGAGGTTGGCAGGAGGGTGAAGATGGAAAAGCTACCTATCAGTTACTATGCTTATTACCTGTGTGGCCAATAATCTGTACACCAAATCCCCGTGACACACAACCTATATAACAAACCTACACATGTACCCCGATACTAAAATAAAAGTTTTAACAAGTAAAATGGTAAAGAATAAAGCCATTTTAGTATGGAAGAGAAACATTTCACCAGATGGTTAAATAAAGATGGCAAGCCACAAGCTATTCAGTAAAACAAACAAACAAACAAACAAACAAACAAAAAAAACCACAGGCCAAAATACATGAATACTTACTCTTTTGTTAAAATAACAAAGTCATTATTACACAAGTAAATATTTCAAAGATAAATATTTTTATAAAATTAATGATGAGACTATAGAAAGGATGAGACTGTAGAAAGTATGAGACAGAAAAAGTACACAGAATGCACTTTGAATAGCTCCCAATATTAAAATTTATTGTTGATAATCTATACTTTTGGCTGGGCATGGTGGCTCACTCCTGTAATCCCAATACTTTGGGAGGCCAAGGTGGGCAGATCACCTGAGGTCAGGAGTCCAAGACCAGCCTGGCCAACATGGTGAAACCCCTGTCTCTACTAAAAATACAAAAATTAGCCAGGTGTGGTGGCAAGTGCCTGTAATCCCAGCTATTCGGGAGGCTGAGGCAGGAGAATCACTTGAACCTGGGAGGCGGAGGTTGCAGTGAGCCGAGATCATGCTACTGCACTCCAGCGTGGTTGGCAAAAGCGAGACTCCGTCTAAAAAAAAAAACAAAAAACAAAAAAACTATACTTTTAATAGTAGACCACCCCAAAACACAATAGGTTTATTATAAAGAAATATTTTATAGCAAATAATAGCAAGTACACAATAAACTATAGCATTTGGGTACAATTATGAAAATCTATGTGTGGTAGGTATATACATGTGAATGGCAAGGCAAGTTAAGAAGAAAATCTACGGCCGGGTGCGGTGGCTGACACCTGTAACCCAGCTCTTTGGGAGGCCAAGGCGGGCAGATGACGAGATCAGGAGATCGAGACACGGTGAAACTCCGTCTCTACTAAAAATACAAAAAAATTAGCCGGGCGTGGTGGCGGGCGCCTGTAGTCCCAGCTACTCGGGAGGCTGAGGCAGGAGAATGGCGTGAACCTGGGAGGCGGAGCTTGCAGTGAGCCGGGATCACGCCACTGCACTCCAGCCTGGGCGACAGAGCGAGACTCCGTCTCAAAAAAAAAAAAAAAGAAGAAGAAGAAGAAGAAAATCTACCTGTGTTGGGTTTTTTTTCCCCATTTAATCTGAGTAGTACTGTTTAATTATATCTACAAAATTATATACAATAATATAAGATCTGATAGTAACTTTGCTTAATGTATGTAGTAGAAAACATGTTTGAACACACTTTACATTAATAATAAATGTTTAGGGGTATTTTTGCTCTTTTATTTCTTCTGAGGCTTGTAGCAGTGAGTAAACAATCTAAATGGTCAAAAATAGAGGAATATTTAAATTACTATCATATGATGGAATACCTTATGGCCATTAAACACGACTTTTGAACAAGTTAAGAATATGAAACAATGTCCATGATACAATGAAAAATGAAAATAAGCTGGAATCAAAACACACAGCACAATCCCCAAATTGTAAAAATAATACAAATAAACACTTGTATACATAGGGGGGAAATGAAAAAAAATAGCCACTGCTTAGTGGACCTTATAGCTTAGTCTTCCAATTTTGTTCATCTTATTTTATTTTATATTATAATTAATTCATATATTTGTTTTATTTCTCACTAGACTATCAGCTCTTCCAAGGTCAGTGACCATCCCCTTAGTTGTGATTGTAGAATTCTTTGCAGTATCTGGCATTCAAAATTTTTTGCTAGATTAAATTGAATAAAATGTAAAGTAGCCCATGATATTACTTTTGGGAATAATTTTTATGTTTTTAATTTAATTATTTGAAGTTGCATTTGCAGTGTTAAGTAGTCCAAAACACATATAGACACATTCCATTTGAATGGATTATCTACAACTTTGGTAAATTTTATACTCCATTATGAAGTGTGTGCTTCATCTTCTACTAAAATAAATCTGACAATATGGTCTAACAAAAGTCAATCTGGACATTTACACAGTGTTGTGTGTTAAAATAGGCCTAATGTGAATACAAATAATTTTTTTTACATTTTCTATAATGGCTAGATATACTTTATGTTTGTCACTTTTTCTGTTGACGATCTTGTTATTTTTCACTAGAAGATTTTTTTTAGTCATTCATGGACCCATCTGGAGACGTTTAAGTTTTAATTTACTGAAAATTTAACAGAGGTTCTTTCATGGGGGTATATCTGAAAAAAATGTAATAGAAAATCATTAGCACTGTGAAGCACAGAATATTGACAGAGGGGGCAGGTGGATTTAATATTGGATACAGTTCAATTTTAGAATATGGAAAAAAGAATATAAACAATTTATTACATTCCTATTAAATATCTGTCAATGCACAAGCCACTTTGTATATGTTAGCTCATGGAACCCTATATGTTAGCTATAATCATCCTCAGTTTACAAATAAGGAATTGAGATTTATATTTATACATGAAAATAAGTTTCTTAAGAAAACACAGCTATTAATAAGTAGTAGGTTCTAACTGCAGTCTGTATGATTAAATAAAGCTGTTTCTTCAAGGCCATTATGCCTCTTGGGAAAGAAAAGTTGGTGGTGAAGACAAGTTGAAGGACTAGGGAGCGAGTCTCAGACTTAGCTACTAGTTATGTAACTTAAATGATGAGAGAGGCTTGAGGACCCCGGCTCAATATGAGGAACATATCTGGGATATGCTGGAGGTTGGTCCAATGAATACTTCTGGAAACTGACTCTGACCTCACTGTAACCACCATCTAGGACTGTATTGTTCTTTACATGTACCAGTCACTTGCTTTCAGTTACCAGGTAGCCTCATATCAAGTCTCCAGAAGAAGAGCCTCCAGGAGGCATCAAGCCAACTTCCACAAGGAAGCTGGGGTCAGGATAAAGGAAATGAGAGTACTCAAGCCTGCTATGAATCCACAGCTGTAAGACTCCATGAAAAAATGAAAAGATATATCTCCATGTGACAGTATGCTGTGTCATCATCTGATTTATCTGTTTCCATAATTTTCTGTATCATTTGCCATTAAGGAAATGAAATTATTGATCTGATTTGTTGGTGTCTATCAACACACACTGTTGCCACACCTTGCAAAGGTTTTTAATTAACTGATTTCTGTGAATGGCTGGCTTATATGTTTATGTGTCCAGGACACTTACTCATTCATCAATCTCAGAGAAAATCCTATATTCTTTATGAAGTCTTCTGGACTGATTTGCTTAGGTTCACTCAGGCACCCTTTTTTTATGTTTAGACTGTACTATTTACATATCCCCATTGTAGTGGATCTCAGTAATCATGCTGTTCATTGAAAAATATCTCCCTAATAAACTGATAGTTATTTGACCTCCTAGACACTTTAAACCTCAGCCTATACCAGGTGTTCACTATTCACATGTTAAATAAATATGTTATTGTGTTTATCACTTAAGGTATGTACTATTTGAATACAATTTAACATTAAATTAAACTTAATGCAAAGTATTGTCAAAGAGTAACACAAGGATGAAAGCATTTTGATGAAAAGAATAAAGGTGTAAACAAAATGAAAAGAAGAGCTAATACTTGCTGAGCACTATGTGCCAGGTGATGTTCCAGTTTTACATGTATTAATTCACTTAATCTTCACGATAGCCATATGGAAGAAGTACTGCTATTTTTTCCATTTTCCAGATGAGAAAACTGAAGCAGAGAAAGATTAACCACCCAGCAAATAAGAAGTAGTGCTGAGATTTGAATTCAGGCAGGCTGGCTCTAGATTCACTGCTGAATCACTGTCAAAGTCCTCCCTGTATTAGGCATTATTATATTCCTTGTCATTTAATCCCCAAGAGCAGTTCAGTAAGATAGGAGGAACATCCTAGGAGGACAAGTCAAGTTAAATCAACCTCATCTGGTCCCATGGTAGGTGAGAGGCAGAACAGGTGTCATCAGTGCTGTGTGTTTTGGGGTCTCTTAAGGGACAGAGACAAGTGATGTCCACAACATCTACATGTGGGGGGCTCCTTTGCTTCAACATGTAGCAGAAATCAGCCCTCACTCAGTTCTTCTTTGGAGTATCTTGGTTATTTTGGGCTCTTACTCATCTACAACATTTTAGAATCAATTTGTCACATTTCAAGAAAAAAAGAGAGCTTGATTTTGTTATAACTTGGACAGACCCTAGAGAGCCATTAAATAACAACTTAAATTGCAATAAATGTCTCTAGCTATGAATACAGTCTTTTAAAAAACATTTTTAAATTTTTTTTAATTAAGTCATAATTTTTCAAAAAAAAACCCACTTGGTTTTCTTAGAAATTGGACTGACTCTAGAGATCCATTAAGCAACAACTTATATTGCAATGAATCTATCTGTGAACATAGTCTTTTTTAAAAAATGTTAATTATTTTAAGTCATAATTTTTCCATAAAGGTCTCAAATGATTTTTTAAAGATTATCCCCAGATACCTATAGTCACTACCATAGATACTGATGTTTTTTAAAGTTTTTATTTTCAATTTGTATTGATGTTTATCTATAGCAACATTGTTAAACTCCAATTAATTCTAATAAGCAGTATATATGGCCTAAATTAGATTTTCTATGTAGAAAATCATATTCTGTCAATGAACGGCATTTTTATTTCTTTTACCTCCTGTCCTAGGACATCGAGTACAACAATAAATATAATTAGTTTCAGTAGGTTTCATGGTTTCTGATATTAAAGCTAATGCTTCCAATATTTTACCATTAAATATAGTGGTTGTTACAGGTTTTTGGTAGATAACCTTTATCAGGTAAAGGAAGTTTCTAATTTCTTCTTTTAATGATAAGCTGGTACTTAATGTTACTAAATGCTCTTTCTGCATGCACTGAAATGGTATAGTTTTCTTTTTAGTCAATCAATGTAATAAATTATATTAATACAATGTCTAATGTTAGGTCAATCTGCCATTCCTGGAATAAACCCAACTTGGTCTGGAAAACTTCTGGATTCAGTTTGCTATAAAAACTTTGCACCTATGTTTCTGAGTGAGATTGATTTACAGTTTTGTGTTCTTTAATTATCCTTGTCTGGTTTTGAAGTTACACAAAATTTATAAAATGAGATGGGCTAGGTTTTCTCATCAATCTTCTAGAACACTGTGTATAAAACATTGAGCTCCAGTAAAACTTACCAATAAAATCAATTGAGCCTAGTGCTATCATTAAGGAAAAATAAGCTAATGGTTCAGTTTCTCTCATGCTATAGGAAGATTTGAGTTTTCTTTTTCTTCTTGAGTCACCTTTAACAGTTTTCACTTTGCTAGGAAAGTCAGAATTTTTAGGAAACATTAGAGAATAAAAATGTATTGCAAACTTAGCCAGATTCAGAAATTCAAAATCCAAAATGTAGCAATGGCAAAAGGTATTAACCAATCTCTACCCCACCCCAACTCTGCCTAGGATAACAATGACCCAGATCTGCCAAAAGCCTACTACAAGTGAAGAATCTTCCAACTGAAGAATGTACAAAAATACCACAGTATTGCTCACATGTCTACTTTCTTATACTGTGTTCGAATTTTCACAAGCATAAAGTATTTGATTTTATCAGGATGTAACTACTTCTGAATTAATCACTTACTACCATAGACTTATCTTCAGCAAATTATAGACTATTTCCTAAACCCTATTTCTTTCTAATATTCCTCTGTTCACAAAAATTCACATAAAATAATCTTTCATTTCATTCCATGTCTTACTTTTTCCCTATTAAATTACTAATAACTTAAAGGAATATGGTGATCAAATTTCCTAAAGCTATGACATTAAGTAAATTCATGCCTCACTCAGAATTGAAATGACTCATTTAAGGTAACAGACCACTTCTCTAGTGGTCTCCATTCTTTCAAAGGAGAGGGAGTTAATTAGAGGTGTCATAAAGTGATGCTTTGTAAATTTTTAACTCAAGTTCCTTAGGTCTATTTGCTGTGCCCTACCTCTCTTTACAGAAGTTTAAAGGAAGAAATGATGAGTTGCTGAAGCAGATCACACACACACACACACGCATGGATTTTATGTACTTATCTATTTTTAATTTCACACGGATTTATAATCTATTTCTGCTTGACATAGATGAACGCCAAATGCTCAATTTCAATTGTGTCAGTATCCTTTCTGGCTCTTATGCAGAAGCTTGTGTCCATCCATGTTTAGGTTGGTGTGGGCATGTTCCCAGGCATTTGAAGAAGTTGAAAGGAGATCAGGAGAGATCAAAGCAGATGAGATGGGAAACTGTGTTGGATGTTCTCTAAGGTTCTTTTGTCTGTCATCTATTTTTGCCAGACTTATTCAGTTACAATATGTAAGTGAACTTAACTCGTTAAATAAATTAAAAAACTTTCTTTCTCCATCTAGCCTGCAGGATTTATTAGAGTGGCTCCACCTCGATGCCAGTGGATACTGACATAAGATTATGCAAATCCGCTTCCTAGAACTTAAGGCATAATAAATATATATATATAAAGCATTTAATGCTAAATTAAAAAATAAAAGATTACGTAAATCCAACTAACTGAAGCCATACAATACAAAAGAATTACCCTTTGAGTTCAGGTAATAGGTGAGGACTTTTCTGTATATGACTTGACTTTACTTCCTACTTTTAATAAATCAAGTCTTATCAGTATTTTTCTCTGTGCACACTGGAAATTCTGCTCTTTTTTTAAGCATCATTATCCCACTTAAGCTAACACTAACATTTGTGAATCTCAAACATGAGTGCTGCCACCTCCACAGATCTGAGTTTTCCAATAAAGCTGCTTCATTCCATATGTTCATATTGCAATGTTTGTTTTACAGCATAGCTCATATTTCATTTTATTCCAAAATTTTGTCTCAGCAAAACTTCATGGAATATTTTCTCTTTTTCCTTTAACAGTGTAATGGGACAAAACAACAAATCCAGAATATGGTTTAAAGCTAAACAAATGGATAAGTGCAATCGATAGAAATAACTGGTTGTTGTGTTTAAAATTCGACCAGCTAGAAAACTCAAGCTCATTTGGTTTGCACTGACATATAACAAATAAGCACTGTGCTTGTTTTATTAGAAAACACTTTTATCACCTACTTGACAACATAGGTTTTGCCAGGAAAGTCAGCATTTTGAACATCCAATCCTCTAACATGTCTCATGTTGATTATGTCATGATTACAGAACTAAACATTTTGCAAAAGGAAAAGGTATGTAATAAGCCTTTTGCAAAAGGAAAGCATCCTCACAACATCATTGCAAAAATTTGTAAGAAAAAATCTAAAAGTTGTTTTAAAAATAATTTAGTATATATTTCAATTAGACATTACTGTATATAGAAATGCTACTGATTTTTGTACATTGATTTTGTATCCTGAAACCTTGCTAAAATTGTTTATCAGTTCTAGTAGCCTTTTGGCAGAGTCTGTAGGGTTTTCTAAGTATAAAATCATATTTTTAATGAAGAGAGCCAGTTTGATTTCTTCATTTCTTATTTGAATGCCTTTTATTTCTTTCTCTTGCCTGATTGCTCTGGCCAGGACTTCCAGTACTATCTTGAATAGGATTGGTGAGAGTGGGTATCCTTGTCTTGTTCCGGTTCTCAAGTGGAATGGTTCCAGCTTTTGCTCATTCAGTATGATGTTAGCTGTGGGTTTGTCATAGATGGCTTTTATTGTTTTGAGGTATGTTCCTTCAATGCCTAGCCTATTGAGGGTTATCATAAAGAGATATGAATTTTATCAAAAGTTTTTTTTGCATCTACTGAGGTAATCAGTAGATTATCCCAGTAATTCTTTTAGTTCTGTTTGTGTGGTGAATGACATTTATTGATTTGCTTACATTGAACCAGCCTTGTATCCCAGGAATAAAGCCTATTTGATCATAGTGTATTAACTTTTTGATGTGCTACTGAATTCGGTTTGCTAGTATTCTGTTGAGGATTTTTGCATCTATGTTCATTGGCTTGAAGTGTTCTTTTGTTGTTGTGTCTCTGCGAGATTTTGGTATCAGGCTGATGCTGTCTTTGTAGAATTAGTTAGGGAGAAGCCCCTTCTCCTTGATTTTTAAGCAGAGTTTCAGTAGGATTGGTACCAGTTCTTTGTATGTCTGGTAGAATTTGACTGTGAATCTATCTGGTTCATGGCGCTTAATGATTCAATTTCCTAACTTGTTATTGGTCTGTTCCAAGTGTTCACTCTCTTCTTGGTTCAATCTTTGGAGGTTGTATGTTTCCAGGGATTTGACAATTTCCTGTAGATTTTCTAGTTTGTGTGCACAGAATTGTCCACAGTATTCTATGAGGATCTCTGTGGGATCAGCTGTTATGTCATCTTTATAAACTCGAATTGTACTTATTTGGATCTTCTCTGATTTTATTCTTTGTTAATCTAGCTAGTGTTCTGTCAATCTTATTGTTTTTTTGAAGAACGACCTCTTGGTTTCATTGATCTTTTGTATGGATTTTTGCATCTCAATCTCATTAAGTTCTCTAATTTTTGTTATTTATTTTCCTCTGCTAGCTTTAGGGTTGTTCTTTTTTTTTCCTTCCTAGTTCCTTTAGGTGAAAAGTTAGATTGTTAATTCGAAACCTTTCTAACTTCTTAATGAAAGCCTTTTAGGGCTATAAACTTTTCTCTTAACACTGCTTTGGCTGCATCCTAGAGATTTTGGTAAATTGTGTCCCTATTTTCATTAATTTCTAATTTTTTTTATTTCTGACAATTTCTATGTTCACCCAGGAGTTATTCAGGAGCAAATTGTTTAATTTATTTTGTGTAGTTATTCAGGAGCAAATTGTTTAATTGTATTTGTGTAGCTTTGAGAGCTCTTCTTGATATTGATTTATATTTTTATTGCACTGTGGTCTGAGAATATGCTTGGTATGATTTCATTTGTTTTTAAATTTATTAAGATTTGCCTTATGACTGAGCATGTGGTTGCTCTTAGAATCTATGTCCCACATGCACATGAAAATAATATATATTCTGCAGTAGTTGGATGGAGTGTTCTGTAGATGTCCATTTGGTCCAGTTGGTCACATGTTGAGTTAACATCCAGAGTTTATTAGTTTTCTGCCTCAGTGATATTTCTAACACTGTCAGTGGCTTGTTGAAGTCTCCTACTATTACTGTGTGGTTGTCGAAGTCTTTTCATAGGCCAAGAAGAAACTGTTTTATGAAACTGGCTGCTTCAATGTTGGGTATGTATACATTTAGGACAGTTATGGCTTTTTATTGGATTGTACCCTTTATCATTATGTAATGCCCTTCATTGTCCTTCCTTTTATTGACTTAAAGTCTGTTTTACTGATATAAGAATAGTGGCTCCTGCCCAGGTATGGTGGTTCACATCTGTAATCCCAGCACTTTGAGAGGCTGAGATGTGTGGATCGCTTGAGCCCAGGATTTTGAGACAAGCCTGGGCAACATGGTGAAGCCCTGACTCTACTAAAAACAACTAAAATTAGCTGGGCATGGTGGCACGGCCTGTGGTCCCAGCTATTTGGGAGGCTGAGGTGGGAGGATCACCTGGGCTCTGGAAGTCAAGGATGCAGTGGGCTGAGATCATAGCGCTACGCTCCAGTCTGGGCAGTGGGAATATGGTCCTGTCTTTAAAAAAAAAAAAAAGACTAGTGGCTCTTGTTCCTCTTTTGTTTTCCGTTTGCATGATAGGTCTTTCTCCATCCTTTTCTTTGAGTCTGTCTATGTCATTACATGTGATATGGGTCTACTGAAGACAACAGATGCTTTCGTCTTGTCTTTATATCAAGCCTGCCACTGTGTCTCTTTTAAGTGTGGAATTTAGCCCATTTACATTCAAGGTTGGTATGTATTATTTTAACCTTTTCCCCATGTTGTTAGCTATCTGTTATGTAAAATTGATTGTGTAGTTGATTTATAGTGGCTGTGGGTTATATACTTATATGTTTTCGTTGTAGCAGGTTTTGTTCTTTTGATTCCGTGTTTAGCACTCTTTAAGGATGTCTTTAAGACTGGTCTAGATGAAATGTATTCCCTCAACAATTGCTTGTCTGAGGAAGATTTTGTTTCTCCTTCACTTATAAAGCTTAGTTTGGCAGGATATGAAATTCTTGGTTGGAATTTCTTTTCTATAAAGTTTACTTTCTTAATAAACTTGCTTTCACTTTATGGACTCACCTCAAATTCTTTCTTGCACGAGATCCAAGAACCCCTCTCTTGGGGTCTGGATTGGGACCCCCTTCCAGTAACATCTTTCTGGTGACCCAGATGGAAAAATACTGAGGAAACCCCCGAACCAAAGGCTAACTTGAGGTAAGTGGTGGCGTCTGGTAACATCTTTCTGGCCAAACACAGAAGGGACCATATTGAGGAGACCCTCCGACCCAAAGGAAAATCATCTGCACACACACACCAACTGGCTGACTTTTGGGTAAGTGGGGTGCATTTGCCTGGGTAAAGAATGGGATTGGGTTAAAGACTCAATTTAGGGGAATTAAGAGTCTCTCCTAAGACAGAGTGGGTTAAAGGCCCCTCTTAATAAAAGGCAAGGATGCTTGAGCAAACTTGGTTTGAGGCTCAACTTAGGAAGGTTAGAGTCCTTCCTAAAATTTAGGGAGTTAGAAAGACCCTTTCAGTAAAGTACCTCTCAGTTAAGAATGGGTTTGGCACTATGGGATGTTAACTGGTATTCTCTTTGGATTAATCTGCCTTGCAATCTTTGTTGACGGCTATGGGTGACAGAATTAGGCATATACGGGACCATAGGACATGGGGCGCTTTTTCTCTCCCTAAAGGGGGAAACTTAAGAGCTGATGGGACTGCCAGAAAAGATCCTTTCATGACCAACAAACAGCAGACTGAACTTCTGATTCAGCGTTGGCTGCAATGAGTGGGTCTTTCTTTGGCCTCACTGAACTCTTCATCTTCCCCACCCTGCCACAGGCAACGCTTTCCTCTCTCTCCTTTCCTTTTCCAATCTTCTCTGTTACTTAGGGTGACCATCTTGCCCAGAGACCACACATTGAGAAATGTCCTTGGGAACATGAACCTGTAACCATGTGGCAGTACTTTCTTTTGGTCTCCATCATCACAATGGTGGCCTGGCTTAGGGAATGAGTCCTTTCTGATTTGATATCTGTTCTACCTTTACCATTTGTTAATTCTCCTCTCCTCCACAAAACTTGAATTTTTCCATTCTCTGAGCACTTGGAGGTTACATTTGGTAAAGCCCAAAAGCCAGACATATTGGCCACTTGGTATGGCTAAAATCAGGTAATAAGAAATTTAAAAGGGGCAGGCATGGTGGCTAATGCCTGTAATCCCAGCATTTTGGGAGGCCGAGGCAAGTGGATCACTTGAGGCCAGGTGTGACCAGCCTGGCCAACATGGCAAAACCCTGTCTCTACCACAAATACTAAAGTTAGCCAGGCATGGTGGTACATGCATGTAATCCCAGCTACTTGAGAGGCTAAGGTATGAGAATCACTTGAACACAGGAGGCAGAGGTTGCAGTGAGCAGAGATTGTGTCACTGCACTCCAGCCAGGGTGACAGAGTGAGACTCTGTCTAGGAAAAAAAAAGAAAGAAATTTAAAAGGGCATTTTTTAAAGAGTGCTATAGTTAAACATCAGCTTAATTAAAAGCATATATTCAAGCTCTAACAGCCTGGGACTCCTTGAAAAAAACAGAGGAGGCAGCACAGACCCTATTTTGGGGGAAAAAAAAAATCCTCTGTTTTTCTCATAAAAGCCCAGGAATTGGAAGTGGATAAATCCCTCTCAAAATTTAAGGCTCTGTTCTGTTTTGCACTGCATTGTGTGACATTTTTGACACTGGGGGCATCAGAAATTGCTTCACATTATGAGAGAGCTTTGGTATGTAATAACTAGGTAGGAAATATACTTTTGGGGCTAGCTAATGGCAGTTATGGGAGATACTCATCTCTGCAAGTATGGATCAGAGAAACATGGTCTTGGCCACCTACAAGTTATGGAAATGTCCTCACTCTCCACTGAGAGGTAAGATTCCCATGGGAGGCTGGTTAATTCCATCTTTTTGAGATCCAGGATCTGGTAATAAAAATGGGACCCTTAATTTTTGGAAATCAGTTTTGCTTTCCAGCTGTGTCTGCTTATTAGACCCTGGAAAAGGCATGCTTTAAAGAGAAACTTAAAAACTGGAAATGAAAAATCTTACAACTACTGGACCTTCTGTCTCTCTATGTATTTGTACATGGTGTGTGTGTGTGCGATGTTTATATATGAAAAAACTTTGATTAGTTTAAAAATAGTAAGTGCTTAAATCAAATAGTTTGTCAGAAAAGTAAAATGTGTAATGTCATTTACTTCATATGACTTTAGTAATCTTTTGGAAATGAAGGCAGTTTCAAAAATTATTGACAAAATAAAGATATCTTCAAAATTTAAACATTTGGTCCAAATTAGGCAGGTCAGATATTAGGTTTTCTAAGTAGTTTAGGGTCATAAACTGCTTCTTTGACTTTGGAAAACTGTTCAATTTACCTACATTGGATCATTGTGTATTACATAAGACCTGGGACATGTGGAAAGCCATGCCCCCTTGCTATGCTGGAAACAGTCGCCCTTATCTGCACTTCTGTCCATTGTCCTAGACTCCACACCTAGTACCTAATTAAAATCTCTTACCAAGGTTTTCATCAAAAGTAAAAGTCACTAAGAGTTAACGCTATAACACATAATTGAGACTACTAAAAACAGTTTTACATGCAAGCTGTGTAAAGAAAGTGAAATGTGTTTTTTGGTAAAAGATTATAAGAAGGCAGGGGAATGAGGATTTTTTTCCCTAAGATTAAAAGGTTAAATAATTGTTTTAAGTTAGATAAAATAAAGCTGAAGGTTTAAGCCAGTTGTGGAAGGTTTGTGAAAAATTAATTGTAAAAGAGATTCTGTGTGTGAACATATTGGCTAAAGTTAAAAGGGCATCATTCAGTTTTTCCATAAATTAAACATTGGAATAAAAGCACAACAGGTTTTTCATAGCACTGATCTGCTCATTAAAAAAAAATGTAAAGGGTTATAAAAGGTTTATGAGACTATTACCTTATGGTCAAATTAATTAAGGTTAAACAGATTTGTTTATAAGGTTTTATTAAAAATTTGGTTTATCAATAATAGCACACTAATGTAAAGGTAAAATTTGGCTTATTTGATATATTAAAATCATACAGGAGTGATGTTGTCTTTGGACTGTATTTGTATAAATATGTTTCATATGTGTTCCAAACTTATGGGAAACTCCTACAATTCCAATATGAATAACTGTATGTTATTAATAATTATAATGGCTACATAAAATCACTGTATGCCACAGAGGTAACCAAATTTCCTTGTCAATTGTGTTTTTGACTGTGGTTTTTTCCTAAGACATTTTATCATTCACAGACAATTGTTGTCTTGTTTTAATCCTCTTCAAAAGGTGGTTTATAATCAGCTATAAGACTTTGACAGGTGCACTTAAATGCAGGTTTCTGATAACTATGGTGATTGTAACATTAGAATAGAGGTAAAAAACTTTCAGGACTCTCATAGACAGGTGAAATGTTCATAAATATCAAGCAGAACAGGAGTTAACTGCATGAACTGAACTAATAGAACACTAAAGTAATCTTGTTGACTTTGCTTCAAACATTGCTGATCCTTTGTTTTGTTTTGCAGCATCAAGGAAACTTTTGAGGTATTAATAGCTTTTAACAATTGAGTAAAGTATACTCCTGTATTTTACATTACTGGTTTGGCTGTGCCCCCACTCAAATCTCATCTTGAACTGTAGGTTCCATAATTCCCACGTGTCATAGGAGGGATCCGGTGGGAGGTAACTGAATCATGGGGGTGGGTCTTCCCTGGACCATTCACATGATAGTGAATAAGTCTCACAAGATCTGATGGTTTTATAAAGAGGAGTTCCCCTGAACAAAATTTGGAGCGTATTTGTTTCTACCTACTTTCTCCAAATTTGCAAACTAGTTGTGAGTATTCTTAACTTATGACAATATACTTATTAGTGTAAGTGCAATAAGAATCTTTTTTTTTTTTTTTTCTGGTAACAGGACACAATTGGAGAAACTGGTTATTTTACCAAGTAATACGATTTGGCTGTGTCACCACTCAAATCTCATCTTGAACTGTAGCTCCCATAATTCCCATATGTCATGGGAGAGATCCGGTGGGAGGTAAGTGAATCATGGGGGCATGTCTTTTCCATGCTGTTCTGTGATAGTGAGTAAGTATCATGAGATCTGACGGTTTTATAAAGGGGAGATCCCCTGTACACACTCTCTCTTGTCTGCCACCACACGAGATGTGACTTTGCTCCTCCTTTGTCTTCTGCCATGATTATGAGGCCTCCCCAGCCATGTGGAAGTGTAAGTCCATTATATCCTTTATCCTTATAAATTACCCAGTTTCAGGTATGTCTTTATCGGAAGTATGAGAACACACTAATACAGTAAATTGATACCAGTATATCGAGGGAACCCACCCCCAATATATCAATGTAGTTCTTTCTATTTTCCATAAGTTCTGGCCAGCTGAGAAATAAAGAGAGACAGTATAAAGAGAGGAATTTTACAGCTGGGCTGCTGGGGGTGACATCACATATCGGTAGGACTGTGATGCCCACCTGAGCCTCAAACCAGCAAGTGTTTTATTAAGGGTTTCAAAAGGGGAGGGGGTGTAAAACTGGGAGTAGGTACAAAGATCACAGGCTTTAAAAGGCAAAAAGCAGAACAAAGATCACATGCTTCTGAGGGAACAGGACAAAAGGAAAAAGCAGAACCACTGATAAGGGTCCAATAAAGGTCACAAGCCAAAGGGCAAAAGGAGAACTACTGATAAGGGTCTATGTTCAGTGATGCATGTGTTGTCTTGATAAACATCTTAAACAACAGAAAACAGGGTTTGAGAGCAGAGAACCGGTCTGACCACAAATTTACCAGAGCGGAGTTCTTCCCCACCCTAATAAGTCTGAGGGTACTGCAGGAGACCAGGGTGTATCTCAGTCCTTATCTCAAGCACATAAGACAGACACTCCCAGAGTGGTCGTTTATAGACCTCCCCCAGGAATGCATTCCTTTCCCAGGGCATTGATATAAATATTCCTTGCTAGGAAAATAATTTAGCGATATGTCTCCTACTTGCACATCGGTTTATAGGCTCTCTGCAAGAAGAAAAATATGGCTCTTTTTGTCCAACCCCACAGGCGGTCAGACCTAACGGTTGTCTTCCCTTGTTCCCTAAAAGTCACTGTTATTCTGTTCTTTTTCAAGGTGCACTGATTTCATATTGTTCAAACACATGTTTTACAATCAATTTGTACAGTTAACACAATTATCACCATGGTCCTGAGGTGAAGTATATCCTCAGCTTATGAAGATAACAGGATTAAGAGATTAAAGTAAAGATAGGCATAAGAAATTATAAAAGTATTATTTGAGAACCGATAAATGTCCATGAAATCTTCACAATTTATGTTCCTCTGCCGCAGCTCCAGCCGGTCCCTCCATTCGGGGTCCCTGACTTCCTGTAACACCAGTAAAGTGAGATGCTATGTGAAAATGTGGAACTGACTTTGGAATTGGGTAATAGGCAGAGGTTGGAACAGTTTGGAGGGCTCAGAAGAAGACAGGAAAATGTGGGAAAGTTTGAAACTTCCTAGAGACTTGTTGAATGGCTTTGACCAAAATGCGGATAGTGATATGGACAATAAGGTCCAGGCTGAGGTGGTCTCAGATAGAGATGAAGAACTTGTTGGGAAATGGTGTAAACGTTACTCTTGTTATACAAGGAGACTGGTGGTATTTTGCTCCTGCCCTAGAGATTTGTGGAATTTTGAACATGAGGGAGATGATTTAGGGTATCTGGTGGAAGAAATTTCTAAGCAGCAAAGCATTCAAGAGGTGACTTGGGTGCTGTTAAAAGCATTCAGTTTTAAAAGGGAAACAGAGCATAAAAGTTTGGAAAATTTGCAGACTGACAATGCAATAGAAAAGAAAAACCCATTTCCTGGGGAGAAATTCAAGCCAGCTGCAGAAATTTGAATAATAAGGAGCCCAATGTTAACCACCAAGACAATGGGAAAATGTCTCCAGGGCATGTCAGAGACCTTCACGGTGGCCCCTTCCATCACAGGCCTAGAGGCCTAGGAGCAAAAAATGGTTTCCTGGGCCAGGCCAGCCCCTGCTGTGTGCAGTCTAGGGACTTGATGCCCTGCATTCTAGCCACTCCAGCTGTGGCTAAAAGGGGCCAAGGCACAGCTTGGGCTGTGGCTTTAGAGGGTGCAAGCCTCAAGCCATGGCAGCTTCCACGTAGTGTTAAGCCTGCAGGTGCAGAAACATCAAGAATTGCAGTTTGGGAACCTAGGCTTAGATTTCAGAGGATGTGTGGAAATATCTGGATGTCCAGGCAGAGGTGTGCTGCAGAGGTAGAACCCTCCGGGAGAAACTGTGCTAGGTCAGTGTGGAAGGAAAATGTAACATGGGAGTCCCCATACAGAGTCCCCACTGGGGTGCTCCCTAGTGGAGCGTGCGAAGAGGGCCACCGTCCTCTCGACCCCAAAATGGTAGATATACTGACAGCTTCCACTGTGCACCTGGAAAAGCCACAGACACTCAATGCCAGCCTGAGAAAGTGGCCAGGAGAGGGGCTGTACCCTGCAAAGCCACAGGGGCAGCTCTGCCCAAGACCATGGGAACCCACCTCTTGCATTAGCCTGACCTGGATGTGAGACATGGAGTCAAAGAAGATCATTTTGGAGCTTTAAGATTTGACTGCCTCGCTAGATTTCAGTCTTGTATGGGCATTGTAGCCCTTCTGTTTTGGCCAACTTCTGTTTGGAACGAGTGTATTTACTCAATGCCTGTAGCTCCACTGTATCTAGGAAGTAACTAACTTGCTTTTGATTTTACAGGCTCACAGGTGTAAGGGACTTGCCTTGTCTTGGATGAGACTTTGGACTGTGGACTTTTTAGTTAATGCTGAAATGAGTTAAGACTTTGGGGGGCTGCTGGGAAGGGATGATTGGTTTTGAAATGTGAGGACATGGTATTTGGGAGGGGCTGGGGTGGAATGATATGGTTTGGCTGTGCCCCCACTCAAATCTCATCTTGAATTGTAGGTTCCATAATTCCCACGTCATGGGAGGGACCCGGTGGGAGGTAACTGAATCATGGGGATGGGTCTTCCCCAGGCTGTTCACGTGACAGTGAATAAGTCTCACGCGATCTGATGGTTTTATAAAGAGGAGTTTCCCTACACATGTTCTCTTTTGCTTGCTGCCTTGTAAGACCTCCCCTGCTCTTCCATCATGATTGTGAGGTCTCTCCAGCCATGTGGAACTGTGAGTCAACTAAACCCCTTTCCTTTATAAATTACCCAATATCAGGTATGTCTTTATCAGCAGTGTGAGAATAGACTAATACACCAAGGCTTTAACTGAAATGGTGTGCTTTCCTTTGAGGAATCAAACTTAACTTATAGAGCCAATAAAAGACCCTTGGGAAAACTGGCCTCATACCTTGTCTACACAGTTCCTGTACAGGGTTCCTGACCTGTGGTAAGTAACAAAATGTCACTGTATGACAGGCCCAGGAGCCCCAAGTTATCTTCAGACCATAAAAGGAGGGGAATTTACCCAACTCCTAGGTCCTTGAGGGTACAAACCCATGGCAGGGCTCAGCTTTTAAGAAGTCTTATCTAAGATTCCTTTCATGGAACAGAGTTCCATCAAAGCCAATTTAAAAACAGCTTATGTGAAAAATAATTATTCTTGCTGCACTTTATACAAATAGGCCAAGTATAATAAAACAACTTGGTCTTACCACTATGTCTTTAGTAAAAATATAAAACTGAAGAGACGAAAAAAATTATGTTTCAAGAACTGTGGTACACTTGTTATTAAATTCTAGTCTCATCAGTTATTTTTGAGGTTTTTCCTACAATTTAGACTAACCCTGCTTACTCCTGTGAACCAACCAGTGATCTCTGGCTGCTACTCAGAAAAAAAAACAAAAGGGATGGATAATGTAGAAATTAGATCAATATTCTAATTCTGGACACATAGTGGAATCAGCTAGTAACCCCATATCAGCTTGGTTCCAGCAGTTGCCGAGTTCATGGAAAACCTTCTTATTTAGTTTACTTGGGATAATTTTGCTGATCTTGCTTTACCATTGTGAAATATATTGCTGTTGTACTCTTTGTGCAGGAATGCAGAATAGTCTTACTGAATGTTTTCTTAAATACTTATTAATATTCCAGATATCACATTCTGTCAGAACTCAAGAATTATAAATGGCCCTTGACATACCGATGATTTCTGACTGAGCTCCTCTCTACCCTGAATGCAAGACACCCTGACAATTAGAGAGGAATGTCATCGCTTCTTTTCAGCATCAAGAAGTTACAGAAGATTGATCTTCATCCCTCTGTAACCCTTAAGATTAAGGGTTCTTTTAAGGGAGGGGAGAAATGTCAAAGGCGTTTGAACCAGAGCAACTCCATCTTGAATAAAGGCTGGGTAAAATAAGGCTGAGACCTACTGGACTGCATTCCCAGACAGTTAGGCATTCCAATTCACAGGATGAGATAGGAGGTTGGCACAAGGTACAGATTATAAAGACCTTGCTGATTATACAGGCTGCAGTAAAGAAGCTGGCTAAGACCCACCAAAACCAAGATGGCAATGAGAGTGACCTCAGGTCATCCTGACTGCTACACTCTCACCAGCACCATGACAGTTTACAAGTGCCATACAATGTCAACAAGTTACCCCTATGTGTTCTAAAAAGGGGAGGCATAAATAATCCATCCCTTGTTTAGCATATAATCAAGAAATAACTATAAAAATGGGCAACCACCAGCCCTTGGGGCTGCTCTGTCTATGGAGTAGCCATTCTTTTATTCTTTTATTCCTTTACTTTCTTAATAAACTTGCTTTTTCAATTTATGGACTCATCTTGAATTCTTTCTTGCAAGAGATCCAAAAACCCTCTCTTGGGGTCTGAATTGGGACCACTTTCTGGTAACAAATTCTTGTGCTGGATTTCAAAGGAGCATATAGTAGTGGGATAAATTTTTGGTGCTGTAGTCTCAATGCAATCCATTAGATGGTGCTTAGGAGTAATGGCCATTAATTAGGTAAGTTAATACCCCACCATGAGGCTCTTTCGTTCTTCCTCATGTTCCCAGGCATGCTCCGCAGTGGGCGGGGGAGAGACATGGCCCCCTCACCAGGTCTGCTCCTGGGCCTTGGGGGAGCCTCCTTCCAGTCACTGATGCTGTGCCCATGTTTCTTTTGTTAGGTGTTTCAGGCTCTGGGGCCTTCTTGATCAGGGGCTGCAGGAGGAAGATATGCCTCACTATCTCTGGATCAACTCTGTGGAGGTAGGCATACCCTGCTCCCCTCCCACCCCAGCCCAGTAACCTGAAGATCTTGCCCCCTTCTACCTGACTTGAGTGCTGGCCACAGATCTTGGCTACTTACTCCCAAAATGCTGCATGAAGCAGCCCTGGGGGCACTGGGACAGCCTGTGGATTAGGTTGGCATTCCAGCTGTACTGGGAGGATCCAATGTGCTTCCAAGTCACTAGGAAAGTACTCAGGTAGAGCAACATACTCAGGCTGTGCTGCAGGGGCTGTGCTGTGCACTCACTCCTACAGGGTGGCTAAGCGTGACCCTGGGTGGGGCCAGCAGGCAGGAAGCCTTGCAGAATAGATGTGCTCTAGTCCCACAGGGAAGCTGGTTTCACTCTCTCCTAGCTTGAAGGTCAGCTGGGGTCCACACCTCCCAGAAAGGGATGAAGAGCCCTCCCCACAGAGCAGCTCTATGGCTGCTCTCTGCTGGAGCTCCCCAGTGCACGAAAACTTTTGGGCTCCATGCTGTCCAACGGCCTGTCTCTGCCTGCTCCCCAGGGAGATGCCCCTGTCAGCTCACACATCCAGGGGAGACACGGAGTTCTGTAACTAGGATCTAGGATCCCAGAGGCTGGCGGTGAGAGTGAGCTTTCCCTCAGTTCCTCATTCACCCCTTTCCCAAGAGCCATTCGGGGCTGGGAACTAGCCCTGGTATTCAGGTACCCAGCACAGGGCTGCCAGCTTCCTTACTCTTCACCCTTCATTTTAACATTGCCTCTCAACCCAATCTGAGCATTTTCTCTCCGAAGATCTGCCCAGATTACAGTGGTTTACTCTAAAATTTGGTCTCTCTCAGTGGGAGCTGCACTTCCTGGCTGCATCTAGTCAGCCATCTTAACCTTATGTCTCCTTTGATCTTTTTGCTATTAATCAGTGCAGTTTGATAATCACTTCATCTCCTGATATACTTGGCAGTCTCACTATTTCAAAGAAGGGAGAAGTTCAACAATGTACTATGTATAACCCGTAAAGTACTCATGGAATCAATTTTAAAATGGCTATTTTTAGCTCGCATTTTAGATTCTGCAATGAAATTTTATATGCAACCATACTGTCTAAAATGCCTTACCAGAACCATAAAAAGAACAATTAGAAGAACTACTCTTTCCTCACAAAAAGCAAGGAAATATATGAGTAAGTTCTAGATATACATGAATTGGCCATTCAATAATCCCTCAATGAGGGCTTAGCAAATCTATGTTTTGAGAAAACAGCTCTGTGTTTACTAGAATTTTAAAATGTGACATCTATTTATATACACACAGATATGCTCTGTCCCCTTAAACAAAATGCTCACTTAACCATTAATGCTCCCTACCCCTCCATCCCTGCCCCTAAGCTTCCCAATACTATGTGTTACTTACTCAGCCATTCCACACATGAACAAAGACCAGGCAATGAAAATCAACCCTTAACTCTCAGAGTAATATCTGAAAAGGCTGGGCATTTTCACAGTATTTAAGAAAAAAAAATACACATATATATGGTATATATTTATATATACATATATGACTAACTTTAATTATAATACAAGTTAGTTTAAAAACCTTAAGACAAAGTACAGTCGGCTTAGGCAATCACATATTGCAGCATTATTTTATGAACAGAAGATCACTCAGGGGAGGGGTATCTACACAGTTGGCAAATACTCATTATTCCAGTTTCTTTAGGAAGTCATGTCCTTATTTTAAATATACATTTCAAGTATATTTAATGTCATATTTATTTGCTTCTAAATCCCTGTTTTCTATGAGATCCTGATCTTGCCAAATGGGCTTTTCTCATCATATTTTTCAAAAACGTAGACCCTAAGGTTGATGAATAACAACATGTCAGTATGCCATTAAACAAATTTTTATAGAATTTCAGGCCTTTAACAATATGATTTAATGAAAGTGAAGTTTACTGAAATAATAAATGCTTAACAATTCTCCCTAGATCCTTAATTCACTATTAAATAACAGTGTAATTTGCCCCTTTAGCAATTATTTGAAAACACCATGCTTGTAAAACTTTAAAAGTTGTTATTAATAGAAAGGATCATTTTTTCACTTACTCGAGCAGCTAAAAAGTAAAAGGCATACTAAATCATATAATTATATTTTATCTTCATTTTGTGCGTAATACTAACTACTAACACCCAATTTGGAAAAAAAAAGCTTTTAAGTTATTTAGGAATCATTGATATTATCGAACTACTGAGGATTATTTAATTTCCAACACAACAAATTGTAAGTCATTCAATGATTCTCGAGTAGTTTGTCACTAACTAAGAATAAATTATAGAAGTGAACAAGAAGCAGTAGCTACTGGCAAAGAAACCTCAAATTTTTCTTTGACATTGAAAGGAGTTAACCAGCTTGCTTTAGGCAGAAAGTAAGGGAAGGGTCCCAGGCAAACCTCTGACCCATGTTTTGTGCAGATAAGGGAACGTGCACAGGGGGCTTGTCTAAACATGCCCTCAGCAGACTAAGTGCCCACATGCGTCCAGGGGGAATGGGGTGGAGCCACCAGGAATTCCCACCTTATACAAACAGGGAATCCAGCTCCATCAAGCTTTTATATAAAAGCCCTTGTATTCAAAACTGGAAGGGAACAACCAGGAACCTGCTTTACAGGACCCATCTCTTTGCTGAGAACTTTCCTTTTGCTTAATAAATTCTGTTCCACTCACTCTCTGGTGTCTGCACGCCTAATTTTTCCTGGTTGGGAGACAAGAACCTGGACCTAGCTGAGCTAAAAGAGCAAAAATCCTGTATCAACATTACATTAAAAAAAAAAATCACTGAACCAAGGAATAGCATTTATATTCTTGATCTTTTTTAAAGTTCTCAGACATTAAGAGGCCTAAATTTGATTTAGAAAAATTGCTATATAGTCCTAACTCCATTATCACTAATCTCTTAAATTTTAATTGCATACTATGGTGGCTGACATATTCCCATTAAGTAGCATGAAAACTATGTAAGTGAACATCCTGGTTTACATCAAACAACCTCACTTTATGTCTGTTGTCCCACTACAGAAGACAAAGTATATGGTCATCATTATTCCATTACCAGCTTGGGATCTCTCTGACTCTATGCAAGCTTCCTGTTTAGGCAAGTAAATAAGAATTTAGGAACTTGGTGGGAAAGAGAACAATGTTTTTAACAGTTGGATCAACAACAAGTGGGTCTAATCTACTCACTCCCCACCAGTTCACCTCCCTTTGGCCTGACATAGAAGCTGAAACTATGGTCACTTACTGTATATTTCTGAACATTTCTTTTTGAAAGAAAATTATTGTAATATAGATGCCAGCTCTACTTGATAGACAGATGACCAAAGACTGATGAACAACAATGCAAATGTAATAAAATCACCCTTAAATGCTTGCCTTGTATATGTCATAAAAAGATAAATATAAGTAATCATACTCTACTTCTGTGACACAAAAAAATAAACTTTTACTAATGAAAACCTTCATTAATAACACAGGGCTTCAGACTCTGTCTATGAAACACTTATCAATTTAAAAATGCTGTACTGCTGGTTTCATAGTTGAAAGGCAAAAAACTTTCAATGAACCAGTACCTGAGAAGCCCATCTATCCTCCCCGTTAACTCAAAGCAATTATCCATATGTGTATAATAAGGAATTCTACCCTCTCAGAAGACATTAACTTAAGGCTAAGAGTTTGTCCCTAAGGAAAATAATTCAATAGCTGGTAGTCAGTGAGCCAAGCCTCTGGTTCTAAAGAAATCTTTTAACATATAATGTGAAGTTGATGTTAAAGATAATGCTGCTTTATATTATTAACTAAATGTGTCTTCATCAATAAACAAAATATTTTGTCCCAATTTTGAGTAACAAGGCAAGTAGTAAGAAAAGTCATACAAATGAATGTTTAAGTACTTAGCAAATCTCTTCAAATAGCCTAACCAGCATTTCAAAATAAGACATTTGTTCTAAAAAGAAAAATTAAAATTGGGTTTACTCTAAGGAGAAATTGTTTTTAAATGTTTTTCCTAATTCCCACTTGTTTTTTTCCTTAGTTTATATTTGAAGAATCTCTTTCTTAATTATGTATTGTGCTGATCGCCCAAATATCTTCTAGTAGCAACAGTAAAGCTACAGTTAGCTATGATATCCTTGGAGAAAATTAACAGCATAAGCAGAAAATTCATATATCACACCTCATTTAATTACACTGTTTAAAAAAGTATCAATTTAAAAAGTTAATTCATATATTCTTCAGGTTGAAAAGTTAATGTAGGGAGAATCAACATCTCTTACTACACACACACATATACACACACACACAGAGACACACTTATCCCTTATACTGACAGAAGATCCACTTTACAAATGCTTTTCGAATGGTATTAAGCAATTTCATAGTATTTTTAATGAGTATCATCTTTGATCAACCCCAAGGGAGGAAAAAAAGATTTGCCTACATCAAACCTCATTCCCTTACTTTCATCTAATATTACAGGATACTTCTATTTTAGTCTACTAGGATGGAGAAAGCCTTCATAAGCACAAACTACCCAAAATAATGCTTAGTTTACCCATGGTGACAAAAAATATTATAGTTTTGCTGCAAAGGTCCACATGTTCACAAGACTGGCATGGAGGACACTGCCCGGAAAGTTGTTTGTTTGTTTGTTTTTTAAAGGCAGAAAGAGCAGCAAGAGGGCAGGCAGAAAGGAGAAAAGATACTGTGGTTCTCTGAACAGATATAAGAGTATCCATGCTTACTACCAGAAGGATTTACCCATGCTACTGTTGCTCCCATGACTCAGTATAGATATAGGTTAGTAAAGGTCCTATTTTTATAAAGTACACGGGTTTTATTAAAATTGAAACTGCATTTAATTTATTAGGTAAATTGATAACAGAATACATAATTAGGCATTCCATCATATTAGAAGACTATTTTATCAACATTTATGCAGTACTTCATTATTTTAATGTACTTGAACTGTGTATTGGGACTGCCACAGAAAAGCTGGTTTTAATAAAATTTAGAATTGTGCGATGTTGGAATATTACTCACAAAATACACTCAAGTTGTTCAGCTATGTACACTTAGGTAGAACTCTATGCCCAGAAAAGTTCATGGTTAAAAAATAAAGTATAAATTTTGTGTCAGAGTGCAGAGGCAGGAGATTCTTCAGTAATGAGCTGAAAAGGCAAGATTAAGTTTCAGTTTTTTTAACTGCTAATATAAATTAGAGTTAACCATTGCTATTAGAAAAAAGACTAGCAGAACAAGAAGAAAAATGCAACACTTAAAAATACAAGCCATCTCAGAGAAAACATTGTCTGAGTGGTTCTGAAAGCAGCTAATAATACAGGCATGGTGACTATTTTATGCTACTGCTTTTTGAAGCCCAGAATTTAAATCAATCCAGAAAAGAAATGAAAATGTGTTACAATTAAGAGAGCAA
The DNA here is from genome assembly GCF_000001405.40 of Homo sapiens. NCBI lineage: Eukaryota > Metazoa > Chordata > Mammalia > Primates > Hominidae > Homo > Homo sapiens. The sequence continues at coordinate 80,284,812 of NC_000006.12, read as the reverse complement.
ACTAATCCTGTCAAAAGACAGGACACAATGAGGACTTGTTTTAAGCAATGGCACAATTACAAATGTGGATGATACAAATATAGGTTTAGAAATGTTAGTCACCTTAAGGCATTTTTAAAAACATAAATATTTAGATCCCCTTTAAAGAACAGTCATGAATTATATCCTTTTCAGCTAATAATTTTGATAAAGACAAATAGACTCTTTGTGCCATCTGAAATATAAACTGTCTTAAACAGCAAATGTCATTATCTGATCCTCTAAAGGATTAAAACAAAAAAGTTATGTCTCTTCAAATGAATCAAGAAGCAAAAATAAAGTCACTTTTTAAGTTAACTTGAAAGAAAATGATCAAACATCCAACATTTTCCAATCAAATGGAAATTTTCAGATATCTTAAAGACTCACATTAATATTGATAGATTTGAAAAATCAAAACAATTATCAACTAGATGATTTCTGCTTTTAACCTTCATTTTCAAATTCTTGTTTTTGCAGTAAGTGCTGATTTTAACTTGTCTTAATTTTCACAAGTGTTTAACTTCAAATTGAGGAGAAAATGCATCAGCAGTAGTGAATCTCTATTTTAATGTCTATTTTAAACTCGACTATATTTTAGTGAGCTGTGAACTCATTCATGAAAATAGATAATGGCCCTCATAACAAAACACAAACTGAGTTGATCTGTAAGTTTAATTACCCTAAATTACCAAACCAAAATGAGCTATCAACATCACCAACATTATTGCCTACAAAGGGCATGACAAAATGAGAAATTTAGTTCTGTCTCCAGGAGGCAGACCCATCCTGTTACTGATTGTGAATACAATGCTGACAAAACATGGCTAACATTTCTTGGCAAATTGAATATGTGTCTTCATTTTTGCCTAAAATGTTGTACAAGGTGGCCAAGAGAATCAGCCAGGTTATGGATACATTATCTGCTGTCTTTCATGTATAAAATTTTAAATAACCTTATTGTAGTTAGAAAATTTTGAAGATAAGGCTGTACATTTTAAAATATACATACTGAAATACAATCATTTCATACCAAATAAGAAAATATTTTAAATCCACTATAATTTTCTTTGAAGATACAGCCATATTTTCAAGGATCAATGCAATGAATGGAAACTACAACTTTTAAGGTATTAAAAAACAACAAAAAGGGACCAAGTCATAGAAATCACCATTAACTTTTTAAATAAAGTAATGCTTTCCTTCAGAGAATCTATTTTACTAATTAATAGTCCATTCAGTCTACGAAACTTCATTGGTAAATATGTAAATATAAATGTCTTCCTTAGCTTACTGGGGTGACAACAGAGAAAGAGTAGAGGAGCTTGGTATGAATGCACCTTTGAATTCAAGGGGGACTACTTATGACTACAGAAATACCAAGAATTGCATGAGAGAAACTGGGGCACTTATTACTCAGGGAGATGAAATATGATCTTTTTTCTGACTGGCTTAAATCCAGAAAGACTTCAAAAAGAATGATGACAATTCATGATAAATTCAATACCAAAAAGAGGGATGGAAAATAAGCAGTGAACCCAATGTTAGTATCAATTACATGCTAGTAATGTCAGTTTCAGTATCATTACTGATTAATACAGAAAAATTAAATAATCTGAATACCCCAATACAATGCTGCTTTCACTTCTGTAATAAGAGCAATGAATCAAAATATGCCATACATGTAGAAGACAGACACTAACCTGCAGAAAAACCAAATCTTATGCGGTGAGGTGGCATTGGTTTTAAAATCATCCCACATGACAATTCTGAGTAAGTAACCACCATCACTATGAATGGTAAATCCCAAAACTCAAATGTACATGATAAAGGAATTATGTCAAAATAAGTAATATGAAATCTTTGCAAAACAACTTTATAAGCAAAATGGGTTTTTTAATTTAAAACAACTAGGAAGATTTAAAAGAATAACCATGTCATGTGAGAGAAACATCTACATATAATAAAGCTTTTAATTATTAAAAAAGTGACATGTATGTACATAAAAATGAAGAAACAATTAGAAAATACAAATCAATAAAAGACTTATAGTGCAAGTTTCTTTTCCTATGCCTAGATGTATGTATATATAAAGTTTTTTTCTTTTTTCTTTTCACAACATTGAGCAAGTAAAGTACCTGTAGGTTTGCATACAGGTGAGTTTTCATTTACTATTTTATTCATGCAAATATTACAATGTTATCAACTACTCTTTTAATGATTTTGATAAATCCATAACATTCATCAAGTGGACAAATCATAACTTATTAAAATATATTCCTGTTGTTGTCATTAATAATGTGTCCGATATTTTCCTATCGAACGAACAACACTGAGATGAATACATATTTTTGTGTTTAACTCCTAAGTGAGGATTCCTAGAATTCTTGAATCAAAGGAAATCTACACTTTGAAGAGTCTCGATACACATTCTCAATATGATATCCTGGAAACGTGAATCAATTTCTATTAATACATTCACATTCTACATCATCTCAGCAGAAAATAAAATTCATTTTTAAGCAGTCCCACTCTTATAAGTAACAAACGATATTACATTTTTAAAATTAGCATTTTATCAATAGTAAGTGGCATATTTTTTCATGTTTGCTGGCTATAGTTATAAAACTAATCTGTTTCTGACCCTTTAAATAAAGGCCCTATTAATTTCCGTATTGACATTTAAGAATGCTTAACAGAGTACACGTTAGTTCTCTGTCATGTGTTACAACATATTCTCATTTGTCATTGTTTTTAAAATCATGCTTGTTTTTGCCATACAAAAATTTCCATTTTATGCAAATATATTTCTCTGTAACAGTATGATTGAGTCTGCTGCCTTTTAATTTTCTGATTAAAAATGTCTTGCCCATCCCAATATAAGCTATTTTCTACCTTTTCCTTTTAGATTTAGTGGTTTTCTTTTTTTTTTCTAAGTTCATTTAGAGTTTATTAGGAAAATGGAAAAAAGAGGTCAGGTTTGATAGATGTTTAAAAACCGACTGCTAGATGGTTTGGAGGGGAAGGGAGAGAATGAGGACAGGGAGAGGGGCAGGGAGGAGAGGGAGAAGACAGGCAGGCTGCCAGGGAGGACTGCAAATTGAGGAAATAAATGGCATTCTATGCCAAGTGAATAGCATTAAGAGATCAAACCTAGCTCTAACTACTTCATTCCTCTCCTTTCCTTGAAAGTCAAGTTTCTTGAAATGGTAGTCTATATTCATCGGTTCAAGTCTTCACTACTTACTCACTCACCAGTCTAAATGTTGTCTGGCTTCCTGGCCACCCTTCTGTTTTCATCAGTCACCAGTGTCTTCCAGTTGCTACATGCAAGGTAGGACCATTAGTCTTTAGCTGTCTTAAATTCTGGAAGCATTTAATATTCTTGGCCATATATGCTATTGTCAAACTCTTCTGCACTTGTCTCATGTAATGGCTCTCTCCTACTCCCTTCCTTTTCTGAAGCCACTCCCTCTCACTCTGCTTCATAACTTCCTTTCTTTCTCTTAAATGTTGGTGTGGCTTCTTCTTCAACCCAGGCAGCTTCTTCTTCAGAAACTTTCCCTTCTTAAGATTATCTCTTCCTATGTGACCCTATCTATACCCATGAACTCAGCCACCAGTATATCAGTATAAGAGAATGAATCCTTACCCATTTCCTACACCTTAGATTCTCTCCTGAGCTCCAGAAACACATTTTCATCCCCATTTCAGATACAAATCTAAAATGTACTCATTACCTTATACACACACACACACACACACACGCATACACCTGTTCTTCAATGATATTCCCCATCTCAGTGAAACTGCACCTCTATTCAAAAATCATCCAACCTAGAAACCAAGCTATGCTTTATTCTTGACTTCTGTCTGCCTCTCCCTCATCCACTTCAATCCCCACCCCACTCCTGTGAGTCAGCAAGTCTTTCATTCAGATTCTCTCTCCTACTATCTGAAAAATTCACCTTTCTCTAACCTACTCCCATGTCCTTGGTTTAGAAGACCGTCAAATCTCACCTAGTTTAATCACATACAGTAATGAGTCACAAGGACAGGAATACATTTTGAGAAACGCATTAAGCAATTTTGTGGTTGTGCAAACATCACAGACTATACTTTCACAAACCTAGATGATATATATTTTTATTTATATACATATTTTTTCACATGGAAAACCAAATATCCCAGAAGCAGCATTAAATATCAATCATTTCCCATACTTGATCTGCAATGCCCACATCAAGCACCATATTATTAGGTTTCTATTTATGCTCCACTATGATCTCATGGGACCAACATCTTCTATGTGGTCCATTGTTGACCAAAATGTTGTTTTGCAGTCTGTGACTAGCTTTTTAGCAATTCTCCATCACTTCCTCTCTCACTCCTCCCCAGTGTATCCTCTACACAACTACCTAGGAGTTTTTCTAACTTTTAAATCTATATTAATCTCCTGCTTAAAATTCTTCACTTATATTCTTTTGCCTTAAATAATTATAGTAATATTTTCAGCTCCTACTACTTTCTATTTGCCAAGAACTCCATAAAGTATATTTTATATATATTACATGAGAAAACTGGAAGTTACATCTATGTGAGCTGGCTTTACTCTGTCATATCTATTTCCTCCACATAAAAACAAATTCCTTAATATTTAAGATTCTTCAGGATCTAATTCTTACCTACTTGTCAACGCTTACCTTACGCTACAGCCTCACATGCTAGTCTTTAAACACACAAAACCACTTTAATTCCTTCAATAGCAAATCCTTTGCCTAATTCCTTATTCATATAGTTCATTCTGCCTGAAATACCCACCTACCTTCACTACCAAGTTCATACTTATCCTTCATGAGTTAACTTAGCTGCCACATATGGGTTAAATGAGCACGTATTTTATAATCCTATAGTTCTCTGAATATTCCATTCTAACATGTACTATAACTACCTGTTTATCATCGACTTCTAATAAACTCTAAGTGTCTCTAAAACAAGGACACCAATTCTTGGATGAAATGCCCATATTAAGGCTATCCCCAGAATACTTAATAAAGGATGGTTATAAGAAATACTTATCATTCAGGAAATAGCCAGTAGGCCAGTGTGATCTGCATACTGGAGTCAAAAAGGGATGTGAGAAATAACACTGGAAGACTGGTTTGAGTAGATCAGGATCTTGAATGCCGACATAAAGATTTTTTTGCTAGACCCAATGAGGATCCATTGGATGCTTTCAAACAGACAATGGACGAAATTTGATGTGTGTTTTAAGAAAATAATACATAGTAATTAGACGAGAGGTGAACAGCTGGAGACAAAGATAAGGAGACAGTTTAGGATGGGTCTGGCGGCTCACGCCTGTAATCCCAGCACTTTGGAAGGAAGAGGCAGGAGGATCACTTGAGGTCAGGAGTTCGAGACCAGCCTGACCAACATGGTGAAACCCCTGTCTCTACTAGAAATACAAAAAATTAGATGGGCGTGGCAGCAGGTACCTGTAATTACAGCTACTTGGGAGGCTGAGGCAGGAGAATCACTTGAACCCGGGAGGCAGAGGTTGCAGTGAGCCGAGATCGCACCACTGCACTCCAGCCTGGGTGATGGAGCCAGAGCAAGACTCTGTCTCAAAAAAACAAAACAAAACAAAAAACAAACAAACAAACAAAAAGGAGACAGTTTAAAAGGTCCAGAAAAAGTTGAAGAGAAATAGAGTTCATTTTTATATAAGCTGATTTCCATAAACTAGCAAATAACCATGTGCATATGCCTACCTTTTCTCATTGTTTCACATTCAAATTTTTCCAGATAATCATTTTATTACACAAATGTTTTATCTCTACCAAAATAAGCATAATGTTGGAATTTTGGGTCTAAAGCTCAACAGGTCAAACCTTGAAAGTTTCAAATTTGAAGGTTTCAAGAGTAACCATGCAAATGGTTGAGACGTCCCAGGAAAGAATGGGGAAAGGCACTTTGGGAGGCCGAGGTCGGTGGATCACAAGGTCAGGAGTTCAAGACCAGCCTGGCCAAGATGGTGAAACCTCGTGCCTACTAAAAATACAAACATTAGCTGGGCAGGGTGGCAGGTGCCTGTAATCCCAGCTACTCAGGAGGCTGAGGCAGGGAATTGCTTGAACCCGGCAGGCGGAGGTTGCAGTGAGCTGAGATTGCGCCACTGCACTCCAGCCTGGGCGACAGAGCGAGACTCCCTCTCAAAAAAAAGAATGGGGAAAGGGTTGGAGGTGGAAACTAAACAAGCAAAGGAGAAGATGACATGGAAGCAGACCAGGTGTGGTTAGGGCAAGGAGAAGAACCAACAGAGTATAACATGGATTTAACTACAAACAGTAATGAAGCAGCCCAATCCACAATATATCCCCAGAGTGATTTAGACTTTGGTTCCTATCTGTGGTCACAGAAGCTGTTTACAGAATACTAAACAGGCTTCAGGAAGAAACTACAGTTTTAAAATGCCATCCTATATCCAAACACTCCACATTAAACTGTTTTTCTGATGCTCTGGCTCCATCTTTTAGTACAGAAGTATACTTCTCCTGATTGTTTTATCTGTTGCTATTAGGAAAGGTTTTGTATCACTGGTAAATTTTTTGTTAACTGAGATTATAAAATTGCAGTAAACTACTCATCAAATTACTAATCTGATAGTTTTCTCTGATGACAATTTACCAGCACGGCAATTTTAATGAAACATGTTTTCCAGAATGGTAAAAATTCAAGACCCTATAGGATCTTTTCCCCTCTTTTCAGATTGATATCTTTAAACAAAGTGCTTGGAAATTTAGTAGTAATAAGTTTATAAGAAAAAATCCTTCTCCATAAACTATTCTAACATGAAACACTGAAAAAAGCAAAAATTCCTTTAACTTGAAAGTTATTAAAAGTTTTCTTTTACATAATGACTTGTATAGGCCCTATAAAAATCCTTTGAACTATTAGAATCTGATAATCTTAAAAAATATATGTTGGTATCCACAGTTTCTGAGTTCTTATGCTAAGAAAAGAGACCGCACAGAAAGGATGTAACAATGGTATGGAAACTTACCATCCTCTCCAATTGGACTCTTTATTGCAGACTTATTGCTTCCATGTGATTTAAAAAAAAAAAAAAAAAACTCAAATCTTAAGCCAACCACATCCCTAAAATTTCTGGCACTCTTTTTAAGCACTGAATCCAAAGCAGGAGAAATAAACAATAACTTTAAAAAAAATTATCACACAACTCTTATCAGACTCAGGATTTGTTTTTTCATTATGCAGGTGTGTTGGAAATTAATAATAAAGGCTGATTTACAATCCTTAAAAAAATTTACTCTATTTAAACCAGCCAAAATACCATAAACTATTTGGTCTTAATATTTAAATAAATAATAGCTATGTTGAACATTACATTCTAGAATATATAAATTAATTTGGGTGATATTAAAATAGATGAGGTTAACACTTTTACACACTAAAGGCTTTCTTAAAAAAACCTGGGGTTACATAAAGCTGAAGCATACAAGCATCAAATAAAATTCATTCATATAATTTTCTGAAACAATAAAATCTTTGCTTAAAATACACAATAAAAAGAACAATGAATTATCTAAACTCTATAGTCATTGCACTTTTCCACAAATTACGGTGCACAATTCATGACTCCCTAAAAGAAGCATTTTAAGTTATAGTATGTGTCAAGTAAAAGAAAAGAATGAAAAAGTTCCCATACCCTAAAGTGAGAACAGATGGGAATGTAAGATAAGAAGAGAGAGTGAAGCTTTAAATAACTGACCAAGAAATCTTCCCCAGAGTGGGGCCAAATATACCAGACCTCAGCTTGCTCTGCCTTCCAGTTAATTTCCAAATTAAATCCAATAGAAATATAAAGCACTTCGTAAATTAGATGCACTGTTTTTTATTTTTGTAATCATTTATTTCTCTCTATATATATGTTTTATGAAGAAACTTTAAATAAATAAGTTTAAAAATTATGTCTAATCAATATAAAATAGTCTTCTAATCACTTCTGTGAGTTTACCATTATTTCAAACTAAGACTGTTAACAATAAATTTCTGTAAAATGGTAAAATAAATAGGCTTATAAAAAAAAAAGTAGCAGGAATGAAACAAACCTAAGATGTGGGCACTGAATTCCTTGCACGATGAAAGAGCCATCTGCTATAAACTAGAGTTTTGTAAATAAATTATGACTCCATCTTATATTCATTTCTTTCATATTTGATCTGTATACTAAAATAAGCTTTAAATAGTAATGCCAATACCACTTCTTATAAAAATGTTCCTTTATTTGATATTTAATTTTATATAGCATAATTTTTCTATCTAAAAATACCAATTATAAACTTAAAAGAATACTCTCCATAGTGCTGTATTCTCTTCAATATTTTTTATTTTAATATAGGTAGTAACTTAAACTTTTGAATAAAACAGCATAGTTCATATTTTCAGGTGTTTTCAGATTTTAATGTATTTAAAAACAATAACTTTACTATTAATACTCATTCTCTTAAAATATTTTAAAAGCAATTTTGTAGGATTAACCATGAGCTTTTAAAAAGCTACCAGATATCTTCTATCAAAAATCGCCTGTGGAGCAAACATTGTTTTCATTTCCTTTGACATAAAACTTGCATTTGTTGAACCAACAATAACTTCATATTTTAATCAAAAGTACTCAAATTTATACATCATTCTCATCCACGATTTAAAACATCTTTTCCCAGATAACAATGAAAGAGTTGTCCGTGTACATTTTCTCTGCTGTCCCAGAAAGTTGGCTTTCAATATCTTAACCCTGTTTTATCTTTTTTAACCTTAAAAAATATACCCCAAAAAAGAAATAGAGAAATATGAATCATGCTAAGTGGTGAAAGCAGTTGTACCTCAAACTTAGGTGATCTCAGTTTAAACAACCCAAGGCACTGGTAATTTGATACAGGTTTCACTTATAATATGGAACAAGGCTTTCCATAGAGAGGAAGCTCAATACAGGATATTGCATAGTTGAATATCTGCATGAAAGAGTTACTGAAAGGTATATTTTATTACTCAGATTACTCAAAATTATATGGGAAAATTATCAATGAAAAAAAATTTTTCAAGTGTCTAGTTTTTTTTCTAATCTTCTTTATCAGTAGATAAAAGCCATAACAGGCAAACATTTATGGATATCATGCTCACTAAATTTTACTAAAATTCATTTTCTATACTTTCTATTTGTGCAAATAAAATCTGAATTAAGCAAAAACACTGTGTACCTTTCAAATTTCTCATATTAATAAATCCAAACTCAAATTATCCAAAATATTAAATATAATTCCTCCATCAAATATTACACTATTGTCTCAAGTCATTCTGTGGTTAGCTGGTGAATAATTTTGCCATGAACAACAGAACATTGTATAACGGGTCCAAAACTTCTATTATCTTCCTCGTGGAAGGCAGGGGATTTTGAATTAAGAGTGCATGTGCACACACTTTACATTTATTCAAGACTCCTGTCTAATCCCAGATATTCCACTGTCTTTATAAAATGGGTAAGTCACAAACACTCTGGATGACACTCATCTGTAAAAAGAATGCAGTTGGTTTAGATCAATATTTCTCAAAATATAGACTAGGGACACCTGAGGATCTATGAACACATTCCTGGGAGTCTGAGAGTGCTACAAGATGCTTTGTTTTGGTGTCTTCATATTATTATATAAATACGATTATATTCTGATACTCTCATTGACAATTTTTGCAACTGACAATTATCACATAATTTCAGGATCTTATTTTGATATTATGTTTATGATATTTTATGTTAGTTATAGTGACTATGTTTAATTCTTAATATACTACTTCTCAAACTAGGATTCACTAATGTATTCTTGGGGCCTGAGAGACATTTTTCCATTAACATAAGACCACATATTATTTAAGACCAAGAGACACTGGATTAGATTATCTTTCTAATTCTATTCCAATCTAAAAAAATGTTGTATTAAATTGCAGTCTACCAATAACTTACAGAGATCAAACTTTAAAAGCACACTTACAGAAAGCAAACTTCACAAGAGGAGTTATAGTATCTAATTCCAACTATGTTCTACTTGTTTTCCTTTTTTAATTATATGCAATTGAAACTTTTGAGATATCAATAAGCAGTGAACAAAACACAACAAGGCTGTCAAAGTTTCAATTAGCAACAGTCACTATCCTTTCAAATGGTTTAGTAGACTATATATTAACTATAAGTCAGAAAATCCAGTTTCTTTTTCCAGTTTTGCCTCTGGCTTGAAATGATTGCCCTAATCTTTGTATTATGCTACTCAATGTATAAAATACACAATAAATACTAGGTACTCATGTTATATAATAATAATCAGTACATTTTAAATTTTAATTGATATAGTAACTAGGAAAACAATAAATCTACAAAACTCAAATATTTGCTTTTCTTACTATCAGTGACTACATATAAATTGTAAAAATAATTTCGTTTTTGACTATAATTATGGATTACTTTGATCTAGTTTTTAAAACATTTATGTTTAAATTGGGTTCATCTAATTTACAAATATTTTAATTTTGCAATTAGCACTTAAGATATTTCATTGGTAAAAATCATTGTTTACTAATTAAACATCTAAAAATAAAAACTTACCATTATCCATATATCATAATTCTATAACAATGTAGTAAGCCATATACTCTTAAAGGAATTCCCTATTCATATATTTTAACAATTAAAGCATCTTCACACCAGTAAAGAGAAGTAAAGTGTTTGCAAACTGCGAAGATATTCTGAATTTAAAAGACATGCACCTTCCATTTAAAATATGGCTACTTAATTTTCAATTTAAAAATTAGGAAGAATGAAACTACCTTAAATTATCTTATATATGTCTATGATATAAATTTGAATACAGGTTTTAGGTAAAACTTGCCAGAAAGAGGTGTATAAAATTTTTTCCTGATATGTGGCATCTTAATGAGCATTTTTTTTAAAAAAACATAGGTTTTTAAACAATTCTAAAGCATTTCCAATACCATAGCATAATTTGAATAACTAAAATAAATAATTTTCAAAATTACTTATTAAATTTAAATTATTGACTTTTGAGAGATTCATTTTTAGAACGTGAATGCTGTGAAAATCTAAGATCAATTCCACAATCAACCAATTCCATAACCTCAAGTCATATAAACAGGGAATGGGAACAGATTCAAATTAAAAAGATTTTTCTTTCTGTTAACGTAGCAAATACAAGCAAAGTTAATTTAGTAGACTCATTCCAAACTTTCTTCCCATAAAAAATTTTTCAGCTTTCAATATTTTAAGATATCTGTTCTAGAAAATTAATTAGATCATTAACTAACAAACAGAAAGTGTGGTCAGAATAAAAAATGAAAAAAAATTTACTTATCACAGTATATGAAAGCATGCACTACATTTCCATAAAGTGTATGCTTTCACATATTGTGATAAGTAATTTATTTTCTTCTGGAATTGGCATGTGGAATTGCACAAGCATTGAAATCAGTTCCAAAAATTACTCTACCTGAACTGTAGAGCTGATTTCCGATGCAAAGCCGCCTGTCAAGGGAGCCTCGTGACTGATTAGCAGTCGCCCTGTTTTGATCACAGACTGAAAGAGAAAAGAAAAACCTGATGTTAAAAAGAATATCTATTTTATATATATGATGGTAGTTTTAAATCAGTAATAAAAGTAAATTATATACATTCAATAAATAGTGTAAAAATCAGTAATTCAATTGTATGCCAATAAGTTACAACTCGCTTTCGACAGGTCAGTCATCTGATTTTTGAACTGTAAAATTTTTTTCAATATGGTTTGTAATCCCAGTAGAAAAGAAAAATGAGATTTGTAATTCCATATATGCAATTAAAAATGCATACCCATTATTGTAAGATACGTTTGTGTTATAAACTGAATTGCTGTATTTCATATTTCAATGTTAATATTTTTCTTCATGTTAAAGAGCGAAAGTTTTTTTTATTCATTTGTTTGCACATAAATAACAATGGCCTTAAGAAATACTGTTTTATGGAAAAGGAAAACACAAAAACAGTATGTGAAAGCTATAGCAAAGGAAAAATTTGGCAGTAAGAAATCCCTGCAAAAGTAAACCTCCTTCGTTAATGTGCTCTAAAATCTGGTTGATGACCACACTCTATTTTAAGGGTAAAATGTCACAAACAATGAGTACGTATTCTCAATAGTTGTTCAATGTGGTTGTCCACACTGTGCATGATACACTCTGTAAAATATTAAATAAAAAAGTATAGCAATGATATCATAGCAGGATGCCAGCTGTGTTGGCAGGTAAAACTATTAAAATCAACAGCAGGTTATTGCTTAAAATATGTTGAAAAATTATCATAGTACCAAAGAGAAATGGCAGTTTTGTCTTTAGATTTCTAACAATTTAACATCACCTTTAATAAAATCTGTTACTATTTCATAAATATAAAATGAAATCTTTCAAGCAAAAATATCTATTGAAATAAAAGATTTCATTCATTCTAGGCAATTATAGTTCAGAATTTAAAAAGTATGCAGCAGTTTCAGCTAGCATATGTTAAACTCTCAGATATAGCCAGTAGCCATGACAAAAATAAGTTACCATATCTACTAGGTAAATAGTGACTTTAGAACATAAAATTTTATGAACACCTTAATGAATACCACTCAAACCCCAGTGAAACGCTAACCTTAGGATATTTGTATTTGGCTTTCTATGACTGTGATTAATTATGCCATTTGTAAGAGTCACAAATTAAATTTCAATGTACCTGTACAAAAATATAAAAAGACAAAAATATTCCACAATCACAAAACAACATATGTATTTTCAAAGTGTTTTCTAAAAGATGTCCTGACTTTAAGAATAAACAATGAAAAAAAAAAGATTTGACAATCAGATCATTCTTTTTTTGTTTTTTTTTGAGATGGAGTCTCACTCTGTTGCTCAGGCTGGAGTGCAGTGGCACCATGTCGGCTCACTGCAACCTCCGAATCAGACCACTCTTATAGCTCTGAAACTCAGAACTTGGCCAACATAAAAGTATCTAAGGATGACAGCCAAAATCCATCCAAGCTATCTGGTGCATCTTAAATTTTGAGCAGGTAGAAATAAGAAACTTCTATAAAAATGCTGGTACCCTAAAACCCTACACAACCAAATTGTTCCTTTTTGTCTGAGCTCAGGCCTATCCAAAATCAAATGACAACCTTTAGAATAATCCCTGAAAGCAAACAAGCAACCAGGGCAGGTGGCCTATGTATCCTATAGCCTATGCAGATGGCCACAGAGTGGATGGTGAAATCAAGCACAGATGACCAAGGACAAAAGCTTCCAACATTTGAGGTTGATTCAACATGATTTGTAAGCAGATAAAATTTGGAGCCCTTCTGAGCACTCCTCAGCAGAGGAATGACTAAATAGACCAATATGCATCAACATAGTAGAGTATTATGCAGCCATGAAAAAGACTAAGGACATGTAAAGACAGCCATGACAAATTAACTGGTAAAATGAGTAAGTTGCAGGACGATATAATCTTATATTTTGTAAAAAACAACCACCACAGCAGTGAGCACACCAAGCAACTTATCTTTTCAACATGTACATCGAGCCAACATGTATAAACAGTCCAGAAACTTTCACTCCAAAATATCAAAAATAGTTTCTCCCGAGCAATGCAGTGAAGGAAGTGTAGGAAAGAGACTTTTACTTTTTGCTTTATGTATGTTTAGATCACTGAAAGTATTCTAGTAAGTCTAAAATAAATAAAAATAAAGGGAAAGCCCTTGAATTAGTGCCAAACATTTAAAAATACATGTTATTTTGTAGTTATAATCTTCTCAAAAAACATAATAATGTTTTTGTGATATCTTAGGACTAGCTTCAGAAACAAAGGAATCCTGAGATCCAAACTCCAGCAGCAAACAGGCACACTAACAACGCAGGGAGCCAGTCTTCCCATCCCACTCTGTGTGATCTGCTCCAGGTCAGGACCATATCCAGCTCATCACTTGGCCCTCAAAGCCGTTAGATACTTGACAAAATGAGCAATAAACTACTGGCATCAGACAAGTTCAAGTTCTTCAACACCTCTGTATGTGCATTACAAAAATTGTGTGCTCTCAGATGAGGAGTTAGGCTGACAGATATGGAAATAATTCCAGAAATTTCTAAAACACCAAGAACTAGAGGAAAAATACAATAAAAGTAATCACACTTTGAGTTTGTGGAAATTGCCACTTGTCTACAAACAAATGGAACAAAAATAGTGCAGCAAGAAGAGAGGAGTCAGAAGTAACAATCACAATCATAAACAATGATTGTCACAAAAATTGCTATGTGCTAGGCTCTGAGCTGAGTATTTTACAATTACTTCACTTAATTTGGAAAGCACTTATGATTCATTTTTGCTTCTTAAAAATCATTGCCAATGTCTAAAAGTATTAAAATGTATTATGTCAAAATTCTGAAAATGCAAAAATTTAGAAGACTGATACTTTCAGTCACACTCAATTAGCATATACTGAACTGTCTGAAAACAGTTCAATCATTTTGTGAGGTATAGTAGAAATTTGTTATATGCTTTTTATCATTCACAATTTTAACTTGATAAAATTCCTGAAGACTGCTTTTCTATACTACTTTGGAAATTATTAACAATGTTAGTATAGTGAAAATGAGATCATTATAAATCTACAAAACAAGAGAATGTTATTTCTTTCTATTCTGTCTATTTTAATTAGATATTCTGATTAAAGTACATATTTTTGTCCCCTTTAATAGGCTTTTAATGTTCACATATCTAGGCAAAATAATATGTAACTGTCAAGAAATTCCCCTAACCATATTTAGCATTTTGATGTCCTTAGTAAAAATTAATGCAGTATGTTTCAATGGAGATGGCCATTTACCTTTTTAAGATAAATAATTGTAGATACAATGCTAATAATCATTTAAAAAATATTTTCTTCCAAATAAAATAAATTTTAAAGTTTTTAAATTTTCTTCTGAGATAAATTCATTTCATCACTTGAAACAAATTAAAAGTGTTTAAACAACTTTTCAGGATGAAAGCTGAACCTATCAAAGCCAGGAAAGATCACGTAAGGCTGGATTTGCAAGTATCTACTTCTCCAACTTTTTACCACCGAGTACTGTTCCTGGATTCCGGGCTATGGCAGATGGAGCACCAATGAGTTACGGGTGACAAATGGCATCAGGGAAAGCTAAGCCAATTGAAGATCAGGACCCTGAATAACTCCTCTACCATAAAACAAAAGGACTTTGTTCCCTGCAAAGGAACAAAAGATTTGTTCTAAAAGATTTGTCAAAAAAGCATTAAAAACAGTCCTGAAAGGCTCGCAGTTTTCTCACCACTTCAGTTAGTCATTCCGTCCAACAGAGCATTAGTGGCATACTATCACAATAGGAGCAATCAGAATCCCAGCTCCGTACACACGGCATTGCCAAAGGCAGATATATCAAGGCATCCCTGTTCTGCTGGAACCCTAAACTTGTTTCTTGTTTGGCCACTCTATGACTTTTCCCCATTACCCATTTTCTTTCTACCCAAACGTCTTTATGAATGACCATAAATTAACCAATGCAGAATGTCTAGCACAGTGCTCTGAACATTGTAGACACTCAAGAAAAGTTAACTAGATAAAAACTCCATTAAAACAAATCGTTTAACTTTATTATGCATGTTCTCTTTAAATTTATTTATGCTATTGCATTCTTAGCACAATCCATTTTTAAGGTAGTTCAGAAGTATATACTTGATCACATCCCAGAATGATTTAATTATGAAGTAGCATGTTCCAAATTGATGGTATTTTAATGTAGTTTTAACAATAAGATATTTGTGGTAATAAGAGAGCTGCTAAGTTATACTCTGTTAAAATGATTGCACAGACTTTGGCTGCCCAAACATTAGACATATGTTTTAGTGAATATAGCCTTTAAAGATTTTAACACAATCCAACCAGGAAAACTGTTAAGTTGTTATTCTAGGAGAACTGATACAGATAGGCAAACCATAAAGCTTCCATATTCCTGAAAGTACAACATCGACATTTGAAAAGCAAAACATTTATCATCTATCTGTATTTTTTATTTTATTTCTTCCTCAAAATCTATAGCAAGATTGTTTTCTTACAGACAACTGAACCTTACCTACACCAAGTACAGCAACTATTCTGCCTGCTGATAAGGTTAAAAAAAAGCAATATTTTGGATAGGCAATTTATAGCCCTTTTAATATTTTCTATCCGAATATAAAGCTAATAAAAAGCAAAAGAAACACCAAAGCTGGTCTGTATCAGTTCCTTCTGAAATCAAGAGAACCTCATATATGTAATGCATACATATAAGTACAACTAATGGTAAAATCATAGCACGTATACTTCATTAATCAAGAACATATTATTTATACAATTTAGAATCATTAAGGATAGAATTTTGATGAACTTCAAATATCAACGCAACTGAATTAGATACATTTTTTGAGACGTTTTCTTGTTTTGTAGCCAAGTGCATGTAACAAGTTAGCCAGAAAAACCTCACAATTAATCACAGGTTAGCAAACATATTAATATATGCCTAGTAATTTGTTAATCAGCATGACCTCCTCCACACATGACTGGACCACTGGCTAGTATTCCGCTGGAGAAATGCCAATGCTAAACAACAACAAAAAAACAGTCCTGAGCTTCAGAGAATGTCTTGAAAACTCCATTTTGGCAAAGATGTTAGTGAGGGGGTTACACATATTTTAGTATTGTAGGAAAGTGTAAACCAAGAAAAACTAAATTGTCAGGGCTTTATCACCCGTGTGGAAAAAGTACAAAAGGGAACAAGCAGAGCACAAAGACAATTACATGAAGAGCTGAAAAATAAGCAAATAATGTTGACAAAGAAATAAAACATTTGGGAAATTTTTGTACATCCTCACTGGTTCATTTTTTCCTCAATGATTTGTATAATCAGAACTGAAATACTGAAGAACCTAAGAAAACTGCTTTTGCAAAATTAAAAGTGGACATCTTTCTGAAAGCTACTTCAAAATATTTCAGATAAACATGTTCCTGTCAGTTAATCGACCTTACCTTTCCAACTTGCTTTCTAATAGTCCCTCTATGCTCCAGGCATGTCAGTCCCCTCACAACTCTGAATGTGATTGATGGTTTTCCACCTCAGACTTCCTTCCCCACACTGGCAGACATTCTATCCCTCCCTCAAGACCCATCTCATACAACTCTTTCTCCCTGGTCCCCGCAACCAGCTGGGCTTTCCCTTATATTAAACCCCATGGTACCTTTCCTCCTTTTTCTTGTCAGATTGTCTATGTACTCGTAACCATTTCCCAGTAGAATTTCAGGGAGCTGACAATGCAAAATATTATATGAAACCTAAAACCAGGTTACAAGGGCAAGAATCAAGTACAGTAATAAGGTGAAGGCAGCACACTCTGCTTCAACTCTCTCTCTTAGGAAGACACACAATTTACCTCATAGCACAGCACTGTATAGATATGTCTAATCCTCCAACCTCACTCTAAATTACAAGTTTGAAGACAGAAACTCTTACTTACAATGCCTACTGAAGAACACAGCACATGGCAAATAGATATTACATTGAGCAAATTATGCCCTTTGTATATTAGTAAAAGATAAACAGCTTAGAAAAGGACCTAAGTATCTTTGTTTCTTTGTTTTGAGGAATTTTTTTTCATGGGCGGGGGGTGGTGGTGGTCTCTATACTATCTCCTTCAGCACTCCAAATCATTCAAGAGCATGGAATTCAGAACTAACAAATATTCTGTACCTAACTAGAATACCTAATACATTGTATATGTGGCCGCTCAATAAATGTTGCTTATATTGATCCCCCCAAAAAGCACACAGACACAGTAATTTACATGAATAACTCTTCAAGACTGGAAGTCTCTGATGTCTTTCATATCTTAGAGGGGACCAGTAATGTTATTAGGATGCTGAAAGAGAAGTCCTATAACCTAAGCTCTAATCGTTCTAATTGTAATAGAGGACTGCCCTGGGCCAACTCTCTCCACCTATTTTTTCCTATTCCAGACTTGTTTTAGAATAACGAGTTCGCAGTACAATACATGCTTCTGTGTACCTTTTTAAACATGCATGATGGTAACAAATACACAAACACTGAGTTAGTACTGAACACAAGCTTCCCGTTCCTACTGAAAAAAGGTCACAATGGCGGCAAAGGTATTGTACTGGACTAGAGGACATTTATTAGAGATGTAGTTAAACATGGGTAAATAGTAAATAAATGCTTTCAAAAGTTTTTTGCCCCATTTCCCTGTCAGCTTAAACATCAAACAAAGCATAACCACCTGTAGGTAGCAACATAATTATTTCTGCCAAAACAATATTTCAAAGATTGAAGTAGCTGCTTGTCAGGTTGTTTTTGTATCTTCACTCTTTTCCATCAGTTTTTAAAAACATTTTCATAAACTTATTCCTAATCTCCATCTCAACTCAATCTGTTTCTATGAAGAAAAGAAATTGTAACATGTGATTTGGCTATTAATACTGTTGACTTCCATGTCATAGAATTTTAGAAAACTGTTGAAAAGGTCTACTACAAAGCCAAGTTGTACTTTTGAGACACAATCAGGGTGCTGCATCTTCCACACCTTCTGTCCTTAGAAGACCCTTCCTGGCTCTTCCAGGATTTTTCTTTGGAGTTGGCAATGGCAGGAGGCATTTGGAAGTACCACATAACTAAAGCCTTACTGTAAATATGCTTATGCTCTTCTAATAAATAAAAAAGTGAGAGTTCAAGAGTTACTGCACAGTATTTGGCAAATTTAGAACCTGAACCAACCATAAAGACCACTGTCATTATCATTCCACTATATTTATCATTTATTAATTCCAGCAGTTTACCTTCATTCAAGTGTTGTTACCATGGTGTTAATACCTATTATATTGTTCCAAGTTTAGCATTCAGGTTATAATTACAAGCTGACTGAAAAATTCCATAAAGATAGTTTTGTTTTCCCCTTTTAATCATTTTTAATTGTACAGTTCTGTGGCATTAAGTACATTCACATTATTACACAACCATCACGACCATCCGTCTCTAGTCCTTATCTATCTTCCCTAGCAAAACTCTGTAGCCATTAAACAATAACTCCTCATTCCCTCTTCTTCCAAGCCCTTGGTGTCATTCTACTTTCTGTCTCTATGAATCTGACTGGTTTAGGAACCTTATATAAATGGGTTCATACAATATTTGTCATCTTGTGACTGCCTTATTTCACGTTGCATAATGTTTTCAAGGTTCATCTATGCTGTATCATGTGTCAAAATTTCCCTCCTTTGAAACAGTAATATCCCACTGTATGTATATATCACATTTTGTTTATACATTCATCTATCAATGGATGCTTAAGTTCCTTTTACCTTCTGGCTACTGTGAGTACTGCTGCAATGAGCATAGGTGTACAAATATCTGTTTGAGTCCCTGCTTTCACTTCTTTTGTATATATACCCAGAAGTGGAATTGCTGGGTCATGCCATAATTGTTTAATATTTTCAGAAATAGTCATAGTAATTTCCACAGAGGCTATACCATTTTACATTCCCACCAACAGTGCACAAGAGATGCAATTTCTCCACATCTGTACCAACACTTATTTTCTGTAGTTTTGACAGTAGCCATCCCAATGGGAACGAGGTGGTATCTCATTGTGATTGTGATTTGTATTTCCCTAATAATTAGTGGTGTTAAGCAATTTCCAGGTGCTTAATGGCCACTGGCATATCTTTCTTGGACAAATGTCTATTTGAGTCCTTTCTCCATTTTTTAATCCCCCTGTTTTATGTTTTGTTGTTGATATAGTGTTTCAAAGGTGCTTAATACATCTAATTTCTTAAACTGGTCCCTTTGAGGATTGGAAAGAAAATCTTTTCAGAATATGATATTCCATATGGAAAAATATATAATCAAATCTCAATTGTTTACCATGTCCTCTTTTCTTAAAAAGCATCACGTTCTGGTTTCCTCACCATCCTCCATTCTGAAAGAGACACAGGGAAAAATTTTCCTGACATCATCAATGTCACACATCCTCTGCCAGACTGCTTATCCATGACAGCACTCCTCTCCTGAAAAATCTTCAACGGTAAATCAGCTAACCAGAATCTTAGAGAAAACTTATACATGGTAACAGCACCTATAATTCACTGCTACAGAAACAAAAGAGACAAGTTACACACTAGAAAACCTCTGAGCCTCATAGCTTTGCTCCATATTGTGCCAGTAATTAGGAGATAAATAATGCCAAATAAGAAAATTTGAACATTATATTAGTACAAACCAGGAAATCACTTTCATCATCTTATTTATTACATACAATCTCTCAATTAACTTTTAATGTTGTATAAATTCCAAAGGTCATCAGTTCATATTAAAACAATTTCTTGAACCACATGTGCTAATACTGGGGAAGCAAAGACGAGTTAACTCAGGTCCCTAAAGGGTTGTACTATATATGTTGCCACAATGCCCTAGGGCAAAGCATACCCAAGAAAGAAAGAAATTAATTTAAAGATTATTTTAAGTGATAAGTAACAAGGAAAGGCATGATACTGGTATTAAAAATCAATTTATTTTTGTTAGAAACAAGTTTTTCTAGAATTTTAAATTTCAACTCCTTTGTTCTTTTCTAAAAAAAATTGAAAAATGAATTTTTCTCTTCTTAAAACAACAATTACTAATATCCTCTGCTTTTCAATTCGTAAGTCCCCACTTGGCAAATTTTTCTCAAGTGTTGACAACAGAGGGAAATACTATGTCTGGCCATCATAACAGTTCTAAAGGGTAGAAACTGACATCATCCCTTGTACTCCCAGCATACCGTGAATAAGAAGAAAGTGACCCTAACCAAAACCAAGATTGTCAGCCAGTTACATTTTACACTGCTGTTTTAAGCACGTATCAAGGGTACAATTTTCCCTGAAGCCAGCTGGTTGTCTACCAAGGTCATGCTTCCCTAAGGAATGATCAAAAGTATAAACACTGCTACACTTCTGTATCACCATGGATAAATGGTCCTATTTTCTAAAACTTGGTCCAATTCTGCTGGAATAAATGAATTTTTGGCCCATTGTGAAGCAAAAATTATGTGTAGTTCATAATACATGGGCAAGGCTTAAAATCTTTTGGGTTTTTGGGTATGACTCAAAAAAGTGCTGGAGTAAAACTCAAAGGATATTTCAGCAAAAATTACACATATCTTTTGTAGTGTATATAACTAAGATGGCACAGAGAAAAACAAAATATATAACTTACGTGCTTTCATTAAAACCAAGATAAGAGGGTTTTAATTATGTATCTAAGTTATTAATGTGACAAATGGATTCAGGAAAAGAATTCTTTAGCAGAAATAGTACTATTTTTCCGTAACATATTCATTGATTACTTAATAGAGAAGGTAGGAATACAGAGGAGAAATTTATTGTGTTTTATTCATTTGTTTGTTTTGAGACAAGGTCTCGCTCTGTCACGCCCAATGGAGAGCAGTGGCACAACAGAGGCACAAAAATCTTAAGGTCAAAAATTACATTATTGCTAATAGGATATTAGTGAGAAGATACAATAATAATAGTTCTCCAGAAATACAATTTAATATTTAAAAATCAATTTTTATCTAGGTTTAAATCCTTTTGTTCAGGGAAAGAGCTGAGTAATTTTCTTTCCTCATAATGCACAAAAATATCAACAATCCATTCCTATTTGATTTACAATTCTTTATTCTGCAATGCTTTCATTGACAAGGACTATAACAGTAACATGTTTCTGTCTATTATACCAGAAGAAGTGAGATATACTTACAATAGCTTAGGTTGTGAATGACAGTATTTTATTTTTTTAAGGAGTGATCCAAGAAGATTTTGTGCTTGGCTCACCTCATCATAAAAAGTTGATCACTTTGCTATATTGTCTATGAATAAAATAGTTATTATAAAAGAGAAAATACCACTGCTAAACAAAGAAAATGTTCTATTGCTCCATTAATTTTTAAAAATAAGTTTAAAAGTAAGGACAAAGTGGCATTTCACCCATTAATGTCACAAAGTAATTTAAATTTAAATTCTGACAAAGGAATATAGTTAAAATCTTCCTTACATTGCCAAAGGCCATGTAAACTGCCATTAAGTCTTTTGAGAAATATTTTGGGAATATATTTGCCAAAAGCTACTAAATGTTCAAATCCCTGAAATAAGGAATCTCAGTTCTGAGAGTTGATTCTCAGAGGACTCCAAAAGATGTAAAATACTGGACTTCTGGTTTAAAATAGTCATATGTGTGTGCGTGTGTGTTTGTGTGTTACCACGGTCAAAAAAATTCAGAAAAATTTAAGAAACACTGTTTTAGAGCCAGGGCATCATACTAAATACCCAAATACCATATTTGGTCATGGGCAAATTCCACTTAAAAGGACAAAGCACTTTAGAAATACTGCCTTTAAATCCCTTCCACAGCTACCATAGGTTGCATACTGCTTCACTAATTTTGTTTCATCTGTCTAATCTCTGCAGGCCCTTCAGTGTGTGACCCTAGCTCAGTGGCAGAAAAACAAGTGGAAAGCTGGCAGCACAGGAGAAGACCTTACCTGTACAGCAGAGCTTCTACACCAGAGATCAAGATGGGAACTGCACGCTCTACCCTTTGGGTGGAAACCTGAGGAGATTCCCACAGCAAACAAATTGAGAGCAGAATCAAAGCGAACCCCACCTTCTGGTTATGGGCAAATGAGCCTGTACAAACTGATACTGCCCTATTCAAAGATTAGTAAAGGAAGCAAAACATAGACTAAAGCTAATAGAGCCTACTGAAAAAAAATGCTGAAAATTATCCTGATCACTCAAAAGAAAAGCAGGTCTCTAAGAATAATCTACTTAACATCCAGAAGAAAGTGTTAAGCAACCACTGTGTACTCTCAACCGAAGAGCTAACCTTTAAGAAATAAGAATAATAATTCTAGGGAGATAATAAGGCTGGGTAAGAAAGGATACAGATGAAACGTGAAAGTCTCATAAGTAAGCTAAAACCACACTCGTGAAATGAAGACCCATGATAGTGGTGGATTCGTGTATTCTCGTGGTATCTTCCCCTACTGCCTACCACTCTCAGGGTATGATGCTCCACATTCAGCAGACCTCAAAACTATTTGCTGAGTGAATGAGTAGGGATAAATTGGCCTCAGCTGCAAATGTCTGAAAAATACAGGGACAAGAAGCAAGCAGACAGGAAGGCAAGTTGAGTAACAAGTTTTCTTTCCCCCTCCTCCCCTGGCCACAGACTGGCAGTGAGGATGCTTTCCCCTGGTTGTCTCCATCCCTTCTGACAGCCAAGGACCACTGCTGGAGAGCATGGACGTGCTTTCCTCCTATCCTTCCATTTGTCCTTTCCCAAAGTCCACTTGAGGCCTGCTATTGCCCGAATTGGAAAAGAAGCCAAGAATAAAAAGAAAAAGGAAGAAAAGGAGGTTCATCTTCCCAGTGTGACAACAACTTAAAGGATGAGGTACACAAATCACAGACTGCAAAGAGCTTTCATTTAGCAAGAGTCACGAAACAAATATCTCATGACCTCAAGAAGTAATGGGAATAACTAAGGTAATAAGCAGTGGAAGGTGGTGTGGACAACCAGAGAACACAGTCTCTGACTTAGGGGGCCAAACTCATTTCCTTTTTATTCTTTTTGAATACTATGAAAGCCAAGCAAAACATGTCTCCCCAGGCCAGATTCTGTCCAAGAGTTTGCAACCTATACTTTAAGGAAACATCTTTGGCAAAATGATCTTTTTTTTCCAAATATCAAGATGCACTTTCTGTTATGTTATCTTTGCCCACAAAATTATACACCGAATCAGGCAGACTTCCATTCCGGCCTTCCCAAATATCTTGTGGATATTTACCAGTATAAACATCCATTTTGTTGTAAAGTTACATTTAGCAAAGCAGACCCAGTGGTTCAAAAGAAATTTGAGCCATATCTTCACCACGTGTTTCTAAAACCCAGAAAAACAATGAACTAGTCAAGATAATGTGTAAATTTAAGCATTCAGTAGTCTTGCTATATGTTCCAAAATGACATCATAAATGGGTAATTATGGCATTTGGAATTTTAAATATGCAGGAAAAAGGATTCTATGGCTCTGAAGCTCTTCCCCATATTGTACTTGGTGATGTACCGTACTTCTGAAGCACTCCTAGGGCCCTTACCAGGAGCCCTCCAGTGTGTTTATATACTACTGGAAGAGTGAGAGTCTGTTTCCAGTTTCAAGAGACCCAATAATTTGTAGTCCCTCATAGGAGAAATCTTGTACCAAGAACATCCGCAATGGATGAGATGCAGTTTTACTGACTAAAAGAAGTTTTAGTAAGTTACCCAAAATACAGTTTTCTCAAAACATTACATAAAAGATAAATGGTAAGATTGTATTTTATTACCCCACACACACACACACACCCACCATTACCACCAGTTTTTACTAAATTGCTTATTTTGGCCATCAGTATTGGCAGCTGGGCCAGGCAACTAGCGGTGAGAGTGGTGTCTAGAACCAGTATATCAACAGGTATGAAGAGGAAGTAAAAAAGCCACAACCAATGTTTTAAAGCAAAGGAAGAAAATAAAGGTGATACCATGAAAGTAACCAGGTTTAATTCAGGACCAATACAAAATAGGGGCTGGAAAATCCAAAGACCTAAATGATGAGGATAAGATAGGAAGTTCTTTTCATAGAGTCATGGTGTGGGGTTGGAGTTGTGGATATTTATCTCCTCATCATCACTACTGTCATGGTCCCAGAGGTTACCTACATCTCCACCTTCACTTGGTGCATCTTAACTACATTCAAAAATAAAATTCAGAATTGGGTTTTTGGCTTTACTCATCATAAATTAATTTTTATTAAGCATATAAATTGGTGTTTTTGAATCTACTTTACAGTATTCCTTTAGTTCTGATGATGATTAATGTCATCGTTATTTCCAATAAATTAAAAGAAACATGTTAGGGTATCATTATTCTTTTGGCTACCTGGAGACCCAAATAACTTAAGAAATCATTTATAAATCTGTCTCAAAGAAAAATGACCATTTCTCACATCTACTATAAAATTGTATGACCTATAAATATGTGTGGTTGTATTTATAAATGCACCCTTTTCACACATTTTACCTATACTATGTGAAGTTCATGTATTTTAAACCATAGCCTCAAATGTAACCAGGAAACCTCCATGAGGGTGGAATCTTGACATAGCTTTCAATGTTATTGCTCCCCGGTCCTACTACTTTATGATGCCAAAGCGTATCACTTTACCCTGGGACTGCCAACCGTAATTCTGAAATCGGAACACAACTGACTGCATCAGTGACACTGAAACCATAATATTGCAGCTGGCCTGGAGCAGCAGCAAGCTGCTGATCAGTGAGCAAGACAGTGGGGAGGGAGGAATGGCTGAAGAAAGGCATTCAAGACAAATCTCCAAATTCTCAATAAGCTGCAACCATCAAAGAGTCCAATATCTAATCTAGAAAATGTCAAAGGTCAGGTTTTTTAACAAAATCAAGTAGGGAGATTAATATTAAGTATATCTACACTGCCTTCAATACTGAACTGTTTCAGGACCACTTTTAGAAACAACAATATGATACCACTCCCCATGCCAGGACATCTTACAGCAATGGCCTCATATTGAGGAAAAAACATTTGCAAATAAAGTAGCAAACAGTAACTTGAAGCATAAGACCTACATTCTAACTACAGCTTGAAAGAAAGAACTGGGGGGGAGTCTGGAAGAAAATTATAACCCCAAGAGTTATAGTGTAAAGGTGAAAACTATAATTTATGTCTTCATGTTGTTAACTTGAGCATCAGTGATAGAATGCATGAGTGCTGCTAAAATGGATGCTTTTTTTTTTTTTACTAACTCTCATCAAATAATACATCAAGGAATACATGTACACACCTTGCATTGTCTACTCCCCTCATCAGGATCACTGCTTAGATACTAGCCCCCACATCAGCAACCTGGGGCTGGGAAAAGGCAGGTACTCACTCTCCCGGTGCCTGGGGGAGCCTCAGAGCCATCTGGGCATCCTGCCCCCTTGGGCTGCTCCCCTGATCCTTACCTTTAATCCCAATGCATCAGACCCAGTGTTTGCTGCTTTAGAACATTTTATTCAACAGAACTACAGGCCAGTGATGAAAAGATGTTTATAAGGTTGATGCTTTTTAAGGAAGAATAACAAAATTTTGTTGAATATTTCCTCTGGTACCTTCTAAACAGAAAGGGGAGTGTCTCAACCCATTGCCCCTTCAAACCCCTGAAAATGTGAATCTCTGACTCAGCTTGATGACCGTTTCTCCTCAGGCACCTGAACCATGAAAAGCTGATGAGGAACAGGTGAAAACAGAACCTGTCAGTGATCTTTGAATGCTTCTGAACTTTTCAGCAGAAACAGTGCCTTGTCAATCACTGTGTTTTGTTTTGTTTTAAACAACACAGAAGCAAAATTCTATGATAAAAATTAATATGGCAGACATAATACAGAACCAGAACATTAAGTGGGAAACTGAGGATACATAGTACAGCGTATTTAAAGGCAGAATTAAAATTCTTAAACTATGTATTATTCTTATATATAAACAATTCATGTCCTGATTTATAGATTTTTATAATAAATATATATATATATGTTGTGATGGTTAATTTGAGGTGTCAAATAGTTAAGTTGAGGTGTTAACTTGAAGATCTGTCCTTATTGCAGTCAGGCACCATCCAATCTGCTGGGAGTCCGAAGGAAAAAAGGAGAAAAGGTAAATGTGCCCGTCTATTTGCTGGGCTGGGATATATCCTTCCTCTCCAATCCTTGGGCAACAACTCTAGGCTCCAGCCCTTTGGACTCCGGGACTTACACCAGAACCGCCTCCCTACTCCCTCGCCCTGGGTTCTCAGAGTAACGCTATTGTCTTCTCCGGTTCTGAGGCCTTTAGACTTAGTCTGAGCCTCTCTACCAGCATCCCAGAATCTCTAGCTTACAGACAGCCTGTCGCAGGACTTCTCAGCCTCGATAAGCACATAAAACGAACCCCTTAATAAATCCCCTCTCATCTATCTATCTCCTTTTGATTCTGTCTCTCTGAAGAAGCCTAACACATAATATGTATTATCCCAAACAAGATACTTATACTGTTACATTATTTATTAGAATATATATTCATATATATATATATATATGTATCTTTAAGGAATATATATGAATTATATATCTTTAATTAAAAATATATGTATATATACACATACACAATATAAGTGTGTGTGTGTGTGTGTATAGATACATATACACACATAGCATGTGTGTATTCACAGAAAAAGAAAGATGAAGAGAGACAGACAGATATTAAAGACAAGAGAAACTAGGATTTTAAACCAAAAGTGGTGAATCAGCCCAATATCAGACTAGAAGCCCTATGACAGGACAGACTGTTTTTTCACTGCTGTGCTTCAGGGCATCAGTGCATAGCAGCTACTCAATAGACTAACTTGTTGAAAGGCTAAACATTATTATTTCTTCCCTTTTTAAAGAAGTCTCACATAAATAATATTAAAGAAGCTGTAACTCCAGTGAGCAAATTTATTCTTAATAATGTGGATATGGTATGTGTAACTAATGATAGAAAACTATAAAACTGCATCAGGAAACTACTAGATTTTAGAGTACAACCATAAGTATACAAATTTGAAAACATCCTTTCCTGTTGCTCAATAATTGTCTAATTAGGAGTCTCTGTTTTGAACCATATGTTGCCATTTTTTAAAATACATACTGTGAGACAACTTCATTTATTATGGCTAAATATTATTAACAATTATACCTCCTGACTAAACAGCTAAGCCAACATAAGATGTCAACCAGAGTATATTTAGCTTAGCCTAATAAGGAGTTACTAGATTTCACCAGCACAGAGAGAAGTGCTATGCAACTGAACCAAAGAAGAACTACCTGAGACTGTTAACTTTCCAAATAAAAAATGAAAGTATAAAAAAAGCTTTATAAAAATGGATGATTTTATGAATTTGGATATTTTCCTTAGTCAAACAACTTTATATATGTGTGTGTATATACAGTCATGCCCATAACTAAATTTTGGTCAACAGTGGACCACATGTACCATAGTAGCCTCATAAGATTATAAACCGTATTTTGACTGTACCTTTTCTATGTTTAGATATGTTTTGATACACAAATACTTACCATTGTGTTACAACTGCCTACAATATTCAGTACAGCAACATGCCGCACAGGTTTATAGTCTAGGAGCAGTAGGCTATACCATATAGCCTAGGTGTATAGTAGGCTATCTAGGTTCTAGATTCATGTAAGTACACTCTGTAATATTTGCACAACAAAATTGCCTAACAACATGTTTCTCAGAATGTACTCCTGTCGTTAAGTGATGCATTACTGTGTATATACAAAGAAACATGCCAATACATATAAATGTGACATTAAGAGAGGAAGTTAAATAACATGGATCATTTTCTTTCTAACTCTGCATTTTATTGACTTAAGTTTATTATTTGCAACTACTTTGACGATCCAAAGAGAAATGAACAGTTTCTCAATTCAGAGACAAGCATATTGTAGAACTTTCAGCCTTTGGGGGGAAATAACCAAAGGTAAATAGCCTCAGGGCACAAATCACTTCGCTAATGGTACAGTCAGGCCACCAGGAACCAGTAGTCAAATTTCTACTGCTGGCTTTTTGACTTATCAGTTGTTCAAAAAGAACTTTAGTGACTAGGATAGTACATCTGACATCTTTATGTCCTTCATATTTTCTCTAGTAACAAAATAAGAAACATTAAACACATTTTATATTAGGTATATTCTTTATGCTCAGGAGGCTAAGATATAGTCCAGAGGAAATTCCAATTTGGGAAACTAAATTTCCATTGTTCTCTAAACACATGGACCCAAATCCATGGCTTGCATCCCTGTATGTTGTAAGACAGTGGTAAAATCCTTCTGGTTGTATGATCCCTATAACAAGGAAAACTGATTATTTTCTCCACATTAGTTTCTCCCACTGCATGCTGTTCGGTAAGAGCAGGTTCCTTAGTAATCAGCTGTTAGCGGTGATCCGAATTTTTTTCTTTTTTTTCCCTTCTTTTCACAGGTGTTGATGAATTTTTGTCCTTTTATTTTTTGTAAATGGAAGTATTTGAGAATTTAATATCAAAATGGTCTTAAACGGAGAAAAATAGAAGCCACTATCAATAGAAACAAAGGAATGAATTATGAAAAGTCTTTCATTGATGACTCATTTTTGAAAAACAGTAGAAACATTCCTACATCTAATAGGTTTTGAAAATATTAACAGCAATCTGTATATTACAGTCCTCATAAATAATTATGGTACTTATCTCTTTTCCATATTACAGTTTATGGAGGTGCAATGCACTGTTAGCAAAAGTACAATAAGGTATAAAACCAATACAACTAAGACTTCAGCTCTGTCTTCAAGGAGTATACAATCCAGAAGATATTTTCTAAAGTATATAGAAAAAGCAGATATAACATGTGGTGACAATGTAATCAGACTCATTTTAAACAATGAACACTCCTCTTCAAAACACCCAAAGAAAGCATTGTTCTAACAATGAAGCTGTTGTTTCACACACTTTGGGGAATTTGAGGGGGAATGATCTTTTTGTTACAAACAGAGAGATAATTTTATCTGTCTGTCTGTCTGTCTGTCTATCTGGCTGAAGATAACAGAAATGTGTTCTCTCACAGTTCAGGAGGCCAAAAGTCCAAAATCAAGCTGTCAACAGAGTTGTTTCCTTATCAGAGACTCTGAGAGGGAAATCATCTATGATTCTCTCAGTTTCTGGGGATTTCTGGCATTCCTTAGCCTTCTTTGTCTTGTAGTTTTTGGTTTTGTTTTATTGTGTTGTGTTTTTTTAAGAGACAGGATTTTACTCTGTCAGTCTGCCTGGAGTGCAGTGGTGTGAACACAGCTCATTGTAACCTCGAACTCCTGGGCTCAAGTAATTTTCCAGCCTCAACCTACAGAGTAGATGGGACCAAAGGTGGACTTCATCAACCTGGTTAATTTTTTTATTTTTATTTTTGTAGAGATGGGGTCTCACTATGTTGCCTGGGCTGGTCTTGAACCCCAGGGCTCAAGCAATCCTCCTGCTTCGGCCTCTCAAAGTGCTAGGATTACAGGCATGAGCCATCGCACCCAGGCTGCTGGAATTATCTTTAAAAATTAGTGTACAGACAACTTTAAAAATCACTCACATTACAATCACACTTCATAATATAGAATTTAGAGGGAAAACATTTAAATTCTCAAAAACAATCTTATTAAAAAACTATGACATGTGAAAAAAGAAGAATATGTACCTTAAGAGATACAATCAGGATAAAATAGAAATAAAGTAAATAATAATAAAATAATAAAGTAAATAAATTAATAATATATTAGGATACTAGGAAGCCAGAGGGGAAATTTTCACCTTTTGGGAGTTGATTATGAAAAGGGAAACAGTGATTCGATGCCCATCCTTGATGACACCTGAGGCACATTGCACATGCCTCGATAAAACATAAACACTAATACTGATACAACATTCTAGATAGTTATTTTGTAATAAAGTAATGATCATAATTATTTCAGCACAGAATTTATTATGAAATGTTGCTTAATTAATTAACTTAATTCAAGTTCTGTAGATTTTTTTAATTTCTATTTTAATAATAACTTATTTAAAATACAAAAGCCATGAAAAAAATTAGTGGCCTATAAAAGCTAAAACTTATTATCCTCTCCTATAGGATTAAAAACAAGTTATGGTTAAAAAATCTTCTTTTACCAAGATTCATTAAAAAACTATATAATATTCAGAAAAACACTATAAATATAGCTATGACTTTGGGGGGCAAAAGATCTCCTGTGACTACTATATCAAAGGAAAAATATTTTTATTTATGATTTCTATGCATGGTAAAGTGATATGACATGATATGTTGCTTTTTTCCCTATCATCCATGTCTTCTCCTTTACGTAATTTTTCCTTTGGAAGTTTATGCTTTCCTAGTAAGATAAAATGTTATCTTATCAATCAAAGAGTCAATCAAAGAGTACCACATTCCCTTGACCAAGGAATGGATACATAGCCCAAGAATTATAAATAAAACTCTCTCCAGAAAGCCCGACGCATGATTAAACAGCATGTGTGCACAAGGTCCAAAAACTCATTTGCCTAAATGGTGAAACCTGAAAAGACCATCTACTGCTTCCTGCAACCTTCCTCTCTAGATCTGCTGTTTCCTCCTCTTCTAAGGTACTTCCCAGATGTTTGTAGGTCTTTGCACACACAAAAATTTACCTCTGCATGGCACGCTGGTGTTACAGGACTAGACTGGTCTCTCTGCCCCAAAGCTCAACCAACTGACCTTAGCCCTAAGTGATGAATATCTGCTGACATCTGTTCCCCATCTTAAGCCTAGCAGCCTGTCTTGGCACAGCTCTACAAGGCCTCATTCTTCAGGTTGTCCTCAAACTAAAAACTACAAGATATCTTTCTAAATAAACTGCTCCTTAATTTCTGTTGCTTACAATTAAATTACTGATGCAGATGTTGTGAGGAAAACAATGTAAAAGATAGCCATGATGATTATGATAACAGTGGTGATGGGGATGATGATAATCATTATGATGCTGAGAGGAGGAGGGGGTGAAGAAAGAGAAGGAAGAAGAAAGAAATCTAGACTATACAGAACTTTACAAACAACCTATTTAACTGACTTTTGTTTAAACTGTGTGAGAGTAGGTTGTAACAGTCCAATTAAATCTTTTATGCTTAATATTTATGTTACTCATTTAGTATCTCTTGTAGTAAGATAGTATCAGATTTATACATAACTATACTTTGTAAAAATTTCAATGTTAAGAAATTAGGTTTAGATTATTTTAAATATTATTTTAAACATTATCCTTTCAAGGATAAGTAACCATCTTAGATGGTGGCCATATGTATGCAAAGTAAATAGCTTTACTTAGGTTTTAGTTCACTCAATGCTTTTAAACATAATCTAAGTTTTTCTCAGCATTTTATTAACTTCAGAAAATTAAGTTTGGAAAAGCTATTAAAATAACTTATGACCAATAACCTTGACAAAATGTGGTTTTACAACTAAGACACCAGTGAATGGAGAATTAAGTTACCTTCCTCTAATTCTTTTATAAATATGTTTGGTTCAAGACACAGTCTTATTCATTAAATGCTAATGTTGAAAATGATCTGAATGATCTGAGCGATAACATTGTTTGGGCCTGAATTTCTCCAGAAATCTCTCAATTTGCCACATCATTTGATAGAAAAAAATAAGTCCAGTGTTGTATGAAGGAAATTTCTGTTACTTTAAAATGCAACTTCAGCATAGACTTTGCAATCAGGTGGCTTGGATTCAACCCCTAGCACTTCTGCTCACTAGTTGTGTGAACATGGGCAACTTACTTAACCTGTCTGAGACAGCTTCTTCGCCTATAAAAATGATGAAGTAATAACACCCAACCAAGTAGTAAAGTTGGGATGCTTAAATGAAATAATGCACACAAAGCTCTCAACGTAATGCCTACAGTAAGCATGCTATAGTGCTAGCTATTACTTTGGCATAAAATTGAGCCTTTCTTCTGTGTCAACTCATATTCTCCATTTGTTTATATTAGTTTTTAAATGTATGTGATAAAGTCCCCACAGCAGCAGCAATGTCCAATAGGTTAATAACTCAATAAAAAATTTGTACACAGCTCATGTTCAAAGTATTTTTGTGTGTTAGATTTGATTCTTAATAACTTAAATCCCTACCATTACCTTGAAAAATGAGAGAACAAACCAGCTGTTGATGTTGGTTGCTGCAAATACCATACACAAACAGAAATACCTAAAAGAAAATGATGGTCTTTCAGACCCTAAGAATAATTTTTTATGAGAACAGAGTATGAATAATATTTGAAAGTTTAGGCCGGGAGTAGAAGTTGTCTCTTGATAATACATGATCTTCTTGGTTTATACAATAAACATATGGCAGAAGGGATGAATTCTAAGCACAGAACAGACACATGATTTACACCCCCTTCAGGGACAGACTGCTTGGAAATGAAGAGCACTTGCTTACAAATAATATCTTAATACAATTTTGCCTTTTTCCCATATCCCTGTGACAGACTGTGTTCACTAGACATTTTAAATAAGTTTATACTGTCCTCCAACCTTGAACAGGATGCTTTAATACCTAATTGTAAAATGTCAATTAAGTAATTTGCTCCATTTGCATGGAGAGCAAAAACTTATCTGAAAAATCATAGCATTATTTGTGAAAAGCTTCACATTCCCACGGCTATTTAGATCTAGCAGATGAGTCAGAACTCAAATTAGTTAATAGAGGTATTGTTAACAACAAGAGGCCTAGGTTTTTAAACAGCAAAACAAAATAGAATTCCCAAGCTTACCAAATGAAAGATCCTCAACTTCAACAGTTGTGAATAAAAGGAAACCAGGGTCTACAAAGTTAAATGACTTAACTATTAATACTATCTAGTCAGTAGTGAAGCCAAACAAGAATCCTAATCTCCCGGGACAACCAGAAGTACAATTCTTAAATAGTTATCACATAATTCCTGAGCCAATAAACAATCTGTTTATTCACCATTTAAACCATAGCAATTGCTTCTATAACTACTAAGCACTTTATATCATAATTACATTAAATCTTCATAACCCTAAGTGGACTTCACAGATGTGGGGTTAGGACTAGAGAGGTTAAGTGACTTGCCGAAGTACATACATGGAACCAGTAATTAAGCTTAGATAAGCATGCTGTATATCCACTGTGCCATGGACTCTTATAAGATGGATTCATTCTTACCACAGGATAGTCACTCCATCTTCCCCCTATGTTGTATAAGCCTGGATGATCCTAAACCCAATTCTGCATTCAGTGATAAAATGCAGTTTCTGGTTTCAAAATGTCCTTAGTCATTCCAATCAAGTGACAACAGAAGTACACAGAGGAGGCCTCCCACCTTCCTCAGCTCTCCAGATATGACTCTTCCTGTCTTCAAGATGAAAAACCTCTTCTCTTCTCTCCCTCTCCCTTTTCCCTCCCATTTCTGTCAATCAAGGGCTGTGATCACGGTTTGGGAAGGTAGGAATTGGCCTCTGAGCGTGGACTGAATACATGTTGCAAAAGCTAGAATTCATCTTTTTCTTCTTCCTTCATTTGACAGAAGATTGAGACAGAGGCTGGGACTTTACAGCCACAATTCTAGGAGTCATATAAAATATTTAATACCACAATTTTTTGAGAGTTAGGAGTAAATGCCAGAAGTAAAGATTCATCTGTGAGAAGTGATACCACCCTGATCTAAACTCCTAGGCTTCAGTTATCTCCTCAACCAGAATATCAAGAATATTGGC
This sequence comes from Homo sapiens, assembly GCF_000001405.40. Lineage (NCBI taxonomy): Eukaryota > Metazoa > Chordata > Mammalia > Primates > Hominidae > Homo > Homo sapiens. The sequence goes on along the minus strand of NC_000006.12, from coordinate 80,250,176 downwards.
TGTGAGGTGGTGGCAGTGGCTGTTGGGGAGGCCGGCAGAGGTCAGAGAAGAAGGAGAGCCAACTAAAACAGGATACTAACTACTCTCTGAGGCTGCAACCCAGCCCACACTCTACACCACTGTGTACTGTAACATGAAGGAAGTGTGGGAGGTGGAGAAAGAAAAGTGAAGAAAATGGGCAAAACCCTTCCCCTCACAGAATCTACATTCTATAATAGAATAAATAATAGCATTATTTCAGAGCAACACACATACAGGCAGGTGCTTACAACAATGCCACAACTTACCTTACAAATGACTCTTTAAAATCTGAGTTATTTTAAGAGGAGGTTTTCAAGGTGTAAGTTAATTTAGCTTCCATGGCAGGTAATTAAGTTACTTTTATATTCTTTTGCTTTAAGGAATTTATAAATGAAGTTTAAAAATATTAAGCACTAGCTCTTTTAAAACTTTTTACATTCAAATCACTATTACAAAATTCATGTTCACCGCACTTGGACTCCACCCTCTTACCTCCACCCCAAGAGTACTCTTTGGGATGGTCTGCCTTAAAATGTATTTGACACATAAAGAAGTGACAGCAATTCCTTTGAAATGACTGAGTCATAACTACAGGCTATTTCACTATTTGGAGTACAACATGTCCTGGTCACCCCTTTTCATTTATATATCATACACATATAAAGTAAAACAAAATTTAATTTGCATCTAGCAGCTATCTGTACTTTTATGTGCAGCAAATGATTTTTTTTTTAATGGTAAAATTACTCAATTGATCCTCCAGGATGGAGGAGTAAACTGCTTCCTAAATATCAGTCAGGATAACTGCAGACATGAATGTGTTTTTCAAGCATTCTGGAACATAAAAGTTAATGTGGCTCCTCCCAAAATGCTGTAAATAAATTCAGAGAAGAACTTATTCAGGTGGCATTATCTAGCCCAAGGAACATTTAGCAATGCTTAAAGACATTTTTGGTCACCACAACTGGGGATGAGGATTGGGTGGGAGGAACTTATTAGCATCTAGTAGGTAGAAATCAGGAATGCTGCTAAACATCCTACAATGCACAGAACAGCCCCACAATAAACAAACTATAAATTCATGTTAACATGGTTAAGAAGTTCCAGCCTATGGTTGTCAATCATTTTTAAAACTGTAGTTTCCAGGAAGCCTACCAAATACACTGAAGACATACACACCTCCACACCACTATGGCTATTCTGGGATGCACACACACAATACACATACACACACACACACACACACACACACATACACACACACACACAAACTTCCAACCAGGGTATCTATCTATAGAAAAACATGGCAAGTCTGGTGATCATTCAACAGAGAATTCATCTCCATTCTCTTTCATTCACTCCCTTGGCTTCAATTACTGTATTTATACTAATGATACCTAGATCTGCCACTTGGAGTGAGAGCCTCTCTAAGGTACCACACCAGCCACTGGATACCTTAAACTTTCCCACATGCAAAGCTAACAGCAATTGTCCATCATCCACTCATTCTGCCCCAACTCTCCCTTCCACTTCAGCTCTACCTCCAGCAGTCCCAGCCCTGGTGAATGACAGCACCACTGATCCTGTAGTCAAGCCAGAAGCCTGGGCATTCTGGGCTCATACCATATCCCAGCAATACCACTGTATTTTGCACATAATTGTCACTTGATTCAAATGTTGAACACTGAGTGAATTAATCTTTTTTCAAACCAATTTATAAATGATAAAAATAAACCCTAAGCTCAAAAAATACTAGAGAAAAGCAAAGTAAAACAAAACCAAGCAACGCAGAATGTAGTTCAGTATAAAAAAGCAGTGTATCTGGAACTATATCCCATGTTCAGAAAACAGAAACAATCACAGATCCAAAAAGAACCAAAGAAGCCTTAAGACACAGATTAAACAGTGGAAAAGATGCTAAGACAACAGATGACCTTGGACACTGTGGTGCTGACTCTGAGAAAAATTTGCTTCAATTAAAAATCAAGCTTTATGAAGATGAATTTCCCAAAGCATTGAAAAGAGAGCAGGAAAACTAGATAAGGGAGAAAAAGAGTACAGTAAGAGAGTTAGTAAAAATTAATAACAACCACCTAACATTCAAATAGAGTTGAAGTTTGAAACAATCACATGTATTATTTTGTTCTTTCAAAAACTCTGAGGCAAGCAGGTCTTTTAATTACCAGGCAATAATAATTGGAATTCCCACTGGCAAAACACTGTAGATTTTTAATAGTAACTAAGCTTCAGCTATGGATCATTCTGAATGTTAAGTAGCAGAAAGAATCAAAACCACCCCAATGTTAAAGTGGTCCTCATCACAACATAGACTTCCACTAACGTGGCCATTAGCAGCAATTCACAATGGTAATTACCTAAATAAAGAGCTGCTATTTCTGGACTGAACAGGGGTCACCTCAAGAACCATTTCCCTTCACTGTAAGTCTCTAATAATGAATTTAGTTGGCTGCTGACAACCTTCCAGAAAGCATCCAAAAGTACAGACAATATGCTGCATTGTCATAGTGAATTGTTATGCCTGTTTTAGAAATAAGATTTTGGAAAGTTTAAATGAATCGTAAAGACATCCAAGTGAACAAGAGGAATCAGAATTTAAACTTTGATCAAAAGTTTCCCTTCTACATCTAATGTTAGCTCACCTGTAACATATCTTTGAAAAACTAATAATTCCGGTTATAAATATGTGTGGAAATCAGCCTGATTTGTTATGACAACCTTAAGGATGTAGCTGATTGAGTATTCTTCTTGTGTGAAATAACTCAGGTCTAGGTAATAAGATTTAACAGGATAATATTTTTGAAATATTATGTGATTTATTTTTATTCTTACTAATCTTGTTGCTTTACCCAGCAAAGCTGAAAGCTTTGGCTTTGAGAGACAGACAGATACAGCCAAGGACAAAGGCATTATTGTTCAGTTATAATTTTCCAAATAGCAATTTAAAAATTAGCTTTGCAGAAGCAATTGTTTTGCAACCCACATTCTCTAAGAGCTTGAGAGAGAAACGGTTTTGTTTTGATGGTCCAAAAGGACTTTGCTTGGACCATGCAGAACTGTAGAATTGAGAGCTTATATGAAAGTTACTCATAGATATGGCAAAAGGAGAATATTAAAGCAGTTTCCCTGGCTCAAAGAAAAGAAATATAAGTTTGATTGCCTTCTAGGATGAAATAAGGACCAAAGTGTCTAACTAGAGATTAAACATTGTCTGGGCCCTTGAAGGTGTGTCTGTATGTTGGGGGAGAGGGGTGGGGGAATGTGTGAGTTTGTCTATGTATGTGTGTATGTGTGTGTGCAAGTGTGTACAAGTGTGTGTCAGCATGGGGCTGGACAGAAGATGGGGTGGTAAGATGGTAAAACATTCAGAAAGACTAAGGGGGTGTCTCCACAAACATTAGGAGCTTCTGCCCAGCTTCTGAAGCCCTCTGGGAGAGCCATTTTGGATTCTGTAAGCCAGTGTTGGGTAGACAGCATACAGCTGCAATGGTGAAGAAGTCTGCCAGGTTAGAATGAGCTGAAAGCTTTACACTGCCCTGTCTTTCCCTGATTTCAGTAGGATGTCAGTGAGATAAAAAAACATTCTCATGTCTCCTCCCACCAAAGGAGGTCTGGAGGGCTTTTGTAGTAGCAATGGCAGGAAGGGGGCTAGTAAGCATGAAGAACTGCAGGGCCAGCCAATGAAACAGCAAGGAGTAACCATGGTTTCATTTTACCTTAAAACTTCAACCACAAGATGCCCCAATTGTTGTATAGCAATGCAGGATAACATGAAGACAAAGGTCAAAACCTAAGCAAGACAAGATACATAGGGGAGGCGAGGGACGACCAGGGGACCACAGACTGGATGGACACCTTCCTTCTCTCAATGCTTCCCATGCACTGAGAAACTCACATTTCTGCATATCCACAAGTGTATTTTCTCTTTATTGCTTAACAATTTACAATTTTCACAGGTTAGAGAATCATAAATTATTACAATATCAAGGTTATCCTAAAGTGTGATTCTTAACATATTGGTTTAAAATGTCTTTCTCTCATTCATCCATTTATTTATTTAGTGAGATAGGGTCTCACTCTGTCACACACATTGGAGTGCAGGGGAGTCATCTCAGATTACTGCAACCTCCCCCTTCCAGGCTCAAGTGATCCTCCCACAGCAGCCTCCCGAGTAGCTGGACCACAGGCACATACCACCATGTTTGGCTAATTTTTGTATTTTTTTGTAGTGATGGTGTTTCATCATATTGCCCAGGCTGGTCTCGCATTCCTAAGCTTAAGTGATCCACCTGCCTCGGCCTCCCAACGTGCTGGGATTGCAGACATGAACCACCGTGCCCGGCCCTCTCTTTTATTTCTAACTGGATAATACTTGCCTCTCTTCTGCTTCATTCAAATTGACAGAGAGTAGAAAAGAAGGGCCATGACATAAAAGTGCTGCTCCTTCGTGGTGTTCTAACTCAACCCAGAAGTCAATATTTTGTCTAACAGCACAGAGCACTACACTTTGGAATAGTAGTTTGCTATTCTGGTTATTCTAATTCCATTAGTCTCAACTAGATGCTGTGACTGAGAGTACACATGAAAATAGTATCAGAACTTAAAATGATCTCTATCGTGTTTTTACCAAGTATCTAAAAGGTGACCAGATGTAGTGTTAGGTCCAGCAAGGAAGGAAGCTCAAAAAGCTACAAATGAATGTGTTCCAGCCTCTCACTTTGTCTACTTTTTGTTTCCTGAGCTTTTGGGGGATTTTTTTTTTCCTATTGAAAGCCTTTTTTGAATTTTATTCCAGAAAACTATCCCCCTAAGGTCGTTTTTTCTTCAATTCCTGGGTTCCCATAGCAACCTTTTGATAAACATGTTATTGGTATTATCAGAAAATACTACTGAAATTGTTGGGTTTCTTATCTGTCTCTCCCACTAAGACAGTATAAGCACCTTTCAGTTTCCGGTCTCTAATTCAGTTGACTTTCTGTGTGTGCAAAAGTGGCAAACAGTGTTCTAAGTACTTTACATACATTAAAATTCTGTTTATCCTAAAAAAAAAATCACAGAAGATAAAGACTACTATTATATCTCTGTTTTATAGATGAGGAAACTGATAGAGAGGTAGAATAGTAGAACCAAGAACCACACTCAGGCCACCTGGCTCCAGAGTAGATGCTCAACAAAAGTTTGTTGAATTGAATTCAATCCAAGCTAGGAGAACTATGATTCAGAAATCCTAAGTTCCTGTCTTCCAGATACTGCCTTTGGTCAGCATATTTTAAACCAATATTCCATGAGAATCCAATTAAAGAAACAGTTATCTTTTGTTCAAATAATTTGTTTTGTTACAGTCATCTTTCTTCTGCTGCCGTACTCCTTTACTTTTTCCAAGCTATCATTACTTTATTGAGCCAAAAATCATTATAATATGACTTTTGTCAGCTTCCACAAGGCTACCATTTTGCTCGAAAAGAAACTAATTTCTTCCATGAGCTATTAGAAGACATTATCTGTTACTATTACAATAGATGCACACATACATAAAGTATAAGCCACATGAGCAAACTGCCTGTTATCCATTTTTCCCTCAGGGCAACAACAGTTCTGTTCTTTATTTAAATAACAACAAAACAAAAAAATTATGCTAATTACTTTAAGGGTAATTTTAACTGTGTTATTTTTTTCTTATAATTAAGTTGGAGCTCCTCACAATTTGATTTATGAGCAACCTCTTTTAGAATCTCTATGGAATATTACCTCAAAAGGAAACTTAAATTTCTAACATGTTTTTGAAACCATTCATTGCCTAGTTATTACTTCTACAACAACATACACTTCTAGTCAGGTTGTGCTGTGGTTTAAGACATCCACCTACATGCGCACGTGTGTACACACATACATGCACACACACACACACAGTCCCCAGACTGTGCCCTTCCATCTCCTGCTTCACCAGCCTTTCTTCACTTTCATCTGTCATCAAACACCTCAGTCTTTCCTACACATCAATACTTAACATGTTTCCCAATCAGTTTCCTAACATTAAAAACCCAGTGGCTTCTTCTATGATTTTATAGACTCAGGATTATAGATCAGCCCTCAAGAAATAGTGTATTTTGTCTTAGGTACTTTGAGAGCTTGTGGCTTCTTATTTTCAGTTTACTGAAATAAAAAGGTAAGTGAGCTGTTGATTCATCTTTAGATAAATTATTTATTGAAATAGACAAACATAAATATAGCCTTCACAATTCTAAGCTCTACACTTACACAGAAACACTTTTAAAGTGAGATTTCTTTAAATGTAAATACTTGGCCAGGCACAGTGGCTCATATCTATAATCCCAGCACTTTGGGAGGCTGAAGAAGGAAAATCACTTGAGCTCAGGAGTTCAAGACCAGTTTGGGCAACACCATGAGACACTATCCCTACAAAAAGGTAAACAAAAATTAGCTGGGCACAGAAGTGCACACCTGTGGTCCCAGTTACTCGGGAGGCTGAGGTGGGAAGACTGCTTGAGCTCTGGAGGTCAAGGCTTCAGTGCACTGAGATCACACCACTGCACTCCAGTCTGGATGACAGAGTGATACCCTCACTCAAAAAATATAGAGAGAGAGATATTTAAGGACTTTTCTCATTAATTCTTAGCTGTTGTCAAACAATACTTAATTTAATATAGTTTTATCCAGACATTAGTTTAAGATATTCTTTCTATCTACATTGAATCTTCTTATATCAGCTATATACTGCTTCAGCTTTCTATTACCTCATCAGGGAGCAAAGCATGTCAGGAACCATAGGGCTCCCCACTCCTTCCCTCTTCCCCCTGATTGGGACTCTCCTACCTTTGGGTTTATCTCCACTGATATTCCAGCCTTTGTGCTGGTGCTGAAGAATGAAACATAATAAGCCTTTGCCTGGGAATGAGCTGGCTCAGTAGCATTCTCTTGATATCCCTGTACTTCTAGTCTCAGTACCAGGTGGTACTCCCTTTTACTTTGTCTCTCTGTACCTTGTTTTATCCTATTGTCCAGTCTTTCAGTGACTAGATTCTGGCCATACTGTCCAGTTAGTCTGTGGCTGAGATATGACTATAGAGTCCTGATGCTCTATGCCTGAGTCGTTTCCCGATTAACCCCAATTGAGAGATAGAATCCTTTGCCCGATCGAGAGATGTCAACCTTCTCTGCCTGCCAAACCAGCCTACTGATGGCAATCTGAACACTCAAACTACAGATTTGCCTTTAACCCAAACAGATTTGGGTCTCTGGAAACCTACCCAATTTTTATACTTTATCTGTTCTCATCTATTTAGCCTGATGCCCCAGTACCAGTGGACTATTATACCCCAGATGTAGCAAAGATGTTAGTCAATAGTCCCCACCCTGGTTAACAGCCAGCACCACACTCCTCCCCATGATGCAAAGATTAATTAAGAATACAGGAAGGCTTGAATAAATAAAGACAATCCAATATTCATGGAAAGGAATAATCAATATTGCCATGATGTCACATTCCTCAAATTATCTATAAATTAAATGCAATTCCCATAAAAATGTGAACTGTGTGTGTGTGTGTGTACATGTGTATGTGTATGTGTGTGTGTCACTTAACAATTAATCTTCAAATTCCTAAAGAAAATAAAAGGACTAAAAATATCACCTCTCCTCCCTGCTCCCACCCCACCAAAAATAACTGAAGAAGAGCAAGTTCGGGAGATTTGCCCTATCAGATATTCAAATTTATTATAAAGCTATATTGTTAAGATAGAGAGGTATTGTAAGGCTCTAAAAAGACACAAAGAAACATAAAATGGACAGCCCATGAACAAATCCACGTGTACATGAACAGTGGATACTGTTAAAAGATGCAGAGTGTAGGGTCAAAAATAAAACAGAGCTCTTACCTTAAATCACCCTAAATATATCAAGTATGATTAAAGGTGACTAGAGACCTAAGTTTGAAAGGTAAAACTTTAAAACTATTCAAAATATTTTAAAATATCTTCATGATCTTGTGATAAGGAAGGATTTAAGTGAGACGGAGAAAGTAGAATCCATAAATGAAAAGATGAATAAATTTGACCACAGAAAAATTTAAAACTTCCGTGCATCAAAAGACAACATTAAAAGAGTGAAAACACAAGCCACAGACTGAGAAAGGATACTTGCAATGTATATATAACTCATAAAGGTTTCTTAGCCAAATAATAAAAAGAAATCCACAAATCAGTAAGAAAAATTTTCCCCCAATAGAAAAGTGGAAGCAAATTTACAGACAAGATGTTCAACCTCATTAGCAATTACAGAAAGGCAAATTTAAACCCAGTAGGATACCATTTCACACAATCAGATTGATCACAACAGGACATCTCACATACTGCTGGTGAGCGTGTAAATGGTACAACTACTGTAAAATCATTTGACAATACCTACTAAAGTTCAAAATGCTGATAATGTAGGAATGAGAAGTTTCATTCCCAGGAATTTACCAGAAATATTGCCTATATACATAAAGAAATATGTATAAAAAATTGCTGTTCTGCAATATTTGCTGCTCTGCACCCTCCGCTGGTGATGCCCAGGCAAACAGGGTCTGGAGTGGACCTCCAGCAAACTCCAACAGACCTGCAGCTGAGGGTCCTGACTGTTAGAAGGAAAACCAACAAGCACAAAGGAACAGCAGCAACATCAACAAAAAGGACAACTCATACCAAAACTCCATCTGTAGGTCACCATCATCAAAGACGAAAGGTAGATAAAACCACAAAGATGGGGAGAAACCAGAGCAGAAGAGCTGAAAATTCTAAAAATCAGAGTGCCTCTTCTCCTTCAAAGGATCGCAGCTCCTCACCAGCAACGGAACAAAGCTGGATGGAGAATGACTTTGACGAGTTGACAGAAGTAGGCTTCAGAAGATCAGTAATAACAAACTTCTCTGAGCTAAAGGAGGATGTTCGAATCCATCGCAAGGAAGCTAAAACCTTGAAAAAAGATTAGACAAATGGCTAACTAAAATAAACAGCATAGAGAAGACCTTAAATGACCTGATGGAGATGAAAACCATGACATGAGAACAACGTGACACATGCACAAGCTTCAGTGGCCGATTCGATCAAGTGGAAGAAGGGTATCAGTGATTGAAGATCAGATGAATGAAGTGAAGTGAGAAGAGAAGTTTAGAGAAAAAAGAGTAAAAAGAAACGAAAAAAGCCTCTAAGAAATATGGGACTATGTGAAAAGACCAAATCTATGTCTGATTGGTGTACCTGAAAGTGACGGGGAGAAAGGAACCAAGCTGGAAAACACTCTTCAGGATATTATCCAGGAGAACTTCCCCAACCTAGCAAGACAGGCCAATATCATACTAAATGGGCAAAAACTGGAAGCATTCCCTTTAAAAACTGGCACAAGACAGGGATGCCCTCTCTCACCACTCCTATTCAACACAGGGTTGGAAGTTCTGGCCAGGGCAATCAGGCAAGAGAAAGAAATAAAGGGTATTCAATTAGGAAATGAGGAAGTCAAATTGTCCCTGTTTGCAGATGACATGATTGTATATTTAGAAAACCCCATCGTCTCAGCCCAAAATCTCCTTAAGCTGATAAGCAACTTCAGTAAAGTCCGATACAAAAATCAATGTGCAAAAATCACAAGCATTCCTATACACCAATAACAGACAAACAGAGAGCCAAATCATGAGTGAACTCCCATTCACAATTGCTTCAAAGAGAATAAAATACCTAGGAATCCAACTTACAAGGCATGTGAGTTGTATTCTCCTTGAAGAGGAGAACTCTTCAAGGAGAACTACAAACCACTGCTCAACAAAATAAAAGAATACACAAACAAATGGAAGAACATTCCATGCTCATGGATAGGAGGAATCAATATCGTGAAAATGGCCATACTGCCCAAGGTAATTTATAGATTCAATGCCATCCCCATCAAGCTGACAATGACTTTCTTCATGATTCAATGCCATCCCCATCAAGCTGACAATGACTTTCTTCACAGCATTGGAAAAAATCTACTTTAAACTTCATATGGAACCAAAAAAGAGCCCACATTCCCAAGACAATTCTAAGCAAAAAGAACAAAGCTGGAGGCATCATGCTACCTGACTTCAAACTATACTACAAGGCTACAGCAACCAAAACAGCATGGTACTGGTACCAAAACAGAGATATAGACCAATGGAACAGAACAGAGCCCTCAGAAGTAACACCACACATCTACAACCATCTGATCTTTGACAAACCTGACATAAACAAGAAATGGGGAAAGGATTCCCTATTTAATAAATGGTGCTGGGAAAACTGGCTAGCCATACGTAGAAAGCTGAAACTGGATCCCTTCCTTACATCTTACACAAAAATTAATTCAAGAGGAATTAAAGACTTAAATGTTAGACCTAAAACCATAAAAACCCTAGAAGAAAACCTAGGCAATACTATTCAGGACGTAGGCATGGGCAAGGACTTCATGACTAAAACACCAAAAGCAATGGTAACAAAAGCCAAAATTGTCAAATGGGATCTAATTAAACTAAAGAGCTTCTGCACAGCAAAGGAGACTACCATCAGAGTGAATAGGCAACCTACAGAATGGGAGAAAAATTTTGCAATCTACTCATCTGACAAAGGGCTAATATCCAGAATCTACAAAGAACTTAAAAAAATTTACAAGAAAAAATCAAACAACCCCATCAAAAAGTGGGCGAAGGATATGAACAGACACTTCTCAAAAGAAGACATTTATGCAGTCAACAGACACATGAAAAAAATGCTCATCATCACTGGCCATCAGAGAAATGCAAATCAAAACCACATTGAGATATCATCTCACACCAGTTAGAATGGTGATCATTAAAAAGTCAGGAAACAACAGGTGCTTGAGAGGATGTGGAGAAATAGGAACACTTTTACACTGTTGGTGGGAGTGTAAACTAGTTCAACCATTGTAGAAGACAGTGTGGTGATTTCTCAAAGATCTAGAACTAGAAATACCATCTGACCTAGCGATCTCATTACTGGGTATATATCCAAAGGATTATAAATCATTCTACTATAAAGACACATGCACACGTATGTTCATTGCAGCATTATTCACAATAGCAAAGACTTGGAACCAACCCAAATGTCTATCAATGATAGAATGGACTAAGAAAATGTGGCACATATACACTATGGAATACTATGCAGCCATAAAAAAGGATGAGTTCATGTCCTTTGCAGGGCCATGGATGAAGCTGGAAACCATCATTCTGAGCAAACTATCACAAGGACAGCAAACTAAACACCACATGTTCTCACTCATAGGTGGGAATTGAACAATGAGAATACTTGGACACAGGGTGGGGAACATCACACACTGGGGCCTGTCATGGGATGGGAGGAGGGGGGAGGGATAGCATTAGGAGATACACCTAATGTAAATGACGAGTTAATGGGTGCAGCACACCAGCATGGTACATGTATACATATGTAACAAACTTGCATGTTGTGCACATGTACCGTAGAACTTAAAGTATAATAAAAAATAAAAAATATATAAATAAATAAAAATAAAATAAAAAGAGTGAAAAAACAAAATCTTCCACCACTTGGCTGCGCTGGAGAGTCTCTGAGCCTACTCTGGTTTCCGAGGCTGCCAGATTCACGAGTTGTTATTTGCTCAACTGAACTCTATTAACTTAATGTGGCTAAGATTTTTCTTTTGACTGTTGTTTACTGAATAATTTAAAGATAAGGCTGGGCAGGATGGCTCACGCCTGTAATCCCAGCACTTTGGGAGGCCAAGGCCAGCAGATGACCTGAGGTCAGGAGTTCAAGACAAGCCTAGCCAACATGGCAAAACCCAGTCTATACTAAAAAATACAAAAACTAGCCGGGTGTGGTGGCATGCGCCTGTAGCCCCAGCTACTCAGGAGGCTGAGGCAGGAGAACTGCTTGAACCCAGGAGGCGGAGGTTGCTATAAGCCAAGATCACGCCACTGAACTCCAGCCTGGGTGACAGAGCGAGACTCTCAAAAAATAAAATAAAAATTTAAAAAAGATTAAAATCTCCTCAATACTCTTTGGAAGGAAGGAAGCGAAGGAGGGAGGAAGGAATTTTGCTTTATAAATTTATGCCACCCAAAACAGAACTTTAAAAAACCTATTTAAGTTTTATAACACATTTCAACTAGACATGAAATAGTTCCTACACAACATCCTTGCTCTCTTTCCTTTCCCTAATTCTTCTATTTCATTCTTCCTTTTTTTTATAGCAGTCTGCTCCAGCTGATAGGGATGGCCTGAACCTTTTCTACTTATGTAAATAACAAAAGTATCATATTCTGAGAACCTTGTCATGTTAATTACCTTGATTTTCAATTTCTGATCTGAACTAGAAAGTTGAAAGGTTGTGCAGTAGTTAGGCATATAGGTTTTGGAGTCAGAAAGCCTCGGGTTCAAGCTCTGGCCATGCCAACTTACTGGTTAATGTGAACATGGGCACTTCTGAACCTCTCATCTAGAAGACAATAATAGTTCTCACTCCAGAAGTTTACTGTGAAGAGTAAAAAGGTAATAAATGATAAAGTGCTTAACAAGGTATCTGACACATAATAAACACTAAGTATGATGAGTGAATTTCCATGAGCTTATTATGAATAATTCTGTAACAGGCATTATTTTTTCGCAACCACTGGTATTAATGATCATAAGTTTCACTAGAAATCACCTACATAGTAAATTAATAAAACAGAATCCCTTCTAAGTTATTAGAATCTTTAAGTTGCAGGTTTAGAAGGTAACTTAAATGTGATCACCTAGTTCAGTTACTCAATCAGCCGAATGCTTGATTATCCTCAGTGACATCCCTGTTTTCAGCCTCTATCTAAGCATCCTGATAGAAAAATGCTCATTATTTCCTAAGGCCACCTTCCATGCAAAAATTTCCTCCTTAAATGGTGTAAAATCCTATTGCTCTAAAGCATCTACCAAAGACTTTAATTTTGTCCACCAAAACTATAAAGAACAAAGCCAAACTCTCTCAATTTCTACCTTCAAATATCTGAAAAACACTTGCAGTTCCCTTATAAAATTCTCTCAGAATGAAATGTTTACAATGTCTTCTACAATAGCATGATTTATATTTCCTTATTCTTTTGTTGGTCCTTTTCCAAACCCATTCCACTGCATCTAAATGTCTCTCAAAGTATATCTACATGAAAATTTTTTTAAATTATTTTACTTGACGTTGAAAGTTGACCTTAGAAAACTATACATTCCTCTGCAAAATTCTGTATTTTTCCAAGAAGTGATAATAACATTCACTATAAAATATAAGATAAAGTCTCTTTCAATCTCTCTGTACATATTGACTTACATACATACACATAACAGATAAATGAGGCTGCATAGAATATTGGTTAAGAGCACAGACTCTGGAATTGGACTGCCTGGGTTCAAATCCCAGCTCAACCCTTGTTAGTATGTGTCTTGGGGCCAGTTACTCAACCTCTCAATGACTCAGTATTTTCAATGTAACTACCTCTGCTAATGTAAGGAATAAATGAGTAAATATATGTTAAACATTTGAAATAGCTGTACAGTGAGGGCTTTAGCTTTTTACCCATGTAAACAATAGACAGCCTCAGAAACCTAAACTTACATTTATTTTCTTAGATAAAATTTTCACTTTTCCAGCTAAACTATAGGTTCAGTTAAATTTAAGTAAATGAATATTTACATTATGAACAACAGAGCCAAACAGTGGACTTTCATTTTACAGTACAAATTAGTTCAACATTGACTGATCACCTAAAAGTCTATTACCTGTTAAATACAAAATTGTATAAAACAGCCCTGCCTTCAAACAGTCCTTGGTTAAGCTGGGAATATGCATGTAATCAAATAACCATAATATATGTAATGCATTCATTATATGGATAAAGTACTTTGGGAACACAGCAACACAAAGTTAAAGAGAAGAGGCAATAATTCACAGTCTGATATTTTATTAAAGAATAACAGCATACCAAAATGGCTAAAGAACAATTGTTTTTAATAGAATTCTGAATAAACTTGAGATTGAAAAATTAATTTTACATTTTACAACCAAACTTAAAAGGCTGCAAAAGCAGCCTTTCCACATGGAGCACAGGTTAAGTTGCCTGGTTGACCAGCATTGCCTGATCTTACTGGCAATTAGTCATTAATATCTGAGTTTCAAAGCTAATGAGAGCCATTCCCATCTGAATGATATGACTGACCAGTTGTTCCCAGTGCCGGTGCTCACTGAACAAAGTTTCACTGCTCAGTCAAGCTGACTGACCATTGTCCTGTTGCCATCTGCTGTTCATAAAACTCAAAGATGACAAAATAAGATTGTTCAAGAACCAGGCCATGATTTTAAATTATCCTATCCACTACACAAGCAACTGCAAGGAGAATTGGTAGAACACAATTTTTATTCCACACAAATATTTCTATAGAACCTAAGTGCCACTGGCCTTTGGACATAATTAATGTGGCAATCAAGTGAGAAGAAATGTACCTCAAAGATCAAGAACATGGGTTTAATATCAGATTAACCTAGATTTTTAGTCCCAGCTCAGACACTAATTCAAAAATAATCTCTTCTACTTTGTAGAAGATATTATTCTGGGAGCTGGCTTCTATGTTTTCAGTGATTATCCAAAGGTTAGTTACTTAACTTGTCTAAATACATGTTTCCTCAAAAGTAAAATGGAAATGATTAACAGCAACTATCCCTTTAGGTTATGAGGTTATAAAAAGAAGCAAGTATATTTGTTTGACCAATGCCTGATATTAGAAGAAATAGCTATTTTTGTTTGTTTTTTATTGACACATAACAGTTGTACATATTTATGGGGCACATATGCTATTTGGATACATGCATACAGTGCATACTGATCAAATCAGGGTAACTGGGACATCTATCATCTCAAACACTGATCATTTCCTTGTGTTAGGAACATTGTAGATCTTCTAGCTATTTTGAAATATACAATAAATTCTTGTTAACTAGAGTCACCCTACTGTGTTACTGGACACTAGAACTTATTTCTTCTAACTGTATTTTGATACCCATTAACCAACCTCTCTTCATTCTCCACTCCCCCTACTATTTGCTGACTCTGGTTACCACTATTCTGCTCACTAGCTCCATAAGATCATTTTTCCAGCTCTCACATATGAATGAGAACATGTATTTGTCTTCCTCGGCCTGACTTTCCGGCCATGTTACTGCAAATGACAGGATTTCATTCTTTTCTATGGCTGAATAATAGTCTAATATATATATATATAAAACATTGTCTTCATTCATTCATTCATCCACTGATGAGCCCTTAGGTTGATTCCATATCTTGGCTATTATGAATTGTGCTGCAACACACATGGGAGCAGAGATATCTCTTCCATAAGTTGATTTCTTTTTTTTAGTATACACAGCCAGCAGTGGGATTGCTGGGTCGCATGGCAGTTCTATTTTTAGTTTTCTGGGAGTCTCCATACTGCTTCCCATAATAGCTGTACTAATTTATGTTCCCATCAACAATGTATGAGCATTCCTCTTTCTCCGCATTCTTCTCAGCATAGCTATTGTTACTGCTGTTAGTATAATCTGCTCTGAAAACTAAAACATGTAAGCTTAAGACACCATTTATTATTAAGTTCAAAACCTTTATCCCAATCTATATTTATATACAAATATAAACTGCCACCCCTCCAGCTGAGCACATAAACATTCCTATTCTATCTGTGATAATAGCCAAGAAAAAGTTAAGTCTCTACCTAGCACATTGTTCTAAACTAAATAGTCGCAATCTTCTTTTAAAACTATTTTCTTGGTTTCTTCATGGAATAATAAGGCAGGAGACTGTGGTGACTGATACTACATCCATTATACCAGGGGTCCCCAACCCCCAGGCCATGGACCAGTATGGTCCCTGCCCTGTTAGGAACCTGGCCACTCAGCAGGAGGTGAGCAGCAGGCAAGGGAGCATTACTGCCTGAGCTCTGCCTCCTGTCAGAGCAGCAGCAGTGGCATTCGATTCTCATAGAAGTGCAAACACTATTGTGAACTGTGCATGCGAGGGATCTAGGGTGCACGCTCCTTATGAGAATCTAATGCCTGGTGATCTGAGGTAGAACAGTTTCATCTCGAAACCATTTCCCACCCCTCCAGTCTGTGGAAAAATTGTCTTCCAGTCTGTGGAAAAACTGTCTTCTATGAAACCAGTCCCTGGTGCCAAAAAGGTTGGGAAGTGCTGCTCTATACGACTATTTTTATTTATGTTCTGTTTGGCTTATTGGGGTTTGGAATTTCAGAAACTAAAAATCATAGCTCCTTTTAGAAGTCTCTGAATAAAACCTGATGTATGTAGATGATCGTGAAAGAGTACTCAGTCTAACAAATTGAGTCCCTACAGTAGAGCTCCATTTCATTGAACATTTGACACGCAAAGTAGATAAAATGCAAAGATTAAGAACTACAAATAGGTGTGACCTTTACCTGAAGAAATTCTAAATAATCCCCAGAGCCAGGGAGGCCTAATTAAGATTAATAAGGTTCAGAAAAATAAGAAGCACTTGATTCTGAAAACCAGCAGGAAACTATCGATCCAGAGAGAAAGAATTTAGAGGCAGATAAGAGCAATGATGTGAACTTTCCCAACATATAAAAGAATGTGAATGTTTAGATAAGTCACTAATTTTGATTCTTAGTTGGGAATGATCTCAAGAAGGTTTCATAGTATATTTACAGCATTCATTTTGTAAAGTTATACTAAAATGATTTGAGAAAGGCTACTGCCCTAGAGACAACTAGGGTAATAAAAATCATTAGCCACTTTAAGAAATGGATTAAGGTAGAAATCCAAACCTTTGAATATAAAATGGAATGGAATTTTTATCCGTTCCTGGAATTAGGACATTTTAGGCTTACTATGTTAATGAGATAAGGACAAAAATGGTGCCAAAATGGAAACAATGATTAAGTCCAAAAAAGTCTTTCATACCTGAAAATATAAAAACAAGCATATTAAGCATGAGTATTGGACATGTCAATTGTGCACAGGGAGTACTGAGAGAAAGGAAGAAACAACTTTAAAAACAAAAGACAGCAGAAAAGCATTAAATGAAAATATAAAGTATTAAAATCTACTCATGATATTCCTACATATTACTATGCAAATTATGCATTCACATAGTGACATGAATGAAAATGAAGATAATGGCTTGATTAAAAGACTCAAGCAATTTTTGTCTTGGATTTCTGTTATTTTTTTAATATGCTTGCCATAAAGAAAGAGAACGCACAAACACACATACACACACTCTCATACATATATAACACAGATATAGATGTTATATCTATAACATATATCATATCTCTATATAGAACATACATATCTCTTTAATATAATATTAAATATATTAAATATTTACATTTATATTTATATTTATAAAATAATTTTATTTACAGGTGATTTACATAGTAACCATACCATAAGGAGAATTTAATACATGTAGTATATATACAGTATATATATACACATACATATACAAATGTATATGTGCTATAGAGAGAATATAAACATGTATGTATATAACTGAAAAGGGGGATTCTACTATTCAAAGGAGCCCCACAGTAAATTTCTCTGAAAAAAGATGAGATGTTTGGAAAAATACTGATACATATTTAGATTTATAAAATAGATCTACTACAAAATCATAATTAGTTTATTAATTGTAAAGAATGCCTACTTTCCTCTCTCTGTTAACAGTTCTATGGTTGATCTTGATCGATTTTAGCTCTCTGGTTTCCCAATCAGAAGTAGAGATTAAAAAAAAAAAGGGTTAAAGAAAGTGCTATAGTGCATTAGACTAAACAGCCAGCACAGGGAAGTGACAGGTGACAGTCTACCAGTAAAGGAGAAAAGAGCCACTATAATAAGCAGGTAGGATATATCCAAAATCCAGGGATGCTGTAGGAAATATCCCTATACTTTAATTCTCTGAAAGCATTTTGGTATTATAACCTACACCAAAAGATTATGCTGTAATGACGCTAAGTTGAAAAAACAGAATAAATTTTAAAAGGTTTATTGGAAAAGGCAGTGAACTACATGTACTCTGTTTTTAGAAAGTTTGCAGCAGTACAGTGATTTCCAGACAGACTCTCGCCCTGTGACCCTGGCTGGAGTGCAGTGGCGCAATCTCGGCTCATTGCAACCTCTGCCCGCTGGGTTCAAGCAATTCTCCTGCCTCAGCCTCCCAAGTAGCTGGGACTACAGGTGCGTGCCACCAGGCCCGGCTAATTTTTGTATCTTTAGTAGAGACGGGGTTTCACCATGTTGGTCAGGCTGGTCTCAAACTCCTGACCTCATAATCCGCCTGCTTCGGCCTCCCAAAGTGTTGGGATTACAGGCATAAGCCACTGCGCCTGGCCCCAACCACTTTCTTATACTTTATTTGTATGATTTGATTTAATCCTTCCAACAGCACTAAGAGGTGGGTACTATTACTATCCCATTTTACAAAAGGTTACAGCTTCTATGATACTGAGCATCTTTTCCTACAGTCATTGCCCACTTGGCTTTTCTTTTCAGAAACTGTTCTTTGCCCTGTTTTTACTAGGTCATTTCTAGAGGCACACTGGATGTAAAGAAAATAGCCCTTTTTCTGTTATATGTGTTGCAAATATTTTTCACAGAATACCATTTTTATTTTTGTTTATTTTTGTTTATAAATGTTTATAATACATAATAACATTCCTTTTTTATGTAGCCAAATATCTATACTTTCTTTATAGCTTCTATATTTTCTGCCTTGTTTAAAAACTTTGCTTCAACACTAGGTTATAACAATATTCTCTTAAATTTTTTTCTATTGTTTTACTATTTGGTTTTTATATTTAAAGCATCATACATTAAGTATGTATAATTAAGTAGAATTTACATAAACTGTCAGCACCATTTATTCAGTAAACTATCCTTCCCAAGTGACTTGAAATAGCACTCTTGCCATATATTATCTATTTCTGAGCACTATTTTGTTTTAAGATCTACATCATGAATTGGCCAACCACTGGCAATGAAGAGATCCAGTCACATCCACTGATTTATTTATTACTTACAACTGCTTCTGCGCTTGCATTGGTTTGAATGTGTCCTCTGGAGTTCATGTGTTGGAAACTTAATTCTCAGTGCAATAGTGTTTGGTGGGACTGTTAAGAGGTTATTAGACAAAGCCCTCATGAATGAAGCTCTCATGACAGAGCCCTCATGTCACTACAGAATGACTTTATCACGAGTGGGTTCTTGAAAAAGGAGGAATTTGGCCCCCTTCCTTCTCTCTCTTGCACGTGCTCTCTTTTCCTTCATCATGGCACAGCAAGAAGGTCCTTGCCAGATGCAGGCACCTCAACCTTAGACATCCTAGCCTCCAGAACCGTAAGAAATAAATCTCATGCTTTGTAAACTACCCAGTCAGTGGCATTCTGCTACAGCAACACAAAATGGACTAAAACACTGCTTTAAGGGCAGAGTTGAATAATTAAGACAGACCATATAGCCCACAAAGTTGAAAATATTTACTATCTGGCTCTTTATAGAAAAAAAATTGCTAACCCCCTGTTCCATATGTCAAATCCCAGCCATAGCTTGTTTACATGGCACTGCAGTAAATTTTAATTTCAGGCAATAGAAAATCTTCTTCACTGTTTTTTTCTTGGCTATTTGGGGCATGTATTTTTTATATATAGTTTTAAATATTTTTAGGTAGTTTAAAAAAACCTGGCCAGGCGCGGTGGCTCACGCCTGTAATCCCAGCACTTTGGGAGGCCGAGGCGGGCGGATCACGAGGTCAGGAGATCGAGACCATCCTGGCTAACACGGTGAAACCCCGTCTCTACTAAAAATACAAAAAATTAGCCGGGCGTGGTGGTGGGCGCCTGTAATCCCAGCTACTCGGGAGGCTGAGGCAGGAGAATGGCATGAACCCAAGAGGCGGAGCTTGCAGTGAGCCGGGATAGCGCCACTGCAGTCCAGCTTGGGCGAAAGAGTGAGACTCCGTCTCAAAAAAAAAAAAAAAAAAAAAAAAAAAAAACAACCTAAAAACCCCTTTGGAATTCAAATTGGGGTTGTATTAAATGGTGTTATGTGCTACTGTTTAAGAATACCTAAGAACACAGTATATTTTAGTCTGATTTTAACAGCCTTCCTAAGATTTTATTCTTTTCTTTATGTATCCACTGTCTTTCTTTCTTGTAAAATTTATTCTAAAGTATTTTATAGTTTCAATTATAAATAGGATATCTTTGTCATTTTCCATTTCTGGCTATTTCTTACTAATAATATGAGGAAAACCTATAGATTTTATAAACAGTCATTGTATTTCAAGCTTCTTCTCTCAATTATTTCATTGATTCTAAATTATTTAGTGAAAGTCTTCTAGATTTCAAAAGCATAAACTCATGTTCACTAAAATACAAATAATTTTACTTTTTCTTTTTTTTTAATAACAACTCTTCAATTTTCTAGTCTAATTATTTAGACTCTCCAGCATAATGTTGATTACTAATGATAAGAATGGACATCCCTATTTTGTTCCACTGGTTACTTCCATGACTTCATCTCTTACAATCTTTGCTTACCCGACTACAACCACACCAAGCTTATTGCTGTTCCTCCAATAGGACAAACATATTCCTGCCTCAGGCCTTTTGCACATGCTATCATGCTGCCAACTCTTCTTCTCAGATACCAAGTGTCTGCTCAAAAGGCACCACCTGAGAGCAGTGGTCAGTGACAACTATCATCTAACCATCTATCATAGCCCTTCCCTTCACTCTGCTATTTCTGTAAGCTGCTTCATTTTTCTTCATAAAATTTATTGGGATCTGACTTAAATATGTATTAGTATATCTGTTTACTGATTGCCTCCTGCAATAGTGTCTAAGCTCCAAGAGGGCAAAATATTTTCTACTCTGTTTACTTTGTTCTCCATTTCTAGAACACATGGTCCCAGAAGGTGCTCACTGAGTATCTGTTAAATGAAAAAAACAATGGAAGGAATACACAGTTTTAACGAGAATGCCTTCAGGAGATGCTAGTTTGGCAGGATGTCTTCTGTTGTGTTTCAGTGGCCAGTCCTTGCTATAGACTACTGGGCATGTTCAGGCATACCTGAGGAGTTCTTAGTCTCCCAAGCCCAGCTCTCCCTGGAAGGTTGGAAGTCCAGGCCCTCACACTGGATCTCTCCACTGCTATACTTTTTAACTCCCATCGAGCAGAGAGAAGAACAAACTTCTGAAACCTTCTGAGAGCCCAGGCTGGTGACAAGTTGGGTCAGTACACCTCAAGTCTCTACACACATGCCTGCACATGTGGCTCGGGTATGGTTTGAGAGTAGTACAAGCACCAAAGGCTGGCTATCACAAAACCCCCCACCCCAAGCCCACCTAAATAAACATAAAACCCATCTCAAAGCACTGTCTGTGAAAAACAAAATGCCATTTCAAGACAAGTTCTCTAGCTATCTCCCACTTCAACACCCATATTCATCCTCACAGAAATTCTGAAGCTGCTGTTTTAGGCACCTGAGAGGAAGCTCAGAAAATAAAGGTGATTTAGATTGCCACCTTTCAAGAATCCCCAGGAACTGGTGCTGTCTCTATTAGATGTAAAGTACAATTCAATTTACAAAAATTAGATCTGTTACTACACACTCAGGGAGATGTCCCCACACTTATCTGAGTACCATCTGCTTAAATGTTTTTGAATATTGGAAGCAAAAATGCAAAGCAAGGTTCAAACAGTTCAAATAGACTTTTAGTTCACTGGAGTTTTTTGGTTTTATCCATGCATTTTCTAAGAAATCCCAGAAATCACAAAAACAAAATTTAAATGAACCATCATATATTCTCACCTGAAAGGAGGAAAGGAGTTTGCTTATTTCTAACAGCATGACTGCCTTCTTGGTCCATCCAGGCATTTCCCAAATTTTCCTGTGGGAAGTCACTTTAAATTTATTCCTCTACTATTGAAGATTACATCTGGCTGGGGGAAACGTCTTACATACTTTATTTATTATAAGTTATTTGGAAGACTGTTGCTGTATGCTCAGTGTGTACCCCAATGTCATTCTGAAAAGCCTAATCACCACATATGGTGGTTGGAAAAAGCAACCACTCTTTCATCCCACAATCATAAGAAAAAATATTTCTAACCCCCTACAGTGGGTTCTTTCTATGGCTCACAGGAATAAAAAGCAAGGGAACTAAAATGAGTCACAGAATTACTCTTATTAGAAAACATCTCTACCATTAGTAGATTATTATAATTTTTAAACCCTCACATAAGATGTTAGCCCCACTGTTACCTCAAGCTCAACACTTTCAGATTCATAAACACAGGACTCCCTTTAAGGAATTTTACGGTCACATACCTAAGAACAGATTGTATTATTAACTTCAGATTGCAGCTCAGGTTACTCAAGTATACAGATTTATAGGGCACTCAAATATGAGAACTGGAGTGTTAATGAGCTAACTGAATTTTAAAGACATAGCATACTTCTGGGACACAAAACTGGAATTAAATTTATGTAAACTGGAACCCAAATACTTTTCAGAGTGAGCATAATTCATCCACTAGTTTTTTTAAAACATAGCAAAATTAAATTGAAAAGTAAAAAAGCCCTAAAGAGATGAAATAATCCCAATGCAATTTTAAAATTTGGGAAACGAGATAATTTGGAGGGTCCACATGAATCAACTGGACTCCCTAAAGGGAGTTTAAGGGTTTAAGTGACTAAACAATTCTTCAGTGTCCCCAGAAGTTCTCTAATGCTGTAATACAACTTACAGGGACAACATAAATAACTACATTGCTTTCCTCCAAAAGAAACTGAAATAACTTCTACAAATTAGACACGACTTACATCTTTTATTTAATATAGACAATCTGTAATACATGTTAAATGCATGTAGAGTATTTTGTTTAATTTACTGTAGTAATCCAAGAAGTAATCCTATCTATATTAACTAAAGTATCCAGAGAGGTGTTAACTTACTCAAGAAACTCTTGTTTACCCTTTATATTTAATGGTTGCAAACTTTTTTTTAAGACTAGAGAAAAAAAGAAAGTCTCAGTTTTACAAAGTGGAAAGAAGATAAAGAAGAGGTTGACTCACTTGCCCAAGGTCATCCAGCAACCAGTAGAAAAGCCAGGGCCAGAGATCCCTCTCCATGCCTCAGAGCTCATAACCAGACTACGGAGTCCGACTTATAGCCTGGTGGCCTGCCTACAAAAGGCAGCATAATATGCTTAATGGTAGCAAAAGAAGAAAGAGTGTATCGTGTTATCCTCAAAAACGCTGAAGGCAGGCGCCTGCTGCAGAAAAAAACCTGACAGCTACAGCTGGAAACCTTTCTCACCCATTCACTAAAACAAGTTAAGTAATCCAAGAAAATTCAGCTTCTTATTGTATATTTCTGGTGAGTGAATTTAGAGACACAATTGGTAAAATCAAGAAATGGGAAATATTCATGACTGTCACTCAACACTTACTTGTCAAAGAACCTAATCTATTGTCCATCCACTCCTACCATTTTCATTTTCACCAGTGGGCCAAAAAGGGATGCAAAGTTATCCTACTTTTGTAGCTCTGGCTTGATAAGATGGCTAGAGGCTTCAGTCCAACAAGACAATGCATGCTCTCTCTCAAGATTAATAGTCATGGAAGTTTCAATGCGCCGCCCTTCCCCAGGGATGGAATTGTTACAGACCACAATTTACTGAGAGATTCTGGTTTTTTAACATCCTTTCCTTGTAACACAAGAATCTTCTCGTTGAATGCCCCTATATGGAATGTATTACTGGACTAAATATCTCTCAATAGCCCTGTAGTTTTAAAAATTACCTCATGGAAAAACAAAATAAGACTCTACACAATGCAGTGAAATGTTAACATAGTCACTGAAGAATTACTTGACATAAAATAGATACCATCAAAACTCTCACTGCCATAATTTGCTGAAATCTATCAGTTATACAGCCTTAAATTTACAGTAAGGTCAACAGACATTCCAAAGGATTAAGGATTAAGAGTAAACTTTAGGATTAAGAGTAAACAATATTCCATTTACAAAAATGTCATTGGTAAATATCTGAGAGCATCTAATAAAGCACAGTTAACATTATCCTAGGAAAGGAAACAGGTGAATGGTTGGTAATGGACAAAACAATGCTAATAACAATACTGAGTAGGGTTTTTAAAAGTTTCTAACAATCTAGTTGTATTGCACCAAATGTTAACTCTATAAAGAACAAGTAAACACTGCCTCAAAGGAAGGAGCAGAATGAAGAAAAGTGGGGAAAAAAATAAGTTAACAATGTGGCCAAACATTGAGAAAATTAAAGCACTATCATGTTGCTGTGAAGGGAAAATGTTGATGGAATTTTTGTGAAATTGAAAGTTTTTGACAAGGGATGCAATCTTTCACAGATACAAAGTACTCTAACAAGTTTATTCAGGAATTGTTCAAAAAACAAAAGCACCTAAGTGACCTTCTAAGAAAAGAATATTCACTCAGACATTATTACCAACATTATATACTGTAATATGCCCTATATTTTATAGTTGATATTTCATAATAGTGCTGTTAAAAATTAACAGCCATTTAAATTTATTCTTGTAAGGACACCACCCTCCCAACATACTTTTTATTCACTTTTTGTCTACAACATCCCTAACATATGTGCATCTGCTTAACATATCCAATGCCAAGAAACTATCTTTTCAGGTATTCCAAAACAGAAGTATAGAAAGTATATATCTCCTTCTAGGAAAACAGCTCTACTAGGCATTCAGCTACTCAAGCCATATCTAAAGGACCATTTTAATGCCATTTTAAGTTAAAGGCCATCAGAGATAAAGACTATGTCCAAAAAATGGTAGTCAGAATAGTGGTGCATCTGCAAACCAGGAGATTTAAATAACACCTGAAAGGAACGGATGGAATGCTTAACCTAGATATAAGAGGACTATGAGGAGGCTGTCTTCGAATATTCAAAGGCAAGTTACATACAAGAGGGAAGAATAAGAATCAATAGGTGGAAGTTAGAGAAAGGCAAATTTCAGTTCAACAATGGAAAACTGTAACAACTAGAACCGCACAACAAAAGAACTGGTTGCCTCACTTTATGGGAAAAATCCAGTGGGTGCTCAGCAACCATCTGTCAGGGTGTCACCTTGAAGTGCACAGGGAGATGAACTGCGTGGCTTCCAAAGTCTGTGCACTTTTGGCTACTTCAAAACTTTGGCTAGATCAAAGGATCTTGGGCAAAACTGACTCAGTTGTAAAACTGTGGCAATACAGTAGCATTATAATTTTATGGTAGTATAAAAGAGGAAGAAAATATCTTTTTGGGGGTCTGGCACAGTGGCTCACTCCTGTAATCCCAGCACTTAACTTGGGAGGCTGAGGTGGGCAGATTGCTTGAGCTCAGGAGTTCAAGACCAGCCTAGGCAACATGGCGAAAGCCCGTCTCTACAAAAGAAAAATACAAAATTAGCTGGGTGTGGTGGTGTGCACCTATAGTACCAGCTACTCAGAAGGCTGAAGTCGGGGGATCACTTGAGCCTGGGAGGCAGAGGTTGCAGTGAGCTGAGATTGTGCCATTGTACTGCGGCCTGTGCAACACAGTGAGACCTTGTTTTAAAAAAAAAAGGAAAGAAAAAAATCTCTCTTTTATAGATAATGAAATGCTTGTAGACATATGTCTGTGGTAAACATCAACCAACCTGATTAAAATGCATAAATATGAGATGAAATATGGTTATTTCATCAGTTTATTATACATGATAGAAGAATAAACCTCATGGGAGCCTTCTGGGCCATTGGGAAGGAAGGAGCATTAGAGTCCCATGAACAGCACCCTAAACGGAGCCACTGAGACCTGAAAGTGGAAATATGAGTTACCCTGTATCTAACTCCCAAAGAACAGCTTAGCCAGTGGAAAATCTGGCTCTAACTCATAATTGTGAAACATTTTTCAGCTGCCAAACATTTTCAATCACATGGAAACTGAGGTTGTCAGGCTTCCTTAAAATTCCATTCTTCCAAATAAGCCTCTCATCCCTAGAGGGACTAATTAAAAACAAAAGTCCACATTTCCAACCATCTATTCTTCTGGTCAGAAATACTAATGAGAAACTAGACTCACAGATAAAAGGCTATTTAACAGATTAGTCAATCCCCCTCCACCCTTTGGCACCACCAGCCCAAGCTCCCCTGGAAGAGTTTAACCACACGGAGAGACATACGAAACATGTCTCATATGATTCACAACAAGATTAATAGTTTCAAGCCCCAGCACAGGGATTTGCAGTACTGTTACTACATATCGTATCTGTCACACCTCAAAATCTCAATCTACAGAAATGGAGGATTAATCGCCTCCTTTTTTCCTGCCCACCAATCCAGCTAAAGCAATGTCTAGAAAATATCACAAAGAGTTAATGCAAAATAGTATCAGAATTAATGGTATACTAAGGCTTCTACCAGAAAAATTCATAAGTAGTTCCATGATTAAAATAATTAAAGAAAAAATAGTAAGAGCCAAGAGAAAGGGGTCATTTTATTATTTTCCAAAACTGACATAAGAAATTAGAAATTTATAGAAAAATGCCCTAACAGAAGATGACTTAATGACATTATTATTAATGTGAATGTAACCAAAGGAAAATTAATGATTAGAAGCAAAGCACCAGTACCCTGCAGCTTTTAGAAAGAAACCAACAAGAACTCATTTATCTAGCACTGTAGGGGGCTGAGTTATTCAACACATTTGAGAGTTCACCCCACTCATACCTTAAGCAATAATATTGTATTTCAAACACAGCATATAGAACAGAAATTAATCTCTTCACAATGATAGATATAATTTGGAACATCAATTATAATACTATGCTATCAAGGTAGATGTTTACCTTGTTTCTATATTAAATGAATATGAATGGCTGTGATTTTTAAAACTATATTCTTTTGTACTTTTAACAGATTTTTCTTTTCCCATCAGTTATCTTATTTTCAGGCTATCAATATATCATCTTTAGATCTTGCCAACATCCCTACCTTCATCAACATAACTTTTCCCCATCTTCTAATGTGTTGCTTCCAATCTAATGTGGGCTAAGAAACTAAGTAAAAAGTTTGTTAGAATTCTATGTAAAGTAACAGTTGATGGGATATGATTAAGGGCCTAGTAGCCACTCTTATAGACTAAATGTATGTGCTTTTATACATGGGTTTATGGTAGCACCTCAAGCTGCTTAGAAGTCTTCTACCTACTTCACGATTCTTAGCCACATCCTAAAAAACTGAGATTCCAAGAAACCCAATCTCTTAGAGAGAAATAGATAAGGATATTAAAAATTACAACACTAAGGGATATCTACTCTGAAACAGATGGATGGAAAATGCCACGGGAACACTAAGAAGACAACTCCAAGGCAGACTTAAAAGACAATGGGAAAAAAAGATCAGGAACAGCTCCATGAAGAAAAAAACCTGTAAACTCAGTGTTGAAAGACTTATCAGATCTTAGATCCATCCAGGGAAAGAAGGGACAGAGGAAAAAGCAATGAGTCTGTTTTTGCAATGAGTCTTTCTTTAGCTGTCAATCAGGAGGGGCATATTTTTCAAATGCAGGTATCTTTCTAGTAATCGTTGTTTCACTGGATCTTTATTGGCTTTAGAGTTGAAGATTCATAGCTGCCAATTAAATGACTTGTTTTTAACTGACTTATTGCAATAACATTAATCATGTTGCCCAACAGTGATTTGCCAGCTTTGTCATATAAAATTAGGTAAACTTTTAAGTGAACTAACTCAGTAACAGAAAATCAAATACTGGATGTTCTGACTTATAAGTAGGAGCTAAACAATAGGTACACACAGACACAAAGATGGAAATAATAGACACTGGGGACTCCGAAAGGAGGGAGCCTGAGAGTGGGGAAAGGGTTGAAAAATTACCCACTGGGTACAATGTTCAGTATTTGGGTAATGGGTACATACACTAGAAGCCCAATCCCTAACAGTACACAATGTACCCAGGTAACAAACACGCATGTGTACCCCCTGAATCTAAAATAAAATAAAACGTTTTAAAAAATAATAATAAAATTAGGAAACGCCATTGGAAGGATACACTGTTTTAGGAAGCCCAATTCTGAATTGTGGCTATTGGAAAAAGAAACATATAAGATACTCGGTATTTGGCTGTAAGTGCCAAATTCTTTTACTCAAAAACACTAATTATGCAGAAAATTGCTGATACATTTCTCAGTAAGCCAGAAATCTATACAATGAAGTTGATACTTTCAATTTTCTACTTAATAATTCAATAAGTTCAAATTGGGCCTTATAAATATCACATTTAATGTCTGCTATCATTTTTTTCATTCATCATCATTCAGTCGTTCTAGACAAATGAGAAAAAATAAGAATATAGATTAGAAAAGAAGAGATGAAAATAGGTTTTACTTACAGAATATGATTACCCACCTAGAAAATCTCAGAAAACCAATAAAGAAACTATTAGAATAAATAAGATTTTGGTGAAATGACAGTACACAGACTAAGATACACAAATTATGCTGCCTATTAAAAAATAAGAAAATGCAATAGAGAAAACTTTCCAGTTCAAGATGACAGACTGAGTATACGCTTTCATGTCCCTTTTCTCTCAAGACAGGACATGAATACAAAAGGAAAAACCTGTAACAGCAAAAACAACAAAGTCGGGAAGGGGTAGTGATTATTAGACAAGAGAGACTGAACAAGTCTTTTGTGGGTGTGTGATGAAAATATAAACAAAGAGTAGAGGAAGCCAATGCGGAGATAAATGGAGGTACAGTGGAAGAAACAGCTAATCTCCCAGAGAGAAGATGAGCTCATGAGCAGGTAGAGAGGTGAGTATAAGAATTGAGAATAAAAACAACAGAATTAAATAACACAGTTGTATCAATTGCTCCACTTCCCCCAAATAAAACCCAAATAAAAAGCATGATGCCAGAGATAATCAGGCAAATAGCCAGGTGCGGTGGCTCACACCTGTAATCCCAGCACTTTGGGAGGCCAAGGCAGGTAGATCACAAGGTGAGGAGTTAGAGACCATCCTGACCAACATGGTGAAACCCTGTCTCTACTAAAAATACAAAAAGTAGCCAGGCATGGTCGTGGGCACCTGTAATCCCAGCTACTTGGGAGGCTGAGGCAGGAGAATTGCTTGAACCCAAGAGGTGGAGATTGCAGTGAGTAGAGATTTTGCCACTGCACTCCAGCCTGAGTGACAAGAGCAAAACTCCATCTCAAAAAAAAAAAAAAAAAGAAAAAGAAAAGAAAAAGAGCTAGTCTCTGATAAAAAGCATTCAAATTGCCTACAAAGACAGGCTTATCCTATGAGCACTGATGTCCAAGAATCAAGAGTATCCCATTTGCTAACCTAGTGGCAACCCCTTCTGCCTAAGGATGAACTTCTCATTCATTTACCCTAAAGCAATGTCTCATCCATGTGCACAGATCTATGCAACTTTTTCCATAGTGGAAAAGCCTAGAGAAGAAAGAGACATAAAGGAAAGCTGCACCAGTCAGGTATCCAGAATAATCAACAATCACAAATGAAGAAAAGAACTATGACCAAAAAAAAAAAAAAAAAACACTACTAAAGAAACAGAGATAATCTATAGAACATAACTTGAAAAAAATGTATATACCCGTAACAACTGAAGGAAAATACATGACAAAAAAAAAAAAAAAACAAATAGCATGATACAAAAATAACTGAGTACAAGGGGGAAATTTTGATTGATGAGATTGAAATATTCAAAAAAAATTAAATGATACAATAAAGGAAATATGCAAAACACTGTAAAAACACAACAGGACAAAAACTAGGAGAGAAGAAATGAGAAACAGAATCAACCTAGCAGGTCTATCATACAACTGCTAAGAGTTTTTTGAAAAGAAAATATACAAAAAAAAGAAAGAATATAATTATCCTTAAATATGTAGGCCATTCCCAGAGGAAAGTCATGAGAGGCAAAACAAGATGAGTCAAACAGACTCATATTTAGATTCACACCTGTAATATTTCAGTATAAAATGTATCAAAAAATCACAAAAGCTTCCAGAAAAACAAACACACAGAGAGATCATGTATAAAAGAATAAGAATCAGGGTGGCATCAAAATTTTCTACCCCAATGTGACACTAGTATATAATGAAGCATTATCTTCAAAGTCCTAAGTAAAAGTTACTGTGAACCTAGAATACTATACGCAGCCAAATATCAAGCAAATGTTGAGTCCAAATAAAAACATTTTACCTAACACAAGTGTCAGAAAACCTCCTGCACCCAATATGCCCTTTGCTTTAAAAAGTTAATTATGAATGTACTCCAACAAAATGAGAAAGATAACCATGGAAGAGCAAATCGCAGGACCCAGGAAATGGTGCCTTTAAGAGTGAAGTGGAGAAACATCCCTGGTGATTGTTGTGCAGCAGGTATAGAGAAGGGTAGTCAAGACTGGAAAAGGAAATTAGAGAACTAAGAGTACCCTGGGTGCGGTGGCTTATGCCTGTAATTCCAGCACTTTGGGAGGCCGAGGTGTGTGGATCACCCGAAGTCAGGAGTTTGAGACCAGACTGACCAACATGGTGAAATCCCGTCTCTACTAAAAAATACAAAATTAGTGGTGCATCGTGGTGCATGCCTGCAATCCCAGCTACTTGGGAGTCTGAGGCAGGAGAATAGCTTGAACCCAGGAGGCAGAGGTTGCAGTGAGCTGAGATCACACCATGCACTCCAGCCTGCGTGACAAGAGCAAGACCCTGTCTCCAAAAAAAGAAAAAAAAAAAAAGAGTAAATTCCAAAAAAGAATATGAGTGATCTTCAAGATATTTTAAAGGCTTGTCTTGATTTTTCAAAGAGAAAATGAAAGGTAATTAAAACTAAAAAATCCAAAAGGATCTAAAAGAATGCCACAGCCCAAATATGAAACATTCAGAATGTGGCAAGACATTGAACAGTTAATGCACTAATTTAAAAGGCAAACCATTTGATCTAGATGCCAAGAGAATCTCCTTTTAGGGTCCCAAAGACCAAGCACTGGACCTCAAGTGAAAAATAAAATCTTACCCCCAACAGTGGTGAAAAATATTTGTTATCATAATAATATTAACAGTGTGTACTGCTTTTCAACTTTTAAAATCAAGGGTTTAATTATTTCATTTCGGTTATAAAACAATGTAATGTTCTCAGTCTTGGCAATGTAAAAATAATCAGCTGACAGAAAATGGGAATTGGAAGGGAGGAAAGAACAGTGGATATAGGAGTAGAGGGCATTAACATCATCTTCTTACATAGTGAGAGGTCAAAAGATTCTAAGCAAAGTTAATGGAGTAAGATATAGAAATTAAAATAAATTACAATAAAGAGGTAATCAGTAGAAAAAATAAAATACAGGTAATATCATAACTCAAAACTGAGGAAATATGAGATGAAGACAGCAGGGAATGCAAGCCCACTAAACTGTTATGTGTCATAGTGGTGAATAAATTATGTTAAAATTTATAAATCAAAAGTTACAGACATTGAAACACACACATACGTGTGCGTGTATACACCTATATGCATGTGTGTGCATGAGTGCATGTGCGTGTGGTAGGCTTCTGATTCCTGAAAAATCTAAAACTTTTTAACATATTCTCCACATTTTGATAGTTCTCCTAATTATGAATTCCACTTTCCCAAGGTAGAATATAAAAAAACTATGTTTTCCAGCCTCCATTATAGCCAAGATAAAGATGTGACCCAGGCTCCACCGACAAAACCTAACTCAGCAGTGAAACACATGAGGGAATGGACTGAGCAAGGAAAAGTCCATTTTCCTGGCACAAGTATGAAATGTGTTTCCAGTGAGAAGTGGCGGCAACCAACCTAGTCGTGTTGGCATATGTACAATCTGCCCCAGCACATTGTTTTATGCCACTTAGGAACAAAGCAAAACGCAAAGCAGAGCCACAGCGCTGACTCAAGCCTCAGAGAAATATAGTACCATGCACTATGTCTCTTGGCTCAGGCTGGCCCATCTGCTCTGATTTAGAAGTGTTTATTACATCTTTCTCCCCAACTTTGATGCATTTGCCCTGAACTCCATAAATCAACAGGCTCAATCCTTCCTGACTCTGGTTAAAAACCCTTCTTCGCTCTAGTTACCAAGCTGTTTTAAGTGGTTTGCTACACGCACTTTTTCTTTCCATAAACCCTGTTATTTTTAGTGAGCATGCATGGAGAATCCAATTTACTCTGCAGAAATGTATATACTCCATTATAGCAGAAATATCTGTGCAATGTATTGCTAGAGATATGGAAGTGGCCTTCAGAAGAATAAAATACAGAAATGGTTAAAAGTGGCTGTGTTTAGGGAGTAGGGGCAGGGAAGGAAGATGATACTTTGCATTATAAGCTCCATTGTACTGTGTGTTTTAGTGCTATGTTAATGGATTGCTTGAATTTTTAAATCTCTTCTGCCACATTCAAAAAAGAAAAAGGAAAGGGAAATACAGAAAAAACTGTAATGATATGATCACAATGCCAAATATAGAATATTAAAAGATAAACTTGAGATGTGAAATAGTTATGTAAGAAACTATATAACTTAATTAAACACATAAAAGAAAATATAAACACGTAAAGAAACAAACCAAGTTCCTAGAAGAAAAAAATGAAAGCACAGAAAGTACGTGTTTGGAAAGATTGACTATTCATGGCTGGTAAGAGTAGCCCCAGTTTTGTTTTGTTTTTTTCTTTTTTCTTTTTGAGATGGAATTTCACTCTTGCTGCCCAGGCTGGAGTACAATGGCACAGTCTCGGCTCACTGCAACCTCTGCCTCCCGGGTTCAAGAGTTTCTCTGCCCCAGCCTCCCGAGTAGCTGGGATTATAGGTGCCAGCCACCATGCCCAGCAATTTTTGTATTTTTAGTAGAGGTGGGGTTTCACCATGTTGGTCAGGCTGGTC
Source organism: Homo sapiens (assembly GCF_000001405.40). Taxonomy (NCBI): domain Eukaryota; kingdom Metazoa; phylum Chordata; class Mammalia; order Primates; family Hominidae; genus Homo; species Homo sapiens. The sequence goes on along the minus strand of NC_000006.12, from coordinate 80,217,042 downwards.
TCAAACTCCTGACCTCAAGTGATCCACCCGCCTCAGGCTCAGTGCTAGGATTACAGGAGTGAGCCACCATAGCTGGCCCCAGTTTTGGAATAAACTAGAAAAGTAATATCCTTTTGTTAAACCTTTGTACATCACAGTTTCAATAAATTTTTAAGTTAAATTATCACTGCTCAGCACTGCAAAGCCAGGGTGTTATAATAGAAAAGATAAGAAATTCTTAACGATTACAGAATAAATACAATTTCGTAAAAAAAGCACCAGTTTAATGGGAGAGAGTTAAACGCCATCAAAGAAAGAACAGAAAGTCAACACATTTAGATTTCTTGTATTACACCTAAAATGTTAAACTAAGAACATAATGTACCTATAATCTTTTTTCATTATGAAATGAGGTAACGGATTTCTTTCTTTTCACTGCTATTCGTAACAGTGAAAGCAAACAGTTTAAACAAAATGAAAACTTGAGTCAAACTCAAATAATTTAAGTGTATAAGAGGACACCAAAAACACATCAGGTGGGATGTGAAATGGAACAATATAATTATATAATTTAATCTTGCTTTCTCCAGTTCCATGTGGAAGGAAAAAAAATGCTAAATGAAAGAAAATATGGTAGTGTGATTTACAAGGTGTATACAGGTCACATTTGCCCACCTGTAAAACACATATCTTTATATTATAAAGGTGGGCAAATGTGAAAGAAAATTCCTGACATATGATAAAATATGTTCTAAGCTGACATTTAGAAGCATTTGATCAGCAAAACTCTCAAGTGACAATTTTTATTATCCAGCAACCTGGGTTGAAGCCAGTGCTGTCCCCCACTGGCTGTAAGCTGCTCCACCTTCCCCAAACCTCAGTTTTCTTCCCTATAAAATAATGACACTGATGTCTAATTAGAAGAACTGTTTGAATACAAAAGGAAACATGCATAACATATGTAGTTTTAACTTTTTTAATTTACCATTTACCAGGAACTAAGTCCTATTATGTAAGATACATTGGCCGGGCACGGTGGCTCACGTCTGTAATCCCAGCACTTTGGGAGGCCGAGGTAGGCGGATCACGAGGTCAGGAGATCAAGACCATCCTGGCCAACATGGTGAAACCCTGTCTGTACTAAAATACAAAAAATTAGACGGGCATGGTGGTGCACGCCTGTAGTTCCAGCTACTCAGGAGGCTGAGGCAGGAGAATGGCTTGAACCCCAGAGGCGGAGATTGCAGTGTGGAGATCGTGCCACTGCACTCCAGACTGGTGGCACGGCGAGACTCCGTCTCAAAAAAACAAAAAGTATATATATATAACATTAGGTCAGAACCCATAGTTATTATTTTAATCTTCTTTAAAATGTACCTAAAATGTAAATCATAATAAAAATAGACCCCATGGCATGACTGATAATCTCAGTGTATTTTCTTCCTAGAGGATTTACCAGTTCTTTAATTTCTTTCACTGAAAAACCAAATGCCACGTTATTTTTCAGATGGTTCAACAAATATTTACTGAGCATCTACTATATTCTAAACTCTTCAGGACTCTTGCAGATATAGCAATGAACATAATACACAAAATTCCCTGCCCTCATGGGACTTAAAGGAAGTGGCCAAGGGCTGTCAGGCAGGACAATCAATGTAGTAGCCACATCCCAATATAGCATCCAACAGCCTAGAACTTGTTCCAATTAGTACAACAACTAACTAGTTGTGATCATGACAAAGAAAATCCTACAGGAAGAATGACTTGGCAGGAGGGACCAACTTTCAAATTGTCAGCCATCCTGTTTTGGAACAGAGAAACAAACTATTCTCATCTGAGAGGAGGGCACCGCCCTACCTGTTTTCTCTGCAAGGTCAAACCATATCCAAAATAATTCCAAACTCACACAAAATGAGACCATTTTTCCCTATGCCTAAGGAAAAGCATTTAAGTCTAACAGATCTTTGAATCATTTCTTAGTTTTTTTTTATATTAGAGGCTTATTATAAGCATGAAAGAAATACACATAATTTTTAACATATGACTTAAAATGACTTTATTATAGTCTACCCTCAGAAATATAAACTACTCTCAACAATTAAACACAACATGTAACAAGAATAATTTTAAACCCATATATCCTTGTACGGTCAAGAAGACATATAATTTTACCTAGCAATAGTCTTTGATTACATTTTTAACTAAAGGTTTAGAGAAAAAGAAGAGAGAAAATAATTCTAATTTGTTGTTTTCAATTCACGAGATCATCAGTTATTCTGATATATAAGCTAAACCATTTAGGTTACATTATAATAATGCCCTAGAATAAAACTACTGTCATACTATTTATTCAGAATTATAACATATGTTTAATTTACAATGGCAGAGCCAGGCCCCGCTGTGGAAACCTAGTGGTATTAACCATGAAACTTGGCCTAAGAGAGGCCTCTAGTGGTTATAGGTAGTTACTAGCTCCCTTTCCATCCCAACCCCTCAACTGTTTGAGAATGTTCTTGATTTCATTAACTCACTTTCTGTCCCCCTCTGCTCCCCTCAAACAGACACAGCCTCAAACAAAATAGCTAGTATTCAGTCACGGAATTATTCACTTAAGTTCAAGTAACCAATTTTTAAAATGTATATTTTAACTGGCAATACTTAAATATTAGAGATTCTCTATAGACAAATTCTTCAACTTCTCCATAAAACCAGTTTAAAGCTATTCAGTCTAACAAATCAGAATTAAATTTCCAATTTAATCTATGGGTCTTCAGAACATCTTCTGCACCATTCACAAATACTTGGTGATTAACACCCAGGTGCAAATGCAAAGAGTAAACAAACTTGGTCCTTCATCCAATTACTAAGGTTTGACTCCTTCCCCATTCCAGCTCTACAATTTCCCTTTCCTTTTTTGCTGAAGACCTCTGCTCCCTGATCGTCTCCATTCCCACTAACTCTGCCAGCCTTAGTGCCTGTCCTGCTATTATCCAGTTCCCCCAGTGAAGTCTTCTATAGCAAGAATGGAAATAATTGGGGTGAAAGGATGGGAGGAAAGAATGCTAAATCTAAGAACACTGAGCCCTCCCTCCCAGCTACTGTCACTCCCTCATGCCACAGCTGAATTACTTCTAGCTCCTTTCCCCTAAGGCCTTATCCTGCTCCTATGATAGACTACCCCTAAAATATCTTGAGACTAGAGATGCCCAATATGTACCCAAAGAACAACTATTCATTTCTATGAGTATGTCTTCATCTTCTACTACATAACCTATGTTTAAAAGAGAAAAGAAAGGGAAAGCAGGAAAAAGAGCTGGAGAGAAAAATGGAGGGAACAGAAATGAAGATATTTTCTCTATCATTTTCTAATTTTGTTAAAATTAAAAAAAAAAAAACAAAAAAAAACACTTCCCAAGAACTTCAAAAAGGTAGGAGATTGCTTTGGGCAGAGAGTGAGGGGGAGGGAAGACTGGGAGACAGTATCTTGTAACAGGGTGTATTTGAACAGAGAAGAACCCTCATCTAAAGCAGTGCACAGTGGCTGTGATGGCTACGAAATTCAGGACAGACCCAGTTTTAAAAGCTGCTATACAAATAGTAACTCCCATCTATTCAGAAAATGTAATTATCCATAAAACTCATGTCTTAGAAATTAAGAATAACTGAAGTTTACTGTACAGTCAATTTCACTTTGCCTTTCAAAGTAGATAAATTGTTCCTATTCTAATAAGAATTCAAATAAATAATTTCTATATGCCATTATGAAACATAGACAACCATTAAGAAAAGTCAAATGCAAGGTCAAAGCAAAACTTAAAACTTTTAAATAAATATTTCAATTTAGAATAAACTAATGTATTTATTCATAGAATACTGTTCTAAAGTTACTTTTTAAACTTTTTTATGAGCACCAAGAAGAAGCACCAAATTGAAAACATTTTAATATTACAACAGTTTTCATAGCATTGTTAAACTTTCTCTTGCTAATATTTATTACTTTTCAGCAAGTATTTATTGAGCACCAATCCTATCACAGTCATTGTTGCAGGTACTGGGAATTTTTGAACCAAAAGACAAAAATTTCTGCTGTCACAGAACTTGGAAGAAAGATCAACAATGTAAATAACAAGAGTACGTAACATTTTAGCTCATGCTAATCACTACAGAGAAGAGGAAAGAAGGAAAAGGTGAAAGGAAGTCTTGATAGGATTCAGTATCACATAAGCTGGTCAAGGAAGGCCTTAATGGTATTTGAGTAGTGCCTAACAGAATGATGTTGCAGGAAGTCAGGGAACCCGAATGGAGGGGCCAGCTGGAGCTGTGGCACAGGAACATAAATTGTGAAGATTTCATGGACATTTATCAGTTCCCAAATAATACTTTTATAATTTCTTACACCTGTCTTTACTTTAATCTCTTAATCCTGTTATCTTCGTAAACTGAGGATATATGTCACCTCAGGACCACTCTGATAATTATGTTAACTGTATAAATTGATTGTAAAACATGTGTGTTTGAACAATATGAAATCAGGGCACCTGAAAAGGAACAGAATAACAGTGATTTTTAGGGAACAAGGGAAGACAACCATAAGGTCTGACCACCTGCGGGGTCGGGCAAAAAGAGCCACATTTTTCTTCTTGCAGAGAGCCTATAAATGGACATGCAAGTAGGAGAGATATCGCTAAATTCTTTTAAGGAATATTAATATTAATACCCTGGGAAAGGAATGCATTCCTGGGGGAAGGTCTAAAACAGCCACTCTGGGAATGTCTGTCTTATGCAGTTGAGATAAGGACTGAGATACGCCCTGGTCTCCTGCAGTACCCTCAGGCTTATCAGGGTGGGGAAAAACTCCGCCCTGGTAAATTTGTGGTCAGACCGGTTCTCTGCTCTTGAACCCCGTTTTCTGTTGTTTAAGATGCTTATCAAGACAACAGGTGCACTGCTGAACATAGACCCTTATCAGTAGTTCTGCTTTTGCCCTTTGCCTTGTGATCTTTGTTGGACCCTTGTCAGTGGTTCTGCTTTTTCCCTTTGTCCTGTTCCCTCAGAAGCATGTGCTCTTTGTTAGACCCTTATTAGTAGTTCTGCTTTTTGCCTTTTGAAGCATGTGATCTTTGTATCTACTCCCTGTTTTACACCCCCTCCCCTTTTGAAGCCCTTAATAAATAAAAAACTTGCTGATTTGAGGCTCAGGTGGGCATCACAGTCCTACTGATATGTGATGTCACCCCCGGTGGCCCAGCTGTAAAAGTCCTCTCTTTGTACTCTTTCTCTTTATTTCTCAGCCAGCCAACACTTATGGAAAATAGAAAGAATCTATGTTGAAATGTTGGGGGCAGGTTCCCCTGATAGAATAACAGAGTGAATGAAGGGGCTTGCTGGAGAAAGAACATTTTCTAAAGGGTGGATGGGTGGTAGGAGGTGGAAAGCGATGAAATCAGGTAAATTCTTGTAGGCCATGGTAAGGAATTTGACTTCTCTCTCAATGGGAAATCACTGAGGCTTTTTGAAACTAGAAGGAACATGATATGACTCAGATTAAAAGTATCAACTCTGCCTATGGCAAGGAAAGGTCAGAAGCGCAAGACAGTTGTTAGGTGGCTATGGCCAAAACCCAGGAGAGAAATGCTAGTAGTCTGCAGCAGGATCAAGCAGTGGTCAGATTTTGGACATATTATGTAGGCAAAGCCAGCAGGATATGCTTTGGAATTTAATCTGGGAGGCAGGACACACCAGAAAAAGATAAATTAAAAAGACTGTACGGTATAAAGGCAAATTCTTATACATTTTAATAATTAGCATAATTTAATCTTCAGGTAAAGTTTAAACATGTCAGAATTATAAGTGTCAGTTTTTTCTTCTCTATAGATATGTGAAAATCACCTAGACCTTGTAAATGATTGTGCTTCAGTTCTTTTTTTGCAGTGTTGTTATGTAGTTGATTCTAGATTAAATGACAACGATGCTTGAGAATCTGAGTTTCTTTCAAAGCCTTTTGTTTATTCTCCTGCCAAAATCAAGTTCTTATTTTTGAAGGCACCTTCTCTGAATTTCTCCTTATTTAAGAAAAATCTTCCTTTCAAGCTTGACAGCACCTCAACAGCTATTCGGCCTGGCCACTGTTTTGTTAACACGGCAGCTCACTTTTTAACTCATTTTGAATGTGGTCTGCATGTCAGCAGGAAAGTCCATTAAAGCCCATAACCCTAACCACTGTTCTTACTCCTGGGAAGGCTTGAGAGAGAACAGCCCTACTTATGAGCTCCTGTTTCACATCAGCATGACAGCTGAGCTGAGTTGCAGGGAGAAACTGAACGAAGGGTGTGGACAGAGCTGCATGATAAAAGGAAAATCTTCCTGGCTAAGGACACCAAGGCTCTCTCTCCCTGAGTCCATAAAAGGGCTCACTACAATGTGAAGTAAAGGAAATGAATTAAACAGAAGATAGTGCTTCTTTTTATTTCTTTTTTAAAAATTTTGTTCAAGTTTAACATATATACAAAAAAGGTGCACCAAATGAGTGTTCGGCTCAGTTTTCAAAAATTTAACCTGAATAATCAGCACTCAGAACAAGAAACTGTTACCAGCAACTCATAGCCCTTACACACTCTTCCAATTATTAACCACTCTCATGATAATCACTAGCCTGACTTCTAACATCATCAATTAGTTTTGTCTATTTTTTACCTCTATATAAAATAAATCATTCAGTATGTACTTACTTGAGTCTGGCTTCTTTGTGTTTATGAGATGAATATACATTATTCCATTACATTTTTAGTTCATTTATTCTCATCGCTGAACAATATTATACTTATTATTGATCCATTCTCTAGTTGATGAGTACTTCGGCAGTTTACAGTGTGGGGCTACTAGAAGTAATGTTCCTATGAACGCTTCTGGTTTTTTTTTTTTTTTTTTTGTATATTTCTTCACATATACACATACAGGATTGGAATTGCTAGGTTATAGGGTTCAGGTAGATACTGCCAAACAATTTTCCAAAATGGTTGTACAAATTTATGTTACCAACAATAGTCTATGAGAGTTGAATTGCTCCACATTATTGCCAACACTTAGTGTACCTTTTCAAGACTGTTACCCATATTTCTATTGGATATTGGTCTTTTCTTTTTGATTGTGTAAGTACTTTATATTTCCAGATATAAGTTTCCTTGAGTTTCTCCAAATCTGTAATTACCTGTTTACTCTCTTATTGGCACCCTTTTGATGAATAAATTTTCTTAAATGTAATGAAGCACAATGTTATCAGCCCTTTTTTAACGTTAGTGTTTTATTAGTGCACAAGATCACATGAACATATTCACCTATGCTTTCTCCCAAGAGCATTATTTTTTCCTTTCACAATTAGATCTGCAACTCAGCTGTAACTGATGCTTGTGTGGTAAGAGTTAATATAATTATTTTTCATAGTACCCAAATGAATCAACATCCTCTATTGAGAAAACTACCTCTTCCTCTCAAAATTGCAAAGTCACCTTTGTCCTGAATCAGATAACCAGCAGGTCTGTTTCTAGACTCTTATTTTATTCCATTGGTCTATTTGTGTATTTTTATACCTATATAATGTTATAATTACTACAGCACTAATAACACATCTCAACATTTGATAATTAAGTCCTCCAGTTTTGTTCTTCTTCAAGATTGCTCTGGCTCTTCTTGGCCTTACAATCCACTAACATGCTATATGCTTCAGTTTATGGGCCTTTAATTTTCCTAAATAATATTCTGTGATTTTCTGTGTAAAGTTCTGACATACGTATCACGAAATTTTTCCCTAGACAGTCCTAATATCAAGAGGAAAGCTGTCAAAATTTCACTAGGAATTATAATTTTTGCTGCAGGCATTTTGCAACTAATCTTCACCAGAGTAAGATAATTATCTTCCATTTCTAGGTTGCTATGAAATTTTAATCATGAATAAATATTGAATTTTAATAAATACTTCTCTTGCACTACCAAGGTAGTCAGGTTTTTCTTCCTGTTTTCTGTTAACATGAGGAATTGTATCAACTGCTTTGTGAATATTTATGAACATTATGTGCTCTACATTTATTTTAAAAGCTGTCTATAATTTTCCTTTCTTATACTGTCCTAAATACGTTTGATATTAAGATTATGCTGGCCTTATAAAAAGAATTTGAAAGTTTTCTCTTTGATTCCACTCTCCGTAAGGGTTTGCATAAGGACTACATTTTAGAGAATTCACCAATAAAGCCATTTAGGCCTGGGGTTTTCTCTGTATGAGAGTTAATAACATTAAATTTAATTTTTTAATAGATCATGACTATTCAGATTTTCTAATTCCTCTTGTATCAATGTTGAATGACTTATATTTTTCCAGAAAATTGTCAACTTTACTCAAAACTTATTTGTAAAATTATTCATAACATCCTCTTTGTCTTACCATTGTCTGTGGGCTCTTCATCATACAAACAAATATTTGTCCTTTGTTTCTACCCTATTTTTTCCATTAGTTAAAAGTTTATCAATTACATTAATCTCTTCAAAGATCTAAATTTTACTTTATTAAATTTCTCTACAGATTCAATTTCAGTAATTTCTGCTCTTAATTACTTCATTTCTTCTACTTTCTCTAGGTTTGATTTTCTTTCTGGAGATGGAAATTCAGATCATTAATTTTTTTAATTCTTATTCCTATTTCCTAAATTTATATATTTACAGCTATAAAGTTTCCTCTGAGCATGGCTTAAGCTGGTTCTTGAAACTTTTGATATATTCTATCTTCATTAACATTCAGTCCAGTTTCTTTTCTAATTTTTGAGTTTCTTCTGTAATCCACGGTTATTTAGAGTAAGGTACTTAATTTGTAGGAAGTCGAGGCTTTTCTAGTTGTCCTTTTCTTTCACTTGATTTCTAACTGAATTCCACTATTGTTAGAGAACATAATCTCAATGACTCCAAGCTTTTGGAATTTTTTAAGGTTATATTTATGCCCCAGCATTTGGCCAATTTTGACAAATGCTACATATTCTATTGATAGTTTGGTGCACAATTAGGACAACTTTACAAATTGCTTTGTTCAGATCTTCTATACACTTCACGAGATTTTGTCTGCTTGATTAAGCAAGATTTAAGAGGGATGTCTTAAAGTCTCCTGCTGTAACTGTGAATATGTTCATACCTCTTCTGAGTTCTGTGTTTTCTTTGTTTAGTTTATGGCTTTATTTATTTTCAAACTATGTTATTAAGGATGAAATAGACTTAGGATTATGATATATTTAAGGTGGACTGGTCCCTTTGGCATAATGAAATGCTCCTTTTCACTTCTAGTAGTCCTTTTTGCCTTAATGCTTTATTTGAAATTAGTGTATCTACACCAGCTTTCTTTTTCCATCCTTTCATTTTCAACATTTTGATGTCCTTATATTTAAAGTATGCCTTTTTTAAGCTACACATGGTGGTGGTAGTTGTTTTTCATGAAGTCTGAGGATCTTAGACTTTTACTAGGTTTATTTAATCTTTTTGTATTTAATTTAATTACTTCTATATTTGGGTTTATATCATCTTATCATCTGTTATCTATTGACCCATCCATTTTTCATACTTATTTATTTTGGATTAACCAAATATTTTTATTAATTTATAGTTCTCTTATTAACTTGCTAGATATGCATTCATTCCCTGTTATTTCAGTTGTTACACTGGAGATTATAACTTGTATCCTTGATTATAACCTAACCAGAACATTACACTTCATAATAATCCTAGAACAACAGAATATTTTAACTCCATGTAAGACCCCCTAGCTTTTGTGTTTTTATTGTCTTACATTTCAATTCCATATATTTAACTTAAACTTCACTAAACTTAAACTTTCACAGAAAATTATGACTACTGTTTCGGATAATCAATACTAAGCTATAGTGTATGCTCTCCTCCATATTTTCTTTTAGAATCATTTTCCTTCTGCCAAAGGGAGCTCCCTTGCAGTACCTTCTTTTAGTGAGAGCCTGCTAGTGATAAATTCTCTCAATATCTGTTTGCCTAAACTATTTTTATTTCATCTTAATTTTTAAAAGATATTTTCACTGAATATAGAATTGTAGGCTAGCACAGTCAGCAATTTAAGATGTTATGCCATTGTGCATACAGGTGTGGTTTTCTTTGAATATAATCTTAAAAGTTAACAAAGCTTGTGTAATGATGTTCTGAAATCTTCATGAGAATTTTTTTTTAGATACTGTTAGAGATTTTCTCTCTCTTCTTTTTCTGGAATTCAAATTGTATATAAGACAGATCTTTTGACCAGATCCCAAATGTGTTTTATCCTCTTTTCTGACTTGTGCTTCAATTTGGACATTTTCTATTAACTAGCCTTCCAGTTCATTATTGCTATCATCTACTGAGTCCGATATGTTATAAGCCTATTCATTGAGTTCTTATTGTCAGATATATATTTCTCTGATGGCTCCACAAAGTTTACTTGATCCATATACATACATGTACACACACACACACACACACACACACAAACTTTCTAGGGTAATTCTCCACCCTCTTACCTCTTTTGTTCCTTATTTTCTCTATGTTCCTAAGCATAACAATCAAGATGTTCTTGTCTGCTAACTCCAATATCTGGATCAGCTGTGCTTCTGCTTTTTATTGTTTCTTTCCCCTTTGTTATTGATCAAATACTCCTGTCTCTTCATCTACTTAGTTTTTTATTGAATGCTGGTTTATAGAAGTTCCAGATAATGAGAGGATTGACTCCTTGGCTCTGCTGCGCAGATAGAGTAAAAGTACATAATTCAATAAAAAATTCAAAGGGGTAGAGGCTGTATTGTGGGTTTGAGATGACCTGGTCTACATCTGGTTTGCCTCTAATTGTAAGACCTAACTCTCCATGGCTTTCAATTGAGAGTATGATGGGTCTTTGTCACTTCATTACCAAGTGATAGCTTCACTTTCCAGATATTTTCTACTTACCTTTCACCATTCACACCTTTAGAATTTGGCAAATAAAAGGTCAAGTATGTGTTTAAATCCCCTCAAAATTTCAATTTTGTCACTACAGCCCCACAAAATATGAGTTCTATATACCTGGATTCTACACACCTGGTTGAGACCAAATAGCAAGTGTAGCCAACTAAAAAGCAGCTATAGGTCATCGGTGTCAACATGCCACTCATTTCAGGGCTTTGAACTCACACAGCTGATTCTCTTAAGCCAATCCACCTACACACACACACACACACACACACACACACACACACACACACACCCATGGCACAGGGTAGGTCTCTGTCTCTTAAGCACTTCAAAACTCAAGAATTTTCTACTGTGCTTTTCAGAAGTCTCCAGCTTAGCTTTTTAATATCAAGTTCAGAATTGAGTGGAAAAACTAGCTGTGGTTTCTAGGACCATTTAAGTCTCTAATTTTTTAACTCCCTTGAGCAACAGTCAAAGACTCTGCTCCTTTCTCTATCCCCGAGCAAATATTTATTTTGGTTTATAACTTCCAAACCATGTATCAAGGATTAAGCAAGAAGTATGAATTCCTCAAGTGTCCCAGAGGCATTTTAGTGTATAGAGTATGATAATGTGTGTTCAACGAATCGTTTTTGCCTTTAATATGCTTTCTTTTCTTGATCAGGCGTTCCAAAAGATATATATTGGGGTTTAGTTGACACACAACGAATAAAACTCAGCGATCTAATGAGTCATAAGACAAAAACAACTGATAAAACACAGCTAATTAAAAGAGATTATAATATAAATTTTGGTTACTATAGAATTCATCAAGATGAATTAAAAAAGCTTCACTCTGGGGGAAAAAAAACCCTCATTTTCCATATAAATATTTGGTTATAGGGCCCTCTTCTTTAAAATCATCTCTAAATCCTAGCAGGAAAAAGCTAAGTATCAAAATTTTACCTCTTTTGATACATCAAAAGAAAACAGGAGAGGTACCATCATCAGCAACGAAGAGAGTCTCAAATAGACCCAAAGCAATCAAGAAGCTGGCTTTCACTGTCACAACCGGATGAAAGCATCCCAAAACAAAACAAAATAATGACGCTAATAAGTCAGAGGTCTGATGCATCACTTTCTCATTCAGTAGAGATCGCTTGTCTCCTCTTTCATCTTTCCCAGTAGGATAGAGCCCTAAGGAAAATGGATCTGCATTCTAGGATCAGACAAAGATGCGACCAACAGATTTAACACAGTGATGCAAAAGCAAACTGCTATCGATGTAAATATAAACAACTTCACCCTTCTTTCTGCCCCTAACTCTACTCTCTTTGCTTCCACGGTTGCCAAAATGAAGTATTAGTATACTTGTGCTTTACAATAAGCTGCTACAAATGCTTTTTGAATGTTTAAGGTATTATTTATATATATATAGATAGATACGTAAATAAAGTTCTAAAAGTGCTTGCCCTGACCATATGTGAATGCCCTCCGCACTGCGCCATCATAAAACATCATATCCCCATACAAAAGCACCATCTACACTAAAAATACAAACCCCAGGATAAGTGGTGGATATATGTTGCAAACAAGAAGACAACTCTAGTTTAACTATAATTTGGAACGTCTGGCTATTTGAAAGAAAACCCGGTGTCTGACTTGATTTGAAAATGCCTGCAAAAAGCGTTATTTTCATGAAGCTATGAATAACTCAATCTGAAATATTGCTCTTAATTACAGCAACTACAAATAGAATGGCTCGGGATCATTTGTAAGCATGTCAAGTGTTTAGATGGTGTCAAGTGAGTCTTCACAAACATTTACTATAACAAATCTTACATCTTCTACTAAATTATAAAACACTCTTCACCTAAAAACATCCTAGGCTATACTTTTACAGTAGTATCTGCAGGTTATTTTCATGTAACTAACCCAAGAAAGAGCCTGTAAAAGCTATGAAAATGCCAAAGCTCTTAAAAGTGGTAAATATAAAATGCCCTATACTATAGCAGTATATCAAGAAAAAATAATACATGTCATTGTTTCCTACAATTTTACATGTAATTGTACATCTATCTATTAATCGTACATATATCTATTGTACTTATCTATTAAGACTAGGTACATATAATTTACATGTAGCTAGACTTAATTGATAAGACTATTACAAACAGAGTGCTTAACCTTCTTTGTATCAATATGAAAATAGATGCTTCTTAAATTATCTTGGCATTGGTGTGAAAGATACTGGATATAAAGAGGTAAATGAGAGCTAAACTATATTCTTAAGAGGGAACTGGCTATGTAAATCTTAATAGTAAAAACAAGACCAATGTAATCAGGCCAAAGGTCATGAGGCTACTTAGATAGAAACTGTAAATTAGAGGAGCCAGAATCTCCACATAACCCTTAGACTGTAATCCACAGTATTAAGACTATATACAGAGTTATGTTTTTAAAAAATCCATCCCCATTACTTTTGGAGAGAAGATAAATGAAAATTCAGCCAAATCACTTAATTTACCTGACTAAATTAAACCTAGCTTACTGAACCATAACTAATAAGAAGTCAAAAACACAGGTGCCTTCGGCATCCTTGATATGCTCTATGACTCACACAATTCAACCCAAGGTGACTGCATAAAGGACCCCATTTTGTAATATTTTAAACAAAGGAAACTACAGGAGGAAAAATAAATTCTATAGTGATTTGTTTCCTTGAGCATGAAGCTGTTTATACAACTTTCTTTCATGCTGCAAATTTAAAAGTTTTAAATCAATTGAAAATGCTCACATAGCTCACAATTTCAAAAGAATTATTTGCAAATATACAACATATTTGGCCAAAGGTTTCAGGGAAATGACATTCTATCACCATTATATTCATACCTTACAAATTGTGTCCACATCCCAAGGTATTATAGTCCTCAGATCAATGACTTCACAAGACACTCCAAGCTTTTCTTTTGCCATGGAAGCTACCTCTCGGATCACATGAACCTGAAATAAAGAGAAAAATATGCAGAGAATGACTACAAAGGTTCTAGCCTCAAAAACTAGTTGAATGCTGATGTCACTATTAGAGACAGTATTTAAAGTCTCAGGAACTGATCTGCATGGAGAATTTATAAATTTGTTTTAAATATGTTGAAGCCCATATTCTGCGAAAATAACAAGTATAGATGTCTAGAAAACAGATGGAAAGAGGTGCTTAGAGAGAGAAGTCAGTACCACAGATACTGATTACAAAGATGGCATGTAGAAGGTAAATGAAGTCATACAAATACGTAGAAAGCATGTAGAGGGAGAAGTAAAGGGTAAAAATCACCAACATTTAAGGAAAAAATGGACCAAGAGGAGAGGAAGGAAGAAAGAGAGGGAGGGAGGGAGGGAAAAATGGAGGGAAGGAAAGAAAAAAAGGAGATAAAAAGAACGGTTAAAGAGCTAGAAAGAAAACCAGGAGACAGTGTATTGCAGAAACTTAAGAGGAAAAGATTTCATAGGGATAGCAGCCAGTATCACATACCATAGCAGGAATAAGAGCTGAATTTAAACAACTAGAAGATCAGTAATGTTGACAAAAACAGTAAATTAGTGGGAATAGAACTCACAGCTACAAAAATATAATGAATTTAAGAAATTAAATACAGACACTAGAAAACAGTTGTTCAAGTTCAGTGTTAAAAGGAGGGAGACATAATCGTATTTAAGGAGAAAGGAATCTTTAAATAGTGAAGAGAAACATACTTTTTAAATAAGAGCAACAAGAAATGGAAAACTGAAGATGCAGGAGAGAGATGGACTAGCTAATAGACTACAGTCCTGGAGAAGGTAAAATGGAACGCAGTCTGAAACTGATTTGCAGAGGTTGCTAAGTAAACCAGACACCTCTTCTTCAAGACAAAGGGAAGAAGGAAAGAATTAGAAGCAAGAGGAAGAGCAAGTTATCTGAATTAATACCTAATACACTCTAACCTCCCTATTAAAAAGAGAAGTAAGGTCATGAGCTGACCACAGAGATGTGGATCAAAAAGTGGACAGAAGGATAGCAAAAAGGTTTGCCACACCCACCAAGGACAATATCAATGGGATACAACTCGCCAAGCAGCAGAGTTACCCCACTGAAGGTGAGAAACCATAAGGACTCTAGCTCTCCATGCCAAAAATCAAAAGGAAAGGAGAGTAGGAGCTTGTGATATTGAAAACTATTTTTGTTATCTTCTTTATATTGCATTGCCCTAAATTTCCTAAAATAAGGATTTCCTTTATACAGAAAAATTAAAACTGACCATATCTGTAAAAGAAGGAGAGAGAAAAGTAGAAGAGATAGGAGTTCGTGGCCAGAGAAAAAGTTGGGAGGTAGAGCAAAGTGACAGCAAGTCGGGGGGAAAATGAAGTGGATCAGCAGAGAGGGTCACTGGAAAAAAAGGAAGATATGGAATTTTGAGGCTTGACCAGTGGATGGGTCCACGTGAGCAGCAAAGTAATGATGAGAGATGGCAGGAAATGTGATGAAAAAGATTATAGCCATTTGCAGCGAAAGTAACATGGGTATACATGTATTCCAAAAGATATGTGTTTCTAATTAATACATTGTTGTAATATATTTATGGCCACCACATGCATATACATTTTAATATATATAGACACCTCACCTTCACTCAGAAATCCGTACCACAGACTTTCAGTTATAAGATGAGGAAGTTCTCAGGATCTAATATACAGCAGTGACTAGGGAAAATAATAGATCTGAAGTGTCCTCGCCCCCACCCCCACACACAAAATAGTAACTATGTGTGGTGATGGATCCATTAATTAATTTGATTATGGCAATCATTTCACAATGTATGCATATATCAAATCATCACATATATACCTTGAAGATATATAATTTCATTTGTCAATTACACACCAATAAAGTTGAGGGAAAAAAGAAATTAGCATCAGTAGCACCAGACTTAATCTGAGATATAAAGAAAACATCGTTTTCAATTTTTCATGTATCAGGATTTAAAATGAGAGCTTCCAAGCACAACGTAGGTTTTAACAGTTGGGATCAATGCTACTCACCTGAGTGCCCCAGGCAACTAGAGTAACATCACTCCCTTCCTGTATGACTTCGGCCTGGGACAGTGGGATGTTGTATGGTTCTATAGGGACTTCTTCCGCTAAATACAGAACAGGAAAAAAAAAAAAGGACATTTTTTCTGAGGTGACACTTGTGCATAAAATAATTTAAGAAGCTCACTGTAGCAAAGCTTTATTTTATTTTTTGTTTCTCTAAATTCTGTATTACTTAAAACAGAAATAGCATTTATGATATGGCTCCATGACATTACTGCACAGATGAATAAATGCAATATAAATGTATAAAACATATCAGCTATCTTGGAACAAAAAAATAAACTTTAGAAACTAAAGAAATCGTAATAAAGAAGGAACATTAGTCAATAAGAATGTATCAATATTGGTTTATTAACTATAATAATTGTATCCTACATGTATGTAAGATGTTAATAAGGCAAACCCTGTGTGTGGTATCTAAGAACTTTGTACTATGTTCATACTTTTTCTGTAAATCTAAAATTGTTCTTAAAAATTGTTATTACATGTGATAAAACTTTATTAAACTGAATTAAGTTCTCAGATCAATTTTCTAGAAAGTAGCAAATTTATGGGGGTTTGGAAAAAATAGTAGGGCCAAAAATTTTAAAGTAGATTGTATTTTTTCACCTTAGATCTATGAACACTTCATCAATCAGAGTCACTGACAACACCTTACTTTTCAAAGCTGAATACTGTAGACCTCAAAAAGATAAACTAAATCAGCTCTACCAAGCCAAAAGGAAGCCACTGGTATCTGAGAGAAAACCATTTTATGAACTTCTCTGCCCAACCAAGTTATATAGAGATGACTGAATCTGGGAGAAAATTATAAACTGAATTTCAAAATAAAATTGAGTACGAAGTTGATAAAACTGCCCAGTTATGCTGAGAAGCCTTCTTTAGTTCTTTTTTTTTTTTTTTTTTTTTTTTTTGAGACAGGGTCTCACTCTGTCACCCAGGCTGGAGTGCAGTGGTGTGATCTGCAACCTCTGCCTCCCAGGCTCAAGTGATTCTCCTGCCTCAGCCTCCCAAGTAGCTGGGATTACAGGTGCACACCACTACTGCCAGGCTAAATTTTGTATTTTTAGTAGAGATGGGGTTTCACCATGTTGGCCAGGCTGGTCTTGAACTCCTGACCTCAAATGATCCACCCACCTTGGCCTCCCAAAATGCTGGGATTACAGGCATGTGCCCGGCCTTTTTTTTTTTTTTTTTTTTTTTTTTGAGACAGAGTCTCACTCTGTCGCCCAGGCTGGAGTGGAGTGGCACAATCTTATAGCTCACTGCAACCTCTGCCTCCTGGGTTCAAGTGATTTTCAGACTCTCAAGTAGCTGGGATTACAGGCACGCACCACCACGCTCTGCTAATTTTTGTAATTTTAATAGAAACAGGGTTTCAACATGTTGTCCAGGCTGATCTTGAACTCCTAACCTCAGGTGATCTGCCCCCCGAGGCTCCCAAAGTGCTGGGATTACAGGCGTGAGCCATCGCGCCTAGCCATTCTTGAGTTCTTATGCGAAAATACTATCAGTGGAAATGCTGGAAAAAACTGTTGTTCCCTTTTGTTCATTTTCCCCATGGACTTTTTTATTATATATGTATATTCAAAAAGGACAGAAGAATAAAATTAAAGTAAAAGCCTCCCTCTGGAAGGCTCCCAGTTAGCCCTTCCAACTCCACCGTCCAGAAGTAACCAATGTTAACAATTTCCCAGGAGTCTGCTGTGGACGGCTCTCACTCTTTCTGGCATCCAAGATTCTGAATCCTCTTCCTACATTTGGTAAATCCCCTACCTTAGGAGGCAGGGCCCTTTGTCCACTACAGAAGTGAGTTCCACATTCTTCCCCGCTAAGGTTCCTCTGCAGCCAGGGCACAAAACTTGGGCTCTGGCAATCCAATGCACCCACAGCAGACTCTGAATTGGAAGCTGATGACACAGAAGAGCAGTAACTGTCTAGAATTCATTCTGGAATACTGCTAACAGTGGAGGCAAATCCGGCATCTAGGCTTAGTAGTATCAAGGATTCAGACTGACAGTTGCCAGGGCCTCTTTGCAGAACCAGTTATTTGGGGTATTGCTTCTAGATATATGGCCTCTAAACCTGATTCTCAAGGACTCCAGAAATCTGTGAGTAATTTATTATCCTTCAATAAATTTCTTCCGCTTATATTGGAGAGTTGATTTCATTTGCTTGAAAACTAAGAACTGATTCCATATCTATTCAGATATTTACCGTATGTTAGTGTACGCATATATAATATTTTTTCTTTTCACAAATAGAATCACATTGTACACACTGTTCAGAACTCTTCTACAATCTGCATTTTTTTCACTCATCAATATACTTGACCATATTTCCATGTCAAAGTAGTTTTTAAAATCATGTTTATAAGTAAAAACTATTAAATGTAATGGGTGCTTTATGGGTGATAGAGTGGTGAATTTTATTCCTTGTTTTTTTGTAGATTTCCAATCCAATGACATTTATATAATCAGTGTCAGTGAGAGCTTAATATCATTTAAATGATTAATATGTTTAAATAAAAAACAGTAAAATCTATAAAACTACTTTTTTAGATAAATCCCAAAATAGACAATAATTAAGCTAACAAACCTGGAACATAAAGCAGTGTTAGAAAACTTATAAGCATTCATACACTTCTTTAAAAGTTTTTGTGTAGCTCCCAAACTATGTTGAGTCGGATACTTCCACTGTCTAAATGAGGGGTGGGCTAACTATAGCTGCAAGTTGATTTTTTTGTAAACAGCATTTCGTTGGCTCACAACCATGCCATTGATTTACACAGTGTCTACGGCTGTTTCTACCCTACAACAGCAGAACTGACTAGTTCCAACAAAGACAGTATGGTCTGCAAACCTAAAATATTTACCATCTGTTCGTTTACAGAAAAAGATTGCCAGCCCCAATTGTAAACAATGCTTTCAGAGGTTAATTCTAGCCCATTCATTGATGGCTTAACCCCAGTATTCATTGCATGGATAGATGCATAGACGGATGGATGGATGGATGGATGGATGGATGGATGGATGGATGGATGAACAGATGGATAGATCAATGGACGGGCGGGTGGACAAATAGACAGAGAGGCACACACATATCACTGAAGTAGTATATTCTACTTAGCAGGTCTTAATTGTTAAACCAAAGTGAGGGTCAAGAACAATGCTGATGACATCGGAAAAATGCACCAAAGATAGCACACAGGCTCTTTGCCATCATCAAGTCTTTCCCCTGGCAGCAACATCTGAATGCCAGTAGACAAGGCTTAAAGCCAGTACACATTCCATCTTACTTGTAAGTGGCCATGATTCAAGAGTCCTCCTGTCTTTCCAGCCTTGTAAATCAGTTACCAGCTGGTGATTAGCAAATCCCTGGAACACACAATTCTAAGGGCTGGCAGACCACAAGAAATGGGTTGGCATCTTGGCCCATTTCCTTTGTCAGGTTGCCAATGAGCAATTAATTGCTCTATTGTCTTAAATAAATTACCCCAAATAATAAGGCCTCATTATTTTAACAATTAACTAAGGAATAACAAAGCAAACAAAGTTTTATTCTCTATTTTAAAAACACCATACTTACAATAAGAAAAAAAAACCTCCTCTTAGATTTGCTTAAACATTATCCTGAGAACAGGAGAATAAGAATTAATTTTAATATGTCCATTTATTTAAATTTGGCAAACAAGTCACCTGAGAGAAGCTAGAATTCATAGATACTTCTTAGTTAAATTTAATTTAAAACATATTTATTCCAGGAAAAGGTTATTATTCCAAGTTAGCTTTGTTGCATTCCTACCCCACGGCTATGTGCTTTCTAGAAGAGAGCAGGTGACAGGAGTTAGAGCACGAATCTTCAGAAGCTAAAGAGCACCACACAGAGTCATATTACAGATTCCTATTTTCACAGAAGTGGGACTAACTGACACCGCTCTATTTCACCACACGCTGATTACATTAGAATCTTAGGACTAATAAGCATTCCTCAGAGAAACACTTCAGCATCAGATAAATAGTGACAAAATGAACAACTCAGAAAAATAAGAAATCTTTTCAAGGCCAAAATTGTAAAAATGCAAATATCAAACAGGATAGATTTTTTTAATGTATATTGTAAGTTTCCACATATACACTTCCGTGTACATGCAAAAGCACTCATTCATACTACACATTCACTTAGAGATTCATGCTGTGAATTTGCTCATCCTTGGCCCCATTCTATTTCCCATCCTCCTCCTTTTTTCTCCCAGTTTTCTTCTAATTTGCTATATAGCTTATAATCCATCTTAAACACATTTTTGGAAGAGGTGAGGTGTGTAAATAATATATATATATACCAAGTTTAATATACATTTTTCATTGAATAGTTGCTGCATACTCAATATATGCAGGCATCATGCAAGATGCTGGAATATGAATTGAAAAACTGAATTGCCATTGAGAAGCACACGCTCAACTGTGAGTTACAAAGATGGAAATAGATTTATAAGCCAACAAATAAAATCATAATATAGCAATGGGAACAAATTGCTCTGGGAATCTAAAGGGAAGCAACAACTCGGTTACAGGGATAGGTTTCATCACGGAGGATACAACTGCTGTGGGTCTTAGAGACAGAGGTACTTGACACAAGAAAAATAGAGAGTATATTCCATAAAGAAAGAAAAGGTATACACAAGCGTGAAACCATGTTTATGCTTGTGTATACATCTACAAAATCAGATTTACATATTTCAAGTAAAGGTGAATACTGAAACTTATAAATTATATTCCTAAGTCCCTAGATAGCACTTTCCAATCCTTCTGATTCAATATATTAATAACTTGTGCAGAAAGCATCTGCAACAAAATAACAACTCACTCTTAACAACACAAGTTTCCCTGTGAAGCACACTATTACCATTACAGAGATAATAAGGTCATTTCTCTGCCCTGTCACTAATCTGCAGTAATGCTAGTTTCCCCACAAACATGAAACTCGGATAGGGCTTTATTCATATTGCATTACACATGAAATAGTGAGAAAACATAAATGTTCTCTATTTAAAATGAAGTCAAGTATATTCCTAAAATATGTTAGCTCATGCTGTCTGATTACAGCAGCATATTTGAAGTCTCCATACCTGAGAAAGCCTGTCTGGTTTGTTAAAATTCAGTCTAATGGGGAAAGGTAGGAGGGGCGTAAATCTACCCAACCAGAAACCCAATTCTGGCTTTGTCTCTGTATCTAATGAGTTTGGTCATCTCTGACAAAATATTGTGTTATTTTTGTGTCCCAGTATTCCACCTGTAATCTTAGGACCATTATTGGAACAAAGTGTGAACACATTAAATTAATCAGCTCTTAGGAAGAAAATATCATCACAATTTGAAGTAATTCAATGACAGAGTCATTAAGGCTAAAAAAAGAGTTATTCTTTTCACTATTATTTTCTGTATAAAACTGATAATCAACTATAAACTAATATTGGATTTCTATATTACAACTGTCATTTTCTGAATTAGTAATCTCCTTTCAGCTTTGAGGTTATTAATCAGTCTTTTTTTGACAATTTTCACTTCTATACCAACTGTTACTTTTAGCACTGATGCTAGAGATAAGAAAGAATATATGAACAAGAAAACTAAGTGCACTTTCTTCTAGTAATCACTTTTAAATTATTCCCTAAACACAGTTGTACCCAATCTTTTCCTCCCCCTTCACCTTAAATTATCGAAAAATCTAAAGATTAACAGTCTATATTAGAAAGACTAAATCAAGATACTATTAAAAATATTTGTTTCTGTCTCCAAGTAATCAAAAAAAAAATCTGTAGAATTGTCCACGCTGGCAAGAAGATACCATCTAATTAGAAGATAAAATTAACTTTCAATAAATAAAATAATAATTAAGTGCCAACCTTTGGTAGTACTTAACCCACAGTGATTATTGAGAGCATGTTTGGACAAAATAAATTGGTATAATAAGTCTCAGTGTCCCAAGGGAATAAACCAGAGAGGACTCCTGGGAGCAACAGTGGGTGAGGCTCCCACAACACAATATAGACTTTCAAGCCATAAGCATGACAAGGTTTTACTGAGTATTATGGCAAAAGGAAGGCAAAGAAGTGAGAGATCAAATGAAGTGCAGCAAATAAAGAAAACCATTTTAAAAAGGCAAATCTTGAAAAATAAATATAATTAGCTGCACAAAGGCTAAAAGCTGGCATTCTTAGCAGTGGGGTACATATTCATAACAGAAGAGTAAAAACAAGTAAACATCATCTCATATGATGCACTGAAATGGACACTCTGTCACTTGTATCACTTCTATAATATTCTTGCCAAAAAGACATAACTTGAGTTTAATCATGAGGAAACATCAGACAAATCCAATTTGAGGAGCAGTCTACAAAAGAGCTGACCAAATGTGGCGACCATGACAGACAAAAAAGACAAAGGAACTGTCTTCCCCAGAATAAAGGAAACTAAGGAGAAAGAACGATAAATAGACTCTGGATAGAATCTCAGTCCAAAGAAAGGACATTAGTGGGGCAATTAACGAAATTGGAATTAAGTGAACAGAGCAGTTAATAGTATTGTATCCATGCTAATGTCCTGGTATTGATCAATATTACCGTGGTTATGTATGAGGTTAACATGGGGGAATGCTGAGTGAAAGGTACATATGAATTCTTCATACTATTTTTGCAATCTTTTTGTTTGAACTATTTCGAAATAAAAATTTTAACAAAATTTTTAATATTAAAATCAAAAACAAAAATGAGGTTGACCCACCTTAACAAGTCTCCCTTAGATGGCTGGGAAAATAAGTTGTGATATAACAGAAAGTATACCAAATTAGAAATGTCATTGAAAACCGACTATGAGAAACTGGGCTTAATGCAAGGCCTGACAGAGACACTATACATTGATACTTCCTTGTGAAACAAATTCTGTTTGGAAATGCTAGTACAAATGAAGAAAATGAGGATATTAACAAAGCTCTCTAACTGTAAAAGAAGCAAAACCACATTTGGTATTCTATTTATGACCTCCTTATCTTCCTGGATAAATTTAACTGAGTTCTGAATATTGAGAGACATGAATATGTGAAGATGTAAATTCAGTGTCTGCATATGCCAGTCAGCATTTTGCTAGACACTCTTGACCACTAAATGAAAACCAATGACCAATCAACAGTCTAAATATATCAAGTCATAATCAGCTAATATCTTTCATGTAACCAGGAGACTTTTTTTTTTTTTTTTTTTGAGACAGAGTCTCGCTCTGTTGCCCAGGCTAGAGTGCAGTGGCACAGTCCCGGCTCACTGCAATCTCCACCTCCTGGGTTCATGCAATTCTCCTGTCTCAGCCTCCTGAGTAGCTGGGATTACAGGTGCCCGCCACCACACCCAGCTAGTTTTTTTATTTTTTAGTAGATACAGGGTTTTGCCATGTTGGCCAGGCTGGCCTTGAACTCCTGACCTCAGGTGATTCGTCAGCCTCGGCCTCCCAAAGTGCTGGGATTACAGGCGTGAGCCATCACGCCTGGCCAGGAGACTTCTTAAACTGAGATACTTGTACATATAAAACATGATTTTAAGGTCGTAAATGTTTTATACTGTTATTGTTTCAGAGGATAATGTTTTCTTATTATCACTGAGTAACACTGAAAATTAAAAAAAAATCACCTGTTATTTTTAAATGAACAGCAATATTAACTTGAAACAGAAAGTCTTGGACCCACTTAAACTCAAATGCAGTCTAATTTTTTTCTTCAATAATTAATTAACTGGTAAGTCTCACATTTCCAGTTCTTTTGCATAATGAGATAAATTAGGAATCTTTTCAAAATAGTTGCCAAATATTTGCTGGGTGCAGTGGGTCATGTCTGTAATCCCAGCACTTTTGGAGACCGAGATGGGCAGATCACCTTGGGGTCAGGAGTTCGAGACCAGCCTGGGCAATATGGTGAAATCCAATATCTACTAAAAATAGAAAAAAATTAGCCAGGCATGGTGGCACGTGCCTGTAATCCCAGCTACTCGGGAGACTGAGGCATAAGAATCACTTGAACCTGGGAGATGGAGGTTGCAGTGAGCTGAGATCACACCACTGCACTCCAGCCTGGGCAACAGAGCAAGACTCCATTTCAAAAAAAAAAAAAAGTTGGCAAATATAAATCACAAAAGTAATGATATGATAAGGCACCTTCATATTTCTTATAAAATTTCCAAATTAACTTCATTACATTTCCCTGTCTCATTTAATGTAAACAAAAAAAGAAGCTTTGATGAGACTGATATTCCATAATATGCATCAGTATATTTAACACACAACACATTAAAATTTGGCCACATTTATAACACAACTTGTTCAATCTTTGCAATTACCCTTAGGGTTTTTTGTTTGTTTGTATACTGTACTCTCTGGTATGCAGCATTTAATAGTGTAGCAAAAGTTCTCCTATCACCAGTTTTACTGGCAATTGTTTGTCTTTCATGTTTAATATATTTGAATTCCTTTGGTAAATATTTTCCAATGCATTTTCTATAGCAAGGAGCTACACATATAGAATAAACTTTGTTCATAGGGTGTCAATTTTACAAGGTAAATTGGAAAACTGGCGCAAAAAAAAAATTGAACACTGAATAAAAGGGCGATATTTTAAAGCCATTCTACATCAGCACATAGAGTTTAAAAGGGAAAAAATATTACCTAACAAAAAGAATTATACAGAGATAGAAAAAAATATTTCAATAAAGGGCATCATTATTGTATGAACCATTAGAAAAAAAACTGCTAATTAAACTGATACACTTTTTAGAACTTTTATTTTATTCTTATTGAAAGAAAAAAGACTTAATTAGATATGGGTTTTTATTATCTATCACACTGACACAGACATAAAAACAAAACATAAGCAAAATAAGTTGGTTTAATCAATTCCTAAAATTCATGAAGAAATCCAAATGTAATTCTTCTCCCTCACTCTTTGACATATATCAGTGTCCACATTTCTCCAGAGAATCTCATTTTCTGTGTCACCAAGCACATCAGTGATGCAGCACTTTTTTAAATGAATTCATTAAAAAATTGAAAGATTGATGCTAAGCTCTCAAGCTAGCTCAGTAATTAGGCACAGCCTACTTTAGACTCCTGCTTCCAAGGGTTGTTAAACTACTGTGATTTCCCACTTCCCCACCCTTCTACCTCACCACAACCATTTAGCATCTCCTTGTCAAAAGAGTCTTCAACTTGTCAAAAGAGACACCTTCTCTGGTGTCTCTGGAATTTTATTCTAAGCTGTATTATGATTTTTATATTGGCACATAAGCAGATAACAGCAACTACTGGCCACTGGATGAGATGACTGCAACATGCTACTGTTTTTAAGTCACAATCCAATACCAGAGATATTAAAACATGAGGGGGGGAAGGGGTAGCTTAGAATCAATGAAATATAGTGGCTTCTATTGGGTAGATGACTTTAAATCATTGAAATATTAGTATATATTTAATATATTTTTCACATCATGCTTTTGGTAATGTAAGTCCCTCAGTTTTCATAAATCCAATATTACCCATGAGGAGCAACAATTCCCCCTAGACACCAAGCACTAGCTGTGTCCACTGACTTCCTAAATGCAGAGGAGACAGAAAAAGTCACTGGGACACACTGACAAAACACAATTATTTTCAGGTAAGAAAGATATACGGGGAATACATGCTATATTTATTAGACTGCAAAATTCCTTATTGCATATCTAACATTAAATGACAACTGTTGATTTTATTGATGAGCACCCTCTTCTCGAGGGCAACCTCTCCAGAAAAATTTAATTTAATTCAGGGAATCTGTTACAAAGACTTTGGAAGGGCTAGAGTAACAAATGGTTAAACAATGCAAACCAGGGATCAGGAAGCTGCTACCATCTCTGAGCTGGACCCAACAGCCCACAGGAGCCACTATCAGTGCTGGAACCACCATTGGCTGCTGCTGAGCAGACCCATCCCTATTAAATGCCCTGCCACCAACATCGCTGCCATCTACACTGTGGAACAACGGTCACTGCAACACAGCGAAGTCTCCTCAACTGCCACTACCAAAGGTGCCTCAAAAACCTCAGTGGCGTCCTTTCTACCTTCCTCCCACCCTCTAATGAAACTCAGCTAGCAAAGGGGTGAGGAAAATACAGTTTACTTGCTTCCAACCCATGAATTACAGAAGAAAACACAGAAGGGCAAGTGTGAGGATGACAGACAACTAACAAAGACCTAACAGAGATTTAAATTATAAATAGCACTTAGATGAAAAGGTCACCTTTTATGAAATAAAACTCCAATATATTAACAATAATGAGAAAAGCTAATATTTAGTGAGCCCTTTCAACATATTAGGCACGTTTAAGCACCTTTAAAGTATCACCTTTTATCCTTACAACTCAATGTGACTGCTACTAGATTTATCCCAATGCTACAGATGAGAAAACAGGCAAAGACATATTAAAGAACTCGGTTATAGATAGTGTGGCCACTCAGCGGTCCAAGCTCATAACCACTGTTATAGTAGATAGAAATCTGCCCAAAATGGGTTTCAGAAGTATTAAATATAAACATATATCAAGCTTGATCCTTTCCCTAAGTCTTGAAAAATTGCAAAAACTGTGTATTTTAAAAAGGGAGGTGTTATGCTTGCCATATTTGTTTAAAAATAGAAAATATAACCTAAGATTATATAATGGCTGTTTTTCCTGAGACTAATCAAAGTGTTAAATCTAGAATTCTCTCACAGACTCCCAGCCATTCCCTACCATTTTCTCAAATTAATTTTTTACACACGAATCAAGCTTTACATTCCATAAAGCAGGTGTGATCTATACATACTTATCATCCACCATCTGCCTCAGTGCATTACTATATATCACTCCTCCATTAGAAATCTGTATTTTTCTTGAACATAAATTCCTTCATATTAAATCATGCATTAATACTACAAAAAATGAAGAACTCCAAGTTTATTTACATAGCCAGAAACTATTATTTGTAGTCCAATATTAATCACTTCATACCCTAGCTATATTCAGTGCTAAAGATATATAAATTAGCTAGAATTCATAAATTCAAGTTCAACACTGAGAGATGCTGAAAGGGTATTAATAAAATTAATAAATGTTCTAAAATATATATTACTGAGAAAATTTTCTCAACTGTAATTTTTATAAGCCTACAACTTTATTTCTAGCTTTAAAAAGTAACTGTACATAAAAATTACTAAATACCTAATGGCCTTAAGAGTTTAGTGTTTTCTACCTATCTGCCTCTAAGTATGGGCAGACCTAAATTTTCATATTTTCAACTTATGCTCAACACACAGTTATATATATAGTGTAGATGAAAACTCCTAAAGGGCTTATTATATGCCTTTTATTCTAAATTTGAAATTCTGAAGATAAGCTAGCTGTAAGAATGGAAGCTCAACACCCTTTCTGCTAGTCAAGTGTTCAGTTTGGGCATTGTTAATGTCACTGCCTGTATAGCAATGTTTCTATATTATTAGAATTCTTATTTGCCCTTAATACTTTATAAGTAAAAAACAGAAAAGTGAAAACACTCTTATCACCAAAGAGAATAAGTAAGGGTCAAGTGAGAAATTATTTGCTATGTTGCACACAGTAAATTTTTAACCTCAGCTGGATGCTCAGTGCATTTAAGTCACTTGAACTGATCAATTCAAAAAGAAAAAAATTAAAGGTATATATAAAATGTTGGAAACTATATTACTGACAACCGTGTATAAAAGGTGAAGTTTAAATAGAATTTTATTTTAGCTCTCTTGGTAAAGAAATCTATTTATTAAATGTAAGTAAATATTTGACTTCCAGATATTTGACTTTGCACACATTCTGAGAAACACATTAGGAATGGCCTGTAGTCAAAAAGTGGAAGATTATGGCTTGATTTAAAATGATAAAATACACTCCCAAATATGTTAGAATATGTTGTAAATAATTCTAAATAATCTGTAAGAGTCTCAGAAAGACTAAAAATGTACCACAGTGGCCCTCATATGACCACAGACCCAGCAACTGTTTCTATCCACCTCTCTTGCTAAATCTGAACCACCCCATCAATGGCTACTAAACTGCAAAAACAATTCCTCTCTTTTCAGAAAACCTTTTTTTATTTTTATTTTTATTTTATGTTCAAGGGTACATGTGCAGGTTTGCCATATAGGTAAATTGCATGTCAGGGGGGCTTGGTATACAAATTATTTCATCACCCAGGTAATAAGCATAGTAAGCGATTGGTAGTTTGTTTTTTGGGTTTTGGGGTTTTGGAGGGTTTTTTAAGACAGGGTGTCACCCTATCGCCCAGGCTGGAGTGCAGTGGTGCAATCTCGGCTCACTTGCAACCTCCACCTCCCAGGCTCGAGTGATCTTCCCATCTCAACCTCGCAAGAATCTGGCACTATGGGAGTACACCACCACACCTGGCTAAATTTTGTATTTTTTTTGTAGAGACGGGGGTCTCACCATGTTGCCCAGGCTGGTCTCAAACCCTTGGCTCAAGCGATCCACCAACCTCAGTGATAGGTATTATTCTGATCCTCACCCTCCTTCCACCCTCCACCCTCAGGTAGATCCCCAGTGTCTGTTGTTCTCTTTTCTGTGTGTACTCAATGTTTACCTTCCACTTATAAGTGAGAACATGTGGTATTTGGTTTTGTGTTCATGTGTTAGTTTGCTAAGGATAATGGCCTCCAGCTATAGTGGATAATGTTTTGCTATGGATAATGGCCTCCAGATATGTCCTGCAAAGGACATATCTCATTCTTTTTTATGCCTGTAGAGTTTTCCATGGTGTATATATACTACATTTTCTTTACCCAGTCTATCATTGATGGGCATTTAGGTTGATTTTACGTCTTTGCTATTGTGAATAGTGCTGCAGTGAACATAAACGTGCATGTGTCTTTATGGTAGAATGACTCATATTCCTTTGGGCATATATTCAATAATGGGATTGCTGGGTTGAATGGTAATTCTTTTTTAAGTTCTTTGAGAAAACACAAAACTGCTTTCCACAATGGCTAAACCAGTTGACATTTCCACCAGCAGTGTATAAATGTTCCCTTTTCTCCACAACTTCACCAGCATCTCTTAATTTCTGACTTTTTAATAATAGCTATTCTGACTGGTGTGAGATGGTATCTCACTGTGGTTTTGATTTGCATTTCTCTAATGATGGGTGATGTTGAGCATTTTCTCGTATGCTTGTTGGCTACATGATTGTCTTTCTTCTGAAAAGTGTCTGTTCATGTCCTTTGCCCACTTTTTTGCTTGGGGTTGTTTTTGGGTTGTAAGTTTGTTCAAGTTCCTCAGATTCTGTATATTAGACCTTTGTTAGATGCATAGTTTGCAAATATTTTCTCCCCTTCTATAGGTTGCCTGTTTACTCTGTTGGTAGTTTTAGACTAACTCTGAAACTGGCTAAATATCAGCTGACCCCACTTGCTAATGTTTTACAGACCCTTACCCCTACCCTCTCTACTGAGTTAGAATACTTCTTCTAATTAGTTCTCATGCCCCCAACATTCTAAATAAAAGCTTAGGTTTAAGTGTTAATATTAAAATAAATCATAGGAGATTTTTATATGATAATAATAGCAACAACTTTTAATAACACCATTAAAATGTATTAAGCATTTACTATGTGTCAGGCATGATTCCAAATACATGTATTAACACATTTAATCAAATGATACTGCAAAGAAAATTTTATACTACTAAAATTTTAAAAGCTAGAGGAAATACAAAGATCTAAATTACCAACATGGAGAAAATGGTAGATACAAGACAGGACTAACATGTAGCTCCCATTTGGACAGACAGAACAGTGTGTGGAGACTCACACTGTAAACTTTTCCTCCAAGAACCACCACAGGAACCTACCAGGAAAACCAAAAGAATTCACAGGCTACTTACTTTGAAAGAAGTAGCTTGACACTGCAAACTCCATGAGACAGCTGAAAAACTGTAAGTTCCCAAAGTGTGAGTGGGGGAAAAGTCTGCCTCTGAACAGACATCCCCACTGGGGAACCTAAAAATCCAGATCACAGGAGAAGAATTTAATCTCATCTGAAGTTAAAATGGATTTAGGCAGCCAAGTGAAATATCAAAGTAGAAGAAGGAGCGGGAAGCGCCCTGTAGGCACTCCCAGTTCCCGGCTCAAACCAGAGAAAGCCATCCCTGACTTATCTCACAGGGGTCCTTGGGGAAGGCAGCCAGTGGAATTAGGGAGGGGCCATAGGATGAAAGAAGCTTCTAGCTGAACTTCATAATACGTTCAACTGAGTACAAATTTTCCTGAGCAGAGTCCAGGGGGCAAATGGGAAGTGCACATATAACTTGCAGATACAAGCACAGAAGCCACAGCTGATGGTGCAGGCAGACGGAAAAGGGCAAGGCCTGAGAGCCCTGCTTGTTTTCTCAGCAGGAAGGCTTGTAGTCTGGGGCAAGATCTATCCGCTCTCCCCAGCTGCCTGAATATAAACGTGTGCTGTTGGTGGGGCATGGCAGGAGTGAGATTGGCCTTGCTGGCTGCGTGGAAGCTAGGTGAGGCCTGTCACTGCCGGCTTTCCCCCCTTCCCTGGCGACCAGTATGACACAGCAGAGGCAGCTGTAATGCCCCGGAACATCACCCACAGTGGCCTCGGCAAGCCCTGCTCAAGGAGAGTCTGAGCTCAGACCTGCCTAGGCCTGCCCCCACCTCATGGTTTTTCACTACCCACCCTGGTAGCCTGAGCCAAAATACATAAACCCTTGAGAACTCTAAAGCCCCATCCATTGCCTGAAGAACCCAAGTACTCATCCTGGCCAACAAAGAACAAACTTGTATCCCCCTTCTACTACCACAGCTGGCACTCTTTTAAAAGCACCACCTCCTGGGTAGAGGCCAACCAACTCAAGACATAACAGAATAACCCTGCTCCAAAAAAGGAGAAAACAGCTAATTCTACCATCTACAACATCCTGACTAACCAGAGGTTCTAAGTCTGTCCACATAACAACTTCACTGCTGGCATAACCAGCATTCGAAAAAACCAGCACACTAAACAAAACGACAACCAAGGACTATCATAGAGTACACTTAACTCCCTTGCCACCTATACTGGAGCAGGTGCTGGCATCCACAGCTAGGAGATATGAAGACATATCACCTCACAGGACTCTTTGCAGACATTCCCCAGCATCAGCCCAGAGCCCAGCAGCCCCGCTGAGTGGCTAAAGCAAGAAAGACAATAACAAGAACTGCAGTCCAGCTCTCTCAGGAAGTCCCATCTCCAGGTGAAGGGGAGAACATCACATCAAGGGATCAGCCCACAGGACAAAAGAATCTGAACAGCAGCCCTTGAGTTCCAGTTCTTTCCACTGAAACACTACCAAAATGAGAAGGAACCAGAAAAGCAATTATGGTAATATGGCAAAACAAGGTTCTGTAACACCCCCAAAAGATCACACTCGCTCTCCAACAATAGATTCAAACGAAGAAAAAAATCCCTGATTGCCAGATAAGGAATTCAGAAGGTTGATTATTAAGGTACTCAAGGAGGTACCAGAAAAGGTAGAAAAACAACTTAAAGAAAATTTAAAAAAAAACAGTGCAGGATATGGATGAAAAGGTATACAGAGAAATAAATATCATAAAGAAAAAACAGTCACAAGTTCTGGAAATGAAAGACACACTAAGAGAAATAAAAAATACACTGCAAAGTTTCAACAATAGACTATAACAAGTAGAAGAAAGAACTTCAGAGCTCAAAGACAAGGCTTACAAATTAACCGAAAGACAAAGAAAAATGAACAAAGCCTCCAAGAAATTTGGGATTATGTTAAACGACCAAACCTAAGAATAATTGGTGTTCCTGAGGAAGAAGAAAAATCTGAAAGTTCAGAAAACTTATTAGAGGGGATAATAGAGAAAAACTTCCCTGTCCTTGCTAGAGATCTAGACATTCAAATACAAAAAGCTCAAAGAACACCTGGGAAATTTATTGCAAAAAGATCATCTCCTAGGCACGTGGTCATCAAGTTATCTAAAGTCAAGACAAAGGAAAGAATCTTCAGAGTTGTGAGGCAAAAGCATCAGGTAACCTATAAAGGAAAACCTCTCAGATTAACAGCAGATTTCTCAGCAGAAACCCTACAAGCCAAGAGGGATTAGGGTCCTATCTTTAGCCTCCTTAAATAAAATAATTATCAGCCAAGAATTTTGTATGCCGCAAAACTAACCTTCATAAATAGAGGAGAGATAAAGTCTTTTTCAGATAAACAAATGCTGAAAGAATTCTCCACTACCAAGCTAGCACTACAAGAACTTCTAAAAGGAGTTCTAAATCTTGAAACAAAACCTTGAAATATACCAAAATAGAACCTCCCTATAAAGTATAAATCTCACAAGGCCTATTAAAAAAAGACAACTTTAAAAAAAAGGTATTCAGGCAACAACATGATGAATAAAACAGTACCTCACATCTCAATGCTAATGTTAAATGTATATGGCTTAAACGCTCCACTTAAGAGATACAGAATAAATAAAAATCTACCAACCAAGTATCTACTGTCTGTCTTCAAGAGACTCACTTAACACCTAAGGACTCACATAAACTTAAGGTAAAGGGATGGAGAAAGATATTTCATGCAAATGGAAACCAAAGCTAGCAGGAGTAGGTATTCTCAGACAAAACAGACTTTAAAGCAACAACAATTTAAAAAGTCAAAGGGGGATATTACATAATGATAAAAGGACTACTCCAACAGGAAAATATCACAATCCTAAATAATATGCATCTAACACTGGAGCTCCCAAATTTATAAAACAATTACTACCAGATGAATAAGTTGAAACTTATTTGCACACCAAAACCTGCACATGGATGTTTACAGCAACTTTATTCATAACTGTCAAAACTTAGAAGCAACCAAGATACCTTTCTGCAGGTGAATGAATAAATAAACTGTGTTACTTCCAAACAATGGAGTATTATTCAGCATTAAATAGAAATGAGTTATCAAGCCATGAAAAGACATGGAGGAATCTTAAATACATAGTACTAAGTGAAGGAAGCCAATCTGAAAAGGTTTCATACTGCATAATTCCAATTATATGACATTCTGGAAAAGATAAAACTATGGATACAATAAAGCTATCAGTGTTTGCCAGGGGTTGAAGTGAGGGGAGACAAACAGATGAAGCACAGAAAATTTCTAGGACAGTGGAAATACTCTGCAAGATATTATAGTGGTAGATACATGTCATCATACAACCCACAGAAGGTACAACACTAAGAGTGAACACTGATGTAAACCATGGACTTTGAGTGATGACAATGTGTTAACATAGGTCATCAATTGTAAAAAATGTACAACTCTGATGGGGATGTTGGCAATGGGGAAGGCTATGCTTGTTTGAGGTCAGTGGGTATGTGGAAAATCTCCATGTCTATCTCTCAATTTTGCTGTGAATCTAAAATTGCTCTTAAAAAATAACTCTTAATTAAAAAACGGCAAATTCTGATACACAAGTGAATAAAAACACAAGGTTTTCACTCTTACAATTGCCAAGTTAAATGTCTGACAAATATTTCCTGTTTTCATTTTTAGATTTTAGTAACAGTTACTTTATTGAGTCTTGCCGCCCCACAGTACCTGTGGTAATGATTCCCTATCCTTCCATAGTTTTTCATTAACTGCTGTTTAGACACACAGCATCTGGCTTCGTCAATCATGCATTACTCAGGGCTAAATTGAATATATGGGGCTTAGAGAAAGCAAGAAAGGGATTAAGAGATACAGGTTGTAGAATATTTACAATAAAGAACACAAGCGTAATTTTCTTCTTCTACATACACATATATATACAAGCAGAGATGTTTTCTTCAACATTTTTTAAAATAACCAGAATTTAGAAACAATTCGTTGTTCCATAATAGGGAAAGGATACATGTGAAGGTACATGTGAAGAAATTTTATGACTATAAAATGAATACGGTTTTATGAATATAAAAACCAGCTAAGCCTATGTGAATAGATACAGAAATATATCAAAAATATATTGGTAAAAAAAGCAAGTTATACAATATTTGTAACATGCTCTTATTTGTATTATTTGTGTGTGTACATTTTATACACTCACATACTTGACTAAATGGATAGAAAATAATTTGCAAAGCAAGTTACAAAACAATGTTTATAATACAATATTTTTATGTTACACATACAAAATCTGTTTACATGGAAGTAAATGTATTCTATATATTCACATATGTATGTAAATATAAAAGCACAGAAAAAGGCTTAAGGAAAGGAGTTCAAAGTGAGCCAGTAGGAAAAGGGAACTTTCACTATATTATGCTATATAGTTCTGTGATGCTGGAACTTTTTACAAAGAAAACACATGACTCATGGTATTAAAATTTTATTCAGGAACAAAAATAAATCACTCTACCACATAGCTTAAGCTTAGTCATTGAGAATGTAAATACCTTAAAGCTAATGATCAAAAATAGATATCTGCTTACGGTCAAACTTAGCCTGAAAAGTGAATAATATTAAAAATATACCATAGCATAAGAAAATCCCACTGGGTCCTATTCCATGAATAGTTCAGTTTATTAACTCAGTCACAGAAGATATACAAACAAATTCAAAGGCAATTGCACTGTCAGTTGACTGAACACCTTTTGATTCTTCCTGCTACTCAATACTAAGTCAGGGCCTTCTCATCACAAAATAGAATAATTGCCTATTAGCTGAAGTCCTGCCGGCTTTAGATATCTGGAACTGTAGATTTACAAGAAATGCTACCATGCGATTTTAAGAACAAAATAGAAATCTACTTGACCACTTCATAGAAGAAATATGAAATAAACAAACATGACTTGTAATCAAATGGAAACTGAAATAAATTAATAATATACGTTTAAAAGTATAGATAAAACAGTCTTACAGTATATAAAACAAAAAGTCAACAGTAGTTAGAGGATGGACTTATGAGTTCCTTTTATCTTTGTTTGTACTTTTCAGTACAAACATATATAAAAGATTAAGCAATAGACAGAATCCAAATCTCCCTGTATTCACACCCTTCTGCAATATGAGTAGGCATCTTTTCCCATGAAGAGATGGTGTCTATTTGTCCTCCTCTTCAACTTGGGCTGACTTTGTGACTTATTTTGGCCAACATACTATGGCAGAAGTGACAGTATGTCAACTCCAAGCCTATGCTTCAAGGGCCTTACAACCTCTGCTTCCACCAGGTGAACAAGCTTGAGCCAGCCCGCAGGGTGATAAAGGGACAGATAGACCAAAGCCTATCAGCCACAACTGGTGAAATAGCCCAACTAAAATCAGCAAATCCAACCCACACCTGACCTACAACTGACTATAGACCTATGAGGAAGCCTAGACAAGACCAGAATTGCTGAGCTGTGACCGGCCTAAATGCTGACCTGCAGATGAGCTATATAAAGAACATTGTTGACTTAGCCACTGAGTTTCAGGAGTGGCCTGTTAAGCATCGATGGCTGACAGTCAGAGTATGTGTTACCTTTATAATGAGAAAAATAAATATTTTTAAGAAAATAAGGTAAGCCATTGTAAACCAATGCCTTAATTATAATATTGTGTACAACAAAATAAAATTATCTGATTTTCAGCAGTTGTATACATTTTTAATTTAAAAAGAAGAAATTAAATAAACTCAAGAGGGTATCAGAACTACCTCACTGTAGTTAAGGATCCAGC
This sequence comes from Homo sapiens, assembly GCF_000001405.40. NCBI lineage: Eukaryota > Metazoa > Chordata > Mammalia > Primates > Hominidae > Homo > Homo sapiens. Next base: position 80,181,182 of record NC_000006.12, on the reverse strand, counting down.
TGACATTTAGCAAACCTAATTGTCTTAGTCCACTTCGTTTTGCTAGGACAGAATACCTAAGACTGGATGATTTATAAATAAAATGCATTTCTTAAAGTCTGGAGTTCAACTCTTTCAACTAAAAGAGTTGAAAGTTGTTGCCTGTGGGGAAAGATGCTTGGATTTGGTGAAGGGTAAGGTAAGGAACTGCTATTTTTTATTAGAAGCTATCATTTGACTTTTTAAATTATGTGTATTATTTCAATTTAGAAACTAATTTAAAAATCTAACAAATGAATTCAATTTCTCCCACTAATGGATCCAACTTACTCTTGTGAGTGTACCTAGCATTAAATATACTAACCCGCACAAATTAATCTGCTTAATGTAAAATACAAAATATTAATTTCTCTCTTTACGTACACTGATACTTGGCAAAAAATATTTTAAGTCTTCTACCATTAAAAAGCTACTTTAAATAATGTTCGTCTCTTCAAAATATATGAATTCATACACAATTAGTACATCTGCTAAAAAAGTTCCTCAATATCATTATGTCCTATTTTTACGTATTTTTGGATTATCCAGAAATCCTAGAAACAAGACAAACAATACAAGGATTTTAGTCTTTTAGTCTGTCTTGATTTCCCACTAGAAGAATCACAGATGAAAATCATATTTAATTCAATATCACTGATGTCATGTGTCATTCAATTAAGTAAAACCAAAAGACATTAAAGAATATCTTCTTCACAAGATGCCTATATGTGATAATGTCACACTGACTCACTCTTTTTGAATCATCACTATTTTGTACATTTTTTACACCAGCTGGATTTTTCTGCCTTATCTACCTTTTCTAAACATCCTTCTCCATTTCTAAAAAGATTCATTGCACTCAAATGTCATAATTACAATAAATAATCAGGAAATCGAAAATATTATTAGGTTACTTTCTCCTTCTATGTTCAGGAAACCTAAAGTTTTATATATATTGATTGCATATTCAAAATAAGGAGAAATAAAATTCAAGAAAATTGCTGCATAAAGAATATATGACTTATTTTCATCTGTACGATTTATAAAGTTAATGGTTGAATTGAAAGAAATCATTTCTAAAGGCTGGACATGTGGGAGAGTCACCACAGCCCAGAGGTTTGCACAGAGAGCAGTTTATGAGCACAGGCCCAGAAATGATGGAGTCAGAGAGATCAGGCCCAGAAATGATGGAGTCAGAGAGATCAACAGGAACTGTGACTGGCACAATGCTGCACAGGGGCCAAACGACCTCATCTCTTCTTGCCCAAATGCAGGAAGACTACATTTCCCAGCTGCCTTTGCCTCTATCTGGGGACATATGACTAGGTCCCTTAATGACTAATGATTACAAGGTGCAAAGGTTCCCAAACCCCCTACCTGTAACCAGACCAGACTGTGACATGTAGTTTTTATAACTTTCAAAGAAGCAAATTAATCCTATGCCAATGGAGAAATTAATGCAATATATATATATTCAAACCTTGGACTATATACTACATAGGGATGTACTACCTTAAGTCATGGCTATGAATAGTGCAGTCATCCCTTGGTATGCATGGGGGTTTGGTTCAGGACTTCTTGAAGATACAAAAATCCATAGCTGCTCAGAACCCTGATCTAAATGGCACAGGATTTGCATAGAACCTATGCACAACCTCCCTTATCCTTAAAATCATATCTAGATTACTTATAATGCCTAATACAATGTAAATTCTATGTAAATGGCTGCTATACTGTATTGTTTAGAGAATAATGACAAGAAAAAAGGCCTGTACATGTTCAGTGTAATTATTTTTTCAAATATTTTCAATCTATGGTTGGTTAAACTTATGGCTCTGGAACCCACAGATAAAAAGCGCCAACTGTATATATTTCCATTCAGTTAAAAAGTAGATCATTTTATCAGCCTGGGCAACATGGAGAAACTCAAAAATTGAGTTTCTCAAAAACTCAAAAAAATTGAGAAATACGAAAATTAGCAAGGCATGGTGGCACATGCCTGTGGTCCCAGCTGCTTCAAAGGCTGAGATGGGAGAATCACCTGAGCCCAGGAGCTTGAGGATGCCATGAGCTGTGATCACACAACTGCACTCCATCCTGGGTAACAGAGGGAGACCCTGTCTCGAAAAAATAAAAAATAAGATCATTTTAATTATGTGGGAAACTTTTAAAAACTAGACAGCTATTTCCTGACATGAAACTAGGACACTGGAGGAAGTTATATTTCATTTATGTCCTCCATTCAATAATAATTAGGTGGGATGCAAAATAGGGTAGTATTAGAAAGACGGCAGCCTCTGGTGTCAAAATGTCTTGGTTTAAAACTTAAATCCATCGCTCATTATTTCTGTGAGCTTGAGCAAGTTTCTTAAAAGTCACCATCTGTGCCAAACATGCCCAATCCTGGTTGTGTGACTTTGGGCAAGTTGTCTAATTTCCCTAATCCTTAGGTTCCTCATCTATAAAATGGCAATAATGACAGAATTTACCTGATATGCTGGTTGTGAGAATTAAATGACATAGTCCCCATGTCTACACAAGATAGCCCAGCGTCTAGCACATAAGTGTTCTAATGGTACTTAAAGACTAGGCAGGTACACACATGGATAATCTCACTTAAATCCTCTCAGCAACCTTATGAAATATGATTATGAGTAAATAGAGGGGGTTCCTACTTCACCTATTAAGACAAAAGAAGTATCTGTGTTAAATCATGACAGCTGCAGTTTATTGTGCTATTAACGAAGGATATTTTCATCTTAAAAGAGGCATCTCTTCTCTAGCCAAGATTATGTATTCGTCAAAATTACCTATTAGTAACATCTACAGGAGACTGAAACTCAAAGTATGTTAAACTTAAAATGAGATTAAATGGAGAGATGTGAAAGAAGCTTACTAATCAAAGGAAGATTAAAGGAGTAAGAGTAATTTGGAGCCCCAGTCTCCCATCATCCCAGGCAAACCACCCATAGAAAGTTAAACTCTGACTCCACGTAGAAAATACCAGAAAAGAAATCAGAATGGCTGAGATAGAGGCACATGGCCATGTCCTGAGATCATGCAGGTCAGATGAGATGACTGTCAGCCCCTTCAGAACCACATTGGGTAAGATAAGGGCAGTAAGCATGGAAAGAGTATGTTCTACAAGGAAAAGAAGAAACCCAGAGGTGCCCAGGTTAACCAGTGAGTGAGAGCTCTGCCCAGCAACCATAAGCAAAAGCCTTGCATTTACCTCTGTAAGTGAATCATTCTTAAACAGGATTTAGTAATATAAATGATATGGATACAGATTAAAATTATACACTACAGGTAAATTGTTTTTAAAGTTGACAAGTTAACTTGTTGATGCCTACCTTTAGCTTCCTAAGGAACCCTTTACCTAGTATCCTTTACCTACTTTATTTTAGAGATTATATATGGACTACTACTCCAGACTTGAGAAAATAACATCTCTACCTTGATAGTACTACAGGAGGGAAAAGCAGGCAGTAGTTGATGCTTCCCTGAAATATTTCCTACTGCACTGGTTTAGTTCTGATGAGGCAAAATGGCAAAAATATGCCAGGGAATCACTTTTTTATCAGCAAAATTTTGCTGATAAATATTATTAGGAAAAACACTCATGTTTGTTTCCTTAGATGTATTTAGACCTTCTCAGTATCCCTCTACATTCAACCTCTCTTTCCTTTCTCTTTATCTCTCTAGATTATATTCTGGTTATTGCTTTGGTTTTATCTTCCAGTTTATCAATTCCCCCGTTATCTGTTTATAAATTTCTGGGCTTAAACCATTGGAGATTTTTATTATATTTTTCTTTTTAAACCTTCTGTTGTTTTTCTTCAACTTTGCTTGTCACCTTCTTGTATTCTCAAGTGTCTCCTTTTTTTTAATATGAAACCCATGTTTTGCTTTTTTTTTTTTTTTTTTTTTTTTTTTTTTGAGACAAGGTCTCACTGTCATCCAGGCTAGAATGCAGTGGTGCCACCATGGCTCACTGCAGCCTCAGCCTCCCCAGGCGCAGGTGATCCTCCCACCTCAGCTTTCCAAGTAGCTAGGACCACAGGCGCATGCCATGACACCTGGCTACATTTTGCATTTTTTGTGTAGAGACAGGGTTTTACCATATTGCCCAGGCTGGTCTCAAACTCCTGGGCTCAAGCGATCCTCCCACCTCAGCCTCCCAAAGTGCTAGGATCACAGGCATGAGCTACCACACGTGGCCTTCATTTTGCATTTCTTATAAAATAGTTTTAATATTTAAAGTCTACATGGGTTTATAGCTTCCTTTTCTTGTTTCCGCTCAAAGGGATTCTATCTTTTACTCGGAGCTTTATCTGTGGGAGTATCTGGGTTGTTGCTAACCTAAGTTGAAGTGACTCCAGAGAGGATTTTGTTTCCTTCCAACAGTTTTCATGGACACCATCCACACAGAATCACTTTTAATTATCTGCTTAAGTGCTTTCAGACCGCACTACTAGCACATACTCAAATTGTAATCCTGTGTAAGGTTCATCTTGTGATAAAAACTCTCAGAAGAGATTTTTTTTTTCTTCTCCAAGAGGATAGAGCAAGACAGGTAAGTTTCCATCCTGCCACCTTTGCACCTCACACTGTGAATGGGTCCCACAGGCTTTAATCAAGGGCTCCTAGCAAAGTCTCTACCTAAAGTGAGCTCTGTACTTTATCTCCTGTCCTCAGTGCCCCCATGGAATCATCAAAGAAAAGTTAAATGTGTCCAGGACCTGGAAGATGACTATAAGGAAAAAGCCAGCTTTGGCATTCACTTACCTCCCAGAATTCTGAGCTCCACTTTGCTTTTGAACTCTGCAGCGTTCTAATTTTCATGCCAGCTCAGTATATATTTAAAATCAGCACACACACAATCACACACCATTTATTTCAGGTTATCTAATCTACTATTCCTCCATTAATACCAGAAAAGAAAATCTTATTCTACACTTACTCTTAACACCTCCTTCTCCTTTCCCCTCCTTAAATTCATTTAGACACCAAATATTTCATATAATCTAAAAAAATTTCTAACCCATTTCCTTCTGCTAATCCAGGCCTTCTCCATGATATCATATAAACAGGCTATTCAAACAGCCGCCTACCCGGTCTCCTAGCAGCCAACGTTTTTCCTACACTAAGCCTTGGAGGTGGTGAGAGATGGACCTAAGTTCCAATCCACTGTAGCAAGTTCTATTTTGTTCTTGTTCCCCCCTACTTTATTTCCATCTTCCTTTCCTCACAGTCTTCCCCGTGGACTTCAGGTTATAGCATCAAACACAGAAGCAACAATCTTTCTTAAACTGTTTAACTAGTTTTTACAGCTGCAAATGGTCAGATGCTTAGAATATATTTCTTATATCTTTCAGTTTTGCTTCTTCTAGTTTTGGTCTCCAATCAAACCCTGACTATTACCACAATATAAAGAGATCTGTCTCCTTCCTTTAAACAATGCAGTGTAACCCATCAGATGGATGGAGCTTAGCTTATTCAACTAACCTAAAATCCTCTAGTGATGGGCAAATGTGTTGTTTCCAGTTCTTGTTCGTTTAAAGGGCACTGCAATGACCAGTAACATTTTCTTCAAATTTTTGCCAATGTATCTCCAAAATGGATTCCTAGAAGTGGACTATGAGTCAAAGGGTAAACAGCTGAATTATTTCAAACAGATCTCTTCCCTCCTTAAAATTTATAGCTTCTTTTGGAAACCATGCAAGTAATTGTGGTAGAGACTGGTAGTTGTCCCTCAATATCCATTTCCTGTCATTGTGTAATAATAACATTTTTAGTTAGGCACTTAAGCCAAAGACTAGCTTTCTCAGCCTCTTCTGTGGTTAGGTGTGGTCATGGCCATATGATTAGATGTGACCCGTGGGAAGCGAAATTTAATGTGTGCAATCTTCAAGTTATTCTTTAAAGAGAAGGAGAATACCTTCCTTTCCTCCTCCTCCCTTCCTGGTAGCTGAAATACATATGTGGCATTGGGAGCTGGTGCAGCTACCTAGGACCAGGAACTGAAAACTACATGTTGAAGACAGCACAGTAACCAGAGAGAAGAGGCCCGGTACCTTGATGACTGAGGAACTATCACACTAGCCCTGGACTGCCAACTTAGACATTTATATTAGAGATAAATAAATTTCCATATTACTTGAGGCCTTATATTAGCATAACTTAACATATCTAACTTTATGGAATTACATAATTCATAAATGTATTTATGTGTTTAAGATACCATTCCATAAATAAAATACAAGGTCTTAAATGCATAGATTTTGTAAATATTACCTTAGACTATTCCAAAGTTTGCACCTCACACTGCAGATGTGGTCCCACAGGCTTTAATCAAGGGCTCCTAGCAAAGTCTCTACCTAAAGTGAGCTCTGTACTTTATCTCCCATCCTCAGTGCCCTATAGAATCATCAAAGCAGAAGATCAATGTGTCCAGGACCTGGAAGATAACTTTAGGGAAAAAGCCCAGCTTTGGCATTCACTTACCTCTTTTTGTATCCTTACTTATACTTGACTATGTTCCATTTGGTTAAGATTACAGTTAACCTTTGAACAACACAGTTTGAACTGGAGGGGTCCACTTATACGCAAATTTTTTTCAACTAAATGTGGGTGGAAAATATACCATTCATGGCCTATGAAAGGCACATATATGGAGGGCCAACTTTTTGTACATGCACGTTCCACAGGCCAGCCATGGGACTTGAGTATGCTCTGGATTTTGGTATTGGGGTAGAGGGGCTGGAACAAATCCCCTGAGTATACTGAGGAACGATAGTACTGCATAATTAACCTAATGGACCATTATGTAAAAATGTAGCTCCCAATTAACTCCCAATTATTTTTATATAAATGTCAGCCAGTATTTATAATAATTCTACATCCATATTTATTAGTCCATCCATGAACCATTATGAGTCCCAATATGAACTCTTCTAAAAAACTTTAAATGTACAATTTTGTGTTTTCATCCATTCAATTTTAACTATTCCCAAATGTACACAAGAAATTTAAAAAGAAGGGATGTAGGGGAAAAAGTCAATCTATTAAATTTTTACTTATGGATACTGCAAGTATACTACCACTTAGAAATTGTCAGGCTGCTCTGGTCTTTGAAATGAATGTAAAGCACCTTCTTTTAACTGTCTCTTTGATTCCTTCAATACAGAATGTCTTCCAGAGGCCTCCTCAATCAAATGCTGAATCACAATGCACCATTCCTTTTATATCATTCCAAACAACTGTATGTTTGGAGTTTACACCACCAGTGTAAAGTACATCTGAGACACAGGGCTAGAAAATTACAGAATCAGGGTCAGAAGATCCAAAAAAAAAAAAAAAGGAAAAGTAGAAACCAAAATATAGTCATAGTGATACTGAACCAGAGGTCAAATCTAAGAAAACCATAGGTCAAAAGCATCCTCTCTATATAAGAACTAAGAATAAAATAAGATAAATGGACACAGGCAACATCAGCTATTGTTTCAGAACTGACCTCAGGCAGTGTTTCGCAAACTTGAGCATGGATCAGAATAATCTATAGGGCTACTAACACAAAGAGAGCTGGGCTCTGCTCCCAGAGGTTCTAATGCTGCAAGTCTTGGATAAAAACTGACAATTTTCATTTCTAATAAGCTAGCAGTGATGATTATTCTGCTGGCCCAGAGAACAACTTAGACAACCATCTAGAGAAGACTAATATGAAGACTTTGGTGGTTAGCCCTTTTTTCCTATCCTAATTTCTTCTGCAGAGAAGCTTTCTAGCTATGAAAGAGCCAATATCACTGTGACCTCTATTGAGCCCCTGGGAGTCAAGAAGGGATTCAGAGTTAGAATCCTTGAAATGATACATGATCAAGCATGGGGAAATTTCTGGAAACCTTTTGAATACTGAACCTCATCAGGGTCTTTCATAATCTCTCCCAGGGCCAAGCCTAGGACAAATTTTTCAAGTGCATTCTCTTAGCTAGAATCCTGTAAATGTATTTGCCTGACCAATTCTGGTTTCAAAATTTGCAGCAAAGTAAATATTACTTTTTCAAATCTTTCTTACTCAGTTGCCATTTATTAAATACTGCAAAATTTCTTTACTGATTGGCTATAACAGCTGGCTGGCATTATAACTATAATAGCCACAGGATATCCAAAGTATTAGAAATCCTTTTCATCAAAAAGCTATTCACAATATATCATTGATATTTTCCTATTCACTTCAAAATTTTAAATTCTTACATTCATTTTTATTACATAATGGGATACAGACTATAATAGAGTCCATATAAATCTAGAGTCAATTTAAAATCTGTTTTTAAACTTAAGAGCAACAGGAACTCTGAAAAATCTCCAATGAAAGTGTAAAATGACACATCCACTTTGAAAAACTCATCACAGAGGAATGGATACATTGAAACAGAAGCCCAGTTGCATGGGCCATGAATTAATTGTGATCTATTCATACAATGAAATGCTACTTATTAAACAATACTGTACACGCCTCAGATTTTTGGGTGTTCTTTTCCCCACAGCCAAGAAGCATTTATTGGCAGGCTGGCTCCAGAAACATAGTTGCAATATGCTAATACTATTCACAAAAAATTACCTTGATGAAGAGGGCCAAGCTACTTTCCTTAGTAACTAGAATACTTAGAAAAATAAGAATAACAAGAAAAATTATTATTACTTAGTAGTAATAATACTATCAATGAACAATGAATATTCGTATGATGTAATGACAATGTTCATTATTTAGTAGTAATGTTCTAATATTGTACAGTTGTAAGATATTATTGTAATAGAAATGAACAGTGAATATTCATCCAATATAATGACCATGTTCCTTACTAAGTAGAAATGTTCTAATATTGTACAAAATTGTAATATTATTGTAATAGAAATGAACAACAGATATTCATACAATGGACTACTACTCAGCAAAGAAAAGTGAATAAACTACTGATACAAGCAAAAACATGAATGAATCTCAAAAGCATTAGGTTGAGTAAAAGAAAGCAAACACAAAAGAACATATGCAGTGTGCATGGATTTATATGAAGCCCAAACACATGTACACCTAATCTGATGGCAATCAGAAAGTGGCTGTTTTTGGCATAGGGAGAATGGATCCATTGTGAAGAGTGAGGAAGAAGCTTCCAGGAGTGATTAAAATGCTTTAGACAGAAAAAAATCATTTGCTATTTAAAATTTCCATTACAGTGAAGAAATTAGCAGTCACAGATGTATGTTTATAAAATCAGGATTTTGAGCTAAAAAGAGGATGACCAAACACCTTAGTTTGCTTTACACAGTCATCCCAGCATAGACCTGACAGCACAGCATAATTGTTAACAGCACCTCCTTCACAGTCAAAGGTATCCTGATTTAAATGAAGGAAGACCTTTATGGTCACTTTAGTTAAAAGGAAACATATACTATTTAGTAAAATGAGCTCATTTACTTTTCTGTTCAATCCATATTTACTAAGCACCTACTATGTGGTTAAACATAGTCCCTTTATTGTTGCTACCACTTCAGATTTCCTCTTTGTTTCCACAATCAAAATATAAAATGGCTAGATGAATTTTTCCCAAACATAAAATTTACACCTGAGGACAAACTAAATACCAAAAAAATCAAGATTCTTTCTACAAGGAAAATATAAATCAACCATATAGAAAAAAAAGATATAACTTTTAGAGCTATAAAAAACAAAGTATATAAAGATATTCACAAATATAAAATAAAGAAAATCTTTACCTGCTGCCCTGTAAAGTATTTTAGGTTCAAAAAATATACAAGGATTTTTATCCTCTATGCATGACAAAAGAAGTCCTTTGGCCTGGAAAGGGCTTCTGGGTATAACCACCTGCAAAAACAGATTTTTTTAAGACAATTTTAGTAAAAATATATCCCAGTAAACTCGCTGCTAAGAAGGGCTGATATTTAAATAATCAATTGTTACTAATTAAAAATAGATATTGGCTATTTATTTTAAGCCTAATTATCACTTATTAAGTTTACATATTATATAAAAATAAAAATGCCTCTTATTCAACAGATATTTATCAGATGTCTACCATGTTCTGTTAACTAAGATACTACTCTTAAGAAGCTAAACTTGCCTATATAAAAAAAATAAAAAGAATATGCAAAGATCATTCATCAAAGCAAAAAACTGTAATATTGTTAATATCTACCTGTGTTTATCTATGAAGAAATCTCTTCTACTAATAATCTGTTTCTACTTTCAAAGTACATGCAACTCTCTTCTCCAGTTTTAACATGTCAAAATCTTCTTTTCCCATGAAAAAAAATATGGTCTTCATTTCATAAGTGAAAAATTAGTCCACTGAGTTTTACAGTCCAGGCACCATAGTGTCCAGTTATATAGCAAAGCAAAAACAAAAGTGTGGATAGTCCACACTTCCACTCACAGGAAAGGGCTCCAGGACCTTCTCGAGAATGAGGGTGATGACAAGGAAGATGATAATGACAGTAGGAAGTACACGTGTAAACTTGGCCAAGCACTCTGTGAATTAATTCATCTGTTCATAGCAACCCCACTAGGTAGCTATTATAATGTTCCTCATTTTAGAAATAGACACTGAGGTTTAGAGAGAACAAGTAGCTTGCCTAAGGTCACACGACTTGCTTGATCAAAGAGTCTCACCCAATTCCCACTGATACCAAAGCTCAAGCTCTTAACTTCTATCTAATGTTGACTTAAATCACAAACTTTGTCTAATTTTAAATGATTATAATTGTTTAAAGACAAATATTATATAGGAAGAGTTATTAAAATAAACCTGAACTTACCACAAAGACTTAAGATTCCCTGAGGCAAACTATATTTGGCTTTCAAAGCCATTTTTATGCCATTTTTATTGAAGGGTTTTATTTTAAAAATAAAAGAGCAGCAAAAATGTCACTATTTTCTGTATAAAAAATTTTATTTTCTGTTCTGGACCTCTGAACACATTAATAACCATATCACACAATGTCTTTATCTTATGTTCCTACTTTTTAAGTTCCCTTCATCTGCTTTCTTCATATTAGCCTTTTGTACTTTAAGTATATTTTCATTTCAGCTGAAAAAAAAAGGAAAAAGGAAGAGGAAGAAAGAAAATGAAGGAGGAAAAGAGAAGGCAGGGGACAGACAGAAAAGATCTGTTCTTAAAAACAATATAATGTTATAAATATTAAATGTGAATTAATGTTTAGCTCAAGCACAAAAATAACTTGCCTCGCACATGGCTTCTTTCCCAGTCTACAACTTCTAGCTCACATTCAAAAATCAGGCAACATCTACTCAACTAAGATAAGCTTATAACTTTGATCTGGTAGAAAAAACAAATAAGAAAAAAAGAATAAAACATAGACACATGCTCACAATCAATTCATGTGGTCAAAAAACAAATATACATCTCTGGATTCACACATCTATGGGTTTCTACAATGATCCCCTGAAAAGCTTATTCAGTAAACAGAAACAGAAAAGATAATACAAAAAATTAAGACATAAAAAACTCAAAATATTTTTACCATCAAAAGACCTAAGCTTTTGTGAAAGACAGGTTATAAAAAGGAGATGCTTCAAAATTAATTGGTTGAGCAAGTATTACCTAACTTTAAACAGAAAAAAAAAATCTAGGTAACAGTCTTCTCTTAGTCTTTTTAACAAGTAAGAAATACATTAAAAGCAAAAGTGTTATCCCTGTGACTTTGAGGTAAATACAGACTAAACAAAAGATTTATTAAAATCACCCCATCATCAGTTAAGTGAGAAAGACTTAAGTTAGAAAGAAATATAAAGCTTTGAAAGAGAGGGGAGGTAAACCAACTATGTTCTTGGTCTTATTCTTTGAAGTCTATAAAATTAATCAATGCCAGAGTTTATAAAACCAGTCCTCCTTCAAAAAGAACTTGCTGTAAAACTGGGCATTGGATAGCATACTTAAAAGAACTGCTAACCTCCCCTTCTTAAATACAGTTAAGTTCACATAAATTCCAAGAATCCTGTTTGTTTTCTTTCCTCTAGATAAGCATAGATATTAAATAGAATGAATCAAAATGGAAACATCAAATAGAAATCAAATAAAGTACATAAATGAACATACCTTGATTCCTGGGCAATGGGCAAAAAATGCTTCAGGACTCTGAGAATGATAGAGAGCCCCATGACCAACACAGCCCCAAGGGGACCGGATAGTGAGGCTTCCACAGTTAAAAAGATCCCCAGAGCGATAGCGATACTTGGCAGCTTCATTAACAATCTGAGGGTCAGAAAGAAAGACGGGGCATGGCACAATGAGTCCTTCCCTTCCAATCTCCTTCCGTTCTTCCTCCCTCCCTCCCTTCCTTCCTTCCCTTCCCAAGGCACAATGAGTCTTTCCCTCCCTCCCTGCCTCCCTCCCCCTCTTCCTTCCTTCCTTCCTGCCTGCCTGCCTTTCTTTCCCATAGCACAATAAGTCTTTCCCTCCCTTCCTTTCTTTCTTAAGACAGGGTCTCGTCCCTCCCTCCCTCCCTCCCTCCTTCCTTCCTTTCTTCCTTCCTTTCCCATGGCACAATGAGTCTTTCCCTTCCTTCCTTCCTCCCTCCCTCCCTTCCTTCCTTCCTTTCCCATAGCACAATGAGCTTTTCCCTCCCTCCTTTCCTTTCTTTCTTGAGACAGGATCCCATCACTCCCTCCCTCCCTCCCTCCCTCCCTCTCTTCCTTTTCTTCCTTCCCTCCCTCCCTCCCTTCCCTTCTTTCTTTTTGAGACAGGGTCTTGTCTTTCCCTTCCTCTCTCCTCTCCTCTCTCCCCTCTCCCTTCTTCCCTCTCCCCTCTCTCTCGCTCTTTCTTTCTTTCTCTCTTCTTTTCTTTTTGAGAAAGGGTCTCATTCTGTCACCCAGGGAGTGCAGTGCTGCGATCACAGTTCATTGTAGCCTTGGACTCCTGGTTTAAGTTATCCTCCTGCCTCAGCCACCAGAGTAACTGGGATGACAGGTATGTGCCACCACACTGGGCTAATTTTTGTAGTTTTTGTAGATATGGGTTCTCATTATCATTATGTTGCCCAGGATGGTGTTGAACTCTTGGCCTCAAGTGATCCTCCCACCCTGGCCTCCCAAAGTGCTGGGATTGCAGATGTGAGCCACTTCACCCAATCCCAATCTATCTGCTTAAACTATTCTATTAGATCTTTAAATATATGCTCATAACAAAATTATAATTGTAATACATTAGTAAAAGGATAATAAAATGTTTAGAATGCAGGTAAGGGTGGGTGGAAGGGTAGCGGCAATACTTGAATATTTCAATGAATGAACAACCTTAGAAATGTTCATTCACTTACCTGATCAAATGCAGGGAAAATATAATCTGCAAACTGAATTTCCGCAATGGCAGTAGCTCCAGTGACCGCAATTCCGATTCCAAATCCAACAATTCCTTGTTCACACAATGGGGTATTAAAAACTCTATCTTTTCCTTAAAATAGAAAAGAAAAAAAGGTTAATGTGGCAAATGAGAGTAATGTCATGCATAATACATTTAAAAATTCAGTAAACTAATAATGGGATGGAGAAGTATAGAACAGGTAGAGGAAACAGAAAATAAAGAGTATGGCTAGCCACGGTGGCTCACACCTGTAATCCTAGCAGTTTGGGAGGCCAAGGCAAGAGGATTACTTGAGACCAGGAGTTCAACACCAACCTGGCCAACATAGTGAAAACCTGTCTCTATTAAAAAAAAATAGTAAGGTGAATTATTTAAATCCAATTAATAATTGTATTAATTGTAAGTAATCTAATGTTTCAATGAAAATAAAAACTGTCACACTAATTTAAAAGAAAGGAAAACCCAACTATTTGAAAGGAAACACAAACTCTAAAGACAGAGAAAGGTTGTTAAAAAAAAGAAAAAAGAAGGAAAAAATAGACAATAAAAAACCTAACCAAAAGAAAGTTGATGTCACTATATTAATAGCAGGCAAAGTAGACTTTCAGGAAAAAAACATACCAGAGATAAAGAGGGAAAACGCATACTGTTAAAGGGTTCAATTCACAAGAAATAAATAATTCTAAATCTATACTTATCTAACAATGGGCTCCAAATAAATGGAAAAAAGCAACACAACTAAAAGGACAAATGGACAAAATCACCACATAGTGGGAGATGATTTTTTAATGTACTAGTCTTAATAACTGACAAAAAAGGCATACCAAAAAAAAGGAGGGAGTGTGAAAAATAGAGATGATTTAAACATGTTCAACAAACATGGCCTAACTGACATACAAAGGACACTGCACCCAGAAGCAAAGAATACAAATCCTTTTCAATTAAACAGAAAACACTGACATCAATTGACCATATACTGGACTACAAATCCAATCTCAACAAATTTTAAAAGATGAAAATTACATATATTCTCTGACCATAGTGTAATTAAGTTAGAAATCAATAAAAAGATCATTCAAAAAATTCTTATGTTAGAATTTTTTTTTTTTTTGAGATGGAGTTTTGCTCTTGTCACCCAGGCTAGAGTGCAATGGCGCAATCTCAGCTCACTGCAACCTCTGACTCCTGAGTTCAAGCCATTCTCCTGCCTCAGCCACCCGAGTAGCTGGGATTATAGGCGCCCACCACTACACCCAGCTAATTTTTGTATTTTTAGGAAAGACGGGGTTTCACCATGTTGGCCAGGCTGGTCTCGAACTCCTGACCTCAGGTGATCCACCCGCCTCGACCTCCCACGGTGCTGGGATTACAGGCATGAGCTACCGGGCCTGGCTAGAAATTTTTTTTAATAAATAGCTAAGTAACTCACAGCTCAAAGAAGAAACTATAATGAAAATTAGAAAGTGGTATTTTAAATTGAATAATAATGAAAAAACTATACAAAATATCTTATTGAGGTTCTGAACGTAATGTCAGAGTTGCGTTTTTCAGACTATCCTTTCCACATTTAATGATTATAAACTCTGGGCAAAATAAAACAAACAACTATTTAAAGGCATTGAAGGGCCAAAAGTAGGCATAAACTGGAGTCTTGACTCTTGAAAGAAATTAAGCCCAGTGGATGACCATGACGTTCATAAGCCTTGTCCTGCAAAAGGACTCCCCAGTCTATGAGTCAGGACAGCTAAAATTCAAACAAATAGACTCAGTCTGGTTGATCTGAGGTGTCAGAAAATAGTCTGTGGCTACCAGTGGTTGAAAATTGAGAGACTAAATCCCTAAAAGAAGGGCACAGCATGGAGGAGCCCCAAAATCTGTGCAAAAACTGATCAAATCCTTGCCAACACTTGTGCCCACAGGACACTCCAAAAGCCCAGCAGCAAATAATCTCTCCCAGTTAAAAGAGCTGTGCCCACCAACAAGGAGGCAGATTTTGGAGTTTGAGACCCTTCAAATTAGAGAAGTTTGATAAACCCTTTAGACGATCCATTCGAACCACTAGGTACAATTTTATTAGCGTATAATTCAATTCTCACTTGACGTTTCACCACCTCTCAGCTCATGCCAGAATTTCATTAGAAATTATAATTTCAGGATTCTGGGTGGACAAAGACAATAGCCACAGTCTGGCCATGTAACCAAATGTTTTGGGAGAAACCTGGTATTCATATTTCACTTCCATAATCCAAGGATACCAGTTCTTTTTCATATATAGAATTCACTTTTAGCTTAATCATTTCCTTTGAATATGAACGAAACATGGGGCAGGTGTTGGGAAATGCCGACCAGACACATCCTGTAGTTTGCCAGGCTATAAGCAGCTGCAAAAACTGAAAGCATGATTCATACTCATCATGATCTGTGACTATCTTCTGAAATTGTGACCTCTATTCCTCATCAATTCCCTATTTGACTGTGAGTAGCTTGATAATCTTTGAAAATCTATGATTCCAGTGAACCAAAAACTCAGTGGTAGAAAATGAACGTAAATTCCAGCTGTCTCCCATGGAATTCACAGCCCTGGAATACCTGAACCACCTTAACCAAACTAGCAGCATTCTTATTGATTCCTTGCTAGTTCATGGGATTTAGATATTTTTCATCTCGGTAAGAAATATAGCCTTGTTGCCAATAGAAAGCAGAAAAAAGTGAGTTTCTCAGAACTCTCTTACCCCAAAACATGTTTGATTTGAGGAAATAGTTTAACAAGTCTCTCTGACAAGTTTCTATGATGTAGCAAAAAGTGCTTCAACATGAACTGTTAAAAATCGGTTTCTATTTTCTCCCAGATACTGATTGAGGAGAAGAGCACAAATAAGACACACAATATTGATGACTTCCTCTATCTTATAATGCAATTCATCCAATGTAAAGTTCCTGTAGTACCCTGTAAGTGTCCTGATAGATGAAAAAATACATGAGTGACTGCACTATGAGCCAAGAAAGACCTGGGTTTAAGTGTTACCTCCACGGATTACTAAACACTCTAAGGCTCCATTTCTTATGTGTAATAGAAAAATTATAACACTGAAAAGACTATAATAATTCATACATTTATTCAACAAATGTTTTTAAACTACTTAATATTATACAGACACTTTCCTAACAGCAGCAAACAAAACGAAAACATTCCTCATGAATGTTTACATTCTAGTCACAAGAAATGCAATAAAAACAAAATAAATGAAGGAAATATTTAGTTTGTTAGATGATGAACCAGGGGAGTAGGTGATGGAGGGAGGGAAACTACTATGATTTTTAAGGACATTGGGAAGACCCCACTGAGAGGTGACAGTTAAGCAAAGGGTTTAAATAAATGAGGATGTGTACCATGCATATATCTGAGAGAATAAATATTCTGGGCAGAGCGACCATCAAGTACAAAAACCATGGGGTAAGAAAATGTTTAATATATCAGAGGAAGGGCAAGGAGTCCAGATTGCCTGGTCTAGAGTAAAAGAAAGAGTAGTAGGAGATAAAGTCAAGGAGTTACAGGATGGAATGGGTAGATGATCAAGCAGGGCCCTGGAGGACATTGTAAACCCTCTTTTACTGTGAGAGCGAGTCAGAGAGCAGGTGAGTGAGAAAAACAGGAAGTTCTTGAGTACGGTCATGCCATTCTCTGAGCTGCATTTCAACAGGATCCTTCTGACTCGTATTTGGTGAATAGCCTGTCAATAGCAAGGGTGGACACAGCAAGATTGATTATCTGCTACTGCAATAATCCCAGTAAGAGATAACAATGCATAATAGCAGAGAAGGTGGAGAAATGGTGTGAGACTCTGGATATACTCTAAAGATAGAGCTAAAAGGATTTGCTGATGAAATGGATGTGCAGTATGAGTCACAGCAATACTAAGGATGATTCAAAGTCTTTTGGCCTGGGTAACCTGAAGGACAGAGTTCCCAGTAACTGAGAAAGGGAAAACTGTGAAGAAGCATGTTGGGTGAGAGATCAGCAGCTCAGGTTTGGAGATGTTTACTTTGAGATGCCCTCAGATATTCAGGTAGAGCTATCAATTAGACTGTTGGATATAAGTTGGAAGTCTTCAGCATAAAGACAGCATTTAATAACAAGGGATGGGATAAGATTACCTAGTAAATTTAAATAGAGAGAAAAGAAGAGATCTAAGATTGTAGCCTGGATACTCCAATGTTAACAAGACAAGCAGGTGAGACATAAATCAGCCAAGTTGAGAAGGAAAACAAGCCAGAGTTTGGAGGAAAACCAGGAGGAGAATGTGTTGTCCCAAAAGGAAGTGTTTCCAAGAAAAGAGTGATTAACTTGTGTCTATACTGCTATTAAAAAGTGAGATGAGGACTGAGGATTTTATCATTGGTGACCTTAACATGACCGTTTCTGCAAAGTAGGAGAGAAGAGAAAAAAAAAAAAAAAGCTTAATTGCAGTGACTTCAAGTGAGAATAGAGAATAGAAGCAGAGAAATTGAAGACAATGAGTAGTGACAATTATATGGAGAAACGGTGCTATAAAAGAGAGAAGAAGCCAGGCGCTATGGCTCACACCTGTAATCCCACCACTTTCGGAGAATCACTTGAGCCCAGGAGTTCAAGACCCTACAGCAAAACCCCATCTCTACAAAAAATACAATAAAAACATTAGCCGGGTGTGGTGGCACGTGCCTGTAGTCCCAGCTACTCAGGAGGCTAAGGTGGGAGGATCATTTGAACCCAGGAGGTCAAGGCTGCAGTGAGCTGAGATGGCACCACTGCACTCCACCCTGGGCAACAGAGTGAAATTCTGTCTTAAAAAAAAAAGAGAGAGAGAGAAGAGAAGAGAAAGGGAGCAGTCACTAGAGGGGAATATGGGGTCAAGAGAGTTTTGGGTTTTTTTGTTTTGAGATGTAGTCTCGCTCTGTCACCCGGCTGGAATGCAGTGGCACAATCTCCACTCACTGCAACCTCTACCTCCTGGGTTCAAGTGATTCTCCTTCCTCAGCCTCCCGAGTAGCTGGGATTACAGGCGCCCACGACCACGCCCAGCTAATTTTTGTATTTTTCGTAGAGATGGGGTTTCACCATGTTGGCCAGGCTTGTCTCAAACTCCTGACCTCAGGTGATCCACCCGCCCCAGCCTCCCAAAGTGCTGGGATTACAGGCGTGAGCCACTGCACCCAGCAAGACAGGTTTTTAAGATGGAAAAAATAACAGCATATTTGCAGGCTGATGGGAATGATCAGTAGAGAAGAGAACACTGATTATTTTGAGAAAATTAATAAAATGGAGAGAAGGAATAATAACTGGAACCGTGTCTTTGAAAAGGTGACAAGAGAAGAAGGGATCTACTGTGGAGGGGTTGATAGGAACCCTTACATTCTTTCAGAGTGCAGGAGGAAAGAAGGCATATGGGCATTGATGGTGGTACATGGATATATGCAGTGATAAGAGCTTATCCAAGTTCTTATTAGTGGCATCTATCCTTTCAGTAAAATGCAAAACTAAATTATTACCTAACAATAAGGATGGGAGAAGCTGTTTTGAGGAGGGGGAAAAAAGTATGAAATAGTCATCTGGGAGAATGGAAGACCGAATGGACCCGGAACATGCAGCATGATGGCAGGCAACATGAGTGCCCCGGAACTTCCCAGCCTTGAACTTAAAGACCAGTTGCATCATGGCATGTTTTGCTCCAGTGACATTCAGCTCAGGATTTACACAGAGAGATGGATTTAACTAGAATTAGATTTTGCCAAGCAAATATTGACATGAAATTTAAACTGGATGTAAAAGAAAGAAAGGTAATCAGGGAAATGAAAGACAGCAACAAGGTGGTAAAATCCGTGGCTTTTAAGAATCAATAAGGTCAAAAGATTGTTGGAATGGAGGTACTAGAAGCAGTGAGCTACAGTGAGATTCAAAATGCTAATCAGAGTTGAGGATGCTTCAAACTGAGATTATGCAGAGACCACTGTTATTGCTAATGACAAGAGTATGGCTGTAAGAATGAAAAGCTGATGTAGGATGGAGGATAAGATCACCAGAGAAGAAAAGGATAAGAAGCTGAGAAGCCAGAATATTGAAAAGACCATCCATGTGGACACTGACAGGAATGCTGGAGAGAGTGACAGTGAGCCAGGCTGGGAACAAAGAGGATCAGCCTGAGGTCCATAAGGACAAGGAGGGGGAGTGTCAGTGCTTAGCACTTACTTACCCGGCACACTGACAGCATTTAACATATTTTTAGTTTGAAAGGATAAATTAGATAAGGGGAGCTAGTTTCTTTGGATTTAGAAATCACATTTTTTTTTTCTGCCCCATTCTCAGCAACTGGATTGTCTTTTTCTACTTTCTACTCAGCTATTTGATATTTGGAACCAACTTTCTGAAATTCAATATATTAAATAGTGTGTATGTCATAAGATAATAATTTCACACAGCTTAGCTCAGGTAGTATAAAAAATTAATATTCCTAAAATATATAATAATTTAAGTCATTCATCCAAATGATGACTAAATTGTAGGATGTTGAAATTCCTATCTTTTAAAGGCAGTTGGGGTCTATAATGACACAGTAAGTTTCGGAGGCTCAAAGAAGTTGCAAGAAGGAATCTATATCAATCAAAGTGCTGCAAACCAAGCTCAGCAAATGTTTAATTCAGTGGTTAGTGGCTTTGACCTCATGTGAAGGAAAAAACTATGCCCACTCTGAAACAGTTCCTCAATGCCTAGCAGCTTTGATTGGGCAAAAAAAAGTAAATACCATCTGAATTACTTCTTTCTAAACTCAGATAGCTGAATAAAATGAAAATTTCTGATAAACTTGTTGCTGATCAATAGTATAGATAACTAAAATAAAAGAAATAAATATTTCTATAACATGCCATTTTCTTATATTGTGCTACTCCTGCTTTGTATAACTCCATGATCTCCCAAGTCAATGAAAACATGTGTGGAATGCCAGATGGCTGACTGTATATTTGACTTATCAATTTCTCACTTGTTGAAGATCAAGTATAAAATCATACCATCGCTTTCTAATAGTGTTCTTCTTTTGTAAAGGGAGCATGATTAAGAAGTTCTACATCACTGGCAGTACACCATCTGTTAAAGATATTGTCCATTACACAATACTAAACTTCATATTAAAATCAGCAGGTGACTCCTCTTGCTAAGCAATTAGAAATGGGTAAAATTGAGTCCACCAGTGAACCCTATTCCCTATCTAACATTCAGCCACAACTATAGACCAGAAAAATAGGGAAAAGAGGGCAGAGAAACAATTAAGAAAAAGAAGCCGGTGTGATGGTTCAGGCCTGTAATCCCAGCACTTCGAGAGGCTGAGGTGGGCGGATCACTTGAGGCCAGGAGTTCGAAACCAGCCTGGCCAACATGGCAAAACCCCATCTCTACTAAAAATACAAAAAATCTGCCAGGTGTGGTGGTGCATGCCTGTAAACCCAGCTACTTGGGAGGCTGAGGCAGGAGAATCGCTTGAACCCAGGAGGCAGAGGCTGCAGTGAGCCAAGATCACACCACTGCATTGCAGCCTGGGAGACAGAATGAGAAAAAAAAAAGAAAACGAAAAAGCATGACTTAAGGTGACAGCCTATTACCTCCTGATAGGTTAAAGGAATCACTAAGAATCTGTTTCTTCTGTCCCTAGACATTTTTCAGAAGCTTTAATTAGTTTTAGAGTTTATCTATGAACAAAGTAGATCTGCAAGTTATTAAATCTATCTGGGATAAAATTAAATTTCTTCTTTCCATTATGGATTTCTGTAAAAGATTTCTGTAAAAGCAGATTTAAAACTGTCTATTTCTAAGCAAGTTGTGTTTCCTCAGGACCTAGATTTGAATAGGTCGGAATATCCTTCTGGAAAATGATTGACTCCATCAGGGAAACAGCTCAGGTCCCAGTCTCTGAGCAGAAAGATAAATAAGAACATAAATATTTGTGACTAAGCTACAAAATAAACCAGGGAAATAAAAGTCATTATAGACACAATTGTAACAGTGGGAGACAGAAATAAATAATACATCCAGTAATTTCAGTCATAGTATACTTGATAGAATATGTTGTGATTTCACAATATATTAAAGCTTGATGATGAAAAATTTGATAAAGATAAAACGCATTTGTTTTAGGGTCAACTAAAGCAAAAATACAAAGCTAATCCAGAAGACCATTTCTGCCTCTTAAAAAATGGAAAACAGAACATTCTATTCATTAGACAGGCCAGAAAAATGCTTAAATAATGAATATGCACGCAAATTTAAAAAATTACTAAGTAGAATGACAATACAGTTTATCTTGTATTGGGATACAAACTGGGATACTTCTGAGACTGTGAGGAGTTACTAAAAATAATTAACAGATGTTAGATGCTAACTGATTTTTTTTTAATCTAGTCTCTGTACTAGTTGAGAAGATAGTTTTTTTGTTGTTTTTTTGGGTTTTTTTATACTTTAAGTTCTAGGGTACATGTGCACAATGTGCAGGTTTGTTACATATGTATACATGTGCCATGCTGGTGTGCTGCACCCATTAACTCATCATTTACATTAGGTATTTCTCCTAAGCTAACTGATTTTCAACAGGCTTAAACTGGGTATTTCTAGGCAAACAGGACTAACCTGGGTAAACCAAGGGTTATAGTCACCTTATTATTAGAGTTACCAAATATTAACACCTAAGTTGAAAGTAGTAAAGGGAAAATGGTGTTCCCCTTACTCACACCTAATCCACCACATATTAGCATCGTAAATTAGGCTACTCATGATCCAGAGGTAGAAAATGAAAAAGAACACTGAATAAGCAATCCTGTCATCAAGGTAATCGTCACAGTTTACTGCCTAGGGTGAACACTATGATGCATGAAGCCCAGATCACCCATTTGTGAAGATCACCCACCATGTTGCCTTGGTTACTAAGAAATCTGTTGGCTGACAGATATCAGCACTTCAGCTATCACACCCTTTAGGGTCTGTTTTATCTGCAGTGAACTTCCTAGACTGAGGTCATGCTTGGCATCTCCCATCCACTGATTGATCAGTGTGAGAGTACAAAGGCCTGGTCATTTCAGCCCAACTAGGGACAACTAGTTGGCAAAAGAGTCATTCTGATTGCACAGATCCCACAGGGTTGGCCAAGGCTGTCATTGGTCTTGCATCTCTTCTGGACATCTCCCTCTATCTAATTCTGCTTTTGCTTTAAAGCAGCACTATTTTTATGGTTCTAGAATATGACAGGTTCCAAGGTTTCCAGATTTAGGAAGTTTACCTATAATTATAATTATCCTACAACAATATTCTTCAAATTGTTACCTCCAAGAAGCATTGTTTAGAAATAGCTGTTTGTGAACCTTGTCCTACAGATTCTACCCTATTATTCTGAACACTCCAAGGCAAGATATCTGGGTCATCGTAATGGCTAAGAGACAAATTAAAGAAGATAAAAATCAACCAGAAACAAATGTATGTGCTTAGTAAATGCTTACTGAATGAATGTTTATTAAATGCAAAAGCCCCTCTGTAATCAATGAGTCTGCAATTCTGGGTATAGATACAACAATGTCAACACACAGCAAAGCCCAAATTAGTTTCAAGGGTTCAGTGACTGGATTAAAATTTCTAAGCTCCTCTGCTAAGAACACAGACTGTCTCATTCATTTCATCAGTAGTCCAATAGTGCCTACTACAACCTCTTGAATTTACCAGTCTTTCAGTAATATCGTTTGAATGAACAAGCTTAAAAGACCCATCATTTTGGACTAAAGAGACATTTATGTCTATGGCAATCATGACGTGGTAACACCAAGTACTAAGATATCTAGATATGTCAGCAAGACAGATTTAGTTTAGTTGAAATAGATATGTACTATGTAATATAAACATGAAATTTTTCATTTAAACAATTAGAAAATCTGACAGTGAAGAGAGACTATAGGCCCACCCAAATATAAAGATTCTTGGCCGGGCGCAGTGGCTCACACCTGTAATCCCAGCACTTTGGGAGGCCGAGGTGGGCGGATCACCTGAGGTCAGGAGTTCAAGACCAGCCTGACCAACATGGAGAAACCCTGTCTCTATTTAAAAAAAAAAAAATACAAAAAAAAATTAGCCAGGTGTGGTGGCACATGCCTGTAATCCCAGCTACTTCGGAGGCTGAGGCAGGAGAACTGCTTGAACCTGGGAGGCGGAGGTTGCGGTGAGCCAAGATCGTGCCATTGCATTCCAGCCTTGGCAACAAGAGCAAAACTCCATCTCAAAAAAAAAAAAAAAAAAAAAAATTCTCACCCAATAATCTCCAGTGCCTAGAACAATCCCTTGTACATAGTGGAATTTTAAAAACATTTGTTCAATGTATGAATGAATGAAAAATGAACCCAAAATAGTAATATTAAAATAGAAATGACAGTCAAAAATCACAGAAACTAAAAATCAGGCCAGATAACAATATTTTGAATATGCAACTACCCACACACAGATCAGTGGATTATGTCATGATTTTAGGTAGCCATGTATTAGAGAAATTAATTTTTTTAATGACAGAAAAGGAGAAAAGTCACAATTTTAAGCAACCCATAGAAAATGAAATAGAAAACATCTAGTTGAAGGTTAGCTATCATGATTATGATACAATAATGTTCAGTATCATAGACTGAGGTTTCTCAAACCAAGTACTAGATATACAACTTTTAAGGGAAAAATGTGTTCTTACACTCCTAATGCCAACTTAAACCACTTTTAATATGTTATTTTAATACATACAAAACAAAACTTAGCATTTATTACCCTGATAAAAAGACAAAGCCAAAACAAATTTATAAATTAAATACAAAAGTAACTACCTAACCAATTAAATTCAAATTAACAGTAAAAAATATGGCATAATGAACAACGGTTTTCTGCTGAAATGTCAACACCAACAAAGCTTTGAGTTTGATAATATATTTAATCTCTTTCTGTTTTTGTTTTTACTTTAATCATTCTAATGAAAAGAATACCTATTCACCTAAATGCACTGTACACAACAGTACTGATAACCTCATGGCTTCCTTAACCAGTTAAGGATAATCAGACCTCGTTCCAAACAAAACCACTAACAAGCAGTCCTTGAACACTAATTTAAGGAAGTCACTTAAAGATATGGTTGGTATCACAGCCATATTGAATTCTGCATTATATGTGTGCCTTATTCAATTATCACTAGAAGCAAGTATAGAAAATTCTTTTTGTACTTACTGATACACTTACTTCTAATGATTGTTACAAGTTGCTCTATTAAAAAATGTAATCTTTCTTCTGCCTACAACTTGAATGTTATCTCTATAATGCAGGTTCTTTTGGGTGTGGCAAGCAGGGATGCTCCTAGCACTGTTTGTTATTTGAATCTCAGTGAAAGCCTCATACACTTCAGATAATATGAAGTAGTTGGCCTTCACATTACCATGAACACAATAATAAACACCAACACTAATTTTACCATGTGGTAGTATCTAGTTGCATGGCAAATGATTCAGATGACCCAGAAAAAGCTTATATTACCTTCTCAAGATTATCGTTGACAGTAAAACCCCAAATTTTAAATCTCATAGAAAATGTGAGAACTCTCAGAATACATTCATGGACACAGAGGGTTGGTTAACACCAGTTAAAGAAACAGTACCCCAGGCAGGGAGAAGGTGGACAAATAAAATAATTGACTCCACTGTTCAATTTTAGAAGAAAAATTCTACTTAAGACTAAGTTGGGGGGGAAAGTATTTTTTAAAACAAACTATCCATGGAGCTGTGGCAAATGTTTAAAAGCACTATTTTAGAAATCTCTCACGCATCCCACCAAAAAAACAACTAAGCTCCAAACAACCAAGCACTCAAAAAAAGAAAACCTAAAAAAAAAAAAAAAAACAACTTTGCATTATTATGAGGTAAATTAATCTTTTATTTTAAAATGAATTTCTAAATTAAGGAGAATATAAGTACATTCCTATATTGCATCTATTGGGGAAAAAAAGAAATTCAATGTTATATTTACCAGTAATCCCACAAGGGGTAAAAACGTGTTCTTTAAGTAAATTAAGAACAAAAGAATTAATGTGATAGAATCAATGTGATAATTCAATGATCTGTAAAAACTATGGTTGGGTATGAAAAGAGCACATAGAAAAACTAATTACAAAATGACAAAATCCTAGTGCTATTGAAAACCTTCCCACTAACCCCATAGTCTTCAAATAAGGAAATCGAATTGTTACTTAAGTGGTTAGCCCAAAGTCAATAGCCAGTAACTGGCAGCTTGATACCCGAATCAACAATTGCTTCCCTTTCTTTCTACTAGAGAAATTTATTTCCTACATTGTCTCTTGCAAACTACTCAAGTCACAAATGCTAAAATATATTAAATTAGACCTTGTTATCTGGCACCACAGCCACAAATACAAAACAGTTTTAAATAGCTAATCTGAATGTAATAAGTCTTTGAGGACAATGTCCTAAAATTCCATCATATGTTCTCCAAAAACCTATGCAAATAAGATAGCTACTATAAAACTGTCACAGTGCATGACCTAGCTACCAACAATGAAATAAAATAAAAAGCATGTTAAGAAAACAGGAATAAAAATGATCAGGAAAACTTCCTTAATCAGGAATATGTTTTTAAAGTCCTTTTAAAAAGGGCTACTTCAAACTTTGATTTAATAATAAATTGCATATCAAGATAGCACTGTTAACACTGTTCCACTATTACTCTGTGGAAATTTATACATGTTTCTATCTCAAAAAGGGAGTGTAAAATCTCCAAACTTGTGGGTAAAACTAAGATGTTACTGGTAACAAGGTGCCAAGCTGTTTTTACATAATCCACTTATTAAAGAAATGGGTATGGGGAAAGGAAACAATTAAATAGATAGAAGCCCTCGAATCAGTTCAGATTCAAGTGAAATTTCAAACTTACTATATCAATCTTATAGTTCAACAAATTATCTGAATTATCATAGTTATCAAAAAAATTAAAATGCTCTTGAAGTTGGGCACAAATTTTTAAAAGTACTTTTACTTTTTAATAC
This sequence comes from Homo sapiens, assembly GCF_000001405.40. Taxonomy (NCBI): domain Eukaryota; kingdom Metazoa; phylum Chordata; class Mammalia; order Primates; family Hominidae; genus Homo; species Homo sapiens. The sequence continues at coordinate 80,154,679 of NC_000006.12, read as the reverse complement.
ATTATAAAAGAAATCTTAAAGTATAAAATAAAAATAATTTTGATACCTAAAATTTAGGTCTTCTTTTGTTTGCCAAGAAATTCAATTACTATTATCAATTACTAGATTAGAGACTACTAAAAATATGGAACATTGGAATGAAATTATCTTAAGATGAACAAAGTGCTGTTTGTCACAACTTAGATAAGATCTTTAATGAATTAGTTGTGTCCTAGGAGGGGGAGCAAACTGAAGATAATAGTCTCTCAAATATACCTTCCTAATCTTATTAGATAGATGTTGTAAGAGATAGTATCAAGCTCTCTCAAATCACCTCTTGCCACCACCAGAGGCTCTGATTCTGACCCAGTAAAAAATATCACTTGATATAATTTGTTTCATATGTACTTGACCATGTACAAAGCACTGTAGTTAGTTGCTACAAATGATAAAGGGATAAATAAAACACCATCTGTCCTCACGCAACTTACAATGCGATAAGTCAAATATAATTATGATGTAAGAAAATGACATACAAATAAAATGCTATTAGAGGAGAGGGGAATTCTTTTGGGCTTGGAGGACTCATACAAAGTTTTATGAAAAAGAAGACACTGAATTAGGCACTGAAGAATGGGCAGAATTTCGACAGGCACAGGTAGAAGGTAAAGTGTGACCAAAGGCAGGAAATAAGGGCAAACTCTGAGTTGGGAAGCAAACCAAGAAGGCTGAAGTATAAGAGGATTAAAAACAGTAGTGGGAGATAAAGATAGAAAGTTTGGTGTATATAAGCAAGTTACTACAGTGCTTAAAAGCATGGGCTCTGGCATCACGATACATGGGTTTAAATCTGGTTCCACCATTTACCAGTTGTGTGGTGTTGGATTGTGCTTCAGTTTCCTCATCCACAAAATCAGGATAAAAATAACTAACCTGGCTATCAATCAGAGCTGATCTGAGGATCAAATAAGATAAAGCACATTCAAGTGCTCTGCAAACCATAAAGCATTTTATAAGATGTATAATGCTATTATCAGGATAGTGTTGAGGAAAATAAGAAGAAGAAAGAATTTGAGAAACACTATAGAACCAACAGGACTTAATAGTTGTTAGTTGAGAGGCACGTGGCAGCCAAAAATCCCCTGACAATTGGCACTGAGAAGTACTGAGGACGTTGCATGGTCTTTAAGGATCCCAGACCATCAGCTGGAAGATCTCACTAGGCATGTACTGTGCTCATCCTCAAACTCTATCCACTATCCTCAAACTCTATCCACTCCAGCTGGAAGATGTCTACAGTACCTTGAATCACTCAACAATAAGCATTATCTCTCTATCTGGGATGAAGGGTGGGGTGGGGAAGGAAGTTCAGCCATGACAGCGGGGCTGTGACAGGCAATTCAAAACTATGAACCCAAATCCTGTTCCATTAGCAAGACCATGAATGGGCACCAAGGAGGCACACATCCAAAGATCTTCATCCAAAAATCCTGAGGTTTACCACTGAACAGAGGGAGGCTATAAACAGGAAGCCTGGCCACGGCTCACCTTCTGCAAAAAAGAGACCCCAAGAGTGAGAATGAAGGGCTGAAGATCAAAGGCAACTCCTGGATTAAAGAACAATGTTACTGCTGCAGCTGTGTATCTACAGCAACTTACAGACTACACAGGTCAAGGATTGAACCCAACCAAGGGGGCCCAAAGCCCTCCAAGCACTGCTTGGAAATGAGGGGCAACTGATCCTAAGAGATCACAGTTCTTTTCAAGCAAGCCTCCACTTAAAAGCCCTCACTCTACACTAGCCCCCTCAAGGGTCCCTGAGCTATATGCTGTGTGCTGTTTGCCATAACATTTGACTAAGGTCCATATGACAGACATGATGATCCACAAAGGTACCAGCATGAACCTGGAAGTACAGGACCAACTCACCATGCCAAGAGCCCCAGATATCTTCAGGAATTGTCAGTGCTAGTTTTGATAAGGCTATGGGCCCATAGAAGATATATTACAACTAATAATAAATCAACTACTAGTGTTTCTTAACTTTATGTAAGCTAAAATTTGCTTCCGTGCATGCTCAATGTGATTCTGAGATAAAATGTCTGTACTTTGGAAATCACCCTGTCATGAATGAAACAAATGATTATGACCTAAATGTTTGGGTGTCAGGGAATATGACTACATAACCAGTTAAGCTTAAATTAAACTCTCATTTAAGTGACTATTTAAGCTTGTTAGCCTCTCCTTTAAGTGACACTTGAAGAGAAAAACACAAAAACTCATTTCAGGCAAACTGATATTTACTATGTCCTTAAAAAAGAAAGAATAACAGTCTTGTCATGTAAGAAAGAAAAACTATTTCAGTCTTCTATCTTTTATTAAAATCAAGTTTATTTATGTACCTGTACAAATTTCTTAAATGGAGCAATCTAAAACCTAAGAGATTAAAGTTGGAGTTTGGAGGAATACACAATAAAAATGTAGTTTTTCAAATTAATGTACACATAGCTGATGCTGAATAAACAGATTAAAAAAAAAAAGAATACAAAAATATTTCTGAATAAACCTGTAACGACTCCACAGTGCTTGAATACAACCAAAGCTGTTTTTCCAGAAAATCAAAAGAAGTATTATCATCATCCTTGTGATACCAGCTTCAATTTAAGGGCAAGCCATTGAAATTTTTCTTTTTAATCTTCCTTCATTTATATGGAAATGAGATGTTTCCTAAAACATATCTGTACCCAGTACCTACGTCAACACCAGAGCTCAAAGCACACAAATTCCTCCAGCTGATTCCTGACTATAAGTGAAAACAGCATGCCAACATCATCTAAAACCCTTGTGCGTCATTCACCAAGGAGGACATTACCAAGCTGTCAATTTCAATTAACCTGCCTAGCTTTATAAATAGCCTAAACTGCTCTATCTAAATAGGCTGGTGCCCTTTTCTCAGAAACAAAGGGAACAATATGACAAAGCATGAAAAATAAATGAGCTTTCCCCTTTGTAAACAAGAGAAGGTTGACATTAAATGAATTCTAAGTCCAAACTGAGGACCTATTAATAAAAGAAAGCTCAAGAGAATGAAGAATCAGTTTTAACCTGAAAATAAGCAATATTCACTAACTATATCTGATATTGTTCTTTCAAAATATCTGAGTCTCACTGCTACTGGAACTAACTAAAGGCCCACATACAGGCGGTCCCAAATGCAATACAGTTTAAAAGCCCCAAATGATTAATGTTTGGCCAAAAACAAAAAAACAAAAAAAAAAAAAGTTAGTTTTAAAAATTAAATAATATCATTATATTCTAAATCTGAAATGTTTTCTAATTTTCATAACTTACATCAACTTTTCTTATGCTAGCTCTAAATGTTTCTGCATCTAAAATCAATTATAACAAACAAATCTTACACATCACTTCTACAATCTAATTACTTGTGTATAGTATTTTTCTAGTTCACACTCCAATGAGTAAATAAAAATAGAATCAGAAAACACATCAATAAGATGTATCAAAACGCAGAAATTAACTGGTACAGATCATTAATCAGGCTAGTGAATCCATTAGTCCATCTAATAATATTCCATTGTATAGAAAACACAGTTGGCCCATATTAATCTTAGGTAAAATACATGTGAATTCATGTGTGAATAAGTACACATATATGCACATGTATCATCCAAGTGATGCTTAACAAGCTTATTAAAAATGGCATAATATAACAGTGACATTTCACATATATTAAGGACAGTATTCAGCTCACTGAAATATCTAGGACTCAATTAAAAGCTAAGAAGTTAAATAAAAAAGATTTCTGAACAATCAAAAAAGATGAGGCTGGGTGTGGTGGCTCACGCCTGTAATCCTAGCACTTTGGGAGGCTAAGGCAGGCTGGTCACCTGAGGTCAGGAGAAAAAGACCAGTGTGGCCAACATGGTGAAACTCCATCTCTACTAAAAATACAACAATTAGCTGTGTGTGGTGGTGCACGCCTGTAATCCCAGCTACTTGGGAGGCTGAGGCAGGAGAATCACTTGAACCCAGAAAGCAGAGGTTGTAGTGAGCCAAGATCGCACCACTGCACTCCAGCCTGGATGACAGAGCAAGGCTCCATCTCACAAAAAAAAAAAAAAAAAAAAAAGATGACAAACTTGATTGACTATACTTAAAAGAGGTTCCTACTGTCACTCATATTAGCTTTAGAAAATTCCATTAGACATCATTCACTGATATGCAATATATTTACTGTATCAGTTAAATGAATCATCATTTTATTTCCTTTATTTGCACTATATCCTAGCTGGTTTCCCATTCTTCATTCATTCAACCAATCTTTGTGTTTGGCACTATTATGGGCATCGTGGGAGACAAGAAGGTGAATATTATATATAAGTAAATACATGGTTGAAAATAAGTATACTGAGTTACAGGTACAGTACTAGATGGAAATAGACAATAGTTAAAAGGAATTCTAGATAGCAAGGGCTATAAGAAGATGAGCAGGGTCCAGAATAGAGGTTGGATTTGAAGTGGAAAGAGAGGGCCTTCTGAGGGACAGAGCAGCATAAGGAAGGCAGACAGGCAGAGAAGACTGGGGACAACTGGTGGGTAGTGTGGGTGCAGCCAAGAATATGGGGGAAAAAACTTGAAGCTAGAAACAAAAGTCTTATACTAAGCTATGAAAACTGGACTTTACTATTTTTTTTTATTATTATTATGCTTTAAGTTTTAGGGTACATGTGCACAATGTGCAGGTTAGTTACATATGTATATATGTGCCATGCTGGTATGCTGCACCCATTAACTCGTCATTTAGCATTAGGTATATCTCCTAATGCTATCCCTCCCCCCTCCCCCCATCCCATAACAGTCCCCAGAGTGTAATGTTCCCCTTCCTGTGTCCATGTGTTCTCATTGTTCAATTCCCACCTATGAGTGAGAATATGTGGTGTTTGGTTTTTTGTTCTTGTGATAGTTTACTGAGAATGATGATTTCCAATTTCATCCATGTCCCTACAAAGGACATGAACTCATCATTTTTTATGGCTGCATAGTATTCCATGGTGTATATGTGCCACATTTTCTTAATCCAGTCTATCATTGTTGGACATTTGGGTTGGTTCCAAGTCTTTGCTATTGTGAATAGTGCTGCATGTGTGTGAATAAACATATGTGTGCATGTGTCTTTATAGCAGCATGATTTATAGTCCTTTGGGTATATACCCAGTAATGGGATGGCTGGGTCAAATGGTATTTCTAGTTCTAGGTCCCTGAGGAATCGCCACACTGTCTTCCACAATGGTTGAACCAGTTTACGGTCCCAGCAACAGTATAAAAGTGTTCTATTTCTCCACATCCTCTCCAGCACCTGTTGTTTCCTGACTTTTTAATGATTGCCATTCTAACTGGTGTGAGATGGTATCTCACTGTGGTTTTGATTTGCATTCCTCTGATGGCCAGTGATGGTGAGCATTCTTTCATGTGTTTTTGGCTGCATAAATGTCTTCTTTTGAGAAGTGTCTGTTCATGTCCTTCGCCCACTTTTTGATGGGGTTGTTTGTCTTTTTCTTGTAAATTTGTTTGAGTTCTTTGTAGATTCTGGATATTAGCCCTTTGTCAGATGAGTAGGTTGCAAAAATTTTCTCCCATTTTGTAGGTTGCCTGTTCACTCTGATGGTAGTTTCTTTTGCTGTGCAGAAGCTCTTTAGTTTAATTAGATCCCATTTGTCAATTTTGGTTTTTTGTTGCCATTGATTTTGGTGTTTTAGACATGAAGTCCTTGTCCATGCCTATGTCCTGAATGGTAATGCCTAGGCTTTCTTCTAGGGTTTTTATGGTTTTAGGTCTAACATTTAAGTCTTTAATCCATCTTGAATTAATTTTTGTATAAGGTGTAAGGAAGGGATCCAGTTTCAGCTTTCTACATATGGCTAGCCAGTTTTCCCAGCACCATTTATTAAATAGGGAATTGTTTCCCCATTGCTTATTTGGACTTTACTATTAAACACTGAGAAGATTTTAAGCAAAGAAGTGTTATGATCAGAGCTTTATTTTGGAAAATCAATCTCACAGATATTTTTAAATTAAATAAGACTAGGAAGGAGAGTGAGAACAAAGACTCATGATAATTGCTATAATCATTCAGATCAAAAGTACTGGGAGCATGAACTATGATAGTGGCAATGGGAACAATAGTGAAAGAAACCCCAAAGTAAAACCAGCAGAGCTTGACAGCTCTGACGTCTTAAATCTGAGCTGTTTTGAGGACCCAAAAGCAGGATCTAAGAGAAAGAGCTCAAAAGTCACCATACAGAAGAAAATGCAAGCAGAAAGGTTTCTACACTGATCTGAAACTAATAAGCATATATGCAGAAGGATGACTTTCACTTGAAATAAAGTAGATATGGACACTTCTTAAAAATGTCAGGACCACTTTTAAGCAAAAGGTGAGTGGAAAGCCAGAAAGTATCATGAAGACAATGGAAGCATTAGTTTGGTCAGTATCAGATGGCCTGCTAAAATAAGCTGGGATACAGAGTATAATCAAGCATTTCAGAACTAAAGAAATCTAAATGTATTCTACAATATATTACAGGATTTAACCTATCTCCTCAAAATCTCAGTTTTCTAATCTATGTCTGACCCTACTTTTCCATGAAAATTGCTTTTATTGAGGTCAGCAAGTACCAATGGCCTCCTAATTGTAACAACCAACAGGAATTTCATTCAATGTGTAACCCCTCACCACTGCTCTGGATCCTTGCCTCTCCATTCACCTCAACTTCAAAGAATCACAATCCTGTCAATTCTCCCTGACTGATGCCTCATCACCTATCCCTTCCCTCCACTACCACAATTTAGACTCTCATTACCTCTCAGATAGGTGCTGTGGTTCTCAGACCTGCAGCAGCTGCTGCTTCTGGAAACTTCTTAGCAGTAAAGATTGTTGGGCCCCATCTCAAACCTACTAAATCAGAAATCTTGAGGGTGAAATCCAGCATTCTATGATCTAAGAAGCATTCCAGGGGCCTCTGACGCACACCGAAGGTCACAACGCCTGGACTCAGGCATCATCTCACCCCCGTCTCCCTGCTTTTAGTCTCAGCTTCTCTACACTGTGACCACAGTTATGTTTTAAATTACAATTTAATCACTCAACTTACCACCTTCTCTGATTGTCTTCAAAATGTATGAACCTTTTTTAAACATAAAAAGTTAATAGACATCAAAGGTTAAATTATTTGTAATCTAATGCAACTTGAATTTGTACAAACATATAATTTTATAAAAATAGCAATAACTCCTTATATTTATTGAGCACATATATCACTACTATTTTCTTCAAAGAGAACACAAAACCAATACAATGAACAACATTAATTAGCAATCAGTTTCTTCAAACTTAATCACAATGTCAGGTTTAATCACAGAAAGATGAGGTCTCAGGCCTGGTTTCAGTTGTGAAACCTGGGGAAGTTATTTTACCTCTTTGTACATTAGTTTCTGTATCTGCAAAGTGGGATAAGAATAGAACTAACTTTACAGGATTGTTGAGAATTAAGTGAGTTAATATATGTAAAGTTCTAAGAACAGTGCTGGGCATGTAAAAAGCACTCTAAGACTTTGCTGCTACTATTATCACCATCAATATCATTATCAATATTATTATATTAATGTAGCAAGTATGTGTGTATGTAAGCATAGTGCCAACTGCTAATTGTCCCCCAGTATTTATTCTCCCCTTCTCCCGCAGTAACAGAACCCCAGAGCTTTAGCTGAGCACATGTCCACACAGAACAAAGACTACATTTCCCAGCCTTCCTTCTCTCTAGATGTATTTTATTAATACATTCTCCTTGGAGAATTAACCTCCAGATTCTTCCAGGTGGTAGAGGGAAGCTAGAGATCTGAGGGGCTCTTAAAAAGATTTTCAACCAATTCTCCCTATTCTAAAGCCCCACTCCATTCATCCCTATTCCCAGAAGTACTTGATGTTGCCAATTCCTAAGCCTTTGGGCAATTCTTTAATGTAAACCAGGCTGGTTCTTGGCTGCCCCACTGCTCACTCCAGATTCTGTTTTTCCAAGCCTCCTAAGTCCTTTACCTTCCAGCTTCCAACATTTTCTTCAGGTTGTCTCCAGTCCCATTCTCCCCATCCCTGCGGATTTAGGCCTTGACAAAAGAAGATCCCTTGATATTTTAGTGGGGTTTTGGGAGGAACAAAAGTAGATGCCTATGTTCAATTGCTTCTTTTTCCAGAAGTCTCAGTTGCCATTTTCTATCAAAACTCTCAATGCACAATTTAATTCTGTCATTTAAATTCTAGCCTAAATAAAAGAAACGAAGTTACCAGGCGTTATTTTTATCATTTTATATTGTTATTTCATTCTTACACTGTTATTTTACTTCCATGTAATTTTGCTTTGGCCTATGTATACTATGATTTCCTTAAAGGCAGGGACCACATCTTTAAAATTTTAGTACCTTCCAGAGCAGTAGTTCTCAAACTTGGCCGCACATTTGAATCACTTGGGGACCTTTTAAACCTCCAACACCCTGGCCACATTCCATACCAGTAACTCCTAATCTCTGGGGTGAGACTGGCATGTCAGTATTGCAGCATATGGGCAAGGTAGGGAAGCAGTGCTGTGAAGCAAACAGTGTTGTAGCTGTCTGAAACCCATTTCAAATATTTATTCCACATATATACACACATACACACAACTGGAAGGCATCTACCTTCCTAGGATGGCATCTCCAACAAGCTCTTAGAGCTAATAAATTGGTCTCTGTAACCAGGAAAATAACCCAAGAGATCCCAGGGCATACTAAAGAAGTGCCTTAGCCTAGACAAAGCCTGGTGGTGTTTATTATACTTCAACAGTAACTACCTACTTCCTGTACCCACTGGTCAATGTGGTAATGGTATCAGTCAACACCAGCCTTTCTCTACTGAGCATATTTCAGCCCACTACTGTCTTGTAATCTCTTCACAACTTGTGAACAGTTGGTCCAGCAATCACATCACATGTGTCAGTGGAACCAAGGCTATTTTAAATGGCCAGCTTCCAGTTCTGCAGAAACTATAAAACTGACCCAACTAAATGAAACTGACAGAGTTGAGTTGCCAGGCAGCAGAAGCTCCAAAATATCTATAAGAGCAGCTTAAAGAACCATTCTAGTTGGAAACAAAAGCCAGTGGGCTTGTGTTAAACTTACATGTTCATAGCAAGCCCATTGTTTTTACTTAGATTTGATGTATGGATGAGGTGGTTTGGGGGAAAGTCCCCTCAAGCACTCCTGATACCACAATGTTAGCAAAGGCAAGGACCACTGATCCATATGTTGTTACTGCACCATCAACACAGGCTTTTGTGTGTATGCTCCAGAGGATGGACAACAGTCCACTCATGGCTGTGCACAATAAAGAAGAGGACAGGCAAGGCAAGACCCTGCCCAACTAACTGCTAAAGCCTCCACAAGAGAGATTCACAACAGAAAGATAGAGTCCATGTGATCTGGAAGGGAAAAAACACATCAAATGCTAACAGTTGGATCAAATCCCTTAGCAGTTTGGCAGAAATTAGAAACCAAAACAGACACAAACAATAGCAGAAGGGGATCTACAAAGATAAAACTGAACAAGAAAATCCTGATACGTTATGTAACTACGTACAACTCTCAGAAAGAACGCTGCCTATTCTCTGATCCTGTACTTCCCTGGAACATGGAGATATTCTAGGGAAAATGAAACGTGGGATGGAAAAAACAACAGCAGTGGCACTATACTGCTACAAGACAATTTAAACAGTGGAAGACTGTGCAGTAACTTGGCTGTTGCTCCCTTAGTAAAATGAATACTGTGCAGCTTAGGATCACTCAGACTGGTAAAATTGGGAACAAATTTTACTGAAATTTTACTTTACTGAAATCTTTCAATGTAATGGGAGTTTAAGCTGAGCCATGAACTACCTTCTACTTCATGCTTTAAGAAAGAAAGAGGGTGAGCTAGAAATGAGCGTGAATTAAGTTAATCTGGCCAGAAATGAATGAAGGGAATGCTTCATTGAGACTATTTGGCTCAAATTCTGCTTACAAGTGTCTAAGAGATATCAGAAGAGGCTGGGTAGGTTGGAAGTTCCCAAGATCCAGGTTCCCCTCCCGATTCACCTTCATCAAACTGCAGGATGAATTCAGTCATTACAGAGAACACAACTAGTGCATTAAATGTATGTCAAGATATCAAACTTTCTCTTTTCATATAAACAGTTATGCATTGTAATCAGAGTTGTAACTTTCTCTGACATATTGTATACTATAAAAGCTAAAAAGTTCTTGGACAGAAACTTTGCAGAATCTTTATTTGACAAAAGAAAAAGTGCCTTCTTCATGCAAATACCTAAGTTGCCTTACTGGACTTATGAATTTGTTAAGAACACGATAAGTTTTCCTTTTCAGGTCCATCCTATCAATGCTTAATTTAGATCTGAATAAATCCAGTGGGCTTATGCCATTTAATATGCTGTATTTCTGCCGTTGAATACAGAATTAAGATGTTCCTGAAGTGATTTTGAGTTTCCTTTTGAGTTTTGAGGAACATCCACTTTTTTAAAGAAAGAAATGCTCAAATTCATTGTCTATAGGATATTGATTAAGGATATACTACTAGGTTTGTGTGTTTCCTTTTGGCTTAGAAACAAGTTTCTTTGTTTCTGCTAGACTCCAAGCTGGCAAAGACCAGAAAACAGAAAAGATGGGTTAAATGAACAGCATGCCCAGAAACGGAGAAGAAATTCCTTATTACTAAAGATACTAGAGTTTCCAAGAGCCAGTATTACAGAATAAGAATCCTCTGACTAATTTATGATTGGCTAGATGCCACCACTTCTGGCTGGTGGCCAGAGGATCTAGAGGGGAAGGATGGCAGGATGCCACAAGAGAAGGTCAAGCATTTCACTGCTAAAGCCGCCTTTGGGTGTAGCTGCTCACCAGGAAACTGAAAACTTTTTGTCCAACAAGCTTCACAAGTGATTTCTTAGCACATGACATTTGCCAACCTTTACCTAACTGATCCTTCATCAACTCTGCCAATCAAAGCAACTGAGAAATCTCATCTATGTTAAATGGGAACAGAAAACAAAGCACTGTGCTCTAATTCTCTATGACTTTTGCATAGGCAGTCTCACTCAACAAATATCTGGCAAATGACATTAATACTGTCCTCCACGTAGAGCTGTTTTTATTGGCTCCTCCTAGTCTGACTGGAAAATAACTTTTCCTAGTGAACTTTATGATTATGTGACTTTATAACTGCATTAAAGGTGATAACAGTGGATTTCCAAGACAGAATTAGAGGCACAGAATGTATTGCTGTGTAATAACCTACACATTTAGATTCAAACTTCCTGAGACAGTTAAGTGACTTCAGGTAAGTGACAATATCAACTCAATGTCTGAGCACAGTGTCAACGTGAAGTTGCCATACAGCTGCTATGGCTATCACACATGCAACTCCTAGAAAGAGGAGCAGTTGAAATTTAACGGACTTTGTGATCTGTTTTAAGATGAACAAAACAGGATGGGAGAATCCAAGCATCCCCAGATATTGACCAATCTGAACTGCTCCATAAAATTGTTATACTGATCCTTTTTCAGCCCTGATAATTTTAGGAATCTAAATTGTCTGTATTTATTGATACTCTTCACTGGATTTCTTTTTAATTTTGAGAAATTTGGTAGAAATGTTACACTGATAATCTCCCAGACTTCTGAGAAATTGAAATCAAGGAATATGCGGCACTGTTTGAAAGAGAAAAAAATTTTTTCATAACTGGACTGATCTAAGCTAATCTAAGAATCTCCAAAATAGCAGTGGCAGCAGGCCCATTTTTAATTCCTTCACTGCATGTGGTTTTTCTTTAGAAAAGAAAAATGACTCTGACAAAAGATAAATAAACTTAATAGTCTTAAAGTTAGGTCAAAGAAACACAAAAGCAAAATGTTTTTCAATACTCCTCCTCCCCCAACACAGCCAATATTGCAGCATGGTAATCAAAAGCATGAATAGAGAGAGTCAGAGTAAGCACTACTGTATTTTTCAAATGTGTAAAAATCCCCAACTTTGTATTATTTTTATATGTTTTTATTCCCATTCCTGTGTCCCAAAGGGACTCCTATGGCCTTCTAAAAGGTATTATTAGATCTGAAAGAAAAGTGCTAAATATATAGCTATAGTACTTAATAGTTCTATGTTCTACTCTACCTTTACGTATGGGTCAGCTATACCTAGGAATGGCAGCAAGTCACACATTACCTGACATTCAACCTGAGCAATAATAGATAGACAGTATTTATAACTCATATTAGGATTAACATAATTCATCTTTTTAGTGGATAACATTATATGTTAAACTCTCTTAAAATTTCAATATATATTTGTATTTTATTTGATTTTATAATCTAACACTTATTACTCAATAAAATAAATTTCAACTACGTACATAGATTTCCTCAAGATCTATGGTTGAAATGGGAAGTTTAAAGCAAAAGAACAGGCTTGTAATCCAAAAATTATATCTGAATCAAAAAACAAGCAACTCCAAATACATAAGAAATGAAAATTCACTGGTCTTGATGTGCAAAAATTAGAAACTGAGCTGTCAAAAATAAAACAATTAAAATATCTAGGGTGTACTCATTCAAGAAATTCTAAATACTGAAGGGAAAAAAATGTCTGGGTTCCTCCCCCTGTTAAAGGCACCAGTCTAGAAGAGAATTTTCAGAAGACTAAGAATCAGGTTTGGGAAACTAATTTAGCAACATCTTTCATATTACGTGGATGTGTGGCTTGAGGATGTGGATGTCATATTTGATAATGAAAATATAAAACAAAGATCTTTTACTTTTCTAATACATATTGTTCTTAATAAAATACACATGGTCTCATTTTCTAATTCTTGTGATGCTTAAAAGATACATGAATCAATTTTATACTTTCTGACAATAATTATCTATAATCCCATTTTTCCTTGTTCACTTTAATCCAAGCCTATCTTCCAAGCCCCTATTGGTGCTCACATTTGAACATTTTTAAAAGCATGCCATTGTCAAATAAGATTGAGAAAAACTGGCTTAAGGTCATTACATTCTGACTGATACTTAAAATGTCAAAGAGAACACCTGTTGGTAGCTCTAACATTTATTGTGTAATCAATTAAATTGAAAACAATGGTTACAGAAGTAGCTCCAACCCCAGAACAACCTAATGCACTCAGAAAATCTCGTTCACAAGAGAATCACAAAAATAGATTTTTTTCAAACTTTTTAATATAGGTTTCTGATCGCTAGCCTCTTATTTCATGACTAATCAAAACCCATGACCTTTGTTTCATTAGAATTCCTTATTTTTGAAGGGTTTTTAATTAATGAATCCAGGAGCTGGTTTTTTGAAAGGATCAACAAAATTGATAGACCGCTAGCAAGACTAATAAAGAAGAAAAGAGAGAAGAATCGAATAGACGCATTAAAAATGATAAAGGGGATATCACCACCGATCCCACAGAAATACAAACTACCGTCAGAGATTACTACAAACACCTCTACGCAAATAAACTAGAAAATCTAGAAGAAATGGATAAATTCCTGGACACGTACACTCTCCCAAGACTAAACCAGGAAGAAGTTGAATCTCTGAATAGACCAATAACAGGAGCTGAAATTGTGGCAATAATCAACAGCTTATCAACCAAAAAGAGTCCAGGACCAGATGGATTCACAGCCGAATTCTACCAGAGGTACAAGGAGGAACTGGTACCATTCCTTCTGAAACTATTCCAATCAATAGAAAAAGAGGGAATCCTCTCTAACTCATTTTATGAGGCCAGCAACATCCTGATACCAAAGCCAGGCAGAGACACAACCAAAAAAGAGAATTTTAGACCAATATCCTTGATGAACATTGATGCAAAAATCCTCAAAAAAATACTGACAAACCGAATCCAGCAGCACATCAAAAAGCTTATCCACCATGATCAAGTGGGCTTCATCCCTGGGATGCAAGGCTGGTTCAATATACGCAAATCAATAAATGTAATCCAGCATATAAACAGAACCAAAGACAAAAACCACATGATTATCTCAATAGATGCAGAAAAGGCCTTTGACAAAATTCAACAACCCTTCATGCTAAAAACTCACAATAAATTCGGTATTCATGGGACGTATCTCAAAATAATAAGAGCTATCGATGACAAACCCACAGCCAATATCATACTGAATGGACAAAAACTGGAAGCATTCCCTTTGAAAACTGGCACAAGACAGGGATGTCCTCTCTCACCACTCCTGTTCAACATAGTGTTGGAAGTTCTGGCCAGGGCAATTAGGCAGGAGAAGGAAATAAAAGGTATTCAATTAGGAAAAGAGGAAGTCAAATTGTCCCTGTTTGCAGATTACATGATTGTATATCTAGAAACCCCATTGTCTCAGCCCAAAATCTCCTTAAGCTGATAAGCAACTTCAGCAAAGTCTCAGGATACAAAATCAATGTACAAAAATCACAAGCATTCTTATACACCAATAAAAGACAAACAGAGAGCCAAATCATGAGTGAACTCCCATTCACAATTGCTTCAAAGAGAATAAAATACTTAGGAATCCACCTTACAAGGGAAGTGAAGGACCTCTTCAAGGAGAACTACAAACCACTGCTCAATGAAATAAAAGAGAATACAAACAAATGGAAGAACATTTCATGCTCATGGATAGGAAGAATCAATATCGTGAAAATGGCCATACTGCCCAAGGTAATTTATAGATTCAATGCCATCCCCATCAAGCTACCAATGACTTTCTTCACAGAATTGGAAAAAATGACTTTAAAGTTCATATGGAACCAAAAAAGAGCCCACATCGCCAAGTCAATCCTAAGCCAAAAGAACAAAGCTGGAGGCATCACACTACCTGACTTCAAACTATACTACAAGGCTACAGTAACCAAAACAGCATGGTACTGGTCCCAAAACAGAGACATAGATCAATGGAACAGAACAGAGCCCTCAGAAATAATGCCACATATCTACAACTATCTGATCTTTGACAAACCTGAGAAAAACAAGCAATGGGGAAAGGATTCCCTATTTAATAAATGGTGCTGGGAAAACTGGCTAGCCATATGTAGAAAGCTGAAACTGGATCCCTTCCTTACACCTTATACAAAAATCAATTCAAGATGGATTAAAGACTTAAATGTTAGACCTAAAACCATAAAAACCCTAGAAGAAAACCTAGGAAGTACCATTCAAGACATAGGCATGGGCAAGGACTTCATGTCTAAAACACCAAAAGCAATGGCAACAAAAGACAAAATTGACAAATGGGATCTAATTAAACTAAAGAGCTTCTGCACAGCAAAAGAAACTACCATCAGAGTGAACAGGCAACCTACAAAATGGGAGAAAATTTTCACAACTTACTCATCTGACAAAGGGCTAATATCCAGAATCTACAATGAACTCAAACAAATTTACAAGAAAAAGACAAACAACCCCATCAAAAAGTGGGCGAAGGACATGAACAGACACTTCTCAGAAGAAGACATTTATGCAGCCAAAAACCACATGAAAAAATGCTCACCATCACCGGCCATCAGAGAAATGCAAATCAAAACCACAATGAGATATCATCTCACAGCAGTTAGAATGGCAATCATTAAAAAGTCAGGAAACAACAGGTGCTGGAGAGGATGTGGAGAAATAGGAACACTTTTACACTGTTGCTGGGACTATAAACTAGTTCAACCATTGTGGAAGTCAGTGTGGCGATTCCTCAGGGATCTAGAACTAGAAATACCATTTGACCCAGCCATCCCATTACTGGGTATATACCCAAAGGATTATAAATCATGCTGCTATAAAGACACATGCACACGTATGTTTATTCACACACATGCAGCACTATTCACAATAGCAAAGACTTGGAACCAACCCAAATGTCCAACAATGATAGACTGGATTAAGAAAATGGGGCACATATACACCAAGGAATACTATGCAGCCATAAAAAATGATGAGTTCATGTCCTTTGTAGGGACATGGATGAAACTGGAAATCATCATTCTCAGTAAACTATCGCAAGAACAAAAAACCAAACACCACATATTCTCACTCATAGGTGGGAATTGAACAATGAGAACACATGGACACAGGACGGGGAACATCACACTCTGGGGACTGTTGTGGGGTTGGGGGACGGGGGAGGAATAGCATTGGGAGATATACCTAATGCTAGATGACGAGTTAGTGGGTGCAGTGTACCAGCATTGCACATGTATACATATGTAACTAACCTGCACATTGTGCATATGTACCCTAAAACTTAAAGTATAATAATAATAAAAAAAAAGAATTCCTTATTTTTATGTTTTTACATAAATTAGCTGTTCATTTATAAATGAGGGAAAAATATATAGTACAAAAATCCTAGAACTGGGTTTTAGGAAGCGTGAGCCCTAGACCACTTGCCACTGAGCAACTCCACCTCTCAGAATTTCAGTGTCCACATTACATGGAAATAGATCAGAGTCTCTCAGCCTTGCTGCACTATTTTTTTTAGAGTCTGGGTCTCCTTCTATCACCCAGGCTAGACTGCAGTGGTATGATCACAGCTCACTGCAGCCTCAAACTCCTGGGCTCTCCTGCTTCAGCCTCCAAAGCAGGTGGACTACAGCTGTGTGCCACCCTGCTCAGCTATTTTTTTTTTTTAATTTTTTGTAGGGGTGGGGTCATCTTGCTATGTTGCCCAGGCTGGTCTCAAACTCTTGGCCTCAAGCAATCCTCCCACCTTGGCCTCCCAAAGCACTAGGATTACAACTGTAAGCCATCATGCCCAGCCAGCTTCAACAGTATTGACATTTTGGTACGGACAGTTATTTGGTGGGGCTGCCCTGTGCATGTTTAGCAGCATTCTAGGTCTCCATCCACCAGATTCTAGTGGTACCCCCCAAGGTATGACAACCAAAAATATCTCTAGACATTGCCAAAATCACCAGCAGTTGAAAACCACTAGACTAGATATACCCTCCATTTCTCCCCAGCTCTGATATCCTACAAAATATATTAAATATCTTATTTTCTTAAATGGTATTTGTTAAGCCACTGGTCAACAAGCCAACAGTGAGAATACTGTGAGAGGCGGAAGGACTGCTTGAGCCCAAGAGTTCAAGGCTGCAGTGAAGTATGATTGTACCACCACACTCCAGTATAGGAAATAGAGCAAGACCCTGACTCTTAAACAAATAAATAGAGAAATAAATAAATAGTGCTGACAGGCTGAGAAATTCTTATCTAGTCTATATCCACGTCATATAGAACTAAAGTTCTGAGAGGTCAGTGTTATAAATTAGAGAAAGTAAAATACAGTGACCGTTTGTACCCATTCTAATTTTAGTAGTGTCTAAAATCCTTATTTGGAAAAATCACAAAAGGTCATCAAAGTAATAAATAAGAAAAACTAAAGTAAATGAAGCATGCATCAATATTTCCATTCCATTTTCTATGCTAACTCATTCAGCTGGATTTTTTAAATGAGATAAAAAGAAAGGCATATTGCTGCATCATATGGAAATTCTAATTTTTTGAGGAACTACCGTACTGTTTTCCACTGTGGCTGTGTCGCTTTACATTCCCACCAACAATGCACAATGATTCCAATTTCATCCTCAGCAACACTTGTTATTTCCTGTTTTCTTGATAACAGCCATCCTAATGAGTACGAAGTGGTATTCCACTGGGATACTGACTTGCATTTCCTAATAATTGATGATGTTGAGCATCTTTTCACTGGTAATTTATATACTGGTAATTTATATATAAATTATCAATTTGGGAGAAATGTCTATGCAAGTCCTTTGCTTATTTTTTTAATTGATTGGGGTTTTTTTTGTAGAGTTTTAGAAGTTCTCCATATATTCTGGATATTAATCTCTTATCTGATACATGATTTGCAAGTATTTTCTCCCATTCTGTGAACTGCCTTTTTTCCCTGTTAATAGTGTCCTTCAAAGTACATATTTTTAATTTCGATGCAGTCCAATTTATCTATTTTTATTGTTGCCTATACCTTTAGAGCCATATTTAAAAAGTCATTATCAAATCCAATTTCACGAAGCTTTTCCCCTACATTTTCTTCTAAGAGTTTTATAGTTTTACATTTAAGTCTGTGATCTATTTTGAGTTCATTTTTGTATATGGTGTTAAATAAAGGTCCAAATTCATTCTTTTGCATGTGAATATCCAGTTTTCCCAGCATCATTTGTTGAAAAGACTGTCCTTTCCCCTGTTGAATGGTATTGGCATCATTGTCAAAAATTAATGACTAGATATTCAAGGGTTTATTTCTGGGTTCTCTATTCTATTCCATTCATCAATGTTTGTCTTTTTGCCACTGTCACACCGTTTTGATAACTACAGCTTTGCAGTAAGTTTTGAAAAAAAGAACTGTGAGTCCTCCAACTTTGTTCTTCTGAATTAAAAAAGCAGTGACACTACCAAATATTTGCACATCAGTATTTATAGCAGTCTTAGGACACAATAGGCAAAAGGCAGAAGCAACCCAAACATCCATCAACAAATGAATGGATAAACAAAATGTAGTATATGCATACAACACAATATTATGCAGCCTTAAAAAGGGAGGAAACTTTGACACATGCTGAAACATCAATAAACCTTGAGGACATTATTATAAATGAATAAGGCAGTCACAAAAGGACAAATACTAAATGATTCCACTCACATAAGGAACAGTCAAATTCATAGAGATAGAAAGTAGAATGGGTTCTTGCCAGGGACTGTTGGAGAGAAAATGGGGAGTTATTGTTAGATGGTTATAGTGTTTCAGTTTTGTAAGATGAAAAAAGTTCTGGTGATGGATGGTGGTAATAATTGCACCACAACGTGAATGTACTTAATAACACTGAACTGTAAAAATGGTTAAAACAGTAAATGTTATATATATTTGACCATAATTTTTAGAAATAAATTAATGTTTGTGAAAAAAGCACTGTGGGGAAAAAAAGGCATATTAAACATGTTCATCTAGTTCTGCCAACATGTGCACCTTTGGAAAACAAAAGAACTTTGTAATATCAAGAGCAATTTAAAGCTACTAACAATCCTTTAAAAATATTTTTAATAAATATATTAGGAAACCAGATTTACACCAACTTATTAATACCTGTTTTCACTCCAAATTCCTGTTAGACATCTCACAATCTATATCTGGTATTCAATCTGCTTGTATGTCATAAATATGTATACTTCAATAGGGGAAATAAATCCTCTACATATTCAATTTCCCTAAGGAATTTTCCTGAATTTTATCCTGTTTTTTTCTTCCATAAAATTAGTTTCAACAACCCAGAAACCAAACCCCCATCTCACAGATTGCCATTCTACAATGGAACCCTGACACTAAATCCAAGAGTATGAGTATCACCCAAATAACCCGTTCTTTGCAACAAGAACATATAATGGAAGATCACTTTCTCTGTTAAAGACATTAATTTCATAATTCACAAAAAATATATAAGAGAGCAAAGATTTTGCTAACACCCCTAAATTTAAAACTTATGCTGGAAAAGCAGCCAAGTGTGGTGGCTCACACCTATAATCCCAGCACTTTGGGAGGCCAAGGCTGGCGGATCACTTGAGGTCAGGAGGTCGAGACCAGCCTGGCCAACATGATGAAACCCCATCTCTACTAAAAATACAAAAATCAGCCAGGCATAGTGGTGTATGCCTATTATCCCAGCTACTCAGAGGCTGAGGCACAAGAATCACTTGAACCTGGGGAATGGAAGTTGCAGTGAGCTGAGATCTCGCCACTGCACTCCAGCCTGGGTGACAGAGTGAGACTCCAACTCAAATAAATAAATAAATAAATAAATAAAATAAAACAAAACGCTGGAAAAGGGACATCTTAAGAAAAAATTAAATTAAATGCCTAAGGTACCCCATGGTTCCAAAATGCTATAACAACTATATTCAAAAAAACCTCTAAATGTAAAGGGAATCAAAGCATGAAAAAACTGTGTTCCTCTTTTTAAAAACAAATAAAACCATAAAGCTTACCTAAATGTATGCTCTGGAAGAATCCCAGAGGACCACCTAGTCCTTTCCCTTCAATTTACTGATGAGGATACTGAGGCCCAAAGTCAACTCCCAAATATTGATATATTATAGACAAAAACTTGCCTTCACCGCATGCCTGTCCTAGTTTTCCAACCTGACTTCAGTGTATTAAAGTATCTGGTTATACAATTTCAGTGATGTTTACATAAGAAAACAAGTAAGTGGTTATATTAGTTTTCCCAAGCTGCTATGACAGGCCACACCTGTGGTGTAAAGGAATGGATACAGTAATGGAAAAACATCAAGTCCCATGAAAAGGCACATGTTTAGGCCTGTAGACTAATTCAGGAGGTCCTCAGCTATTCCTTTCCTCACCTAAATTTCCTCCAATAAGTGGGCCAAATATACACTAAGAACCACAACCAGGCAAGTTATATCAGTATAGAATAATGTTACAAACATACCTTAAACCTGACACACCAAAATCTTATTTTAATAACACACACACACACATACACTCTTTCTCTTTCTCTCTCTCTCAGAGAATGACAATACGAATGGATTTTTTATATGCCATGAGGAATCTGTCTCATTACTTATATGAATGAAAGCATGTGTGACACCAGGCACAGTGGCTCACGCCTGTAATCCCAGCACTTTGGGAGGCCAAGGGAGGCAGATCACCTGAGGTCAGGAGTTCGAGACCAGCCTAGCCAACATGATGAAACCCCGTCTCTACTAAAAATACAAAAATTAGCCAGGTGTGGTGGTGGGCACCTGTAGTCCCAGCTACTTGGGAGGCTGAGGCAGGAGAATTGCTTGAACCTGGGAGAGAGAGGTTACAGTGAGCCGTGATCGCATTACTGCACTCCAGCCTGGGTGACAGAGCAAGACTCTGTCTTAAAAAAAAAAGAAAGAAAGAAAGCATGTGTGGCATTCAACATAAAATCACACATACCCTACAAATCAACTACCTTTAACTGCCCTCTCCCACTCCCTGCTTCCCCAGAGGTCCAGCTGTTGCTCCTAATCAATACATCTCATTACGTACAGTGGTTAAAGCTGCCATTTGGAATGCAATGTTGATGAGGACATACTATTTTCTTTCTTCTAATTTTCAAAGCACTCATACTATTTTGTTCTATCAAAGGACAAGGAAGAGAAGCAGTTTAGTGGTACTAAATCCACACTCATCTGGATCGTCTGGAATACAAAATGCTCTATGCCTCTCTTCCTTTTCTTATAGCATTGCCTCTAATTATGCAATTCCTTCTTTGTCATATCAAGTAGTATTCAGCTTTACAACGTATGTCAGTAACCCACAATCCTTCAAATTCCGCCTTCTGATGGAATATAAAATGCTTTGCAGCAGTTCAAGTGCTGGCACAATGCCAACAGGGATGTTCTCATTTCAAAGGGTAGGCTGCCACCTGCTGACTTGATCCTTTCCCACTCAACATTCAGCACTCCCCAGAAAGCGAACTGATCTGGCACAAGGGTTTTCTTTGCTATGTCATTTAATGCAGTGTGACTTGATTGTTATATTGAACTATATCAACATAATCTTTTAGTTATTTTAAATACAAATTATCCTTTAAAAATCCTAAGCAGACAGTTATGCTTCTGTATAGCTAAAAATTCCTGCCCTATATTCAAAAGGGCAGATAATTTTTTAAGTATATGTTACTTTTTAAATATGCAAGAAAAATGTATTTTAATATATTTCTCTTCACCCTTTCCTTTATTCTTCACTTCTGAAAACAGAAGCTCACTTACTCTCATTAGAAAGTATCAGCGATTTAATTTTTCATCTTGATCAACATCCTCAACCTGAAATTAATAAAGTGTAACTTCACTGCCCTAAAACTATTGTAAAAATTCACAGCAGCTGCTGACAATAAAGCTAAAAGAGTTACTTAGCCATTAGTTAGCTCAGCCTCCTGCCATGACAGGAAACATAAATTTGCAGGTACCCTCTAAGAGCACTGGACTTTTTCAAGTTAAGAGTTAGTTTCTCCCCATTTTAACCTATTTTTTAAGGAAAATAAAATCAGACCAACCTAAATAATTAATGTGAGAGAGGGAAATCCCCTTCCTGAGACAGTAGGACACTGTCTAAGTGAGAGCAAAGGGTAAATTCACTCAACAGCACGCACTTCATAAATACTGCCTGATACAATATTAGGTCCTAGGGATCCATTCTGTGGAACAGCTTAAAGATCTGCTGCCTTTGACAACTTTCTGGTGGGAGTTATGGATTACAGTACAACTTTCAAGATTTAAAAGGTGCAGCGTGAATAGTGATAAAGAACTGCCTGAGTCTGCTTGGAGGGTCCGGAAGAGTTTCACAGGGGAATCTTCTGAAGAAGAAATAGGAGTCTACCAGGTAATCAGACAGGGTAGAGAGACCCAGATAGCAAGTGCAAAGGAAGAGAGAAGAAAAAACAACAGGGGGCTTAAGAGAAACAACCAGTAACTCAACATTAGTTTTAATAAAAATTTTAAAAAGCTCAAGTTCCTAGGTCTGTAGAGTAAAAACTAAAAAATAGATAAAATAAATAAAATAAAAATAAAAGCAGATGAGGTCAGGTAGCTACCTAAGTAGTTCTCAAAGTCTTTGGTAGCCAGGCGCAGTGGCTCATGCCTGTAATCCCAGCACTTAGGGAGGCCGAGGCAGGTGGATCACAAGGTCAGGAGTTTGAGACCAGCCTGACCAACACAGTGAAATTCCATCTCTACTAAAAATACAAAAATTAGCAGGGCATGGTGGTATGCGGCTGTAGTCCCAGCTACTCAGGAGGCTGAGGCAGGAGAATCACTTGAACCCAGGAAGCAGAGGCTGCAGTGAGCCAAGATCGCACCACTGCACTCCAGCCTGGGCGATAGAGCGAGACTCCATCTCAAAAAAAAAAAAAAGTATTTTGTATGTCCTGCTAAGAAATATGCATGTTAAAATCATCACACTGGCAACAAGATAGGGAATGGATTGGAGGGAGGGTAAGACTAAAGGAGTGGTGACTGCTAAGAAAAGAAATAAAACTCTGCAGGCAGAGAAAAATGAAAGATCTTAAGTATCAGGGCAGTAAGAATGGAAAGGAGGGGCCAGATTAGATATAATTATACAACTTCACTGGATGTGGGGAACTAGAAAGAAGGAAGACACTTAGAATTTCCCCAGTGTCTGGCTTAGGTAACTAAATGGATGGTGATATATTCACCAAAATAGGAAATGCACTAGGAGGCATATATTTGCTGGGTGCATGTAGCAGCCTTAGGTGTGGAAATGCTGAGTTTGAAGTGACTGTGGAACACTGAGGTGAAGATGTGCAGTAGAAACTGAATACACAGATCTGAAGCTCAGAACGGAAGTCTGAACTAGAGACAGAAATTCAGGAGTCACCAGTGTATGAGCAGCAGATGGCATCGATAAAATGCCCCAGACAGAAGGGGTAAGCAGAGTGTTATGGATGAGAACCTGGGCAGACAGGCAGCAGAGGACTCAACAGCCTACACAAACCCCTAGATTTTTTGGGAGGAATAAATGAAGCAGTACATGTAATACACTCAGAACAGTACCTGACGCAGTGAGTTGAATAAATATTAGCTATTCAGAAAGCACATGGCATGCTACTACACTGAGTCAGGCAAGATGGAATTGTGAGGTCTAGACACTGCTCCACAGCATAGTTATACTGGATACAGAGAAGACTCAGTTACAGAAGTATAATTCTGTGTTTGAAATATTAGTTAATATATACAAACATATTCAAATACAGTCTAGAAGTATATATACCAAGACGTGTACAGTGGTTATCTCCAAGTTATCTCTGAAAACATGAGCAATTTTTATTTTCTTTATGCTTTTCTATATTTTCCAAATTTTCTACAATGTATATGCATTACTTTTGAAATCAAATGTGTAAAGATTTTTAACTGTTTATTAAAGATCTAAAAGTTTGTAGCAGGAGTCTAAATGATCAGGAAAAATAATCTTTTGCCCAACTACCTCAAGCTCTAAGCAGGTATTAGAAGTAGGAGAAAGCAGACGGACTGGATCCAGAAACTCAACCTGCTATAAATGGAAAAGAAAAGACTAAGCTGGAAGTTCCCAATAAGTGAGATGGAACATGTATGGGTTCTTGGATTTAAGTATAACATAACCTCAGAAAGAGTGGAACAGAAAAAGAGACAACAATTTAAAAAAAAATTTTAAAGACCCTCACTCCTCTTGCCCCGTATGAATACACAAGCAATATAGAGCAATGCCAAAGGAAAGAAGAGAGGGAGATATCAGCTCCTGCCAGCCCTCACGTGAACTGCTTTGCTGAATTCTAAATCAGGTAAGACTAAGACAAAAAATAAAATGTCAAAAGCATTTCAAAGGTATCCCTAACAATAGGAGGTCAAAACACATTCCTTACACTGCAAGTCAGAAGAGTGGGAATTCAAAGATGGACCAAAATGCATTCTGATTATTTTAACTGAGTCAAATGAAATTAATAAAAGCAATGGGCAGAAATCAATCACATGCCAATTAAAGACATCAGCTGGGATAAAACATGTAAGAAGGATAATGTGATGGTTCATTATATGTCAACTTGACCAGGCTATGGCACCCAATTATTAATATTTGGTCAAACACAGGTGTAGAAGTTGTTGTGAAGGTATTTTTTAGATGTGATTAGCGTTTAAATCAGTAGATTTTGAATAAAGCAGATTACCTTTTATAATGTGGGTAGGCTTCATACAATCAATTTAAGGCCTTAAGAGAAAAGACTGCAGGTTCCCGAGCAAAAAGAAATTCAGCCTCAAGGCTAAAACAGAAACCCTGCCTGAGTTTCAAGTCAACCAGTTTGCCCTATGGACTTGCCAGCCAGTTCCTTAAAACTAAACTCACATGAGCCAGTTCCTTAAAAACTAAATCCCTCTCCCTCTCTCTCTCTCTCTCTTCCCGAAAAGATAAAGTTTGCTAATAAAGACCCAACAGGCAGAATCTCCAACTGGAGGCAATGGAATTGAAATTGGCTCAGGCAGCTAGCAATAAAACACCAAAGGTTCTTGGACAGAAGAATGACACAATAAATAATATACATTTAATGACAATTATTTTGGAATCATTTACACTGTATGTGTAATATGAACTAGATCAGAGGGATACTAGAAGACATTTGAGAAAATATAGGCCAAAGGATTCTGCGGGTGGCGTTGGAAATGAAAAGGAATTCATCCATACAATGGGGATATGACAAAAAATTTAGTAGGCATATTTTGTATTTTTAAGATCTTTTAGTAAAAGTTCTATCAGAATACTATTCATATAGGTATTTACTTACCATATTTGTCTCGCAAGCCAACAGTGCATCTAAAGACTCCACCAAAGGCAACATCTTCACCAAATATTACTGAAAAACAGTATTTAAATAATACATTTTATTTAATAATCTCTAAATAATACTAACAATGAGAAATAAGTAATTTAAATGTTTACATTTTAAATCACAAAAGATAAATGGACCATAGATCTCGATCAAGGTTTCTCAACTTCTACATTATTGACATTTTAGACTAGATGATTCTTTTGTTGTGAGGGTCTGTCCTGTGCACTGTAGATACATAGCAGCAACCCTGGTCTCTACCCACTGGATGACAGTTACCACACACACACACACACACACACACACACACACACAGTTGAGACAACAAAAAGTGTCTTCACTTACATTGTTAAATGTAAACAGAGTTGTGGGAGTGGAGACTAAGATCATCCCCAGTTGAGAAAGAACCACTGATCTAGAATCTCATTTGTTTTATCCATGAAGAAAACGAGACCAGAGAAGTGGTAAATTGACTGGCCAAGTCAGAAAGCTAGAGGCAGAACTATGACTCATGCTCCAGACTTCCAGGCCTGTGGTTTTTCCTGAGACACAGCATACAGTAAGTAAGCCATCAGAAGAGCATTCCAAGCTAAGGGAACAGTCACAAATAGGAAAGGGATTTAGACTGTGTGAAGCAGAAAGGAGGCAAGCACGAAGGACACAGTAAGCAAGGCAAAGAATGGTGTAGGTGGAAATTGGCAGGAGCTTTAAAATAAGGGGTATTCATAGAGCTGAATGCTAGTCTCATAAACGTACCTAACCAGTTTTTATCGACCCCAAGAAAAAACTCACCCTTCTCTATGTTTGAATTTACTTCTCTAGTTCAATCATCCGCAAGTAGCATTCAAAACAAATCAAGATCTAATCATCCTTTAGTCCAGCTCCCACTTCTCCCTAAAAAATAACCTGTTTTTCATTTAACCTTAAAACTACAGATTATCAGGTGGAAGGTGGAAGCCCAATGTATAGTCAACATATATGCACACACACACATATATAAACTGTATATATAGATATATGTTAAATATATATGTATATACATATATGAAGTAAAGCCAATCAAATTTGAAAACATACAGTGGAAGAACAATTGGTTTTGTATCAATGATTTAATAAGATGAAGATTAAGATACTTATAAAATTATATATAAATATTACAATTATTTCCAAAACATATTACAAGTTGAATGACAATGTATTCCAAAGGGAAGCATAAAATCAAGTCTTCATTTTATAAATAAATAGCTGAATGAAAAGGTATTTTGTTTTCTTCTATGTGCCAAAGAAACAGGAGTACACAGCAGGTTTTAATCCAGAAGTTATTAATACAATATCAGGACCACACACACTGTAAGAGAAAGCTGACTTGATGTTAAATATACATGAGAACTAACTGGTAATAAGTGGACTAATATTGCAATTTGATTATTTAGCCCCAATCATACCTTTGAAAATGTCAGGTAGATACAATGTTAACCATTGAGCTCCACATAAATATTTTAAGCAAATCTTCAATTCTGGAATTAACACAGCTACCACAATTCAGGCACATATCAGGGTTACCTGCAGTAGGATCTTTGGCCAATGAGTTATCCAAGGCACTTGTTACAGACTGGAAAAGATTCATTTTCTGAGTTTGCCCTGTGAAAATCAAAAAAAAAATCATTTCGTGTGTTGTAAAATACATAAAAACAACCAGTTTCTTAACAGTTAATTACAACTTGACTAAAATCAAGGTACAAAGAAAGATATTATGCAAATTGCTGAATTATTTACAATAATACTATAAGATACAAAAGCAATACAGACCTGGAGAAGCTTGTTAATGGGGCAAAATTTACCCATATTAAACAATTTTTTGTAAAAGTATAAAACAGGAAGAAGGAATATAACCAAGTGACTAAATGCGTGTAGACAATAAGACCTATGGAAAGTCAGAAAGGGAGACCCGTCAAAGTGAGTGGTCTGGGAAGAAGCACAGACAGGTGTTAGGAACCTAAGCCATAAGGAATGTGCATGACCAGTGGCATGTGCTAAATACGTCAACAGCAAATGGTCATGGACCATAAAACAATAAGGAAGGGTAAAGATAAACTTTGGTACCCGGAACTGCTGGAGTTTGGAACATACCATAATCTTATGCCTAACCACATCATATTTAGTCCTTCTTATTGTCTTATTACTTAAATAGAATATCTGTGAGCCAGTGTCCATTCCCTAAATGGATTTTTTAGGAGGAATAAATGAAGCAGTACATGTAATACACTCAGAACAGTACCTGACACAGTGAGTGCTGAATAAATATTAGCTATTCATTGTTAGGTTCTGGACTCTGTCCATGTCCTTCTATCTTCACCTTAGTACTCTTCTGAATGGTATAGGAAAGCTTCATTTGATAAAGTTCTAAATGTTAGAATTCAGAAACATCATGACATTAGAGCTTCGATTCAAGCTCAGGTGCTGCCCAATGCCCACAGTCATCCCAAAACTTTAAGTCAACTCCTCTGCAAAATTACAATTCAGAGCACAGAACGGCTTCAGCCTAAATCTCCCGATCGAAAGGCCCACTCTTTATCCTAGTGCCTGATCTACACGCTGGTAGTCGCCTTAACCCACAGCATGCTGATAACAAATCATTTCGATACCTGTTGCTTACCCTGATCACTGCCCACCTAACCTCCATGCTATTCATTAGCCTAGTGTGTCCCAACAGTCAAGATCTAATTCCCAGTGTGGGTCACAACAGCTACTGCTGTTGCCTTCAACTGTCTGACCATGGGACATTGGTCACTTGTCCTTTTCCTGGAGACCCATTTTCTTCCCTAGCCTGGCATTGCTCCACAGCAGGTTCTGACATATGACATCTTTCCTCCTTCCATTATCCACCGATACTCCAGACTTCTGACGTTCTGCCTACTCTGGCATCTAATGTCTCTCTGATCCTTTCAACAGTACTGAATGCCCAGGGTTCAGGTCTTGGCAATCCCCAGTCAGATACGTCCTCTGCCCTCTGTGCCCACAATCATAGCCTGTTTCTACTCTTATATTTGGTGGAGATAATACGAATTTACTCAAATATTATTTTATATCACTTATGGCAAAAGATATACAATCATACCACATGTCCATGATTACTTAAAAATTTATTTTTCTTCAGGCTAGGGCTATAACACTTAATAGATACAGGCATACTTTGTCTTACTGTGCTTCACTTTATTTTGCCCTACAGATATTGCAATTTTTACAAATGGAAACTTTGTAGCAACCCTGTATCTAGCAAGTCTATCAGCATCAGAATCACATTTTCATAATTCTCACAATATTTCAAACTTTTTCATTACTATTACATCTGTTATCATGATCTCTGATCAATGATCTTTGAGGTTATAGTGTCTTGGGGTGCCACAGCCTTCTGACATTCTGCCATGGCACCCCAAGACAATTACATTAGTAACCTCAATAAATGTTGTATGTGTTCTCACTGATCCACTGACCAGTCATTCTCCTTTATCTCTCCCTTTCTTCAGGCTTCCCTATTCCCTGAGACATAATAATATGAAAATTAGACCTACAGTGATCTCTAAGTTTTCAAGTGAAAGGAGGAGCTGCATATCTCTCACTTTAAATCGTAAGTTAGAAATGACTAAGCTAAGTACGGAAGGCATGCTGAAAGTCCAGAGAGTCTGAAAGCTAGGCTTCTTGCACCAAATAGCCTAGTTGTGAATGCAAAGGAAAAGTTCTTGAAGAAAATGTAAACTGTTATTCCAGTAAGCACACAAATGATAAGAAAGCAAAATAGCCTTATTGCTGATATGAAGAAAATTTTAGTGGTCTGAATAGAAAACCAAATCACACACGACATTCCCTTAAGTCAAAGCCTAATCCAGGGCAAGTTCCTAACTCTTTTCAATTCTATGAAAGCTGACAGAGGTGAGGAAGCTGCCGAAGAAAAATCTGAAGATAGCAGAGCTTGGTTCATGAGGTTTAAGAAGAGAAGCCATCTCAGTACATAAAACGGCAAAGTGAAGCATAAAGTGCTGATGGAGAAGCTGCAGTAAATTATCCAGAAGATCTCACTAAGATCATTGATGAAGGTGGCTATACTAAACAAAAGATTTTCAATGGAGACAAAACAGCTTCTATTGGAAGATGCTATCTTGGATTTTCATAGCTAAAGAGAAGTCAATGCCTGGCTTCAAAGGACAGGTGGACTCTTTTGTAAGGGGCTAATGTAGCTGGTGATTTGAAGTTGAAGCCAATGTTCATTCACCATTCTGAAAGTCCTAGCACCCTTGAGAATTATGCTAAATCCACTCTGCCTGTTCTCTTTCAATGAAACAACAAACCCTGAATGATAGCACATCTATTTATATCAGGGTTTCCTGAATATTTTAAGCCCACTGTTGAAACCTACTGCTCAGGAAAAAAAAAGATTCCTTTCAAAATATTACTGCTCATTGACAATGCGCCTTGGTCACCCAAGCGCTCTGACGGAGATGTATAAGATTAACGTTGTTTTCCACAGATCAAAAGAGACAAAGAAGGCCATTACATAATGGTAAAGGGATCAATTCAAAAAGAAGAGCTAACTATCCTAAATATATGCACCCAATACAGGAGCACCCAGATTCATAAAGCAAGTCCTTAGAGACCTACAAAGAGACTCCCATACAATAATATTGGGAGACTTTAACACTCCAATGTCAATATTAGACAGAACAACGAGAAACAAGGTTAACAAGGATATCCAGGACCTGAACTCAGCTCTGCACCAAGTGGACCTAATAGACATCTACAGAACTCTCCACCCCAAATCAACAGAATACACATTCTTCTCAGCACTACATCACACTTATTCTAAAATTGACCACATAACTGGAAGTAAAGCACTTTTCAGCAAATGTAAAAGAACAGAAATAACAACAAACTGTCTCTCAAACCGCAGTGCAATCAAATTAGAACTCAGGATTAAGAAACTCACTCAAAACCGCACAACTACATGGAAACTGAACAACCTGCTCCTGAATGACTACTGGGTAAATAAGGAAAAGAAGGCAGAAATAAAGAAGTTCTTTGAAATCAATGAGAGCAAAGACACAACGTACCAGAATCTCTGGGACACATTTAAAGCAGTGTGGAGAGGGAAATTTATAGCTCTAAATGCCCACAAGAGAAAACAGGAAAGATCTAAAATTGACACCCTAACATCACAATTAAAAGAACTAGAGAAGCAAGAGCAAATAAATTCAAAAGCTAGCAGAAGGCAAGAAATAACTAAGATCAGAGCAGAACTGAAAGAGATAGAGACAAAAAAACCGTTCAAAAAAATCAATGAATCCAGGAGCTGGTTTTTTGAAAAGATCAACAAAATTGATAGACCACTAGAAAGATTAATAAAGAAGAAAACAGAGAAGAATCAAATAGATGCAATAAAAAATGATAAAGGAGATATCACCACCAATCCCACAGAAATACAAACTACCATCAGAGAATACTATAAACACCTCTATGCAAATAAACTAGAAAATCTAGAAGAAATGGATAAATTCCTGGACACATACACCCTCCCAAGACTAAACCAGGAAGAAGTTGAATCTCTGAATAGAACAATAACAGGCTCTGAAATTGAGGCAATAATTAATAGCCTACCAACCAAAAAAAGTCCAGGACCAGATGGATTCACAGCTGAATTCTACCAGAGATACAAAGAGTTGCTGGTACCATTCCTTCTTCTTGCAGGAAGTCAGGGATCCCAAATGGAGGGACTGGCTGGAGCCATGACAGAGGAACATAAATCGTGAAAATTTCATGGACATTTAACAGTTCCCAAATAATACTTTTATAATTTCTTACACCTGTTTTACTTTAATCTCTTAATTCTGTTATCTTCGTAAGCTGAGGATGTACATCACCTCAGGACCACTGTGATAATTGTGTTAACTGTACAAATTGATTGTAAAACATGTGTGTTTGAACAATATGAAATCAGTGCACCTTGAAAAACAACAGAATAACAGCAATTTTTAGGGAACAAGGGAAGACAACCATAAGGTCTGACTGCCTGTGGGGTCAGGCAAAAAGAGCCATATTTTTCTTCTTGCAGAGAGCCTATAAACGGACATGCAAGTAGGAGAGATATTGCTAAATTCTTTTCCTAGCAAGGAATATTAATATTAATACCCAGGGAAAGGAATGCATTCCTGGGGGGGCCGGGGGGGAGGGGGGGAAGGCCTATAAACATCCGCTCTGGGAGCGTCTGTCTTATGTGGTTGAGATAAGGACTGAGATACGCCCTGGTCTCCTGCAGTACCCTCAGGCTTATTAGGGTGGGGAAAAACTCCAAGCTGGTAAATTTGTGGTCAGACTGGTTCTCTGCTCTCAAACCCTGTTTTCTGTTGTTTAAGATGTTTATCAAGACAATATGTGCAAAGCTGAAGATAGACCCTTATCAGTAGTTCTGTTTTGCCTTTTGTCCTGTTAGGTCAGAAGCATGTGATCTTTGCTCTGCTTTTTGCCCTTTGAAGCATGTGATCTTTGTACCTACTCCCTGTTTTAAACCCCCTCCAATTTTGAAACCCTTAATAAAAAACTTGTTGGTTTGAGCCTCAGGTGGGCATCATGGTCCTACCAATATGGGATGTCACCCCCGGCGGCCCAGCTGTAAAATTCCTCACTTTGTACTCTTTCTCTTTATTTCTCAGCCAGATGACACTTATGGAAAACAGAAAGAACCTACGTTAAAATATTGGGGGTGGGTTCCCCCGACACCTTCTGGAACTATTCCAATCAATAGAAAAAGAAGGAATCCTCCCTAACTCATTTTATGAGGCTAACATCATCCTGATACCAAAGCCTGACAGACACAACAAAAGAAGAGAATTTTAGACTAATATCCCTGATGAACATCAATGCAAAAATTCTCAGTAAAATACTGGCAAACCAAATCCAGCAGCACATAAAAAATCTTATCCACCACGATCAAGTCAACTTCATCCCTGGGATGCAAGGCTGGTTCAACATATGCAAATCAATAAACGTAATCCATCACATAAACAGAACCAATGACAAAAACCACATGATTATCTCAATAGATGCAGAAAAGGCCTTCGACAAAATTCAACAGCCCTTCATGCTAAAAACTCTCAATAAACTAGGTATTGATGGAACATATCTCAAAATAATAAGAGCTATTTATGACAAACCCACAGCCGATATCATACTAAATTGGCAAAAACTGGAAGCATTCCCTTTGAAAACTGGCACGAGACAAGGATGCCCTCTCTCACCACTCCTATTCAACATAGTGTTGGAAGTTCTAGCCGCAATCAGGCAAGAGAAACAAATAAAGGGTTTTCAATTAGGAAAAGAGGAAGTAAAATTGTCCCTGTTTGCAGATGAGATTATTGTATATTTAGAAAACCCCATCGTCTCAGCCCAAAATCTCCTTAAGCTGATAAGCAAATTCTGCAAAGTTTCAAGATACAAAATCAATGTGCAAAAATCACAAGCATTCCTATACACCATTAACAGAGAGCCAAATCATGAGTGAACTCCCATTCACAATTGCTACAAACAAAATAAAATACCTAGGAATCCAATTTACAAGGAATGTGAAGGACCTCTTCAAGGAGAACTACAAACCACTGCTCAACAAAATAAAAGAGGACACAAACAAATGGAAGAATATTCCATGCTCATGGATAAGAAGAATCTGTTTGTGAAAATGGCCATACTGTCCAAAGTAACTTATAGATTCAGTGCCATCCCCATCAAGCTACCAATGACTTTCTTCACAGAATTGGAAAAAACTACTTTAAAGTTCATATGGAACCAAAAAAGAGCACACATAGCCAAGATAATCCTAAACAAAAAGAACAAAGCTAAAGGTATCACACTACCTGACTTCAAACTATACTACAAGGCTACAGTAACCAAAACAGCATGGTACTGGTACCAAAACAGAGATATAGATCAATGGAACAGAACAGAGGCCTCAAAAATAATGCCACAAATCTACAACCATCTGATCTTTAATAAACCTGACAAAAATAAGAAATGGGGAAAGGATTCCCTATTTAATAAATGGTGCTGGGAAAACTGGCTAGCCATATGTAGAAAGCTGAAACTGGATCCCTTCCTTACACCTTATACAAAAATTAACTCAAGATGGATTAAAGACTTAAATGTTAGACCTAAAACCATAAAATCCCTAGAAGAAAACCTAGGCAATACCATTCAGGACATAGGTATAGGCAAGGACTTCATGACTAAAACATCAAAAGCAATGGCAACAAAAGACAAAATAGACAAAGGGGATCTAATTAAACTAAAGAGCTTCTGCACGGCAAAATAAACTATCATCAGAGTGAACGGGCAACCTACAGAATGGGAGAAAATTTTCGCAATCTACCCATCTGACAAAGGGCTAATATCCAGAATCTACAAAGAACTCAAACAAATTTACAAGAAAAAGACAAACAAACCCATCAAAAAGTGGGCAAAGAATATGAACAGATACTGCTCAAAACAAGACATCTATGCAGCCAACAGACACATGAGAAAATGCTTATCATCACCGGTCATCAGAGAAATGCAAATCAAAATCACAATGAGATACCATCTCACACCATTTAGAATGGCAATCATTAAAAAGTCAAGAAACAACAGATGCTGGAGAGGATGTGGAGAAATAGGAACACTTTTACACTCTTGGTGGGAGTGTAAATTGGTTCAACCATTGTGGAAAACAGTGTGGAGATTCCTCAAGGATCTAGAACTAGAATTACCATTTGACCCAACAATCCCATTACTGGGTATATATCCAAAGGATTATAAATCATGCTACTATAAAGACACATGCACATGTATGTTTATTGTGGCACTATTCACAATAGCAAAGACTTGGAACCAACCCAAATGTCTATCAATGATAGACTAGATTAAGAAAATGTGGCACATATACACCATGGAATACTATGCAGCCATACAAAATGATGAGTTCATGTCCTTTGCAGGGACATGGATGAAGCTGGAAACCATCATTCTCAGCAAACTATCACAAGGACAGAAAACCAAACACCACATGTTCTCACTCATAAGTGGGAAATGAACAATGAGATCACTTGGACACAGGGCGGGGAACATCACACACCAGGGCCTGTCGGGGATTGGGAAGCTGGGGGAGGGATAGCATTAGAAGAAATACCTAATGTAAATGATGAGTCGATGGGTGCAGCAAAACAACATGGCACATACCTATGTATCAAACCTGCACGTTGTGTACATGTACCCTAGAACTTAAAGTATAATGAAAAAAAAAATAGGAAAAAAAAGATTAACATTGTTTTCATGCCTGCTAATACATCAATTCTGTGCCTCACAGATCAAGGAATAATTTCTACTTTCAAGTCTTATTATTTAAGAAATACATTTTGTAAAGCTATATCTGCCATAAATGATTACTCTGATGGATCTGGGCAAAGTAAATTGAAAATCTTCTGGGAAGGACTATTCTAGATGCCATTTAGAATGTTCATGGTTCATGAAATTTCAAAATGTCAACATTGGCCAGGCGTGATGGCTCACACTTGAAATCCCAGCACTTTGTGAGGCCAAGGGGGGTGCGGATCACTTGAGGCCAGGAGTTCGAGACCAGCCTGGCTAACATGGCGAAACCCCATCCTCTACCAAAAATACAAAAAATTAGCCCAGTATGGTGGTGCACACCTGTAATCCCAGCTACTCAGGAGGCTAAGGCACAAGAATCACTTGAACCCAGGAGGTAGAGGTTGCAGCCAGCCAAGATTATGCCACTGCACTCCAGCCTGCGTGACAGAGTGAGACTCTGTCTCAAAAAACAGTAAAAAAGAAGTCAACATTTATAGGAGTTTGAAATAAATTGATTTCAACCCTCATGGATGACTTCATTTATTCATTCATTCATTCGTTCATTTTATTTTTTTTGCAACCTCCACCTCCCAGGATCAACCAATTCTCACACCACAGCCACCCCAGGGATTACAGGCATGCGCTAGCATGCCTGCTAATTTTTTTGTATTTTTAGTAGAGCCCAGGTCTCACATGCTGCCCAGGCTGGTCTCAAACTCCTTAGCTCAGATGATCCGCCAGCCTTGGCCTCCCAAAGTGGTAGGACTACACGCGTGAGCCACCATGCCCAGCCTCATGGATGACTTTGAGGGATTCAAAACTTCAGAGAAGAACATAACTGCAGACGTGGTAGAAATAGCAAGAGAACTAGAAGTGCAGCCTGAAGATGTGACTGAATTGCTACAATCTCATGATAAAACTTCAATGGATGAGGAGTTGCTCTTTACGTATGCAACCTGAAGAACTCAAAGAAAGTGGAGCCTTGAGATGGAATCTATTACTTTCTATGAATTCAAAAAAAAAAGTGGATCCTTGAGATGAAATCCATTGCTAATGAAGATGCCATGAACACTGTGAAATGACAACAAAGGACTTACAATATTACACAAACTTAGCTGATAAAGAAGTGGCAGGGTTTGGGAGAATTGATTTCAATTCTGAAAAAAGTTCTACTGTGGTAAAATGCTATCAAACGGCATCTCATGCTACAGAGAAATCTGTCATGAAAGGAAGATTCTATCAATGCAGCAAACTTCATTGTTGTCTTTTTTTTTTTTAATGAAGTTGCCACAGCCACCACAACCTTCAGCAACCACTACCCTGATCAGTCAGTAGCTATCAACATCAAGGCAAGACCCTCCACCAGCAAAAAGATTATGACTTGCCAAAGTTTCAGATGATTGTTGGCAATTTTTATCGATAAAGTATTTCTTAATTAAAGTATGTACATTGATCTTTTAGATATAATGCTATTGCACACTTACTAGACTACAGTACAATGTAAACATGTTAATATGCACTGGGAAACCAATACATTTGTGTGACTCACTTTATTGTAATATTCACTATATTGCAACATTCATTTTATTGTAGTGGTCTGGAGCCAAACCCACAATATGTCCGAGGTAGGCCTGTACTTTCCTTAAATCCTTCTCGATTTTATAAATATTCTTCAAGTATATATTGGTGCCCAGCTTCAGAAGATAATAGTCTTGGGTAAACATTTTTCCCAATCACAGTGACATCCCACTGACTCTCCTATTGCATACATTTCATAAAGTAAGATCTTGACTTGTCTATGAGGATTTCCATAGCTAAGAACCTAGCCAGAATAAAAATGTACTGACACCAGCTTGGTTGGGGAGACACTAACCCAGCGGTGTTAGAGGAATTAAAGACACACACACACAGAAATATAGAGTTGTGGAGTGGGAAATCAGGGGTCTCACAGCCTTCAGAGCTGAGAGCCTCGAACAGAGATTTACCCACATATTTATTGACAGCAAGCCAGTGATAAGCATTGTTTCTATAGATTATAGATTAACTAAAAGTATTCCTTACAGGAAACAAAGGGATGGGCTGGGCTAGCTATCTGCAGCAGGAGCATGTCCTTAAGGCACAGATCGCTCATGCTATTGTTTGTGGTTTAAGAATGCCTTTAAGCGGTTTTCCGCCCTGGGTGGGCCAGGTGTTCCTTGCCCTCATCCCCGTAAACCCACAACTTTGCAGCGTGGGTGTCATGGTCATCAAGAACATGTCACAGTGCTGCAGAGATTCTCTTTATGGCCAGTTTTGGGGCC
The DNA here is from genome assembly GCF_000001405.40 of Homo sapiens. NCBI lineage: Eukaryota > Metazoa > Chordata > Mammalia > Primates > Hominidae > Homo > Homo sapiens. The sequence continues at coordinate 80,117,500 of NC_000006.12, read as the reverse complement.
AGTTTATGGCCAGATTTGGGGGCCTATTCCCAACAAAATGTCTAAATATCTAAGTTGCTATTTATTTCAAGTCTGCTGAACATTCAGATTAATACTGAATGACATGATATCTTATTGCACTGATGCTCAGCAAGTTATTAGTAGGGAGGAAGCAAAGACTTTAATAATAAAAATCATACAAAGTAAACATTTCAATTATTGTCTGATAACCACAAAGAATCTATTCGTCTTGTATAAAATAATTTACCAGTAAGGGTATTTAAAGGTAATTATTTCCATGTGAATACCTAAACTTTCACTCCTGAATAGTTTTTCAAACAGATTCAAAATTTTAGGGTTTTGGATTAATTGCTATTCTACCAGATACTTTTCTAAGTTTTAAATTACAAATTTTAATGGAGCAGCATTTACTTTTCATTTCTTTTTTAAAGTTACAGCATGATTTGTGGACAAGGCAAGAAGAAATCACAAGTTATTCACAGGTAATTTTTTTTAATATATATTTTCCTTAGAGTTATTTATTCTCCTAGAGGTTACATCAAAGACTATTCATAGACTATGCTTATGTCTGCCATAGTAAGATAAACCTACTTATAGCATGTGCTAACCAAAGCTGTACTGCTGGTAAGACTGTTAAAAAATAATCTATATACATCACTAAAAATTTATTAAGCACAGTTACCTAATTATGCAATCACACAGTACTAATAAATGACTGCTACATTTTAAAACCAGACTGGTAATTCTTTTTCAAGATAAAAAGGTATAGCAAAACAAACAACAACAAAATACAGCAGCACACTTTCTTCTATATCAAGGATGCAAGTTAATGGTTGCCTATTGTTAAAACAGGGCTCTGTGGCTGGCATTGAGTTGTTTAATTGAAATTGTACTAAGTAAAGAATCATGAATATGCAGGTCATCAGCACTGCTGAAAAAATGAGGTGACATATAGGCAGAATGTAAAGACCATAATGGAACATAAGCTCCAAGAGGACTGGTATCCTTAAATGCTTTTGATCAGAGCTGTGTCTTCAGTGCTCACAACAGGGCCTGACATGTAATAGGTGCTAAATAAATATTTGTTGAATGAATGAATGAACACATGCAAACACTATTTCAATAAACGTTTAAGGAAACTAAAAGAAAAATATTAACCAACAACTTAAAGAGAAAGAAATGTCTAAGAAAAAAGACCTACCAATGTCACATTCAAAGACAAACTGCAGGAGGGGGGCAAATGAGAGGTGTTATTGCATCAACAGTCTGATGGGGTAGGTCTTTAATAACTATGCAGTATGCAGCAGTGTTAAAGGGAAAGAGAAGCCTCCCACAGGGATAGAGCATCTGAGGAAAAGGGCAAATGTCAGCAATCTCCAGAAATAAATAAGGCCAAGAGCAGAGCACACGGTCAGTGAGTGGATTTATAGCTTAGACCCAAACACATAAAAATATACAGCTATGATACAGAAAATTAGGGACTACTTGCAGAAAGTGAAGGTTGTGCCAATACGTTCGGCACTGGCTTTCCTCTGTACTGCCTAGTTATTGATATAGACCTGTGTGTTACAGCACATCCTCATATTCCTTAGAAACTCCAGCATTGGGAGGCCGAGGGGGGTGGATCATGAGGTCAGGAGATTGAGACCATCCTTGCTAACACGGTAAAACTCCGTCTCTACTAAAAATACAAAAAATTAGCCAGGCGTGGTGGCAGGCGCCTGTAGTTCCAGCTACTTGGGAGGCTGAGGCAGGAGAATGGTGAGAATCTGGGAGGCAGAGCCTGCAGTGGGCCAAGATCGCGCCACTGCACTCCAGCCTGGGTGACAGAGCGAGACTCTGTCTCAAAAAAAAAAAAAGAAACCCCAGCATTTATCGCAGTGCGTAACACACAAGTGACAATCAGTATATGCCTGGTGAAGTATGATGAATGATGTCAATGAAACAATCTGGCACTAATTCACATCATGAAATAACAGGATACTAAGAAACTACCTGTTTTCCCCAACAAAACCTCTACCCTCCATCCAGATACCCTATTCTCCAGGAATCCCTTTCTATTGACCAGGTATGTACCTCTATCTTATTCTAAACTCTACTAAGAGTTAGCCAGCATCTACTTCATAAAATAAGACTGAGGGAGAACCCAAATGTCAGGGACAGAACATTTTGTATTAAAATGTAAATGGGCCAGGCACAGTAGTACGTGACGATAGTCCCAACTACTCAAGAGGCTGAGGCAGGAGGATCACTTGAGCCCAGGAGAGTTCAGGGTTGTACTACATGATGATTGTGGCTGTGAATAGCCACTGCACTTCAGCCTGGGCAACATAGCAAGACCCCTTCTCTTAAAAAAAATGAAATGAAAGATCCATAAAGGCAATTGCCTTTGTAAGGTACCAGTGTGTATCACATATCCATGATAAGAAAGGAAGTAAATGGTATTGGCAGAGGATGAGGAAGGGTCAACTAAAGACAACAAAAGTGACAGGAACAAAACTGTAAAGTTGAAGAGACTGGGTCTAGAGTCCCTGGGTTGCCCCATCTCAGGGCACCTGGTAACTTCTGTCAAGAAACAATGGTGCTTCCCTTCCTTTAAGCTAGTTCCTCTACTCAATCTCTAAGTGGTTTTAAAACCCCCTTTATATGTTGGTGACTCCCAAATGGTTATCTCCAACCCAGCCAGGCCTCTCCTCTGAACTCCTGACTTTTATATCCAACAGTCATCAGTTCTCCACTTGAGTTTCTTGAGCTTTTCAACAAGCACAAACTGAATTCTTGTGTCGGCTCCCAAAACTAATCTTTTCCATCTTAGCAAACGGCACTACCCTCCACCCAGGTTCCCGTGCCACAAACCAGTGAGGTATCTTCACAATGTCTTCCTTTTTTTCATCCTTCACATCCAACCTATCAAATCCTACTTCCAAAATATAGCTTAAATCTAGCATCACTAGCCAGGCGTGGTGGCTCATGCCTTTTATCCCAGCACTTCGGGAGGCCAAAGCAAGAGGACTGCTTGAGCCCAGGAGTTCAAAACCAGCCTGGGCAACATGGTGAAACCCTGTCTCTACAAAAACTACAAAAAATTAGCCAGGCATGGTGGTGCATGCCTGTAGTCCCAGCTACCCTGGAGGCTGAGTATGAGGATCACCTGAGCCTGGGAAGTAGAGACTGCAGTGAGCCATGATTGAGCCACTGCACTCCAGCCTAGACAAGAGAGTGAGACCCTGTATTTAATTAAAAAAAAAAAAAAAATCTAGCACTACTATATTCTATTCCAGAGCTTGCCATTTCTTTCCTTTGAGGCAGAATAGGGTCTGGAGGCAGGGAACCTAAGGCCAACTCATGCTGACTTCCTAGAACTAAATCAAAAGGAAAACCCCAACCCCAACTTCCCATGCCCAAGTAACAAAAGGACCAGAAGCCACTCCCTTTGCAACCCTCCTGCCCCTTTTCTGCGTGGCAGATGAAAAAATTCGAAGTACCTTTGATTGATCCCCTCCCACAACCAATCAGGCTAGTCATGGGCCAAGTCTTCATTTGCATAGGAGTATAACTTTGTAACTTCACTTCAGCCTCTGAATGGTTGCTTTCTATGACCAATTAGACATTTGCATAGGGTGTAAATTTGTAACTTCAGCTTCTGATTGGTTGCGGAAAGTGACCAACCCCAGACAATTCTGTAACCTGCAATCTTCAGCCACTTGCTCCAGCCGGCTCCCACCCTGTGGAGTGCATTTTTCATTTTCAATAAATCTCGGCTTTTGTTGCTTCATTTTTTCCTTGTTTTCTTTGTGCCTTTTGTCCAATTCTTTGTTCAAAATGCCAAGAACCTGGACATCCTCCACCAGTAACGTATTTTGGAAAGCCAGCCAGGAGGTAAGCCCAAAATTGGAGATTTATTTTTCTTCTCGTTTTCCTCTCTGCTCCATACAGGGGAATGCTTTTTTCTCTTTTCCCTTTCCAACTTGGGCCCTTCAGCGCACAATGCCTAAGCACAGAGGCAACTGCAGGTTTCTGGCCGGGGCCACACTCCAGTGAAACCAAGAGTTTTCTATGTGGAAGCACCTGACCACCACCGCCCAGTTTGGGTGAGAGGCCTGAGTCCTTTCCTTTTTTTCTTTTTCAGTCTTTCAGTGGCCATTTCCTAGTAGCTCCCTGATAATTGTGGGCAACTGGCCAGGGCCACTTTCCAGTGTTACCTGAAGGCCAAGGGGGATAGCTGCCCATACCAGGAGGGGGAAGGAGAGGACTCTTTTCTATCTTTTCCAGCTATAGTCCATGATCCTTACGTGTGTTGCAGTTGGCCATGGCAGCTCATCCAGGGTGAATTCACACGTTTCAGGTGACTTAAACTTTGTTTTCTTATGTTAAATTCTCCTACAGGGTTCTTATGCCAAATTATCCTATAGGTTAACCAGTAATGGCAAACAATGATGTCTCTTAGGAGTTTTGACCTTTCTCCTATTCTATCTGACTTGCTAAGGACAAAAGAAATGCACCCACCTCCGGTTCCTATCATTAAAGTTCATGGCTAACACTCTAGTGGAACGGGAAGCAAGGGAAAGCATGGTCTTATCAAATCATAAGTATGCTAGAAGTTGAGGCTTTCATCCAGGGACAAAACAAATTTCATAGTACGCCATCACCTCTGGAGGGAAAACATACAAAGCAGCACCCATGCCTAACTAAGGTCAGAGACGTCTGACACTCTAAGATTGGATCCCAAAGGGGAACACCCCGGGGAATCCAACTCCAGACCTGAACCTCTCCAAAGGGGACGCCCTCGGCAGAGGTTCTGAGGTCTAGCACAAAGGCCTCCTTGGAATTTTCTCTCACAGGTGACAATGGGACAGTCTGGACACTCTTGGGGCTTGTTTGTTGCTGCAGCAGTTGGACTGTGCTGCAGTCATTGTTTGTGTGTGTTTGATATAGTAATGGGAAATAAGGATTCAGTAAACTTGATATTCTTTTGCAATACTGTTTGGCCCAGTATTGCTTGGAATTCTGGAGTTTGCTGTTGAATGGGAAGGTGGGATGGAGGTGCATGTATCCAGGCTTTTGTGCTGCTGTTCTAAGTAGGGTTGGCCTGGTTAGCATGTGGTGTTCTCCTTTGGTGCTGTTTGGCCCCAGTGTTTGGAGTCTGGGGAGGTTTGGCCTTTAAAAATCAAACTACCATGGAAACTGCTTGACCTGAAATTTTGGTTCACAGCCTTCACTGGATTACCCATTGGGTCAAACAGTAAAACCAGTGGACTTATATTGCTATCTCATGGCTAGAGTTCCAAGGTAAAAAGCTATTGGATCTTCATTTGTGTTTGTGTATACATGTCTAGATGTGTTTATTTGTATGTACACTTACTGTTATATGTTGTGTCTATCAGATTGGCTTATAATTAAAGGAGCGCTCATAAATTAAGTAAATAAGTCTAAGCAATTTTCAAGTTCACATGACTTAAGTATAACTTTACTAAACAAGCTGGCACTGGAGTACTTACTGGTCATGTGCCTAGAGTGAATTTCTTCATTGCACAGTATGTATGGTGATACTGGTGGAATTAAGGATATTGAGTTGTGTATCAGGAATAAAATATTCATTATGTGGTTTTCTGGGGGGCTCTGGGTAACACTGTAGCCCCCCGGGTAGACTAAGTAGGAAAAATTTAGAGATGGTTTCCTGTCTATTTGTTTTTGCTTCTAATTTTCATTTGTTTGCTATTTGTTCTCCTTTGGGTTTTACTTGTGTATGCATATATATAAAACCATAGACATTTTTTAGTTTCTAGTGGAAGGCTTTTATTTGGTTCTGAGAATAGTTATTTTGTTTCCTGCGAATTTCCAACAAGTCATCATGTGTTCTATTTATTTGGAATTCCTAGGCTACCTATTTCAGGCCTGCAGGAATTGATGGAGCACACCAGCCACTTGGAATTTGGTTGATTTGGCTTGCCTCTGATAATCTGCACAACAAAGACTCTTGCTTCAAATGCAAGAAAAACGAGAATTGGATAAAGGACTATATTAAGCCCCTGCCAGTCCCCTGCCAAAAATGCGAGAGCATCAGTTACAACCCCTGGCACTGGAAGATTGACTGGCCCTGCTCCCACCAAGGGGTTCAATAAGGCAAAACTCTAGCAGTGCAAAAGAGAAATTAGATGAAGACTGAAGCGACCCAGGGTCTTCCTCACTGCCCCTGTTCAGGAACATCGTAATTACTACTGAGGAGCCCCCAGGTAACTCTGGACGTCATGGGCACCCAAATTCAGTTTCTTTTCAATACAAATTCAGTTTCTTTCCTTACTACTTATGTAGGAAAACTTTCCTCCCAGTCCACGACCATTATGGGAATGGAAGGAAAGCCACAAGTAAGATCCTTTATTCCTCCTTTGATTTGTCAAATTGAGAAACAAATCTTCCAACAGTAATTTCTAGTAGTATCAAGCTGCCCAGGCCCCCTGTTAAAAAGAGATATTATGGTTAAAATAGGGGCACTACTACAATTTAAGCATCATCTGGTGAAATTGCTAATAGTCAAAAATACAGACACTGTCCCAGACCACATTAATAAACAGGTTAACACACTGGCATGGTATACTGGAAAACCAAGGAAGGCTAAAACAGCAGTGCCAGCCAAAATACAGCTTAAAGACCCCTAGCTATTTATTTTCCCAATCAAAAACAATACCCAATTAAGCTGGAAGCAAGGAAAGGCCAAGCATCCACAGCTAAGGTATTACTTACCCCTGGGCTCTTAAGACCCACTGGTAGGTCCACCCATTGGTGGCAGATCCATATACCCTCCTGGCTCAGGTGCCAAGGGATGCTAAATGGTTCTCAGTCCTAGACCTAGAAGATGCTTCATTTTCCATTCCTCTGGCCCCAGAATCCCAATACCTTTTTGCCTTTGAATGGGAAAATCCTAATGCCAGAGAAAAACAATAATACACTTGGACAGTTCTCCCTCAGGGTTTTCAGGATAGCCCCCATTGCTTTGCCTGGGCCTTAGAGAGGAATCTGAGGGGTCTGCAATTAATTAAGAAATGGGAGTATACTCCAGTATATGGATGACCTCCTTGTGTATAGCCAAATCCTGGATGAAAAAACTACAAAAAGTTTGAATTTCCTGGCAGATAGGGGATACCAAGTGTCCAAAACGAAGGTTCAGATTACCCTCCGACAGGTCCATGATCACATCCTTAGCAGCTAGCAGAGAGTATGGCATCCAGGAGAAAATAAAAATGCAGAGAATGACTGAATAAACAAACTCACATCCATACAATGCCCAAGAATCAGGGGCATGGAGAAGCCAGGATGAACTGTTCTCAGAGAACAACACAGTGTAATAAAGGGAGCAAACATGCCAGCATAAAGCAGCATAAGTGTCACCAACTCAGAGTCTAATCTGACTACCTCCTTTTAAGCAGTACCTTTTATATGTCAAAACAACCAAAATAAAAGAGTGAAAAGTATTTGCAGGACATGTGAAAAGCAGAAAGTTAGTATGTTCTTCAATATTTTTTAACAGACAAAATCTTAGTATATAAGTAGTGTGGGAGGCTTTGGAGTAAGACACATCAGGATTCAAACTCTGGCTCTGCTACTTACCAGACTTGGGTAAGTACTAACATTTCTGAGCCTCAATTTTCTCATCTTTAAAATGAGCATAATATTGTCTAGTTCACAAGGTTACTGTGAGGATTATAAACTGATGTCTAACACAACACCTGGAAAAGAGCAGCTATGCAATAATCGTAGATAGTATTGATAGGAAAAATACTGAGTATACTTTTAAAAATATGTAAATACATCTAATATTCAATTCTTAAGTAAAAATAAATCAATTTAACAAAAACATGGGAAAATATTCCTCAACAGAAATGAAACAAAAATTAAAACAAAGTACAGTTAGCACAAAATATCCAAGAGTGTACATGAACACACCTAATTTTAGCATTAATATCCAATACTCACACTATTATACATATTATGGGGTATAAATGGGTATAAATTTGAACTATGCACTTAAAATCCATTAAAGTATTCAGGACTCTATCCTAAAGAAATAATCTCAGATACATAAAACCCATATGCATGAAATGCTTGTATCTGCATTATTTACAAAATTGCAAAATTTTAACAACAAAAACATAATGGTAATTATTTAAAGGTTCCACTTATTGACTGAATGCTTGATTCTCAGTTGTCAAACAGTGTTAAGTATATTATAGACATTGTTTTATGTAGCCCTCACAACAACCTTCTGAAGTAGGTATTATTATTAACCCCTTACATATAAAGAAACTGAGGCTTACAGAGGATAAGTAGTAACTCCAAAGTTATAGACAGCCAAGGCAAGATCAAACTTAGGACAATCTGATTCCGGGGTCAAGAATTTAACTTGTAAAAGACTTGTAGCATCTCTACTCCATGGAACAGTTCTTCTAAATTCTCAAGAAGGTTATAAAAACTCCAGTGAATTGTAGGATAATTCTTCCGACTAAATAAGTTGTATTTGTATTAAAACTAAAAGTATGGAAAATACGAAACTAAAAGGAAATACCTGTAAGGATACACCCAAAATGTTAGCAATATTTACTGCAGTGGGTGGTGATTTTTGTTTTTTGGTTTTTTGGGGTTTTTTTGAGACAGAGTCTTGCTCTGTCACCAGGCTGGAGTGCAGTGGCACGATATCAGCTCACTGCAACCTCTGCCTCCCAGGTTCAAGCGATTCTCCTCCCTCAGCCTCCCGAGTAGCTGGGACTACAGGCATGCGCTGCCACGCCCAGCTAATTTTTGTATTTTTGGTAGAGACCGGGTTTCACCATGTTGGCCAGGATGGTCTCGATCTCTTGACCTGGTGATCCGCCTGCCTCCGCCTCCCAAAGTGCTGGGATTACAGACGTGAGCCACTGCGCCCGGCAGATTTTTTTTTTTTTTTTTTACTTTTTATCCATTATCCAAATTATCTGTTAATATGTTTGTATTATTTTTAAAATAAGAACAAGTTTATATATATCATGATATATATCATGATAACATGATATCATTTTACTTAGATTTTAGTAAGTTTACAACTATGGAAAGTTGGACTATTTCTCAAGTATTAGACCAAAATTTCTTTGCTTTGAAGACAGAATTTGCTTTGAAGACAGAATTGAGGGCTCATCTTGGTGGTGGAAAAAAAAAAAAAAACACCTACTATTAACCTTTATGGTACCTACTGTTTCACAATACTGGGACGCCCTCCAAGTAAATTATATCTACACGCATCTTAGTACATTGTTTAGAATGGAAGCTCTGGAATCTGATCAATTAGATTCCAAAGCTGGAGCTTTGGAGCTACCACTAACTTACCTGTGTAATCTTGGTCAAACTGTCTCAAGACTCCATTAACCTAACTGCAAAATGGGAATAAAAACTTTACTAACCTTTTAAGGTTGTCCTAACCCTTAAATGAGATGATGAAACATACACACAGCACCTGACCCTGGTAAGCACTCAATAACTGTTCATTCTTATCCACAAGACACACTTCCAAAAATGTCAGCTCTAGCATGCACATGAGAAGTTATTAGACAAGGAAGCAATACATGTTTCCCTACAGTTTCCTGATATTCTGAAGAGAGACACTGGATCTGATATTCTGATGAGAGACATTACATGAAACTTGCAGAAATGGTAAAAATCATGCAACAGTCATACTATGAGGAGTTTGCTACATGCCCTTCCTATGGCTTCCTCCTCTCATCCCCTTCACCTCCTTGGCTAAGTGGCAGCATAGCCCAGGACAAGCTCAGTACTAAGCTCAAGTAGAAAGTCTGAATTCTTTCACATCTCTAGGAAGGACCTGTTCTGTGACCTTGGGAAAATCAGTTCAATTACTCAGAATTCTGTAGGTAAGAAGAAACCAAGGGACATATATACATATATGCATATATATATGCATATATATGTGTGCATATATATATATGCATATATATATATATGCGCACATATATATGCATATATATGCGCGTATATATATCCACACATATATATATGTGTGTGGATATATACACACACACACACACACACACATACACACAATTTCTGTATGTAAGAAGAAACCAAGGGACTGAGTAACTGAATTGATTTTATATACATATATATATTTTATATATAATATATATAATATACATTTAAAATATATATATATAAACATATATATATATCTTTTAAATGCCTCTACCTAAGCTAGTGGCCCAGTCCTGGCCAGGCTGGAACAACACCTAAGGCCTGGGTTGAGAAAGCAAGGACGGAGGACAGAGAAAAGGGAGGCGTTCCCTGGGCACCACCCCTCCACCCTCAGGCTCTTCCAGGTGGCAGTATGCCCTCTCACCCATCTCAAAGTTGCGGGGGAGGGGGGACTGCGTCTCGAGGGCTGAACAGTCACAAAAATAGAGCAAGAAGTGAACCACAGTTAGACCCTGAGGCAAGGAGGTTCCAGAGAGTCAGGAAGTTAATAAGCTGGGATGCAAGGATTGCAGCCTGCCGGCCCCTGCCCCTCGCGGGCGCCTGCGAGCCTGGGAGTCCGGGCTGCAGCGGGACCGAGTGGGCAGTCCCAGGGCTCACCGTACTCCCGGGGCTCCGGATCTGGCTGGAAAGTAAAATGAGCCACCTGCCGCCTCTGGGCCGCATCCTCGACAGTCGCGGCGGGGTGCAAAAAGCCCCGCGCCAGCCCCGCGCCAGGAAGCCGACGCCAGTGCCCCTCAGCCCCTGCCGCCCTGAGCCTGAGTAGCCAGCCGGCAGCCGCCGCTACAACCGCCATCCCCGCTCACCACCGGGATTCTCAGGCTATGCAGCCGCACGCCGCCTGCGGGGAGGGCGGAGCACCCGAGGAGGCTTCCACATTGGTCGGGCCAGAGGGGCGGTCCCATGAAACAGACCAATCGGAACTGGAAATTTAGGGGCGGGGAAGGCGACGTGACGAGCTGGTCGGCTTCTGCTCCTTGTGCGCATGCGGAAGAGGGGAAGTGTGGGCTAGAGGTGGCGCCAATGAAATAGTTTCTGGGGTGGAGCCTCCCCGAGGTCGGCCGTGCGGTCCTCGGGTGAGGACCCGAGTTTGCAAAGTTCCACACAGTGCCTGGAGGCGATCTTTTCCGGTGTCATTTACAGTGCCATTTCCAATGGTTTAACATCCATACTTTTTTTTAAATGTAACCCTTTTTTATCCTGTCCTGTCTCTATTATTGTGTGAGAGGTGAAGAGAGCTACTGATTGGCATTGGTTATTGTTTTGACTTTCGAAAAACTGCTGTAGTCACTGCTCAAAGCTTTCACTCCTTATTCACACCCTCCTTAAAATGCTTAATAAGCATATATAGATTTTTATTGATTTCGTTTTTCCACATTTAAATGAGAGATGAAAGAGGTAAACTTAGATTTCATCCTGCAAATCCACTGAATAGGAATTCAGATACATTTTGCCCAGAAGTAGCAAAAATTACCTGATTGGCTTAGTCTAAGTAGCTTAGAAACCTGGAGAATTTGAGTCACTAATTTTCATTTATAGTAATCAACTATGTAAATTTGTTTTAATCTAAGTGTTTACCAGGATACATTCTCTGTCCATGAATTTACTAAAAAAAAAAAAAAGCACATAAAACATGAAATATCATAAAATCAAATATGACAAGAGACAACAGAGACAGTGTGTCCATCAGATGAAAATGGGAGGGTGGGGAAGGATGGTCCCAAAACAGAATTTGAAGAAGAAAGTGGGAGTGGAGGAAAAGAACATTCCTCTTCCATTATGCCTTGCCTCTTAACCCATCTTTGGTTTTGCACAGGGGCAAGGGAGGAGAGGGTAGAAATGGGGCAAAAGGAGAGGCAGAGAAATGTGTTTTCTGACTGAGATTAAGAAACAGCAATTGAAAACTGCCAAAGGGAGAACCAGAATTATGTCTCCATTTTTCCTACCCCCACACTAAGTCCAAAAATTCAACATTGGGGAAATTTTTTATCTTGGCTTTTGTTAGTGTTCATTTCTGCTGTTTTAATAGTGTGGGGTAGAGTGTTTTGCATGTGCATGAAGGGTATTTTTGTTTTAATGAAGGAAGGGGTAACAAAATGAAATTACATTTACATAGTCAAATTTGGGTTTAAACTAAGGAGAGTAAAGAACAAGGATAAAAATGAATAGAGCTTTTTTTCTATTTGTTGATAGTTTAGGGAGCTGGGGGTACTGAGATTATTTAGGTCGGGGAGAAAAAGAGAAAAATAATAACTGATGAGAATTTTATTGAACCTCTGCTACGTACAACCCAATGACAAGCCACCATTGAGACAAATAAGATCAAGGCATAGTTTTACTTCTAAAATGTCCAAGGTGGTAGAGAAAAGAGACAGATTAGGCAACTACAATCCAATGTGATAGGAGTCCTAGAATAGTGCAAACAAAGTGAAACACAAAAAGAGCAATAAACTCTTATTTGAAAGTCAAGTGTTTCCAGATATAACTCTGAGCTAGACCTAAAAGATGACTAGAAGTTACCAGGCAGACTAGGGAGAAAATGGCATTCCAAACTAAGAAGAAACCTGTATAAAGGCTGATAGGCATGAAGAGCACAGTGCATTCCAGGAAGAGAAAATAGCTTGGTGCTTCTAGATTCAGGGTGTAGGGAATGATACAGGGTTAACAGAAAAAGTAGGAAAAACAGATTAAAGGGAGATTTTGAAGGTCTAAGAGGTTTGAACTTTCAACTACATGCAGCCAGGAAAAACAAACAGAGCACCTGCCAGATTCACCTGTTTTGCAAACTGATTTTTTAAATTTTCCCCATCTCTACCACACCATTTGCCTGGTAACCATGAAAATGTCTATGTTATTACAGTGGGACTTTCCTCCATTCCCCTTGCCCTGGCCACATTTACTCAATTTGGGAAACTGTCCTTTTCTGGGAATTTTGGAAGTGTAGTTTAGAAAGAAAGATCAGATTATCTTTAAATGCCACTAGGAACTGCAAAAAATGGGAGTTTTCAGTAATTTCGTGAACCAGAAAAGGTGAAGAGTGTGATTATATTTGAGTTCCTGATTCCATTTATTCCCAAGGCCTAACTGCTTTCTGGTCCTGGGGTTCTATGAGACATCACCGTATCCTTAAAATGTATTCCCCTCTTTGTTTAAGCTATTTCCAATTGCAGAACCCATGACTATGGAGTTGGAATACAAAGCAAAGTTGCTCTTCACCCTTCAGAATGACTCTTGCATCACTTGCTCTCACTGAGCTTCACTACCTGTGCAACTTGTACCTGTTTAGTCTCAGCTTGCTTTTAGACGACCATTTTATATAGCAAGATGATAGTTTTGCAGTATTACATCCTGGCATCTGCCTCCTTTCAAACTCAAACAGAGGTATCATGGAGGCAGAAAAAAAAGAAATCAAATTATTGCTTTTGAATTTTAAAATAGATTTTAAACTTGATAGCAGAGACAATAATTTGAGAGAAAAGTTTGAATTCTACAGACTGGTTTCTGAGTATTAAACCTCAAAAACCTGAATGAGTTAGGAAACAAAGCTTAGGGCTAAAAGAAAAGATTGTAAATCACATACCAGTATAAGAGATGGTTTGTCTCACCTTCCATGGAGGTACAGCTATAGATTAGAAAGACCTGTAGGTATCCTCCTTTGTAGATGAACCTAGAAAAGTATCACTAAATCCTCAGGCTACCCAGCATGTCATGGCATTTGAAACAGCAGGATGCTTCTCCCATGTGGCCAAGAGAGATGCAGCTATGGCAACAAGATCCAGGGAACTTGAGGAGACCCAGCAATCAGAATGATAAGGACTTGTGTCTAGAATATACTGATTGAAAGTCTTAAACGCAACAATAGAAAAGAAAAATTACCCAATTAGAAAATGGGCAAAGAATTCTCATTCATTGATTGTGGCAATGCAAAATGGTATAGCCACTTTGCAACACAGTTTAGTTTTTTATAAAACTAACATATTCTCACCATGAAATCCAGCAGTAGTGCTGCTTGGTATTTGCCCAAATAAGCTAAAAATGTATGTCCACATTAAAACCTGTGCAGAATATTTACAGCAGCTTTATTCATAATTGCCCAAACTTGGAAGCAACCAAATAAACTTAATGGAATATTATTCAGCACTAAAAAGAAATATTAAGCTGGGTGTGGTGGCTCATGCCTGTAATCCCAGCACTTTGGGAGGCCGAGGCGGGCGGATCACCTGAGGTCAGGAATTTGAGACTAGCCTGGTCAACATGGTGAAACCCCGTCTCTACTAAAAATACAAAAATTAGCTGGGCGTGGTGGTGTGCACCTGTAGTCCCAGCTATTCAGGAGGCTGAGGCAGGAGAATCGCTTGAACCCAGAAGGCAGAGGTTGCAGTGGGCCCAGATCACGCAACTGTGCTCCAGCCTGGGCAACAGAGTGAGACTCTCAAAAAAAAGAAAAAAAAGAAAAAAAAATATTTAACCATCAGAAGACATGGAAGAAGTTTAAATTTATATGACTAAGTGAAAGAAGCCAATCTAAAAAGGCTACATACTATATGAATCCATCTATATGACATTCTGGAAAAGGCAAAATTATGGAGAGAATAAAAGAGATGAGGGGTTGCAAGGGTTGGGAGCAGGAAGGGATAAATGGAAAATCACAGAGGATTCTTAGGGTAGGAAAAATATTCTGTATGATATTATAATGGTGGACATATAAATATGTCATTATACATTCGTCCAAATGCATAGAACGTACACCACCAAGAGTGAACCCTAATGTAAACTATGGGCTTTGGTTGACAACTGTGTGTTAATGTAGGTTCCTTGATGGTGACAAATGTGCCACTGCAGTGCAAATGTTGATGATTAAGGAAGCTCTGTATTTGGGGAAAGCATATGGACATTCTCTGTACCCTCCTCTCAAATTTTTTGTGAACCTAACACTGCTCTAAAAAACATAGCCTATTTAAAGAAATGGACAAAGGATTTGAATGACATTTCTCCAAAGAAGATATGCAAGTGGCCAATGAACATAAGAAAAGATTCTCAACATCAATAGTCATTAAAGAAATACAAATCAAAACCACAATGAGATACCACTTCATATCCACTAGGATGATTAAAATAAAAAGAAATCTATAACATGTGTTGGTGAGGCTGTATAGCAACTGGAACCATTGTGCATCACTGGTGGGACTGTAAAATGATGCAGCTGCTATGGAAAACAGTTCCGCAAAATGTTAAACACAGTTATCTTTTTAATTTTGTTCTTCTATTTCTCTTCCTTTTTTGTTTTTTTAAACATAATTATCTTATGACCCAGCAATTCCACTCCTAAGTATATAACAAAGAAAAATGAAAAGGTGTATTCACCAAAGCTAGTACACAAATATTCGTAGCTGCACTATTCATAATAGCAAAAAAGTGGAAACAATCCAAATACCCATGAAATGATGAATGGTTAAACAAAACTGATATATCTGTAAATAGAATATTATCTGTCAATAAAGAGTAATTAAGTAGTGTTACATGGATGAACTTTGAAAACATTACGCTAAGTGAAAGAAGCCAGTTTAAAATACTATATATTATACAATTACATTTATAAAAAGTCCAGAATAGACAAATCAACAGAGACAGGAGGTAGGGAATGACTGCTAATGGATATAAAGTTTGTTTATTTATTTATTTATTTATTTATTTATTTATTTATTTTGAGACGGAGTCTCGCTCTGTCGCCCAGGCTGGAGTGCAGTGGCGGGATCTCGGCTCACTGCAAGCTCCGCCTCCCGGGTTCACGCCATTCTCCTGCCTCAGCCTCCCAAGTAGCTGGGACTACAGGCGCCCGCCACTACGCCCGGCTAATTTTTTGTATTTTTAGTAGAGACGGGGTTTCACCGTTTTAGCCGGGATGGTCTCGATCTCCTGACCTCGTGATCCGCCCGCCTCCGCCTCCCAAAGTGCTGGGATTACAGGCGTGAGCCACCGCGCCCGGCCTAAAGTTTATTTTTTGAGTGATGAAAATGTTCTAAAATTAAGTAATGTTGATGGTTGCACAACTTTGCTCTATGCTAAAAACCAGTGAATTGTACATTAAAAGGATGAATTTCATGATATGTAAATTATATATCAGTAGCACTATTATTTAAAAATTAAATTACAGAAAAATAAAGTTATATTTGCCCATCTAAATATGTTGATGAAGAGATTCATTCCCCCTACAGCATGTTTAACATCCAGTGTATTAGTTCACAGACTCTGTTCATATGAAATCGGTTTCAACTAAGGACTCGGGATAATGGAAAAGCTCCCTGATTTTCCTTACTTCACTGAATTACTAAGTGGAATGATCCTGTTGGAATCAAAAGAAAGTCCAGAATATACTCAAAGCCAATGTATTTGTTTCCTAGGGATGCTGTCACAAAGCAGCACAAACTGGTTGCAGGAACGTATTGTCTGCGATTCTGATCAAGTCCAAGATCAAGGTGTCAGTGGGACCATGCGCCCTCTGAAACCTGTAGGAAAATTCTTCTTTTCCCTTTTGTTGGTTCTCTGGAATTCTTTGTCATCCCTTGGCTTGCAGTTGCATAAATCCAGTATGTGCGTTTGTTACCACATGCCGTCTCCATATCTTTGCACAGCTATCGTTTTATAAGGACACCAGTCATATTGGATTAGAAGCCCACACTGCTCCAATCTAACCTCATCTTAACTTAATCAATTACATCTGCCATGACCCTATTTCCAAATAAGCTTAAATTCTGAGGGCCAGGGGTTAGGTACTGGGTTTGGGGGTAGGGGAGTGTCAAGCTCAACATATCTTTCAGGGGACAGGGGCATAACAGTCAGAGACTTGGTTGCAGGAACAGAAGCTAACTGGATGAATGCTTTTGATAAACTATGGATGCTTTTGATAAACTATTAGGAGGATGTTTACATGGTTAAAGAGTTTTTATAAAGTGTTTTGTGGATTTCTTCAAATATGACCTAAAGTCATTTGGAGAAGGGTTAAAAATCTAGAGATATTTGGTCTAGATAAGATTTTAAAAGTGATGTATTAACTCTCCCTCAAAGTTTGATGGGCTCCCTTGTAGAGGGGTTAAATTTACTATTTAGCTCCGGAGGGAAGAATAAGAAACAGGAAGAAGCAAATTCTAGTGTAATATAAAGAGCTTCTTATTAAGTAGACTGTCATGGGAAGTAATGAATTCTCTATTACTGAAATAGTCAAGCACGAAATGGATGAACACTATTGAGGGAGCCTCTTGGGAGGATTTATGCTTCATTTACAGGTGGTTTAGCGTACTTCTAATTTTAAGAATTCTGATTCTACTATTCACTAGTGTGTACTGAGAGCCTTGCATGTGCCAGAGACAGTGTTTCAATCAACATTATTTTAAGCCAACCCCTGGTCTAAGCCAGCTGTCCCATCCAGCATGTGAGTTATTCCTTCTTCCCCTTCCTCGGCATCTTGGCAACTTCTCTCTGGCTTCTTATCTCCTGCAGGGGCTTGAGATGCACTGTGATCAGTCTTCCAAGCACTTTGAACCATGCTATGTAGACAGAAGCCGTGTAAGCCAGTCACTGAAGAAAGGGCATCAAAAAGTGACATTATTGGAAGTTTGGGCTCAGCCCAGGGGAAGGATTTAGATACAATCAATGGCTCAGAAAACGGCTACAAATGTTAATATCTGCCTGTATGTATAACAGTGTTTTAGAGAGAGCTACTCATCTGTAAAAATACATACCAGCCCGGCAGTAGTGATTTTTTAAAACTTCCCCAGGTAATTTATGAGTACTGCTAGGTTTCTCAAAGCTTAATTAAAACTATGGCTTACATAATTGTGAATATTGGGACAAAAGAAATTTGAGACCCATATCTTACCTTACCTCCATCACAAACTTTATTGGGAACACCAGGTGGTGACCAGTGTGGAAAAAGAGAGAAGAGCAAAGGGGCAGACAGGCAGTGGTCACCACCAAAGACCCTTGACAATTTGATTTCCTCACCATGTAAAGCCACTCCTAAACACAGGTAAAATAGAAGTCAGCCTATGTCACATGATGCACACATTTAACCTACCCAAATTCACATGAGACTTTAAGTAGAGCAATTGATTCTTTCCTTTTTTTTTTCAAACAGTGTAAGCCCTGGACCAGTGGTGCTCCGCCTTGACTTCACGTTAGGATCACCTAGGGAGCTTTCAAACATGCTAATATCCAGACCCCATGTGGAAAACAGTGTTGATACAAATGTTTCTATTCCCTCTGCTTTTAGGAACTCAGGTAGATTGAACTTCCCTAGCCACCTGAAATCAGGCATAGCAATGTGTCTTGATTTGCCAGTCAATGAATTTGACCACAAGTACAGACGGGCATTCTTGGGTGGAAGAATTTAGCACCTGGTAGCCATTTCTCTAGTTCTCTTCCTGTGCCTCATCAGGTAGTAACATTTCAGAAACTAGAGCATCCATAAGCTGTTACTGGAATGACACTACATGGAGAATCACCTGTCCTTCTTCCATACTTGTTTCACCTGGAGCATGACTGAGAAACAATTTAACAGTGTATATTTTTATCTTTTAAAAATAGAACATGGCTTCTAATCACAAACCTACTTTACATGGTGTTCAGCTATTCTAACATATCCTAACTCTTCAGGAAACATTCTCAGTAATATAGTTACTAAAAGTGCATTTTTCTACAACATGATGCATAAATGTAGCTACACATTATTATTGTGGATTTAAACTGTTGTCAACTGTAATTTTAGCTAGTCACAAGTTTTATCTTGCACTTAGGTTTTGGAATCTAAACACTTAAAACTGATGCAACTCTCCTCTACTGAAGAAACACCAAAATCTTTTCTATGCACATTTTAATCTCTTAAAACAACTTGATGACAAGGTCTTGCTACAGTCACTTTACAGATGAGAAAACAGGATCAAAGAGATTAAACTGACTAAGCTGAGTTTAAGCAGTTTAAAGTTTTCCAGTCTGTATTTTTCATATTTCAAAATGTGTGGTCTTATGCTGTGTTTCTCAAATTTATTTCTCAGAGTAATCCCTGAGAAACTTGTTCAAATTTTAGATTCTCTAGGCCCCACGCTGAGAAATTCTTATTCAGTAGGCCTAGGGTAGACTATCTGCATTTCTAATAAGCTTTCCCCCATCCAGTGTCTTTGATACAAATAGTCCACATATCACACAAACCCTATAAACAACAAACAGCCTTTATATACACTGTGTTCTCTGTCCAGAAAAGAACAGCTACCACCTTTCCCCACTCACTCTTTTATTAAGTAGGGTTATTAGGTCACAACTACTGAAATCACTTCTTGCTAACTTACACAGAATTATGATTACTTTTCAAAATACAGGATGGCCCACAAAAATTGAAGAAAAAAAGCAGCCTCAGAAAGAACAGAAACCAGGATGGCCCCAGAGATTCAGGTAACAGGAGTTAATTTAGAAATGTGTGAGAATATTAAAACTCATAGGATGAATTGGCTCCAATGTCTTTATGTGATTCTGCTCAAGATTCAGTTTTTAGGAGAGAGAATCTGACTAGCTTAGATTAGTTCATTACTATCCCTTGACTAAGGAACAGTAGGGTATCCTACTGACCAAGACTATATACAAAGTAAAAAAGATTTCCCAGACATAACTCAAGGGACTGCTACCAACCAAAGGGAGAATTGATGCTTGGAAGCCAAAAAAAGACCTAATGACTATATAGTTATCCTGCCCAGGAAGTACCCATGTGGTCCCTCTAGTCATTAAAAAAAAGAAAAGAAAAAAACCCACTATGAAAGTACTTCCTCTGAATTCTTCAACATAGACTGGAAAATTGCCACTAGAAGACTACTTAAATATACTTAGGAATTTCTGTAGAAAATGGTGGTAAA
Source organism: Homo sapiens (assembly GCF_000001405.40). Lineage (NCBI taxonomy): Eukaryota > Metazoa > Chordata > Mammalia > Primates > Hominidae > Homo > Homo sapiens. The sequence goes on along the minus strand of NC_000006.12, from coordinate 80,097,590 downwards.
GTTGAATATTCTTATATCCTCTCTTTTAAAAAGAAAGAGTAAAGGGGAGCAAATTAAACACACACATTTTACATATACAGCATAGTTAGGACAGAGACATCTACAAACTAAAAATTTATGGGAAAATGAAAAATAAACAGACAACATTTGGCTCACACAGGTAGAGGGAGTCTAGAGAAAGCTTTATTTGGAGCAGAAAGATCATCTGAATAGTCCTAAATCTACAAAAGAAGCTAAATTTATACCTTAAAATGTCCCAACAAACAAAACTTCAAGCCCAGATTGCTTCGTTGGTGAATTCTACCAAACATTTAAGTAAGAAATAATGCCAATTATATAAAAAAATCTTCCAATATATAGAAGAGAGGGTAATATTTTCCAACTCATTTTATGATAATATTAACCTAATATTAAAATCAGATAAAGACACTATAAGAAAAGAAAACTACAAATATTCCTCATGAGGATAGATGCAAAAATCTTTAAAAAAGCAAATATAATAAAGCAATATATAAAAATAACAGTATAACAAGGCCAAATGGACATAAGAATTCATAGGAATGTAAGGTTGATTTAACATTTGAAAATCAAGCAATGCAATTCACCATATCAACAGACTGAAAAAGGAAAAAGTAATCATTTTAACAGAGGTAAATGGAAAAAGTAATCATTTTAACAGAGGTAAAAAAAGAACATAGACAATAAAAAGCAGAGATTGTTAAACTGGATGAAAAATCAAGATCCAAATAAATGCTGTCTACAGAAGACACACTTTAGATTCAAATACTTAAACGTAAAAGAATAGAAAGATATATCTTGCAAGCACCAGCCATGAGAAAGGTAGAGAGGCTATACTAATATTAGAAAAAAATAGACTTTAAAACAAAAATACGGTTTCTACAGATAAAGAAGGATACTTTTATGAAGACAAAAGGGTCAATTCATAAGGAAAATATAAGCAATTTTAAACATATATGCACCTAACAACAGAGTACCAACATACACGGAGCAAAAACTGACAGAAATGATGGGAGAAATGGACAATTCTACAACAATGGTTGGAACTACAATAACTCACTTTAATAGTGGGTAGAACAACGAGGCAGAAAATCAGCAAGGAAATGGAAGACTTAAACACACTGTAAACCAACTAGACCTAACAGGTATTTATAGAACACTCCACCTAAAAACACCAGACTATATGTTTTTCTCAGGTGTATATAGAACCTTCTCCAAGATACAGTATGTGTTAGGCCATAAAGTAAACCTCAATACATTTAAAATAATAGAAAGAGTTATGCATGGTGGTGTCCACCTATAGCCTTAGCTACTCAAGAGGCTGAGACAAGAGAATCACTTGAGCCCAGGATTTCAGGCTGTAGTACACTATGATTACACCTGTAAATAGCCACTGCACTCCAGCCTGTGCAATATTGTGAGACCCCATCTCTAAAACAAAAAGGAAAAAGAGAATAGAAATAATGCAAAGTATGTCCTCTGACCACAATGGAATAAAGAATTAAATTACAAATCAAATGGGTCAAAAAATAAATCAAAGGGAAATGATATGGTTTGGGTCTGTGTCCCAGCCCAAGTCTCTTGTCAAATTGTAATCCCAAATATTGGAGGTGGGGCCTGGTGGGAGGTGATTGGATTGTGGGGGCAGATTTCCCCCCATGGTGCTGTTCTTTCACGACAGTGAGTTATCACAAGATCTGGTTGTTTAAAAAGTGTGTAGCACCTCCCCCCATCTCTCTTCCTCCTGCTCTAGCCACATAAGATGTGCTGGCTTCCCTTCACCTTCTGCCATGATTGCAAGTTTCTTGAGGCCTCCCCGGCCATGCTTCCTGTACAGCCCGCAGAACTGTGAGCCAATTAAACCTCTTTTCTTTATGAATTACCCAGTCTCAGGTATTTCTTCATAAGAGTGTGACAACAGACTGATACAAGAAATTAGAAAATACTTACAGATGGATAAAAATGAAGATACAACATATTAAAACATATGTAACTAAAGTAGTGCTTAGAGGAAAATTTACAACTGTAAATGCCTGATTTAAAAAGAAGTAAGATCTCAAACCAATAACCCAAATTCCTGGCCTAAGACACCGGGGGGAAAAAAGAATAAACTAAGTCTAAAGCAATCAGAAGGAAGGAAACAAGAGCTAGGTTTTTTGAAAACATCAAAAAAAATCGACAAACTTTAAGCTAGATTGACCAAGAGAAAAAGAGAAGAATCAAATTACCAGACCAGAAATGAAAGAAAGGAAATGATTTTTAGATGAAAGGAGTGAAAAGGATCAAAAGCCATAAGTAGGTGAGGAAATATAAAAGGTATCATCTTTTTTCATGTCTTAATTCCATTAAAAGACAAATGAGTATTTAAAGTAAAAACTATAGGTGGATGTGGTGGTTCACTCTTATGATCCTAGTGCTTTGGGAGACTGAGGTGGAAGGTTTGCTTAAGCCCAGGAGTTCAAGACCAGCCTGGGCAACATAGCAAGACCCCATCTTTAAACAAAAATAAAAAAATAAAATAAATGAAGTAAAAATTATAACACTGTGTTGTGGGGTTTGTAATGTATTTACATGTAAAATATAAGACAATAATAGGATAAAGGGTGGAGTATAAATGGAATTATACTCTCCAAGGTTCTTACAGTTTGCATGAAGTAATATGATATTAAATCTAAGTAGAAGTGATACGTTAAGAATGAGACCCCTAGAGCAATAATTCCTTACAATTCCTACAGCAACCACTAAAAAGTCTTTCAAAGAGATATAACTAAAAGATATAACAAAAAGATAAAACTTAAAAGAGAAATTAAAATGGAATAAACATTCAGCCCCAAAGAAAGCAACTCTATTAAAGATTCTTCATAGGGTTGCTATATTCAAAGGATCATCTTGTAAAAGAAAACTGGCTGTACAAATAAGTTAGTGTAAATTAACTGTTATATGCTATAATAGACACAGTGAGATAAGTAATTGGTTTAGATACCAGCTCTGTTTCTAGCTGAATGACCTTGAGTGTATCATTTAACCCGTCAAGTCTCATGGAGAGAACATTAAAACTACCTAGAAGGATGTCATGATGACAAAATCACATGATACATACAAGTTACTTGTACATACCAATCGCTCAATAAGTATTTGTTGAATTAATTTACATGTGTAAACACATGTAAAAGATGTATATGTGCCAGTTCCAGAAGAAAAGTCTAGTAATATTAACTAGGATTGTTTTTATTAAGAATTCATAATTATGGAAGATGCCTTATCTCTCTGGAAAACAGAAGAAAACAAACCCCACCACCCGCCCAAAAAAGTCACAATTACGGATTGTAGTAACTTGGTCAAGACACCAGGTGGCATGAGATAATAAAAATTATTACCACTTGCTACTATTCTTCAGAATACAATTGTACAATGATTTGCATACTACATATTTAAGAAAAGTTGCAATTTAAATTTTCTAAATCAATGTACAGATTTCAAGGTGCCTTTTGATTAGTTCACTTTCCAATAGCAATTCCATTTCAGCCTTTCAGTGTATCTGCCTTTGCATCTGCCAAATAATAACAGGCCAAGCCCCACACATTGCATACATTATTTTATTTTATCTTCACTCTCCTAAGAGGCAGGTATTAACTCCAGTTTACGGATAAGAAAGCTGAAGCTCAGGGCAGAAAATGGGGTTCGAAACAAGACTTGACAGAAATTTCTTTGAAAATTATGTTACCTGGTCTCCCATGGTCCTTAATTTCTCTAAAGAAGTATGATTAAGGAAATAGCTAGAATAACCCTTTTCAAGCAAAATGCAAGAAGCAATCATCAAATTTATTATTCTTTATAAACTTGGATGTGGATTTACAGTATTGAATTTAGCAGACATAACTGAATTGTAAGTAAAAGCTTATTAATAATGCAAAATGTTTATGAAATACACATAGCCAAGAGGCTTAACATACCTTATGGTTTTTTTAAAAAAGTAAAATATATAGTAGACAGGCATCACAAGTTTCCATTTACAAAAAAAGAACAGAGCACATGTGGGGATAAGTCATTTAATCAAAGTCACTCCCTCCCAACCCATCTTGGAATTGGCTTCAGAGTACTAATGTGCTTGTTTTCCCAGATCAAAGTAGCATATATTTACTCTCTTTTTCATTCAACAGAAATGTGTTGAATACTATGTGAAGACTAATACAAACCAGACACAAATCCTTCCCTCAAAAGTCTTCATCTCCAAGGTAAAAAAGTTATGTAGAATAGTTTCTGGACTGGCTCACCCAAACTCAATTCCACTGACACAATTACACTTACACAATTCCACTGACACTATAGCAGGATTTTCCTTCCTGTTCAGATGATTATGTGACCATCTTTGTGACTCAAGTCATCACCAATGTCTGTCATGCTGAGCAAGAGGCATTCTTGCACCTGTTAAGGTCCTACCCTGGAGCCATAGCTGGGAGGAGAGGAAGATGGATAATTAATGCTGCTTCCCTCTTTGGATGTGGTTCACCAACCAACATAGAGCCCCTTTCCAACTTTAAAACCCTTGGTGCACAGAAATTCAATTCATCGGAAACATGTGTAAGCTAGGACAGATACAGGCAAGTTGTTCCAGAGACCATTCTGCAAAACATGTAGTGTGTAATACAAAGTAGAAAGAAATAACTCCCTTAAAGAATACAAAAATGGGTCAGGCATGGTTACTCAGGGTTGTAATCCCAGCACTTTGGGAGGCCAAGGCAAGAAGATAACTTGAAGACCAGGAGTTCAAAACCAGTCTGTGCAATATAGCAAACTCCATCTCTACAAAATAAAAATAAAATAACTTAGATGGGTGTAGTGGCATGTGTGTGTAGTCTTACCTACTCAGAAGCCTGCAGCAGGAGAAATATCTTGAGCCCGGGAGTTCAAGGCTGCAGTGAACTATGATCACGCCAGTGCACTCCAGCCAGCTTGGGTAAGAGAGTGAGACCCATTTCTAAAAAAAAAAAAAAAAAAAAAAAAAAATTAAATACAAAAATGTTTCTCAGTGCGGTCCCTTACTACTGCATCATTATCAGCTAGAATGCAGGTCAAAATACAAAGTCCTAGACTCTACTCTAGACCACTGGAGGGATAGGGCCTGAGAATTCCCATTACATTTTTTTTTCTTTTTTTTGAGACGGAGTCTTGCTCTGTTGCCCAGGCTAGAGTGCAGTAGCCAGATCTCGGCTCACTGCAACCTCTGACTCCCAGGTTCCATGCCTCAGCCTCCTGAGTAGCTGGGACTACAGGCATGCGCCATGATTCCTGGATAATTTTTTTGTGTGTGTATTTTTTTTTTTTTTTTTTGTATTTTTAGTAGAGATGGGGTTTCACCACATTGGCCAGGCTGGTCTCGAAAGACTGAAAATGAAACATTGAATATTTCTTTTAGCCAAGAAAAGGAGGGCCATGTGAAAACAGTGGCATTGGACCAGGGCCTTGAATATAGGGAGCTAACATTCCACATAGGTAAACAGTAGCTTGAGAAAAGGCAGAGCAGTGTGTAAGAACAGGTTCCTTTGGAATGGGGCAAAAGATACATAACAAACAGTGACAGGGAATGAAGTTGAGATAGTCCTTAGGCTCAGATCATGAGGGTTATAAATGTCGTCTTAGGAAACCTGGGCTTTGCTTTATTGGGTTGGGGGATGAGTTGTAGCAGTGGTCCTGAAGACTCTCAGGTTGGTGATGGCTGATGTTGAATTGACTTTGGTTTCTCACAAACAGTCATAACATACAGATACACATAAGGTCAGTTAAAATAAACAGGCCAATAAGAACAAGAAAATGGAGTTAACCATGATGACACTTTCCTGGCTTCAGCCCAGGCATAACCCTGAAAATGTCATCTTAAAGGAAGTAAAAGGTGACACTCTAAACACTAGCCTCTTCTCAGCATTCATCTCTCTGGACTGATGCAAGACATTTGACACTATTGACTAATCTTTTTTTTCCCCCTTCTTTAGCCTGACACTTCTTTTTCCCCTCTTCTAACATTCCATTATTTCTTTCAGATTCCTCTGCCTCCCTCTTCTCTTCTAAATAAAGTATCCTTCAAAGCACTGTTCTTGGGCTTCCTCTTCTCTCTGTCCCTCATAAACCTCATCTCTTTCCCCATCATTCAGAAGCCAATGATAATGGTAGCTCTTCTCTTTGTGCAGGAAAGAGTAGCAAGCACTTTATATGTATTTTCTCTGGTCTTCAGAGCAATTCTGTCAGTTAGGAGTAATTCTTATTACTCTTCAGATGAATAAACTGAGGCTCAAAGAGGGTCCATTCACTTAGTTATGGACATACCTCTATAAGTGATATAGCCAGGATTCAAACCCACATATGTTGGAATCCAACGCCTGACCTTTTCCCATGCTGACTATGATGATTTTCATGTGAAGTCCAATACTGCCTACAATAGAGTGGAACTGTCAAAGATGCAGCCAGACAAATTGATGGACAAAAAGGGCAGTTCAGAAATAGTCCCAGGCATATATGAGGTGGTATATGATACAGCTGGCACTTTAAATCATAAGAAAAGGATGGATTTTCCAGTAAATAATATTTTGATATGAATATTTAAACACCTAATTCAAACCATATACCAAAATTCCAGTTAGATTAAAATCTTTATTAAAAAATTAAGCCATAAGTATTTATCTATATTTTCTATGCATGCCATGTAAGTTTACTTGCATTCTCTATATTTACTTGTATTTTCTCAGTACATGTTTATGTGACATGGAGGAGGGGAAGGACTTTCAATACATACCATTAAAGGTGGAAAGCATAAATGAATTAGCAAGACATTTGGTTACCAAAACAGAAAAATTTCCTGAAGAAAACTAAATCTCTTAAACAATTTAATAGCTCCGGGCTGACATTTCCATTTTCCTGCTGCTCATGCTGCTAGTTTCTTATTTCTATTTGTAGTTTGTTCTTTTCCCACTACCATCTAATCCATAATCTAGTAGGAGAAAGATCTCTGAGGTCGATTCAACAGTTAAATGCAGGTATGTCAAACTTTCTGGAACTCAGTTCCTCTTTGTTTAAATAGAAGGTGTTGACCTGGATGATTTCTGAGGTTTTGTTTTGTTTCGTTTTTTTCATTTTAAAATTCTATAATTCTCTTTTTACAGCCTCTACTCCTTTCAGTACTATTTGAAGGGGATAATAAATAACCAGTCTTTCTTCTCCTGAGTTCAGAGCCAATTGAGAAATAAGACTCATGAAAGACACACATGGTAACTAGGTAATAGCTTTCTTACTGATAATAGTGAGTTTAAAAATGTGGCTTGTTTTATGGCCACATGAGCATGCTAACTAACACTCTCCTCCCTGACACAGAATCAAACTCATCCACGCAGTCAAAGCTAAGTTTGACCACCACAGTCCCTCCTCACTGCACAGCAGAGGAGGAAAATAAGGAGAGATAATGTGATGTGAAGCTACACATGTTCATTTTTTCCTCCCAATCTCATCAGAGGTAGGAGTATAATTTAGCTGAATTTCTTGTATATGGAATTATGAAGGAATGAGAAAGGACCCTCTAACACCAATCACATAATTATCTGTTTCTTCTAATAACTGATCTAATTCAGAGTCTTTCCTCCTTCATTTAGAAAAAAGGATATCCTCTAAATTGGGCCCCCCATTTCTGGCCTCCCCACCATGGTATCCATGCTGTGCACCACTTCCACATTAATCTTCCCAAATCATAGGGTAGCTGGACAAATCTGAATTTAGAATCAGAGAATGGATGTTAAACTTGGTTCTTTTACTAATTAGCTATATGGCTGTGGGCAAGTGTCCTTACTTTCCTAGGATTGGGGAACCCTTATCCATAGCATGGCATGGTTAGACTATCCCTTCCTATTCCATAGTATCAGTTCAAGTTTCAAACACTTTCAGTAAGTTTGTCCATAGTATAAATCCCTTAGCATGGTATGTGTGACTCTCTACAAACTAACAAAGATTTTCAGTCTTTATTCACAGAACTTCCTAAAGAGCCTGTCCTTTTTAGCAAAATAAATCTCTAAAACATTTAGTCCTTTATTATTTCTGTGCTCTTCCTTTATCTGCAGTGTGACTCGTCACTCCCAGCACTGCTTCTCTAGAGACTGTTCAATCTAGATCCCACAGAAACAATTCTTCTTTCCCAGTCTGGGCGAGGTGGCTCACGCCTGTAATCCCAGCACTTTGGGAGGCCAAGGAGGGCAGATCACTTGAGGTCAGGAGTTCGAGACCAGCCTGACCAACATGGTGAAACCCCGTCTCTATTAAAAATACAAAAATTAGTCAGGTGTGGTGGCGGGCGCCTGTAATCCCAACTACTCGGAAGGCTGAGATAAGAGAATCACTTGAACCCGGGAGGTGGAGGTTGCACAGAGCCAAGATCATTCTGCTGTACTCCAGCCTGGGTGACAGATCAAGACTCCGTTTCAAAAAAAAAAAAAAAAAAAACAATACTTCTTTCCCAAGCCTTTTTGGATTTTCCCAGCCAGAAGTGATAGCAGATTCAGATCTAGGGTGGGGCTACATTTGTCATATACCCACCTGTGGCAGAGACATTTACTGCTCACTGAATAGCCGTGGGCAAATACGTAAAAGGAATACATCCTACTTCGGGACAAATGACCCTCCAGTTCTCTCCTCCTCTGCAGTGGCAACCTGAAACATACTTGCTTTGATGTCTATTTCACAAGCTCTTGTAACATGAAAGACACAGATCTTGGGTAAGCAAGCGAGATTTGTTACCACAGCATAACCCAGCTTAATCTGACTTAATACATCACCTGAAAGAAGGCTGGGGATCACAAGGCTTACTGCGGCTTCCTTAATTGTCCACAGAGCTATCAACATGACGGTGGGATATCAATATTTATTATATGTTTTATATTGAAAATTATAATAACCTACAGGATTATCATCAATATTTATAATATTCTGTTAAAATAATTTTTGTTAATGTTGTATACTCTTATGTATCATGTCATTATTTATTATTATATCACTTATAATAAACACCAAAGTGTTTCTTATACCTGTTTTTAGTTGTTCTTTTTTACGTAAACATCTGCTTTTTATTTAATGCTTAAACAACTACTTTAACTTCTGCTCTAAGCAACAGGACAGAGACCCAAATAAAGGGTTTCAATCTTTTAGAAATTACACTCCTTCTCATTGTTTGTTGGATTTCACGACCCATTTACCACTTTCTAAAAATATAGGTGACTGTAAAACAAGTGATGAATAAAACTGAGACTCAGAGAGTAAGTTCACATTTCTATTATAAAGAATAAAATAAACATACTCAAAAAAGTAGAAGTTGGAAATGACACTGTTGCCTTCTCTACACATCTTCTTACAGGCTCACACTTTCACATTTTCTTTTAAATTATTAGTATGAAAAATGTCAAAAATATAGACAAAAGTAGAACCAACAGTAAAATTAACCCCAATTTATCCAACAACCAGAGTCAGTGATTATCAAGATTTTTTCCTACTTGCTTTGTCTGGTTTTTTCATTGCTATTGTTGCTAGAGTATGCTAAAGCTAATACAACATTTCATCCATACACATTTCAGTATACATCTCTTTAAAAACTTATATTTTCTTAAATAACCACATTGCCATTATCACACCACAACATCCTCAATCCCTACATTTACTTTTAAAAATTAAAATTAATAGACAAAAAAATAAGTTTGTTGAGAAAATTATTTTGAAATGCAATATAGTACTCCCTTGTGAAATGTGGATATACCCTTGATCCAACAAAGAAGTTGCAACTGTTTGGCACCCTTGACAGCTTCCAAGGCTTGCAAGTTCCATATCAGGTCAAAGTGGACATGGAGCAGTCAGCCAGCCAACTCTCCCACCAAACAAAAGCACCCACTCTTGGGATAAAAGGTTATCTCTGCTCCTCTCTACCAAAACACAGCCCCTGCCCTTAGCCACATGGCAGGATGCTTTTTCTTCTAAAGAAAAGCTTAGATGAGTGAGACTGTCATGGGAGAAAGTGTGAATTTGGAAGAAGGGGCTGCTGAGGCTCAAAGTTAGACTTTCCCTAAATCTTTGGGGTGTGGAGGAGCTGGTATTGGCATCATTTATTGCATAAGATGTGTGTGTGTGTGTGTGTGTGTGTGTGTGTATTGTTATAAGTTTTGATCTGTGTGGAAAAGGGAATTTGAAAACAGAGTTGGATGATTAGAAAGGCTTTCCTTATAGACCTTGTTCAGTAAGCATAAGAGTGCTCCTGTTATATTACCTGCAATCTCTGATAAATAAATGAAGCAAAAATAAGCTAGATATGAACAAGCTGAGAATTACAAGCTATATATTCCAAGGCAAATTATTTATCCCTAAGCTTTCATTTCCTTACCTAGAAAATGAGGATACTGATGCCTACCTGACATTAGTATTAATATTGTAAGGACTAAAGAAAATGTGCAAAAGGGGAATTAGTAGGAATCTATCTAAGAGAAATAAGGTTGTAGCGGGTGGAATATGCGTCTAGAGACTTCACCAGCTTTCCCCAACTTATTTCTGTGAGCTAATTTTAGAATAGATGTGAATTCTACCCACTTCTTTTCTATCACTGGTCATAAAATTTCAAGAGGGCAGAAACTCAGCACCAGGTCACCCACCAAGCCTCATCAGGAGGAAAGAGAACTCTGAGTTTCCTGAGGAGGGAGCATGTGCAGGAGCAGTGGGAGCTCCATTATTCCTCAAAAGAGCTTTTCCTTGAGCTCAGTGCCTATGGCAGGCCTAAGTACAAGGCCTGAGACCTCAGTGAAGAAATTGCTAGTGCAAACTAAAAGCAAAAAGTCATGTAAAAGGGGAAAAATTGCACATTGCCCTGCTTCTTTTAAAAGAAATTTGTTATTTTTAAATTATGTGAGATTAGAAATTGTTGAAGCTATTTACTTAATCCAGACAAATCACAGATCTGTTTGTTTCCCAGAAAGAATCTGCACCAAGTTTAAAAGGTCTGGGCTAGAGGAAAAAAGAAAATTAGAATGAATTCCTCTTTGCCATCTGTCTGCTAGAGGAAGTGGGAAAAGAACACAAGAATGGATTACAGAGAAGTCTGTGGGTAACAAGGTGTACTTGAAGCTGAAATTTTTCCCCACTCCAGAATCTCCATGTTGCTCAGTTGCCTGAAGTAGGCACACCTTGATATGTGTCCCAAACAGTACCTCTTTGGTCCTTACAAAGACACTAGCTGACAATCTGGGAGTTTCATTACAACAAAATCAAGCACAATGATAGTATCAATGAGAGCAATTGATAATAGAAAATGTTTACTATGAGCCAGTCAGGTACAGTTCTGCTCCTGCATATTTCTGTGAGCTAATTTTAGAATAGATGTGAATTCTACCCACTTCTTTTCTATCCTCCTGCATATATATATGTCTGTGTGTGTATACATATATATGTGATATACACACATACCACATATATATACATATACACATATATGTATGTGTGTGTGTATATATATAGTGCATATATATATGTGTGTGTGTGTGTATGTGTGTGTGTGTGTGTGTGTATATATATATATATATATATATATATATATATATATATATATATTGCTCCTGACAAGCAATATCTCCTGACCAAGAGCTGTGGTTGAGAGGTCAATTGGGTGTCAACTGCTTCTTTTTTCTGAAATGCAGAGAGAATGTCTCCTACATCTGGGTAAAAGTCAAAATCAATTACTTAGCCATAGATTGAAGCTTGTTCTGTAACTGGGGGATTAGTGTAATTTTCCTCACTATTCAGGGAGCAATTCAGATTGAGGTAACTAATCATTCATAGCTCAAATACACTTTGTTAACACAGTTTCAGCCCAATTACCTATGTAATATAATCTTATAAGGGACAAAAATTGTTTTTTTTTTCTGTTTTAGGTTTTTTTTCTAAACGTTCATTTCAGAATAAGTTTATACTTACACAAAATTATAAAAATTGTACAAACAATTCCCATATACTCTTCATCCAGGTTCTAAAAATGTTAATTTCTTTTTTTTCTTTTTTCTTTTTTTGTTTTTGAGACGGAGTCTCGCTGTCGCCCAGGCTGTAGTGCAGCGGCACGATCTCGGCTCACTGCAAGCTCCGCCTCCCGGGTTCAGGCCATTCTCCTGCCTCAGCCTCCCGAGTAGTAGCTGGGACTACAGGCGCCCGCGACCACGCCCGGCTAATTTTTTGTATTTTTAGTAGAGATGGGGTTTCACCGTGTTAGCCAGGATGGTCTCGATCTCCTGACCTCGTGATCCGCCCGCCTCGGCCTTCCAAAGTGCTGGGATTACCGGCGTGAGCCACCGCGCGCCCGGCCGAAATGTTAATTTCTTATATAATCATAGTATGATGACCAAAACCAGAAAAGTAATATTGATAAAATTTATTATTTAGTCTACAGACCTTATTCAAATTTTGACAATTGTCTCATTAAATATCCTTTTTTCTTATATAGGTTCTAATTCAAGACAGGATCACACATACATTGTCATGTTGCTTAGTTAATCTAGATTATAGAACACACAGTTCAGCACACTTGTTCTATAAAGGGCCAGATAGTAAATATTTTTGTGTGTTCTTTAGGGCAGACAGTCTCTACGAGAACTACTCAACTTGGCTAAAAGTAGCCATAGAGTATACATAAACGGGTGTGGCTATGTTCCAGTACAATTCTATTTAGAAAAACAATTGACAGGTTGAACGTAGCTGATGGGCCATAGCTTGCACATTCTAGAACACTGGTTCTCAAAGAGGGGGATCCCCAGCTCACCAGCATGTGTTGTCACCTAGGAACTTGTTAGACATGCAGATTTTCAGACCTACTAATTAGAAACTCTGAGTGGGGTTTGGGGGGTTCGCAATCTGTGTTTTGTTTGTTTTGTCTTTTGAGACAGGGTTTGGCACTGTTGTCCAGTCTGGAATGCAGTAGTGGGATCTTAGCTCACTGCAGTCTCAAACTGCTGGGCTCAAGGATCCTCCACCTTCAGCTTCCTGAGTAGCTAGGACTATAGGCTCACATCCCCACACCCTGCTAACTAAAAAAAAAAAATTTTTTAGAGATGGGGTCTCACTATGCTGTGTTACCCAGGCTGGTCTAGAACTCCTGGACTCAAGCAGTCCTCCCACCTCAGCCTCTCAAAGTGCCAGGATTATAGGTGTGAGCCATCACGCCCAGCCAGCAATCTGTGTTTTTAACAAGCTGTCCCAGGTGTTTATGATATATACTAAAGTTCTAAAGCACTGATCCAGATAATTTCTGTGTCTACCTTTGCTTTTCAAGACCTTGACATTTATGAGGAGTACAGGCCTGTTGTTTTGTAGGATATCCCTCACTTGGGCTTGTTGATGTTTGCTTACGATTAAATTCAGGTTATGCATTTTTTAGCAAGAATACAACAGAAATGATTTTGTGTCCTCTTCCTTGGGGCTTATTAGAAGACACATGGTATCAATGTGTTTCTTCAGCTTTGAGACTAACTGATCATTTGGTTAAAGTGGTATCTGCCTGGTTTCTCTACTGTAAAGTTACTATTTTTCTCCTTGTAACTAATTGTCTTGCAGGAAGATTCTTCGACACTATGTAAATACTTTCAGGAACTAATTTTATCACGCATTGATGAATCTTGATCTTAAAACAATTATTACTGTGGTGTTTGCCAAATAATGATTTTTCTATTTCCATCAATCTGTGCATGTTACTAAGAATTCTACTTTAAAACATGGCTTTTCATAATCCTTCATTTATATATTTGTTCAACGATTTATTTATATCAGCATGGATTCTTATTTTATTCATGGATTATAACTATCATCATTATTTTTTTTTGTTCCAATTGTCCCAGATTTAGTCAATGGGAACCCCTTCAAGTTGGCTCTTTTGTCTTTTTGGCATGTCCCATCATATTTGGAGTCTTAAGAATTTACATCTTGGTTATCTGCTTTCGGCATTCCACTCTCCTAGCGACGGCTTCAGTGAGTATGAACCACTTTTAGCTATATAATTTTTTTTTTCTGAGACAGTCTCACTTTGCTGCCCAGGCTGGAGTGCTGTGGAACAATCTTGGCCCACTGCAATCTCCGCCTTCTGGGTTCAAGCAATTCTCATGTCTCAGCCTGCCCAGTAGCTGGGATTACAGGCATGCACCACTGCGCCTGGCTAATTTTTGTATTTGTGGTAGAGACCGGGTTTCGCCATGTCACCCAGGCTGTTCTCGAACTCCTGACCTCAAGCAATCCTCTGGCCTCGGCCTGCAAAAGTGCTGAGATTACAAGCCTAAATTTTGTTTAATAAAAGAAAGATAAACATATTTTTGAAAAGATATAGGGCTGGGTGTGGTGGCTCATACCTGTAATCCAAGCACTTTAGAGGCTGAAAGGATCACTTGAGGCCTGGAGTTCAAGATTAGCCTGGGCAACATAGCAAAATATTGTCTCTCTCTCTCTACACACACACACACACACACACACACACACACAGACACACACACAACATTAAAAAAAAAAGATTTTTTAAAATCAGCACAAGAGAACAAGGTGAACTTGGCTTTCTAAGAATGACTATGGAAGCCCATCTTCCCAATGTTTTGAATTCATGATTCATCTGTAACTGAATATAAACATTTCTATTTGACCTAGTCTCCCAAATGTGTGAGAAAAGATGGCCCAAGGACTACCAAGAAGTTATCATCGCTAATGCCAGATTCTATAATTCCATACCATCTAAGCAACAGACTAGAGTCTTCTTTCAAAATTTTCATTATAGAATAGTCTTCACACAGTATACTGGCTGTAGATAAAATGCATCTACATTTTTCTATGTTTGGAATTACACATCACATATTCTTTCCTAAACGAGTAACAGTATTATTCAGAGAGGTTGGTAAAAGAGAGATTGTATTCAGAAAAGAGGCATTGTCTTCTGTACATCTTTGTGACTTAGTCTTGACATTCCTGGGGACAGAATTACCAGCCAAAGCCTGCAGGTGTTAAGTAGGGTATGTGCTTTAAGTCCACAATGATGCAAGACACGGTCCTAGCTGCTTTTCATTGCTACAGAAGGCTCAGGCTGGCCCTGTTGGACACCTACCTGTAGGATTTGTAACATAGGTGAAAGTTTAGGAAGTGTGAGTGACAAAATGCAGATCAAGTAGGAAGGATCACACAGTCTGAACCTCTTTCACTCAGGCAATCAGAATTGATGGCAATAACTGATTGATTTAGTTACGTATTTATTTACTGTATATTTACTGAACACCTGCTAGGTTCAAGGCCCTGAGATAGGTCCTCATGGAAACCAGGTTATGTGAGACATCTCAAAAGAGTCATTCCTACAGATTTAAATAAATTGTTTCTCTTAAAGAAAAAGAAAATATGTTTAAAAGTCTAAATAATTAAACACATACACATTTGAGTGTACATATATGCACACTCAAATAAGAAATTGCTGGGCAATTAAGAGGTGCTTTTCCATTGGTTGCTGCTCTTTTGCAATTCAGTGAGCAAAAAATTTCATTAGAAAAATTTCAGGGAAAAGCTCAAACTATTAAGAATAGAATTAAATTACATAATTTTATTTTTAATAAAACATAGTATGATTCTATTTATATGACATTCAAAAGTAGGCAAATTTAATCATAAGGAAAAAATCAGAGCAGAGATAGCAGGGATTTAGTAGTATCTGTTGTTACATAACAAACACGCCAAATTTAACAGCTTGAAATAACAAGAATTTATTATCAAATAATTTCTGTGGGTTAGAAATTTTGGACTGGTATAGCCCAATGGTTCTGGTTCAGGATCTCTCAGACTAAGGTCAGTATATTGGCCAGGGCTGCACTCATCTCAAGGTTTGACTTGATTTGGGCTGGTTTATTCACTTCCAAGATGGCTGTTGGCAAAAGGTCTTGGTTCCCTGCTAACTGTTGACAGCAGGCCTCAGTTTCTTGCCACATGGGTCTTTCCATAAAGCTACTTGAGTGCCCTCACAATTTGGCAGCTGGCTTCCCCTAGAGAAATTTGCAATGGTGGCCAGGCACAGTGGCTTGTGCCTGTAATCCCAGCACTTTGGGAGGCTGAGGCAGGTGGATCACCTGAGGTAAGGAGTTCGAGACCAGCCCGGTCAACATGGCGAAACCCTGTCTCTACCACAAATACAAAAATTAGCCGGGTGTGGTTGCACATGCCTGTAATCCCAGCTACTCCATAGGCTGAGGCAGGAGAATAGCTTGAACCTGGGAGTTGGAGGTTGCAGTGAGCCAAGATCATGCCACTGCACCCCAGCCTGGGCAACGGAGAAAAAAAAAAAAAAAAAAAAACCAGAAATCTGCAATGTCTTTATAAACCAATCACAAAAGAGAAAGTCCATCATTTCCACAGTATCTTATTGTTACCCTGGTCAACATTATTTAATGTGGAAAGACATTACACAGGGCCATAATATTAACAGGTGGTAATCATTGCAGGCCATCTTAGAGGCTGACTACCACAAGAGATGGAGGAAATAACACAAAGGAACTTTCTGGTGAAATCTTCTATATTATAATAAGTATGTGGGGCTGGGCATGGTGGCTCAGGCCTGTAATCCCAGCACTTTGGGAGGCCTAGGCAGGCGGAACACTTGAGGTCAGGAGTTCAAAACCAGCCTGGGCAACATGGTGAAACCCTGTCTCTACTAAAAAAACAAAACTTAGCCGGGTGTGGTGGTGCATGCCTGTAGTCTCAGCTACTTAGAAGGCTGAGGCACGAGAATCCCTTGAACCCAGGAGGCAGAGGCTGCAGTGAGCCGAGACCACGCCACTGCACTCTAGCCTGGACGACAGAG
This sequence comes from Homo sapiens, assembly GCF_000001405.40. Classification (NCBI taxonomy): domain Eukaryota; kingdom Metazoa; phylum Chordata; class Mammalia; order Primates; family Hominidae; genus Homo; species Homo sapiens. The sequence goes on along the minus strand of NC_000006.12, from coordinate 80,080,708 downwards.
TGAGACCCTGTTTCAAAAAAAAAAAAAAGTATGTGGGTTTCGTGTGTATATGCATTAGTCAAAACTGTGCTGCTAAGATTTGCACATTTCTATCAGTGTGTGTGTGTGTGTGTATGTGTATATATTTCATTCAATGTATATATACAATGTATATAAGAAAAACTATAAATAATAATAATCAAGGAGGGGTAGAGTGGGGATAGAGGTACAGATGATGAAAGAATAGTAGACAATAGTTTTTGAAGTTGAATAGATTGGTGCAGGTGAATTTATTAGACTAAAATATTTTATATTATGCTTTATAAACATTCAGTTCAGAGGGTCACATAGAAGGAATCAGGAATTTCACATTCATTATGTTTACCCAAAGATGCATCAAAACATCAATTTCTTTGACTTGATATTAACGGAAATAGTTTAAAGTGGATCACATACTTCTTTCATGTCTTAACTTGTATAAATGTGTACATATTCGTGTGTGTGTTTGTTTATATGTGTGTGGGGGAAGGTTCTTGTTGACTCAGGGTCACTAGTATGCATGGTTATTACTGTTTTATTTTGTGATAAAGTGTTTTTGGACTAAAGACAGCTAAAGAATAACTTGGATTGACTTACCTAATGGGATTTCAAGCCTTTTCTCTTAGAAACAGCTTTGTAACTATTAAATAACACCCAAAATTTCCCAGTAGTAATTAACTCTTTCTACAGAAGAGAAATGTACAAAAATTGATTCTAGAATACTTTGATTGTTTTGAAATCTGTTGGCTTTTATTACATTACTTTTGTCTCCTTTCTTTCTGTTGAGCCACCCTGATGTTCAGCTGATGTTCAGTTCTAGAGCAACCCATTTCCTACCTCCAATTGCTGATTCTACCTCATTGAGGACAAAGGAACCAGATACTTCGTTCAATCCAGAGACACTTCAACCTTACAGCAGTGCAAAGATACCAAAGACAAGCTGCCTGGGTTCAAATACTCTTTTCACCACCATTAACTCATTGTTTTGCTTTGTCTATGTAATTTAACCTCTTTATGCCTCATTTTCTTAGGTATAAAATGGGATTAATAGTACAACAGAAGATTGTTGTTGTAAGGACTAAATCAGCTAATACTTATATAATGTTCAGAACAATGCCCAGCATTACAGATATATTACTTCTGTGTTTAAATAAGTTCTGAGGAATTTCTGCTATGCTTCTTCATTTGGTGAGTAAAGAGCCATGTTACATGAATAATAAATTACATAGAGCATGCACAAATAGGATTTCCTCTTGAAATCACACACAAAAAACACAGGTTAACTTGATACATGCAAGCATTATTATGCCGCATAGCCATATACCATTATTTCTAAAACTGTAAGCAGCTTACATAAATAATTTTGTAAGCAGCTCACATAAATGATTTTCTGATTTTGTAAGCAGCTCGCAAAAACAGTTAGGGTTAAGGTTAGGGTAAATAGACTAACCCTAAAGGTAATTAGAATTCCTTTATATGCTCAACCTTATTTACAATCTTGCTCATTTAATTTTACTAATTTTCAATATCTCAAATAAACATTAATAATGTTTTTCTAATACCCCATATTTATCATTATCCATCACAAACACCTATTTTAAATGCCAAACAGCCTGTACTCCAGTAGCTAGGATTCACAAGCTTTTGACACTTTCCCCACCTTCTTCTTAGTTTAGGCTCCCCTGAATTTATTTCTGCATTTCTATCTTGTCAGTCTCTTTGGTCATACTCTTTTTGGGATTTTGGGACATTTGTCCTCAGTTCTTGCCTTCTCCTGCGTACTACTAGTTCTGAGAATCGGAGGGTTGGCGATAACTAAGGTTTTAAAGGCACTCAGCAATAGAAACATATATGTGTGTGTGTGTGTGTGTGTGTGTGTGTGTGTGTGTATACATATGCCTGGGTCAGGCAAGAGACTCTTTTATTCTTCTCCTTCAAGAGTAAATTAATCTCTGCCTATTTAATTTTGCCTTGTTGCTTACATTATTGTGAGGAGAAAGAGGATTTGGTTTGAATCCTTGGAGTATCAGGTGCTCCTACAGTGTGATTTTATGCCTAAGAAAAAGGCATCTCTACTCTTACAAAATTACCTACCATACCTGCCCTAATTTTCTGAAATCTCTTTAAGAATTGAAAATAAAAGGTCACCCTGCAGGGTCTGTTGGTGGCCTCCTGGAGTTCTGCCTCCTGCCAAAGGGCGGAAGGCTGGCAAGTCCCAGTGTGAGCAGAAGGTGCCAGAGGTAGAAGCCAAGAAACAAAACTCTCTGGGGCTCCCTCTGGGACTGCTATCTGGGCTGTGCATTTGGCCACCCCCTCCTAGCAAAGGCAATGGCTTCCAGACTCCTGTGCAGTCATCCTCTTGCTGCTTGCCTAGGGCAAGGGCACCTTGTGCGAGAGGATTGCCCAGAACTTAGGCCTCCAACATTTCTCTAGTAGCCACTGCTTGCGGGAGAACATCAAGGCCAACACCAGAGTTGGTGACATGGCCAAGCAGTACATAGAGAAAGGTCTTTTGGTTCCAGACCTGTGATCACATGCCTAATGATGTTGGAGTTGGAGAATAGATGTGGCAGCACTGCCTCCTAGATGGCTTTCCTAGGACATCAGGGCAAGCTGATGTCCTGGACAAAATCTGTGAAGTGAATCTAGTGATCACGTTAAACATTCCATTTGAAACACTTAAAGATCCTCTCCTAGCGGAAGGGTATATAACCTGGAATTTAATCCACCTCGTATATGTGGAATTGATGACATCGCTGGTGAACCATTAGCCCAGCATGAGGATGATAAACCCAAAGCAGTTGCTGCAAGGCTAAGACAGTACAAAGATGTGGCAAAGCCAGTCACTGAATTATACAAAAGCCAAGGAGTGATCGACGAATTTTCTGGGATAGAGGCTAACAAAATCAAGCCCTGTGTTTACATGCTTTTTTTGAACAAGATCACAGCTATTTAGTCGAAGACACATATTGACCCTGTGCAATGGAAGAATCAGGAAGATTTGGTCATTCATTCAGTTGTGTCTATAGTATTGGTATTGTGTCCAAATAAGAAGCTAGCTGAGATAGCTTGCAGCTTCTTTTCTAGTTTTAATGGTGAAGTGATAGGAAAACTAATGAGTAGAAAGAGTTCATGAAGAGTTCCTCTTCTGCCTTTCAAAAGAGTCACCTTCACATGTTTAAGGTGTCTCTGCACTTCTCAAGCCCTTCACAAGAAAGCAAGTGGATTCAAATGAGTACAGGGTGGATTTCAAATGGTGTACAACCTAAACTGTAGCTGATTTTTGCAGCCTTGTTGTTGCAATAGTATCCTTTTTACACATAATGGTGGTGGTCTCTGGTTCTCTCCATTCCGTCAAAGACTGTTGAACCACAGCACCAGTAAGCCTAAGAATGCTAAAGGCTCTGTCCCAGGCTTTGTCCCAGGTTCTCAGGTATGTGCCCTCCTGGTGACAATGAAACTGATGCTAATTGCTCTTAGTGGTTGTTTCTCTGGCCTTGAGTGATTGTGCCCAGAGTTTATTTTTTCTCATAGGCATAACTCCTTCTTTTCTGCACCCATGCTCCATAGAATCTCTCCTTTTCAGACATCCTAGGATGAAAGGAATTGGCTTCTGTTTTTTTAACATCTATCTTTTTGACATCTATTTTCTCTGTTCTTAGGCTATGAAATGATACAGGTAGTTATTGCTCTTATTCCTCTCAAATTCTTCTAAGAACTGAGAGCAAGAAGGCTAATTTAGTCTCTTCATGCACCAGAAACTGCGCTATGAAGAGGGTCTTTCTTAAGCTGCTGGTCTGACTCTCACGGATTGACATTGCTCCTTTCTTTTATTGTGAAAAAATTAAACACTTGAAATTATTTTGGGAACTTCCTGAAGTCTTTTGGGAATCCTCAAAAAACATGGGAAATATTCACCTACATGAATGTTGAGAACTCATATCTTATGCACAGAAGTAAATAAGACTGTATGAGATTACTGAAATAACAGCATAACTTTTAAGACAACAAAATGCATTTTGAAAATGTTGCTAACTACTGATGTTGACAGTGTCTTTCTCCTGTGAGTGACCCAAGTGTATTACAAGTAGTAAAGGGAATGGAGCCCGTGAGATTGAAGAAAATGTTGCACTAGCTGTGCCTAGACTAAGACGACAGTTTTACAATTATGAGAAAACAAAATCGTTATTTTTCTTCTATTCCAACGATTCATTCTAGAATCTAACTCTCAATGTCTAGAATTAGATACAAATATTTTGTCACTCATTGTAACGTAACATTAATAAATCGTTTGTTGAAATATAAAAAGGGATTAAATCTAGGAGAATTAATATGCTAATATAAATGAGTTTTAAAATGTAAATGATGATCTCAGATCTTTGATTGAATTGAGAGAGAGCCTTAGAAAATGAGGAAGAGTTAAGGAAGCTGAGGGAAAAGGGAGAGTTTGACAGTGAAGAGGACTAAACGTAACACAAAAGTTACAGACAAATACTTCATAGTATTTCACCAGGACTTGACTCATCTTCATCAGTTAGAGATGAAGATGATCCCAGGAACACCCATCAACACCTTGGACACCTACAGACCTTGGTCCCCTACAGTCCTCACCGGCACTAAGTCCAGCTGAGGGAGCTTCCTGGGGTCTATATACTTACGCTGTCTCCAGAGAAGGAGCTAACCCTGTCCCTGCCCACTGTGGCCAGTGGCTCCTGTGCTGTGCCATCTTGGAACTGGAACTACTACAGAAGTGTGTCTTTCTCCAAAGACAAATAGCCATGGCTTCTTCTCACCCCTGAGACTAAGCTACCACCGAACCACCCTAGGCCGGTGGCCTGACATCCCCATGTCAAGCTGTGAGCAGCTGTTACACTTTTTCCTGTGAGACCAAGCAGATGTGGAGCTGCTCCACCTGCTCCTTCCTCCTCCTTGAGCTGTAGCCAAAGCGGAACTCCTTCTCCTGGGAAAGCAGTACCTTGGCCACTCAAAGGAGCCCCACCTCCCCAGTGCCTAAGTTGTTGCAGCTCCTTGCATCCCAAGAAACAGTGTCTTGGCCACCCACAGCAGTCACACACTCCAGTATCTAAGCTAAAGCAGTGCCATGCATCTCAGGGAAGTGGTGCTTGGGCTGCCCAAAACAGTCACACCACCTGGGCCTGATCTGAAACAGCACGTTGCCCCCTGGGGAAGTGGTGCCTTGCCAAGCTGTTTGTTAGCAGCTGCACATCTCAGGGCTGAGGTGACATAGCACACACCACATGCCAGGGAAACAGAGCAATGAGTGAACTCAGAAACCTTGCCCAAACTCTAGGACCCTGCTTCCCTGGAGCATAATTAGTTCTCTAGTGTCTGAGCTGCTGAAACACTGTTCTCCTTGGAAAGAAGAATCATTGCTGTGCTATTTCTTCCCTATACCCCAGGGCCCAAATGATAGCTGTGCTCCCCCATTTTAGGGTACCTGCTGCCACTGCATGTAGCCTCATAGAGTCAGGATACTGCTGAGCCCCACCATTCCAGAGTCTAGAGTCACTATATGGTGCCTCATCCCCTGGGACCCAAGTTGACACACTGAGCCTTATTGGGTCAGACACCCAAATTGCAGCCATACCCTGCTCCAAAGGCCCAAACATCCACAGCACCCCTTCTTCCCTGGAGGTGGGCCAGTGCTGTGCCCTGCCCCCAAAAGATAGGAATTGTAGCTACAATCCAGTTCCGTGAGCAGTGCTAGGTTGTGCCTCAGAGTCATAGATTCTGGTCCTGTAGGCTACCTGGTCTTCCAACCCTGCTACAGAGAATGAATCTGCACCCCAAGACCCAGGTATCACTATAGGTTTGTGAGACTCTGAACCTAGGATCCTGGCCCCACAGCTGCCTCAAGCACCTGCACCTGGAATCCAATGCCACTGCAGCTGCTATTAATAGTAAGCCATGTCACACTTGATATCAAGAAGGATTCCCTCCTCTAAGTCTCTTCATTGTAGAGAAAACAAGGAGGACTTCAAAAGCCCTTGACACTGAGGAGCTATTAACAACCTACACTGCCACTGCCATCCCACAAACTTCTACAGCTTATGCTACTGAGGTGCTCACAGTTATTGTTGACTTTGAACAGCTGCAGAAGCTATTGAAGGGCAGCTTTGCTGGGTATAGTGTTCTTGACTGCACTGTACCTGTCTGAAAATAGAATCACTACATCCTTCCAAACTGGCACACCAAAACCCAACTGCAGATGAAAGTTTTTCTCTACAAGATCCACTCTAGAAGTTTTGGAAGAGGTGATTTTTCCACCAGATGCACAGACATCAACATAGGAGCACACACACACAACATTAAAAAGCAAGAAAAATCTGATACCACCAAAGAAATATAATAACTATCTGGTTACAGACCCAATGAAAGTGAAATCAACAAACTGCTGGAAAAGAAATTCAAAATAGTGATCTTAAGAAAACTCAATGAGATACAAGAAAATATAGACAGGCAATTCAACAAAATCAGAAAAAAATTTATGATACAAATGATAAATTCAACAAAGAGATAAAAATCATTGAAAAAGCCAAGAGAAATACTGCAGCTAATGATTTCTATGAATTGAAGAAATAATAGAGAGCTTCAACAGCAGCCTTGATCAAGCCAATAAAAGAATCTCTGAACTTAGGCCTGGAGCAGTGGCTTATGCCTGTAACCCCAGCACTTTGGGAGGCTGAGGTGGATGGATCACGAGGTCAGGAGTTCAAGACCATCCTGGCCAATATAGTGAAACCCTGTCTCTACTAAAAATACAAAAATTAGGTGGGCATGTGGCATGTGCCTGTAGTCCCAACTGCTCGGGGGGCTGAGGCAGGAGAATCGCTTGAACTCAGGAGGCAGAGGTTGCAGTGAGCCGAGATCGTGCTACTGCACTCCAGCCTGGGCAACAGAGCAAGATTCTGTCTCAAAAAAAAAAAAAAAAAAAAAGATCTCTGAACTTGAAGATAGGTTATCTGAAATTACCCAGCCAGAAAAAATAAAGGAAATAAGAATGAAAGAGAATAAAGAAAGGCTACAAGACTTATAGGACCCCCCATTAAGTGAACAAATGTTCTCATTTATGGGAGTTCCAGATGGAAAAGAGAAGGAAAATGGTGTAGAAAAACCTATTTAATAAAATAATAGCTAAAATTGTTCCAAGCTGGGGAGAGATATGGATATCCAGATCTAGGAGATCTAGGAGTTCAAAGGTCTCCAAAAAGATTCAGTCTAAAAATCTACTCCCTGTGGCACTTTATAGTCAAACTATCAAAAGTCAAAGACAAAGAGAATTCTAAAAACATCAAGATAAAAGCATTAAGTCACACATAAAGGAATCCCCATTAGACTAACGCATATTTCTTTGCAGTACCCTTACAGACTAGAAGAAAATGAATTATTTGATGAATTATTTGAAGTGCTGAAAGGAGAAAAACCTGCCAGTCAAGAACACTATACTCAGCAAAGCTACCTTTCAGACACGAGAGAAATAAAGCCTTTTCCAGACAAGCAAAAACTGAGGGAATTTATCACCACTATCCTAGTCTTGCAAAAATCCTTAAGCGAGTCCTACATCTTAAAGTGAAAAGATGGCTATCATGAAACCACGCAAAAGTATAAAACTCAGTGGTAGAGCAGATATACAAAGAGAAAATAATGAAACCCTATCACTACAGAAAACCACTAAACCACAATGATAAACAAGGAAGAAAGGAACAAAGGATATGCAAGACAACTGGAAAACAATTAATATAGTGACATGAATCTTCACCTATCAATAACAACCTTGAATGTAAATTAATTACATTCCCCACCTTAAAGATATAAAATGACTCAACTGTGTGCTGCCTACAAGAAATTCACTTCATCTGCAAAGACACATATAAACCGAATGTGAAAGAGATGGAAAAGGATAGTCTATGCAAACAGAAACCAAAAACAAGCAGGAGTAGCTATGCTTATTTCAGATAAAATAATTTTAAGTCAAAAACTCTAAAAAGAGACAATGAAGTTTAAAAGATGATAAAGGGATAAATTCAGCAAGAGAATATAACAATTGTAAATATATATGCACCCAACATCAGAGCACCTAGATACATAAAGCAAATATTATCAGATCTAAAGAGAGAGATAGACCCCAAAACAATAACAGCTGGGGACTTCAACCCCTTTTTACTCTTTATTAGGAGGTCATTATTCACTACATTTTAGTATAACGGTTAAGAGTTCAGGATCTGGTATTATATTATACTAGCTTGAACCTACTTGCAGATGGCCTTGGGTAAGCTTGTGATTCAGTTTCCCCATCTTCAAAATGAGGAGTATAGTAGTCACTAACTCCATGACTTGTGAAGGTTAATTGAGAATATTTAGAATAGCACCTGGCATATAGTAGGGGCTCAATACATTTTAGCCATTACTATCTTTTTTTGTATTGGCCATTCATACACTTATTCAACTTGGATTTTTTGTATAACCTACATTTGCAAAATGGTTGACTGGCAAAGCTTTAAATCATTAAGTTTGTGTGTGGGTGGGTGGAGCGGGGGGCAGTGAGGAATTCTATTACTTCTAACTAACCAGTTGCACTTTCAGTAGTTTGGTGCATTACCAGACCCAGTGGTCACCATATTGATAGTAACCAGCATAGACAGCAGCATAGCACGCTGAAATTCAGAAGAGTTAGACTCAAGCCATTTTTCAGCCTCAACTTCTGACTTCAACAATATATTTGTGTCCAAGAATAGAAAGGCAAAACACATAGCCTGACTAAAGAAACATTATACACTCTCTTACAGTCAAATTAAGTGTAGTTTAAAGTGTTATTTTCAGGACCTTGACTTTTAAATAATGATGATAAGTGACAGTATTTCTACTTTCACACATAACTACTTATGTGAGGTAGTTACTTTTACATATGAATTCTTATTTCATTTTGGTCTTCTGTGTTCCCTTTTCCCATAAATGTCACTCCCACAATGCCCAGCTAGAAACCAGTAACTGCCCTAGGCATTTCCCTTTTCCATCTTCTTCACTTACAGTGACCATTCTGTTTATTTTACTTATTTACTTAATCTATCCTTTCCTCTCCATCCCTTATCCACTGCCATAGTTTAAGCTCTCACTACCTCCCTCCTGGCCTTTAGCAATAATCTACTGGTTTATATCTCCACTATTCCATTTTTCTCAAAGAATTAGAACATTTTAAAGTACAAATAGAGACAAGATCTTGTGTCTATCCTGCTTCAAAGGCTTTAAAAATTCCCCATTGGTGACAGGAAAAGAACCATCTCCTTAGCATGATATACACAGTCCTTCATGTCTGGACTCTACACCCAACTCTACCATCAGCTCCTGCTGTGCTCCCATTATCTTTCTGGACACAGATATTGTCTGTCTTATTTTTGTATCGCAGCATTTATTCTACTTCTGGAGTCAATAAATGTTTGCATAATGAAGGGATGCACACATGCATAATAACAAGCATGACTTTTTAAAAACTGGTATTTATCTCTAGGTTTTCTGTAAAGGATTCAAATTTATTTCATATTAAGAGAGTGAAACTTAAAGGTTCAGCTAAAGCTCAATTTTGACACTTAAGAGCTTATCATAGAAATCATATTGTATAATAAAAATACACATACATACATATACATCTATATCAGTATACTGTGTGAACATATATACATATATGTATTATATATTATATATGTATACATATATGTACATATACATATAATATACATGTGTATATGTACATATATGTATTATATATAATATATAATACACATATATGTATATATACACACACATATATAATACATATATATGTATAATCATTCCTTGGTATCCATGGGAGATTGGTTCCAGGACTTCTACAGATAAAATCTGCAGATGCTAAAGTCCCTTATATAAAATGGCATCGTATTTGCATATAACCTATGCATATCCTCCCAAATACTTTAAATCATGTCTAGATTACTTTTAATACCTAATACACTGCGGCCTAGAGCGTCCCGGCCGGGCCCGGCGCCCGGCCAGCGTCCCTGCTTCAGCTCGCCACTGCACTTTGGCTGCCAGGCCCGAGCGGGCGGGAAGGGATCTCTCTAGGAGCTGACACTCGAACCTTCACGACCCATTCGGATTTTTCCAGGACTCAGGAGTGGCACTGGGAAGAAGGGGACCGCTTTCTGCAATTGGCCTCGACACTGGCTGCCAAGAAGACCTGTCGCCTTTGTTTTGAAGTCTCCAGAAATGGAAGAAGAAGGCGAAGTCAGTTGAAGTCACGAGAAATCAGCGAGGCATTTGAAGGCGCTTCCTGAAAACATTTATTCCCTGGTACGTTGTCTGTTTCACCAGCCCTGCCCCTCCTCGGAGCCTGCTTGTGGAATTCTTCCCCTTTGGGTGTGTGGTGGCATTCCCCCCGACCTCCAATGTGGACTCCAAAGGATTTGTCCCTTCTTTGTCATTTGAAATAAAATGATGGCCACGCGTTGGACTGGTCTGCCTGAGGGAGATGGTGACAAGTTCAAGGCCTGCGAAGTCTAAAAAAATAAAGATGGAAAAGAACAAAGTGAAACTGTATCACTGTCCAAAGATGAAACATTCTCCTGGCCAGGTCCCAAAACAGTTACGTTGAAAAGAACATCTCAAGACTTTGGTTTTACATTAAGACATTTTATTGTTTATCCCCCAGAGTCTGCAATTCAATTTTCATATAAGGATGAAGAAAATGGAAACAGAGGAGACTTTTGAGATTGATGGAAGCTCTGTGCAGCTGGTCAGTCTCTCAGCCATTACTTTGGAAACAGGAAACACCTCAAGGAAAACAAAGAAACCGCTTGGACCCAATGGATACCATTTTGTTAAGCAAGTTAAAGAAGGAGGACCTGCTTTTGAAGCTGGATTATGTACAGGTGACCAAATTATAAAAGTCAATGGAGAAAGTGTTATTGGCAAAACCTATTCCCAAGTAATTTCTTTAATTCAAAACAGTGATACAACATTGGAACTTAGTGTTATGCCACAATATGAAGACATTCTCCAAGTGGCATATTCTCAAGATGCCTACCTGAAAGGCAACGAAGCTTATAGCGGCAATGCCCGCAATATACCTGAACCTCCACCAATCTGCTATCCCTGGCTGCCATCTGCCCCATCAGCCATGGCACAGCCAGTTGAAATAGCTCCTCCTGACTCATCACTGAGCAAACAGCAAACCAGTACACCAGTACTGACACAACCTGGTAGGGCCTATAGAATGGAAATACAAGTGCCTCCATCACCAACAGATGTTGCAAAATCAAACACAGCAGTGTGTGTTTGCAATGAAAGTGTAAGGACTGTCATTGTGCCTTCTGAGAAGGTTGTAGATTTGTTATCCAACAGAAACAACCATACAGGTCCTTCACATAGAATTGAAGAAGTGAGGTATGGCGTGAATGAGCAGACCTCTTTAAAAACAGTGTCAAGAACCACATCACCACCATTATCAATTCCCACCACTCATCTAATTCATCAGCCCGCAGGCTCCAGATCATTGGAACCTTCTGGAATTTTACTTAAATCTGGAAATTACAGTGGACATTCTGATGGAATCTCAAGCAGCAGATCTCAAGCTGTGGAGGCTCCCTCTGTATCTGTTAATCACTATTTGCCAAATTCCCATCAGCACATAGACTGGAAAAACTATAAAACTTACAAAGAGTATATTGATAACAGACGATTGCACATAGGTTGTCGGACAATACAAGAAAGATTAGATAGTTTAAGAGCAGCATCTCAAAGCACGATGGATTATAACCAGGTCGTCCCTAACCGCACTACTTTGCAGGGACGACGTCGAAGCACCTCTCATGATCGAGTGCCCCAGTCTGTCCAGATACGGCAACGCAGTGTGTCCCAAGAAAGACTGGAAGATTCTGTGCTAATGAAGTATTGTCCAAGAAGTGCATCTCAAGGAGCACTGACGTCTCCATCTGTTAGTTTTAGTAATCATAGAACTCGTTCATGGGATTATATTGAGGGACAGGATGAAACCTTAGAAAATGTCAATTCTGGAACTCCAATACCTGATTCCAACGGAGAGAAAAAACAGACTTACAAGTGGAGTGGGTTTACTGAACAGGATGATAGACGAGGTATTTATGAAAGACCTAGGCAGCAAGAAATTCATAAATCTTTTCGAGGTTCCAATTTTACTGTGGCTCCAAGTGTTGTTAATTCTGATAACAGGCGAATGAGTGGTAGAGGAGTGGGATCTGTGTCGCAGTTTAAAAAAATTCCACCAGATCTAAAAACACTGCAGTCAAACAGAAATTTTCAGACTGCTTGTGGAATGTCACTGCCTCGGGGTATTTCACAAGACAGGTCACCTCTTGTGAAAGTCCGAAGTAATTCTCTGAAAGCTCCTTCCACGCATGTCACAAAACCATCATTTAACCAGAAATCATTTGTTTCTATCAAAGACCAAAGACCAGTAAATCACTTGCATCAGAACAGTCTGTTGAATCAGCAGACATGGGTAAGGACTGACAGTGCCTCCGATCAGCAAGTGGAGACTGGGAAATCCCCCTCTATCTGGAGCCTCTGCCAAGCCTGCCCCTCAGTCGAGTGAAAACGCTGGTACTTCAGATTTAGAACTACCTGTCAGTCAAAGGAATCAAGATTTAAGTTTACAAGAGGCTGAAATTGAGCAATCAGATACTTTAGATAATAAAGAAGCTGTCATCCTAAGGGAAAAACCTCCATCTGGACACCAGACACCGCAGCCTTTAAGGCATCAGTCTTACATCTTGGCAGTAAATGACCAGGAGACCAGGTCAGACACTACCTGCTGGCTGCCCATGATGCACGTCGAGAGGTCCACATAAAAAGAATGGAGGAAAGAAAAGCCTTGAGTACCAGTCCGCCTGGCGATTCTTTGGCTTCCGTCCCATTTATAGATGAACCAACTAGCCCTAGCATTGATCATGATATTGCACATATCCCTGCTTCTGCTGTTATATCAGCCTCTACCTCTCAGGTCCCCTGCATAGCAACAGTTCCTCCTAGCCTCACAACTTCAGTTCCATTAATTTGCCGTCAGCTCTCACATGACCACGAATCTGTTGGCCCTCATAGCCTGAATGCTCAGCCCAACTCAAAGACAGAAAGATCAAAATCATATGATGAGGGTCTGGATGATTACAGAGAAGATGTAAAATTGTCCTTTAAGCATGTATCTAGTCTGAAGGGAATCAAGGTCGCAGACAGCCAAAAGTCATCAGAAGACTCTGGGTCCAGAAAAGATTCTTCCTCAGAGGCCTTCAGTGATGCTGCCAAGGAAGGGTGGCTCCATTTCCGATCCCTTGTCACCGATAACGGCAAGTGAGTTGGTGGAAGTATTTGGCCATGGAAACAGATGTACGTTGTCCTTCGGGGTCATTCACTTTACCTGTACAAAGATAAAAGAGAGCAGACGACTCCGTCTGAGGAAGAGCAGCCCATCAGTGTTAATGCTTGCTTGATAGACATCTCTTACAGTGAGACCAAGAGGAAAAATGTGTTTCGACTCACCACGTCCGACTGTGAATGCCTGTTTCAGGCTGAAGACAGAGATGATATGTTAGCTTGGATCAAGACGATCCAGGAGAGCAGCAACCTAAACGAAGAGGACACTGGAGTCACTAACAGGGATCTAATTAGTCGAACAATAAAAGAATACAACAATCTGATGAGCAAAGCAGAACAGTTGCCAAAAACACCTCGTCAGAGTCTCAGCATCAGGCAAACTTTGCCTGGTGCTAAATCAGAGCCAAAGACTCAAAGCCCACACTCTCCGAAGGAAGAGTCAGAAAGGAAACTTCTCAGTAAAGATGATACCAGTCCCCCAAAAGACGAAAGCACATGGAGAAAAGGCATTCCAAGTATCATGAGAAAGACATTTGAGAGAAAGCCAACTGCTACAGGAACTTTCGGCGTCCGACTAGATGACTGCCCACCAGCTCATACTAATCGGTATATTCCATTAATAGTTGACATATGTTGCAAATTAGTTGAAGAAAGAGGTCTTGAATATACACGTATTTATAGAGTTCCTGGAAATAATGCAGCCATCTCAAGTATGCAAGAAGAACTCAACAAGGGAATGGCTGATATTGATATACAAGATGATAAATGGTGAGATTTGAATGTGATAAGCAGTTTACTAAAATGCTTCTCCAGAAAACTCCCTGAGTCTCTCTTCACAAATGATAAATATGCTGATTTTATTGAAGCCAATCGTAAAGAGGAGCCTCTAGATCGTCTGAAAACATTAAAAAGACTAATTCACGATTTGCCTGAACATCATTATGAAACACTTAAGTTCCTTTCAGCTCATCTGAAGACAGTGGCAGAAAATTCAGAAAAAAATAAGATGGAACCAGGAAACCTAGCAATAGTGTTTGGTCCCACCCTTGTTCGAACATCAGAAGACAACATGACCCATATGGTCACCCACATGCCTGACCAGTACAAGATCGTAGAAACGCTCATCCAGCACCATGACTGGTTTTTCACAGAAGAAGGTGCTGAAGAGCCTCTTACAACAGTGCAGGAGGAAAGCACAGTAGACTCCCAGCCAGTGCCAAACATAGATCATTTACTCACCAACATTGGAAGGACAGGAGTCTCCCCAGGAGATGTATCAGATTCAGCTACTAGTGACTCAACAAAATCTAAGGGTTCTTGGGGATCTGGAAAGGATCAGTATAGCAGGGAACTGCTCGTGTCCTCCATCTTTGCAGCTGCTAGTCGCAAGAGGAAGAAGCCAAAAGAAAAAGCACAGCCTAGCAGCTCAGAAGATGAACTGGACAATGTATTTTTTAAGAAAGAAAATGTGGAACAGTGTCACAATGATACTAAAGAGGAGTCCAAAAAAGAAAGTGAGACACTGGGCAGAAAACAGAAGATCATCATTGCCAAAGAAAATAGCACTAGGAAAGACCCCAGCACGACAAAAGATGAAAAGATATCACTAGGAAAAGAGAGCACGCCTTCCGAAGAACCCTCATCACCACACAACTCAGAACACAACAAGTCACCAACTCTCAGCTGTCGCTTTGCCATCCTGAAAGACAGCCCCAGGTCACTTCTGGCACAGAAGTCCTCCCACCTTGAAGAGACAGGCTCTGACTCTGGCACTTTGCTCAGCACGTCTTCCCAGGCCTCCCTGGCAAGGTTTTCCATGAAGAAATCAACCAGTCCAGAAACGAAACAGCGAGTTTTTGGCCAACGTCAGCACCATCACCTCAGATTATTCCACCACATCGTCTGCTGCATACTTGACTAGCCTGGACTCCAGTCGACTGAGCCCTGAGGTGCAATCCGCGGCAGAGAGCAAGGGGGACGAGGCAGATGACGAGAGAAGCGAACTCATCAGCAAAGGGCGGCCTGTGGAAACCGACAGCGAGAGTGAGTTTCCCGTGTTCCCCACAGCCTTGACTTCAGAGAGGCTTTTCCGAGGAAAACTGCAAGAAGTGACTAAGAGCAGCCGGAGAAATTCTGAAGGAAGTGAATTAAGTTGCACCGAGGGAAGTTTAACATCAAGTTTAGATAGCCGGAGACAGCTCTTCAGTTCCCATAAACTCATCGAATGTGATACTCTTTCCAGGAAAAAATCAGCTAGATTCAAGTCAGATAGTGGAAGTCTAGGAGATGCCAAGAATGAGAAAGAAGCACCTTCATTAACTAAAGTGTTTGATGTTATGAAAAAAGGAAAGTCAACTGGGAGTTTACTGACACCCACCAGAGGCGAATCCGAAAAACAGGAACCCACATGGAAAACGAAAACAGCAGATCGGTTAAAACTGAGACCCAGAGCCCCTGCGGATGACATGTTTGGAGTAGGGAATCACAAAGTGAATGCCGAGACTGCTAAAAGGAAAAGCATCCGGCGCAGACATACACTAGGAGGGCACAGAGATGCTACTGAAATCAGCGTTTTGAATTTTTGGAAAGTGCATGAGCAGAGCGGGGAGAGAGAATCTGAACTTTCAGCTGTAAATCGATTAAAACCAAAATGCTCAGCCCAGGACCTTTCCATCTCAGACTGGCTGGCCAGGGAACGCCTACGCACCAGTACCTCTGACCTTAGCAGAGGAGAAATCGGAGATCCCCAGACAGAGAAGCCAAGCACACGGGAAATAGCCACGACCGACACACCTTTGTCTCTTCATTGCCCCACAGGCAGTTCTTCCAGCATCTTGGCTTCAACAAACAGGCCCCTTCTTTCCATACCACCACAGTCACCTGACCAAATAAATGGAGAAAGCTTCCAGAACGTGAGCAAAAATGCTAGTTCTGCAGCGAATGCCCAACCTCATAAACTATCTGAAACCCCAGGCAATAAAGCAGAGTTTCATCCCTGTCTTTAAACTGGGGGTATGTCCACTCTAGCAAGTAAAAAAACTACTGTTACACGTTCCAGTAACTCTGTCAATATTTTCTTGTATCAGAATTGTTATTATGCAGCCTTCATTTGGGCTGGTTTCATCATTTTGCACTGTGAAATAGCTTTACAGTGCATTACTACAGCCAGAAGTACATATATATATATATTTTAAAATATATCGGATAGTTGTATACAAATGAGCAAGGTATTTGTTGCAACTTACTACATAGCATATACCCAAAATCACTGAAGAAAATCGCTGGCATCAGTGTGCAGCAAATTTGTTCTTTTGGTTTCATCACTAACAAAAGTGCCTCATCATAAAAACACAGTTGGTTTTTAGGGTGCCATATTGTTAAAATTAGATAACTTACATTGAATAAACGAATGCGTTTTATTGGTAACAAATTTCATTACATTTACCAGTTTTAACACAGGTGGATACAGAACTTCCATTCTTTAGTCATTCCAGGTGGATCTGAATTTTATATTCAAACTTTTAATACAGTTTTTGAGTTTTGTGTGACTTGAATTTTTAATCTTTCTGTAAAATACGTAACTTAAATGAACATATTAAATGTGTATCTTTTCTTCAGATACCAGATTTGATATAAATGTTGTAACATAGGTGTGTAGATAGTGGATCCTGGATGGAACTGGCTTCTTTATCGAGAAGAATACAATTCTACATGAGGACTTAATGAATCCAAACCTGTGTCATGCCTGTGTGCATATTCAATTAAACACTGGAAATAAAAATTGTTTTGGTGAAAAAAAAAATACCTAATACAATGTAAGGACTATGTAAGTCATTACTATATCGTATTTAAAATTTCGTATTTTTATTGTATTGTGATTTTTTATAAGTTAATTTTTTCAAGTTTTTTCAATATGTGGTTGGTTGAATCCATGATGTGGAACCCATAAATATAGAAGGCCAACCATATGTACTTTCAGACATATTTCATATAATATAGATGTTTATATATCCTAAAAACCTATATATCCTTTAACATGATTATCAGGTTGACCTCTGCATCTTTTGCCAGATAAAATATGAGATGCTTTTATTAAATAGTGGCAATCAAAAAATAACTCTTAAAGCAAGCAGCTAGGCTTTGAAATTAAAAATAACCTTAATCATTAGGAAAATAAAAAATAAAGGTGGGAGGCTGAGGTGGGAGCATCACTTGAGGTTACAAGTTTGAGACCATCCTGGCCAACATGGTGAAACCCTGTCTCTATGAAAAATACAAAAATTAGCATAGCAATGAAGAGCACCTGTAGTCTCAGCTACTCAGGAGGCTGAGGCAGAAGAATCGCTTGAACCCAGGAAGTGGAGGTTGCAGTGAGCCAAGATCATACCACTGCACCCTAACCTAGGTGACAGAGCCAGACTCTGTCTCAAAAAATAAAAATTAAAAAATGGGACCAAAGTGAGGCCAAAAACAACAGGCAGTAAGTTGTTACAATTGGGAGCCCAGGGAGTAGAGATCAAACCAAAAGAAAGCATTCCTGAACAGCATGTGACTGTGACCTGGTGAAATGTCTTGTTGACCTGTGCATGTGGCAACTCATTGGACATCTTTTCAACCAGCTGTGTTCGCTCATTGTGAAAGATAAACTGGGTATCTCATATGAGCCAAGCACTATAATAGGCCACATCAGGGCCTAGATGACCAAGTAATAGCCAAAAACTTAAGGAGTTCACAATCTATCAGGGGAGACAAATAAGCCAATAATAATCGTGGCATTTTCAAAATCTTATGAAGCATAGAGAAGACGGCTTCTGATTGAGTAATCTGATCAATAAGGAGCCGAAATCAAAGAAAGTTTCTTAAGAGAGATGACATGAACTGGGCATGTAAGGGGAAGTAGTGAAAGGGAATCTATCAGAGGACTCAGTGTGGGTATTAGCTAGGAAGTTTGTGAATCGGTGGAATGTCAGATGCCAGATGGGAAGTGGCAGGAGAGGGATGAAGCTGGACAGGTGGGTCGAGGACACATGATCCAATATGAAGGACAATCCATATAACAAATGGAGGACAGAAGTCACACTCAGTGTCTTAATTTCATGCTCAAAAACCAGGCCGCTCCAGAGTAGTTGATTTCACTGGATGGCTGTTCTTTACCTGTAACACAATGAGGCATACTGAACTAGGGTCATTTTGATTTGCTAAGTTTTAAAATCTAAAATCATCCTTTTTACTCAATAGTGTTCTAGAGATTTGTCCTCTCATTAATCATAGTTGTCCAAATACTAATTAAATCATATATAATCCAAACACAGAGATTTTCTAAATGTAGCCAGGCTCATTACAGCTAATTATCTGATCTTCTTCCCAAGAAGCAATGCTTTATTTTAGTGTTGTGAGGATTTTTTTTCCTTTTCTTTACATTCATGCATTTATCTATACTCCCGTCTCTTCTACAAATTGTCCAGTGTAGTCTATAGTGGCTCTAGAATAATATAAGAGTAGAAATATAAGTAGAAATAAATAATTATGACCAGGAAAAATAGAAAAAAGTAAAAGTTTAAGACCAATGCAAAAAGGACATAAATATGCAGATGATAAGAAGTTGTAATTCTTTCACAAGAGCTTCAAATCTGGCTCTGAACTTTCTGGAAATAGAGCAAAAAGAGACATGACCCAGTTAGCTGTATATTCTCATGAGGAGAGAGAAAAGAAACATAACAGTTCCTCCAGAGACATGGGTTTTAGACCAGATCTACTAACTTGTGTGACATTGGGACAATCACTGAGCTATGCTGTGTTTCACAGTCTTTATCTGTGAAGTGTATAATAATATCTGACTCAGCCAACTTTAGGAGAATCAAAGGGGATTGTAAATAAAGTGCTTTGAATAATATAAAGTGTACAAATGTAAGGTGTTACTCCCCATAGAATGCTGAAAAAATTACTTTGGACAAGCATTTGATATCTATGTACAACGATGCAAACTGCATGGCCCTCAGCAATACCTGCCAGGATGACAATCATGTTGATATTTACATCTATTTGCCAGATAAGAAGGTTGTTACTGGCTGTAGGAGATGTTACTTATCTGACTTTAGATAAGTCAATTCTTGGGATGCATCAAGTCTGCCCCTTTATGGAAACAGCATTTCTGATTCAAACCAGCCTAGTCAGAAACATCTCTCAACTACCCCATTTAGAGAATTCCCCTTAATAAAGGTATTCTTATTTTTATTTGAAACCTCAAGTACAGAGAGTTGAGTTCATCCATACTCATCACATTATTATCACATTAAATGGAGCATTATTGCTGACACAAGCAAATGCCTTCTCTTTATTTTGACATCAATTTATTCCTGTCTCCACTACCATTGTCTTCCCCTTAAATATACATGCATTTTAATTTTTGACATATATCATTTTATTTGCATTTCTCTGAAAAACACATATTTTCTTGTGTGCATTTATTTTAATTTACTTAAGTCTTATTGTGCTATAGAGTTATCTCTGTTTCTTACTTCCTTAGCACTATCTTTAAGATCTATGCATGGCCGCACATGAACATCTAGACCATTGTTGATAGCATTTCCCACATTACTTTCCCATTTCCACCATGACAGATACAAAGATTACCTCCAAGTCCTAGCCTATAAATGTGTTGTCATAAATATTCTTGAATGTGTCCCTTCATGAAACTGGATGATCATTTCTCTGTGAATATTTGTTTAGTCTCACATAAGACAACCTTAACAATTCTACTTACCATTATTGAAAAACAATTTAAACAAAAATATTTCACTGTAATAAAATAGTTGAAATATGACCTCTATAATCTAACGTAAGACAGGAAGAAGGAAGCAAAGAAAAAATTTAAGTAAAAGAATTTAAATGGTTGAGTTTAAAAAGAAAAAATATGTATTTCAAATAAGGAAGATAATAGAAGAACGTTCAGTATATACGTGAGTCTGGAGAGTACAAGACAGGAAAGAGTATGGAGACAAGAGGCTGAATTACAGGAATGCCCAGTTCCCTTGATTTTTAGTCTTTCTGGGATGTGCATAGTGGGAAGGAAGGAAGATGAAGATTGGCAAGATTCCTGGCTGACTCCTGGAGGTGATTTTGTAACTTAAGCATGAATATTGTCTCCTGCCCTCATGTATTTGGCTCACCTACATAATCATGTACTGTGATTTACTCTCGCAACAGCCACCCCGTGACTAGGTATGTCAGCTGCCAAGACTCCTGTACTTCTCTTCTGGGGACCCAAGACCTACTTGGGCTTCTTTCCCTTCTCTACCTTAGCAGTGATTGGTCTCAGGACATAATGTTTATGTCATGCCTTCTGAGTTTAGGAATATATTCTGTCTCCTAACACAGGCACACTTGCTGTACTGAATACACAGGCAAATGAACACAAAGTCGAATCACTGTTTTATCTACAAATCCTGCTAATCCTGGATCACATACACAAAAAAAGACTGAGTATTCTTTTGAGTAAATTTCAATAGTGTCATGAGTTGGAGCAAGTCAAGGTCCTGTGGGGTGTTTGACTTAAATTTAATGGTGAACAAAGCTTTGAACATTCTTCTTTTCCTTGTTTCTACTCTTCTTCTTTCATTTATTGTGACTTTTCAAATAACGGAGAAAATATCACTTAGATAACAAAGCCATGTATGGATGAAGAACACAACACTAAATGAATTTCTGAGATTATAACATCTATGATAATATATCAAAATTAGAATGGAGATTATCCCCATCACTCCTTATTCTTTGCATTGGTTAATAGTTCACATTCCCAAGTTTCACGTTGTATCTCTTGGGAAGAATGATGTGATTTTTTTCAAATCTCCCTGACAAGTACTCTCTTAACCTAATTCTACTTGGCCTGGTCTTGAAAGTGTTTCTATTGACACTTCTCTCTTTGCCAACTGACCCAAGTTCTAATGTTGGTAGAAGAAACAAAGCTTCGAAGTAGATATATCTTAATCATCAGAATCACATGTTCTGGGAAAAGAAGCTAATCTGTATACATAAAAATACAGCAAGGAGAAGTAGGACTTTGGACAAATCTTAGAAAACTTCTGAGACTCTGTTTCCTCATCCGTACAATGAGAATATTAAGGAAATGGTGTCTAAATGTCTTCCAGATCTGATCAGACCCTCTACTTCTTCCACTGCCCACTGCTCACTGTCCTCTTTGCATATATTTTCTTCTTCAGCAATCATAAATAAAGAAAAATTTGTGTATATAGATACACATGGATAGTTATTACATATGATGTTACTGAGTGTCCATTATATCCTAGGCATTTTACTTGTGTTGCCCCATTTAATCCTTATTTAATGCTGCAATGTATTATTAACCATATTTTATATATGAGAAATCATCTATAAAGGTTAAGCAATTTACATGAAACCTACAGTTAGTAAATGAGAAGCCTGGAGTCAAACTCTGGTTTATAAACTCCAAAATCTACACTCTTTACATTAAAATATATTGCCAATCACACAAATAAGTACAAACCGATGTGCAGACTAGAAAGACCAAAATTGTTCTCCTTCCAACTTTAGTACTATAGAAGATATGTTCAAGTGTTTCTGCTTTTTGGGTGGTATGCTTGTAAATTGCAAATACCAAAAAGATCTAATCTAGGGTCTTAACATTTACAGGATGAAAAAGAGAGGTGGTGACAGTGGAGAGAGAGAAAGAGAGGGAGGGAAGGAAACGCCAAACTGAGTCAATAAAGGAGTTCAGCGGAGAGGAAAATTATTCTGAACTGGGACTTTTCTGGGTTGCTTCACAAACATGGTAGAACTTGCAGTTCTAGAGACCTAGAGAAGAAATGCCTTCGTCAGTGCAGAACAAGGCTTTGTATGTATTTAGGGTACTTGTAACTACAAATAACAGATAACATACAATTCAACTTGGCATAAATAATAAGGAAAATTTATTATCCTATCTAACAAGAACTCTCAAGGTAAGATGGCTTCAGGATTGGATCACTTCATGCTTTACATCACCAGGGATCCATATATATATATATATATATATATTTTCATCCTTTTGCTTTGCCCTCCTACTCTTAGTTCTCCTCATAGTTGCAGGAAAGCTACCGCAGTTCATGATATCAAATGCAGGCATAACTACATCGAGTAGGGACTACTTCCCATGAATTTATTTTTAAGAATAAAAATCTATTTCCTATAGTCCCCTGGCATACTATTCTTCATCTTTCATTGGCTAGAATTAAGAAATATGCCCGTGCCTAAACCAATCACTGGCAGGACAATGAGGCCACCACGATGCATTTAAGCCAATCAGGACTGACCGCTTGAACTGGGAATAGAGCCAGCCTTGTCTGAATCCCACAGGGAAGTGATGGATACTCCTGCAGAAGCAGATCTCTGCCCCTGGACAGATGGGGAAAGGCTACTGGGAAGGCAGTTAGTGTCTGCTGCAGTGCACACAAAAATGGGAAGCAGTACGTGCAATGCTCTGGAAAGATGATTGCGGCAAGAGCTTCACCTAAAGGACTAGTGAGGACAGGATTGTATCAATAGGTAAGTAGACCAGAATGAGAATTTCTAGAGCTAACTATGGAAAATCCAGAAGGAAGAAAGGAAGGATAAAAGAATTTATCTCTGGGCTAGTAGAAAGATGCTACATTACTTTCTTCTCATGTTAGGAAAAGGGGACTAGTTTCAAGGGATTTTAGCATAGTTTCTAGTCTTCTAGATCATTATTAACTCTTTTTTTGGTAGTTTCTACTATTTTCTCTAGTTTTTTTTTTTAATTTTCAAAATTGCTCTAAACTAATATATTGCCAGTGTTCTTCCTGTTCCCTTCCTGTTGGCCATTTCTCTTATGCCTAATTGTTTATTTTCTGACCATTGAGCAAAGGGTCCTCCAACCTTAAGAGGCAGAAATGCAGAGATGAATGACAAACTTAAAAGTGTCCTAGAAATAGACAGACAAAAAGAAAAGAGTGTTCTCAGTTCAGTCTTGCCAACAGAAAGAGATAATCTCTTCAGAGTTAGAAAATATGAAGGCCAGTAAGTGCATAGAAAGAGATAATTAACGATAACAAATATTATTGAATATTTATGTTGTGTCAGGCACTGAGCTAAGCACTTTTTATATACTAACTTATTCACTTTCCACAATGACCCCATGAGTTAGGTACAAGGTCTTCATCTGTAAAATAGAGGTAATAACTGAGGCATGGAGCAGTTAAATAACATTTCCAGGATCCCACAAGTATTAAGTGGTGGTTCTAGGATTCAGTCAGGTAGTTGGCTCAGGTATCACTCTTTCCATTATTTCCTCTTTATAAGAAGGTACTCTTCAGACTAAAGTGTTGCTGAAAATCAATAATACAGTAATTCATTAATTGAGTACGTACTAAATGTCTGACATTGCGCTTAGCATTTTCCAAGCATCACTAAACTACGTTTAATCTTCAGGGCAATCATGCAAGGCATTATTATTACCACTTTGAGGTAAGGAAACCTAGGCTTAAAGAGATAAATACATAACTATGAACATATTTATTAAGTATTAATATTAGATATTAAATAATTATGAACAAAATTACACAGTGTGTAACAGGACCAGGATTCAAACTCTAATCTGAATAATTCTAAAGCCAATGAATGTGCTTAATTATTAAAACAATGAAAATGAATGAACTTTCAGGTTAGGGTCTGAATTCATAATTCAAAGACCAGGAGAATAGACAGATATTAATGCCAAGTATACTCCAGTCACTGTGATAGTTGCTTTTACATCATTATTTCCATTTATCTCAGTTATTAACACTTTTTTAAAAAAATTAGATATCACTTCTTAAAGTTTGGGATCAAGTTATGTATTATTCTTGTCTTTACATAAAATATTCATAAGACATGACTTTTTAAAAATATATTTGTTTTTAAAAGCTATATATTTTATATATATATATATAATTTATATACACATACACATATATACATTTTTTTTTTATTTGGGACGGAGTCTCGCTCTGTTGCCCAGCCTGGAGTGCGATGGTGCGATCTCGGCTCACTGCAACCTCGACCTCCCGGGTTCAGGCGATTCTCCTGCCTCAGCTTCCTGAGTAGCTGGGACTAAAGGCGTGTGCCACCATGCCCAGCTACTTTTTTGTATTTTTAGTAGAGACAGGGTTTCACCATGTTAGCCAGGATGATCTCAATCTCCTGACCTCATGATCTGCCGGCCTTGGCCTCCCAAAGTGCTGGGATTATAGGCGTGAGCCAACGCTCCCAGCCATATATAATATTTATAATATATATAATAAAATATATATATATTTTAAGAGGCATAGAATGTTGAGTCAGATTTATACTCATCTCTGACAATAAACAGCAATCTACTCTTGGTCAAATTGTTAAACTTTCTGGGCTCAGTTTCTTTATCTACAAAATGACACCGGTTGGTCTGAATGACACCATTTTAAAAACAAGATTGCCCTCTTAGGGAATTCTGCAATGTAGGATTCAGGGAGAAAATTCCCTGGCTCTTAGTGATTCATGAATGTCAAAACCTCTCAGCTCACAGAGTCAGACAGGATAAAAAAGATTTTCATTCTAGATTCCCCATAAAGATTATATGCTTCTTGATGTTTTATAACATTAAATCTCTTTGTATTACACTCACAATACCCGATTACTTCCTTATACCCTATATCAGTGTTTCCAAAACTGGCCCGATAATAAGAATACCTGGTGCATTTGTGGAAAATATAGATTCCCAAAGCCCTACCATAGGCCTTCTAAATTTGGAATCGTCAGTGGAGGGCTCTGAGAATCCATGGTTTGGTCAAGTACCCAAGTATTCCTATCACCAGGCATGTTTGGGAAACATCTTTGTAAACAGTAAATGCTCAAACATGTTGATTTTTTAAAAATGGTGACATTTTGATTAAAAGAAACAAACAAAAGGGAAAGAATATCTGTTAGACACCCTATTCCTATGGGGAATCTAGATCCACAGACATAAAATAATGATTTTCATTGCAAGGTAAAGTGAATAGGTGCTAAATGATGCATTAGACCATATAAATGCATAAGACAATAATAAGTTCAGAAGAAGAAGAAAACTCTGGGCTGGGCTTGGAAGTAAGCCTTGGCTTATGCTGCTGCAGATGTATAGTATATGAGTAAGTATGAAGAGCATGGAAGGAGGTGTCCTGGGAGGGCAGGAACATTAGAGAACAAGGAATCCGACTGGTGCAAAGGAAATGCAGAAGAACAAAAGCTAATACAGTTCTGGGGGGCCTTGAAAATTCCAGCCAGGTCCAGGATTATGTTTGAACTTAATCCTGTAGAGAATGGGGAGCCCTTCAAGATTTCCGAGCCAGGTGTAGTGGCTCATGCCTGTAATTCCAGCACTTTGGGAAGCGAGGCAGGAAGATTGCTTGAACCCAGCAGTTCAATACCAGCCTGGGCAACAAAGCGAACCCTTATATCTACAAAAAAATTTAAAAATTAGTCAGGCATGGTGGCGTGCACTTGTAGTCCCAGCTATTCAGGAGGGAGGCGGGAAGATCACTTGAGCCCAAGAGTCTCAGGCTACAGTGAGCAATGATCACGCCACTCTAGCCTGAGTGACAGAGGGAGACCCTGTCTCAAAAAAAAAAAAATATATATATATATATATATATATATATTTAGCAGATGAATCCGCTTATAATATTCCTCAGTGGTTAAGAGGCTTCTCCTCAGAAGGCTTGTTAAAATACAAATTGCTAGGTGGAGCCAAGATGGACGAATAGGAACAGCTCCAGTCTACAGCTCCCAGCGTGAGCGACACAGAAGATGGGTGATTTCTGCATTTCCAACTGAGGTACTGGGTTCATCTCACTGGGGAGTGCCAGACAGTGGGTGCAGGACAGTGGGTGCAGCGCACCGTACGTGAGCGGAAGCAGGACGAGGCATTGCCTCACCCAGGAAGCGCAAGGGGTCAGGGAATTCCCTTTCCTAGTCAAAGAAAGGGGTGACAGACAGCACCTGGAAAATTGGGTCACTGCCACCCTAATACTGCGCTTTTCCAATGAGCTTAATAAATGACACACCAGGAGATTATATCCCGCACCTGGCTTGGAGGGTCCTACGCCCACGGAGCCTTGCTCATTGCTAGCACAGCAGTCTGAGATCAAACTGCAAAGTGGCAGCAAGGCTCGGGGAGGGGCGCCCACCATTGCTCAGGCTTGAGTAGGTAAACAAAGTGGCCGGGAAGCTCAAACTGGGTGGAGCCCACCACAGTTCAAGGAGGCCTGCCTGCCTCTGTAGGCTCCACCTCTGGGGACAGGGCACAGACAAACAAAAGACAGCAATAACCGCTGCAGACTTACATGTCCCTGTCTGACAGCTTTGAAGAGAGTAGTGGTTCTCCCAGCATACAGCTGGAGATCTGAGAACGGGCAGACTGCCCCCTCAAGTGGGTCCCTGAGCCCCAAGTAGCCCAACTGGGAGGTGCCCCCCAGTAGGGGTGGACTGACACCTCACATGGCCGGGTACTCCTCTGAGACAAAACATCCAGAGGAACGATAAGGCAGCAGCATTTGCAGTTCACCAATATCCGCTGTTCTGCAGCCACCGCTGGTGATACCCAGGCAAACAGGGTCTGGAGTGGACCTCCAGTAAACTCCAACAGACCTGCAGCTGAGGGTCCTGACTGTTAGAAGGAAAACTAACAAACAGAAAGGACATCCACACCAAAAATCCATCTGTACATCACCATCATCAAAGACCAAAGGTAGATAAAACCACAAAGATGGGGAAAAAACAGAGCAGAAAAACTGGAAACTCTAAAAATCAGAGTGCCTCTCCTCCTCCAAAGGAACGCAGCTCCTCACCAGCAACAGAACAAAGCTGGATGGAGAATAATTTTGACTCGTTGAGAGAGGAAGGCTTCAGAAGATCAAACTACTCCAAGCTAAAGGAGGAAGTTCGAACCAACGGCAAAGAAGTTAAAAACTTTGAAAAAAAATTAGACGAATAGATAAGTAGAATAACCAATGCAGAGAAGTCCTTAAAGGACCTGATGGAGCTGAAAACCACGGCACAAGAACTATGTGACGAATGCACAAGCCTCAGTAACTGAGGAGATCAACTGGAAGAAAGGGGTATTAGTGATGGAAGACAAAATGAATGAAATGAAGCATGAAGAGAAGTTTAGAGAAAAAAGAATAAAAAGAAATGAACAAAGCCTCCAAGAAATATGGGACTATGTGAAAAGACCAAATCTACATCTGATTGGTGTACCTGAAAGTGATGGGGAGAATGGAACCAAGTTGGAAAACACTCTGCAGGGTATTATCCAGGAGAACTTCCCCAATCTATCAAGGCAGGCCAACATTCAAATTCAGAAAATACAGAGAACGCCACAAAGATACTCCTCGAGAAGAGCAACTCCAAGACACATAATTGTCAGATTCACCAAAGTTGAAATGAAGGAAAAAATGTTAAGGGCAGCCAGAGAGAAAGGTCGGGTTACCCACAAAGGGAAGCCCATCAGACTAACAGCTGATCTCTCAGCAGAAACTCTACAAGCCAGAAGAGAGTGGGGGCCAATATTCAACATTCTTCAAGAAAAGAATTTTCAACCCAGAATTTCATATCCAGCCAAACTAAGCTTCATAAGTGAAGGAGAAATAAAATCCTTTACAGACAAGCAAATGCTGAGAGATTTTGTCACCACCAGGCCTGCCCTAAAAGAGTTCTTGAAGGAAGCACTAAACATGGAAAGAAACAACTGGTACCAGCCACTGCAAAAACAAGCCAAATTGTAAAGACCATCAATGCTAGGAAGAAACTGCATCAACTGACGAGCAAAATAACCAGCTAACGTCATAGTGACAGGATCAAATTCACATATAACAATACTAACCTTAAATGTAAATGGGCTAAATGCTCCAATTAAAACGCACAGGCTGGCAAACTGGATAAAGAGTCAAGACCCATCAGTGTGCTGTGTTCAGGAAACCCATGTCACGTGCAGAGACACACATAGGCTCAAAATAAAGAGATGGAGGAAGATCTACCAAGCAAATGGAAAACAAAAAAAGGCAGGGGTTGCAATCCTAGTCTTGGATAAAACAGACTTTAAACCAACAAAGATCAAAAGAGACAAAGAAGGCCATTACATAATGGTAAAGGGATCAATTCAACAAGAACTAGCTATCCTAAATATATATGCACCCAAAACAGGAGCACCCAGATGCATAAAGCAAGTCCTTAGTGACCCACAAAGAGACTTAAGACTCCCACACAATAATAATGGGAGACTTTAACACCCCACTGTCAACATTAGACAGATCAACAAGACAGAAAGTTAACAAGGATATCCAGGAATTGAACTCAGCTCTGCACCAAGCAGACCTAGTAGACATCGACAGAACTCTCCACCCCAAATCAACAGAATATACATTCTTCTCAGCACCACATCACACTTACTCCAAAACTGACCACATAATTGGAAGTAAAGCACTCCTCAGCAAATGTAAAAGAACAGAAATCATAACAAACTGTCTCTCACACCACAGTGCAATCAAACTAGAACTCAGGATTAAGAAACTCACTCAAAGCCACTCAACTACATGGAAACTGAACAACCTGCTCCTGAATGACTACTAGATACGTAACGAAATGAAGGTAGAAATAAACCAATGAGAACAAAGATACAATGTACCAGAATCTCTGGAACACATTGAAAGCAGTGTGTATAGTGAAATTTATAGCAATAAATGCCCACAAGAGAAAGCATGAAAGAACTAAAATCAACACCCTAACATCATAATTAAAAGAACTAGAGAAGCAAGAGCAAACAAATTCAAAAGTTAGCAGAAGGCAAGAAATAACTAAGATCAGAGCAGAACTGAAGATAGAGACACAAAAAACCCTTCAAAGGCCAGGCTCAGTGGCTCATGCCTGTAATCCCAGAACTTTGGGAGGCTGAGGTGGGCTGATCACGGGGTCAGGAGATCGAGACCATCCTGGCTAATACGTGAAACCCTGCCTCTAATAAAATACAAAAATAAGCCGGGCGTGGTGGCGGGCGCCTGTAGTCCCAGCTACTCGGGAGGCTGAGGCAGGAGAATGGCGTAAACCTGGGAGGCAGAGCTTGCAGTAAGCCGAGATTGCACCACTGCACTCCAGTCTGGGCAACCGAGCGAGACTCCGACTCTAAAAAAAATTACAAAAAAAACCCCTTCAAAAAATCAATGAATCCAGGAGCTGGTTTTTTGAAGAGATCAACAAAGTTGATAGACCACTAGCAAGACTAATAAAGAAGAAAGAGAGAAGGATCAAATACACACAATAAAAAATGATAAAGGGGATATCACCACTGATCCCACAGAAATACAAACTACCATCAGAGAATACTATAAACACCTCTACGCAAATAAACTGGAAAATCTAGAAGAAATGGATAAATTCCTGGACACATACACCCTCCCAAGACTAAACCAGGAAGAAGTTGAATCTCTGAATAGACCAATAATAGGCTCTGAAATTGAGGCAATAATTAATAGCCTACCCACCAAAAAAAGTCTAGAATCAGACGGATTCACAGCCGAATTCTGCCAGAGGTACAAAGAGGAGCTGGTACCATTCCTTCTGAAACTATTCCAATCAATAGAAAAACAAGGAATCCTCCCTAACTAATTTTATGAGGCTAACATCATCCTGATACCAAAGCCTGGCAGAGATACAACAAAAAAAGAGAATTTTAGACCAATATCCCTGATGAACGCTGATGCGAAAATCCTCAATAAAATACTGGCAATCTAAATCCAGCAGCACCTCAAAAAGCTTATCCACCATGATCAAGTCAGCTTCATCCCTGGGATGCAAGGCTGGTTCAACATATGCAAATCAATAAACATAATCCATCACATAAACAGAACCAATGACAAAAACCACATGATTATCTCAATAGATGCAGAAAAGACCTTTGACAAAATTCAACAGCCCTGCATGCTAAAAACTCTCAATAAACTAGGTATTGATGGAATGTATCTCAAAATAATAAGAGCTATTCATTCATGTCAAACCCACAGCCAATATCATACTGAATGGGTTAAAACTGGAAGCATTCCCTTTGAAAACCGGCATAAGTCATGGATGCCCTCTTTCATTCAACATAGTGTTGGAAGTTCTGGCCAGGGCAATCAGGCAGGAGAAAGAAATAAAGGGTATTCAATTAGGAAATGAGGAAGTCAACTTGTCCCTGTTTGCAGATGACATGATTGTATATTTAGAAAACCCCATCGTCTCAGCCCAAAATCTCCTTAAGCTGATAAGCAACTTCAGCAAAGTCTCAGGATACAAAATCAATGTGGAAAAACCACAAGGATTCCTATACACCATTAACAGACAAACAGAACACCAAATCATGAGTGAACTCCCATTCACAATTGCTTCAAAGAGAATAAAATACCTAGGAATCCAACTTACAAGGGATGTGAAGGACCTCTTCAAGGAGAACTACAAACCACTGCTCAATGAAATAAAAGAGGATACAAACAAATGGAAGAACATTCCATGCTCACGGATAGGAACAATCAATATCATGAAAACGGCTATATTGCCCAAGGTAATTTATAGATTCAATGCCATCCCCATCAAGCTACCAATGACTTTCTTCACAGAATTGGAAAAAACTACTTTAAAGTTCATATGGAACCAAAAAAGAGCCCACACTCCCAAGACAATCCTAAGCAAAAAGAACAAAACTGGAGGCATCACGCTACCTGACTTCAAACTATACTACAAGGCTACAGTAACCAAAACTGCATGGTACTGGTACCAAAACAGACATACAGACTAATGGAACAGAACAGAGGCCTCAGAAATAACACCACACATCTACATCCATCTGATCTTTAACAAACCTGACAAAAACAAGAAAGGGGGAAAGGATTCCCTATCTAATAAATGGTGCTGGTGATACTGGCTAGCCATATGTAGAAAGCTGAAACTGGATCCCTTCCTTACACCTTATACAAAGATTAATTCAAGATGGTTTTAAGCCTTAAATGTTAGACTTAAAACCATAAAAACCCTAGAAGAAAACCTAGGCAATACCATTCAGGACATAGGCATGGGCAAGGACTTCGTGACTAAAACCCCAAAAGCAATGGCAACAAAAGCCAAAATAGAAAAATGGGATCTAATTAAACTAAAGAGCTTCTGCACGGCAAAAGAAACTACCATCAGAGTAAATGGGCAATCTACCGAATGGGAGAAAATTTTTGCAATCTACCCATCTGACAAAGGGCTAATATCCAGAATCTACAAAGAACTTAAACAAATTTACGAGAAAAAAACAAACAACCCCATCAAAAAGTGGGCAAAGGATATGAACAGACACTTCTCAAAAGAAGACATTTATGCAGCCAACGGACACATGAAAAAATGATCATCATCACTGGTCATCAAAGAAATGCAAATCAAAACCACAATGAGATACCATCTCACACCAGTTAGAATGGCAATCATTAAAAAGTCAGAAAACAACAGATACTGGAGAGGATGTGGAGAAATAGGAACACTTTTACACTGTTGGTGGGAGTGTAAATTAGTTCAAGCACTGTGGAAGACCGTCTGGCGATTCCTCAAGGATCTAGAACTAGAAATACCATTTGACCCAGCAATCCCATTACTGGGTATATACCCAAAAGATTATAAATCATGCTACTATAAAGACGCATATACATGTATGTTTACTGTGGCACTATTCACAATAGCAAAGACTTGGAACCAACCCAAATGTCCATCAATGATAGACTGCATTAAGAAAATGTGGCACATATACACCATGGAGTATTACGCAGCCATAAAAAGGGTGAGTTCATGTCCTTTGCAGGGACATGGATGAAGCTGGAAACCATCATTCTGAGCAAACTATCACAAGGACAGAAAACCAAACACCACATTTTCTCACTCATAGGTGAGAACTGAACAATGAGATCACTTGGACACAGGGTGGGGATCATCACACACTGGGGCGTGTCAGGGATTGGGGGGCTGGGGGAGGGACAGCATTAGGAGAAATACCTGATGTAAATGACGAGCTGATGGATGTGCAAACCAACATGGCACATGTGTACCTATGTATCAAACCTGCATGTTGTACACATGTACCATAGAACTTAAAGTATAATATTAAAAAATAGTAATAAAAATGAAAAAAAACAAAACAAAACCAAAACCCTGACCTGCCAGCCATCGGGGAGGTCAGGACTTAAGTGTGCACCGTCGGGGCCCCCCTGCTTGGTGCCTGCAAATAAATACCCTCCTTCTCCCACTAGAAAAAAAAAAAAAAAGTTAATTTGAGAACATGTGCATAACTTTTGCCCCACATAACTTAAAAATTTTGACAAAATGGAGAAATTTCTATCAAACAGCAAAAATATCTCAAAATGAAATCAAAAGCTTGGTTTTTATATAGCTATTAAAGAAATTGAATCCATAATATCAGTAAAAATATTTCCAAAAGAAAAAAATTAAGCCTAAATAGTTCTACAGGTAAATCTTACCAACCTTGCAAAGAAGAGATGATTCTAATTTTACAAAACTCTCCTAGAGGATACTTTTTGTAGAAATATTACTCAAATCATTCTATAAAACTAGTCCGAAAATCAATATGTAAAAGAAAAATTACAGGCCAGTGTCATTCACAGAGATGCAAAAATTCCGAACAATATATTAGAAAAATGAATCCAGGAGTTTAGCAATTACAAAAATATACTTACAAATTCTTCCTGTCCATGTAGGCACACTCCTTTACAATATGACTGTCACTTCTCCCATTAAGAGGTGAAGTCTGTCTGTCCAAGCTTTGAATCTGATATTGACTATCTGACTGCTTTGGCCAATGAGACATTAGCAAATAAAAGGTTAGTAGATGTTTGGAATGTACTTGCACATTATGCTTGCCCTATCTTTATGCTACAAACCCTTCTGCCACCATAGGAACAACGAGTCAGGGTTAACCTCCTGGAGAGAAGGCTGTGGTAGACATGGAGATTTGTTGCCCAATTTCCCTTCAAAGAAGGTCTGGTTGTCCAGCTGTAGGAAAGGTGGTCAGCAGTCTTCAGCTGTCAGTTCCTCAGGGTCCACCTCAGCAGCAGAGGTCACACCCTTGTGAATGAGGTGTGTGTATAAAGACTGGCCATTTCAGCCTGACAATGGACACCACACATGGGCAATGTTCACTCCAGAGCTCCCTACAAAGTGTGCCAAGTCTTCGTGAAGCCTGCATCACAGTTCAACTTCTCCCTCTGCAACAATCCTTTTTCTCCTTTTCTTTCACAGGTATTGGTTCCTAATAAACATCTTGCACCTCAAATTCCATCCCAGAATCTGCTTCCAGAGAACCCCATCTATACCAAGACCCTGATGATCCCAGTCATCTCAGTTATTCCTGCTGAAGTTCCACTCGTGAGTGAGGCCATCCTGGATCAGCAGACCAGCTGCGCCAGCTCCAACATAAAAAACAACCAACTCAGATAATCCTGAAAAATAACAAATACCTGTTGTTTTAAAATACTAAGTTTTGAAGTGGTTCTTTACATAGTAAGAGCAAGCTGGTACATTAGCATATTAAAAAGATAATACGAAAGTTGGACTTACTCCAGAATTCACAAGAGAGTTGACATTAGAACAATCTATGCCATTCACTACCTTAACAATTTAAAAGAGGGAAGAATATATTATCCCAATAGATGAATTAAACTAAGTGATAAAAATAATAACCTTCTTTTACTTAGAAAAAACCTTTCAGTAAAATAGAAAGACACTTTCTTAACATGAATAAGGGTGTATTCCAAAAACCTCAAGCAAGAACCAATTGAATAGTGAAACACTAAAATCATCTCCTTTAAAATCAACAACTAGCACTATCACTATTTTCATTCAATATTAAAATATATTAGTGCACTCAAAAAAAGAAAGAAGAAAAAGGAACATAATTTAGTAATAAACAAATGGAGCACCCCTATGTCTGATGTGATGATCCTACATGTGATGACTATTTATATAGAAAACCCTGGAACCTTTAGGTTAATTAGGAAAATAAAAATCTTAGCAAGGTGGCTAGCTGTTAAGTTCAATACGCAAAAATCAATTACACTCCCTGATGAATTGCAAAAATAAAATTAAATTAAAAAACCAATTATGGTGCTATAAAAGAACAGAAAATTAAGAAAGGTAATTTTTAAAAGATACTATTTACAACAGCAACAGAGCTTTTGTAATAAAGCCGACAAAAGATGTGAAAGACCTGTATAAAAAAAGTATAAAGTTTATTGAATTGTAAGAGAAGACCTAAATAAATTGAGAACTATATCATGTTCATTGATAGGAAGACTCATATCATAAAATGGCAATTATCTCTAAATGACCTAAATGTTCTATGAAACTATAAATACAATCTCGATATGATTTTTAAAATTATTTTATTTATTGTATTTTTTGTATTTACCTCCTGGAGGCAGGAGCTCACTCTGTCACCCAGGCTGGAGTGCTGTGGCATAATCATAGCTCATTGCAGCCTCAAACTCCTGGACTCAACTGATCCTCCTGCCTCAGACTCCCAAAAAGGTAGGACTATAGATATGCTGCACCACCACACCCAGCTAATTGTTTTTTATTTTCATTTTTTGCAACTAATGGATCTGATTATGTAGCCCATGTTGGTCTCAAACTCCTGGCCTCAAGGACTCTCCCTGCCTCAACCTCTCAAATTGTTGGGATTCCTAGCATGAGCCACCACCATGCCTGGCCTCAACATGATTATTTTGTGTATGGAATTTACTGAACTGATAAAATTGATATGAATGCTCAAGGGGCCAAAAATAGCCGATACTCTCCTAAAAGTATATTCAACACATTAACTGATTCTGACTATAGGTAATTGTAATACAAAGAACACTTATAAAGAAATAAAAAAAGGTAATACAAAAATAAATATGACATGAAACATATGAATACCAGAGAGTAAGAACCTGGCTTTTCAGTGATAGAAAGAAAAAAAAAAAACAAAAAAGAATGGTCAATAAACATATGGCAAAATGCCCACCCTCATTGCTAAACAAAAAATTAAAGACACTGCAAAAATACTATTTTATACCTATGAGACAGCAAAAACCTTTAAATTCTGACAATATTAAGTATAAAAGATGTTGTATGTAGACCAATGAGTTCTTAATACTGATAGTGGGAATATAAATTGGCATGAATTTTAGTTTTTCAAATTAGTGGGAAATTATGGAATCCAAACATTAATGAAGATGAGAACCCAGAGAGGTAAGCACAACAGAGCATTTGTCTTTAGAAGAAACATCTGTGAAACTGAGGTATAGGTTTGGCAACCTGGTAGAGTATGATAAACGACTCAAAATCCAGGAACTTCCTAAGGAGGAAAGACACACCTGACATTTGCTTTAAGCTGGAACCAGAAGGGCTGACCTCCCTGGACAAGTGTCCTCTAGAAATAAACCAAGTGGATTTTAACCTGATTTTGCATCACCTGGTTCTGAGAACCTCAAGCTTTGAACTTGGAATATTCTAGCCCTAGGTAAGCCTCTGGGATCTGGTATAAGCAAGCAAAAATCTTCTCTGCATTTGGAAATCCATCTTTGGAAGACGCCATTATAGGAAACCTCATATGCTTGCTTTTTTTCCCTCAAGTACCATGACTAGTACAAAGACAAAGATAATATTCCACACACAAAATAATCACAACATGATTATTTTGTGTGTGGAATTTAATGAACTGATAAAATTGATATGAAAACTCCAAGGGCAAAAAGTAGCCAATGCTTTCCTAAAAATGTATTTTCAAAACATTAACTGATTCTGACTATAGGTTAGTAATTGTAAAACAAACAAGACACTTTCATCAAGAACCCATTGAAGCAATAGACAAAACGATGCTTTTCCCCATAAGAGAATTTCTAACTCTAAACAAGTATTAAAAAAAATTGTTTATATGCACATTAAATTTCAAGATAATTTTAAAAAGAAAAAAATCAACAGTATTCTCAATGAACACATGTAGACAAATGCCTGACTTCCAAGTTGAATTTTTACCATGTTTTCTCTATAAGTGTGGTTTGCAGAATTCCTGTTTAAGCTTACTACTTACCTATTACACTACATTAACTTAAAACCAATAATTCTGAAAACTAATAACCATAGTTACAAATTTGGGAATGAAGAGAATGAGAAGAAATGCCACAAGTGGGAGAATATATGTGCAAAAGACATCTGATAAAGGACTGTTATTCAAAATACACAAAACTCTTAAACCTCAATAAGAAAATGAACCAATTTAAAAATGGGCAAAAGAAGATACACAGATGCAAATGAGCATATAGAAATGAGATGCTCAAAATCATGTCATTAGGGAAATGCAAATTAAAATGAGATACCCCTACCAACCCATTAGAATGCCCCATATCCAAAACACAGACATCAAATGCTGGAAAGGATATGGAGCCACAGGAACTCTGAAACATTGCTGGTGAAAACGCAAAACAGTACAACCACTTTGGAAGACAGTTTGGTGCTTTCTTACACAACTAAACACTCTTACATAGATTTTAGCAGTTAAACTCCTTGGTCCCAAAGGAGTATTTAGCCAAAAGAGCTAAAAAAAATTAGGTCCAGACAAAAGCATGCACATAGCAAGTTTATTCACAATTCCCCAAATTTGGAAGCAACCACGGTATCTTTCAGCAGATAAAGAGATAAACTGTGGAACATCCAGACAATAGAATATTAACTAGTGCTAAAAAGAAATAAGCTAGCAAGCCATAAAAAGACATGTTGCTAAGTGAAAGAAGCCAATCTGAAGAGGCTATAGACTGTATGATTCCACTTACGTGACGGTCACATTCTGGAAAAGTAAAACTACAGAGATAGTAAAAAGATCAGTGGTTCCCAGGCATTAGGGTAGAGGGAAGGATGAAGGGACAAAGAACAGAGGACTTTCAAGACAGTGAAACTATTCTGTATCATGTTACAATGGTAGATAAATGTCATTAAATATTTATCAAAACCTAAAGAATATACAATACCAAGAGTGAACCCCAATATAAACTATGGACTTTGGGTGATAATATGTTAAGGTAGGTTTACGGACTGTGATAAATGTACCATTGTGGTGTGGAATGTTGATATGGTGGATGCTGATAGCAAGGGAAGTTATACATGTGTGGGGGTGGGGTGGGGAAAGGATACATGGGAACTCTGTACGTTCTGGTCAATTTTGCTGTGAACTTAAAACTGCTATAAAAAATAAAATCTCTTAAAATCTTTTTTTAAAAATTGAGAAAAGGATGCTATGTGAGGATACTTTAAGCTATCAGATTCAGTCAAGAGACTCTGGGGCCACATTTACAATTATCCATTACCTAGCAAGTCATACAGTGAGGGCATGCCCTATACAGCTTACAACACAGAATCCAGCATGATATTCTAAATACCAAAAACAACAGACGTTATGAATATCTGAAAGAGCCAAGTTCAGTCCTAAAATTATAGACTGTTATCGGTGCCGGAAATAATTAGGAAGTCTATTTTGGAATTCAAACCCTTCAGGATTTGTTTTTCAAAGTTCATTTACTAAGGTCTAGTCTCACATCTTCCCTAATCTACTTTTTACTAATTAAGAATTTTGCTGCCATGCCAACAATACATTTGCTTAAAGAAAACAACCTTACAACTTTGAAATGTTAGTGTCATTTTAGCCACAAAACTTTATTTACAAAGTTTTTTAGAATATACTTGCTATCCACCCACTATTCCAAGAGTAAAATGATGTCAAGTAGATTACACAAGAGCATAAAACAGAGAAAACAAGTCTACAATATATACAGTGCCATAAGTGGTTGCTATTTTTACAGTTTTCTTTTAAAGATAATCTACTGAATTTTTTTTGCTGATAACACTTCAGAGTGATGTTGTCTTCAAATGTAGATTTCCACAGGGATTCAAGAGTATAACAGTCCAATATATTTTATAGGTGGTATCTGACATTACGAATAACTGCAAATCATTTTTTTCCCCTTTTTTTTTCAAAAGTCTTGGAGGATGAAGAATTATGACTTTCACCACCACTATAGTGTTCATATAAAGTCTGAAATTAAAAAACACAAATCTGTTTTGCAATTTTTTAGTTAAATGTACTGTCACATCAGTAGATGTATTTTGATGTATTCTAAATATAATACATTTATTTCTCTCTTGTTCTTACAGTTGGGAAATTATTTTATAAACTATTAGAGATAATAAAGAATTTTAAACACGAAGCTTGGCCTTAAGCATTACCTATCATGAGATATAACTCAATCTTTCTATGAGAGAAATATAACAGAGCTACTAATAAACATACATATGAGCCTTCAAGGCCTTCTTTATCTCTTTACTTTTTCTTAAATAAAGCCAGTCTTAGGTAAATTCCTATACAAAATATATTTATTAGGAAACTTTATATTCTCAGATGATAATAAGCTAATAAATAGAAGACATTACAAATTATATAAATATAATAATTAGATATATATTAAAATCCATGTATTTAAAAATGATTTAAGACTCAGCTAACATCTAACTTATGAAGATGGCAGACATCTTTGCCCTCAAGGAACATACAACTTCAGTTATAAAAATAATCCACCTCAACTATAGCTATAAGAGGCTTTGAATAATATATTAGTATAAACTTAAAACATGGAGATACAAAATACAGAGCAATTACAAAACAAATTTGGTCCACTTTTAATTACTAAATCCATTGATTTAGCCATTAGCATTTGAGAAAATTTAAGAAAACAGGTACCTCATATCATATAAATGCAAATATAGTGAATATATAGTAAATTCCTTCAAAAAATGTATTCAAGTTCTTGGCAACTTAGATGGATTTTATATGTATCCAGAGAGCTACGAGTATTGATAGTTTAGGTTCCCATAATTTTATGATAATGTTGTAACTGAAATACATAATTAGTAACTGCTTGTTGGCTAAATCAGTTGGTCAATAAGCATTCACAGGGTTCTAGAAATAACTAGGTGTTTGAAAAATCATGGTATAGATATAAATGGACATTGGGAAGCTAAAAAGCTTGAGACTTGTGCTTTGAGAATTGTGTTGATTGCTGTGTACAGCTTCAAAAAAGCCATTACATGTAATGTCTCTAAGGAAAAAACTGGCTAAAAGGAATGAATTCAAAAGCTGTATTAATAATGGTGCTGAATTAAAAGACACACTATATTCCTATATTAAATGTATTCCAGTTGAGACGTGACAGCAATCTTTTGAATGCACCTTATGTGATGATCTACTTTGAACTGTACTGTATGCAGAAGAAGAATATAAATCAAGTAAATCGATATTTGTCAAAATGCACATGTTAAGTATCTAAATGTAGAAACATGTTTCATAACTGATCTGATGATTGGACCAACTTTTCTTCAGACTACCTGTTTCCTTAAGTGTCGAATTCACTATATAAAACAGTAAAAATTAATGTAAAGAATAGACATACTTACTTTAGCAGCTTTCAAAATGGAGTTAGGAGAATTCAGACCAACAAGTTGGCCCAGAACATATTTCATTTCTTCAGTGGTTCCCTTGGCCATTTGGTTAACTATAAAATAAATCAATAATACACTAGTACCAGTAAGAAAAATATAAGTCCATTGTAAATACACATTTTGTTTAATAGCACAAAGTGATATTCTTATAATTTATCACTGATTATAACCCGTTATCTGGAATAAGTAAAAATAAATACCAGAAGTAAAGAAAAAAAAGTTTATTTACTTTACTATTTATAATAATGGAACTTCCTTAAGGAAAAAGGCAGGCTGACAAAGGGTAGCCAATTTAGATTCTGTCTTTGTTATATTAATAGGTAACAGACTGTTTATACTACCAATCTAGTAATAAACAAATTTTTAAAGAAGTAGTACCTGGATGAGTTTGAATTTGAACATATGGATGAGCCAGGAGCTCAGGAATGGATATCCTCTGTTTTGGGTCCCTTTTTAAACAACACTATTAAAACAAAGATATTTTAAAAGAAAAACAAAGCAGGTTTTCATATATGATATTGATAAAGTATTTTTCCAGATTACATTATATTATAAAAGTTACTTTTTAGATATCCCACTAAAGTATTATGACAAGATTATTTCTCCCAAGGCACTTTTGCAAAATCCCCAAGTATTTACAAGCTTTAAAACATCTTCAAAGTAAAAAAACTAATTCAGTTAGCA
This sequence comes from Homo sapiens, assembly GCF_000001405.40. Lineage (NCBI taxonomy): Eukaryota > Metazoa > Chordata > Mammalia > Primates > Hominidae > Homo > Homo sapiens. Next base: position 80,039,974 of record NC_000006.12, on the reverse strand, counting down.
ATTCTTTTGAATAGAACAGTTATATCTAAGCCAGTTACATAATTCCAATTATTTCAACTATTTCTTTTAAGTAAATAATTAGTTACATGAAATTAATATTACCTTTAACACATCTTGAAGATCTTTCTCTGGAATATCGGGAAATTCAATTTCATGATTAGGATCAATTATGGCATGTAATTTAGAAATCTGATTAATTATCTGCTGAAATGGTGTTTTCCCGTAAGTCATATAGTACAAAATACATCCTAAGGACCAAACATCACTTTTGGGGCTTATCTAAGAAAAAAACAAACAAACACAAAAAAGTTGCTGTTATTTTCATATAAAATGAAAAAACATATATATTAAATATACATATTTAAAATCATAATTAAATCTCAATGAATGTGTACTACATTATGTTAACATGACAAAACATCTTTTTCTAGTTTTCATTTCAGTTGGTTATTCCATCAGAAGATATGAGCTTTACTTTAAATCTTTCTATAACCTCATAATTAAAATATTGCAATTAAGACAAAATATTAAATTCTTCCCAACTTGTGAAAATATAAAATTAAAAAATGTAAGTTTTAAGTTTGTTTTCCCCAGAATTACTGGATTATAATAAATTTTTATATAAGTACAAAGTATGTATACAGTTTCAAAGGTTGCTTAAATTATGCAACCCTTCAGACAAGACCATTGGAAATAATAAATAAGCAATACAACTTTAAACCCAAGCACATATACTATAGAACTATGCGGAGCTTGTGTCCAAAATCCTCAAGTATTTACAAGCTTTAAAACATCTTCAAAGTAAAAAACTAATTCAGTTAGCAATTCTTTTAAATAGAATAGTTATATCTAAGCCAATTACACAATTCCAATCATTTCAGCTATTTCAAGTAAATAATTAGTTATATGAAATTAATATTACCTTTAACATATCTTGAAGATGTGTTACTAACTGGTAATGCTATGTGTCTGTTTTCTCAACTCTGATATAGAAATTATAAAAGTACATTGTCATGGGCATTAAATGATAAACCATAAATATGGTTAATCATAGAGAAAAGTTTCTGGTTATCACAAGTACTCAAGTTGTAAAGCAAATGAAAATAGAGTTGATAAATGAAGTCAGGAACTGCTTATTTAAGAAGAACAAAACCACAGAAAGTCTAATAAAAACACAAGAAATTTAAGTTTTAGAAGAGTGGAGGCTAAACAAATATAAAAAGAATTTTATGAAAACATTTGGCAAAATTGTATGCCAGTTATTTGAAAAACACTTACAAGCCAGATTTTCTAAGGAGGAAAATAAAATTTAGTAAATAAAAACACATTTATCAAGCAATGATTCTGAGCTGGATAAATGTACTAAGTACTTTATATATTCTTTCCCATTTAATCCTCAATTTATTTTACAATAGGCACTGTCTATAGGCACAATTTAGAGACAGGGAAACTAGGCAAGTCACTTGGCCAAAGACAGTTGTTAATGAAGAGGCAGATCTATGACTTGAATGAATACAGGTCCCTGGGACAATGTGTGCTTGCACCCACTTGGTTACACTGATGTAGAGAAAGAAGGGTTAGCCTGGGAGCCCAAGGCATCAAGGTAGGCAAAAGGAGCCCCGGACAAAGGGCACCCATGAGGCTAACGCAAACTCATCGAGGTAGCGAGATAAAGTCAGTGGAAAAGTAGCCAGTGGCAGGCCAGAAAACAATTACATTCTCCAGCTGTACTTGGAAATGTAGAATTCACAAACGAATAAGTGGTGAAAAATAGTAAGAATTGGAAACGAAAAAAACCAGCAATGTCTCTGTAATGGCCTAAAAAGTTTTAGAACTTAAAGAAATTGTTATCTGGTAAGTTTATTCAGAAAATAGTGCATTCCCTACTGTTGCCAGATAATTGTGATGTAAATAATCTTTTCAGTACCTTTGACTTAGATTTCCCATTCTCTCTGGAGGAAGACATATCTTTGATTGCTTCTGGTGGCATATAATTAACTGTGCCAACCTATATGCCAAGTCAGAGAAAACACAAATCAATGAAAATATTTAATTCTGCTTTAGATTTTTTTTTGAGATTATTATTATTATTATTATTATTATTATTATACTTTAAGTTTTAGATTCTTAAAAATACAAATGCCAGATCCTTGGAAACTTGGGTAATTATAAATTTCAATGATATCCTTGCAAATTTCAAATAACTGCTGACAACGTTAAGATATATATATCAAATTTCTTCACAACTGCAGCAAAACGAGTTGGGTTCATAATCAGCAAAGTGACTCCTTTCAGAATGCTGTGCTTTTTCTATGATTATACTGGGCAACTAGTAAAGCCTGCCCTAAAAACTCTCCAGGCTAAAATCCTATTAATGGCCATAAACTTTGAGGCCATTGAGGGACTTACCATTCGTTTCTTGTTGTAACATACTCAACTTTAAAAAAATATATTTTTTAAATAAGCCCACCAATATACAAACAAAAATACCATCTAGCTTTGTCTCACAGTAGTCCTCTGAGTTTCTACAGTAGGATATGCCAACCTTACAATGAGCTCATTTTCTTCTAAAATACATGGTTTGCTTTAAACACAGAATATATCTACTTTAGGGCCTTGACATGGAAGATATTGTCAAGCTGATTTACAACTCATTGATCTGCCATACTTTTGATACAAAGAGACATGACTGTCAAATAGGGCATGTCGTCCATCATTCCTCCTAACAAAGTCTATTTTACTCCTGGGATTAAGGTGGACTCACATCAAAAATCTGTAAACATGGAACATATCATCTTGGTTCCAAGCAAGAATATCTTTTAGATATACTTTGGTGCCATTGCTTTAGTTTTTATAGAACAACGTCTTTTAGTTTGCTGTTGCAATATCTATTATAAAAATGTTGCTTATAATACTTATGGCATTTACAATATGAAGGCCCACTTAAGAATTTTTTTTCCAATTTCAGTGATAGGAAAAGGTCGGCTTCTCTAGAAGAATAAAAATGATCTTACCTCATAGACAGTGAAAAACATATAACTGCAACTCCCTCTTTGCTACAAGGAAACTCTGAGCCAAATTTTCAGGTCAATTTTTGATCACGACCAAGTGATTTCCAAGGAAGGTATTACTGTTTCTCTACTTCAGCTATAGGAAAACCATTCACAATTGCTGGAGATATTACTATTTGATCTTGACTTTCTATTCTACATTACAATGATCATGGTTTATATTTTTAAATCTATTCTTATTAAAAGACTTCAAATCCTTTGAAGAATGAGGTGATTAAAAATATAACACTCATTTGCAATATAATACTTCACAGGTAAAAAAAGAATTGAACTCTACTGTGAGAGAACCAACATTAAGTCTTACCTGAGAATCTTTAACAACACTTGTTGTATCTGGTTGCATTTGGTTTGCAATCCCAAAATCAATTAGCTTTAGCATTCCATCAACTATCAGAAAGTTAGCTGGTTTAAGATCACTGTGAACAATGCCTTTAAAATAAAAATCCACTGTAATATTAAACAATGCAAAACATTCTAAGGACCAAAAAATTCACAGTCTACAGGTCAAGCTGTATTTATTCCTTCAATTAGTGAACCCAATTCAATAATTTTTTTATATATTCTGCAAATATTTACATAGCACTTGTTATGTGCCAGGCACTGTTCTAAGTTCATTGTTTATACAGTACTGCATCATTTAATCTTCACATCAATGCTGAAGTATTATCATCATCCCCACTATAAGGCAAGGAAGCTAAGGCAATGAGAGTTTAAGTAACTTGTACAAGGTCACACAGCCTAAGTGACAGTTAGAATTGAAGCCAGACAGTCTGGCTTCAGAATCTATCCTCTTAACCACTGTGATTCACTGCCCACTAGAGAGCATCACAAATTATACTGCCAGACAGTAAGACCCTAATGCTCCTGACATCTCCACCCCTATAGCCCTGATCTTGATCACTGGTGAATTATCTTTTAAGATAATTTAAGAGAGAGAGATGAGGAGGAGATAAATTACAATTAACTAGGATAACAGTTATTAAGAACAAAAAAATATATAGGATAAGGTAAAGGCAGAGAAAAACCCTAAAAAGAACCAAGGACAAGTAAAAACCAACCCAGAAGGTAGGCCTAACAGTAAAAAACAAACAAAAAAACCAACTTCTCACACAGGGCATACAATACAAAATGATTAGGAGAATGAATAAAGTAAACATCTCATATTTTCAGGATGCCTGAACCCCAAAGTCTTAGACCTGCTATAATCCAAGTATTTGGAGATAAGGATGACAGACTACGTTAATACTGAGAAAAATACATTTTGTATTACAGATGTCGGAACTTGAGTTGATGTCCTATATCCTTTGGGTTAACGGTGTTTTAAGAAATGGTTTTGTTCCTTTATCTTTAAATAAACTTCTAATTATTTAGTTGATCTCGTTAAAGACACCAATAACCAATGCCCTAAAATTATAGGTATATTTCTCTAAGATGACACTATTAACAAAGATTTTAACCTTACAAATATAAAAAAACTGTTAAATACCATGTTGATGGATTGTGTGAACTGCCTCTAACATATTTTTCCAGTAACTCTTGCGTTCCCATGGATCAATGGATTTTTTCTTTTTAAGCCAACTATTAAGATCAATATTTCCACACTCCATTACCATGTAGATGTACTGGTCCGTGATTTCACTGCAATTAAACAAATAAAAGCAACAAAACAATAAATGGCTAGGTTATATTAAAGTTTACTAAATATTTACCTGAAGAATTATGGCAAAAAGTTTTCTTTTTAAATTTAAAAAGAATTCTTACTAATCATAAAGTCGGATGATCTTATCACTGTGTTGTTGTAGTTTATTCAAATAAGCTATTTCGTTCCGGTAACTATCAAGAGTTTGGTTATCTGCTTCTTCTAAGTTCACATATTTTATAGCATATATCTGTTTCTTTTCATTTAACACCTGAAATACCTACAGAGTAGAACAAAGAGAAGTTTAGAATATACTATTTATACACTATCACACAATGATTCTAAATTTATTAGGATTTTAGGTTGAGAAAATTCTAAAGGAAATACTGACATGAACATTAAAAGTTTCTGGGCCTATTTTGAGTGTAGAAGGAAGAAAAATAATTCTGATAGCAGAGTAACAGTCCATTCCCAATGACCTATGATGATGGGCATTCAATAATTTAAAGGTATAAATCTAAAGTTTCTATATCAACATGTAAGAAAAGTTTAAACTTCAGATATATATAACAATCTGTTGGATGCCCTAAACAGGGAAACAGCATAAAGAAAAAGACTTTCCAAAATGTTAAGGACAAGCCTGGTGCAGTAGTTTGCTCCTTTAATCCCAACTACTCAGAAGGCTGAGGTGGGACAATTGCTTGAGCCCAGCAGTTTGAGTCCAGCCTCGGCAAAATAGTGAGACACGGTCTCAAGGAAAAATAAAAAAGTTAAGGATGACTAAAGGCTATGATACAGAGTCAATTCAATTCACAGATGTTGTTTTCTCTATTGTGCCTAGATTTAGCAATTTTTGCATGAATGAGTTTATTATTGCCCCCACTGTCTCTGTTCTGGCAAAACTCTTGCAATCCGGTTTAGGTAAGCCTTATTTCAGTTTCATAGAGATAGTGTCAGAGTTGTGATTTGTTAGTTTTATGGGAAGTTACCAGTGTCTTGACCATTCTCATTACCCCATGACTGTTCTAGATACTCTCAATAGCCTCCTTAAAAGTTGGTCACTGCCTAAACTCTGAAACAGGCAAAGCATAAATGGTATTAGTTTCATAAAGCATGTTACTTTCTTTGAGGCATTTGATTTTTTTCAACTCTATCATAATTAACTTAAATGATAATTTAATTGAATTCAGAAAATATGGGCCAGCCATTGCTTTATCACTTGGCCCTTGACTTAAGTAAGCTTACACCTTCATTATACTCCAAGGAAAAAAATGTTAAAATGCCATTAAGACTACTCTACATTCTCTGAAAACATACAAGTAAATAAATACCTCTATTAAGTCTCAATACCTTGATACTACTAAAATATAGCCAAAAAACAAATAAATAATAAATATTAACCAAGTAATTTCTACGAAAGCAATTAAATTAGGTAATTCAAATAGATTGATAAAAGGAAATGTATAATGAAACCAATATTTATTGAAGAGTTGATACACATGGTAATGCACATACCTTATTTTTGGTAAGTTAATAAGACAGCCTTATGCAATTCTAATTATTGTTAGTGGGATTAGGAAATTACAGTAAAACTTAAAATGAGTCCAACAATGTCTGTTTAATGTGTCATCCTTAACAACTTACAATAGCAAAAGAGCTGAGGACAGACAGTTTACTCAATTCAACTAATAAATTCAATCCCTATCTGTTCTAGGTACTGTTCTGGATGCAGGGGCTAATATCACTGAGCAAATCAGAAAAACATCCCTATCTTCATGGAGCTCACATTCAAGTGCAGAGGGACACAAACAACAAACCAAATAAGTAAATTACAGAACATGTTAGAAGGTAAGATACAGAGAAAAACAAACCGGTGGGGAATGGAGAACACTGGTGATTGAAAGGTGGGAGTTGAAGTTTTACAGTGTGGGCAAGGAAGGCCTAACTGAGAAGACACATGAGGATATCTAGAGGAAAATAGGATGTCATGTTAAAATAAGCCAGGAGGAACTGAAATAGGCTAAATACAGAAAGACAAATACCTCATGTTCTCACTTATATGCGAAATCTAAAAATTAAACTCATAGAGCAGAGCTCATACTACCTTTGACAATGGTGGTTACCAAAGGCTGGAGGTTGAGAGAAATGGGGAGATGTTGGTGAAGGGATACAAAGCCTCAAATAGGAGAAACAAGTTTGATTTTTTTTAGATGATTAGCATAGCATGCTGAAAATAATAATTGGATATTATACATTTCAATATTGCAGAGAGTCAATTGCTAATGTTCTCATTACACACAAATAATTGAGGTAATAGATGTTAATTAGCTTAATCATTTCATATTGTATTTAAAAAGCTAATACCACTTTGTACCCCATAAAAATATACAACTCTAATTTGTCAATATACAATTTAAAAAAATAGACCAGGAGGGCAAGGACTGAGTAAATGAATTCCTTTAGGAGGCTATTAAAGTAATTTAGGTGAAAATACAAAAGTTGCCTTGACCAAAATAATAATGCTGGAGATGTGAGAAATAGATTCTAGAGATACTTTGAAGTAGAACTAACAAGATCTGCTGATTGGCTAGATATGTGTATGAGAGTAAGAGGCACCAATTTTTTGTTCAATCAACTGGAAGAATGAAGCTGCCATTTACTCAAATGGGAAAAGCTATGGAGCAAGAGTTGTGTTTGGACATATTGTTTTAAATGCCTGGTAGACACTAAGAAGCGATGTTGAATATACAAGTCTGGAATTCAAAGGAGAGGTATGAGCTGGAAATACAAGTTTGGGAATTGTCAGCATACACATGTTATTTGAAACCACAAGATTGAAAGAGAACACCAATGAATGAGTTTAAGAAAAAGATGAAAGAATGCTGAGGACTAAGCCCGGAGCAGTGCTTCACTGAGATCAGTAACACGAAGAAGACAATAGGTATGGACAGTTTGAGAAGAGAAAAACACAAACCAAGTGCGGAAAAAAGCTTCACTGCGAAAAAAAAAATCAGTTGTCCCAAATGCTAAGTAATCCAAAATCTAAGCTAAGAATTAGATTTGGCAAAAAAATGGAGGTCATTAGTGTTCTTGATTACAGTTATTCTGGTGAGTGATGAAGGCAAAAATCTAATGGAAGTAGATTTAATTGAATGACAATTAATGATGGTAAATTTAGATAATGCTTAAGATGCCTTCTATCCAGAGATGTAAAACGATATAAATTTAGAACTCAGGTAAATTTAGAAAATAATCTAATTCCAGAAATTCATTTGTTACTGAATTCTGTTTCTGAAATGAATAACTCAAAAGAAAACAAAATCCATTAGTAAAAATCCTTGCTGAATGATTCTAAACATATTAGCAATTTACATCACATTCTGACTCAGAAATTTCTGATTCTTTTGTGATAATACATAGTGGTCATTCGCTACCCCATGTCAATGTTTTTGTTATTAAAGAAGAAGTTTAGAAGCACAGGACATTGAAAGGAAAGGCAGAAGACTGGGAATAAGAGATCTAAAGAGGATATGTCACATGTGAGGGGCAGCGGGAAGAGAAAGGCAGGTGTTAAGATGGCTTTTTGGCTCAAGGGCAGCATCGCCCCTAGAAGTAAAGGAAAAGCAGCCCTCACAGGTAAAAAGACAAAAAAACAGAAAGTTTAAAATATTTTTATTTATTTCGTAAATATTTTAAGATACTTACCTTGCTTGAACCTCCACTTCCTATCTGCTTTAATATGGAATAAATTCTTCCTTTAACCGAAATGCATTCATTTGCTGAAGAAGATGCTAAAACCTAAATAAGTAAAATATATAAATAAAAGTTAATCAATATACCTAAGAAACTAGCTTACATTTGGTACAGTCAACTGCTCCCCATTTTGAAATTATCTTAAATCTTAATTAGAAATGTTACAATATTTTTAAAAGGACTTGCTCTACTTAATCAAAGAAAAAAAACCTTAAAAAATAATGTAGACAAACTTCCAAGGTCTCCCCCTTTAACTAGTTTTGACTTAAAAAGAAAATTTAAGGAGGAAAAAACCACTTAATATGCAATCTGCAAACTTATAAGCTTAAAAATATATATAAAAATAAAATATAAAATTATATTTTTCATTTTTCTTTTCTATTCTTTTTCCTTATACCTCTTTACTTACATATGTACATATACACACACATAATTATAGCTGCATTCTTTTCTTTTTTTTTTTTTTTGAGACAGCATCTCACTCTGCCTCCCAGACTGGACTGCAGTGGCATGATCTCGGCTCACTGCACCCTCTGCCTCCCAGGATCAAGCGATTCTTCTCCTCAGCCTCCCGAGTAGCTGGGATTACAGGCATGCCACTACCATCCGGCTATATCTGTATTCTTCTTTCTCATTTAGCGTTATATTATAAAGGAAGCAATGTGCTAAGGTGCTAAGAGCTCCAAAGTCAATGAGACAAATGCAAATTTCAGCAATGTCCCTGATATGGTTTGGATCTGTCAAATTTCATGTCAAATTGTAATTCCCAATGTTGGAGGCGGGGCCTGGTGAGAGGTGACTGAATCATGGGGGTAGATTTCCTCCTCAGTGCTTCTCTGAGAGTTCTCAAGAGATCTGGTCATTTAAAAGTATGTGGCATCTGCCCCCAACTCTCTCTCTCCCTCCCACTCCAGCCATGTGACATTTGCTCCCTTTCACCTTCTGCCATGATTGAAAGTTTCCTGAGGCCTCCCCAGAAGCCAACCAGATTGCCAGCATCATGCCTACTGTACAGCCTGTGGAACCATTAGCCAATTAAACCTCTTTTCTTTATAGCAGTGTAAGAACTCATTAATACAGCCCCCAACTTTGTCCTGAGTGATGTTCAACAAGTTACTTAATTTTTCAGAACCTCAGCGTCTTCCCCAGCAAACTTTCAGTTGATGTACTATACAACCAGCCCCATCATTCCTTCCCTTATATTGGAGGATCTCTCTGTGTACCTATAAATGCTTTGAACAGATGGAGTGCTGAGAGGACTTATTCTGAGCTGATAAAGAAGGTGAAACAAAAAGACCTCCTGATTAGCTGATTAACCAAGTTAAACAAGGTCTGAATAAACCTCAATTTAACTAAGGCCTGCTTTAGGTTCCAAATGGTAGAATCTCTCATGTAATCTCCTATTTAAATAAAAAGATAAGTATTCTAATTTTTTCACCTCTAGGATTGAGATACATTGTCTATATATATTTCCTGTAACAAAGTATTGGGCTTCTAAACATGTATGTGTTGTAATTTCATCAAGGTTTCCCCACTCCTCCTTTTGTGCCTTCTCTGTCTTCTTCCTTTCATATTTAAAACTGTGAACATTGCCAAGGGAAGAAAGCAGTTCAATGTCCTTTCTCCACGGCTGCTGACAGTTTTTAGAATAAAGTAATTCTTATTTCTGACTCAACACTAATGTGAACTCTGGTTTCCTCCACAGGACTTCCCGCATCCCCCTTAGTATGCCCTACTCACTGTGGTTAGAGTTTCCAAAATGCAAATTGGATCATTTCACTTCCCTGCTTCAACCTCTTCCAAAGCTTCCCACCCTCTTAGGGTAAAACTTAAGGGCCCAGCAAACCTTGGGCCTCACTCCTTCCCCTTCCTGACCTCTAGCCACACTGTGGCCTCGTTTCAGTTCTCTTCTGACACTGGCCTCTTCTAGAAGGCTCCACCAAGCCCCTTCACTTGTCATCTGTGACTCGTCTTCTGGATTGCAACTCAAACAGGGCCTGACACTAGTAATAGCTAAATAAATGTGTTTTGAATCAATGCATGAACAAACTGGATCATTTTTGTTTTTCCTTTGTAATTTATTATATTGTTTCAATCCTTAAAACACTATCACCTCTTTCCAGTTAGTATCTACTGTCAGCTCATTATTTTGTCCATTATTCTTTCAAACTGTGCAAATTATACATAATGCAAAATTTACCACTTTAACCATTTTTAGGTACAATTCAGTGGCATTAAGTACATTCAGTATGTGATGATGAAAAAGTTCTGGTGATGGATGGTGGTGCAAATACCACTGAAACTCTATACCCATTAAACAGTAACTCCCCATTCTTCCTCCCTTCCCTGACAACCACTGTTCTTATTCTGTCAGCTAATTTTTTTATCAGTTGATTTTTATAGTTAATTACTCATGGGTTTTTTATTGTTTTATTTAAATAACAATTGCTACTAACATTTCTGATTTACTAAGTGTCATGCTCTGTATTAGGAGTTACGTCTATATTAACTAATTTAATCTTCACAACCATCCTAGGAGGTAGTTAGCTTTACTAATTTTATAGATAATGAAATGGGCACCGAAAATTTAGGTAACTTGCAAAAGATCACACAGACTGTAAGTAGTGAGGCTAAGATTCATGCCCAGTGTCTCCAAGGCCCATGTTTTCTACCAGTATTAAGCTGCCTCTAGGACAGTTACTAGAAACCAACTTTTGCCTCATCAGCAAAAAATCTTTCCTCTTAGTTTAGTTATTAGTATAATACATTCTAGCAGTACCTCATATTGCTATTCTGATATTTTTGAAAATTTACATTTCCAAATGAATTGTATACTAACAAACAAAATGAAGCTGCTCACTAGCAGCTGACAAAACACAACAAAAAGTAACGCTGGCCAGGCGCAGTGGCTCATGCCTGTAACCCCAGAACTTTGGGGGGCTGAGGCGGGCGGATGGTTTGAGGCCAGGAGTTTGAGACCAGCCTGAGCAACATGGTGAAACCCTGTCTCTAGTAAAAATACAAAAATTAGCCAGGTGTGGTGGTGCGTGCCTGTAATCTCAGCTACTCGGGAGGCTAAGGCACGAGAATCGCTTGAACCTGGGAAGCAGAGGTTGTAGTCACCCGAGATCGCGCCACTGCACTCCAGCTTGGGCAATAGAGCGAGACTCTGTCTCAAAAAATAAATAAATAAATAAATAAATAAATAAATAAAAATAAAAAATAAAAGGTAACCTTGATTCATAAGAGAAATTTTATCCAGCTATTCAAACTGGATCCTTTGGCCTAGTTATTAAGAGTAGCTTCGTAAGCTTCTTCAATAACCAACCTCTCAAAGCCACAAGGCACACTCTTATTAGAATATCAGAAAAGTTTTGTCTAGTGGAAATAAGAATGGCCAAGTTCTTAAGACCTTTCTTGATAACTAGATGCTATAAAAATAAAAGCTGTAAAACGGACTGTATCTTAACATATACCATCATATATAAAGCTTATCGAACCTGTAAATTTTGAAGTGGAGTGGCAAGTATTTGATGCTGTTGCTGCTGGAAACAGGCAGGTTGGCCATAAGGTGTTGACAACTGACAAGCAGGTGGAAAGTCATTCTTTACAACTGGAGTTCTAAAACTAGGAAATATATATATATTTTTATTTAAAACATTACAATTTAACAAATAAGTCTGATTCAGTTTCATGTATTTTAGACTGATATAAACTTAAAAGTGTTACATCAAACAGAACCCAAGTTAGTTTTCATGATATAGCTGACACTTATTCCAGATATGCCACCACCGGATATTTAATTTTGGGGAATTCTTTCTGAAAGTAAATATTTGTATGCAGACAAGAAATCTTTGTTTGAAAAGATGGCATTTAAAATACAAAGTGGTTAGGGTTATTTTATATGAATTTAGCAAACATCAGCTTGTGGCCGGCCATAGATTTTGAGTTTTTTTTTAAACAATAATGTTCTATAATGGCTTGCTAGAAATATCAGAAAGCCAATTACATCACAGGAGTTTGGCCTTTGAGCTTAAATCTGTCCAGTATACATTTGTGCTTTGTTTGCCTTTTTGCTATTAATATATCCTCAACACCTAGAACAATGCTTGGCACAAAAGAGCTCCACAAATATTTGTTAACAATAATTAACCTAGTATCACAAGAAATATCTATTATCGCTATTTTAGTTAGCAATCATTCTTTAGAATATTCTACATATAATAAAATGAGGCAATATATAGTAAAACTATATTAAGTAGGTAAGAGGCTGGGTTATAAAATCTTTAAGACCAGTTCTAATTAAGATCAAGGATTACATTATGAAAATGAAACGCAAAAGACAACACGGATTTAAGCTATCCCCTAAGACATTAAAGATATAGCCACCGGTTGATGGTTATAATGTATCGCATCCCTTTATTTCCTTTCTCTGAAATGTCATTCATTTTCTTTTGTAGTATCCCTTGTGTTCCCTATCAGCACACTCATCATCGAACTTCTTCACTTATCCATCATTCCTATTCACTCAAATACTACACCTTTGAATACCTCCAGAACTACATGAACTGTAAAAACCAATCTCTTCCAGAAGCTATCACTTTCCAATTAACACCACTTATGTGAAAAAATTCATCTACTCTTTATCTGCTCTAAGAATGCTAACCTTTAAAATCTCTCTCTTAATAGAGAGATATCTGTATGGCAATACATGATTATCAAGACGTTTTACATCCTTAGAATATTTATAGGTTGTAGGTACAGATTACGATATGACAGAAACTACATGCACAACAATCCTTAAAAATATGCATTATTGCAACCACTTCCCCCTTTCCATTTTATAGATGAAAACACTGATGCTGAAAAAATAATATGAAGATGGAAAGTCTTTAAAGTAAAAGAGCAGGATTTAATCCCAGATTTATTTGGCCCAGAAGCCCATGTTAATTCTATCATACCACCCTGCCAATCAAGCAAGGGGCCAAAGTAATTACCAGCTCATGTAATCATCCAAGGTATTGCTGCTTGGTGTCTTACAAATAGATTTTGGGTCAAACCATTTAGATGTTGATATTGGTGGTGACTGTTTTGAAACTGAAAAGACAGGTTGCTCAAAAGTGGTATGTTTCTGCTAAAACAAAATAAAGAACACCATGATTTAGTTTTTAAATTAGTTGCCTGTTCACTAGTTTTTACAAATATTATAACTTTTAAAATAAAATAATAACATATGATATACAAAGGCATACTAAAAGAGATAGGCATATATATACATTTTAGACTTTCAATAATTTTTTTAGTGTAGTTATTTTACTCCAAATTCTTAAGCCTAGTGCATTCTGCTCAAACTGATGGCAAGTACAGGGAAGGCACACAAAATTACTTAAAACAGAATTTAACATTCTCTTCCATCAGAGCTATTGTAACAAGTATTAAATTCTTATCATCTAAAATAGTATCCTGTGTTTCTGAAAATCAGCCTTTCTTTAATCAATAAAACTCTATTCCCTTCTCCTCAAATGTAGACAAATACTAATTACTTAGCAAAATGTGGAATGACAAATGCCTATCTTGTGTCCTCCATAAGAAGAGACAGAACCTGTAGAAATTCTTTTTCCAAAAGCATTGTTGGGAAAAAAAAAAAAAAAAGAACCTATAGGATTCATCCTATACAAACCCCAAACAATGATGAAGGAACATCCGCTGCAGCAGAAATCAGCAAATTACAGCCTACAGGCTCAGGCTGAATGTGGCCTGCTGCCTGCCTATTTTTGTAAACAAAGTTTTATTAGAATATGGCTATGCCAATTTGTTTACATATTGTCTATGGCTTTTATTTTCATGCTCTAATGGCAGAGGTGAAAAGCTACAACAGAGCCCATCTAGCCTGGAAAGCCTGCTAACCCTTTACATAAAGTTTGCTAACCCCTGCTGTAGCACATCTCAATTAAATAGAGAACCAAGTTTTGCTTGAATACTTTTAGTAACTAAGCACTCACTAGTCTACAGAGGTTCACTTCAATTTCAGGACAGCTTTAGTTATTAGAAAATATTTGCAGATAATTTGGATTATATTGGTTTATCTATTATAATTTCAACACACTGGTCCTCATTACGCACTTGAGAATTACAATGACTAAATCTATCCTACTTTCTACATTTCAGTCTTGGCCAAGAAATTTTTTTTCCAGGATAAATTTTCCCTCTCATTTAAGACTTCGTGTGTCTGTGCTCACGTACAAGCACGCACATATTTTAAGATTAGTGGTAAAGATGTTACTGAGGAACTGCTGTAATAAGATTAATGAACAAGGAAAATGAAAAAGATCACGATCATAGAGTGGAATGTTAGCATCTGCGATTTTGGAGGTCAGAATTGAGGATATAAGGAGTAGGTGGCTAAAGTAAAATTAAGGAAATGGTCATGAGACACGAAGAAGTTAGAAAAATGAAGGCCAGCTGTAGGACTGGTAATACACAGGGGTGTAGAAGCCAACAAAAACAATGACAGTTGTTGGGATCTGGTTGATCCAGAGCCTTGTATCTTCAAGGAATGATGGGGAGTTACCAGGACATTCAGAGATGAGAGTAAGTCAGAAGTATCAAAAGAGCAGGCCTTTTGCAAGAAAGAGGAAGAAATGGTCTGGACACAGAACAGAGAGCACACAGCCATATGGTAAGTGAGATGTGAGACAAAAACAATCCTCCCTTGAAGGGACTGCTGGACAAGCAGTATCCACAAGAAACTGCCTAGATTCTATACTTTTTCTTTCTACGTGTACTATTCAATGGTTTTTAGTTGCTCAGTGGTTCACAGCTGTGCAACCATCACCACAATCCAATTTTAGAATATTTTCGTCTTCTAAAAAGAAAACTCACACCCATTAGCAATCACTCCCCACTCCCCACTGCTCCCAGCCCCTGGCAACCACTAATCTACTTTCCACCTCTATGGATTTGCCTATTCTGACCATTTTATCTAAATGGGATCATAAAATATATGGGCTTTTGTGGTGAGCTTCTTTCACTTAGCACGTTGTAAATGTTCACTTATGTTGTAACATGTACTAGTACTTCATTACTGTTTATTGTTGATTAACATTCCATTGTATGGATGTACCACATTTTCTTTATCCATTCATCGGTTGGATATTTTGTTATTTCCACTTTTTGGCAATTATGAAAATGCTGCTATGAATATTTATGTACAAATATTTGTGTGGATGTATGTTTTCAATTCTCTTAACTACAAACCTAGGAGTGGAATTATTGGATCATATAAAGCTACGTTTAACCTTTTGAAGAACTCCCAGACTCTTATCCAAAATGACTGCACCATTTTACATTCCCACTAGCAGCATATGAAGGTTCTAAAATTCTCCACATCCTTGCCAACACTTGTTATTGTCTCTTGAATTACAGCCGTCCTAGTGGGTGTGAAGTAGTATCTAATTATGGTTTTGCTTTGCATTTCTTTAATGATCCATATGGTTTTCAGTTCCCTTACAATCCTATTAGTGTACAATTTTCAAATAGAAAAAAAAGAGGAGATGCTGGTTTGATACAATCTATGACTCAACCTATCAGGATCCTTATCATCTAGCATTTGTTATCTACATCTACTACTTAAGAGATCTTACTATGACAATATTTACCTTTCTCACTTTTATTTTCTCATGAGTATATAAGGAGTTTTCCAGAGACTGTATGACATGTAATAATGAAATACATTGAATGCAAAAGCAGACATAAGAATCTAGTCTTCTGTTAAGCCAATCATTAGATTTGTAAAAACTCTAACACAGTGCTACTCTTCCCACTGTAGTTATTTTGTTTCAGAAAATACATATTTTTCATAAAAGTACATTTATATTCACATGAGTTTATCAGTTATTTTATTTCATTTTATTTTTTTTGAGACAGAGTCTCGCTCTGTCACCCAGGCCGGAGTGCAGTGGCATGATATCTGCTCACTGCAAGCTCCGCCTCCTGGGTTCACACCATTCTCCTGCCTCAGCCTCCCAAGTAGCTGGGACTACAGGCGCCCACCACCACACCCGGCTAATTTTTTGTATTTTTAGTAGAGACAGGGTTTCACCATGTTAGCCAAGATGGTCTCGATCTCCTGACCTCGTGATCTGCCCGCCTTGGCCTCCCAAAGTGCTGGGATTACAGGCGTGAGCCATCGTGCCCAGCCCTCAGTTATTTTTAATAAATTAATAAACATTTTTAAAGTTTCTTGGCTTTACTTCCTAATATAGTAAATAGAGATAGATATAATCAACATAAACAAAAGCTCTTTAGGGGCACTGATAATTAAGAGTATAAAAGGCCAAATGTTTGAGAACCACTGAATTAATAAAGCCTTTACTATATTTACTACAAGTCACTGAAAAGAAATGGTAAGGAAACTATGGCCATGAACTGCAGCTATAGCTCTTTAGTATCCTACTTGATCATTCCTTCCGAAAAGCCACCAGGAATGATGACTCAGTATGTTACAAATTCATGTACGTTGTCTAGGCTATATTTTTCTATTTTTATCAATGAGTATGACCACAGGAAACTGTTAAGTGCTTGGGACAGCACTGCGCTAGTTCAGAGATCAGCATACAGTTTTCGGTAAAGGACCAGATAGTAAACATTTTAAACTTTGCAGGCCAAGTGGTCTCTAATACAACTAATCAACTCTGCTCTTATAATGCAAAAGCAGCCATAGACATTAAATGAATGAGTGTGTCAGTGTTCCAGTAAGTCTTTATTTACACAATCAGGCTAAGAACTAGATTTGGCCCATAGCACCAGTCTATCGGCAATCTAGAAACACTATCGAAGATAGAAAATAATTTAGCCTGACTTACTGAACGTATGACTGCTACTGATCACCACTTTATAAATGATTTTAAAAACCTTTAAATAAACTATTCTACTAAATATCATACACATTTAATAAAAGAAAACATTTAATATGATCATCAACCTTCGGAAATGCATTATGAACAAAAAAGCAATATTGTACTTTAGTGGAAAAGTTACCTCTGTATTAACTTTTCGGGCTAACTCCGGAATCTGCCAGTGATTTGAAGATGCAGCAGGATTCTGGTTAATACACTCTGACTTTCTCTTAGATTGCCACTGTTTCTGGTTACTCTCTGGAACCTCTGGTTCTTGATACTCTTTAGTTTCTGAAATTGTATTTGTTGTCATTAAAAAGCAAGAATATTTGATCATAATAAACTAAGCCTAAACAACAGAACATATTACAAACTATATGAGTATTTAGTTCTTAAAAACAATCAAGGAGGGAGAGAAACTAAAAGCTTTAAGCCAGCTGCTTAACAATTTGCTTTTAGCAAGTCAATTTCACAAAGTTGCACTATAGTCATCTTCCTACATTGTTACTAAGAACTTTGTCAGAGACCTTGCCACATTTAAATGCTTCTTTACCAATAAATAAGTAAAAATTTAAAAACATATAGATGTTATAAAGTCTTACTAATAGAGAAGCTAATTCATCACTTTTCATAGACCGAGTATCCAACCCTCAAAATGCAATTTAGAACATTTTTTTTTCCTTTTTGCTTTCAGCCTGGAAGCATACTTTGAAACCCTTAGTTTCTCCCTTTCCCACCAGGCATGTCCATGAACAGTGTTCACTTATCTAATTACGTACTTGCTTAGAAATTTCAGGGGCCAGTTTTGAAACAAACCAAGCAGAGATGGAGTTGCAGACTCCTCTTGCATGGGGGGAGTTTCGAACAGTTAGCCTAGCATTACCCAGCTGAAGTCAAGATGACACAAACCATACCTCCAGATGGGCAATTACTCAATATAACTATCACAACAAGACATTCAGACCTGCACCACTCCTGCATCTCTTCCACACCTTTTCCTTTTTAAACCCCTTCACTCAGCCCAAAAAGTTGAAATGGTCTTTTGAGGGCATGAGCCTGGCCAGTCCCCAGCTGCTAGCATTTGATTAATAAAACTGTTTTCCTTCCACCACACCTCACTTCTCATGTTTTTGGCCTCTGTGTTGTGAAGAGCCGGACTTGAGTCAGTTACAAATGTGGTGCCCTGTGTGAGGAACTGTGTGTTTTGAGGGGCTCAGCCTGTACGCCTGGTTTCCAACAAGTGGAGCAATTGGCTGTGGGAGCAGGCCAAGGCTCACCCACTCAGGCTACCAGGCCAACGCAGGAGCCACTTGCAAATGCCAGCTGCTCATGGCTAGCTGACCCTGCAGCTGGGACCTTAAGGAACTCCCAGCAGCTAGGGAGACCACCCTTGTCTGAAGGATTTTTCCTTCCCTTCCCTTTGTGGCATCAGCTGCTGTAACACTCAGTTAGTGAAAGGGAAGTGGCATCTTGGAGGTCAACAGAATTCAAGGGTTGGATAAATTAACCAGAGTGTACTGGGAAATCCTCCATCTTAGCCATCTGCACTTTCTAGTTATCTGGACCTAGTATAGGTCATCTGTGGTGCCATTTGGGTCTCTTTGCCATCTGGACCCAATGCAGGTCACTCTGCAGTGCTGTCTGGATTTGAGACAAGATCTCAGGACTTTTCTCCAGTCTCCCCTTCTTGGGGATGGGTTTGGAATGCTCCATCTGCATTGGATCCGCCTGTATTTGTGTCTCTGTTTAGCGTTATCCCTCTTTCCAAGGGTGCTTTGAAACTGTCTCCGTCCCGCCCAGCAAGACTAGAAAGCAGCAAGATAGGCTGCTCCTCTCCCCGCTAGGGAAGAAATGGTTTCCAACAACCTGGCCTCTGATTTTTGTCATCCTCTTTTGGACTCCAGAATATTTCTTGTATCTGCGTCAAGCTTTGTTAGGGGAGAAAGCATGTGAGCTCTTTCCTGGACTATCTGGGACTCCAGCTGGTTACACATTATGGCCCGTTTTTCTGCACATTTTAAAACTATGGGCAAATTCCAGTAAGAAAAATTCAGAGCTCAAATGGTTAATCTTTAACTACAAAATTAAACAGTCTTCTAAAGCTAGCTCTCTATTTTCTCTTTTCTTTTCTGCCTGCTTTGAATGTGCTGTTATTAAGCTAGTTGAGTTGAGATAAAACTCACTGTTTTATCTCACTTGGAGATTTTGTTTTTTTATTTTTCTTATACAGGTCAGCCAGTTATGATTATAACAGAATCATTAGTAACTCATTTGAAACTGAAGAAAAAAGGGGAAAAAAAGGATAAAAGAGGTTTTTAAAACGAAATTGCCATAGAGACTTTTTTACCCAAATTTTGGTTGACAGCTTTCCTTAGATTACCTATCAGGGCAAACAAGGTTTAGCCATGTGAACAGGTTCCAATTTCATCAGAAAAATAATTAGGATCAGCTGTCTTTTATAAAGTGGTGAGTTTGTATTGTCATCTTATGGCTAGATTCTGAGGTAAAAGCTATTGGATCTTTGTGCCTGTATGTATACATGTTTAGACATGTTTATATGTACATACATGTATATGTTGAATCTAGCATGCTACCAAATTGGCTTATAAGTAAATGAGTACTCATAAATTAAGTAAGTCCTAATGCTTTTCAAGTTCATATGAATCTTTGGTAAATAAAAGTGATTTTAAAATTATTAATAAAAATAAAATGTCTTTAGAATTATCAGCATACATTTTTGTCTGAGTTTATTGACCAAATGGTTTTATATTTGTCTATGTCTATATATTAAGATGTCAGGGTTTGACATCAAGGTTATAAGACTATAAACACAGTCAAAAACAGACTAATCTTTGTGTGATTTTTTTTGACAAGTAAGACTAATTTAATTTAGATTGGTGGTTCAATGAAAACAGCTCAATCTTCTGAGTTATCGGCAAAATATATTTAACTCTAAGATTCTTACTTAGGTTGTTTACCTGTTACTCAGACTGTAAAAATGGTTAACAGGGAAACAACTTCAAATAATGACTAGCTTTGTATAACATTTCAGTTTTCAGAAGTAATCTAGAAAAACTTAAAAATGGAAAAAGCTCAGGGCATGTAAATGAGATAAATGCCTGTAGTGGACTTTCAAATTATTTTGAATTAAATAATTGATGCTTATGAGATGTCTGGGTCATTTCCAATTAAGAAAAAATTATCTTATGGGAAAGCATGTTTCAGAAATTACAGAATAGTCTTTTGAAAGTAAGAGCCTGGGCATTCTCCAACTGCTAGCATTTGGTTAATAAAATTGCTTTCCTTTCATCACACCTCATTTCTTGTCTTTTTTGCCTCTGAGTAGCAAGCAGCCGGACTTAAGTCAGTTACAAGACCTCTAGTTTAACATAAAAATTTCACCTTATGCTAGTTTGTAATTTATTCTCTCAAAGGGTCTATAAACAAAACGCCTCAACAATATATTTAACATTCTACAAATACACAGTTCCACTCCTTTCATTATAATGGATACAAAAGTCCTAAACGAAATATTAGCAATTGATAGACAAAGGAGATAAAAAATTATATCCAAATTGGGCTTATTCCTAAATGCAAAGTTTGATTAACATTTGAAAGTCAATGTAATTTGCCATAATAACAGAATAGAGACGGAAAATATATAATTAACTAAATAGATGCAGAAAAAACATCTGATAAAATTCAACACCCAGTCACACAAAAAAAACTATTATTAGTAGCCTCAGTATAAAACAGAACTTACTCAATCTGACAAAAAGTAGGGACAAAACTCTACAGTAATGATCATACTAAGGATAAAATATTGACAGCTTTCCCTTAAAATAAGGAATGAGACAAGAATGGCACCTATCATCCCTTTCTATTCACTGTTATACTGGAGGTCATAGCAATTATAACAAGGCATAGAAAAGAAAGTTAAAAGGATTCAAAAGGAAAAAAGCTATATTTTTTTTTTTTTTTTTTTTTTGAGACGGAGTCTCGCTCTATTGCCCAGGCTGCTGGAGTGTAATGGCAGGATCTCAGCTCACTGCAACTTCCGCCTCCCAGGTTCAAGCGATTCTCCTGCCTCAGCTTCCCGATTAGCTGGGATTACAGGCACCTGCCACCACACCCGGCTAATTTTTTTTTTTTTGTATTTTTAGCAGAGATGGGGTTTCACCACACTGGCCAGGCTAGTTTCGAACTCCTGACCTCAGGCAATCTGCCTGCCTCGGCCTCCCAAAGTGCTGGGATTACAGGTGTGAGCCACCGTGCCCGGCCAGCTATACTATTTTCAAACATAACTGTGTACCTGTAAAAATCCAAAAAATGCATGGAAAACTATTAGAATTACTCAGTAAATTTAGCAATGCATAAATAAGTAAAAATCAATTATATTTTTTATAAACTAACAACAAAGTTTTTTTTTTTTGAGACAAGGTCTTCTTCTGTCACCCAGGCTGGAGTGCAGTGGCATGATCATGTGATCATGGCTCATTGCAGTCTCGACCTCCTGGGCTCAAGTGATCCTTTCACCTCAGCCTCCTGCATAGCTGGGACCACAGGTACATACCACCACACCCAGCTAACTTTTCTGTAGACAAGGTTTCCCTTTGTTGCTCAGGCTAGAAAAGGTTTTTAAAAAGATACCATTCACTATCACAGCATCAAAAAATATCAAGAATATCTGATCAGCATTAAAAAAATATTCAAGAATAAACCTAGCAAAAGATACACTAGGTCTCTACACAGAAAATAATTATCTCATTACTTTAAATGAATGAAAAGATATGCTAGGTTATTGAGCTGTAAAACTTAATTGTAAAGATGTCAGTTTCTCCCAAATTTCTTTATAGGTTCAGTTAAATATCAATCACAATCCCATGTTTTAAAAGTGGTAACCAAAAGATAGATTCTAGTGTTTATATGGAAATCCAAAGGCCAGGAATAGCCAAAATAGTCGTGAATTTTCAACAAAGTTGAAAAATTTACACTGACAGATATCAAGACTTAGTGCAGCTACTAAGAGAGCATTAGGCCTGGTGTGATAGCTCACACTTGTAATCCCAGCACTTTGGGAAGCTGAGGTGGGCAGATTGCTTGAACTCAGGAGTTTGAGACCAGCCTGGGCAACATAGCAAGACTCCATCTCTACAAAAAAACTAAAAATTAGCCGGGCATGGTGGCACATGCCTAGAAGTCCCAGCTACTTAGGAGGCTGAGGTAGAAGGATCACTTGTGCCCAGGAGGCGGAGGTTGCAATGAGCTGTGATTGCACCACTGCACTGCAATCTGGGTGACAGAGCAAGACCCTGTCTCAAAAAAAGAAAAAGACAAAAATGAATATAGAACAGAAAAGAATCCAAAGCCAGACACCATACATAGAATCACCTAATTTACAACAGGTCAGTGAGGTAAAGGAGGATCTTTTCAATAAATGGTGCCAGGTCACCTGGATATCCATTATGGGGAAAAATAATGAACCCTGACACTTGATCTTACACATATGTAAACATTAAACTCAGGAAAGATATAAATCAGAAGGTGAAAAGTAAAATGATAAATCTAAAAAATATGGAAATATCTTGCCTGATGGCAGGATATAAATCTTTCCTTACTGGAGACAACACTTGCTTTTTGGCCCAGAAAGCACTAGCAGGCACCAGAGGAATCTGGAAATAGATTTTACTAGTTTTCCACATTTTCCTGCTTTTAAAGATTGGAACTGTTCTCTCCTTTGTCTTGCCAATATTTAAGATTTATGGCTCTTTGTTAAAATACCATTTAAGCAAATCCACTGCTTGGAGAGAAAGAAATACTTCTGAACTGAACCCGCCCAGGTGATGGGTAGAGCACATGTTAACAAACTTCTGCTTGTTTTTCTATTGTTAATCGTTCTTGCATTTTCAGGAGAGTGTCTCAGCTAAGAAACTAAAAAGGGAAAGAAAAATAATTATGCGTTTTCCCTTACAAACACATATTCCAACAAATGATTTATATCTAGATCATATAAATACCTCTTAAAAATCAATGAGAAAAAGAAAGAAAAACCAACAGAAATATTAGCAAGACTGCAACCTGGGTGACAGAGTTGCAGTATGTTACAAGAGAGTATCCACATGGCCAATAAATATATGAAATGATGTTCAAAAGTAGACATTAAGGAAATGCAAAATGCAAATTAAAACCACAACGAGGTAGATACCACTAGATAGCATCAGAATGCCTAAAATTAAAAGCCAATACAATGATTGCAAAGAACAGGAGCAGGAGCAACATAATTGCTGGTCTAAGGTTAGCACAACCACTTTTCAGACTGTTTGGCACCATCTTCCAAAGCTGAACACATGCATATCCTGTAACCCAACAATCCCACTCTTGGAATACACTCAATAGAAATTTGTACATATGTGAATCAAAAGACACCAAAATATTCATAGCAGCATTATTCATTAGACAAAAAACTGTTATCCATGTACATGTGAATAAACAAATTATACTATATTTACACTAGTTAAATAGTATACGGCAATAAAAATCAACAGACTATATATCATAAAAACATGGATGAGTTCCATAAACAACAGTGAGTAAGCAAATACAAGAATACACACTGTATTATTTCATTCTGTGGTGTTAGAAATCAGAATAATGATTACATCTGGAAGGAGAGAGGTATTTAGGAGGAGGATCAAGGAGGTTATTGAGGTGTTAGTAATGTTGTATTTTTTGATCTGGCTATTGGTTACAAGTATGCAGTCACTTGTGTTATTTCATTGTGCAGCACTCTTGTGATTTGGGCAGTGTTCTGACTATATGCTTTATTATATTAATAAAGTATTACTGGTATAGTGTAGACAACAAGCATTCATTTAAAACATTAAATTAGGTATTGAGAGTACTATTAACAAGCATATTTGATAAAGATGATTTTCTCAATCATACCAGTTACAATAGATGCCAAGAAAATATGAAATGTAAACACTTTCCACCAAACGCTAGGAATAAGAATCTGTTCCCAACCAAAATAATGTTTTTTTGTGTGTGTCCCCGTTTGCCTGGGACTGAGGCATTCTTGGGATATTGGACTTTCAGCAAAGTCCCTGGCAAAGGCAAGCCTCACTTTGTCCCAAAGTCCCTCCTCAGTCCTATTAAAACAAATTAAAAATTAATACATCCAATCTGGCAACCTCTATCTGGACAATGATCATCCTATTAATGATCTGTTTAAATATCTTTAATGGTACCCTGCATTCTAAAAATAAATAAAAAATCTAATAGCATTCAAAGTCCGCCTAGTCTTATTTCCTATTTGCACACTACCCATGTTACAGTCTGCAGCATAACTAGACAGTCTCTTGTTCCTGAAACATTTTACTCGTTGTCTGTGTTATCCTCTTCATCTGAAATACTCTATTATTTCCCATTTAAATCCTAATTTGTTTCTTCAAACTTCACCATCATCACAAAATATTTCCTTATTTCTCCTAAACCAAATTAGTTCCTTAATTTCTCCCTCTTCTGAATTCTCATAGCATTTCATTTATGTGGCTCTCATGACAATCTCCACATTCTATTCAGCATTGCATTTATATATCTCTGTGTATCTTCCACACTGAACTGCAACCTCCTTGGGACACTGTTTTATCCACTTATATATCCCTAGAACATGTATCACAGTACCCATGCAGTAGAAAACCAAACGCTTGATAAAAGATGAGAGCTGTCATATAAAAACAGCTTTTGTATCCCTTCCAGAAAGTATTTGTCAAGCCAACTGAGAAAAAAAACTCAGTTCCATTGCATTTTCCCTCCACTCTTTCTTTTATGCACCTTTTAGGTAAATAAATTTCCTTTGCTGCGGATTCAGTACTTTTCATATACCCTATATAACTGAACGGAAATTCAAGATAAAAGAACATAGACACAGTTTCACATCATAATTCTTAGGTGGCTAGTCTGCTTTCTTAAGCTATCAAGTGGTTTTCTTAACTAAACATACAAGTCTACTGATTTTGTTACTCTTACCTTCTAATTTAGCTAGAAGACTTGATTCCGTTTTATTCTTCAGGGTTATTGAATCAGTAATAATAAGTTCAGAACTCTTTTCATCTGACACCAGAGGTTCCTTGAAATGACTATTTTGAACAGACTACATGAAAAAGAAAATCAAATAAAGTCCCATAAATAGTAGTACTACTAATCTGTCTTACTGTTCAATATACTAAAGTCTTATCTATACATGGATTGCTCATAAAATTTTCTATTATAATTATATGTAGACTCACAAACCCCCAGCAAAGGTTAACTGCCTGAATTATTAATTAGAGAAATGGGAAGGGTCATAACCATAAATCTGGCCAATTTGCTTTCAGTGGATGTATTAATCAATTGCTAAAATATATTTCACTTAAAGATGGAAAGGGTTAGAAAGTTTGAATTCAACATAGAGTATGCCTCATGACAAGAAAAAAGATTTAAGTATTTTGTTACTGTGATGGCTATTTTATCACCAAAAATAAGTCAAAACTAGTAACTGCATAACTTAAGAGAGTAGTTACTCTAAATCCAGAGAACAATCTTTTTGACACAATTATGCACTGTTCTCTAGGACAGCCAGGATTAGGAAAAATTAATACTTAAAGCATAGGTCATGAAAGAGGGAGGCATTACAAAGAACATAAAATTGAAAAGACCCACATCATGATGCCAGGGGTTTAACTCAATTATAATAATAGTATAACCACTAAAAATCACAGTGTACCAGGAACTAAAATTATTTCCTTTAAGTCCACACAAAGTTGCTCTGCCATGTCAGGAGGTCAGGATTATTTATGTCCTCACCTCTGCCCTAACTCAATTTACTCTCTCATTTTTTTTTAAGATGTCTTACCAAAATCATATGATTAAACATAACAAAAAACAAAACTTGGGGGCAACAGTTCCCCCAGTCACGTATTCCCAAACCCAGGCCAACTATCTGCTTAAACACGTGCATAATAAATATTACTTCATGATTCTCTTAAAAGATTGTTGATCCTTGCTCTACCACCTTAATCTTGGAGAAACATAGTCTAGGACTTCTGCACCAACTTCCCACTCGTAGTCCCACAGCTCTTGGGGTATGTGGAACACTGTTGGAGATACATGAACTATTTATAAACCCTTTCCCCAGAAAAAGCTCCATGAATACTGATCCTCCCAGATCAGGAACCCTTGCTTTATATAATGATATAGAATTAAAATACCTTTAAATTTCTTAATTCACAGGAATCATTTCCACTTGGTTTAGATCCAGGCACAACCAAATCTCGGCATTCTGATCTAGAGGTTTGTCTTTTACCCGTGAAACAAAATAATTTTAACATTAAATTTGAAAAAAAAAATTTTCAATGTATTTTTTCATCTCAAGTTGGATTTTTAATAATATACATACTTTTTATTGAAAAAAATCTCTTAAAAAGACATTTTTTAGAGTGACATAATTCCAATACAAAAGTGACTTAGCTAACAAAATTACGTGCTGGGCAATGACAAAAGTGACACAGGTGATCGCCTACTTCTTCATTATCTAATCAGTAACAATTGGAGTTAGGGTTAGACTGTGGGAAAGGCAAAGTATACAGATGAAACTACATTTCCAATTACAAATAGCTAAAGGATAAGAACCAGGGTATAGCACTTCTGTGGACCTCCACAGTACCTAGCATTGTCTATCGATAACAGGAACCAAGAAAATGGCTGCAGTTTTTCTGTTTTTGTTTTTAATTTTTTGGAGCGGAAGAAAATCTCCTTTATTCTTGAGCTAGGTATTTGAAATAGAGATGAACAAGATGAAATCATAGTGATAAGACTTTAAAGCTTAACCTTGACAAACAAAATGTTCTTTTAATGTCAATATTTAGTCAAGTCTAAATATAATAGAAATGTAATTATAAAAGATAGTAATGAAAAACAATCGTATTTCTAAAGTTTATTTGCAAAATGATTCTCTGGACTGTAAGGAGCCTTTTCCAATATAAATATTACAAATGTTGGTCAGAATTAAGAATAGGCCAAAATAACTCTCCTTTAGCTGAGCTACAGGCTACATTCCCATTTCTTAACAGGGAATAAACAAGCAAATTGAGGGAAGGAGAACACACTGGATGTGATGAACAGTAATTCATCTGTACCTAACCTGTCCCACTTCTTGAAGCACTAGACTCAAGCAAAAGAATAATCATCTATCCCACTGACAGCGATTCTCCCCTTGAACTATCTGGAGCAAATATTTGTTCCCAGACCTCCTTCTACCCGTTATGGAGACTCTCAAACAAAACAGGAAGAGATTCTTAGCAGACAGCCTACCCGTAAGTGACAAATCCTCAAATATCAGTCTTTTAAGCTTAATGTTGACTTAATATTTTTTCCTTTTAAAGCTCCTTTAATGAATATTTTTAATGAGTGAAAAAGCAAAACAAAGTTATTTTCTCCACTCATTCCTTTGTTCCTGACAACATTTAGAGATTATCTTCTAAAACTGAATAAAAATTTAATCATAATTACTATTACTCAGTAAAAGACTTTAAGACCATTCTGCCATTAATCTTCCCATACGGACAACAAATTTTAAAAATTAAAACTCAACATACCTTTTCATAAAACAAGGTACAACTGAATCATCTGTCTTCACATCACAATCTGGGCTATTTAGAAGGTTAACTGGGACTCTTCCAAATGGGCATGACTAAAAATATTTTGAAAGATTAAATAACCAACTAGGAAATAAAGACTATCACCACCTTAATCAAGCAGATTGAAAGTAACTTACCTGTTTAGTTTTGTTAGTTTGTCTCAATGAATTCCGGTAACCTATTTCTGCATCTTGTGGTGGCATGTTCTCTCTAAACAGAAAGAAAATACCCCCAATTTTTCAAAGAACAATATTAATATGTATTTCTACTCTACTGCTAAACATTATCACACACATGAAAACATATATGCAGATACATGTAATTACATTAAAAAACACAGATGTACTTACATAGAAGATGAACATTTAAAAACTGTTTCCGTTTCCTTACCCATATAAAAACCTGGCTTTAGTAGTCTGTCCTCTGGAATCACAACTGTTGTTCCTATTCTGTAAATGCCCAAGTGAACCGGAAAATGATTCTTGGGCAGTTAATACCGTAGATGCTGTAAAAATTTTGAAACTATGATTAAATTTATAAGAAATAAGACAAGTACAAAAAAGTGATCTTACAAATAAGAATATTTTAAAAGTCAATTCATAGGAAATACTTGTCCCCAAGTAAGATATGCAGACATGAAGATGATACCAAGATAATTATCTAACTACTTCTTCAAATTCTCTTAAATTATATAACTATTTCCCCAGGGTAAAAGCACATTCTCTATTTCCAAAAGCAAAAAAAAAAAAATTCTCTTGCTTAGAGTTGTTTTTCATGTGTTAACGAAAGTTTAGTTAGCAAAAAAGACAAATTTGCATGGGGTTGTAGAGACTTTTTTACTTCTCAGTCTTACCTCCTTTACAATTTAATCTTAGATTTTAACCATTCTACATAAATAATATTTTTCTATAAATTATTATCCCGAATCTTTATTTGAAGTACTACCTACCACAGAAAGTATTAGTATACCTTAATAGTTACCTGATAAATTCTTCTTTTCCTCCTCTGAAAGCAGCTGCTTTTTTTGGAGGTTTAAATTCCGCAGGGCAATTTCCAGCATTTCTAGTGGTACTGCTCCACGTTCTACAGCTTTTTGAAGAAGTTGTTTACTTTTTTTGACATTACCTAACAAAGCAAAAGATAATTGTCATTTTTAGGCAGTAAAATGCCCACCACCCAGACCACCCAGATACGTATTCATCAGGACCTAGAAAAAAAAATCAAAAAGACTTAAGCAAAAATATTTATTCCAAGGCTCATGTATTTTATTTCATAGGCAAGTAAGCAATCTCTCACTTTTTATGCAGATAACCAACTCTCTTCTGATAACAATGCATACCAAATAGTTTCCTTGCAATATGTAGCTGACGTAATTTTGCATTAGTTTATCACCACTGTCCACTTTCAGAAGTAACAGAAGTGTAACAAAGCAGTTACCAACAGGGGACAGCAAAGGCCAATCACAACAGTTAGAAACAGGAGGGCATTCTAGATGTTACAAAAGTGCCAAGAGCATCAGTCTCTTACAACATGCTATAATAAGTATCATTCATAATGACATTTAGTTAAGGGAAGGATGACATCTTTTGTTAAAGAGCATCTTCCATCAAAAGGATTTTCGGGGAAAAACATAATAAATACAGATTAATCTTTAGCTGTCACACTCAGCTATACCAGCCTGAAAAAGAATGCAGAATAACTGAGGAACTATCATAATTACCTTTCTGAGTATGGACAGATTACCAAAAAAATTGGTAAACTTACCCCTAGCATTTGACATATAAATATTAAATGTATACATCACATATCTTACAGAATATTATCAACATTTATGGGAGCCATTGAGCTATGCTATGCACTTGGTACTTAGCGTATAAAAATGCTTAAGAGATGATCTCTAGCTTCTGGTAGTTTATAAATTTTTAAAAATATCTTTGATAGTGCTTACATCTACATTTACTAAGTAGTGGTAGAATTTCATGTATTGTGTATTTTAGCACAAGAAAAGAGAGAAAGGCTTAAGAAGCTTAATTAATCAGATAGCTTAGTATTGAGATCAGAGATTTCTTTAAGAATCTGGTAAAAACTGAAATGTCCTCCATCCCTATAAAAATACTCACACACCAGACTCTGCATAGGACTTCAGGGATGCTGCATTATTTCCTGACAGCCAAGCCATCAACTGTGCTCAAAATAATCATAATTTGACCACACTGCATTACTGTGCAATGCATTTGACCACATTGCATCACTGTGCATTACTACCACATTGCAGATAAAGTGGTATAGATAAAGTTCGTCTTTTTTACAGATAACTCAATTTAAGAGTTTCAATATTTACATGTTCTAAACATGTAAAATTTATGGTTGTTATTGAGAGGCCACAATACCTCAAGAAATTTTCAAGCAGAATGGAGAGAAAGAAGCCTTGCCAAATTTTCTCTAACAAGCAAGGAGGAATCCATTTTTCTAGAGAAGAAAGGGATAATAGTTCTAAAAAGTAACCTGATAGAGCAAAGGACATATTGGAGAAGACAATTACTAGGACTCAGAAATCATCTGAATGGGTAACAATTCAGGGTTCTCAAATTATTTCTGAGTCATATAATTATTTTCTCCAGGCTCAATCCTGGGGAATACTCTCCAGTGACCAATCCCTGCTATGGAAACCATCATGGGGATTCTTCCAATAGTGTTAATATGTTTATCACTGGCAGTAAATTGGATCACAGTTGTAGCAGAAACAAGGCAGTGGGAGAATGGAAACACCTGGCCAGAGGGCAGACTGAGGGTGTATCCAAAGGCCCTGGAAAATGAGAAAAGACTAAGGAATGGCCAGGTTAAAAATGTCTTAGGAAGAGATTGTCTTGGTCCTACCCAAAAAAATCCAGACTATGAAGAACCAAGTGAGCAAGAAATAGTTTCTACAGCAGTTTACTTTTTTATTTTAAAGAACTACCAATTAACGCTACACACACACACACACACACACACACACACACACACACAGATATATAGTTTACTTGACCACCAAGTTACATAGCTACACTTTAATGTACATTTTGGTGCTATGAAACCATAGCATAAGAAAAGTTTATGTAAGCTCTAGATATTTAAAGCTCTAGCTTAAATATCTGATATCCTTCTTCCTACAAATACTCAGTGAAGCAGCTACTTTCCTTTAGATGTTTCCTGAATCTAACTAGTAGCACATACACAATGTTCATGCTCATTTCCCTGGATTACTCTTTATACATGGAAAAGCTAGTATAACAGATATTCTCTGCATTTACATTTAGGTGGCATTTTCTCCCCATATTCTCATCTGATCAACTTTAATGTCTTTTGCCTCAAATTTCCACTTCATATATATGATTTAATATTAGGAAGTAAGTTGTAATAAGTTATCCTTTACTTAAAATTTGAATTTGACATTTTCAGATTACCTTGTGACAGTTCAAATTGTGCAAAAGATATATGAACAAAAGCAAATTTCTTGCAGTTTGCTCTGGCCATTTGAAAGTAGTCACGTGCATCATCTGGCTCTTGAATACTGTAATAAAAGATTTGAGTCAAAATTTAAGAAAAAGAACATAGCTACTTAAATTTGATAATGCTTCATTCAATTTTCCAAAAAACATGGGATATTGCTTTTTTCTGTGGGTAAAATTAAATACTAATAAGTTATTTTAAAAAAATCTTTTTAGGCAGTTTAAAATAAGTAAACTGTTGTGGAAACGTGCATAGAAAAGAGTTTACATTAGTCTCTTGTTAACTATAAGCAAAAGTATTTGGTAAAAAAATTAATATTTTCTCACAATACTGCCATGTTTTTTATTTTCTCTCTTTGCAGTGTAGTTACATATTATGTAACATAGTTGAACATAGTTAAAATGCTAATACTTACGCTTTTAATTCAGCAAATCTCACTTGAATTCTAGCAAAACTCTCATTTTGGCCATATTTATCTGGGGGAAGCGCTTCAATTGCTTGACTGTAACGACCAATCAATTTATTTAAAAGAGCATCACTTAGCGGAACACTGTTTTTCTCTAGTTTGAGCAACAAACTCAACCAGTCCTCTGGGTTGTTTGCCATCATCATAATTTGGTTAACAGTTCCCGAGTTATCTAAATAAGGGGAACAAAATATATCACAAGAAAAGACATAAAACAAATGCCAAATTGCATTTTTCCTTCAAAATATAGTCAAACATTTGTACTGTCAGTATCAATGTACATAAAGTCCTTATAATACTTTTTAAAATTGTAAAAGTTCATATAAATACAAGTAACTTATTTATCGTGTATTTATCTTTTATGAAGGTATACTTTATCCAAAAGCTATATATTTTGAAGGAAAGAAAACATTTGGAAATAAGTGAGTTTTTTTGTAAGTAGCCTTTAAAAATTGTATGTAGTTTAAGAAAATTTTATGCTGTTGCAGGATAACTATAATTTTAGCATCCTACCTATCCATAGAAAACTAAATCTCTCCCACTGCCACTTGTACTAATTAACTTAGAAAATTCTCCCATCAATGATTTATTCATTAAACCTACTGCTCCAGTCCTAACATAACCTTCTTTACAACCTTAACCATTCAACATTATCTCTGTATACCTCATACTTACTTGTAAAACCAAACCAGCTTTACAAAAAATAAACAAATGAGACAATCATTTTCTTCTCTCCAAGTAACCTAAATTTCTGCTAGAGGCCCTGATAATTTCTTGGTCCAACAAACTCATAGTTACCGTGGTCTAGACCTTTGGAATTTATAGGACCTCTTGTGACTGTCAGGTTTCTCTCTGTGGAACCCCAACCAACAGAAACAGCAAGAATAACCTTCAGACAAAATGTTCACACTGAAATGTACTTTTTACTTTCTTCAGTGTTAGTTTTTTAAAAAGATAACTTGAATGTCAGTCTTCTGTTCAGGATATTTTGGTTATTACTAAGCAATATTAAATTCAGATTTCCAGAGAAGCTATTATTCCTTCTATTAACTTCAGTCACTTTCAACAAAGCCTACATCTTTACTTTTATAAATAAAATTTGTTTCTACTTTCTACTAAAATATAGTGCATGCATAACTTTGCTTTGTCGTTTTAAATTTAATTTGGTCTGACCTTAATTTTCTATTTTTACCTCCTATTGCTTTCCTAAGAAATTAGTCTGTGAAATGTCTAAAAAACACACATTGCCATCTGTGGCTTTGCAGATGCATTCCTCATGCCTGAGTACCCTATTCTTCCTCTAATCAACAAATAAAACATTTGTGTTTTATCATGCTAGTATTCCTATGATGCCCAGCATGCATTACAATGTAGCATAGTGAATATATAAATTCTCATCTAGAAAGAAACTATGGTTTTAAGCATCTTTGAATCTTCCTCAGTACTTAAAATACTCAATTGCCTTGATGTACAACCTTTGTTAGTGACATAATTAAGCACAATTATACTCCATTAAGATTTTGCTTAACACTAAAACTATCATTTTCTAGGTTTTTTCAAAGTGAACAGTCAGCCACCATGATTAGATCACAGGTTCTTCCATTTATTTTCAATTCCTCATCTATTTAAAGGTTAGTATAGATGTAAGAAAATTATCCAAAGGTCACCATTCAAATGACCAACCATTTGAAATACAGTAAAGAATCAGGCTTCTGAGCTAATACTTTTAGAAGAGCTAGAGTATTAAACTCTGGGCATTTTCACCCATTAATCATTGTTCAATAAATGTTTAAGTGCCTACCTACCATGTGCCAGACACCATTCAAAGTTCTGTGGATATAACAGACAAAAACCCTGCCATCATGTAGCCTGCATTCTAATGGAGGAGAAAGACAATAAACACATGAGTAAATTATAAATAAAGTGATTAGTACTATATCTTTACCTTAGAGGATACCCAACAAACAGTTACTAACTTAAAAGAAAAGAAAAACTCACCTGTAGTATCAGCAGAAATTTTATTCAAGCTTAGTTCATCAGTAAGGTCTTCATTTTTAAACTTATTTTTAATGTCTCTCACTTTGTTCATTATGGAATCAATTGTCAATTCTCTGCCACTTAAATCCTCGGATTCCATTTCTAAGAAAAAAACTGAACAGTCATAACTCCTACTTTAACTAGCATCAAAGAAAAAAATGCACTAGCTTTTTAGAACCCAGACGACTAAAGCATTCGTTTTGTGAACACATCTAAATGCAGCTATTATTAGGCTAGTATTAATGGAGGTAAGTGCACAACAACAAGGTACACATCTTTGTAATTTATTCACCAAGGTTTCATAGGCCAAGTATACTTTTTCCCCCAATATAACATCAATGACGTCACACTGTAGAAATCTGCAAATTTAGTGTCACTTAAAAAAAATATGATAGAGTGTTTGCTTGGATTTTGGTAGCGACATACACATAAAGATTGCTTGGATTCTGGTAGTGACATAGACATAAAGAATTCGTTTGGCAATGGGAATAACAATTCCTTTATTCGCCTGCTTTACTTGAGTAAATCTTCCAGTGCAAGTGCTTTCAAAGCAGAATATAAACATGATGGGGCTTTACTGATAATTAGGAAATCCGCAGATTTATTCTTGTGCATATCTAGCAGAATCACGATTTGCTACCTTAATCTAACACTAAGAAACTATTGTACTGGTACTGAGCACTTGCTTATCTGCATGGTGGTGGTGTTTGTTCAATAAAGTGTCTGCAGTCTTATTGTTAATCGTATCTTTGTGACTCTCAAACACCAACTCAGTGTCACTGATAACAATGCTGCCCCGTCTTCAGGTTTAACAATGAAAAAAAGTCATAAAGTTGCAGCAAGGTATCACTCCACCTCTTAAGTCAGGTTTGAAAGATAACTGTCAGATCACGGCCACCCGCTTCTTTCCCAGTTCTAACCCCCAAAACAAGAGAGACTGTCCTTTGGAAAACGATCTTGTGCGCAGGTACCCCACCACCCCTTCTTTCCAGCGTGGGCCACACCCACTTCTTACTTCCTCAACAAAACCTCCTGCATCACCCCACCGGCCAGACCCGCTGAGGCAGTGAGACATCCCCTCCCCCTCCAGCTCGTTTAGCCGCGTCGCATACCTGGCTCCGAGCTGCCCCCACCTCGCCCCACCCCTCACCGACCAGCGCTAACAATGAGCCCCTACACCGGCTGCGGCTGTTCCTCAGTGCGCCGGTGCACCGGTAAGACAGAACTTACCTACAGAAAGCTGCGCTGGGGAAATGAAAAGATGGAACCCAAACTCCTTTCCGCAAACACGTTTGAATTTCCCCGTCGCTATCACTACGGTCTCCTATTGGTCAATGCTAGCCACGTAGAAGCGACAGTCGTGATTGGTTCTTGTGCGACGGGGGCCGCCCCTCCTCCTGCGTCAGGCTAGGCCCGCCCCGGAAGAGCCTGCGGCCGCGACCCCACCCGTGCGGCGCCTGGGTTGGTAGGGTGCTGGCACTTTGCAGGCGTTCCCCGGACGCCCGTGGGCGGGCTTTCCTGGTCTTTCCAGTTTAACCAGGCCGAATTTTTGCCTGGGAGGTAGCCACTCCCGAGCAAACCTACCCAGTGAGAGGAATATAGGGGCAGGGACGGCTGCTCCTAGCATCAGGACCTAAAAGATGCACCTTGGGCCGGCCCTTTACTGACCCCACCGCCACCCTTCTCCTTCGTTTCCCGCGGTTCTCACAGCCTGGCTTAGAGAGGATGTGGCAAGAAAGGATCTTTCACTGAGCTACGTTCAGCCCTGCCGCCAGCTCAAGAATTTCAGTGCTTTTTATCCTTGAGCTTCTGCTTATGCCCTTCCATTATCCTTAAATGACTCCACGCTCTGTCTTCAAGCCAAGACCCTCCCCCTTGTCAAAATTCTGCGCAGAACTCAAGCGCCCATCGTGATTGCCCTGTCTGAAGTCGCCTTATCGGCCCCCCTCCCTCGAAGCCTGCCCCACTTAAGGGCTCAGGTGTCCTCAGGGGTAAAAACATCTCCCTAGTAATAATCTTCGCGGGTGCGAGGCTCTGCCGCTAAGTGGCTTTGTGGTCCAGGGCAACGGTTACTCCTCGTCTGCAAAACTAAAAGGGATGTGTCTGTTGTGCCAGCATTATGACATATATTCTGTGGTAGGACGGGTTGGTTTTGTGTATGTATAGGAAACTAACTGCAGCTGTCACTTGTTAACTCCAAAGCTATCCTTAGAACCCTCACATTCCCAGCTCTGGATAGCCACCCAGCTAGCGTGAGAGCCCTTCTCAATCACTTAATGCATCTTTCTGTGTCAGCTAGCTAGTATTTCTGCTTCAGCAGAGCAAAATGACTTGCTATACCATGGTTGGCTAATCACTTACCTTTGCACCATTGCATCTAATGCTTCTGCCTGGAAAGAGTTTATTATTCCTCCAATTCTCGTTGATCTGTTTGCGGCCTGATCACAAAGCTTGCATTTTCCTTAAAATACTGTTGCTGGATGACCTCACCCTAACACTTCTTTCTGTACTCTCGTTTGGTGGTCTCCTTCAGTCTTCTATTTTTAAATACCATCTATATGTTGATGGCTCCCAAATGTGTATCATTAGCTGAGCTCTCCTCAACTCCATACTCAGATATCCACTGCCTACTTATTAACATCTTCACTTACATGTCTCATACGCATCTTGAACTCAAAATGTCCAAAACCAAGCCCCTGATCTTCCTACCCAAACCTGTTTTTTTTACAAAATCTATAAAAGACAAATTCATTGTCTTAAATTTTTTAGCCCCAAAACCTTTGTGTCATCCCTGATCCCTTATCTAACTCATAAGCAGATTGAGTCAGGGCTGGCACAAGAGATTCCTGGACTCCTACCAGTTCTCCCCACCTCCACTGCCACCACTTCAGTCCAAGGCATCTGCATCACTTAACTGATGTTACCTGCAGTAGCCTCCTGGCTGGTCTCCCTGCTTCTGCCCTTGCCTCACCTCAATTTATTCTCTGACATAGCAAAGTCATCTTAAATCAGATTATGTCACTACTTTGCTCAAAACCCTTCAGTGCTCCCTTTCTAGCTCGGAATAAAATCAAAAGTCCTTGTGATGGTCTGTGACTATTGAGCACTTGAGTATGTCTAGTGCAACTGGGAACTGAATTTTTAAATCAATTAACCTTAATTGATTAATTAAATTTATATTTAAATTTGAAAACTGATATCTAATGGGATTATTTTTAAACTATTTAAAGTAATTTTTTTTGCTTTCTTTTTTCTAAACTTGCATTAGTCATGAATTTATTGGAAGACTTTTAAGTATACTTGGAACAATGTAAGTATATGAACCTACTTTTTCAACTGTAAATTTTGTGAGAACCAAATGCAGATGAAGTATTTCCAGTGAAAGTGTCTGAGTATGAAATGTGATGTACTGTTAAGTATAAAATACACTCTGGATTTTGAAGACTGAATAAGAAAAAGTAATAAACATTGATAATTTTAAAAATATCAATTACAGGTTAAAATGATATTTTTGCTATATTGAGTTAAATAAAATATATTATTAAAATTAATACCACCCCATCACAGAGGAGACTAAGAAGACATGACAACTAAATGCACTGTGATATCATAAACTGGATCCTGAAACAGGAGGATGACATTAATTGAAAAATTAGTAAAATTCAAATAAAGTCTGAGGTTTAGTTAATGAAAATGCACTAATGTTGGTTTCTTGGTTTTGAAAAATGCATCACAGTAATGCGAGATCTTAACAGAAAAACAATGAACAGTATACAGCAATTCACTGTACTATTTAATACACTTGGAATTTTTTTGTAAATTAAAAATTATTCAAAAATAAAAAGTTTATGAAAATTTAATTTCACCTGTTTCTTTTTATACTTTAATATGGCTAGTAGGAAATTGAAAATTACATATATAGCTTACATTGTGTTTCCACTGGACAGCGGTGATCTGTAAAATCCTACAGTTTTACCTATTTGACCTATTTATTTATCTTGTTTATTTTCTGACTCTCCAAACTTTACCCCCACTAGAATGTAAACTCCATAATACAGGAATTTTTGTCTACTTTGTTCATTACAGCATCCTTAGTGCTTAGAACAGTGCCTGGTACATTTGTAGGCACTTAATAAATGTTAGCTAAATACTAATATTTACAACCATTAGAGTATTTAAGAATCCTATTTTATTTAACACATTTGTATACTTCTTGCATCACAGTTTCTCATTTGGCTTTAAATCAGCTGCATCTGACAGTGAATAAACTTGTTCATTTTCAGAGTCAAGCCTTTCACAAAGCAATAAAATTAGCCATAAGATTATGACTTATTGTAAGATGGTAAGTTTCACATTTTTGTCACATAAACAAAAGTTTCGAATGTTTAACTTTGTCATTATCATCATGAAACTTTTTTGCTGATCTTTGACTTCTCTGTCAGCACAGCTGCCTTTTTTATTCCATTATTTATTTACTTATTTATTTAAATCCCCTCCAAGGAATTTTTTTTTCAATTATTGAGGTCATTGTTACACAAGCTCAGTAAGGCCCAAACTTTGATTTTAGAAACTAATTATTATACATGAATTTATTTTGTGCATATACAAAAGTTAAATTTCTGATCAATAATAAATCCAGTTCTTACAGCATGCAATCAGTTGTGTGCTGCTTTATGGTGGTTTATTCTGGATAAAACATTACTAGTGTATGCTGATTTTAGTGCATTTAGGAGTGACGTGAGCCCATAAGAATGTTGAGACCTGTATGAATACTGTCAGGAAAGCTAACTATCACAGAATGGACCAAGCCATACCCAAAAGAAAAGAAAATAATGCCAAGGAGAGGTACCAACGTACCTCATAGATCACAAAGAAAAACAGCAATGACAGCTTAGATTATGTTCTACAAAGGAAAACAGCAGTGACGAGTTAGGACCACTACTTGGACATCAGGTATTATTTAATCATGCAGGCAATAAACTATGCTAACAAACAGCAGAAGAAAAGTAGGATTCTCAGTTCCTATTTTTCTTTTTTCTCCAATATGAAGAATAGCAGTCAGACTGACAATCTTAAAAATAAATACAGGACAGGCTATATAAGAAAGACATTTAAATTCCATCCAAACTCTCTGACACAAATGAAGTGTGTGTGTATGTATGTGTGTGTGTGTGTGTGTGTGAGAGAGAGAGATAGGCTCTGGCTTTGTCACCCAGGCTGGAGTGCAGTGGTGTGATCTTGGTTCACTGCAACTTCTACCTCCTGAGCTCAAGCCATCCTTCCACCTGAGACTCCCAAGTAACTAGTACTACAGGTTCATGCCACAACACCCGACTAATTGTTGTATTTTTTGTAGAGACAGGGTTTTGCCATGTTGCCCAGGCTGGTCTCAAACTCCTGAGCTCAAGCAATGCACCTGCCTCGGCCTCCCAAAGTGCAGGGAAGCATTGTGATGGTCTGTGATTACCATCACACCTGGCCATAATTTTTTTTTAAATGTATCCAGGTTGGGTGCAGTGGCTCATGCCTGTAATCCTAGCACTTTGGGAGGCTGAGGCGGGGCAGATCACCTGAGGTCAGGAGTTCGAGACCAGCCTGACCAACATGGAGAAACCCCGTCTCTACTAAAAATACAAAATTAGCCAGGCGTGCTGGTGCATGCCTGTAATCCCAGCTACACGGAAGGCTGAGGCAGGAGAATCACTTGAAACTGGGAGGCAGAGGTTGTGGTGAGCCAAGATCTCGCCATTGCACTCCAGCCTGGGCAATAAGGGCGAAACTCTGTCTCAAAAAAAAAAAAAAAAAAAATATATATATATATATATATATATATCTCCATACATTTTCAGTCTCTGCTATATAGAGAGAGCCTCACGTAGTTGGTTAATATACCACAATATCCTGAAGAAAATAAGCAGGATATTGAAAAAAAACGTGCAAATATAATCCCAGAAACATTGCTGGCAATCTCTGAAAAGTCATAATAAGTAGAAGCAATGATAGAAAGCCAGAAATGGATGGACAAGTGTTACCTTTTTGGAAAAGGTAGAATTTGGAAGCTATTAATCTCTATAATCTCAATGTAGATTTTAGAATTTTAGACCCCTTCTGGGATCAATTACCGAACTGTTTGGAAGCAAAGATCTCTAGAAGCCAATGTAAATGCATTAAGAGCAGGCTATATAGAATATACTAAGTTCTGATTTTGATTGTTTGTATATTTAGAAAAGGGAAGGCCATAAATACAGACTATCTTAACTTTGGCAAATAAAATGATAAAGGCTCTCTTACTGCTTTTGTGGAAGAAAGGAGCAAGTAATTCCCATATGGTTAATGTGAAGTATTTCTGCAACTCTGGATCATTTTTCTCCAAGATCACTTGTTAATAGTTTGAGAACTTCAGGTTGATCCCTAGTAGAAGGTCTCAGAACTCTGTCTGTGGTTTTATTCTAAACTACATATCTTATCTGTGTCACAAACATATAAAAATAATGCTTAACTTTTCATATGAATTAAAAAAAGACAAAATTAGAAGATACTTTAAAAGGACAAAGTTGATAATATGCAATTTATAGAGATAAATGTAAGTCTGTACATTTAGATTTCTAAAAATAATAAAATTATCAAATACACAGTTAGAGTCTAGCCAAGATGAAGAAACATGGTTCAGATTTATTCTCTGAAACAACAGTAACAACAAAAACTATACAAAATAAATGAAATAATGGTTTTCAAGCATCAGACATCAGGCAATACAGTACAGTGATCCTTAAGAATAGTGAAACAAACAAGTGAGTCATAATGTTGCCTCCAGATTACTTACTGGTGAGAGTTTCCAAGCTTCAGTGTACAAAGGGAGAACCCAGGCATTGCCTGGTATTCTAAAGTTAGGAAGATGGAGTTCATAGTCTGGAATGGCCAAGGCAGGTGAAGTTCACAGGACAGCGTACCAGAGAAAAAGAGCAGAACAGAGAGAGAATTCTGGAAATCTGCAGAGAATGTCCTTGAGTCTCCAGCTCTGTATTGGTAAGTGCAAGTGTATGTGGAAACTATCACAAGACCAGAGGAAGATAACAACCAGGGGAAAGAATAAAAGGGAATAATGTCAAGAGCTCATAAAGGACAAGAAATAGTTTTTGTTCACAAAGCAACAAGTAGAAGACTCATGATATTGCCTTAGAACTGGAGCAAAATTAGCCCTACAGCATGCAATGGCCCAGTCTATAAAAGCTTAAGAGCAAACCTTAAAAGGATCAGTATTTATAGAAATATGAGAAAATCCAACTGGGTCAAATTTACAATGTCTGGCATCTAATTAAAAAATTACTAGGCACTTAAAGCAGGAAAATGTAAATCTAAATGAGGAAGTGGGGGTGGAAATCAGTCAATTAAAACAGATGCAGAAGTGGCACAGATTACCCACTAATAGACAAACAGTAATTATAACTGTATTCCATATGTTCCAGAAAGTAGAGGAAAGTGTAAACATGTTAAAAAGAAATATGGAATATATGAGAAGACCAAAAACAAATGTATAGAGATGAAAAATGCAATACCTGCAATAAAAATTATATTGGATAGGATTAATAGCAGATTACAGTCTGGAAAACAAAATATCCTAAACTTGAAAACATATCAATAATAAACTATGCAAAATAAGGCACAGAGAAGCAAAGAAACAAAAATACAAAGAACTTCAGTGAGTTGTGGAAAAACAATGTGGCATAATGTACATGTGATTGGAGTTTTCACAAGAAAGAAGGGAGAATTGAAGAATATATTTGAAGAAAAAATGGCCAAAATTTGTTTAAATATGTTGAAAACCATAAACAAACAAATTGAAGAAGTTCAACAGATTCTAAACACAAAAAACTTCATGAAAACAACACCTGTGCACATTATTACATTGGACAAAACTAATGATAAAGAGAAAATATTAAAAGCAACCAGAGGAAAAGTACAAATTAGATATAGATGAACAATCATAAGAACAGTAGACTTCTTGCCAGAAACAATGTAAGCTGGGCAACAATGGAGTGACATCTTTAACCCTTTTCCCATTTAGGAAAAAAAACTACAGTTGCCTGCCATCACTCATTTAATTTTACATAAACATGCTTTTTGAGGCTGAAGCAAATCTGACTGATTTTCAATGTGAAAATAAAATCTAAAAACTGCTCTTGGAGTTATTTCTAAACGTAACTAACATCAGAATTGTCTGAATCATCAGTATTGTCAGTTTTGAAAAAATTGGATTCATCAAATCAATCTTCAGCCAACAACTGTTTGAGAATGATGTTAACATCACACGTAGAAATGCTGTGTTTTATAGGATTTGACATTTTCAGCAATTGAGAATTACTATGTTTTGTAAATGGAAATACAAAACACCAGTACTAAAAACAGAATATTGTAATACTGTTA
Source organism: Homo sapiens (assembly GCF_000001405.40). Taxonomy (NCBI): domain Eukaryota; kingdom Metazoa; phylum Chordata; class Mammalia; order Primates; family Hominidae; genus Homo; species Homo sapiens. Next base: position 79,997,519 of record NC_000006.12, on the reverse strand, counting down.
TTATTTTATTTATTTTTTATTTTTTTGAGACAGGGTCTTTCTCTGTTGCCCAAGCTGGAGTGCAGTGGTGCGATCTCGGCTCACTGCAATATCTGCCTCCCAGGTTCAAACAATTCTCCTGCCTCAGCCTCTCAAGTAGTTGGGATTACAGGTGTGTGCCACCATGCCTGGCTAATTTTGTATTTTTAGGCTGTTCTCGAACTCCTGACCTCAAGTGATCTGCCTGCCTTAGCCTCCCAAAGTATTGGGATTACAGGTGTGAGCCACCTCACCTGGCCCAGAATGTTGTAAGTAGAATGATGTCTTTGTTTCCAAAGTCAATGTACTAGAATGATGCAAAAATAATAAAAGTGAGATATTTTGTGGCAAATTTATCTCAGGGTAAACACAGCAGCTACAGGCATGTATTCTTGGGGCAAACAGGAAAAGGGTTAAAATGCTGAAAGAAAAAGAAAAAATAATTCTATAAACCTAGAATTGTTATTTCCAGCAAAAATATTGTTCATTATGAAGGGAAAATAAAGATTTTTTTTCAGACATACAAAAGCTGAAATAATTCATCACCAGTAGAATGGCACCACAAAAATTATTAAAGGAAGCCTTCAGGCAGAAAAATTCTGAATCTACATAAAAGAATAAAGAATACTGGAAATGGTAAATATGTGGATATGTAAAAAGATATTTTTCTTATTTTTGAAATCTCTTTAAGAGATAACTAAAGCAAAAGATGATAACAATGTACTGTCAGGTTTATAACATATAGAGAAGTAAAACATGACAACACTCACACCAGTGCTGGGAGGAGGAAAATGAAAGAATATTATTTAAGGTTTCTTTCTACTCTACATAAATTGGTATATTACTTGTGATAAGTTAAAGGTGAACTCTATAAACCTCCATTCTCTATCATGGTAACTAGCCACATGTAGCTCTTGAGCCCTTGAAATGTAATTGGTCCAAAATGAATGTGCTGTAAGTATAGAATACACACCAGATTTCAAAGACATAGTGTAAAAAGAATAAAATTTACCATTAATATTTATATACTGTTGCAAATTATTAATATTATTATTATTAATTGAAATTACAATAATTTGGGAATATTACTTTTAATTTCACCTGCTTCTTTTAACTTTTAAAAAGTGTGGCTATTAGAAAACATATAAATTACATATGTGGCTCACATTATGTATCTATTGGACAGTGTTACTAGAAACCCTAAAGTAGCCACTAAAATCAAACAAACACAAGTAAAAGCCAACAAACAAACAAAAAAAAACACAGCTACTAAGTGAACAAAAGACAGAAAACAAAAAATATTCATTTAATACTAATGAAGCAGAGAAAGAGGAAAAAAGTAAACAAGAACAGATAGGAAAATGGAAAAAAGATAGCAAAACGGTAGATTTAAATCCAACTATATTAATAATCACATTAATGTACATGATCAAAACTCCCAGAAAATGGTAGAGATTTTCAGATGTATAAAAAAGCAAGCTTCAACTATCCACTGCCTTCACCAAACCCTTTTTAAATATGAAGGCACAAATAGGATAGAAATAAAATAAGGAAAAAGATATATCGTGCTATCATTACTAAAACACTAAAATCAGAAACACCTAACATGGCACAGGTCTCTGAAAACAGACTTCAGAGTGTTTGGTTATGTGAGTAAATGGCCTTTGATCTCTGATCTCGGGTACATTTTGAAAGTATTCTCAGACATGGATCTAGAGTGGAAACTCATCAGAAGTGAGTATGTCTGCTGGAAGTCTAGATAAAATGCTTTAAAGTTTAATCCTAGATTTTATATCACAATTCTTTAGATAGATGTGAAAATAGACATTATTTCTCTATGATTAACCATCAGAGAGAAATAGTTTTTGACACATTTCAAGGAACGAGCTATCAAGACAGGTCCCCAGATAGTTCAGAGTAGCTAATAAACAAAACATCTCTGCCAAAAACTACAGAGTGAAGAAATGAGATCTCATTGAAATAATTTGCCTAATCATTAGAATAAGTCCTCTAACTGCACACCACTGTCACCATTTCTACATTCTTCATGCCCCCAGGTCACAGATCTGGATAAGAGGACCAAAAGTAAAACAAGACAGAGAAATAGAAAATAAAAATGTAAATTAAAATGCTCTCCCACGATGTACTCTCTTAAGAGGTAAGTTGATATCCCTTATTATTAGCCCAGTTTTGCATTGCTATAAAGGAATACCTGAGGCTGGGTAATTTATAAAGAAAAGAAGTTTAATTGGCTCACGGTTCTACAGGCTGTATGAGAAGCATGGTGCCAACATCTGTTCAGCTTCTAGTGAAGGCCTCAGGAAGCTTACAGTCATGGTGGAAAATAATGAGAAGCCAGAATGGCACATGGAAGGAGCAGAAGAAAGACAGAGAGCAGACAGGTCCCAGACTCTGTTACACAACTAGATCTCATGTGAACTGAGTAGGAACTCACTCATCACCAAGGATACGGCACTAAGCCATTTATGAGATATCTGCCCCCATGATCTAATACCTCCCACTAGGTCCCCCTTCCAACATTAGGTATCACATTTCAACATTAGATCTGGAGGAGACAAACATCCAAACTATATCATTCTGCCTCTGGTCCCCCAAGTCTCTTGTCCTTCTTATGTCAGAAAATACAATTATCCTCTTCTCAGTAGTCCCCAAAAGTCTTAACTCATTCCAGCAATTCCAGCATTAACTCAATCAAAAGTGCAGCATCCAAATTCTCACCTGAGATTCAAGGACAATCTCCTTCCACCTACGAGCCTGTAAAATCAAAACAAGTTATTTACTTTCAAGACAAAATAGAGGTACAGACATTGTATAAACATTCTCATTCCAAATGAGAGAAATCAGCCAAAAGAAAGAAGCAACTGGCCCCACACAAGTCTAAAATGCCACAGGGAATACACTGCATCTTAAAGCTCCATAATAATCTCCTTTGACTCCATGTCTCACATCCAGGCACATTGGTGCAAGGAATGGGCTCCCAAGGCTTTGGGCAGCTCTGACCTTGTGACTTTGCAGAGTGCAGCCACCTACAACTACTCTGATGGAGCTGAGTACCTGCAGCTTTTCCAGGCTTTGGATACAAGCTGCCAGTGGCTCTACCATTCTGAGGTCTGGTGTACGGCAGCCCCCTTCCCACAGTTCCACTAGGCAGTTCCCTGGTGGGGACTCTGTGTGGGGGTTCCACCCCCACATTTCCCCTTAACATTACCCTAGCAGAGTTTCTCTGTGGGGACTCTGCCCCTGTGGCAGGCTTCTGTCTGGGCACCCAGGCTTTCTGATACATCCCCTGGAGTCTAGGTGGTAGCTGTCAAGCCTTCCTCACTCTTGCATTCTGCATACCTGTAGAGTTAAGACCATGTGGAAACTGCAAAGGCTTACAGCTTGTGCCCTACAGAGTAGTGGGCTGAGCTATACCTGGGTTCCTTTGAGCTGAGGCTGAAGCCAGCATGGCTGGGATGTGGGGAGCAGTATCCTGAAGCTGAGCAGGGCAATGGTGCCCTGGCCCTGGCCCCTGAAACATTTTTTCCTTCTAGGCCTCTGTGTTAGTCCATTCTTGCATTGCTATAAAGAAATACCTGAGACTGGGTAATTTATAGGAACAGAGGTTTAATTGGCTCACAGTTCAGCAGGCTGTACAGGAAACACAGTGCCAGCATCTGCTACTGGGGAGGCCTCAGGAAGTTTTTACTCATGATGGAAGGTGAAGCAGGGGCAGACACCTCACAGGGAAAAAGCAGGAGCAAGAGAGAGAGTGTCGGGAGGGAGGTGCATATACTTTTAAATGACAGGACCTTGCAGGAACTATCGCAAAGATAGCAACAAGCATGAGGGATCCCCCACAATGACCCAAACACCTCCCACCAGGCTCCACCTCTAGCACTGGGGATTACAATTCAACATGAGATTTGGGCAGGGATAAAATATCCAAACTATATCAGCCTCTGAACCTGTGATGAAAGGGACTGTTCTGAAGATTTCTGAAATGACTTTGAAGCCTTTTTCCTTTTGTATTGGATAGTAGCACTTGGCTCCTTTTTAGTCATGCTAATCTCTCTAGCAAGTGGTTGCTCCACAGCTTGCTTGGATTCCTTTACCTGAAAATGCTTTTTCTTTCTCTGCCACATGACCAGGCTGCAAATTTTCCAAATTTTTATGCTCTGCTTCCCTTTTATTTATTTATTTATTTTTTTTTATTTTATTTTATTTTTGAGACAGGGTCTTGCTCCATCATCTAGGCTGGAGGGTAGTGGTGCAATGTCAGCTCTCTGCAGCCACTTCCTCATGGGCTCAAGCAATCCTGCTGCCTCAGCCTCCTAAATAGATGGGACCACAGGTGCACCACCATGCCCAGCTATTTTTTTGTATTTTTGTAGAGGTGGGGTTTCACTGTGTTGCCCAGGCTGCTCTCAAACCCTTGAGCTCAAGCAATCTGCCCTCCTCAGCTTCCCAAAGTTCTGGGATTACAGGTGTGAGCCACCATGCCTGGCCTCTGCTTCCCTTTTAACTGTAATTTCCAGCTTTAAGTCACTTGTTTTTTGCTCCTGTGGTTGCTTGTATTTGCTCCTGATCATAAATTGCTAGAAGCAGCCCGGTGACCTCTTTAATATTTTGCTGCTTTGAAATTTCTTATGCCAAATAGTCTATTAAGTTCAAACTTCCACAGATCCCTAGGACATGAACACAATGCAGCCAAGTTCATTGCTAGGGCATAACATGGGTGACCTTTACTCCAGTTTCCAAAAACTTCCTCATTTCCATCTGAGACCTCCTCAGCCTGGTTTTCACTATCCCTATCTCTACCAGCATTTTGGTCACAATCATTTAACCAGTCTCTAAGAATTCAAAATTTTCCATCATCTTTGTGTCTTCTTCTGAGCCCTGCAAACTCTTCCAACCTCTCTGCTCGTTGTCCAGTCCCAAAGCCACTTCCACATTTTCAGGTATTTTTATAGCAACACTCCACTCCTGGTACCAATTTTCTGTGTTAGGCTGTTTTTGCATTGCTATAAAGGAATATTTGAGGTTGTGTAATTTGTAAAGAAAAGAGGGCCGGGCACGGTGGCTCACACCTGTAATCCTAGCACTTTGTGAGGCCAAGGCAGATGGATTTCTTGAGCTCAGGAGTTTGAGACCAGCCTGGCTAACATGGTGAAACCCCGTCTCTACTAAAAATAAAAAAATAGCAGGGTGTGGTGGCACACGCCTGTAGTCCTGGCTGCTTGGGAGGCTGAGGCAAGAGAATCACTTGAATCCAAGAGGTGGAGGTTGCAGTTAGCCGAGATCATGCCAAGTGGCATTCTGAGCGACAGAGAAAGACTTCGTCTCAACAACAACAACAACAACATAAAAGAAAGAAGAAAGAGGTTTAATTGGCTCATGGTTCTGCAGGCTGCATGAAAAGCATGGTGCCAGCATCTGCTCGGTTTCTGCTGAGGGCCTCAGGAAATTTCCAATCATGGCAGAAGGTGATGGGGAGCCAGCATGTCACATGGCAAGAGCATAAGCAAGAGAAGGGGGAGGTTCCAGACTCTTTTTAAACAGCTGATCTCACATGAACTAACTGAGCGAGAACTCACTCATCACCAGGGGTATGACACTAAGCCATTTATGTAGGATCACCCCCATGATCCAATACTTCCCACTATGCCTCACCTCCAATATTGGGAATTACATTTCAGCATGAGATTTGGAGAGGACAGACATTCAACCTATATCACCCTTCTTAGTTTACCTAGACTAATCAAAATTTCAGATGAACCAAATAGACATGGGAAGAAATGTCTTTGGGGTAAAGATATGTATTAGTCAGCTCAAGCTACCGTAACAAAATATTACAGACTGGGTGGCTTAAAAAACAGAAATTTATTTTCACACAGTTCTGGAGGCTGGAAACCCAAGGTCAAGGTGCCAGCAGGGCCAGTTTTTGGTAAGGCCTTTCTCCTTGGCCTGCAGATGGCAACTAACTTTCTTTCTTTCTTTTTTCTTTCTTTCTTTCTTTCTCTTTCTTTCTTTCTTTTTCTTTCTTTCTTTTCTTTCTTTCTTTTTCTTTCTCTTTCTTTCTTTTCTTTTCTATCTTTTTTTTTTTTTTTTTTTTTTAGGAGGAGTTTCACTCTTGTTGCCCAAGCTAGAGTGCAGTGGCGCAATCTTGGCTTACTGCAACCTCCGCCTCCCGGGTTCAAGCCATTCTCCTGCCTCAGCCTCCCAAGGAGCTGGGATTACGGACACGTGCCACCACACCCTGCTAATTTTTGTATTTTTAGTAGAGACGGGGTTTCACCATGTTAGTCAGGCTGGTCTCGAACTCCTGACCTCAAGTGATCTGCCTGCCTCAGCCTCCCAGTCTTTCCATGTCCTCATGAGTCCTTCTCTTTCTGTGTCACAGTGGAAAGTGAGAGATGTCTCTGGTGCCTCTTCTTCTTCTTGTAAGATCACTAGTCCTTTTGTCCAGCACCCCATCCTTATGACCTCATTTAGTCTTAATTTCCTCCTTATAGGTCTTAACTCCAAACACAGGCACATTGGGATTAGGGCTTCAACATATGAATTTTGGGGAGACACATTCAGTCTATAACAAGGGATGTCTAGGGAGAGTAATAGAATAAGTCTAGTGTCTGAGAGCTGACTGTTCCTAAATAATATTTATTAGCTACTATGCAGATGTATAGATAAGCACTATGCAGATGTTGTGCATGGGCCAAGAATGTACCAGAAATCTAACAAACCTGAAAAGGAAACAATTCAAAAGTACTCCTCTGGTCCTGATTTTAATGCTATCCGCAAAACTCCTCCCTTTTTGAGAGGTCCTAAATTAATACTGAGTTATTTTAATTTATTTTCCTATGTTCCTTGACTCCACATACATTTCTCCTTTTCTCTGTAATTACTCTGATGAAGCCATCATAATCTCTTCCTAACAAGAATGATAGCAATGCTTCTCCAATTTGTCTTTTCACATTTACTCTTATTTGCTTTCAAATTATCTTTTAAAAGGGATAAATCAGACAAAGTCTTTGGTGGTTTCCTATTCTTTAAGCATGATATTCTTAATTCAGGCTATGAGGCTATATGATCTGGTCCTTACCTCCCTCTTGAGCTACATTTTACAGCAGTCTTCCAAGGCTATTCACTGTGTTTTAGCACATATGCTGTAGCTACACTGGACTTCTGGTTCCTCCAACAGGCATCTTTTCTATACACAGTTCCTTCCACCTGGGATAATCTTCCTCATTCTCCAGTGCCCTCTAGTTCCCTTTGTTCTTCAACAAGTCTCTGTTTCAGATCTTTTCCTCAGAGAAGATGTACTAGGTTAGGTTCCCTCATTACACTGTCTCTGCACACTTGACTCTGGATCTTAGAAAAAGATCCAAGGCCTAGAGGTCAGATACTTAGTTTCTCACTGTAGTTCTTGGCCAAGTCACTACTTTTCTGGAGTTCCTTGTGCCATGAACTGTATGAAGGACTGAATACTATCACAAAGATATTTTGTAAACACCTTCAGACTGTCAGGACTGACACACCAAAACCTATAGCTGGGGATGCAATGGGGGAGAGTCACCAATGGAAACCATCGCTCAGAGTTTTATAGTCTTTTTTCTAGCATGTTGGGTTGAAACAAAGAAGTACAGAATTTTGCATTATGTGCACATGTGGTAGGGTAAGGAGAACAGAAGGGCAGTGTGTAAAGGACTGACTAGGCTGGTTATTGTGGTTGAAGTTATAAGCCATATGTTTTAGGTTATATGATGTTTGTTCCTTAATAATGTATGTCAATTTAATAGTATCTTTTTGGAGGAAAAAATAAATATATAAGTTATGCACAATTTAAAAATAGTTTTATTCAGGCATTGTATACAGCAAACTATACATATTTAAATTGAACAATTTGATAAGTTTTGACGTATGTATACAGCCATAAAACTAAAACCACAATCAAGATAGTGAACATATCCATCATCCCCTCAAAAATGTTTCTTTGTGTCCTTTTCTTATCTCTCCCTCCCAAACAATCTTCTCCCTTGTGCCTCCAGGGAGCCACTAGGCTGCTGTTAGTATACCTTAGCTTATATTTCCTATAATTTCATATAAACGGAATCATGTAATATGTATTCTTTTTCATATGGCTCTTTCACTCAGCATAATTATTTTGAGATTCATTGATGGTGTTGCATGTACAAATAGTCCATTCCATTGTATTGCTATGTAGTATTCCACTTTATGGTTATATCATGATCTGTTCATCTATGTACTCTTTACCTGTTGATGCACACTTGGATTGTTTTCAGTTTGGTGTGATTACAAGTAAAGCTGTTAAGAACATTCATATAAATTATTTTAAGGACTATGTTTCCTCTTCTCTTGAGTAAATACCTAGGAGTGGAATGGCTGTATCTTCTGCTAGGTGTATATGCAACTTTTGAAGAAACTGACAAATTGTTTTCTAAAGTGGTTGTTGTATTAGTCAGGGTTCTCTAGAGAGACAGAACTATATATATATATATATGAAGGGGAGTTTATTATTAACTCACATGATCACAAGTTCCCACAATTGGCCATCTGCAGGCTGAGGAGCAAGATCACATTTTTCTGCTCGCTTATATAATATATTATATATATATTCATATTGTATTATATTATATTATATATATAAAGGGGAGTTTATTAAGTATTAACTCACATGATCACAAGCCACAATTAGCCGTCTGCAGGCTGAGCAGCAAGATCACATTTTTCTGCTCGCTTATATTCTAGCTGTGCTGGCATCTGATTAGATTGTGCCCACGAAGATTAAGGGTGGGCCTGCCTTTCCCAGACCACTGACTCAGATGTTAATCTCCTTTGCCAACACCCTCACAGACACACCCAAGATCAATACTTTGTATCCTTCAATCCAATCAAGTTGATACTCAGTATTAACCATCACAGTTGTAATTGGTCTACATTCCATCCACTAGCAGTGTATAAGTTACAGTTCTTCCACATCCTCTCTTACACTTAGTGTGGTTAATCATTTTTAATTTTAGCTACTCTAATATGTGTGTAGTAGTTCATTTTGGTTTTAATTTATTCTGATTTATTTATTTTTAATTAACTAATCCTGATTATTAATGATGTTGAGTATCTTTTCAACTGTTTATTTGCCATGGCATTTTTTGAGGGGGACGAAGTGTCTGTTCAAAACTTTTGCACATTAAAAAATAATTGAGAGTCCTTACTGTAGAGTTTTGAGTGTTCTTTGTGGATACAAAATCTGGATACAAGTCACTATCAGTTATGTGATTTGAAATTTTTTTTTCATTCTGTGGCTTGTCTTTTTGTCTTTTCATTCTCAGATGACAGGGTCATTTGAAGAGCAATTTTTTTTTCTGAAGTCCAAATTTTTCTTTTATAAATCTTATAAATATTTGCTTGTTCAAGTTTACAAAGATTTTCTTCTATAAATGTTATAGTTTCAAATTTTACAATTAGGTTAATGGTCCATTCTGAGTTAATTTTTATATAGGATATAAAGTAATGATCCAAATTTATTTTTGCACATGGATATAAAATTGTTATAATCTCATTTGTTGAAAATTCTTTTATCTGTTGCATTGCTTTTATACCTTTGTTAAAAATAATTTTTCCATATATAAGGATTTATTCCTGTACTTTCTTTCTATTTTGTTCTTCTGATATATTTGTCTATCTTTACAGCAAATTTAGCTGTTTTGGTTTACTGTGACTTTAAAAAAAAATCAGTTACTGTTAGCTCTCCAACTTTGTTCCATTCAAAACAAAGTGGCTGTATTGATATCAAAGTCAGCTTCAGACCAGAGAAAATTACCATAGTTAGAAAAGTATATGTATTATATACATATATATACATATACGTATGTGTATATATGTATATATGTGTATATATGTATATACACATATGTATACGTATATATATGTATATAATACATATATACATACATGTGTATTATTGATTATGTTACTCCAGTCAGGCTACTATAACAAAATGCCATCAACTGAGTAGCTTATAAATCACATAAATTTATTTCTCATAGTTTTGGAGGCTGAGAAGTCCAAAATCAAGGCACCAACAGGTTAGGCATCTTGGGAGGGCCTGTTTCCTGGTTCATAGATGATGCCTTTTCCCTGAGTCCTCATATGGTGGAATGGGCAAAGAAGCTCTCTGGAACCTCTTTTATAAAGGCAGTAATATCATTCATGAGAATGAAGCCCTCATGACTCAGTTATCTCCTAAAGGCCTCACCTCCCAACACCATCACATTGGTTATTAGGTTTTAGGGAACACAAAAACATTCACTCCATAGCATATGTACACTAGAATAGATATATCAGTCACCACATAATAGAGTTATAGCTATATATACGCACACACACACACACGTATACACAAACATGAACATACACGTATATATTTGTTTAATGATGGGTGAATGGACGAAAGTGAAATAAGCACAAATGAATAATCCCGTTGGGCAGCCCCAAATATTTCCAAAATATTTAGAAGATATTTCGAAGATGAACTGGTGTTCCATATTTTAGCCTGTTTGTGACTCACTCTTCTCTACCTGCTAATGCAGCTTGACATTCTTTGAAAACATCACATTTCCCTACTATTTCTGAGAGTCTCTGGAGTGGTTCACATGTTCATGTCAGAGAATATGCAGCTATGACATAGTACTGTAATTGTCTTTTTTGTCTGCTTAACACTCTTCTTTGAGTTCTATGAGGTCTGCAGGACATTGCTATCATTTTCCCTGTTGCATTACTGTTATTGAGACTCTAATAAATCACGTTTGCCAAATTTCTCAATATTAGGTTGTTTCTAAGGAGAAAGGCAGGACAACAGAAGTTTGACCTTCATAAACTTCCTAGGAGAAGCAGTAACTGGAGATTTAGTCTCATTTAAGAAATTTTTCAGCAGACAGGAGGAGACCAAAGCCACTCCAGTGTTTCAGGAAGTGTCCCATCTAAAGTCCCCTAGAGTAGGCAGGAGTTGAGACATTTGAGTCAAGGTAGATACATCACACATTAGTGTAAAGGGTAAGCTTTGTGGCAGCTTCTGAGTAGTGCCACTCTACCTTTTCTCAGGTCCAGATCTAAGGAAATTATTTTAAGTTCCTCAAGAATGGCCCACAGGGTGGGGGTGCTATTAAAAAATGGGAAGGAAAGCTCTCATCACATGTCATCTTAGTTTCGCGGATCATGATAGGCCCCTGCTTACAACCATTCATAGCTTTCCTAGTAACTTACATAGGAAGCTGTGTTTACCAAAGGCCCTGCCTGATTTGGCCCTTTCTAATTCTCCAAGCCCATCTCATTCCACTTTTTCTCCTTTCTCACTAAGCTCTAGCTCACTGGCCTCATCTCAGTTCCTTGAACACAGTGAAATTTTTCCTGCCTAAGAGCCCTTCATCTTACTGTTGCATCTGGCTAGAACATCTACCCACAAATCCTCAGTGGTTGGCTTTTTTTTTTTTTTTTTTACCTTTTAGGTACCTGTTCAAATGTGGCCTCTTCCACAATGCCTTGCCCAACTACCTGACCTAAAATAGTCCCCAATTCCAGTTGTTCTTCATCACATCACCATGCTTATTCCCTTCATAGTACTTATCACTATCTGTAATTATCCTGTTCATGTATTTATTTATGTGTTATTTTCTATCCTTCCCTACCACATAAGCTCTTTGGAATGAGATCCTTGCTATGTATACATTGTTATGCCAAAAACATTGAATGGTTTATTAACTACCATAACGTAGATAGTTAATAAAAATTGTTGAACCAATGAATTGGTCTGTCTTGTGCACCAGGCTAAGATTTCTGAAAGGACTGGATCAAGGTTTGTTTTGCTCATTACTGTATCTCCACACACACAGGACATACTTAATAAATATGTGCTGAATAAAAGTGAAAGAAGAATAATCAGTCAAGAGTTATAAAGCCAGGAACACTGTAAAAAATCCAGGCCAGACACTTTGGACCAGATAGTAGTTAACTGTAGCAGTACACACCATATGTGGGTTCAGAGCCTGCTCTGAGGGACCAGGCAAATGCAAGTGAAATGCAAGTTTGCCAAGGTTTCACCAGCCTGTAGGTACATTCAGGGTCACATGAAGACTGCCTGATTTCAGGACTTATTTCCTTTATTTGCATAATGCTTGTCCTCAGTCCTTAAGTTGGTCCCCTTCAGCATTTCTGAGAGTCCCCAGGGAGTGTCTCAGTTGTGATTAAGAAAAAATCTAGCTTTATTAATGCTCTCACTGCCTTGTAGACACCACATTTATCCTCCAAAGATCACTATTACTCTTCTAGGTCCTGTTCTTCCAATCATACCATTCTTCAGCAAACCCTCCACTGCTGCTCCACTGACCACAAAGGACTTTACCACACTCCATGCATTTCTGAAAATTTCACAGCAATAAAGCTCGGTGATCTATGGCAAACACTCTGCTGTAGTTACCTCTCTCTCCCTTGTAACTTTTAATCTGAGGCGTTAAAAACAGTGCACTATGTGTGCGTGTGTGCCTTAATATTTTATAGTGTTCACTGAATGTTTTTTCAGTTTTTACCTATGGCTCTCAGTTTGCCTAGGACCCACACATGAATCTATGGAATTTGGCTGGGAACAGATATGAATCACAGTCACAAAGTTATACTCAGAATCCATATTCTCCTCTGGGAAGAAACTGGGGGGCTCGTTATGGCTCCCACCTTCCACCCTTAGGATGAGTTCTCTCCCAGAGGACTCTACAGCCCTCCTTCAATTAGACTGCTGTCAGGGTATCTCACAATTTATTCAAAATGCCTAGTGGCCCAAGCAGGAGACAAAGCTCAAGCTCTTTCCTATAGGCTCTTCAGGTTCCAGGAAAATAGGCTGGCTTCACAAGTTCCCTTGACATGCTTGGACGGGCCCAGATTCAAGCTGAAACTGCTATCTTGACACACAAGAAAATCTTCAAATGAACTCAGCTGTAACAAACCTTCAAACCACATAAAGCCATCCCACACCCTTGGCAATAAACACAGCCAACAGCAGCAGAGGCCATGAGGTGGCAGCAGGAGCAACTTAAAGACCATGAAAGGGAATACAGAAGCCAACCACCTCACAAGATACTCTGCCAAGAACAAGAAGGAATTTGGGCTTCGGACAATTCTGCTCAAATTCCTCCATGATACTCCTCAAACTGAGAACACAGGTTACTTGTTATTATACAAGTATATAGAATGACAGGATATATAAATCATTAAAATAGTTGTTGCTTTTGGATGATGAAATTGTGATGCTTTTTCTAAATAAAGTTTAATTTGTATATTTTGCTACTCTGTTTTTACAATTAAAGGACAAGGGAAAAAATGAAGATTGTTATTATATATCTGTGAACCTAACCATTCTAAGGTCGGCAGAAAAGTAACCTCTTGTTCAAGCTAAGAGTTAATAATTAATTACCTCTAAGCCTTGTTCAGTTTGTAAATTTGTATGTTGAATGCCATAACATAAAAATAGCAGAACCTCAGTTCACAAATTCAAAAGTTCAAGAACCATCATATTTGTTTATAATCTGTAAATCACTTGAAATCCAACTCCATGCCCTGTTCCTATAGGCTATTGAGAAATTTAGTAGTAATTGAGGCTCCACCAGCCCAAGGCTGTACCTTGCACCTCATGTATCACTAAGACTCAGGAAGACCCCAGTCATTAATCATTTGCTCACACTGTTTTCTGCTGAAATGCCAGGACATTTTCAGGGGCTCTGCTGCTTTGGTCCACGTTCAGTGACGGGAATCATCAGAAGGCTCATAGTACCTGTGCTGAAGGTGTGGCCTTCTGAGTGCCCCCAGAAGTAAGCCAGCTCCTTTAGTCGTCATGCCACCCTTTGACTCCGCAGAAAGGAAATATAAAGTAACCGGCCACCTGTTTGCAAATAATATTTCTCAAAATGTAATTAACATGAATCTCTACAGAACATTTATAACAACTAAAACACACACGCAATTAACTTTACTAACATAGAGCTGTGATAATAAAGCTAAATAGCATTCTGAGATTCTAAAATAATTTCTGCAGATTAAATAGAAGGCGAGGAATGGTCAAAGCCTTTTCTAATATGTATGTGTTTCTCTTTCCTATTTTAAATTATATTTTAATGGTATCTTCTATGAGGGGCCTGAATTACTTGCCACCTGAATACAAAAAGGTTCAAAATCTTTCCTGAGTTAGCGATAAAAAATACCTTATTTTATCTAATACGTTGAGGCCTGAAGTTTCCTTTTCACATAATGAAATGTGCATCTTTTGTGATAGGACCAATGTCCTAATACTTTCATATTGTTCTCTTTTATTTCAAAGGTATGTAAGAGTTTCATTTGCTTTGAGCACACAGATGCAGTAAGTCATTCATCTGGGGTGGAGGATAGACGTCGCCCACACAAAGTCTTTGCACAACATTAGTCTGATTAGAGTTCCACTTGCGCCATGGACACACAGGATAGTGACAGATGTACCTGTCAGAGGCTCACTCCCTGCTTTATCTGATAGGGAAAGGCTGCCCAGGGAGTGTCCAACAACTGGACTAGTCCTGTCAGAACCCACAGGTGCCTCTGGGGCAAAGAAGGGGGCAACGAGGGTGCCTTTCCTCTAAAATCAAGCAGGCTGAGAAAAACTAAGAAGCTCCTTCTCCATCATCACTGTAGATGAGTGCAGGATGGAGAGACAGAAGAAAAGCAAACAATGATAAAATGGTAATATTTATTTTGACAACATAAGTATCTTGTAGAAAATAAACGATTTGAATTTTAAAAATCAAAGGTGAGGGAAAGAGTAATAGGAATTCAAGGGAAAACAGCATTCCTATATTAGTGAGTAAAATAGATGAGGTTTTAAAAAACAAGGATCTCTGGGACAATACATTAACAAAGTTTTGCTATTTGATAGTTGGTGAATTAGAATTCAAAATTATAGTCATTTAAAAAATATATATCTTATTATATAATCACATCAAATAAACTCATATCAATATATAATGGTAATAGTAACAATAGTAATCAGTCCTAACTTCCTGAAGGAAATATCACAGAGTGAAACAAAAAATGACAATGTTTTATATTTGTAAACCACTTTACAATTTTCAAAGTGCTTTCACTTAAATGGTCCCATTTGATCCTCATATCAGTCTATGAGATAGGCAGCACAATTTTTTCTTTCAGCAGTGTGCAGGTAGGAGATTGAAGCCTAGACCAGTTTAGTGATTTGCCCTGGGGGTATATGGCTTGGATATACCAACACTAGAAATAGAATTCTGGACTTTTGCTTCCCAGTGCATTTTTATTTCTTATCAAATGGTTATTCACAGCTCTACAGTTTCTGTCATTGAAAATAGACATAAATTTCCAGAGGTGAGTAAAGCTTGTCCATAGATAGGTATAATTCACAGTATTTATCCATATTGGATTGATACATTTTAGGGTTGACCCTTTTCATGTATTATTAAAATAATGAGAATCAACCTAATAAACAACTCAGCTTACAACTTTCCTTTGTACTCTCCAAAAGTCTCTTCGATCGTAGTTCCGTTGGCAGATGTAGCTTTTGAAGAGCATCGCTTCTACCTACTCCACCCTTTGACCCAGTTTCTACCAAAAGCTGGCACCACAGCTATTATATTGCATATATTGCAGAAGCTTTGAGCTTCTTTAAATCTGTCTCAGCAATTTTCAACCAGGCTATTTAATTCACCCAGGAAAGGGCAGAAGTAAGGAGACATATATGCAAGGATGTTGTCAGGTTCATTCTCTTTCCCACCTATTTCCTAGGTCCATCCCTTTCCTACCAGGCTTAGGAGTAAAAATACAGATGGGTTAGGAGAGAGACTGTATTTTGTTTCACACAGACCTTGAGAGGCCATACCAACACTGTCAGCTCTGAGGGATCCTCAAAAGCCATGGAAGCTTCAGCTGTGATGCAATTCCATGGAGAACATCTTGTTTCACTGAAAACTTTCTGGTTACCATGGGCCCCGCTTATGATCAGAAAAGATCCATCCTAACATTTGTGAGATCCAGGGCAATAGTGCAAATAGAGGTCCATATACTATTTGTCTAAATATTTAAATGTCATGTAAACGAGCTGTAATATTAAATATGTTCTCTCCTTCTGTGCAATAATGGTACATCTGTAATAACAAAATTGAAATACATGTTTGACACTACAGTTTCATGTTATTGATAGTTGGCAAAAAAGAAAAGTTATTTGAATTTAATTATTACTCTATTTTTGGGATTTTTTTTTTTTTTTTTTTTTTGAGACAAGGTCTTGTTCTTTCACCTCGGCTGGAGTGCAGTGACTCACTATAACCTTGAACTCCTGGACTCAAGTGATCTTCCCACCTCAGCCTCCCAAGTAGCTAGGACTATAGGCACATGCCACCACACCAAGCTTTTTCATTTTTTGTGGAGAGAGGGGTCTCACTATGTCATCCAGACTGGTCTTAAACTCATGAGCCCCCATGTTCAGCTGGGATTTCTGTTGATAAGCCAATCATTTTTGAATTATAACATGAAACAATATAATTTATAAGTTATTTATAAATTGATTTATTTCATACATTTATTTTTCTTACTTTCATTAGAAAAATATCACTTATTATGTTGTGTTAATTAAGACTTTCAGACAATTTATGTTCTATTGAGAGTACTAACCTAAAGGACTAAAAATTTTTATTTATTTATTTATTTTTGAGATGGAGTTTTGCTCTTGTTGCTCAGGCTGGAGTGCAATGGTGCGATCTCAGCTCACTGCAACCTCCACCTTCAGGGTTCAAGCAATTCTCCTGCTTCAGCCTCCCAAGTAGCTGGGATTACAGGCATGTACCACTATGCCCGTATAATTTTGTATTTTCTCAGTAGACATGGGTTTCACCATGTTGGTCAAGCTGGTCTCAAACTCCTAACTTCAGATGATCCACCTGCCTTGGCCTCCCAAAGTGCTGGGATTACAGAGATGAGACACCATGCCTGGCCAGGGCTAAAAATTAATTGTAACCAGGCAAGGTGCCACCAGCCTGTAGTTCCAACTACTGTGGAGGCTGAGGCAGGAGGACCCTTTGAGTGCAGGAGTTCAAGGCTGAAGTTTGCTATGATTGTGCCTATGAATAGCCACTGTAATCCAGCCTGGGCAATCTAGTGAGACCCATCTTTAAACCAAATAAAGCAAAATTAATTATAATTACAAAATTTCAGCAAAAATTATAATAAATATAAAATTAGAATTATTTTTCGTGTTTTTTCAAAAAGTCATTTTTTATATTCAAAATTATTTATTAAACTAAAAGTCAAAATACAAACTAATGCATATACAAAAATTTAATCAACATTATCTAAAGTTAAATTTTAAAATTCATTTTTGAAAATTTAAAACATTAGATATTTTCATAAAAATAAAACTATTCACAATTCTAGCATTAAATGTTCATCTAGTTTTCAATATAAGAATCAATATCACATTTTATATATGTCATAGCTAGATCAGCATTGTCCAATAGATACAGTGCAAGCCACATATACAACTTCTAAATTTTTTACATTAAAAGTTCTTCCACATTAGAAAAATTTAAAAGAAAACATTAACATATTGTTAGTATTTATTTTAATATATTTTATTTAATCTATATATTAAAATTTTTTGCATTTTTTTATACTGTCTTCAAAATTGAAAAACACACAAAAGTATATTTTACAATTATAACACTTCTCAGCTGGACACATTTCAGGTGCCCAAAAGTCACACGTGGCTAAGGTTACCATATTGGACCACAACATGAATTCTTTAATATTTCAAGTATTACTCCGTTGCCATGTGCAACTATTGCAAATACTATCTTAATTGAAGGCTTTCAGACCCACAGATTGACACACAAAGAGAAGCAACAAAACGGATTTTCCACACAACTAGGAATAATAGTAAGAGGAAGAACTTGACATGTTAACATGTCCAAGTAACTTGTCTTTTCTCTTACCTAAGCACTTCTACCACTCTAATCCTCGGAAGCAGTGTCCATCTCCGGTGGTGGTGCAATCCACAAACCATCATGGATGCAACTGCCTTTTGTTCCAAAGGACACAAGACAAGAGGCTGGAAGCAGCATTTCCTTGGGTCCCAAAGGAGGGTTAGGCATAAGAGTGGATCTTTAGGGATTACATGCTACATTGTGCAGTGTGGAACATCAGACAACGAGTAACAGAAATACCATTTGTTCATTAATTCATTTGTTGGTGCATTTATGAAAATTACAGCTGAAGGAAGAGGCTGCACTTGCTCAGGTATGAGGAAGATACTGGATCAGGGCAGTCCCAGAACTAACCTGGTTTCCCAGGAACGCATTAGAAAAGGAAGGGATCAAGACGGGCCAGGTCTCTCAGGACTGTGCTAGATGAGGGAAGATGGGCTGGAATGTGAATCTTCATGTAGTAATAGCAGTGTTCCAAGAATGAGAGGAGTGGCAAGGTCAGGTCTGAGAGAGCAGGAGTACATGGGGTAAGGTTGGCAAACTGCAATGACCTGGAACGCACATACTCCGTCAATTATTGCCAATCTTCTAGTTTTTCCAAAGTGGCCAAAAATCTAGATACAAGATGCAAATATTTCTAATGATCATTATTATTCTGCATACATCTATGGTATCTATTTATCCATCCATCTATTCATTCATTCATTCATCAATTTAATATTTGTTATCTATACTGAGCTATTCATTACCAGACACTGTTCTTAGTACCACAGATACAAGGATGAATAGGATACAATCCCTACCCTTAAATAACTCTTACTGCTTTATAGGACTTAATCCTCTGCTAAGGCCTTCTTTCTTTTCTCTCCTAGTTATTTCCTCAAAAACGTGAACACCTGTTTGTGTTGTCCTCCTCAATGCTGGTGCAGATCAAGGATCCTTTGGGGGCTGTTGTCCATGTCAGCTTTTTCTGGGAGGCTGAAAATTGCTGTGCAGAACCTCTTGGGCTTTCCTTCTAAGACCACTTGATAGAGGAAGTATATATTTCCCTCACCTTCTATATAATATCTGAATAGAAAACATAATATACACTGCCTGTGGTAGAACGTGCCTGTAATCCAAGCACTTTGGGAGGCTGAGACGGGAGGATAGCTCGAAGCCAGTAGTTTAAGACCAGCCTGGGCAACATAGTTAGACCCTATCTCTACAAAAAAAATTTAAAATAGCTGGATGTGGTGATGTGCACTTGTAGTCCTATCTACTCAGGAGGCTGAGGTGAGAGGATCACTTGAGCCCAGGAGTTCAAAGCTGTCATGAGCTATGATTGTGCCACTGTACTTTAGCCTGGGTGACAAAGTGAGACACTGCCTCTATAAAAGGGGGAAGAAACATGATATAGGAAGAAGCGGGAGAAGTATTTGCTCTCAGGGGACAGAGATAAAATACATTTGTGGTGGTCAAACCTGTATGATTCTTTTATATTATTTTGGTATTGGGAGAAATTCTTTCAACATGAGAATATACTATACAATACATAAGATGACTTTAATTTTTCCTCCATGGAAAGAAATACTTATCAATGATTATTTCCCTTTCATACATGCCAAGTAAATTTTAGAACATTACATATGGTTACTAAGTTCAATTATTAATGAAAAGAGAAATATATCTTTTAAATATGTTTTTCAATTTCCAGTGGAGAACTTACTCATTTTTAGGTAAATTTGGTAGTGAACTATGTCAGTGGTAAAAAAAAAAATGCCATGCTTTAAATATATTTTAATATTCATTATCTCATTTGACCCACACAACAACTATATGATGTAGATAGGGAATGCATTATCTTCATTTATCAGATAGAGTTGAGCCATAAAGAGACTAGAGACTTGTACATGCCCACGCACATTAGGGCCAGAGATAAAAATAGAGTTGAAGTCTCTGGATTTCTAGTCCAGGACGCGTTCCATTATAACACAGTACCTTCCTAGTTGCTCTTCATAAAATCTATGATCTGGTACAGACAAAATGCTAAAGGAAAATCCTCATAAGTAAAAAATCCAACCTGCTAGCTAGGATCTAGTAAAATGCTCAGAACATGTTGTTTTCCTTTGTCTTACCCTTATTTATTCTAGATCAAAATGGAATACATAAATATACACAACCAGAAATTTACTGGGACCAATTATTTCACAATTTTATGGCTGTTGTGCCCAACATTAATTCACATGTCATCTCTTATTTGGAAATCTTTTGAATGATTCTGGGCAAAAACTTACTAATAATATAGAAAATCCTGCTGAATTTAATTAGCCTTTGGCAATAAAAATTTGTGAGTTTGCTGATCAGTAAGTTAGCTCTACCAGATAGACCTCATTATTTACAGACTTGATTTAGTTTCTCAGTAAAATGGTCTTCTCGGTAGAGCATGAGGGAATAATATTTCTTTCACTTTCTACTTTGCTTTATAACTAGCGAAGATTTTATAATCATTTAGATCTTACTTCACTGCCAACTCCTGAAATTTAATCCTATGTATGCTCTGCCACAGACAAAACTTTCCACTTTACAAAAAACTTTTCTCCAAAAAATACCCATTGCCCCCAGATAGGAAATTCACTGATGTATTTGTTTTCAAAGAAAAGATAAAAGTTGTGGAAAGCAGCAATGTGGTAGGAAAATCACTCTTGATTAATTCTCAAAAGTGACGGGGTAGTGGGAAATAAGGTGGTAGTGGGGGTGGTGGAGAGGTAGGAAGTAGGAATATATATATACATTATGTATATACATACAGAAAAAAAAAGATCTAACCTTAAAGAGTGTGGTGAGGTACTAAGAGCAAAAAACTGCACAATTAGGTCTCTAAAATAAATTACAAGACATTTAAATTGCTTTCTTCCTTTTGACTTCCTTGGATATAGTAATGTAGATAGCAATATACAGAAAATATACATAGAAAAGCACCTCTTGGAATTCATTTACTAAAGTTTTCAAGTAAACTCAATGTTCTTTGCAGATAATCACAAGTTTTTACAATGGTTGAAATAGGTTGAGTGTTTTTCCAAGTAGCTAGAAAGACAGGTTTCAAAATGATTAAGGATAAAATCTCTCAGTTCAAAATTAAATTCACTTACTGTATTAGTCTGTTCTCACGCTGCTAATAAATACATACCCAAAACTGGGTAATTCATAAAGGAAAGAGGTTTAATTGACTCACAGTTCCACATGGCTGGGGAGGCCTCACAATCATGGTGGAAGGCAAAGGAGGAACAAAGTTACATCTTACATGATGGCAGTCAAGAGAGCATGTGCAGGGGAACTCCCCTTTAAAAAACCATTAGCTCTTGGGAGACTTATTCACTATCACAAGAATAACACGGGAAAAACCTGCCTCCACAACTCAACTACCTCCCACCAGGTCCCTCCCATGACACGTGTGGATTATTACAATTCAAGGTGAGATTTGGGTGGGGACACAAAGTGAAACTGTATCACTTGCTAATTTTATAATTGAAAAATTTTTTAAATTTCAATAATGTAATTAAGAAGCCCAGAAAAATTCAAGTGTAATAATGCTTATCAGCTTCATCTTTTACTCCCTGGCCAAAATTTTATTTGGCTATCTTGTAAAAATTATGAAATTATCAATTAAAATATTATTCATTACTGAGAGGTAAAAAGTTAATATATACAATACAGCATATAAAATTAATATGAATGTAAATTTAGTGTAATAAACTCTTCAGCTTAATATTTCAAAGAAATCTAAGTTCTAAACTCAGTTGTTTCTTCAGATCTATTCTTCCATTCTCTGCTTCGGTTGATTACATTTCTATCTACTCATCATCCAAGTTAAACCTTATAAGTATCATTTATGCTTTCATTCTTCAAATATTTGTTGAGTAGCAGCAATGTCTCAGACCAGATGCTAGGCACAGGAGATACAGAGGGGCTAAGACAGACAAGGAGCCTTCATTCCAGTAGAAAGATAATAAGCTTTATGAATTAGTTAATCAAACAAGATAATTTTAGCTAATGATAAGTACTGTGGAGGAAATAAACTGGGTGATGACAAGTAGAGTTCAATTTAAATAGCCTTCTCTGAGGAGGTGACACATGAGCTGAGACTAGAAGAGCTCAGAGCAGAATATTCCAGGTAGAGGGAATGACGAATAAAAGGATTAGAGTGAGGAAAAGTTCAATGTGTTTGAAGAACAGCCTGGGGAGGGAGGTGGTGTGAATAGGCAAGAGTCAGTATGTGCACAGACTTGGTCGTGATGGTGAATAATTTATTATAAAATGATGGGAAGCCATTTAAAGCATACAAGTATGGGATTGATTGGCTTGATCTGATAGTCCTGGTAGAGAGGGACAAGACTGGGAGCAGAATGACTCATCATAAGGAGTCCAAGCAGCAGATGATGGTGGCTTATTCCAAAGTAGTAGAAATGCAGACCCATGATATATGTTGGAGGTGTAACTGGTAGGTCTGAATAATTAATTAGATGTGGTGGGTAGCAGTGGTGTGCTGGAACAGACTCTCAGTAGCTCATGTGAGCTGAGTGCAAGCATATCCTTCCAACTCTGCATTCAGTGATGAAATGACACCTGGCTTAATCAGCCATGGAGGGAGTATCTATGATGTATCATAAAGATTGGCAAATGCTACAAATAAGGCCTTCCACACCCTTATCCCCAGACTCATTTGAATATCGCCTGCACATCCATGGCAGGGAGGGAAAGGAGAATAATCAACAGTTGATTTGGACACACGTTTGAGTCGCCTGTTGAGTCCTCCTTTTTCTGCTCCTTCATGCTCATCAGGTTTTCAAATTCCACAAGTTACTTTTCAAATCTATCTCTTCACTTTCTCAGCATCTGATGGACTGTTCACAGCCTCATCAACTCTTCCTTGCACTATTGCAAAAACTTCCTGGTTTCTCTGTAAAGAGTGTTGCCGGCTCAAATTCATCTTTCAAACATCAAATCAAAATTATCTAAACTACAAATATAATCTGATTACTGTTAGGTTTATTATCATTTAAACTGTTTGTATATAGGAAAAGTCCAAGCTCCTCAACATGAAGTCCCAAGGCTTTTATCCCTGAATTCTATCATCTGGTACTCCCTGTCTTAAACTTGACCAACATTCAACTGCTTCTTATTCCATATACATATCATGCTACTTCTCACCTTCAGGTTATGTTTTTAAATGTCTCCACTATGGGAACTGTTATTCCATCCTCAACTGGCACACATAGATAATCTCTTTGGGAAGTCTTCCATGATTACTTCCTCCCCACACTGGCTAGATTTTGAGGACTAACATCTGGGCTCTTAGCCATTCACTGCACTTATTTCATTGCGTTGAAAGTGTTGAAATTACTGTATGTATTGCTGTATCTGTCTTTCCCTCTAGATTATGAGAAACTTCAAGGCAAGGATAGCACCTGAAGTACACAGCAAATTCAACATACATAGATACTCAGTGAATGTTTGTTGAATGAACAAATGAATTTGTTAATATTTATTTATGGCATACCTTTTAGCCATTACCTTTTCTAGTAAGCCACAGACATCTCCGGTCAAAATGAAGAGATTCTTCTGTTTTCAGTGCACCCCATCAGATCTCTGCCTTCATGTTGTCATTAAGGTTGTTGTGGAGGTTAATATTGTCAATACCATCATTATTGCTACATGTATTGGGTTCTGGAGGCAGAGGCAGTGAGATTAATTCATTTGCCAAGGTCATACAGTAAGTAAAGAGACATTTATCATCACTTATTACACTTTATTATACTAATCTTTTTACTTATCTTTACTATACTGTCAATTCTTTGATGATTGTGCCTGAATCGGAGTCAGCTTTGAATAATAACAAAAACACTAGCAACCAATATTTATTGAGTACTCATACTACTTTATATGGCTGACCTCATTTAAGGCCTTACAACATGTGTATGCTGTAGGTGCTATTAATAAACCTACTTTATAATAAGATATATATTAAACCTACTTTACAGTAAAATGTATAGTAGTTATTTATCTTCAAGATAAATTCCCAGAATTGAAATTACTGCAAAAGGTTATAACTATTTTTTCACTTTTAATTTATTATTTATGATTTTAAAAATAATCTTCATTTTTAGAACAGTTTTGGATTTAAATAGAAATTGCAAAGATAAAAGAGTTCTCATATACCTCACACACATTTTCCCCTATTATTACCATCTTACATTAGGATGGTACATTTGTCACAATTGTTGAACCAATATTGAGTCTGTACTTTATTCAAATTTCCATAGATTTTACCTAATGTTCCTTTCGTTTCCAGGATCCCCTCCAGAATACTAACTATATTATTTTAGTTTTCATGTTTCCTTAGGCTCCTCTTGGCTATGACAGTTTCTCAGACTTTCTTTGTTTTGGATGACCTTTATCATTTTTAGGAGTATTAATTATACATTTGTAGAATGTTTTGGGAACTTGTCTGATGTTTTCACATGATTAGACTGGGGTTGTGGATTTGGGGAAGAAAGACCACAGAGGTAAACTGTTATTTTCATCAAATCATATTAAGGGTACATACTATCAACATTTTTTATCACTGTTGATGTTGACCTTGATCATGTGATTGAGGTAGTATTTGTCAGGTGTATCCATTTTAAAGATACTCTTCTTTCCCTCTTTTCATACTGCACTTTTTGGGAAGAAGTCACTGGGTGCAGCCTACATTTAAGGAATGGGGTGTTATGTTCCACTTCCTTGAAGGTGGAGTATCTACATAAATTATTTTGAATTCTTTGGCAAGGGAAATTTATCTCTTCTTTCTTTCTTCTCCCCTCCCCACCTCGCTCCCTCCCTCCCTTTTTTGGTTCATGGCTATTTGTTTTACATTTTGGGCTACAGTGCAATACTACCTTAATTTGCTACTCAAAATGTTTCAGCTTTAGGCTTTGGTTGCGGTATCCCTTTGCCATATCCATAAAATTGGGGGGGGGGGTTTCTCTGAGTACTTCCTTACTTTCTGGCATAACTACAGAAAGTTATACCAGGCTCTTCTTACACATGTCCTGCCCCAGTCCTAGAGCTAGTTATTTTTTCAAGGATTTCTGGTTACTTAGATTGGAAAATGGTATTAAAAACCAAAATCTGGGCCGGGCGCGGTGGCTCACGCCTGTAATCCCAGCACTTTGGGAGGCCGAGGAGGGCGGATCACGAGGTCAGGAGATCGAGACCATCCTCGCTAACACGGTGAAACCCCGTCTCTACTAAAAAATACAAAAAAAATTAGCCAGGTATGGTGGCGGGCGCCTGTAGTCCCAGATACTTAGGAGGCTGAGGCAGGAGAATGCCGTGAACCCGGGAGGCGGAGCTTGCAGTGAGCAGAGATCACGCTACTGCACTCCAGCCTGGGAGACAGAGCGAGACTCTGTCTCAAAAAAAAAAACAAAAAAACAAAAAAACACCAAAATCTGGATGCGACGTGTGCTTGTTGCCTGTAGAGTATCATTTACTCTTAGCCCTCTCAGCTGACAGGGCAAAGGAATACATGTGTGTATACTGACCTGTGTATTTACAGACAGTCCCTGACTTATGATGATTTTTTAACTATATCATGGTGCAAAAAATCATGCACATTCAGTATGCTCCCCAACTTACAGTGGGGCTATATCTGGATAAACCCATTATAAGCTGAAAATACCTTAGTCGAAAATGCACTTTTGACTTACAATATTTTTAATTTATGATGGGATTATCTGAATATCAAAGTTCAGGAACATCTGTAAACATCTACATGTAAAACTCTTTGCATCTATATTAAGCCAAACGGGAGTTTATGTTGGTGTGTCCAACTCTAATCTACTACAATAGGGATCATCCTAGCCTCCTCCCTTTGCTTACCTTTAAATTTACACTTTAATAGTAAGAAACCTGGCTTCCACTATTTGCCATTCATTTACTTAATTGTTCAATTCTAGTACACATACACAGAAGTATCAGAATTGTTGACTCATAACACTGTGGGAAATAACTATATCAACTACAGTACATTACCTATGTGCTGTTCCTTTCTCTTTTAGTCTTACAGATTACTCATTTTCAAATGGACTTAGGTCAGCAAATTTTATCCCAACACCTTTCAGTGAGGTTGTTCTATACATTTTGAAATACAATTAGATTATATTGTCACAGTCTATATTTCATCCTGGAACCCTCCAAATTCCAAAATAATTTTGGAAATTTTGCATACATTAAGGTTTACTCTTTGCTGTAAAGTCCTATGGGTTGTGAGAAATGCATAGTGTCGGCAGGGCACGGTGGCTCATGCCTGTAATCCCAGCACTTTGGGAAGTGGAGAGGGGGGTGGATCATTTGAGGTCAGGAGTTCAAGACCAACCTGACCAGCATGGTGAAACCCCGTTCCTACTAAAAACACACACACACACACACACAAAAGCTGGGCGTGGTGGCGCATGCCTGTAGTCCCAGCTACTCAGGAGGCTGAGGGAAGAGAATTGCTTGAACCCAGGAGGCGGAGGTTGCAGTGAGCCGAGATTGTGCCATAGCACTCCAGCTTGGGTGACAGAGCAAAACTCTGTCAAAAAAAAAAAAAAGCATAGTGTTATTTATCCACCATTACAGTATCATACAGAATATTATCACCACCCAAACAAAATCCACTATACTTCACATATTCAACTTTCTCCCCTCCCCTTTAGCCCCTGGCAACCACAAATCTTTTTTTTTTCTTTTTTCTTTTTAAAGAAAGGAATCAGGATTAACCAAAATCCACATATAAAAGGAGAAACCTTGCAGATTTTTCAAATTTCTATATATCCTCTTTATATTATGATTTATAGCCCTCATTATGCTGTACCTTTACTCCATTGATTCTATCATGAGACTTACAGGAAGAAACAGTAAAACTGATCTCCACAGGCCCACTATCATGTTTTTTAGTCTAGTTTGTGCAGTCCTATGCATATGCTGCAGGAAGGGATGACTCTCCATAGTTTCCACTGATAGGAAGACCATATGAATAAGGGAAGAGAAATATAAATGAAACATCCATATAATCTAGCAAGGCTTTCTTGCTCTTTTTAATTTTTATTTTTATTTACTTATTTTTATATTATTTATTTATTATTTTTAACTTTTACTACAGGTTTAGGGGTACATGTGAAGGCCTGTCACATAGGCAAACTCACATCATTTGCTGTACAGACCATTTCATAACCCAAATACTAAGCCTCGTACCCATTGGTTGCTTTTTTCTGTTCCTCTCCCTCCTCCCACCTTCAACTTCAAGTAGAACCCAGTGTGTTGTTCTCCACTTTGTGTCCACGTTTTCTCATCATTTAGCTCCCACTTATAAGTGAGAACATGCAGTTCTGTTCCTGTAATAGTTTGTTAAGGATGATGGCCTCCAGTTCCATCGACGTTCCTGCAAAGAACATGATCTTGTTATTTTTCATGGTTGTGTAGTATTCCATAGCATATGTGTACCACATTTTCTTTACCCATTCTACCACTGATGGGCATTTAGGTTGATTCCATGTCTTTGCTATTGTAAATAGTGCTGTAATGAACATGTGTGTCCACGTGTCTTCATGGTAGAATTATTTACGTTCCTTTGGGTATATACTCAGCATTGGGATTGCTGGGTTGAATGGTAGTTCTGTTTTTAGCTCTTTGAGGAATTGCCACACTGCTTTCCACAATGGTCAAACTAATTTACACTCCAACTAACAGTGTATAAACATTCCATTTTCTCTGCAACCTCACCAGCATCTGTTATTTTTTGACTTTTTACCAATAGCCATTCTGACTGGTGTGAGATGGTATGTCATTGTGGTTTTGATTTGCATATCTCTAATGCTTGGTGATATTGCATTTTTTTCATATGCTTATTGACCACATGTATGTCTTCTTTGAAAAGTGTCTGTTTATGTTCTTTGCCCAATTTTTAAAGGGCTTGGTTTTTTCTTGTAAATTTGTTTAAGTGCCTTATAGATGTGGGATATTAGACCTTTGTCAGATGCATAGTTTGTTAATATTTCTCCCAATCTGTAGGTTGTCCATTTATTCTGTTGATAGTTTCTTTTGCTGTGCAGAAGGTCTTAAGTTTAATTACATCCCATTTGTCAATTTTTGCATTTGTTGCAATTGCTTTTGGCATCTTTGTCATGTAATCTTTGGCAGTTTCTATGTCCAGAATGGTATTGTCTAGGTTATCTTACAGGGTTTTTATAGTTTCGGGTTTTACATTTAAATCTTTAATCTATCTTGAGTTGGTTTTTGTATGTGGTATAAGAAAGGGATCCAGTTTCAATCTTCTACATATGGCTAGCCAATTATCCCAGCATTAATTATTGAATAGGGAGTCCTTTCTCCATTGCTTGTTTTTGTCAGCTTTGTCAAAGATCAGATGATTGTAGGTGTGTGGCCTTATTTATGGGCTCTCTATTCTGTTTCATTGGTCTATGTGTCTGTTTTTGTACCAGTGCCATGCTGTTTTGTTTACTGTAGCCCTGTAGTACAATTGTGATGCTGGATTCAGTTTGCAAGTATTTTGTTGAGGATTTTTGCATCAGTGTTCCTCAAGGATATTGGCCTGAAGTTTTCTTTTTTTGTTGTGTCTCTGCCAAGTTTTGGTATCAGGTTAATGCTGACCTCATAGAATGAGTTTGGGAAGAGTCCCTTCTCCTCAATTTTTTGGTATAGTTTCAATAGGAATGATACCACCTCTTCTTTGTACATCTAGTAGAATATGCCTGTGAATCTGTCTGGTCCTGGGCTTCTATTTGTTGGTAGGCTATTTATTACTGATTCAGTTACAGAGCTTGTTATTGGTCTGTCCAGAAAATCAATTTCTTTCTGGTTCAGTCTTGGAAGGTTGTATGTGTTCAGGAATTTATCCATCTCTTCCAGGTTTTCTACTTTGTGTGCATGGAGGTGTTCGTAGTAGTCTCTGATGGTTCTTTGTATTTCTGCGGAGTCAGTGGTAACATCTCATTTGTCATTTCTGATTGTGTTTATTTGGATCTTCTCTCCTTTTTTTTTTATTAGTCTAGCTAGCAGCCTATCTATCTTTTCAATTTTTTAAACAAGCCAATTACTGGATCTGTTGATGTTTTGAATTTTTTTGTATCTGGATCTCTTTGAATTCAGCTCTGATTTTGGTTATTTCTTGTCTTCTGCTAGCTTTGGGGTTGGTTTGCTCTTGCTTCTCCAGTTCTTTGATGTTAGGTTATTAATTGGAGATCGTTATCCCTTTTTGATGTGGGCCTTTCATATTATGAATTTTCTTCTTAACACTGTCTTAGCTGCGTCTCAGAGATTCTGGCATATTGTATCTTTGTTCTCATCAGTTTCAAAAAACTTACAGATCTCTGCCTTAATTTCATTATTTACCCAGAAGTCTTTCAAGAGAAGATTGTTTAATTTCCACATAATTACATGGTTTTGAGCAATTTTTTTGTCTTGATTTTTATTTTTACTGTGCTGTGATCTGTGAGTGCATTTGATATGATTTCAGTTCTTTTGTATTTGCTGAGGATTGTCTCATGTCCAATTATGTGATTGATTTTAGAGTATGTGCCATGTGGCAAAAAGAGGAATGCCTATTCTGTTGTTTGGGGCTGGAGACTTCTGTAGAAGTCTATCAGATCCATTTGGTCCAATATTGAGTTCAGGTCCTGAATATCTTTATTAATTTTCTGTCTTGATGATCTGTCTTATACTGCCAATGGAGTGTTGAAGTCTGTCACTATTAATTGTGTGAAAGTCTAAGTTTCTTTGTAGGCCTCTAAGAACTTGCTTTTTGAAAGTAAGTGTTCTGTGTTGGGTGTGTATACACTTAGGATAGTGAGGTCTTCTTGTTGAATTGAACCCTTTACCATGATATAATACCCTTCATCCTTTTTGATCTTTGGTGGTTTAAAGTCTGTTTTGTCTGAAATTAGAATTGTAACTCCTGCTTTTTTTCTGATTTCCATTTGCTTGGTAGCTTTTTCTCCATCCCTTTATTTTGAGCCTATGGGTGTTATTGTGTGTGGTCTCTTGAAGACAGCATACCACCAAGTCTTGCTTTTTTATCCAAATTGCCACTCTGTGCCTTTTAAATGAGGCATTTAGCCTGTTTACATTCAAAGTTGGTATTGATATGTATGGACTTGATCCTGTCATTGTGTTGTTAGCTGGTTATTATGCTGGCTTGTTTATGTGGTTATTTTATAGTAGCACTGGTCTGTGGTTGCTTTATAGTATCACTGGTCTTAAGTGTGTTTTTGTATTGGCTGATAATAGTCTTTCCGTTCCATATTCAGAGCTCCTTTCAAGAGCTCTTGTAAGACAGGGCTGATGGTAATAAAATCCTTCAGTATTTGCTTACCTGAAAAGGATCATATTTCTCCTTCACTAACAAAGCTTAGTTTTGTTGCATACAAAATTCTTATTTGAAGATATTTTTCTTTAAGAATGTTGAATATAGGCCCCCAATCGCTTCTGGCTCATAGGATTTCTGCGGAGAGGTCCGCTGTTAGCCTGATGGGGTTTTCTTTGCAGGTGACATGCCCTTTCTTGCTGGCTGCCTTTAACATTCTTTCTTTTATTTTATCCTTGGAAAATTTGATGATTATGTGTCTTGGGATGATCCTCTTGTGTAGAATCTTGCAGGAGTTTGCTGTATTTCCTGATCAACATTCTTTCTTTTATTTTATCTTTGGAAAATCTGATGATTATGTGTCTTGGGATGATCTTATTGTGTAGAATCTTGCAGGCATTCTCTGTATTTCCTGAATTTGGCTGTTGGCCTAATGAGGTTGTGGAAATTTTCATGGACAATATCCTGAAATATGTTTTCCAAGTTGTTTGCTTTTTCGTCATCTCTTTCAGTGATGCCAGTGATTTGTAGATTTGGCCTCTTTACCTAGTCCCATATTTCTCAGAGGGTTGGTTCATTCCCTT
Organism: Homo sapiens; assembly: GCF_000001405.40. NCBI lineage: Eukaryota > Metazoa > Chordata > Mammalia > Primates > Hominidae > Homo > Homo sapiens. The sequence goes on along the minus strand of NC_000006.12, from coordinate 79,966,497 downwards.
TCATTCTTTTTTCTTTATTTTTGTCTGACTGTCTTATTCGAGAGAGTCAATCTTCAAGTTCCAAGATTCTTTCCTCAGCTTGGTCTACTGCTGTTAATACTTACAAATGCATGGTGAAATTCTTGTAGTGTATTTTTCAGCTCTATTGGATCAATTAGGTTCCTTTTTATAGCTGTTATTTTGTCTATCAGCTCCTGTATTGTTTTCTTGTAATTCTTAGTTTCCTTAAATTGGGTTTTGCTTTTCCCCTGAGCCTTTATGATCTTTGTTTCTATCTGTATTCTGAATTCTATTTCTGTCATTTCAGCCGACTCAGTCTAGTTAAGAATCCTTGTTGGAGAATTAGCGTAGTCATTTGGAGAACATAAGACACCCTGGTCATTTGAGTTGTTGGAGTTCTTGCATTTGTTCATTCTCATCTCTGCTTGTATGTGTTCCTTTAACTGCTAGGCTATCCCTGATTGAAGCAGTCAAGTGGGGGCATGGTGGTTGTACTGGAGTCCCAGGTCAGGCGGCCCTGCCCAGTGAGAAGTAAGGACCAGGACCTTCATGGAGAACAGACAAGACACTTTTACATGAGGTAGGTGCTCCTCTGGGGGTCTGGACCAACACCTGGTTTCATGGATGCTCCAGAGCCTGGACACAGCAAGGGTGAGGGCTGGAAGACAGCAAAGATGGCAACCTGCCCCTTCCATTGGGAGCTCTGTCTCAGGAAGCTGAAGAGCTACTACTGGCTCGATAGTCCAATGTGGGGTGGCTGGAGACCCAGGCCAGGAGAACCTGTCCAGTGAGGAAATGTGAGATCAGGGACCCATGTAACAAAGACTCTGGCCACTTTTCCACAGGGCTATTGCAGTATGCTGGGGTTCTGATCCAGTGCCAAAACCTCAGGTTTTCCAGTACCTGAAGGTATCCAATCTTTTTACTGTCTCTAGAGCTTTGCCTTTTTAGAAATGTTAGATAATTAGAATCACATATTATGTAGCCTTTTTAGACTAGTTTCTTTCACTTAGCAATATTCATTTATGCATTTAAGTTTTATTCATGTCTTTTTATGGCTTGACAGCTCATTTCTTTTTATTGCTGAATAATATCCCACTGTATGGATGTGCCAAAATTATTTTATCCATTCACTTATTAAAGGACATCTTGGTTTCTTCCAATTTTTGGTGATTATGAAGAAAGCTGGTATAAACATCTCTGTGCAGGATTTTTTATTTTGTTTTGTTTTACAAGAGAACAAATCCACTTATTTATTTACTTTTCATTAGTTTAAGTCCTTGAGGGGTACAGTATTGTTACTGGGAATTCTGTGTTGGAATGGATTCTTTAACCTAGAAGATCAACAGAGCTGGAGCTCTGGACCAGTAATCTTGGTTCCTGTGATACTGAGCAAAGAATTGCAAACTAACACCAAAATGCAAGCTCAAAGCAGAGTTTACTGAAGAACAGTAATAGACTCTCAGAGAGAGAGTGGGCTGATTTCTGCGAAGTGAAATCAGTCCCTTTTTACAAAACTCAGAGGGCTTTGATGCAGCTTTTGTGGGAAGGAGTTAGGGTTTGGCCTCTGTCTGAGTAGCAAGATGATGTCATTTGATTGTCAGTATATGGACATGTAGCTAAAATTAAATTGTGCATGCTCTTACTCATATTTTGTTAACAAAAGCCCATGGTGGGCGGCTGTAAAAACACATGTAAATTTTATTATAATGATGGTATAATGAGCATGGGGTGAACTTGAGGACACAGTTCCATGTTACTGGGCATGTGCCACTTTAAGTAATTTCCACCTGTGCCCTACTTTCTCCTTCTCCAGGATGTGTTGGCCCACAGACTTTACCACAAACTCCAACTGTTAGGGTGGAGTTACGGCAGTTCTGGGGCTGAACTCAGGTGGGCCATGGGCTGCCTTAGTGACAGCCTTTTGGTTCTCTTTTCTTACCCACTCCCAGCTGCTAATATCTATCTAATTACCTAAAAGTATCACATTGATTTTGTGTTCAATGGCCTTAGCAGGAAAGTTGTTTTGGAATTTATTATGAACGATGTCACTTTTTTCATGGGCACAAGTTACCTTTTCCAGATTACTCTGGTTTTGTTTGGTTTGCTGGCAGAAGCCACTGTGTTCTTTCCTTCGTACACAGAAGCACATCTCTTGGCCAAACAGAATTCAGTTTCATCTTGGACACAAATACCTTCAGTTTTAAGAAGAGCCATGTGCTCCCTTTGGTTCCAGAGATCCCACTTACAGCCATCAAAAGTGGCGTTGGAAAACAGCCTTCCAAACAGATTTATCTTTTAGAAGTCCTTTTCCCAGTAGGCCTCCACAGACTACAAAATGGTGGGAAGAACCATGTGGAGGTTTTGGTATGGATATACATTTTCAAATCAGTTGGGTAAATAAATAGGAGCATGATTTCTGAATTGTTAGGTTTTCTTTTGAAATTTAGCCATTCTCATAAATGTGTAGTGGTATGTCATTGTTATTTTAATTTGCAGTTCTTAATGACAAATGATGTTGAGCATCTCATATCCTTATTTCCCATCTGCAGATCTTCTTTGATGAGGTGTCCAGATCTTTTGATTATTTTTTCAATCGAGTTGTTTGTTTTACTGTTGTTGTTATTGTTGAGTTTTAAGAGTTCTTTGTATATTTTGGATACAAGCCCTTTATCAGATATGTGTTTGCAAATATTTTCTTCAGTTCTGTAGTTTGTCTTTTAATTCTGCAAATAAATAGTCTTTCACAGAGCAGAAGTTTTTAATTTTAATGACATCAATTTTTTTCTTTCATAGATTGTGCTTTTGATGTTGTATCTAAACACTCATCACTATAATGAAGGTCACCTAGATTTTTGCTGATATTTTCATACAGAAGTTTTATGATTTGCATCCTACATTTAGGTCCATAATGCAATTTGAGTTAATTTTTGTGAAAGATGTAATTTTTCTCTCCAGGTTTTGTTTTGTTTTTTTTGTTTTTGCATGGACATCTAATTGTTCTAGACTATTTGTTGAAAAGGCTCTTCTTTCTCCATTGAATTTTCTTTGCTTCTTTGTCAAAGATAAGTTGACTACATATGTGTTGGTCAATTTCTGGGCTCTACATTCTTTCCATCGTTCTATGTGTCTATTCTTTCCCCAGTATAATAAGGTCTTAACTACTGTAGCTTTATATTAAGTCTTGAAATCAAGTAGTGTGAATTCTCCAACTGTGTTCTTCTTTGGTATTGTGTTAGCTATTCTAAATCTCTTACATTTTCACATGAACTTTAGAATCAGTTGGTTGATATTTACAAAATAGCTTGCTGGAATTTTATTGAGATTGCATTGAATGTGTACACCAAATTGGGAAGAATTGGCATGTTAACAATATTTAGTCTTCTAATCAGTGCACATAGAATATCATATCTCTCCATTTATTTATATCTCCTTTGATTTATTTCATTAGAGTTTTACAGATTTTCACGTATGGATTCTGTGCATAATTTGCTAGATTTATACCTAAGTATTTCATTTTCTTTGGTGCTATTGTAAATAGTATTGCTTTTTAAATTTCCATTTCAAGTTGTTCATTATTGATAAAGCAATTAACTTTTGGATATTATCCTTGTATCCTGTAAACTTCCTATGGTCTCTTATTAGTTCTAGGAGTTTTGTTGTTGATAACCCTTTGGGATTTTCCACATAGATAATCATGTTATCTGTGAATAAAGACAGTTATATTTTTTCCTTTCCAGTCTAAATACACTTATTTCCTTTTCTTATCTTATTGCACTTGTTAGGAATTCCAGTATGATGCTAACTAGGAGTGGTGGGGCAGGGTAACTTTGCCTTATTTATGATTTTAAAGAGAAAATGTTCAGTTAGTCATCTTAAGACTGATGTCTGCTGTAGGCAATTTTAGATATTCTTTATCAAGTTACAAAAGTTCCCTTTATCCTTTGTGTGCTGAGAGTTTGTATTATGAATGGGTGTTACATTTTTGCCAAATGATTTTTCTGCATCAGTTGATAAGATCATATTTTTCTTCTTTAGCCTGTTGATGTGATGGATTATACTGACTGACTTTTAAATGTGGTTTTTTGAATTATTTGGAATGATTTTTGAACCAGCCTTGCATAACTAGAATAAATCCCACTTGGTCTTGAGGTTTAATTATTTTTATACATTATTGAATTCAATTTGGTATATTTTATTGAGGATTTTAACATTTATTTTATGAGAGATTTTAGTGTGTAGTTTTCCTTTCTTATAATATCTTTATCTGATTTTGGTATTGGAGTAATAGTGGCCTCATGAAATGAGTTAGAAAGTGTTCTCTGTACTTCTATTTTCTGGAAGAGATTGTGAGAATTTGTATCCTTTCTTCCTTAAATATTGGTAGAATTCACAGATGAAACCATCTGGACAAGGTGCATTACATTTTAGAAGTTAATGAATTATGGATTCAGTTTCTTTAATAGATATAATTCTATTCATATTTTCTAATCTTCCTTGTATGAATTTTGGTAATAAGTATATTTTAGGAAATTAGCCCATTTTACCTACTTTATTATATTGGTGGGCATAAATTTGTTCAGAGCATTCATATAGTATTCTTTTAACATTCATGGGAGTAGTAGTGATGGCCATTCTTTCATTTCTGATGTTAGTAATTTGCATCTTCTTTCTTTTTTTCTTAGCCTAGATAGAGATTTCAATTTTATTGATGTTTTCAAAGAAGCAGCTTTTGGTTATATTGACTTTCTCTGTTGTTTTCCAGTTTTCAGTTTCACTGATTTCTGCTCTGATTTTTATTATTTCTTTTCTTCTGCTTCCTTTGGGTTTACACTGCTCTTCTTTCTCCAGTTTCCTAAGGTGAAGCTTAATAATTTTCCACCTTTTTTTTCTTTTCTAACATGTTAATTTTAATACTATGGAAACCTCACTGCTTTTGCTGCATCCCACAAACTTTGATAAGTTGCATTTTTTAGTTCAAAATATTTTAAAATTTCTCTTGAGACTTCTCTTTGACCCATATGTTGTTTAGAAATATGTTGTTTAATCTCCAAACGTTTCTGGTTTTCCCAATTATCTTTCCATTGTTGATTTCTAATTTAATTGTATTGTGGTCTGAGGACATTCTTTGTATGATTTCTATTCTTTTAGATTTGTTAAGGTATGTTTATAGTCCAGAATGTGGTCTATCTTGGTGAATGTTCCACATGAGCTTGAGAAAGCAGTGTATTCAGCTGTTGTTGGTTGAAATATTTTATGTCCGTTAGATCAAGGTAACTGAGAGTGTTCTTTAGATCAACTACACTCTTACTGATTTTCTGAATGCTTGACCTATCAATTACTGAAATTAGTGTTGAAGTCTCTAATACCGAAGTTGTTTATTTTTCTTCACAACTCTATCAGGTTTTGCCTCACATATTTTGACACTGGTATTGGGTACATGCACATGAAAGATGTATTATCCTCTTTATATCTTGTTGAATTTGATTTGATACATTACTAAAGGATTTGTGCATGTATGTTAATGAGGAATATTAGACTATAATTTACTTTTCTTGAAAAGTCCTCGGTAGGTTTTGGTATCAGATTTATGGTGACATCATAAAATGAATTGAGAAGAGTTACCTTCTCTTTATTCTGAAAGTGTTTGAGTGTAACACTGGTAATATTTCTTCCTTAAATATTTCATAGGATTTGGCAATGAAGCTGTCTAAGCATAGAGCTATTTGTTAGAAGATTAAGAAATTATAAACTTAATTTCTTTCAAGGCTATTCAAATTTTACATTTCTTCTTGTTTCAGTTTTGATAAGTTGTATTTTCTAAGGAATTGGTCTATTATACCTAATTCATCAAATCTTCTAGCATAAAACTGTTTATAATACTTCCTTACTATCCTTTTAATGCCTATAGATTCTGTAATAATATCCTTTTATTCTCTATTTTTTTCTTTATTAGAATATGTCAGGATTTATAAATTTTCTTACTATTTTCAAAGAACCAAATGACGGCTTTGCTGAATTACTCAACTGTCGGTTTTCTCTTTTCCTTTATTTCTGCTCTTATCTGCATTATTTTATTTCTTCTGTTTACTTTTATTCTAATTTACTGTTTTTTTCCAGCTCTTTAAATTAGGAGCTTAGAATATTGATTGCAATTTCTTCTTCTAATTAAAGTATTTATTTTCCTTTAAAGCTTGCTTTAATTGCATCCCATACATCTTAGTATGTTGTGTTTTAACTATTATTTAGTTTGGAAATTTTTTTTATTATTATTATACTTTAAGTTCTAGGGTACATGTGCACAACGTGCAGGTTTGTTACATATGTATACATGTTCCATGTTGGGGTGCTGCACCCATTAACTCGTCATTTACATTAGGTATACCTCCTAATGCTATCCCTCCCCCCACCCACCCCACAACAGGCCCTGGTGTGTGATGTTCCCCTTCCTGTGTCCAAGTGTTCTCATTGTTCAATTCCCACCTATGAGTGAGAACATGTGGTGTTTGGTTTTTTGTCCTTACGATGGTTTGCTGAGAATGATGGTTTCCAGCTTCATCCACGTCCCTACAAAGGACATGAACTCATCATTTTTTATGGCTGCATAGTATTCCATGGTGCATATGTGCCACATTTTCGTAATCTAGTCTATGACTGTTGGACATTTGGGTCGGTTCCAAGTCTTTGCTATTGTGAATAGTGCCACAATAAACATACATGTGCATGTGTCTTTATAGCAGCATGATTTATAATCCTTTAGGTATATACCCAGTAATGGGATGGCTGGGTCAAATGGTATTTCTAGTTCTAGATCCCTGAGGAATTGCCACACTGTCTTCCACAATGGTTGAACTAGTTTACAGTCCCACCAACAGTGTAAAAGTGTTCCTATTTCTCCACATCCTCTCCAGCACCTGTTGTTTCCTGACTTTTTAATGATCGCCATTTTAACTGGTGTGAGATGGTATCTCATTGTGGTTTTGATTTGCATTTCTCTGATGGCCAGTGATGATGGGCATTTTTTCATGTGTCTGTTGGCTGCATAAATGTCTTCTTTTGAGAAGTGTCTGTTCATAGCCTTCGCCCACTTGTTGATGGGGTTGTTTGTTTTTTTCTTATAAATTTGTTTGAGTTCTTTGTAGATTCTGGATATGAGCCCTTTGTCAGATGAGTAGATAGCAAAAATTTTCTCCCATTCTGTAGGTTGCCCGTTCAGTCTGATGGTAGTTTCTTTTGCTGTGCAGAAGCTCTTTAGTTGAATTAGATCCCATTTGTCAATTTTGGCTTTTTGTTGCCATTGCTTTTGGTGTTTCAGACATGAAGTCCTTGCCCATGCCTATGTCCTGAATGGTATTGCCTAGGTTTTCTTCTAGGGTTTTTATGGTTTTAGGTCTAACATTTAAGTCTTTAATCCATCTTGAATTGATTTTTGTATAAGGTGTAAGGAAGGGATCCAGTTTCAGCTTTCTAGATATGGCTAGCCAGTTTTCCCTGCACCATTTGTTAAATAGGGAATCCTTTCCCCATTGCTTGTTTTTCTCAGGTTTGTCGAAGATCAGATAGTTGTAGATGTGTGGTATTATTTCTGAGGGCTCTGTTCTGTTGCATTGGTCTATATCTCTGTTTTGGTAGCAGTACCATGCTGTTTTGGTTACCGTAGCCTTGTAGTATAGTTTGAAGTCAGGTAGTGTGATTTCTTTTGGCTTAGGATTGACTTGGCAATGCAGGCTCTTTTTTGTTTTCATATGAACTTTTAAAGTAGTTTTTTCCAATTCTGTGAAGAAAGTCATTGGTAGCTTGATGGGGATGGCATTGAATCTATAAATTACCTTGGGCAGTATGGCCATTTTCACGATATTGATTCTTCCTATCCATGAGCATGGAATGTTCTTCCATTTGTTTGTGTACTCTTTTATTTCATTGAGCAGTGGTTTGTAGTTCTCCTTGAAGAGGTCCTTCACATCCCTTGTAAGTTGGATTCCTAAGTATTTTATTCTCTTTGAAGCAATTGTGAATGGGAGTTCACTCATGATTTGGCTCTCTGTTTGTCTGTTATTGGTGTATAAGAATGCTTGTGATTTTTGCACGTTGATTTTGTATCCTGAGACTTTGCTGAAGTTGCTTATCAGCTTAAGGAGATTTTGGGCTGAGACAATGGGGTTTTCTAGATATACAATCATGTCATCTGCAAACAGGTACACTTTGACTTCCTCTTTTCCTAATTGAATACCCTTTATTTCTTTCTCCTGCCTGATTGCCCTGGCCATAACTTCCAACACTATGTTGAATAGGAGTGGTGAGAGAGGACATCCCTGTCTTGTGCCAGTTTTCAAAGAGAATGCATCCAGTTTTTGACCATTCAGTATGACATTGGCTGTGGGTTTGTCATAAATAGCTCCTATTATTTTGAGATATGTCCCATCAACATTTTTAAAGAAAATAATTTTCAACCCAGAATTTCATATCCAGCCAAACTAAGCTTCATACGTGAAGGAGGAATAAAATCCTTTACAGACAAACAAATGCTGAGAGATTTTGTCACCACCAGGCCTGCCCTAAAAGAGCTCCAGAAGGAAACACTAAACATAGAAAGGAACAACCGGTACCAGCCACTGCAAAAACATGCCAAGTTGTAAAGAACATCAAGGCTAGGAAGAAACTGCATCAACTAACAAGCAAAATAACCAGCTAACATCATAATGACAGGATCAAATTCACACATAACAATATTAACCTTAAATGTAAATGGGCTAAATACTCCACTTAAAAGACACAGACTGGCAAATTGGATAAAGAGTCAAGACCCATCAGTGTGCTGTATTCAGGAAACCCATCTCACGTGCAGAGACACACATAGGCTCAAAATAAAGGGATGGAGGAAGATCTACCAAGGAAATGGAAAACAAAAAAGGCAGGGGTTGCAATCCTAGTCTCTGATAAAACAGACTTTAAACCAACAAAGATCAAAAGAGACAAAGAAGGTCATTACATAATGGTAAAGGGATCAATTCAAAAAGAAGAGCTAACTATCCTAAATATATATGTACCCAATACAGGAGCACCCAGATTCATAAAGCAAGTCCTTAGAGACCTAGAAAGAGACTTAGACTCCCACACAATAATAATGGGAGACTTTAACACCCCACTATCAACATTAGACAGATCAATGAGACAGAAAGTTAACAAGGATATCCAGGACCTGAACTCAGCTCTGCACCAAGTGGACCTAATAGACATCTATGGAACTCTCCACCCCAAATCAACAGAATATACATTCTTCTCAGCACCACATCACACTTATTCCAAAATTGACCACATAGTTGGAAGTAAAGCGCTCCTCAGCAAATGTAAAAGAACAGAAATTATAACAAACTGTCTCTCAGACCACAGTGCAATCAAACTAGAAATCAGCATTAAGAAACTCACTCAAAACTACGCAACTACATGGAAACTGAACAACCTGCTCCTGAATGACTACTGGGTACATAACAAAATGAAGGCAGAAATAAAGATGTTCTTTGAAACCAATGAGAACAAAGACACAACATACCAGAATCTCTGGGACACATTTAAAGCAGTGTGGAGAGGGAAATTTATAGCACTAAATGCCCACAAAAGACAGCAGGAAAGATCTAAAATTAACACCCTAACATCACAATTAAAAGAACTAGAGAAGCAAGAGCAAACACATTCAAAAGCTAGCAGAAGGCAAGAAATAACTAAGATCAGAGCAGAACTGAAGGAGATAGAGACACAAAAACCCTTCAAAAAATCAATGAATCCAGGAGCTGGTTTTTTGAAAAGATCAACAAAATTGATAGACTGCTAGCAAGACTAATAAAGAAGAAATGAGAGAAGAATCAAATAGATGCAATAAAAAATGATAAAGGGGATATCACCACCAATCCCACAGAAATACAAACTACCATCAGAGAATACTATAAACACCTCTATGCAAATAAACTAGAAAATCTAGAAGAAATGGATAAATTCCTCGACATATACACTCTCCCAAGGCTAAACCAGGAGGAAGTTGAATCTCTGAATAGACCAATAACAGGAGCTGAAATTGAGGCAATAATTTATAGCTTACCAACCAAAAAAAGTCCAGGATCAGATGGATTCACAGCCAAATTCTACCAGAGGTACAAGGAGGAGCTGTTACCATTCCTTCTGAAACTATTCCAATCAATAGAAAAAGAGGGAATCCTTCGTAACTCATTTTATGAGGCCAGCATCATCCTGATACCAAAGCCTGGCAGAGACACAACAAAAAAAGAGAATTTTAGACCAATATCCCTGATGAACATCGACGCAAAAATCCTCAATAAAATACTGGCAAACCGAATCCAGCAGCACATCAAAAAGCTTATGCACCATGATCAAGTGGGCTTCATCCCTGGGATGCAAGGCTGGTTCAACATACGCATGTCAATAAACGTAATCCAATATATAAACAGAACCAAAGACAAAAACCACATGATTATCTCAATAGATGCAGAAAAGGCCTTTGACAAAACTCAACAGCCCTTCATGCTAAAAACTCTCAATAAATTAGTTTGGATACTTTCTGTTGCTGTTGTTGAGACAGGGCCTCACTAGGTGCCCAGGCTGATCTCAAACTTCCAGCCTCAATTGATCCTCCTGCCTCTGCCTCCCAAAACGTTGGGATTACAGGTGTGAACAACTGTGCTTGACCTTAAAATTTTTTATAGATATTTCATTGTTATTGATTTCCCATTTAATCCCCTTGTGGTCAAGTTCTATATTATTTCCTATTTGAAATTTATTAAGAGTTATTTAACAGCCCATAAAATTATAGATCTTTGTGATTGTTTCATGCCCATGAATTTGGCCTCCACCAGGTCAAATGATTTACAGTGTAATACATCTCTTCTATATTATAATTTATCTTTGCCTATTTATTATATTAATTATATAATAGGGGTATTAAATTCTATAACAATAATCTTGAATTTGTCTAATTTTTTTCTTAGTCTGTCAAATATTGCTTTATGTATCTTAAAGGTCTGTTATTACGTGCTTACCTTTTACTGGCTCTTTTATCTCTACTAACTTTGGTCTGTCCACATCCTGACATCCTTTAAGGAAGTGAAAAATAAAAAGCTTCTATTTTGCTTTAGGCACTTTTCTTTTGGGTTTTTCTGTAATATGTAATCATATCTAATGCTAAATGATACAAATACTATGACAAAAAAGTACAAGACACCGTGAACATGTGTGTAACGGGGATCTAACCTTGTTATTGGAGTCAGAGTTTTCCTAGGTCATACATTTAAGGTAAAGTGGGTATTAGCTCTAGTCAGAGGTTGTGAAAGAGTATTCCAAGAGGGAGAAAGTTATGTGCAAAAGCCCTGAGTCAAGGGAAGCTTGGCTCTTTGGAGAAACAGAAGGAGGTCCTGATTAGCTTCCCTGTATACTAAAAGCAGAAGTGGTAAAGGAATGATAGGCATTCTAGATCACACTTTCATTAGGCAAGAAGAAAGATTTACAATGTTCTAAGCTTCTAGATGTGGAGGCTTTGGAGCTTCCTGAGAGTACTAGAAATATTAAGAGATTTTAAGATGAGAAATGCCATCATCTGACATGCAATTTTAAAAGATACTCAAAGTACTGTGTGAGAATAAATTGTAGGAGGAAATAAATGGATGCAGAGAGATCAGTTAAGGGGTGATTGAGGCCAGGCACAGTTACTCACGCCTATAATCCCAGCACTTTGGGAGGCCAAGGCAGGCGAATTACGAAGTCAAGAGTTCGAGACCAGCCTGACCAACATGGTGAAACCCCATCTCTACTAAAAATACAAAAATTAGCCGGGCATGGTGGTGAGTGCCTGTAATCCCAGCTACTCAAGAGGCTGAGACAGGAGAATCACTTGAACCTGGGAGGCGGAGGTCGCAGTGAGCCAAGATCATGCCACTGCACTCCAGTCTGGGTGACAGAGCAAGACTGTCTCAAAAAAAAAAAAAAAAAAATGAGGTGATTGAAGTTTGAAGTGTTTAAGGTGGGAGAGAAATGATGGAATTTTCGGTTAAATTATATGCAGTAGAGCTGAGGGAAGTGGAAAAAATCAAGATATATTTTGCAAGCAGAATTAATAGGAGGTGGTCATGAATTGGATGTGTGTTGGAAGGGAGAATATTATAAAATGTCATTGATCACTTTTGGCATGTGTGGAAATAGGGAAATATGAAAGAAGAACAGATTGTGGGAGGGGGGGAGATAGGTTTTTAACATGTTGATTTTCAAGATGCCTGAGTTACATTAAAGAGAACCACACAAGCTATGAGATACATGAGCTGGAAAGAAGATCTAGGTTGAACACATATATCTGAGAGTTATGAATGCAGATGGTAACCAACGCTATGAGAGTGCATGAAATAATTTAGGCAGGGCTCTCTGCTCCTCCTGTTTGACAGACAGCTGCATCTTCTCTTGCATTGCCAACCACATCCCTGAGACACCATGGGGAAAGTGAAGGTTGGAGTCAATGGATTTGGTTGTATTGGGCGCCTGGTCATCAGGGCTGCTTGTAATTCTGGTAAAGTAGATATTATCGCCATCAATGACCCATTCATTGACCTCAGCTACATGGTCTACATGTTCCAGTATGATCCCACCCATGGTAAATTCCATGGCACCGTCAAGGCTGAGAACGGGAAGCTTGTCATCAATGGAAATCCCATCACTATCTTCCAGGAGCCAGATCCCTCCAAAATCAAGTGGGGTGATGCTGGCACTGAGTATGTCATGGAGTCCACTGGCATCTTCACCACCATGGAGAATGCTGGGGCTCACTTGCAGTGGGGAGCCAAAAGGGTCATCATCTCTGCCCCCTCTGCTGATCCCCCCATGTTCACGATGGGTGTGAACCATGAGAAGTATGACAACAGCCTCAAGATCATCAGCAATGCCACCTGAACCACCAACTGCCTAGCGCCCCTGGCCAAAGTCATCACTGACAACTTTGGTATCGTGGAAGGACTCATGACCACAGTCCACGCCATCACTGCCACCCAGAAGACTGTGAATGGCCCCTCCAGGAAACTGTGGCGTGACAGCCACAGGGCTCTCCAGAACATCATCCCTGCCACTACTGGGCTGCCAAGGCTGTGAGGAAGGTCATCCCTGAGCTGAATGGTAAGCTCACTGGCATGGCCCTCCGTGTCCCCACTGCCAACGTGTCAGTGGTGGACCTCACCTACCATCTGGAAAAACCTGCCAAATATGATGACATCAAGAAGGTGGTGAAGCAGGCATCAGAGGGCCCCCTCAAAGGCATCCTGGGCTACACTGGGCACCAGGTGGTCTCCTCCGACTTCAACAGTGACACCCACTCTTCCACCTTCAATGCTGGGGCTGGCACTGCCCTCAACGACCACTTTGTCAAGCTCATTTCCTGGTATGACAATGAATTTGGCTACAACAACAGGGTGGTGGACCTCATGGCCCACATGGCCTCCAAGGAGTAAGACCCCTGGACCACCAGCCTCAGCGAGAGCACAGGAGGAAGAAAGAGGCCCTCACTGTTGGGGAGTCCCTGGCACACTCATTCCCCACCACACTGAATCTTCCCTCCTCACACATTCCATGCACACCCCTTGAAGAGGGAGGGGCCTAGGGAGCCCCATGTTGTCGTGTACCATCAATAAAGTCCCCTGTGCTCAGCCAAAAATAATAACAATCATAATAGTTTAGGCAGAAAGGATAACATAAGTAAAAAAAAAAACTTGTAAAGCAGCCAGAAATAATTGAATTTTAACATTCACAGGCCACAAAAAGAGGAGAAACCGACAAGGATGAGAAAGAGGGAACAGATATATAAGTGATGTTACAGAAGTCAATGTTTTCCCTCAGTTGTTATTCACATTTGCTTTTGTGTATAGTGTGTATGGATTCTTCAGGTTCAAGACAGTTTCTCCAAGATCAGAGGGGGGTCATTTATCTTTGTATGGTTCACAGGCAGGTGAGTCCTACTGCAAAGTTGCTGAGTCCATAAAATTATGGTTCATTTACTGGAAAGTTTTTAAGCATTTATTCACATATAACCATTTTCCTTAAGAAGCATTCCTGGGTCATCGGGATGGCTGGTAGGAGATAGCTTCTGGAATCAACTAAATGCTTGCCTAGAACCAAGTATTTTTCTGATGTCTTGGGTTTTTAAAAGTAAGTCCTTGAAATACAGCTGGTTTCTTTCCTCTATCATGGTGAGTTTATTTCCCCTCAGGCTCTTTTTATCTTCTCCTACCCTGAAACCAGATTGCTCTTCAGTAATAGGAATATGAGAGCAGGGTGAAAAGGCATTCCCCATTAACACTTGGAATTTATTACCAGATTTCTTGGACCAAAGTTTGTTGATATCCATGAAGACAGATATGTTAGAGTAGTAAGTGAAGGAAATCACAACTCAGACAATACTCAATTAAGAGTGACAAAACTTTTCTTGGTATAGCCAAGCCAGGAAAAACGGGCAGAACCACCATGGTTTGGCCCTCTTATCACTATATGCTTGAATGTATGACTAAAAGTGTGGGATATGGCCTTGAAACATGGCTATGTGAAGAGAGACTGGGCTAATGGCTTTGACCGGTAAAGAATACAGATTGGGTGTACATATTGGGTCACACCAAAACAATGAATATCCAATGTAAGTAATTTGTAGTTGTCATTCTTAGGAAAGGAGTAGCATATGTACCTTAGAAATATGCATCAGGGGTTGCAAAGCTGAGAAGGCATTCTGATATATGATTCTGGTGGAGGTGGTGGCGGGTGAACCTAACTTATTCCCAGCATTCAATATGCCTAGTTGAAAATCATTATAATAAATTTAGTAAGAGACAAATAGCAAACTGGGAAAATATATTTGCAACATATGCAGACAAACTGTTAATAACTTTATTATAAGAAGATGTCTTATAAATCAATAAGAAAAAGTAGACACAACTAATGGAAAATGTCTAAAGAATTCAAACAGGCAATTCCTGAAAGAAGGCTAAAATTGCAATAAACATGATAATCTGTCAAGCAACAATGAAATATCAATCTTTACCTCTCAGACTGGTAATGATTACAAAGCATACATTCAGTAAAGAGAATGGGGTGGGGAAATGAGCACCTTTTCATAAATTTTGGTGGAATTGTGAATTGGTACATTTCTGGAGGTTAAGTGGGCACGATGTGTCAAAATTTGTAAACTTAAAACCCTTTGACCAGGTACAGTGGCTCACACCTGTACTCCCAGCACTTTGGGAGGCCAAGGCAGGCAGATCACATGACACCAGGAGTTTGAGACTAGCCTACCTAACATGGTGAAACCCTGTCTCTAATAAAAATACAAAAATTAGCTGGGTGTGATGGCACACACCCGTAATCCCACCTACTCGGGAGGCTGGGGCATGAGAATCCCTTGAACCCGAGAGGCAGAGGTTGCAGTGAGCCGAGACTGGGCCACTGCACTCCAGCTTGGGCGAGACAGTGGGATGCCGTCTCAAAACAAAAACAACCACCTCTCCACCCCTAAAAAAAGTCCCAAACCTTTGACCCAGAAATTTCCCTTGTAAATATTTATGCTAAGAGTTATTAAACAAGTGCACAAAATTGCATATTGTGGATACTAATAGCCCAATTGATACAGTAGTTCAAATTTGAAACAATCTAAATGCTAATCTATAGGGTAAATGGCTACATAAATGAGTGTGTATCCATATAATGGAATATTAAGTACTTGGTATTACGTTGAAAAGTATTCCTGATGTATTAAATTTTTAAAAAAGCAGATTATAGAGTAGCATTATTTTAAAAAACCATCTGTGTTAAGAAAAAAAGGCTTATATAGGCATGTAAAATTTATTTAGAATGGGAGACAAAATTATAGGGGGGATTTTCATTTTGTTTCTTTTTTTGTTATTTTATCTGTGCTAATGTATTATCAGGATAATCTATGTCCATTTAAATAAAATAAAAATAATTCATACAAGCTAACAAAAAGGTAAACATCTTTAAAAGTTTGAATGAAACATATCTCGTGGAAAACATTGTAATTCCAAGTTAGTCAAGCACCTGTGTTATATGATGGCTATAACGTGGGGGAGGAGTAATGAGCAGAATAAAACAAAAGACTGGAACTAATAGTAGTTAGTGTTATCAACAATTTTCTCCATTTTCTCTAAGTAGCATCCATGTAGCAAAATTTACTTCTAGAAGATTCAAAGTCTTTCTCTACAACTCTTTAATTAGGTTATTTCTTTTTACTCCTGACTCAACAGGCTTCCAGGTTCACTTTTCTTTGAAAGCAGAGGTTGCTGACAATATTACCAACATGGAAAGGTGGACTAGGAAAAAAAAGATGGATAGCTTGATTTATGTTGCTAACCTTGTATGGACTGTAGGACATTTAAAAATATTTTGTACTGGGTGTGGTGGCTCACTCCTGTAATCCCAGTGGTTTTGAAGGCCAAGGCAGGAGGATTGCTTGCAGGCAGGAATTTGAGACCAGCCGGGGCAACACAGCCAGTCCTCCTTCTCTATCAGCTATTTAGGAGGCTGAGGCAGGAGGATGAGGCAGGAGGATAGCTCGAGCCCAGGAATTCGATGTTGCACTAACCTATGATTACACCACTGCAATCCAGCCTAGCTGATAGAGTGAGACCCTGTTTCTAAAAAGAAAAAAATATTGCTATTTTATACAAAAAAATTTATGATAAAATGTCCTCTCCTTTAGGTTTTGTAGGTAACTGTATCCTATTTGCATTTGATCCACATGAAAGAACTCTGTTCTCAAAGTTTGCAGATGCTGTTGTTGCTTGTATTTGCTTTTACTCTGTTATGATGCTACCAAGATTTTGGTTAGATGGCTGTTATTCTAGGTGGCAGACATGCGGGTTTCCCTCCCTTTGCACAACTAAACAAGGTAGGCTTTGGTTCTGGGCAGTCACTGGTATTTACAAACCACTTATTCATGCCAGGTAATAGGGTTCCAGATTGGGTAAGTTTTATGTTCTGGTTCTTGGTATATGTTTAGACAGCTTATAAATGTAAATAAACATTCTACTCTTACAGGTGGAGTGTGGACACGGTGATATCCGTGTGACCGCCATTCCCAGCTGAAGGTTATCTCATCTATGATTTTCTTATACGTGACTGGCACCCCCTAGTGAATAGGGACTTAAGTTGACCTCCACGGTAGAAGAAATACCAGGGAAATACCTGAAGCTGTTTTAACAATTTCTCCTTGTATTAAGTATTATGCTGCAGTTTTGCGTGTGTGAATGGAAGTATGGGTAGAGATCTGTTCTCCCTAAAAACTCCAGGATTCCACAATATAGAAATAGTAATCAAATTTTTAGGTGAAGCTCGAACTAATCCGAACTTTGTTAGATCATCACTGTAAATGAATGGGTATTTATCCACTCCCTAAATGAAGAGACTTGACTGGATTTCTTTTTTTTATATAGCTACTAGAATCTGTTACACATAATTTAGGATTGAGACTTGAGAAATTGTCATTCCAATCCAGAAAACTTTAGATTTGCAAATATATTTGACAAATTAATAAATTAACATTTTATTTGGTTAATTTCAAGAATAGGGCATTTAAAGAAGTCTGTGTTTGCTTTAGTTCGGCAATAAAGTTCCTGCCACTCACAATAATCCTTATTATTCTCTGAAAGACATGTTATATTTTTGTCATCATAAATATTTATTAATTACTGTTTATAGCACTGGGTTAGGTACTCATCAAGCAACCAAAAATAATTCTTACCATCTAGGATGCTTCCAATATAAAATATAGACAATATATAACCAGGTCAATTGGGAAATAGATCATTTCAGTATGATAAAAGATAGTATTCACATTAACAGTGTGAAAGGGCAGGAACAATAAGACACTTGACTCACTGGTCTTTAAAATGTAGCATCCAAAATGAGCAAGTGGAGAAAAGGTTAAACAAGTAGGTGACACATTTAAAAAACAAGTAGATGAAAGGACTATTCTCAAAAATCTTGTTTTATGTGAGAAACCATCAAATTATGAATTCCAAGTACTGTATTTTTTTTACTTTTCAAGGGTAGGCTCTCCTATACCTTATCTAAACAATTTTTCAAAATAGCCACAATTACTTTGTTTTCCTCTCTACACTAAATTGCCCTTTGCCTCTTGAGCGATTATCTTTTTCAGATTCACCTCAACTTCTTCAGGTTCAAGCGGACTTCACCTGTAAGCCCCTCTCGGTTCTCCCTCTTCTCTGAACTACTAATGGCCTAATTTAGCACAATTATATTGCTTTGTTCATTCCATGTATAGTAAAAGAGTCTACAAAACACATGCAAGCATTCATGCAATTATATGTTGATTTGTTCATGGGTCGACCCCAAAGTCTATTCTCCATCGCTGAAGCATGGAAGACAAATACCCTTCACTTCTTCAGAGGCATAACACATGCACTTCTCTTGTCATGGTGACAGGCATGTGCTGGTGGAGGTCAAAGAAACAGGAACACAAGTGAAATCGAGGTGAGTGTCAGGTAAGGACCAAAGCACCACGCCTACCTCATCTTTGCCCACAGAACACCCATTCTTCCCGTGTCCTGTTTCCCAGGACGTATCCGGGGCGGATAAGAAATCACCCGTGGGGAGGCGGTGAACTCCTCCGCAGGGGCCGATGCCCGGGACAGGGGCGGGGAAGGCTAATGAGGCGACTTGTGCGGGGAGGGGCCAAGGAGGAGCCCAGGTGTCCCGCTCCCGCTCGACGGCGCGCGCCTGCGCGAGCCCAGTTGGCGTCGCACCCTTGAGCGCAGCATCCCTACGCCAGCGAGTCCCAATACTAGGGAGGGAGGGAGGGAGGAGGGGCGGCCGGCCCCCCGCCCCCGCGCGCGGCCACGTGACGCCGGCTGAGGAGATTGGAGGGGCGGCTGCGCGAGGCTGCAGACTGGTGCAGCGCACTGTGCTGGCGGCTGGGCCTCCTCCACCTCCTCGTCTTTCTCCCGGGAACCTTGACGACGCCTTCCGCTTGGCCCTGCCTTCTGCCGCATCCCCGCCGCCGCGGCGCCTTGAGGAGCAGGAGAAGACGCAGCCGGGCCGCCGCCGTTAGAGGGGTTCCCGGCCGCCGCTCGCCCCGTCGGCCGCCACCGCCTCCGGGGTCAGCCCTCTCTCTGGGTCTCCGCTTTCTCCTGCCGCCAGCGCCCGCTCATCGCCGCGATGGGGCTCCTGGACTCGGAGCCGGGTAGTGTCCTAAACGTAGTGTCCACGGCACTCAACGACACGGTAGAGTTCTACCGCTGGACCTGGTCCATCGCAGGTAAAGCCGCTGACTTCCCCATCCTCGCTCGGTCCCCCGCGGGGGGTCACCGGCCCCTGGTCTCGCAGCTCCCGGGCCCGGCCCCACAGGCCCCCGCGCCCTGCGGCTTTCGGATGCTGCGGATCAGCGGAGGGGCCGGCGCGGGCACTGCGGTTGAGCACTGGTTAATCTGATCCGAATGTTAAGGCCTCCCCTCCCCCGACACTCGCAGGGTTTTCTTCTGAGCTCCCTCCATCTCTCATCAGCTCTCGGATGCGGGAGCTGACATATCAGATGGAGCCTGTGCAGCCAGGAGCTCCTCGCAGGAGCCGCCCCACCCTGTGCTCCCACATCTCCCGAGCTCGCCTCCCTCTTCCCCGTGCACAGGATTCCTTTTAACATTTAGTCCTATTTTGTATGGAGAGCGGGCTGGGGAGGAAGGAGGGCTTCAGGGGCAGCTGAAGGTACAGGAGGTTTCTTCAGCCTCCTGGTCGCTTTGACAGAACCCTGCTAATCTTTTCTTCTATCTAGCTCCTTCATCTATAGTATAATTCGGACTGAAAAGTAAAATAATATTGTTTGGCTCCTTGAACCTTGAAGAATGTTAGTTTCCGAGGCATTTTCAACAGCAAATATGTTTGAAGTGATTGTCTATAATGGCTTTGCGCACTGCAGTGCAGTCAGGGGGAGGGGGAGGCCAAAACACCGGGGAAGAAATCAGTCTTTAGGAAGGGGGTCTCTACAGCAACACCTAGAGGTTGTCCCAGATGCCTACATATATACAGTTCTTAAATCAGCAAACTTTTCTTTAGCTGTTGCAGTTAATTTGGCAGGGCTGTCAATTGTTTGATTTATGCAGCTTTCCTAGCGTCCAACTGTGATATTATATTTTTACATTGTACTGTTTATTTCTTCATTTGCTTCGCTGCTTTTGATTTTAAAGCATTTAAAAGTCTTTGAAATCTAAAATAAGGTTTAAAGGATTTCAGAAATGATTTTACGAGGTCAATTTTTCTGGTCCTTTTGCAGTATCACACTGCATCCTATCAGTGAAGGATATTAACGTTCCATCTTATGACTCTGCCTTCCCTACTTCGAAATGAAAATGTACTCCTGTAGTTTTTGTGTTCATTGTTGTTAGAGGAAATTAGACAGTGGTTACAGCATGAATGTAGTCCGATACATAGGGCTTATGTTTTGGGAAAAACGTATGCTGGAATTATTTTTGTGAGAGACAAAATGATTATTTGGCATTAATACTGCATTCACTTCTTTAGAAAAGTATGTTCTTTTTCAGAAGATCTCAACTTTGACACTGGGAAATAAGCTATTTAATAAGCCATTACAGCTGAAAATGGTTAAAAGGCAGTTTTCAATGGAGTGTTTCTTCAGTTTTTTTTTTTGTTTCTATGCGCTATTACACTGATGTTACACTGTACCTGCAAAAACTGGGAAAGATGTGCCCTTCCCTTCACGTCTGTGATTTCGGTTCTTTAAACGTTGCATCAGGGCTTCCCATTACACAATTGTATAGAGCTGAACATCAGACAAGTTCTTTAGCAGGTAATTGCACTTCGCACACCTAGGAGTCAGACACTGTTGAGATACTCCAGTCTCCATATAGCCAGAGCCACACCCAGGAGTTCTCGGTCCTGTCATTCCTATCCTATCCCGGAGCTTTCCCATCTCTTGAGTCTCAGAAGGAAAAATTGAGGGCAAAGGTAGAATACACCTTTCTGTGATGGTGAATTCCTTCCTGATGATGTTTGTGTAAAAGAAACCACACACACACAAATGAAACAGGAAATTTTGTGCAGTTGCCGCATGTGAAAGCTTGCTACTAGGCTTCGAAGGGCATATAAAATAATATAATATTGTGGGCCAAGCCTGAGAAGTGAGAGTAGCCTTAGAACACAAGTGACCTCTCACTAGCAGGCCGAAGGAAGGTATTTGCCTATGCTTTGACTATCCACTTACGAAACCTGAGACTGCTTCCTTGCTTTCTGTAATGAGCTACCTTATGTAGGCAGATGGTATTTCTTAACCAACAGAGAGGCTTAGTGGATATAGTCTGTTCTGCTGTACTGCTGTGTGAGGAGGAGTATTTTTCAGGTCCAGGCCGAATAGACCTGAAGTCTGTGGTGTCCCATTTACGTTTACTCTCCCTCATTCTATGCCCCTCGTGTTCCTTTTTTTTTTTTTTTTTTTTTTTTGGACTCATTCACTCTGCTCTGATTCCACCTCTCAGCATAATTTGATGAAAATCTGGGTGGGGGATATCAAAATAGAAAAGTAGCTTATAAGATGAGGTTAAACAAAAGTTGGTGAGTCAAATGTTTGGAAAGAAGGGGAAACAGAAATGGGCGGGATAGAAAGATGGTCTTGAGAAATAGTGATGAGTGTGGTGAAAGGATGCAAATTATTGAGGGAGAGCAAGAAATGAGGTAGGCTCCTTGTCCTTGGCTGCTCTCATTCCTAGTGCTGTAGTTACATGCTTCTTTCATTCTTTTATTAATTCATTAAATGCCATTTTGTGCTATTATATCAAATGGTGCTTTAAATATCCAAACATATCCAAAGCAATGTCTGAAAACTGGGCTTTTCAGAGGCACATATGTAGCAAATACAAAATATGGTCCATAATAATGTTAACAACAAAAATGTTACTTTTACTACAGTATTAACACTTTGTACATTGGAATTGAAAGTTTGAAAGAGCTATACTTTTAGAAAAACAACAAAAATAATTTTTATTTCTCTGTATTTGTAGACATTTTGAACGAGGAAATTAGCGTTGGTTTATGTTAAAGTATAGGCTGGTGTAGGACTTTATACTAGTTGTTAGTATTAGAGTAGGTATTCCATGTCATCATGTTAGTTTTTTTCTTCTATTCTTTCACTTCATGAGTACATTTAAATTATTAGGATTGGAGTCCTAGGCTCAACGTATACATCTAATAAAAGTTGTATATACATTTTTTAAACTGATGAATCTAAATATTCCCCAATCTATGAATACCCAACTTATCTACATTATTCATTTATTCATGCTTTTAATAAATGTTTAATAGCTTTTTTGCATACCTGACATTTAGCATATAAACACCCTAGAGAGTTAGTAGGATGCTTACGGTAAAGCCAGGTGTCTCCTGTGAGGCCATGTATCTTCTGACCATTTGTTTCTAAATAGCTGTTGTTCACAGGGTATGGGTGCTGTCTGTTGGTTGGGGGTGGTAATGATTGGCATTGGCCCTCTTTTCGCAGATATAGTACCCTGCATTTTGGTGAAAAAAATTGTCTACTTGGTAGTTGCAGTTAGAACATAACTTGCTGGGTCCTTGAATTAACTTTGGAGGGGTCAGAAAGAAGGGATGAGTGGTACAGGAAGAGGGAGGAGAGCTGTAGGATGACGAAATGTGGAAGCCAGGCTTATGATACCATTTCTTTCCGTATTTACTTGCCATGTACAGGCACAGTTCTAGGCTCTGGAAAGGAAAGGAGGACACTTGGTCACTGCCCTCATGCATCTTGCAAAGTCTAGGGGGTCACTGTCATTCCCCTTTCCTTGATATCATGGTCTGGAGGCAGTGTGATCTGTCAGACTCAGGACTAGCTGGGGCCTAGGGAAGATCAGAAAAGTCCTTCCCTGCTCTTCTCATCTCTACTTCTCCTAAGTGAAAGGAATATACAGTTGTTTTTAGAATATTTTAGCTGTTTCACCACAGTTTACTTCCCTCTACCCTTGAATGAGGAGTTGATGTGAGTACTGTCAGAGTATTTGGAGAGGCATACTAGGGCAAAAGGTGTCAAAGGCAAGGGGAACAGCTTGACTGAAAACCATGGAAACTGGGAAGGTGCTTAAGGGTCAGGCCAGTGAGTCATCCAGGTTTGATGAAGCTGGGGGCTAGTGGGAGGGGATGTTTAACTCAGCTCAAATAAGCTGAAGTAAAAGCAGGTTTGTCTTAGGGATTGCTAGGTCCCAGAGGAGCATGTATTTTAAGTATTGTACAGTATGCTTACATTAATTTTATTATTCGTCACAGTTAATGTTTAGTTTTTCATCTATGTTATTATCTAAAATAGGTTTATTTGTTTGGCTAAGCCTGGTAATGCAGTTTTCTTTGAATGTTTCTTTGAGAAAAGACATTCTGATTCCAAGTTGTAGGCAGCTAATTAAAAAAAAAAAAGAAAGAAAGAAACATCACCAGCTCCTAACATGGGATCTCCCTTGGTCACTGTTTTCAGTGACGTCCTAATTATCCTTTACTCATAAGCTCCTTGAAGCCTCTGGGATGTCCATGCCATTTTATGGTTTTTTGTTTTGGTTTGGTTTTTATTGTCTTTTCCTTCACCACAGTTTGATTTTTGGTGGTAGACTGCTAGACTTTAATAGCTAATGCTCTTATCCATTCCCCAATGATAGCATAAAGTAAAACATCCTATTGCAGATGGAATTCCAGGAGGGTAAACAATGCAGGTTCTAAAACGGGTGTCAGGACACAGTTTTAACTATTTTAACTTAGATTCTTTGGCTTAGGAAGACAAAGTTTTAAGAATTATGCAGATAATTATATCAGATGGCACTTTTGTAAACTTAAGAGCCACAGAGCACTTGGTCATCCTTTAAAAATTCAATTTGTTTTCTTATTTTTTTGCTCAAGTCCTGTGGATAATGTCACCTGTAAATGCTTTAACATTATTAACGTAAGTATTTTCATTTGTTAAGCCACTTATTATTCTGAATTAGGCATATATTAGCACACCGAAATGAGTAGTGTAACAGTCTATCTTTTTTCACTTTAGATGTTTTTTTCGTCTTCATTATCAGGACATTTTGCCTGTTAACAAACGAAGGTACTATTGTTTTATTTTCTATTAGAATATATATTTTAAAATCATGTGGGTTTGGATTTCAGAAAGGAGATGGGAGGAAACACATGGCCTTTTAAAGCCAAGGTCCACATTAACTTTCTCGCTTGATCCTTCAGTATTCCCCTGCCCAAAGACCTGCAGCTCTAGCCAACTGGGATAACTCACTGACCCTTAAGTAAAATGTGTACATGTCCACCTTTATGTTTCTCATCCCACCATTCCCCTTGCCTTTACCCACCTTTTCCCTGTTTACCTCTCCAGATACCTTTTACCAGAACCCAGTACAATAGTCCTCCTTTGCAAAGCCTTTCTTGTTTATGGTACCCTGGAGCAAGTTGTTGTCTCACAGGAGCTCATTGTCTTTAGTAATTACTCACGTATTTCCTGTGCCATTCCTTCTATGACCCTAGTGTCAAACTGTTTAAACTTTCGTTATTATTTACCACTTCACTCCTTTGTATCTTTCTCTCCAACATCAGAGATTATCACATATATTTGTTGATATGATATGTATCAGGAGATGACCCTCTTAATCTAGCATAATTTTGAATCATGATATATTGTGGTTGCTAAACATGAATAAGGCTTTAGACCACACTAAATTACAGAAGGTTTTTGTTTTTGTTTTTCATAGAGTGGGGATTTCACCATGTTGCCCTGGCTGCTCTTAAACTCCTGGTGTCATGTGATCTGCCCACCTCAGCCCCACAAAGTGCTGGGATTACAGGCACGACCCACTGTGCCCGGCCAGAGAGTTCTTTAAAAGAATGATATTTTTTATGAGTTGGTCATTAATTCAGTTGCCGTTCACTAAATTTAATGAGTAAATCAGGCCATTAAGTCATTTAGAAGCACAAAACAGATAAAAAATGAAGATTCCAAGACATATAAAATCAGATATGATTGTTCTCTTCATTGTCTGTGCAGAAGCATTGCCTTGTGTGGAAGTGAGGAGGGCAGTGTGGTATAGTGAATGGGAAGAATTCTGGACTGGGATTTAGATGACCTAGGTTTTAGTCCTGGTCTGCTGCTGATTTGCTATGAGAGTTTGGACAAGTTCCTTTGCCTTCCCAATTCTCAGCATTGTTCTCTGTAAATTAAGAGGGTTAAATTAGGTAATCTGTAAGGTCCTACCTGACTCTAAAAGTCTAGATATAGATATCACTTTCTTTATTCTTGGAATAGGTAAAGCAATTTCAAATAAATATACATTTATCAGGGATTCAGAAACCTCATTCTTTATAGTAAATAAAATTTTTTTCCAGCAAAACTGTTATCAACACTGCCTAAATAGTACAAATAACAGATTCTTATTTAGTTCTTTTTACTTTTTAAAATTTGCTTTATAAGAAATAGGTAGAGGAATAGAGCAACAAAAGTATACAGATATTTAAGCGTCTGTTTTGAAATAACATTGCTTTTGTTGCTGTAACACTATACCTGTTTAATTATCTGGATTCCTTGAATAACCAAGAGCCAACTATTTTATCGAAAACAGTAGCAATAATATTAAAGAATAAAATTATCTCAATTATATATTACATTTATTTTGTGATACTCAGCTTTTGAGGATGGCATATTATGTCGTTTTAGGCAAGTTATTCATGACTCTTTGGGTCTCTTATTTCTACCTGTGCTGTGAGAGGGTTGAACTACATAACCTTTAAGGCTTAGTTTATTGAATCCTTATAACATCTCCTAAAACAGCAGCCTAGATATCAGTCTAAACTCAGTCTTCATATTTTTCCAATAGAAAATGTGAAATTTTAACATACATCATTACAAATGATTTTCTATTATAAACACTTTATATATGAGCATTTTTTACTTAAGTTTGGAAGTATGGCTTAAGATTTTTGTAAAATTGATAAAAATGTGTAGGTCTTACAGAAGAGAAAACAAAAGAAACTAAATGGTTTTGGTATAAGTATGTTCCTTAACTAATCAAAATACAAATTTTTAAAATCTTTTGCCATATATTTTTCTTCATGAAATATTACCATTTGTAAACAAATACCTTAGAATGATGTTTTATTTATGATTATATTGTATTAGAGTAAAATTTTTGGAATTTGAAAGACAAATGCATTAGTCCACTGAGGAAATCAGTTACTCACTGTCAGGTATAATCACATAAAAGCATTTGTGATTTTGAACTGCAGAATTCCAAGAAACAAGCTTTTCTGTTTTCATTTTTATTCACTTATCAAACAAAAACTTGAGCACAGATGTGTGTTTTTAACTAATTTTATATATTTTTTCACACACGTACATAGCAGCATTATTCACAGTAGTTAAGAGGTGGAAACGACCCAGATGTCCAGTGTTGGATAAATGGATAAACGCAACGTGGTATATACATACAATGGAATATTATTCAGTCTTAAAAAGGAAAGAAATTCTGACATGTGCTACAACATAGATGAACCTTGTTACTAAGTGAAATAGTCTAGTCACAAAAAGATAATTATGTATGTGGCATTATGGTTCCACTTATATGGACCCTCTACTGTAGTCAAATTCGGGCTGGGCCCAGTGGCTCATGCCTATAATGCTAGCACTTTGGGAGGTGGAGGCTCAAGGATCACTTGAGCCCAGGAGTTCAAGACCAACATGAGCAACAAAAAAATATTAAAAATTAGCCAGGCCTGGTGCCATATGCCTCTAGTCTCAGCTATTGAGAAGGCTGAGGGAGAAGGATCACTTGAACCTGGGAGGTGAAGGCTTCAGTGAACCATAATTGTGCCACTGCACTCCAGCCTGGGTGACAGAGTAAGATCCTGGCCCAATAAATAAATAAATAAATAAATAAATAAATAAATAAAGTAGTCAAATTAATAGAAACAGAAAGTAGAAAGATGTTTGCTAGGGCCTGGGGAGAAGGAGAACTGATGACTTGTTTAATAGGTATAGAGTTTCAGTTTTTCAAGATAGAAAAGTTCCAGAGAGTCACAACAATGTGGATATGCTTAATGATACTGGACTGTACACTTAAAAATGATTAAGATGGTATATTTTATGTTATGTGCTTTTCTTTTTACCGCAATGCAAGAATTTCATATATTATAAAATTAATACATTAGCACCTGTAGAAATGATCTCTTTAGTGCTCAATGGTAAAACAGTCAATTCTTCTTTATTTTTTCAATTTAAAGTAAAATGACTTTATAAAGAGACTATATAGCTGTTGGCTTAAAAAAAATCCGAGTGGCTAGAAAGTAGCAAATAACAAGAAAGAAAACTTTAGCTTTGTATTTTGCTTTATGGTTTTACAAACAACTTCACAATAACTCTGGGAGATAGGCCTTGAAGGCATTTTTTCCATATATTTAGAAGTCTTTGAGATTTACAGAAGTTACGTAACTTTTGTAGGTGGTCACTATAGTGCAAATGAATGTGCATGGGTTGTTTTGTCCCTAGCCCAGTGCTCTTGTCTTCCCGTCACACTAGCCAAGCAAGAAAGAAATAATCAGGCCTGTAATCTGTGTTTCTCTTTTATTTTACCTTTTCTTTTATTGTTATCTACAGAGTATCACTGTTTAGAATACTAAATCTGAACAAAGTCATAATATTACCAAAGATCATCTAAAGAAAGACATCTAAATATTCAAAGGTGCTATAAAGGCTGGTGTATGAGATTAAACTACAAAGTGATATTTATTCATATACTATATACATACACAAATATGTGAATATATGTAGAATACAAAATGCGATATTTAGCCTGAGAAGATGGTTAACTTCCATATGACGGTGTAGGATTGTTTAAAAAAAGTGTATTCAAAGTGAATTATGAAAGTATTTGCCAAATTGCATAATACAAGAGCTAGAAACTTGTTAGTGAAAGGATAATGAAATTCATTCAGGACTAACCGTATTTTACCCAGTGGCTATTCAACTTATAGAACTGTTAGAGTCAAGGGAAGATTTTGGCTAAAGTTCCCATTAACTCACACACTCACACACTCTAATGGTATCTTCCATCTTTTTTGCTAAAGGGAAACACCATTTCAATTTTCTTAAAGCTTTGAGTTCATTGGCAGCATTGGGTGGATGGTTGAACTTGGAACTCCCAGATTAAGTTTTATGACTACTTTTTCTGAGAAGCCCAGCAAAATTGGAAACAAGGAGAGAAGGAAACTACTTGTATTCTGATCTTGGCTTCCAGGAAACGAGGCAACATTCTTCAGCTCTCTCTCTCGAGATATATTTTCTCCCTTGAAATTGTCTCCTTTTCCCTTATGAACTGGCTTTTATGAATAGGCCATTTTCTGAAGTCATGAATTTGGACATCACCTGCACTTGGGCATGGTGGCTCACGCCTGTAATCCCAGCACTTTGGGAGGCCGAGGCGGGTGGATCATTGAGGTCAGGAATTTGAAACCAGATATCGTCTGCACATGATGAAACTCACTACCATTTATTGAGCATTTAGTATAGGACCATTTTAAGATGCTGTAGTACTGTATTTGATACACCTTATATTTAATTTTCAGATCATCTCTATAAGTTAGATATTATTTAACCATCTATAGATGAAGAAATAGACTCAAAGCTACATAGCTAGAAAGTAACAGAGTTGGAATAGGATCAAGATCTTTCTCCTTCCCAACAGTGACCTTTTTATAATGCAACATAGCCTACTTATTTATTCAATAAATACCATTTTATTGCCCAGTAATAATAGTGAACATTTATTGGATGCTTACTAAGTGTCAGGCACTGTGTCCAGTGTTTTATATGTATTATCACATTTAGTCCTCATATTCCATTGGGCTCGGTACCGTTATTATCCCCATTTTCCAGGTGAGTAAACTGACTTTCCCTGAACCTGATTCATCTAATACTAACCCTGTCAAATTAAATCCCAGGGTAACCAGCCTTCAGCTCGAATCACACATTGATTCTCTCATCTGTGTTAACTGTCTTTTCTCCTTTACAGCTTCTGAATCTGTTCTTATTTTTTGCTTGCTCTAGGAAATTTTATAATTTCTCTCACTTTCTACCATTATTATGATCTCTATTCAGGCAAACTTGCAATGAAAATTCTTTTTCCCTCTGCTTTTTAACTCTGTCCTCCATTCTTTCAGGCTCTTGGGTAACTGTTATAGAACTGAGTTAGAGGAGACATCTTGTTTTAACCCTGTGCTGAATGACTCTCAGGGCACCTGCTCCCTCATACCTTGAGACATTGCAGCTTTCCCCTCTTTCACTGGTGAAGGTCTCTGTTCCCTCCTGTCTGCCCATCACATTCTGACTTCTTTGCCATTTTTTAGCCCAGCCTCTGCCTTATCTACCCCTGCATTCTGCAAAAGCTACCCTTTCCTCCCATTCATCCAGGTGCTCTTCCAAACTCAAACCTTCCATCCTCTTTTTTGAGTACATAGGGGTTAGAACAGAAATTTTCCCTGCTAATCATGCTGACTATACAGGAAACTGATCATGCTATTCTTCACCCACCACCTTCAGGATCTGTTTGTTTCTAGAGTGTGTCTCAGATTGTTCATTACCTGCCTCATTTGTCCAGTTGTATTTGAAGGGCCCTTCTCTTCTAGTTCTGCCTTTTTCACCTCACTGATAGACATGGCTTGAGGAATATATTAAGCATCACATTTTAGATTTGAACCTAGGAGAGGCCTTTAAGATGTATAGAGTTTACTCCGTTTGTTAGAAATAAGCTCTTTCCAAGACTCTTCTTGACAACCGTTGTCTACAGTTTTCATTGAAAATTTCTTTTAACAAATGTTTTGAAGACTCTTACATACCTGACATTGTTAACAGAGATACAGCAAGGAACAAGGGCTGTAGCATTGGCCCTCGTGACATTTATAAGAAATGGAGGAAGACATTGACTATTTCCTTAAGAAAAAGACTACAGTTACCCTTTGGGGTACTTGCAGTGTACAGTGTGACATACTAATAGGTAACCTTTTTGTGTAATCAGTAAAGGCAAATGGATTTTTAATATCACTTAGTATATTAGTGGTGATCAGTAGCCAGATGTTTAAAAAAAAGGAATTAATTTGCAACTGTTGGTTTTAACAAATTAAAGGATGGATAGTTTTAGGGAATAGTATAGTACAGACTTCTTGGTGTCTTGAATATACTCCTGAAGCTGCTCAATATTTAGCGATTGTTAGACTTGTGTTCTTCTTTTTTTATGGTAGATTAAACAAATGTAGATGGTTTTAGAAGATGAGGAAGTGGCTGATTTATTCGGATAGAATCTAGGAAGAAATCAAGTCAACTTTATTTTGTGACTTAATTGCCTGTTAAAGTAGGCTCACATTTCTGAGTAGACCAGAGCAGTGCTCCTTAGACTTTAATGTGTAAAGTCACTGTGGAATCTTATTAAAATGCAGATTCTGATTTAGTAGTTCTGGGGTGAGGCCTGAGATTCTGCATTTCTTGTAAGGTTCCAGGTGATGCTTTTCTGCTGGTGCATGGACTCTACTTTGAATAACAAGGGAATGGAGTATTCCTAATTTGTTTTGCAATCTACTGCTGTGTACTGTTATGGAAAAAGAAGAAGTTTTAAACATGCTTAAGTTATTAATGTAAAAATCAAATGCTAGATGTATTTAGATTTAATTATTTTTTATCCTAACAGGAATTTTGTGTGTCTTCTGGAACCGTATTATATTGATCAGTAACTGTTGCTCATTTTACCTGAATCAAAAGGGCCAATGATTTGGTTAATCTTATTATCACCTTCACTTTACACATGCGAAAATAGTGGCTCTGAGTTTCAGGTTCATCATCATGGGGCTAGAAAATAAATGACAGAGCTAGAATTTAGGTTTTTAATTCAAGTCTTGTCCCTCTCCCTGTATCAAGCTGCCTCTACTCCATGTGACTCCCCTTGCCATCATCTAAGATGATTTCCTACTGTATTCTTGTATACCTTTTCTTTAGTTCTTCTAGGGGTTTGGGTGTTCTAAAATTTTTTTAATTACTGTTTTTTCTTTTGGGAGATTATAGTAAAACTTTATTAGCTTAGCTTACTTGGGGAAGATAGTTCATTCTGACTGGTGGAGATCCTGATTTGCAAAAAGCTTTAAAAGAAATCAGAAAAAAAATTGGTCTATTAGAGGTTTTTAAGGAAGTTGCTTTAATAAACATACTGATAATTTGTTGTAAGTATTAATTATAGTTGTTTGTGTATTAAGTAGAAGTTACCTGGGTTAGTTGAAAACTATTAGATTACAGGCATTTTATTATTTATTAAAATCTGGTTTATATTGTCATGAAAAGGAGTTTTTAAAAATAGCCTCTCTAAATAATTTTAAAAATCAGAGTGAGAATTTTTATGTATTTTATCTCCTGAATAAATAAATACAGAATTATAAAATGTCTTCTCAGTCTATGTCATAAAATGTTTTTTTATTCTCAGTGTAAACTCTTCTAAGTTTAATTATTCATGGTAATTTTTATTTAATTTGGTTTAACTTTTCTCTTTGAAGATAGAGGAGGATTTAGTGGTTGATCAGTGTCAATAATAATGAAATGCCAAAAATTATTGAACTCTGACACTGTGTCAGATGCTGTATACATGTTGTTCTATTCCTCACAACAGCCCTACTATCATCTATAAGGCCAGGGGCACTAAGTAACTTCTTGGGTTTATTCAGCTGGTAAGTGAAGAGTCTAATGCTGGTAAGTCTGATTTGAGAGTCCATATTCAGAATATAGAACTCTCTAGGTTGAGAAGAAAAATCCTGGAAGACATTGAGGGGCTTGACTTTTAAGGGGAGGGGCTCAGATTATCTCTGACATGAGACATACTTTGTGAAGATGTAAATTTGGGAGAGAATAGGCTGCAGCAGAAGGGAATGCATGACGTCGTGGTATCCATGTGTGCTAGGAACCTTCGCATACTTTGGTTCATTTAGTTATCACATCTTAACCCTATGAAGTAACTATTTCCTCATTAAAAAAAGAAAAAGGAAGAACAGTTGGTTTTCCAGCTATAGATTCTGTTCTGCACCCTTTCCTTTTGGAAATTTCTCGGTCTTTGTGACATGGTTTTCTCTTTTCCTGCCTCTCTGGCTTATTTGCTGCCATTTCACCCACTCATCTTCAACTGTCCTCAGAGTCATTCCTTTTTCATGTTATTCTCTCACTGTACATGCTCCTTCCCTTGTGACCTCAAACTCTGGTGTGATTGTCATTGTCAGTGACCCCTCTGTGTGTCCACAGCCCTGGCAGTTCCTCTGCAGCTCCAGAGGCTACTGGACGCCTCCACCTAGCTGTCCCAAAAGTAGCTCAGATGCGAGATGTTCAACATTCACCTGATCAGTTTCTCCCAGATCTGCTCCTCTTCCTTTACTCTGTTATGGATCATGACTTCACTGTCTGTGTTGCCAGATAGACCAGAAATCTGGGAGTAATCCTGAACTTTTCTTTGACTCTCTTCTCTCACATCCACAACAGTCGTGGAGTCTGTAGATTTTACCCACGAAACCTTCGTATCTACCTATCCTGTTCATTGCCAGTGCAGCTCCCTAACCCAGGTTTCCATCATCTCTTATGTCCTAGTGGTCTCCAAGTCTGCCTGCCTGTCAGAATCACCTGGGGGAGCTCAGATCATAGTGTCCAGTCCCACCCGCAGAGATTTTGATTCAGTAGGACCTGGGAATCTATAATTTTAGCAAGCACATGATTCTTACATGGGTAGTCTAGTGGTAGACAAGTATTGAGAACCACTGATGCAGTTGGTTTTCCTGCCTCTTGACATATCCCCTTCCCCTCAGTCCACACCCCACTGCCTCTACCATGATCTTTTGAAAGCCAAAACTGGCTGGGTGTGGTGGCTCATGACTGTAATCCCAGCACTTTGGGAGGCTGAGGTAGGTGGGTTGCTTGAGCTCAGGGGTTCAGGGCCAGCCTGAGCAACATGGCGAATCCTCGTCTCTACAAAAAACACAAAAATTAGCTGGGTGTTGTGGCATGCACCTGTAGTCCAAGCTACTTGGGTGGCTGAGGCACGAAAATCGCTTACGCCCTGGAGGTGGAGGCTGCAGTGAGCTGAGATCATGCCACTGCATTCTAGTCTGGGCAACAGAGCCAGACCCAGTCCCAAAACAAACAAACAAACAAACAAACAAAAACAATCAAATATCTCTTCATTATCTACATGATAAATTCCAGCATCCTCAGTGTAGTTTGTAAGACCTCCTAGGGGATCATCACAGTCATTTCCTGCCCTCTTCCTTTGTATATATCCTCTTCATCATGTCTGCTTAGTTTCCAGATTGTTTTATTTCTTGCTTCTGGGCTGCTTATACATTCAGTTCTCTCAGGGTATTCAGATATTCTCATTTGCTTATATCTTGTCATTGTACTAAGGGAACTTTTGTAGGTCTTTCTAATTCTGCCCCGTGAAAAAAGACTTTTCTCCCTGTCTGCTTGTCAAATTCCTCTTCTTTGAAAAAAAGTTCAAATGTCTGTGTTTATACCCTGCCTTCTCCCCTTTTCTGTCCTACCACTGTTCATAAGACACTCCTCTGACATAACACTCATCACACTGCATAGCAGTTGAATTCTCATGTCTGTCTCTTCCTCTGCTAGTTGAGCATTGAGAGATCAGGGACCAAGTGATCTGGCCAAAATCACTTTGCTGCAAAGGAGTAGTATATGACTTTGGAGTATATGACTTACCATCTATTCCACCATGCTATGTGATCTTAAGATAAAAATCAGATTAAGAATAAAAACTTATTGGTGGAAGATATTCAAGGGAAACCCCATTTCAGGTGGACTCTATTTTTTTTTTTTGAGAAGGAGTCTCTCTCTCTCTCTCTGTCACCCAGGCTGGAGTGCAGTGCGTGATTCCAGTTCACTCCAACCTCCACCTCCCGGATTCAAGCAATTCTCCTGCCTCAGCCTCCCGAGTAGCTGGGATTACAGGCGCACACCACCACGCCCAGCTAAATTTTTTTTGTATTTTTAGTAGAGACAGGGTTTCACCATGTTGGCCAGGCTGGTCTTGAACTCCTGACCTCAAGTGATTCGCCTGCCTCGGCCTCCCAAAGTGCTGGGATTACAGGCGTGAGCCACTGCACCCGGCCCCCTCATTTTTTATAAAGGAATAATACGCAAATAGTAAAATTGACTCCTTTTAGTGAACAGTTTTTGAATTTTGACAAACACATAGTTACATAATTATTACGTAACCTTTTAATAAAGATAAAATTGTATGATTGCTGAACACATTAAATCAGTCCCTCTTGGCATAAGCTTTAAAAATCAGTCTCAAAATATTTTCATTACAAACTATTTATTAACTCTTTAAGGGTCCGCAAGGGTTAAGGTGTAATGTGCCTTAGTAATTCTCATAATTAAAATAAAGGCTTTTGCTCCTGAGCTCAATTTGCTATGATATTTGGCTTTAGGTTTGCTTAAATTTTGTTCAAAACTATCATGGGAAACCCATTACCAAAGGAGACAACTCCTTCTGTGTACAAAAGGGAAAGACCCACTGGTTAGAAATTTCCTGAATTCAGGTGAAATTTACTTTCCTATAACTTCTGTTGGTTCTAATTCCTCTCTCTGAAAATGGAGATTAAATCTGATTTCTCATAAGTTCTCTTAGTATTTGCTGAGGCCTCTTTCTCTTTTCCAGGCTTTAGTCTTTAGTCTTTTTCCCTTATTCTGTGTCATGGCTTTGAAGCATTCATGATCCTGGCCCAAGTCTGCCAGATGCTGCACCTAATGAAGTATAAGACTTGGCTCCTTTGAGTAACTCTTGTCATTCTTTCTATTGAGGGAACTTTTAAAAGTCTGTCTTATTTTCTTTCCCTTGAAAGAATAGTCTTAAAATATAGCATTTGTATCTATAATTCAGAAAAAAATCGATGGGAAATTCTCTCCCTTAAGATTAAAGTACATGGTGATTGAGTAGTGCCTACAACAGCTGCTAGGTTACATGAGGCTCTTGCTTTACGTGCAGTGGCAAGTCTCTTGACCTCTCTGAATCTCATTTTTAAGATAAAGGGATCATTTCTAAATCTAAAATTTTATGATTCTAGTTTAGGTAAAGGTTTACATGACAACGTGAAAGGCTTAAAATGGTTAATAGGCTCAAAATAAGAGCAAATTTATTAACACATGAAGGTACAAACATGTTAATAAGCATATTAATAGTATAAAATATAAAAATAATTTGATAAACAAATTTGATAATTTGATAAATTTGACGAGTCCATTTATATTTGTGTCATTTTTTCCCCCTCCACCCCACCAAAACTTTCTAAAGAGAAATTCCCAAGAATGCTACATAAAACATATTTGGATCTTTGTACTATTTGGCGACAGGGTTTGACTTCAGTTGGTGGTAGGAGAGGTAGGATTTTAGTCGAAGTTTTTCAGTCTTTTTTCTTAATGAATTAATGACATGGAATCCCACTGATAACTGTGTAGGATTAGGATGTTGACAACATAATAGAAATGTATCTCCTGTCACACTAATATGTATAATCTACATTTGGATTCAATACATAGCCCAAATGAGAGGATTTAATTTAGCTGTAAAATATTAATATATATTTTTAAACATTCGAGTTAATGAAAATATGGATAATTTAATATATTTAAAGTTTACATAAAATACATGAAGCATTAGTATTCATGATTTTCCTTTACTGTTTTAGCCCCCCAACCTTTTTTTGGTTTAAAACTCAGGTGGAACTGTTAGTAATGATGAATTTTCATATCGTTGTATGGCACTATTGTGACACAGCCCTTTTTAGTGGAAAAGGAAACATATGAAAGAAATATAGAATATTTGCATCTCATCAGAAGCACTAAAGGAAATATTAATGCAAATACATGCAGAAAAACAAACATAACTAGTATAGTATTATAACATGTAAAGACATGGAGGAATTTCATCCAAATATTATTAAAAGGTTGGGAATTGTTATGCTGTGGATTAGGGGTTGACAGTTACTGTAGCTTCCATGATAATCCTGGGAGGCTGAATTTTTGAAAGCTCTCTGACCCTGCTGAACTAGAAGGGCTAATTTGAGAAGGGTATGGTGTAAAATGTGGCCTTTTATAGGCTGAAAACAGGGATTTGTTAAGTGGTTGTTGAATGAATGCATGCCTTGCATTGTTGGGCAAAGAAGTGAGGGCATTGCTTTTTTCCCCTGGAGTAAGGAATGAAGTAAAAGGTCATTGAGCTTTGTAGAGCACATA
The DNA here is from genome assembly GCF_000001405.40 of Homo sapiens. Classification (NCBI taxonomy): domain Eukaryota; kingdom Metazoa; phylum Chordata; class Mammalia; order Primates; family Hominidae; genus Homo; species Homo sapiens. Next base: position 79,930,130 of record NC_000006.12, on the reverse strand, counting down.
TATTCACTAAATACTAGGTTGATGAGTTGTTGACTTGAGGATAAAGTTATTATGCCAGCATAGAGGAGGATCTGGGAAAAGCTCTAGGAAGGGTTCTTGGACACTGAGGAAACCTTGAATATCAACAAATGTGCTTTTGGATTTGGCAGAAAGGATAGAGAATAGAGGAATAGTGTGAAAAAATTATCTACTCTTTATTTATTCATCAAATATATTTTTAGGTACTTTGATAGGCCTTGCAATACAAGAATGAAACACCCAGCCCCTCTTTTCAGGGAGAAAACAGTTTAAAAGAAGGTCACTGGACAGTGTAATGAGTGCTGTAATGGAATAGTAACATGTGCAGGTGCTCTGGTCATGCAAAATGCGTCCCCTGACCAGTTAAAATTTTCTTGATCCAGTTTTCCTCACCATTAGTCTATTCTTCCTCCTAATAATTATTTTTAAAAGTAACAATTTTCAGAAGTTAAAATAAACCTAAATGATCATGTAGTTTGTTACTGCTCAAAAGGGGATGGTCCATGGAATAATGGCATAGCATCAGTTAGAGCTTCCTGGAAAATGTGGTCTTCTTAGAAATGGGCTGCATGGGCTGGGCATGGTGGCTCACGCCTGTAATCCTAACACTTTGGGAGGCCAAGGTGGATGGATTGCTTGAGTTTAGGAGTTTGAGACCAGCCTAGGCAGCATGACAAAATCCTGTCTCTACAAAAAATACAAAAAGTAATAGGGTGTGTTGGCGTGTGCCTGTAGGACCAGCTACTTGGGAGTCTGAGGTGGGAGGATGGCTTGAGCTCAGGAGGCTGAGCCTGCAGTGGACGGAGATCGTGCTACTTTACTCCAGCCTAGGTGACACAACGAGACTCTGTCTCAAAAAAGAAAAAAGAAAAGAAAAGAAATGGGCTGCATATCTGACCCACTGTCTCAAAATCTGCATTTTTACCATGCCCACCCGCCCCCCTCCCCAACCTGGTGATTCGTTTTCTCATTGAAACTGGAGAAGCACTAATCTGGTTCACCTACTTCCCATCCAGTTTTACAGATGGAGGAAATGAAGATAGATTGTGCTCCTAAGGTCCTATGCACAGTAGCAGAGCCAGTGTTAGAACTCAGCCAGTCAGCTGGTCATGGTGGCTTCTTACTAGTGCCTCTTTCCTTCTCTCTTTTGGAAATTCTCTGTTGAATGAGAGAACAACAGTGCACCACACTATATATAAAAAAGAATGAACATTTTTATTTACTTATAATTTGTGGCATCAGCAACTCAGGAGGCTGAGGCAGGTGGATCACTTGAGCCCTGGAGGTGGAGGCTGCAGTGAGCCATGTGTGCACCACTGCCCTCTAGTCTGGACAATAGAATGAGACTCCATTTCTTAAAAAAAAAAAAAAAAAAAAAAAAAAAACCCAGTCACCAGTCTACTTACTGGTAGGGTCTTGTGTGCTTTCTCTGATGCCTCTGTTATTTCCTGTTTCTCTTTACTTTTTTACTCTTCTATTGGCCTCTATTAGTGTTTCATATTGTAAGATCTTCAGCTTCTCACTAGTGTCTCTTTCCCTCTCTCCTGTGGTAGTCCTCTCTTTAAATTTCTCTGTTGAATGAAAACGATACAGCATACCACACTGTACATCAAAAAGAATGAGCACTTTTACTTACTCTTAATTTCTGGCAGAGGTTTGGACCTATTTCTTTAATTTTTTTTTTCTACCCGCTACTCAGAACTTTCTTTGAAGTCAGTAGGAATTCTGTGTGTGGTAAGGGTGAGAGATAATCTATGATGTTAGGAATTAAAATCTCCTCACAGATACATTTATCTTCCTTTCTTTGTTACATGGAGTATGGCATTAATCAGAGTACTTTTGCTCTTTGTATAAGTCTCATGGGAAAAACAGCGCCTGCCTTAAAGTTGGTGGAAAAGAACAGGATACCACAGCAACTCCTTCTCTGTGACCTAGAACAGAGAGTTTGTCTAAATGTTTCTTCTCTAATATAGGGGGTTTGTCTAAATCTTTTTTTTTCTATAATATAGAAAAAGAAATACCTAAGTAGATGCACACCTCATGTTTTATAGGGGGCCTTTAGCATAGAAAGATATGGTCATAGAATGATAATGAACATAAAATGATAAAATGCCATTAAGAAAAGTGAACAGTCACTGATAAGACCTTCGTGGCACAACGCCTTTTTAACAAAAGTCAGCCGTGCTATCTTTTAAGTCATTTCCTCCTTGTGAGAAGTTTACCATCTCTCCTGTGGTTCAAATATATTGGTTTATTTTTAACTCTGAAATGTGTTTGATTTGAGTGATATAGCCATAATCTCTATGAATAGTAGACCTCCTTTTAAAACTATGAAATAAAATCAGTTTTTCTGTTTTCCTGGTTCCCATATGTGTTTTTCTTTCAAGTCATTATCACCTTTTTTTCCCATATCTCGAGTCATCAAGCAATAGCTCACCTTCTTAACAACTCTGATTTCATTAAAACCATAGTTGTGTCATTTCCTGACTTTGCAAATTGTTTGATTAAATATTGTGTTTCGTATCTTGTATCTTACTGTCTATTGACAGTATATAGACACAGATTAATTTTTTAAGTAAGGTATTTTAATACCTAGTTCACTAATCCAGAAGCATTTTGCATATACAGGCTTTAGTAAAAATGACAGTTTAAATAGGGAGTTATTATGATCAACAATTAAGTTAAATTCATTTAGGTTGGTTCTAAGAAGTTGAATTTTCTTTTACTACTTTAAAAATACATTATTTCTTCAAAATACGACATAAAATGTTTTGCATTGCCAAGAATAAACTAGAAATTAGATTTGCAACCTTCAACTGTTGTTTAGCTTTTAGAAATATAAAAATTAATATTAATATATTTTTATAATGTGTTAAAAGATGAATTTTTGTTAATCCCATCCATATTTCATTATCATGCTTGTTTCAGAAATGTTTTACTTGTGGCAACATTCCATTATAAAATTGATTTATGGTTGTGTATTTGAATATGCTGGACAATCAATTCATTTTAAGTAAAATAATGTGTTGCATTTTATATATATAGTTACACATATGTAAGTTATGCGATTTACAGCTCTAGAGAAAAACATTCAAGTTAGTTATTCATGGGAATAAAATAGGTGCATGTTCTCAATGAAAAAGTTAGAAAAATGTCTTGAATATGGTGACTGTTTACATTATAGAATTGTAATTAACCCTAACTTAATCTCTCAGTGCCCCTGTACTCTTGTCTTCAGTGTCTCGAGATATTTCAGCAAATGGCTACCATCGCCCCGTACGTACCTCTCCAGTTACATTCTTGCCTGCTTTAGGAGTGGACACACAGAGCAGCCTCCAAGCTGCCCTGATAAATTTCACGTGTATAATATGGAAGACAAATGTTTCCTTAACATATTTATTTTCTGTGTATGAAGTTTTTCATTAACTTTTCATCCCAAGATAACCACCTCTGTTTTTAGTGCGCTTTATTTCTTGTTTTTGTTCTGTAGGGTCTCTGTAAAACATAATGTGTGACATAAGTAATGAAGCATAATTTTCAAAAGCCACTTGCAGGAGTCAGTATTGTTTCTTTGGTTTTTATACCATGTATTTTTTGTTGGGACTCAAAGGACAGTGATCCGTATTTAGTCAAATTAGGAAATTAAGTTGAAACATCTTGATTCCTAAAAAGTGTATTTTATAAAACATTTACTGATTAATGAATTTTATGGTATTTTGTTCTCTCTATAGATAAGCGTGTGGAAAATTGGCCTCTGATGCAGTCTCCTTGGCCTACACTAAGTATAAGCACTCTTTATCTCCTGTTTGTGTGGCTGGGTCCAAAATGGATGAAGGACCGAGAACCTTTTCAGATGCGTCTAGTGCTCATTATCTATAATTTTGGGATGGTTTTGCTTAACCTCTTTATCTTCAGAGAGGTATGTTTTTAAGATCACTTTAATAATTTTCCAAGGTTATTGGAAATTTAAAAATGAGAATGTGTAAAACCATCATTGTAATATTTTACCCAGACATAACTGTTAGCTACTCTAAAAGTACATTTTTGACATTTTTCACTTTTGAATAACAAAAATATTAAACATGAGGTATAGGAAAGTTGTTTAAAGTGGAATTTTGAATAAGACCAACTGGATTCTAAAGTAACCCTTATTAGCTGTTCTGGCATTGAAAGTTATTTAACTTTTCTTAGCCTCGTTTTCCCCACTTAAATACCTACCATCTCAGGTTATTATCGGAGTAAAGTAAGATAATTTTTGCATAGTGTTTGGCACGTATTAAGCACTCAGTAAACAGTAGCAGCTATTTATTTATAATTCTTATTCAGTAGTTTCTGGTTTGGTAACTGATCAAAATATGCCAATTTCAAGTAAATCCTATTACATAATGTTGTATTTTGGGCTGGAATTAAAATGAATTAACTGCCATATAGCTGTTGTTACTAATCATTATATACTTTTCTGGGCACTAGCAAATTCTCCACAACATTTTCAAAGGAAATCCTAAAGGCTAGATTGACACAGCCATTTTTTAAATTGCATATGTATAAAGAATTTGTTTCCTAAGAGACTCATTAAAATTCTGTATGAAGCCAGAGAACTGACTAGTAATGCTAGGAAAATAAACAATAACTCTTCTTAGAAAAAGAAATATTTCTTTACTTGAAAACTTAGCCTCGAGTCTCAACTTCATGAACACTTTAATTTATTTGGATACCTGTACCTAATTTGTTAGATGCAAACCACTCTGGATCAAACATAGAAACCAGTTAAGGTAGGACAACTTTGAAATCTGAGTCCTAGCAATAAAAATTTCTCTTAATACTGTGAAGTATTTAATAGATAGAGTCAATGTTCAGTATAAAATTTACATGTGATTTTTAATTTAGATTTTAATTATAGAACAAATTAATGCACAGTAACTTCTAGCAATCGGAATGCATGAAATTTTTAATGCATTTGAAATTTTTAAAGAAAATATTGTGTTTAAAATAATTTGAAAGGCTACATTTTGTATATAATTGTGTTTTTAATGCTGTGTTTACTAAAACTTTACTACAAATATTATTACTCTTTTTCCAGTTATTCATGGGATCATATAATGCGGGATATAGCTATATTTGCCAGAGTGTGGATTATTCTAATAATGTTCATGAAGTCAGGGTAAGTACATTAAAAATACTCTTAATCAGTAAAAGTGGTTTGATTTTTATAGGCCCCAGTCTGTGAAAATATAGAATGTACTTTTTTTTAAGAGACAGTTTCTTTAACATTCATTTAGAGACAGTTTCTTGCTCTGTCCCCCAGACTGAAGTGCAGTGGTATGATCATAGCTCACTGCAGCCTCAAACTCCTGGGCTCAATTGATCCTTCTGCCTCAGCCTCCCAAGTAGCTGGGACTACGGGTGTACCCCACCATGCCTAGATATTTTTTTACTTTTTGTAGAGACAGGGTCTTGCTATGTTGCCCAGTCTGGTCTTGAACTCCCAGCCGCAAGGGATCCTCTTGCCTCAGCCTCCCAAAGTGCTGAGATTACAGGTGTGAGCCACCACACCTGGCAAAATGTACTTTAATATGATAGTGAAATTATACTAGATTGTTATGAGTCAGTAAAACTATGCTTTTTTAAAAAGTACTTAATTTAAAATTTGTTTTTGTATCTCAAAAATGTTTTTTATTTTGCAGCATGAGTGAATATGCATTGAATTACTAGAATGCAGTACTTGTTAAAGCAAAGAAGTCTCATGTTTATTTTAAAGACATTATTTTAGATTTTTGTTTGTTTGTTTTTGCTCAAGAGTAGAAACTCTTAGAGTCCAAGTTATGTGTTAAGAAAGTGAGGAAAAGTAAATGTTTTGTGAAGTGTGGAATATTTAGGAAATTAGGCATAGAACAATTTGTATTGGCATAAACTCAGTTTTTTTATATTTGCAGAAAAATAAAACACTAGTAACAAGATGTTATATTTTATTTTCCATTCACTTACATGAGTAAAATTAACATTAAGCAAAAGAAACAACAGATTACCTTATTCTATTACGTATTTATTGAACTCTTCTTATATACTGTGGTTCATACTAGAAATTACATATAAAACATAACATGTTTTATGTTACCTATAGTATATGTAGTAATAATATCTAGTGGCTTCCCTTGAGAAAAATAGTTTCCTGGCATGGGGAGTGGACAATATATAAATATCAGTATTCATCAAGACTGGAGACAAAATTGGTTTAATGTACTTAACAATTTTATGTACGTATCTTCATTTCCCTATTAGAAGACTTATGGACTGATGAAAAATCACCTGTCTTGGTTGTCATGTTGGTTTTATTTATTCATTAAATATGTATTGAGCATCTACTATATGTTGGTACTGGGGACAGGGGTGAAAAGCCCTGCCTTTGTGGGGCTGGCATTTTAGTGAGGGTGAGAAGGCAGACAGCAGCCATGTAAACAAATGACTAAGGAGGAAATAAAACCTAGAAGGTGACTGAGAGAAAATGAGAGACTACTCAGATGTATTGGCTATGAAAAATTTTCTTCTGATAACTATTGCCAAAGAATCTCTTCAGTTGGAGGGCTGACTTCTTGCTTGCCGTAGGGAAGGGAACAGGGATAAGTGTTTGACTGACTGACTTCTGGGAGTATGCATAGAAAAACCCTTGGGTGGGGCAACATATTACTATTTTTAGGATAAAGGTTTAAAAATACCACTCTCACTTACAGATGTAAATTTTCAAGTCTTTAAAAAATGAGCTATTATGAGAACTGTAATCTAGGAGGATAAAGAACCTGAGATTTGCAACAGATTTCATTTGAAATCTTCCTCGTGCTCTCTTCTCCTCTCTAATATGGGATGCAATAGAGTGAATATTTTACGCAGAGACTCATTTCTGTATTCATTGTTACGTAGCCAAGAAGTATCACTTTTTGGTGTAGTTTATTTAAAGATATCTAGTGCAGTTTGCAAACTAAGCAGACTTATTTGTTGTTATTTTATGTGAATTGTGGCAAATGTAGAGGTCCAGATAGAGGAGAAATAAGAGATTGTATCTTTCCTTCTAGTTAAAGGTTACGATGCCAAAATGGTGACAGTTACTTTATTTTAAAGAACTAATATAATAGTGAATATTAACTATAGTGTTGCTGGGAGTAGTTAACTATTTCAAGCTTATTTTCAACCAATTCATATCATTTTTAATGATATTTTTCAAGTAAATTCAGTAAATAATTCTCAGTTTGTAAATACTTTGTTTCTTATATGCTTTCTGTTTCTTCTTTCCCCATACTTTAAAATTATAATTTTGTTTTTCAAATGCAAAAGCCAAAACAAACAAAAATCTCATGACATATACCAGGTGCAGGTATAAAATGCAAAGGGATCCTTCAACTCTAAAACACCTAAGCCTGTCTGTGAATGAATCTGACAGGGCCCTAACACATGAAAGCTTATAAATAGATTTTAGTTATGTACTGCCTTAATTGTTATTTGCACATAGGATGCTTATCATAGAAAATACTTGACATAAAAAATTAAGTTTGGTTTACTGTTACAGTAGGATTCTTGTAAAACATTTTAAAACATACAGAGGTCACCTCTCACTGGATCCTTAATCTCAGTATGTAATGTAATCTTTCTGTACCATCTGGTGCCTTAATTAGAGCCCAGGAAAAGAAAAGACTTATTCATGTAAGCAGGATTATATTTATGACCTGGGAAATATTTGTTTGTTCATTCCAATTTTTTATTTTAAAGATTTAATACCTAATACAAACTGCTGTGATTGGATATTTATGTTGTTGCACATATTGGTGCAGTCGGAGAGGTGAGGGAGAGAGGGAGGTGAGGGGAGAGGGTGGGCAGACAGGCAGACACTTGTAGAGACCAGTTGCTACATGAACTTACTTGCAAGTTTTTCTGAGGTAGTATAATGTAGGCTAAGCATGAACAACTAAAATCATTTTACAAAGTAAACATCTTAGTTCCTCTACCAAGTTGAAAAGCACAGCAGTCTGAATGTGCTTCCAGCTCTGTATTCAGCAGTTTGACACTATGTAACATCTACCTATGGAATAGACAGAAAATGTTCTCTAACTTATTGGCACTGTATAGATAGAGCTTTGGACTCTTTCTTTTCTATTTTTCCCCATGGAGAGATGCTTAGGTTTTTCAAACCTACTTAGCCATTAATGATTCCATGCCTTGTACATTTTGTGCAATATACAAATGTTTATTTTGGACTTACTTACAATGAGTATAAACCCATACAATAGTGTCATTTTGGTGTTTATAACACGCTTTCCCTTTTTACAGATAGCTGCTGCTCTGTGGTGGTACTTTGTATCTAAAGGAGTTGAGTATTTGGACACAGTGTTTTTTATTCTGAGAAAGAAAAACAACCAAGTTTCTTTCCTTCATGTGTATCATCACTGTACGATGTTTACCTTGTGGTGGATTGGAATTAAGTGGGTTGCAGGAGGACAAGGTGAGCATTTTCAGGAATATACTGCTTGCGTTTAATTGCATATATGTGTTCAGTGGAAAGCAATGAGAACCTAGGACTTTGACTTGATCTACCATTTAACTTGCTTTCATGGTTAATCATTTCCATGTTCATTTCTTTTTTTTTTTTTTTTTTTTTTTTTTTTTTGAGATGGAGTCTCGCTCTGTCACCAGGCTGGAGTGCAGTGGCGCGATCTCGGCTCACTGCAACCTCCACCTCCCGGGTTCCAGCGATTCTCCTGCCTCAGCCTCCTGAGTAGCTGGGACTACAGGCACACACCACCACGCCTAGCTAATTTTTTGTATTTTTAGTAGAGACAGGGTTTCACCATGTTGGCCAGGATGGTCTCGATCTCTTGACCTTGTGATCCGCCTGCCTCGGCCTTCCAAAGTGTTGGGATTACAAGCATGAGCCACCACACCCAGCCATCATTTCATTTTTTAAAAAATTTGAGGCAAGTATAACTTTTGCTTTTTATCTGTGACTACTTTAATACCTAAAGATTTGCCCCAGAGATGAGCATAAACCAAGACTAAAGGTAGAAAACAATATTTTGATGGGGAACGGGTCTAGTAGTTCTGATCCAAAGAATACCAAGACACAGCCCCTCAAATCTGAAGATTTCCATCTTAGCCCATAGCTCACTCCTGCCCTAATACAGATTGAACATCCCTAATCTAAACATCTGAAATCCAAATGCTCCAAAATTCAAAACTTTTTGAGCACCAGCATGATACCACAGGTGGAAAATTACACACCTGACCTCATGTGATGGGTCACAGTCAAAACACAAGTGCAGAACACACTTTATTCAGTATACCTAAGGGAAAAAAGACCCTCTTAGCCCTTTTCCATGTACAGCATAATGTTGATGCCAAACAACCACAGATAATGTCCACACGGGTGACATCTTTGCTTTCTGATGTTCAGAGTACACAAACTTTGTTTAATGCATAAAATTATTTTAAAATTTTATAAAATTACCTTCAGGATACATGTATAAGGTGTATATGAAGTTTTGGATTTAGACCTGAGTCCTATCCCCAAGACACATCATTATGTCTATGCAAATATTCCAAAGTTTAAAAAAATCTGAAATCAGAAACACATCTGGTCCTGAGCATTTTGGATAAGGAATACTCAGCCTGTATAGGTCTTGTTGGTTCTTATTCAAAGGAAATTTTATATAGCCTTGTTAATGTTAAAGAGGATCTAAATTCATAGCTTGGCCAAGATCTGCCTCCTGTCTTTTCAGATGCCTGTAGATTAAGGATGATTCACATTGTTGAGCTTGATGCAGATTATTCCTCTGAGGAGGATCCAGGGTACAAGTCATTATAGTATAGTTCACCTTGCTGCTTTCCATTGTCATATTATGATAATTGGCAGCTTAGGAATTCATACATATATTATTGGGGGCCCAGTTTAAAACAATACAGTTAAAGGCAACTTCTGTAATTTTAAAAGAAAATTAGTAAATCTGAACTGACTTAGATCACTTTATGACAAAAATTAATTATTATTACATCTATACCTTGATTAAATTAATATTCTGAAAAGAAAGAATGTCATTGAGTTTGACTGACTGGAATATCTCTGTAGATTTATCTATATTAAATGAATTATTCAATGTGTGTAGTGCTGTCATATTTTAAACTATTTAGAAACCTAAGAAATAAGTACTGTTTTGTTGCAGATATATATATTGGCACATCTAAAGGCAAGAATAGTAGAATTAAAAGTAACATAGGCAACAGTTCTAAGGGCCTATTTAAGCTCACTGGAGTACTCCATTTGAAAACCTACAACTGTGAAAGTCCTTTGCATTTGAACATACATTTTTATTTATATGGTAAAACCTCAAATCTAAACTTTAAAAATATCTAGCTTAATCTGAAGGGAAAACTTTTTCATTAGTACTACTTTATATTTTTCATTTCTAATCTGTACTCAAGATTAAATATTAAAAAATAATGTGTATTCATTTATTGTACATCTCAGTGGCTTACTGCCTAATAAAATTTTCTGTATCTTGTAATTACCTGTTGTTTTTCTAAAGCATTTTTTGGAGCCCAGTTGAATTCCTTTATCCATGTGATTATGTACTCATACTATGGGTTAACTGCATTTGGCCCATGGATTCAGAAATATCTTTGGTGGAAACGATACCTGACTATGTTGCAACTGGTGAGTTAAATGCTTCCAAAGTTTCTTCTGGTAAAATACTGAAATTGTTTAAATTTGATTAATTTTAAAGTGCAATGTCATTTTAGACAATTTTCTATTATGAAATTAACTTTATCCTCCAGCTATATCGCAGTTATGCCCACTTGACTCTAGATGACCTATTCATAGACTTATTGGTCCCAGCAAATCTTTGTTTTTATAATATGCTTAAAAGACTAGACATAGCCCTTACTCCTCTAAGGAAAACATTCTCTAAAGATGTTTGTGGAAAGGATGATTAAAGATCTAAGCACGCTACAAAGTACGTAGTATGAATAGAAAAATAATATGTATTTTTTCCCTACAGGTGATTTTCTTAACTTAAAATTTTATTACCTTTCTTCATCTTGTCCTTGCTTAAAAATTTTGTTTTTTATTTCATTTTTCAGTCTTTAACATATCTCATATATTTAGACTAAACAGCTGAAAAGAAAGCACATAGCCAAGGAAGGGGTGGGGCAAAGGAAGGGAATAAGGGCAAGAGAACTCCTTGTAATTCTCTAAAACACTGTCCTTAAGAGAGCAGAGACAGATATTTTCAAATGGTGGTCTTTAGTCCAGACAGTTTTCAGCACATCCCGCTAGTAAGACTGTTTGTGGCAATCTGAGTGTGTGCATTAGTGTACCTTTCAGATGCTAGGCACTAGCCTGTAATCAAACTGGAAATTCAAAGCCAACCTGGTAACTATTTTTCAAGCTTTAGAATTTATTATAATTTGCTTTAATCATAGCATGTGCACAATTTTATCAGTGGAATCACATTTGGAAATAATATTCATCTTTGCTTTAAGTTGCTAAACAGCTGGCTAACCAAACAGGAAGCACAACTTTTGGGAAATGCTGGGTGCGAAGGATTCATTTGTAACCGGAGTGGTATAGGAAGCTTCCTCCAGTTTTTGTGTAAAAGCTGTTAACACAGTTTGTGTAATTCATTTCTCTCAGTAAGTAGTAAATGGACCTAAGAAAATGAAGAGGTGATCAAAATCATGTGAATTAGTCCTATCTGGTTTGTTGGAGCCTACACCTGGCTCTCCTTGAGTGATGCCATACCCAATCACACCCTTATACACACCCTTTTTGGTGATGCAGCTTCTAAAAACCATTGTGAAACCACAAGTTCTTCAAATTAAAATATTTGCCAAGGAAAATTATAAAAGTTTAATATAGTATAAATTTTTAGCTTACATGGCATACATTATTTTAATATTTAAAATAAGTAATACTGATTATTTTAATCAATAATTAATATTTTAAGAACAATGCTATCCTTAAAAGAGAAACCACAATTGTCCATTTCAAACAGGATGTTGAGTTTGTATTTCCAAGCCAGAAGTTCCCACAACAGTTAGTCATATAAGTTAATTGTATAAAAAGTTAACCCTTGTTAACATTATGTCTTGACCCATTCTTTTATTGATACATCAGAATCTATTTCATTTTAATCATCTCACTTTGGGCTTTTTTCCTTTTAAAAATTCTTAAAGTTGAAAGTGATTCTTTTTGTATTTATTCTGAAATATCTACTAAATTTTATCCAAATATTATTTTTTTCTTTTTTTGGGACGGAGTTTTGCTCTTGTTGCCCAAGTTGGAGTGCAATGGTGCAGTCTGGGCTCACTGTAACTTCCGCCTCCTGGGTTCAAGCTATTCTTCTGCTTCAGCCTCCTGAGTAGCTGGGATTACAGTCATGGACCACCACACCTGGCTAATTTTTTGTATTTTTAGTAGAAATGGGGTTTTACCATGTTGGCCAGGCTGGTCTTGAACTCCTGACCTCAGTTGATCCACCCGCCTCGGCCTCCCAGAGTGCTGGGATTGCAGGCATGAGCCATCGCACCTGGCCATCAAAATATTAGTTTTTAAAGGATAGTGTTCGTTCAAATAAAAATTTACCTGCCTACTATCTGTAAGAAATAAATGAGCCATTTTGATAAGCTCATTTTAAGTATGTGTATCTGCTTGCTGACAATTTGATAGAAAGAAACCAATGTAAAATGTGGGAGGAAAACAAAATTGAAGAGCCTACAATACTATTACTTTACTCTCCTAGGCCATTGATTCCCTTTCATCAGATAACATTATTCAACACATATTCATTGATCCTGATGCTGTGCTGAGGACTCAAGAATCACCGATGGGCAAGACAAAGCCCTGCCTTCTAGAGTCATTTTCTAGTGGAAAGATAGGCAATAAAGAAATAACAAATACAGAAGACAATTTCAAATAGGTATAATTCTCCTTAAAAAAAATGCAGAAAGCTCTTTGGTTAATGGGATTGGGAGGGCCAATTGAAATTGAAGTCTTGTCAGAGAGTCCTTACTGAGGAGATGGCATTTGAGTTGTGAATGAGGAGCTAGCCATGGGAGCCAGAAAACAATAAATTTTGCACAGTGTGGCAAAATTTGGGCCTGTGATAGCTATGTAGAAGATGCCGATGTTGTTAAAAGTTGTTTACTATTCAGATTAAATGTTTTGTGCTGTCATTTCTGTTTTTCAGATTCAATTCCATGTGACCATTGGGCACACGGCACTGTCTCTTTACACTGACTGCCCCTTCCCCAAATGGATGCACTGGGCTCTAATTGCCTATGCAATCAGCTTCATATTTCTCTTTCTTAACTTCTACATTCGGACATACAAAGAGCCTAAGAAACCAAAAGCTGGAAAAACAGCCATGAATGGTATTTCAGCAAATGGTGTGAGCAAATCAGAAAAACAACTCATGATAGAAAATGGAAAAAAGCAGAAAAATGGAAAAGCAAAAGGAGATTAAATTGAACTGGGCCTTAACTGTTGTTGACAGTGAGGAAAAACTCCCATATCATATAAAATTTCAGGGAAAACAGAAGCAAAGGAGAGCTTGGGGGTGGGGAGAAAAGACAAATGTGCTCTATGTCCTAGTAACTCTTAGACTGAGTAAAGTGTTAATACCATACCCAGATGTTTTATTTATGAAGTTTTTATTTTAAACATTTTTTTTAAAAATTAGCCTTGATATTCTCCAGACCAAAGCAATCATTAAGTGACTTTGGGGATTCTCCCCCTGTTCACATCCAGTTGTCTAAAGGATGAGATTTTTCATGTATCTTATAGTCACTCATTCTTCGGTCTGAATTTTAGACGATCACAGAAACGGTCTTTATGAATTATTTTGATAAATTACTAATTATCTTATCTACTGACTGAAATCAGTGGTGTTACATTTTCTTGTCCAAAGCTGAAAATGTGTATACACTTAAACTTGCACATTTGAATTCATTTGCTGACCGGAATGGTCAAATCTCTCCACCTCTAGTCAGAGTATAATTTTGGTTGTAATTAAATTTTTAAAATCTGCTGATCTCTGTAGAATCTTAGAGGCTTGATGATGATGGTGTTGGTGAAAATAAGAAAGAATTGCAGTAAAGTCTTGTCTGGTGACCCAGAGATCACCATGACTTGAGGCACAAATCACTGTGGGGAAACAATTTTTTGTGATGAAAAGGCAGCATTTGAATACTCCTGTTAGTAGCAGAAATATATTATGAAAATTAAGATTATTGTCTGATTGAAACATGAAACAACTCATGTCTTTATTAGTAACATCATAAGATAGTTACATTTATGTGCTGTTAGAATATGTTGATTTTTATCAGGCTTTCCTTGTTTTGATTTATGGCTGTTCCTGATTTTTCATATGTGGAAATATACCTACCTCTTCCGTTGGAAAGAACATTTAAAATTAAATAAATTTTAATTAAAAAATCAAGGAGTCTTCTAATGTAAATTTTAATGTTAACTTTCAAATCCACTAGTATTTTTTTTGCTTTTATGACAAATAGCATACACCAAACATTTCTGTGAAACTATCCTTCTCTTTCAATGTGTTTAATTTTGGAGTAACGTTTTCCTTGTGACTAAGTTGCAAGATCTTATTTATTAACTAGGTATGAAGTATAAACCCATTTTGGTGCAATATTCTTGACTCCTTGGTGCTAAAGATTGTTAAATTCAATGCTTGATGTTACAAGGTGTTGTTAAAACACAAAATGAATAAAAGTGAGAGTAGTCAGAACTATAACATTCAATTTGCTATTTACAAATGAAGTATTTCATGTAATATAAGTGAACAACTGGAAATAAAGTAGGAAAGAATTTGTATCATGTTTTACTACATAGGTTAATTTTTTAAGGGATGTTGCAAAGGGATTACTAGAGAAAGACAAAATGTGACCAAAAAAAAGCATGAATATTTCTTAAGTATCTCAACAACATGTCAAAGCTGCATGTGTAGGATGTATGCTGTTTGTACAAACTATTTCAGAATATTTTGTAAGCTATAACATATTTATTGTGCATTAAAATTAAATACTTTTTCCCCAAAGGCATGCAGTCATGAGAATTACAGAAAATTTGCAACATATAAAGTAGTTTGATCTAAGAGGATTCAACACCTTTGTTTTGTTGCTCAGTGTGTAATGACTGAGATTTGTAAATCTTTGTGAACATTCTGTACTGGTTCCCAAGAGCTATTCATTCCCTGCTACCTGATTTCAGCACAATAAATATACTTCTGCTGTGGGAAAAATATGATTTTTTTTTGTTAATCAGTTTATTATAATGTAAACTGTCTGCTAGATGTTTATTTGATTTAGTTAATTCTAAATTGTTTTCTGCTGCTAATTTCTTATATAGAAAAAATCAAACTAGAACTTGGGTATCTACCATTTCTGGTAAAAAGCTTATTTTCTATAGTAGCATATTTTTACTTTAAAAATTAGCTGCTTTTGGAAGAGCTTTTCATTCAGACATAAAACATACCATTTTCTTCTAAATTATTCTTAACATAAATGGGGAAGTTCTTGTATTCTTTCATTTAAATCATTCAGTCCTTACTATAAGTTTCTTTATAGAAGATGATTATAAGATGTCATAAATACAGCCTTTTCCAGTAGCTTTCATAATTTCTCTATTATCACAGATATGTTGCATGCCTTATATCTAGAAACTGATGAATAAAGATTGTGTCTCCTACTTGGTAAAACTTTGTCACTAACTAAAGTAACATTTTCTTACATAGAAGACAAGGAATTTGTTAAATACTTACAATAACTAGAAATACCTGAGACATGTGAGTTTTCCTCTATAATAGATGACCATAGCTCTTTCTCTTTCCTTTGTTACTTCTTCATTTTTTGGTAGAAATGAGATTTCACTATGTTGCCCAGGCTGGTCTTGAACTCCTCACCTTAAGCAATCCTCCTGCCTTGGCCTCCCAAGTCTGTTACTTTTGACTGTTTTGCTGATGGAAACTAACAAATGACTAGTTTTAGTTTTAACATTATTAATTCATTCTCTTTCTCTTGTTGTGCATGCTCTCAAGGTATTCAAAAATATTTTAACATGGATTATTATGTTTGTACTTTAGAACATGGAATCTAGCAGTGCTTTTAGTTTATTAGGAATATTTTAATTTACAGGCTTGTTTCATATATGCAACTCAGCTACCCTGTAAATGGGAAAGAGAACATAGAGGTATAAGTGATTTTTGTTGTATTATCTATTTGACAATACAAGTCAGATACTATATATTGACTATTGGAGCAGAACTTTTGAATCTCTCTCACCTTCAGAATGAGACACCACACTGAAGAGTTCACACTCTCCCAGTTCTTTCCTTGTTATAGCCATAATCTCAGCCAGCTGTACTCATAACACCGTGCTTACTAAGAAAAAAACAGCTACAGCTAACCAGGATGTGTGCTGGCTGGCCTGCTCAGCATGGACCTGGGTGGCAGATTTCAGCATCCTGCCAGATGGTAAATAGGGCAGCAGAGGTGAGAGACTGATACTGAGCTCTGTACACAGGCACACAACACACAACATCTGAGCAGTAATCATAAAACCTGCTGAAGGAAATTGGTCACCTGCCACTCAGCGTGCAAGTAATTTTGGCAAGTGACCTTAGCAAGTCCTTATTAGTGGTGTAATTTAGAATCCATGCTTAGTCTTTTGTATTTTAGGCAGATAACTTCTGAATGACAAGAATATTTGTGAAAAGGAAGAGAAGTAGAAATGGATTCCTTTTTTGTTGTATTTTTGCACCAACCTAATATTTTTGTTTCAAAATACTACAAATCATGTAAGTGTTAGAAGTTAGTTTTCCTATAAATTACAGAGGGGAAGGCACAGCTGTGAATTGAAAGGCAAAGATCCTTTTGAATTTGTTTTCATAGGAGGCTGTGAATCCTGGAGGAGATTAAAAAACCTAAATTTAAAATAATTGATATATAGAACCACTGCCACATGAAGATTGTAAGATTTTAGAATGTATCACTGGAAGAGCCTTGTGACTTAGCCAGAAGGGGATCCAGAGCTGTCTTTAGATGATCAATGGGAATGCTATGAGTCAGTCACCCCTTGGTGTTCTTTCAGACTTAGAAATGTCGGTTTTGCTGTTTCCTTTGAGAAATTAAACTTTCTTCTATCTTTTTCTTTTAATTAGGGTGTTGTTTTTTTCCTTTTCCTTTTTTTTCTTGTCTTTTTCAATTTACCACACAAAGCATGTTTACACATCAATACACATGAGCAAATTTTTGTTCATTTCTTCCTTGGAGACCCATCTGGTCTTAAATAGAAACTCAACTTAGATTTTGATTTTTTTTTTTTTCCATTCTCATACATGAGGTTATCCCAGGGAATGTGTTAATAAAGTAGTATCTCCTTTGAGAGAGAAAAAGTGCACGCTGAAACACATCACTTAATATCTAATTATAATGCAGCTATCAGAAGGTCACATTGCTTTTGAACATCTATACAGAATATGTCCAAATTAAAAGCCATCCTAAATACAAAAAATCTTGAAAGGTTTAAATAATATGGCTATTTCTAAAAACATAGGATCTTGAAATTATTATTTCTCAATTTAATACAAGATTGTTATAAAGAATATTTCATCAGTCCATGTACATATTCCATGTACTCTGTCAGTCTTTAGGTATTCCTGAATCCCTTTTCTACAATTTTATAGAAGCCAGTCAGATTGCCCCTTTTCTCAGTTAAATTTTATTTTCATTGAATTTGCCATGGGAGAAAAAAGAGAGCATCCAGTTGAAATCCCTTCTTTGTCATTCATGATGCATTATATTTCAACTGAGTTTCTCCTCCCTGTGAGGAAGCTGTCCTAGGAACCAGTCTTGCAAGAATAATGATTAGCTTGCTATTTGGTAATTAGAGGGTGGGTAGATTATGAGTCTTATACGATAGATAGCATTATGTTAGCAACAGTCACACCTCACCTGAGAGTGTGGCTTGTGTTCTAATTAATAAATCTGGGGATCAAATACATTTACAATTTTTATAAGCATATTATATAGTTAGGGTTTGTCAGTTGTACATGATACAGTTAGGTTTCCAATATATTGTGATTTCAGATCTCAGTAAAAATGTCATAAAGACATAATCGCAAAAGAAAAGCTGCTTTTCAAAGCTATATTTATTCAACATTTGTTTTTGTTATGCTTGAATTATTACTGCCAGCCCTTGTAAAGTGGTACCTAATCTTTCCTCCAGAAATAAAAGTAATATGGGAACTCATGAGGAAAAAGAGCAGCCAGATGAATTTGGGTAACAAATTTCTAATTTATCGTTAAAAGTTGAGATTTGGAGCTTACATCCTGAAGTCTACCCCAAATATTAACTACTTCAGAAATCAGGCGTCATCTTTAGGTTAGTGTAGTAGCTGTTTATGGGCACTACGAATCCATTCCTTTCCCTTTGATGTGTTCTCATTCTCCCCTCCTTCAGTATTACAGAGTTTGGGGAACTAAAAATTACATTTCTCAGATTCCCATGTGATCCCCTCGTAAGTTTAGGTTTTGTCAATGTGAGGCACTCGTGAAATTTTACAAAGGCTGAAGGAGGTGGGTGTCACCTTTCTGTAGTAGCACAATTATGTAAGTGGGCTCCTACAGACAAAAGTGTTGGAAACAGTTGGATAACATGTTCCACTATCTTGGCATCAATTTTATGAATACAGACAGTGCTAATGGTGATGGCACTTATGACAGATGTGGTTGTATGAATTTGAAGCTAAAGATTAAGGATAGCCTCCTGACTTTTATTCCTCCAAGTTACCAATAATTTTATAAACATCTACTCTTTTGAATTAAAGATTTTCTGCTTGAATACCTTGAGTGGTATCTATTATATGTGATGAACCTTACCTAGCTCAGTATTCAGTACCAAAATTTGATCAAGAAATTGACTTTTAAATACAATATGACATTGGTTATCTGACTTAGTTGAGTTTATAGGCAGTGATAACTTCATGACCACTGGGAAATGGGATACTGTTTTCCGTGAAGCAAATAGCTAAATGATCACCTATGGCCACATAGGATGGAATAGCTATTGAAGACAAGCCTTTGACAGACTGGCTGCTGCATTGCACTATTGTGGTGCAAATAAGAAACAGAGAAAACTTGAGTGGAAGGATTGCTTCCTATAGCACTGAAGAGCTTACAGAAATAGTGTTTGCTCTTATTTTAAATTCTTGGCTTAGGGCAAGGAAAAAGTTGCAGACAGCTTCTATGACCCGCCCTGACCCCCTGCCCAAGAGACCCTTTTATATATCTTAGCTGCAGACTTAAAATGCCTTAAAACAAGATTTAAAGTTTGCTCCTTTGGATTGCAGAATTACAACTTGATTTCACAGCCTCAGTGGTTTCCTGTGTGAAATTTGTGGCATTGATCATGAAAGGATGGGACCTAAAGAAACAGAATGGGGATATTTGGGTAGATTTGGATGAACCTGAGAACATGAATCTTTAAATTGCTTTGAATATGCCTGTTCATAAAAGCAGTCTGTCTTCCCTATCAGATGACATTAGTCCTTTGTTGCTTGAGATACTATAATGACCTCAACCAAGGTAGTTACCTTCCAAGGGGATGCTGATCCCCTTTATGCCTGCCTTCTCCCCTTTCAGTGCCATCAGAGCTGCAAAGAGAATTAGATCGCAGCATGCCCCAGGAGAACAAATACAAAATCTATCCTGGGAGGAGGCAGTTAGAATGATAGGATTTGGCTAATTTTCATTTGCAGGAATGTGTAGGAATAGGTTCTCAGCGTGTTAAGGCAGGGAGAAACATTTCTTTAGAATGAACTGAAATTATTGATATAGTTCTTATATATTACCAAAAATTCTTATTTTGAGGACATAGCTAAACAGTGAGGAGCAGCTTTACTGGTTTTTCAGTTGTTCAACTGAATCAGGGACTCAGTGGCAGCCTATATTAAACTCAGATATATGTTAGAAACTCTTTGGAATAATGTGGAGGAGAGACTCCAGAGACTTAATGGAGTTAGGAGTGTTGGAGAAGGTCTACCATGTGTGACCCACTTGACTAGCCCCTCTCTATGTTTGAGATATCTATTGGTAAGTTCCACCAGCATCCTTGGAAAATTCTGTAGTGGTTACTTTCTATAGATTGGGATCATGACGGAGGGAGGAAGCTGTCCCTAAAATGAGTCCCTTAATTTCAATTTCAGTGGGAATTAGAGTATCAGATTGGCAGAGGCCAAATGGCAGTATTTAAATGCCAGAGACAAAATAGACATGATTATAGTCATGGGCAAAAGAGCCAGAGTTATTATTAGAATAGCTTGGCCTGTGGGCATCTATGGTGGTGGCCAATTTATTTTGATGTCCTGAGGACTGAAATAGATAGACTAAGGTCCTTCTTGACTAGTATAACTGACTAATCTGATAAACACTGGCCGGACTTGGGTCATTACAATGAGAGACACAGCCCCTCACCAATTCCCATTCTTGTTCCAGTACACAGACCCAGAGTTTTTTAAATGGAGGGAACATCGGATTCCCTTGAAATATTCTTTGGTGATGTCACAGGATATACTATCAGTCCTCTTTCTAGCTTTCACCAAAAGGGAAAGAAAATAAGCACGCTTTGGGAGGATTACTGGGACACTGACTCTGAGCAGATGCTGCTCATTGGGCATCCCCAATTGCTACTGTGCTCACCAGTCAAAATGGAGGCTTATAGAGGCCAGGTGATAAATATAATTTTGATCTGAGTTCATCTCACAGTGATTCAGTGGGTCCTCAAACATACCCTTCCCAGTTCCTGCACGTATAGTTGGATTAGATATATTCAACCTCCAGCTGAACTCCCACATTAGCTCCCTGTCCCATGGAATGAAGGCCATTATGGTATGAAGGACCAAGTTGAAGCTTCTAAAATGTCCCCTTCTTATTGAAACAGTAGACCAAAAGTATTGCCACATTTCTGGGTGAATGTCAGAGGTCCATGTCATCATCCAAGGTCTGAAAAATTCAGGGGTGATGATTTTTTGTCGTACCCCCATTTAACACTCCTGTTTGACCCAAGCAGAAACTGGGGAGTCTTGGAGAGAGTGTATTATTATTAACCATGTAACTCCAAATTCAATGGCTGTTTCAGATGTAGTTAACTGAAGCAAATAAAATGTTCAGAGCTGACTTGTTGCTATGAATCTGTTAAAAGTGGTTTTCTCCCTTCTAACAAAGAGATGACAGAAATCATTTCACCTGGTAGGGTAAGCTGTATGTCTTTGCCATCTTACCTCAGCTATCCAGTTTTCTGTAATAATCTAGTCCACAGGAACCTTGTCTGTCTCATCATGCCAGAAGACATCACTTCGTTCCACTACATGGTTAGCATCATGCTGATTGGCTGTGGTGAGTAGGAAGTGGCAACCATCATAGATTCCTTGGTAAGGAACGCGTGTGCCAGAAGGCGGGAGGAAAAAACAAATCATGTAAATTCAAAGGCCATGACATCAATAAAGTTTATGGCAGTCCATTAGTTTATAGCAAGTTGAGATATTTCCTCCTCCATATACAAAGCTGTATATATGTTGTTTCAAAAATCCAGTGAGGCCGGGCGCAGTGGCTCACGCCTGTAATCCCAGCACTTTGGGAGGCCGAGGTGGGTGGATCACAAGATCAGGAGTTCGAGATCATCCTGGCTAACACAGTGAAACCCCGTCTCTACTAAAAACATACAAAAAAAAAAAAAAAAAAATAGCCAGGCGTGCTGGCAGGCGCCTGTAGTCCCAGCTACTCGGGAGGCTGAGGCAGGAGAATGGCGTGAGCCCAGGAGACGGAGCTTGCAGTGAGCCGAGATCGCACCACTGCACTCCAGCCTGGGCGGCAGAGCGAGACTCCGTCTCAAAAAAAAAAAAAAAGAAAAGAAAAAAGAAAAAATCCAGTGAGATGGTAACAATCATTGTGTCTCTTTAATAGTGGGTGAAAGAAAATCGCTATTAAAATTGCACACTATTAAAAAGACCCAATGATTGTTACCATCTCACTGGACTTCTGAAACAACGTACACACCTTTAAATGTGCTACTTGGACCTATTTATCAAGTATTCCATAAGACTGCTAGTTCTGAATGGGATCCAGAGTAAGAAAATGATTTGTAACTATGAACTGTTGTGCATGCTACTCTGCTATTTGAGATTTAAGATCCAACAGATTAAATGGTGCTTGGAGTGTTTGGCAGAAAGCAATCCTGTAGAGACCCCTGTCAAACCTTGATTTAGAATTACAGTGCAATCCTTTCAGGTTTTAGAGCAAAACCTTGACCTAGTCTCCAAATAAATGTTAAGAAACAGATCTTGGATTGCTTTTGGGTCATGGCAGAGACTTGTGTATCTGACCACAGAATATAAAATGATCATGTAAACAACTGCCCATCATGGTCTGGGTGTTATTTCATAAACTAGGACATGCACAGCAGCACTCCTTCATCAAGTAGAAAGTCATAAAGACACAGGTAAGAGGCATGAGCAATGCCTCAGGTGACCATCGCACCTGCTCTTGCTGCATTGCCATTTCTCCCTCAGCCCACATATTTGACCACATGAAAGTTCCTATGAAATGTTAGCTGGTTGTGTTTGCACACCTCCAATCCATTTTGATCTGTTTTGTGCCCTGAAATGCTGAACCATATGGATTACATCATCTTGGCTCCCTTGCCAGCTGTCTTCCAGTTGGATTCAATCAATAGCAAGTGCCAATGGGAGATCAAAAGTTTCCAGAGTGTGAAGAACACTTCCATGCCCTCTTCATACTTTAGTGTTGCATCTCTGACCCTACATACCTTCCTCCACAACCACAGCCCCTGCTGGGAAGCAGCTTCTCCATAGGTCTAATTCTCACTGAGCTCTGTTTCTTTCCTTGCCCCTCCAGAGAATAATAACAGCTCACACTCTTGCTAGTTTTCTTGCACCTCCCCATCCCTTGTTTGTTTCTTTATGCCTGCCTATATCTCTACATGCAATCCTTTCATTAAAGGCTCTGTATTTAAACCATCTGGGACAAAGTCTAATTTATGATGGGACCCTTATTGAGAAACTGTAAAAGAAAGTAATTGAGCCTGGTTTACAAATTATTCCACATAGTATGCAAACACCAGCTGGAAATGGACTGTGGTAACATTACAGCACTTAGGAGTTGCCCTGAAATGTGCATGGGAGGAAAATCCTCCTTATGAAAGAACTTTGGGCAGTACATCTGATTGCTCCCTTTTCCTAGAACGAAAACTTCCCAGGGTTGTGCATTTACATCAGTTTTTTGGGTAACGGATAATGATTTGGCTAGATGCTCAAGGATTTGGAAGGAATAAAATTGAGGATTGGTGATAAACAGTTCTGAGTGGGACTTTATGTGTGTGTTCCATGTAAATGCTCACCAAAGGCACCTACTGCAGAAGAGGCTGTTAATAAACAGAGGGACGGGATAATCTGTTCTGTGGATATTAGCCTCCTTCCTTAGTTTCCCTAACCATCCCATGTTTGCTCACTGGGTTTATAAACAAAATGGACAAAGTACAGTGTAGTGTGCTTAATGGTGGCTCTGGGACTTATAAATGTCACCCTATTTGAAAAGTGGAGTCTTTATAGATGTGATTAAGTTAAGGACCTTAAGAAGAGAAGATAACTCTGGGTTCTCTGGGTGGACCATAAATGCCATTCCAAGTGTTCTTATAAGAGGGAAATGCCCCAGCACTTTGGGAGGCCAAGGTGAGCGGATTACCTGAGGTTGGGAGTTTGAGACCAGCCTGACCAACATGGAGAAATCCCATCTCTACTAAAAATACAAAATTAGCTGGGCATGATGGCACATGCCTGTAATCCCAGCTACTCCAGAGGCTGAGGCAGGAGAATCGCTTGAAGCCGGGAGCTGGAGGTTGCTGTGAGCTGAGATCACACCACTGCACTCCAGTCTGGGCAACATGAGTGAAACTCCATCTCAAAAAAAAAAAAAAAAAAAAAAGAGGGAAATGCTATACCTGCAAAGAGGAGATGGTGATGTGAAGACACAGGCAGAGACTGGGGTGATGCAGTCGGGAAGGCTGGCAGCCACCAGAAGCTGGAAGAGGCAAGGAGTGGTTTCTCCTCTAGACCCTTCAAAGGGAGCACAGCCCAGCCAACATCTTCATTTTGGACTTCTGGTCTCCAGAACTGTAAGAGAATAAATTTCTATTGTTTTAAGCCACTAATTTTGTGGTAATTTGTTATAGCAGCCACAGGAAAGTAACACAAGTATTATTTGTATTATTTACCAGGGAAAGGTTTACATGGGCTTAAATGGTATGGACTTCTCAGCAAGGTTGGTCTGGCTAGCACTGATGCTGAGTGCCCACCTGCCCACAGCAGAGTCCAGTGCTGACTGACCTTGTGATATGGACTTGGAATAGCCAGCCACTTCGCTCCCATTACAGAAAGGGATCAATTCATTCTTACTAGAATGACACTTACTCTGAAATGAATTTGCCAGCAATACGATCCATTTGTAAATGTATTGAATGTGTTACCCAATACGATGTTATGCCACAGAACATTGCTTCATATCCCCAAAAGTCATTTTGTAATAAAATAAATAAGGCAATGGTTTCACATATATGGAATTTAGTTATTGTTCCATGTATTAGCCTGGATAAGATAATTACTATAACAACCCCAAATTAAAGGGTTTAATATAATTAATATGACAGAACACATAGATAATTTTTAAAAATTCGATTTCCATTTTCACAGTGTAATAGTGGGCAGAGTGAAAGGCTCTGTCCACAGTCATTCAGAGATCCCAGGCCTCCCTCCCTCAATTTGTTTTCTGCACTCAGCTGAGGAGATGAAGCTACCGAAGGGCTTCTCAGAGGATTTCATGGAGGGAGTAGGCTGTCAATGACCCAGGTTTAGAGGTGATTATCATTAAATTTAACCCATACTCTACTGACAGGAACTCATTCAAATTATTCCACTTAAGAGCAAAGGATACTGAGAAATGTAATCTAAGTTTGTCTCCAGGAAGATAGGAAATGTGTTTGTGAGCCTCTAACTATTATCTGCAACCTACCATATAGACTATCTCCCTGAAGCATGTGGCTTTTAAGTCAGTGAAATGTCTTATTAAAGAATGTTATGACGTTAGCTTACAGACAACAGTTTGAAAGCCTATGATGCTTTCCTACAAGGTATACTATATGCTCTGAAACCAGCCACCAATGTATGATCTCTCTCTCCCCAAGCCAGGATGCTTGGATTTGGGAACCAAGGGATAGATTTGGAAGCAGATTCTTATACTATTAATACTGTACCCACATGCAGAAATCTTTTGTTTTTATCATTGTGGCTTTTTGCTGTGCTGGTTTAGAGATTTTCAGTACCCAGAGAAGGAAAGTTTCTACTGGGAGATAAAATAATGGTTTCACTTAAAGTCAAAATGACCACTTAAAATTTAGGGATTCTTTTGCCATTCAACAAAGAAGAGAACTATATCTGCTGTGGTGATTGCTGGGGTTAAAAAGAGAGGTCTATGTCTTGAATTAGATCCTCTTTGGTGCCTCCAAGTATTTGCATGGGCAGTGATAAAATTTCATGGATGCCTTTAGTAATCAGAAGGAGACAGGATTACCGAGGCCTCAACTCTTTCAGCAATGAAGGTTAGGGTTTCTCTGCCATGTGAAGAATCCTCTCCAGTTTAAATAATAACTGAGGCAAAAGACAATTGGAATAAACAGTGGAAAATTAGGTTAACCATACTACTTATGATTTTGTGACCAGTTGCAAGAACAAGATCTGAGATAGTTTTGCACATTTTCCCCTGCTTGGTGTTTATATTTGTATATATTAACCCCAAATCTCTTCTCTCTCTATTCCTTTCTATTTGATATAAGGCATATTATTGATGGTAAAATTTATAGTTTAGCCCTAAGTTTAAAAGATATCGGCCAGGCGCGGTGGCTGACGCTTGTAATCCCAGCACTTTGGGAGGCCAAGGCGGGCGGATCACGAGGTCAAGAGATTGAGACCATTCTGGCCAACATGGTGAAACCCCGTCTCTACTAAAAGTACAAAAATTAGCTGGGCATGGTGGCGCTCGCCTGTAGTCACAGCTACTCGGGAGGCTGTTGCAGGAGAATTGCTTGAACCTGAGAGGCGGAGGTTGCAGTGAGCCGATATCGGGCCACTGCACTCCAGCCTGGCGACAGAACGGCACTCCAGCCTGGCGACAGAACGAGACTCCATCTCAAAAAAAAAAAAAAAAAAAAAAGATATCAAGGTGGAATTATAACTGAACTAGAAGAGAAATGAACAATATCACTAGAAGGATACAATTAACAGACTTTGGATTTTCTCTTTCAGGAGACAGTGAGCGTATTTTTGTTTCTAAAAAGTCCTGTTGTAATATGCAAGGTTGGAGCATGTTGGTTTTGCTCTGGTTTTTCTTTGAAAGATAAATGTAGGCAAAAGATTGTGGATGTTGAGTAGCTGCACAGCACACTGTGTTCAATATTGTTCAATGCACTTGACATGCATTCCCACTCCTTTCTTATACCCTCCCACATATCACTATTGCAAGGGCTAGAGTGCTAAAAACTGTATTTCCAACCTTCCTTGAAGCTACAGCCTTGGATCCGGTTATATTCTACCAATGAAATGTACTTGAGTGAGTGGGTTTTTTGGAGAGAGAAGGTAATTCAAATAGCTCAGACAGTTAACTCTGATAATAGCTGGATCCCATGTTTCATCATTTATCATCAGCTTCATTGGCATGGGGAAAATATGATGTTATCAGTGATGGTAGCAACGGCAGAAGCAGTTTTCTGACCTCCAAACTTTTAAAAAATGTTAAAGAAATGTTTCTCAATGTTTGGATGAGTGCCAAATAATTGGCCTAATTTGGGCATCCACAGATCTCAGCATAGGCCTGATTCCTACACCTCTCCTCTCTTATTTTGGGGGTTTCTTAAGAGTTGATGACAGGTTTTAAATACAGACAGTTTATTTGAGCGTTGCTTCGAGAAATCTGGAATGAATGAGTAAAGGGAGTAAGATAGGGAAAGAGGGAATGCCAATAAAGGGTATATTCTAGGTTGGTTACCGCTGTGAGCCACGAAGTACATCTGCTGCGAACCCTCTGGGGAACCATAAAGAGACCACCTAGAATCTTATATCTGGAGGATGAGAGAGGCTGGACATCTATCCACAGATTTCTGTCTCCCGTTGGTTACTCAGGAGCATTGTCTGTACCCTCCTCCTGATGTCTGGGATATGCCTATTTTCAGGCTAAGTAACTCTGAGACAGAAACAAAAAGAGAAGCAGCAAAAATTAGTTTGAGATGGGACATTCACTGCCAGTGATCATGGAACTGTCCATTACAGCACTGAAATGAGCAGCAGGCTGAGGGAATGTAGTTTTGAGCACCAAACACTTAATACAGCTGATTTGACTCTCAAGAACCACTCCCCACTTAAAAAAAATAAAAGACTGCGCTTACTCTCTGGCTTGTAGTGTAATCTCTAGTGTGTCCAGTTGTTTGCAATATTCTCTAGACACCAAATTCATTCTGTAGTCCATGGAGTTATCCAGGTGATATTTATTATTAGCTGATTTATTAGCTGATGCCCTAGTTCTCAACATAATTTTTAACAGAACTTTCTTTTTTTCAATGACAATAAAAGAAGTAAAGCTTAAGTGCTATAATGGTATAAATTTTGTGGATGAGGGAATTGGGAGTTTGTTCTGTATACAGGCTTTTCAAACTGCCTTTTTTTTGACCCAACTTCTCATTCCAAAAACAATTCATCAGTCTGGCATTTCTTGGGGGCTGTGGTGGAAAACCTGGTTACCGCCTTCACTACAGCTGCCTCTGCATATAACTTGGTGGCAGTTTCCTCTACTTCGCTTCATGAGTCTATAATTTAATTGCCTACTTTCCATCTTGCAGAAAATTATTGAAATATTTTATCTGCTGAGGCCCCTTCATATTCTTCCCATTGTTGTGGGTTTAGTCATTTTTGCTAATCTTTGACTATTTTTTTAACAGAGCCTTGAGAGGGATAGAAAATAAATAGTTGAGCTTACACTACCATCTTGAGTCAGAAGGCTGTTCAATATTCCTAAAAAAGAAAACGTTTTTGAAGTCATCCTTGAACCAATGAGGATTCAATCTGAGCTTTGTCACTAATACAACCTTGAACAAGTTACTTAATCTTTCTGGGTTTCTTCTTCAAATGTAAAATGGGGATATAACCTCTAACTTGATTAATATTTGGAAATTAAATTTAAAAATGCATACAAAGTATTTAGCACAGTGTATACTTCATGGAATTGCTTAATAAATGTGATTTCCCTGCATTTTTCTTGGCATCCCCTTAAAAGTTCATTCATCCTCAGATTTGGTTAAATTGTTTTAATTTCATTTCTTAATTTATTATGTGGCAGTAATGGGGAAGGTTAGGTAGTTTGCAGGATTATTATTCTTTTCACAGTAATAGCTGTATGTGTGGGCCCTGTATGCCCTTTGTACAGCTGAGCCCTGCTCTCCCAGCATTTTTATTCACTCTTGTGTAGGAGAGGCTTGTGCTTTGATTTTCTCACCCCCTTGACTGGTACTTGGGAGGGGACTAACCATGCGTGGACATTTGGTCTGTAAAGGAGAAATGGTGGTCCAACATGGAGCATTCTCTGGCCACAGTGGTCATGTTGGATTGTGCCATACTCCCTGTGCCACCTACTCAGTGACCCTGCACTGTGTTCTATGGTCAGGTGTTCCCTTAGTTGTATAGAGGAAGGAGCATAAGTTTGCAATTAACAGAATCCACTTGAATGTTTTTTGCAAATTGGCTGCTGAGTTATTAATAGTGAGGTGGCAGGATCCTTATAGCATGTGCTGGTATTTAATTAACATTTCCCATTGTCGGTGCTAAGTGATTAAGGAGCATGAGTTCTGGGGTGAGCTGGCTGTGGTTTAAGTCCTGGCTCTGACACCTATGGGCTATATAAGCCAGGGCAGTGTCACTCAACTGGGCTTTAGTTCTCAAGTTTTTGGTGAGGATTCAATGAGACATTGCTATAAAAACAGTTAGCCCAGGAACTGGCACATATTAAATATTCAATGAGTAGTATTATTGTTACAGGGTTTCCATCATATTATTGGCAGAATAATAATATTTCTTATTGTTGTCATATAATTGTAACACTACATAGTAATTACTTTGGCTTGTAACTTGTTTCATTTTCATTTATATTTATCAATAATCACGGAAGGCAGGGCTTACCTGCTTTGGGCATTCACAGTGCCACATGATCTGTTTAGTTCAGGAAAGGGATCACCTTCATTACCCACTGGACTGGAGCCTGTTTTAGGCAGTGGCCTTAGGGACAATTAATGAGCATGTGATATGCAACCAGAAAAAAATTCCGATTTTCCTATTCATGGGATTTATAGAAAGTCGGTCACACTGAACTAATGGGACTCTTTACTATTGTGGGTGTGGTAGAGTATATGTGGTATAAAGCAGACATGCATATCATTTAATGTTTTTTGCATAGATCTACTAAATATTTAATATAAATTAATTGCTTTAAGCTTGGTCCGAAATGTTTTCTTATATACATCATTATGGTTTACGTGCTTCTTAAGATACCTGGACATGGCTATGGAATTGTACCACTGCCTGAAAGTCTTTCAAAGACTTATTTTTGAACAACTTCGGTGGTGATTAAGGTTACAATAATTTATGTAACATTTATCCTTCCATATTCAGATTTTATGTCAGAAGTTTCCTAATTGTAACTGAAATTCATATAACTATTTGGGGGACAGTGGTATAATTTTGGAAACAAGACATTTCCTTGTCAAGAAGTAGTGAGCTATGCCTGTAATCCCAGCATTTTGGGAAGCCGAGGTTGGCAGATCACCTGAGGTCAGGAGTTCAAGACCAGCCTGGCCAACACAGTGAAACCCCATCTCTACTAAAAAATATGAAAATTAGCTGTGTGTGGTGGTAGGCGCCTGTAATCCCAGCTACTACTCAGGAAGATGAGGCAGGGAGAACTGCTTGAACCCAGGAGGCAGAGGTTGCGGGGAGCTGAGATCGGGCTGCTGTACTTCAGCCGGGGAGACAGAGCAAGACTCTGTCTCAAAAAAAAAAAAAAAAAAAAAAAAGAAGTAAAGAAGTAGTGTACTTATGCCAAAACCTAGATAATATAAAAAGAGCTTTACCTATCATTTTTGTGGTAATTATACTTTATACCCTCAGCTTACTGTTGAATATATTCATTTAACATATATTTAAAGAATTTCTTATATGTAACAATTATTGTGTTAGCCTCAGGAAGATAATAACATACATCCCAAAACTTTGACAAAGCCATTGACTTGTGGGGAAGATTGGCAAAGAAACTAATAATTACATGATAAAAGGTGCTGAAGTCAAGCTCTAGACAAAGTGAGAAAAAGTTAGAACCACTTCATAAAACCTTACTTCTCATTTACAAACAACTTTTATGAATATATATACACATTCATAGTATATTATGTATGAATACATATTCATAATAATACATATATTTTCTTGCCTAGACATGCATAGATTTGTGTTTAACATTTCTGGTGGCCAGTGCAGTCTTAGATGTGATACTATTGGAAACTCTTGAGATAGTATTAACAGAACATACGGCTTTTCTATAAACTAATTGAGTCTGAGGCAGGAGGGTAAATTGAGCCCAAGAGTTAAGACTACAATGAGCTATTATCGTGCCACTGCACTCCAGCCTGGGCAACAGAGCTAGACCTTGTCTCTTAAATTAAAAGAAAAATTATCAGGGAACAAACTAGGAATTATTTGACCAAGTTTTTATGGTCAGCCAGAGCTTGAACTAGAATCCAGGTTTTTTTTTTTTTAATTAGTTTTTATTGTTTTTTCTTTTGAGACAGAATATCTGTCACCCAGGCAGGAGTGCAGTGGCATAACCATGGCTCACTGCAGCCTCAACCTTGTGGGCTCAATCAGTTCTCCCACCACAACCTCCCTAGTAACTGGAACCACAGGCACACACCACCATTCCTGCCTAATTTTTGTATATATTTATTTTTTATTTTTTGTAGAGACAGAGTTTCACCATGTCTGCCAGGCTGATCTCGAGCTCCTGATCTCAAGTGATCCACCTGCCTTGGCCTCCCAAAGTGCTAGGATTACAGTCACGAGCCATCACCCTCAGACTATACTGAATTCTTTAACAATTGGAAGCTAATTTTATACATGGTATATGTCAAAGAAATAGAATAATAGGTTGAAATAAGTGTGTAATTTGTCAGCTTGTTTCATCTCTACTGGAAATGAGGTTATGGTTTAATATAAGAACACAGTACAATTTAAAAGAAGATTTAAAATACAGTGAACTTTTACTATTAGTTACAAGTTTTTAGAGTTAATGTTGCAGAGTTAAGATTATTGATATGGTGCTTGAGAGTGCACTAAATTTTAATTCATTCCTTTAGTACGCAGTTGTGGTAAAATGGTCAAATGCCCAACATATCACAATGCAAGGGTATGTAATAAATGCCTATGAATATTAAGAAAAATGTTAATCATCTTAAAAATAAGAGCTAGTTGAGACCAAGCTGAGTTGACATGTTATAAGTGTTAGTTTATGCAATAGTAACTAAATAGATGTTTGACATCCATAAAGAATGATGACAGAGTTTGCCTTGCTAAGCAAGTTTGGATTCATTGCTGCTAGTTTAAACTGCTATTATGAGAATGTTCCCCAGGCATATTGTGATATTACACAATGCACCTAGTATCTATATGGGTAGTCTCCCAGTTATTGTTGTATTGTGTTCCAAAAATTTGTTGATCATTCATTCGTCTGACCTTCCAGCTGAAACTATGTCATACATAAATATTAAGCCTCAGGCCTACCCACAGGGCCTATTGAACTTAAAGTTCACCTGAAATAAAAAAAATTTGTATTTTAATCTAGCCATCAAGTAGAACCAACAGTATTTTTCTAAGAAAGGCTTTCAGAATTCTAACTCAGAGAGCTATTTTGGGGGCAGGGTGTTGCAAAAGTAATTGTGGTTTTTGCCATTACTTTTGCACCAACTTAGTATCATAGCTGACACTCCCAACACAATAGAAGCAGGAACCACTCAGCTCCAAGCCATTGCTAATAGCTCCAAAATCTTGGAGCTGGACCACTAAAGGCAAGAATAGGAGATGAGGAGGCAGGGAGGAAACAGGTCTGTGGGAGATAAACTCCTCATTGGGTTATAAACCTCCCATCAGATGGCAAGTTCTTTCAGGGCAGAGACAATGTCTTACTTGTCTTGCAACAGGTGTTTAAGGGCTTGAAGTTAGGCAAAAGTAGAAGTTTTTAAATGGTTGTTTAAATAGTCTGCTAGTAGCTAAATTCATTGACATATAATTCATCCCAGGAATACATTGATAGCTTGGATTGCATCCGTGAACTAAAAGATAAATAAGTGCTACCTTTTGAGAAAGCTGCAGATATTAGAAATAAAATCAACATTCTCTGAAATATAACAAATAGTTGGTAAACATTACCTACTATTATTACTTTATTGAGTACTTGCTATGGCCCTCTCAACACTGCCTGTCTATGTCTATCCCAGCAATTTTGAATTATACCTATAACTTAACAGCATTTTATTTTTGAAATATCCCCAATTAATTAAAAATTTCTTTCGGATCAATAAATACTTATTGTGCACCTTCTTGGTATAAGATAAAGTTGTAGGAAATAGGTATGGTCAGCCAATAAGACTCAAAAATGTTGATTCAGTGTGTTTGGCTGCAAGTAACAGAAGGCACAATTAATAATAGTTTAATCGAATAGTTTTGCTTTTTTTTTTTCCTTACATTATCAGAAGTCTGGAGGCAGGGGACGTAGATTTGGTATAGTAGCCATTTTTATCAGATTGAAGAATTATATTCATGTAATTACATGTATGTAATTTTTATCCTTTTTCTCTACTGATCCCATCTTTATTCAAAATTTTAATGTGTTGTTCACCATGGAATTTTTGCAATAATTTTTATTCTTTTAACATAAGTTATATTAAATTGCACTTTAACTACATTAAAATATTCGTCTTGATTACTTTTTTTTGTATCCCCTTAAATTTTGTGCCTGAAGCAAAGGCCTCACTCATTTCACCTTACTCCTGGCCCTGCCTATTTCAATGACTAAAACAACTCTTGTTAAACACATGTACATTGGCCATTTTCTGAACTCAACCCTTAAATTACTTTTCAGTGCTCTGAAGCTTCAGAATGAGGGAAGCTCACAAACAAATTGGAGTTTGTGTTTTCAATCCTTAAAATGAGAATGGAAGAACCAAACCATCTTTAAGCCGTTATGTACTGGGGGGCATGAAATGTGGTTGCATAGAATGGGGAACGACTTACTAACAGTGTGGCTCCTAACCCTGGCTTCAACCATTAGAAGCCATGAGCCAATGAGCAAGTCAAAAATCCTCTATTGGCATCAGTTTCTTCACCTATAAAGCAAAAGTAGTAAAATCTGCTTTGCTTCTCACTCCAACTTGCTATAAAAATCTAATGAGATCAAGAATGTGAAAGGCTTTTTAAAACATAAAAGTATGGAAGAGCTTTGTAAACTCTAAAGCACCCATTGAGGAGGTCAGCTAGGGCAGAATAAACGAGAACAAAGAAAGAATCAGATTCATAGAATGTTAGCTATAATCCAGACCAGCCCTCTTATTCTGATGGTGCAGAAAGTGAGAACAGGGAATGCGCATCTTTCACCTACTCAGACGGTTAAACAGTGGCAGAGATGGAGCAGGGCATAGGCCTCCCGAGCCCAGGCCAAGGCCACGGCTCTTCCTCTTGCTCAAATTTATGATCTCTAAATCTTCAGATTCAGGGTATTATCTGGACAACTTCTACCAGGACAGATTCTTTCTTCAGGAAGAAAGAGAGATTTTTATGTCTTTTGTGGAAAAGGAAAATAATAGGTACACAGAGAGAGAAAGGAGGTAGGAAATTGAGATGATCTGTTTCTGAAGTGTAGCTAATTTGTACTGAGACTAGCAAAACTGGCATTTCCAGGCTCCCATCTCAAGGTGTGGCTACACAGACAAACCACAGTGAGTTAGATTGACCATGTTTTTCAATTGTGGTTGGTTATGCCTGTGGTATATAGACACTAGTTTAACAGGAAAACTATGATGTAAGAGTTAATCATTTCTGTTTACAAATAAATGATCTCTGAAAAAATTATTCACATTAAAATAATGTGGCTCTCATAGAATAATAATTTACTTTAGAAACTAAAGAAAAACACCTAGAAAAAGACCCCACTTCCACCCTCCTGTTTTTGGTAATAAAATTCCTTCTCTAAATTTCTCCATTCTGATGGAACTAAAAATTTTGCCAAGCTCCACCCAATTACTCATTGCCATGCCTGATTCATCAACCTAATTATTAGTTTTTACATGGTACAACTTACTCTCTAATGGCACAAGTATGAGAGTTTTATTGACATTAGTCTTAAAAAGCAAAAATAATTATAAAAGTTAAGAGTAAGAGACACAAAATTCAGTTAGAGCCATGTCTCAGAACACAAAGTAATAGTATAAAAATTAAAGATAAGTGACATCACATCTCTTTTGTGAACAGTGGTAATTTTTAAGGGAATGAAGTTCTCTGCATCTTCTCTAAGTCATTCCTAAAATCTCATTGTTCCTTGAAAGTATTTATAACATTGCTGAAAAATCACTCAAACTGTTCTCTGGTTGGCAAAACCACTCAACTTGTTTCTGCTGGACTTCATCCAAAAGATGAATGAAATTCTAGGGACTTGTTTTGAATAATTATGCTAAGCCTCCAGCAAAATTACTACATCGCCTTAACACTGCCAAATTTCCTAAAGCCTGGCTACTCCTCATGAAAATATTAGGAATCCTACTCAAATTGTTGTGTCACAGATTAGTTGTCACTATTCTTCATTCCTAGGAAGGGTGGGTCCACCCCATTTGAAGGGAAGTGTTGGGATCTACACTACCTTTGCTGAATAGTCTCTTCAAAATTTAAGAGAGATGTGCACATCTTTTTCAGTCCTAAGATAGGAATTTAAACACACACACACACACACAAATTTCAGTAGTATATACTTTCTGAAAAAGTAGGCTTACATGATTGCTATAGTCCTGTGTAAATGAATAGAGGATGTCCAATGTAATGACAACCTTTTTCTCTTCCCCAGAGCTTGGGAATCTAAAGCAAGAAAAATTTCATTTTGTGGAACAAATATTTAAGCCAGAATTCATACAATGTTGTTGATGGTAGTAATCTTTGGATGCCACAATGAGTGAAAGAGGAGGAAGGAAAGATCAAACAAACCTAAGTGCAGTCGGGAGATAAATCATCTGAGATTCTATCCTTTGCCAGGTTATACAACTCAATGCAGGATATAAATTTTGTTTAAAAGAATATCTCCTCCTAGAAGTCTAAATATAAAGATTGGATTTCTAGGATTTGTTCCCTACATTTTCTGTCCCCATTTTCATCATTTTTATCTCTTTTTTCCCACTTACTGAGTTCTAGGTAAAGACAATGAAATCTCATCTTCATTGCCTTCGCCGTGGGTTGTTTTATTTTTTCAATTTTTAACTCTATTAAGGCATGATTTACATCAGCAGTCCCTAAACATTTTGGTACTAGGGACTAGTTTTATGGAAGATAATTTTTCTGTGGTGGGTGGGGGAGGATGTTTTTGTGATGAAACTGTTTCACCTTAGATCTTCAGGCATTAGTTAGATTCTCATAAGAAAAGTGCAACCTAGATCCCTCACATATGCAGTTCACAATAGGGTTCCTACTCCTCTGAGAATCTAATGTCACCATTGATCTGACAGGAGGTAGACCTCAAGTGGTGATGCTTTCTCACTCACTGCTCAACTCCTGCTGTACAGCCTGGTTCCTAACAGGCCACAAACCGGTACAGGTCCACAGCCTGGGGGCTGGGGACCCCTGATTTACATAACTGAATGCATCCATTTTAAGTATGCAGTTGGCTCCAAGGGACCGCTGATTTGCTTTGTCAATGTACATTAGGTTTGTCTTTTCTAGAGTTTCACATAAATAAAATAATATATTTTGTACTCATTTGTATAGACTTTCTTTTGCACAGTATAATGTTTTTGAGTTATCTATATTGTTGTGTAACACTAGCTTGTTCCTTTTTATTGTTGAGTAACATTTTATTGTGTGGACATAAACACAAATTGTTTATTTGTTGACCTGTTGAGGGACATTTGGATTGTATTACGGTTTCAATGAGATTTATCCCCATCAAAATTCATGTTGAAATTTACTTGTCAATATAGCGGTGTTGGGAGGTGGTTCCTTGAAAGGGTGATTAGGTCATTAAAACAGATTAACACTTTTCTCATGAGACTGGGCTAGTTCTTGTGAGAATGGATTAGTTTCCACAAGAGTGGGTTGTTATAAAGGCTACTCCTCCTGTTTGGTCCCTTTTGCACATGCCTACTCACCTTTCTGCTTCTTTGCCATGCTGTGATGTAATATGTGAACCTCACCAGAAGCTGAGCAGTTGCTGGTGCCATGCTCTTCGACTTTCCAGTCACCAGAATCATAAGCCAAATAAACCTCTTTTCTTTATAAATTATACAGCCTCAAGTGTTCTGTTGCAGCAACACTAAACAGACTAAGACAGTTTGCTTCCAATTTTTGACTATATGAATAAAATTGCTGTGAACGTCCATGCACAAGTCTTTGTGTGGCCATATATTTTCATCTTTCTTGGCTAACTTCCTAACAGCAGAACTGCTAGGTTGTATGGCAATTGCATGTTTACCTCTTCAGGAAACTACTAAACTGTTTTTGCAGATGATTATACCATTTTACCTTCCCACCAGCAATGTATAAGAGTTCTACTTCCAGGCCAGGCACGATGGCTCATGCCTGTAATCCCAGCACTTTGGGAGGCTGAGGTGGGCGGATCACGAAGTCAGGAGATTGAGACCATCCTGGCTAACATGGTGAAACCCCGTCTCTACTAAAAATACAAAAAATTAGCCAGGCGTGGTGGTGGGCACCTGTAGTCCCAGCTACTCGGGAGGCTGAGGCAGGAGAATGGCATGAACCCAGGAGGCAGAGCTTGCAGTGAGCCAAGATCATGCCACTGCACTCCAACCTGGGCGACAGAGCAAGACTCTGTCTCAAAAAAAAAAAAAGAGTTCTACTTCCTCTATATCTTCACAAACAATATTGTCAGTGTTTTGTCTTCATTAGTTTATGTTGTTGTTAATTTAAGCCATTCTAATGGGCTTGTAGTGGTATCTCATATTGGCTTTAATTTGTATTTCCCTCATGTTAACAATATTGCACTTCTTTCATGTGCTTCTTTTGTAAAATGTTCAAATCTTTTGCCTATTTTTACATTGGATTGTTTATCTTAGTATTAAGTAGTGTTGTTTAAAATAATCTGGATACAAATTTTTGTCAGATATATGTGTTCCAAATATTTCCCTCAGCCTGTAGCATTTGAAGAGCAGTAGTTTTTTATTTTGATCAAGTTCATTTTATTGATTTTTTTCTTCTGTGTTTAATGCTTCTCGTGTTCTATATAGAAAATCTTTCCATACCAAAAGATCACAAAGACTTTCTCCTATATTTTCTTCTTAAAACCATAGGTCTATAGTTTATTTACAATTAATTTTTGTGTATCATGTGAGATAAGAGTAATTTTTTATTTTTCCTCAAGTAAATATTTAGTTGTGCCAGCAGTATTTGTTAAAAAGACTCCCTCTTCTCTATTTAGTCATATTAGGACCTAGCATACAAAATAATTGAACATATACATGTGAATTTCTACTAGACTCTATTTAATTCTATTGATCTAAATGTTAATCTTTACATCAATACCACAATGTCTTGATTACTATATATTTACAGTAAGTTTTGAAATCAGATAATACAAATGTTTAACTTTTTCTTTTTCAAAACTATTTTGGATATTCTAAGTTCTTTGATTTTCTTCATATACATTTTAGACTCATCTTGTCAGTGACCACAGATAATACTTCTAGGGTTTTTATTGCGATGTTGTTGAATCTATAGATCAAATTTAGGAGAATGCCAACTGACATCTTAACAGTATTAAATCATCTGCTCTAAGTACATTCATATCTCTCCATAAAAATGTGTTTATTAATTCTTCAAGTATCAAACCAAACTTTCCTGATATTAGAATGTGTTGCAGGAAGTCAGGGACCCCGAATGGAGGGACCAGCTGGAGCCACAGCAGAGGAACATAAATTGTGAAGATTTCATTTTAATGTGGACAAATTTTAATTTATCAGTTCCCAAATAATAGTTTTATAATTTCTTATGCCTGTCTTTATTTTAATCTCTTAATCCTGTTATATTCATAAGCTGAGGATGCGCGTCACCTCAGGACCACTGTGATAATTGTCTTAACTGTACAAATTGATTGTAAAACATGTGTGTTTGAACAATATGAAATGAGGGCACCTTGAAAAAGACTGGAATAACAGCTATTTTTAGGGAACAAGGGAAGACAACCATAAGGTCTGACTGCCTGTGGGGTCGGGCAAAAAGAGCCATATTTTTCTTCTTGCAGAGAGCCTATAAACAGACGTGAAAGTAGGGAAGGTATCTCTAAATTCTTTTTCTGGCAAGGAATATTAATATTAATACCCTAGGGAAGGAATGCATTCCTGGTGGGAGGTCTATAAATTGCCGCTCTGGGAATGTCTGTCTTATGCAGTTGAGATGAGGACTGAGATACGCCCTGGTCTCCTGCAGTACCCTCAGGCTTACTAGGGTGGGGAAAAACTCTGCCCTGGTAAATTTGTGGTCAGACCAGTTCTCTGCTCTTGAACCCTGTTTTCTGTTATTTAAGATGCTTATCAAGACAATACGTGCACCACTGAACATAGACCCTTATCAGTAGTTCTGCTTTTGCCCTTTGCCTTGTGATCTTTGTTAGACCCTTACTAGTAGTTCTGCTTTTTGCCTTTTGAAGCATGTGATCTTTGTACCTACTCCCTGTTCTTACACCCCCTCCCCTTTTGCAACCGTTAATAAAAACTTGCTGGTCTGAGACTCAGGCAAGCATCACAGTCCTGCTGATATGTGATGTCATCCCCGGCAGCCCAGCTGTAAAATTCCTCTCTTTGTACTGTCTCTCTTTATTTCTCAGCTGGCCAACACTTATGGAAAATAGAACATAGAACATATGTTGAAATATTGGGGGTGGGTTCCCCCAATAAGAATATTCTTTACTTCATGATCTCTCAACCCATTTTCACAAATACACTTTTGTCTCAAAATTTGTCTCAGATTTGTACTTGACAAATTTGTGTTTGAGACAGAATTTGTCAAATTTGTGTTTGACAAATTTTGTCTCAAACACAAATTTATCTCACCCTAGTTTCACAAATAAATTTTTTTCTCAATTCATTCTTAATTTAGAAAATTCAGAAATTTTCTAAAACTGTCTCTTTTCTTCTTTGAGTAAATCTATTTAAAAGAAAGGCATTTCAATTTATCATGCAAAGCCATTCTCTCCTTCAATCAATATGGAAGTATTTCTGTTTGCTCATTCAGAACAAATCCCATTATGCTGGATTTCTGCTAGTTAAAGCCATGTGTTCTGGGAGAAGGAAGGGAGAAGTTCCTCCTTGGTGTTGGATTTTTCTTTGTTGTGTTTATGTCCTCTAGGATGAAGCCCACCACAACAATTTTTTGGCTTTTCATTGCCTGCCGTTATATACTTGAGTCTCATGGTATAAGTGGAGTGCTTTAGAGTCTGTATCACTTAAATTTGATGCACTTTGTTCTTTCACAAGAGGGAAATTGAGTTAGCCCTTTATGTCTCCATACTTGTATTTCATCCACATTATAATAAAAATGTAGTCTTTCCTCTAACATTGTTTTGTTTGTTTTGTTTTGAGACAGGGTCTCACTCTGTCACTCAGGCTGGAGTGCAGTCTCACTGCAGCCTTGACCTCATGGGCTCAGGTGATCCTCCCACCTCAGCCTCCTGAGTAGCTGGGACTACAGGCATGTGCCACCATGCCTGGCTAATTTTTTTAGATAGGAGATTTTGCTATGTTACCCAGGCTAGTCTTGAACTTCAAGACTCAATCAGGCTGCCCACCTCAGCCTCCCAAAGTGCTGAGATTACAGGTGTGAGCTACCATGCCTGGCAATAACATTGTTGATCCAAATTTACTTTTTATTACTGATAGTTGGGATATATAATATATGCAGCTTCACACACAGATATACTCACTGCTACAATCACAGAAATTCTGTTAAGTTACATCTTGTACAAATACCATCAAGAAAGAAATTAATGTATGGCGTGTTCTCTGTGTTAGCAAGCATATTATTAACAGGAATGTACTTCCATTTTTACTAGTATTGAATCCTTGGCTTATAATTTTTATATCAGTTTTATGCTTCTGAAAATTAAAATAATTTTCCTCTGGCTTGCTTTTGGCTTCATACAAACTTTGTTTTACTTTCCATCCCAAAGGTACTGTAATATATGTTTCAAAGCTTGTTGTAACGTTCTGCTCTACAGCTTCAGTCATAAAACTCAGTAAGCCAGCACAGTGGTAGTAGAATATCCCTGAAAGCCATTCCTACACAAGCAGAGCTAGCAATAACTACACCTTAACTCATCCTCTCCTTAGCCATATCTCCAAAATGATGACAGCTTCTTCAACACTACCCTCAGTGGTCAGGGAGAAGGTCAGAGTGGAAAGAGAGTGCACTTAACCTACTACAGCTAATTTTTTAAAAATAATATCAACTTATATTTTAGATTCAGGGGATACATGTGCAGGTTTGTTACGTGGGTATATTATGTTAGGCTGAGGTTTGGGGTACTGTTGAATCCATCACCCAGGAAGTTATCATTGCACCCAACAGCTAGTTTTGGGAGTTTTTTGTTTGTTTGTTTTTTAAATTAACAGCTAGTTTTTCAACCTTTGTCTCCCTCCTTCCCTCCCCCCCCGTCTAGTAGTACCCAATATTTACTGTTGCCATCTTTATGTCCATTGAATACTCAATGTTTAGCTCTCACTTACAAGTGAGAACATGTGTATTTGGTTTTCTGTTCCTGCTTTAATTCACTTGGGATAATGGCCTCCAGCTGTATCCATGTTGCTGCAAAGAACATGGCTTTGTTCTTTTTTATGGCCAGCATTGTAAATATTTTTTACGTTTACAAGTTTTACCAAAATATATAAGCATGTAAACACATCTCTAGGGTTCCTCCAGGCCTTTGAAAAGGATATAATAAAATAATAAAAATTAAGCTTCATTCGCTTTGTGATAAATCTGCCTCAATATTCAATAAACAATTTGTTGAATAAGTGAGTGAATAAATGAACAAAATAATTTTCCTTGCAGAAGGCAGCCAAACTTTTGTGAACTGTATAACATTAGCAATGAAAGAATGTTTGGCGAAGTCCTTGGGACCCTTTCTTTGCTGACATATATGATGTTTGTTTTTAATCAATGTCATTTTAGTTGGAAATGATAAATTTCCTCTCACCTGATTGAAATAATTGGGGCTGTTATTTTTCCTTTCAGCACTTTCAGCAATCCAAAAAAGGAGGAAATAAAATTAGTCCACCTGGTTCGATAGAGAAGAAATGTTTCAAATACTAAGACTAACATCTATCCCTTAGCAAAGGAAGGTGAAGAAGCCATTCAAGATACCAACAGTGGATACACAGACTTATTAAAATGTGTACATAAAAACTCTAGTCATGTTTAAGGTGTAAATGGCTGACAATAGTCATTATTCATCTATCAATAATCTATCTTCTGTCTGTCATCATCTATCAATCCATCTGTCTATCAAACGTTAATCTGTCTTTGTATTCCCAGCTTTCCTTTCCATCCACTTGTTTATAATCTAAGTAACTTCTGAGTATTCACCCATCCTCCTCTCCCTGCCCCCTACCCCCTCACCAATTTATATGTTTCAAGTGGAACTTGTGACCCCTTTCTGGCTCACCAGGTTATTCTGTCACTCCTGTTATAGTAATTGGTCTACAAATGGGCATGAAGACCTAGCTGGGCCAAGCAGAGTCAGCCCTGTGACTTTCTGGCACTACTGGGGAAGAGGAGCTTTCTGCTAAAGTTGTTCATCTGGTAGAATATAAAGCAGACACTGAGAAACACTCTTGCCACTATGTGGAGAGAGGCTGCCTTAGGATGAAGTTAACACAAAAAAATGCATAGTTGAGAGATGGTGTGTAAGTCCATTTTACGTTGCTCTAAAAGAATACCACAGACTGGGTAATTTTTAAAGAATAGAAGTTTATTTGGCTCATGGTTCTGAAGGCTATGAAGTCCAAAAGCTTGGCATGGCACCTGGTGAGGGGCCTTTCTGCTGTATCACCCCAAGGTAAAAGGTGGAAGGGCAAGACAGCGCAAGAGTGAGCAATCAAGAAAAGGTTGAACTTGCTTTTATAACAACTCAGTCTCAACGTAACCCTTCCCTGAAATAACAACAGTAATCCACTAATGAGAGCAAAGCCCTCAGCCCTCATGACCTAATCACCTCTTAATGGTCCCACCTCTTTTTTTTAATTTTTAATTTTTGTTGGTACATACTAGGTGTATGTATTTATTGGGTACGTGAAATGTTTTGATACAGGCATATGCAATGTGAAATAAGCACATCATGGAGAACAGGGTATGCATCTGTCAAGCATTTGTCTTTTGTTTTACAAACAATCCGATTACACTCTTTTAGTTATTTTGAAATGTACAGTTAAATTATTATTGACTATAGTCCTGCTGCTGTGCTATCAAATACTGCATCTTATCTATTCTTTCTATTTTTTTAACCCATTAACCATCCTCACCTCTCTCTCACTCCCTGACCACCCTTCTCAGCCTCTGGTAACCATCCTTCTATTCTCTATCTCCATGAGTTTAATTGTTTTTATTTTTAGATCCCACAAATAAGTGAGAACATTGAATAGTTGTTTTTCTGTGCCTGGTTTATTTTACTTAACATAATGATCTCCAGTTCCATCCATGTTGCAAATGACAGGATCTCATTCTTTTTATGGCTGAATAGTAGTACTCCATTGTGTTCAAGTCCTACATTTTCTTTATAGATTCACCTGTTGATGGAAATTTAGGTTGTTTCCAAATCTTGGCTATTGTGAACAGTACTGCAACAAATATGGGAGTGCAGATATCTCTTTGATATTCTGATTTCATTTCTTTTGGTTAGATACCCAGCAGCGGGATTGCCAGATGGTATGGTAGCTCCATTTTTAGTTTTTTGAGGCACCTCCAAACTGTTCTCCATAGCGGTTGTACTAATTTACATACCCACTAACAGTGCTTAAGGGATTCCTTTTCTCCACATCCTCACCAGCATTTGTTATTGCCTGACTTTTGGATAAAAGACATTTTAACTGGGCTGAAATGATATCACATTGTGATTTTGATAGGCATTTCTCTGATGATCAATGATGTTGAATACCTTTTTATATGCCTGTTTGCCAATTGTATGTCTTCTTTTGAGAAATGTCTATTCAAATCTTTTGCCCATTTTTTGATCAGTTATTAGATTTCTTTTCCTATAGGGTTTTTTTCCTTATATATTCTAGTGTTCAATCCCTTGTCAGATGAGTAGTTTTCAAATATTGTCTCCAATTCTGTGGGTTGTTTCTTCACTTTATTGATTGTTTCCTTTGCTGTGCAGAAGCTTTTTAACTTGATGTGATCCCATTTGCCCATATTTGCTTTGGTTGCCTGTGATTGTGGGTATTGCTCGAGAAATTTTTGCCCAGACCAATGTCCTGAAAACTTTCCCCTATGTGTTCTTACAGTAGTTTCATGGTTAAAGGTCTCAGAGTTAAGTCTTTAAGCAATTTTTTTTTTATTTTTGTATATGGCAGGAGATAGGGGACAAGTTTCATTCTTCTGCTATATAGATATTCAGTTTCTCCAGCACAATTTTTGAAGAGACTGCATTTTCCCTAATGTATGTTCCTGGCACATTTGTCGAAAATGAGTTCACCGTAGGTGTATGAATTTTTTTCTGGTTTCTCTGTACTGTTCCATTGGTCTATG
The DNA here is from genome assembly GCF_000001405.40 of Homo sapiens. Lineage (NCBI taxonomy): Eukaryota > Metazoa > Chordata > Mammalia > Primates > Hominidae > Homo > Homo sapiens. The sequence continues at coordinate 79,885,890 of NC_000006.12, read as the reverse complement.
TATCTGGTTTTTTGTTTGTTTGTTTGTTTTGTTTTGTTTGTTTGAGACAGAGTCTAGCTCTGTCACCCAGGCTGGAGTGCAGTGGCACGATTTCGGCTCAATGCAACCTCCGCCTCCAGGGTTCAAACGATTCTCCTGCCTTAGCCTCCCGAGTAGCTGGGATTATAGGTGCACACCACCACACCTGGCTAATTTTTGTATGTGTCTGTTTTAAGCCAGTACCATGCTGGTTTGGTGACTATAGCTCTCTCATATCACTTGAAGTCAGGTGATGTGATTCCTCTAGTTTTGTTCTTTTTGCTCAGGATAGCTTTGAGTATTCTGGGTCTTTTGTGATTCCATATAAATTTTAGGATTATTTCTTCTATTTCTGTGAAGACTGTCCTTGGTATTTTGATAGAGATTGTATTAAATCTGTAGATTGCTTTGTGTAGTAAGAACAATTTAACAATATTTACTCTTCCAGTCCATGAACATGGACTCTCTTTCAAATTTTGTATCTTCTTCAATTTCTTGAATCAATGTCTTATCGTTATCATTGTAGAGATCTTTCACTTCACTGGTTAATTCCGTCATATTTTATTTTATTTGTAGCTATTGTAAATGAAATTACTTTTTTGATTTCTTTTTCAGAATGTTCACTGTAGGCATATAGAAATGCTACTGATATTTGTATGTTGATTTTGTATCATGCAACTTGACTGAATTTGTTTATCAGTTCCAATAGTTTTTTGGTAGGGAGTCTAGATTTTTCCAAACATGAGATCATAACATCTGTAAACAAGGATAATTTGCCTTCTTCCTTTCCAGTTTGGGTTCCCTTTATTTCTTTCTCTTGTCTGATTCCTTTAGCTAGGACTTCCAGTAATATGTTGAAAACAATGGTGAAAGTGGGTATCCTTGTTGTGTTCTAGACCTTAGAGGAAAGTCTTTCAGTTTTCCCTCATTCCATATGATACTTGCTGTGGGTCTGTCATATATGATTTTTATTATGTTAAGGTATATTCCTTCTATACTCAGTTTTTGGGGGTTTTGATTATGAAGGGATATTGAACTTTAGCAAATGTTTTTCAGTACCAATTGAAAAAAATCTTATGATTTCTGTCCTTCATTCTGTTGATATAATGCATTATATTGATGATTGATTTGCATATGCTGAGCCATGCTTGAATCCCTGGTATAAATCCCACTTGCTCATGATGAATAATCTTTTCAATGTATTGTTGAATTGAGTTTGCTAGTATTTTGTTGATGATTTTTGCATAAATATTACTTGGAGATAGTGGCCTGTAGTTTTCTTTTCTTTTTGATGTGTCTTTGTCTGGTTTTGGTATCAGAGTAATACTGGCCTCACAGAGTGAGTTTGGAAGTATTCCCTCCTCCATTTTTTGGAATAGTTTGAGTAGGACTGATATTAGTTCTTCTTTAAATGTTTAGTAGAAATAAGCAGTGAAGACATCAAGCCCTGGGCTTTTCTTTACTGGAAGACATTTTTATTATGGCTTCAATCTCATTACTTGTTATTGGTCTGTTCACATTTTGGGTTTCTTCATGGTTCACTCTTGTTAGGTTGTATGTGTCTAGGAATTTATCCTTTCCTCTAGATTTTCCAATTTATTGGCCTATAGTTGCTCATAGTAGCCACTAATGATCCTTTTGATTTCTCTGGTATCACTTGTAATGTCTCCTTTTTCATCTCTGATTTTATTTACTTGAGTCTTCTCCCTTGTTTTCTTTACTAGTCTGGCAAGATGTCAATTTTGTTTATCTTTCAAAAAACCAACTTCTTGTTTCAATGATCTTTTGTATTGTTTTCTTCATTTCAAAATTACGTATTTCTGTTCTGATCTTTATTATTTCTTTTCTTCTACTAATTTTGGCTTTGGTCTGCTCTTGCTTTTCTACTTCTTTTTTTTTTAACTTTTATATGTGGGTGTTATATAAGTAAACTCATGTCATGGGGGTTTGTTGTACAGATTATTTTGTCACACTATTACTAAGCCTAGTACCCAATAGTTTTTTTTTTTTATACTTCTCTCCCATCTTCCACTCCCCACCCTCAGGTAGGCCCCTGTTTCTGTTGTTTCTCTTTGGGTTCATGCGTTCTCATCATTTAGTTCCCACTTATAAGTAAGAACATGTGGTATCTGGTTTTCTGTTCAGGCATTAGTTTGCTAAGAAGAATGGCCTCCAGGTTCACCCATGTTTCTGCAAAGGGCTTGATTGCACTCTTTTTTATGGCTGCATAGTATTCCATGGTGTATGTGTACCACGTTTTCTTTAACCAGTCTATCATTGATGGGCATTTAGGTTGATTCCATGTCTTCGCTATTGTGAAGAGTGCTGCAATGAACATACACCTGCTTGTGTCTTTATGGTAGAATAAGTTTTATCCCTTTGGGTATATACACAGTAATGGGATTGCTGGGTCAAACAGTAGTTCTGTTTTTAGCTCTCTGAGGAATCACCACACTGCTTTCCACAATGGCTGAACTAATTTAGACTCTCACCAGCAGTATATAAGCATCATTTTCTCTGCAATCTCACCAGCATCTGTTATTTTTTGACTTTTTAGTAATAGCCATTCAGACTAGTGTGTGATGGTATCTCACTGTGGTTTTGATTTGCATATCTCTAATGAATGGCGATATTGCACTTTTTAATATATGCTTGTTGGCCACATGTATGTCATCTTTAGAAAAGTGTCTGTTCATGTCCTTTTCCCACTTTTTAATGGGGTTGTTTGTTATTTCTTGGAAATCTGTTCATGTTTCTTACAGGTGATGAATATTAGACCTTTGTCACATGCAGAGTTTGTGAATATTTTCTCCCATTCTGTAGGTTGTCCATTTATTCTGCTGATAGTTTCTTTTGCTGTGCAGAGCTCTTAAGTTTGAATAGATCCTGTTTGTCAATGTTTGCCTTTGTTGCAATTGCTTTTGGCATCTTCATCATGAAATCTTTGCCCATTCCTATGTCCAGAATGGTATTGCCTAGGTTGTCTCCCAGGGTTTTTATAGTTTTGGGTTTTACATTTAGGTCCTTAAGCCACCTAGAATTGATTTTTTTATATGAATTAAGGAAGGGTTCCTGTTTCAACCTTCTGTATGTGGCTAGCCAGTTATCCCAGTATCATTTATTAAATAGGGAGTCCTTTCCTCATTGCATATTTTTGTCAGTTTTGTCAAAGATCAGATGGTTGTAGGTGTATGACTTCATTTCTGGGCACTCTATTCTGTTCTATTGGTCTATGTGTCTGTTTTTGTACCAGTGACATGCTGTTTTGGTTACCATAGCCCTGTAATATAGTTAGAAGTCAGGTAGTGTGATGGCTTTTCTACTTCTTTAAGATATATTATTAGGTTATTTTTTGAAGTTTTTCTTTTTTGATGTAAGCACCTATAACTAAAGATTTCCCTCTTAATACTCCATTGCTATATCCCATAGGTTTTGGTATGTTGTGTTTCTGTTATTATTTGTTTCAAAAATTTTTCAATGTCCTTCTTCATTTCTTCATTGACTCATGGGTTATTCAGGAGTATATTGTTTAATTTCCATGTTTTTCTATAGTTTCCAAAGTTCCTCTTGTTTCTGATTTTTAGTTTTATTCCGTTGTGGTCAGAAAAGATGCTTGCTATTATTTCAATTTTTTGAATGTTTTAAGACTTGTTTTATGACCTAGCATATAGTCTATCATTGAGAATGATCCATGTGCTGTGGAGAAAAATGTTACATAACATCTGAATGAAATGTTACGTTTACAATTGTTATATCCTATTGCTGCATGACCCCTTTATCATTATATAATAACCTTCTTTGTCTCTTCTTACAGTTTTGGTCTTGAAATATATTTTGTCTGATATAAATATAGCCACTCCTGCTCTTTTTTTGGTTTCTATGCATGGAGATCTTTTTTAATTCCTTTATTTTTAGTCTATGTGTATCTTTATGGGTGAAGTGTGTTTCTAGCAGGCGAGAGATCGTGGTTTTTTTTTTTTTTAAATCCATTCAGCCACTCTATGTCTTTTGATTGGAGAGTTTAGTTCATTTATATTCAATGTTATTATTCATAAAGTAGGGACTTACTCCTCCCATTTTATTATTGGTTTTCTGGTTGCTTTGTGGTCTTCTCTTCCTTCCTTCCTTCTTTCCTGTCTTCCTTTTAGTGCAGATGATTTTCTCTGGTGGTATAATTTAATTTCTTACTTTTTGTTTTTAGTGTATTCATTGTATGTTGTTCAATTTGAGGTTACTGTGGAGATTGCAAATACTATCTTATAACCCATTATTTTAAATTGATGGCAACTTAACATTGATTCTGTAAATAAACACACAAAAGGAAAAGTAATAAAAACTCTACATTTTAACTTTATCCTCCGCTTTTTTTTTTCTTTTGAGACGGAGTCTCACTCTGTCGCCCAGACTGGAGGGCAGTGGCATGATTTCGGCTCACTGCAAGCTCCGCCTCCCGGATTCACGCCATTCTCCTGCCTCAGCCTCCGGAGTAGCTAGGACTACAGGAATCCTCTGCTTTTTAACTTTTTGTTGTTTCTATTTATATCTTATTATACTGTCTATGCCTTAAAAAGTTGTAGTTACTATATTTGATTGGTTCATCATGTAGTTTGTTTGTTGGTTTGTTTGTTTGTTTTGAGATAGAGTCTTGCTCTGTTGCCCAGGCTGGAGTGCAGTGGCACGATCTCAGCTCACTGCAACTTCCGCCTCCCGGGTTTAAGCGATTCTCGTGTCTCAGCCTCCTGAGTAGCTGGGATTACAGGCGCCTGCCACCACGCCTGGTTGATTTTTGTATTTTTAGTAGAGACAGGGTTTCACCATGTTGGCTAGGCTGATCTCAAACTCCTGACCTCAGGTGATCCACCTGCCTCGGCCTCCCAAAATGCTGGGATTACAAACATGAGCCACCACACCCGCCCTATCATGTAGTCTTTGTACTTAAGATAATAGTACTTTATACATCAGCGTTACAATGTTACAATATTGTGTTTTTCTGTGTGCTTATCATTACCAGTAAGTTTTGTAGCTTCTTATGATTTCTTCTTGCTTGTTAACATCATTTTCTTTCACACTGAAGAACTCCCTTTAGCATTACTTGTAGGGCAGGTCTGATATTGATGAAATCCCTCAGTTTTTGTTTGTCTTGGAAGGTCTTTATTTCTCCCTCATGCATGAAGGGTATTCATACTGGATATACTGTTCTAGGGTGATTTTTTTTTTTCATTCAGAACTTTAAATATGTCATGCCACTCTCTCCTGGCTCTTTTTAGATTTCCACTAAAAAGTCTGCTGCCAGAGGTACGGGAGCTCCATTGTATGTTATGTTTTCATTTTCTCTTGCTGCTTTTTGGATTCTTTCATTATCATTGACCTTCAGGAGTTTGATTAGTAGTGCCTTGAGGTAGTCTTCTTTTGGGTTAACTCTGCTTGGTGTTCTATAACTTTCTTGTACTTAATTGTCAATATCTTTCTCTAGATTTGGGAAGTTCTGATATTATTCCTTTGAATAAAGTTTCCATCCCTGTCTCTTTTTCAACCTCCTCTTTAGGGCCAATAACTCTTAGATTTGCCCCTTTGAGTCTATTTTCTAGATCTTGTAGGCATGCTTCATTGTTTTTTATTCTTTTTTCTTTTGTCTCCTCCGACTGTGTATTTTCAAATAGCCTTTCTTCAAGCTCACTAATTCTCTCTTCTGCTTGCTCAATTATGCTGTTACGTTACTTTGATGTATTCTTCAGTATGTCAGTGGCATTTTTCAACTCCAGAATTTCTATTTGATTCTTTTTATTTATTTCAATCATTTTTAAATTTATCTGATAGTATTCTGAATTCCTTTTCTGTGTTATCTTGAATTTCTTTGAGTTTCCTCAAAACAACTATTTTGAATTCCCTGTCTGAAAGGTCACATACCTCTGCTTCTCCAGGATTGGTCCCTGGTGCTTTATTTAGTTCATTTGGTGAGGTCCTGTTTTCCTGGATGGTGTTGATACTTACAGTTGTTCAGTATCTGGACACTGAAGAGTTAAGTATTTATTGTAGTCTTCTCAGGCTTGTTTGTGCCTGTCCTTCTTGAGAAGGCTTTCCAGGTATTTGAAAGGACTTTGGCCTTAAGCCCAATTTTGCTGTGGTTTTTGCAGACTCATAGAGGTACCACCTTGGCAGTCTTGAATAAGACACAGAGGAATTTTCTGGATTACCAGGAAGAAACTCTTGTTTTTTTCCTTTACTTTCTCTCATATGGAGTCTCTCTCTCTCTCTCTCTCTCTCTTTCTGTGCATGTGTGTGTGTGTGTGTGTGTGTGTGTGTGTGTGTGCACACTGAGCTACCTGGAACTGGGGATGTGGTGATGTAAGCATCCCTGTGGCCACACCACTGAGACTGCATTGGGTCAGACCTGAAGCCAGCATAGCACAAGATTTTGCCCAAGGCCTGCTGTAACCACCCCCTGGCTACCATCTTTGTTCACTCAATGACCTAGGGCTCTAAAATCAGCACATGGCAAGGCCAGCCAGGCTGGCTCTTCAGGGTGGTGAGGTCCTCTAGGCCCAAAGCAGATCCAGAGATGCTCTCTAGTGGCCAGGGATTGCAGTTAAAAACCTTAGAAATTTGCCTGATGTTCTATTCTACTATGGCTAAGCTGGCACTCAAACCACAATATAAAGTTCTTCCCATTTTTTCTTCCCCTTTCCATAGGCAGAGGAGCCTCTCCTTGTTGGCACCATCCTACTGGCCCATGGGGGTGGGGAGTGGTCTGACAGGCTACTACTGATGTTCACTTAAAGCCTAAGGGCTCTTCAGTTAGCTTGTGGTGAATGCTGCCAGGCCTGAGACTCAGCTTTCAGGGAAGTGGGTTCCCCTCTGGTCCAGGGCAGGTCCAGAAATGCTGTCCAGGAGCCTAGGCCTGAACTCGGGGATCTCAAGAGTCTTCTAGTTGCTCTATCCCATTGTGGCTGAGCTGGCACCTAAAGTGCATGACAAAGTTCTCTTTATTTTTGCCTCTGCTTTTCTCAAACAGAAGGAGTTTTACACTGTAGCCACCACAACTGGGGCTGTGCTAGGTTACACTTGTAGTTAGCATGTTTCAGATGCCTTATCTTACTGAGTCTGAGCTGGTATCCAAGATGCAAGGCAAAGTTCTCTTTACTCTTCGCTCTCCTCACCTTAAGCAGAAGGAAGGAGACACATTTGTTGCTGTGAGCTGTTTTGCCTCAGGTTGAGGGAGGACTGGCGCAAGCATTCCCTTAGCTACTCCAGCTGGTGTCTCTCTAGGTCACATGCCACCCCAGTCCTCTGGCTCTAAGCCCAGCCCAGCACTAGGAGTTGCCTAGGAATTGCAGTCCCTGTGTCCTAGACTGTCTTTCAAGTTTACCTAGAGCCCCAGAACCCTCTGGCCTGCTGTGGTGAGGCTTGCCAAGAAATTTGAGTTCTGACTTATGGAATGTGTGATTCCCCTCTGACTAGGTCTGCTCCAAATGCACCTTCCATGTGCAGTCAGTGGCTGAACCTAGCATGGCTTTGCTTTCTGCTATGACAGGTCAGCACTGAGTTCAGGGTAAAGTACGCCAGTCACTGCACTCTCTCTCTCTCCGAAGTGCATAGACTCTGTGCTACACGGCCACTGCCAGGGCTGGAGGAGGAATGATGTCGGCAACTCAAGGCTGTCTCTTCAACCCTTTTCAATGCCTCTGTCAACAACATGAAGTTAAAACCAGGTACTGTGATTGCTCACCTGATTTTTGGTTCTTGTGATGGTGCTTTTCTGTGTGTAGACAGTTGTGAAAATTTGGCATACCTGCAGGGGGTACATATGTTGCAGGTTTCTATTCTACCATCTTACTCTGCCTCCCAGCCCCGTCTCTTAATACCATCACAATGACAACTAAATTTCAACATGAGATGTGGAGGGAGCATTCAAACCATGTCAGATGGCAATAGAGAGAAAATATCTTGCTAACATTGTCTTGGATCAAACTGTGACTGAAGTCAACTGCACTCTGGCCATACCAGTTATGTAATACAATGATTCCCTTTCCTAACTTCAAACTTTTCTGTCACTTGCCACCAAAAGTTAGCTAAATAATAAATTGATTTTATACATGTGAGCATGAGAATGTTCAAGTATCATGCAAAAAGCATAAAGGTCTTAGGGGAAACTGTGTCCTTATTCATTATCTTTTACTAAGATTTAACACTGGGCTGAGAACCAGGGTCATTCATTTATTACCAAGGGCCATTCTAATAGAAACAATTGGTGACCTGGCATTCCCACGAGTTTGAAATAGCATAGTCCAAATATGTTAGTGTATACATGTGTGCACATGCATGTGTATATGTGTGTACCTCAATTTTGAAACAGTCCTGGAAAGTCTATTACAGTGGAAAGGTAAGGGGATGTCTAAGTTTGAAATGAGGGGTAGAAGCATATTTAACAATTTGCCTTGCGCCTAGTATGACTGGAATATAAACTCTAAAAAGGATTTCTTTTAATTATGCTGAAATTGCTTACTGTCAAGCAACAAGTTCCCCCCCGGAGATAAATCTTAAAGCCTTAAGCTACTCTCACTCTTAAAACAGGTTTATAATTTATTCCTTTCATTCTTAGGCCTCCTTACCTCCCCTTTACCAGCTACCAACAAGTTGCTTCCTTTCGGATGCCTTTTCCTAGGGTCCTTTGGAATTCCTCAAGTTTTTTTCCAGCCTGCTGTTTCCAACGCAAACACACAAACTCTTTTCTTCCTGCAGGAGTTTTTTGTAGTAGGTTTTCTTATAGACTATAAGAAAGTAGGTGAAAAAGCACAGAAAACATTGGGTTGGTTCCTGCAAAACCATGGGAACTCTCAACAAGCATAAACAGCATCAGTTTCTCCACTTCACTGGCATGTGGGCAGAATTGGCTGGCTGTGTCCTAGCTTCTTCCTTATCTTCTTTTCTGGATGGTCCCTTTACCCTCATTTCACAACTCTTCCATGTCTAAGGCGGGGATGTGATATCATTTTCCCTCCTTCCTCAATGAGCACCAGGTCTTTCCAGATGATTGTGTGCTCTGCTTTGGACCCCGAGATCTGCATGGTGCCTCAGAGCTTACTCTCAAAAGGGGCCCATCCTGGAGGTGTCTGATGTCTAAGTGCTCTTTGCTATCCAAAGGAAAAGAAGCCCAGTTACTCCCTGACATATATAGGAAAACCATTGCCTTTCTTTCCAGGTAGCAAAAATACTGTTATGCTCCTTTGGAGATGGGGATTTTTAACCTCCATTTGTCTCTGCTTCTAAATTTCCAAAATAATAGTACTGACATTAGATCATTTTTGTGAGGATTAAATGAGTTAATTTAGATAGCATGCCTATCCTGTGTGCTCTCTCTAGGCTAGCTCCTCTGTTATTTTAGTGTCTTCTTTTCTTCCAGGGAAGTATGAATTAAAAAGCATTGTTTCAGATTTCCTTTTCTGGCTATGAGTTTCTAAAACAAAGATTTTTTTTCTTCTTTTTTCTTCTCTCCTCTGTATTCTTTCCTCTTGACCTGACTCTGTATCCTTTCCCCTTGACCTGACTCTAGATTGTGCTGGCAATAGAGTTGTCCACACCCAAAAGGCTCTCCTCCTCACCTATTAATAAGGCTTCCATTGTGCACCATAAGAATGTTTTTATTAGTATAAGTAGTATCCTCAAAGGTATTTAACTATCAAAGCTATCAAAACTGCAAATGAATCATTTATTTGTGTGACCAATATGTGCAGAAATGCTTGCAGAGAAAAGACTAATCTACAAGGAAATTTAAATGACACCACCACTCCTTTTACTGGGGAAAAGACATTTTGGTTTCTGGTGCTAGTTGTTGTATTACAAATTATATATATATATATGGCAAAAGACCTTGAACAAGATAACTTGTGGCGTTGGAATACTGGTTATTTGTGACATTAAAAAATAACTTGACTTTTTTGGTGTGCAATAATGTTATTGTGATTGCAATTTTAGACTGATCCTTAAACTTTTAGAAACACAAAAATATGTATGAGTAAAATGACACAGTATCTGGTGGTTGCTTTGCAATATCCAGTGTGTGTGTGGGAAAGTGGGTGGAGGTACACACAAAACAAAATTGACAATGAATTGATAATGGTCCAACTTGGGTGATGACTACACTGGAGTTCATTACCCTTCTCTCCCTACCTTTGCCTATGTTTAAAATTTTCCATGATTAAAAGCTTAAAAAGAACCATTCTATGTCAAAATGAGAAGAACCAAGTTAGATCTCTGGTTTCCTCCTATTATGGAGCTTATTTTAAGTTTAAATTCCAACAATGTGTGTATGTGTGGGGTACGGGTGGGAGGTCTTCCTTCTACACAGGCTGTATCATCCACATCTCGGGCATGAGGGCTTTGGACCCTGTAGTCATGCTGCTCTTCTTAAAGCATAGCTAAAAGAAGTGATATTTACGGAAGATAAGTCTCATTCCACTTGATCTCCCAGAATCATTTTATATCATTGACACCCAACTTCTCCTTTCTTTCCGATCCTTTTGCAAAACACTCATTTCTTCTTCAGTCTCTGACTCTGTTTTCTCTAGCTCCTGCCAGCCATCAAATAAGTTGTACCTCTTTGTTTTGTCCTTGGTCCTCTTCTTTTTCTCCATGCACCTTTAATTGTGGATCTTCCCAATTCCAGGGGTTCAGCTATCATTTCATTCATTTAACTGGTGTTTTATTCCACTTCGGTTATATGGCTTGGAATCTACTTTGATTTGTTAGACTTGCAGTTAATTAATTTGTTCATTGATTAATTCATTTGTCAAACTTTTAAGACCTTCTACTACGCACCAGACACCAGGTTGAACACAGAAGATACGGAGCTGAATAAGAAATGATTCTTCTCTCAAAAATTTCACAATAATATGCTAATGTTTCCTGTTTCACAAGCTCTGAACTCTTTCCTAAGATCTAGATAAATGAAATTGCCAACTGGATGGTTTGTTTGCTCTTCAAACTAGCATGTCAGAAAAGAGTCTGGCTTTACCCCTCAGCCACCCCTACTCACATTTGTTTTTCACCATTTCTATTAGTGTCCTCAGCACCCCAGCACCAAATTATCTTCCTCCTTTTCTCGTCTTCCCAGCCTTGATTCCTCATCTTTCTCTACACATACCTCACACTTTAGTCAATAGCTCTGTCCTGAGCACACCCAAACTCTTCCCAGTCTTCCAGTATCAAGACTACTTTTAAGATCTGCTTCCTTGCAATGAGTTTCGTGTAAATTAGAATGCACATTGTGACAATATTAACTTTTATTGTCAACTTCTGTTCCTACCGTAAATGCATTTTGTAATGAATCTTCTCTCTATGGCTGTCCATGGAGGATATATTATCATTTTGTTTTACATGTGAAGAAATCAAGTGACTTGCCCATGATTATACTACTGGCAAGGGTCAGGGTCAGAAAAACAGTTTGCCAGTTTCCCAAGTATGAATCCTTTTCAGTGCTTGACGATCGTGAAGCAAGTTCTTAGCTTCTCTCAGCAGCATTTCCCAAAGGGTGTTCCTTGAGATGCTACTTGATGCTATTCAACAAACAAAGAATCCTACAGACAAATGAATTTGGGAAATGATAAGAAATTAAAACCGGCTTCTTTTCTGCTAGTATTCTCTGAATTTTTAACATGCTAATGAAGTGCATTGTGAATATATAATGCATAATATTTTATATAGCACTTTCTGAAGATGACCTAATTACCACAGAACCATTACTTCACAGCCTCTCTCAGACTTGTTTTATTCAGAATAAATCAGAGAAAATGTCTTTTAAAGAAAGGGAGCTTGGGGGTCACAGCACTAGTTCATATTCTCTTAATTTCACTTGACATGAGAAATCTTCACCTTAATATTTCCTGGTTGACCATTCAACAAGCTTGTTATGAATTCAATTACACATCAGTTTCAACCTTTGTCAAAAGCTTTTCTTAGGAGGCTCAAGGAGGTGCCTCACCTTCTGGCAGAGAACTAGTGAGTCTGTGTTTACATTCTCAGGAAAATCATATTATTAATTAATAAGAACTTCTACTTTTTTAACACTGCTAAATTCAAGACACTGGAGCACTTATCTCACTTAATCCTCAAAACTATTCTGGGGAGTAGGTACTAATGTGACCTCTATTTCACAAATGGGAAAGCAAAGGCTCAGTAGTACATGCAAGTAAGCCTATGACCACCATAATAGTGATAAGCTTAAGGCTCATCACCAAGTCTCTCTGATCAGAGCCCGTGCTTTTAGCCTTATATTCTTATATCCTGACTCATTATCAACATATTTAAAAATAGGTGAATGTGATTGAATGATAGAAAAAGAATGTACCAGGAGACAGCCATGTCTGTATCCACCTCATGATATTTATAGCTCCTAGCACAGTGCTTAGCATGTAGGAGGTGTTTAAGAAATCTCTGTTGAACAGAAATTAAGTTGAATGACAGTATGGAGCCTTATAAGGGAGGTATATAGAAACAAGAGAACACACTTTGAAAAAGAGCATCAATTAAACAACATAGTATCTTCATTGTGAACATGTGAAGAAAAATCACATCACTCTTTGGAATGACTGGAATGATTCTGAGAGCTACTTGTTTCACCAGGGTCATAGTTTCCCTGTTGGCTTATTGAGCTAGAGAACAAGATGCTGCAGCTAAGCTGTCATCATCGCCTCTCTTTGTTGTTGCTCTTTTATTACATGTTTCAGTTGCAGCAGCAGGGATGAATCAGGCATACTTACACAATCTTGAGTTTCCTGAAGGAGAATTGCCTGTTAGTCGTATATCAACTACTCACCTGCCCAACCAGTGAAGATTTAACCTTAGATATTGGAGCATGTGCACATGTCAGAAATGTAGACAGAGGATAAGTAAAGAAATAAAAAGAACATGTAAAATCATCTTCTAAGTAACTTATTCAGCTACAACCGAGAAAAATTACAAATGTTATGATCGTGTCTGCAAAAGGAAGTGGATAGGTGTATTTAGATGAGTTTCTTACACTGAGATAAGTAAGATAAGTTAAAGATAATGAAATTTATATGCTGGGGTGATGACTAAAGAAGGAAATCTTAATTACCCAAAAGAGTATGGATGGTATAAATCAACAAGGAGGGATAGAATTGGAAGGCCTAAGAGTTAAATAATTAGGAAAAACAACATATGATAAGAGAGAAAGGAGGAAATATCTAGTCAAACAACTTGAAACCGTCCTTGTTTGGTCTTAATATTAATCCTATTCAGTTGACTCTCTGATTCAGCAAGATGGGGCTCAAAGTTGAAGAGGTAACACAGCCTCTCTACCTCCTTTCAGTGTTCTGGATTTCTCATGAGTCAGTTGATGATACTCAGAGTGTGGTGCTGACACCATTCCCATTCACGTGTCCATTAAAGTAAACACCAGTGTGCACAGTGATCATTTTCACTGTGGGAACATCTGTAATCTGTTTTATTTTTATGTATTGACCTTAGTTTACCCAGACTCTTTATTCACAGGATTCAGAAGGTGTATCACACTAAAGTTAATGAAACCAAGCAGCTCTTATTCCCCCTTCTTCATAGCTCCTAGCATAGCATGAAACATGGTAAGCACTTAAAAAATGCTTGTTCAGAGAATGAGTAGAGGATCTAAATGACTGAAAGAACATAGAGTTAAAACAACCACTATTACATTTTGGTTCCAAAATTTTTCTTTTCATGAGATTAACTGTTCTTTGTACGGTCTGAGGTTCTTACCCCACATAACCTTTTATAATCCAATATAAAGTGGAATTACCAGATTTAAGGAGTTTACATCTCCACTGGGGCTATGTTATAAGCTGCCAAATGCCAGTGAAATGGCATAGAAAACACCATCAGAATTCTGACATATTGCTCTCTAGAAATACACCAGTTCATTCAATGAGTGCCTTATGTTCCTTTCCTAACATAATCTTATACAAATAATAATACAAATACTTGTTAGAAAATTACCTTAAGAATTTAGCCTAAGTGGTTGATTGGAGGAGGAATTAACATCAGATAACATCACATCTCCTGGGTTTCAAATTTGCCATGTTTGCTAAAAATTCAGATTCCAGGGCCCCATCCCAGTACTACTAGATCAGAATACCCAGGAGCTAAGGCCTGAAAGTGTGTGCATTTTAAAAGCTGAGAAAGATTTTGGAATCACTGCCCTTTCCTTTGTTATCTAAAGAACGTTATTTCTTTTTTATATATATTTTTAATTTAAAAACATTATACTTTAGGTTCTGCGATACATGTGCAGAACGTGCAGGTTTGTTACATAGGTATACACATGCCATGGTGATTTGCTGTGTCCACCAACCCATCATCTACATTAGGTATTTTTCCTAATGCTATTCCTTCCCTACCCCCCAACCCCCTGACAGGCCCTGGTGTGTGATGTTCCCCTCCCTGAGTCCAAGTGTAAAGAACCTCATTTCTAAAGGAATGAGCTATTGAGACCCAGGCTTCTGAGCTCAGACCTCCAGCGAAGAAAGGACAAAGCCCATTCACCCTTTGGTTGACCCTTCCATATTTTCCTTTGATGCTTCCTTTTTATTTCTAGCAAACATTTCCTATTTGATTCTGCTCGGAGGTATACAAACAGGCCTCCTCATATACTCAAGTACCAGCGCTGTATGTTGGAAAGAGTTGAATAAGGCAGATGTGCATTTGCATATTGGCTGTCTCTATGACCTTCGCCTAGTTACTTCACTTCTTTAAGCTGACATTTCCACATCTGCAAAAATGTGGGCAATAATAATAACATTACAGGGTTACAGTGAAGATTAAATTAGATAACAAGATATAGAGCCTGGAACATATTATCTTATGTAATTATTATTGCCTTCCTTATGTGTTATTTTTAAAAGTGTGAGTACCTAATGTCTCAATTTCCTGAGCAAATACCTGCCACCCGACTTTGTGAAATTACAGATAAGGGCTAACATGGTTACAGGATCCAGTGTATTTGCGTAGCAAGGCTAAGGGACAATCTATTTAAAAGGGGGCAACTTCCAGGGGCTTTGTCTTGAAACTGTAAAGCAAGACATTTGCTTTTGCTTAGATTCTGTGATCTTTGTTTGCGTGGCTTGAAAGAGACTAAAAGCTACCCTTCTCCCTAATCACCCCTTAATACTGCCATTGGTGGTAGGGGCCCCTATCACCAGAATTCTGTCATTAATATCTCTACCTTGCCTTGACTCCACTAAAGCCAATGAGTGTGGACATGGTTGTGATAGATACTCCTATTCATTCATTCAACAAGCAATCATGGAACACCTACGTTGCAGAAACTGTCCTTTAAGGAACTCAGATGGAACCTGCGAGTCATCTCTGGATTCTAGAACCCATGTTCTGGCTCCATGCCACTGCTGTAGACACTATCCTGTGTCATTAAACACTAAAAGCAGTGTTTTGTAAAGCAATCTCAGGTGTATCAATCCCTCATCGGCTGGCGCAGACCTCCAGCCATCCATTTCCTAAGTTTAACAGAGGAACTAAAATTCCAAGACCCAATTCCACAGTCGTTGATGAGCATAAGCACTTCAGCCATCATCTCCTCTGCGATGAAGTGGTCATTCTCTGAGGGTAGGAATAGGTTTCTTCTTTGTTTTTAATTCCAAGCCTGTAGTGTATTTCAATGTCAATTCATTTAAACTTATTTACTAGCTATCAGGCACAGGCACATCACAGAAGACAGATAAGCATCTCCACCTTCCAAAACTTGCTGTCTACATGAGTACTCTTTGACAAATTATTTGGGGTGAGTGGGGTTTCTTTAGCATGAAAATGACAACATCTATCAGTGTTTAGTGGTGAGTACAGCCCAGGGTTAGACATCAACTGTCAGCTTAGGCTGTTGTACAGAGGCATTTTTTTCCATTGTATTTTTAAGTGAAACAAGGGAAACTCCATTTCCGCTATTGGGAGTAAGGCCACTTTCTTGTGCAGGCCCCCACCGCAGCCCCTCCAGGAGAAAGTAGGTGAGCTCTCTCGGACGTGGCCTTTCCGGGGTTGGAGCCGGCAGCACCGCCCAGCAGGGCTTCCGCTCGGCGTGTGTGATGTCCTTGGCGGCCGCTAGAGGGAGGTGAGAGCCTGAGGCAGCAGCGCGAGGAGCCGCACCGCCCAGGCCACCTGGGCTCCAAGGCCCAGGACCTCGCGCCCTGGCTCAGCAGTCACTCAGCTAGATTTCGAATGCCCTGGAAAACAGCGTGAAAACAGAGTTCAATCAAAGATAGGGTTGCCAGGTAAAGTACGACAGCCCAGTTAAATCTGAATTTCAGATAAACAACAAATACAAATACTTTTTAAAAAATCGTTATCTGAAATTCATATTAAAATAAAATCCAGACTGGGTGCCCTGGACTTTTATTGACTAAATCTGGCAACTCTAACCAAAGAGCAAAGGGCCCTTGGAAAGACTGAAAGCCCTTTTAAGGTACAGAGGAGGGAAAGACAATATTTACTACCTGTTAACTGAATATTGGACAAAGTATTGCATCCCGTAGACTGGAAGAGGCTGTTCTTGTCACAGTTGGCAGAGACGCAGCCCTGCAGCCTGTGGCCTTGTCTAGGACAGACGTGAGGAAAGGTCCTCCCCACCTTAGAAAATTTCCTCCTTTATCTTCTCCAAGGCCGAATGCGTTGCTAAAGTCCTCTCTGTGTTCATTCAGGAATTTCTCCTAAAGATGCAATTATCAGAAGAACACAAACAAAGCAAAGAACACGAGCAAAATGCAAGCAAACACACACACACAAACACACAAAGAAAAATACACAGAAAAAGAAAAACACAAGTAAAGAACAGAAAAAAAAAAAAAAAAAAAGTCCGTTGACTTTTCCAGAGAGATTACTTGGCAGC
Source organism: Homo sapiens (assembly GCF_000001405.40). NCBI lineage: Eukaryota > Metazoa > Chordata > Mammalia > Primates > Hominidae > Homo > Homo sapiens. Next base: position 79,868,990 of record NC_000006.12, on the reverse strand, counting down.
TTGTTGGAAATAAGTACCAGCCTAGGAAAAACACATTAAAAGCCCAGGTGGAGAGGCAATAAAAAAGAAGGGAACAAAGCATCAAGATAAAAATGAGGGCCACAGAAAGAGTCTGCCGTTACTAATGCTACATCCCTGGTTAACAACAATATTGTCCAGGGCTGGAGCCTTTCAGAGGGTAGCTCACACCAAGTTAACAGAATGACATCTGAGCACCTGGAATGCCCCATCGTGATTGCTATTCATTGGTGGTAATAGTTTTCGCAGACTGAATAAACTCCATCAGTGAACGGAGCTCTACTGTCTTTTGGTCCTGAAGTGGAGATTAATTACAAGGGGCGTGTGCTCACCCGCAACCAGCTCCTCTCTCTTCACTGCTTGCTCGCTTTCCTTATTCAGAGTCACCAAAGGTACGGGGAATACTGAGAAGGTTCTTAGAACAAATATCTCCAGAAAGCTCATAAAAGGAGTCATTCCTCCTTTGCTTCCTTTTTCCCAAGGTCACGATCAAGCAAAAACTTCCTATTTGCAAGGAGAGGCTGCCTTAGCCTCGAGAGGAGGACATGTAAATTACTGACCTTGAAGACACTGCACTACCCTGCGGCACTGCAGACCTTTAAAAAAAAAAAACAACCCAAAAGACCAATGACGCTAATATCAAGTTAAATCAGCAGGGGGCACAATTTCTCCACAATGTGGTAAGCTGCTTTTTCTGATTAGAAGGAAAAATGCCTAAGCTGTTTCTTTGTGCTGTTTTGAATCGGCGTTACCTGATAATCCAAACATTAAAATGTCGTGCACAAATTCATTTTCCACAGAAACAGGCAACATAAGCCATCCAAAGGGAGTTGGCAAATTTACTGACAGTGCCTTGCTGATTATATCATTTCTGCATCCGTGAGTTTTTATTTTTTAAAATAAGCAACCATGGGGTGGGTGTGTTCAAAACTGTAAATACAAGCAGTGCTATGGAACCTGTGGCCACATATTTATTTAGAGTCTTTCTCTAGAAACTCCCAGCCTGACAGCGACTCCCGTTTTCTGGGTATCTAGGAAAGATGTCGTCTATTGATTTCATCAAGAATTGCAGCAGATACTTTCAGGGGCTGTGTTTTATAGCTGTCTTGCACATCTTCCAACACTTTGCGCACTCATAATGCCTCATAATCCAATTTATTATATTCTCTTTTTGATTTGTTAAAAAGAAAGAGAAATCAATGACCTTGTTTCTTAGGGTTTCCATATGTGTGACATGGAATGATCTAGCAATGCCCAAGTGTCGGCTCCTGTATTTGTACCTGGCCCTGGCTCAGTGCTGTTTGATATTACTGTATTTCTCTTGGCATTCATTTTACCACCTTTGGGGGGAAAAAAGTTAGGAATATCAGAAGAATTCAGGAAATCTTATCACTAAAGGGTTAAAGTGTTCTTCAAAATTATTACTGTTAAATGCAGTATTAATAACAGACTACAGTCATGTAGAACTCACTGTGTTTTAGGCTTGATTCCTTTGTATTTATTAACTCATCAACAAAAAAAGAAAGGGGTTAAGAAATTTGCCAAAATTCACTTATGTAGTAAGTGAGGCAGAAATTTAAACACATGCAGTTTGGCTGTAAACACTATGTGCAAGGTGTATGATTTAAAATTTTTAATTTTTAATAAGTAATAATTCACAGGTAGATTATTATTTTTAATTCATGGATTTTTAAAATAAAAATGTTATACGTTGAGTTTTGCTTCTATTCTATCCACCCGGTCAGCCCCCCTCCTTACAGTATACCTTTCCAGTACTTTATGCAGTTGCAAACCAAAACAAATACATATTCTTTTCCTCTTCTTTATGACACTATGGGCATCATAATGTGTTCACTATTCTGAACTTTTCTTCTGAGCCATCTATCCTGGATACCTTCCCACAATGTAACAGAGAGGCTGTCTTCATTCTTTTTCAGCACCTAGTGTTCCATTTTGAGGACATACTGCACTTTATTTAACCAGTCCTCTCTTTATGGAAATGGGTTGTTTCTTAGGCTATTACAAACAATACCATAACACATCACTTGTGCATGTCATTTTGTAACTGTGCAGAGATTTCCATAGGATAAACTCCCTGTTATAGGTTAATTGAGTTAAAGGGTGAAAGCATCTGTAATACTGTATGGAAACTGCTACATGGTCCCCTCTCAGAGCTGTACCACTTGGGTTCCTACAGAAATGTTGAAAGTGCCTGCTTTCCCACAGTCTCACTAACAGAGTATATTACAGAATTTTTGGATTTTTGCCAACACGATAAGTGAGAATGGCTTCTCACTTATCATTTCTTTGCATTTTTAAAAGTATGGGTAAGGTTGTGTGTCATCTCACTAAGGGTCATTTTTATGTGAACTGTCTGTTCATGTCCTCGCTCATTTATCTTTTGGCTGATTGATCTTTTTCATCTCAATTTATAACGGTTTACATATTAAGGAAATAAATCATATTTATATGATAAGAGTTGCAGATATTTTTCCTGGTTTGAATTTGCTTTTTACCTGTGTCTTTGTTTTGGACCATAAATGCACTTTTTATTTTGATGTGCTTCAATGAAGATATAGAACTTAATTACATTATTAATTATGCATGTTTTAAATAGTTTTTTGACAGCCATCAAGGAAGGTATAAATAGATTTTATTCAACAAAAACATGTTAAGAACTTACTACTGTGCATTCTACTTTGTGCTAAGTGTTTGGAACAAAACTGTTCCCCTGGAAAATTTCCTAATGTAGTGGGTAAGACAACTGTCTCAGTAAATAATTCCAGTGTGCCAGTGGTAAGCATTATAATAAACACATGAAAAAGAAAATTATTTTTAAGCAGCATCTTGAGGGATATTTAGGAGTTAGGTAGGAGAGAAGGAAAAGGTAGGCTAAGTTCTCATAGCCTAGCTCCTGAGGGATTAGTTCCTATCTTAGCATTTGAATAACTTTCTACCCTCCAGACAAAGTAGGTTGGCTTTTTCTTGTATCAATTTCCCAAACGCAGGCAATAATCCCAATTATCTCTTACTTAAACAAGATGGGATATAGTAGTACTCTTACCTGAAAGAAATTTATTTTATTTGGAATACTGCAAAGGTGGGTAAGCTTATGGTGGCATCAGACTCTCAATGTTCACATAATGTCATTTTGCTTCTAAACATTTGATGTTGTCAGGTAAGAAAAGGAAGGAGTTCAGGTGCTGGTGCATTTATAGTCCTTGATCGTGACAACTCTCAACTGTTTTCTTTCAGATTGGATTTACAGTTTCTGAAGAACTGGAAATTGTGTTTGCAATGCCCCAGTTATTCACTGGTCAGTTCAAATATGAGATATAATTGATGTGCAAGCAAGAAGAGATAGTAGAGTCAGCGACTGACAGGTCTTCCCTACTGAGCTGGGATAAGAGGCTGGGACTGGCAACACTGGTTCAAATGGCAGATACAACTTGTTGCCTATCCAACTTATACTCTTCTTATGTCCCACCAATGAAACTCATGTTTGGTTCAGAAAGGTAAGGAGACCAGCCCAAATGTGTACTCTGACGAGTCTGGTCTAGTGTAGGCCCATCATGCTGATCTAGCTCCTCTTTTTCAGAAACTATTTTTTTTTTTTTTAAGCTCAGGGTATTATGATCCTGTTATGGCCAATGGTGCACAAGGTGAAGTCTGCTGGAGTATTTCTGAGAGAGCTTTTGCTTTCATAATAAAGCAGACAGATGATGATTCCTGCTTTCACTGCTTCATCTTGCCTTAAATGCAGATGTGATTTGATATCCAGAACCAGAACAGCCATCTTAGGACGAAGATGACTGAGAAATTTTCGCAGTGGATCAGCCCTGACATCATGTCGCTGACTTAACAGTTGCCTGTGTCCTGACTTCTTGGCATGTGAGGAAAGGAGACATCCCTTCTTTCTTAAGCTGGTTGAGTTTTCTACCAAGCAGCCAGGCAGTCACTAAGCAATAGCATGGGGGCGGCTGCTAGCTTTGCTGGCCATATTTCTAGAGATTCGGCTGGTAAGGAGACAACAAGCCAAAATGGATTTAGCCAATCTATAACTCATATAGACAGCATAAAAGATCAGCATGGTGTCAGCTACCTGCCACCATTGTTCCACAGGATGACACCAAGCCAAGGAGGGAGATGATGGGGAGCACAAGCAGTGGGTCACTCCTCACCCTGTGACTGAGAAGTCAACAACTCTAGGCTCCAGCCAAGCACTTTTATAGTCTGCAACAGTTCCTGAAGAAGGGGGACAGATGGAAAGTCCCATACCTCACCAGAACCAGGAAAACAGATGGGAAATGACCTTGTGACAACCTCCCACAAGGTAGGGAGGTGAATGGCAACAGCCTTGACAGCACCGCACGGAACTGCCACTCATGCCAAATTCCTGAGAACATGACAAGGTGTTCGTTCACCAAGCCAAGTCAGGCTGCAGCTGAGCCTCACCTCCAGGGCCTGTGTGGAGACCTGCAAGGGTGCCAGGAAGCCATTCCCTTAAAAATTGCAGATAAAAACATTTCTAATTGAGAAAACTCTTATCCCAAGGAGGTATGAGGGAAAGGAACTAATCTTATGGAAGAACAAAGGTTTTCCAGAGGAATAATACCTTCTCTTTATTTTTTTTATTTTTTGCTGAAATAGTTCCCAGTATCTCATAAGACTGATTACCAGGACACTTCACTGTATACAAAGGCAGTGTTGAAAGCATTTCCAGACATTTCCAAGGGCAGATGCCAAGGTCATGCATGACTGTGTCTGTGTGTGTAAATGTGTGTGTGCTAAGCATTCATTAGCAACCAATCTCATAGACCCCAGAGCAGCGTATCAACATGCTTCCTGCAGCTGCCCTTCAGAAGTGATGTGTATAATTACACATTCAAATTCATCCCCAGCCACCCACACTGGTTTGTTTCACTCTTATTTCCTAAATATATAATGCAGGTTTTGAAATATAAAATTCCAATGTTAACAAGCCTTAAAAGAAACCATTTTACAGCCTTTGCCTTTTCATGCCTGACAGAAAAGCTCACATAACTACAAGTGCAAAGCACAGGTAACACTGCTTCTTCATTTATCCCTTCAAACCACAAGATGTGGGAGATGTTATTGTTATTTGTGACATTCATGTCATATCACCTTAATGTCTTGAAGTAGAATTTATGTCTGTATATGATTCATCCTAGCTATCTACAGGGATAAAAATGAGATGACTTCATTACTGTGGAATAGAACAGATGATCTTAGAGCTGAAGGGAACCTAAAGATCCCACACTCTAACCCTCTAATTTAATTTCACTAGTGAAGGTAAAGTGATTTACCCCATAGTCTCCTCTTATGAACCCAAAACAAGACACACGTGGAAGTCCCTGGGCTGCCCCTCCACTCCCACCCCATGCCCTGTCCTATACCCTAAAGTGTCTGGGAGCATGCATGTGAATATCCTAGCCTGCACAATCAGGCTGTTCTATTACTAAGCTCTTAATGATTTTTTTTTAGCCCCTTTTAATCATTGTCCTCAAAAGGCGATGCCTGAAAAATGTCTTTAAGTTCTGATTTGCAACCCTGTAAAAATGATCCCACTGAGTAAGCTATTCCTTGTGATCTTTAGAATTTGCTAGAAAGACTTGATTAACTTTCTGAAGTTCCCAAAGAAGGGACAGATTCAGGAACACCAGTTGGGAGAAGTGGAGGAGGTGAGGCAAGAGGATGGAAGCAGGGAATTCAGTGAAAGTCTACATACCAAGTAGTGAGCCCCTGCCTAACTCAACCTCCATTCTCTGGTGACCAGCCTTAGCTCTCCAGCTAGGAGAGTGGAGGATGCTCTCTGGATAAACAGATTGAGCAGGAGAACAGACCTACAGATGCCAGTATTTGAGGGTCACTCAACAAAATGGCCATCTCTACCCATAATCCCACAGTGAAGCTAACCAGGAAATAAGGACTAGCCTTGAACACAGAGCTTCACTCCACTCTCAAGGGGCTCACTCTTATGAGTAAGGACTGACAAAGAGGAACAGATGTCAAGGAAGTCTTCGAGAAGCAAGGCAGAGACAAAAAAGGAAAAACTAAAGAGGAACTCAAAGGATTCAGCAACTATACAGGCAAGAAAAGTAACAGCCCCAAACACTTTATAACCACATTCCTCAGAGGGAGATGAGAATACACTATATCCATAAAACAAGAACTGGTAGGATCTTAGAAGTTAACATTTGAAAGCTGAAATCAGTAGAATTGCTAGGAGATAAATTTAAGGAAATAGACTGGTAAGCAAAACAAACAAAAGCCCCTACAGATTTCTAACAGGAAAACAGAAAAAGAAATAATAAAAAAGTTAAAGGATCAAACTAGGAAATAGATTTAATTAAGAATTTCTGGAAGAGAGAAAATGGAAAGGAGGTAATTGCTAAAGAAGTAATAAGTGACATTTCCAAGAACTAAAGGATGTTGGCTTTCAAATGCACATGAAAGCCCAGCCCCCTAAATGAGGAAAGACCAAAACCAAGGGTTTCATGGAGACTGCAATATGGCTGCAGACTGCAGTGCACACTGGTCACTGATTCGTTCTCCAGTCTCCTGCTGGCACTGGACTCTGTTCTAAAATACAGGTCATGTGTCTGGAGCTGGAGAACGTGTGAATTCTTAGTCAGGCCCAGACTACTTCAACTGTGAACTTCCTGGGAGTTGAACCCTGAGTCAGCTCAGTTGCTGACTAAGGACTTGTTTCAATTCAAATGGGTCCTTTTGCCCCTCCATTTAGCTAGGACCAGACCTGATGATTACCCCGTCTGCAGGGTGCTCTGTGGCACTCTGTTCACCACAGAAGACCCTGGATAAAGCTGCCAGCTTGGTTGGATCCCTTTTATTTTGTGATTTGGAAGGCAGGCCACCCCTCCCACGCATGTTCAATGGCAAAGTTGGTTCCTGATCTCAACCCTGACTGTTCCTAACTTATCCCTTTTCCCCGCTGGCCTCTGTACCCAATGGCTTAGCCTAGAGTGGTTATTTAAATGACATCTCATTATCTTATAGTTGAAATACACGCTGAGTATTGTTTCTGGGCCATATATTTGAGTCAGGAGACACTATAGGCCTTCAACTATATGATCTTAATAAATGAATTAATGAATGAATGGATTAACAAGATTACATTCCTAGAGAATTTGTTGGCATAAAATATTTTAATGAGTTTCTAACTAAACACATAAGCCAGATCACCCAAATGAGGTCATTTGAGTAAGAGAGGAGAGAAACCAGGAAAGCAGCACAAAAGAAGCAGACAGTGCTCCCAGCCTTACCTTCTGCAGGTATTTACTGAGGCCCACCATGGGCCAGGCACTGCCATAAGCACTGAGGGTACAATAGAGTGTAAGATAAGGTGCTTCTCTTGTGGGGCTCATCTTCCAATAGGGCACATGATAAACAATGAATACATTTTGCTCACCTGTTTTATTTCACAGAGTATGACTATTTGCCAGACAGTGCTCCCAGGGCTTTCAATAGTAACTCACTTAATTCTCACAATCTTATGAGATAGGCACTATTAACATTCCTATTTTCCAGAAGAGGAAACGGAGGAACAGGAAAATTAAGTACCTTATCCAAGGTCTTCCTCCTCCCCACCCCGCCCCCCAGCTGTCAAGTCACAGAGTCAGGCTGCACATGCAGGCCGCCAGCTTCAGGTCGTAGGCCTTACCAGCTGCCAGCCTACTGTTCTCGGGCAGTAATAGGCTCTGTGAAGACAGCAGAGTGAGGGGCTGGAAAGCCATGCGGTGCATGTGTTGCTTTAGATAAGAAGGTCAGAGAGTGTCTTTCTGAAAAGATAGCATGCCTGTTGCCCTCTGTGTGCTTTGGAGCTCAGAGGAATCTGGAAAATCGAGGACAGTGAACCTTTTCCCCTTTCCATACTCATGATTAATTTAAAAAGAAATTGGAAGTTTCTTGTTTAGCAAATGATGTCTAACTTCTGAAATTATGGCAGGGTCACAGTTGCCAGGAGTGGCATCCACAACAGCTTGCCAGGAACAGTTGCTTCTTGGGAATATTTTTATTTCCTCTGATGACTATAAATTAGATTCTGTAGGTGACACAATTCTCACCCATTTCAACTATGTGATACACTTCTTTACTTTTTTTAAAGGTGTTAGTTTATTACTCTGTGACTGTTTCTATCCTTACATTTATCCTCCCTATTTGGATTTTTTTATGGTTGCTCTAAAATATCACATCTGCAGGAAACCAGTCTCTACATTTCAACTTTCTGGGTTCTCATCATGCTGACCAGTGTCTAAATTTTATTTACATCACTTGGTAACAAAACGGCAGAACTAAAGTACCCCATCTTTCTTCAGCTATAGTGTGCTTTCTGCAGTTGGAAGACCCTTAAAAATGCACTGTTACAGTAAATATGATGAAGGCTTTCCTGGAAATGGCATGAGCACAGTGGTAGAAGCTAGCATCGTTATGTAAACTGATGTTTTCACTGTTAAATGCCATAAATTTTCATTAGGTGATCAATAGAAATGACAAGATTGCTCAGTGCTCAGCTCTGATATTTAAATTCTTTCTCCTTAATCTTAATGAAGGCATATATCACAGCAGTGGAGTGGGGTGACATTTAAGACACTGATACTCTGTGATTAGATATGGATCATTCAGAGGTTAGGCTTCAGGCTGGCCATGATTCTAACATGTTCAATATAGCAGTCGTGGTAATTGCAAAACTTATAATAATAAGAATAACAAATGATATATTGGTTTTTAGACTGCACCTTGAGCTTCTTCTCAGTTAGCCTTGCATTACATAATTGGTAGTGGGGAGGAGCTTCTATTACATATCAGGCCCTGAACACAAGGAGTGGGAGGGAGGGTAAGGGGCTTCTGGGAAGATGAAGAAACAGCGAAGAATATTAGGAGTTGCATGGAGGCAGCTGGAAATAGAATCTAAGCTTATTAGTCAAGGTTCACCAGAGAAACAGAAACCATTGATTTAAGTATTTGGCTCATGTGATTATGGAGGATGGCAAGTCCAAAATAAGCAGGATAGGCTGGAAGACTTGAGACCCAGGGAAAAGATGATGTTGCCATTTCAGTCTGAAGACCGTCAGAAGGCAGAATTCTCTCTTCCTCTGGGACTTCAGTGTTTTCTCCTAAGGCCTTCAATGGATTGAATGAACCTTACCCACATTGTGGAGTGTAACCTGCTTTATTCAAAGTCTACTGATTTAAATGGTAATCTCATGTAAAAAAAAAATACCTTCACAAAAACATTCAGACTGCTGATTGACCAAATATCTGGATACTGTGGCCTAGCCAAGTTACACATAAAATTAATCATCACATTAAGGGTCAAAGTGAAATCATCCAGTCTCATTTTATAAACCAAGCAAAAATCCCTATTACTCAGGAATTCATCTAGTCTCTACTTGAACACCTCTCAGAAGAGAACTCTCAACATTTTTTAAATTATCCATACACTTTTATTCTGAAAGAGAATCAGACCTACCAAAAATCTGTAAGATTATTACAATTGACATTCATATAGCTTTTACCTAGATTCACCTACATTTACACATATTCCCTCTCCTCATATATATATGTATGTATATATATAATTTCTGTTTTTATTCATATATATTGCTGAACTGTTAACAAGTCCAAGCTCATATCACTTGCTGCACAATAGCCAGTAAGTCAAGAGACAAGGTGTTAGGGGAAGGAAGGCGACTTTATTTTGGACAGCCAGTAAACCAAGAATATTGTGTACTGATGTCCTAAAGAACCATCTTTAGTTAACAGAATTTTAGGCCCTGTTTATGTTGGGGAAGGTGAAGAGGGAGGAGGTTGAGATCAAGAGGTGATCAATGATCACAGACATCTGGGTGGCAACAAGGATCTCAGGGAGGGTTGTGAAACTGCCTTGTCCTTGGTCAGGTCACAATGCTCCTATAAATCTTTAACATAACATGGTTCCTTGTGTGTACACCATCCTTATCTCCTCAGGGGTTTGTTTTGGGAAGGGACTATTATCCTTGCTTTAAAGGTAAACTGTAAATTCCTCCCATAATTAGTTTGGCCTATGTGCAGAAATAATCAAAAGCAGTTGACCTAAATGATATCATTGTTTAGGGTGCTAGGGGCAGTGGTGGGGTTAGGAGCAAAATGGAACTAGTCATGCTAGACTTCCTTTCACTACTACAATTTCTGCACTGTCAAAGGTCATTCCACAATCTTGTGGGATTGCAGACAAAGGGATTTTTTTCTCTCATCTGCCTATTTCTTGCTGGACAAGGTTGATGAGGGGCGACTGTAGAATAAAATAGTTTGACCCGCCTAAGGAAATAGTCCTTAGTGTTTCTTTTAGGAACAATGATCATGGGCATCTCCTTTCTTGCTTTGATAGTCAAACTCATGCAACCTTTGGTTATGCAATACATAGTAAGTTTTACTAGTACGTAGGCCGCCATGACAAAAGAAGAATATTAAGGCCCAATTTAAGAATGCTTTCCAGGATTAACTGAATTCCACTAGGAATCCCAGAGAACAGGTCTATAAACCAGTCCCTGAAAGTGCCCAGATTAATTCTGCTTTGGTGTTCTAAAGTTCGTTGAAGTCAGGTGGCCTGTTGTATAATTTTACTAATATGGGTCTCTACTTTAGAGGAGGAATTAATGTAAGTGCAACAGGTGGCTTAACCTAGGGAGGTCATTTGGTCAATAGAAATTACACTTGTAAGCTTGTGGGTTCTTATTATTTCTTTGCACATAATGTGTAATGCAGTGCTGAGTAAGAAAGAAGCATGGACCTCTGGGTACGAAGTTATCAATCAGACCCTACAGGTGATTGGAGAAACAGGCTTCAGGTTGGTGCAAGAGTAATTGCGGTTTTTGCATTGTTGAAATTTGCCATTTGATATTGGAATGCATTCTTAAATAAATGTGGTAGGACATACATTTTTATTTCACTTACTGTTTTTGTGTAAGAGTAGCTTTGGATCCTCCAAGGGCTCCCAAGCCCCTTGTTTTCCTGGTTTCTTCTGGTTGTGCTGCCTTGACCTGAGTGTGATGCACCTATGGCTTTCTTCCAGCAAGCTTAACTGATGAGTGAATATTTGACAGCACTTTGAATGGCCTTGTCAACTTGGCAGGAGGTCAGCGTTCAAGTCCTTTTTTTTTCAGAGTCTTCAGGAGGACACAGTCTCCCAGTTGAAAATGATCTAGGGCTACATCTGTGGGATGAGTGGTCCTGCTAGAAGCAAACTCATGAACAGAAGTCAGTATAGTGCCCAGAGTCTTAACATATTTGGCAACTGCTAAATCTTTGAAAGCATCAGTTGGTGGTCCCACTGGAGCAGACACCTGGAGTAGCCTACCATAAGGGACTCAATTTGAGCCTACTTCAGAGAGCCACTCTAATCCATAACAGGGCAACCAGCAATGACTTATCCCAAATCAAATTCATTTCTTGACATATTTTGACAATGCGTCTTTTGAGAGTATGGTTTATCTATTCAGTTTTTCCCATCAATTCTGATGTGATAATTGATCACAGCCAGTGCCAGAGAAAGGCAGTCTCCCAATAGATAGAAAAAGCCTGAAACTGAGGATCAGCAACTTCCCAATAAAATCTCAGGAGTTGGATGAGTAGTCTGAAGCACATGCATTAAGAGGCAAAATGGCAGAGTAACTGGTATGTGTCCTTCCTCTAGAAACACTCAACTGGTAAGGGAAGGCCCAAGTGGTGTACAATCTCAGTAAACACACTGCGATGCGGCCCCTCCCAAGTGCTGACAGGCCGCTGCACATGCAGACAGCCTACCCCAAGGGAAGAATCAGAGGAGAAGTAACACAGGACCCTGGAAGCATGCCAGTGTATAAAACCCCAAGTCAAAAGGTCAAACCATGCACTTCATCTCTCTAGTCACCTGCTTGGTCCTCTTCAAAGTGTACTTTCTTTCATTCCTGTTCTAAAGCTTTTAAATAAATTTTTCACTCCTGCTGTAAAACTTGCCTTGGTTTCTCATTCTGCCTAAGCCCCTTGGTCAAATTCTCTCTTCTGAGGAGGCAGGAATTGAGGTTGCTGGCTTCACTACTGGTAACATAATTTGGTACCACAGGAGTCAGATGCATTATGCTGCTAACATTTCCACCCCTCCGCATTTGTATATTGAAGCCCTAACCCTCAGTGTGATGGCATTAGGAGATGAGACCTTTGGGAGGTAATTAGGTTCATATGAGGTTATCAGGTGGAGTCCAGACAATGGAATTAGTGCCCTTATAAAAAGACATATCAAAGAGCTTGTTCCTTCTCTCTCTCTTTGCCATGTGAGGAGCTAGCAAGAAGGCAGCTGACTGCAAGCCAGGGAGAGAGATCTCTCTGGGAACTGAATCCTCTGGCACCTTGATCCTGGACTTCCCTGTCTACAGAACTGTGAGAAATAAACATCTATTGTTTACATCGCCCAGTCTATAACATTTTGTCATGGCAGCCCAAGCTGACTAAGAAGGGGCTTAGTAACATGGTCAATATGGGATCACATTGCTCAAAATGCCATAATGAACTTATGAGAAAAGACCAGAAAGTTAAAGGTTACACTCTATTGGAGCTGATACATATTCCCTCTCCCAAATCATACACTGACTCCCAAAATAAAAAATACTACAGCCTATTCAGTTTTAATTTGTGTATTGAGATTTTCAATTAAAAGGTATTATGGTCAGAAATCAATGAGAAGAATGCACATTCATTAAATGTATTCATTATAAGTAAATAAGTCTTAGGAAGGCCGAGTATTTCTTCTACTGCCAAAGACTTGTTCTTGATTAAAGTGTAGGTAAAATATACACGCAGGCTGACATTTTAATTCATTAAGATTCCTTTGCTTGGTTCTGGAAGTTTCAGAGACTAAAGTTTGTTACCATTGACAACATAGTATTTTCAGTAAAAGGAACTAGAAAGCAATGAAAAATCAGAAGCGAGGGGGCTTAGAGAGACGTATACCCTCTAAATATACACAAATTTCTACCCTGTATTTATTTTCAAAAGAAATAAATTTTAAGTAATGCTAATTTAACCAATGGGGAAAAAACTTTCAAAAAATATACATTCTCCATTACAAACTAGAAGGTAAATATTAAAATACAATTGTAAGCCAGTAAGTTTGCTTACACAGATAAGAGTCATTATCCCTTTGAAACACAAAGCATCAAATAATGTCTTATAAAAGATCAGTCTGTGATCTTTTTCATTTGTATGTTCTGGTAAATTCCTAAATCTTGAGTTTCAGCCTTTAGATCAAGGTATACCCATGTTTCTTAATCCAAATTAAAGAAAAAGAACTGTAAGCAAACTGGTCTATGCAAATGAGATTTGTGATAGCTGAGTTCTAATCCTGTTCCATCTGATTCTGAACATTTTGTTCTAGAAAAATTTCATCACATTTGGTATGAAAGTCTTTAATTTTAGCAAATATGTCAACCATCAAGCAAAAGTTATGGCAAAGTTTCAAACTAGTGCACAATTCAAAACTGTACAAAAACTGCAAAACCTGGTCCCACCACTTCCCAGCCTCAGTCATACACTTATATACTTAAGGTACTGGTCTACTACTCTGTAAGAAATGGTGACAACTAACTGTAGTGCCCTCTGGCTGCATCTGTGCTTATCTTCTCTGAATTATAGTTTCATTTTATTTTCATTTCATTGGCAGCCTAGTTTCTGCTCTTCATCTGATGGGCCAAATCTCAGATTCTGTAGAAAGTCCTTTGCATTAAACATGGTTATTAAAGAGGTAGTATCTGCTGGACTTACGATAATGGGTGTTTGAGATTGTTTCTTCTGGTTTAGGGGAAGTCCTGCTTGGGAAACTGATCTCAGTACTGGCTATCCTGCAGGGGTCTATGTCTTATAGACAGATGCACCCTCTGTTAGAGATTTCTGTGCCCTACCATGCTAAGTGCTGCAGTGTTGAGTTTCAAGCCTTGTTTCTTTTCCTTTGAATCTACCCTGGTCATGTCTGTTGTGTGCAGCTGGGATAGGTTTTTTGGTATAATATAACATGGGATCCACGGGTGCTGCATTTCAGTCGGTGACTGTACAAGTATATACCCTTCTTCTCTGGTCCTTACAGACTGAAAAATTGCAAAAATAGTCTTGGAAACATTTTACTGTGCTTGATTCTCCACATATACTGTCTTTGCTCACAATATCTTGGGTCATATCTAGCTCAGCATCCATAAAACTCCTCTATTTCAGGTCAGTTATATAATCATCTAAATTAGTCTTTTAAAATTTTTTTAAATTTTTAACTTCTGTAGGTGTATATGTTTTTGAGGTACATGAGATATTTTGGTACAGGCATGCAATGTGAAATAAGCACGTTATGGAATATTGGATATCCACCCCATCAAGCATTTATCCTTTGTGTTAAACGTACAATTAAATTATTATTGACTATAGTCCTGCTGTTGTGCTATCAAATACTATGTCTTATCTATTCTTTCTATTGTTTTTAACCCATTAACCATCCTCACCTCCCTGCCCCACTCCATGACTACCCTTCTCAACCTCTGGTAACCATCCTTCTATTCTCTATCTCCATGAGTTCAATTGTTTTAATTTTTACATCCCCCAAATAAGTGAGAACACGCAATGGTTGTCTTTCTGTTCCTGGCTTATTTTATTTAACATAATGACCTCTAGTTCAATCTATGTTGTTGCAAATGGTAGAATCTCATTCTTTTTTATGGCTGAATAGTACTCCATTGTGGATAAGTACCACATTTTCTTTATAGGTTAATCTGTTGTTGGAAACTTAGGTTGCTTCAAAATCTTGGCTATTGTGAACAGTGCTGCAACAAATATGGGAGTGCAGATATCTTTTTGATATAATGATTTCATTTCCTTTGAGTACATATAGAGCAGTGGGATTGCCAGATGGTATGGTAGCTCTATTTTTAGTTTTTGTGAGGAACCTCCAAACTATTCTCTATCGTGGTTGTACTAGTTCGTATGACCAACTGTGTACGAGAGTTCCTGTTTCTCCACATCCTCACCAGCATTTGTTATTGCCTGACTTTTGGATAAAATCCATTTTAACTGGGCTGAAATGATATCACATTGTAGTTTTGATTTGCATTTATCTGATGATCTGTGATGTTGAACACCTTTTCATATGCCTGTTTGACATTTATATGTCTTCTTTTAAGAAATGTGTATTAAAATCTTTTGCCTATTTTCTGATCAGATTATTAGATTTTTCTCTGTAGAGTTGTTTGAGCTTCTTATATATTCTGGTTATTAATCCTTGTCGTATGGGTAGTTTGCAAGTATTTTCCTCCATTCTGCGGGTTGTCTCTTCACTTTGTTGATTTTTTCATTTCTTGTGCAGGAGGCTTTTTAACTTGATGTGACCCCATCTGTCCATTTTTGCTTTGGTTGCCTGTGCTTTTGGGGTATTGCTGAAGAAATTTTTGCCCAGGGCAATGCCCTGGAGAGTTTCCCAAATGTTTTCCTATAGTAGTTTCATAGTTTGAGGACTTAGGTTTAAGTCTTTAATCTATTTTTATTTGATTTTTGTACATGGCAAGAGATAGGGGTCTAGTTTCTTTCTTCTGCATATGGATATCTTCTAGTCTCCCCAGTGATATGGTTTGGCTCAGTGTCCCCACCCAAATCTCATGTCGAATTGTAATTCCCAGTGTTGGAGGAGGGGCCTGATGGGAGGTGACTGAATCATAGGGGCAGACTTACCCCTTGCAATTCTTGTGATAGTGAATTCTCACACAGTCTGGTTGTTTAAGTGTGTAGCACTTTCCTCTTTTCTCTCTCTTCCTCCTTCTCTGGCCATGTAAGATGTGTCTTCTTCCCATTCACCTTCCACCATGATTGTAAGTTTCCTGAGGCCTCCCCAACCATGATTTCTGGACAGCCTGTGGAACTGTAAGTCAATTAAAGCTCTTTGCTTTATTAAATACCCAGTCTCAGGTAGTTCTGTATAGCAATACGAAAACTGACTAATACACCCAGCACCGTTTATTGAAAAGACTGTATTTATTGAAGAAATTGGGGTCAAGTTTCATTCTTCTGCAGAGATATTTAGTTTTCCCAATTTATTGAAGAGACTGTGTTTTCCCCAATGTATGTTCTTGGTACCTTTGTCAAAAATGAGTTCACTGTAGGTGTATGGATTTCTTTCTGGGTTCTCTATACTGTTGCATTGTTCTATGTGTCTGTTTTTATGCCAGTACCATACTGTTTTGGTGACTATAGCTCTGTGGTGTAACTTGAAGTCAGGTAATGTGATTCCTCAGTTTTGCTCTTTTTGCTCAGGATAGTTTTGAGTATTCTGAGTCTTTTGTAATTCTGTATAAATTTTAGAATTATTTTTTCTATTTCCATGAAGAATGTCATTGGCATTTAAATAGATTGCATTAAATCTGTAGATTGCTTTGTATAGTATGAACTTTTAACAATATTCATTCTTCCAATCCATGAACATGGAGTCTCTTTCTATTTTTTGTGTCTTCTTTAATTTCTTGAGTCAATTTCTCATAGTTATCATTATAGAGATCTTTCACTTTTTTGGTTTAGTTAATTTGTAGGCATTTTATTTTATTTGTAGCTATTGTAAATGGGATTACATCTTTGATTTATTTTTTAGATTGTTCACTGTTGGCATATAGAAATGTTACTGATTTTAGTGTGTTGATTTTGTATCATGCAACTTGACTGAATTTGCTTGTCAGTTCTAATAGTTTTTTGGTAGGGAGTCTAGATTTTTCGGAACATAAGATCATGTCATCTGCAAATAAGGATAATTTGCCTTCTTTCTTTCCAATTTGGATGCCCTTTATTTCTTTCTCTTATTAGATTGCTAGGACTTCCAGTAGTACGTTGAAAACAGTGGTGAAAGTGGGCATTCTTTTCATGTTCCAGATCTTAGAGGAAAGGCTTTCAGTTTTTCTCTATTCAGTATGATACTTGCTGTGGGTCTATCATATACGGCTTTTATTATGTTGAGGTATGTTCCTTCTATACTCAGTTTTTGAGGGTTTTGATTATTAAGGGATGCTGAACTTTATCAAATGATTTTCAGCATCAATTGAAACAATAATGTGGATTTTATTCTGTAATACATCATTCTGTTGATATGATGTATTACATTGATTGATTTGTATATGTTGAACCATGCTTGAATGCCTGGTATAAATTCCACTTGGTCATGATGGATGATCTTAATGTATTGTTTAATTCAGTTTGCTAGTATTTTGTTGAGGATTTTTGCATCAATATTCCTTGGAGATATTGGCCTGTAGTTTTCTTTTTTTTAATGTGTCTTTGTCTGGTTTTAGTATCAGAGTAATATTGGCCTATGGAATGAGCTTGTAAGTATTCCCTTTTTCTCTATTTTTCAGAAGAGTTTGAGTGGGATTAGTATTAGTTTTTCTTTAAATGTTTAGTAGAATTCAGCAGTGAATCCATCAGGCCCTGGGCTTTTCCTTACTGGGAGACTTTTCATTATGGTTTCAATCTTGTTACTGGTATGCTCAGGTTTTCTATTTCTTCATGGTTCAATCTTGGTATATTTTATGTGTCTAGGGATTTATCCATTTCCTCTACATTTTCCAATTTATTGGCCTATAGTTGCTCATAGTAGCCACTAATGATCCTTTGAATTTCTCTGGTATCAGTTGTAATGTCTCCTTTTTCATCTCTGATTTTATTTATTTGGGTCTTTTCCCTTTATTTCTTCATTGGTCTGGTTTAAGGTTGTCAACTTTATCTTTTTAAAAATAACACACTTTTTGTTTCACTGATCGTTTGTATTTTATTCTACTGATTTGGAGTTCAACCTGTTCTTGCTTTTCTAGTTCTTTAAGATGCATTGTTTGGAATTTATTTGATTTTTTTCTCTTTTTTGATATAGGCAGTTATAGCTGTAAATTTCCCTCTTTGTCTCTTCTTATAGTACTCCTTTCACTATATCCCATAGGTTTTGGTATGTTGTGTTTCCATTATCATTTGTTTCAAGATTTTTTTTCAATTTCCTTTTTAATTTCTTCATTGACTCACTGGTCACTCAGGAGCATGTTGTTTAATTTCCACGTGTTTGTATAGTTTCCAAAATTCCTCTTGTTAGTTATTTCTAGTTTTATTCCATGTGGTCAGAGAAAACGCTTGATATTATTTCAAATTTTTTGAATGTTTTAACATTTGTTTTCCAACCTAATATATGGCCTATCATTGAGAATTATCCATGAGCTGGGGAGAAGAATGTGTATTCTGCAGCCTTTGGATAAAATGTTATGTAAATATCTATGAGGTCCATTTATTCTATAGTGCAGATTAAGTCCAGTGTTTCTTTGTTAATTTTCTGTCTGGGATATCTGACCAATGCTGAAAATGGAGTGTTGAAGTCTCCAGCTATTATTTTGTTGGAGGTCTATTTCTCTAGCTCTAATAATATTTGCTTTATATATCTGAGTGTTCCAGTGTTGGGGGCATATATACTTACAATCATTATATCCTCTTGATTGACACTTTTATCATTATATAATAACCTTCCTTGTCTCTTCTTACAGTTTTTGTCTTGAAATCTGTTTTGTCTGATACACTGCAGTACAGCTACTCCTCTTTTTTGGTTTCCATTGGCATAGAATATCATTTTTCATCCCTTCATTTTCAGTCTCTGTGTATTTTTATAAGGCAAAGTGTGTTTCTTGTCAGCAACAGATCATGGGGGTCTTGTTTTTTCAACCATTCAGCCACTCTTTTTTTTATTGAAGAGTTTAGTCCATTTACATTCAATGTTGTTATTGATAAGTAAGGACTTACTCCTGCCATTTTGTTATTTGTTTTCTGGTTGTTTTGTGGTCTTCTCTTCTTTCATTTCATCCTGTCTTCCTTTTAGTGAAGGTGATTTTCTCTGGTGGTATAATTTCTTACTTTTTATTTTTTGTGTATTTGTTGTATGTTGTTCAATTTGAAGTTACTGTGGGGATTGCAAATACTATCTTATAACCCATTATTTTAAGTTGATGACAAGTTAACATTGATTCTGCAAATAAACACTCAAAAGGAAAACTAATAACTTTAACTTAGTCCCCCTAGTTTTTAGCTTTTTTTGTTTATGTCTTATTTTACTGTTTATGACTTGAAAGGTGGTAGTTATTATTTTTGATTGGTTCATCATTTAGTCTTTCTAGTGAAGTCAAGAGTAATTTGCACACCACCATTACAGTGTTATACTATCTTATGTTTTCCCTGTGCTTACTATGACCAGTGAATTTTATACCTTCAAATGATTTCTTCTTGTTTATTAACATCCTTTTCTTTCAGACTGAAGAATTCTCTTTAGCATTTCTTGTAGGACAACTCTGATATTGATAAAATCCCTCAGCTTTTGTTTGTCTTGGAAGGTCTTTATTTCTCCCTCATGCTTGAAGGGTATTTATACTGAATATACTGTTCTAGGGTGATTTTTTTTCCTTCAGAACTTCAAATATGTCATGCCACTGTCTCCTGGCTCTTTTTAGATTTCCACTGAAAAGTCTCCAGCCAGAGGTATTAAGCTCTGTTGTGTGTTATGTGTTCATTTTCTCTTGCTGTTTTTTGGATCCTTTCTTTATCCTTGACCTTTGGGAGTCTGAGTAGTAGATGCCTCGATAGTCTTCTTTTGGGTTAACTCTGCTTGGCATTTTATAACTTTCTTGTACTTGAATGCTGACATCTTTCTCTAGCTTTGGAAATTCTCTGATATTATTCTTTTGAATAAACTTTCCATCCCTATCTCTTTTTCTACCTCTTTAAGGCCAATAACTCTTAGATTTGCCTTTTTGAGGCTATGTTCTAGATGTTGTAGGCATGCTTCATTATTTTTTATTCTTTTTTATCTTGTCTCCTCTGACTGTATTTTCAAAAATAGCCTGTCTTCAAACTCACTAATTCTTTCTTCTGCTTGATCAGTTCTGCTATTAAGCAACTTTGATGTATTCCTCAGCATGTCAGTTGCATTTTTTCAACTCCAGAATTTCTGCTTGATTCTTTTTCATTATTTCAATTTCTGTTAAATTTATCAGATAGAATTCTGAATTCCTTCTTTGTGTTATCTTAAATTTATTTGAGTTTCCTCAAAACAGCTATTTTGAATTCTCTGTCTGAAAGGTCATAAATCTCTGTTTCTGAAGAATTGGTCCTTAGTGCCTCATTTAGTTCTGAAGAATTGGTCCTTAGTGCCTCATTTTGTGAGGCCATGTTTCCTGGATGGTGTTGATGCTTACAGATGTTCATCAGTGTCTCAGCATTGAAGAGTTATGTATGTACTACAGTCTTCACAGTCTGGGCTTCTTTGTACCTGTCCTTCTTGGGAAGGCTTTCCAGGTATTTGAAGCACTTGGGCCCCATGCCAAATAGTGTTGTGGTTTTTGCAGACTTGTAGTCTTCTCTCCCCTTTCCATAAGTAGAGGAGCCTTTCTCTGTGGCCACCACCACCACTGGTCCACAGAGGGGCTCCGTCAGGCCGCCACCAATGTTCACTTAAAGCCCATGGGCTCTTCTGTCAGCTCATGGTGATGCTTTGGTGGTCTTGGACAAAATTCAGAGGAATTCTCTGGATTACCAGGCAGAGGCTCTTGTTCTTTTCCCTTACTTTCTCCCAAAGAAATGGAATCTGTCTCTGTGCTCAGCCACCTGGAACTAGGGATGTGATGATGCAAGCACCTCTGTGGCCACCACTGGGACCTGAAGCCAGCATAGCACTGGGTCTGATCCAAGGCCCTTCCCTTCATGGCAGTGAGTTTCTCCAGACCCTGGACATGTCCAGGGAGCTAGGGATTAGAGTAAAAAACCTTAGCAATGTACCTGATATTCTATTCTACTGCAGCTAATCCGGCACTCAAACCACAATACAAAGTCCCTCCTGCTCTTCTTTCCCCTTTCCACAGACAGAGTACATATTGGTTGAATGAACAGCTAAATGGGAAAAGTGGAACTTAAGTCAAATGTCTTTGTTTTCCTGTTTTTTCCCAAGGTCAGTTTTGCCAAGGTTAAGGACAAATCAGTATACAAATAATGTGGGCAT
Organism: Homo sapiens; assembly: GCF_000001405.40. Lineage (NCBI taxonomy): Eukaryota > Metazoa > Chordata > Mammalia > Primates > Hominidae > Homo > Homo sapiens. The sequence continues at coordinate 79,847,887 of NC_000006.12, read as the reverse complement.
CCATGACCAGAAATACAGAGCAATTTTAACTCAAGTCCTGTGGCATCTCTTTGTGGCTCCTTATTGACAGTGGAAATAAAATTTCATAATGGTCTGCCCAATGAAACTTAAAACTCAATTCTATCTGAATTATTTTCCCCCAGTGTTTCTGTGTAAACCATCCAGCTCTGATCACAGCAGAAGTTCTGCCGATAACTTACTGAAATGGCATGTGTGTCCAACCTGGGTCAGTGCAGGAACATCAATATCACATTTGCTAAATTATATTGCTAATGAGGACATTTCCAGGAAGTTTCATTGACAGCCCCCTCATTTACATCCCAAGATGCATGCACAATTCCAATAGACCTTGAGAATGCTTGGGAAATCAGTCCATAAATCATTCTTCTAATGAGCAAAGAAAATATATCACATCTTACATTCACCACATGTTATAGCAAATAAAGGGGTATGTTTTTTATTTACTTACTTTGGTTACATCAGCTTTTTAAGTCATTGTGGTTAAATTATAAAACTCTATTAAATGTCTTAGACTGTCTTCTATAGCAGAGTAGAGAAACTTGTAGTGGGAATTAGAGCACTTAGGTTTGTTTTTATCACACACGTACATATGTGGAAGCAGTTTACATGCCATCTGCCCCTTGTTATAGTAGAGAATAATGCAATTGAAATTTTCCACAAAAAATACATTTTCAGGAAACAACAACAATGAGAATCTTCTCCTTTACAGGAAAGAAAATGGACAACTTAAAATATATAGAGAAGGGGTTAGGAACAATGGCTCATGCCTGTAATCCCAGCACTTTGGGAAGCCAAAGCAGAAGTATTACTGGAGGCCAGGAATTCAAGACCAGCCTGGGCAACATGGAGAGATCATGTCTCTACAAAAAAAATAAAAATAAAAAATTAAATTAGTGGAACACAGTGGTGCATGCCTGTGGTCCTAGCTCCTCAAGAGGCTGAGGCAGGAAGATTGCTTGAGCCCAAGAGTTTGAGGTTGCAGTAAGCTATGATTGTGCCACTGCACTCCAGCCAGGGTAACAGAATGAGATTCTGTCTCTAAATAAATAAATAAATAAATATAAATAAATGAAATATATATGTATAGAAGACATATTTGTGGAACAAGATTTGGCTTTCTACAAATGAATGTACAGAATGAGGGAGTTTCTTTAAACTCTGAATTTTTTTCTTTTTTGTATTTCCAAGTTGCTTACATTCCTTCATATGTTCATTTCACAAATATTTATTGAGCATCTACTAAGTTTTATGCACTTTCTAAGTAGAGTTAGGGATATGCAATGTAGCAGACAGACATGAATGTAAACATGTATTGCTCTTATAATTAAGTTAAAAGAATATAGTCTCTCTGATCAAAATAATCTTGGCTTTTATAAAAGTTTGAGGGGAAAAACAGGGGAAGGAATTTTCAAAATTCCAAGAAAAACTGGTAAACCAGAAACTAAAATGAACGGAAGTCAGATTGCATCTACGTGGACATAGAAGAATTGGGTTGACAGAAGTTCAGAAAATACTTGAAACTTTTGAAATTAGTCTCTGATACTCCTAATATTATTATTTTAGTTCTTTGTTTCTTTAAAATTCTCTCCCATGAAGTTTTATAAACCTAGTGGCCTCCCCCTCATTAATTCACAGACCCTCTGGAGGCCAAAGCAGGGACTGGCAACCTTGTGTGGTGAGGCTGGAACACTCAGGCCTTCTAGAGGAAATACTCACTGCACATTTCTGGAAGCAGTTTGGCAATATGCACTCTTCATTTCACATGATTATTGTGGAAAAATTTTCCTCAGATCTGGCTTTAGGAAAAATGAAGAAGAAACTGATAATGGAGCCCCAGATCCATCCTTCCTTCCCTTCCTTCCTTCCCTCCTTCCTTCCTTCCTTCCTTCCTTCCTTCCTTCCTTCCTTCCTCCCTCCCTCCCTCCCTCCCTCCCTTCCTCCCTCCCTCCCTCCCTTCCTCTCTCTCTCTCTCTTTCTCTCTCTCTCCCTCTCCCTCTCTTCCTTTTTTGAAGCAGGGTCTTTCTGTGTCACCCAGGCTGGAGTGCAGTGGTGTGATCACAGCTCACTGCAGCCTCTGCTTCCCAGGCTCAAGCAATCCTCCCACCTCACCCTCCCAAACTGCTGAGATTACAGGCATGAGCGACCACACCCAGCCCCAGATTCCCTTTCTATACCTTTCCCCCTTCTTAAAGAGCCTCCTTCACCTCTAGTTGCTAGTGGCTCATGTTCTCTGTCCACAGACAGGCTAATCTTAGGAGAGTCATTCACACCACAGTTCACATGGGGGATGCGTCTTTTCCTTTTTCCATTGGCATTTGCACTAGGCAAGGGTCAACCTCTCAAACAAGAGGAATCACTTCTAAATTTCTTATTTTATCATCTGAGAATTGGAGACGTGACTTTCAGCTCTGACATTCTGTGGTTCTAAATGTGTAGCATCATGTTTGGCCACATTTTACTAGGTATTATGGGGTTGTGAGGGGAGCAGAGAAAAGCAGGAGGGTAAAACTCTTTGTGGAAGAGCCTTCTATCAGTTAGGGTGATTTTTCTTACAAGTAACAAAAAAAAAACCTAACAGTAGTTTAGCCAAGAATGTTACTTAATTACTCACATAACAGAAACTCTAGATGTGGGCATTTCTGGGTGAGGGTCAGTAGCTCAGCACTACCAGGTCACCTAGTCTGTCTCTGTGACAGGCTTCTCTTCCCATCGTGATTTCCTGAAGGTCTGCTGAAGTGCCAAGCATCACATTCTCATATAACAGTGTTCAAGAAAAGAAAAGAAAGGCAAAGGGCTGGATTAATGGGCCTTTCCTGCTTTGTCTGGGAGGAAACTCTTTCCCAGAGCCCTCAGCAAACTCTGCTTACATCTCATTGTCCTGAACTTGGTCAATTCTGCCATCTCTAGCAGTAAGGAGTTGACAGAGACCAACCATGATTTACCCTCTAGGGTTGGGCACATTGAGACTTGAGAAAAGTGGAGGTTTTGCTAGCGAGGGAAAGCCAATAGCATCCTGCCACAACCTTGAAACCACATCACTAAGTAGCTTCTCTGAATAGGTCTACAACCAGGCTTGAAAATGGATGAGGTCAAGCTAGGTACAGTGGCTCGCGTCTGCAATCCCAGCACTTTGGGGGGCTGAGGTAGGAGGTCACTTAAGCTGAGGAGTTCAACACCAGTCTAGACAACATAGTGAGGCTCCATCTTTTAAAAGAAAGTAGCCAGGCATGGTGGTGTGCACCTGTAGTCCCAGCTACTCAGGAGGCTGATGTAGGAGAATCACTTGAGCCCAGGAGGTTGAGGTTACAGTGAGCTGTGATTGTGCCACTACACTCCAGCCCGGGCAACAGAGAAAGACCCTGTCTCAAAAGAAAAAAGAAAGAAAGAAAATGTCTGAGGTCAAACACCTGGACTCATTCAGATACCCTCTACCTTTCAGGTCCTGCCTTGCAACTCTTTGAGTTAAGAAGGGAAGAGGGTGTATGAAGAGAATATATGATGATGTTCTAAGTTGAAAGAGGAAACCGGATGGTGTAGCACTATGTCCAAATTTCCTACTCTCATAATTTGTCATATATATATATATATATATATATATATATATATATATATATATTTTTTTTTTTTTTTTTTTTTTTGAGACGGAGTCTCGCTCTGTCGCCCAGGCGGGACTGCGGACTGCAGTGGCGCAATCTCGGCTCACTGCAACCTCTGCCTCCCGAGTTTAAGCAATTCTCCTGCCTCAGCCTCCTGAGTAGCTGGGATTACAGACACCCGCCACCATGCCCAGCTAATTTTTTTGTATTTTTAGTACAGACGGGGTTTCACCATGTTGGCCAGGCTGATCTTGAACTCCTGACCTCAGGTGATCCACCTGCCTTGGCCTCTCAAAGTGCTGGGATTACAGGTATGAGCCCAGCAGCGGGATAATGTTTTAAACATTATGCAAATATTTCGTTTGTAATTTTAATTTTTTAAATAGATTTTTCTTATTTTCTTTTTTTGTTTATGTTTTTTAGAGACAGGGTCTCATTCTGTTCAGGCTGGAATGCAGTGGTGCAATTATGGCTGACTGAGGCTTTTAAACTCCTGGCTCAAGCAATTCTCCTGCCTCAGCCTCCTGAGTAGCTAGGACCACAGGTGCATTCTACCATGCCTGACTAATTTTTTTAAAAACTTTGTAGAGACAGGGTCTTGCTACATTTCCTAGCCTCGTATTGGTAATTTTAAAATTGCTGTTTTCCCAGACTAACCTTAGAGTAAGATCAAAATTCTCAGACTTCATAAGGGATAAGCAAAACTTTTGTATGAGGGCTAATGCAGGAAAAAAATAAGAATGTTTAAATGACACATTTTTAAAATCAAAATAAAAATAGTTTTATTTATTCCAAAGTAGAAAAAAGTCTCTATTTTTAGGATATATAGACCTGTTGCATTCAATAGAGGAAAGAGAGTTTTAAAATTTTCATTTCTTTTTTAGCCATTAAAATGTTGATATCTTGGCACTTTTGAAAAGAAGCAAACTTAGATGCAAATTAATCATTTATCTTTTATAGTTGAGTAGAATTTTACAGTTCATGAAATTTCTTCATGTGGATTACCTTATGTTATCTTTCCATTAATGTGTCAAAAAATTACTGTTATTCTGATTTACAGATGAAGAAACAGGTTCAAAAAGAATAAAATCACTTGCCTAAGAAGACAGAATGTTACCTATCAAGTTAGGGCTAAAATTAGATTGGTATATGCACGGTAACACTTACTAATGCCTAACCTGTGTCGAGCACCATTATGACACTGGAAATAATTAATAAAAATCAGACCTCACAGTTATTGAAGAGTGGGTGCCAGGCACTGTCTTAAATATTTACATGCATTATTTCACTTAATCCCCTCAACAAACCTATGAAATAGGAACTATTAAAATTCTCATTTTACAGGTGTAGAAACTGAAGTCTATAGAGTTGCATAAGGTCATACTTCTAGATATGGGGAATTACTGGCTCTTAATCATTTAACAAGCACATGTCTCTCTCATTTAATCATTTAACCCAAGCCACACCTGGGTTGTAGTTGTCCCTCTCTGATTGAGCTGCTCACGAGTTTCATCTGTGCAAGGTGGAGCCACATCGGGAAGCACTGGCTGCAGTAATTCATGGTTATCTTTTCCAGTGCTCTGCATTTTTTCATGACTCTCAAGTTGCTGTGATGGAATTCAAGAGAGGGCTAAACAACAAAAACATGCATCTGCTAGAAGAGCAAGGTTGTTGCTAGTCTCAGGTACAACTGAAATCAGAAACTTCAGTGCTGACTAAATTCTGATCTCTTGCTTTTCCTTTTGCGTTTATGTTGGTTTCATTTTTTTCTCATTACATATGGCTGTTTTTCAAACTGTAGGAAACTCAGTCACCAGTAGCTCATGCATTCATCTTCATCATTTTGGCTTTCACCAGTTAGAGATGGTCCAACTCTCTTGGTCTAGTTGGAAACAATTATACAAAAGGGTGGCTTATGTAAGAAGCCACCACTGGGCCAATCAAATGTAGTTAAGGAGATACATCATGTAAGACCATGTAAAAGCTGACATGTATAATTGTGCAATTTGTGCACTTCTCAAAGATGCCCAGCAGGAGGGCATGTGAAGATGGAAACCAAGCACGTTGTCTGCTCTCCACACCATGCAGCATGGAGTAGGGATTTTCCCAAAGGAAGGGATTCCCTTTGCCTCTTTCTGACACTGGGTTTTCCAAGCTGGGCACCCATGGAGCTGAGCCATTTTTTCACATTGATTAAGCTAGTGGTAGCCGTGTGTAAAATATGACAGCTTCTGAGGAAATCATGTATTTTTAGATTGAGGAAGAAAAGGGAAGTATTCATTTCAGAAGAAGGAGAAATACTCACCAGAACACTGAGAGGGAACTTAAGCTATTGGCTGTGCTTTAAGTTGCCTATAAGTATTGATGCTCTCTCTTTAGAAAACTATAAAATATTTTGAACAGTTTCACAATCAAGTCATGAAGAAAAAGATAAATAGAGGCTGTATGGTATGAGTAACGACCACTGCCATAGCAAGGTCTAAGCAGCACCTTGGAGAGCAGCTTGCTACTTTCCCTGGCGTGCACCATCACTGTAGATGACTCAGCTCTCTTGCACTGGGGTTCAAATACAACTTCATAATTTTTATGCAAAAGTAGTCTGACATTTAATAGAGATGCCTGTTATTTTCCACTAGCATAGTGCTACTGAAAACATCTCAGCTTACATTAAAATGATACATTTAACACCTGGCTTGTGGAGCTGTAAAGACATTAAAACAAACAAACAAACAAACCAAAAAACTTAACTGATTTCTCATAGGCCAAAGTAAGTTTTCTCTGGAATACAGTTATGCTACCTCTACCCAGCAGGCCTGGCATATCCTCCAAAGCTGTGGCTGTGTGGAGCTGGGTGACACTCAGCATGTCTAAAGATGGATGGAAAGAGGCAGACTCAGGGACTTGACCTGCTGGCCCCATTTCAATACAGTCCATCCAGCACACAAACCAAGATGTAAAGTCCCCAGTGTAGTTATTCTGGGATAACCAGTTGCCTTCTTCCCTGGGACACACATAAAAATCTTCAGACTGTGAACTTTGCAAACTTCATCAGGCAGAATGCAGTGAGGGGGGAAATCTGATATTTCAAAGGCTGGAACAACAAATTCACTTTTCATGTTGCTGCAGTATCTTCTCAAGCTTAAGAAGTTTTTGAATTTTAGACTCTCCATGGGTGGGTTCCACTTTCCTTCCCTCCTCATTGATCCTTGTTCCTTTCCTGCAGTTGCCTTTCTTTGATGGCCCCAATTGATGTGTGTGATTTAACCTCTTTCTACTCTTCTGCTTCCTCTTTCCTGGAGGTTTCTCTTTGTTCAGTGAAATAGGTCCTAGAGAAATGAGCAACACTGGGGACTCAGAGGAGCAGAAAAGTGGTAACAAAGCCATTCAGGGCGAGGATGGGCAATGCTCATAGTCAGTCTTCTCCCTCTCTCCTTTATTTCTCTTCTTTCATTATTTTCTTCTTATATGTCACTCATCATCCGTTCTTCACTTCTTCTTTTGTCTTTCTCCTCATCTTCCCTACCTATGACTAAGCCCTCCTTACAGAATTTCTCTTGTCAGGAATGCTAATAGCATGTTCAGTTCATTTTAAATTTGGTGATAGTTTATTGAATAGAAACAACATACTCTTCAGTAAGGGACTCAAGGGACTTCATGGGAAATGTGTGGTGTGTGTAGGAATCAACAGACTGTACACAAACATCCTAACTCTGCCTTGCCTTTCCCCATGTGTGAAACTTGTTTTTGGTAAGTAGAAGTCGCTTGTATCACTCCTGGGTGGAAGTTTTAAGGGCCAGTGCAGGAGCTGATGATAACAAGGCTGACAGAATGACATTTTTCCTATTGAGAAACCTTTGTGGAAAATTGCACCATGAAACTGCAGCTCGAAACGCACTGAAATCAAAAAGGTACGTCAATAATAGAATATTTCTGGTCTTCAGCATCTTAGTTTTACTTCTGTTTCAGGCAGAAAAGAGGGATACCAAATCAATTACAGTGCTGCCCTGTAAACTCTTCTTCCTACTCCCTGTTCTCTGACATACAGCTGGGCCTGCTGGTTCTTTGCTGGTAACCTCCAGGGACAGGGACACTGCTGTCTCCTTTACTGGTGTGTTAGAAGCAAGGGTAAGTCTTTCCCTGATTTCCTGCAGCACAGCAGAAACAAAGCTGTACTTCAAAGTAGACTTTATTGAAGATTTGAGGAAAATGGAAGAGAAATGCAACACTGAGAACACTTTACAGTTGTTGGCTAGGCACAAGCCTGTCTCCTGGCTCCCTCCCTCTCTCCTGCCCAGATGGAGACTTTCTCCCCAAATACTCTCCATCCCTTACATTCATCCCAATGTCAGAAATGCTCCAGAAATCTCCCTGCCTTAGACCTCTGGCCCCAAAGAGAAGGAAAATGTTCTCTCTCAAAAGTTTTCTATAAAATCCTTATTTCTTACTCCAGGCCTGATCATTTCCCAGGATGACTGATTTTGGGATCACCTGCTCCTTTAGAATAAACTGCATCTTCATCTTCACGTACCATGATCTTACCCTATGACTCCAACAAGACAATCACATAACTGTGCCAGAAAGTAGAAAATAGGCTCGGCTCTGGCAACAAACACTCCAACTGGTCAAAAGCAATCAACACAAACATTCGTTTCTCATTTATGTGAAGCCCGATCTACATTGAGTAGTCCTACTGCATTACGTACATATACCATCTGATAGCCTCTGGGACAGCTATGGCAGGAAAAGGAAATTCAGAGGGTTGAGGGGAGTATGATGGCCTACATCATTTCCACCCAGATAGCTAGAACTCAGCCTCAGGGGTGCAGCCAACCCCAGGGGAGCCAGGGAAGCCAACACTCTTTGTGAGTCCAACAGGAAGAAGTGCATTAGTAAATGCATAGCAGCATCTTTGCCACAGTACCTTTCCCAAGGTTTTAGGTAATCAATCAACAATTACACCCAAGTAAGGGATATTAACAGTCCAGCTCAGATGGAGTTGTACCAAGCTCAGCCTCAACACTTTTCTGATTCTTCTTATCAAGGTCTTTAAACAAGTTCTAGGATGTTATCTCATCCAGGATCACCTTTTTACTTTAATACTATAGAAACATAAGTCAAAATGGAGGCTCTTGAACCAAAGAGTAGTTCAGTCACTTCTCATGTAGAGTACACTAAGTGGCATCAGGAAATGAGTGAAATATAAAATATATTGGATGAAAGACATGTCTCTACAGGTACTGATGAGAGAAAAATCTGTAGAGAATTTGAAATGTTTATTCTCAAAATTGTAAGAAAAAGTTACTATATCCCATCAAAAAGTAGATAATATAAGAAGTCACTGGCCTAAAACTCCTAGAGCACAATTTGAGGGAACATAAAAGAATGCAGTAACTAATGGAATAACTCTGCTAGTGAATTAGGAACTGCAGAAAATATGGTAGAAATGATCTCTTTTTTCAAAGGCAGACATTTTAAAAATAATGTCTCAAGGATAGCTTCTTGTTCAGAAAGGTCTTTTACGTAGTCTGTGTACTGTATTCAGGAAAATTTCTCATGGTGTTTCTATAGTATTTATTTTTTAGAATGACTTGAAATTTATTAATTCCAGACCTTTCCTTCTTCCTTGCCTGGCAAAATCCTGTTCCTTTGTCAGTTTCTCTGTGAAGTTTCCTCTCATTCTGGGAAGGGTGAATACTTCGATTCTGGGTAATTCTGTTGCATTATTCTCCACACCTGTTTGACAAGATTTTTTACCTTAATATATTGTGATTTTTCTTTTTTATGTCTTTAGATAGTAGTAATACCTTCCCAAGGACAGGAGGTAGGTATTTTCATGTGTCTATCCCAGTGACTAGCACAGTACTTGGCACATAGGAGCCATGTGATCTATGCCAACTGCATGGATGAGTGGCATCTAAAGGTACCATTATTTCCCCCACCATACTTGGTCATATGTGTGTGTTTCGTGTGTTGTGGGGGTATGAATTATATCTGTGTAGCATCACGTATGAAGGGATGTATCTAAAATTATGATGAACCTATCAAAATAGTTCACTGATTAAAATATAGAAAAGGTTTGAGAACTATTTATATAGGCAATTCCACCACAAGAAGAAAGTCTGAGGTTCTTATTTGCCAAATAAAACTTGTCATACTCCACAGTGGTAATCCATATTTACCTCTGAGCCATTTCTTTCATAGTTAAAATCAGAAAATTAAAAACTTTTTTTTTCTTAAAGGCATGTGAGACACTGTTGTAACCTCAGGTGGGTAGTTTATAATACTTTTAGTGTGAAATAAAGAAAATTATTAAAATTTTTTCTCAGTATAAACTTTTAAGCCCACATGATAAATCAGCATTTACAACAAATTTCTTCATGTGAGTTCTGGTCTTCTGATTTACCTCATATTTTCTGAGATGTAAGCATGATAAACCTTGCTGAAAAACAAAAAGAGAGAGTGGTAGATTTTAATTGAATTATCACAGAACTGCATTGCTATGTTTTCCCATTTATTGTAGGCAATGGTATTTTGTTATCTGTCAACCCCCCTGTAAATGTTTTTTTTTTCTTTCTGTAAGTCAAAAAAGTCTTCTTCAGGGCATTTAGGATAAGTTGTAATAACATCTGTAATAAATAATTCTCTTCTATCAATGTACACAGTGAATATTATTAATGGGAAACTTTTTGCATGGTCCCTGAAAATAGCCAATAACTCAACTTGTCAGAATTTTGATAACTACAGGCTTCAATTCAGCATGAAGAAATATAGAATTCTATTTAGCAGTTTCAAAAGCAATGAATACAGATGATGAACTCTCTCCTTTCAAGCAAAGAGATGCAAATTTTTATACCTAGACACTCATTTCTAATAATGTCATTTCAATTTACTTCTCAGTTACCTGATATTACAAGTATTTGTCTAGGTGTTGGATCAGAATTGAATCACAATTTCAGAGTTCCAGGCCTGGTCTGAAGCACCAGCTGAAAATCTTATTAGCAACTGAGTGACAATGTTTCTCATCCTTTCCCTATGCTATCTTATCTCCTTTCTTTTCTACCTTTCAAGTTTATTTATAAACATCCCAGAAATAGCTATTTGAATGAGAATTAATCATGAAATCAAGATAGTTGTTACCTGGGCATGGCTTTTGTCTTGATCCTCCTTCCATCTTTGGTCACTTCAAGACACAGATTACGCCTCCTTATTTTTTAATACACTTCCTTCCTCTTTGCCCAAACACCCTCAGTCTGGTTGAACGAAAAGGAATAGATGTCCTCAGATAGCCTAGCATCTAGCTGTTCCCAGGAAGAACTGCACGGTGGCCAACTGAAATGGGCAAACTACCAATACCAGGATGCTCATCTCACTAGTAAGGCCATTCCTCAGACTGCAAAGCCTCCTGGCTCCCATTGTCTTGCCATTGGTAGGTGCCACCTGTTCCTCTCAACTTCATCCAGCTGCAGAGGTATGGGAATCTTTCTCCTAGAGTATAACCCATCCTTCTCCAAAGCATGTTAAGAGTTGAAGGACCATGTACATTTTAATGCTTTCTTTCTATAAGATTCCCCAACCTATTTTAGCTAGCACAAAATGTCGTGTTGTTTATGGTGTTAGTCTCACACCTGCCTCAACACTTAAGTTTGTCTTCTCCGTTTTCCCATGCACCTGTGCTTCCCTCCTGTGTCAATCTGCATTGTGCTCATCCATTACTCCTGGAGTGGGCTATTAGGCTATAGGCTCCCCGAGGGCAGGTACCACATCGTATACTTCACTGTACCCAGAGGGTCTAGCATGGTGGTAGAACATGCTCAACAATGTTGAATGAATGCTTGAATAGTCAAAAAGCACCAACAGCAAAATGAGAGAAATGTTAGCTTGGGTACTTCTTTTATACTCATAGATTTCTCACATCTACTTTTTAGTGGGATTTTATTTTGCCTGCAAAATCAACTCTGATGTAAAGAGCAGAACTATTCTTGAAGATGGTACATTGTAGCTAGCTCCAGTGATGTCCTAGCAAATGTTTATTGATATAGCTGATTTCATGCTATCAGCATGTTGTCATCGAGCGTTGAAAAGAGATGTTCAGTAGTACATCATTCAATAGTATTTTCATCAGATAGCTACAATATGAGAAAATTACCTCAAGAGTACAGATAACAGTAAAATGTAGCAAAAAAAGAAGTGAAGGAATACCAGTATTTATGACGTTTGTTGTATATAATTTAATTGTAAGTTTAATATATTTTTAAATAATAGATGTATGTAACAATTGGCTTACAAAATTCCTGAGAATTTCATCATTTCCTCTTATTACACTGTAGGAGTTGACTCCAGCACACCACTCAATAAGACTATTCCAATCTGCCTTCAGTACCAAAACCTTCCCCCTCTAGCCTAGATCCCATGCAGGACCAATTTAACCAGTTCTTTGCCAGCATTCTCCACCACAAATATGTGCTGTTTAATTAAAACAGCTAGTTGTTTTGGTTAATAGCAGAGAAGTACAGAAGTTTGTAAGAAAAGGGAGTGAGATCAGAAAGAAGGTTGGGACATTCTTTGACGCTCTAAAACCTTACTACATATCTTGAGTTGCAGGTGAATAGCCTGCTTCAACTAAATATTTTGTATTTGGTACCATAGGCCACTTCTGTGCCTCACTACCTCCACAATCCAACTTGATTTCTGTCCCTCATTTTCTGTCTAACTGTATTTTCTGTCATGTGCGCCTCCTTTTCAACCTTCTCAATTGCAGAAACCTTTGAAATTATACTTCATTCCAAAATTGTCTCTTGACTTTGGATGAAAGGTGATGATTCCACCAATATTGCCCCACCATACAACACCAAATTTGCTCTTGTTTTTTTAAACCACACCAAAATACTTCCATGGTGCCTTGATTTTGTGGCTATATTATAAATGTATTGAATATTTTCATCACCCTTTTCTATATATGCTTCCGACTGTCTGCTCTTCATGGGAAGTGCTTAGGAATCAGATCATGGGGTTTTTTTGTTTTGTTTTGTTTGCATCTCACTGAGTAAAGAATCATGCCCAGAATCATGTCTTTTCATAGATTTCAGAATGGTAATTTTCTTTCTTTTTTTAACTTTTATTTTAAGTTCAGGGGTACATGTGCAGGTTTGTTATATAGGTAAACTTGTATCATGAAGGTTTGTTGTACAGATTATTTTGTCACCCAGGTAATAAACCTAATCCTCTTCCTCCTCCACCCTCCACCCTCTTGTAGACCCCAATGTGTGTTGTTCCCCTCTATGTGTCATGTGTTCTCATCATTTAGCTCCCACGTATAAGTGAGAACATGAGGTATTTGATTTTCTGTTCGTGCATTAGTTTGCTAAGTATAATGGCCTCCAGCTCCATCCATGTCCCTGCAAAGGACATGATCTCATTCTTTTTTATGGCTGCATAGTATTACAAGGTGTGTATGTACCACACTATATTTAGCCAGTCTATCATTGATGGGCATTTAGGCTGATTCCATGTCTTTGCTATTGTGAATGGTGCTGCAATGTACATACCTGGCATGTGTCTTTTTAGTAGAACAATTTATATTCATTTGGGTATATATCCAGTAATGGGATTGCTGGGTCGAATGTTATTTCTGTCTTAGGTCTTTGAGGAATTGCCAACTGCCTTTCACAATGGTTGAACTAATTTACACTCCCACCAACAGAGTATACAGTGTTCCCTTTTCTCCACAACTGTGCCAGCATCTGTTATTTTTTTACCTTTTTTTATAGTCATCCTTACTCATATGAGATGGTATCTCATTGTGGTTTTGATTTGCATTTCTCTAATGATCAGTGATGTTGAGCTTTTTTTCATATGGTTGTTGGCTGTATCTATGTCTTCTTTTGAGAACTGGCTGTTCATGTCCTTTGCCCACTTTTCAATGTTTTTTTTTTCTTGTAAATTTGTTGAAGTTCCTTACAAATGCTGGATAAAAATGGTAATTCTCATGATGAATTAATTGATAGATGTAGATTCATGCATGTGAGCAGCAACACATGAAATGGTGACTCTATCTTAGAGTATGAGTCCTCTATAAAAAGCAAGTGATGATGATGATAATGCTTTCAAACTTCTGGCACTGTTCCTGTGTCTTAGCACATTATTCATGCATGATAACCTATATAGAAATTGTGCCAAGACACACTCAAAAAATCCGCAATCATCATGTCTTTCCTTATATATCTTCTAAGTTATGGATACGTGGCACATAAACAAATTCCAGCTATTTTGTGCATTAAGAGTAATGAAGCCGTTTTACAGTTGCCTCATCCTTAAAAACAGAAACAACCATTAGATTTTATTTCTAAATGTTTAATTCATTGCCACACTCATCATCATCTGGGCTACAGATGGCAGACATACTTTCAAAAATTCTATTTCTAAGTAAACAGCATTTCCTTGAACAGCCCTGAAGAGAGAACATACATTATTTACATTCCTCTCAGTTCTCTGCATTTTGCCCAAGTTTACAAGCATATTTGGGATGAGACTGATATCACTGTAAAGCAAGTGTGTGCTCTCAAATTTGGTTAAGGAAAAAAACCAAACTAGAATCGAGGAAAATCCCTTTAAAAGAGATTCTTTTGGTTAGGTTGCTTTATGTTTTTAAAGTTTGCATATAGCTTACTCAGTCTTTTTTAAAGACACACTTATCATTTACATTCCTATTTTCTCTGCTCATAAATTCCTGGCCAAATGTAGTTCACTTAATTAACAGCTCTCTAAATAGATTGAGTTTTCTGCCTTAGGGGATGAGACACTGGAAGGCAGAAACTCCTGCATTGTCTGGCAAAGCTCCAGAAGTGCCTAATCACATGCTTGAACTGAAGAAATATAACAGACCCAAATGCAGATGACAGGAGCAGAGACGGAGGCCACTGGGCACAGGAGAGATTTGGGATGGAGAGCTGGTGAGCCTTTCTCTGTTCTCCACATCTGAAAGTCTGGCTTTAGGCACAATATTTATGAACTTTAGCAATATGCACAAATCAAATGAGCTGAAAAATCAGACCAGGCAGATAAAAGTAAAATCATCTTACTGAAATTCCTGGAAACAACAGTTTCAGCCATTTGACATGTAAGTATATATCCTTTGGTCATCGAAGTATGAAACATATAAAGAAAACTTTAAAAGAAAAATAAAATACATAAAATGAAGATAATGGAAATCATCAAATTAATGAATTTACTAGACTTACAGTAATTTATACCTCTCTACAACATGAATATTAGTTATATTTCGGAGCTTTGCTACTAGCAACACTGATTTCTGGGCTGCAAGATAACTGGGGCAAAGGTTGTTCTGGGATCCTATTGAATTGGCTGGCTATGTGCTTTTAAAAAGCAATCACGTATTTCATAGAGCTGAGATTAAAGTGGGACAGCAATATTTTGAACTTGAAACATTTGTGACAATTACAGACTTTGATCACATTTTATGTCCTTCTTTATATATACATATATATATGTAAACTTTTTATTTTAATATATACAGTTTGTATTTTTGTTTCGATGCGGGATCTCACTCTGCCTCCCAGGCTGGAGTGCTGTGGTACAATCATGGCTCACTGCAGCCTCCACCTCCTGGGCTCAAGTGACCCCAGGAGGATCCCAGGAGCCTCCCAAGTAACTGGGACTATGGGTGTGAGCCACCACACCTGTCTAATTTTTTTTTTTTTTTTTTTTTTTTTGTAGAGACAGGGTCTCACTGTGTTGCTCAGGCTGTCTTGAACCCTTGGGCTCAAGCAATCCTCCCACCTCGGCCTTCCAAAGTGTTGGAATTATAGGCGTGAGCCACCATACCCAGCTCTTTATATATTTTTACTCCTAGGTTGATCTGATACTTGACCAACAAGGATCAACTGGAGGAAAAAAAAAATATATATATATATATGTTTCTAAAGATAGATTGCACCACCCGAATTTTACCTGCAATAAACTGATAAATGTTGTTATATTATTAACTTTTTTCCATAAAAGCAACACAGTTAGAGAGCTCAAGCCCTGCTTCTGACTTAGGGAATATTAGTAACCTGATTTCATGTATTCAATAACAATTAATTATTAAACACCTGCCCTGGGACAAACATAATGCTAGGTCATGTGTTACCAGCTAAAACAACAAACACGAAACTTTGAATGGGAATGGAAAAAGGGTGTAAAGATACAAATTACACTTCGCAGTTTTTCAAAGATCTGATTGTGGCTGAGCAATCCTGGCCCAAGAGCAGAGGCTGGAAAATAGAACCACCGGTTCTTTTGTTTCACCTGCCAGTTGTTTTCTTTTTGAATTAATTAAATATTTTATTTTATTTTATGTTGGTTTTTTGAGACAGGGTTTCTCTCTGTCACTCTGTTCCCAAGTCTGGAGTGAAGTGATGCGATCTCAGCTCACTGCAACCTCCACCTCCCGGGGTCAAGTGATTCTCCTGTCTCAGTTTCCTGAGTAGCTGGGCACCACCACACCCAGCTAATTTTTTGTATTGTTAGTAGAGACATGGTTTCACCATGTTGGCCGGGTTGGTCTTAAACTCCTGGCCTCAAGTGATCTGCCTGCCTTGGCCTTCCAAAGTGCTAGGATTACAGGCATGAGCTACCACGCACTACCTGACTTAAAAATTTTTAAATTAGGAGATTATGTACCAAAAAATCCATATTCCTATATTCTCTTGAAAAATCAGACAATTTGGGCCAGTATTTCTGCAGCACCACAACCCACTGCCTCACAGTAGTGACCTTTAATTGGGTCTTGAGTTCTTAAATTTAAGAGTTTCCCAGTTTCCTCAGGCTCAAAATGAATGCCTGGTGTGATTATACCCAAGGACTTCACTCATTTATCCTACTTACCTGGCCAGAGAGGCATTTGGGATGCCTGTCTTAGAATTCCATATAGGCATTGTTTTAGATCCTCTACTAAAATGTGTGTGACCTAGAGCAAATCACATATCCTTTCTGTGCCTCTGTTTACCTCAACCTCTAAAATGCGGATAATAGTATGGCTCATAGTGTTGATGTGAAGATTAAACAACTCTGGTGAAATACCTGCTACATAATATGTGCTATAAATATGTGAGCCATTGTAATTAATTTATTATTAATACCTATATCATAATCATATAATTACATAATTAAGAATTGACACAATTATTAAATTGTGTAAACTATTAATTCTCTGATAGTTATATATTATCAGCAGGAATATGTCAAGAGTAATCAATAAACTGCAATTAGCTGTGATATATCTTGCTGGTGGTTTGTAGAAGCAGATTTACTGTGAAACTTATTAAACTTCAGAGCTCTTTACTTTCATGGACAATTTCCAAGGCCCTGAGAAGGAACCCAGAAATGTGTTCACATAATCATATGTTTTTGTAAAATATACCAAAGTAAGATATTTTCACTAGTTGAGACAATTGTCTCTTTCCACTGCAATTCTTTCTTTGTCATACTTGCTCTTGGGTGTCAGAGGCTTTAGAATAGCATGGGTTTGGGGTGATACCAACAAAGAGAGTTGATCTGGGAAAGCATTTATTTTTTGCTTCATAGGGCATATAAAGCTCATGGTCATTTTTGGCATTGTTATTTATTGTTAGTTGTCTAGGTATAGGAATGACTTTCAAGAATACCACTATTGTTCACGGTGCTGATGCATCCAACATGAAACATGAAGTATATAGGTCCAGAGATTATGTTTCACTGTGAACATGCAGTATCTACCTAGCCCTGAAACTATGCAGGTTGTTCAGGTAAACAAAGCTTAGGATGTGTAGAACTGGAGCTAGTCTGCTGAAATTTCTTCCAATTATCAGATATGCAAAATTGGAGGATTTGGTTTTCCACAATGCTTAATCAAAATGGACGTTCTAACAGGGACAAACTAAATAATTTGGAATACACCATTTTAAATACTCTATACATTTTTTCCTTTTTTGATAGGAGTCATGCAAGAGAGGATTTATAAGAATGCTTATATTTATAGAGCAAAACTATAGCAGCACCACATGCATCTAGAATGACTGTGTGTGAAGTTTTACGCATCCCATTATATGAGATCATATACTAGCCTGAATGCATCTCATCCCAACAGTAGTTTCAGATGAAAAAGCATACAATATTGACACTGATATAGCAAAACCAACTGATCATCAAAACTGCACATGAATTGCCCCAAAGGTAGTAAAATGGCCTGAATAAAAGAATATTCCCATGATAAAAATCCCTACAGTTATCCATGAACAAGTCAATGTATGTATCATAGGAGTAATTTGATTACTAGTTTATGTAGCCCTATACAATGTAGGAGCATTTTAAAAATTTATTTGAATTGTGCTTTTGTGAACCTTATATTCAGATTAATTTTGTATGTTTTCCCAAAATTATTGGAATTATCAAAATCTAAATAAAATGGAGAGAAGTATCCTACCAAAAGCTAAAAATCTATTCTGAAGAAAGAAGACTTGCAGCAGCTTCAAAATCTCAAACATCTGTTGTTGTATCACAAGGAAACTGAAATCTTTCACGGGCAAAGTCATGAGATAAAGAAAAAGGATCAAAATAGCCAAAAAAAAAGGTAATAAAAATTACAACTGAAAAGGTAAATGTTTTTATGAGAATTAGAACACTTTCAAAAGGAAAACAAAAAAAAAAGAAGGTAAAGGAAAGCAAAAAGGAAAAATTTTAAGTTCAATAGAACACTCCAGATGGTCAGCAGCAGCTCCACTTTGATGAATACTTGATTTTGTTAAGTACCATGTTTCCTTTCATTATGTTCAGTTACAGAAGGCAAAAATTTTATTCAAAATTGTTAAATAAATGATAGCTTTTTCAAAATTGTGATCCCAATAGTATGTGCAGAGAACTAAAGTGAATGTACAATAAACAAAATATGAATTACAAACAGATATGAAAAAATTGTAAATGGTTAGATTATGATGAGATCTCAACTAGCCTAGACCAACACTAAATGTTGCGTTAATTGTAAACTGCTTTCAATGAGACAGACACAGCTTACATAAGATGAGTGTTTAGGCTGAAAGACTCTATTTGGGAATTTCTTAGTCGCAAAGACTACACAGAGTACAAGGAAGCTGTGCTTACTTGTATTACAGTCATCCCTCGGTATCCATGGGGTGTTCACTCCAGGACTCCCTATGGATACCAAAATCCATGGATGCTCAAGTCCCCATATAAAATGGCGTAATATTTACGTATAGCCAATGTACATCCTCTGGTATACTTTAAATCATCCCTAGATTACTTATAATATCTAATGAAGTGTAAATACTGTGCAAATAGTTGTTATACTGTGTTTAGAAAATAATGACAAGAAAAAATGTTTGTACATGTTCAATGCAGACATAACTACCTTTTTTATTTTTAAAATACATTTGATCTGTAGTTGGTTGAATCCACTGATAGAGAACTCATAGATAAGAAGGACCAACTGTATATGCAAGACAAACATACTGGATCAGTGTCTTAAAGAACAAAGGCAATTCAATATTATCTCTGGAGTGCTAAAAGATATTTACAGTTGTCAAGTTTTAAGTGAAAAATTTTTACTCTTCAGAGTCATGATGAACAGTGAGGTTTTTAAACGGCATAAATGTTACAGGAATCATCTAATTATGGAAGTTAATCCATTGTTGTACAAAGACTTGGAAAAATGTGAAAGTGAAAAAACAAATGTGACTTACTTCCCAAAACACTTTACAAAAAAATAATTGAAATAATGAGTGAGTATGTGCAAAATGAAGTGGTAAAATAAACACCATATATTATTCCACTAATATGGATTCTACACTGGATGTGACACACTGAACACTTGGTAATGGTGCAAAATTGTTACCAAAAAATTATGAGTCATTTAAAATTTTTTCCAAATAAAAATAATGTGTTAATTTCTTCAACCAGTGAAATATGTTCTGGGCAATTGTAAACTGCCATGGGAAAACATTTGCCATTGGTTATGTGATAACATAGCAGTTATGAGAGATGAGGACTATGTGAACTCTTTAAAAACATGAATATATTAACATGTGTTGCTTCTTTCCTTCATTTCATCAGATTAAAAATTGCTTCTCAGGATGAGAAGTCATTAATTACTTTGTTATTTTGCAACGATTTTTTTAATAGGCTTTAACTTTTAGAGCAGCTTTAGGCTCACAGCAAAATTGAACTGAAGATACATATTTCCCACATCCCCGCTCCCCTACACCTGCACAGCCTCCCCCGTTATCAACATTCCCCACCAGAGTGGCACATTTGTTACAATTGATGAATCTGCATTAAGAAGTCATTATCACCCAGAGTCCATAGTTTTTACAGGGTTCATTCTTCGTACTGTACTGTCTATCGGTTTGGATAAACTTACAACAGGTACCCACCATTATACTGTCATACAGAATAGTTTCAGTGCCCTAAGAATCCTCTGTGCTCTGCCTATTCATCCCCTCCTCTCCTCAATCTTTTGCAACCACTGACTGTTATTTTTACTGTCTCCAAAGTTTTTCTTTTTCCAGAGTATCATATAATTGGAATCATATAGTATGTAACATTTTCAGATTGTCTTCTTTCACTTAGTAATACGCATTTAAGATTACTTCATGTCTTTTCATATCTTGATAGCTCATTTCTCTTTGTCACTGAATAATATTCAGTTGTCTACATGTACCACAGTTTATCCATTCACCTACTGAAGAACATCTTGGTTGCTTCCAAATTTTGGCATTTATTAATAAAGTTGCTGTAGACATTCACGTTCAGGTTTTTGTGTGGACCTAAGTTTTCAACTCCCTTGGGTAAATATCAAAAAGTGTGATCACTAGATTATACAGTTAGTGTATTGTTTAGTTTTGTAAGAAACTGACAAACTGACCTCTGTAGTGTCTGTACCAGTCTTCATTCTGTAAGCAATGAATGAGAGTTCCAGTTGTTCTACTTCCTTGTCAGCATTTGGTATTGTCAATGTTCTAGATTTTGGCCATTATAATAGGTAGGTAGTGGTATTTCATTGTTGTTTTAATTTGCATTTCCCTGATGACATATGATATGAAGCAGATTTTCATGTTTATTTGCTGTGTATATTTGGTTAGGTGTCTATTAAGGTCTTTGATCCATTTTTTAATGAAGATGTTCATTTTCTTATTCTTGAGTTTTAAAAGTTCTTTGTATATTTTGGATATCAGTTTTTAATCAGATACATCTTTACAAATAATTTCTCCCAGTCTGGGGCTTGTGTTCTTATTCTTTTGACAGTGTCTTCTGCAGAGCAGAAGTTATTTAATTTTTACAAAGTTTGGCTTATCAATTCTTTCTTTCATGGATTGTGCCTTTGGTGTGGTATCTAAAAAGTCTATTAGGTTGGTGCAAAAATAATTGTGGTTTTTACCATTAAAAGTAATGGCAACAACCACAATTGCTTTTACATCAACCTAGATATTTATTTTATACTTCGTGTTTTACATGTAGGTCTATGATCCATTTTGAGTTGATTTTTTTTTTTGTGAAGGTTGTGAGATCTGAATCTATGTTCAACTTTTTACATGTGGATGTTCACTCATTTGTTGAAGACTATCTCCATCATATTGCCTTTTCTTGTTTGTGAAAGACCAGTTTATTATATTATTGTTGGTCTCTTTCTGGGCTTTCTATTATGTTCCACCGATGTATTTGTCTATTCTTTTTACCAATACTATGCTTGATTACAGCTTTATAGTAAATATTGACATGGGGTATTATCAGTCCTCCCACTTTGATTTTCTTCAATATTTTGTTGAATATTCTGGATCTTTTCCTTTTCCATATAAACTCTAAAAACAATTTGTTTATATCCATAAGACAACTTACCGGGATTTTGATTTGGATTATTTGTATCTAAAGGTCAGGTTGGGAAGAACAAACATTTTGAAAAAATTGAGTCTATCCATGAATATAAAATATCTCTTCATTTGTTTAGTTCTTCTTTGATTTCTTAATCAGAGTTTGTAGTTTTTCTTGTATAAATCTTATGAATTTTTATTAGGTTTATACCTGAGTATTTCATTTTTCAGCATGTTAATATAAGTGGTAGTATGTTTTTAATCTCAAATTCTACCTGTTTGTTGTTGGGAAAACAATTGGCTTTTGTATAATAACCTCATATCCTGAAAACTTGCTATATTTACTTAGTAGTTTTTTTTGTTGATTCTTTCAGATTTTCTACATAGACAAAGATGTCATCTGTGGATAAAGACAGCTTGATATCTTCCTTCCCAGTCTGTATACTTTTGTGGGTTTTTTTGTTTTTGTTTTTGTTTGTTTTTTTAATTGAGACAGAGTCTCACTCTGTCACCCAGGCTGGAGTACAGTGGCACGATCTCGGCTCACTACAAGCTCTGCCTCCCAGGTTCACGCCATTCTCCTGCCTCAGCCTCCCAAGTAGCTGGGACTACAGGTGCCTGCCACCACACCCGGCTAATTTTTTTTTTTTTTTGTATTTTTAGTAGAGATGGGGTTTCACCATGTTAGCCAGGATGGTCTCGATCTTCTAACCTCGTGATCCACCCATCTTGGCCCCCCAAAGTGCTGGGATTACAGGCGTGAGCCACTGCACCCGGCCCCCAGTCTGTATACTTTTTATTTCCTTTTCTTGTCTTATTGCATTAGCTAGTGCATCCATTATGACGTTAAAAAGGAAGGTGAGAGGGGACATGCTTGCCTTCTTCCTGACATTAGCACTAAAGCTTCTAGTTTTACACTATTAAATATGATGTTAGATTTTGTAGATGTTCTTTATCAAGTTGAGAAAGTTTCTCTCTATTCCTAGTTTGCTGAGATGCAATACATTTCTAATGTGTCTTAGTTTTTAAATTTAACTCTAGCTATATTTTTCTTTGATGGCCATTCAAATCTAGATGGCAATATATTACCCTCAACTCCCTCCTGGGTGAGAAACTTGAAGCTATACTAGGGAAATTAAAAGCCAGGAAACAGTTTAGTTTTATTCTTAGTAAAATAAAAAGAATAAAAAACTTTCATATAGTCTTGTAAATACTAGACTGCATAAAGCATGTGATAATCACGTAAAAAGCATTTGCATTCTATAGTTACTGACTTTGTATCTTTTCTCTAATCATTAATAAATGAAAAAAACTTAGAAAGTAGTGAATAGAAGAAAATTTTTTAAATCATTCAGAATTAACCACCCAAGAATAACCAAGTTTACCATTTTGATGTATTTCCTTTGATTTAAAAAAAATGCATGCTGCTTGCAAATTTATCACAAGTATATTTCACGTATAATAAATTTTGTAACATTCTGTTTTAGTCTGAAGTTTTATAGTTAAAATGAAAACAAGACTTTTCCCAAATAGCTTTTAAAACATAATTTTTAGTGAGAGTTTAATATCTTATCACATGATTAAATTTTATTTTTAAAATGATTTGAAAAAATTTAAAAATTTCTCTATTATTGTATTTTGTTTTTTTGCTATTATATAATGTTATGATAAACATCCTGAGACTCACACACACTAACTTATTTAACCTTATATTCAGTTATTATCTTAGGATAGATTACTAAAAGTGGAATCACTAGACTAAGAGATAAAAAATATTTAGGGTTGTTTTACATGTTGTCAAAGTCAGTGGAGCTTAAAAAGACTGAATAATTAAAAATTGATTACTGTGAATTTTTTATACCACAAGGAACAGTTCTTAGGGTAAAGGGATAAATTAAAATTTAGGAGAGAGTAAATATATGTAACATGATGGCAACATATTGCAATGCATGAGTCAGCCAAGAAAATGTGATTGAAGATTTCAGAGACCTTTGGGCTGCAGCCAGAGTGAGATTTCTTACGTGTTCTATACTAGGTTATTCTATTCCCAGGTGGACTCCCAGCCCCTCATCTGTCTTCACATGTTTATAAATGGAAACACTGGCTTTCCTCTACAGTTTCTATGATGTGTGGCCCTTTGCATAAGAGTAGCTATTTGAATGACAAACAGATATCACGCACTGAAGAAATTGAAGGTTTTAAATTATGAATTTTAGGTGTGTTTTAAACAGCAAGCTTCGGAAAAAATAAAGGAAACAAAAGCCCATTCTTCTTTTTATCACCACAATCACAAATCAACTCTTCCTCACTGTATCTGGCAATGTTTTGCAGTATATTAAGCCTTTGGGGTTAGAATAATGGTTTAGTTTGATTAATGAATAGGATTAGTTTAGGAAAAGATCAAGGTTGAAGGCATTGTTTATTACTAGATATATTTTGTTATGTAAATGGAAATGCAAATGAATTTTATGTTCCATATACCTGGGGTGCTGTGGAATCATTAATCATAGCTGTCTTCCCTACAGCTATGATTTCCAGCAAGTGCTAGCACTCCAGGTCTGCATAGCCCCCCAAAAAACATCTCATAGATAAAAAGAACATCATTCTCAACTCATGCTGATGCTAAAATTTTTCCAACATATTTTCCAACATATTTTCATTTAGTCTCCTAGGAAAGATCTTTTTCCAATTGTTTAGTGCAATGTTCTTTATTGCTAGCTACTAGGCTTCCGTCTTAGCTTAATGAAAGAAGAAGTTGGAAGATAAGTAATTTTTCACATAAGGAACAGCCTAGAAGCATATATGAATGGAAGCAATTTAGACCACATCCTTTCTTGTGATTTAGAGTAAAGTCTGGAAGACCCGGGTTGCTGTCTCTACAGCTGCTTCATGTTTTTTTCTTGATTGTTTATTTCTTAGATGAAGGAATCAATAAACGCGAATGGAATTCAAACGGAATAAATCTTACTGCCTGAATCACTCAATTCAGAGTAGCCTCCTGAGGATTTCACATTAAATGGTAGCCTTTTGTTCTATAAAAGAAAGTTAATTAACCTGTCTTGCAGCTTCTCAACAAATGTCTAATTTGTTCCCTGAATGTGCCTTATACAGAAGTAAAAATGGTTTGCCAGTTCCCAAGTTCGTGGAGTTCAGTAAAACTCTCCATAACCTTATATTTTTTAAATATATATTTGCCTTGAACAATCTTTTTAACCATTTCTTCAGGACCTTTTTTTTCCTTTCTTCACTTTTTCTAGGCCGAAGATGATTGATGACTCTTCAAGTATAAAAAGGCATTACTTATCATATCAATAGAGGCCATACATAGCAAATCTGTTGGTTCTTTGCCGGTTTTGCTGGGGTTAAAATATCCTGGTCTTAATGAAGTAAGTGACATTATTGTCCTAGTATTTGAAGTCTGAACAGAGATATTTTCTCTTTATGGTAATTCTAAAATTCATATTAAAAATAAAACACGAGAAAGTTTAAAACTAAAATGAAATGAAAAGAAAAAAATTTTAGAGATCAATCTTATTTTTTCTTTTCTTTCTTTCTTTCTTTCTTTTTTTTTTTTTGAGACAGAGTTATCTCAAAAAAAGAGTTGTCTTTTCGCCCAGGCTGGAGAGCAGGAGAGCAATGGTGCAATCTCGGCTCACTGCAACCTCTGCCTCCCGGGCTCAAGTGATTCTCCTGCCTCAGCCTAGAAGAAACGTTGGTCAATGCAGACATTTATAAAAGTTTATAAACATTTTCCCAAACAAAGCTGAAAATCTAGTACAAACACCGTCTTCCTAAGAGTTGTCTTCTGCCTGACTGAGATTTTGGTTGGGCACTGCTACTTACTGCTTCCCCAGGACAATCACTTACCTTAGTTTCAGAAAGTTTAGTAACCACAGGCTAGGTATAAGGAGTACTGGGGCTCCTAATGAGTGCATGTGTCTCCTCCTCTTCTCCCTCCAGCACCACAGAAGTCATGCCAGTTACTAATGTTCATCACTGAACTAGTAAATCCAGGACGGAGAGCACAAATACTTCCAATTGACAGACTTATTTCTATGGCTACAGTCCTTTTCCCAAAGGATTGAAAAATGAGTGTGAAGATATAATTAAGTCCAATGTTATCTAGTCTTTTACCCTTGATCCTGGATCCTAGATAAAGCCTGGGACTGTGGGAGCAAGAAAGAGCAGTGTTGGTGCCCTACAGCTTGAAGCTGTGTGATTACTTTTGCTTTCTCTGGCCTTATGATCTTACTTCAAGATGGTACCAGGTACTGCCAGGTGGACACTCGAAGCTGCACATGATATCTGTGTTTGAAGGCTGTCTAAATAGCCGGTCTCTTATCTTCTGCAGTCCCTCGGAATTCTGACTCAGAGGCCTGCTGAGTCAGAATTGTCTCTGGGATATCCATTGGACAAAACCAGTCCTAAAGGGGAAAACAAATGCAACATACAGAGACCATTAAAGAGAAAAACAAAAACAGAGAGCACATATATGAACAAATGGTAGCAGAGAAATAAAAATCCATGGGCAAGAACTGATTGGTTTACAACTCTTAGATGAACTTTTTATAAATAAAGAATGAGAGAAAGATAGCCCATGCTTATTTTTTAAAAACTTGAAATGAACCCAGAGGATCTTAAAGTTTATTGCTTAAAACATTGACACTAAAGTTTACATATTAATGCATTTATAATTAATATAAAAATGAGGGCTTAGTATTAACTAGGAATTTTTTTTAATGTTCTGCATGAGGCTCAACTGAGTTTCAAACAGATGCCAAAATATGTGCCATTTCCTTATTAAAAATAACATTGTTTAGCCTATTGACATCATTCATACAACTGATGAAGACCATTTGCTACTGGGTATGTTCTGGATACTGAGATATTGTATAATTTAGTGCAGGTATTTATCTTCATGCCATATGAGTCTAGACCATTTTCTCTTTATCTGCTTATTATTTTATTCCTTTCCATTAATATCATGATTTATGATATATGCTAAGAAGGTTAACTACTCCCAGTATTTCCCTGTTACTTGGCAATCTGGTAGTCTCCTTCCTCTGTCTGCCAGAGGCAAGGTACACCAGGAAGACAAGATTATTTTGATGTTCAGCAGTGGAAAGATGTATTTTCTGCATGAAAATTGCAACTCGCTTCTAACCAAGAAGAGTTTTTGTTTTATCTGCAGAGTTGTTCATGTTATCATTAACTATTAGAAAATGCCATTTATTGATGGTGACTTGTTGCATTTCATTCAGATTTTGTAAAACTTAAAGAAACATCAATTATTTGAGATGTCAAATGATAAAAATGTAGCTTTGTATATAAAAGTAACTGTGAATGCTTTCTAGGCTTGAACAATAAAATCCGTTCAATTGGTTGGGTACAGGGACTCACGCCTGTAATCCCAGTACTTTGGGAGGCCATGCTGAGCAGATCACTGGGCCCAGGAGTTTGAGGTCAGCCTGGGAAACATAGTGAGACTCTATCTTCGCAAAAAATACAAAAATTATCCAGGCATGGTGGTGCGCACCTGTAGTCCCAGCTACTCAGGAGGGTGAGGTGGGAAGATCACCTGAACCCGGGAAGGTCGAGGCTGCAGTGAGTCATGACCATGCCACTGCACTCCAGCCTGGGTGACAGAGTAAGACCATCTCTCAAAAAACCCCCGAAACTGTTAAATTATAGCAATCATAATTAATGATAGTTTTTTATTATATAGTGTAATAACAGTTGTAGAAATGTAGAAAATTCAGAACAGTACAAAGCAAAAATTACCTTTAATGTCATAGCCGAGGTCTGCATCTTCAAATATTGTAGGCTTGCCTTATGATATTTGCGACATTTATACATAACTTTTTAAAAATTGTGATCATACTGTGCATATGATTTTATAGATTCGTTGTAGAGTCAACATCTTCCCTTATTAAATATTCATCTAAAATATGATTATGAATAGTTATATAACAATTGAGCATGTGTTTGTACCATTATTTAATAATCTCCTACTAATACTTCCAGGGAATAAATAAAAAATATGAACTATTTTATACCTCATTCTAAGAAAATGTTTTACATAATTATGTGGGTTAGGAGTATAGTGATATATTAATATCTGGGTTATGTTTAGTTTTAATTCTTAATACATTAAGTATCAAAATAACTATCTCTATATCTCTGTGATTTCTTGGTTTCAGTATACTACACTAATATTTTTATGATTCGTCAGAATTTGTTCCAAGTACTATTAATTTTACTGTGGAGTTGGTGTTTAGTTTTTTCTTTTATAAAAGTATATTTTTTCTCTTTTATATATTATTCACAGTATAATATATAGTATATTAGATTATATTTTTCTTATGTGTATGTATTGTGTGTGTTTATATATGTATACACAATACACACATACACACACACACACACGTATATTTCCTGAGGAGGATAGGCGTGAGACTAGTTAAGCAATGCTTTAAATGTTTGTTTTGTTGATTTTTCTGTTTGTTGATGTTTTGTTTTTGTCTTTTCATAAGGAAGAGAATCTGCCATTTGAAGGTTCTCAGGTACATTTCTGCCTTCATTAGGATGGAGACCTCTGTCACTTTGATACAGGTGTCTTCCTTTGGGAAATTCAGTGGAGTGGTGTCCCTTTGATAATATAAACACAGTTAATTCTTGTTACTTGTGGTAGCTATGTTTTCTGAAGTCACCACAAATACTGAATTACCAAATACCGAACCATTGCTTCTAGGAGAAATACAGGATTAGATCCCTGAGAGTCTGGTCAAAACATTTTTGCAAAGTGACCAATACATGCTGTTCTTTTATGTGTGTTTCTGTTTAAAGACAACTTATTTAATATATATTGATTCAGTAACATTGAACTCATAGCCAATAACTCTATGACTCATGCCTGAAGTTTATCCAACATTTTTTTCTCCATAAGCTACATCATAGTCTTCTTGTGCTTAGCAATGCTAGACAGAACTTCATCACTGTGTTTGAGGGGCATTATAAACAGCAAAATCACCAAGAAAAGGCACAAAAATGAAAAAATGTGACACCAAATAGGATGCAAAAAGGACACTTATTTTCAGTATAAGAACTGAGACAAGAAGGCACAGTACTGCCTTGTTTGTTCTCAGCTGAAACATGTGACTCACGTGTTTGCTGCTCTGGGCATATCTGTGAATGACTGAGAAAGGTCCAGGAGTACTGATTTTGGGGTTACAAATAAATGTTATCCAGTAGAAAATTCACAAATATGAAATCTGGGAACAATGAGGATTGACTGTATTAGGAAAGAAGGTTCCCACTGACATACGGAAAGGGTTCGGTAAACTCCTCTGCGGTCTTACCCTTTAAATCTGCCTTTTCTAGTACTTCTTGGGATGCAGATCTAGTAATTAGAAAATTTGTGCATATTTACAAATTTCTTTGGCACAAAGAATTTTCTGGGCATAAAAGGATGGAGAAGTCCTTATTCTTTCCTTATTGTGGTGGAATATTATTCAACTTTATCTTATGGATGGCTAATGATTCCAATTGAGCTTCTCTGGCGGGAAATTTGAGTGGGGCTCCTGAAGAATTCATCATAGGGTTTTCTGAACTACTAATCTGTGCTCAATAGGGAACTCCTTGTTTGACATGGAAGAGGAGTCAGTTTTGAATAGAGTAGCTGAGTCTGGCCTTGTAACTGCAGAACCAGCTTAAACCTATGAACCATTGTTTAAGTTGTTACAGGTGGCACAGAGCCAAGACTGAAAGTCATGTAGCCCTGGCATGTGGAATGAGAGACAGCTTTAACCTTCTAGTTGTTAACACCACCAGCATGGCAGATTAGCTATACTGGAATCATCTGGGACTAGTTAGAGACGCTATAAAAGCTTACCCCACCTCCAGAGCGGGAGAAAGATTTGGGTTTTGGCTCTTGTCTCCTTGCCAGTCAACTTGCAATACAACTTTTTTTTTCTTTTTCCAAAAGCCAGTGCCATATTATTGGCTTCTATGTGTCGGCCAGTGAGGCCATTGCTCGGTGACAGCCTTTCTGATCTAGCCACCATAGTGTGGAGGCATCCATTGAGAATGATGACCATGTGAATGTAAACAAACTATGAGCCATAGCTGTGGCACCCAAGGTCATGGCATGATTTTTTCTGGAGTATAGCATTTAAGGGATGGGATTGTTCTTCCTAAATTAGCTATTATAATCTTTGAAGCCTTAAAAGCACCAGACTTCACTGAAGTCTCCTGGTATCCTTCTTGAATCACTGGCCAAGATTTCCTGCTTCTGCCCAAACAGATTTTGAGTACTCCTGAGGCTTGGTGCTGGTAACATCCATGATAATTGTTGCAGATTTATTTTCTCTTTTGGGAGGTGGGAGTTGTTTTCAGCAGAATCCATCAATTTTCTTAGATTTTTGTGTGATCTTACCTCCCCTTTCTCTGCTCAAACTTTAATTGTTTGAATGCCTGGAACATAACCTCGGGTCCATGTCTTCATGATTTCTTTCTCCCCAGTGATTCGGATCTAGGACTCTCAACTAGATCTAAACGGACTGATCTCTTCTCTTGTGTTCCCATCTCCACATAAAACTGCTTACTGTGCATCTTGGCTTAAATAAGGTATTTAAAACCAAAACTATCCAAATAAAACCTTATTTCTACAGTCTCCACTCACTCTTGTTTCTTTCCCTGTGTTTCTTATCTTAGTAAAAGGCATCACCATTCATCCAACTGCTCAAAACCAGAAAAATTGGGAGTTATCCTTGTTTCCTTTCTTTACTTCATGCATTGTTTCCAAATCCTCAGTAAGTTCTGTCATCCTGTGAAATGCGCCCAGAAGTATCCATTTCTCTGTATCCCCACTGCTAGTATCTTTTTTTTTTTGAGACAGAGTCTCGCTGTGTCGCCCAGGCTGGAGGGCAGCGGCCCCATCTCTGCTCACTGCAAGCTCCGCCTCCCAGGTTCACGCCATTCTCCTGCCTCAGCCTCCCCAGTAGCTGGGACTACAGGCGCCCGCCACTGCGCCAGGCTCATTTTTTTTTTTTTTTTTTTTTTTGTATTTTTAGTAGAGACGGGGTTTCACCGTGTTAGCCAGGATGGCCTCGATCTCCTGACCTCGTGATCCACCCGCCTCGGCCTCCCAAAGTGCTGGGATTGCAGGCCAGAGTCACCGCGCCCGGCCCCCACTGCTAGTATCTTAATCCCAACCGCCATGATTTCTTGCCAGGATGATCTCAATTGCCTCCTACTGGCTATTCTGCTTTCACTCCCTTGTGACTCCTTCTACCAGGTACACAAAAATGATTTTTAAAATGTTGGGTCATATTACTCCTGTTTCACTCTCCCCCTTTTTTTAAGAGACGGGTGTCTCACTCTGTCACCCTGGCTGGAGTGCAGTGGTGCAATTACAGCCTTAAACTCCTGGGCTCAAGGGATCCTTCCACCTCAGCCTTTTGAATAGTTGAGAGCACAGGCATGTGCTACCATGCCCTACTTTTTTTTTTTTTTTTTTTTTTTTTTTTTTTTTTGGTAGAGACAGGGTCTCCCTATGTTGCCCAGGCTGGCCTTGAACCCCTGGCCTCAAGCAATTCTCCTGCCTTGGCCTTCCAAAGTGCTGGAATTATAAGCATAAGCCATGGTCCCGGCTTTGGTTAAACTCTTCTAATGGATCAAATAAATTATTTAAATATTGCTTTCTCAGCAAGGCATTTTCTCATCACCTTTTCTAATGTTGTATGCCCCCTTCAGCACTGTTTATCACACTATCACTTTATCCTCTTTATCAACTCACTTCCATCAGTATGATCTTGTGTATTCTTGTTTATTTGTATATTGACTATTTCCTCCACTACAACATAAATGTAGCGTGCGTGCCTTTTTTTGTTCAGTAGAATATCACAATGCCTTAGCATAAGTCTGAGAAGGTAGTCGCTTTTAAACAGACAATTGCGAATTGGTGAAAGAAAATCTTTTAAGGAGTCTAATACACAGAAAAAGAGCTCAGAGCAAAGCTGTTCTGGTTTTATGGGAAGAACGGAGGGAACGGTTAGTTGTAATGGTAGACAGACCCTCACTCGAACCTTTCTTCTGGTTCCTCCTGAGGCTTCTCAGAGAACAACTTGAAAATCTGGAGCACTGTAGGGAGGGGAGAAGCCAGCAAGACAGAGCTGCCTTGGTCAATAATCTTTAAAATAGTTTTAAAACATCACTGCGATAAATCTGTTGTATTGGTCAGGGGTCTCTAGAGGGACAGAACTAATGGAATAGAGATATATACAAAGGAGAGTTTATTAAGTGTTAACTCACATGATCACAAGGTCCCACCATAGGCCATCTGCAGGCTGAGGAGCAAGGATAGCCAGTCCGATTTCTAAAACTGAAGAACTTGGAGTCTGATGTGCAAGGGCAGGAAGCAGCCACCACAAGAGAAAGATGTAGGCTGCGAGGCTAGGCCAGTCTCTCTTCAAATTTTTCTGTCTTCTTATACTTTAGCTGAGCTGGCAGCTGATTAGATTGTGCTCACCCAGATTAAGGGTGGGTCTGCCTTTCCCAGCCCACTGACTGGAATATTAATCTCCTGTGGCAGCACCCTCACAGACACACCCAGGAGCAATACTTTGTATCCCTCAATCCAATCAAGTTGACACTTAGTATTAACCATCACATTAGTAAAAATAGTAGCCAGGGTCTATTCATGGTTTTATACATTACTTGCAAAATGCCTTTCATTGACACGGAAGCCTCAAATAGTAACAAGCAAACAACTAAAAACTTCCTTTGCTGAGCCGAAACATCTTTGGTAAATAGTTTTGTGATAGGTATTTGAATGTTGCTTGGGAGGGCTATCAGCCAGGCCACTAGCAAACAAATCCTCAAGCCAACTAGGAAAGTCTCTAAAAGTGGGTAGGCAATAACATTGGGAAAACAAACTGTAAGCGTGGTACTGTTTTCTGGCATCAAGTTATTGGTTTTGTCACTGAAATAGTAAACAATTCACTTCCCAAGAAGTTGTCTGGTTTAGAAAATTGCATGTAATAAATTTCTTATTCTGAACATTAAGAAAGCAATAAATAATTTTAAGAAATTATTTTTTCCCATTATCCAAAAATATATAACAAATATTTTCTTTAAAAATATTGATTTGTAGGGCTACCTTTCCCAAAATATTCATACGTCTTGACCTTGCCTGGAATAAATGCATGATATTCTCAAGGGAATACATCTCATTTGACAAAGCCCACCACACTCCTCCAACCATAATGACGTGAATCCTGGACAGATGGCTAGACTCTCTCACAAGCCCCAAAGCTCTATTGAATTCTTGCCTTAATGAAAGAATAATTGCTTTAGACTGTAAACTTCCTGATTGCTCTAGTGGAGATGATACTTAGGATGAGAAATCAAATATTTTTCAAGGCATTTGATTTTTTTATATAGAACCAAATTTTAATTATTTAAAAATTATATTTAAATATTTTGAAATAATGTTTTCACTTAAGTATTACAACTCCAAGAATAGGACAACAGGTTTTGGAAAACAGACCTATGCCTTGTAAGCATAGGCACAATGCAAATGTTGATTTGTTGACAGCTGAAAGTAGGAAAAAAGAAGGAACCGAAAAAGGACCAATCCTTGGTATTAGTCAGGACTTTTTAGTACAAATTCAGAAACCTCATATCACACTAACATTTATTATTATAAAGGCATTTATTGGCTCATAACTGAAACACCCAGCAGTACACATGGCTTCAAACACAACTGGAATTGGGGGCACAAGGGATGTCACCAGGTTCAGTTTCTCTCTATCTCAGCTTTTCTTGCTCTATGGTGACTTGATTCCCAGCTCCGCTTTGCAGAGCTTAGACAGCTTCCAGGCTCACACTGTTTTTACCATTATCTGTGTGAGTGGAAAATAGTACCTGCCTCTTCCTGGACTGTATTAGTGAAAGTGTCAGTGGGTCTTACTGGCTTTCTCTGAGCCAGTCACTGCAGCCTGAGGAATATCACAGATCAGAAAGGACTGCTAAGATCTAGGAGAGTCCAACCATATGTAGGTCAAAGTTACAGGACAGGGACTAAGGTCCAGGGAAGAAGATCCAGTTCCTGCCCCACTGATAGAGGCAGCCTGAATTTGGGCAAGTTTCTTCATCTCTCTCAGCTTCATTTCTTCTTGGATAAAAATTCCTAGTTTATAATGTTTAGAGGATTAAATGAAATAAATAAAGCACCTAACAGAATAGTAGACTCTCAATACATTTTAAAGATGATTTAATTTTTATTCTATTTCTTTTCTGGCCTTTGAGTCCAGTCACTGCATAAGCATCAATGACCACTGTCGCCACTAGGTGGCAATCATGTGATGGAAGGTAATGGCCTGACTTTCTGGCCAGTGAAAAATTAAGAATTGGCTGAAACCTGACAATTGGCAGTGAGAGGAAAGCGTGGGGGACTGTGAGTCCAATTCCTGCTGCACTGAAACCACGCTGTGTGACCTTCATCAAGGTCTGAATTGATCTATAGCCTGGATTTCCTCAAGTAAAACTTGGAGGCCAATTCAGTCTTCATTTGTCTATAAAATCTTTTGAATCTGTAAAAAGAGAGTCTTATAGAGTAATAACTGTGACTGTAATCTCAAAAGCCAAAAACTGTTCAACAGTCTTGATTGTTAATATATAGCTTAAAAATATGATTGTATGAAGCATAATCCATTCATTTATTGCTAAGTTTTAGCTACCCCAGGGATCCAAAAAGAGTTCATGCAATTTTGTAAGGTGACTAATGGGCTCGCAGAGATGCTGTCAAGTTATACACAGCCCAGAAAATCATCCTCTGAGGCATGCAAGTCAGAAAACTCACTATTAAAAAAAGTCACACTGAGCAGCTTCAAAAGTATTTTTCCGCCATGTAATTATGTTTTAATGCTAGGTTCTTAAAATCACTTGGAAAAGAAGAAGCAGCTTAAAAAATTTCAGGTCTGAAATGTGTTAGAAGTATCTGGAGCAGCAGGAGGATGAATCAGGAAGTGACATTTAATTGGGTTTAAGAACAAAAATGATGACTCTCCACTTTTGCATGAATCAAGCCTTTATAACAAAGTTGAAATAAGATGATGTGATAAAAATTAGCATTTATCTGATATAATAGATTGGGGGGATATTGTATTTTCTTAATATGAAATTCTTTAGTATAAGGAAGTTATGTGCTGGTTCCATCTTGATTAGTATAAAAATCCTTGTAAAAGGAGAACCAATTGAAATTCCAGGGGTGTCCACACGTTTCTTCATTCCATGGAGATGTGGAACAGCCTAGTCTAAATACTTGACCTTTATTTCTCAGCATGCTTTTTTTTTAGGATAAAGCCTCCTGAATTCTTAAACCTGGAAGGTAGGGGCGAGGATTTGTTGGTGGCGTGTGGATCAAATGAGTTCAGGTTTTCTTTATCCTTTATAAATCTCAACTTTGCTTTACACAGTGCCTTATCAGAGGGGAGAGATCATTAAGGTATATATGTGGGGTTTTTTTATTTGTTATTTTTTTGCTGCTATAGAGGTATCTGAGAGAATGAGGACTGTTTTGCTTTTACCTCTCTATTTTTCCCTTCTCTATTTAAAGGAGGTAGCCAGAACCGTTGCCCTCTGGGTGGTTTGTTGTGAGGTCAGAGCAGAAAGCCCTGACCTTTAAGATTCCTTTAAGGCTTAAGATGCAGCATGCTGCCTGTGCCCCCAGTTTCTGATTCAGCAAGTCTGGGATGGAGTTCAAGAATCAAGAATTGGCCTATATATATAAACTTTAAGTTCTGGGATACATGTGCAGAACGTGCAGGTTTGTTACATAGGTATACACATGCCATGGTGGTTTGCTGCACCCATCAACCGTCATCTACATTAGGTATTTCTCCTTCTAACTGTAACTACGGGACCCACGTGCTGAGAACCACTGCATTAAGGTAACTGCTCCTCCTGGCCACCTGGAAACCTACCTCCCTTGCCTGAAACCTGAGCTCACTGAGAGGGCTGGCACGGGCGGGAATGGGTCAATGAGTTTGTCCAGGGAACATGGAAGCTTTTGAAATGGGAGGAAGGGACATTCCCAAAGCCCCTTTCTTGGCACTGCCCCCAGTCAAGCTGCTACTCAGGTGAGAATGCTGTTTGAAGGGAAGCAGCTTGGTGCAGAACCAGGAGAGCCAGCCGCCTCAGTTAGAGCCTCGGAATGAAGATTCAGAGCACTCTGGACCCACTGAGAGACTTGCTCATTTTCTGGGCACCAAATAATCCTCCCAATTTTTAGGTAAACCCAGGGAGGAGGGGAGGAAACAAATAATGAAGATTGAATTTCTTGCAATTCAGTGACATAGGGGATGGCAGCCATATTGAATTTGATTTGAAGAAAATAGGTATTTCCTGCCTACCCAACTTTTAGTAGATGCCACATCAACTACATGAATTTCTGGATTAAAACATACAATCTACATATATTAATATTTGTGGCCTTAATACAAGTTCTACCCTTGCCGTGGCTCTGTGTTCACTTGGCAGGGAGGGGCAGAGCTTATAAACTGAGCTGTGCAAATCTCACCCTTGTTCAACCATGTCTTGCTGAGCAGGCACATGGGGGCTGAAACCTAATCAGGCTGAGAGAAAAGGGTGACGTTTGCTAATTTTCTAATGTACCCACATAACTCCTGCATAATCTGACATCATATGAATATATCACACTTAAGGCATTTTCTCATTGACTTCTACGTGGTTTCTACTTTTCATTGCTATAACAAATATCCTAATACGTTTCTCCTGCACTTGTGGGTTTTTTTGAATTAGATACCTGAAATTTTGACTTGATTTTTTTTTTTCTTACAGAAATTCTGTCAATGGGACATGCATGTGAGTTTAGAAGCAATTCTTTCTTTAATATGCAGAGGCTTCTGGGAGTGCTCAGGCCATCAACCAAAGGTGTTCATTAGCCCATACAAGCTGCTTTCCTCAATTTCTAGATGAGATGTACTGTTATGAGAAAATGGAAGAAAAATTACAGGAGAACAAATAGGGAATTGCTAAGATATGTACATCTGTAGTGAGGAGAGGAGTTGGGGGCTTGGGGGCAGGGGTGAAATGCCTAGCGACTTAAATGACATAAGGCACTGATTTCTTGAGTGTTGAGTAAAGGGATGTTAGAAGATAGAAAATTGCCAAGGATTAGTTTGTAACTCAAAATTATAGCTCAGTCCAATCCCATTTCCCACTAAGAGGGGGAAACATCTTTGTCTCCCTCTTCTTTCCCCTCTCCCACAGGAGTAGCTGACTCCTCCCTGTTCCAGGACCCAGGGCTCAGGCTGACTTGTGTTAAGCTTCCATCTGGGTTAAACAGATTTCAGGAAGATCACGTGGAAAATTAAATGCCACCGCAGCATTGTTTCTATAGGAAATGAGTTTCTCTTTGCAAACAATTATTTGCTTTCGGTACACAACCACTTATCATAAGGAGGGAGCCTGTCTGTGCTTATAAAGCTTAAATTTGAAGGACTCCAGTTATCTTAATTTAAAATTAAAATAGCCTAATTTGAGAAGAAACCATGTTCTTAAATTTCCAATAGATGTTCCAATATGTATTTACTGCAATTTCTATGTTGGGGTGGTTTGTTGTCATTTTAAAAGTGAGGCTGGAACACTATAATATGTCCTGTCTTCTTTTTGCCTGTTAAACAAGGCGAGCTAGGGCAGCTTCTCAAAAGGCTCAAGAGGCACAGTCAGTGATCTCAGGCCACCCTGGATGGCGGGAGGCCACGAGAGGGGGCTTGCACCACCAGCTGCAGGGAATTGTTAAATTCCTGACCTAGTTTTTGAAACTATTCAAGGAGAAAGCAGGGACACAAATACTAGCTCTAGCCTCGTTCAATGAGACCACGTTCCTGTTTTCATTTCACTTTAGCCGCATTTGTTCGAGCAGCAGGTGAAGCGCCTTTCAAAAGACTGTCATCTCCAAGGGAAGTCATCTGTTTTACATTAATTGTCCATTAGTCTCCAAGCCTCGATCCATTAAAGTCCTCAGCCACTCATTACGTATATTGTGCAGGAGTCCTGCTGTCAGCTTTTCAATGCAGAGCTGTTTTTCTGCATCTGACTTAATTGCTCTAAGTGCCTGTTCCTTTGAGAGAGCCTAGAGTGTACCAATTAATGCTAACTTTTTCCTTGCTAGGTTGAACACATAAGCCATGGTGAGGCCAGTTCAGCTGCTATTTACTCGAATTTATTAGAGACCCTTCTGCCTTAAGCTCACACAGTGGGTAGTTTACATCAGTACTGCCCTGTTTGCCTGATGACTCCTGGATATGTTTTGAATGGACTTAATTTTCTATAGTGAAAATGCTCCATAAATTTACAATCTATCCATGTTATTTTGAAGAGGGGTTTAAATTCCATTTGCTCCTGATTAGTTTAAACATGTAATTTTTAAATGCATGTGGCATTCTAAACAACAGCTTGGATGAAATTGACTTTGTTGATGGAAAAATTAAGCTTTCATCCTTTCAAATGACAGCTCGAGGGGTGGCCGTACAATAATTTAATTACCGTAGCTTCCTTAATTACAGCCGACTCACCTACCTTTAGCTCCATTACCGTTTTCCTTAATAAACACGAATAAATGGACGAAAAACAAAAATTAAGAAAACCAATCTTAGAGTAGCTTTTATAAAATTTTGATAGGCATAGAGGCAAATACAAATATGTGAGACTCAGAGAAACATATTAACCCCTTCAACTCTAAAAGAACTAGAAAAACCACAATTTTGTTTTTTTCTTTTTAAAATTGTACCATAGTCCCACTTATTAATACTAAATTTTATATTTTATTAATATTCAAAATATCCAATCAATATAAATTCCTGTCAAGATGGTAATATATCTATAAATTCAGATTCTGAGTAATGACCTGATATTAATTGAATTTATTGCAGGTTTTTAAATCTTTACTACAGTTTAATTCCATCCTATAACTAAGTTTGTTAACAAATGGCCCTGTTAATATATAATTAAGTACCTGTGTATTGATTTGCTTAATTACATCTAAACAATACCAAAAAATAAAAACCACACAGATGCACCCAGACTGATTTAAATTGCAGGATATCATGAAAATTAAAGACAGACTTCTGTGTCTTATTTCCTGAGGATTGTTGGGGAAATATGCACTTTTGGCATAAGCAAACTACTTAGAACAAAAATAGCAACCATTCTGGGAAACATTTACATTAGGTGAAATCTGTCTCTGAGGCTGTCTGCCTTCCACCCAAGAGCTCCCTGACATGGCAGCGTCCCCTCTCCTCTCTATTCTCTCACCTTCCTCAGCTGGAGGCCAGTCGTGTATCTCATGTCACATGGCCCTGGTTAGTAACAAGGCATTATTAGCAAAGACAGCTATTTAGAGGTAGGGTTTTGAACTCTCTGAGGATTATCATTTTCTTCATCTTCACTATCTTCATCCTCATCTTCAATCAACAGTTTTGAGAGCAGACTGTGTACAGAGCACAGAGAGCCACTGAAGTTGTTCCCCTCTCCCCAAAATAGTAACCTTTATCATCTAGATGAATGAGCTCCTCTGATAAATTCTACAAGTATTGTTTCTGCTTCATGGGCATTGAGAGTGGCCTCCTCCATCTTTACAGAAGGAAATTATCACCTCCAAGTTAGACTAGTTTATTCCTAGAAAATTCCTTCAATACCCCCTCATCTGTAGGATATTCATTTAAAAATCCTATCAGCTTTTTTTCTCAACAGTTTTCAGGAAGAGAGCTTTGGAAAATACTAAAATATCAGTCTAACAAATTCAAAGACATATATTAGGGCCTTTAAAACCTCATACACTTCCCCTTGGCCTCCCGGATAATGCTCCTTAATCCTAATTAGCTTTTACAGCATGATTAGTGTTTGCCAATGATGATTAGAGGTGCCAAATTCACCAAACCAATTAGTAGCAGAATTGTAGGATCCTGGTGCGGCTTTATTTTGATTCTGATTCACCTTTTACATCATCTTTGTCGTTGCCTCATTTGTCCAAGGTAGCAATGCTTCTATATTTCTGTGTTCTCATTTTGACTGTAGTGTTTTGATTGAGAGTCTGGAATGTTGTTCACACAAGGGGAATCTTGCCCAAAAGAATATTACTTCTAAGGTCTTCACTCAGGAGTTTAGTCATGTACTTGTGCTGCCTTTGTATTAAAACTCTTTGTATTAAAACCCTTCTGATTATGGTTGAATCTGTTCCCCACCTCTGACAGATACACCATAGGGTGACCCCTAATGAGTCATGCTCTTAATCCCCTTGCCATGAATGTGGGTGGAAATCATAACTTGCTTTTAACCATAAGATACAACAAAAGTAAGGAAATACCACTCCTGTAATTATATTTATGGCAAAGTCGAAGGGACTTTTTTCAGGTATAATTAAGATCCCTAATCAAGTGACTTTTAGTTAAACAAAAGAGCATTTACCCTCAGTGGGCCTGGCCAAATCAGTGAGCTTTTTAAAAGAGGGTCCAGGCCCTCCCTGAAGTTCGAGACCTGAAGCAGTAAAGACTCTTATTTCTGTTGCTGGCTTTGAAGAAGCAAGCTGCCATTAATTCTACAGTCATAAAGACATGAATTCTGCCAACAACCTGCAGGAGCTTAGAAGCAGATCCTAGCATTTCCATTGCATCCTCCAGATGAGAATGCAATCCACCTTGATTTCAGCCCTGTGAGACCCTGAGCAGAGAACCCAGTTATGACATGCCCAGATTCCTGACCCACAAAAACTGTGAGATAACAAATGGGTATGGTTTTTAGGCCATCAAATGTGTGATTATTTATTATGCAGCAATAGGAAATTGATGCACCACTCTTGCAATAAAGATACTTTGTTTTATTATCCAGTATCCCATATATCGTTTTTAAATAAGTAGATCATTATACATGAACTCCACACAAGGGCTTCTTATACTTTGTTGTTAGAAAACTTACCCAAGTCACATCTCAGGCTCTAGAGATGACTTACCATCTAACCCTTATGTTTCCTATCGACTTTACTGTTAGATAAACTAGAAGATTTGGTGCCCAGCATGAAGAATAGTTCCTTTCAAGTACCTGTATGTCCTGAATGTATTCCTTCCAGTGGGTTCTTGGTCTCGCTGACTTCAAGAATGAAGCCTTGGACCCTCGTGGTGAGTGTTACAGTTCTTAAAGATGGTGTATCTGGAGTTTGTTCCTTCAGATGTTCAGATGTGTCCAGAGTTTCTCCATTCCAGTGGGTTCGTGGTCTCGCTGACTTCAGGAGTGAAATCGCAGACCTTTGCAGTGAGTGTTATAGCTCTTAAAGGTAGTGCAGACCCAAAGAGTGAGCAGCAGCAAGATTTATTGGAAAGAGCAAAAGAACAAAGCCTCCACAGCATGGAAGGGGACCGGAGCGGGTTACCTCTGCTGGCTTGGGTGGCCAGCTTTTATTCCCTTATTTGGCCCCGCCCATGTCCTGCTGATTGGTCCATTTTACAGGGTGCCGATTGGTCCATTTTGCAGAGTGCTGATTGGTCCATTTTACAAAGTGCTGACTGGTGCATTTACAATCCTTTAGCTAGACATGGAGTGCTGATTGGTGCGTTTTTACAGAGTGCTGATTGGTGTATTTACAATCCTTTAGCTAGATAGAGAGCACTGATTGGTGTATTTACAATCTTTTAGCTAGATACAGAGCACTGATTGGTGCATTTTTACAGAGTGCTGATTGGTGCATTTACAATCCTCTAGATAGAAAAGTTCTCCAAGTCCCCATTCGACCCAGGAAGTCCAGCTGGCTTCACCTCTCACCTGGACACATCTGTCCTTTGGCTACCTTTACATCAGTGGTTCTTTCACATTTTGGTCTCAGGGTTTCTTTACATCAAAAATAATTGAGGACCCAAAGAAACTGTGTTTATTTGAGTAATGTTTATCATCTACTACATTAGAAATTAAAATGGGATGAATTTTAAATCATGAGAATGCACAGGCACACATTCCGTTAGCAGTCAATAACATCATCACTCAGCATGGGAAAACCCACGGGTTGCTTGTGAAAGAGTGAAAGGAAAACACGAGGTAACATCATAGTATTATTACAAATTGACCTTGCAGATCTGAAGGGTCTTGGGAACCCCTGGAAATCACACTTTGAGACCACATCTTGAAAACCATTGCTTTATGTTTTTAGCATTTTTTGTTTTATATTGCATTAAATTTTATTAAGCCAACTTACATAAGTTTATAAAATATGAGGTAAACTTTTTTTAAAAAATGAAAAAGGCAAAATACTAGCTATGTAATTGTGCTGTTTATTCCCCACCTGCCCCACAGATATGTGCTCACCCTTCTCTGCTCAGCTCTGTGCCTGGGAGGCTGACCTCTACAAACTGCATCACCAGGCTTCCGCCCTCTGGCTTCCAGATGGATTTGGCCAATGGGCAGCACCAGTGGGAAAGGAGAGGACAGGAGGAGAGACAGGCTGAGGTCATGTATTTATCCCCCTCTTCCCTACCCCATGACAGTTCTGACAGGCAGCCCCTCCGTTTCTCCAGCTCTCAGCTGAGCTCCAGTAACAAGCTTCCTTCTCTTTCCCCTTTAGGGTTGGGGTGGCAAGAGCCACCACCTGGGTGTCTCACTATATCTTGTTGGCTTCCCTAATCCTGCCTACATTAATCATTTTTTTTAAATTTCAAACTCTCTTGATGCTTCCATTTGTTTCCCGAGGAATCCTGGCTAATGGAGCAAGCTTGGACACATTCCTTCATTTCACAGGTCCTCAGTTTATTTAGCTGTAAAATGAAGGGCCTGAGCAGCCTTTCCCAAAGTGGATTCTGCACATCAGTCTCACCATATTCCATTTTGTATTCTGTGGTCAAATATGTTTGGGGAACACTGAATATAATGTCCCCTTTTGGAGAGCCACAATTTGTGGCACCGTGTCAACAACTCTGAGAGGTCCTGAAGTAGATACACCTGTTTTACCCTGTTTAGTTCAGCATTTCCCAAATATAGTTAACAATGGAACCACTGTTTTTTGCTTGTTTGCTTTTGCAGAAAACCCTAATAACATAGAGAAAACACCAGATCAAGTTGGGCCATGTATGGCATTGTCTTATTCTGTGGAAAGGTATTCATTGCATATTTTTGAATATTTTCTGTTGGCCCCTCAATCCTGAAGTCTAAAATTTCCCACCCATGTGGCTCAGCTTGCTCTAGGCACAATAATGGAATTCTATTTCTGTGACCTCAATACAATGTTGAGCTTCTCTTCTGACCATGACTTTGTCGTGGTAAAGAAGTATCCCTCTAATTAAGATCAGGATTGAAAATAGAATTCCAGGAATAGTTGAATACACAATACACATTTACATACAGCACAATTGCATCCAAGCCCCGTGGAGTGTGGTGGTGCAAAGTAAGGTGTGAATCCCACTGAAACTTTCTGAAAGTGTGTGGTTGTCATGAACAACACTGACAAATCTGAGGCCCTCCTTGCTTCCTGTTACAATAAGTAACTACCTTTTCTTCTTTTTCTTTTGGAGACAGATTGGAGTGCAGTGGCATGATCTCAGCTCACCGTAGCCTTGACCTCCCAGGCTCAAGAGATCCTCTCACCTCAGCCTCCTGAGTAGCTGGGACTACAGGCACATACCAAATGCCCAGAAAATTTTTTTCTTGTGAGGGCTGGTGGGTAGAGCCTGGGTCTCTCACTATATTGCCTGGGCTGGTCTTGAACTCCTGGGCTCAAATAATCCTCCTGCCTTGGCCTTCCAAAATGCTGAGATTATAGACGTGAGCCACTGTGCGCAGCCAGTAACTACCATTTTGATCAGATCATTTCTAGAGAAATATATATCCCCTCCTGATTTTCTATTGTCAAAGCCCCAGTATCAGGCACTCATCTCTTTCCAATGTGGCACAAAGCAGGGGGCTTACCCCACTTCCAGGGCTGAATCCTGGCTGAACTAAGCCCATTTGTATGACCCCATTCTCTTTCCAATAATAGGTTTAGGAGTGGGCTTGTGACTCATTTCTAGCCAGTGGGACATGCAAGAGAGGTGGAATGCTGGGAGTTTAGAGGGAGAGTTTTCTCTGTTTCTGAAAATACAAACACCAGAAACCATGCTCCCTTTTTGGCACCCAATGGTATTTTGTTTCTAGATGTGTTACTTAGGAATGTGGCAGCTGTCTTGCCTCCACAGGGAGGACAGCATCAAAATAGAACTGATGCTGAGGACAGCAGAGGAGAGGACAAGACAAACCTGGGTGGATGGCATCATGGGGCCTCTGATTGTTCCTGCATCCATTCCATGTGGTTTAAGCCAGTTGAGTCAGCATTTTCTGTCTTGAATCCCAGATCTTTATAAATGATAGGTGTACCTTTTAATGGAACTATTCATGGCCTCAAATTCTTCCCAGATATACCCTGTGAGTGTTCAGGAAGCAGCAGAAAATTAAACACTACATTTCTTCATTCACAGGCCTCCCTCCTCCTGTGTCCCTGACATACAGTGACAGTGCTGCCCTGCAGCTCAGGATGGATGCAGTCAAGGACGACAGCGCATGTCCAAAAAAGCTGTCTGCTGAACATTTGCCCAGCAGATTTTAGAAAGAAAGGAAACATCTTAGTGATTTTCTTGCCTCCAGAAGATTCCCTGATCCAATCTTTCCTTGGCACAAACTTTTAGTTATTGTGTTTACATATACATTTTATATATGTGTGGTCATTATTGTATCTGTTTTATTTGGGGACTTTATCTTGATGTGTGTTATACCTAATACACTGCAATATAAATTATGTAATTATGTGCTTTTTTTTTTTGAGATGGAGTCTCGTTCTGTCACCCATGCTGGAGTGCAGTGGTGTGATCTCGGCTCACTGCAACCTCCACCTTCTGGGTTCAAGTGATTCTGCTGCTTCTGCGTCTCAAGTAGCTGGGACTACAGGCGCCTGCCACCACACTCAGCTAATTTTTTTTTTTTTTTTTTAAGTAGAGGTGGGGCTTCACC
Organism: Homo sapiens; assembly: GCF_000001405.40. Classification (NCBI taxonomy): domain Eukaryota; kingdom Metazoa; phylum Chordata; class Mammalia; order Primates; family Hominidae; genus Homo; species Homo sapiens. Next base: position 79,803,369 of record NC_000006.12, on the reverse strand, counting down.
ATGTTGGCCAGGCTGCTTTCGAACTCCTGACGTCAGGTGATCCACCCACCTCAGCCTCACAAAGTCCTGGATTACAGGCATGAGCCACCACACCCGCCCTGTGCTTTCAATAAGTACTTTCTCACTGCTTACTGACTGATACCCCTAGCTTTTGTATCATGAGGAAAAAGAGGCATAAGAGAATGAATCCCTGGCCCCAGTATCAGTCAGGATTTAATCAGAAAACAGAAGTCATGCTAGGTTTTTGATGAGTTGGAGAGAGTTGAAAGAGGAATTAAGGCTTGCACAACCATTAGAAGGGCTGGGTAAGGAAAGGTCAGACGGTTGCTCTTAGGGCATCTGAAATGCAGAGATCTCAAGAGAAATTGGGGCTTCTGTTGTGATCAAGTTGCCCATAGCAGGTGCTTCTCAGCAGGACCCTGAGAAGCTGAGGCTCTGAGTAACCGCCTGTAGCTGGCACTAAAGAAAAATGGCTTCTCCTTTTCTGCCTCAGATGTTTCACGGGGGTGCCTCTCACTGGACAAATGTAACCTCGAGGCACATAGGAAAAGAACTGGGTAGTGAGGTTTCTGGTTTTCCTCCAAGATGGAGAAGAGTGGAGGGCTGGGGAGCATGAGTCACAATGAAGTTGAACTATCAACAGACCACCCAGAAACAAAACCTCCCATATATTAATGAAAAATAAAAAAAGCAAACAGCAATTGATAAACAAATGTATTTAAGTTATACCAAGGGCAAGATTGCTCTGTCAAAAAGCATTTGATAATCAGTTAATTGGTGAGTGTCTGCTATGCAGAATTAGAGGCAGTTATTTTTTTGTTTGTTTGTTTTTGTTTTAGATTATTTCTTGCTCAAAACTCACTCAGGTTCCTGGGCTATAATACTTGAGCCAGACAGAGCAGCTTTGATCTCACTGGCAGTTTGTTTAGAAGCCTGAGATCTGGAGTGGCTTTCTAAAATCTTCAGCTCTAAAAACCAATACAGTTTAGTAAAAATCTATACATTTGCTTGCAATAGTCTCAAGTACATAGTAAAATGACAGAAATGATTTCAACCAAGAAATTAGCCATTTTCTTCCTCTTGATTTAAGAAGGGAGAAATAGCTTTGGAGGGAAGTGGCAATATTTCTAAATTTACACACAAATTCACACCGACAGTATGCTCCTAATGGTTGCCACATTTAGAGCTAACCTGGTTTTCTGAGATTGATCTGGGATGGAAGGAGAAAGAACAGCTAACTGACCGGAAGCTAAACGCCACAAGGCAAAGCCTCTTTGTTAGAAGCTGAAGATTATCATATTTCTAGGGGAGGCTGGATGCTTTGGTTAAGAGAGACCTAGTTATGAATCCAGCCTTCTAAAGACCTCCAGGGAGAACTCTGCAAGTCTCCTCAGGGCAGGGGTTCTGGGAGTTTCTAGGTTCTTGCAATTCCTGCAAGCAAACACATCAACACACAAAAAAGCACTGGGAATTCAGAGTCCCAGAGAAGGACATTTGGGTACATCCCTCAAGGTTAAAATTTGCTGGAAACTTTGATAAGATATTTGGATGTGGAGAAGACTGGGGAAGTGTTAAGTAAAGGAATATGAAGTTGGGAGTCAATTATTCATTATTTTCCCTATTCCTCTCACCCATTAGCATCAATAATTGAAAAAGAACCATCCATGTGTGTATGGGGAAGGCAGTAGGCTTAGAGGCTGCTAATAACAATTTAGTAAATGAGGCCAAAAATGGGGCTCTGCAGGCAACAAGCTTGACTGGGTAGAGCCAGGCCACCTCAAAGCTGAGGCTTTAACCACCATGGCCTGCCATCTGCAGCACATGACTCACTGCATCTTTAAGCAAGACTTTGCCCAAATAAGTACCTTCCACTTTGGTTCTATATTGCTGCCACCAGTGTAACTACTCTGCTGCCTTTCCTAGGGGTGGGGACAAGCTACCTCCTTGAGTTTGAGGCTTGAGCCTACCTTTGTACCTGTGGTCCTTAAGAGGTGCTGTCCTTCTCATTTAGCTCATACAAAGTGACTCGGGCATCCTGCAGCATCCCTGTACAGGTATCAGCCCAGTCCACACTGCTAATTGCACCCATTTTCTTCAAAGTCCATCTGTTTACTTAAGCATGTTGGTGCTCATGCTCAATGTGCAAGGTAATATAGATTGATATGGATTCTTTGGGATTTTTAGTTAAGTGGTTTCTGCTTGTGACATTCTTTCCTTTTTTCTTTCTTTCTTTCTTTTTTTTGAGACGGAGTCTCTGTCGCCAGGCTGGAGTGCAGTGGCATGATCTCAGCTAGGCTCACTGCAACCTCCGTCTCCCGGGTTCAAGCAATTCTCCTGCCTCAGCCTCCCATGTAGCTGGGATTACAGGCGCATGCCACCATGCCCAGCTAGTTTTTTTGTATTTTTTTTTTAGTAGAGACGGGGTTTCACCATATTGGTCAGGCTGGTCTTGAACTCCTGACCTTGTGATCTGCCCGCCTCGGCCTCCCAAAGTGCTGGGATTACAGGCATGAGCCACCACGCCTGACCTGCTTGTGACATTATTTTCTGCCTTTTAAATACAAATAGAAGTATACAAAAGCATATACCTCAGTGCTTCAGGGAGAAAAGTGTGTTAGATAAATAGACTACCTGTAAGGAAGACTTAGTATAATGACAAGCATGACTGCTTGGTATATTCAGAATTTTGATGTGTGACAAATAATGTGTGTCATTCTTTGAAATATAAATGTTAGAGCTTCTTATGTTAAAAGAAGCCATCCTAACCAAATAATACTCTAGGCTTTCAGTGTACCTATAAACATGTTCATCTGGTGGGAATTAAGAGATATGCCAAAAAACAGATTTGAATTTGAGCAAAAGAATAGCAATACATTAACTGCTATATTATAGAGTTTGTAAAGATTGCTATAGTGATTATCAGTGCTTCACGGTGTCATTATTGGCTTCACTATTAAAGATATTGCTGTGAAAATGAAAATTTGTAAATATGAATTTTTGTGTTATATTTTATTTTCTATTTTCACATCTGGCAATTGGTACATGTTGTGTGACCTGCAGAGCTATTAAGTCCTGGGGTTATTGATTAAGGCCCCAAATGAGTGACAAATCTTAGAGCATAAAGACTGTTTCGACCAGGTGCAGTGGCTCAAGCCTATAATCCCAGCACTTTGAGAGGCTGAGGCAGGCGGATCACCTGAGGTCTGGAGTTCAAGACCAGCCTGACCGACATGGAGAAACCCTGTCTCTACTAAAATACAAAATTAGCCAGGCATGGTGTTGCATGCCTATAATCCCAGCTACTCAGGAGGGCTGAGGCAGGAGAATCGCTTGAACCCGGGAGGTGGAGGTTGCAGTGAGCCAAGATCGCACCATTGCACACCAGCCTGGGCAACAAGAGTGAAACTCCATCTCAAAAAACAAAACAAAAACTGTTTCGTGAACATGGGACACTCTTGTAACTCCATCCTACTCATTCAAATACAGGCCATCACCCATGAAAATAAAAAGAAAATAAAAGGTGAATAGCACTGTGCAAAGACAATTGGGCTATGTGTGAAGCAACACATATAAGCATCATTTCTGTGTGCTTAGGATAATGCAAAAGGCATTGATCAAAGTAAAATGATCATAAGAAAACATAGGCTATGTGTCTGCTCAGCTCCCTCAGTAACCACTCAGGAATCAGCCTTTCATTCTGGAATCCTGGCTGCCATTTACAGAGTGCTCGTGCCACTATATTCCAGGTGCTATGCTGAGTGCTTTGCCTGAGGTGCTTAGGGGACTCTTGCATCACCTGGGTAGTGGTTAAAGTGAACTCAGGTGGTCTTGGCTTCAATACTGGCCCCACCAAGTGCTCCTGTGTGATATTATGCATATTATACACTATCTGTTCTTCAGTTTTCCTCACTTGTAAAAGGGGAATGATAATGCCTCAGGAATTAATACATGTAAAAGGGTTAGTGCAATGCTTAACACATGGTAAACATTGACCATATTAAATACCATCACCACTTTTATCTATGAACCATCCCTACCTGCAAGAACTTACAATTTACTTGAAGAACAAAACCCCATGAATCAGTCTGAGAACAATTAAGACTTACTACAGACCACCAAAACTGGAAGACTTCAGGGAAAATAAGAGAGAGAAATGAGAGCTTGAGCTGTTTAGAATCATCTTCGTGGAAAGAATAGGATTTGACTTGAGCTTTAGAGAATGAAAGGAAGATGAAGAGACAGAAAAGAGGAGGAAGGATGTTCTGATAGGGTGAAGAAGAGGCCAAGGCCTACTGATAGCAATGACTGTGTTGAGGGCAGGGGAAGGAGGCAAAATCAGCCAATGAGGGGTAAGTAAGGATGACTAATACCCAAGGATATAAAGAAACAGAAACGAGGGTACAATCCTAGCCAGCCACCAGCCCCCTCCTGAGAGTTTCCAAAAGGATGCTATGGTTCTTAAAGTGTGGTCCCAGACCAGCAGTATTGACATCATCTGGAAATTTGTTGGAAATAAAAATTCTCAGGCTCTTCCCCAGATACACTAAAACAGAAACTCTGGGGGGGTGGGGCCTTGTGGGTGATTCTGATACACAACAAAATCTGCAGACCACTGGTGTGGTGAGTTACAAGAAGACCCATATTCCCACTTTATCCTTCCCGCCCAGGCAGGTGCTCCCTCCCATTGGCAGCCCCAGTGCAGGCTGCTTGGGGTCCACTCCTCAGGCATGTTTCCTTTGGCCTGAAAGAAAATTTCCAAAGGATGAGTAGTGAAGATGGAGAACAGGTCCCTCCTCACATCTTGGGTGACTTTCAAATATCCCATCCTGGTGTCTCCCACTGACGTGTGGGAGGGAGTTAGACCGTTTGGCATCTTGTAGAGTGGATCTTGGATAATGGAGAGTTTGATGAAGAATTTGGGCTGATGGCTGGTACATAGCAGTTAGTAAGCACTTCCTTTTATTTCATGGGTCTATTTAGGAAACTTTATTATGGACAATATTGAAGTGATTTAGATTTTTCCAGAATAGAAAGAAGCTGTAATATAGTCCTCAACTGAATCTAATCCATTTAAGAAATTGTTACTCCTGTGATGGTTTTCTGAAATAATTCATTTCCATCAGCCTCATAAAGATCCATGCATTATCACTGGTTGATACAGCTTTTTAGTCTTTCTTAAGTGCTGGGCTCGTGCAGGTGGCCATTTGGAGGATAGAGTGTGCTATTTGCTGTTAAGAGCAAACAAATGGCCCTTTGATATAAAAAGGAGCATTTGTGAGAGGTAGAGAAGGTCACATGACTTCCCTCAGGAAGGATCTCTGACATCTCCTCTAAGTGCTTTTGCACACTTAATCTGAAAATGTATAATAGGTGATGAAACCGGTAAATTACATTTGCTGGCCTCCTTAATTTACCTTATCTAATTATTTGATTGGTGCTTAAAACTCAGAGACAAGTCTAAATTATTCAAGAGTCTACTGCTTCTGAAATAATTCCAGAGTGTGTTAAATTGCATTTTTTTGTTCTGACACATAAAATAAGTCTCATCTTAGACATAGTTGCCTTTCAGAGGGTTGGAGCGGGGGAGCGAGAGGACAGAAAATTGGGCAGTGGTATTTAGATCTTAAATTCTCATTTTCATCTATTGTGTAAGGGAAGAAAATTAGTTTTTTAGGTGTACCTGCAAAACATTCATCCAAAAGCCTACAGGGAGTCACAGGCATCCCTGTGTTCTTTGGCCAGCAGTTATCCATTTCTGCAGCACCAGAAATCTATACACATTGACAAACAAGAAATTAAAGCAGTGATGTGAAACAGACCTCTAAAACACCTCTCTTTCAATTTAAAATTCATTGCCTAATGGATGAGGTAGAATGGGAAGTTGCCATTTGCTAGTTAATAAAAATTCCTGGTTAATGTCATGTAAAGTGAAACTCATTAGCCAGGATATATTTTTCTTTTCAGAGCTGAGATGACAAGGAAGGGGAGAAAAGAAGACAAAGCCTTCTGAATGGAGTGTGGTTCACTTACGTTTGTCAGATCCAGTCAAGCGCCCAGTCTTGTCATGTAGTTCTTGGCACTGACAGTCTTATATAATAATGAGGATAATTTTTGCTTTATTCACTTGACATAATCCTGGTCCAGAACCTCATCAACCACTCAAAGATTACCGCAACAGTCAACTAATCCATCATCCAGCCATTGGTCTCGCCTTGTTCCCATTTCATGAAGCCTACACTTCCCTGGTTAGTTTTCCTAGTAATTTCAGGGGCTGCCTATTTCCCTGAATATGTATGGTTTATGCACGAATATGTATGTAACATTTATATATATGGCATACAAACTCTCCATAATGACTTTTGATGACCCTCACAAGAAAGCCTCTTTCTGTATCACCAAACCTCAACTACATTGCTGCCCCTTAACTTAGCTGTGTACAGTTTATCAGAATTAAGTGGTGCCCATCTCTTATTGTGCCTCCTTTGCCCCACCTCACAGCCTATGAATGAGCTAAACCAGAAGACTGGAGGTCCAAACAGAACTTCTTTCTAGTCCATGTATGCATGAGGTGCCCTCACTGTTGTCTTTCTTAGCGTGTGCCAATGTCAGGCTGAAAAATACCTACTTCTCTTTTACAACTTTGCTCAGGCATGTTTCCTTTTAGCCTCCTAAATTCATGGCTGGGGCACCTGTAACAAAAGACACATTAACAAGAGAACCCTGTAACAGAAGACACAGTAACAAGAGAACTGCATACAAATGTATTCGGTTAATCTAACTTTTACATGGTGCAGGAGTATTCATAAGGAAATGGCCTGAAAAAAACAGTTAAATCCTAGTGTTTTTGATAGTAGGTTTGATGAAGAGTGAACAGTTGTGGAGAAATATGATAGGGCAAAGAGTATGTGGCGAGTGTAGTAAGCTAGAAGAAACTTAGCAAGGCCTGTGTGTTCAGATTCTTCACTGTGTCCCTTTGTCTTTTGAGATAAGAATGCTGCTTCCCTCTGGTTATAGGGAGGGCACCTTTTGTGCGGGAGTCTTGTGACCTACTTCAGAGGAAAAGGGCAGGGGAAGGTCAGAGAGATCTTCCTGCTTCTGCTGTTTTCTCAACTTCCTTTAGCTTAAAATATTCAATATGCCAAGGTGCCATATTTTCTAGTAGTATGTCCTGAACCTTATCAGACATCACCTCTTCTAAGTGTCTTTCCAAGTCCCTAGGCTCAGGAGCTGCTTTGGGTTTTGTCCCCATGGGCCTACAGCTCTGAAGGCACCCATCACACTTTTTTTGCAACTAATTTGTTTGTGTGTTTACAATCCCCTCTAATATGTAAGTTCACTGAGGACTGCAGCCATGTCTTATGTTTGGTTCCATTTCCAAGGCCTGGCCAGTTTCTAGAATGTGGCAGATTCTTATAAATATCTGGCAAACTAAAATGGATAGAGGGTCCTGCCAGATCAGATGGGAAACATTTAGGAAAAGAGATACCTTTCAGGCCTTGGCAACACAGGCCATCACCACTACATTAAAAATGGTCTTGGTCAAGCAGCAAAATGACTGTGGGAAAGGGGATTTGAGGGAGTCCAGAAGATGACATCTAGATTAAATTAGCCTGGAATCTTAAAGCTTCAGGTTTGAGTTTCAAAGGATAAAACAGGTCTCTGCTCAAAGTTACCTCCTCTGAGAAACATTCTTCCCCACTGACCTCTTAAAATGTGAGTCCGTCCCCCTCCCTCAAACCCCTTGTCTTGCTTTGTCTTCATCATTCTCATCAAAGTCTGACCGTGTATTATGCATCATTTCTCTACAGTCTGGTCCCCACTGGAATGTAAGATCCACAATGGCAAGAAATGTGTTGAATTCACAGAATCTATGACAGCACCAGGTACATGATAGACCTTCAACAATATTTGCTGAAAAAATAATTATTTTTTCCAGGAATCAATAAATCCAGTTTCTGCTTGTCCATAGTATTCATTATGTAATATGCTTGTTTTTAGGGGGAGTTTCAGCTAATGGTAAGAAATGAAATAGAACCAAAAACAACTGTAAAAGTTAAGCAGCCTGAGCCAAGGGAAGGGGTCATCCTTGAATGCGTATTCATCCTCAGCCAATCACTGTTACTTCTAACACTGACCCTAAGTCAAGACATAGCTTGTGTTCTTTTCTCATCATTTATCTTTCAGTCCTATATTTATTGAACTACTCAACGAATCTATCTTGCGCACCTACCATATGTCAGATGATGCTGGGTATGTTGAAGATACAAATATTTCATTCAACAACACTTCTTCCTTTAGGCCACACATTTAAAAAACATGAAGTGATAGGTGCTATGATAAAGCTTCCGTAAAAAACGAAGGGAATACAGCTGTGGGATCATTTATTCTTTCTAGACAGGAAGGAGGTGCCAGGAAATATTTCACAGGGAGGTAATCTTTAGACAGTCTTAAAGGATGAGCAGAAATTCTCCTAATAAATGCTGCTGTCTTCCATCTCCACCCCATCTTTACCATATTCCCTTGAGTCTTGACTATGACCCTAATTACCCCTCCCAGAATTAACCTTAGTGAACCCTGCCATCCTACTTCTTGCATCATAGTAGATGACGCTATAACCTTGTTGATGACTGGTATTGACCTTCCTGCCTCAGTTTTCCAGGGCATCTATCTTAACCTCAATGCCTTAGTTTCCTCACTTGAAAAATGAGAATTTTAAACTTTCTAGCTCTAGAAATCCTTTAATGATGACCGATAGAAAAAGTATTAGCAAAAATATGCAAAGTGAAATCACCAGTTATCCTGAAAGTTATGCTATCCTGAAAATTTATTCACCCAGAAGAACTTGTTCTACCCAATAATGCTTGATCACTGAGGTATTGCTGTGATGATGGTCCTCAGTATTATCTTTGTTGCTGGCAAAATTAAACTTTTGAGTATACTCCTTCCATAGAATGAGCCAAGAAGTTTTTTTCTTTTTTGTGAAAGCCCAGAGAATCTTCTGGCATACACTGTGAGTCTGAGATATCAGATGGTGGCTGCAGAATGCCCTCTAGATTTCCAAAATGCAGAGCCTTGGACAATCTCTAGTCACTTGGTGAAATGCAGGAAATTATGCAAAACTTAAGCTATTACTAAGGTTTTGTTTTTCCTTATGATTCTGTTAATTGTACACGTAAATGGCACAGTTCCTTGGGATCTATCACATTTCAATTCTGGAGGTTGTTTTAACAAGTCTAACTCTACCACACCCTGAAAGGAAAATAATGGTCTGCTAATTACATCAGGCTGCTCTGTCCAGCCATGGGCCATCTATAGAGAAATCTAAATGAATGTTTAGTGCCACTTACTGGGTAAGTATAAACGAAAGAGAGCTTCCATTGGGTTCCTGGTGTACCAAGGGCTTCACTGCGAAGAAGGCTGCTCCTAGTGAACTGTTAATGCTCCGTAAATACCATCACCAATTATAATGAAATGTTGCCTGGGGCCTTCTCTGAAATCCAGGGTACTCTGGCATTGTGACTTTCTCCAAAAACTTAGGACACATGACCAAATGACCAAGACCTTCTATTATTATCATGTGATGGTGTTTTTTATCTTCCTAAATTTAATTTTTCCTTTCCAGGCAAAGTGACATAAGTATAAACAATTAATTACTGATTTGACAACTGTTCTAGTCAAAGCAGACTTTTCAAGTGTTGTTTTTCTTGTCCCATTAGAAATTAAAATTTGCTATCCCTTTCAATTAAATCTGGGACCAGCAATATGTTTCTGGGACTCAATTTAGTTATTAAACAGAAAAATATGCTATTACATAACTGAGAAAATTGCATTGTTTTATAAAGTTTGGTGTTCAAGAATTAAAAATTAAGAGTGCTAATAAAATCATAATATTGGACTTTAATGAAAATATGCATTCCTATTGTTTTAAAGAAGTATTCGATTTTTCTTCAAATACATTTTAAGCTACAATTTGATATATACATTTTTTACTTCTCAAATGAGCAAAGATCTAAAAGCAGAAGGTGTTAGGGAGACAGGTGCTCTTCAACTGGCTGTGGGATGTAAATTCATAGTCTCTCTGTATGGCAATTTGGCAAAAAATTTCAAAATTAAAAACCTACATAGCATTAGGTGGGGGCTGAGCAAAGTAGGCCTCAGCATATGGCCTGAGGGAGATAGAAAAGCCTGAGCAGCAAGAAGGGGGACCACACAAAACAGTGACCAGGCACAGGTGTTAGAGCACAAGCAGTGGGAAGGGTGTCCAGGTGGTTGGATGGTAGTAACAGCTGTCCACTGCAGGGCATCAGAGTGGGATAAGGAGGACATTCACACAGCACAGGGCAGTTTGGCACAGAGTGTCAGAGCCCAAGTAAGGTGAGGAAGGCATGTGTGGGTTTGGGAGTAGCTCAGAACCAGGCATCAAAACCCAGGAAGTTCCAGTGGACAGTGTCAGAGACCTAATGAAGTGAGGAGGGTGTTCATGTATACAGGGTTGGAAGAGGGTAGCAGCAGAGTATGGAGAATAGTAGCATGCAGGGGTTTTGATCAAATTAGTAAATATATTTAGGATAACATGAGACAGTATTCTCACTGTTGGAGAATGGAGTTACAGACATGAAAAGGGAGAAGACTAGAATGAACCTCGTGATGTTGGATTGGAATTGGGGATATTAATATGAACTCATGGTTTTTAGTATGCAGAGATAGTTGTAGACATAAGTATGATGTAAAGTATATATGTGTATGCATGTACGTGTGTGTGTGTGTGTGTATGTTAGGTTGCTAGCTTGGTTGACTGAGAAGGCCTAGGAACAGAAACACCTCAATATCAATGAGCACACTTCATGCCCAAATTACTTTTATGCACTAAAAGGAACCAAAGACCCTAGGGTAAATGGCTGATATCAGGGCAGAGGCAGGAAAAGCAAAAGCCAAACCTGAACGTCTCGTTATGCAAGAAAACCAGGAAGTGCTCAAAGAATGATGTGCATACGTCCAAAATCAAAGCCAGCCTGAATGGGCTCTTATTGACCAAGTCTGGGATAATCTGAGCATCAAAATAAGTAATGATACTAATGGATTATAGCCTATTGAATAAACTAAGAATTCATTAATTCATAATAATATAAATGAATGAATGAATAAATGAATGAATCAAAAGAGTGAAGAGGAATGGGATAGATACATGGTTTCAAAATACCTTCCTACAAAATTCTTATTAATTATCAGGGGCAAAAGAGTCAGTATACAGTATAGAAGACTCATCAACCCCCTAATTAAGCAAAGTTAACACCCTCATTAATAGGACAAATTGACATCATGCATGATGTAATAGGATGTAAAGAGAAGACTGCAGTGAGGCTTCTGTAATGTTGTAAAAGTGCTAACCATGAGGAAACCTCAGACTAACCCCAACCGGGAGACATTCTACCAAATAACTGACCTGTAATCTTCAAAGCATCAAGGTCATAGAAGTCAAGGAAAGCCTGAGGTCCTCTTCCAGAGTAAACAAAACTAAAGAGAAAACTAAATGCAACATGTGATTCTGGACTGGCTCCTTTTGCTGTAAAGGATGTTTGGGACAATTGGTGACATTTGTATAGAATCTAAGATAAACAATGTATCAGTGTTAATTTCCTGATTTTGATGGCTGTATCTGTGGTCATATAGAAGAATGTCCTTGTTCATAGGAAATATACAATAAAGTATTTGGAGGCTGAGGCATCATGTCAGCAATTCACTTTCATACAGTTCAGGGAAAAAATTCTTTGCACTATTCTTGCAGCTTTTCTCTAAGTTTGAGGTTGTTTCAAAATGAAAAGCTAAAAAAATGCACATACAAATTCCTCTTTTATAAGGAAGTTACATATGAAGGTTTCTTCCTACAGACATATACTTCCATTTGTGCAAAATATTGTATGTACCTTAATATTCATTGATGCATTGCAGCAAAAGATAGTACACAGTAAGAGCTCAATAAATGGAAGCTTGTTATTATTACTGCTACCATTCTTCATTACACAGCACCCAGTGAGATTACAGAGGTTGGCTGGGATGAGGAGGGCATCTTTGTGGGGTGGAGGCAGCTTGGCTTGAGCAGGGTGGGATGGCCTAGAACAAGATGTCAAATGGTTGTCAAAATCAAATGTACAGATAGGTAATTTCCTCTTTGCCTACTAGTCTATTAGCTTCACTGTATACTTAACTTAGAATATATACATATGTATATATAGAGAGAGAGGTTTCAAAAGTTAGTCTTGAAGCTCGTTTTGAAGGGAATTGACGACATCTAGTATTAGTGGTTTCCAACCCTGGCTTCATGTAACAATCATCTTGGAAGCTTTAAAAAAATACCCATTCCTGGGGCCTCACACTCAGATATTCTGATTTAATCAGTCTAAAGTGGAGTCTAGTCATCAGCATTTTAGAAAGTTCCCCAGGGTTCTAGGTACAGCCATGGTTGAGATTCACCTTCTGTTACCTTGCCAGTGGAAGGTGCATATCCAGCCTTAAGGATCCTAGAAATGGGCTCTTGAGGTGGCTAAATCAGTACTTCTCAGACATTACTTATTTAAACTACAATTTCATGAATTTTTACCAATCTGTGTGCCATCCACACTCTTATTAAATATTTTAACTGATCCTGTTTTAAGTTTATTATAAAAAAAGTTAAAGAATAAATTATAGCTCTATATGCAAAATCAAAATTGCTTGCCATAAAAGAAGGCAAAGGTAAAACAAATACCAAAATTTATCTGAAATGTTGTTACATTTTTTGAATTTAATAATTATATAAAATTTTTTATGAAAAACAATAAAATAAGTCTAGTTTATTGACATAAAAAGGAATATCTGAAATTTAGCTTCTTCAGTGAGATTAAAACTATGATCAGTCAATAATAAAAGACACCATTTGGTTGGATTTCCCTTAGTTGAAGGAGAAAATTAAGTTCTAGGCCAGAGAGATGATATGATTGAACTTTTCGTTTCACTATTAGCAAGGTCAGAGAAATTCTACTAACATGTTGTATAAAACTGGAAAGGGCATAAAGGCTTAGTTGAGAATATTCAGGCAAAATGTTGTATGGGGCTTTTGTTCAATGAAATGTGGTTTCAGGAAGTAACGGTAAATGTGTTCCAGGAACCAATGAACCAGGAACCAGAAAAATAAATTGCAGTTATTGGTTCAGTTAATGGGCGTGGGTCACCCACCCAACCTTCCTCTTTGCTTCACTCCCACCCCCACCCGCGAGTCTCAGCTACCTCCACTTAAAATCAGCAGTGTATGCCAACAGTCTAGAAAACTCTAACCAGATAGTTGTCTGTTAACCTGTTCTGCCAACAGTCTAGAAAACTCTAACCAGATAGTTATCTGTTAACCTGTTCTTACATGACCGTGCACATTTCAAACATCTCTCTACCTCTTTCTTCTTTTTCCTTGGCTTTTAAGAACATACTATTTTCTGGAATTGGAAAACACTCCTTGACCCCAGTTTCTAAAAAGACAGCTATCCCCAGGCAATATTTTAAACTAGTGTAGTCTTTCTCCTCCTCTCTCTATTATAGATATTTGTCTTTTCTTTGGTTCATTTTGCAACCCTGCCCCTGTACCTAGGGGCTGAAGGTCTCTCTCAGTAATCGAGACTACTCTCACCTCATCAGCCTCAGGATGGAAGCATCCTAGGTCCCTGGACCACTACGTGGAGGAGAGCTGCCTAGATAGCCACCTCGCCCAAAGTGACCTTAAATTTATACATCAAAGAAAAAAAACCTTGAGCCACTAAGATGTCAGGGTTTGCTTGTAAATATTTTGCAGCCTCTCGCAAGAAATACAAACACTCATGCTTATAAAAGACTGGAATTATAGAAAGAAAAATGTACACAGTGGCTGCACTTCAGGGTAGGCTTACCAGTGATTCACACATTCGTTCAGTCATTTCAACAAAGATTTACTGAGCCCACAGAAAACAGCACTGTGAGAGATGCTGAGATTCGATTATGAACATGGTATTGCCTTCACCTTAGAGAAGCTCACAGCCCTTTCACATGTCAGAATAAAATGCAGGTAGGATATTTTTCATATAAAAACTGAAGAAAAAGAAAAGAAAAGAAGCCCTACACACCAAAAGGAGAAAATTCTACATCTGTGGCATGAAGAGCTAGAAGAAACTGGGCCCAACCTTGTGTACCTTTGATGATGCATATTTTGTACAACTTAGTTTGTACAAACTAAGATTAAAAATACAGAGGTCCAGGATGTTCTGTCATGATTGGACAAACTCAGCTGTGAGTATGGTTTGTAAAAAGAGATTTCAGTAGATTGTATAAACATGTCACTTCTGTTTAGGACTAGATGCTTATAATCTTTCTGCTCTATTTGCTGCATGAACATTCATTATTTTAGATCAAAGAAAACAGAGGAAGCCACTCACACTTCCCCAGTGTCTCTCTCATTAAAATTAATTATTTTCCCAGTTCAGTCCTCTTTGTTCACAAACGTGTCCAGTGAGAGAAACAGGTCTTAAGAAACCCAATTATGTCTAAGGCAGTTTCAGAATCAGATAAAAGGGTTGGGGGCTGGAGCATAAGAAAGGCCTAGCAGGGAATAACTCCACATTTCCAACAACCTGCCACATTCAGAATTCTCTTTCTCCCTAGGATTAGTTTTGAAAGCACTTTGACTTAAATATAAACATTTTCCAGTTTTAATTTCTAAAACTGAGAAGAAAGAATTTCATTGAAAAAAGAATGAAACTATTTTCTGTATCACTTTATAGCACATGAATTTAATTAGTACATCAGTCAATAAAGGAATCAATTTATTCAGTGAAGTATGTTGGTAATACTGTGCAGCTATGGGTTTCACTTGTTCTATTTAATGAACCTACAAAATACACATAAATGATTCCTTCAAACAGAGGAATTTGATTCTGAGTTCACTGGGGAATGAATATATTGATTATTATCAATGCATAAACCATGCCCAATTAAATGTTTCAGTGGAAATAATCTTGCAGAAAGGACTTTTGACAGCATAGCTTAATGTAATTTATTTTAGTTCTCATTTGCTAATAGAAAACAAGAGCTTTGTGTTCCAAAGACAAAAATAATGTGTTTAAAATTTCAAAAGAGTGGTGACAGTGAAAAATTAGTGCTATCTCTCACTTGCAGAACTCATCTTGATAGAACAGGAAAGAGTCAGCATCACACAAGAATCTAAGGAGACAGAGGAAGGCACCGGAGAGCTGTGGTGTTGTCTCCAGCTTCCACCTTTCACGCTTGTTAGCGAGGTGCTTACTGGTGCTTTTCATCTATACCTGGAAAACAATAACAATCTTCCTTCTCTAGGATGCAGGCCTAGTATAGTCCCGATGGTGACTGAGGCCTTGGGAAAGGCTCAGGAGGAATCTTCCCCAGGGGAAGGGAGAATGGCCTGGGTCTTGAACTTGATGGATCCTGCCATGCCATGGTCAGGCAGCTGGGCAAGACCTCAGGACATTGGGGGATGAAGGCGGGTAGTGGGAGGACAGGACTTTCCAATGCTGCTGAAAGCAGAAGCAGTGCAGCATGACTATTAGCAAGTCAAAGCCAGGGGGTTGTTGTTTTTCTTTTTACTTTTCATGACAAGTATTGCCTCATTTTTGCTATACAATATCATACGTTCATTGTAGAAAATGTAGATTGCCTGGATTAAGCAGAATAAAGAATATCTTAAAACATGTACATTCCTATCACTTCAAAGAAATAATCATTAATATTTGTGAGTCTGTCATTCTAGATTTTTTCTATATATTTCCTACTTTATAAAATGTATACATTTTGAACATTATTTTTAATTTAATTTTTAAATTCAGGAGTATTTCAACCACATCTTTCTCTATTGCTATGTACACACCTATATAACTTTTAATCACTGTATGTTGTTCTGTTGTATAGCTATAACCTAATTTATTGAAACTAGACTATTGACATTAGGCTGTTCTCATTTTATTCTATTGTATGCCATCCATCTTAAAAATGCTTGCATTCCTATCTTTGTGCATTTGTTCAGTTCTTTACTTGGGATAAAGCAGAAAATGGGAACTGATATATCAAAAAATGCACACTATTTTGTATGCTTTTGATACAAATTGTTGAATTATCCCCTGGGGTTAGCAGCCTCTAAAATGGACCCTAGTGATCCTCCCTCCTGGTATTTATGCCCTCAAATGTATGGATGGAGACCTGCTACCAGTCCCGGCAGGGAGCTGGGAAGTAGAGCTTCCTCTAGATGAGCTTTCAGATGACTGTGGCCCTCACCAACTTCTTGACTGCAGCCTTGCAAAAGACCCTAAGCCCAAGGACACAACTAGGCTACACCCAGATTCCTGACCCACGGAACTTGTGGGACAATAAATGTTTCTTGCTTTCACCTGGCATAAACCTCAGTCCTTATAAGACTACCCTAGCTGTATTTCTCCAAAAGACTAACCTAATTTAGAATCACTTCAGTGGTGGACATATGAGTGCACCTTTCCCACAGACTCAACACTGTGCCTTTTAATCTTTGCCAGACTGTTTGCATGTCTTTTATTATTACCAAAGTATTTATTTTTTATTGAATCCCCCATCCTTAGCCTTTGCCCATTTTCCTATGAGGAATTTGTCTTTTTTCTTACAATTATAAAGAATGTTTTATATATTAGAGTTATTGCAAACTCCCATTCCACCTCACTACATACACATACATGAGTTTTCTATATTTCTACTTTTATTTGATATTTTTGTTGCAATCTTTTCCAATCTGATTGGTACAAATAATAGCTCATATTGTTTTCATTCGCATATCTTTATTCCACATATGAATGTGGTCAAACTTTTACACAGTAGATTTTGTTCTTCCTGTCTTCAATATTATACTTTTAATCCTTCCTTGCTTCTTAAAACACATTTGTATTCTGTTATATTTTCTTCCAGTACTTTTATAATTTATACATTAAAAATCTTAAATATTTCAAGAATATAATTTGGCATAAAGTGTAATGTTCTATTTTAGCTTTTTCTCATGATAATTAACCAGTTGACCTAATACCATTTATTTAATAATTCTCTTTCCAATCATTTTAAGTACTGAGGAATTATAATCTTTTATACTTCACAGAGCAAATTTGCTATTACTCTTTTCTGTGAAACTTTTCTTAGATATTTTCATATATTTATTCTTATAGATCATTTTTAAATTATTTTATAATGGCTCCGATATAGAATTAACATCTTATAAGAGTAACTATTCCTTTCCAGGAGTATAGAATTATCTCCATTTATGCAGTCTGTTCTTTATGTACTACAGCTGAATGTTAGGATTTGCTTTATAAAGATCTTGCACATTTCATTTTTATTTCTTTCTCATGATTTTCTGTTGTTTAAGTTATTATTATTGTGGTGGTGGTGGTTGCTCTGTGGATGGATTTTAAGCTCCACAAGGTGAGGATATAGTCGGTTTTGCTCATCATTATATTCCCAGTATCTCATATTTTCCTTGACTCGCAGAAAGCTTGCCATCTACTTCTGGAATGAATATATGAACAAATAAGGGAGAAAGTAGCCAATATTCCATTATGCTTTCTAACAGGTTATTGATAACATATAGGAAAGCAAAAGGAATAGGAACAAGTGCATATATAATACAACTTTGTTGCACATCTAAAGTATCATTAATAAGTCTATGGCTTGAGGAAAAAATAATTAAAGCTTACATAAAAGGAGAAATCAATACAATCCCTATGAGATGAAGAGTACTTTCAAATCAGAGAAGATAACACAGGAAAAAGTGGACAAAGGACATTAAAAGGTAATTCATAAAAGAAGAAATGCGTATGGGCAATAGTTATATCAGAAGAAAATAAAGATATGCAAACAGCAACAATATGAGCTAGTATTAAATTGGCACAAAAGTAATTGTGGTTTTCCCCATTAAAAGTAATGGCAAAAACTGCAGTTACTTTTGCACCAACCTAATATTTATACCAATCAGTACAAAGATTTTAAAGTTGGATAAAAACTGTTATTGTCATAGATAGAGAAACAGGTAGTTTCCTGTGTTCTCAGCAGATAGGGTTTTAAACTGGGACACCACATACGGAGGGCAATCTAAAAATATATATCAAAATTCAAACTGAGCTAATTAGTTGATGCAGCCATTCCTCTTCCAGTAATTTAATCTTAATTTCATATTCATCTTAATTTAAATCTTTAATCTTAAAATAATTACATAGGAATGTACATCTCAAAGAAATTAAAAAAACTAGCCATTAGGGAAACATCTGCTTGGATAAATCATCTTGTATTGTTTTCATGTGAATCTGTGTCATCATGAAGTTTTCCCTCCTTTCTCTTCTATGCCTTTCTCTTCTTCTCTTCACCTATTTCCCCCCCTTCCTTTGGACACAAATAAAATGAATGTTAATTGCAAACACCAGTAAATAGTAGTTGAGAATGATGAAGAGTTAGTTACTATTTGTATGCCCAGAAATGTAAATTCCTTTAATCATGATACTACTGTTAATAATTCATGTTTATGTTTCTTCTTTTTGTAGGAAAAGTGAATTTACTGTACTGCTTATTATTGTAATTTGTGCACATATGAGATCTCTTCATTCAGAACTTAAGCTAGAACCCAAGCCATGGATTGCCTTGGTGGCAGTGTCCGGACTTATACAGAGCAGGCAGGAAGAAACAAACATCCCTGAATCCAAAACAAGCGTGAAAGCTGTACACATCTCGTGACCTTTTCTGACTTTGAAATTGCAACAGCTGATTTTCTAATGTTTTCCTTTAGCTGTGGCAAGATACCCTGGGAGCTTCAGGAACAGGAGCACTCCCTATTCTATGTGGAATGAGGGATGCTCAAAGGATGAGCCTTACCTTGCCCTGCCTAGAAGAATGATCCTTATCTTGGCTTCCCTAGAGAAGATGCCAACTTAAAAAGTGACTTGATTTGAAATGAATTCAACTCATTTATTCAAGGTAAATAATTAACCAGTCCTACAGAAAGGAACAAACAGCATTGTACCATCCAGTCACTCCTCCCTCACCTCATGCAATGAGTGGCCCTCGGCTGTGGCTCTGCTGCCATCTCTGATACTGTCGGCAACAGTCCCTTTGCAGAGGATCATTTCTAATTTGGCCCTTCTAATTTGAACCATGTCCCAAAACAGAAAATGGACAGATGCTGGGGATTATTTTTAACTAGTCTGTTTTTAATCAGGGATATGGAATCTTGATCGTTGATTTCATGTTGTTTTTCTCCTCTTCCTCTGCAGCAGTGTTTCTCAACCTCAGCACTATTGACATTTGTGGCCATACAGTTTTTTGTTATGGAGGGCTATGGTGAACACTGTAAGATGTTTAGCAGCATACTTGGTCTCTACCCTCTAGATGATATTAGCATTTTCTTTTCCCCAACTGTGACAACCAAAAATAAGTCCAGACATTGCGAAGTGTCCCCTGGAGGCAAAAGCATCTCTAGCTAAAACTATGGCTCCATGCCCAAAATGACTTACTGAATACATTTACATGCATAGCATATGCTAGGCATTTGTAGGAAGGAAGGATGGGTGTATGGAAAGAAGGAAGGAAAGGAGGAAGGGAAGAGAGAAAGAGAGAGGGGGTGGGATGTAGGGAGGGAGAAAGAGAGAGAGAGAGAAAGAGAGAGAGAGAGAAAGAGAGAGAGAGAGAGAGCCCCAGTGCAATATCTCAAGGCACCCGCATTTCAAACAAGATACTACACAGACAAAAATACAGCAAAACTTACTATTATGGAATTGCCTTTCACATTCAAAAGAAAATAAAGGTCAACTTTCCACTCCTCTTTATCCAAAAGAAAGTTAACTTTTAAATTAATATCTTCCACATGAGCCCTAGTTGAGACACTGACATCACTTCTAGATTCTATCAAACTTGCACACTGGTTTAAAAATGCAGAACCAGAAGTCAAGGGGACGAGGTGTCCAATTCTGGTAATGTCACTAATGCAACGATTTAAAAAAAACCATGTCAACATTTTGAACTTCTGTGTTCTCTAAAAGATCATGTATCTCCCAGGACTCCTGCTTATGGAAGCATTTTCAAATGTATCAGGTCCTATCCAAATGGTAAGGAAGATATAACTGTCTATCCTGTGTGTACACCTCAGATTATCTTCTCAAGGGAATGATGCTTTCATTTACTTCTTTTTGTCTTTCTATTAGCTTAGAACATATATTTAGAAGGATTTCATTTTATTTGAGATCATAGAGGGAAGGAAGCCACTTTTTCAAGTGGTCATAAGAGCCACAACAGAAGGCCTCTGAGTCAGAGTGGGATGACACAGTAGGCTGTGAAGCTAGTGCACGACAGAATTGTGCCACTGACTCCACTCTGGTCTAGAACTGGTGGTCATAGGCCCCTAGAGGCCCCTAGTGGAGACCTACTTAGAGGAAGATAGAGTTGAAGCACTCTCTGATGAACAGGGCGTTGGCATTGAATGGTCCTGTGCTTGGTGTAACGCTCTGTGGGTGTTACTTTGAAAGATTTTTTTAGCAGGAGGCTCTCTGCATTTTTTTTTTTTTTTGCAGTGGGCCCCACAACTTATGTAGCCAGTCCTGCCAAAGAAGAATGTTTTCTTAGGGGTACTTGAAAACCAAAATGAGCTCATTCACTTCACTTGAAATTGTCCCTCCATCTGTCCCTTGACAATAACCATTCCTATCTCTGAGGCTCCTTGAACACCAATCGTAATAAGTACAGGTACATCTACTGGGTACTTAGCATGTGCCAGGCACTGTACTAAGCACTTTATACATTCATTACAAATTTGTTCACCTTCATATCTCCACAAATTACTGCTCCTCCATTTTACAGATATAGGAAGTCAAGGAAGGTGCCCAAGGTCACACAGCTATGAAGTGGAGGAGCCAGCCTCCAACTCCCACACCTGCTCCACAGTCTGTGCATTTGTTCACATGATTCTGCCTCCACAGACACCTCCCTGGAGGTCTAAATGTATAAAATCCATACTTCTGGCACTATATTACCTATCTGTGTTAGGCCATTCTTGTACTGATCTAAAGAAATACCTGAGACTGGGTAATTTCTAGGAGTTTTAATTGGCTCGCAGTTCTACAGGCTGTACAGGAGGCATGATGCTGTCATCTGCTTCTGGGAAGGCCTCAGGAAGCTTACAATCATGGTGGGAGGTGAAAGGGAAGAAGGTGTCTCACATGGCAGCGGCAGGAGCAAGACAGGGAGCACGTGGAAAGAGGTGCCACATACTTGTAAACCACCAGATCTCCTATGAACTCAGAGTGGGAGTTCACTTACCACCAAGGGGATGGCCCAAGCCATTCATGAGGGATCCTCCCCCATGATCCAAGCACTTCCCACCGGGCCCTATCACCAACACTGGGGATTACAATTCAATATTAGATTTGGGTGGGGACAAATAGCCACCACATTATATCATGATCACTTAAATGTAGCCAGTAAAGGCCTCGTGGGCCAAACATCCTGGTTATCCTTGCCTCCTTCACCCTTCTTCTCCCACCTCACATTCAATTCCTCACATATTCTGTGAGCTCTATTCCTGAAAAGCTTTCAGAGTTTGACTCCTCATCACCTTCGCCACTTTCCACTCTGTCCATGCCACCACTGTTCCTTCCATGGGTAACATCTGTTCTTGTGGCATTCTGGAGCACCTTTAAAACCAAAGTGTAATCTGTCTCTCCTCTTTCCAACAGTGCCCCGATCACTCAAAATGGAGGCCTTATTGTATGCAGCTGCATGGCCCTACAGAACATAGCCTCATCCCCACCACAGTCTACCTGGCTTACTCCACTCTTATCTCATTGGCCTTGTAGTGGCTCCTCAGAACAAAACAAAAGCACCAGAAACTTTTTTCTCCCAGGTATCATGCAGGGCATTCAATCTCTTTCTTCATGCATGTCTCTGCTCAGATGTCCTCTTACAACGAAGGCCTTTTCAGACAATGCATCAAAAGCAGAGCCCCTCTCCTGCCCTACTTTGCCTTCCTACCCTGCTCCCTCTCCTTAGCACCTAGGTTATGTTCATGAACCAAAGACTGATTCTGTGTATTGAACCCTACCTTGTTTATTTCCTCACTGCAGGTTAAATTGTCAGCTCAAAAGCCTGCTGATGCCAAATGCAAATTTTTACACATCCAGTTATTTAAAAAATAGCACAAACAAGCAGATTTTTAGCCATCTGGAGCCTGCCTACTTTACGTACCCTATGAGGCCTCACCCAACAGCTGTTGCTCATTGATCAGATGGGGCCTTGTACTTATAAGGCCCTGAACACTGTGGCCCTTCTGAGCTCTCTGACCCAGACTCTCTGCTGTACTGCTGAGTGACATCACTTAGATCCTCTAAGCCCCCTTTCTAATCCCCCTCTCTCTTGATTTTCTGTTTGCTCTTCTCCCCTTCTAAACAGTGGCCCCCTTGCCCTAAACCTCTGGATGGTCTCACTAGGAGAGACATCCTCTTTCATGCAACCCCATCCAAGAGCCATTCAGTAAAGCATGTTGTATGTTACTGCCCCCTGTGCTCACATCTTTTTCCTTGATCATCTCCCAGATCCCTCCAACTCAACTCCTACAACAAAGCACCCTTATGTATTTTCTGTCTTTCCTCAAGGTCGGTCTCAAATAGCAGGAATTTTGTTTTGTTCACTGATGCATCTCCAATCCCCGGAACATGACTCCATGTTGCTAGTAGACACCTGATATATACATATGTAATAGGTATCAAATATATATATGTATATTTGTTGTAGTAGGAAATGAGTGAATGAATCATCACTGCATCACTGTTCTTCATTTCTCTTTCACTCATCCCATTCTTTTACACTTCATCATTACCTTCGAATAATCTGTTCTCTTCCACAAGACAGCAAACATTATATAGCCAGCATTATAGTGGAGAAAGATACGGGAACGTACAGTAAGGAAGTAAAGAAGCCACTCCCAGATAAGGGAAGCTAGACTAAAGTCTCACTACATACAGCTGTTGGGTTGAGATTTTCATCCTCCATCTTGCCACTCCCAACAACACTTCTTTCAAATCAAGAGTTGATAGAAGAGAAATGGAGGCTACTGCCTCACAAACCATGTTGTTCAAATTCTGCTACACCTCTTTGGGCTTCGATCTCAACACCGCCATGCTGCCTCTCACCAAGATTTAAAGAAATACAGACAGGCTTCACCATCTTAGAGGAGAACCAAATCACCCACCTCTTATAAGAGATATCAGTGTGCTGGCAGAGAATGTAAGGTTCCTATCATGTGTGGGTACAATTTTGTTTGCCCTGTAATATTTGCTAGCAGGCGTTCATGCATCCCTAAGTGCTTGAGGAAGAATGCTGAATTCTACTGGGCATTTGTTGGTAATGCAGGAGAGAAATTGCAGCTTAGCCCTTTCCTATATTACTCAATAGGAGCTGAACCCCCATGCAGAAGAGCACAGTTGTGGCTATGGTTGACTGGGGTATGCACCATGCATTAGCCCACTTCCCATTTTCAATCACTTGCTCGCAAGGCCACACTCTTGCCTTTATCATCATTTTGAACTATGCCACCAATGACATCTTAAATTCTACCAGAGACACCCAATGTTTATACACAGCATCCCCCACTCTCACAACTCCTACTCAGCCTCCTTTCTTCCTTGTCAGGACCTCCCAGTTCTGTCTGCCCTCCTGGACCACAGAATCACTCCCTTGAACCACAATTATCAGCACTTTCTTCACTTTCTTCCCTGGTTACCCCTCTGCCACACCCATGCTTCCACAGCCTCACCCAAACCACCTCATGCTTTATCTATTTTTGCTGCAGCATCCCATATACTCTGGGAGCAACATGGATATGCCAGCCACACTCCTGCTACATAGCCTTTATGCTGGCTGTTCTCTCCACCAGATTGCTTGTCCTCCGTAGCAACGTGGCCAGCTTCCTTCAAGTCTTTGAGGTCAATGAGAGCTTCCCTGAACACCTTATTTAAATTCTAAGTCACAAGTCCCTCACAACTTCTGATATCCCCTATCCTGATGTGTCTATTTCCACACAGCATATCACCCTCCAGCATTTCATTTTGCTTACTAATTAATCTTGCGTCCTCCCAATCTTCAGTCCTCCTCTCCTTCTAGTATTTAGGAAATACTGGAATATTTCCCAAAGGCAAGGAGTTTTTTCTATTTTGTTCACTGATGTATTCTCACCTCTTGAAACAATGTCAGCACACAGCAGATGTTCAATAAATATCTCTCAAATACATAAATGAGTGAACGATTGGTTTCCAACAACACATAGGCCCTCGTACAAGGCTCAGCCACCTGGCCTCTCCTTCTGCAGTTCTCTTTACCACCACACATGGGCTTTGCCCTTCATATTCTCCTTCTCATTTTCACATATGACATTTGTATCTATCTCATAATGAAAATAGGGAGGAAAACTGGCCGCAGGCCTGCTAAGTTCCCTTCCCTCGAAAAGCATTTTTATTTCTACCCACTTTTGCTCTGCCTTTTCTCCCTTTGCTCTGCCTCAGCAATAGAGGTATCGGGCCTTCCTTTCAAAGTCTGGCCCTTCCATCTGTGCTTCTGGTCATCTACCCTCCTATTTTTTTTAGAAGGGAGGGTGCTAGGTCCATTTTCTGGTAAACTAGTGGGGTTCGCCCCCTGAAGGAAGCACCATGCCTTCTGTGCGAAAAAATAGAGGATTTTCCACACTCTGGGGTTAGAGGGAAAAGCCCTAGAGAGGCAGGAGTTAGAGCTAAGGCGGCCAGAGTACGTGCAGCCCAGCGAGGGCCCCTTTGGACCCAGCCGTGGAGATTCTGAAAGTGTGCTGGGGAGGGTGCGAAGGTTGGAAGGTTCGGGTCGCTGAGTACCTGGAGCTCAGGCCTAGGAAGAGAGGGCACTGTCAGGACAGGGCA
The DNA here is from genome assembly GCF_000001405.40 of Homo sapiens. Classification (NCBI taxonomy): domain Eukaryota; kingdom Metazoa; phylum Chordata; class Mammalia; order Primates; family Hominidae; genus Homo; species Homo sapiens. Next base: position 79,778,410 of record NC_000006.12, on the reverse strand, counting down.
GAAAGCTCTGAAAGGAGTAAGCCACGGCGGGACTCCAGAAGAGGCAGGACGGCAGAACTCCAAACATCTTCTCTTCCTATGGCGCCAGCAGCTCTAGAGCAGGGGTCCAGGTGGAGCCCCGCCCCCGGCAACCTCACAGGAGTGTGCTCTTCCTACCTAGCCCCACCGGCCCCGACTTTCCACGGTCGGGAAGGCCAGCGGCCGCCAAAGACTTAGTGCCACCTTGTGGCCACAACAGCAACTGCAGCCGCGGAGCCCGGCGTGGGCGGCTCCCTGTCCCTCCTCCGCGCATGCTCAGGATCCGGTAACCCTGGGTTTGGGAAACCCCCGGGTGCTCAGTTTGATCGCAAAGAGGTAGAGAATGGAAGGGGAGAACCTGGGAAGGGATAAAGACATTATTGTAATAACGAAATGGAGACTCCGGCTATTCTGAATATTAAAAGAGATGTGCTATTTTATACCTGGCATCCTAGTGAAAAATGAAATCTCTCTTGGGTTTTTTGTTTCTCGTTTCTACCAGTTCCTTCCATCTCCCCCACCATGAACGTCAGCCAGTTCCCTTTCTAAGAAAAAGAAAAAAGAAAAAAATGTTACTGAAACTGCTACCCCTTGAGATCAGTCTTGTTTCCTTTTTCCTCTTTTTAAAAATTATGGTAAAATACCCGTAACAGAGAATTCACCATTTTAATGATTTTTAACAGTGTAAAGTTCAGTGGCGTTAAGTACATTTACATTTTTGTGCAACCATCGCCACTGTCCGTCTCCAGAACTTTTTTGTCTTCCCAAACTGCAATCCTGAACCCATGAAACACTAACTCCCCATTCCCTCCTGCCCTCAACCTCTTGCAACCACCGGGCCACTTACTGCCTCTCTGGCGAGTTCACTACCCATCAACCACAGCTTTGCTGAGAAGCCAGGATAGGGAAACATGTTCCCCCACTCCAATCTACATTTGTTTCTAAGTGGTGGTAGGCTTTTTAGGTCATCTTTATTTCTTCATGAAACTTCTCTGTGTTTTCTTTCTTTTTTCCAATAAAATTGCTATTTTTATTTTTAAAAACACGGATAACCTTTTGAAGAAAGAGATGGGTAGGTGTTTACTAAGCAGATGTCTGGGTGGGTGGGGAAGGGCATTCCAGGCAAAGGGAGCGGGAAGCACAGAGGGCTGGAGGGGGCATGAGGAGGGTGGCGTCTTGGTGGAGGGCAGCTTGGTCAACATGACTAGAGTTTGGGGATTACAATGAGGAAAGAGGAATCAAGATATCAGGCTGCCTGCAAAGTGGGCAGAAGTAAGATCTGAAAGGCTTTGTTTGCCACGTTAAGTAGTTGGCCTTTTTAGGCAATAGGAGAAAAAGGATTTTAAACAGAGGAGATACTTGAGCAAAGACTGCTTTAGAAATGAGACTCTAGTGTATGGATTGTAGTGAATGGATGGAGAGGGAGAAGGAGATGAGAGTGGATGCAAGTTAGGAGACTGCCACAATGGTCAAGGGGAGGAGTGCTGAGGGCCTGAGATAGGGAGGAGAGGCAGAGAGAGGTAAACAATTAAGAGAGGCATTAAGAAGGGGAACTGAGGGGACCAAGCAACTGCTAATCTATTAGGGAGTGAGAAGGAGAGGTATTTGGCTGGAGTGACTGAATGGATGGTGGTGTCAGGCACTGAGTTAGAGAATGGAAAAGCGAGAAGCAGATTTCGGGGAAAAGTCCATGAGTGCACTTTGGGACATGTTGAGTTCTGGGTTCCTGGGGGTCACCCAAGAGAAGAATCGTTAGGTACAGTGATTATATTTGCAGGTGGAGAGTTCATGAGAGATCTCTAGGCTAAAGATATAAATAAGGAGTCAAGAACATATGGATGGTGGCTGAAGCCATGAGAGTGAATGGGGCTACCAGGAAGAAAGCCCATGTGCACAGAGGAGAGAAGATACCTTAGGGCAAAGCTCTAGGGTATCTATTAAAGGTCTTTAGTTACAAGTAAAAGAAACCAGATGTAGTAACTGTAAGCACTGTATAAAGAATAACTTATTGGAAACCTGCTGCATAGGTCACAGTATAAACAGCTGAATACTCAGGCCGTGAGAGAACAGAGGAAGGGAGCTCCAGGGTCTCTGGGGAGAATTTGTGGCTTGCCATCTAGGCTGCTGCCATCAGCTGACCCACTTACAACTGCTCCCCACCCCCATGTGTCCGCACTCCAGACTTACATTCCTTGGAATGATCATCTGATTTTCCCTGCCTGTGTTAAATTTCCCAGCCTGAAGTGAGGGGATCAGGATCTTGTATCAATTCCCCACCAAAACCCCAGGAATTTTGAGTGAAACCAGGGAAGGCAACTGAGAAACAACATCTAGAGATGGAGAGGACCCAGGAGACAGCAGTAGTCTTGAAGCCTGGGAAGGAGTTTTAAGAAGGGAGGGATATGTTGTATCAGGTGCCACACACGGGGCCACATTTACCAAGATGAAGGGTAAAATAATAAATTAATTTGGCAACTAGGAAAGCATTGATAAGTTTTTCCCTAGCATATCTGGGGAGTACAAGGGATAGCTAATGGCAGTGGGTTGAAGAGTGAATGGAAAGAAAATAAATGGACTGAGTGTTAACCACTTTACCAGGGAGCCTGGTGGTCTCATGGGGGGAGAAAGATGGTAGCTACAAAGGCCTATATAGTAAGGACAAAGATTTGTTAGTGGCAGTGATGTGAACGTATTTCTAGCTTATAGGGAAGGAACCAATTGGAGGAAGATGTGGAAAGTGGAGGAAAACAGTCAAGAGAGGACTCCCGGCTTCAGTGAGGTGCCAGGGAGACACAGATCATAGGTTACTTTAAAGCAGACACATTTTCCTCTAAGATTGGACAGAGAGAGGTGAGGATGAGTACCTATATACAAGTATGTTGTCATCCCATTTTTTTTTTTAAGGTACCTGTCAGTGTGTGCCTGTACACAGAAACCACTGTATCAGAAACATGTCTGTATTTATTGTCACGTGACTAGATATGGTACAGGGCGTTTTAAGGCAGTTCATTTCTGAGCCTGACTCCCTCGGTTTTATTTCTCAAGTCAGACCCATAGTCATCTGCTGGCATTGTACAAGTGGCCAGGTGACAAGTAGTTTAGGGAAAAAATGTTCTATTTTAATGTCTATGTAGAAGCTATGTACTCTTTCATCATGACTGTGTCTCAGAGAAATGTATTCAGGCATTGTGTGACCTGCTAGTAAGATTAACAAAAACGTTAAGGGAAGTATAGCAGTCTAGGGAGTTGGCTATTATTAAGACAATATAGAAAAAATAAATGAAACTTTCAGAATAGACAGTCCAGGGAGTGATCATGGGAAAAGTTTGCCTAAGTAAGGAATGGAAGCTTTTGGGCCAAAGAAGGTCAAGAAAAGTTTAAGGCCAGGTTTTAGGAGATTGTCTAGGGCAGGGTATCATAGATGCCCACAGGGTTCAAGCAGATTCTACAAACGCAGGAGGCAGCTGTGCCTTGTCTTCCACAGCACATTGTGGAGACCACACAGAAAGGACTAGCATCAAATGTTTATGACCCAGAGACAGTATGGGCTTAGTGTGGCCAGAGCTTCCAGGTTTTCAAAAAAGCCAGATATCTGTATTTTATGCAAAAATCTCTTAATTTTTTAACAAATTGTAGGTTCATTTTTAAAAATTATTTTTAAATGCTTTTTAAAAAATCATTCTACAGGCCAAACTAACAACTAGTGTACAGGATTTTTCTCTTGAACCACCCATTTCCAACCTTGATTCTATATAGCTGTTCCTTATATTATAAATAGTGTGCTAGGATCTGAATGTTTGTGTTTCTTCAAAATTCAGATGTTGCAATTCTAACCCCCCAGGAGATGGCATTAGGAAGTGGGGCCTTTGGGAGGTGATTAGGTCATGAGGCCATGGAGCCCTAATGAATGGGGTTGGTCCCCAAATAAAAGAGGCCCAGAGAGCTGCCTTGCCCCTTCCACTGTGTGAGGACACAGGGAGAAGGCACCATCTAGGAATCTGGTAATGGGCCCTAAATCTACCAGCTTCTTGGTCTTGGACTTCCCAGTCTCCAGAACTGTGAGAAATGAATTTTTGTTGTTTATATGCAACCAGCCTATGACATTTTGGAATAGCAGCTCAAATGGACTAAGACATGAGTTTTTGGTTGTTTTTTCATTTGTTTGTTCATTTTTAGAGACAGGGTCCTGCTCTGTCACTCAGGCTGGAGTGCAGTGGCATGATCATAGCTCACTGCAGCCTCCAACTCCTGAACTCAAGTGATCCTCTCACCTCAGTCTCCCAGGTAGCTGGAACTGCAGGCAAGTGCTACCATGCCTGGCTAAGTTTCTTTTATTTTCTCTAGAGATAGGGTCAAGTCATATTGCTTAGGCTGTTCTCTAACTCATGGCCTTAAGCAGTCTTCCCACCTTGGCCTCCCAAAGTGTTGAGATTACAGGTGCAAGCCATCATGCTGAGACCTAGAAGATATTTTTTCCCCGACTTATATCCTGCCCTTGAGAGAAACCTACTGCTTGCTATTGTATTTGCCTCAACCTAGAGTCCTTTCTTTGTTACTGTAAGCCTTGGTTTAAATGGCGTCTTCATGTCTAGTCTTTTTCTTGAGGGTTCCCAAACCCAGCAACCATAACAAAACATGGATTGTTGTTTTTATTGTTGTTTTTTTAAAATAATGTTTATGACTTTTACTGCTAAGCACTTTACATTCACTACAATTTTGACATCTATATCACCCAGCGTTCAACCAGAAATGCACAAATAACAGAGGATAATATATATATAGATAAATATGGATATAGATTTACTACAAGGAATAGGCTTACACAATTAAGGAACTGGATAAGGAAATCCAAAATCCACAGAGCAGGCCATCAGGAACTCTCCTGCACAGGCTGAAGCTGCTGTCCGTAGGTGGATGTTTTCTTTTTCAGGGAAGTCTCAGCCCTGGTTTTAAGGCCTTTCAACTGATTGAATCAGACCCACCCAGACTATTTAGAATGCTCTCCCTTATTTAAAGTCAACTGATTATGGACTCACATTTACAAAACACAATTTCCACAGCACCTAGGTTATCGTTAGGTTGAATAGCTGGAACCATAGCTTAACCAAGTTAACATATCCAAAAAAAAAAAAAAAACCCATCACAAATATATTCTAAATATTTCACATACTCTAAATATTATCCTAACTATTTTAGCCACGACACTCTTTTGAGGTTCTATGATTGTGCCTTTTTCGTAGATGAGGAAATTGAAACTCAGGATGTAGTAGATAACTTCTCTAGTGTTTTGCAGCTGGTAAATGGAGGTGAGGTGTGACCTAGATAATCAGACTCCTGAACCAACCAGCTGAGCCATGTTTGCCCTGCTGCCTCCTTGGAGCAGAATAGGATTAAGTGCCTTAAAAGGTAGAGACCAGCTGTACTCACTTTTGTATTCTTAGCACCTAGCCTGGCATATAATAGGGACCCAATTGTTGAATTAGCTAGTTAATGTATAAGATTTAAAATATTCTATGTTTCCTCAAGGGAAGATCAATGAAATCCATTTAGCAAGTTCTTCAAACTGAAAATACCTAAAAACAATTTTCTTAATTTCTATTTAAGTGTTCTTTGGTTATCTAAAGGAATTAAGCAGTTATTTAGTTCAGAGCTGAAGATATTAAGTAAAATAGCTCAAGGTAGATTTTGTTTCTAAATTATGCCATTTTCCACAATGTGGCTTTATACCTTTATGCAGGATATGAAGCCAAATTTCATATTTAATTAAAATTCAATATCTTTATGAAAATACAGGAACTATTTTCTTTATGAATTCTTTCTTTGCAAACTACATAGAACGTGTTTGAATTTGTTTGGTGGCAAAAGCAAAATTGAGAGTTTTCCATATTTAACTATTTACTGATTATGGTATTAAAAAATATATTTGGTCTTAGTCCCTGGTTCCTAAAACCCTTGGAATCTCCAGAGTGATGAGTGTCTATTGCATGCTAATGAGATCACTGCTGTCTAGAGGCCCTTAGGTAGCTTCAGAATGGGGACTGGTCATCCAAAAGAGCAAACCTTGAAAAGAAGCTTGGAACTTTCAGCCCTACCCTCCAACCACTGGGGAGGGAAGAGGGACTGGAGATTGGGTTAATTACCAGAGGCCTGAGATTCAGTCAATCATGTAATGAAGTCTCCATAAAAACCCCTAAATGACTAGTTCAGAGGTCTTCCAGGTTGGTGAACACACTGAGGTGCTAGGAAGGTGGCACTACCCCCACCCACCCCATATTTTTCCCTATGTACCTCTTCCATTGGGCTATTCCTGAGTTGTATCCTTTATAAGAAATCAGTAATAGTAGGTAAAGCACTTTCTTGAGTTACGTGACTTGCTCTAGCAAGTTATCGAACTTGAAGTCATAGTGTGGGAACCCCCGGTTTATAGCTGGTCTATCAGGAGTATGGGTAGCCCGAGACTTCTATAATTGGCATCTGAAGTTGGGGCAGTCATGCAGGACTGACCCCTTTAACTTGTGGGATCTGACACAAATTCCAGGTAGATAGTGTCGGAATTGAATTGTTAGACACCGATTTGATGTCAGAGTGTTGTGAGTAAAAACAGCTTACTAACATTAAATCTAGACATAATTAAATTTCAAAATAAATTCTATGTAGCTCACAAAACTCCTTTCAATTAAGAAAAATGAAAGTATAATGATTTATAATTCTAGAAAATCCAAGTGGAAAAAGACTTCACAAAGTAAGTGAGAAACAGACTATTTTCTTCATGAGGCTTCTTTTCAAACTCAAGGAGAGCCGATGTTCTATAGGAATCTAAAAGAAATTAGGCAGAGTGGAGAAAAATCTAAAAACTCTAGGATTTTAGAACCGGAAAGAGACCTTCAAAACACTCTAGTTCTTTATAGGACATTTGACAGATGAGACCTAGAGGCCCAAGAGCATAAATTAAGCAGACAGCCTGTCAAAAGGCATCGAGTGAGAGCTACTTAAGAGGTATAAATGCACAGCTTTCAGTCTTGCCCTGTAAGTCTCCCTGCCCGCCTAGGATGGCTCCTAAAAGGAGAAGTTGCTGCAGGCAAGTATCCATAGCTTCTCCCTCATCAACGAGTCATTGCTATGGACTCACTTCCAGTTACTCCTTCCTTCCTCCCTCAGATGTCCAGATTTCCTCAGATCTACCCCAGTCCTCCAGAGACCTCTCCCTCAATTTGGAACTCAGTTTACCTGCTCAACTCTGTTTTATCCTTTGGTTCTTAGGGTTTGATGGAGTTCAGGACATGCTACTACAAAATATAGCACCTTGGCATTTGAGAAAACAGCAGAAGCAGGAAGGTCACTCTCACCTTCTACTCCCTCTTCTTCCCTGAAGCAGGTCTTAAGACCCTCATTCAAGAGGTGCCCACCCTATACCCAGGAAGACACAGATGCCAAAAAGAATCTGAACAAACAGGCCTTACTAAGTACTTCCCAGTTCATTATCATTAGATCATACTGTTTTGTTCTTTAATTATATTTCTCTTACAATTGTCTACTCTTCATCAAACCTAAGTATAAAAATACACAGGTTTAACCTTGTCTTGGGGTCTTTGTTTCATAAATGTGTATGCTTTTCTTTTGTTATAGGTATCTCAGCCATAAATTTAGTGATGGGTGAGGAAAATATATTTTTTCCTTCCCTACATGTTCTTGGCTGTTTTGGATGAGTATTTTCTGCTCTTCCCCATAAACCTCTGGACAAGGCCAGCCTTCATAAGATAGGGGAGTGAAGAATTCAAACCCAAATACAATAAAAAAGAATTCAAACCCAAATAGAACCAAATGCTATATCTCTTATATTTGAAGTTAAACTTGCTGAAGATGTCTATCTGTAAGATAATGTTTGAGGTTTTGTTTTTTTTTCTCAAGTGAATGGTTATGTTCTCAGTGTCTTATACTCTGAAAGCCACAGAATCCCAGGTTCAGACAAGCCTTTTGGTCGATGTCTTGAACCAATTTTGTGACACTTTGATAGTCTCTGTGGATTGGACAGTTAGTAGTTGCTTAAATAAACCCAGTGACCAGGAACACCTATTCACCCTTTAAAACTGTGACTCTTAGGAACTTCTTTACATTAAGCTAAAAATCTGTCCCTCTGAGGCTGCTGTCCAGGAGTTGGCAATGTTCCTGGGGTCCTGAGAAATAGCCCCCAACCCACGTGCAAAATCCTTTTGCATAGTCTCTTTTTTTTTTTTTTTTTTTTTTTGAGACGGAGTTTCGCTCTGTCGCCCAGGCTGGAGCGCAGTGGCGCGATCTCGACTCACTGCAAGCTCCGCCTCCCGGGTTCACGCCATTCTCCTGCCTCAGCCTCCCGAGTAGCTGGGACTACAGGCGCGCGCCACCATGCCCGGCTAATTTTTGTATTTTTAGTAGAGACGGGGTTTCACCGTGTCAGCCAGGATGGTCTCGATCTCCTGACCTCGTGATCCGCCCGTCTCGGCCTCCCAAAGTGCTGGGATTACAGGCGTGAGCCACCGCGCCCGGCCCTAGTCTCTTCTTACTAAATCAGAATTTGCTTATATTTGGCAGAGCTACTTTAATCATCTCAGCCTATCCTTTGTCAACCTAAATAACAGAGAGAGGCTCCTCTAAAAGAAAATGGTGTTTATTTGAGAATGGAGCACTTTAATGGGTATCCATAAGTAACAGTTCTGCAAAGCTCCAATGCTGACTTGGGAGTCTTGTGTTAATAGTCCTACAGCTCAGCCCTGTGTCAGTCTTCTCTCTGCTCTGACCTTGATGTCCAACAATAGTTGTCCTTCATCCATCTCTCAGAGGTGCTTACCCTTTTACCCCAGATTCTCAGTGCCTGCGCCTTGAACCTGTTACTGCATTTCTAAATAAATAGATTTTTTTCAGCTTTTGTTTTTTAAATTGAGGTAAAATTCCTCATAATATAAGGTTAACCATTTTAAAGTTTACAACTAAGTGCCATTCACTGCATTTACAATGTTGTGCAAACCTCACCTCTATCTAGTTCCAAACCATTGTTATAACCCCAAAAGGAAATCAGATACCCATTAAGCACTCTCCATAACCCCCTCACCCGGGACTCTGGAAGCTGCTAATCTGCTTTGTCTATATGAATTTACCCATTCTGGATATTTCATGTAAATAGAATCAGACAATATGTCAGCTTTTATGACTGGCTTCTTTCACTTAGCACAATATTTTCTAGGTTCATCTACATTGTAATATGTATTAGTACTTCATTTATTTTTACCCCTTGATATGGTTTGGCTCTGTGTCCCCACCCAAATCTCATCTTGTAGCTCCCATAATTCTGACAGTTGTGGGAGAGACCCAGTGGGAGATAATTGAATCATGGGGGTGGGTCTTTCCTGTGCTGTTCTCATGATAGTGAATAAATCTCACAAGATCCGATGGTTTTAAAAATGGGAGTTTCCCTGCACAAGCTCTCTTTGCCTGCTGCCATCCATGTAAGATGTGACTTGCTCATCCTTGCCTTTCACCATGATTGTGAGGTCTCCCCAGCCATGTGGAACTGTAAGTCCATTAAACCTCTTTTTCTTCTCAGTCTCGGGTATGTCTTTATCACCAGCATGAAAACAGACTAATACACTGCTGAATTCTAGTGTATGTATATGCAACATTTTGTTTATCCTTTCCTCATCTGATAGATTTTTAGTTGTTTCTACCTTTTGGCTATTGCAAATAGTGCTGCTGTCATGAACATATGTATACACGTATTTGTTTGAATACTTGTCCTCAATTATTTTGGGCATACTTAAAAGTGGAATTGTTGGGTTATATGATAATTCTATGTTTAAATTTTAAACATTTAAATTATTTTCCACAGTGGCTACACCATTTTAAATTCTAACAAGCAATGTATGAGGGTCTCAATTTCTTCACATCCTCACCAACACTTACTTTCCCTTTTTAAAAATTATAGCCAAACTACTGGGTGTGAAGTGATAGCTCATTGTGGTTTTGATTTGCATTTCTCTAATGACTAATCATGTTGAACTTTTTTTCATATTTGTTGGCCATTTGTATATCTTCTTTGAAGCAATGTCTGTTCTAAAGTCTTGAGCCCATTTTTAAATTGTGTTGCTTGTCTTTTTGTTGTTTAGCTGTATTTTGTATTCTGGATATGAATACTTTATGTATTCTGAATATTCAACCCTTCTCAGATACATGACTTGCAAATAAAATTTCTTCCGTGTCTTTTCACTTTCTTGATAGTGTCTTTTGATGCACAAAGTTATTAATTTTGATGAAGTTCAATTTATATTTTTGTTGTTTCTGCCTGTGATTTTGGTGCCATATCTAAACATCTATTGCCAAAAGCAAACTTATGTTTTTCTGTATGAGTTGTATAGTTTTAGCTCTTTCATTTGGGTCTTTGATCAATTTTGAGTTAATTTTTGTATATGGTGGGAGGAAAGAGTTCAACTTCAGTGTTTTGCATGCAGCTATCGAATGTGTCCTAGCATCATTTGTGAAGGAAATTATTCCTTTTACAGTAAGTTGTTGTAACAGTCCATTCTCATACTGCTATGAAGAAATATCCAAGACTGGGTAATCTATGAAGAAAAAGAGGTTTAATGTACTTACAGTTCCATATGGCTGGGGACACCTCACAATCATGGCAGAAAGCGAAGGAGGAGCAAAGGCAAGCCATGTCTTACATGACGGCAGGCAAGAGGGCATGTGCAGGAGAACTGCCCTTTATAAAACCATCAGATCTCAGGCCTGGCACAGTGGCTCATGCCTGTAATTCCATCACTTTGGGAGGCTGAGGCAGGCAGATCACTTAAGGTCAGGAATTCAAGACCAGCCTGGCCAACATGGTAAAACCTCATCTCTACAAAAAATACAAAAATTAGCCAGGTGTGGTGGTGCATGCCTGTAATCCCAGCTACTTGGGAGGGTGAGGCAGGAGAATCGCTTGAACCTGGGAGGCGGAGGTTGCAGTGAGCCAAGATCACACCACTGCACTCCAGCCTGGGCTATAGAGCAAGACACTGTCAAAAAAAAAAAATCAGATTTCATGAGACTTATTTACAATCACAAGAACAGCACAGGAAAAATCTGCCCCATGATTCAATTACCTGCCACCAGGTTCTCCCATGACACATGGGGATTATGGGATCTACAATTCAAGATGAAATTTGGGTGGGGACACAGCCAAACCATATCAGTGGTCTTGGCACTCTTGTTGAAAATCAATCTACCATACAAGTATGGATTTACTTCCATAGGTCTTGGCACTCTTGTTGAAAATCAATCTATCATTTCATATCGTATGGTAGATTGATTTCCATACAGTAATCTACCATTCCATACAGTATGGTAGATTGATTTTCAACAAGAGTGTCAAGACCACTGGAAGTAAATCCATACTTGTATGGCAGATTGATTTTCAACAAGAGTGCCGAGACCACTGATATGGTTTGGCTGTGTCCCCACCCAATTCTTTTAATGCTATTCAGTTGATATATATTTCTGTTTTTATGGTGGTAATATATTGTTTTAATTACTTTAGCTTTGTGGTAAGTTTTGAAATCTGAAATTGTGAATCCTCCAACTTTGTTTTCATTTTTCCTGATTGGTTTGACTATTTAGGGTCCCTTGAAGTTCCATATGAATTTGAGAATCAGCTTTCCCATTACTGAGAAAAAGGTTGTTAGGATGTTTGTTAAGTATAGCATTGAATCTGTAATTGGCTTGGATAATATTGCAATCTTAACAATGTTAAATCTTCCAATCCACAAACAAAAGATGTCTTTTCATTTGTTTAGGCCTTCCTTAATTTCTTTCAGCAATATTTTGTAGTTTTCTGTGTACAAGTTTTGCCCTTTGATTTCCTTTGTTAAATTGGTTCTCTAAGTATTTTATTTTTTTGATGATTTTTTTAAAATTTGATTTTCAGATTGTTAATCACTAATGTACAAAAATAAAACTTACTTTTATGTGTTGATTCTGTATCCTGCAACTTTGCTGAATTTACTCATTAGCTCAAACAGTTTTTTGTAGATTATGTATGACTTTATATAAGATCATGTCACCTGCAAATAAAGATAATAATACTCCTTCCTTTTTAATTTGGATGCCTTCTATTCCTTTTTCTTGTCTAATTGTTTTGGCTATAACTTCCATTACAATGTTGAATAGAAGTAGGCATCCTTGTCTTGTTCCTGACCTTAGAGAAAATGTTTTCAGTCCTTCACAATTATGTTAGCTATGTGTTAAGCGAATGGATTTAAGAGCCATCAGTTACAACAGAACATGTTGTCTAGTGTAGCCATTTTTCCTAGAATTTTTTCTCCAATGGATAAAGGTATATTCCTAAGTATTAAAAACAGATCATCTCTACAGTTCTATTTCTATGCCTTGGTCAGCACAAGATTGGAAAAATGGCCAATGGTTATAAAACTTTTCATACATGTTAATCAGATAAAAGCTTCAAGGCTTAGAAATAGCCTGTCAGGGGTGCACTGAAGCCAACTCACAAGAGCCAATTATTATCATTTCCCAAACTGTGTTCTGTCACGTTGCTTGCATATCTTGAATTTGTTAATTGTGGGAGTCTTTATACCATGAAAACTGACAAACACTACAAATCAAGACTTTTTTGGAGTGCTTGCTACTGACATAGGATTTTTTCAGGGCCACTTCACCAGCCAGAGACCTCCGTGGCTGGCAGGGCCTCTGCTCAAGTTTCACTCATGCCCAGTGGCCTTGCTCTGCCCACTTGGCCCAGCAGGATGTGCTTGGCTCACATTAGTGGTTCAGATCCTGTGCTCACAGCAGGATCTGAGCTCAGCCTTCAGTTGGGCCATGCATGCTGTGACCTGGTTCCACCTTGGGCTCTGGCTTCTGGATGAGGGGAATGCGGTGGTGCCTGAAAACTTTGAAGACAGCAGCAACCTCAGAACCCCAAAGAGGGTGTTACAGTATGTTTGTTCCCACCGCCCTCTTCCAGCCTGTGGCTTCTGGCCTGGCCCTGCCGTCACTTGCTCTTGCATGGGGCAGCTGCCCAGCACCAGCAGAGGGCAAGAGGGCTACCAATGTTACAGCCCCTTTCTGCCCCACTGTTCAGCAGGTCCCGGGTTCTTGTCTCGCATCCAAGAAGAATGAGGTTATGCAGACAACCACAGTGAGCAAGGAGGGGAAGAGTTTTACTGAGCAACAGAACAGCTGTCAGTAGAGAAGGGATGTGAAGTGGGTAGCCCCTACTCAAAGGCGGGTAGTCCCAATGTGTGGCTGAGTACAGGTTTTTTATGGGATAGGCGAGTGCCTGCTGACTGGTCCATGGGAAGCCTGGAAAAAGCACTCCATTCAGGGACTTTACCCGAAACTGGCAGGTTGGTTTTCAGGTTTCAGGCTGTCTTTGGCTTGGAGGCGAGGTTTCACCAGGGACACGCCCCTATCTGCCTAGGAATTTGTCTGCCTCCTGCCACTATCATTAGCAGCACACCCCTGGGCCTGATCCAAAACTCTGATGTTCACTGTTTGGTAAACTCATGCCGAATATTCCCCTGCGTCATTTGCTGTTAACAATGTGAAATGCTGTGGCTGATGTTGCAGAGGTAGGTAAGGAGCCTTGGTGTAGTGGGACATTTAACGTGGCACCATCCCATAGCAGGAGCCTGAGAATGTGTCTACAAGGTCAATCTGTTCTGTCTTATAGCTCATCTTTGTTTTACTTTATTCACATTAATTTATCTTTATTGGCTTTTTGTGTTTCATTGTTTTGGGAACTTATGTTTGTTGGAATCTCACATCACTTAATAATTAAACAGTTCTATTAACAGTAATTATAGATCCTCTTTTTAGGTCTTGTAAATCTGAAAAGACAGACTGACAGAGAAAACATCTTAAAAGGAGGCATGAAAAAATCTTCTTCAATTAAACTACTGAAAGAAAGTGGAATTCCTTTCTCAGAAGTAAGGGCTAGTAAGTAAGGGCTGTGCAATTTTTGTTGCTATTTTAAGCTAATTATAAGTTGTGTACTAACCTTATATATTACATATATTCAGACTATATTTTTTGCTTGAAATGGTATCCTGGAAAATTCAGAGACAAGGCGAATGTCATCTCAGCTCAGGTCATACATTTCTTTTCTTAAATATCTTGACTTCAGAGATGGTGAATTCCTATTCTATTCCAGGCTGGTAGACTTGCTTTCTATTAATCCAAATCATTTTAATGTGGAAAGACAGGTCCCCTATACTGTTACCCACCAATGAACAGCCCTCAAACTCCTCATCCTTGGCCACAGCATTTAATCTTCATCTGATGTGAGCATATGTAATTGGATTCATTATTCTCTGAAGGGCAATAGACACTGAATTTTTAACTATTCAATCACACTATCAGCCCACTGAATTATCTCTACTTTTTCTGGCTTCCTCTACATTTTCTGAGCAGTAAGCTATTATTTTTAATATTTGGCATAGTTTAATACATAAGGTGCTGTTGGTCATAGAAGACAGGGCAGAGTTTGAATTCACCTCAAAGGAGAATGTAATTTAAAATTACTAGATTTTTCCTAAATATCCAATCGATGCCATAGTGGGGTTTTGAAATAATCACTAATTCTAATAAAAACTGAGACAGAAACCAAAATTACTACAGCATCTATTTTCACAGGTTGCCAGAAATGACCATTTCAGGTCTTGGGTCAATGAGAACAACACATTTTTGAACATAGTAGGAACTTATTTATAGATCTATGTTTGTCTACTTCCCAGTACATGGGCCAGCATTTCTGTTTGGACTGAACTTATCTATAAGTTACTGTAGTAAAAAGCAAACCTCTCTGTGTGCAAACCCCAAGGAAAGAAATGTCCTCCAGTATTCCTGTGGTTTACCATTACGGGAGCTGAAGAGTCAGTCATCCAAGGTATGTGGCCAAGAGGCACCTAGAAGGTACAGGATGACATAAATCACGTAGAATTTGCCAAATAACTCTGCATATGGGCTAAAAACATATGATGCTCTTGAAATAAAACCCTTACCATCTCCATCTCCCAAAATGAAATTTTCTTTTTTTCTCATGCTTTTTTTTCCATAGAGCCCATGCACATGAAGGCTTAATTTCTTTCCAGCATTTTAGCAGAATTTCCAAACTTTTATCTTTTTAAATGTCTATATCCTTTTAAGTAGCAAAAGAAAGAGTCACTAATTAAGTATGCTGAGGGAAAATTCAATTCATTACAAATTATCTAAGAGCTGTACGCACCATTCCAGTTATGAAGAATCAATCCTACTCAGGGAACTAATGAGCCCTAGCTTCTCCATTAAATTGGTGCCTGTCATTTAAAATGATACACAGATGCATATGTACCTGAATGTCGTGTGAATTATTTATATGTAAATAGTACACATATCCCATTTTCTTTTAAAAAAGCAATTCATTTGCTATAGACTTTAAAATCTGTCTTTCTTACTTGTACTTTTTTATTATTTATCAGAGCTCAAATGTAAAGCTATTTCTTCAATCACCAAGTGACAATAATATACAAATCCTTGAAGTGATATGCAATGCAAAAACATGACTGTTAATTAAATCATATTTGTGCTTCTTAAAGCAAGCTTATATCTGTCTCCAAATAGCAAGATAACTTCAATACCCCTCCCCACCTTCAGAAGAAGAATATTAACATACTTGATTCTTTTTCCATTTTTCCTCTTCACTGCTGATGTCCAGCTTCCATCATGCTATTACGGCTACTGAGCATAGTCACATGACAGGATATGTAGACTCCTAATGGCTCAGGTGAAAATAAATGCATAAATAAAGAAATAGGCTTCAGTCCCTGTGGGCAAGGAAGGCGAGGTCTGGAAGAGAAGGCAAGCTCCCTCTAGAGGAAAACTTGGACGAGTGAGCACACTGATATTAAGAACATAGTCCCAAAACTCAGGGAGATTTAGACATCTCAAGAATGATTGCTTTTGTTTTTGTTTCCCATTGCACACTATTTTAAAAATACATACAACTCATTCTCATCACCATATTTTTAAAACAATATAAGAATGCCCACAAATATAGAGGGGAGATGCTGGCCAGTGTTTCCTCCAAAAAGAGAGAGAGAGAGAGAGAGAGAGAGGGAAAGCCTGAACAGTGGCAATGTGAATCACAGCCTTCCATTTATGGGCATTGCCACATGATTAAACCTCACTAAATATAGTGCATCTACCCAAATTTCCAGTCAAATATTAATTCTTGTATTTGACAATACCTGTGAAATGTGAAAAGCTAAAAATGAGAAATATTTAACATAATGCCTCTAATGAGACAGCCCATGAAAAATTTCATGACCAAAATGTACAGGGAAATACCAGAAATCTCTCGCAAAGTTTCACACTCAGCTGACACGGATTTTAAGGTCATCACTGCTTTAATTTTTAAATTTAAAAATTTTTTAATTTTTCTTTGAGAGTTGAGGGGCGTAGGTTGGTGTCAATATCAAAACACCTTTATTAAATGAGTCTGTCCTACATAAAACTTTGAAGGAAATAAAGTTGCATTGTGCATCCTGCTTTGGTGAATTTGTTTTCTACATCTACATAATTTTTTTTTATTTTTTATTTTTTATTTTTTTTTTGAGACAGAGTCTCACTCTGTCACCCAGGCTGGAGTGCAGTGGCGCGATCTCAGCTCACTGCAACTTCTGCCTCCCGGGTTCAAGTGATTCTCATCTCTCAGCATCCTGAGTAGCTGGATTACAGGTGTGTACCACCATACCTGGCTAATTTTTGTATTTTAGTAGAGACAGGGTTTCACCATGTTGACCAGGCTGGTCTTGAACTCCTGGCCTCATGTGATCCTCCCACCTCGGCTTCCCAAAGTGCTGAGATTACAGGCATGAGCCACTGCTCCTGGCCTATACAATATCTTCGGTCTTCAATTTTCATCTCTTTACTTAACAAAAACTTAATCCTAGAAAAGGAGCTGATAAGTTAAATCCTGTTAAGATATAAACAACTGGAAATTGACTCCTGGGGTTAAACCTCAAGCCAACACTAAAAAAACTTCAAACAGTGAAATTTTAAATAAAATCACATTTTAAACTCAAAAATATGTTAAAGAAACTGGAAGTTTTGCCCCAAAGCATAAATAATTTCCATGAATGAAATGCCTTAGCTAAATTCTGCATTTATAAATGGATGTATATAAAATTTTGCAAGTTCTAGTCATTTTTAAATTTATTTAAAATTCTATGGTGAGTCAAAGTCATTTTGGAAAATTTCTTTATCCAGGGTGGATGCATGTGACAATATATAAATGTGTTTACATTCATTACTGCAGTATTTATAATAGCAAATAAAAAAGCAAGGGAAACAATATAAATGATCATCTATAGGGCAGTGGTGAAATGATTGATATACAATGAAATATCATGTAACCTTGTTTTGGCTATTTAAAAAATTGTGGGCCAAGTGTGGTGGCTCATGCCTATAATCCCAGCACTCTGGGAGGCTGAGGCAGGAAGATCGCCTTGAGGCCAGAAGTTTGAGACCAACCTGGGCAACATAGTGAGACCTCATCTCCACAAAACAGTTAAAAAATTAGCTGGGTGTGGTAGTGCCTGCCTGTAGTCCTAGCTACTCAGGAAGCTGAGGCAGAAGGATCACTGGAGTTCAAGAGTTTGAGGCTGCAGTGAGTGGTGATTGTGCCACTGTACTCTAGCCTAGGCGACAGAGAGAGACCCAGACTCAAAACAAATGATAAAAAATTGTGATAAAATACACACAACATAAAATTTACCATTGTAACTATTTTAAGTGTACAGTTTAGTTTAGTGATATGTAATGTGAAAATTGTCAGACTCAAAATGAGGTCATTTGTGCTTAAAAAAACCAAAACCAGCTGGGCGCAGTGGCTCACGCCTGTAATCCTAGCACTTTGGGAGGCCCAGGCGAGTGGATCATGAGGTCAGGAGATTGAGACCATCCTGGCTAACACGGTGAAACCCCGTCTCTACTAAAAATACAAAAAAAAAAAAAATAGCTGGACGTGGTGGAGGGCGCCTGTAGTCCCAGCTACTCGGGAGGCTGAGGCAGGAGAATGGTGTGAACCTGGGAGGCGGAACTTGCAGTGGGCCGAGATGGTGCGGCTGCACTCCAGCCTGGGTGACAGAGGGAAACTCCATCTGAAGAAAAAAAAAAAAAAGCTAAACCCTGACAAATAGAACTGGGAAAGTCTATGAAGGGAGGTTTCTCATGAAAAATGCCTGATAACAAAAACTATCACAAAAGACTGCAAAAACCACAACCTTGCAGTTTTTACTCAAAAAATATTTCTTCAAGAACACCTGCCCAGCAACTGCCTGTTTAACTTCAAACTGGCATCAGTCTTGTTATTGATCCTTGCAGCCAGGGACAATTATCTCAAAACAATTATGTAATCATCCTCATTTTCCTTTAAAAACTTCTGTCTTCTTTTACCTCCCTGAATACACAGCTAGCTGACTATGATACACATATTCCCATTGCCATGCCATGTTCCTGAATAAATATCCTTTCTAGAGAGCTTTTCTCTGTTAGTTATTTAGATTGACAGTAACTATTTTAAAATGAAGTTGATCTACTTGTGCTAAAATAATAAAAACTGAGAAACATAGTAAAATGGAAAAAGTACAGTGCAGAATGGTGTGTATTCAACGAATCTACCACTTCTTCTTTGCTTTTAAATGTCTTATTTGAAATACATTTTAAAATAAGTAATGTACGGATAATAATGCGTCATCCATGAACCTACTCTTGCAACGGGCAATTCTTAACATTGGTCATATTTCTTTCAGAGTGTGTGTGTGTGTGTGTATGGTGAGTGTATATGCAAAAAAAAAAAATCCAGACAAATTTGAAGCCTTTTCGTCCTTCATCCCCTGTCCCTTGCACCTTACTCACCTCTTGAGAATCACATGGGTTTAGTTTGTATCTATTTTTATATTTCTCATACATACATAACATGGATAAAATATTATTATTTCTGTGCCTTTTAAAATTTGCATAAATGCTATGACCTCTTTAATTTGCTTTCTTATTTTTCTACACTCTGAAGCTTGTTTTCTCCATTCAACATAGTTTTTGAGTATGAATGCCAATTGCGTTTTTTGTTGGAAGAATATGTATATATGCTTGTTTCTGCACTACAGCTTCCTGGTGAGACACAAGATGTTGTTAATAGCATTCACATCTGGAAAGAGGTGATGAGAATTAGTAGTGGGAGTTAGGACTTTAACTTTCCATTTTACACCTTCCAAAGAGTTTGAAATTTTACAATTGTTGTCATTTTGTAATAAAATAGTTAATCTAAGGTACAAAAGTTTTATCCTGTTCCTGTGGCAAGGGATGTGAATACATTATGGCAGGTTATATAGGTTAAATGCTTTTTCCCTGACAACACACCATGTTGCCCAGGTGAAATGGGACTGTGCAGTACACGGTGCATTATGATGAAAGCAATGCAATTTTGGAGAAATTATAGGTTCTAAGGGGTGGGGATGGGGCAAGAGATTACACAGAGGGGGCCCACTAACTGAGCTTAGTAAAACTGAAGGAAATCTCTCTGCTAGGGATGCAATTAAGAGGGATGGAGAAGATGACCAACAGGGCCACACATTACATGTACAGAGGAAACACATTGTAATGGGAGTGAATAGATCTGATTTCAAGGACTGGTTTAGTCACTAACAATCATGAGTTTGGCTAATTTGCTTAACTCTCTCATTTTAGTTTTTTAGTTTTTTCCCTCAATAGAATGAGATACAAATTTCTCATTTACTCATTCATTCGTTCATTCAGTAAATGTTTACTGAAGCTCTAGTAGGTGCCAGGCATGCTAGGCACTGTATTAGGTGCTGGCAATATAAAGAGGAACAAGGTGGAGTCCATCCCTCATGGAATTCTCCACCTTGTACTACTGGAGGCTGGCTGTCATTCTGAGTCTAGCCACCAAAGGCTAGAAATAGGCACAGAGCCAACCAACAGACGCTGGTGAGTTCTGAGAACTTCCCTGGGCAGATTTGATGTTGTTACAGCAGAGGCCAGATGATGGAGAAGAGAATAGTTACTCCATGGGTCTCAGCAGGAGTCCTGGGATGAAAACAGAAAAGATTCCCCTTTTTCTTGAAACTGTGGGAACTTGGCTTCAACTGAGGAGAAACAGATGAATTAGAACTATGGCCAGAAGAAGGATATAACATGAGTGACAGAGAAGGGGATATTTGATTTTTTTAAAAACTTAAATCAAGATAAATGAGGATATGAAATTTATTATATATCAGAAGTTCATACTTGAAATCTCTTTAATTTTTTAAAGTGTGTGAACTTCAAAATGGCCAACCGCCATCTCATGGAAGATGGATAAAATGGGGATGATAATAGCTACTTCACAGGAATGTCATAAAAAAAGAATAAATTTTAAAACCTGTTAATACGTGATATAAACTTATGAAGGACTTTATTGTTTTTATTATTATTATTTTGTTTTTTATTATTATTTTATTATTTTATTTGGAGTTCTATTAATATAAGATATAGATAATATTCTTTCTAGAAGTTGTTTCATTCCCTGGGTTCGTGAAAAGACAGTCCAATTGGCCCTATCTATCTCAAGTCTCATTTCCACCTTAAATTCTTACGTATTTCTAAAGACTGTCATTTCTAGAGGCTGCATTATGTGACCTAGTTCAGCAGGGGCCTGGTAACACTTACGGAAATATGACAAAATGCAGGAGGGGAATTCAGTTGGGCATTTAAGTCAGAAACACACAAACGTACCCCAGAACCTTATAAGTCCTTATAGGGTTTGGCCTGTGAGGCAAACGTGAAATTTGTTTTCCTTGGATCCTCTTCTATTATTCCTAATTATAGCACATGTATTTTCATTAGCATCTGAAATATTAAAAACCATGTTCAATGCCTTCTAAGTTAATAATGACTATGGTAAAATTTGTGTAGTATCTCTTTTTAAAAATATATTTACACCATTCTACCAAAAAGACAAATGCACCTGTATGTTCATGGAAGCACTATACATAATAGCAAAAACATAGAATCAGCTTAGATGCCTATAAATGGGCAATTGGATAAGAAAATATGAGACATATACACCATGGAATACTACACAGCCATAAAAAAAGAATGAAATCATGCCCTTTGCAGCAACATGGATGCAACTGGAGGCTGTTATCCTAAGTGAATTAACCCAGGAACAGAAAACCAAACACTGCATGTTCTCATTTATAAGTGAGAGCTAAACATTGGGTACACATGGACATAAAGATGGGAACCATATACACTGAAGACTAAAAGAGGGAATGGCGGGGGGGAATGTTGAAAAACCACCTATTGGGTACTATGCTCACTACCTGGGTGAAGGGTTTAATCGTACCCTAAACCTCAGCATCACACAATATACCCTTGTAACAAACCAGAAAATGTACCCCTTGAATCTAAAAGTTGAGAAAAAAATGTTTACAATTTTTATCACAGAAGATACAGCATTCAATAGCTACATGTTTAGAAATAAATAGGCACATGTTTAGAAATAAATAGGCCCCGAGATAAAATACTTTTGAAATAGCATGTTTTTTTTGTTGTTGTTTCTGTAAACACAGGGAAGGAAATTTCATAGCCCAATACAATCAGTAGCCTCAAAAGATTTTCTGGTATTCTAATGACGGAATGTCTTAAGCATACATAACTCAAATTCAACAATTTCTAGTCATCATTTAAATGAGAGACTTAAGTATGTTAACAATTTAAGAGATGTTTACATAAAAAGAAATCATCTGGACTTTATAATTATCCAGTCCAAAAGAAAATTATGGGGCACTTCTCTGTATTTCCCAAAGGAAATGGAACAGAACAATTGAAAAGGAAACAAATAAAATATAATAAATATTTGGAAAACAAAAAGGGGAAATCATATCATTTGAAGAAAGACAAGTTGCCATGATTTGTGTGATAGCTTTTGGCTAATTCAAATTTTGAGAGAGAATTTTGTGCATGTGAGAGGCACACACATCTTTAGAAAAAGCTCCAAAACTCATTCCCCTTTTGAATTGTTCTCCTCTTTAACCTTAGATGATGTGGAGATAAACTCAAAGCTCAAATGTTAGGAGGAAATATCTGAAAGAAAGTCATATACCAGACCAGCACAATTCCTGGAAACGAAGGACAACTAGAGCAAAATCCAGTTAAGGAAATAACTCTTGGCCGGAAGCAGTGGCTCATGCTTATAATCTCAGTACCTGGAGAGGCTGAACTCAAAGAATGGCTTGAGGCCAGGACTTCCAGACCAGTGTGGGCAGTATAACGAGACCCCCATTTCCACACACACACACACACACACACACAGACACACACACACACACACACAGACACACACGGAAAACACTCTCTAGGTTCCCACCAAGCAGCAGAGAAGGGACAGAGGTGCATTTACTCATTTTGTAGCAAATGGAATACAGCCCAATAAAGAATTCCAACATATCCAAGTACAAAAATGAAAGTTTCTATTTTTTTCCCCCAAAATTTACTACTCTATTGACACTCCACTTAGATGCATTTTTCCAAGTAGGTAATAGATTACCTCAAACACATATCGGACTGATTCCATAACTTGTCAACTTGCTTAGTTATTAAACCAGGGTGATTGTCTTTCTTAAGAATGAATTTCTTTCACTTAAAATTTCTGTTTCTCCTTTAATTTAAAGATCTCACCTTTAATTTAAAGATCTCTTCCACAGATGAGCTTGAAGCTCCGGAGGCTTAGATGGGAGGACATGGAGGGGCTGTTGGGTCAGGGAGGATGGAAATGTCTTTATGCAGCTACACAGAGCACATTGGTTTCCCTTTTATGGTGTTAACAGAGACAACCCTGCCTCCATGGTAAAGAGGTCGCTGTCCTTATTCTTTTGTTGATATAGCTCCATTATCTAGAATTATCCCAAACAGCTTTCCTAGGCACCATGGCCCAACTCGAGGGCCTCAGTCACAGGTACACACTTGGAACTTTGGAGACAGTGCTGTCCTTTCCACCAGGATATGCCGCTATACCAACTTTCTCCCACATGGAAACACTGAAGCAGGTCATCAAGCTCAATGACTAAGTAAGCAGTCAGGAAACAAGAAACTAGTTTTCTCTTCTTATACAAGCTCACAAACCTTAAAAATGATTCTTTTGGCTAGAAAATCATTCAAGACCAGAGATGTACCAAGGGTGGTGGGAAGGGCCCACCCCTTGCAGGCAATAGGCAGCAAATTGTAGAGAATTTAAAAACAACAATAAAATTGACTATAAGTCAGTCTGCTTTTTTATCATCACCACACACTGACAATACTATGTAATGTCAGTGATAAAATACTTCTCCCTATAAATAACTTTTGTTGGTCTAAGTTCTGAATAATAACTGGTTATTGTGTGTATGTGCTTCTGATTAATAGATTTTTATTGTTATCCTTTAGTAAATATTCCATATAGAACTTAATTTGGAGAAATCTCCTTTAATCAGTTGGCTCCCAACACACAGGGATTCAGTAATTTGCATTCTTTATGATGAGTAAGTTTATAAAAAATAAAGTTTGATTTGGACATAACCATTGTGGTACTCCCTATTTCTACTTTTAAATAGTGACTCAAAATTAAATAATGATAGCACAGAGATTGGAAAGAGAAGGAAACAGAATTAGAGAACTTCCATTCTGTTATTCTATGTGGCCCCTTGGAGATTTTATTTGTGTTTCAGATGTAACAGAGTAAAGCAGTGCAAAATGTTAGGTATGGTACATCTGGTTGGTAGATGGTAATTTCAGTTTGAATATGCAGTATTTTAATGAATTTGAATAATAGCTTTAAAGAGTTGAAATATGCTTTCCTTATTAAATTGTTAACTAAAGAATGAATCAAGAAAATAAAACATTAAATCAGTGGTATCATTTAGTAATGGCAGATATTTTTAAAAGCATAATACCTAGGAATTCTTTCTGCTAGCATTCTCCATGCTTCAAACACTGACCAATGTGCAAAGTGGTCAGAGATGACCATGCTGAAGATGGTAAAGTTGAAATAAAGGAAATATTTTATTCTTGGGCTTCTTTTCTATTTCTGGAAGACTGTTGCTGAGCCTTCAGAAGAGAAGTTGAAACAACTGAATGGTGATGGGCAGACATAATCGTCTCTTGTGGTCAATGATATGACAGATACTCACAGTAGTGACAGGCACAAATCAAAGATATAATTCCCAATCTTTATGCATATCTTCTGTAAACAATTATTTGAATTTTTGCAGCGTTCACTCTCTTGGAGGCATTGCTTTACACATAGTTCTTTTGGTATTTCAGAAAACAATTTATTCATTCATTTAATTCTTACCTCATTGATGTGAAACACTGCAGAATGTGCCTGACAATGAAATAGACCTTCCCAGAGTAAATGGGATGCTCATTATAAAGCTGCACAGTCCAAGTAAGTATGAAAAGTTAATTTTGATCTTCAAATACTATACAATCCAAAAAAAATGTGGACCCAAGAGGATTAGTTTAAAATTCTTCTCTGTTGCATGCAATTGTTTTTTCTGCGTTACCTTTCTTAGTTTGAAGTTTTAGATGAGGCTAAGATCCCGCAATATTTACAGGCAGCCCAAATCAGTCTTGAACAATGTACAGTGAAACCAACAAGCTTTAAAGTTGTTGCTTAAAGATCAAGACACAGAAATTATGAAGAAGACTGTAATTATGCCATAAAACATTGAAGGGACCAAAAACCCACCAAAATGGAATCAAAGTGAAAATATCTGAGCTATAGCAGATGCAGAAAGAAATCTTACCTGAACTTTTTTGTCATCTATCTAAAGCAGAGCTTAAGAGAGTCAGCTGCTACAAACACCCTTCACCTCCCAGAGGGGGTCTCCAGTTAGGTAGGTAACTGACCTTAGACGCCAGGACATTTCCCCCAAAAAAGTTGTGTAAACAAGCCTCAGAGAATCTTTCATCCTTCGAAGCCCTAACACCACTTCCACTCCCCTAATTAAGCTGGTACAGAAACTGTAACCCTAGATGTCTGGGGAGCTGCTTTCTCTATACAGCACTCTGACATATGTAACCAATTTTTCTCCTATTAATCTGTCTATTGTCCATTCTCGGGTTCCTGATCATTCAGACCTAAGGTGGCAGAGCAAAAGTTTTCTCCCACAACAGCATGTAAGAAAATGGATATTGATATTTTTAAAAATCAAATTTTGAAGAAGAATGCGAGGAGAAATAACAGGAGATGCTGGTCATACATTGCTAGGTGTTAGAAAAAAGGCTAAAATTGAACCACTTTATTGTTCTTACCAAGAAATGGACATTAGTTCTAAAGCAAAGGATCAAATAAAGTCTCTGATTTTTGTAGCAGAAGAAAAGCTTTGAAAGTTTTAACAAAATATGATATAAACTTATATAAATTTACTTAAGGTACTTCAGTGAACATTTTTTGATTGAGACATTTGAAAGCTGCTAGAATAAATCTCAAAGAAAAAATGACATTCTCAGTATTGCAATTTCTGTATTATCATGAGATGGGATTTTTTTGAATCTTTGCCGAACTTAAGCTTAAGACCTTTCCCTACTATTTGTAGGGAAATTCTCATGTGTTGTTTTGTGTGGAAAAAAAGGCTTTGAAATTAAAATTAATAAAAAATGTTCTTGGATCAACCATGAGGAAAGATAGATTGAAAAATCTGGCTATACAATCATTGAACATGAGTATGCAAAGAAGATCCATCTTGACAAAATTAAGGCTTGAAACTAGAAACTGTAATGTTATTCATTACTGCGACAGGTCAATATGAAGGCATACATTTTTCCCTTTTTTCAAAAAACTCATTAATGTAATTAAAATGTATTAAACCATTACTTTTTCTTTTTTTCTGCAATAGTTTACATTTTAGAATGACCAAGAGGTCCGTTACTCAATCACTTCTTCTGTTGTATCATCATGATCACATTTACAAAAATCAGTACAATGTTTACATTTCTTTTCTGCCCATTATTATTACTTATTTCAGTTTGTGATCATGATAGTGCTTTTCCAGATGCAAAAATGTCATTTGAATATTTTATAAGAATTTGTTTATGTAGACATTCCAATTGTTTATATTCTCAGTCTAGTTACTAAAGAATGACTGGGTAATACCAATGCCTCTTTGGCTTTTTCTACCAGAACAAAGTCACACA
The DNA here is from genome assembly GCF_000001405.40 of Homo sapiens. Taxonomy (NCBI): domain Eukaryota; kingdom Metazoa; phylum Chordata; class Mammalia; order Primates; family Hominidae; genus Homo; species Homo sapiens. Next base: position 79,752,151 of record NC_000006.12, on the reverse strand, counting down.
ACATTATATATTATAAATTATATGATAGTAATTTATAAGTGTTCTTTGTCCACAGAATCAGAAGGACAGAACATTGAACTCTGAAGAAACCCAAGCAAATTAGAAGTCTGTATAATAGAAAAATTCAGCTTAAAGGGGCATAAGCAGATTCAACTAAGATTTAAAATTTATTAATTTCTCTATTTACTGAAGTAATTTTGTCATAGAGGAGTGGAGCACAAAAAAATGGTTGATTCTGGGTGTCAGATGCCCTGGGTGAGCACTGGGTGTGCCAATCATTGAGATCCCTCCTCCTTAGACTTCCCTCCCAAATTTTCCTCCCTCCCAGCCTGTCCCTCATCCCTCTGGGCTTTCTTATTTTAATCAGGGAATCTGAGATTTAAATGGAGGTCTGGTGCTAGCAGGAGAGATCAACGAATCCTTAGACCTATTGATAAATCAAGAAACCATAGACACCCTTCTATTCATTTTTTTGTGTTAGAATGCAGAGGTACTGAGTACCTTTTGTTCTCAGAATTGGTTTTTGTCTCCAATTCTGGAAAACAGGAAAGATTTTGATCAGCCCCTCATACCACCACACAATTTAGAATGACCAGGAGGTCCATTATTCAATCACTTCTTCTGTTGTACGAGGTAGGCATTGCTAAATGTGAAAGCAGTGATTTGGGTTTAATGAGATAATTTCAAAACTTCCCTTAAAAATAACTTTTTCAATTCTCAGCTTTAATTTTAAGTATCTTACATCACTTCAACTTGTAGTTTCAAAATAGAGTGGTAGATAATTTAAAAATATGTAATAATATAACTTTAATGCACAGAGGAAAACAATACGAGAAATTCACTCTTCTTTCCAGCTGCTGCAATACCAACAGGATTTGCAGTAATGGAAAACTCAGCTTTCGTTTCCAGTTGAAATGGATAGAAATGGTGCCAATATGCAGTGTTATTTTGTAAAGATGTACATTTATTAAATTAGATTTTAAAACTTGAGACTACATGACATAAATCCTCTCTAAAATTGTTCGAAGTTGCTCTCAGGCAAGTCATATTCCAATTTCTTCATCTGTTTTTGCTTCCCTAGGCCAGAAACATGAGCGTTTGAGGGCAAGTGATTCTCTTTGTGGTTCCCTCCTGGGGAGAAGTCATCAGTGCAGCCCTGCAAATGAGCAGCTGATGCTGGTTCCCTGGTCGATGAACCAGAAGGCTGGGCAAATGGAAGCCAGCTTTTATTTTTCTCTTTTCCTCCTGTTACTGGCTGGTAATTTAGGGACTTGAGATCAGCGTGTATTTGATTTTCTCTGGGTATCCCAACCCCTTCAGGTGGAGCCCTTGCAATAGCATTGCAAAAAGGGAAAGAGAAAAACAAGATAAAGAAACTTATGTGTCTTTTGATTTGGAAGGAGGCTTATGAATTTTGTTATGCCATATACTGCATGAAAAGAGAAACTAAAAGAGAACCTTAAGGTTTTTGTATGTCTGCTCACCATTTAAAGAGAATATTGGTTCCAGTTCACTAACACAGAGGCAGGAAAATTTGTAAGCCAAATGCAATTATCATGATTAATGGCTTCCTCAGAAAATCTTTAAAATTATGCGTCTTTCTCTTTTAACAAAAGAATATCCAGATTTGATATTTTAAAAAAGAATCCTTAAATGTTGAAGGACTGATACTTACAGCTAAATCATAAAGGGGATAAAATATGGTCTTGATCTACGTAATAAGTGTTTTTAATTTGGACTATTCCAACAGTTATTAGGCCATTTCTTTCCTGTCATTTCTTAAAATATCAGTACTTTAATGAAATACACTGGAACTGAAATAAATATTTTCATATTTAATGAAGAGTAGCTTCCTTTTCTACAAGTCACAAACCATTTGGGTTGAGTGCCTCAAAACTTTTTAAAATTTCTTAAACCTGTCTTTCAGATCAATGCTTGCCTAGATAAGAAATCAATGGTGAAAATATAAATAGATGTGAACTTGAAATAAAATACTAGTTGTGTTAATTTTGTTAATTTATGCCTCATGACATCAACTGAGGCTACTACTGGATTTTGTCTGTTCAACAGGCTTTCTAATCCCCTTCCTTTCAAAATAGACCCTGGTCCTTTGGCCACAGAGATGGGGTTAGGTGTGAGTTTGTTACCCAGCTGGGCCAATCGCCATTCTTCCCTGGATTGATAAATGAACACTCAAGAAAAAAGTTCTCTCTTTCCAGCTGGGCTACAAAATTGGGACTGCCAGAGGATCAGTACCCTGCCATAAGGAGACCAGTAGGAGAGAGTAACCACGCACATAAGACTTGAGGGTAGGTGAAGAGAAAGAATCCTGGCCCCAGTGATCTCCAGGTCTCCTCTCTCAGCCCTGGTTCCTGAAACCCTTTCTTTAGATTCGTCATCTATCACAGTATCATCTCCAGCTTCCTGAGCAAAGAATCAGCTCTTTTTTTTCCTGCTTAAAAATCATTTCAGTTTCTGCAACTTGCAGCCAAAATGTCCAAACTAATATATGTGCCATTTTTACAGCACTTACTTTTTAAATTTAGTCTTTTGTTCACATACAGGAAGCCTTTTTTTTGATGTGCCATTATATCTGATCTGTTAGCTTTGAAAATTCACAGAGATGTGTAAGTACCACCATAATCAAGATATGCAACAGTTTCATCATACCCCAAAATACCCTTGTGCTGCCTACCTTTTTACAGCCAATCCCTGAACCCAAGCTCAGCCACTGGGAACAATCTGTTCTCCATCCCAATAGTTTTGCCTTTTCCAGATTGTATAGAGAATATAGCCTTTTGTATCTGGCTCCATTCACTTAGCAAAGGGATTGGCAAACTTTCTCTGTAAAGGGCCAAGTAATAATTATTTTCGTCTTTGTAGGCCATATAGTCTCTTGCAACTATTCAAATCTGCCATTGTAGCATGAAAACAGCCACAGACAGTGCATAAATGAATGGGTGTTACTGGATTTGGCCTGCAAACCAAAGAGTTTGCTGACACCTACTTTAGCATCATACATTTGAGGGTCATCCATCTTGCCTGTATTAATAGTTTGTTCCTTTAGATTGCTAAGTAATATTCCATTGTGTAGATGTATCACAGTGTATTTATCCATTCAACAGGTAAAAGGCATTCTGATTGTTTCCATTGTTTGGTGATTATAAGTAAAACTGTGCCATAGTCTGAATATGTCCCTCAAAATTTATATGTTGAAACTTAATGACCAATATAATAATATTAAGAGGTGAGACCTTTGGGAGGTGATTAGGTCATGAGGGATCCTCCCACATGAATGGAATTAAGGCCCTTATTAAAGTGGTTTTATATAGGGTTCAGCCCTTTTGCTCCTCTAGTCTTCCACCAGGTGAGGACAGAGCATTTGTCCCCTCTGGAGGATGCAGCAATAAGGTGACATCTTGAAAGCAGAGAGGCTGGGTCCTTGCCAGATGCTAAACCTACCGGAACCTTGATCTTGGGCTTCTCCACCTCCAGAACTTTGAGAAATAAATTTCTGTTCTTGCCAGGTGTGGTACTGTCACTTACGGTACCAGCTACTCAGGGGGCTGAGATGGAGGATTGCTTGAGCATGGGAGTTTGAGGCTGCAGTGAGCCAAGATCATGCCACTGAACTCCATCCTGGGTGACAGAGTGAGATCCTGCCTCAAAAAAAAAAAATCTGTTTTTTATAAATTATCCAATCACAGGCATTTCATTACAGGAGCACAGACAAGATTAAGATAAACTGCTGTCAACATTTGTGTACACATTTTTGTATAAACTTGTTTCATTTCTCTTGGGTAAAATACCTAGGAGTAGGATTGCTGGGCTGTATAGTTGCTTGTTGCTTGTTTAGCTTTAAAAGAAAATTATGGGGGTTGGGGAGGGGCCAAGATGGTTGTCTAGAAGCAGCTAGTGTGTGCCACTCTCACAGAGAAAAGACAGAGTGGCCAGTAAACACTAGCTCTTCAACTGGATCATCCCAGAGGGCACATTGGGATTCATCAAGGAAACAATGTGACCCACAGAAAACAGGGAAGAGCAAGATAGGACAGCTGCCCACCAAGGATTGGCATGGAGCCAAGGGAGGGTACCCACCATGGAAAAATGGTGAATGAGTGAGATGCCCTGGGACCCACACTTCTGCCATGAACCTTTGCAATCCTAGGCACAGGTGATCCCCCCAACCTCTACCCACTAGAGCCTTCAGACTGACACTGAAAACATACCAAGCACTCTCTGAGATAACAAGCACAATAAAATTAGAAATCAGTACCAAGATCTCTCAAAACCATACAATTAAATGGAAATTAAACAATCTGCTCCTGAATGACTTTTGGGTAAACAATGAGATTAAGACAAATATCAAGAAGTTATTTGAAACTAATGAAAATGAAGATGCAAAATACCAGAATGTCTGGGACACAGCTAAAGCAATGTTGAGGAACGTTTATCGTGCTAAATGCCCACATCAAAAAGTCAGAAAGATCTCAAATTAACAATCTAACATCACGCCTAGAGGAACTTGAAAACCAAAAGCAAACCAATCCCAAAGCTAGTAGAAGAAAAGAAATAACCAAAATCAGAGCTGAACTGAATGAAATGGAGATGAGAAAAACCATACAAAAGATCAATTAAACCAAAACTTTATTTTTTTAAAGAATAAATAAGATTGATAGACTACTAGCTAGACTATTAAAGAAAAAAATATCCAAATAAAGACAAATGAAAAAGCGGACATTACCACTGATCCCATAGAAATATAAAAAAACCCTCAGAAACTACTATGAACACCTTTATGCACACAAACTAGAAAACCTAGAAAAAATGGATGAGTTACTGGAAACATACAACCTCCCAAGATTGAACCAGGAAGAAATTGAATCCCTGAACAGACCAATAATGAGTTCTAAAATTGAATCAGTAATAAAAAAAAAAACCTGCCAACCAGAAAAAGCCTTAGACCAGACAGATTCACAGCCAAATTCCACCAGATGTATAAAGAAGAGCTGGTACCATTCCTACTGAAACTATTCCAACAAATTGAGGTGGAGGGAATCTGTCCTAACTCATTCTATGAGGCCAGCATCATTCTGATACCAAAACTTGGCAAAGACACATACACAAAAGAAAACTTCAGACCAATATCCCTGATGAACATAGACTGAAAAATTCTCAACAAAATATTAGAAAACTGAATCCAGCAGCACATCAAAAAGCTAATCCACCATGATCAAGAAGGCTTTATTACTGGGATGCAAGCTTGGTTCGACATATGCAAATTGAATGTGATTCGTAGCATAACTATAACTAAAAACAAAAAACCACATGATCATCTCATTAGACACAGAAAAGGCTTTCAATAAAATTCAACATTCCTTCATGCTAAAAACCCTCAATAAGCTAGGCAATGAAGGTAAATGCCTCAAAATAACGAGAGCTATCTTTGACAAACCCACAGCCAACATCACACTGAATGGGCAAAATCTGAGAACCTTGAGAACCAGAACAAGATAAGGAAGCCCACTCTCACTACTCCCATTCAACATAGTACTGGAAGTCCTAGCCAGAGCAATCAGGTAAGAGAAAGAAAAAAGGCATCCAGATAGTAAAAGAGGAAGTCAAACTATCTTTGCAGACGTTGTGATACTATACCAAGAAAACCCCATAGTCAAGGTAAGGGAGAGCATTAGGACAAATACCTAATGCATGCAGGGCTTAAAACCTAGATGATGGGTTGATAGGTGCAGCAAACCACCATGGCAGGTGTATACCTATGTAACAAACCTGCACGTTCTGCACATGTATTCCAGAACTTAAAGTAAAATAAAAAAAAGAAAAAAGAAGGCCGGGCATGGTGGCTCATGCCTGTAATCCCAACACTTTGGGAAGTCAAGGCAGGTGGATCACGAGGTCAGGAGTTCGAGACCAGCCTGACCAACATGATGAAACCCTGTATCCACTAAAAATACAAAAATTAGCTGGACGTGGTGGTGCATGCCTGTAATCCCAGCTACTCAGGAGGCTGAGGCAGGAGAATCACTTGAACCTGGGAGGCAGAGGTTGCAGTGAGCCAACATCACCACTGCACTCCAGCCTGGGTGACAGAGCAAGACTCTGTCTCAAAAAAAAAAAAAAAAAAAAAAAAGAAAAGAAAAACCCACAGTCTTCTAGGCTTCTAGGTATAGCATCTTTCTTCCAGGGTTTATAAAACCCTAGAAGAAGACCTAGAAAATACCATTTTGGACACTGGTCTGGACAAAGACTTTATGATGAAGACTCCAAAAGCAATTGCAACAAAAACAAAAATTGACAAGTGGGACCTAATTAAACTAAAGAGCTTCTGCACAAAAAAAGAAACTATCAATAAATAAACAGACAACCTCCAGAGAAGGATTAAATATTTGCAAACTATGTATCCAACAAAGGTCTAATATCTAGAATCTATAAGGAACTTAAACAAATCAACAAACAAAAAACAAATCACCCCATTTAAAAATGGGCAAAGGACATGAACAAACACTTCTCAAAAAAGACATTCATCTGGTCAACAAGCATATAAAAAATGCTCAATGTCATTAATCATTAGGGAAATGCAAATCAAAAGCAAAATGAGATGCCATCTCACAGATGTCAGAGAGCTTCTGACAAGCTCTCTCTCTTTGCCTGCTGCCATCCGTGGAAGATGTGACTTGCTCCTCCTTGCCTTCTGCCATGATTGTGAGGCTTCTGCAGCCATGTGGAACTGTAAGTTCAATTAAACCTCTTTCTTTTTTAAATTGCCCAGTCTCGGGTATGTCTTTATCAGAAGCATGAAAACAGACTAATACAGGGAAGGATGTCTTAATCTGCTCAGGCCCTTATAATAAATTTCCATAGACTGCATGGCTTAAAAACAATATAAATTTATTTCTCACAGTTCTGGAGGCCAGAATTCCAAGATACAGATGCCAACATGATCAGGCTCTGGTGAAGGCCCTTTTCTGAGCTGCCCACTGTAGACTTCCCACTGCATGCTCTAACAGTGAAAGGAGCAATGCAGCTCTTTTGGGCCTCTTTTTTTTTTTTTTAGAGACAGAGTCTTACTATGTTTCTCAGACTGAACTCGAATTCCTGGGGTCAAGCTGTCATCCTGCCTCAGCCTCCTGAGCAACTGAGATTACAGGTGCACTACCGTGCTCAGCTGGGGCCTCTTTTATTAAGCGCATTAATCCTCATCATGAGGCTCCATTTCCATGACCTAATCATCCCCCAAAGACCTCACCTCCTGATATCATCACCTTACAGGTTAGGATGTCAACATGTGAATTTTGTGGGTGGAGCAAACATTCAGTCCATTGCAAAAGGGGATCCCCAGTATTCAGCTGCATCCCTTCCCCAGTCTTTTGGCTAGAAAGAGGTAGTTTCTCTTGTAATTTTTGTTGTCCACACCCACTGTGCAGTTCCCAGAATTGGCTTACCTTCAGGTCAAAGTTGGGAGATTAAGGAGAGAAAGAAATACAGAAATACAGAAAGCTCATGATTGTGTTGGGTTGTGCTTCAAGTTTTGATGTTCCTTCCCAATCTACATGCTATTGTTTACTTTTCAAAGTCCTCAAGTAGTTACTTTTTAAATTTTGTCCAGATTTTAGTTATCATCAGTGAGGGATGGTCTATATTGGGCTTACTCAATCTTGGCCAGCACCAGAAGTTCACACTGCTTATTTTTAAGGCTAGTCTTTAAGGTTTTTATATTACACTAAAAATTGAAAGTAATCTTCTTTTTTTCTCCTTATTTGGAAACTATGTTCTGTTTTTGTTTATGATGTCCTATTATGTCAGCCTCTATGCCCTACTGAGATTATGCTCTTAATCTGGCACTTTATCGTCGTAACTATAACCCGAGAAATCCTTATTTCCTTTTTGTGTTTGATTTGTATATTAGACTATAATGAGACAGTTCAATGAGAAAGTGCCAGATTATTAAAAATAAAAATCTTGTATTATATGAGTTTTTGATTCTCTCAGAGAATCTGATCACTTAGAACTACCAAAGATTCAGTATTTATCTGATTTTTCAACTGTATTGGTTTTCTTATGACGTGAAAGATATGAAAGAACACAGCAGGAGAGAAAGCAGAAGAACCGAACTATGTGTGCACATCCTGCTTTCCCATTACCCATGTTCCTGAAACTTCTTAAAAATGCACAATGGGTCATACTCCAAATTCCCAACAGTTAAAAGTATACGACAAGAGAGATGAACTTTAATCCTGAAGCTACCATTTGCTGGTTATGTGACCTTTGATAATTTACTTAATTTCTTGGATTTAATTTTCTTGTTTGTTAAATGGGTTCATGGGACAATGTCTCTAAAACTTTTCTTACATATAAACTATGGAATACTACACAGTCATAAAAAAGAATGAGATCATGTCCTTTGCAGCAACATGGATGGAGCTGTAGGCCATAATCCTTAGCAAACTAACGCAGGAACAGAAAACTAAATACCACATGTTCTCACTTATAAGTGGGAGCTAAACAATGAGAACACATGAACACAAAGAGGGGAACAACAGACACAGACAACCAAAGCAAAAATTGAAAAATGGATTAAATCAAGCTAAAAAGTTTCTGCACAACAAAGGAAACAATCAATGAAGTAAAGGGACAACCTATAGAATGGGAATAAATATTTGCAAACCATCCATTTGACAAGGCATTAATAACCAGGCTATATAGTGAACTCAATTCAATAGCAAAAGAACAAATAATCCAATTGAAGAATAGCCAAAAGATCTGAATAGACATTTCTCAAAAGAACGCATACTAAAGGACAAAAAATGTGTGAAAAAAAGATCAACAGGGAAATGCAAATCAAAACCACAATGAGTTATCATTTCACCCTAGTTAAAATGGCTGTTATCAAAAAGACAAAATAAATGCTAGCAAGATTGCAGAGGAAGGGGAATGCTTGTACACTGTGAGTGGAATGTAAATTAATACAACCACTATAGAAAAGAGTATGAAACTTCCTCAAAAAAACTAAAAATAGAACTACCATATGATCCATCAATCTCAGTTTTTGGTAAATATCCAAAAGAGATATCTGCACTCCCATATTTATTGCAGCACTATTCATGATAGCCAAGATATGAAATCAAACTAAGTGTTCATTACTGGATGGATGAATAAAGAAAGAAAGTGTGGTACATATACACAATGGAATATGATTCAGCCATAAGAAAGAATAAAATCTTGTCACTTGCAGCAACATGGATGGATCTAGAGGACATTAAGTTAAAGGAAATAAACCAATCACAGAAAGACAATGTTGCATGTTCTCAATCATTTGAGAGCTAAAAAAATTGATCTCGTGGAGGTAAGGAGTAGAAAAATGTTTACCAGATGCTAGGAAGAGACATCAGAGGATGATGAGAGATTGATTAATGGGTACAAAAGTACATGTAGATAGAAGGAATAAGTTCTATTCAATAGCGCAATAGAGAGATTATAGTTAACAATAATTTATTATATATTTCAAAATAGCTAGAAGATTTGAAATGCTCCCAACACAAAGAAATTATATTTAAGCTGATGGATATACAATTACTCAGATGTGATCAGTACACATCATATACTATATCAAAATATCACATGTCCCTTGTAAATATGTACAACTGTTATGTATTCGTAAAAATTTAAAAATATTTTTAAAGAATTTAAAATTTTAAATAAATCTGAAAAAATAAGAATGCCAAATAAACACATACAATGTTTTTCATAAAACAATTGGAAAAGTCTAAGAAATTGTGACAACAAATCACCAATAGATGAAAATATTAACTTTGGACAAATTTGTTAGGTTTGGCCAATCTCAGTTCCCCTTTCCTTCCTGTGGTTTTATACTTTAGAAATTTAGATAAATATTACCATACCATATGTATATTTTGAAACTTTCTTTTTCCTTCGACTGTAGCCCACTGACACCTGCTCCTCTTGTTCATTCACATGACCTGCTTTATTGTTTACTATCGAACAACTGTACAAACATTTATCCATTCTCCTTTTGGCAATTGTTATATTGTTTACTGATTTATACTACTGCAAACAATAATGTCTTGTTTCTATCATCTTATTTTGTATTTTCTGCTTTATTTTTCTTTTTTTAAGTTTTCCCCTCCAATATTTTATGCATTACAAATTACCCGTATTTTTTTAGCCAGTCAAATTTAGCAGTGGGGGGTAGTATACTACTCTTAATTTTAAAATATAAATATTTACCTATATATTTTTCTAAGAATGTTTAAGATTTTTCAGTATTTTAATCTTACCGTATAGGACATAGGCCTTAGCATGCTGTAACTAGTCATTGAGCAACTCTCCTGTTATTTTCATCTCATTTTAATTTTTACATTTTGTTAACAAAAATTAGGAGAACCTGTATAGTCAATAGCTAATTAAGACTTGTTTTATGATGAATTTTGTTTCTTGTAACTCAGGCCTTTTGAATTTGTTTCTTTTTGCACAGTCCATCCTTTAATAATCTTTTAGTATGGGTTAATGAGTGGTAAACATTTTAGGGCTTGGTATGAAAAATATCATTTTTTTCTTTACAATTCAGTGATTTAAAACATTTATTTATTTATTTTGAGCAATAGTTTTCTATCTTTATTTCTCAGGCACTTTTACCATTAAGAAATTGTTTTTAGATTTTTAATTTTTTATTTTATTATACTTCAAGTTCTGGGGTACTTGTGCCGAATGTGTAGGTTTGCTACATAGGTATGCACGTGCCATGGTGGTTTGCTGCACACATCAACCCGTCATCTACATTTGGTATTTCTCCTAATGCTATCCTCCCCTAGCCCCCCAACCCCCAACAGGTCCTGGTGTGTGATGTTCCCTTCCCTGTGTCCATGTGTTCTTATTGTTCAGCTCCCACTTATGAGTGAGAACATGCAGCGTTTGGTTTTCTGTTCTTGTGTTAGTTTGCTAAGAATGATGGTTTCCAGCTTCATCCATGTCCCTACAAAGGAAATGAACTCATCTTTTTTATGGCTGCATAGTATTCCATGGTGTATATGTGCCACATTTTCTTTATCTAGTCAATCACTGATGGGCATTTGGGTTGGTTCCAAGTCTTTACTATTGTGAATAGTGCCACAATAAAATTACATGTGCTTGTGTCTTTATAGTAGCATGATTTACAATCCTTTGGATATATACCCAGTAATTGGATTGCTGGGTCAAATGGTATTTCTGGTTCTAGATCCTTGAGGAATCGCCAGACTGTCTTCCACAATGATTGAACTAATTTATACTCCCACCAACAGTGTAAAAGCATTCCTATTTCTCCACATCCTCTCCAGCATCTGTTGTTTCCTGACTTTTTAATGATTGCCATTCTAACTGGCATGAGATGGTATCTCATTGAGGTTTTGATTTGCATTCCTCTAATGACCAGTGATGATGAGCTTTTTTTCATGTGTTTGTTGGCCGCATAAATATCTTCTTTTGAGAAGTGTCTGTTCATATCCTTTGCCCACTTTTTGATGGGGTTGTTTGTTTTTTTTTTGTAAATTTGTTTAAGTTCTTTGTAGATTCTGGATATTAGGCCTTTGTCAGATGGAGAGATTGCAAAATTTTTCTCCTATTCTGTAGGTTGCCTGTTCATTCTGATGATAGTTTCTTTCATTTATAATTTATCTAGGCTTAATAAAATTCTGGACTGGAAATTTTTGTTCCTTTAGTACTTTAAAGATATTAGTGTATTATCCTCTGTCATTCATTGTTGCCAGTGATAAATATGCTGTCTAATTGGCATTCCTTTGTAATAATAGCCAACATGTTTCAAGTGCCTACTCTGTACCATATGTTGAGTACAAATTTTAACTCACTTCTACTTCACCACAAGCCTCATAGGCAAGCATTGTTAATATTTTCTTTTACTAGATAGGGAAACAAGAGCACCAAGAGTTGAAGTATCTTGATCAGTGTCCACAGCCAATTAGTGGTAGAGCTGGGAGTGTGCATTTGTCATGCTCTGAGTGTGTTTTGGGGCCAATGAATTATATCTTTCTCCCTTTTTTCTTTTTCTTTTTTAGTGAAAGTAAATTTATTAAGTGAAGGAATAAAGAATGGCTACTCCATAGGCAGAGCAGCCTGTATCTTTCAACTCTGCAAAATTCTGAGCTCAAATCTCTTCAAAATCTGTGCTTTTCCACTATTCCCTTCTTACTCTTACCCAACTCTTATGTTGGCAAAGGCATTGTGCATGGTTGTGCAGATAACACACTGCATGACCCTGGGGGCTGTTCAAACCAGAGTAGTCTATGTGTCTTCTCTTTTTGACTTATTTTCAGGCAATTCACCTAAAGACATTTTCATCAATTATCAAAAAAATGAGGTTTAAATAAAGAAATTTCTACTACATGTTTGTAAATTAGCTGTTACATATCTAGTGTTCCAGGGAAGAAAATTGTTTCAGATCACTAATTGCCAAGTAATTCAGGTTGACCTCAATTTCTCAAATAAAATTAATAATGACAATGATAATAATACCTTTCTCGTGTGTCGTGTTCCACTGTCTTAAAAATAATTCATGCGCAATATTTAACCTAATTTTTACCACAACCCTGTGAGTTCGTTTGGAAGCATGGAACAATTATACCTATTTGACAGATAGGGAACCAGATCTTAGAGAAAGCAATTAGCCTATGTAAGGTTACAAAGCTACCGAAGGCCAATTGGACCCATGTCTTCTGAGTCTTAAACGGTTCTTACAACATTTTAAAGAACTAAAAACATTCACAGAGAGGTTCAAGAGCAGAATAAGAATTTTGGAAATCAATAAGGTCTAGTGTAGCACCACTGACTTATCATTACTATGATTAATTTTACCATAAAATAAACTGTATTAAGTAACACAATAATACTGTATTAAGTAACACAATAATAACACAATATAATACACGGTGAAAAAATTTTATTAGACATACAATTGTTTAATTGCCAATGGTTTTCCATGACTGAATGAAGTCTAGGCACCATAGCATGGTATACATCGCCTTTTACGTTTTGGCTCCTCCTCCCATTTTTCTGGTAGCTTTTCTTATTATTCCTGTTCCTAGCACTCTAATTTTTCATCATTCCTAAAATACCTTGAGCCATTTCAGAGCTGGCATTTCTCTTTTCTCTGATTTCTGCCTCCTCTACAGGGCCCGTGGAGCAGATCACCTGTGAGGTTCCTGTGGATGAGATAACCTAATCTGTGACTTCTTTGCCAGTTATCTTCTTTTTATGTGTCTCTTTCTTTTCCACTGAACTGTGAGCTCCTAGAGAATGGCGGCTAGTTCTTATTTAAATCCACACAGTTCTTAGCACAGGTCTTGGGCCACACACAGTAATTACCTTACATTTTATGAATGAATGGACAAAATGAAACAAAAAAGTACTTCCAATATAACATTTTTATGAAGTTTTACAATTTGAAGTCACCTTTATATGTCAATGCCTGCTATGGTTTGAATGTGTCTCCAAAATTCATGCTGAAGCTTAGTCCCCATTGTGGGGGTATTAAGAAGGGGGGCCTTTGGGGAAGTCATTAAGTCATGAGGGCTCTACCTCATGCATGGATTAGTGCTTTACAAAAGGGCTGGAGACAACCAGCTTAGGCCCCTTTGCTCTTTTGCTCCTCCACCATGTGAGGACACAGCATTTGTTCCCTAATACTGATGCCTTGATCTTGGACTTCCCAGCCTCCAGAACTATCAGAAAATAAACTTCTGTTGTTTATAAATTACCCAGTCTCAGGTATTTTGTTGTAGTAACAGAAAACAGATTAATACCTAACCTTTTACTTTCAAGCTCTCTTAAAAATCCTAAGTGCTACATTAATATATGACAAAGGAAGGATGAACAAAGTAATCAATGAATGAGTTAGTGGATCATAACAATAAAATATTTTAATACTTCCTTTTTTTTTTTTTTTTTTTTTTTGAGACGGAGTCTCGCTCTGTCACCCAGGCTGGAGTGCAGTGGCGTGATCTCGGCTCACTGCAAGCTCCGCCTCCCGGGTTCACGCCATTCCCCTGCCTCAGCCTCCCAAGTAGCTGGGACTACAGGCACCCATCACCACGCCCAGCTGATTTTTTTGTATTTTTAGTAGAGACGGGGTTTCACCGTGGTCTCGATCTCCTGGCCTCGTGATCCGCTCTGCCTCAACCTCCCAAAGTGCTGGGATTACAGGCGTGAGCCACCTCACCCGGCCTTTAATACTTCTATGTGTGGGGTTTAATAATACCTACTTTCACTTTAAAATTTAATGTAGTCAGTTTCATGTGCAACTAATTCTTACTTTGCTGACATTTAAATCTATAAGCTCACAAACTTAATCCCTAAAATAAATGCAATGTAAGAGGTTTAAAATTTGTCAAGCAATCTGAATGAAGGAGTATGGGCAAATACAACTTGCCATGTTAGATATTGATTTCATCATTTCTGACCCTGGAAAATACAATCGATGTTTATCATGGCAGCCGATGAGGAATGGTGGGGGCTAAATGAGCTTCCTGTGTGTATTCATTCTGATTATAAGTGAAACAAAAGGGATCCACCATGAATTATGTCTGTGGTGAAGTTGATTAAACCTGTATGCACCGTCACAGTGTGACTGAAATGTTATCGAATCTGGTGAGTTGCCCTTCTGAATGCTGTTTGCCTTGCGGGAACAGCAGGCAGGCAGCTCTTCCTCAGCTCAGTGATTTTACTGCATGTATACAATCTCAGCCAAGTGCAACAGAAAATACTCGGCAGCACTGGAAAGACAGCCAGGCCATAAATGATACAATGGCTGTTTCAGAGAGTCCCAATGCAAGGAACGGCGCTGTTTGATAAGCGTTAAAAAAAGGGGCAATGTACGCAAGGCATTCCATTACATTGTCAAAGCCAGATTAGAGAAAATCCTGTCTGTTAGTTTTGTAAGCAGGCAAGGAGGGAGAAATATAAGCAAATATTCAAGGAGAAAAAAAATATAAAAGCACTCTTTCACACCTCACCAAGTACATGTACAATTAACTCTTATTTTGCTGACATTTAAATCTACATTATACGAGGAATTTAAGAGCTATTGAGGGAGGTGCTACTACGGAGATAGAAAATTCCATCATGTGGTTCTGTGTGCTGGTCTACTGTCCCTTATCCATTTTAAAAATATTAATAAGGCTCTTGCTAGGATACATAAAAGATGTAAAGGAAGAAGTCTTTGCTTGGTGAAAATGCACTTTGGCATTTTCAATTGGATTATTGTTAGAGGTTATAATGCAGAGCACCAGGTTTTTGCATGAACACATTTCCCCATACAGAGTCCAGACAGTTCTATGTTACACTGCATTCCATGATCAGCTTATCATGGAGATATTTCCTTTGGGAAGCATTTAGCATCTTTGGGGTTTAGGAATGTTGTTTAGGAAATGATTTCTTCAAGTCCCTTAGCATTAGTATTTATTTTAGCAGAGGGCAAGAGTTAGGGGTGTTTTATTTATTTACATGTTCATTCAGCAATTTACTTATTTCCGAAGGCTTTTTATTAATCTGTTCTTTTCTTAGGCCATCTTAGAAATCTCTGTAAAGCATGTCAATAAAAACTGAATTATACTTCCTTTGCAACTAGATATTAATGCTAGGTGTCAGTCACTTATAAAGTCCTGCATCTTTTTTACTAACACAATCATGAGAATGAGCACAGGCCCAAAATCTCATAGGCTAAAATATCTGCCAAAATGGAAATCAGGAGGCACTTTTCCTTGTGTGGGATTCTGTTGGTGGGCTTTCAGAGCAACTGGCTACAAGCGTGTTAATGCAATCATCACAAGTTGAACATGAGAATTGGAGAAGGTAGGGGAAACATCAGGAAATGTGAGTACAATGCATTTTGGAGGCCTTACCTTATTTAAAATAATACTCTGATATGTTATTCTAGGCTTCTGAGGGATAAGCTGCCTCTCTCTGTTTTGACTATGTTTTCTCAATTATTTGGCATTTGGAACAAATACTTTTTACGTTACATTACACTGTTTAATTCAACAAACATTTTAAAGCTTCTGCTTACATTGTTCAACTGAGAAATGCGAACATTTCTTAGGAGACAAGGAGCCCTAAGACCCCACTGGTCCTCCCCTCTGCACCACAGAAAGAGAGTTCACTTCCTTCTCCAGAGTCATGTGTTAGAAAGTCTAACTGATTGGAGCGTAAACAGCGGGAAGTTTCTGGAGTCTAAATTTTACATAGGAGTCTATTTAACCAATTTTATATTAAAATTACTAATACTACATGATAGAACTGAATGTAAAATTCACATGAATTTTTAAGATAAACCACAGCTCCAGAGAAATACCCTCCTGAAAGAGTCTGAAGGCCTCTACTCCTCTGCTGTAAGTGGTACCTAGGGAGAAACGGTGAGAACATTCTCTGCAAGACAAGTTATTTGGCATGGAGCACCGGGAAGTAAAAAGAGTTTAGCCAAGGTCTTTTTTACTCATGGAGCTTATAATTAGGAAGTAGCAGAGGTGTTTACCATGAACACAAACAAAAACTGCAGAAAGATACCAGGGAAAGATCAGTTCTGATCAACAGAACTACCACGTGAGTGTTGGTACCTGAAAAGGGCCTAGAAATTAAAGTAGAGTTTCAACAGGTAGAGTGTGTGGAAGGGCCTTTCCGGGAGGGGTCAGCCTATGCAAAGGCACAGAGGCATGAACCAAGATGACAGATTTATCAAGCCATGTCAATGTGGCTGCAATATAAGGTAGGGCACTCGGAAGAAGACTTAACAAAAGTCATGCTTACGTGTATATTTATTGTGTAATTTCAGACAAACCAATGTCCAGTTTTTAAAGAAATCTTCTAGTGAATAATTGACTTTGTAAAGTGAAAGTGACTTTCCCACTTATCCGTAAAAAAGAATGGATTTTTAAATTGCTTTAGATTGGGGTGCAAACACATGATAGATTTTATAATAGATTTGGTGGGCAATTTTTCCTTCAATTGCCCACAGAGGTATTTTGTTTGTTTATCCCACAAATACGTATGTAATGGTAAATGGTGAATGTGTGTAATGGTAATGTCTGTGATTACCAGGCACAAAGCTGAAACAAACTGGCAAAAAAATGCCTCCCCACTCGACAAAGAATAGACAGAAATGTCAGGAATATTCCTTTCTTTTTTTTTTTTTTTCTTTGACACCGAGTCTCGCTCTGTCCCCCAGGCTGGAGTGCGGTGGTGCGATCTCTGCTCACTCCAACCTCCGCCTCCTGGGTTCAAGTGATTCTTCTGCCTCAGCCTCCCATGTAGCTGGGATTACAGGTGCACACCACCACACCCAGTTAATTTCTGTAGTTGTTTTAGTAGAGATGGGGTTTTGCTGTGTTGGCCAGGCTAGTCTCGAACTCCTGACCTCAAGTGAGCTGCCCGCCTCGGCCTCCCAAAGTGCTGGAATAACAGGCGTGAGCCACCGCACCCAGCCAGGAATATTCCTTTCTAACGACTGATCATCCACTGCCATTCAGAGCACGCCTCTGACACAGGATCTTGGGAAGGCACAAAAGGTTGCTTGACAAAGCATGGATTTGGAACAACGGAAGGTGGGAGTCTGATGGATGAATCATACAGGTCTCAGTGCAATAATACAAAAGTGAATGACTTCTGTTGCATTAGAGGAAGCAGAATAGTGTTGAGTGGGTATATATGGGGTTCATAATTTGAGCACAGCCCAGCCACATACTAACTATATAACCCCTGGGATAGATATTTGGTCTCTCTTAAAGTCTCAGTTCCCTCATTTGTAAAATGTTATGTGAGTAGTAGTAATAGCTAACACTTAGAGCAGCCACAATGAACCAACTAGGCTAAATGTCCGGTGCTTTAGCTTTACATATGTATATATGTATGTATACACACACACACACACACACACACACACACACACACACACATATATATGTATCTCAACTGACAACAACCTTTAGAGGTGAGTGCTATTATTATCCCAGTTTTGTAGATGAGGAAACAGGCACTTCCACTTCCTACAGAAATGATGAAGGCTCATCCCTTCTGTGATGAATTATAAATGTCCCATTTCATGGTAGCAGGCATTATTTTCTCCAGATTTCTCCTGGAAGTGAGTAAACTTCTCTCTGCAGTTGACTCTTAGGGGGTATGGAAGGGCATGAACTTTGGTTCTGTGGTGCTGAGGGGAGGACCAGTGGGGTCTGAGGGCTTCTTGTCTCCTAAAATATCTAAAGTCAAATATACATCATGGCCTAAGATATAATTTTATTTCCTTTTTCATTCTCCAAATTTCCAACTAGTCCATGAAAGTAATTCATATTCTTTTAAAAATATTTTTACCCTTATTTTGTGTCAATTAGTAATCCTGACTTTAATTTCTCAAGCGCATTCCCACCTTCACTTCTCCACAGTGCATTCTTCAGCTTCCCCTCAGACTAGCAGGAAAGGAGTCGCGCCAAAGCATGGCTCCTTCCCTCTTGCTTTCTCCCACACCCTTGACATAATCATGTTTCAGTCTTTTCACCCAGCCACAGAAATTCATCATCTAGTGGCCAAAATATGAACATCTGCTAGATCATGTGTCTTTCATCTCTAACCATCATGGAAAAAAACACTCCCAGGCTCTTTCATAATGTGTATCACACACCCAGATAAGAATAAACCCGGCTGAGGAGGTGCTGTGGACCAAATATTTTTGTGCCCTCAAAATTCTTATGTTGAAGCCCTACCCCCCTACCCCATGTAATGGTATTTGGAGATGGGGCCTTTGGGAGATAATTAGGGTTAATTAGGTCATGAAGTGGGGCACCCAGGATGAGATTAGTGTCTTTATAAAAAGGGACACCAGAAAGCATCCTCTCTCTGTCTCTGCCTTGTGGGACACAATGAGAAAGTGGCCATCTGTAAGCCAGAAAGAGAGCCCGCACCAGAACCCGACCGTGCTGGAGCCATGACCTCAGACTGCCACCTCCAGAACAGTGAGAAAATACATTCTGCTGCTTAAAGCCACCCAGTTTATGATGTTTTGTTATGGCAACCCAAGCTGACTAATGCAGTGAAGAAAGCTTCTAACCTGTTCTTCCTACCCAGATTACCAGAATCTTAAAAATAATGACCAATTATTTTGAAAGGCAGGTTATAATCTAGGTATGGCAAGGCTGACAGATCAGGAAACAATTGCCATTGAAAAGATAATTTGTCATACTCAGAGATTCAGAGAGAAAGAGGCACACCATGCCATGGGGGGCATGTGGAGAGGCACCTGGGTTGGTCAGGAGGCAGAGAGAGCTATGGGGGAAATGTGGACAAGAGCCTTTATTGTGGTTCCTGTGGGAAGAATCTGGTGAGGCAGGGTAACCATGCCTAGAATTGACTGGTTTGAATAATTTCAGTGGGCTCTAGGGCATAGGTACCAGTTGTCTGGTACCTGACCCTGGGTGATTAGGGCAGGTGGATAATGGTCCCATGTGTAAGAGCTCAATAAAGTTGGGTGGTTGAGAGGGTATCGGCTCTGAATTGGTTGGTGTGAATATGATAGGCGCAATTACAGGTGAGTTGTTTAGAAATTAGCTAACCCTGAAAGGAGTAGTCTCTCCAGGGTCATCAAGGACCAAGATATCAAAGCATCAAAGAACAAATGACATGGTGACTACAACAATGTGGTCAATCTGATATAGACATGAATACTAGAGAATCTCATTAATTCAACCCTTAATAAAGATTATAAAAAATCTTTGATAAGTTTCTTTCATAACTTAATGAAAAGAACAACTTAATAGAGACCATATGGAATAAGAACTATAAACTAATTACTCTAAATTAGTTTGTGCATAGTTATTTACTACAAGCTACAAACATTACACACATTGGTATTTATGAGTTCCAATGCACTAGAAATCCTCAGAACCCTTAGCAGCATGGCTAAAGAAAGGTTTCTTTTTTTTTTTCTTCTCTACTTCAGTCCCGATATCCCATTATCTGTTGCTCCCCTCTTCCATGAGTTTGTTGGAATGGTCACATCTTTATATTCATTACAACTAATTTCAAAATGTTTCATGCTCTTGTTCACCAACCACTGAAAACTTCGATTTTAGAAAAGCAAAATCTTCCCCAAGGGCATTTCTGCAACTTTGTCAGTCTATTATTAACTTTAAAACTTGTTCAGGAGTTCCTCATGAAAGGCACATTGACAATTACTTAACCTGGGAATCATGCTGATCGGCAGGGTTACAGAATTCCACTGATTTGTATCTTGCTTAAGAGGTTTTTATCGAATACTTGGTCATGAGACAAATTACAATCTCTTCTATTAGCCTTAGAGTTTTACCTTTCAGCTTAGCTTTAATCGATTTGGAGTCCACCTTGTCCCTGCTGTTCTTCCCTACACTTCATGCAGACTCACTCTGCCTTTTCAGAGCTCTGCTAATCCCATGGAGGCTTTAGTGTGCTTTCACAAGAGGCTTTTGTTGGGGGCATTATTGCATTCTCCCAAATCAAACTCTATGCTCAAATCCTCTTTCTGCCGCTTAACAAATGCATGATATTCAGCAAGTTAACTTAATCTTTATAAGCCTTAGTTTCGTCCTCTATACATGAAGTTCATAATAATAATACTCACTTATAAGGTTATTGTGAGCATTGAATGAGATAATGCACATAACACACTTAGTGCAGCACCTGGTACATAATAAATGCTCAATGATTACAGTTACTACCGCAGATAGCCCAACTTTGTTTTTCCTGAGAGGTTTCCTATATTTTGAGATCATTTTTTGCAAATTATTGACCTCATTCGTTACATTCATTTTACTAATTTAAGTCTCAAAATCTAACTGTCTTTCTAAGTTTAACTACTAACTTCTGGACCTAGAATGCAGAGACTCTTGTAGTGTCTCCCAGGTTTTAACTAATCTGAAGTGTTATAAATTCCTGTACATCTGAACCTAAAGTTGGTAGGGCTGTATTATGACTTCTTTGCTTTCTTCCATAAAAAATAATAAAAATTTATATTTGTGACTGAGTTGGTAAAAAGACAAATATAATCCAGTCTGCATTTATTATTATATTCATTATTGTTATGTTCTTTTTTAATTTTAAGAGACATTAAAATGAAAACATTTTCATGAAGCCCTAAAAGTATCGTGGGCCCTAGTGCCTCCCATACCCAAAGGTGAAGTCAGCCCTAATGGTGGACTCAGACCACAATGAGATTCAAAAAGTCCCAGTGAAAACACACTAAAGATATTGCTGTAGCTCTTTTGTTGATGGGAACAATGGAGCTATTACCAAAATCATTCTTGTAGTAAAATATTATAGAGTGAAAACAGTGTGAAACCTTCTTGAGCACAGAGTTTAAGAGCCATAGTTCACTCATGTAAATTAGATTCATTGTCAACGTGATCAGCTTGGAGTCACAGAGAGGGTAGAGCTAGGACCCAGTTCTCTTGATCACCAGGAGGTGTTTTCTTCACCATACTATCTATTGCTCTTCAAAGTTTTGTTTAAGCTTATGCCAAAATATACTTTAAAATCTTTTGTTCCCACAGCAAAGCAGTATCCTCCAGTTCTACACTGCCATAGATATTATTGACCCTCATGGAATTGAATATGACCTGTTACTTATGTGATGGGACTTGAAATCCCTTTTGCATTACCAGCAACTATTCAGTGTGAACTGACATTAGATTTATTTAAAACAGCTCTTATTAGTTCTCCTACCTGAGACAAACCAATTTAGCCATTAGCAGATGAACATCAGAGCCCTGAAATACTTGATGGCTATAGAAAATGACATGCTTAAATGGGAAGAGTCAAATAGATAGAAAATAGTTAATAATGTTAAATATTCAGTCAGTCAACAAATACTTGTTGATCATCTATCCTGTACCACGTCCTGTGCTAGGCACTGGTCATAGAAATTTGAAATGAAAGAATACCTTTTATCTTAATCTACAACATTATTTACTCAGTGTTACACATATGAGTGGCAGTTTTGATTTCTGATTATAGAAGTAACATATGGTTATAGAGAACAATTTGTAAATTATCCTTTAACTTAGACATTGCATTTTACTTTGTATGTACAGCACTTATAATGAACATTCTTGGCTTTTATTTGTTTGAAAAAATAGTTTCTGTGAGCATACAATTCTAAAAGTTGGTAGTTATTTTCCCGCAGCATTTTGAAGACATTATTTCACTGTTTTCTAGCTTTCATTGATTTTTGTTGAAAAGTTAACATGTTAGTCTAATTTAGCATAATTTGTCCTTTTTTTCTAGAACCATTCATAAACTTTTCTGTGTCACTTTACATCAATGTGTCTAAGTAAAAAATTACTTTTATTTATCTGGTTTGGGATTTGTTTGGGTTTCCTGGACCTGAGAATTTGAACCTTTCTACAAGTTTGGAAAATTTTCAGTATTTTCTTAGACATCATTTTTCTTTATTCCATTGTCTTTTTCTGAAACTCTTAACTGAATATAGTTAAACTTCCTTACTATAGACCTTTCTTTTTTTATCTTACCTCTGTCATTCTTTTTGAGTAACTTCTTCAGATTTAATTTATAGTTTACAAATTTCCTTTCAGCTAGGTCTAACTGCTATTTCACTTGAGTTTCTGATTTAAATCATTATATATTTTTATTTCTATAAGTTTTATTTTTTTAACTTGCTTGGCTTTATTATAATTCTATTGGTCCCATTCATATTTTCAGTACTTTTAAATAATTTTAAAGTACATTAACATTTTATATTCTGGTATCAAATGTTTCCAAAATCCATATTCTAATTCTTCAGTTCATTGTTTCTGCGAACTCTTGGTTATGGTGGCTTATGTATTCTGGCATTTAGTGGTTTTTAGTTTGAGCTCATGTTTCCTGGAACATTCTATATAAGAGTTTTTTGTGTTCTGGATTTACAATACTTACAGTAGAGAGGAATTGCATTTGCTATGTTGTGACACTGCTTGGAGCAGCTTGTACAGAGTTAGATTTTCCCTCCATCCTGCCCACAAATTTCTCTAGGGTACCTCTATTCCATGGAGGTAGGTGGTCTGGTCATGGCATCCCTGATGAAGGACTCCTATAGAGGTGGTACCTCCTTAAGGACTAAAGTCCCAAAAGCCAGGAAGCAAAGGGGAAAAAAGGGAACTAACATTTGTTAAGTGGTTATTACATTACAAGGTCCAAAGTAGTTTTATATGCATCTACTTTTTTTAATTTGGAAAGTTCTTATTGATACCTCATATCTTGAAGATGCCAACAACCTTACATCCACATCACTTGCTAAGGGACTTAAACAAGTAGGGAAGCCTAGAATGAACTGGTCTCCTGAATATACTGGCCCTTTTAGACATCATCTTGGTCTTGACTCACAATTTTTTAGTGAATTCCAACACTAATTTAGCCTCTTGGGTTGTAGATCCAGGTTTCCCCAAGATCCATATGTATTTGAATATCACACCCTCTGGCAGGATGTACCAAGTGGCCAGGCAACAATGATTCCAGCTTTGCAATAATATACAGGTTAATTATATTCTTGTTACAGTTCCAAAAGTTTGGCTTTATAGCCAAAGAAAGATTATGTTTGTCGACAGTGATTAAGTATCTATCGACATTTCTGAGAAATGTCCTGGCACTATTTCACAGCCTTCCTAATCCATCTTGATCAATAATCTTGTAGGCAAACTACCAATATTTCCATAGGATAGTTTCCATATGGATCATCCCATGTTAACTATTAAAGCATTTAAGATGAAATATTCAGCCTAAATGGAGAGCTTTAAGAATGAAGACCAGCTGTTGTGTCTATGCACTTAGTGATTAAACAACTAGAATCGATATAGCATTTGGACACATGACTGAAGATGTACTTTGTGTGAGGAATGTGCTCTTGAGGGAAAAGAAGCTTTGCATTTGCATACAACTAGTATGAAAAACAAGAGAGAAACTTAAAAGCCAGGTACTGGCCAGGCGTGGTGACTCATGTCTATAATCCCAGCACTTTGGGAGGCCGATGCAGGCGGATCACTTGAGGTCAGGAGTTCGAGGTCAGGAGACCACTTAAGGTCAGTTCAGCCTGACCAACATGGTGAAACCATGTCTCTCCTAAAAATACAAAAATTAGCCGGGCATGGTGGCGTGCACCTGTAATCCCAGCTACTCAGGAGGCTGAGGCAGGAGAATCACTCGAGGCAGGAGAATCTCTTGAACCTGGGAAGTGGAGGTTGAAGTAGCTGAGAGCATGCCATTGCACTCCAGCCTGGGCAACTAGAGTGAAATTCCATCTCAAAAAAAAACAAAAACAAAAACAAAAAAGCCAGGTACTATCTTCAGCTACTTGACAGGAGTAAAAAGTGAAAGCTTTGAAAGTTATTGATTACAAGGCAGCCAGGATAAACTGTGGAGTTGTAATTAAATCCTACCCAGTGGCAATGAGGGTCCAGACCCAATATTGTCTTATGTTTTAGGAATCAAGCATTTATAGAGCCTCTAAGGGCATCTAAGTGGCCTGCCCATGGTAGGTCTATGCTGCCCAATGTGGTAGCACTAGCCATGTGTAGCTATTTAAATTTAAGTTGATTAAAATTAAGCATAGTTTAAAATTTAGTTCCTCAGTCTCACTACAGGCTGAGTGATCCTAATTCAAAAACTTAATATCTGTAATGCTGCCAAATGTGAAACTTTGAGTACCAACATGATGCTCAAAGGAAATGCTCATTGGAGCATTTCAGAGTTTTAATTTTTAGATTAAAGATGCTGAACTGCTAAGTATGATGCAAATACTCCAAAATCTTAAAAAAATCCAAAATCCAAAACACTTCTGGTCCCAAGCATAAGGGATACCAAACTATATCTACATTTCAAGTGCTCGAGAGTTACATGTGGCTAGTGGCTACTGTCTTGGACAGCACAGATAGAGAGTAGTTCCATCATTGCAGAAAGTTTTCTTGGACAGACCTGTATTAGACGTTCAATAAACACATGTTGATGGAACACAGTTCCATCATTGCAGAAAGTTTTCTGACAGCACTGTGTTAGATGTTCGATAAACACATGTTGAGTGAATGAATAAATGACTGCCCAACATTCAAAAGGGGAGAAAAGATAATGCTTTTGCAAAAAGTTGATCCAGTCCTTTTAAACAGCACAATCTTATTTGGGGGGAGAAAAGAAAGAGGTGAAGTGATAGAATGACACTGTAGGAAGTGTAATGTCACAGTTCCAATGGACATTGCCTGGATTTCGGGGACAAACTCCTCCTTTGAAATC
Organism: Homo sapiens; assembly: GCF_000001405.40. NCBI lineage: Eukaryota > Metazoa > Chordata > Mammalia > Primates > Hominidae > Homo > Homo sapiens. The sequence continues at coordinate 79,726,834 of NC_000006.12, read as the reverse complement.
TTCAGTAAAGTTTGTTTTCTTTAAGAAGACTTGTGTGGGTGGAGACTTCATCAAGGAGCTCACTGGAGAGCGTGTGTTTCCTAGGAGGGTTAGCAAGGTGTAGAAAAGAGGGTTGACCTAAGCAGGAAGGAGCCAGGAGATGCAGGAGGCCATAAGAGCATTTGTCCACCAAAGACAGACAGGAAACTTAGGGACAGCTTTGAAATTCCATAGGCTGTGAAACTGGGCTCAAGCCCATTTTGTCTCTAATTAAAGTACCTTGCCTGACATCTAGGCTCTACTTTTATACACTGTTTCAAGGGTTGGCAAATTATAGTCTGCAGGCCAAATCTGGCCTACCACCTGTGTTTACAAAGCCTACAGTCTAAGAATGACTTTTACACTTTTAAATGATTCTACAAAGTAAAATAAAAAGACTGTTTAATGACCCATAACACTTACAGGTAATTCAAATTTCACTGTTTATAAAACTTTTGTTAGAACATTCACCTCATTTGTTTATGTATTATCTATTGCTGACTTTGTGTTATAGTAGCGGAGTTGAGCAAGTATGACAAAGACCCCATGGCCTGCAAAGCTTAAAATATTTATACTCTAGCCCTTTATAGAAATAGTTTTTCAACATCTATACTATATCATCAATAGTGAGAGCAGGGTTGTGCATATTAGATACAGGGGTTGAGTATCCTTTATTCAAAATGCCTGGGACCAGAAGTGTTTTAGATTTTGGATGTTTTCAGATTTTGAAATATTTGCATTTTATTCAACATCCCTAATTTGAAAATCTGAAATCCAAAATGCTCCAGTGAACATTTCCTTCGAGCATCAAGTCAGTGCTCAAAAACTGTCTGATTTTGGAGTATTTTGGATTTCAAATTTTTGGATTATGGAAACTCTGCCTGTGTCACAAAACATTGAGGCAAGGAATGGGCTACACTAAGATATTCCTGCTTCATGGGAAACCAGAACAAAACAGAAGCTTTCAGAAGATGAGAGACGAGGAGGAGTAGAGAATTAGTTAGCAGGAAAAACAAAACAAACAAATAAAAAATAACAAACTCTGCATCAAATGCAAACTGCTAATTTTTTTTTTAATGAGACAGAGTCTCGCTCTGTCACCCAGGCTGGAGTGCAGTGGCATGATCTCGGCTCACTGCAGCCTCCATCTCCCAGGTTCAAATGATTCTCATGCCTCAGCCTCCCAAGTAGCTGGGATTACAGGCATGTGCCACCACACCTGCTTTTTTTTTTTTTTTTTTTTTTGTATTTTTAGTAGAGAAGGGGTTTTGCCATGTTGGCCAGCCTGGTCTCAAACTCCTGGCCTCAAGTGATCCACCTGCCTCAGCCTCCCAAATTGCTGGGATTACAGGCGTGAGCCACCACGCCTGGCCCAAACTGCTAAATTTTTTTTTATTGATGATAGTATGAAATTGGACAGATAAACAGAAAACTTTGTGAATTAAGCCGATTAATCATCTCAGCTTTCTGCAGATCAGTTCAACATCATATGCTCTTCACTCCTCATCTGGTTATTTTGAAGTTCAAATGCAAAAGTATACATGAAAGCACTTTGTTATACAAGTATGAGGTATAATTCCTACCGGTAATAAGTAGGATAAAGAAGTTGAATACATATTGGAGACAGATCAATACTACTTCACATGGGAGTTAGAGGACCAAGTGTTCCAAAATAACTAACAAGAATATCATTGAGCTGCAGCCGGGGCCAGATGACCTCCCCATAGCAGGCAAATTCCAAGTAGGCCAAGCAGTCAACTGAATTAGCAACTGCCGCTCACATGCTGTCACACCCCCTCCAGCCTGGGGAAAAGGACAAGCTGTCCACTGTGCAGCAGACAACAAATGCCCATCTTTGATACAGAGCAGTCCACCACCAGATGCTGCAGGCCATTTGCTCAACAGACACCTAGTTAGTGCCCCTCATTGGAAGGCCCTGTGCTAAAGTCAGCAGGACAGAAGGATGAGAAGCAGAAATGGTGGACCCTGTTTTTCAAAATGTATAATCTCCTTGGAGCAATAAGAAAATGTGTTAAATTATTTCTGATTATCAAGTGGCAAATGAGAAATTCTGGAAACAAGTTATAGAACTGTTCAAAAAAGAATGTGGTAAAAAGTCAGCAGAAGTAGTCAAGAAAAGCCTCCTAAAGAAGAAAGGGGGAATTGGATTGAAGCTTAAAGACTGATTGGAGCAAGGGGTGGGGAAAAAAGGCATCACAGATGAGGAAATGGAGAAGCCATGGGTATGCATAGGATGGGAGAGAGAAACACTCCAAAAAAGGAGCAGTCAGCAAGGCTGAAGCAGATGGGTATGGTGGGGAGAATCTGGAGATGGAGCAGAGAAGGAAAGCAAAGGATGGGGGTTTTGGAAGATTTTTGAAAGCCAGGATGAAGGATTTGTCCAATTGAAAATGGGGAAACTTAGCATATTTATATAAAGAAGAGGAGTAAGAAATTGGCATTCATCAAAGCAATAGCACAGGAAAGAGTTACGGAAGCACAAAGGAAACAGAAAATTCTGATGGCATTCTAGCAGGAGAGAGATGAGCAGTAAGAAAGAGAGTATACAACTTAGTCCTTACAAGAGAGGAGAGAAAACATCAAATAGAGCTCCTGAGAGTAAGACATAGCAAGGGTCTAGGAATAATCTAGGAATAAAGGTGGAAATTGTGCAGCTAGTGCTGTAAATTTAGGCACATCACAGTGCTTTACTTACAAAAGAACCTGATGAACATCTTTGAAAAGATAATGAGTACAAGCACTAGCCCAGGTTACTTGCTCACCAGAAAAAGTTTCCTATAAAACTGGAAAACCACAGACGTTCCCTACTCTACTGGACAAAGAAAGGATTAGAATAAAAGGTAAAGTGGCTCCAGAGGAGAGAGATTTAGAGGACACTTGCTGCTAAAGTCATTGCTATAGTCTAAATGTTTGCATTCCCCAAAATTCACATGTGGAAATCCTGACCCCCAGGATGATGTTATTAGAAGGTAGGGCCTTTGAAAGGTGATTAGGTCATAAGGGTGGAGTCCTCATAGATGGGATTCAAGCCCTTATAAAATTATAAGAGGCCCCAGAGAGCTGTGTTGCCTTTCCCCATGTGAGGACACAAGAAGAAGACACCATCTACAAAGTAGGAAGCAGGCCCCCTCACCAGACACTGAATCTTCCAGCACCTGATATTTAATTTCCTATCTTCCATAACTGCAAGAAATAAATTTCTGTTGTTTTTAAGCCACCCAGTTCATGGTATTTTGTTATAGCAGCCCAAACAAATTGAGGAAGCCATCAACCTTGACTGACAGAGGGAGAGGCATTCTAAGTGGAGCTCAGGATACGTCTTATTATCTCTTGACACAGCCTTTCCAGAGCTTCTCTCTGAATTTTTGAAGAAAATGTGGAGGAAGTGTAATACTTAACAGTGAATCAAACCCACTATCTTCAGTATTAGGAAAGTTTCAGAAAACACACAGCACAGTCACCCTCTTTTAAAAAAAATTTTTTTTCATCTTCTTTTTTGACCTAAGGTAGCATTTTCCATTTTAGTGTGGTAATAATTAGGGCAACACAGTGGCTACACCAACCTCAGTGGCCCATAGGTGACCACGTCCTCATTGGTTTGTTGAGAAACAGTAATCGAAGCTCTGAAGGTGGGAGAAGACCATCAGAAGGACGCACACATGAAGGTCCATGACCACCTGCCCATGAAGATGATAGGAGGAGTGTAAAGACTCCCGTTTCACTGAAATGGCTAATGGCAGATGCTACTGTTTTGTTGTTGTTGTTGTTGTTGGTTTGAGACAGGGTCTTGCTCTGTCACTGAGGCTGGAGTGCTGTAGTGTGATGATAACTCACTGCAGCCTTGAACTCCAGAAGTCAAGTGATCCTCCTGCCTCAGCCTCCTAAAGTCCTGGAAATACAGGCATGAGCCATCATACTGGCCAGATGCTACTGTTTTTACACTGCTTTTATAACCCAGATTTTAACAATTCAAATTGGTGACCAAACCTAAAAGTTTTGGCTCATACAATAAAGCAAAAAATTTTTTAAATAAATTAAAGAAGAATATTTTTGTTAGTTTTTCCAACAGATTTAGCATTGGGTATAGTTTTTACTAGGAGTCAGTGAGTCTCAAAGGTGATGCTTTAAAGAAGACTTTTACTGCCATGTCAATGACCCCCAGTTTGAGCAAATCAGACTGGCTAGGAATGAATCACCCAAAGGCCAGTTTGATCTTACATGGGGATGCTTGTCAACACTGACATAAATTCACTTATGCTTGTAAAAGAATAACATGACTGGAGGAAAAATAATAATAAATAAAACCTATTCCATGATTAAGATGGCTCTTACAGGTATGAAATAGAAAATAAACAATTATCAGATTGATCTTGCATGCTTAATAAAATGGTCTTGTTAGGAAAAAAGTAAACAAGATATTTAAACGACCACTTCATTATGCATTATGATTCATCGCTTCCATGTACTAGTAAATTTAGTATGGATAGTGAGAAGATGTGAACTATTCAGTTTTATATTTAAGGAGATGTCCAAAACATCTAAACCTTTTGCTAATCAATCCACAATCACTTGAGTAGCTAGAATGGACAAGTATTGATAGCACTGAAGTTGAAACATGGTTCTAGGCTAATTTCTGTAGAATAGAGTGATTATACTACTAAATGCACTAAATTCTATGAAGAATAGAGACGTAGTTATCTAATATCACATGATATATTTCTGCCAACAGAGAGGGAAGGACCATGGTTAAACTTAAAAATAAAAGGTAACTGCTTTATTTCAGAAAGTGAATCCAAAAGCTTTCCCATTGTTCATTTTTTCAAAAAACTTCTGCATTAAATTCTTCCTATTACGTTTTAATGTGGCTCTTTAGGCAATCAGAGTTAGATTATAGAAATTCTAAGAAACTTCCAAAAGTAAATTTAAAAAAATGTCAAGAGAAAAGACAAATTGCTAGCATGGAAAAATTATTTGTTTACCTTTCAGATGAAAATAAAACACATTTAAATGTTCAGGTGCTTAAGAAGGTTATTTTTTAAATCATGAAGTTCAGGTCAGTTTCTACAATGAATACTAATAAGTGGTGAATAATTTTGGTACATTCTTCAATGCCATAAATTCAACAATTGTACAATGTGAAAATAAAGGAATACATTTACTCATCTGTTGGGAGTACCACTTCCTGAACTCTAATTAAAGGACGGTGCATAAAACATTTTCTTGTTAACCAACCTAACATATTTGGAGTTGGGATACTATCCAGGGAATATAGATGCAAATGAAGAAGAGAACTAGTTTGGGTAATCGTTCTACTTGATTATTAAGTGTCTCTCTCTTTTCTGCTTAAAGTTGAATTGCTCTGAGGGAAATGTTTATTTTAAAGCAGGAAATCAGGAAAATGGAGGTAGATACAGCAAAGTCTACAATTTACGGGGTAAAGAAACGCCTGTAGTTGAATTTAAAGTTAAACATAATTTAATTAACATTCATTTTTTGGCTAGGAAAAAAAAAGAAGCACCATCTTTTTATTCAAGGAACATGTGTTTTCAGCACAAGTAAGTCCAGAGGTAGAAACCATGGCATATGTCAGAAGTGCCCAATACAACCCACATAAATGAAGGCATGGTGGCTCTCTAGCTAGCAAGTGTAGGCCACTGAGATGGCTGACTGTGGACCTGGTGTAGGGGGTCTCTGCTCACTGACACAATGTGGAATTCAACAGAGAATAAAACTGTCTCTATCAGAGACTAGAACCATTCATAGAATATTAACAAAATGATGCTTCCAGTAGATAGACAATGCCTAGATATACACTTGGTACACTACCTGGGAGCCTGCGTCCTACAGCCCTGGGAGAAATATATCTGCAGGTCCAGAGAACACTATCGTTGAATGCTAGCATCACAGTGGTTCATCATAACATAAAGCCTCACTCTTTTAGGAAAAACAAGTTATTTAACTGAATTGATCAAGATTTTCTTCGAGTTTTCAGGGGTGGATTTAAATTTTATCAGTCCTGGAACTTACACAAAATGCAGAATACAAAGTTAGATATGAAAATAAATTTTTGTAAGAATGAGAAAATATATCACATCAAATTATAAATTTTTAAAAACAACATTCCCAAATCTAAAAATTAACATATTTCTTGTAATTAAAAGTCTAACACATCTATGTAATATCTTTTTCTACAGTGTTGGTAGTATGTCCTTTGATCACCTCTTCATAAGAAAATTATTTTGTAATCCAATTTGGAGAGAAAATAGAAATAACTTATTCTTTCTTTTAGCATAGTTTATTGAACTTTTAAAAGTTATTGTTCAGAAAATTATAGTTTAAAAAATTATAGTTTAGAAAAGTTTCTTCTGACTTCACAACTCATTATTGGGAATGGCCTGTATATTTGTAGGAAACTTCTATCAAATTTCTTTTATACATGTGTTGTAAGATTTCAGGGCGTTTCAAGTTTTCATACACAGTGACCAATTCATATCATTCTCAGAACTCAATTTTGTGGGTAATTCTGTTGGGAACCACCAGACTATGTCAGGACAGCATGTATTCGAATTGCTAAGATGCAACCCAATATATTGGGATGCATAAAATATGTCATGTCACATACAGATATGCTCACTGATTTGCTACAGGTTTGTTCTTCCAAACACAGGAATTCCAATAAATTTTATTTCGCAAAATTCCAATAAAAAAGGAAAAAAGTGTGTAGTGCTTTTGTAATTACATATGCCACTTATTGTCTATACTCCTGACCAGAGAGAACTTATGTTTTGACAAAAGAACATCAATGAAAACTGAATTCTCTGTCTACAACTTCACACACTGATTATTGGAAGAATTTTCTACAATCTAGCTCATGGCTCTGCACATTACAAACTTTTCTTTTTTCTTCTATGTCTATACACTTCACTGGCAGCTGCTGTTGATTGTGTTCATGGCACGATTCCACTTCTGGCCCTGCATGGTTTTTCTGTGACGCTGTGAGTCAGCACAGAGGGCAGTGGGCGTATTCCTGAAGTTCTTCCACACCTAGCAACTACTTCTCTACACAGAGAAGGGACTGCAGACCACGCAAATACTTCTCAAACTCAGAGTATTCCCAATTCAACTTCCCCTTAGTCATATTTTGACCTATGGCCAATCCAGCATAGTGACACACGAGAAATGGTGACGGAGTACATCAGAAGGGAAAGAGACAACAGTCTTAGTTGGTCTTATGGTTAATTTTACACAAACATATGATCATGTAAGTATATTGCTAGGGCTTCCTCCCTAGACTTGAAAGAAGATTGCACATGAGGAACCCTGAAGCTTAACAATCATGATTAAGTTCATCTCTGCTAGTTATTAACCCACCACAGACTTCTTGGTTTCTCCAAAAAACATTACTTATCATAAGTTAATCTCTTCAAGCTTAATCAGTGAAACTGAGACTAGAATGACATAACTAAACTTGAAGAGCTTCCCTGAAGGTGCTCTAAGCTAAACTCAAATACCTATATTCAGAATTAGCTTGGGCAATTGTAAAACAGTAAGCATCACTTTAGTAATCTGAAACAGCAAATTCCAATTTGGGAGCAGATAAAGTTATGTAATTACTATGTTGGAAAGGCATGTTCTTGACCAAAGTGGAAGAAATCCTGGCACTCTATGCTGTTTCTGACTAGTTCCTTTACAAAGTACTTCAAGGCTTTGGCACGACAGAGAAATAAACTTCCATGTTGTGTAAGCCCTGTAACTGGGCTTTGTCTATTACTTGCAGCCCAAACTAACCTTAACTGCAAGAGGGTAGTATCAGGATTACCTGGGGAGCTTTGCTGAATTATCTCCTCCTCCATTCTGCCATCCTCCAACACATGGAGGGGCAGAGCTCTGAGGCCTGCTGCCGGGAAAGAGGAGTAAGAAGAGAAACACTACTTGGTGCAGTGAAACACACCACCCTAAAAATTTAGTGGATTAAAACAACCACAGTTTATTATAATTTTTCATGATTCTGCAGGATATATCAGCTCGGCTGGGCAGGTCAGTTCCACATGATGTCAGCTGGGATTTCCCGTGTGGGGAGGCTGGCTGGGTCTCTCCACGTGGTCTGTCACTATGCAGTAGTCTAGCCTGAGCTCCTTTACATGGTAGCTGGAGCCCAAGACAGTGAAAGAAAAGGCTGCCAAGTCTCATAAAGCTCAGGCCTAAAATTAGAACTTCCACCACATTGGACCGGTCAAAGTAAGTCACCAGGCCAGCCAGATTCTAAGGGACGGAAAAGAGACGTTCCCTCTTGATGGGGGAAGTGGTCTGTAGGTACGAGGTGGAAAAGTGTATTGGCAGCTGTCTTCGTAGACAGTCTACATGCCTAGAGAAGTAAAATGATTGCTACGAGGACAAAAAGTAGTAATGAAGTGGAATCCAGCTTTTTGTCCTTTTGGCACTAAGAACTCCAGTCTGTATCTGTCAGACTCCCATTCCTCTCCCTCCAGCCACTCAATCACTTGCCCTTGTAGAAAACTGAGAGTGCTGGGAAAAGGGGTGCCATCTACTCTCTGAGACTGGGCCAGCCAGGGTGGAGCAACCATGGCAATCATGTTCCACGGTCTAGCCTTCAGCAGTGCGGGCCTCCAAACTGAATGAGAAGTGTCAAGAGCACTGCACAATAAAAGAGTAAACATCATTTAATATAGTTGTATTATTTGGAGTGTGTTGTGTCTGTGTGTATGTGGTTTTGATATGTGATATATTTCTCACTGTGGCTCATAGTCAAAAAATTTGAAAGCCATTTGCTTAGAACATAGCAGGTGCTCAATATGTGTGGCTTTGTTTCCTGGGTAGAAGATCCCTGGAAGCATACATTTCTTTGAAGATACTAAAGAGTAAATTACTGTGATTTAAAAAATAGCTCAATGTAGCTCGCGGAATATGATAAATTAATACTTAATTAAGAACCTAATGAAGCCTCCCCAGTTTCTAATACACTAAAGAATTACACCTGGGAGTGAAATGCAGCGAGCTTCCAATACACTGTGTAGCATGAACAGCTGACTGAGAAGCTGTTAGTTGTATAAGACAGTAAGAAGGCTTAACTCCACATACCTGTTCTTAATGAGACAGCACAAAACTTATGTCGTTCTAAATGACCAGTTTAAAAAGAAGATTCACTCCTTTCTTTCATCCGTTTTCCTTCTGTGAAAATCTTTATAGAGCCTTAAGCATCTCTGATCTCCATTTTCTCAGTTTTTACCTTATTGCTGGGCTCCCCATGTTTCAGTGGGCTTTTATAAGATTTCTGCCAAAGCATCCTCATGTTTAAGTGGCTAAACTGCTTCCATGAGAGTCCTTAAAAATAACACCTGCTACTAGAATTATACGTGTCCCAACTTACATTGCTTTTAGTAAATTTCTCTGGCTACCACTGGCCCTATTCTATTTCTATTCACTATTGCTCAATTTCAGTAATTATTTCTGAATTTTTGGTACATTAATAATTAAGGAATTCTCCCCAAACTCCCAGAATGTCAAATCTAAAGAATATGCTCTAGTGTTCATTTGACCTGACCTTTCTCTGAGACTTTCTTCCCCTTGGCTTTCCATACAATGCTTTCTACTGGTTTTCCTACTTCTTCAGATTTTACTTCCTTTTCTGTTCTTCAGAGCTTCCTGAATTGTCACAGTCACGGTGCTGTTCAGTGGTGAAATTATCCACCTGACTGTTTCACCTGTGCTTCAAACAATCTCAGGATGTCCAAAAGGAGCTTCATTAAGCTCCCTGTTTTGGGTAATTGCATCTGTCAACCAAGCTAGAACATTTGAGTCCTTTACTCTCCATTTCCCCAAGAGTTAATAAGACATCTCCATGGCCATGACCCTAGTTCAAACTCTTATCATCCATAAATTAACTTTCTAAATGGTCTCTGAGCCTTTATTCTTCCCCACATCACCTTCTCCCATACCTCATCTTCTCTTCTCACTGCCAAACTCTGTGATTTCCTGAAAACACAAATGTGATTGCTTCACATTCTTACTTTAAATCCATCAATGCTTTTCAATATCTACAGGAGTGCTTCTCACACATTAATGTGACCCTGAATCACCTGGGGATCTTGTTAAAATGTGCTTCTAGCCTGGAGTGGAGTCTAGCAAGGTTCATGTGATGCTGCTGGTCCTCGGACCACACTTTGAGTAGTGGGGGTTTATAGGTTAATTTTCAAATCTTATAGTATAGCATACCAGGCTCATTACAATCTAGTCCATTGCCCAGAATACATCTGTGATACCTCTATCATGTGTAACCTTTATTCCACCTCGATCCCTTGCATATGCTATTGCCTCTGACCAATGCTGTCTCCTCCCAGCCTTCTTCCCCAGGAAACTTCCTTCTACTGATTAATTAGTTGGTTGATCATTCATTCATTCATCCATGATTGATCTTAAGAATGACCTCCTCTAACAAGACCTTTCCGGCAGACTCTCCAAGATAGAATTAGGTAAGTGTCCTTTCACTGTTTTAGTAGCACTTTCATCCTGGACACTTTTCAATTATATCATCTGACATAGACAATAATGGAGCTGCTTACACATATATGTTCCCCACCCTTACCCTGCAGCCACTCTGTGGTTCCTTGAGGGCAAACTCTATCTTACTCTCTTTGTTTCCTGCAGGTCCAGCACAATGCCTGGCACAAAATGAGCTTTCAGATATTTATTAAACTTTGTGCTTTACTTATGAAACGCCTCTCACCAACGTTGCAGGCAAGGGGTCTGAGTAGGTCAGGAGACTGAATTAATTGACCTTCACAATTTCCTAGCCACATTTCTTATATCTTTTGTCATTCAGGAAAATAGGCACCAGCTGTAGATTTGTCCATATTAAAAAGATAAAAATCAAATAAAATTTCCCTAATAACAGAGAAATAGATGTTTTACAAGCTGTTAGTATGAAATGGTTCAATAATATCACATTTGTTTCACATTTCTTAACAATTCACCTTTGGGTCTTTATCATGGTGATCTTTTTTTCTTAATAAAAATCTCACTAAAATTTTCATGAGGCCAGTGGTGAGAGAACAGAACTATATTAAGAGCCTTATGAAAAATATATTATACATCTTTCTCTAGAAACTGTCTTTTAATAATTTCATTGGATCATCAACTGCTTATCTTCATTCTAGCTTTGTAGCTCCTTTTTCTTTTATCATTAGAAGTGGCTAATAAAAAGGTAGATTAAAATACATTTGGCTGTTTGACCAGGTTTGAACATAATTTCCAACACCATGAACACTGGGAAGCAATGTTTATGTAAGAGAAGATCAACCTCCTCTTTTTTGAGCCCAGAACAGATATTATCAGAGGAAGAACAATCTTTCTTAACACAGTTGAGCCATTAGGTACAGTTTCATCTTCTGCCACTTTCAGCAACACAATCCAATATCTTGTTAATCATGGAAACTGCTGAGCTGTTTTATACATTTCTATACTTTAGCATATGCTCTTTGCTCTGCTTAAAACTCCCTTTCCACCCATCTGTCTAACTCTTCCTGATTTGTCAGACTTAAGTCAAATATCACTTGCTTGAGGTATGTGAACTGATTGCCTCAGCTGAGCTAGCCTCTTCCTGAGTTATCTGTAGTCTTTTGCACTGCCGGAAAATCTGATTTATTTGCATGACCCCAATCCCATCCCATCAGAGGCAGAGACTTTATATCTCCTGTGCCTGGTTACGTGTAGGCTTATATAATGCTTGTGGTAAGTGGGATATAATGCCTTTGCCCTCCTTCCCTCAAGCCCACCCCCAGAGAGATCACGTCCCAATTTCTGGCACTTGTGAATGCATCGCCTTACATATGCAAAAGTGACTTTGCAGATGGAATTAAGGATCTTGAGATGGGGTGTTTATTCTAGATTATTACGTGGGTGGGCCCAGTGTAATCACAGGGGTCCCTTTAAGATGCAGGTAGGAGTGTCAGAGTCAGAGTGATGCAGCCTTGAGCCAAGGCTTATAGGCGGTCTCTAGAAGCTAGAAAAGGCAAGGAAACGGATTTTCTCCTGGAGTCAACAGAAAGGAAAGCATCCCTACAGACACTTTGATTTTAGTCTGTGAGATTCATTTTAGACTTCTGACCTCCTGAATTCCAAAACATATTTTCGTTGTGTTAATTAAGCTACTAAGTTTGGGTATAGGAAACCAATAAGGTGCTCGATTAATGTTCTTTTGCAGAACGCATGAATAGAAAAGTGCCTCTGGGCTCATCTTCTCTGTCATTATGTTCTATCTCCCTGAGCAGCATGGAAAGCCCAGGTGAAGGGAACCCCAGGTGATGGCTCTCAGACCTGACAAGAAAGGTACCTTTCACACACCCATGGCTTCTGTCCCCAGCGTTCTGCTGGCCCAGCTAGCACAGCAGTGTGCTCCGCACTACAGCACTCCACCAAAACGCAAAGTCATGTTTATGTGCGTATTTTCTATTGCTAACCAATGCAAAATCCTGTGATTGGTGCTATAGGGAATCTTATGTGGTCTATGATTTATTTTAAAATTCTCTAGAACTCCTTGAGAATGAACACTGCAATCATGTGAATTGGAGCATAATGCCTCTGGCCATGGGCTCCTGCTCCCCGTCAGGTCTCCCCCTCCTTGTTCCCCCTAACAAAAGGAGAGGAATGCCCACCTCCTTCCAGAACCCAGGTTTCCTGACCCGCTTAAGTAACTTTCTGAAATACTGCAGCTTCCCCTTCCCCAGACCTTCATTTCCAATTTAACATAAATAAATCTCATATACTATAATAGACTTTTTTAAAGGGTAGATTTTATTTTCACAGCTATCTTCACAGGTTTTTTTATTTACCACGGTGAGGGTTAAAATGCAACACAAAGCCCACCCTGTAACTATACTCAGAGATGAGGCCTCTAGGTGTCGCTACCACCCAAGTCCTGTTATCAAAGGGCACTCGGCTGTACACATATGTGCCACACATTTAGTATTTTTTCAAGATTATACAGCAAATACATATATTATATATATATATATTTAATCACAGAACCTCACCATTTTCTTCTGCTCCATACTAACTCAAGTTTTTTGAGCAAAATTCTAACTGAGAGTAAATGATATACCTGATTACTTTTATATATTGTTCTTTAGTTCTGTTTCCCATGTCAGCACTAGAACATTCTGGATTTGCTTGACTATCAGAAGTATTTGTTAAAGGTGCACCCAGTTCCACAGACACATAAATAATTGTTTTTTTAATACAGCACTATTTTTTTTTTGCGGTATTTTCCCTTCCACTAGATTTGCATGCATTTTTTGGAAACAACTATGAGTTGATTTGGGTTTTTGAAAGCAAGTGGCAGCAAACATTAAAGGGCAGATGCACTTAGAGTTCTGGAAATACCCTGAAACTTCACTAGTCACTAACACTTGGTCCTTTCCCATTCTAAAATTTCAATTTATAAATGTAAGTGTATGGTATTTTGAATCTGAAATGAACGCTGGGTGGGAGAATTTAGAAGAGTTTGGAAAGGATGAAAACCTGCCCTCCAGTACCCCCTTTTCTGATTTCATGAGAATGTTTCTACACATTGCTAAATTTGGAAGACTTGCCTGTCTTGATTTGAAAATATGCGACAAGCTTTTACAAAAACCGTCAGTTCCATTTTTCCTCTTTATGCTAGAATTGTTTCCTTTTTTCATGAGTGTCCTTATTTATGCCATGGCATTGCATGATATTCTTCCTATTACACTGATGTGTAATTATTGCATTTTACTTCTGATGGATGCTGTAGGTCACATTTCATAGCCTAGGCGGAGACCTGAATAATTGGAATGTTTTATTTAAAGACAGTCCTTGCATCACTCTCTCTCTCTCTCTCTTTTGAGACAAGAGTCTCACTCTCACCAGGCTGGAGTGCAGTGGTGCAATCATGGCTCACTGCAGCCTTGTCCTCCCGGGCTCAAGTGATCCTTCCACTCAGCCTCCCAAGTAGCCGGGACTATTGGCGTGGACCACCACACACGACTAATTTTTCTATTTTTTATAGAGATGGGGTTTCACCTCGATGCCCAGGCTTGTCTCGAACTCCTGGACTCAAGCAATCCCCTCGCCTTGGCCTCCCAAAGTGCTGTGATTACAGGCGTGAGCCACCACACCTGCCTCTCACTTTTTTAAACTGAGACTTAGTAGAACTAAAAATTAAGACTAATGTCCCCCTATATATGTACATATGTTCATACACACACACACACACACACACATATATCTAAAAATGAATGTTTTCCAAATCTTACATTTAATATTTATGCAGTCATTTTCTGACAGATTTGCATATAACCAAAGTTATTGTTAGGAAAGAACTTTGACTACAATCAAGGTTATTGTAAGACGAGAGAACATGCTGTTTTTATCATCCACCCACTTGCTCTACCCAAGAAAAATACTGAACAGCAGTTAGCTCATATTAAGGGCTATATCTAGTAACTGCTAAACCGTCAGACTTCTGTCAGGCAAGCAATTCATGTTGATTTCTGACTTTAGAGCTGAAATTAATAAGGAGCCCATGAAGGCCAGAGTTTTTCTCAGGGAAACAACCCAAAGGTTATATTAGTGACAGAACTTACTGTGCTAGTTAAGGGTTAAAAAATGTGTATGAATATAAAAGAACATCAATCAAATGGAAATAAGTGGGCAGTTACATAATAAAATAAAAATAAATAGTCTCATGATTTGGTCTGCTTTCATCGTAAGCCAGCTGTAACTCTTCCTTTTGGCTGTTGGCGAAACCAGAATGTTCAGTTAACTAATACTTCTGTAAAATAATAGTCCCAGATCTCCCTATCTGTCCCTGGCCTCCATATTAATGCCTAACAAATTCTGACGTTATGAGGTGAGGTTAACTAGCTCCTGGAACTAACACCAATGTTAAGCACTGATTTGTAGACATCTGCAAAATCCATAGCATAGAGCCTATGAATTAAGTGGGTCCAGAGGCCTCTAGTACAGCCTCCTTGCCAACACAGATTCTCTGCTACTGTGGGTTTGGCCACAGCACAGTGAGGTAAACACTGCATAATAAGCTCCTAATATGACAGAGCCACACTGGAAGTTACTTTCATATTCATTCCCAACAAAGTCCAGAATGGCAGGGGTACTGTGAATACCTATTTGCTACTCTTGACTTGATAAACATGTCTTGCTGGTAGGAAAAACCCCAAATAGTGATGGGAAAATCAACAGAAAACAGGCGCCTACCAAGGGCTCAAGCATCAAGCCGGAGAGACACTGGTAAGAAATGACATGTCCTAGACAAGCCATCTTTTGAAACCAATTGCTTTCTCAGTAAAATTAATTTTTCTTTTACTTCAGCCTTGCTTAAAGTTAATAAAGGGAAGATGTCTGGCAGGATCATCTATCCATCTATCACCACCCACTTAATCACTAGGCACCATGGACCGAGAGTCTGGGAATGCACAGAATCACCGGATTTAATTGGATCTGGCACCTCCTATTTCCTAATCACCTTCTTTGTCTTCCATTATAAGTAAGACCTTTTAGGGTGAATGAATAGGTCAGAAGCTACAGACAATTTTTTTTTCAATTTCCTATTTGCCACAGGAGTAACTTAAAAACAAAAAGAGAGCCAATACCTAGGTCCTTTATAGAACCATTGGGCTTTTTGTATTTATCATTTTGAAATTAAAGAGAAATTCTAGGGCTGGGCTAAGACCAAAGCTCTAAAAACAGATTTGTGTATATCACCAGAATAACTGATTACATGAAAAGTCATTTTTATAAGCAGTAAGTATGCACTTCAGCACCATGCTTTTTCCTTTAAATTAAATTTCAACAGCTTTGTGGAACCGAGTATAGACCCACAAAGTAAGGATGGCCAGAAGCCCATGTTATATTCCCAACCTTGCATCCTCCTGTCAGTTATATCTCTTATAAGCCACTCATTAGCTTGGTTAATAACTGAGTTGCTAGCTTCCCACAATGAAGTTTTGGATACTTGATAGCAAGGCATCAGTATTTCCTGTAATGCAAATTTTCACTTAAATTACCTACACTTCACAAAACACTGAAACCTTTTGCTGTTAATGAACATGGCTAATTCCAGATGAAAAGTCACTAAGAGAATTCTTTTACAGAATCCTTTTATGACATGTACCAGTTTCCAGTTTATTGCATCTTAACTCCAAATTCATGCTTCAATACCTGTTCTGTGATCATGGACAGAAATCCTTTAAAATTTTCTTCTTCACATTGAGCACAATGTTAAGCCTTTGTGGTGGAGCGTGCTGAAGGGATATTGCAGGAGGGAGGAGACTGTCTTGCAGTGTCTGGTTGCTGCATGGTATGACAGCAGTGCAGGTAGCTCTGCCCCAGCTCAGCGGCCCAAAACACGTGGCCTCTCAGGGCAGGTGCAGCTCTGGTCTGGCCTGGTGATAACCTCACACAGCCCTCTTGATGTGAACACCATGTACTCCAGACCTCCTGTCTTCACTGGTGCCCCTTCTCTCTGCAAGCCTGGCCACTGGCTGAGGCTCACCTGGCCCCAGCTTGCACTCTAGAGGGTTGCTTCCTGCTTGCCCAGTGAACTTCTCTACCATCCTGTGGACTGCAAATACAACTTTACAAGGAGTCTGAAGCCCAGCATTCCTTCCAAGTCTGTCCTTCCTTGGATAGTCTCCCTTACCCCTAAGAAAAAATACAGAGTTTTCTTATATCTGATAGTCAGTCTTTTATTAGAGTTCAGCATTTCTTTATATTTAACTTCCCCTGTTTAAATCACAGTGTGATGTTTATCTCCTAATTGGTCTTAGACTGACAAAAAATATTTCAAACTTTCTAACTGGTAATTGTCAGCAGAAAAGATGACAGGAATCAAAGTTCTAGTGATACAGTAAGAAAAAAACTAGACTTTTCAGTACATGGGCATGTATTTATCAGATAAACACATACTAATAAACCATGTATTTCATTTGACTGTAGAGTCAGTTTTTATATGCAAATTTATTGCATACAAGTTTAAAAAAGGACATACAAGTAATTGCTCTCTTTGGGTTACATAACTGATATGGTCTGGCTCTATGTCCCCACCCAAATCTCATCTTGAATTATAATCCCACATGTTGGGGGAGGGAGCTTGTGGGAGGTGATTAAATCATTGGGGTGGTTCTCCATGCTGTTCTCCTGTTAGAGTGAGTCTCGCAAGATCTGATGGTTTTATAAGTGTCTGATATTTCCCCTGCTGGCACTTCTCTCTCCTGTCACCATGTGAAGGACATATTTGCTTCCCCTTCTGCCATGATCATAAGATTCCTGAGGCCACCCCAGCTATGCAGAACTGTGAGTCTTTCCTTTATAAATTACCATCTCAGGTATTTCTTCATAGCAGCGTGAAAACGAATGAATACAAAAGCTGACCCAAATTAAATAGCACAAAATAAAAAACACCAAAAAAAGCAGCTCCTGAGATACTAAACAGTGAACATTTATGCTCACAGGTAAGTTACAGAGCACTACACTTCCTTCAACAATATAATGCAAGCAAGTATAATACTCAGTATCAACATACTGCACAAAATTGTCTTAATACAAGATAAGAGATAATGGATTTGTTTTTTATAACAACATATTTGGGTTTAAACTGGTGACTGGTGATTATGCCCTTACTGAAATAAGAGAAGGTTTATTTTCTCCTTTCTCAGATGTTCATCAGGTAAAAGACACAAACCAAAGTACAAAGAAAAAAAATTACTTGTTAGCACAAAATTCTCAGGCTTTGGCTGACAGCTTATTTGTTAATGCAAAGGATGCTATTTCAATCAGAAAAATATTGGAATTAAATTATAAGGTACTGAAAAATATCAGCAATAAAAGGGCCATTTGCATCAGGGAGACTAATAAGCAGTTTGCAGTCATGGTGAAAACATTGTGGAAATCAGGTCTTCATCAACACTTAAAATTCGCTTTCTAAAATGTGGCATTTCAGGGAGACAGCTGTCTTTTCAGGTAGACACCACCACCACCTAAATTCCTTTAGCATCAACTTGTCATTTTGCCTGCATCTATCTGATTCCAGCAGTATCTTGCCCATCCACACTGCAGATTTCACTGGTTACATGTTTTGGAGTTTGGGTAAAGTTACCTCTAGAGAACTGGGTCACTCTGGAATGTTTTCACTTAGAGGCAGCCTAGTGCCCTCAATGGGTCAATGATAGGGCAGGGCTTTCCTGCTGCAGTTGTTCAGAAGCCATCCACAAGTCCGAACGCTGGAGTCATTTTAACCTACTAAATATGTAACTGCTAAAATTCTGTTTGCACTGACCCCTTATGACTAGGATGGAAAAACTGTCATTATTCAGCTCCTCATCTACAATTAGGATACAGCATAATAATAAACATTTACTAGGTATGTAAAACGGTACAGTGAGGGAGGCTGCAGTTGGAGTTATTCCTTCTGGTGCCTAGTCTGGGAAGTGAAAATATTGCTGTTGTCATCACTTTTGTTAGCCATACCAGTTGGTTAGGACATGGCTAGGAGCAGATTATTTAAGAGTGGTTCACCACTCAAGACAGGAAAGGAGGGAGAAAAGGATTCCTCTGGGCTAGGGTCACAAAGTCCATGCCAAATTGCTGGTCTTGTAGCCCAGCTATTGATCTCAGAGTTGGTCTTGGAGCCAAGCTCTGGGCTGTCTCAGGGCCCAGAATCCGTATTTCAACCTAGTGATGTTATTAGTACATGACCTGAAATAGGCAGGGAAGAAAATAAAAGAGAATGTAAACAAATGGGATAATCATATCAATAGACTAAATCAAATTATCATGAACAATGTTTGTCTGTATTTATCTGAGACAAGATAAATACAGGCAAACCCAAAAGCTAAATCTCCAAAAGCTAAATCTCACACAGGTGTGTGTAGTAATTCATTAGAATGACAAAGGATGAGACCCAAAGCAACACGTGAAGTAGCTACACCACACAGAGATGGCTGGCATCTCCTGGGCTTGCAAGGGTATAACACAATCACTCTTATTTCAGGAAAGGATCCCAAACAAAATTATGCAAAAAAATTCCTCCACTTAATGAGTGCTGTTACCATCAATTATAATGAAAAAATAATACTGGTTTTCCCCCCAGAATTACTATGCTAAGAGAATAGCAAAAAGAAATGGTTAAAAAGCCTGGGCAGGACAGGCGCAGTGGCTCATGTCTGTAATCCTAGCACTTGGGAGGCTGAGGCCGGCAGATCACCTGAGGTCCAGAGTTCGAGACCAGCCTGGCCAACATGACAAAATCCTGTCTTTACTTAAAAAAAACAAAAAACAAAAAACAAAAATTAGCTGGGCATGGTGGGGCACACCTGTAATCCCAGCTACTTGGAAGGCTGAGACATGAGAATTGCTTGGACTTGGGAGGCAGAAGCTGCAGTGAGCCAAGATTGTGCCACCACACTCCAGCCTGGGCAACAGAGTGCGACTGTCTTAAAAAAAAAAAAAAAAAAAAAAAAGCTTGAGCAGGGAAAGGAAGAATTTTCCCTTAATAATTACATGTTCTGTTTTTAATTTTTGGCAATAATGCCCAAAGGAACCTTTTTTTTTTTTTTTTTTTTCTGAGACAGAGTCTTGCTCTGTTGCCCAGGCTGGAGTGTGGTGGCGTGATCTCAGCTCACTGCAACTTCCGCCTCCTGGGTTCAAGCAAGTCTCCTGTCTCAGCCTCCAAAATAGCTGGGATTACAGGTGTGCATCACCATGCCCGGCTATTTTTTGTATTTTTAGTAGAGACGGGATTTCACCGTGTTGACCAGGCTGATCTCCAACTCCTGACATCAGGTGATCCGCCTGTCTCGGCCTCCTAAAGTGCTGGGATTACAGGCATAAGCCACCACACCCAGCCCAGAATGAAACTTTTAAAAGACAAATTATCCACATATTCTTCTTTTTTTTTTTTTTCTTGTAAGACAGGGTCTTGCTCCATTGTCCCAGCTGGAGTACCATAGCGTGATCATGGCTCACTACAGCCTCAAACATCTGGGCTAAAGGAATCCTTCTGCCTCAGCCTCCCTAGGAGCCTCGTGACTACAGGTGTGTGCCACCATACCTGGCTAACATTTTTATTGTTTGTAGAGAAGGGATCTTGCTGTGTTGCCCAGGCTGGTCTTGGATTCCTGGCCTTAAGCAACCCTCCCACCTCGGCCTCCTAAAACACTAGGATTAACAGGTATGAGTCACTGCACCTAGCCAGATTATTCATATATTCTTACAAGCTCAACTGAGTTTTATAGATACAAAGAATTAACATTTTAGAAAATTTAGGACTAAACCCTATTAATAGTCATCACTGTTCTGCAGATTGTAGATGGTATCCATGTGGTTCATTAAGTTCCCATTTTTAAAAAAAGGAAAAAAATATACAAATGCCACCATGATTTAATTCAGAGATATAGACCAATTCAACAGGAAACATCAACTTTATAAGATGACAGAGTAACAAGAAACTGGACACAGAGACATTGCAGTTGCATTAGTATTGATAAGCTATAGTGTTGGTGTGTATACACACACAGAGAGAGACAGGAATAGTACTCAGCCTTAAAAAAGGAGATCGTGTTGCCACAACATGGATAAACTGGAAAAAAAAAAAAGGTCAAATATAGAGAGAATAAAGCAGTGGTTACTAAGTCTGGGTTGGGGGGCAAGGTGGAAAAATGTAGGTCAGAGGATATAAAGTAGCAAATATGTAGGATAAACAAGCCTAAAGATCCAAAGGCACAGTATTAGGCCTGTAGTTAATAGCATATTCTATTCAGGATTTTTGCTAAAAGCGTAGATTATACCTGCTCTTGCCACAAGGAGCGAAAATGGGTAACTATGTGAGATGATTGATATATTAATTTGTTCCACGATAGTAACCATTTTACTACAAATATGTTTCTTATAACATCATGTGGTATGCCTTAAATATACACAATAAAATTTATTTTTAAAAATACAAACATGCCACTATGAATTAGTTCACAGAAACCAATTCAACAGGAGACTGAGTTTATACGATGATTCAGTAACAACAGACTGGGCACACGAAGAGATGTCACATATTATGAGAACATACAAACATTATTCTGTTTTTCCAGGAAAAAAAAATAACCTTCTCTTTCACTACAAAAAGTGCTTCAACCTAGAGGAACAAAAAAGCAAAATGAGAAAAATATTTATCTTGGCAGCAGTATTAGAAAATTATGTTCCTGAAGATATTCACATTTCCTTTCAGTATTACAAAGGAAAGAAGGTGACATTTTGCCAAAACCCAAAAAGCCTTTTAAAGGTATTAATTTCTCTATTGTAAATTCAGGTAAAGAGGTTTGTACAGAACAGTATTGTCCAGTGGAAACATAATACAAGCCATATATGTAATTTTAAATTTTCTAGTGGCCACCTTAACAAAAAGGAAAAATAAATTTTAATACTTAATTTAACCCAATATATCTAAAATATTATTTCAATATATAACCAATATAAAAATTATTAATGAGATATTTTACATTCTTCCTTTCACACTAAGTCTTCAAAATCTGGAATATATTTACATTCACATCACAAAGTCAACTAGGCACAATTCAAGTGCTCAACAGCTATATAGGGTTTGTTGGTACCACACTGGATAGCACTGTTCTAAACTACAGAGCTTTCGTTTCTATAACATTAGTATGATAGATTCTTGTCCTAGAGCTTTTTTAGTGGAAAGTTTCGTTATAATGAATTTTATTATTATAGGGCCAAAAATGATGTATATTACAACAGTGTGGAGCGCTATTTTACAAAAAGGTCTAAATCTTTGTCCTATTCATTGTACACCAAGTTTTCAGTTAATATGCTTTCAAATACCAGGGTCCTCAGTCTATCAAAAATGTCATGCCCTCAGTTACCAGGGGCCCAGAAGATACAACTGCATTCTAGTTTCTTGTTCTTCTACCTGCCAGTTGGCTTACACATAGGAACATGCTGCCACCACAATACACTGGGTCATATTCAGCATGATGCTGATCTACCTCACTCAGCTTAAGGATTATTTAATTGGGTATGGGTTCAATACAATCTCCTATTACTTAAAGAAGTAATTTTTTAATGTGCATTTACGTGTAACATCATTTTGGCCTATTGCCCTAGGCCCATTATATGGTGACATACTAAGAAGATGTGCATATATAAACATCCAGTCTATATAAAGGTTTCTTGTTGGTGAAATTCTGTAGCAGAAAACTAGATTATAACATTAATAAAATTAATTTATTACTAAATAACTTCAACTGATGAGCTTTAAAATGGAGTCAAAGAAGACACCCTTCTAGAGCCCAGAGGAGCTCCCGAAGTCAACTGTTGGCTGATATGCTGACAAGGTAAAAAATAGCACACAAGAAAAAAATATATATATGTATTTAACTTTATTTTCTCCAAATAGAATAAAGATTCACATGCTTAGCATATTTCTGGAAATGGCCTCAGAAAAGTTTTCTACTCTAAATCTGGTTTCTCTTCACTTTAATGATTAAATAAATGTCGACCAATTAAATATTAAATATAAAGAAACTTTAAAAATTAATCATTAAAACACAACTCAATAGGAAGAAAGGCAAAAGACATGAAGAGGGATTGCCAAGAAAAAGAAACAAGAATTCCCATAATAAAACATGTTCAACTTACTAATAATCAAAAATTTACAAAATGAAACCACAATGAGGTAACATTTTATACTCCCCAGCTTGGCAAAAATGCAACTCTGACAATCTCAAACATTGGCAAAGATTTAGAGTCCTGCAAATTCTAGTATACTGGTGGGGAGCATAAATTAGTACTCTGGAAAGCAATTTGGCCTTATCTATTAAAACTGATGATGTGCTTTTATTGTATAAACCAGCAATTCTATTCAAGGTATACATCCATTCTTCAGTATGTACACCAGAAGTCACATAAAAGAATATTCAGAGCAACATTACCTTTTTCTATTTCAAACAAAGATGCAGTTCAATAAGCACCAGCTGGAGAAGAGAACATGTGATATATTCATAATGGAATAATATTTAGCAGTGAAAAAACTCCGATGGCAATGAACATAAAAAGGAGGTGACAGAAGAATACATTCAGTTTAATTCCATTTATTATTCTTTAAGGATACATACATGGAGATAAAGTGATGAAAGACAAGAAGGCTATGGTCAACACAAAGTTCAGTACAGGGGTTCCCTCTATCAGACAGGGATAGAGATAGGTTCAGGAAACCGCACACGGTACCTCAAAGGAAAGGCAATAAGGTGGGTGGTAGGCACACAGGGGTTTGTTTATTGTCATTATTATTACTCTTTATACTTTAGCATATATATTATATGTGTATATACATATCTATATTCCATTGCATGTATGAAATTTTTTAAAAATTCAAATGGCTTATAACAAAAACAAATTATGTATAATGTCTCAAATGGTGAATCACAGCCTGGAGGCTCTTAATTTACCTCCACTCTATCATTGAACCCTGGCTAAAACTGCTGCTTTGTTTCTATTCCCCTCATACTTGAGAGTAGAGATATTGCCCTGCTCTGACAACACTTACCACATTTTAGGGGCTTGATCCATGCTGACAGAAAGGATGAACAAACAAACCTGACATGTATTTCTAGAAGAACTAGGAAAACTCTGAAGATTTGAATCACAAGTAGGCAGTGATCATTTTGGTTTCACACATTTCTGCAAACCTACAGCTCGTTCCCTCTGATCACTTCCTCCACCCTCCTTCTGTTCTGGTGCGTAGGGCTTGAAATCGTTCAGTGCTGAGATCAACCTCAAACAATGCCTTCAGAAATACTGTTTTCTTCTGCTTTCTGATGTGGCTGCTACAAAGGTAATAGGGGCCGCAGCCACTCTGCCCTTGTCTTCTGCACCCAATTCAGAGAACATGGCCACCAGCCTGTGGCTTCAGTGTACTCAGGAGATCAGTCATCCATTTGAACCACCCCACCCCACCCAGGGGCTGAGTGATTTAACTCCATCCTCAGTCCTGATCACTGTCTGAGATGAATCTGTGGTGTCCTCCCAACACCCTCGTGCAGGACCTCATGTCTGGCTCCTTGAATGATCACACGATCTGTTTGTATTTTTACAATTTAATGTGCTGCTTTCATGCATGAGGTTCACAGGCAAGAGTAAAATCACAGCCTCTCAACTAAACAGAACTAAAATTAAGAGAGGTGTGAAAAATGGCAGGGAACAAACACTCCATTTTCAGAATATGTGTTTTCTGGAATTTATTCTCCTTTATGCTGAATATAAAATATGTGATTTCACCAATGCTTTAAGAGACAAACACATACAAGTTGAAATCTGAAAACAATAATTATATGGAGCAAAGTGCAGCCTGACACTTAACAAAAGCTGTTAAATGAAAAGTATCTCTAGAAAAAGCAAAACCCCTATAGTAAAATCAAACACAACAGAAAGAAGCTTTGGTACTTTTCAATAACGGGAGACAAAAAAAAGTTTAGTTTATTATTAAATTCATGTAATATAAAAACATCTATGTGGAGGTATTGAATTAAATCTATAAAACAGAAACAAATCTAGAATATATTAGAATCTGAGGTGAAAAAATACCTTGCTTTCCTCTTCTTTGATTGTAATAAAACACCGGAATTTGGAAAAACAAGTATTTTCCCAACTAAATTTTCTTCTGGTCTGTACTCACCTAGCAGGATGGCACTCCATATTTTATCTAATTTTAAAATGGCATAAGTTGATTTTTAGCAGCACATTTCCTTTGCTCCAGCAAGCCTACTACAGGAAATAAAAATTCTGTCTTGAAATGCCCTTGATATGAAATCTATGCCTACAATTCCCATCCACTTCTTTCCTAGTATTTTAAGACTGTGATTATCAAAATCTAAAGGCAGCTAGTTAAAGAAGGGAACAAGAAAATCATTATTATATGTTTCAAAATCAGCTGATAAAAGAATACAAGTAAGGACCCCATATTCTCTGAGCTAAGTGTGGTCCCAGAGGGCAACATCTTGGTACTCTGTGGAGCCTGGGTACCATGTAAATGCCACACACTGTGCTGCTGCCTCACTCATAACAAGTACAGCACCACTCGAGACTGGTCTCCTGTATTTCTTTGCTGATCAAAAAAAAAAAAAAAAAAATGGGGTGGGGAGATGGCACATAACTGTGATGGTAATTTAGCATTACTACCCACTAGTCTGTTTACTATAATCATAATAGGTATACTACGGTTAACTCAAAAATTATAATATAAGACAAATCTGGGTAGCTTTGTCTAGCAAGTATGGTATTGATCCTATAACCCCAGCAGTTAACTTGCAAAGCCTCAACCTTACCAAGTTGGTTCTTGGCACTCACTAGCAAGAGTAGACTAAATGTTAGCTGAGTAATGAATTACAACATGACAATTTTTACAACTGCTTAAAAAGAAATTCTGAGTTTTATCAGAAGACTCACATACTCAAACACAATATCCAGTTAAAAAAAAATTCCTGGATAGTCCCTGGGATTTGTCAAATGGAATTTGACCTGGATCTTACTTAATGACAACTAACCAGTAATATCCATAATTTGACAACAGCTTCCCTTGAAGAGAAAATTGTGGATCATGTGTCCATTCTAGTTAAGTAGAAATCTGTCATACTTTCCTTCTGGTTGTAATCCTGGACTACAAATCTCAGGTTGGGATTTCAGCCTTAGCATTCAACAAGTTCTTTAGTCTACATTTAGCAAGGCATGGGGCGGAGTGCTGGGCACATGTGACAGGGCTGTAATTCTTCTGCTCTTTCAATTTCTTATAAATTTCCTGCTCAGAATTATAATGAAAAGTCCAGAATCAGGATGCTAGAAATAAAATATTTTAGGCAGCCCTCTGAAAATTTATCCTATTCAAGGCTGTTCCCATGTTTGGCAATTTAAAACTCTAAGTTAAAAAAAAAATTAAGCATCCCTGTTATAGGGACAAGAATGCAGAAAAATAGCCTCTGCTCTAATGAAGTAGATATGTTCGATGTTCATCAGCATCCACTCCAATAGGAGTATAGATTTTGCTTGACAAGTACAATTCCGGGTTACTCTCTTTCTCATGTGTGTTGCTCTGAAACCTTACTTGTGCTCATATACGGAATGAGAACAAGTATCTGTATTACTCTGAAAAATATGAGGCTGTACATTGGCCAGAAATATGAGCAAGCAAAATTAGAGGCAAATGAAAAGTAACAAAAGGAAAAATTAAATTTTACTACAACATTGGTATATTTTAATATGTCTAATCAAGGGTTCACAAAATATATCTAACTGAGATTTTCCTTTCTCAAAAAATATAGTCCCTTCACAAAATAGAAGCAGCAGCTGTCTGTTAGGGGAGCTGGATTAAAAAATATATGAACTTATATATTATAAATAAATTGCTAGAGCTGAAAATGCCTTCAGATACTCGTCAGATAATTTTCCTATATATTCACTAATTAGTGCACCACTTAAAATATATCTTTCAAGCAGTCTCAGGCATTTGGGTGAAACTTGCCCCTTGCAAGAAATAAAGAAGCATATATTTCAAATAGCAATTATTGTCATCCCAGTAACTTAGTTCTGATCACTTGATGTTACAACAGGGATTTCTGGAAACATCTGTAGGATAATATGTGGAGGTAAGAGTTTCCATTACTAAAACAAGTCTAGAATATCTAACTTTTTCACCAGGTGTTATTACAAAGCATGGGAACTGTGATGTTTGTAACTGATTCTGCAGCAAAAATCTTCAACACCCTTTGTCAACCAGCGCTGCTTTTTTTCCTTCTGATTCAAAGATTCTAACAACTTGGCAGACATATTTCAAAGGTGCAATCCAGGCAGCTTAAAGAGAAGTGGGTTTACGCAATTCCGGCATCTACTATAACCTAGGGCAGATCCAACATTTTCTCTCTGACGGTGCTACCCACTTATCTTTCAGTCATTAAGAAAGTACACCTGTAACAGGTGACGGTATTTCCAGGTGAGTGAGGCAACTGCAGGCAAATAGAATAAGAAAAAAAAAATCCACCACCTGATTTGGTTTAAAGCAATCATGCAATTCTCATTATAGCCACATCTTTCAAAAACACCTTTTCCGTGGCAAGCAAAGTTACTGATAATGCGTGTGGCTTTTGTCACAGTGATGCATTAGGTAAGCATGTGTGTGCTGAGTACCAGGGGTGCTTCAAAATGCATCTCCGTCATCTTCCACTCTTCTTCTCTAAGGTTCTGCCTATAAAAAAAAAAAAAAAAAAAAAAAAAAAAAAGTCAGTTATTGCATTACATCGACAAGAAAATTCACCCTTGGCAGGGGTTTTTTAAATGTCAGGAACAGAGATGTTGGAAATCATAACAGATCACCTCCATGTGATTGATAAGAGAAAATCCTGGGTTTCAGCATCAGAGCCCAGATTTAAATCACACCCACCCGACCTGCCAAATATAAAAGTGGAAAGAAAGCCGCATGTTTTCAATGACCTACTGAGATTCCTCTCAGAGGTACTGTTCCACTTGTGTATGGCTGGGTGGGGGGTTACCTTGCTCAGAGGGCCTGCAGAGATGCCCATTAATAGCAACCCAAGATGAAGAACCACTCTAGAACGACCATATCTGTTAGTAAAGAGTCGCTGCCCCAGTCCCCCAACTGCCACCCCTGCGCACCCTCCCCCTTGAGCCAATGGATAAAGAGCTGACATCTGGCACAGGGGGCCTCTGTGGCCTGCTCAAGCTCTGGCCAGTCAGCACCCAGTGTTGACCGGTTGTTACCTACTTTGGATATTACCCCTGAAAGCTAGGGATCTGAAAGTACAATCTTCTATGACAGGCCCTTCTTGGGGTCTACTAAATTTTAACTTTGATGGTTTTCTACCTAAAAAGTATCGGTGAAATGGCCTCCCTTTCTCAGAATTAGTTGGCTATCACAATGGGCCAGCCACTGTGGGCTCCAGCCAACTACAAGGGAAACTGAGATCCCCCCACCACCCCCACCAGGGATTCCATACCATCTAATATTTACATACTTTAAAAAACCTCTTCACAGGACAAACAACATATCCAGGGCCAATGTGGCCTGCAGGCCACCATCTAGAGACCTCTAACCTACCTTTGCCCCTCCCACTATGGAGGGCAGCCCAGTCAGAGCCTACACTGCACCTGGGCCTGTTGGGCCCATGAATGTCCTCTCCTACCAAGTAAGAGCAATTATAGGTGCTAATGATGTCTTTATGTTTCCTGATAGGCTTTGTTGCCATGTTTTTTATGTGTGTATACTACACAGGGAGTAGGAAAGGAAAAGAGAAAACAGGGCTTTCATCTTTTAGTACATTAAACCTGTGAACACTCTGTCAAAGCCTTAGACTATAGACTGTATGATGAATCACTACCAAGGTAAAAAATAGAAGATTAGAAGAGAGAAAATGCTAAATTGTTCTTGAAGACATTTTCACTTCTCTCATACGACGATGAAGTATGAGTTACTATTAGCTTTTAAAGCCCTAAATGGTTCATGGAGAGTGGCACAGACCTTGTGCTATGGACATCTGCTCTGGTCCCAGATACTCCTGTCCAGGTATAACTGATTTAGGTCCCTGAAAACGGTGGGCTGAATGGGGGCAGTGTCCAGGGCCCTCACTACCTTTAGGATGGTCCCCTGAAATCAAGTTAACTTCAGTGACACCAAGATCAACTTTAATACTGTGGCCAAAAGCCATGTGAGAATGTATATTTCATAGACCATAGATTTCCTGAGAAACTGGTGAGAAAATACATTTCTTTGAAGAATAAAGAAGTCAGCCCACAGTCTCTAAAGAATTTACATATTTGGGGAAAATGGGAACAAGCAGTATTTTTTAAAAGGTTTTTGCATAGACAATGATGCCCGCTGGATTTATGTATCCATTAGACTACTCCATCCTAGTTTTTTCCAGTTCTTTGAAGATAAATCTGGACTTTTAATATCTCTGGATGAAATACGTTATAAAAATACTCTAATTTTCCTAACAAGTATTCAAATGTTCCATCTTTATAAAAGCAGTTTTAAGAACCTTTAAATACGGCATGCGTGGGTTTTGCCTCTGCTTAAAACATGTGCATGGAAACCACCCACAACCATCTGTGGACTAACTGATGTAAAAACAAAGCACGATTTCACATTGGCTATGCACTGCAGATGCTGGTCTATAATTTATGTTATTGAGGGTCCCTGCCTTCTTCCTACAGGTATGCCAGAGATGGTACAAATCCTGGGTAGCCTCAAAAGACCTACTATTTTAAGACATCAAAGTTCTAGGAAATGTACTTTTATTTCGGTTGTGTTAAAAATAGACATATTAGAATTCAGTCTCAATTTGAAACACTCAAAACTTCAATTACTATGTATACAAAGACTGCAAGGAAACACAAAAAATGTCAATGTGGTTAGCTCTGGGTGGTGATTTTAGTTCTTTGTTTTACCCTTTTTTAATATTTTCCCAATTCAAAAAAAGGAGTCTAGGCTACTTTCATAATCAGAAAGAAAATGTGTGTTTTAAAAAAAGAAATAATATCAAAATAGTACCTTACTTAATAAAGAAATGTTTTTTCTTTTTTGAAAGTGAATCTATAAGCTTAATAAAGTTGTGATAACACACATCATTTCTAGTTCTAAACATGAGAAAATATTGGCTCCTTTATGTTTTCTAAAAGACATATGACTTAATAAAAAGTGGCTTCAAAATATTTTGATTAAAGAATTGAAGATTTTTTTCAAGGTTGACCATTTATTATTATAGACCATCTCTTCTCCAATGAAAGTAAATTTAAAACACCTTTAAATATGACTCTGAGTCTGCTATTTCAAAAAATGTAAAGTAAAAAAATTTGCAATTTTAAACAGAAAGCACC
This sequence comes from Homo sapiens, assembly GCF_000001405.40. Lineage (NCBI taxonomy): Eukaryota > Metazoa > Chordata > Mammalia > Primates > Hominidae > Homo > Homo sapiens. The sequence continues at coordinate 79,696,849 of NC_000006.12, read as the reverse complement.
TACTAGTTTTTGCTACCTTAAATTCTTGGAGGAATGGGGTATAAATTAAAAATAAGGTAATATTCTAATTTATAGCAACAACTGAAGAATTGGGGGGAAAAACAAAAAACTAGCCTCTGTTGTATGTTTTAACACTGGGTAGTCTCTAATTATGCATCAGAGGAAGCAAAACCCCCAAATCTAAGAAATTATATATGCATTCCTCTAACACCGTCACTCTACATCTCTAAGAAAAATTCAAAAGAGATGAATTCTAAAACAAGAATAAGAAAAGATTTACCTACCTTTGATGCCAACCGTGGTTTCAGGCCTAAAAATGAAAAGACTGTGTTGCTTTCCTTGGATTCAAAAAAACTGTCATAATCCTAGAAAAAAAGGGAAGCAGAAAATAAACCAACAAAAGCAAACAATTATCTTTATATTTGGTACTTTGAACAAATTCTTTATGGAAGTAAAAAATGTACCATTGCTCTGTCCAGATCAGGGAAAAGCTAAATAAATCTGCTGAATTAGTCTGCTTGCACGTAAAAATTTATTTTAGTATGATGAAGAATGTAACAAGTTTTTAACCCAAAACCTATGACAAGATTAAAATGTAAAACATTTGGTGACAGAAATGAAATAGGAACACACTCCTTTTCCTTTGTGGGCCAAACTAACATTTGTCTGTGAATCACTCTGACCTAAGATTTTACTCTAGGTTTTCAGTATGGAAGGCTGCCTCCCAATTCCACTCTTGATATTTTGTTATCTAGGGTTTTGAAAAAATCACTGGGTAAACAAAGCTGTAAAGGTCTCCATGTGTCAATGAAAGTGTGTCTTATTCTGCTTCTGAAGTTTTCCACATTCTTTGAGACCATCTCCTTAGAGGGAATAAAAAGATCAAATAAAAACTAAAGGAAACTATATTCTCTATAATATTTACCTTTGCCTCAAACATATAGAATCATTTTTCTCTTCCTACCTTCACAAGAAGGCATCAAGGAATTCTGGTCAATCTGTTCAACTGTTTCTTTTCAAAAGTTTGCATTTATCATATGTAAAGCAGTCTTAAAATTTGGTAATTTGATAACTTTATCCTAAGGATAAATAATGTAAGCAAATGATGATCACAATCATTTTAGGCATTTGCTTTGTGCTAAGTGTCTTATAAATGTTATGTTATTAAATCTTCACCACAGCCTGCCGGGTTAGAGACTGGCTCAAGGCAAAGAAATATGTTGTTCAAGTTTGACAGCTAATAAGTGAGAGAACTGATATTTGGGCTCATGTTTCACTGACCTTGAAATTCACACTTTCTGTACTCTAGGGTGCATCCTGCCCAAAAGGAAACCAAGTATGGGGCACCACGTGTGCTGGAGTCACTGAGCGCTAATGAATCCATTGTTAAGCCAAGCCAACGGCATCTAGACTTGTAGAGATTCGCTTCCTGCAACGCATGCCTTGTCTGATTAAAAAATCTTTGAATTATTTGGTTCTGTGTACAGATCCTCTTCTCCAAAAGCTTTAGCAATTGAGTCTCGTGGTTTGGAAGGCAGTAGCCTCAGGTTTTTCACAGGCTGCTCCTTCTGTCATTTAGGATCAGCTCTAAAGAAAGGCCTTCCTTGACCAAGCCAAGAAGGAGCAACATGTCTGAAAAGAGCGATTTGGCCAAGTCTTCTTTGAAAACTGGCATTTAAGCTTACATCTGAAGGATGAATAGAGTTAGCCAAGTGAAGGACTGGGATGGGAGCATTCTTGGGCAGGGAGCAGCACTAGTGAAGTGTGAAGCTGGCAGGGTGGACAGGGATAAACATATGCTGGGCTTTGTAAACCAAGAAAATGATCTTGAATTTTATCTTAAGTACCAAAAGAAATCATATAAGGGTTTTGAGCAAGGGAGCAAAATGATCTAGTTTCTTTTAAGAAAATACCTAAATAACTGTGCGGAGAATGGCTCAAAAAAAGGGCAGCAAAAAGGAAAGGAGGGGAAAAAGGGGAGTACTTTGGCAATTGCAGTAAGCAATGGTGGCAGCCGAGCTGACGGCAGAGGGCAGCAGACAGGCTGCAGATACATTTTGGGGGTAGAAGTGATCATACTTGGTTGTGGATTTGATGGGGGTGATTAGGGAGAAATAAGAATTAAAGTGGCTCTGAACTTTCTGGCTTGATGAAAAAGACGAGAAAAAACAATCTGAAGGGAAGGTTGGAGTTCAATTTCAACATGTAATATCTGAGAAACTATATGAAACATTGAGTAAAGAAGATATCAGCTGAGCAACTGGAGGTTCCTAATGGCTCTAGGATGTAGAGATTTCATGGAATTTGTACGAAAATTTGTAATTTCTTGTAAGACAAAATATGATCCTAACTATGCCACAAAAACAGGTCAAAGTTTGACATGAAATACAGGCAAAATCTCATGGACTGAAAATGTTACATTCTTTGTAATGAAGCTATTTCCAAAGAGTTGAGTAATAATTCCCTCATGAGAGTTCAATAAATAATTCTGTTCAAAACATACTTTCTCTGCCTGACAATTTGTTGACTATACTGAACGTGGTAAGAGGAGGAAGAGGGCTAAATTACAGCTAGATTTGTTCCATCCTTTAAGATATCAACTGTATGTAACTTAGTATACCTGTTCTCTCTATACCATATTCAGCCTCTACTCAGTCGAAGGTCTTTCCCTGGGGAAGCTCATTCACAGCCATGGCCCTAATTAAAATCACAATCTCTTGCCCTGACCTCTCTTCTGAGCTCTGGTTCCATAAAAGTCACTAACTGTTCACAGACTCTTAAACACAACAGGTCTTAACGACAATTCATGATCTTCCACTCCACAAACTAGACGTCTCAGAAAATGGCACCACTATTTACTGGGCCCTGTAACTCCAAAATCAACACATCACAGGACTCCTTTCTTCCCTCAACCACTAGTTTATATATCCCTTAAGCCTCTCAATTTTTCCACGTTGGTCTCTACCAACCTGATCTAAGCTAGACTTCTGCAACAGCACCCCAACTTATCAACCTTTGTCTAATCTCACTATTTCTACCCCATCATTCTCTCAAAGTGAAGACAGACTGATGTTTATAAAAACAGATTTGATAAACCGAATCCAGCAGTATATCAAAAAGCTTATCCACTATGATCAAGCGGGCTTCATCCCTGGGATGCATGGCTGGTTCAATATATGCAAATCAATAAATGTAATCCAGCATATAAACAGAACCAAAGACAAAAACCACATGATTATCTCAATAGATGCAGAAAAGGCCTTTGACAAAATTCAACAACGCTTCATGCTAAAAACTCTCAATAAATTAGGTATTGATGGGACGTATCTCAAAATAATAAGAGCTATCTATGACAAACCCACAGCCAATATCATACTGAATGGGCAAAAACTGGAAGCATTCCCTTTGAAAACTGGCACAAGACAGGGATGCCCTCTCTCACCACTCCTATTTAACATAGTGTTGGAAGTCCTGGCCAGGGCAATCAGGCAGGAGAAAGAAATAAAGGGTATTCAATTAGGAAAAGAGGAAGTCAAATTGTCCCTGTTTGCAGATGACATGATTGTATATCTAGAAAACCCCATTGTCTCAGCCCAAAATCTCCTTCAGCTGATAAGCAACTTCAGCAAAGTCTCAGGATACAAAACCAACGTACAAAAATCACAAGCATTCCTATACGCCAATAATAGACAAACAGAGAGCCAAATCATGAGTGAACTCCCATTCACAATTGCTTCAAAGAGAATAAAGTACCTAGGAATCCAACTTACAAGGGATGTGAAGGACCTCTTCAAGGAGAACTACAAACCACTGCTCAATGAAATAAAGGAGGATACAAACAAATGGAAGAACATTCCATGCTCATGGGTAGGAAGAATCAATATCGTGAAAATGGCCATACTACCCAAGGTAATTTATAGATTAAATGCCATCCCCATCAAGGTACCAATGACTTTCTTCACAGGATTGGAAAAAACTACTTTAAAGTTCATATGGAACCAAAAAAGAGCCCGCATCGCCAAGTCAATCCTAAGCCAAAAGAACAAAGCCAGAGGCATCATGCTACCTGACTTCAAACTATACTACAAGGCTACAGTAACCAAAACAGCATGGTACTGGTACCAAAACAGAGATATAGATCAGTGGAACAGAACAGAGCTCTCAGAAATAATGCCACATATCTACAACCATCTGATCTTTGACAAACCTGACAAAAACAAGAAATGGGGAAAGGAGTCTCTATTTAATAAATGGTGCTGGGAAAACTGGCTAGCCATATGTAGAAAGCTGAAACTGGATCCCTTCCTTACACCTTATACAAAAATTAATTCAAGATGGATTAAAGACTTAAATGTTAGACCTAGAACCATAAAAACCCTAGAAGAAAACCTACGCAATACCATTCAGGACATAGGCATGGGCAAGGACTTCATGTCTAAAACAACAAAAGCAATGGCAACAAAAGCCAAAATTGACAAATGGGATCTAATTAAACTAAAGAGCTTCTGCACAGCAAAAGAAACTACCATCAGAGTGAACAGGCAACCTACAAAATAGGAGAAAATTTTCACAACCTACTCATCTGACAAAGGGCTAATATCCAGAATCTACAATGAACTCAAATAAATTTACAAGAAAAAAACAAACAACCCCATCAAAAAGTGGGCGAAGGATATAAACAGACACTTCTCAAAAGAAGACATTTATGCAGCCAAAAAACTCATGAAAAAATGCTCATCATCACTGGCCATTAGAGAAATGCAAATCAAAACCACAATGAGATACCATCTCACACCAGTTAGACTGGTGATCATTAAAAAGTCAGGAAACAACAGGTGCTGGAGAGGATGTGGAGAAATAGGAACACTTTTACACTGTTGGTGGGACTGTAAACTAGTTCAACCATTGTGGAAGTCAGTGTGGCAATTCCTCAGGGATCTAGAACTAGAAATACCATTTGACCCAGCCATCCCATTACTGGGTATATACCCAAAGGATTATAAATCATGCTGCTATAAAGACACATGCACACGTATGTTTATTGTGGCACTATTCACAATAGCAAAGACTTGGAACCAACCCAAATGTCCAACAATGATAGACTAGATTAAGAAAATGTGGCACATATACACCATGGAATACTATGCAGCCATAAAAAATGATGAGTTCATGTCCTTTGTAGGGACATGGATGAAACTGGAAACCATCATTCTCAGCAAACTATCGCAAGGACAAAAAACCAAACACTGCATGTTCTCACTCATAGGTGGGAATTGAACAATGAGAACACATGGACACAGGAAGGGGAACGTCACACACCGGGGACTGTTGTGGGGTGTGGGGAGGGGGGAGGGATAGCATTAGGAGATATACCTAATGCTAAATGACGAGTTAATGGGTGCAGCACACCAACATGGCACATGTATACATATGTAACAAACCTGCACATTGTGCACATGTACCCTAAAACTTAAAGTATAATAATAATAAAATTTAAAAAACAAAAAAAAACAAAAACAAAACAAACAAACAAAAAAACAGATTTGATCTCACCCTCTGCTTAAATCCTTTCCTTTGAGACTTCCCACTCCTTGTAAGATAGAGACTAAAATCCTTAATGTAATATGAAAGGCCCTACATGGCCTAGCTCTAATTCATCAGGTTTGGGGAGAAGAAGGATCTTTTTTGTTGTTGTTGAGATAGGGTCTCACTCTGTCACCCAGACTGGAGTGTAATGGTGTGTTCACAGCTCATGCAGCCTCTACCTCCTGGGCTCAGGTGATCCTCCCATCTCAGCCTCCCGAGTAGCTGGGACCACAGGTGCACACCACCACACCCAGCTATTGTTTCATTTTCTGTAGAAAAAAAATCAAAAAATTCATCTATGTTCATGAGAGAAATTATTGTAGAGATAACCCCTCTTTTTAGAGAAAACCCCCTCTACAAAGAGACCACCTATCTGTAGAGATGAGGTATCATTATATTGCCCAGGCTGATCTTGAACTCCAGGGCTCAAGCAATCTTCCTGCCTCAGCCTCCCAAAGTGCTGAGATGACAGGCGTGAGCCACCATGCCCAGTCAAGGGGGTGTTATACTTCTACTTGCACCAACCACTGTCTGATGCAACCACAGATTCATTTCTGGAAAACTGAGTGGTGTATATGTTTAGTCAACCGTGGATGTGATGTCCAGCAAACCACTATGAATTATCTATGACCTTGATCAACTCCTTTAACCTTCTCAGACTTTCTTTCTTTCTGTATCAGAATACTAGTGAAATCCCTTGGAACGCCAGAATTCTACAAAATAAAGGAGAATCCAGTAGAGTTGCTCCTAAATGGACTGTTAGCTGTGCCCAGGTGTAAAGCCCAGCCTAAGTATTCCTGTTCCTGGAGATATTTATTTGGAAATTGCCCCTGTCTTGTTTAACTGAATAGGTAAGGGAAAAGATATTAATGAGAAAAATTGAGGGCTAGTAACTTGATCATCAAAATGCTGTCCCTGTTCTTGTTTTAAAAGGCTACCATCTGTCTCTATGTGATTAAAAATATCTTATGTGGTCATTTGGGGTGGTTCACATCTGTAATCCCAGAGCTTTGGGAGGCTGAGGTGTGAGGACTGTCTGTGGCCAGGAGTTTGAGACAAGCCTGAGCAACACAGCAAGACCCCGTCTCTAAAAAATATTAAAAAATTAGCCAGGGATGGCAGCATGTGCCTGCAGCTCCAGCTACTTGGGAGGCTGAGGTGAGAGGACCAACTGAGCCCTGAAGTTCAAGGCTACATGCAGTGAGCAATGACTACACCAGTGCACTACAGCCTGCATGGGTGACAGAGTGACGGAGGGCCTATGTCAAAACAAAAACAAAAACAAACAACTCTAATGTCAGTGTGAAATGTAGGAATGAAAAGTTAATGAAATGTAAAAAAGAAAACATAAACAATGCCTCACTCAATCTCTATACATGTAGTATGAATTCTACTTTCAAAAGCTTTAGGTGGTAACACAAAAATATTGTGCATGTAAAAGAGCAAAAGGCAAGGTACAATGAGACTTAATGTTTATATTTCAGGTTTCAGTGTTTATAATTAAAAACCTTAATCTTAAAATGATCCCAATGCCCCAAATCATAACATTGGAAATAAGGTAAATTCTCAAGTGCAAGTTTCATATATATAAACCAACACCTATAAAATAGACAGATTTTGAGGCTGCAGCCTCAAAATTTTGAGATTGTACCACTGCACTCCAGCCTGAGCAACAGGGCAAGATCCTGTCTCAATTAAAAAGAAAAACCGTGTATATGTAACATTTTCTCTCATGCAGAGAAAATATGTAACATTATCAATAATCCATTTGTCCATATTAAATTGAAACCATTCTTAAAGTTTCAGTCACCAAGAAAGGTATTTAGAAATGTCAGATGTTTAGAAATCTCAGAATAGCAACATTTTTTACTTTTAGAAAAGAAAAATTTCTCTTAAGCTGTATTTCTCTCATAATAATTATAAGCGTTATTTTTATGTTATGAACCTTTAATTCAGTGCCCTATCACTATTGCCAGCAGGGTGCTTCTTATCCAAAAATTGAATGGGATCCACCCAAAAGAATAGAAATTTTTATTTAAGGTAATTAACTCCTTCCAAATGACAAATATAAAATTTGGTAATTAGCTTGAAAAAGAGAATGATTTAAAGAAAATCATTTTTAAAAGTCAGTGTTAGACTAGTACCTGACAGACACCAGGTTACCAATAATTTCTGTCATGTAGATAGATGAATTGCATTTGTTAATTAATGACACGCCATGTTTTAGGTATATCATGTTAGTAACAATTAAGTAAATCCTATTTCTATTCTGTTATTTACCAGTTTTAAAGAATTGTGTGAAAAATTCACTTTCTAACATTCAAAAGCTTTTGAGTGGCCTGATGAATCCTAAAGTACATAAATATAAAGTGAAACTATTAATATTTTCTTTGTCATGTTTAAGCAAAAAGTAGATATGATAGAGATAAGTTAAATGCATGTGAAATAATTTAAGATTAATATAGTATTAAAAATTTAAAACTACTTCCTATTAAGATACAAATTCTTATGGTTGTAAGCATTCTTAAATAAAATAAAAAAATCTGCTTTCTTATCAAATTTGTTTTACTTGTCAGGCTTACATATATTTAAAAAATACCTTAGGGTTCCTACTACAAAGGTTAAAAGCACTGTATTTTTAAAACTCACATAAAGTTTCCAAATAGGCTCACTGAATTCCTTATAGTCTAAGGCACTCTCCCTAAAGTGTTTTGTAAATACACATCTGTAGATTGCACATTTCAGGACAATCAACCTTTTGTAATTACAGAATATGATTAGTAAATATTTACTTTGCAGAAAGATATAACCACATAAATCATATTCAAGGTAAAATTGCCCATTTCAGAAGCTGGTACATTTTCATTCCATTTAAGACAAAGGACAAAAAATTCACTTTGTTTATATTGCCAATTGCTGACAAAAAGAAAAATCTCTGAACTGTATAGATAATAGCATAACCAAGCTACTCGAACTCACTAAGGGAACATTTATCTAAATGCTGTAATTTTAAGAATATAGCAACCTGAACAGTTGTGGTTTTTTGTTTTTGTTTTTTTTTTTTTAAATCTCTCATCACCTATACTTCTGTTTATGTTCAAGTGAAAACCACTGTTAGAGACATTTCTAAGCTCATAATAAAATCTACAACAGGTAGAGTTAACAACAGTTTCATTCCTCCACAAGGCTTACTTAAGGACATTATCTGTGCACTCCGATTAGACCATTATGGACTAAGCAAGCATCTGAGACAAACACCTTAATGTTCTTTGCCCTTTCAGTGTCTCTGGAGAGAACAGTTAGGAAAGCTCACAGCAGCCACTCTGATAAGCTGTATTGCTTCCCACAGCTAAGTCAATCACAATTAAGTGAAAGGCCCACATTATTTCTTCATGCCAAGGACATAACCAAATAGAAAACTGGAGGGAACAAAAACAAGGAAATGGCATAGCAACAACCAGTTCTAAATGAGCCCAAGTAAATTTGTTTTACCCAAAAGAAGAATATTTTTTAAAAAGCAATTTTTTAAGACTATAGGAGTTGCTGCAGCTGCTTAAAATGAACAGTGGCTGCTTCTCAAATTTTCTTTCAAGCCGAAGGGTAGCCTCTAAGCAGAAGTTCTTGATTTAGTGGATAAAGGTTGTTAGTGCTATAGTCTACTTTATGAAATCTTGCTATAGAAATCAAAAAACAGTAGACAATTCCAATCCTGGCAGGATAGACAAGATGCAGTTATCTAAAACAGCTTCATTTTGGCAATTTTTATGCCAAATACAAAAATATGAGCAAATCCAAAGGTGAGAATCTCAAATTCCTAATTCATGTTTAATAGTTCTGACCATACAGGTTCAAGACAACAAAGCAAGCAAATACATCTACCTCCCCTCTTACCCAAGAGCCAATTTAAACTGGAGGAGAAAAAAAACTAGGAACAGGAACCAGCCATAAAATTTTAAGAAATACCCAGAATACATAAAATACAACCAAACAGGTAGAGAAAACACAGCAGGGGAAACCACAGCCCAAACCAATAGAAGAACAGTCCTTCCCAAGGAGCTTGCACAGAAATCACAAGCCTGAGACAATGAACACAACAATCTGGAGCAGGCTATGGCAGGGCAATCAATGTATAAAAGAAGTACATTTGTAATGGCTTAGACAGTTTTTTTCCCAGTGTGGCCAGAGCTCCAGAGAAGTGCTCTCCAAACAACACTCGCTGCCTATATGCTGAAAACTCCTGGTGAGGCTTCAGGGGCCTGAGAGGCCAGCACAGTCTGTGGTCACCCTGACCCCACATCAGACACAGAAAGGGAAAAATGGAAAGGAAGTTCACCCTGGAGGGACACGCACTGAAGTCCATTGCTGCCTGGGTGTGGCTCTTTCACGGGCACCTGAGGAGTTCCAGTCTGCTTCATGCTACCCCCACTCTCCTACACAGTCTTATTTAGCCCTCCTGCTCAAAGGAAAGCAGGTCTGTGAGTTACTGGGGGAAGCCAAGCTGGCTCCTAAGAAAGACAAAAACTAACAACTAGAACTAATGCTGGAGAACATAGAGATAACTTACAGAATATACAAAACTTAAAAAAATGCTTTTTAATATCCTTGGAGAGATTAAAGAAAATGCTGCATCCACGAAACAAGAACAAGCCACTATTTTTAAAGGAATAATAAGAAACAAAAGAGCTCCTGAAAATTAAGTTTGACTGCCAAATTAGAAAGTAGATAAAAAGAATAAAAAGCAGGATAGCATAGAGCTAAAAACCAGGCTAGAGATCTAGAAGATAAAAGTTACGAATGCCTTTCAGAATGCAGAATATCAAGACCAAGAGATGGAAATTACTAGATAAGTCAAGAGTATTGAAAGTTAGAACATAAGAGTAAAACTTCATCCAAAAGGAAAAAAGATCCTGAAGATGAAAAGGAAAGACAATGGAAGGGAGGGGGGAAAAAGGGCAAAGAAATAACAGAACTTGCTCTCAAGTGAAAAAAGACACTAGTTTTCAGATTGAGCAGTCCTATTAACTGCTGAGCAGAATGTTTTTTAAAGGCACATACTGATGAAATTCCAAAGCTCCAAGAAAACCCTAAAACTTTCCAGAAAAAGAAGCAAAGCAACCTACCTTTAAGAATCTAATCTAGCAGACATGAAGTCTTCCAATCAATACAAAGAATATGGAAAATGGAACAATACTTCCTGGGGGAACTTGGTTTTAAATCTAGTCTTTTATATTAAACAAAATGATCAATTAAGAATGAAAGACTTACAAAAAATTAAAGCATTCAGAAGGTTTACTAGGTAGGCACACTATGTTAACAAAGTTATTTTCAGGACACACAAATTAGAAGAAAAATACAAGACGGAAAAGTTATTTCTCTAATAGGTTTGCCAGACAAGTGTGAAGTGGAAGAAATGAAAAGGTTAAAATGTATTAAGAGGTTCCCTTGGATATTGACATTTGTGTCATTCTCCCTTAAGCCACAGGGATTTAGTAAAGTAGGATTACATACCCTCCTCTATCTATGGCTGCTCACACTAAGCAGTTCTGTAAGGAAAAGTATTCATATAATTATAACAATATACATATAATATACATTTATATAATTATTATAGTTACAAAAGAGAGTATGACATATACTTTAGCAATTCATGTGTGTATGTGTATTCATATATCAAAATAGGGGAGAAATGAGAATGTCAATTTCTCTTCAACTTTCAAAGGAAAAAGTAAATACTGTCTAATATTTAAAATCAAGGAATATAGATATTAATACATGAATGGCAAGAACTTAGAAAAATGACAAAGCAGAGCCTCATGAAAAGGCTACATATTGGGGAAATGAGGGAAGCTGCAGAAAGAAGAGCAGAGGAAAACCAACTTTTGGTGTCCAAAGTGATATTAACATGGCCTGATTGTCTTAACAGTTTTGTTCTCTCTTCATTAATTGCATAAGATTCAGAAAGAGAGAGAATTTGAAACAGTAAGAAAACCACCAGTTTGGCTATTAGTTAAGATATACTGCTAGCCATGCAACTGGAGAGGCCTCAAACTGTCTGGATGAAGGCTTTCAGTATTCACAGCACAAGTCATCATTTTTATGAAAGTCACATCCCAGGAATTCATCACTGTAGAATATGAAGGCAAACAACTCAGGAAGGTGAAAATAGGAGATTAAACATTTATAGACAGAAGAATAAAAGCTAGAGTTATACTGAAAAGATAAAACAGCAGAGAATATCTAATTACATTGCTGTGCTTCCGGGCATGCAGCTGATCAGCAATCAACCATAAAGGAGAATTTGTATCACACCCTCTCTACTACTCAACTTTTCCCCTCCTGGTATCTGGAAAGATGCCACATATGAATATTTACAGGAAAACATCTGATGGAGAACATTCTCCTTGATTAGATAACTGATCTTTTAGACAGAAGGCCTTGGAATACAGATTTTCAAATGCAGATAAACTTCTCTAAGAAAATGCTACCTGTGGGATAGGTGAGCTTCTAACAGAGTTAGTTTTCTAAACAGATTTCATTGTAAAACTTTAAAAGTAGATTCAATAAGATTGCTTTTAACAATCTGGCTTCGAACTTTATTAATAAAATGGGAATGCGCACAGTCTGGCTTAACGGACTTCAAACCACGTACAGCAAATGCTCAGAACCTTGACAAGGCATGTCCCAACAGAATGGGCTGGCTACCTCCTGAGCTGAAAACACCTGAGCTGAAAACACCATTTACCCATTCATATAACCATGTTTGTTAGGTATGTTCTGTGTTTCTAGCAATCTAATGGATACCAGATACTAAGATAAATAGGGTAAAGGTGAGCACAAGGTACTTGGAAACCAACTGAAGGCAAAGACATTAAAAAAAAACCTATGAGATAAATATCATACTAGCAGTAATAAGGCACAAGTTTGCTGGGCATGAGGGAGAAGAAGTAATAACCAGAGTCCTAGTTAATTACAGAAAGTGTAATAACAACACACCTTTGGATTGAGCTTTGAGAGAGAAAAAGGGCAGAATTATGGAGGATGTAAAAATTACAGGATTTGGTAATCAACTGGGTATATGAGGTAAGAAAGATCAGTGTGGGGTGATTTTTAGGGCTTTCCCTTAAGTATCATATAGTAGATGTAGCCATTAGCCCTAAATAAATAGCATCCATATCTTCGAAATAGAGCACAATCTCCTGTGGCTAACAGTTACAATTTTGGACTTTTGCTTTTTTTGTTTGTTTGTTTTCCTCACTGACTCTAAACAGAGCTCTAGTAACACATTATTACTGCAGATACCCTACAACGTAGGTCAAAATTTCTGTCCATCATTTTGTTCTACTCCATTCTACCAGGTGACACACTCAATTGTCAGGACAGAGACCTGGGAAACAGCCAATCCAGTGTTTCTCAAATATATCCACTAAAGAACTCCAAGAGGCAGAGGGAAATGTGAATGGAATGTCCAGAGCAGGGGCAGACTACGGAAGGGACTGTGAGCTAAGAAGGATGTTTACGGCCGAGCACGGTGGCTCACGCCTGTAATCCCAGCACTTTGGGAGGCCAAGGCGGGCAGATCACAAGGTCAGGAGATCAAGACCATCCTGGCAAACATGGTGAAACCCCGTCTCTACTAAATATACAAAAATTAGCCAGGCATGGTGGCATGCGCCTGTAGTCCCAGCTACTCGGGAGGCTGAGGCAGGAAAATTGCTTGAACCTGGCTGCAGTGAGTGGTGACTGTGCCACTACACTGCAGCCTGGGCAACAGAGCGAGACTCCATCTCAAAAAAAAAAAAAGAAGGATGTTTACATTTCTAAAGGTTGGAAAACAAAATAAAAACAACTAATAAAAACCAAAACAGAAAAGAATATGCAACAGAGAACTACATGGCCCTCAAAGCCTAAAATATTTACCAGGTGGCTTGATCCCTGATCTAGAGGATTGAAGGACAGATTTTGAAGCAGGTCCCATAAATGTGAAATTCCTTTGAATCTTTGTTTAATCTTAAAACTTAATGGAAATGAGACATCTTGCCCTATAATATACCAGTGTTTTTTTTTAAATTATACTTTAAGTTCTAGGGTACATGTGCACAACGTGCAGGTTTGATACATAGGTATACATGTACCATATTGGTTTGCTGTACCCATCAACTCATCATTTACATTAGGTATTTCTCCTAATGCTATCCCTCCCCCAGCTCCCCCGCTCGACAGGCCCTGGTGTGTGATGTTCCCTGCCCTGTGTCCAAATGATCTCATTGTTCAATTCCCACCTATGAGTGAGAACATGCAGTGTTCGGTTTTCTGTCCTTGTGATAGTTTGCTGAGAATGATGGTTTCCAGCTTCATCCATGTCCCTGCAAAGAACATGAACTCATCTTTTTTATGGCTGCATAGTACTCCATGGTGTATATGTGCCACATTTTCTTAATCCAGTCTATCATTGATGGACATTTGGGTTGAAGTCTTTGCTATTGCGAATAGTGCCACAATAAACATATGTGTGCATGTGTCTTTACAGTACCAGTGTTTGTTCTGCTATTAAAAATATTAAGTCTTGCAACATGATGAAAATCTTCAAATCAAGTGGATGTTCCGGGCAGATGGGCAGTCTTCTCTGACTTTGGGCCCCCCCAGGTACTGAGAAACCCAACTCCGGTTTTATCAGCAACACATATAATAATCATCTTGTCATGAAAGGAGACAAGGAGATATGTTAGCATTTTCTCACCATTTATGGAGGCTCAGAAGCAGAGCCCAAGCACAATTAAGTGTATGCAGTTGCAGTTGTTCTCAAGTGCAGTGTTTATGTAAGACTTTTGGGAACGTTGTCTTGTGATCATATATTTTAAGTGCATTTGGGATCTGTTTTGAAGCATGAAGAACCTAATCCCATTATTGGGACTCCAGCCTGGGCTACAGAGAGAGACTCCATCTCAAAATAAATAAATAAATAAATAAAAATTAAAAAGAGGCAATATATAAAGCAAATGTTTGCAGTCTTCTTTGAAAAGTAAAACTGACTGTTCCCCCTTTTTCCCATTCTCATTTGTCAAACTTCCTGTACTTGCATATTGATTTTAGTGCCGGGGAAATGAGCACTAATAAAAATAATGCTGAATAACCAATTAATTCATCATAAATACTTTTAAATATCTCTTTCCAGTAACTTTTTGTCAGACCGTAGTTGAAGACCATATTTTATGTTTGTGTGTGGGCACTTAAAATATGTGTGTGTGTGTAGTGTGTGTGTGTGTAAAATAATAGTGTAGTGATCTTTTTTAAAGTGAAATTTTTTTTTTTTTTGAGACGGAGTCTCACTCTGTCCCCCAGGCTGGAGTGCAGCGGGGCGATCTCTGCTCACTGCAACGTCTGCCTCCTGGGATCAAGCGATTCTCCTGTCTCAGCCTCCCCAGTAGCTGGGACTACATAAAGTGAAATCTTATATATGGATCGGATATTTGTAAAACTGGTAATAATGGGATTAGGTTCTTTATGCTTAAAAAAAGATCCCAAACACACTTCTGATCCCAGGATAGTGTTCCCAAAAGTCTTACATAAACACTGCACTTGAGATCAACTGCAACTGTATATACTTAGTTGTGCTTGGGCTCTGCTTCTGAGCCTCCACAAATGGTGAGAAAATGCTAACACATCTCCTTGTCTCCTTTCATGACAAAGAATGAAGAGGAGAGGAGACACCATAAATACCAACTGCTGGTAATTTACCCTTCATACTCCTGCTGAAAATTAGTCTAATCAGTCTCTAGCCTACTTTCAGGCCTCAATTAACCAAGGCAATATGGGGGAATGCAGGCAGTTAGCCCCAAATCACTACTTCACAAAACTAGTAAAAAGCTTTAACATAATCTTATTTGGTTAGCAACTCGTCCAATGCTAAATCACAAATCTAACATTCCACAAACAGCATCTAAAAAAAAATTAACTCAATAGTTTTAAAACATTAAAACTCATGGAAAATGATATAAAGGTTATTTTTCGGTAAAAACAGTTTGCCATCTGTCTCTCAGCTAAGCTGTTCTCTCTTCATTATAAAACAGAACTTTCCATGGCTAACTCCAACCACATTTTCCACCCCACTTGGTTTTTCTCCCCAGTTTTACCTAATGCCTGACTCTAGATATGGCATCCTCAGTCAAACTGCACCAATCTGTCTTGACTATCTGATTAGCCACTGTGTTTTTTCTCCTTGAGGGTTAATCCACAAACTATTTAATGTGCCCCTAGTCAAATGAAACTTGACTGAATTTCCATTTCCAACCACCAGTTAAAAAATAAAAATAAAAGAACTAATAAACAAATTTAGCAAAGTTGTAGGATACAAAATCAACACACAAAAAAATCAGTTGTGTTTTTAGACACTAATAATAAATAATTGAAACAGAAAATTAAGAAAACAATTTTATTTACAACAGCATCAAAAATAATAAAGTAGGAATAAACCTAACCAAGTGGTAAAAGACTTGTACACTGAAAACTACAAAACATGCTGAAAAAAATTAAAGGAGATTCAAATAAATGGATATCCCATGCTCACGGATTAGAAGATAATATTATAGATGTCAATAATACCCAAAGCAATCTACAGATTCAACATGATCCCTATTAAAATTTCAACAGCAGTTTTTGCAGAAATAGAAAAAAAAATCATCCTAAAATTGATATGGCAAATCAACGGACCCTAAACAGCCAAAACAATTTTGAAAAAGAACAAAGTTAAAGGACTTATGCTTTCTGATTTCAAAACATATTACAAAGCTATAGTCATCAAACAGTGTGATTCTACCTAGAGACAGACATATAGACTAATAGCACAGAACAGAGAGTCCAAAATAAACCCTTCTGTGTATGGTCAAATAAACAGACAAGCATACCAAGACCACTCATTGAGAAAAAAGATGGTCTCTTCAACAGTATTGGGAAAACTGGGTATCTACATGCAAAAGAATGAAGTTAGATCCTAATGTTATACTAGGTACAAAAGCTAACTTGAAACGGATTGAAGACACAAACCCAAGGACCAAAACTATAAAACTCCTAGAAGAAAACACAGGGGAAAAGCTCCATGACACTGGATTTGGCAAACTGATTTTCTGGATATGATACCAAGAGTACAAGTAACAAGAGCAAAAATAGACAAACAGGACTACATTAAGGTTAAAACCTTTTGTTCATCAAAGGACACAATCAACAGAGTGAAAAGGCAACCTATGGAGTGGAGGAAAATATTTGCCAATCAGATAGCTGATAAGGGATTACTACCCAAATATGTAAAGAACACCTACAGCTCAAAAACAAAAAATCAAATAACCTAATTTTAAAATGGGCAAAGAACCTGAATAGATACGTCTTCCAAGATAATATACAAATGGCTAACAAACATATTCAAAAGATGCTCAACATCACTAATCATCAGATGTACAAATCAAAACCACAATGAGTTATCAACTCACACTCATTAGAGTAGATACCATTTAAAAAATAACAAAAAAAGTTGGTGAGGATGTGTAGAAGTTAGAACCTCTCTGCAATGTTGGTAGGTAATGTTGGTAGGCAAAATGGTACAATTGCTATAGAAAATAGTTTGGCTGTTCCCCCCAAAATTAAAAATAGAACTACCATACTATTTAGCAATCTCACTTGTAGGTATATATTTAAAAGAAACTATCAATAGGGTAAACAGACAACCTACAAATGGGAGAAAATATTCACAAACTATGTGTCTGACAAAGGTCTAATATCCAGAATTTATAAGGAACTTAAATCAACAAGCAAAAAACAAATAATCCCATTAAAAGGACATGAACAGACACTTCTCAAAAGAAGACATAAAAGCAGCCAAAAAAAAAAATGAAAAAAAAATGTTCATCATTACTAATCATCAGAGAAATGCAAATCAAAACCACAATGAGATGCATCTCACATCAGTCAGAATGGCCATTATTAAAAGGTCAAAAAACAACAGAAGCTGGCAGGGCTACAGAGAAAAGGAAAGGCCTATACACTGTTGGTAAATTAGTTCAGCCACTGTGGAAAGCAGTTTGAAGATTTCTCAAAGAAC
This sequence comes from Homo sapiens, assembly GCF_000001405.40. Lineage (NCBI taxonomy): Eukaryota > Metazoa > Chordata > Mammalia > Primates > Hominidae > Homo > Homo sapiens. The sequence continues at coordinate 79,679,175 of NC_000006.12, read as the reverse complement.
TTAAAACAAAGGTATCTTTCAACCCAGCAATCCCATTACTGTGTATATACCCAAAAGAAAATGGATCATTATACCAAAGAGATATATGCACTCATATGCTCATTACTGCACTATGCACAATAGCAAAGACATGGAATCAACCTAGGTGCACATCAATGATGGACTGGATAAAGAAAATGTGATACATATACACCATGGAATACTATGCAGCCTTAAAAAAAGAATAAACTCATGTCTTCTGCAGCAACATGGATGGAACTGGCAGCCGTAATCCTAAGCAAATTAACACAGGAACAGAAAACCAAATGCTGCATGTTCTCACATATAAATGGGAGCTGAACATTGAGGACCCATAGACATAAAATGCAAACAATTGACACTGCGAACCACTAGAGTGGTGACAGAAGGGGATATGCGTCAAAAAACTACCTATTGGGTACTATGCTCACTATCCCAGTGCAATATACCCATGTAATACACCTGCACATGTACTCCCTGTATCTAAAATAAAAGAAATATAAAATAATTCTAAAAATTAAAAGAATTGAAAACAGGATTTCAAAGAGATATTTGCACACCCATGTTCATAGCAGCACTATTCACAATAGCCAAGAGGTGAATTTAATCCAAATGTCCATCAATGGATGAATAAATAAACAAAATGTGGCACATACATACAATGGAATATTATGCAGTCTTAATAGGGAAGGAAATCTTGTCACATGCTAGAACATGGATGAACCTTGAAGATATGCTAAGTGAAAGAAGCCAGTTGCAAAAAAACAAGTAGTGTGTGATTCCGCTTAGTTGAAGTATCTGAAGTAGATATTTTATATAGAGAAAGTAGAATAGTGGTTACCAGGAGCTGAGGAAGGGGGCAAAGGGGAGTTGTTTAAGGGATATAGTTTCAGATCTGCAAGATGAAAAAGTTCTAGGGATCTGTTTCACAACAATGTAAATACATTTAATACTACTGAACTGTACACTTAAAAGTGCTTAAGATAGTAAGTGTTATATGTTTTTATCACAATAAAGAAAATTTAAAATAAAAATAAGAAAAATTATATACAGAAATCCAAATCATCTGTTTGCTGAATAGAGAGAGAGAGAAAAGAAATGAAAGGGGAGTAGGTATTTTCCTTTAGTATAAGTGGATGAGTTTTCATTTCTGATGCATTGCACAAATGCCAGTTCCACAGAGTGAGAACAAAGGGTTAAAACCTTGGCCATGAGGCCCAGAGCTTTCTAAAATCCAAATCAGACACTACAATTCATCATAAAAGCCAAAGTGTTGGCTCCTTTACCTTTAGAATCTCATCACCCACATTCTCAGAGAAGGAAGAATCCTGCTCACAGTAAGGATTGATTCCACTCCAGGGAATCAACAAGAATAAGTTGTGCCAGTTTGGGTTCTTGATGCAAATAACTGAGAAAGATACTAGCAACTTTGAGGGAGAGGAATTATGAATTATGGAGGTATCATAGGAGTTGTCAAGACTCCACATTAAAACTAGAGGACCAGTTTAGAAAACAGAAGGAATTTCCCTGTCTGGGTAGCCAAGAATACACTCATGTCACACCCCAGATGAGCTGCATAAGGACACCAGCCACAGCTATGGTTGGCCCCATCACCCCTGGACACTCACTGCCACAAACAACCTCCAACTGACCTCGTATTTCTACATCATCCCCTCAATGTTCAAATTCTGGGGTAGAAAAAACTGATTGGTCATGCCAGGGAGATTCCATTCAGTGGGGAACTCCTTCCAAAAGGCAAGATATACAACTGCTAAATGAGAGAGAAGGCAATTGTCCACACTGGTTACCAAGTAGCTTAGCAGCTGTTTACTCTATGCCTCACATGCCTAGCTCACCCAGGTTACAATAATAATTTTCTAATTCCAGGAAAGAGAATAAAAATATACAAGCTTTCTGGATCGTGTCACTCGCAATGTGGTAGGTTTCTACAGGTTAACCAACCAGATGACACCAGTCAGAAACTATCACTAGGTAAAGCAAGGTGCACAGAAGCAGGTGAGATGAACAAGGCCTGTGGTTAGTTGCCCTCTAATGCTTATGTCAAAGTCAAATTTACCTAACCTTGATAAGAGCCGACACTGTCTCAAAACTCTTGCCAGAAGAGACTATGATTACAGTGCATACGCCAATAGCTGTCGTGACCACCACCACAGGACTAACACCGTTCAAGCACAGAAGATGCCATTGACCTGGCACAGTTTAATCAATATGTAATATAAACCTCTAGCCAGCTCCCAGATAGTCTACTTGAAAAAATTTCCACAGACTTCAAAGGGCAAAGATACATAGACAGCTAGACGTCATAAAGAGATAAAAATAAGGAGTAAAGTTAACTATATTTTACATTATATTCTTCTATTCATTCAATATATTCCTCTATTCAAACAGCACTGAACACTTCTGCTTTTATCATGATAGAACAAAGACGTCTCTACCTCCTTTCTCTCAGTAAGTCAACAAAACAACAAAGATTTTCAAAAAAGATTATATATATATACACACACACACACACACACACACACACACACACATACATAAAGACATAAAGCTAGGAGATTCAATCTAAAGGCCTAAACCACAATATAAGCAGTAAGTGGGAAGAGAAATGGTGAAAGATCTTAGAAAAAAGAGAATGGTCAAAACTCAATGTCTGCAGGAGCACTATCAGCAAGAAGCAAGGTGTAGGGCTCCATCAAAGGTCAGGAACTGGAGGCATCATCTGTTGTGAAGGTATGGTGAGTGAGCAAAAGCAGAAAACAGAAAAATTGTTTGAAAGTCTGTATAAGCAGCAGTTAGATCCCAGGGTGCCTCACTCTCCTCGAAGGAGCTAGAAGATATTAATACATTATTAATAAACATGGCCTCAGGGATGCAAAAAAATGTATACACATGGGCACTGAAGAGAGACTGAAAATAGGGATAGGAAGTGAAAATCTGCACGCTAGAGAGTGAGACCTTCCATTTCCCTCACCCTAAAGGTCCAGAACTCCAATAGCCAGGCAGAGATTCCCAAAGCAGGAGACTGAAAGGCCACTCTCCAGAAAAATTAAACCACCATCTGAGAAAAGACCTACAGATACTACTATCAATATCTGCAATGAGAATGCTAACAGGCTACTGAGTCATCCCACAGGGAAACAAGGCTGCATTCATGTAAGACACACACGCAGCTTCTAGTGAGCTTCCTAGTCTCACCTCTTACATGAACAAAAGACGAGGATGAACATACATATAAGGAAAGCCCACCCCACCTGAGAAAAATAACCAAAACAAAGTGAAAAAAAAAATCAATGAAAACAGGAACAACACAACTAACAGAAGAAAACTTCAAATAAATCATATTTAATATCTTTAGTTAAGATCTTGTATTCATTTAGTAGAAATACAACATTATTTAAAAGAATCACAGAGCAAGAAATGGGGAGAAAAGGACAAAAATTCAATGAAAGGATTTTGTTCTTTTTCAGAAAGAACAAAAATCGAATAGGTGGACATTAGAAAAAAAGATTAAAGTATTAGAAAATCAATGTAAGAAATCCAATATCCAAATTAATAGGCACTCAAGAGAAAGGGAACAAGGAAAAAAGTAGGGAGAAAATTTTCAGGAAAAATAATATAAGAACACATGTAATCAGCAATCACAGAATTTCTTAAAAGGCATACTGAGCACTCAGCACAATGAATGAAAAATAGCTCATACCATAGTAATTCACCAAAAGATGTGGTGAATGTATATATAAGAGATTAAAATTTTTCATAGAGTAAACTGACAAAAACATAAACAATCAAGGAAAATGGCATTAGACATCTCAATCGTAGCAGCGAAAACCAGAGGACACTGAATCAATATCATCAAAATCCTTTCCAACCTAGAATTCTGTACCCAGAAACTACCACTAAACCATAAGACTAGAATAAAAGCATTTTCAAAGCCTCGAAGTCCGAGGGACAGAAAACTGCTAGATTTTTGTTTTAAGCCTTCTAGCACTATTTGACTTATAGCTTTATTTTATTTTGAACTATATACTTTGCAAACATTTTCAGGTATTACTTCATTTAGGTCTGCAGGCACAAGAGTACATTTTATATCCTTGGTAATCATGAATAAAATACACCCTTGGTTACCACACACTTCTCTCAATAAAATATAAAATAATGATATTAAAAACCCCATAAAATAACAATTTTCATTTTTATATAATATGCTTAAGAAATGCTTTTGAAACGATCACAAAGACAGACATTATCCCTTGCTTAAAGATAAGAAAACTGGGGCTTAAAAAGATAAGTAACTTTCCAAAGGTGTCCCAGCCGACATAAGGCAGTACTAGTGCTCAAACTTAAGTCTAATGCCATGTTCAGGATTCTCCTCAGGATGCTACAGGTAAGAATTCTCTGTATAATCTACACATGGCTTTATATTACAACTTCTCATTCTCCATTACGCACGTGGGGGAAAGGATTGTTTTCTTTGAAGCCACCAAAGGCTGTTATTCCTTTCCTCCACGCTAATTACAGCCTAGCTATTTATTTAATCTCAAGCACCTCAGCTCTGTGGCTCCTTCTTCTTTAGACCGTCCTTAAATAACTATAGTACAGGTCCAAAAATAAACACTGACTTAGATACTTAGAGATATGGCAAAAGGCAAATCCTAACTTACTCATTAGAAAGAAGTTTCTCAATTATTTTTCTTAACCTAAGGAGTACGCAAGTAGGTAAATAGATGAAAGTGACTTTTTCATCTTCTCGTATGCTACATGCAGCAGGAAAGCACCTGATATATGTTCATATATGAGGTGCACTGATATTCTTAATGATCCCTCTGGCTCATTATCATAAGAAATGGAACTCTGGTTTACGATTAGCTATTAGCAGTTATTTATACCATAAAGGGATATTCAAAGATAATTATCCCCCTCTACTACTCTGCCCCCTAAAATGTATTAATCAAAAAATAATTTGATTAATAATTTAATAATTAAAATGATTATTTTTAATGCTTCAAAATTTAGAACATAATACACACATACATACATACATACACACATACACAGAGCTTCCCTTCCTACTTCTGTTTCCAAAGCAAAGACAGAGCTCAGATTGACAGACACACGTGCACTTACATTCACATACCACACAACCCTCGCACATACATACACAGTCCATGACCTTGGACTCACATCCCTTCTCAACTTCACCCTCTGTTAGACATGTGGATCTGAATGGGCATTGGGTGAAGAAGTCACAGTCTTCACTGGAAAAACCCACCTGCACTCTAGGTGGCATGTGTTCTGAACAATAAAAAGAAACAGCATGATAACAGTCTAGCCACTTACTCCACAGTATCGGTCGCCATTAAATATCTGAGGTGGCAGGGGGTTGCCCTGAGTGGGTTTCTTTTCCGGGGGGACGTTTTTGTACATCCATTGCCTCTGTTCTTCTGACATTGTGATATCCACCTCCTCAAACTCTATCTTGTTGGCTTCCAGAAATCTAACCACATCTTGCTGCTTCTTCTTTATCTAAAGAGAGAAGACAAACAAATAAGTAGATACGCTTATCTGAAACAGTATGTATATACTTCCAAACTGAACTAGATTTATGTCATTGATACAAAAAAAGAGGTGATTTATGTAGGTGTCATGCACTGTCCACTCACTAGATATCCAGTGGAAGACTGAGCCAGCCCCAACACAGTCGTTTCTTTGATGTTGTTATTGCTATTTTGAGATGGGGTCTCTCTATGTTGCCCAGGCTGGTCTCAAACTCCTGGGCTCAAGTGATCTACCCACCTCGGCCTCCCAAAGTGCTGGGATTACAGGTATGAGCCACTGCACCCGGCCACTAACACGGTCGTTTCTTCAACCTAGACTCCCCAGAACTCTGGAGCACAATTCAGGTAGCTTGGAAAGAATGGACTATGAGATGACAGAGTGCCTTAGTTCTCAGTGGGCCATAACCACTCCCCATCCCACCCCAACCCCACCCTCACCCTTGCAAGAAGTTGACATCTATGGTCATAAAAGCTCCCTTTGCCCAAAACCATCTGAAAACCACGTATAGACTATCTGAGATGTTGACATTTCATTGATTCATGACAGCAGCAACATTTTTATTCCCCTCAGCAGCCTTCTTCAGAAATTCCACAGCTGTAGCCACTACCATGAAAGCATCCTTTCATCAGTTCACAGGAGAAAAATGTTCTCCACTTCTAAGGTGAGAGTAAACAAAGAATATCATCTTACTTTGAACTCTGTTTCTTAACCCTTTTCATTCCTCTGATCTTTCACTTTTCCTTCTTCAGTCACTAGGGGTCAGATGTGCTCTTGAGGAGCTGCAAATCCATCTCTGCAAAGTTTTCAAAATGTTGCCTACCTTCTTAATTTAAGAGTACATACTAATTGAGATGGAATGAAAACACAATAGTCTCTCCTTATCCATGGGGGATACATTCCAAGACCCCCAGAAGACACCTGAAATGACAGATAGTGCCAAACCCGTATATATACTATATTTTTTCAATCTGATGACCAGGAGGCATGTCCAGGTTTGTGTTTTAAAGAGATCACTTTAATAGTATGCAGCTTAAAAAGAAAAAAAACAGAAGCTCTGTATGTACTGTTAACATTGTTATGAAAAGCTCTCCAAGACATATTAGTAGGTTAAAAAGAAAAGCAGCAGAACTATATGTAGACTAAGCCCACTTTAAAAAAAAATGGAGAAAAATAAGAACGCATTTATATTTGCTTGTGTTTATACTGTTTTAAAAAATTCTTGAAGGTCATGTAAGAAACGAACAGAAGTGCTTATCCAAGGGCTAGAGGAGCAGGAATTGGGTAAGGAAACAAAGTGGGAGCAAGAGTTTTATTTTAAAATGTTTTGAAGATTATAATAAATGTGTTAATATTCAAAAGAGTAAAAAGAAGAAACATATTTTAATGAGAGAGAGGTGGCACCCTAGCTTCCACAGAACAGCTTGGAGGGTGGCAGTACACACCACAGAGATGCCCTGTTTTATACAAATCATGTTTTCCCAATGTGACATGAAGCAGAACTCAAAGCATTTTGTTGAGTCACTGGCCCCCATGATTCACTTATAAGAAAGGGCAGATGATTAAAAAGAAGACATGAAAAAACAAAACAGGTAAAACCTTAGAAAATTAGCTAGTACTAATAGCAAATCACCCAAATAACAAGGTAGGAGAAAGTTAATCCGTAGAAGGAAGTTTTCAAGTGGATGTTTATGATACTAGCATCAGGAAGGAAGATGTGTCACACTACCACAGCCTGTTTGTAAGGTCTGCAGAGGTGAACATGGCCTGGAACTAACAGCACCCACCCTAGGGTGGCGGGGGCAGGCAGTTCAGGAAGCAGGAACTTAGAGAAACACATCAGCCTACTGGGCGGGGCCCAGGTAACAGAGAGGCTTCCCATGCGGTAACAGGAAGCCATCAAGAGCACTTCATGTGCTGGGCTTAATTCCAGAGTCCAAATAGCCATAACATACACAATCATTTCCTTCACACAATGAATTTTTTTATTCTCCCCACATTTCAACTCTTCTGAAATGAAATGAATCTTACAATCAATATCAAAAGGAATTTCCTAAGCAAATGGAAGAGAAGTAAATTGTGGGCCAACAGTCACTGCTTTCACCTATGTCATTTTTTTGTTTTGTTTTGTTTTGAGACAGAGTTTCACTCTTGTTGCACAGGCTGGAATGCAAAGGTGTGATCTTGGCTCACCTCAACCTCCGCCTCCCGGGTTCAAGTGATTCTCCTGCCTCAGCCTCCAGTATGTGCCATCACGCCTGGCTAATTTTTGTATTTTCAGTAGAGATGGGGTTTCTCCACGTTGGTCAGGCTGAACTCGAACTCCCGACCTCAGGTGATCTGCCTGCCTCGGCCTCGCAAAGTGCTGGGATTATAGGCGTGAGCCACCGTGCCTGACCTCATCTATGTCATTTGATCCATGGGTGGAAGGTACCTTCAACTCACCTGGTTTTTTTTTTACTTAAACACCCTTGGAAGCAAAACAATGGTAGTTATTTACCCAGTAACCAATCTCCCTCTCTTTCTAAATACAGAAGGCTGGTTTTACTTAGAAAAGCAATGTGCTCAGCTACAACATCATGTTTACGCAAACACCTCTATTGTTAATCACATGACACAGTTCTGACCAATGAGATGTGAGGCAGACAGTCCTTGGGAAGGCTTCACTTAAATGAATGAAAACACAAAGCAGGCTTTTGCCCTTCTCTAGTCTGCTTACTTGCAGAAACGCAGATATGGTGCCTGGAGGTGCAGAAACCATTTCACAAATGTGAAAACAAACACCATAAATATGTGAAAATAATATATGCTCAAGCAGAAAGACAGTAGCCTGGGTCCTTAATGACATTTTGTAGCTGCCACCCCAGTCTCTTCATGCACAACCTATTCTACACCTTTCTGTATTAGACAAATAAACCCTTAATAAGTTACGCCACTCTTCATCCAGTTTTCTACAGCTTGCACCCAAATGCAATTCTTAATTGCTATTTAAAATGACTTCAGAAATACTGTATTATGATGAAGGATTGAAAATAACAGCTATAACTGCACAGTAGAGCCTGGCAATAAGAGCTGTAAGACATAAACTTAATATATGTGAGTGAATATTTGTCACTGGATAAACAGAGGAATTTTCTTAATTTACTCCATAGAGCAACAACCAACATGTTGGAGCTAAAACAGGCAGGTTATCTAAAAGGACGAAGAGTGCATTTCACCCTAACATTCAAACACTACTACACACCATACAAAGCAATTAAAGGGAACACAGAATCCCTTGCATTAGATTGGGAGTAGGCAAAATATGGCCCAAGGCCCAAATCCAGCCCACTGACCATTTTTACATGGCCTGCAGCCAAAAATGGTCTTTATATTTTTAAACAGTTGGGGGAAAAAAACAAAAGAATAATGGTATTCCATGACATGTAAAAGTTATATGAAATATAAACACCAGTGTCCATAAACAAAGCTGTATGGGAACACAGCAACACCCATTCACTCACATATTGTCTATGTCTGCTTTCTCCCTGCAATGGCAGAGTTCAGAAGTTACAACAGAGACTGTGTGATCCCCCAATGCCTAAAATATTGACTAGCTGCCCTTTATAGAAAAGGCTTGTCAACCTTTGAGCTAGATCACAGATCTTCACTTCCGGATCAAAGTTCCCTTTCTCAGTGAGCCCTCCTTTGACCACCTGATTTTACACTTTTACCACCTACCCCAGAACTCTCTACTTCCCCTCCACTGCTGTATTTTTCACCACAGCACTTGGCATCTGACAGACTGTAGATACTATGTATTTGTTTGTCCATCTCCCCCACTAGAATATAAATCCCCTGGCTGGGTGCGGTGGGTCACTCCTGTAATCCCAGCACTTTGGGAGTCTGAGGTGGGGGGATCACCTGAGGTCAGGAGTTTGAGACCAGCCTGATCAACATGGTGAAACCCTATCTCTACTAAAAATACAAAAATTAGCCAGGCGTGGTGGTGCATGCCTGTAATCCTAGCTACTGGGGAGGCTGAGGCAGGAGAATCACTTGAACCTGGTTGCAGTAAGCAGAGATCAGGCCATTGCACTCCGGCCTAGGCAACAAGGGCGAAACTTTGTCTCAAAAAAAAAAAAAAAAAAAGAATATAAATTCCCCAAGGCCAGGAGATTTTGTCAGTTTTATTAAACATTTGTTAATGACTAGACAAGACGTTCACAGGTAGAAAGGCCTGTGAGATAGGGAACTTTCCTCCCAACCAACAACAGGGCTGATTCTTTTATCCTTGAGGGCTCACCTTTAAGTATCACCTCTTCAAAGAGCCCTCTCTAACAACCTTGCTGAAGTTTTATTGCCTAAATTTATTAAAATTTTATTTATTTATATGTCTCTTTGTTTTTGTTCTCACCTCTCTCTCTACAATGTCAATTCTGGAAGCAGAAGGACCAGCGTGCAGGAGGCCCTCAATAAATATTAACTGAATGGATGATTCAAGAATTATTCCAGTCCTAAACATCAAAGATTTCCAGGTGATGTTCAAGAGAAACTATTCAAACTAAGTGAGTAATTTAATTTAGGAACAAATGTAACTTACATTTAGCCCAACAGGAAAGTGGATCAAATGACAGTATTTCTCAATCCCAAAGCAGCACAGTTTTGAAAAGCATTGTGCTTAGGATGCTACATCTAACTGTACATAGCCGAAATAATTCAGAAGAGTCTCTAGACCCTGATGCGAAAAAAGACTTTGCTTCTAACTCTGACAGTGACTGAAAAAGAAAGTAGTATGTGGTTGCATGTTTAAATAAATTCTATTGTCAGTTAATTTTAATAGTTGCAAGTGCATAACAAAACAAGAAGTGTTTTGTTTTGCTCAAATGGTTTTATTAAATTGTTGATACATTTATAAATATGGCAATTGAGATTCAGGGTATTTCCCTGAATCTGCTTCCCATTACGACCTTAGTACTCTATTACCCTCAACCACTCCCCCCCACTAACTTCAGGAGCTCTGAAGCAAACTCCTCCCTCAGATGTGCTTTGAAGCAGCCTTGTTGGCCACTGAATGGATAAGCCTTTACCCTTTGACTCCAGATCTGTGAATCTCCTGAGGACCCCAATGCCTGCACCCAAGCCCTCGTGACTCACCCCCACAGGGCCCTGGGGAGTAAGCTGCGGGGTCTCCTGACTCCGCATGAAGACTCAATGACCCGTGGAAATCTTAGTGAAGACACTTGGAACCTTCACTGGCAACCTCCTGGCTCCTAGAGTCCCTAGGGATTTGATTGGAAGACAGGCTAAATAATTACCTTGCACGTGACTCAGCCTTAACCCCCTACTCTGTGGCACTGACTGCTAAGTAAACTTGCATGCCTCTACTCTCTTCTTGTAGGATTACTTCTTTCCCGGGAGGATCCCAGTTAACTTATATAATTAAGCAGCCCCTGCCAGATTCCTTCCATAGGCTTCCAGACACGTCTAGCCATGTTTGAATTCCAGGGTATACATAGCTGATGCTGCACCATGGGACTCACTAGCTGATGCTGGAACCTTGGGACTCACTAGGAAATAAAGAGACATAATCAATTTGAATAAGAGTTTTTTTAACATTGAGATTGAATAAGAACAATAATGGGAAACAAGTTTATCTGAAGACAAATGAGCCACAGAGGACAATGAGGAAAACTGGGGGGAGGTGGGGCCGGGGGAAGTATATATTTTAGAGTCAGATTGTCCTGGTTTTAATTTTGACCCTGACAGATGGGTAGCCTTGGAGATATTACTTGGCATCTCTCTTAGCTTCCATTTCCAAACCTGTGAAATAAACTGCTAAATTAAGTTTAGCCTAAGGCCAGGAGCGGTGGCTCACGCCTGTAATCCCAGCACTTTGGGAGGCTGAGGTGGACAGATCACCTGAGGTCAGGAGTTCGAGACCAGCCTGGCCAACATAGTGAAACCTCATCTCTACTAAAAATACAAAAATTAGCTGGCTGTCATGGCATGTACCTGTAATCCCAGCTACTCAGGAGGCTGAGGTGGGAGAATCCCTTGAACCCAGGAGTCAGAGGTTGCAGTGAGCTGAGATCACACCACTGCACTCCAGCCTGGGCGACAGAGTGAGACTCTGTCTCAATTAAAAAAAAAAAAACTTAGCCTAAAGCTACCTCCTTACATATTTTGAGTTCAGCCTAAAGGTTGCTCCATCCATAGTGAACTGTAACCTAACTAGATACGTAAACAGATTGTAACCTACTCTTGGACCAATCACAGCATTTCAGCCAATTAAGGCAGCCAACTATTCGAACTGTGTCCAAACAAGGCAAGCGCCAAGCTGTAACCAATCTAACTTCCATTAGATTATTCCCGTTTTTGTACCTAACTTCCTTTTTCTGTACATAAATTCTTTGTGACTATGAAGCAGTGTCAGAGTCCTTCTGAACCTATGCTGGTTCAGGGGGCTGCCCAATTCACAAAATATTCTTGGTTCAGTAAAACTCTGTTAAATATAATCTGCATAAAGCTTTTCTTTTAATAGAACCCAATTATCTTTTTTCCATAGGTTCACTGGAAAATTAAACAAGAAAAGGCCTAAGCAGTAATGGGCACCTGCTCAATTGTTTCATTCACTCAAACATACTAGCTTTTCTATCTTTGCCCTAGATGTGGCCTCTGTCAAAAATATAGTAACTTCTGAGTGCTTTCAAAGGCTTTAGATATTCAACACAACAGTTCTTTATTTCACCTGCTTTCACACTTCAAACACACAGCTTTCTTTATTCTGACTTGGGGTAGATGTAAGGCTGATTAGGACCTCTTATGTATCTCAAATAGAAAAAAGTCAGACAGTGAGAGAAAATAGAAGGGAAAAGTTTTTTTTAAAACAGCTTGACGAAACTTACAAAGGAGGGCCTGGACTGGATTAAGGAAGGTAGAAGGCCCTAAGTTGATTCTTCCTTTCAACTAACAAGGGAGGAAAGGGCTGAGGCTCTTTCCCTTGTCAAAGACCTCAGGAACTTTCCAGTGATTGAGTAGGGTACCTCAAATATACCTAATTTCATGGCAAATTCTTTAAATAAAACACCATCCTTGGCCTTATTAGGGATTATGCTGTCAAAAAAGAGGATGCAAATGGCAGAAAGTACTGTGGCAGACATTAGCCTAGTTACACCAAAGCCATTCATGATCTGCCCTGTGAAGTCTAAAAAACTAAAGCTCAGTGTACTAGGTGGAGCTTCTGGACAGAGCTTGGCTTTTCTGCTGAAGCCGACAGATTACAATGCTAAGGCCCCTTGTCCCTGCCCTTCCTCATTCTTCCAGCTTGGCATCCAGATGTGAGGGCTAGTGGTGTGGGGCAGCCTTTCCACGTTGAGGTGACAGGCATCAGAAAAGGCCAAGAGAATCCCAGCAAGGCAGGCCCTCGACAAGTTCAGCCTCCAGACTTACCAGGAGAGACTGAAACACCTCTGTTTAAGCTCATGTTAGACAGGTTCTCTGTTACTTGCAAATGAACACATTCCTAACTGAAACCCTCAGCAGTACGCCTCATTGTTGGGGAGCAGGGCAGGGGTGTAGAGTAACCCCCAAGAAGCCATTTGCTAACTGGCAATGTTCTAATGCTGCTTAACTAAATGAGAGATTATACATAAAGTACAGTGTCTCCAGTTTCTATTTCAGTTTATCTTACTAGAAAGCAAATACCAGATTACCAAGCCAAGGATAAAGAGGCTGACTTACAAAAGACTGAAGCTTGAGTTTTACAGAATCCCTGTCAGAAAGACAGATTATAAAATAAAGGTCAATTTTTGAAAAACTGTTAGTACATGTTATAAATTGAAACAATATAATTTTAATGATAGAAAATGCTGTGGTTTTCCATCTATGTATCACTAGCACAGTCCCTGGCACTTACTACATGGGCAAATATTTGTATTAAACAAATAAATATTATTAAGCTTGAATTCATACTTTTAACTTTGGTTTTCTTTTTAACCAGTCAATATTTTTGGTCCTGTTTTCTTGATCAATTTGCATTGGTTTCTTTTTTACATGTTTATAATATGGTAAATCATCTTTCCCATTTGAAATTTTTTAATTTTAAAAAACCCATAATCTCATCACGCTGAGGCTTTTATTTTTCATAGAACCTTCCAGGGAGCCCACATTTAGAAGTAGACTTTATATAGTTGCCATAATAACAAATGTTTTGGGGAAGGATGTTTCTGTTGTATTACGAATATTTTTTGTTTCTAAAATCTCCATAGCTATCTTATTGCATGTATGAATTATATTGAGTACTTATGCTAATGTATTTAAACATTATTCTAACATTGGAGATTTAGGTGTGTTGTAAAGATGGTGTTTCAAATTTGCTGAATTTTTATTTTTTTATTTATTTAGAGACGGAGTCTCGCTCTGTTGCCCAGGCTGGAGTGCAGTGGCTCGATCTCAGCTCACTGCAAACTCCTCCTCCTGGGTTCAAGCGATTTTCCTGTCTCAACCTCCTGAGTAGCTGGGACTACAGGCGCCCGCCACGACGCCTTGCTAATTTTCGTATTTTTAGTAGAGACGAGGTTTCACCATGTTGGTCAGGCTGGTCTCAAACTCCTGACCTCATGATCTGCCCTCCTCAGCCTCCCAAAGTGCTGGGATTACAGACGTGAGCCACCATGCCTGGGCAACTTTTTCAATGATAACAAATGGTTATTAGTAGTAGGCTACCTAGCAGTACTAAAACACAGGGACTTTACACAGATTTTTCTAAATCTTGTCTCCTAAAGTCTTTCAAATGAAATATTTCAGTGAATTGTTTTAATGTAACATCTTTCCGTCTTTCCATTGGTTTCCTGGAATAGCTAATTGACATCATGGAACATAACATGATTTCAACTATCAAACTGTTAACAAAAACCTTTATATGACTGATGAATGGGAAGTAGTTCTGGCTGCTGCAAGTGGGACACTGAGGTCTGTGTGGGACACTGGTTGGTCTGTGAACATGTGGCTTTGCTGGACTGAACACAGTGACAGTGACACCAAAGGCAGCAGCCTGAACCTCAATTGGGCCAGTTGGCTTTATTAATGTTCTAGTCCTGAACAGTCAAAAAGGGTTGGGTCTGTGTCACCTTGGCCAAGATACTTATTCTACCAAAGCCTTGGTTTCCTCATCTGTAAAACACAGATAATAATTCAGCATAGAGAACTGCAGTGAAATTTAAATGTCATAATGTTCATAAAGTTCTTAGTGCAGTGCCTGGCATGCAAAAAGAGCTAAACATTAAATCCAATCACAAGTCCGTTCCAAGGTGGGTGAATAGGAACAGCTCCAGTCTGCAGATCCCAGCGTGATCGATGCAGAAGACAGGTGATTTCTGCATTTCCAACTGAGGTACCTGGTTCATCTCATTCGGACTGGTTGGACAGTGGGTGCAGCCCACGGAGGGCGAGCTGAAGCAGGGTGGGACGTCACCTCACCTGGGAAGGACAGGGGTTGGGGGATTTCCCTTTCCTATCCAAGGGAAGACATGACAGACTGTACCTGGAAAAACAGGACACTCCCACTCAAATACTGTGCTCTTCCTAGGTCTTAGCAACTGACAGACTAGGAGATTCTCTCCCATGCCTGGCTTGGCAGGCCCCACGCCCTGGTAGTCTTGCTCCCTGCTAGCCCAGCAGTCTGACATCAACCTGCGAGGCAGCAGCCTGGCTGGGGGAGGGGCGGCCGCCACTGGGGAGGCTTGAGTAGGTAAACAAAGCCACCAGGAAGCTCAAACTGGGTGGAGCCCACCACAGCTCAGCAGGGCCTACAGCCTCTATAGACTCCACCTCTGTGAGCAGGGCATAGCTGAACAAAAGGCAGCAGAAACTTCTGCAGACTTAAACGTCCCTGTCTGACAGCTCTGAAGAGAGCAGTGGTTCTCTAAGCACGATGTTTGAGCTCTGAGAACGGACAGACTGCCTCCTCAAGTGGGTCCCTGATCCCTGTGTAGCCTAACTGGGAGACACCTCCCAGTAGGGGCCGACTGACACCTCATACAGGCGGGTGCCCCTCTGGGACGACGCTTCCAGAGGAAGGATCAGGGAGTAACATTTGCTGTTCTGCAATATTTGCTGTTCTGCAGCCTCTGCTGGTGATACCCAGGCAAACAGGTCTGGAGTGGACCTCCAGCAAACTCCAACAGACCTGCAGCTGAGGAAACTGACTGTCAGAAGGAAAACCAACAAACAGAAAGAAGTAACATCAACATCAACAAAAAGGACATCCACACAAAAACACCATTTGTAGGTCACCAACATCAAAGACCAAAGGTAGATAGAACCACAAAGATGGGGAGAAACCAGAGCAGAAAAGCTGAAAATTCTAAAAACCAGAGCACCTCTTCTCCAAAGGATGGCAGTCCCTCGCCAGCAATGGAACAAAGCTGGACAAAGAATGACTTTGACGAGTAGACAGAAGTAGGCTTCAGAATGTCGGTAATAACAAACTTCTCTGAGCTGAAGAAGCATCTTCTAACCCTTCGCAAGGAAGCTAAAAACCTTGAAAAAAGGTTAGACAAATGGCTAACTAGAATAAGCAGTGTAGAGAAGACCTTAAATGACCTGCTGGAGCTGAAAACCATGGCACGAGAACTTCGTAGCACATGCATAAGCTTCAACAGCCGATTTGATCAAGTGGAAGAAAGGATATCAGTGATTGAAGATAAAATTAACAAAATAAAGTAAGAAGACAAGTTTAGACAAAAAAGAGTAGAAAGAAATGAACAAAGCCTCCAAGAAATATGGGACTATGTGAAAAGACCAAATCTACGTTTGATTGGTGTACCTGAAAGTGATGGGGAGAATGGAACCAAGTTGGAAAACACCCTTCAGGATATTATCCAGGAGAACTTCCCCAACCTAGCAAGGCAAGCCAACATTCAAATTCAGGAAACACAGAGAACACAACAAAGATACTCCCGAGAAGAGCAACTCCAAGACAACTAATTGTCAGATTCACCAAGGTTGAAATGAAGGAAAAAAATGTTAAGGGCGGCCAGAGAGAAAGGTCGGGTTACCTGCAAAGGGAAGCCCATCAGACTAACAGTGGATCTCTCAGCAGAAACCTTACAAGTCGGATGAGAGTGGGGGCCAATAGTCAACATTCTTAAACAAAAGAATTTTCAACCCAGAATTTCATATCCAGCCAAACTAAGCTTCATAAGTGAAGGAGAAATAAAATCCTTTACAGACAAGCAAATGCTGAGAGATTTTGTCACCACCAGGTCCGCCTTACAAGAGCTCCTAAAGGAAGCACTAAACATGGAAAGGAACAACTGGTACCAGCCACTATAAAAACATGCCAAATTGTAAAGACCATCGATGCTATGAAGAAACTGCAACAATTAATGGGCAAAATAACCAGCTAACATCATAATGACAGGATCAAATTCACACAAAACAATATTAACCTTAAATGTAAATGGGCTAAATGCACCAATTAAAAGACACAGATGGGCAAACTCAATAAAGAGTCAAGATCCATCAGTGTACTGTATTCAGGAGACCCATCTCATGTGCAGAGACACATATAGGCTCAAAATAAAGGGATGGAGGAAGATCTACCAAGCAAATGGAAAGCAAAAAAAATAAAAAATAAAAAAGCGGGGGCTGCAATCCTAGTCTCTGATAAAACAGACTTTAGACCAACAAAGATCAAAAGAGACAAAGAAGGCCATTATATAATGGCAAAGAGATCAATTCAACAAGAGGAGCTAACTATCCTAAATATATATGCATCCAATACAGGAGCACCCAGATTCATAAAGCAAGTCCTTAGAGACCTACAAAGAGACTTAGACTCCCACACAATAATAATGGGAGACTTTAACACTCCACTGTCAGAATTAGACAGATGAATGAGACAGAAGATTAACAAGGATATCCAGGACTTGAACTCAGCTCTGCACCAAGCGGACCTAATAGACATCTACAGAACTCTTCACCCCAAATCAACAGAATATACATTCTTCTCAGCACCATATCGCACTTATTCTAAAACTGACCACATAATTAGAAGTAAAGCACTCCTCAGCCAATATAAAAGAACAGAAATCACAACAAACGGTCTCTCAGACCACAGTGCAATAAAATTAGAACTCAGGATTAAGAAACTCATTCAAAACCGCACAACTACATGGAAACTGAACAACCTGCTACTGAATGACTACTGGGTAAATAACGAAATGAAGGCAGAAATAAAGATGTTCTTTGAAACCAATGAGAACAAAGGCACAACATACCAGAATCTATGGGACACATTTAAAGCAGTGTCTAGAGGGAAATTTATAGTACTAAATGCCCACAGGAGAAAGCAGGAAAGATCTAAAATCGACACCCTAACATCACAGTTAAAGTAACTAGAGAAGCAACAAGTAACAAATTCAAAAGCTAGCAGAAGGCAAGAAATAACTAAGATTAGAGAAGAACTGAAGGAGATAGAGACACAAAAAAGCCTTCAAAAAATCAATGAATCCAGGAGCTGGTTTTTTGAAATGATCAACAAAACTGATAGACCGCTAGCAATAAACAAGAAAAGAGAGAAGAATCAAATAGATGCAATAAAAGATAAAGGGTATATTACCACTGATCCCACAGAAATACAAACTACCATCAGAGAATACTATAAACACCTCTACACAAATAAACTAGAAAATTTAGAAGAAATGGATAAATTCCTGGACACATACACCCTCCCAAGACTAAACCAGAAAGAAGTTGAATCTCTGAATAGACCAATAACAGGTTCTGAAATCGAGGCAATAATGAATAGCCTATCAACCAAAAAAAGTCCAGGACCAGACCGATTCACAGCCAAATTCTACCAGAGGTACAAAGAGGAGCTGGTACCATTCCTTCTGAAACTATTCCAATCAATACAAAAAGACGGAATCCTCCCTAACTCATTTTATGAGGCCAGCATCATCCAGTTACCAAAGCCTAGCAGAGACACAACCAAAAAAGAGAATTTTAGACCAATATCCCTGATGAACATCGATGCAAAAATCCTCAATAAAATACTGGGAAACTGAATCCAGCAGCACATCAAAAAGCTTATCCACCACGATCAGGTCGCCTTCATCCCTGGGATGCAAGGCTGGTTCAACATATGCAAATCAATAAACGTAATCCATCACATGAACAGAACCAACAACAAAAACCACATGATTATCTCAATAGATGCAAAAAGGCATTTGACAAAATTCAACAGCCCTTCACACTTAAAACTCTCAACAAACTAGGTATTGATGGAATGTATCTCAAAGTAATAAGAGCTATTTATGACAAACCCATAGCCAATATCATACTGAATGGGCAAAAACTAGAAGCATTCCCTTTGAAAACTGGCACAAAACAAGGATGCCCTCTTTCACCACTCCGATTCAACACAGTGTTGGAAGTTCTAGCCAGGACAATCAGGCAAGAGAAAGAAATAAAGGGTATTCAATTAGGAAAAGAGGAAGTCAAATTATCCCTGTTTGCAGACGGCATGATTGTATATTTAGAAAACCCCATCGTCTCAGCCCAAAATCTCCTTAAGCTGATAAGCAACTTCAGCAAAGTCTCAGGATACAAAATCAATATGCAAAAATCACAAGCATTCTTATACACCAATAACAGACAAACAGAGAGCCAAATCACGAGTGAACTCCCATTTACAATTCCTACAAAGAGAATAAAATACCTAGGAATCCAACTTACAAGGGATGTGAAGGACCTCTTCAAGGAGAACTACAAACCACTGCTCAAAGAAATAAGAGAGGACAGAAACAAATGAAAAAACATTCCATGCTCATGGATAGGAAGAATCAGTATCGTGAAAATGGCCACACTGCCCAAGGTAATTTATGGATTAAAAGCTATCCCCATCAAGCTACCAATGACTTTCTTCACAGAATTGGAAAAAAACCACTTTAAAGTTCATACGGAACCAAAAAAGAACCTGCATAGCCAAGACAATCCTAAGCAAAAAGAACAAAACTGGAGGCATCACGCTACCTGACTTCAAATTATACTACAAGGCTACAGTAACCAAAACAGCATGGTACTGGTACCAAAACAGAGATATAGACCAATGGAACAGAACAGAGGCCTCAGAAATAACACCACACATCTACAACCATCTGATCTTTGACAAACCTGACAAAAACAAGAAATGGGGAAAGGATTCCCTATTTTATAAATGGTGCTGGGAAAACTGGCTAGCCATATGTAGAAAGCTGAAACTGTATCCCTTCTTTACACCTTATACAAAAATTAATTCAAGATGGATTAAGTATTTAAATGTTAGACCTAAAACCATAAAAACCCAAAAGAAAACCTAGTCAATACCATTCAGGACATAGGTATGGGCAAGGACTTCAGGACTAAAACACCAAAAGTAATGGCAACAAAAGCCAAAATTGACAAATGGGATCTAATTAAACTAAAGAGCTTCTGCACGGCAAAAGAAACTACCAGCAGAGTGAACAGGAAACTTATAGAATGGGAGAAAATTTTTGCAATCTACCCATCTGACAAAGCGCTAATATCCAGAATCTACAAAGAACTTAAACAAATTTACAAGAAAAAAACAACCCCATCAAAAAGTGGGCAAAGGATATGAACAGACACTTCTCAAAAGAAGACATTTATGCAGCCAACGGACACATGAAAAAATGCTCCTCATCACTGGTCGTCAGAGAAATGCAAATCAAAACCACAATGAGATACCATCTCACGCCAGTTAGAATGGCAATCATTAAAAGTCAGGAAACAACTGATGCTGGAGAGGATATGGAGAAATAGGAACGCTTTTACACTGTTGGTGGGAGTGTAAATTATTTCAACTATTGTAGAAGACAGTGTGGGGATTCCTCAAGGATCTAGAACTAGAAATACCATTTGACCTAGCAATCCCATTACTGGGTATATACCCAAAGGATTATAAATCATGCTACTATAAAGACACATGCACACATATGTTTATTCCAGCACTATTCACAATAGGAAAGACTTGGAACCAACCCAAATGTCCATCAATGATAGACTGGATTAAGAAAATGTGGCACATATACACCATGGAATACTATGCAGCCATAAAAAAGGATGAGTTCACGTGCTTTGCAGGGACATGGATGAAGCTGGAAACCATCATTATCAACAAACTATCACAAGGACAGAAAACCAAACAACGCATGTTCTCACTCATAGGTGGGAACTGAACAACGAGAACACTTGGACACAGGGCAGGGAACATTACACACTGGGGCCTGTCGGGTGGTGGGGGCCTGGGTGAGGGATAGCATTAGAATATCTGATGTAAACGATGAGTTGATGGGTGCAGCAAACCACCATGGCACATGTATACCTATGCAACAAACCTGCACACTGTGTACATGTACCCTAGAACTTAAAAGTATAATAAAAATAAATAAAATAAATCCAATCACTTCATTTAGTTCCTTAACTGAAACTTGGGCAGGTGTCAGAATTTACAGTCTACTGTTCTTCAGTTTAAAGGAATATTTTAGAACCGATCAAAAAGAGGTTACTACCGCCCTGCCCGTGGCTGGATGCTTCTTCCTATTAACTTGAATTAAATCTAATCCACTACTAACAAATTATTATCTGTACATATTTTCCAACTGGGAACTGTATTTTCAGAATAGGTTAGTCAATTCCCTTCACATTCCAGATCATACATTAATGAAACAATATTTGCTTTTAATTATTTGTATAATTTAAAAATGGCTAAGTAGGATAATACTAGAAGCAAATTAAAATTTAAAAAAAATTAATTAGCCAGGCATGGTAGCAGGTGCCTGTAATCCCAGCTACTCAGGAGGCTGAGGCAGGAGAATCGCTTGAACCCGGGAGGTGGAGGTTGCAGTGAGCCGAGATCACACCATTGCACTCCAGCCTGGGCAACAAGAGCGAAACTCCGCCTCAAAAAAAAAAATTAAAAAAAATTAACAAGTCTATAAAACCTGCTACCTCAAATTTAATAACTTTATTTCTCAAAACTATGTTTAAGTTTTAATTCCATAATTACCTGTTCATGTCAAAAGACTAAAATCAGCGTCTTCCACAGCCCTTTCTCCCTACAACTCCTCCACCACCAGCTACAAGAGCCACATCCTCTTCTGGTTTCCTAGTAACCACAAAGTCATCTCCTTTTCTTTCTTCTTCACTGTCTCCTTCAGCTACCAAATACTGGAAATTCTACTATTGCTTATATCTTACCTATTTCCCCCATTGCTACAGTCCCTTTCCTATCCCACTGATGCTGATACCTCCAAGAATTTCTTTACTGTCCTACTCTCTCCCATCTAAAAGCAGACAAGAGTGTTCTTCTTAAGCGTATATCACTGCCTTTTCAGAATTTTATACTCCTCATTGGCTCTTGATTTAAAAAAAAAAAGTTCCATAGTCTCCTGGTCCTACTCTCATCAGCGATTCCCATGTTTATCTCATCTTCAGAACCCTGGAATCTAATCTTGCTGCGCATTCCTTTCAGAATTGACTGCAACCTCAAACCTCTCGCCCCATCTCTTTTCTCTAAATTATGCAAATTCATCAGGCTTCAAAAGACTTGTACACACACCCCTAAGTCTAAACAATTTGGTGACACCTTTATTTCCCATTTTCTCATGTATGTTCTTTATTTTAATATATAGTTACTGCAGGTTCAGTGTGTGTGCACACACATTCATATTTATGTTACAGTTGTCCCTCAGTATCTGAAGGGAATTAGTTTCAGGAGCTCTCCCCAACCCCCATACCAAAATCCAAGGATGCTCAAATCCTTGATGTAAAATGGTGTAGTATTTGCATATAGCCTACACATATCCTCCCTTATACTCTAAATCACCTCTAGGTTATTTATAATACCTTATACAATGTGAATGCTATGTAAATAGTGGTTACCCTTTATTGTTTTTTAAATTTTTATTTTTTTATTGTTGAACTGTTCTTTTCTTCTGAATATTTTTCATCCATGGATGGTTGAATCCAAGGATGTGGAACCTGCAAATACGGAAGGGCCAACTGTACTTATGGTCCTTTTATGTATTGTGATACGTCGTCCCAGGAGTATTTTCCACATGGTATATACTCAAATGTTATCCCATGTTTCCTCTAGGAATTGCCTGGAAGAGTGGATTCTAGAAGGAAGAATGGGTGACTAAGATTTACTCACATATCAGAAAACCAGAAAATTCAGAAGATCTTAGCGATGGCACCACCACCCATTCACCAGCTTAATCTAGAAACCTGGACATCATCATTGACTCACCTTGATGATGCAATTAACCAGCAAGTCATGACCTCTCTGCTTTCAAATTTTTTCTTGAAACCATCCATATTTCTCCATTTTCACTGCCACTGGCCCATGCCAAACCCTCATGTCTCCTCTAGAGCTTCCTACATTTTCTTCTAGCTAGATTTCCTCTAAACCACTTTACACAGAAAAGCTAAAATGAATTTCTTTAAAAAACCTAAATTAGATGATTTCATGCCTCTGCTTTAAAAACCTTTCAGTACCTTCTCATTATCCTTAAGATGAAGAAAAAAGTCCATACCCGGGCCCAGGCAGTGATAAGAAGTGCCCAACTCTCCAACTACCTTCCCCTCCCACTCCCTCTGCAGGTGGCTTTCCACCCTTGGGTGAATCTGGGTCACCTGGAGGGCTTGTTAAAGCACAGATTATGGAGGGGTGAATAGCCCCCAGAGTTTCAGATTCAGGAAGACTGGAATGGGGCTCAAGAATCTGCATTTCATATCTTTAAACAATGGAACATTATCCAGTCATAAAAATGAAGTACTGATACATGTACAACATGGATGAACTTTGAGATCATGCTAAGAGAAAGAAGTCAGTCATAAAGGATCACATATCATATAATTCCATTTGTATGAGATGTCTAGAATAGGTGACCATGTAGACAGAAAGCAGATTAGTAGTAGCCTTGGGCTGGAGTGAGAAAGGTGGGGGGCTTGGGGACCCGTTGCTAAAGGGGTGTGAGATTTCTCTGTGGGGTAATAAAATGTTCTTAAATTGTGGTGATAGCTGACAATTCTGCAAATATCCTGAAAGCCACCGAATTGTATAGTTTAAATAGTTTAAATGGTATGCTAATCATATCTCAATAGTGCTGTTTAAAAAAAAAAACTGAATTTGCAAATATAACAAGTTCCCAAGTAATGCTTAAGCTTAAGGGGCCACTGCTCTACACTAACCCTATGCAGTCTCCCTTCATCTGCTCAATCGTACCCATGGTACAAAAGTAGTTTAGGGGAACCACGAACCTTCCTGTATCAAAACTTCCCATAAGGTAGTCAGCAGCCCATGAAACCTCTTTCCAGCTTCACCTAGCTAACTCATATGCTCCCTCTTATGCCCTCAGCTTTAAGGTCACCCTCTCAAGTAAATCTTCCCTGACAAAAGCACCCAGGTATTGCACTACTGCATTCTAGACTGGGTGCTAAAGTGAGACCACATCTCCGACCCCCCCACACAAAAAAAACACCCAGGTTAGGTAAGAGTTTTGCGTGTAAACATTTTCACTGTGTCATTAATTCCCCCTTTATAAGATTAATTACACTTTTAATGAATTAAGTAATAGCTTACTTAAAGTGTACCTTCCTGCTAGGATGTAAACCAGGTTAAGACAAGGAAGAACTGCCACAGTGTTCTCAGACAGATTCCCAGGGCAAGCCATAATAGAATCAGATATCTGCACCGAAGAGGAATAAAAGTAAAAGGGATCAAACCTTAACACCACCCCCCTCAAGCAGGTACATGACACTTCCAATCCCACCTGCTATTTCGTCCTTTTGTCCAGGTGTGCATCAAGTTCTCTAAGAGGAAGACAAAGAAACATCTATCAAAATATTTCTCCTAGACCTCTTGAAGCTTGTAGGGAGAGTAAAAGAATAATACAGCCAAGAACAACAACCAAGATGAAGCATAAATTTATTCGGTGGGTTTAATTCAGCTCACCTTTGGCTTAGCAAACCCAACAAAATCGTGATCGAGATGGAACAACAAAAGCATTTCAAGTTAGGGGGTTCACCATCGGTCTTTATCTGTAAAGGAGTAGAAACTATGAGAAAAGAAAACAGAACAGGGACTAAAACAGCATTTGTAAAAATCAAAACAAAGATTCTGAACTCTGAGCTACAATGCACATATTGTCAAACAAAATCCCACACAAATTCCATCCATTTGTTCACTGGAAAGGACTGGAAAATTCACTTGATCTTTAGCAAAAATAAATCACAGTGTGGTAATGCCACACCAAATATTCTTACCTTTCCTTCTCAAAACTTCAGTGAATACAATCATATTTCATAAATAAATGAATAAAATAGGATTGTAAGCCACAGTACTTCACATCAGCTATGTTAAAATAAGTGGCAATTGATTTGGAGTATTCTTTTAAGATTTGGACTATTAATGAAAAAAATTATTTCTTTTTTCATACACTACAGCAAGTTATAAAAGTGTTCACAAATTCTCTACCTTGTGCATCCACACCCTGACACTGTGACAACGCAACTATTCTCACCAAGAGATGGAGTTTACTTCTCCATCCCTTGAATCTTGATGGATTAGCAAGACTGATATAAACAGAATACTGAAAAGTACTTGGGGCTTTCCTTCTTACCACTATTAGAACCTTGAGACCACCACCAAGTGAAGAAGCTTGAGCTAGCCAGCGGGACAATGCAACATACATGGCTCAGTCACCCTGGCCAACAGCCAGACCATTCTCCACCCCAAAACCTGCTGCTGCCATCTCTGGGGTGCTTTCCAAATCTTTGTCGGTTTCATGTGTTTATGCCCACTCTTTCTTAAGCTCCTTTCAATTACTCTTTTCCATACCCCATCTCTTTCCTCACTTCACTGCTAATTCAGGCACAGACCCACTAACTTCACTATGAAAACAGTGCCAAGGGCACAGGCCTTTCTCTATTTACAGAAAATGTAAATGAACCAAAATGTACTCTCCTTTATTTCTTTAAAGGACAGCTATAAATATTGCCAAATAATCACAAAAGTTACTTTACGCCAGACATTAGACTGTTTACAAATCCCAACAGCCAGGACACACATAATTTGATGATAAGTTCTAAAATATATAAATTATACCTTCGAATAATTATGGTTCCAGGGTAAGCAATTAGAAAGGTTCCTAAGTGGAGATAATCAGATGATTTAAAGACTGAAACCACAGAGACAGACAGAATGATATTAAATATGAATCACATGTGAAAGGGAACACACCCAATTTTATGTTAAGGTGAAACCAGCAGTTTGCTTCTTTTATTAGTAACGTGGATCGATGTTTTCTCAGAATAACTCGTTGTCTTTTTTGCTTGAAATTTTTGATCTTGTCCTGAAGACTAGCTGCTGCTAAAACAATGCTAACCTAAAGATATAGGAGTCTCTTTGACAAAATGACCTTCATGTTAAGGGGAAATGCTGTTTATCTACTCAGACATGCATCTGTGATGTTCATAGCCTTGTTTCAGTTATAATAGTTGTCTTGTTTTTTTCTTAATTGATTTTGTTAATAATACCTTAACACAGGGTAGGGAAAGGTGGCACAGTGTATTGCATTATATACATTTATCATTGATTTACCTAATGTTACATTGTAGATTAAACACTATTAAGTGTTAATACTTGAAAAGGAGCACTTATTATACCATAAGTCTTAGGAAATAATGTTTGTAATAAACTTAACTATGTTACATATCAGCAGGCAAAAATATAGAACGTTACATAGTGTTACATGATGTGATTATAGTTCCTGCTTTAAAAAAAAAATTTCTAAAAGTCACCCCCAACCCAAAATATCCACTGGGTCCCCCCTCCTTACTGCTAGGTCTATTCTCCTCTGCATGGAGGTTTTTCAGGCATTGATTCATCCTGAAAATATTTATTGAGTACCAGGCCTAAGATGTCAGGCACCGTGAGAGATCTCAGAAACCACTCTGACTCCATGCTCCATCTGGGCCATACCTAGCCTACCTCATGTCCTACTGTACACCTGAAATCCAATCTGGTTACAGCCTCTCTCAGAGTCTCAGTGGCCAAGGACCAGTTTGCTGTCGTTCTTATACTAATGTTCCAATCTGTTGCAGAATGATACTTTTATAAAACAAGAAACTAATTTCTAGAAAAATTAAATAACAAAGATAAGCTATAAACCTGAAGTTTTCATTACTATAGTTGATAAAATTACTCAGTAAAGTCGCTATAAAAGTTTCTAAATGATTACCCTCAATGGCAGTACTTACACTGGTAACACAGTTAAGTTCATGGACCACACTTTGAGTAGCCCTGCTGCAGACACACTTCTGAGTCTTCACTTTAAAGGTTCTTCTCCACTAAAATCCCCTCCATATTGTCCATACTTCCTATCCAAGTTCTATTTATTCTTCACAACTCAGCCTCAAATCCACACTGCACTCAACTAAGCCTACCCAGTTGTTCTTAATTGGAGGTGATTTTGCCCTCCTGGGGGACATTTGGCAATGTCTGAAGACATTTTTGGTGGTCACAGCTGAGGGAATTTGGGAGAAGGATACTACTGGCACCTATAAGTAGAAGCCAGGGATGCTGCTAACACATCCTAAAATGCACAGAACAGCCCTCACAATAATGAGTTATCTAGCCCAAAATGCCAGCAGTGCCAAGGCTGGGAAACCCTGATTTATCTAACCACTGCCCTCCAGAATCATCTCCTTCACCAAACTCCCATTTATACCCACGGTCACCACAAACTAGCATGTAATAATATACAGCCTTGCACTGTTTAATAACAGTTGCATGTGTCTGTGCCTCTTTCCCTGACAACCATCAACCTCTCTGGAGGATGAAGACAATGTGCACATCACATCTGCACCCCCATGGGTCTCAGTCAGGTAGCTTCAGAGGGGCTGCTTATACCCAGCAGCTGATTTATTCCCGTTTGATGTAATGCAAGTGGCTCTAACTACTTTCTCCATCAACATGTGTATAACAAACTACTTTTAGTCTGCATTAAAAAAAGAAACCTTAATACTTAGTGATGTAAAGCCTTAATAAAACGTTAGCAGAACCATGGAATGAAAGATGAGGGTGGTTGGATTTTACTGTTTTTACATTTCCTGTCAAGATTGTATGTTTATTTTCTAAAGAAAAAAGTCAGCCAAGCATAAAATATGAATTTACGGTGCCACTATTTGATGAGATTCTCTCTGAAAATTATATACAACTCTTCATACACGTGCCTCCTGTTAATTAGAGGATACTTTGTAGAAGACCAGTTACAGCAAAAATTGCTGTAACAGTCAAAATCCTCCACAGTAAGAAGGAAATCCTGCTGAGGATAGTATTTTCTATAGACAAGAATTGCAGGACTCCAGCCAAAGGCCATGTCCTTATCAATGTGCGTAGATGCCACTCTGCAACACAATGTGTTTTGTAATATGTTGTTCTCATTTCTGTATCAGTCAGTCCTCAATTGTGTGAAAAGTTATCCTAACAGATTATATAAAAACGACTTCTATTTACATTTGAAAAATAATAAAGAACAGGATGATTTCCAGAATTACATTTTAATAGTTATATAATTATATGTTTACATAATTATTTATATATTTATACATTATTTATATATTACTTATATATTTTTATATAATTATTTATCCTTATATAATTAGTTCACATTTCCATAGTAGGCATAAATTGATATACTTAAGGGAAAGTCTGGATGCCCTCACCTGCTGATAATTTGGATATTTGTCTTTCAAATCCCACATTGAAATTTGATTGTCAATGTTGGAAGTGGGGTTTGGCAGGAAGTTTTTGAGTCATGGGGGCAGATCCCTCAAGGATGTCTTGATGCCAATCTGACCACAGTGCATGAGTTCTCACTCTTGTCTCCCCCTTGAGAACTGACTGTTAAAAAGAGCCTGACACCTTCCTCCCTTCTCTCTCTCATGTCCTTCCTCTCTCCATGTGATGCCTGGCATGAATAGATGCTTTCTGAAACCCTCACCAGAAGCAGATGCTGGTGCCATGTTTCTTGTACAACCTGCAGAACTGTGAGACAAATAAATCTCTTTTCTTTATAAATTACCCAGCTTCAGGTATTCCTTTATAGCAACCAAATGGACTAAGACACCTGCATTCTATGGACTCACCTTCTGTCTTGAGTTGGTCATCTCATCGGTACTTTCCTCCCTCCTTGGGCTACTGAGTAATGTTAGCTTCCCTGTCTACTGAAAACTCCAACTATCTAACTTTGGCTGGAGATTCAATGCTATTTCTGTCCTACATAACTGCCACTGGGAACTTTTGTATCTTTCTGAAATCTCTACAGGCACTTGCCCTTCCCTCAGATGATCCTAATTCCTGCATTCCAAATAGAAGAATGTCCAACTTGGAGTGTGCCTGCAAATTCTGGTCTCTCCACCTCAAATTTCTCTATATCTTCAGCCATATAATTCTCCATTCCATCTTGACTCCAAAGAAAAAGTGAAGAAATTAACAAAGGAGAATTAGGGTAACTGTGTGTGTGTGTGTGTGTGTGTGTGTGTGTGAGAGAGAGAGAGAGAGAGTACATAAGAACTAGCATTAAAAATAACAAAACAAAACCCTTTAAAAAGGTCAAGAGGTTCACTCAGACGTTTACAAGGACTTTCATTGTGCTAGACACTTCCCGAGGAACTAGAGAAACACAGGTGACAAAACAAAGCCTCTAATTTGATGCAGTGCAAAGTCTAAAGGGAAGAAACAGAGCTTGCTTACAAGTAACTTCAATTTGAAATTGGCATTAACAGAGGCATGCCTATAGAGCCAGGGCAATCAAAGGGAAAAGTGCATGGGGGCTAAAATGCTATACCTATGTGTAGACAAAGAAGAGAAGCACAGCAGCAGAAACATAAAAAGGAGAAACACAAAAAGAACAGCTCCTAGGATGATGGGAAAAGAAAGTCTGTAAGTATTATAATGAAAGGTAAAAAGAAGAGATGATGAAAGGCAAAAAAAGGTGCTACAAATGTGGGGGCCAGAGGTAGGAGCAAATAACCTACTTTCTCCTGGAATTGGAAATTAAGGTTTTCTGTATACTTGAAGCTCACCCTGCCAAACACAAATTTATTATTATATTTTATTTTAAACTACTTCTATTTAGAAATCTTTCTAAAATATACCACATATGTTTCTGCATTGTAAAGCCAAGACATCAAACCAAAATATGCCAAACCTGATTTAATCTGTTCTAGACTAAGAATCTTCATGATTATCCATTTTTGTACTTTGATGTGGTGTGCTGACATTCCCAGAGTCCATTCAAATGTAAGTCTGCTGTTTCACTCTATGCCAAACACAGTCTAAAACTATGCTTCTGGAATTCTCCAATTCTGCCTTAAGAAGGGAGCTGTCACTTCTCAGAGCTTCCCATTATGACTTCCCTCACTTGGGCTTTGAGGACTTTCTGCCTGTTTCATTAACAGTCCTCTGGGTGAGGTGGTCCTACAGGGTGGCCCTCTGCCATGAAGAATGTAGAATGAAGAGCTAATCACCTCTCAGTGGCTTTTCTGCTTCCTTCCAGGTCTCCTGCTTCATTCTACATGGTTCTAGAATTCTGATATCGAATAGAATTCTACAATAAAGTTATCTTTAATAACACAGATTCTTCCTGCCACTTATTTAAGAGCAGTAAAATAAATCTTGTCCCTCACAGCCTTTATGTTTTCCAAAGTAGACTTCTAGCTACACTCTAATCCCGTTCCTCTTTGACATGGTCATAAACTCTTGATTAGCTTTATTCTGATATGGAAAATACAGAAACAGTGTTTCTTTTGCATTCATTCAATAAAATACTATGTGCCAAGTGCTCTAAAAGGAAACGTGGGGGAATTAAAAGATAAACAGAACAGGTCCCTAACCGTGAAGAACTAAGAACTCAAAGAACCTTGACTGCATTGAGGCCAGGAGAAGACATTCCACAATCTACAGCATGGAGGGAGGTGGAAGAAAAAATCTCTCAGTTTGGAGGGCAAAGGTGGAAGGGAGGGGAAAGAATAACCTTCATCAGGAAATAGCAATGCCACTGGCTTTGAAGAAATGAGGCAATCTTACTAGACACAATGCAAAGTGAGCACAATAAGGCAAAGGAAATAGCATGAGAAAGGGATGGGAAATTGAGAGAAAAAGCAAAAAGAAGCCATATATATATATTATATATATAATATATATAAGTCAAATATTTATATATATATTATATATAATATATGTCAAATATATATATATATATATATATATATATGCCAAAAGAATAGAGAGAGAAAATGTTGCAAAGGTAGGTCAGAATCAGATCACATAGGGCCCAAAATGCCAGACCAAAAAGGCCTTGAAGCTGTAAGCTCTGAAAGGTCAGTGAAGTTTTTCTAGGTTTCTGAACCTAACACACAAGATTTAATCTTGTTAACAAGATGATTTTTTTCCCTTTAATGGAAAAAGAACTCAAAGGTGAATTATTAATCATTTCATTTGTGTTAATTATCTCTCAGAACCAAGCTCACTATTAAAACACTGCTGTGGAATTAACTACAGGGTAGCCACTTGTCTTGCTCTCACACTACAGGAAATACATACAAATGGAAAAAAGGGGTCATTAAGTCTAAAACAAAGGGCAGCGTGGATATACAAATCAAATTTATGTATTTGACAAAAAAGAACAGGGAAAGCAACATCTGTTCCAATTCACAATAAATACAAAATATTTAGGTCTTTTAACTTTCCACTGGCGTCTTTTAAATAAGTAAAATTTTTTAGAATCTTAAAAACAGCCACTTTCCCAATTCAAGATTTGCTATTTTTCTATCTAGCACTGATGACTTTCTTTGCCTTCATCCAACTAGATATACCTGCCTTCCTGACTTACCTATAGGATGAGTACATTTAGGATTATATTCCATATGAGCCTGTGTTGTACCAATTTTCTATGATCATCTTTGCTCCCCAAGATTAAGAGTTGTTTGGGGGGAAGGATCATGCCATATACTCATTCTGCATCCTGAACATGGCTGAACACTGGACAATAGAAGATATTCATAAATACATAGGAGTTGATTAACCCATTAATTTCCAAAATATATATTCCCTAAAGACTCAATTCTGTTATTCATATGGTCTGCGCAAGGAATAGAAGAAAAATCTGAAATTCAGAGCTAGAAGAGATTTTAAAAAAAAAGATACCCACAACCACTTCTTTAAAAAAAAACAACATTATTAGTCATTAGGAAAATGCAAATCAAAACCACACTGAGATACCACTGCATTCTCTAAAAGTGCTACAATGAAAAAGACAAATAATCACAAATGTAGGAGAGGATCCAGAGAAACTGGAACCTGCATACATTGCTAGTGGGAATGTAAAATGAAATGGCCACTTTGGAAAACAGTTTGGCAGTTCCTCAAAAACACAAAATACAGCATTATCATACAAACCACCAATTCCACCCCTAGGTATATGCCCAAGAGAACTGAAAACATACGTTCATACGAAAACTTATACGCAAACGTTCAGAGCGGCATTATTCATCATAGCCAAAAAGTAGAAGCAACCCAAATATCCATCAACTGATAAATGGATAAACAAACTCTGGTACATTCATACCACAGAGTATTATTCAGCCATAAAAAGAAATGAAGTGCTAATACATTCTACAACATGAATGAACCTTAAAAACATTATGCCAAGTGAAAGAAGCCAGACATCAAAGGTTTCATTTATGATTCTATTTACAT
Source organism: Homo sapiens (assembly GCF_000001405.40). NCBI lineage: Eukaryota > Metazoa > Chordata > Mammalia > Primates > Hominidae > Homo > Homo sapiens. The sequence goes on along the minus strand of NC_000006.12, from coordinate 79,646,771 downwards.
GAAATGTCCAGAAGAGGCAAATCCATTGAGTCAGAAAGCAGATTAGTGCTTGCCAGGAGCTAGAGGGAGGTGAGAATGGGGAGTGACTACTAATAGGCATGAATATGGGTGATAAAATATTCTGGAATTAGATTATTGTACAACATAGTAAACATACACACACACAAAAACACATTGGGACATACAATTTTTAAAAGTTAATTTTATGGCATGTGAATTATATCTCAATTATGAAACAACAGCAACAACACAACAAAAAACCTGAAGCCCAGAGAAGCCAAGTTTCTTGTCCAAAGACATAAAGCTGATTAAATGGCAACGCCAGAACCAGATTCCAAGTCTCCCAACTTCCAATGCAGTATGCTAGCTCCATAATACACTGCTCTAGAAGTATTAGGACAATGGATCCTGAGCTTGGAAGCAATGTAGACTTGAACTAGTCATTTAACAGGTCATACCTTATCAGAAGAGGAAGATGAATTAAACGATCTCTTCAGTTCCTTCCAGTTTTAAAGCAGTCTGAGTCCTCTCAGATTGAGACCATTTCCTCTCTGATACTGTAGAGTGGTGGTTCTCAACCAGGGGCGATTTTGCCCCCTAGGGGACATTTGAGAATGTCTGGAGACATTTTTGGTAGTTGCAACCAGGAGGAAGGGTGCTACTAGCACCCAGTGGGTAGAAATAAGGCAAACTGCTTTATATCTACGATATATAAGACAAGCCCCAACAACAAAGAGTTGTCCAGCACAAAATGTCAATAATGCCACTGATGACAAACCCTGGTTTAGGGTATGATCAACTATTTTCAAGCTTTTCAAGGCAGTTCTACCCTAGAGTTAATAACCTCAGAGTAGCAGTTTTGAGATTACAGAGTGACTAGAGGCTGACACCATGCTAGCACCAAGCACATAGCAAATAGACAGGTACTTTTTAACCCCACAGTAGTCAACCTCTCCAAAGAATCAAATATTCAAATGCCAACAGAAGTCAGACAGTTAATAATGTGAAATAATGAAGCCAGCAAACAACTAATAACCATTTAAAACTATTATTTCCTTCCTTTAACACACACACACAAACTTGCTGGCTCCCATTCTTCTTGAAACATATATATAGCCTTCTCGATATAATCTTATGGTTTCCCACTTTTGATAGACATAGATGCCAAGAAATACTTTCTATTATAAGATAAAAGAATATACAAGCTCAGTAACAAATGGCTCAGAGTTGGGAAAATGGTGAGAATGATGAGGGGCTGTGTAGACACCAAGGATACAGGCCCTAAGGCAAGGGGGCATCACTACTCAGTTCCAGTGGATCCATGCCAAGATGCCATGATACCACAATGGAGTGAGGTGCCAGGATCAAGTAATCTTCAGATGTCTTAAGAAGAATGGGAAATCCAGGTTATGTTTGTGTCTAAGAAAGGTAACTCCCAGTATTTAAAATATTTGCTCAAAAGAATTTAAAATGGTATATTAACTCGAAAGAGGGTGTTTCAGACTTGCAACCAGATTGTGACTTCCAGCCTACACTAACCTTAATAAACAATGACAGTTTGGGGTATTCCTAAGGCTATGTTCCATTTAACTCAGGACCTATTTTTTTTTTTTTTTTGAGACGGACTCTCACTCTGTCTGGAGTGCAGTGGTGCAATCTCAGCTCACTGCAACCTACTCCATCTCCTGGGTTCAAGCAATTCTCCTACCTCAGCCTCCTGAGTAGCTGGGATTACAGGCGACTGCCAGCACACCCAGCTAATTTTTGCATTTTTAGTAGAGACAGGGTTTCACCACTTTGGCCAGGCTGGTCTCCAACTCCTGACCTCTGGTGATCCGCCCATCTCGGCCTCCCAAAGTGCTGGGATTACAGGGGTGAGCCACCGCGCCCGGCCAACTCAGGACCTATTATCTGATTATTTGAACATTATTTTTTCCTTAATTAAATCTTTATAGCTCATTTAAAGTTGAAAAAAATCAGAAAATTATTGCCAACTTCAATTTAAATGACACTCAATAATAATAATGGCTGCAATTTCATTAAGCTTCAACAACTTTACAAGTAGATTTTCTGAGATCCAGAGAAGTAAAAAGGCATGTTCAGCCACCTTGCCCATTAGAGTATCAGATCCATAATTCAAATCCAGGTCTTCCTGCCCCTGGAGTCTACATTCTTTCTACTCATCACTGCCCTTGTATCACACAAATTTCTTCTATCTACCAAGCTTATGAGGCTCTCTCAATAATTTACATATAAATAATCTAATATTAGAGAGATGGTTGACAATAAACAAAGCACAATGATCTTGGAGCAATTAAACTGGACAGATGAAGAGTGTAAACAGCAGCTTCATTGACCACTCCTGCAGGCCTCCTCCCTACCAGTGTGTGTTGACTGAATCTTTCCCTTTACAGATGGAGGCTGTCTACACTCCCCCAGACCCTCAATTCCCTCCCTTCCACCAACAAACCCAACTCTGGCCTCCTCCTTTCTACTCCCTCTCTTGCATTCAACTCCCTCAGTAGGCTGCAATATATTGATAAACTCCTTCCACTCACAAGAACACCTTTGTGCAGAGCATACAACAGGGCATAATCAGCATAGAGAACATTTCTCCTAGTAACCTAGGGTTCAAGATGTAAAGGATGAGGGCGCACACCTCCACAGCAACCATTTGTCCCCATGGATCTGTTGCCCAAAAGGCCCCAATATATTAAATATCTCTGCCTATGACCCCATCTCTGGGTTACAGCCATCCTGGCCAACCTTTCTTTCCCCGTATTACCTATTGCCCTCCCATCGAATCTTACTCCTTCCAGTTCAACCCATCAAGTTGGTTTTATTCAACTTTATCACACACAGCAAGAGAATCACATTCGAAGGAAATCATACATTTAGTTTCAGGACATCCAACAAAACATTAAACAGTCTCTTCGGAGCACTGCCTATTCTCATTTCCTTTAACTTCTGAAGTCTTCCTCTGGGACATATCTATAGGAGGAAGACGGTACAGATCTGGCTATCTCAACCTTTTGGGTTCTATGACAAGGCAAGTTGTTTAAAGTTTGGGTTTCTTACTCTTCTGTGAGGGGGCAGGGTAATTATGAATAGCTACTATACCAAGTTACTTTAAGGAGTACAAATAACAAATGCAAGCCCCCTAGTACTGCCTGCACATGTGAATGGTACTCATTATTATTATCACGAAATATTAGTTTTCAATTTTAAATCATACTCCTTTTAGCTTCCATCAGTCTCTGAAGAAGCAAAGCCATTGCTATCACATGATCTAAGGACATCATGCCTACAATTATCAGCTCAGCAGCTGAGTGGAGACCTCTGGAACCACTCCTCAGGAGTCCTGCACAATTCCCTCTCTTTATTACAGCTTGAGCTCAGACACTGTTATTCTAGCATGCTTGTTGCGATAGCACAACCCAGGTTCTCACCAGTCTCTTGGTCAGGGGCTCTTCTGGTGAGCAATGTGGGGCAATATAAAAAGTACCAGGCACAAAATCAGAAGAAAAGGGTTTGAATCTAGGTTTTACCGCTGAGCTGAATAATCCTAGACATGCTACTTAATTACCCTGTGTCTCAACACTCTCATCTGTAAAATGAGTATAAGAAATCATAGTTTGTAGGACAATTGTAAAGATGAAATGACATAAAGTAAATATTGTACCACATTGCTGGACACAGATAAAGAGTAATTGTTCAGCTGCCCTTTCAGTGTTCCAAAGCTCAGCACAATGGGTCCCCTCTTCCAGGTGTCTTTTTCCTTCTCCTGTCTCCCACATTTTTCCACAAAGCCCCTTACTGCTTTTACCATCATCTACCTGCCCATCTGCCAGCCCAACTTATGTTTCACAGGTATTCAAAATTCACAGTGTTCAGATTCACAGTCAGGATTCTAGGAAATTCCATTCATCTTCATTAAACACAGAAATCCTGGCCCTTCACTGTCCCCAACCCCCACCAAATTTGGGGTGACAGACAAGGCATGATGTTTGCAGAGGATATCCATCAATTCAACTTGGTGTTTCATATTCCTTTTCCCGGTTACTCACAGACTCAACATATTCTGTATCAGTTACAAGAATCTGAAAGACAGAGTCTAAATACATGAAGTTTAAGGCAGGGATGGCAAATACGTGGCATAAGTCCTGATCCTCTCTCTGGTACCAGAGCAGGCATCAACAATCAATCACACTGTTTTCCTGCTGATCCCAATCAAGGCTCCAAAACCCCTCTCCCGGCTCTCCAGGCAGCTACTATCCAACAGTCAGAGTTGTCATTTGGGATGAAATCTATACATTATTCAGCAATCCTTAGATCAAGCCAGGGCTCTAAAAAAAACATACACAGTATATTTGGTGTCCCTTAGATGCCAAAATCCTTGGATGCTCAAGTCCCTTATATCAAGTCGTATAGTATTTGCATATAACCTATGTAAAACATGGTATAATTTAAATCATCTGTAGATTATTTATAATATCTAATACAACGTAAATGCTATGTAAATAGCTGTAATACTATATTATTTAGGGAATGAAGACTAGAAAAAGTCTGTACATGTTCAGTACAGATGCAACTGTCCACTTTTTTTCTGATTATTTTTGATCCACAGGTAGGTGAATCCACAAATATGGAACCCACAGATACCAAGGGCTGACTGTATTATGTATAGCAAAGAATAGTGACTATGTGCATAGTAGTAAGCACTTTATAGGGAGTGAAAATATGATCTGAATGGGTCGTGCACAACATGCCATGTACCTATAAAATATCCAAACATTACAGCAGAACTCTAACTAATGGTATGTTTGGTGAATGGCCTGCTCAAATTATAATGTTCTTATACATTTAAGTGGAAAACCCTTTACACTTAAATTTACTAAAATCTCTCCTAAAATTATACCTGTATGCGTTCTCAGCCTAGTAAGTAGTATGTACTGTATATAATTTTTGGACTGTTAAGGAACTTACACAGTTCAAGGTCATTGTGATTTTTTTTTACTGTTATTACTACTACTACTACTGAAGATGATTATGATACAGAAAAAGTAGGTAACATGCACTGAGTTCTCAGTATGTCATGGCACTCAGCTAAATGCCTAATGCAAAATCATTCATTTCATTCAAAGCTCATAAGAGCTTTTCTATGCATAAAATACCATTCCTATCCCACTTACACAAATGAAGAGGCTAAGGTTACTTGTCTAAGGTCATGCCTTTCATCAGTGGCAGAGCTAGGATTTGGACTCAGCCCCCGCCTTAACCATAACACTGTTCTCTAATGATAGATTGCCATAGCCAGGACAGAGAGGTAGGTGCATGGGTTGAATATAAACTGACTCCAGAATTAAAGAAATCAGCGCATACTCAACCCAAACATTTATTTTGGCTAGTAAGCAGTTTGTTTCTCATAAAAGAACAGTGAAATCTAAACTCCCATCAATGAAGGGCCCAGGCTTATAAAGGTGGCCAATTCCCATTTGAAGAAACCACGCTAATGAACATAATTATTAAAAGAGAACCAGTGAAAGATAAGCAGAGACTGTGATTTAAAACAAACCACACACACACACACACACACACACACACACACACACACACACACAAAAGGGTGAGAGAACCACTGAGCTTTAATACACATGGGAATGTCATGAATGAAGAAGACCACACTCCCACGTCTTGTGGAACATGCAGAAGGAAAACAAGCTAACTCAAAAGCTATGCTTATTGCTCTTTGGGTTTTTTGTTTTGCTTTGTTTTGTTTTTAATATTAGATCAGTATGTAGCAATAGCTGCTGACTTTAACTATATTTGCATTTACCAAATACCACTGAACTGACCTGTCAATCAAGTCACCTAATTGTATGTCTCTTACTCTCAGTCCTCCACTCTCAAAGCCACTAGACTGAAGATGACAAAAAGTCATTTCATATTTGGGCCATGACCCAGTAGGAAATGGCAAACACATCCTAAATTAGTTAGAACCCCCTGCCCTCAGTCGCACCCAACGTTCCCTGTCTGCTCCAAGAGCTGAGAAGCAATGCTGGCAGAGGGCCCACCAAGACCCCACAGCAAAGCAGACACACCCTGCCGGATACCTTCCACTTCAGGGGTCAGCTCCAGGAAACAACCCCTTGGAGTTCTGCCAAATACTCAACCAGCTCAAAAGAGTAGATCCCCTTGGGAATAAGCTGTCAATAGTAACAAAGGTGACCAACAAAATTGTTCCCAAATTGTCCCAGAGGCTGTGCCAGCCTAAAAGTGCCTAAGTTTGTAGGGAGGTGGGGCCCCATCTGCCTGGATGCTGGCATCTGAGTTCAGCTTTCCATTCCACTGCAAAGCTGTCATGAACCAGAAGGGAAACATTCAATTAAGTGCTTTTCCAAGCTTTATTTCTGTTTTAGAGTTAGAAAATAAACCAATCAAATATAAAAGAGATAGCAATACTAACCCTTTAAATTACCACAGTCCACTGTGAAACTAGCCAGTGCTGACAGATGAAGTCAGATAAGCCTATTAAGAGAGGGAGACAGAAGGGAAACTGCACTGCCTTAAATTGGGTTGTGCAGTTTCTAGCTGGTACAGGCTTCCAACCTCCAGCTCCTCCCCTCCTGCCCTACTCCTCCAAGCCACCCCAGTGCCCCCCAAAAACTAACACATGGCACATATTCATCACTATCTAAAAATGCTAAACAGAAAGGCTCATTGATATGTTCTTAAGCTAAAACTAGAAGGAGGACCCTCAAAAGACAACTGTATATAACCTGAAGTAGAAGAGTCCCCACAAAAGTTAACAAGCACTTGCCATTTCACAGAAGAAAGAAAATGTTCACTAAATTTTTAAGGCTAACCTCTTTTTTTGCATCACGGATAAACAGTATAAAATAAAATCAATCACAGAAAAAAATGAATACAGGAATGTGGCTTAAATAGAACTTAAATCTCTAACTAACTCTCCAGCTAAAATAATACCCATTTAAAGGAATTCCTGCTGAAAAACTCCTGAAGCCTAAAAGGGTCTCCTGAGTTTAGAGCTTGGAGGGTGATTTTTTTAAAAACTGACATTTAGCAGGTGAAATAATAATTTCTAGACCCCATTTTTAAATATGCATTTCAAAATAAAGTATTTTTGTTGTTGGTGGTGATGGTTTTGGGGTTTGTTTGTCTGAGACAAGGTCTCACTTTGTCACCCAGGCTGGAGTGCAGTAGTGCAATCTCGGCTCACTGCAGGCTCGACCTCCCAAGGTTCAGGCACTCCTCCTGCCTCAGCCCCCCAAGTAACTGGGACTACAGGCACATGCCACCATGCCCCGCTAATTTTTATATTTTTTGTAGAGATGGGGTTTTGCCATGTTGCCCAGGCTGGTCTCGAGCTCCTGAGTTCAAGAGATCTGCCTGACTCAGCCTCCCAAAGTGCAAAGATTATAGGCATGAGCCACTGCACCTGGCACATAATAAAGTATTTTAAACTTTCATATATAGTGATCAGTAAGTCATGCTAATTTCTACTTTAGAAAGTGAAACATTCACTATGATTCTAGATTTTTTTCTATTCTGTCACCCATTTCTAATTTGATAGAAAAAAACACAATTCATTTAAGAACTTTTTATAAATCAAAGATGAAAAATAACTAAGGAAGAAATATTGTTTAGTTAATACCTCACACTGCTTCCTGTTGCCTGCTGAGTTTTTCACCATCAATAGCTCTTTTCCTTTTCAATTTTTGATTTTTAAAAATTGAAAAACAGAAAAAAATCAATACACCATCTTACATGAGTCTTCCTGCAATGTGCAAACCACCTTGTTTTTCATATTATAAATATATGTCAAAATTTAGTTTCCTCAACAATCAACAGAGTGAAAAGACAACCTACAGAATGGAAGAAAAGGTGCAAACTATGTGTCAACAGGAGATTAATATTGAAAATATACAAGGAACCCAAACAACAGCAAAAAAATAAATAATCCAACTAAAATTGGATAAGTGATCTAAACAGATAGCTCTCAAAAGAAGACATACAAATGGCCAACAAATAGATAAAAAAAATTCTTAACATCAGTAATCATCAGGAAAATGCAAATCAAAATGATAATGAAATTGCATCTCACCCCAGTTAGACTATTATCGAAAAGGCCCCAAGTAACAAATGCTGATGAGGATGCAGAGAAAGAGGACCTCATATACTGCTGGTGGGAAGCAGTATATGAGTACAGCCATTATAGTGAACAGTATGGAAGTTTCTCAAAAAACCACAAATGGAACTACCATTTGATCCAGCAATCCCACTACAGAGAATTTATCCAAAGGAAAAGAAATCAGTGTATTAAAAAGGTATCTGCACTCTCATGTTTGTTGCAGCACTATTCACAATAGCCAAGACATGGAATCCATCTAAGTCTTGAACACACAAATGGATAATATGGTATATATACTCAATGGAATGTTATTCAGCCATAAAAAGAATAAAATCCTGTACTCATGGCAACATGAATGCACCCAAGGACATTACATTAAGTGAAATAAGCCAGGGACAGAAAGATAAATACATGTTCTCAACTCGATAGGAGGAGTAAGTTCTAGCATTCTATAGCATTGTAAGATATTTCCAGATAGCTATGAGAGATTCTGAATATTCCCAACACAAAGAAATAATATTTGAGGGGACTGATAAGCCAATTACCCTGATTTGATCACTATACATTATATATACAGAAATATCACTAGATACCCCATAAATATGTATAATTATGTGTCAGTTAAAAAAACTTCTAATTCTTCTATTTTCTTAATAAAAATAGTTTGTATGCTACTTATAATGGGTAAAAGAATATTTGCAGAATTTGAAGTATATTCCAGAATTTAAAGCTTATCTTAATGTTTCTTTCTAATAGCATATAATTTTGAAACATTATCATATATGTTTTTCTTTGAATAACTGGGTCAATGAGAATTTCAGGGAAATAAAACACCACCAATCTCTGCACTCAAAGACATAGTTCTTGATCAGCTCGATTTGTTTTCTTATGTAATTGTAAGTGAAATACATTTTCTTTTTTTTTTTTTAGAAGGAGTTTCACTCTTGTCACTCAGGCTGGAGTGCAATGGCACAATCTCGGCTCATGCAATCTCTACTTCCTGGGTTCAAGTGATTCTCCTGCTTCAGCCTCCCAGGTAGCTGGAATTACAGGTGCCTGCCACCATACCAGGCTAATTTTTGTATTTTTAGTAGAGATGGGGTTTCACTATATACTGGCCAGGCTGGTCTCGAACTCCTGACCTCGTGATCCACCTGCCTCAGCCTCCCAAAGTGCTAGGATTACAGGTATGAGCCACTGTGCCCGGCCACATTTTGATTTTCAAATAAATTATTTTATCTTGGCTAAAAAAAAATTAGTTTCTTCAAGTAGATTGAAATGCTTAAAGTATCCAAATACAAATGGGTAAACAGCTCCTAATTTCATAAAGGAGTTCATATCCTTGATTATATTTTTAAGTTTAAATGTTACTGAAGAATGGATTAAAAGCACATCAAATCTGGGAAATACTAAAATGTACTAGAAAAACTGAGGTTAGATCTTCACTTGGGATATTAATAAATCCTATTTTCTAGCAGAAGACCTCATACATAGACTATAGTTCCATATACTTCAATATCCCACTGCTGCCTTTAAGTGTCAAGAAATGTGGCCCAGTCTTTCCAATTAAATGAGAAAAACTCCATAAATTAGTCTTTTTATTTCAATCCTCATGTTGCATGCTATTATGTGTTGAGTTATGTCTCACCCAAAAGATACTGAGGTCCTAACCCCCAGTACCTATAAATGTGACCTTATTTGGAAATAGGATGTTTGCAGATAATCAAGGTAAGATGACATCATTAGGGTAGGCTCTACTCAGTATGGCTGTGTCCTTATAAAAACAGAACATTTGGGCACAAAGATACATGCACAGAGGAAGAATGCCATATGAATGTGAAGGCAGAGATGAGGGTGATACATCTACAAGCCAAGGAATGCCAAAGATCGCCAGCAAACCACCAGAAACTAGGAGAAAGACATGGAAAGGACTCTCCCTCACAGCCCTCAGAAGGAAGCAACCCCACCAACTCCCTGATCTCAGGCTTCCAGCTTCCAGAATGTTGAGACAAATTTCTTTTATTTAAGCACCCCAGTTTTTGGTATTGTGTTAATGACAGCCCTAGAGAACTAATATACAAACTTTCTCACTCTTACCTTCCATCACCACCACATCCTCTCCTTGGGCCCCCAACTTACTCCTGCTTCTTCTGATCACTTGTATGCTCCCAACTCTTCCCTAACCTCACTCCACAACCTCCTCTGCCAATGTCCTTCAGCCCTGTTTCTGTTCACTGGGTACCACTTGCATTTTGGATAGGGCAGTTCTCTGTGCGGAGCTGTCCCACACACTGTAGGATGTGAAGTACCTCTGATACTCTCATTCCCCCAGGATGCTACAGAGCCCACAGGAAGAACTTCTACTCTAGCAGCTCTAAAGCCACCTGCCCACCAGGGTTTGACTAAAGGTCCCCCCACCTGAGTATGATCTCAATCTGGTCAGCTTGCTTCAGTCTCTTCCTCTGGAAAATGGGAATAAATACTAATAATTACCCTGCCATGTGTCAGTGATGATCCAATGAATTAAAGATCCTAAAGTGGCCAGTTATACTCTCATTCGTGTTATTAGAGTAACTTAGGAATTAATACCCACTCTATTCTACATGATCACATCCTGACTTTAACTGATGTTAAACTCATCAGTTTAAGATGTAGAAATCTTTTCTGAGGTGTCCTTACACAGGGAAGCCTCACTGAATACATTCACGGGGATGTAACACCTTACCTGGTAATTGTGTGTATAAAATAGTTATAAATCACCCAAAGCAGTAGGTATGCACTTTTTACAGTTGCAAACAGCAAGACAACTCTGAGCATGGTTTCCATGTGTTTCCCTTCCACACCCACCCTCACTTGAAGTCCTATCCATGATTTCCAAGTTTGCTTCCAATACCTTTCTATCTTTTGCTCCCAGTGATGGTTGCTCTCCAACATCCAGGGATATACTGATGTCTAGCTCATTTCACCCTGCCCCATGGAAACATCTCCCAAGCCAGCATCAGTCCTTCACTATCCTTGATTAAACAGTTTGCATCTCAAGTCTCTGAACTGGAGAGAGACAGCACTGATTTATGCCATGAGGGCAGAGTACATGTCTGTTCTGACCATCATATACACCTAGCACCTTACATCACCTAATACAGAACCTGGGTAAGTAAGTTTTCAGTGATTGTCTGATGAATATATGAGTCATTCAATGCAAGAATGAATGCATTCAGACATCAGGAATCTGGCTTCCTATGAAATCTCAGCTCTGCACTGACTGGACATAAATGGCTTCCGGAAAAGCCACTTAATCTCTATGCCTAAATTTCCTTTTCCAAAAAATTAGGTGGTTGGGCTTCACTAAAAATATCTTTAGGTTTCCGTCCAACTCTAACAGAGCCCAGGAACTTTAATGAGGAGTAAAAGATTTTATTTACATTTTGAGAAATGTTAGTCAAGGCAAGTAGGAAGGTAAAGATTCTTCTGAAATCACACAACTAGGGCTCCCCCACTGCCAGGCAGCTCCATGTTCCCTGAGAAACAAAAGGCTCCAGGCAGCAGACAAGCTGCAGAAACTAAAGACATCTCTGAGATGCTAAGCACTACAGAGTTTGTCACCATGGGCTTCTTTCAGTCTTCTTTCAGGAGTCTACCCTGTCCCACCCAAAGCTCCCCCTTTCCAGCTTGAGCAGGATGGGCTCAAGAACTCTCTCCCAGGCTCCAAATCCAACCCAGTTCCTCTCCCTGCCATCTGCCTAAGGCTGTCACATGCATATTTTATGATTTCTGGCACATTTCCTCTTTATCTGACATCCTGCAATGCATCTCTCTGCCTCCTATATTTTTCTATCTCTGGTAAGAATGTTCCTGCAAGAAGCATGTGTCCTTAGGCTGTACTTTACTACCTTTCCTAACTCATCTCCTACCTGTGAATTCCTTGGAGACACAGATCACACCCTCTATTCTCTGGCTTCCCAGAAGACCAAGGACAGAGCTAGGCAAGCAGCAGACTCTTAGAAAATACTTGTTGAATGAGTAAATGAAATAACTGACTGACGGAATAAATGAAATAATTGACGGATTTCAATGTTTTTAAAGTAAAAAGTCATATTCACATATTTCCTGGACAAAGTTACTAAGACTTCCCCTTTCAGGAATACATCCAGAATAAATTAAATTTTAAAATGACATTTCTATGAATATATTATTTTCTTAGAACTGAGAACAAAAAATTTCCCTACAATACAATGTGAATGAGTAGCAACATGGTCAGTTGAATAAGAAATCCGATTTTTCAGGTATCTGTAGCATAATAATGTGGCATTGCTTTTGTTTCCTAGTAAAAACTGACTTCACCTGGAGCCAGGGAAGACAAAAGAGGAATCATTCCTTGGTGTTAGTTATTCCAACTGCTGAAGCTGGAGAGCTTAGGGGAATCAGAAGAAAACAGGATGATTTTCTCTAAATAGATTGTTTAAATCTATTGATGATTGAAGCGGAGCATCTTTTTGGAAATTCTGGGACTTACTTGGCTAAGTCTAATTCTGGTCACATCCCTTCCTTGTGGTTTAATAAACTTCAGCTAAAACCAAACTGACTCAAGAATCAAATTATTTGTTCTCCCATGCACTTGCTCGTCACAGTTGGGTACCAAATGAAACACTATCAACAGTCAACCCAACACTTCTGGAGGGAACACATCATGGCTACGCCACTAAAGCTTAATATAGCTTAATGCTACTGGCCCCATTAGCCTCGCCAGCCCAAGAATTGACCTAAATATCCTCACTGGTTCTTAGAAATCATTATTCTTACATATGAACATAACCTTAACATCACTAAAAGTATGGATATTACAGATAAACTGTGTACTGATATAGGAGATAAAACTACAATTGGGGAGACTCAATGAATAACTGTATTGATATAAGATATAATTGAGGAGACTGAACAAACAAGGATTTTCTAAAACCTGAAAAGACTGGGTCTTCAAACAGCAGAATATTAAAATAGATAATTAGTGTTTATAGTCTGTAAGCATGTGGTAACTGTGTATGTCTTCTAACTCAAATGAAACCATGTCAGAACACATGCTACGAGGCAGGGCATTGAGGGGATCTGAGCCTTCACAATAAAATGTCCAAGGAAAGAAGACTAATAGGTATATTATTATACTAATAGGTATTATACTAATAGGTATAGGTATACCTATTACCTTGAGACTAATAGGTAGGTATATTGTTCAAGCAAAAGAAGCTGTTATAAGGATTCATCCATATTTACTCACCTGGTGAAGTCAAAATACTTTAAAGCTAGAGTGTGCAATTCTGAGTTATCCATGAAAATCCTTCATTTTACAGAAGAGAAACTCAGGCAGAGATGAGGTACCTTAACCAGGCTTACACTGCACTAGTTGGGGCCCACACTAAAACTTAAGTCTCTTAATTTTAGCTCCATGTGCAAAACACAAAACATTAAATTTAAAAGTTAAAAAGGCACACAGCAGGCAGGCAATAAATATTTGCCAATGGCACTGAAAAAACAAAGATGTGGAGTACCAAAACTATCTCAATATACTACCTACTAATAGAGTAAGCCAAGTCATTACCTTGACTTGGTCCGACTTGCTCCAAAGTAGCCTAGGCTTTATCTCTTGTGGAAGGGATAAAAACCATTCCTTCCATAATCAATATAATGCTATTGGGACAATTATTGAAGCATGCAAGTCGGTGGTGAAACCAAGAGCTTTGTAGCATTCTTAGTAAGGAGTGCATTTGAACAAATCTACCCTTGAAACAGTGCCAGTTTGCAAACACATGAAGTGTGGCTTCAGTGGGGAAATCTACAAAAGGCAGGCATGACTAAGCAACCCAAATAGCTAGAAACACCAGAAACTGTCAGAAGTCTGAGGACCCCAACATGACTGCACATAAGTGTAAGTTGGATTTTCCCATCTATTGTTTCTAGTGCAAATGGGGGTGGAGGGGCTTTGTATGATCGTGTTGGTTTCTTTTTAAATAAAAAACTTCAGTGGTGTACAAGGATTTTCAAACAATATTTTATTCCATCCTCCACTCCACCCACTTAAGAAACAAATTTTGGAACAATCTGACTGAGCTACTGGGCAGACAATTGACCAGACCAAATTTAAGCAATCTACAATGCACTTTTTGATGTTACTTGATTATATATGTCACAAAGGAGGCTCTTAAATCTATAGCTGAACTCTTGGTTAAGGAAACCAAGTCTCAATAATCATGTAAAACACATGTGCTATGTCCCTTAGTGGGCTGTCAAATATACTAACTACTGAATTTTCCTTAAATTCTGACATCTCTAGCTATTTAACTTTCCTTTCTTTAAAAAAATTTTTTTTCTCTAAAAAAATTCAAGAACATCCACCAAAGAGAATAGCTAAAAATAATTAAATAGAAAACCACAATTCATAGATCCCCAGGATAAAATTTCCACAGCATTACAGGTGGAAAGAAAATGCGTGCATACACACACATTTACATAAAGATGTAAAAATATTTATGGCACCCTAAGAAAAAAAATGACAGTGAAAGCAAACAATCCTACCACAACAGGACAAACCTAGTTTTACTATTCTCTTTGCGCAGGTATAAAACTAAACAAATGCACTTGCTGGCGGGGAAGGGAGGACAGAGAGCAATTCCCACTTAAACTTGCTTCATTCAGGAGCTAGGGTAACAAACCAAAGCAGCAGAAAAGGCTCCCGTGCAAAACATAACCAGTCTGAAGGTCCCAAATCGGGAAGAACTAAACTAGGGGAAGGGGGATCCCCGAAGCTCTTGAACAACCCGTTCCCCAAATTTCCATGCCACACAACAGGAGCTGGGGGCTTCCCTCGGACTCCATTTTCAGGCCGCGTTGTCTGCCTTTCAGGCCACGCAGGGTGGGCATTTGGGTGAGGCCGGGGTCCCCCACCCACCTTTCCTCCCCGCCCTCTTCATTGTTGTCGGAGTGTGATGGATCACCTGCCGGGCGCGGGCTCCCGCGGGCGGACCGGCTGAGCGCAAGGACGCGCAGTGACGAGCGCCGCGCGCCTCCCGCAGGACCCGCGCCCCGCGACCCCAACCTACTGCCCGCCCCCACCGCGCTCACCGCCACGAAGCCCGAGGAAGAGGCGATGAACACGCGGATGACCATCCTCTCGCTGCGCCCGGGACAGACCCCTTGCCCCCCGGGCTCCGGGCTGGCGTGGACGCAGAGCTGAACCCAGCTACGAGCCGCCGGCAGCCTCTGGGTAAAGCGCTGCCGTCGGGGAAGATCGCTGGGATCTGGCTCCCTCCCGGCGGGTCCGCAGATAAAAGCCCAGCGCCGCCCGGCCGCAGGCTGAAGGGGAAGGAGAGGGAGGAGGAGGGAGCCGGCTGCGGGGCTTGATGGGATTTGTAGTTTCCGTCTCTCCCTGGAGTGGCTGGTGGACTGAGCTCCCCTCCTGACCGCGCTTCTATCCCGAACACGCGCAGGTGGCTGGAGGGGAGCCACAGCCCGGGCAGAAGCTGTGAGGTGGGTTGGCAAGGATCCTGGCTTGATGAGGAAAAAGCAAACTAGGCAAAAGGGCTCGGTTCAAAGTCCAAGCTTGGGTTCTGTATTGTGGTTTATTGGTTTGGAGCATCCACACCCAGAAATGCCAACAGACACGATCGTGCTGCGGGCACACATCGTCTCAGGGCCGCTGGCGTACCGGGCAAACCCCAGCTACCTGAAGCAGGCGGGATCGGCGAGCCGGGTGCTTGGGAGGTGTGGGCGGTGGGGTTGGGCTCGTTTGTTTGTCCAGTAGCACTGGAGATTGCAGAAAGGTGATTCTTTTGGGTAAATGAGAGGTCTTCTCTTGTCTGTACACACTGAAAATTAGAAACCCAGATGGAAGCACAACCAATATTTTATTTTTCTCAGCAAAACTGTAATTGTAGTAGAAAAAAATAAATACCAAACGAAATTGGAATCCTTCTATCAACATTGGAAATCAGGACCCTACCTGCCCCACCCCTCCCTACACAATGGCTTCGCCTCTGTGCACCTAATATTTACAGTTCAGCCAAATCTGTGCCTTTTTCAGAACCGCTGCACATTCCAGCGCAGTTTCCCAGGAGGATGCTGTTAAATAAAAAGCTTCTATATAGTTGCTAATAGTTTAGGAATAGTTTTTTATCAAGTGCTTTCTGTTTGACAAAAGCTCAAGCCTCTCTCTCAGTTTTGTCGAAAGGAACCAGTTTTCCCTGCTGTACTGTATTTACTTTTTTCCTTTCAACACGGGAGTTTAGCAGAGGTCTGGGAACAATGTTAATTAAGAAAAAGTAAGAAATTAGATGATGAGGTCTCTGGCTCTTTGATACATTTCTTGCACAAAGAGCAATCATTATGAAGTATTTTTTAGAACAGTTATGAATATTTCAAATTTATAACCTTTCCTATTGCTTTTCTTAAAGCCATTTCTGTAGTAGGAATCTTTTTAAATTTCCTTCAATAATAGAAGAGACACTCCTAATGGGACTTTATTTCTTCTTCGTGTTTAAAATTTTAAATAGAAGTTTTGCTGTCTTTAGTATCTCTCGGCAAATGTACTTTAATTTTGCTACCATAAATGTGGAAATGCACGTTTATAAAATAGAAAATAATTTTCTTAAAAGTAGATACCGTATTTCCTATATAAATGCAAATCTTTATAAAAGTCAGCATTTTCTTCAGTTTGGAATTATTCAGCTATGAAGATATAGTTAAACTCAAATAATTGGAACTCAGAGCCTACTCTGTGAAAGGTACAAGAATGGATAAAAAGTTGAACGAGTCATTTCTCTGTCAGCAGAGCACCTATTGTCTAGGAAAGAAAAAGACAGATACAGAAATAGTGACAGAACAAGACACACTGTACTAATACAGTGTTGTGTGGATGTAAAGGAAAAAGGTGGCCATAGAAGGTACTTTAAAGATGAGTAGAATTTCTGTCTGCAGATAGGGAGGATGCAGGGTGAGACTATTCAGGGTGTGTGAGGAGAACAGCAAGGAGTTGGTTTTGCTTCAGAAAGGAATATGAGGGAACTAGTAGAGGACAATGCTGAAAAAGTAGGTTTGAATGAATGCCAACAAAGGACTTTCTCACTGGGTTATCTGCTCAGCTCCTTGGGATTTCTGCTCCTTTCCTCTGATCCTAGAGGTTGTAAGGGTCCCCCAAGCCCTGTACATACAGCAGGGCCTAACCCTCTGACCACAGCTTATTGATCTAGGAGTGAGCACCTAAGCCAAGCAAGGCCAAGCAACATTTCTACCCTAAAGATTCAGAATTGGAACTGGGAAAACAAGAGAGCTTGAATTTGTGACATGGAAGCTCAGAGCTTCCAACATGAGAATCAGAGAAGCTGAAGAAGCTAGTCAGTAGAAAGAGAACAACAGAGAATTTGTAAAAAAGAGTTGGAGATAATAGCTCTAAGTTTTAGAAAGAGTCCTGACAATACTGTAATCTAAGGGTCCTCAAACTATGACCTGTATGTCAAATGCACGTGGCTACCTGCTTTGTAAATAAAGTTTTATTGGAACACATTCCTCTTGGTATTGTCTATGGTAGACTGACAGAGGTCGTATGGCCCACAAAGCCTAATACATTTACATCTGGCCTTTACAGAAAAAGTTTGCCAATCTCTGATCCTGTTCAACCTGTTCCTATATCCCTGCTCTTGAGGGCTGTGTAATATCCCTATATCTGTAAGTTCCTCATCTTGCTTAAGCCACCTGAAATAGGTTTTGTTTCATGGAACCAAAAGTGCCCTGAGAAATTCATAAGCGCTCTGTGTCCAAATGCATTCTGAGGAACAGAAGGATATAATCAGAATTATACTTCAAGAAGAATCCTCTATTTTTTCCACCCTGAATGAAAAGGTTCACCTTTTGACCTTGTATGCAGGAGAAAATATGTTAGCAATCCAGTAAAACAGCAAGGCCGGTATGGAGTTGAGACCCAGAGTTGGTAAACAAAGTGGAAGAGTACCTGAGAGCAGAATGCAATCTAGGATATAAGATAGAGGTCCAAGATCAACACCAGCTTATCAGACCACAGAGAGTATTAGATGCCAATCTGACAAATAAGGTCTACAGATAGAGCGGGTAGCCAAAACTGAAAGATGAGACTAAGAAAATTGAGCAGGTCATTAGGCTTGAAGAAAGTGGCTCCCATGTTGCCTAGGACTTTATCCCCTTTACAAGTCCTGGTAGACCATATGGCTAGAATGTTTTAAAGTAGGGGTTCTTGACCTTTTTTTTTTGTGGGAGTAAGAGGAGTGCCAAGGACCCTTTAGTAGTCTGATGAAATCTATCGGTGGTTTCTCAAAAAAAAAAAGTTTCTAAATATAGAAAATTTGAAAGTATAAGGTTACAAAGGAAACTATACTGCAAAACAATTACCAAAATGTTAAAATTTTGATATGATAATATGTATGATTCTTTATTAATGTATTAAATATTAAGATTGGTGGATCAAACGGCCGTCATGATTTTGAAGTAGTAATGGGAAAAGATAAAATTTTGAGATATTTGCAATCATTGGAAAATATGAAAATGCCTGTGATTTCTATTGGTAACAAAGTCACAGTGTTGTTGCTATTACAATGGCTTAACTACTTTCATAATTGAAGGAATTGGTAAATTTCAGTTAGAGTTTAGTGAAAAGATAAAGATGTGATTTTTTTTCTCATTCAAGTCCATGAACCCCCTAAATTCTATCAAGTCCCTTTAGGCTGGGGGTGAGGGGAGATCCAAGAACCCCAGGTTAAGAAATCATGATGTCTGAATATATCTAAATCTACAGAAGCCTATTATTTTGCCTAAGAAGAAAACATGGAAAGAGACAAGAAGGAGCCATGAAGAGTCCCTTGGAGATCTCCTACACTTAAGAATTGGAAAAAGAATGAGGAATTAAAAATAGTAGAAGAGCAACCAGAATAGTACAAAACTGAAAGAGTATGCTGTCACAGAAACCAAGAGAAGAATTTTAAGTTTCAAAATGTAGAGACTATCTAAGAATGTTAGCCTGAAAGTCAAGAAAGATTATATTGAAAATGAGACTCTCCTTTGGCAAATTTCATCACCTCCATAAGCCTCAAGTTTCTTGTCTATAAAATGGGTATCAACAATGGCTATCAATCAATATTCTAATGATAATTGACTACCTTTAGGATATTATTTAAGTTATGCCATACGGTGCCTGTCAACCCACAGCCCTTCTAAAGGAAACTCTCAGGCTACCTGGTCACAGATATTTGGAATATTTGGACCACATTTGTGTTCTTCCCCCGGCATGACCTATTGCAGCTTGAAATTTACAACATATGTGACCAGGTCGGAAAATACATGCAGGTCCTTCAAATTCCTCTTTTAGGAATTTATAGTTAGAAAATTTAAAGACTAAGGCAGTTAGCAATAGAATAAAGGGGGATGGTATGAGGCTGGGATAGGATTGGGATGAGAAGCTTTGAGCAAGTTGAGGCAATGAAGGGACTGAAATGAGTAAAAAGAGGAAGCTAGTCTGTGGCCCGGGGAAATAGAGTCACTATGTAGTGAGAAGCTGAGACACTAACAAGGAGGCTGACAGCTGTCTTGCTTCCAGTCTCAGTTTTCATGAATCCAAGTCTGCCGTGGTTCCTGCCCTTGAGTTGCTGTTTCATAATCCCCCTCCTTTATCTTGAGCTAGTTTAAGTGCGTCTATTTTCTTTCAACTATTAAATCCTGACCAGAATACCTATGTAAAGCATGGGTAGTAACTCATGCTTCTTTAGGGATCAGGCAGGTGATATTGATTAGAGAGGTGAGGAAGATCCAAGTGCATATATATTCACTTTGTGCATAGGGTGGGCACCATGAGGACTGTAGCTGAAGTATTCTGGTTTTTGCATGTTGGCTTGATTTTTAAAAACCGAGCCCAGTAAACTCAGGTTTGCTTACTAAACTCACCATCTACAGGCACAGCCCTATGGGCATCCAGGTTTCTCTCTCCATTGTAAAGCACTGAGCCCAGGGTTTGGCACCCAATAAATCCACAAGAAGCACTAGCTGTTATTATGATAGTAGTTTATTATCATTACTGACCTCTGTGAGAGTGCTTCCAGTAGAGGGGTAGAGACAGAAGCTAGATTGCAGTGTCTTGAAGACTGGAACCCGATGAGGTAATAGAGGCAATGATACATCCTTCATCTCTCCTCTTTGGAAATTTGATGGTAGAGGGAGAGAGCAAGGGCAGAAGTTATAAAGGGAATCAGGGAACGTAAATATCCTTCATTAAGGTTTATCTACAGATTAAATAAAGAGTTCTTTTAAGCAGTTTGAAGTCTCACCCGTCCTGATTTTATTTTTATTTATTTACTTATTTAGAGACAGAGTGTTGCTATGTTGCCCAGGCTGCTCTTGAACTCCTGGCCTCAAGCAATCCTCCTGCCTCAGCCTCCCAAAGTGCTAGGATTACAGGTGTTAGCCAGCACACCTGGCCCAGATTTTAATTTTAGAATGGAATTGAATCTGACTGATAATTTTGTTCTGTTAGGGCTGCCCTGTTCTTAACTAATATTACCTGACTCCCCAAGGATTTAACTTGTCAAGGGACTTCACAGTGCCCACACCATGCTTGTCACAATCCCTTTCCTATTCTAAGTGGTTGCTCCTTCAAAAGCTGAGTCAGCACCTTTGGCTGTTAGTGGGTGATAGATTTGTGGGAGAGGAGGTTAAGGGAAGGGGTAGGCCAGAGGGGTTAAGGAATGGGAAGCCATACCTGCATTAATGTCACAGCTATATGACCTTAGGCAGCTGGTTTAACTTGCCAATACCTCATCTTCCTTATCTTCCTGGCTGTTGCAAGGCTTAATAGAGATGATGTATGTACAGTGCTTTTTGACACCATGCCTGGCACATAGTTAGGACTCAGTAAGTGTTAGGTATTATTAATCATGCAAAATAAATCAAGGAAGGGCCTGCATTCACACAAAGCATATAAACCCTATAAATATTTGTTTCATGTGTGTGATTTTAACTTTCTAAATAACAGGTATCTGGTTTTGTATAAGCCTCTTTATACAGTGCCATGTTCAATTAAAGTACTTAACAAAGTCTTTTTGATGTTATTGAAGTTTAGAGGCCATAATTAAGATAAAAAGAATATTTGTGAAATGAAGCAGCAATAAAGTCAAATAATGCAGCTTAAATTTCATAAAAAGAGAATTTATCTACTGCTTTATGTTGTTTCATCAGGCCAATTCTGTCTATTCTTGATCAAATAAAATCTTAATTAACAGAAACCATACTAACCAATCCCTCAATTAAATGGAACTTTCAACATTCATGATTAAGGAATGGAAGTAATTATGTGTGTGTGTGTGTGTGTATATATATATGTGTATATATATATGTGTGTGTATATATATGTATGTGTGTGTGTATATATATATTTTTTTTAATAGAGACACGGTCTTGTTCTGTTTCTCAGCTTGGAGTGCAGTGGTGCGATCACGGCTCACTACAGCCTTGACCTTCAGGGCTCAAGTGATCCTCCCACCTCAGCTCCCTGAGTAGCTGGAACTACAAGCATGCGCCACCACACCTGGCTAATTTATTTATTTAATTTTTTTGTAGACACGGAGTCTATGTTGCCTGGGCTCATCTGGAACCCTGGGCTTAAGCAGTCCTCCTGTCTTGGCTTCCCAAAGTGCTCGGATTACAGGCGTGAGCCATGGAGCCCACCCAGGACATATTCTTGAATCAGTTCACATTCCCCCTCAACCAATAGGGTTCTTTATTTTATCTGACAGGAAAAAAAAAACCCAAAAAACAGAAAACACTTTCATTCCCCCAGCACCTTATTCTTACTGTAAAAGTCAGCAAACTGAAAAAGAGAAGAGATGGAAGAGAGGTGACTGGCACAGCTGCCATCCTGCAACTATAACAAGGAAGCTTTGAGATATGCTGGTAGGGTAACCACTGGATAAACTGAAGCCCTTGTGTGCAGTTCATTTCTTGCAGCTATGTTCACTCAGTTTCTGCCAGATGCTA
This sequence comes from Homo sapiens, assembly GCF_000001405.40. Classification (NCBI taxonomy): domain Eukaryota; kingdom Metazoa; phylum Chordata; class Mammalia; order Primates; family Hominidae; genus Homo; species Homo sapiens. Next base: position 79,624,582 of record NC_000006.12, on the reverse strand, counting down.
TACTAGATGCTGGGGATTCAGCAGTAAATCAAACACAATCCCTACCTTCATGGAAATTATGGCCTAATTGGGGAAGATGATACTGAACATATTGTTACAAGTATGCTTAGTGCTTAAAGGAAAATATCAGATATTGTTTTTGTTCTTTATTTTTATTTTGATTTTTAATCTTGTAGGACTCTCCTAGTCATCTTTTTTGGTTATATATTATCTATATATTAATCAAAAATATTAATTATAGATAGTTTTATGTTTTTGATTAATGATACATATGTATTATGATAATATATAGATGATATATATATGATATACTATATATAGTATTCAATATATATACATTTTTCCAAGATTGCATTCCAGGTCAGGAGATGACAACACTATAATAAAATAAAGATTCAATGTTGATTATTGCTGAAATAGTTCTAGGCAACACAAGTTACAGGGATTTCCAATACTCTACATATTGGTTTTATTAGTCCACCACTTTGTAAATGATTACCATGTTATAATAAACATAAAGTTTGCATTTAGGTTATTGTTGAATTCAGAAACTATTTTGATTCCTCATAAATACACTGCTAATGAGTTTTTAGAATTTGTTATAATTTCTCATTATGCTAGGCATAAAGGCCATTTAAAATAATTGCAATAGAGGAAGTATAAGAAAATGTTTACATATAGATACAATTAGAGAAAATGGAAAAGTCAGCTTAAACAAAACATAAAGTGTTATTATTTATGTAGCAATTATTTTTATTATTCTTTTTCCTGTGATTTTTGAGGGGCCTACTGAATGGAAATTATGAACATTTGCTTTTAGTGCTTTTTAACACCTTAAGCCATAAAGAGTTTAAAAAGAACAATTAAGTCTTCACCTTTAAATTTCTCAAATTTTTCCTGAAAGTAAAATCAGAGATGAGAAAAACCAGACACCTTAACATTAGCTTACCACTTCTTTTCCTCAGTTCTTTGTGTCCATCTCCATCTAATACATTCAGAGGCAACTCAAATTGCAGATATCACTCTAGTCTGTACTGCAATGACAGTCTTTGGGTTTAAATAGCAGCTTTCAAGGGGAAAGCATTTTTGCATTAAATGGAAATAGATTTAAACTGATGTCAGGGAACACTGTCCTGTAAATTCAACATACCCTACTCAGAAGCCCTTATCCAACCCAGGTATCATGAAGTTTATGACGAAACAAAGCACTCACTGACAGCATTTAGTCTTTCCCATGTTAATTGCCCCCGATTGTAAATCAGACATTTTTTTTTTTTTTTTGAGGCAGAGTCTCACTGTATCGCCCAGGCCAGAGTGCAGTGGCACTATCTCCGCTCACTGCAACCTCCACCCCTCAGGTTCAGTTTTCCCACCTCAGGTTCCTGAGTAGCTGGGATTACAGGCGTATGCCACCATGCCTGCCTAATTTTTATATTTTTAGTAAAGACAAGGTTTCACTATGTTGGCCAGGCTGGTCTTGAACTCCTGACCTCAAGTGATCTGCCCACCTCAGCCTCCCAAAGTGCTGGGATTACAGGCGTGAGCTACCATGCCCAGCAATCAGACATATTTTTAAAGCTCATTAAGTTCTTTATGCCCAAAGAACAATGTAGTGAAATGCCTTATTTTACTTTAACCAGTTTACATTTGCCCAGAACACATAGCTTTTTAAAAGACCATTCTGCTCAATTCAGTTTATTTGTTGAACACTTGCTCTCTATCAGTAACTTATCAAACTTCTTCTCTTCAGCAATTTGCATTTCTTTAAATTGTAAATAATTAATTTTTAAAAATCATCTCTCAAAACCAGAAAAATGTTAATATGTCCTGGTAATTCCTAAAAACCCAATGACTTAAGTAGCTATTCAATACAGAGGATATCAGACAATTTTAATTTCATTTATCAAGTTGCTAATATATACTAGACACTGTACTACATGCTGGAAATATGAAGATTAATAAAACAGAGAGGTGTGTGTTGGGGGATGGGGTGAAACACTTTTAGCTAGCACAAACTGGAATCCTGGGTAGAAGCACAAAGGTCATGAGTGAGTGGTTGTGTGAGAACCATGCAGAGACACAGAATCTTGGGCCTTTGAAAGGAATCTTTGAGGTGTGATCTAAAGTTTACTTGCAACACGTATCATTACTGTTCTGGTTTTAGATAGTAAAGTAGAATAAGTAATAGTTTAGGAAATTGAAATCTCATCAGTGCCTATTTTCTTACAATTTGCTGCATTTTGCCACTGTTCCTCAGTTAAGAGTAACAATTGTCTTTGTAGTCAAGGTTGTGGAGGGGAGGTGCTGGAGGAAATGAATTCTGCAGCACTAAATAGCAGCCTATCAACCTAAAATGAAGACAGGCTTTCTGCTTCCCAAATCTGCTTCTGGTCCCATATTAATTGATATACATGCAGCTGCAGGTTTGGTCAAATCTGAGAAATTTCCAACAGCAATAGTGACATTTGATTCTTTCACATAACAAGATGTGTACAGGGAGGTTAAACCAGGTTTATTACATCAGTCTAACAATGTCCTCAAAGCCTCCAACACTCCACTTTCCATTCTGCCATCTTCTGCATGATGCTCTTCCTTGGGCTTGTTACCACCTCATGGTTGCAAGGTGATTGCCACAGCCTCAAATATGGCATCTTTATACCATCATCCCAAATAGGAAGAAAGAAGAGGACAAGCAAAAAATATGATTTCCTCTTATCAGGGAGGAAGAGCTTCCCCAGAAGTACTCCAGCAGACTTCTTATATCTCACTGGTCAGATCTGGGTCACATGGCCATCTGCAAAGGAGGCTTAGAAAGTGTATATCAAGAAGGAGAATGGGAGAGCCACGACGGGTTAAGGTCTGTTATCATTCATCCCCTGGGACTGAAACTACTGGGGTTCTGCTAGCAAGAAAGACAAAGGGGGATGAGTGGCAACAAATAGTGACTGCCACAATCATTTGCTTGGTGCAATCTTGGGTGAATTACTTAACATCTGTTTTGGTCAGCTTGGGCTGGTATAACGAAATACCATAAGCTGGGTAACTTATAAACAACATGAGTTTATTTCTAACAGTACTGAAAGCTGGGAAGTCCAAGATCAAGGCAGATTCAGTGTCTAGTGAGGGCTTCTTTCCTGGTTCATAGATGGCACCTTCTTGCTGTGTCCTCACAGGGTAGAAGGGGCTAGATAGCTCTCCAGGTCTCTTTTATATGGGCACTAATCTCATTCATGAGAGCTATACCTTCATGACCTAATAATCTAGAAGCCCCCACCTCTTAACACTATCACATTAGTGATTGGGTGTCAATATATAATTTTGGGTTGAGAAGGACACAAACATTCAGACCATAGCAGCATCTGTGCCTTGATTTCCATATCAGCAAAATTGAGATAGTGATAAAACCTAACTCCTAGGCTTGGGATGAGAATTAAATGACATAACCTATGCCAAGTGTTTGAATAAGTGCCAGGTACAAGGTCAACACTCATAACTATTAGCTACTAATAAAAAGAGACATGGCTGGGCTCGGTGGCTCACACCTGTAATCCCAGCACTTTGGGAGGCTAAGATGGGAGAATCACTTGAGACCAGGAGTTTAAGACCAGCCTGGCCAACATAGCGAAACCCCAACTCTATTTAAAAACTTAAAAAAACTTTTAAAAGCCACTATATTTCCCAAAGTGCTTGATTTACACCAAATTCCTTAGATTCCCTGGATAGCAAGATGTGCAGAAACAGAATTGGAAAACATGGCTTCCAACTCTCAGCAGATAATTCTTTCCATCAGACTTGTGTCTCTAACATAGTTTAGATCCTTTTTATTCTTCTCTGTGCTATCCCCCAATCCTCTCCCTTTCTCCTCTTCTCTTCTCTCCCTCTTCCCCACTTTTCTCTCACATCTACTCTTTTATCTCCTTTCCCCATACATGTTCTTTTTCTCTCTGAGGACCCCTTCCCCTTTTTTTCAGGCTGGGAAATTATCATTACTTCACCTTCTGCTTGACTTAAAGGTTAAAAAGGATGCCAACCCTCACACAGGACTCTCCAAAGTCCCATGAAACAGTTATCCTCCGAGGACCAATGGGTGATATATTGAGAGCATGGTTAATTTATTCTGCATGTGCTAAAGCATAAGTAATTCACAAGCCAGGCAATAATCATGCGCCTAACATGCATCAATTGTCTGATAAACGCACCTCATTGCACTATTTTCTTTTTGCCATTTCACTCTCATAAAGGTCGGAAGGAAATCAGGCAAAAAAAAAAATCTTTAAATTTAACCAAATTAATTTATCCACCATTTTTTAAAAGAGTAGGACAGAAATAGGACAAACAACCTAAAAAATGAGCTTTGTAAAAGAGATTTGCAAAATAATTATCCAGCAAGAAAGAACATTAGTTTATTATTCCAGGGGAAAAAAAAGGGAGAACCAGGCTTCTATGAGAACGGTAAATGGAACACAGCAGGAAAGAAAAAAAACAACAACAACTGGAGAATATGTGTGCTATGACCTTTGGAGATGAGCAAGGAAAAAAAATCAATATAAAGAGAATTCACATACACACATTTAAAGCTATTCTGAGAGATCAGAAACATTTGTTTTTGAAAAGGGAAGCTCTAGCTTCATTGTGCAATATTTTTCTTTGCTTCCCATTAAAACCAAATGGTGTGACTTCTAAATGTTAGTAAAATCTCAGGTTTCTTTTCTTTTTTAAAATTGCCTTTAAATTAGCACAAGAGGGAAGTGATTCCCACTTATGTCTGCTATAGAAGAGAAAAGGAATAGATGCAGAAGCTAAAACCAAGGTGTATTAAAGCCACACACCTCCCCTCATTCATCCCTCTCCATCTTCCCACCTAAACTTGAAAAAGCTCAGGGTGATGGGGCTGGAAATGGGGGAAACAGCAGCAATGGGGGTCCTGCTTATCTTCATCTCCTGCAAAGGCAAGTGGAGTTGATGTGATGAATTCTCTAGGAGTCAGCTGTACCTGGCATTCTCTGCCTCTGCCCATCTGGAAAGCCTTAGCAGAAACCTCAAATACCAATGAGGACCAGGAGGGTATAAACAAAGGCAACAAGGGCAAGTAAGAAAATATAAACTAAACCACTTGTTTTGAGACTAAATAGCAACAACAACAGCATAGGACTGCTGACTGAAGTATACAGTAACAATAAAGAATGAGGAAGGTATGTATGTACTACATGGATTTTCCAGGATAAATTGCTAATATTGTTAGTGAGGAAAAAAAAACAAAGCACAGAGCAGGGAAGACAGTTTGCTGTCTTTTGTGTAAGAAGGGAAGGAAATTATACATACAGATGTGTAACAAAACATCAAACAAAAAGAGACAAAATAATTGGTTACCTAGAGGGGTCAGGAGGTGGAGAGGAATAGAGGCAGGGTGGAGCAGATATGAATGAATATAGTAGATTTTCCTAATCATGTTTTTTATATAGTTTTGAATTTGAGCTATATGGCTCAAATTCAAATAATGGCTCAAACATGTTTTACCTGTTAAAAATTAAAATTTATTACAGGGAAAAATTAAAGCAAACTGAATTTGAAATCAAACTGAAGCAAATTATCTTAACTGCATTACACACGGGTGACTTTCGAGTAACTTTGCAACACAGTACACTTACTGTTTATCTTTTTTTTTTTTGACAGAGTCTCACTCTGTCACCCAGGCTGGAGTCCAGTGGGGCATTCTCGGATCACTGCAACCTGCCTTCCAGGTCCAAGCATTTCTTCTGCCTCAGCCTCCCGAGTAGCTGGTACTACAGGCACATACCACCACGCATGGCTAATTTTTGTATTTGTAGTAGAGACAGGGTTTCTCCATGTTGGTCAGGCTGGTCTCGAACTCTTGACTTCAAGTGATCCACCCGCCTTGGCCAGGCTGGAGTGCAATGGCTTGATCTCGGCTCACTGCAACCTCCACCTCCCGGGTTCAAATGATTCTCCTGCCTCAGCCTCCTGAGTAGCTGGGATTCCAGGTGCATGCCACCATGCCCGGCTAATTTTTGTAGTTTTAGTAGAGATGGGGTTTCACCATGTTGGCCAGGCTGGTCTCAAACTCCTGACCTCGTGATCCGCCGGCCTCGGCCTCCCAAAATGCAGGAATTACAGGCAAGAGCCACGGCGCCTGGCCCAACCTGGCCATTTTCTTTTGCCAAAAAATGCCCAAAGAATGATGGGGATATCTCAAAAGGACACAGGAGGAAGCCAAATTTGGGTCAATTTGAACACCAAGATCAGTGACTGCAACTGATTATAAAAATTGAATAAGTAAAAAATCCACGTAGTCCATAGAACTGTTGAAAGAGAGACAAAAGAACTAATTTGCCACCCTTGAAAGTGACTGTTGCAGCAACTCCTTATTCTGAAAATTAGCAAAGAGAAAGAATTAAGCACTTAGCCTGGCTTTTTAAAAGGAAATATAATTCATCCCCAATAGGTAAGAAGCTCTTCTTTACATAGATATGCTTGCAAATAAATAAAGAAGAAATTATAATTTAGAAAATTACCATGTTGCACTTATTAAATAATCTACATAATTACATAAATATCAATGGATGTTGATACCATCAAATATAAGGTTACTATGGAACCGATTATTTACCAATTGCTGGCTGCTTCACAGAAATTCCATACTTTTACAATGGAAGGACCTGTGTGTCATCACTGTAGCCAAGTGATCATATTTCATGTCATCATTGTGGGACAATCTGGCATTAAGTGCCTCCTGATTGTTGCAATTTGAAGTACAAATCACCTGTGAAGTATCCCTGCCAAAATAGTTAACCTAATTCCAATTCAGCCTCTAGATTGAACTTCCAGTTTACAGGAAAAATTGGGAGAGAGCAGGGAGTTAACTAACATCACAAGCAAACAATCAGACAAATCCAGAATATGGCTTAATCTACCAAACTTTGGTCTGGACTCTTCTAAAAGTCAATGTCATGAAACAAAACAAACACAGCAAAGTTTGAGGGACCGATCTTGTTTAACTTGCTTAACCAAACACAACAGGTAAAACTTGATTGGGTCTTGATTCAAAAAACAAAAGTATAAAGACCTTTTGAAGAGAAGAAAATGCTAACCTGAACAGGATATTAAACTTCAGTATAAATAGGGAGTGATTGTTCATTCTCTTAGGTGTGATAATAATATTATGATTATGTAAGAAAATGTCCATATTCTTAGGAGAGGCAGAACAAAATATTTAGGGATAAAGTTTCAAGGTACCTACTACTTAATTTCAAAAATCCAGATAGAAGTACATATAGATAAATGCAGAATAATCAAATATGATAAAATGTTAATAATCATTGAATGAAAGTGTTTCATTTTTTCTTTTTCTTTTCTTTTTTTTTTCTTTTTTTTGTTTTGAGACGGAGTTTTGCTCTTGTTGCCAAGGCTAGAATGCACTGGTGCCATGACGGCCCACCACAACCTCCGCCTCCTGGGTTCAAGCAATTCTCCTCCCTTAGCCTCCTGGGTAGCTGGGATTACAGACATGCGCCACCACACCTGGCTAATTTTGTATTTTTAGTAGAGATGAGGTTTCTCCATGCTGGTGGCTGGTCTCAAACTCCCGACCTCAGGTGATCTGCCCGCCTTGGCCTCCCAAAATGCTGGGATTACAGGCATGAGCCACTGCACCCAGCCCTGATTTTTTTCATAATCAAAAGTTGAGTGGAAATTTGTGTATGAATTACTAACCACTCCATGCACTTTCTTTTTCTTCCCTGAACCCCTGAGCAGAGCTTCCCAAAACAACAAGGGCAGCATGTGACAGGTTGAGGGACCATGGAGGTCATCTTGTCCTACCCCTGAATGGAACTGTAAAGAACAAGAGGTATGGTCCTAACACAGTGAGTGCAGACTCTGGACCAGCCTCCTTGAGGCATTGTTGTTCTTTCTAGTAAGAGAATGAGCTCTGAAGTCAGAAAAATCTGGATGCGGAGCCTGTCTGTGTTACCTCAGGCAAGTCACTTAACATCTCTGAGACGTATCTTCCTAATCAGTGAACAAGGATCATAAGCCACCTCTCACATAGCCATTATTAGGATGAAGTGAGAAAAATGTGTACAAAGGGCCAGGAACAGAACTGCCAATAACCAAGAATCTCAATTAATATTGATTCTTATTACTCCTGCCTCCAGATCCTCACCTCCCTTTATTTTTCTGCCTTTCCTACAGTCACCCCTTTCAACATCCACCTCATATGGGCACGTATTAAAAATGCCACATGCAGGATTATAATGCAAATGGGTTCCTGTTTCTTCTTGTGGGTGTTCTTGCCCTGCCATTTGGTGTGAGCATGCTGTGCCACTCTGCTGAGGAAGTGTCATTAATAGCTGTTCAAGGCCTCACTGCCTCCCAAACACAACAGAAGAAGGTGACTTCAGCCCACATTATTACAAAATAAGATTCTTAAGAAAGCAGGAGTGGTTTAGGCCGGGTGCGGTGGCTCATGCCTGCAATCCCAGCACTTTGGGAGGCCAAGGCGGGTGGATCACCTGAGGTCGGGAATTTGAGACCAGCCTGACCAACATGGAGAAACCCTGTCTCTACAAAAAGTAGAAAATCAGCTAGGCATGGTGGCACATGCCTGTAATCCCAGCTACTCCGGAGGCTGAGGCAGGAGAATCTCTTGAACCTGGGAGGCGGAGATTGCACCATTGCACTCCAGCCTGGGCAACAATAGCAAAACTCTTGTCTAAAAAAAAAAAAAAAAAGAAAGAAAAAAAAAAGGCAGGAGTGGTTTAAAAGCAGATTTTTAAAAAAAGCAAATACACAATGTTAGAAAAAAAATATAAAACTAGAAATTATTTGGCATTTAGATGGGTATAGTTTATTGTGTGCTACAACTCACATACAGAAAGAACCAAAGACCCTTAAAGTAAAAACAATAATTTGTGGAGTATTTAATACCTATCAAGTAGTACGCTAGGCATCTTATAGGTGTGATGAAATTAATCATTATAGCAACTCTATGAGGGAGGTATTCCCCTTTTATAGATGAGAATGCTGAGGCTTAGAGAGGTTTGTCTGGTAAGTGCTTTATCTTGTAAAGGTGTAGAACCACATTTGCTTCTGGGTGCCCCTCCAAAGCTTGCATGTTTATTAACCAGTAAGGTGCATCAGGCTATGGAGTTACCCTGCGCAGAAGAGGCTTCACAGAAATCACTGTGGTGACAATGGTCCAGCTGAACTTTTGTTATTTTTTTCGAACAATATCAGCCTGGAAGTTCAGTCAAGGCTGTAAACTTATGGTGTAATCCAGCCCAACTCACTGACTGGCTGAAACAGAATCTCCTTTTGAGCCCTCCCACTCTCAGAAGTGTGATCTTTTGTGAGTCTCCCAAACTTAAAATAACCCAGGGGCCTTATGGCCTCCCAAGCAGTGGGATGCTTCCAACCAATCAATCCAAGACTGTGTGAGTGCTGGTGTCAAAGGCATTGTCCACTGCAGGATGTTGACAGTGAGTCCTCTGGCTTCCTCTGCTTAGTGCCTTATCAGTCGCTTATGCAGGCAACCTATAAGCTGAGCCCTGAGAGGGAACTCAGAAGTGCTTATCTACAGCAGAACCCCCTCTAAGGGAGTAAACTTCTAGGTCGCCTTGGGCCAATTCCACAGCTCTTTCTGTTTCTACTCCCAGAGTCTCACCAAATCAGAAAGTGGCTTTTGGCCCTCCTCTTCTCTGTGTACCTGGCTGCTGTCTGTCCTGGGTTTCAGTCTCAGTCCTTTCTGAAACTACCCCTTTCCTCTCCTGTGGCCACTGGCCTCCGTGACCCACAAAACATATACCTTTTCCCACCAACAAGCCTGACTCAGGGTTTGTCTCAGCTTGAATCAGAGGCTTTTCTACGCCAATACTAGCAATTAGGGGTGAGGGCTTCAACATAGGAATTTGGGAGGACACACTTAGTCTATAATACTGTGGCAGCACCACATCGGGGCAGTCTAATGATTCTACATCTGTCATGTCTGCCTCCCAAGCTGTGTACTCAAGGCCCAAGGGTGTCCTCCTTAGGAGCACCCTGCAGCTAAAGTCTGAAGTCTAGACCCTCCTCAGAGCAGGGCCCAGTTCTGTACAGATCCCAGCAGGGTCCGCAGTGTACTCTCTCCTCCTGGACAGTGCCCTGGGGAAATCCCTTTTGTAATCCAGAGGGAGGCTTGCTCTCCTTCTCGTGTCCCCCAGGCCTCTGCCTCTTCCTCAAACTGTGTCCACTTCCATGGGTTTGGTTCTTGGACAACCAAACCCAGGAGAATCTAAAAACTCTTCTGCTACCCATCATGCCCTGGGTCTCTCCTGAGGCAGTGAAACGAGAATGAGAAGTGGGCAGTGGTAGAGAACAGAAAACGTTTTGGAAAAAAACATAAGCTAATGGTTCAGACTATCACTCAGCCACAATACTATGCAAAGAATATCTGCTCAATACACAGTACAGCGGGGGCGCTCCTCCTCTCTCACTACAGGGACTGTAGGGGCTCTGGGACTCTCTCACTACAGGGACTGGCAGGTGCTCTGGGACTGGGGCCAGAAACTCAGGTCAAAGCCGCCCCTGCTGCACACCACTTAATGCCCCAAACTCACCTTCCTTCAGGGAAAATACGGAATGTCTTTAAAAGAATCAGGTCAAAAAATGTTGCTTTTCAGGCCGGGCATGGTGGCTCACACCTGTAATCCTGGCACTTTGGGAGGCCTGGGCAGGCGGATCACCTGAGTTCAAGAGTTCAAGACCAGCCTGGCCAACATGGTGAAACCCCATCTCTGCTAAAAAATACAAAAATTAGCCAGGCATGGTGGCGGGCACCTGTAATCCCAGCTACTCAGGAGGCTGAGGCAGGGAGAATTGCTTTGACACAGGAGATGGAGGTTGCAGTGAGCCGAATGCACTGCACTCCAGCCTTGGCAACAAAGTGAAACTCTGTCTCAAAAAAAAGAAAAAAAAAGAGTTCCTTTTCAGGAGTAACTGAAGTCGAATTATCTGACAGGTAGGGTTTCCAAAGTTCACACAAACATTGTTTCTAAAGTTTATACAAAAGCCTTATCTCTAGAGTATGAATACTATCAGGTATTGAGAAAGGGTATAACTCTACTCATTTCCCTAAAATGTACCCAGAAACTATGGACTAATATAGTGCATACTATAACCTATAATATTCAGAAGTGAATCTGTTTCACTCAAATAAATGTAGCTCTTTCTTCACTTGGTCATGACTTTCCTATTTCAGACATTTTAGGCACAAAGGCCTGCTTCAGGCACTTGAACAGTTGGATTTTGATGCAGGTTTTGATGCTTGAATAAGAATGAAGAGATGCCCTTCAAAACTTCTCTCCTTTTGAGCTGCAGATTCTTTTCATTTCTGATTCTCAAAAGCACAGCCTGGTCAAATCGTTTATCAGCTGTGATCTAAACAGAATGTTGCTTGTCTTTGGGTCTAACCAGCCTGTAGAGATGTCCCACACCTATCCTCAGGGAATGAAGGTCCCAGGAAGACTGGCATTCCACAGTGGACAACCCAAGGGCCCCTGGGGAAAGCCTCCTTCCACAAGCTGGTGATGGCAGGGTCAGCAGTCGAGTGTCTCTGAGAGCTGCTCCCTGACCTTTATGTGGCCAGGAAGGATACAGATGCATGTGAATGAGATTGGGCAGTGCCTGCTGAATTCATTAAATCAATATTCTGTGCACATCCCACTTAATCAGTAGACATAGTCTGGTTCTGTGCATTTTGTGGATAGCTGAAGGATTTTTGTGGCAAATACTAAACACTGAGCAAAGTGGGCTTCTCTGAAACCAAGTAGGTTTTTGAGCAGCCTCTTTCTGCTTTCAGTTGATGTGAGCTCAGGAAATGGGAATTGATTTTATCCTAGGCAGAACTTAATTAGAGAGGAAGATTGTTGCCAAAACACCCCAAGCTTCATTTCAAAGTCAAATCAAAATGATTTTTGTATTATTCACTGGTTCGGATTGCACAGATGCTCCAGGTTTGTATTTTAGCAGCACTGTATCAGAAAGTAGGTAGCCTTAACTATTCTTACCTTTGGAATCCGCTAAAATTTTCTTACCCACTTATTGTTAGATCCATGATAATAATCTGGAAGTTCCCAGATAAAGGTGAGGTAGGGAAAATAAAACCATCATGGGGAATGCTGGCAGAAATCACTGTAGGGTATAATTGGGAGAATAGAATTTAATACATTGCACATGTTTGTTCTCTCCCATGGATGGTGAGGTTTTTTGATTTTTGTTTTTTGTTTTGAGACAGAGTCTCACGCTGTTGCCTGGCCTGGAGTGCAGTGGTGATATGTGGGCTCACTGCAACCTCCACCTCCTGAGTTCAAGTGATTCTCCTGCCTCAGCTTCTCAAGTAGCTGGGATTACAGGCCCCCCAACCCCACCACGCCCAGCTAATTTTTTGTATTTTTACTAGAGACAAGGTTTTACCACGTTGGCCAGGCTGGTCTCGAACTCCTGACCTCATGATTATCCAGCCTTGCCCTCTCAAAGTGCTGAGATTACAGGTGTGAGCCAGCGCCTGGCAGTGAAGTTTTAAAAGTCTGGGTCCAGCCTTGTCTAACATCACAGACTTGCCATTATAGCTGGTATTTATCAAGCCATTCCTATACCAGGCTCTTTACATATAATTAATCCTCATAGAAAACCAGCAAGAGAGGCATAATGTTGCCTGTTTTACAGATAACAAGACTGAGGTTCTAAGTGGTTAAGTGACCCATCCAAGGTAACGCAGCTAGTAAATGGCTGAGTTGTTACTGGAATCTGGATTTGCCCAACACTGGAGTCTATGACTGAAAATTTTCAAATGAGAGACTTAAGTTGTATACTGTAGGGCCAGGCGTGGTGGCTCACGCCTGTAATCCCAGCACTTTGGGAGGCCGAGGTGGGCAGATCACTTGAGGTCAGGAGTGCAAGACCAGCCTGGCCAACATGGCGAAACCCCGCCTCTACTAAAAAACACAGAAATTAGCTGGGCATGGTGGCAGACTCCTGTAATCCCAGCTACTCAGGAGGCTGAGGGAGGGAGAACTGCTTGAACCCAGGAGGTGGAGGTTGCTGCAGTGAGCTGAGATTGCGCCATTGCACTCCAGCCTGGGTGACAGAGTGAGACTCCGTCTCAAAAAAAAAAAAAAAAAAAAGTTATATACTGTAGTTAACTTAAGATCAATTGATTTAACCTTCATTAGCTAAAATTGTAGAGGAAAACCTGTCATTAATAACAAAAATAGCAACAATTATCATTTTTTGGGTACCTTCTTTGTGTCAGGAATATTGCTAGGCACCTACATTCTTATTTCATTTAAGCCACAAAACAGCCCTATATATTGTTGTACATCTTTATAAATGATGACAACAAAACTCAGAGAGTTTCACTTTTGTGGAGGAGTTCAGAGTATACTGGGTCCCACAAAGGAAGATTAGACTATGGATCCAAGTTTAGGGTAAAGCTGATATATAAAAATAATAAAATCATAGAATTTTAGAGCCAAAAGGGATAGTCAAAATGACAAAGTCTAACTTTCTTACTTTTACATGTGGGAAAACTTAGGTTTAGACCCTCGCCTCCCCAAAACCACACACCAAATCCAAGACTAGAATACAGACTCAATTCAATGAATCAATTTTGTCTTGAGTTCCTACTATGTGCCATATATGGCCAGGTCTCTATCTCCCAAACCCAGGGCTTTTATCTGTCAGATGATATGCAACAGGAAGGACAAGGATGGGGACTGTGCAGCCAGGACGTTCAATGTAAGTTATGGGACTGACCACAGTTACTAAGAAAAATGTTCAGCCTGCCCTGAGGCAAGAGGGGAGGAGCCAGATCAGGAGCATCAGGTAAAACTTGATCCTAAATGTGAATGTCGAAACTACCAGTCTGAATTACTTTTGGAGTGACTTGTCTCCCATGAAGTGAAGTCCAAGCCTTTTGATTTGATCCTCACTGAACCCTAGGGTGATTTATTTTAATGCAGCTAATAAGAATAATGAGAAACATCTGTTTCTATAACAAAGGACCATATTCATCATGTTAGTGACTTATGAACTGCTGTGAGCATTTATGAAGATAAGAGCAGGCCCTGTTGTGCGTAAGGCAGGCACAGGTGCAGCTTCCTTTTGGCTTCAAGGGTATGAGACCTCTCTACCTTTCCAAGCCGAAAGCATGAAGTCCTGAAGCAATTTATTTATGAGACTCTTTTGACTCTAAACAATGGCACATAATTCCAAAAATTATGTTGAATGAAAAGAAAAGTATGACTGAGAAAAGTGAGCTCAATGAGTTAAGAGACTATGCAAGGTTATATGACTAATTAGTGGCAGCCACAGACTTGAGGCCTCCATCTAATTTCTATTTCATTCTCCCAATTTGCCTTTTTGGAATCTTTCACCACTATCAAATAGGATAGTAATAGTGTGCCTTCCTTTTCTCCAGATAAAAATGTCAGCAAAATGTCTTGCAATATTTGAAGGAGCGAATGTAAACTCAGTGTGTGGAAAAGCAGGCATTATCTCAAGCAGCATATCTCTAAAACTATAACAGGTTGAAGAATGATATTTCTAAAATTTTTCAATTTGACATTAGAAATATGCCTTCCATATGCAAAAATGCCATAATAAATCTATTTGTTAGGATACATGAAAAATGAGATTTGAATGGCCTGCCTTCTTTGGTCAGTTAAATGCAATGGCTGTTAGCCAGCCTCATCTAACTGTGTGTTCACAAGCCTATTTCCTTCATTAGTTAAAAATATGACTGTCTTTATAATAAAGGTGACCAGGCTGAGACAGGACTGATTTGGTGTTTTGGAATCCTGACAGCTAATGGGAATATAGCTATGTATTGCTTGGATCAGTATGGCTATTGTATCTACTGTGTATGAACGAATAATAATTGCCACTGCCAAAGAACTATGGCAGTAGTTCTTTTGAACTCAGAACTGTCTGAGCTCAACAGAACTCGGATAGTTCTGTTGACTTACCCATGCTGTAGGGCTGGGGATGGATGAGGCCAGACAGACACATGAGGAGCTGAGGAACGAAAGAAAGACACTTCTCTAATTGAGAGAGTCCCCTGTCAGCAGGGGAGAGGGCAGGGCTGGTGCAGGTCAGGACCCTGAGTCTGGAAAGATAGGATACATTCTTGGATCAAAGCCAGCATCAGGCATGACCATTCCTCCTTTTCCAGTCAAACTCATCTGGATGTTTGCCTAATAGACAGTCAAACATAGATCTTTCAAATAGTACGTTCTTCCTTCCCTTTACATACATTTTCCTCTTAAGAAAATTTCATTTTGCAGCCAATGATACCTAATGACTTTGACTATCAGCACACCAGCCTCAAATACATACCTCAGTGTCCAATGTCATGCATGTAAAAGGAGCTTATCACACAAGGGAAAATTCTGTTGCTTACCAATGAGGAGGCACCTCTAACACCAACAGTCAATGTATGTTTAGTGTAAATGATCAACTTGAATCTCCATCCTGCCTGGTTCCAGTTCTGCTGTGAGGCAATGTGTTAAGACCATAGAGTGCTACACCCACAGCCTCCCCAGCAATTTTGCAGGGTGTGGAAGGATTAGTTTTGCCACATTGTTAGTATAGGGCTCTGCATTTCAGCATTCTGTGGGGGCAGTGTACCCAGTGTACTCTTGCTAGGCATGAGACAATCACTTAGGCAACTTCATTGCCTAGTTTCGAACTGTGTCCTATATCTAATGAATCAAAATTGGTGGTAAGGGGAATGAAGCAGGTGGGACATGTGTAGTTTCAGAAAACATTCCAGGGGGTTCTCACCTATAGGCAGGGTGAGAAGCCAGCTTCCTGGGTTGAAGTCTGAAAAACATGCAACAAAAATTTTATTTGTCACTTTTGCCTCTGAATAATAACTGCTGAGGCATTCTAGGAATCTTTATAAAACTATAATGCCTCATGTTACTGCCCTCAGTTGAACTGTAATCTTTTTGGAGGAAGTTCTGCATCCTATTAAGTCAGAACTTCTTGAAACAGTTACCATGTGCCAAGCCCTTTGTACGACACAGTGAGTTAAACACGTTTCTTGTCTACAGAAAGCTAATGCTGAATCTACACTGTGGAAAATAACACTTTCATATATGAACAATTAGACAGGAATCTAGATTAAAGGAGCAAGTTGTACTGGAGGGATGATCCTGGTACATCTTGGTCCAGGTGCTGTTGGGGACTGTCCCTCTAGGAAGCCAGGGAGGCCTCTCCTGCTACTTCTCTTCCTCCCAATTGAAGAAACACTGGAGGGTGCTGATATGGTTTAGCTCTGTATCCCCACGCAAGTCTCATGTTAAATTGTAATCCTCAGTGTTAGAGGAGGTGATTGGATCATGGGGGCTGACTACCCCCTTGCTGTTTTCGTGATAGTGAGTGAGTTCTCACGAGACCTGTTTAAAAGTGTAGCACTTTCCCCTTAGCTCTCTTCCTCCTGTTCCTGCCATGTAAGACGTGCCTGCTTCCCCTTCACCTTCCTCCATGATTGTGAGTTTCCTGAGGCCTCACCAGCCATGCTTCCTGTACAGCCTGAGGAACCATGAGCTGATTAAACCTCTTTTCTTTTTCTTTTTTTTGAGATGGAGTCTCGCTCTGTCTTCCAGGCTGGAGTGCAATGGTGCGATCTCGGCTCACTGTAACCTCTGTCTCTTGGGGTTCAAGCAATTCTCCTGCCTCAGCCTGTGGAGTAGCTGGGATTACAGATGCCTGCCACCACGCCCGACTAATTTTTGTATTTTTAGTAGAGGCGGGGTTTCACCATGTTGGCCAGGCTGGTCTTGAACTCCTGACCTCAGGTGATCTGCCTGCCTCAGCCTCCCAAAGTTCTGGGATTACAGGCGTGAGCCACCGTGCCTGGCCTCTTTTCTTTATAAATTACCCAGTCTCAAGTAGTTATAGCAACACGAGAACAGACTAATACAGGGGCAGTGCATCTGCAGTGGGTACAGCAGTCCCCATAGGATTAGGATGGGGCAGCACGGAAGGGAAGAATTGAAGAAAGGCTGGAACATCTAACAATGCCATAGATCTATGGGGTAAGTACGCAATAGGACTGTAGGTTAAAAGAAGGGAGGGAGATGGTGATAATGAAAGTAGAAGAAAAGGAAGCAATAAGAGCCCAGAATTCTGCCTTCTGCCTGGTACACTGGGAGCTCAGCATGTGTGGTTTCCCCAGCTGTGCATTTTGAGTGTAATAGTCCAGGGCTCTGCTTTCCATCCCTGGATCTGGCCACTAGACTTCTAGTTTTCTTATTTGTTCATTCTCTATTGCAAGGCTGTGGTTTTGAAGCTACAGGGAATCAGTGGGAGATAGGAAGCTCCAAACTGCAGAAAATTGTAGGACCAGCTGAACCAAACTACAACCACTGAAATCACAATGACCTCGGAACCAAACAAGGCTTATGTGAGAAACGGAACGTTGTGAAACAGGTTATTTATATTCTCATAAAACTATTGCTGGGGGAAAAGGCAAATGGGGTTCTGGTAGCAAAGTCAGCAGCAACATCCCTTTAAAAGTCTGAAGGATTCTAAAAATGTACTGGGAGGAGTGTTTCTATTCTAATAAAGAAGCAAAGTATGTTTTCCTTTTAAACAACCAGGGGAAAAATATTTATGTCTATCTCAAAACTGGAGCCCAAAGTTTAATTTTGAAAATAATGAATGTCTAAAGCTGAAATTGTTTTCTAAAAAAAAAAGAAAGAAAGCAAGAATGCACTGGTAGGTAATAGCATTACTCATACAATGTATATTATTAGCAGGACTTTCCATCCAGATCTTAATGTATAAATAAATCACAAAAATTGTTAATTTACATAAACTCACCAGAAAAAGGAAATTATCCTGAGTTTACATGACAAAAATTACTGTATCAAGTAGGAATGTGGGTTTTTGATTTCTAAAACGTCAAAGATCAAATTTCCTTGACACAGTAACCTGTGACATTTTAACCAAAAAGCACGTGGCTTCTAAAGGGTGTGCCAGCCAGCCAGCCAGGCACCAAGGGCCCAACAGTTTTTCTGTGAGGTACCTGTGTTAGTCCCAGTTGTACTACCCAGCAGTGTTCACCATAGTACGAGAAATTTAATGTAAGCATAGTTGAAGAATCTAAATTCTTCCAGGAAGGGTATCTAACTCTCAATATGGAGAAAATACATTTTTCAGAGACATAAGAATACAAAAGAAGGTAGCTATAGGTGTGTTTATGACTAAGAAGAGTTAGTCATGCATGTCCCACCACCCCAAACCTAAAAATCTCATGTAAGTATTGCCCTAAGACTTCAGGCATTCACAGAGGCTAAGCAGGGCCAACTAGTCCTTTCTTGCTGGATGCCTTGCAATTCCCACCAGAGATCAACAGGGTGCCAGGTGGCTTGGGAGTGCTTCCTTAGTCAGCCACTCCATCTGGCCATGTCCCATCTCTAGAAAGAGCCTTTTTGCCCCTAAGTGTCAGTTTCCCAACTTGCAGAGCCACGTTTAGATGACCAATCTACTAGTACTATAAAATTTCATTATATTATTATTTTAAATTAGAAACCTCTGGATTATTTTCATTGGAAATTAAAATATAATTAAGTTGACAGTTGAATGCTCAGAAAGAAATGAGCAAAGTAAAAATTTCTACTAAGAGTGTTATATTTCCAGACAAAATTTGCTTCCTGGTAACTAACTCTACCATAATGCCTTCAGTCGCTTGTGTTTGTTTCCTGATATACTCAGCAGGGATAATTTCTCTTTTGAATGTGTTTAATCAAACTGACTAGATTAACAGCACATGTTCAAAGTTTTCTTTGCAAAACTCACATTTTGACTTTCATGTGTTGAATACTGCACTAGCAGTCAATTGATAATAAAAATGTTTGTCCAACTTCTTGAATTCCCATGCTACAGATTTCATATTGGCACTTAAAATTTGAAATTAGGCATTCATTGAATTCATTCTCCAGATTTAAAAATGTACTGTAAAGACTACAGATTTACCACAACTTTAAAAATTCAAGGTGGTTTTGGATAATACTCTGTGAAGAAAGTTATGATCTTCTTAATCTTTGTCTAAATAGTTCCTGAAGCAACTTCAAGAACAGGGAGTGGGAAACTAAACTGAAATAAAACTGGATCATGAAGGTATTCATTTACATGATTAATAGTTCAATAATTTTTTTTCCTCACAATTGTGTGGGTTGCCTGGGTGGTTCTTCTGTGATCTCTTCTGACATCATTCATGTGGCTACACCCCTAGAGCAGATGGGCTGCAGGCTGGGCTCACCCGGAGCTGTCAACCACAGCATATTGATCTTATAGCATGTGGTTACTCCGCATAGCCAGCTTGGGCTTTCTTACAGTATGGCAGTCTCAAGGCAGAATTCTTAGAGGGAGCATTTCAAGAGTGTGAAAACAGAACTTTAAAAACTTTAAGCAGAAGCCATAAGACCTGCCGTATTTTATTGGTCAAAGCAAGTAACAAAGCCAGCCCAAATTCTAGGGGAGATGAATTAGACTCCACCTTTTAAGGAGACAAGTGGCAAAATCACCTTGCAAAGAGTTGTGGGATTGGAGATACTGATGCAGCCATATTTGGAAACCATCTAGTACACTCCACCTCCTACCTAAAATAATTCGCATTCCTCTCACATGTAAACTGCACTAATCATCAACCGCCTCCACGGGCACATCCTATTATGGCATCTGCTCAAAGTCCAGGGTCTAGTCATCTCAGTCAGCTGCTAGTGTAGTGGGATGCGGTTCCCCATGTTTCTGTGTGTGCTCAGATGTGCCTTCTCTCCATCTGGAAACCAGTGAACTAAAAAGACAAGTTATCTGCCCCCAACACACTCAACACACAATGATGAGGCAAGGACAGGAAAAGTTCTGCAGACAAATGATTATATACTGTGCACAACTGGGGCCCTGAAGAGAGAAGAGAATAACCAAGGGGAAAAAATGGGGAGGTACTGCCCCCAGGAAGATGGATTAGGAGTCCATGCAGTCTTCTGGCAAGGGATCATCATGAAACCACCACTGTTTCCTGAGCGTTTGCTCCTGTCAAGGCACTGTTTGGAACATTCTCCAACATGCTTTCTCATTTGACCTTCACCACAAATTTAAGAAAGGTGCTTACCTGATAAATGAGAAAAAAACAAGCTAAATCGAGACAACTCACATAAGCTACATGGCAAAAGTGTTTGGAGGTGAGAAAGTGGAAGGTGGCTTTGAACTTCCTAGCTTGGATTTTAACTGGAATAGGGAAAGTAGAACATGTAATAGGATGTGGGAAAGTTGAATTAACCTTTGTCCATGTGGATTTTGAGGTGCCTGCAGGATATTTACAAAGAAGAACTGAGTGAAGGCTGGAAATACAGACTTAGATTGGCTTTCAGGGGACCCTAACAGTATTTCTCTACAGACATTGAAAAGTGGTCAGGCCAGGCGTGGTGGCTCACGCCTGTAATCCCAGCACTTTGGGAGGCCGAGGCAGGTAGAACACCTGAGGTCAGGAGTTCAAGACCAGCCTGGCCAACATGGCGATAACTCATCTCTACTAAAAATACAAAAATTGCCCAGGTGTGGTAACGCGCACCTGTAATCCCAGCTGCTTGGGAGGGTGAGGCAGGAGAATTGCTTGAACCCAGGAGGTGGAGGTTGCAGTGAGCTGAGATTGCACCACTGTACTCCAGCCTGGGTAACAGAGCAAGATTCTGTCTCAAAACAAAAAAGAAAAAAGAAAAGTGGTCTGGGGATGAAATGCTGGCAAAACCCAGCACCTGCCTAATTCTTGCTTGTCGTAGTTGAAAGTTGCTTATCTATGACCTGGCATTTCTAATATATCATTGTGGGCCACAATGGTGGGCTGATTCAGGGCTGATTTTCCTGCCAGCTGTGATACCACAATTCTTATCCCAGATCCTGTGACGTTGCACAAGAAAGCTCTACTTCTAGTGAGTGATATCAGTTTAGAATATTCTCACCTCTGTGCAAGGGAGACTGGAAAGGCGCATCCTTTGCCTGCTCCTACATTTGAGAAAAATTAGATTTATTTTTGGCAAGTGAGAAGTCTTTGTGGAGGACAGACCTTGTGTTTTAGTCTACCTTTGGTTTAATTGTAAATCAATTGCAATTGAAAGCAAATATCAACTGCTGTGACACTGCCTCGTTATAAATCAAATAAAAACAATAGCCTCTTGAGGATTAAAAATCAGGGCAATTGCAGTACTTCAGATATTTCTTGATGCCCTCAAGGGAAATTGTTCTTGCATCTTAGAAAGCTTCTCCTGGAGGTAGACAGAAAGAACAGTAGTGCAGTGTTTTATTTTTACTTAGAGTCACCCTTTTAAAAAATAATAAAAATAACTGGTTTCACTGTAAGGTCCATTTTAACTTTTAGCTGGTTACTAGGTTATATAACCCTTTGGTGTAGGGTAGGCAAGAACACAGATGGTACAATGTTTCCATAGCAACAGCACTTAGGCTTGTTTTCTGCCTGTCAGTTTTTTTCAACATCATATTCCTTTTAAGCAGAGGCTCTCACTCTCTCACCCTTCTCCCTCTCCCATTTTTCCTCCTTTTCTGCCTCTTCTCTTGCAATCTCCTCTACTAACCACTCTGTCTCAGAAGACTAGAAAAGAATAAGGACATTTCAGATAACTTTCTTCTGGGTTTTCAGTCTTTAAATTATTCAAACTTTAAATATGACTCTGAATAAACTATGTTTCCATCATAAAACTGCATTACTTACATGTCTCTCTTTTACTTAAATAGGAGTATGAGGCAATTATGAGGCTGAAAGTTACCCAAATTAGACCATTTTTCTTAACGTTTGAGTTGAGACAAGGTCACATAAGCCCAGATAGGTAGGCATGTATCCTTAAGGACTCCTGGAACAGATTCTGCTACCTCTTTAGGTAAAACTAACTTATAGCCACTCTCACATTAAGTGCCTTCCTTGACTCTATCTCAGTGGGCTCTTACTTAAGCATATTAATTACAAATCTGGAGCCTATATTCCAATTTGCCCCTCTGTAACATTCCTAAGCAGATTAACTGACAAGCACACTTTGGGTTTCTGCACTTGAAAATCAGATCTTTCGTAGGAATACTTCCAGGCCCTGTTCTCCCTGAATCTTATCTATAAGCAGAAACTACATTTTATCTCTTGTTTTTAGAATGTCACCCCCTCAGGGAGGTCTTCCTGGACCCTGGTTATTTTCTTAGTTCCCTGTACACTCCTATAATTGTAATTTATATATTTTTTATTTGATGACTTGTTTATCCTCTGTCTCATCCAGTAGACTCTAAGGTCTATGAGGGCACAGACCGTTTTTGAAATGTTTAACATTGTATTCCTAGTATTTCAGACACAATTTGGCTCATTGTAAGCATTTTAAAAAGTGATTTTCAAATGAATGAATGTTTCCTTTTTGATAAACTCATTTTAGACTTTTGTTGCAAAATAAAACTGAATCTATTTTTTAAATTCGAAGTGTTGGTATGGTTTCTGTTTCCCTTTTTACTTTGGCGGCTAGGAAGCTCAGAGCTAAAGCTGTTGCTCAATGTAGCTACTAAGCTAGCATATTTGTTTCCTGGGTTTTTTTGTGGGGGGTGGGGAGCTTGATTTTTTTCTTTACTATTGTAGTTGCATATTTTTTTAAGCCATCTCAACTACTTCTTAAAAGCAAGCAATGCAAAATAAATAAAATAAATATAATAACCTTCATAGTAAAAATGAATTTTCAGGGATTCCCCCAGAGAGAATGATGTATATTATGATAGGTTAACTCTATTAAATACGGACATGAATGGTGACCAAACAAACTTTAAGTGGTAGAAAATTAAAAGGCTTTTTAACTCTTCAGCTGAATCAACTGAGGACTATATCAAGTGAGAATAAGTATGTATTATACATAAAACTGATCACATTTATCAACTAAATGGTTTAACTTTGTTTTAAAGGGTGAAATACACTTGAATTGCTGAAGCATTACTTTACTAAATTAAAAATATATATTTCTGCAGACACACTTAAAACTCCTTCTCACCAGGCAAGGTTGCTCACGCCTGTAATCACAGCACTTTGGGAGGCTAAGGCAGGTGGATGACTTGAGCCCAGGAGTGGGAGACCAGCCAGGGCAACATGGTGAAACCCTGTCTCTACAAAAACATTTTTTAAAAAAAATTAGCTGGGTGTGGTGCTGCATGCCTATAGTCCCAGCTACTTGGGAGGCTGAGGCAGGAGGATCACCTGAGCATGGGGACATCAAGGCTGCAGTGAGCCATGATTGTGCCACTGCACTCCAGCCTGGGCCACAGAATAAGACTCAGTTTCAAAAAACAAAACATTCCTTCCGTCTGTGGTCTATAGCGTTGCCTCTTGCCTTTTTACAAGGAAGAAAAACTTGTATAAACATCATGATTCATGGGTTTTAATCACTTTAGGTAAACAGTGCTGCCAGATGATCCTGGTTTGCAGATTCAGGACATGAAATCCTTCAACTGACACTGAGATTTGTTTAGAGTTGATGGTGGGAGAAGAGAGAGAGCTTGAGGGGGGACTCCTGAGATGATTTTAAGTATCATGGCTAGAAAAAGAAGCTGTAGTGAGGGAGCAAATCAATGACATCAGTGTCACCTGGGAAGATGGTGTGACAGTGAGGATTTATTAATAGAAAGGGCAACTGGGTAAATGTCACACTTAAAAAATAAATGATTTAGTGGCAAAAGAAGCTGGGAACCCACTTCAGATGAAAGACATAAGTGCTTTTCTCAGCATTAAGGAAGATAGACAGTGTCTATATTCTGTGCCTAAAGGGACAGGAATGAAAATGAGAGGAATCAGTTTGGTTTTCTCCCAGCTCCCGGGTGAGCTGGTGGGGGCCTGGTTAAATGCAGGTTCTGAACCAGATTGAGAATGGAGGGTCCATTGGCTTCCTCTGTCCCCATGCCTGGTTCTGTGGGGCAGGAGACTGTAGTGAGGGACAAATGGAGACTGATCTGCCTTCTGCCTACTGTGACTTTTCCTCTCCGCAGAGCAAGGGGCAGAGTGTCCTTCACCACACAGAGTCCCATGCTGTACCCTGGAAAACACTCAACTGCCAAGCCCCCATTTTGCTTTATCTTCACTTTCTTTCTGTGAATCTGGGCTCACGGCTAAGCTCATAATAGGGTGCATTGCTTTTCAGGAGTTAAAGGGAGTTAAATGTTGTGGGTGAATGGCAATTATCTGGGCCAGTGGCATGGGAGTAAAAAAATTTTAAAAGACAGTTGTAGGTAAAGAAAGGCAGATTCATTAGAGAAAGTAAGAAAATATGTTGCAAGGTTGCAATGGGCAGAATTAGCACAAGAGGAGCTGACTGCAAAGAAACAAAGACTTGCTAGGGATTTTATAGAATAATGCTTGTGCTGAGGAGAGCTTTGTGCAGTACTGATAGTGCCAAGGTTGCAGTGAGCTAACTTGCAGGTGTCTGGTGATAAGATGGGTGCAAAACGATAGTGAGTTATTTGCTCAGGAGGGCCATGTGTCCTAGGCCGTGAAGAAAGTCCGACATAGCTTATCTGCTTTCTTGTTTTGCTTTCTCCTCAGCCCCACCAGCCTAACTCATTTTCGCTAATTAGGACTCCACACTAAGTAATCATACCCATATTGCCTCTGGATTCTGAACCAATTGAATAAAAACAAACAAAAGCTGATGTGTAGAGGGTATTAGTCTTGTTGTAGTGGTGTTTCTTTCTAGCCATTTCCCTGCTCGAATAGCACTCAATTTCTATTTGCAGAATGTCCTCTCCCCTGTTGTGGGCAGTTTTGATGGAACAATTAATAAGATGTCTGCCCCGTCCTAGCCAATTGAATCCGTTCCACAGCTGACAGACGTTTGGGTTGTACTCAGTGTTTTGCTGTAATTAAAAGAGCTGGTATAGGGTGGATCACCTGAGGCCAGGAGTTTGAGACCAGCCTGGCCAACATGGTGAAACCACATCTCTACTAAAAATGCAAAAATTAGCCGGGCATGGCAGCAGGCACCTGTAATCCCAGCTACTGGGGAGGCTGAGGCAGTAGAATTGCTTGACCCAGGAGGCGGAGGTTGCAGTGAGCTGATATTGCACCATTGCACTCCAGCCTGGGTGACGAGAGTGAGATTCCATTTCAAAAAAAAAAAAAAAAGATCTGTTATAAATATTATTACATGTCTCTTCATGTTTAGTGCAAGAAAGGGTATTTGCTGGGTCATAGAGTATACAAGTTGTTGCTAAAGTATTTTCCATAGTGGCGATCCAAATTTGCACTTCCCTAAGAAGTGGATGAGAGTTCTCATTGTTCTGTGATCATGCTAACACTTAGTATTTTCCAAAATTTTAATTGTTCCCACCTGCCTACAGTAAAATACTATAACATTGTTTTTAATTTGCATCCATCTGGTATTGAATGAGGTTGAGCACTTTTTTTTTTTTTTTTGAGACAGAGTTTTGCTCTTGTTGCCCAGGCTGGAGTGCAATGGCGCAATCTTGGCTCACTGCAACCTCTGCCTCCCAGGTTCAAGCGATTCTCCTGCCTCAGCCTCCCTAGTAGCTGCAATTACAGGCATGTGCCACCACACCCGGCTAATTTTGTATTTTAGTAGAGACAGGGTTTCTCCATGTTGGTCAGGCTGGTCTTGAACTCCCGACCTCAGGTGATCCGCCCACCTCGGCCTCCCAAAGTGCTGGGATTACACGCATGAGCCACCGCGCCCAGCCGAGGTTGAGCACTTTTTATTTTTTATTTTTTATAACTTCATTAAGATATAATTCGTCTACCTTACAATTCACTCATTTAAAGTATACAGTTCAATGGCTTTTAGTTTATGCAGGCTGTGCAACCATCACAAACAATTTTAGAATATTTTCATCACCCCCAAGAGCAACCCTGTACCCATTAGCAGTTATTTCTCAGTCCCCCTCAAGTTCCTCTGCCCTGATGACTTTATGTCTCTATAGATTACTTACTGTGGACATTTCCTATAGCTGGAATCATACAATATGTGGTTGTTTGTGACTGGCTCCTTCAACTTACCATAAAGTTTTTAAGGTTTATTCATGTTTTAGTGCATACCAGTACTTCCTTCTTCTTTACTGCTGAATAATCTTCCATTGTACGGATATGCCTCATTTTATTTATCCATTCATCATTTGAATGTTATAAAGAAATACAACACATAGATTGTTTCTACTTTTAGCTATAATGAATAATGTTGCCATGAACGTTCATGTACATATTTTTGTGTGGATATATATTTTTATTCCTTCTGGCTATACACTTAGGAGTGGAATTGCTGAGTCATGTCGTGACTCTATGTTTAACCTCTTGAGGAACTGCTAGACTATTTTCCAAAGTCGCTGCACCATTTCATATACCCACCAGTGTTGTATGAGGGCTTCACTTTCTCCATATCTTCACCAATTTATCTGTCTTTTGATTATAGTAATTCCATGTGAAGTGATGGCTCAATTTGGTTTTGATTTACATTTCCATTGTGGCTAGTGATGTTGAGTATCCTTTCATGTGATTATGGGCCATTTGTACTTCTTCTTTGGAAATATGCCCATTCAGATCCTTTGCCCACTTTTAAATTGGGTTGTCTCTTTATTGTCAAATAGTAAGAGTTTGTAATATGTCTTACATACACGTCTCATCAGATATAGAATTCACAAACATTTTCTGCCATTTGGTGGGTTGTCTTTTCACTTTCTTGATGGTATTCTTTGAAAGACAAAAGTTTTAAATTTCGAGGATGTCCAATTTATCTCTTCTCTTCTGGTGCTTGTCTTTTTGGTGTCATATCTAAGAAATCATTGCCATGTTCAAAGTCATGAAGATTTTTGCTTATGTTTTCTTTCTAGAATTTTATAATTTCAGCTCTCAGGTTAGATTTATTTTGACTTAAATTTTGTATATAGTGTTAGGTATGAGTCCAACTTCATTCTTCTGCATGTGGATCTCCAGTTGTCTCAGCACCATTTCTTGAAAAGACTATTTTTTTCTCGTTGAATTATCTTAGCACACTTGTTGAAAATCAATTGACCCTAAATGTGAGGACTTATTTCTGGACTCTCAATTCTATCCCACTGATCTATATGTCTTTCTTTTCCTTCCTTCCTTCCTTCCTCCTTCCTTCCCTTCCCTTCCTCCCTTCCTTCCATCCTTCCTCTTTCTTTTCTTTTTTCTTTTCTTTTCTTTTCTCTTTCTTTCTTTTCTCTCTCTTTCTCTCTTTCTTTCTCTCTCTCTCTTTCTTTCCTCTTCCTCTTCTTCTTCTTTCTTCTTTTTTTTTGTTGACAGAGTCTTGCTCTGTGCCCAGGCTGGATTGCAGTGGTGCGATCTTGGCTCATTGCAACCTCCACCTACCTGGTTCAAGCGATTCTTGTGCCTCAGCTTTTTGAGAGGCTGGGATTACAGGTGCCTGCCACCACACTTGGCTAATTTTTGTATTTTTGGTAAAGATGGGGTTTTGCCATGTTGGCCAGGCTGATCTCGAATTCCTGACCTCACTGGATCCACCCGCCTCGGCCTCCCAAAGTCCTGGGATTACAGACAGGAGGCACTGCGCCTGGCCTATATGTTTTTCTTTATGCCAGTACAAAACTGTTTTGACTACTGCAGCATTGTAGTAAGTTTTGTAATTGGGAGGTATGAATTTTCCAGATTTCCATTTTCATCTGGAATCTTCTTTTACAAGATTGTTCTGACTATCCAAGGTCCTTTGAATTTCCATATGAATTTTAGGTTCAGCTTGTCAATTTCTGTAAAGAAACCAGCTGGAATTTTGATAAGGATTGCATTGAATCTGTAAATCAATTTGGGGAATACAGTCTGCCACCTTTACAATATTAAGTCTTCCATTCTGTGAACACAGAATGTCTTTTCATTTATTTAGGTATTCTGTAATGTTTTTCAATAAGGTTTTGTGGCACATTGCAATGGTCCATGCCTGTAATCCCAGCTCTTTGGGAGGCCAAGGTGGGAGGATTGCTTGAGCCCAGGAGTTCAAGACCAGCCTGGGCAATATAGTGAGAACCTATCTCTACAAAAAAATTTTTAACAAATCAGCATAGTGGCACATGCCTGTAGTCCCAGCTACTTGGAGGTGCTGAGGTGGGATGATCGTTTGAGCCCAGGAGTTCAAGACCAGTCTGGGCAATATAGTGAGAACCCATCTCTACAAAAAAATTTTTTAACAAATCAGCACAGTGGCACGTGCCTGTAGTCCCAGCTACTTGGAGGTGCTGAGGTGGGAGGATCGTTTGAGCCCAGCAAGTCGAGGCTGCAGTAATCCGTGATCACACCACTGCACTCTAGCCTGGGTGACAGAGCAAGATCTTGGCCACCTTTCCACCAAAAAACCCAGAAGGTTTTGTAATATCAGAGTATAAATTTTATACTTCTATTAATGTACAAGTATTTTAATCTTAAATATTTTGTTCTTCTGATGCTATTTTAAATGGAATTGTTTAATTTTATTTTGTTTGTTTATTGTTACTATCTATAAATCCAATTGATTTTTGTATGTTGATCTGTGTCCTACAACCTAGCTGAACTCACTTATTATTAGTTCTAATAATTTTTTAGTGGAATCCGTAGGATTTTCTAAATACAAGATTATGTCATCTTCAAATAGAGGTAGTTTTACTTCTTCATTTTCCAACTGGATGCCTTTTATTTTATTTTCTTGCCTAATTGACCTAGCTAGAACATGCAGTACAAAGTTAAATAGAAGTAGCAAAAACCAACATTCTTTTCTTGTTCCTGATGTTAAGGGGAATGCAACCAATCTTTTACCATTAAGTATGACAAAAGCTGTTCTTCATAGATGCCCTTAATCAGATTGAGGAATTTCCCTTCTACTTCTAGTTGATTGAGAGTTTTTATCATAAAGGGTGTTGAATTTTGTCAAATGCATTTTCTGTGTCTACTGAAATGATCATATGGTTTTTATTTTTTGGTGTATTATATTAATTGATTTCAGATATTGTTTGGTCATTTTAAAATACATTCACAGGCCATTTGTTTTCTTCTCTGAAATACTATTAATATCATTTGCCCATTTTCTACTGGATTATTTGTCTTTTCCTAACTGACTTGTAAAAACTTTTAATATAGCCGAATATCTTTATCAGTTACATGTGTAGCCAATATTTCCCCCAAATTTGTAGTTTGTTCTTTCCCTCTTTTAATGACATCTCCCGATGAACAGCAGATTCCTTTTTTTTTTTAAGACGATGTTTCTCTCTTGTTGCCCACACTGGAGTGCAATGGCGCAATCTTGGCTCACTGCAACATCCACCTCCCGGGTTCAAGCCATTCTCCTGCCTCACTCAGCCTCCCGAGTAGCTGGAATTACAGGCATGGGCCGCTATGCCCAGCTAATTTTTGTACTTTTAGTAGAGACGGGGTTTCTCCCTGTTCATCAGGCTGGTCTCAAACTCCTGATCTCAGGTGATCTACCCGCTTCAGCCTCCCAAAGTGCTGGAATTACAGGCGTGAGCCACCATGCCTGGCCTGAACAGCAGATTCTTAACCTCAGTGTTATAAAATTTTGAAATCTTTGCTCTGTGGTTTGTATCTTGGAGATCTGTTTATGAAATCCTTCACTTCTTCCCAAGATAAGCACATAATCCTAAATTGTCTTGTAAAGTTTTGCCATTCATGGTTAGACCTCTACTTAATCTGAACTTAATTTTTTTATTTTAAGATGTGAGGTAGGATCAGATGTCCTGTTTCCCATGTGAATATCCAGTTGTTTTGGACACGATTAATGTAGTTTCTCAGATTTGCTAAGACTCCTCCAGGGTCCTCAGCTGATGGCTCTTGAGGAGCTCCTGATAACTCCATGGCTACCGAAGCTGCTGCCTCATCTACCAGCACTGCCAGCTGTCTTGACCTTTCCCATAGAGAGTACCAGCTCCTGCATAGCCTCCATCTACCCATTGCTGTGGGAGCACCAGTTGATCTGACACCCACGCCCAAGCAGAAGGAACACATAGTGTCTCTGGCTCCCCATGCCACTGCCCACTGTAGGGGAGGCAGAAATTTACTTGTACCTATCCTTAGTGCTTAGTTGGGACAGATCCTCATGGTAAAAGACAGATTCACAAGAGAATTAATTATTATTATTATTAATACGTGCAGTGCATATCATGCAGGAGAAGCCTCAACAAAGAATAGCTCAAAGCAGTAGCTTAAAACTCCTGCTCATATAGCATCTTCAACCAAGAACAATAACTTTGTAGAGAAATGACAGGACAAAGGAAAGCAGTTCTAAATAATATCTTCAAATTTGTCTTCTAATTCAACAATGTAGTTTTCAGCTTTACTAAATTCTGTATTTTATTCCAAAATGAAAACATTTTAAATTATAATATTTATTATTTCTGTTAATATAGTCAAGCTTCTCTATTCTTCAAATACATTAAACATTATTTTATCATCTGCATTTGATAATTCCAGTGTCTGAAGTTTTTGGGTTTTTTTTTTTTTTGAGACAGAGTCTGGCTCTTGTCATCCAGGCTGGAGTGCAGTGGCACTATCTCAGCTCACTGCAACCTCTGCCTCCTGGGTTAAGGCTATTCTCCTGCCTCAGCCTCCTGATGAAGTTTTAAGGCCTAATTCTGCCATCTCTTGTCACTGTTTGCTGTCATGTCTTAATTTCATTTGCATTTGAGATGGCTGATTGTAAATGGCTTTGTCTATATTGATTATTTTGAGATTTTTGTTGAAGGATTTGTGTTTATATCTGCCAGTTACCTTGGGCAATATACATTGGCACTACTTTAAATCTTCCTCTTGAGGTTTTTCAGAACACACAGCTTCCATGAAAAATGACTACAAACCTCCATGAAGACTGAATTGTATTTTCTAATATGCAATGTATTTTTTTCCTCCCCACACCAGGATGGAAATTGACTGGCTTCCTCATGGTCTGCTGATCTTACTGCTTACTCATCCATTCACTGAAGGGTCCTTAGAGGTCCCATGTCTATGCAGGTGTCTCTTTTCAGACTCTTCACCCAAATAGACTAGGCTTTACCTTCTGTTTCCTCAACGCTGCCTCTGTAGCTGTCAAGGTAGAATTTCAAAATATCTAGGACTGGGCAGAATCCTATAGAGAAAAGCTGGCCCATGTTACCTTGTCCCTCACCCCTGACACCACTAGGTAGGGTTCTGCTTTAATTTCATTTTTGGCCTCTATGAGTTTCTGCTTCTTGTATAAACACACAGTGTACCATAAAAGATAGTTCTTATATATCTCTAGCATTTTCACTATTTTAATTGGAAAAGTCATGTATTGTCTGTAGTCCACCCCACTGCCTTCAATGAAGGTATACAGTTGTTTAAAAATTGTCATTAGTTAACAACATTTTAAACTAAGATTTCCATGATAATACAGATTTACCAGCCTCTCTTGAAAAATTATAATGTCTTGGCAACACTGGGCTCTCATTTGCCCAAAGAGCTGGAATAAGGTAGTATACCATCAAGAGGGTTTAAATTCACCTATTTGTAAATATCTCAATCACTGTTAATTGTTCTACGCCCAGCAGAAGGCATTTGAGTTTGTGATCCATGCAATTGAGAGAGTGGTCTAGACCTAGACAGCCTGAATTTTATTCTGAGCTCTGCTACTTACTGGCTACAGAAGCTCAGAAAATTCACGTAACTCTTGGAATCTCAGGGTCCTCATATCTAAAATGGAAATAATAATAGGACCTACCTCATACACGTGTGGTAAGTATTAAAGGACGTTATGCATGTCTTTCAAGTCTAAGTTTGAAATTTTTAAGGTGGCTTATATGGTGTCCCCACAATCTGGTCCTGCCGACTTCTCCAGCCTCATTTCTACCCTCTCCCTTTTATTCTATGCTCAAGCAAATGAGAAATCTTTCCATTTTTATCTTGACTTTTTGTATTTATATCTGCTGTCATCTCTGCCTAGAATACTGCCTCCTCCCACACCCCAGGCTAATATCCATTCATACTTCAAGATTCCATTTAACTTTAATTCCTTATGGGTACCTCCTCATAGTCTTAAGACTAGGCTAAATCCCCTATATATAAGCTCCTACTTTCACTTTGTAATACATATCACACTCACAGTTTCTTGTTGTATATCTATTTCTCCTGTTGAAATGTGAGCTTTTTGAATACAGGATCCCTATTTGTCTTGTTCATCCTTATATTAGTGAGGCCTAGTCAAGGACTGGCACAAGGAAGGTCCTCAATAAAGGTTTATGGGATTGAATCAGATAAATGGAGCTGGTATTATCACACTGCCTTGTCAACACTCCTCTTCAAGTGCAACATCAAAATAAAATACAATAATCCAGATATGCCTTCATATAATATGGCCCCTTAATGTGTTCATATTAATGGATATATGTACACCAGGATTGTGCTAACATTTTTGTTTTCATATCTTTTATCATCTCTATTAGAGAAGTAACTGAAGGAATAAAGTAGAATCAGTGTTGTTATCTTTATCTCTGAAAGGCAGCACTTTCTCGGGCTGTGCATAAAAAAATACTTAGAGACATGAAAGACCTATGAGGTCATGAGTTTCTCTTCTTAAATATATATTTTTAAATCTTTCAACGTCATCATTATATAATAATACCAGTGTGAGGATTAGACAGGTATCAGCAGGGCATTTAGTTGTGTTGTTATTTTGGTTGTTCATGAATCTGAGCTAGAATTCTGAGCAGTAGCTCTTGGATAAAGTGGAGTATACATACATCTGCTCAAATAGATTAAATCTCCAATTTCAACCAACTCCTTTGGTATGAAAAAATTCAGATGATAGGGCCGGGTGCAGTGGCTCACGCCTGTTAATCCCAGCACTTTGGGAAGTCGAGGCGGGCAGATCACGAAGTCAGGAGATCGAGACCATCCTGACCAACATAGTGAAACCCCGTCTCTACGAAAATACAAAAAAATTAGCCGGTGTAGTGGCGCACACCTGCAGTCCCAGCTACTAGGATGGCTGAGGTAGGGGAATCGCTTGCACCCAGGAGGCGGAGGTTGCAGTGAGCTGGATTGCACCACTGCACTCCAGCCTGGCGCAGAGCAAGACTCCGTCTAAAACAAAACAAAACAAAACAAAATTCAGAAGATAATTTGAATAAAAAGAAGAGAAGGTAGAAGAATAGGAAAGTATAGAAAGTGTGTTTTTCCATATAAAAAGATTAGATCAATAGCCCCACGTTTTTAAAAAAACAAAAAGATTGTTGATAATTACTGATACACTGACTGATAAAAGATATTTGACTATTATAAAATACTCCTCTATATGCTTGTCTTCTTACAAGGTAGTTTAGTTGTTCAGAATACAGATGAGAAATTGAAGCTGTCGTGGGAATCATCCTCACATCTGAGACTAAAAATATAGAACTATCTTTGTAATTTGATATACACAACACCAGGGCCTAATTCTGGTTTTAATATTGGCTCACTTAATATTCGTATAAATTAATCTGTAAGTAGAGTATAAAGCAAAACTGGTATTCAGATGTTATTATTAGGAAATAGTTAATACTTTGAAATGTTTTAGGGATGTAGATACAAAAATTTTAAAAAATATACTTAACACTATTTGCAGTAGATATCTCTGCATTGGATTAAAAATGTTTGTGTCAAAATATTCCACAGTGAACAAATACTACTTTAATTAATTAATTTATTTATTTTGGATTCAGGAGGTACATGTGCAGGTTTGTTACATGGGTATACTGCATGATGCTCAGGTTTGGGCTATGGATGATCCCATTACCCAGGTATTGAGCATAGTACCCAATAGGTAGTTTTTCCCCCACATTCCACATCCCTCTCCCTCCCTTCTGCCTCTAGTAGTCCCCAGTGTCTATTGTTCCCTTCTTTATATCCGTATATACTCAGTGTTTAGCTCCCACTTGTAAATGAGAACATGCAGTATTTGGTTTTCTGTTCCTGCATTGTTTACTTAGGATAATGGCCTCCAACAGCATCCACATTGCTGCAAAGGACATGATTCTGTTCTTTTTTATGGCTGCGCTGTATTCCATGGCGCATATATATATATATATATATATATATATATATATATATATCACATTTTCTTTATCCAGTCCACCATTGATGGGCACCTAGGTTGATTCCACGGCTTTGCTATTGTGAATAGTGCTGCAATGAACATATAAGTGCATATGTCTTTTTGGTAGAACAATTTATTTTCTTTTGGGCATATACCCAGTAATGGGATTGCTGAGTTGAATGGTAGTTCTGTTTTAAGTTCTTTGAAAAATCTCCAAACTACTTTCCACAGTGCATTCCCACCATTGGTGTATAAACATCCCTTTTCTCCACAGCCTCGCCAGCATTTGTTATTTTTTTGACTTTTTAATAATCGCCATTCTGACTGGTTTTGCAGATGCTACTTTCATACTATAAAAAATACTATTCAGCCTGACAAGGTGGCTCACGCCTATAATCCCAGAACTTTGGGAAGCTGGGGCAGGCAGATCCCTTCAGCCCAGAAGCTCGAGATCAGCCTGGGCAACATGGCCAAACCACGTCTCTACAAAAAAAAACAAAAATTAGTGGGGCGTAGTGGTACACGCCTGTAGTCACGGCCACTTGGAAGGTTGAGGTGGAAAGATCACTTGAGCCCAGGAGGTTGAGGCTGCAGCGAGCTGAGATTGCCACTGCACTCCAGCCTGGCAACAGAGCAAGACCCTGTCCCAAAAACAAACAAACAAAAAATGAAACAAAACAAATATATATTTTTCCAATGTTGTAGTTTTTTTTATTCCACTCTTTTGTACTATAATTATGCTTTCCATAATTATGGAAGCACTAAACAATATTGAACCTAGCGTGGCCATTTTAAGTTCTCTGGGGACCCAGGCTCTCTTTCTCTGAAGACCCAATCTCTTCAACTTAGCAAATATATTTAAATGAACCTATTGCATCCATAAACCATAATAAACAAGTTTTTCTTTAAATTTTGGAACATTAATAAGTTTTGCTCTTCAATGATTTGATTATGATTGGTACTATAGAATGATTGACTGATTTATCACACATCATCAAACATACTTGGGAATTCTTGCCAAGTGAGTAAATCTAAGTTACAAATGGAATGAAATTTTATTAATAGTAAATTAATAAAATCAGTGTAATTTTATATTTTGTAACCATTAAATAATCATTCATTAGTTTATCTTTTATAGTTTCTCTTTCTGTTTTGGAATCAATTATAGTTGGCCTCTCATAACCACAGATTTCACATCCACAGGTTCAACCAACCATGAATCAAAAAAAAAAAATATATATATATATATAGGATAATTTCACCTGTACTGAACATGTACAGACCTTTTTTCTTGTCATTATTCCCTAAACAATAGAGTAAAACAACTATCTGCATAGCATTTACACTGTATTAGATATTTTAAGTAATCTAGAGATGATTTAAAGTATAGGTTATATGAAAATGCTACATCATTTTATATAAGGAACTTGAATATCCTTGGATTTTGGTATCTGCAGGGGGTCTTGGAACCAACCCCCTAGAGATACTGAGAGATAACTATAATTCTTTTTAAATTCTCAAACATTTCTGAATCCTGTGAGCAGCTAATCAGCCCTGGGCACAATGGCTATATGACTTTGGACATAAGAATTAATACCCAATTGCTTCAGCTGCCAAATTCTGATCCTGGTTCTATCCCAGATATACTCCTGGGAAGTGCTCAGGTTCAATGTCATAATCTTTTCTTTATTTATGATACAGTCACTTTATTAATTGTTGTTAATAATACCTATGTGGAAGCAAAGCATTTGTTCTTTTCTTCATTAAATAATGACATATGATTGATACTTTTATACACTTCAAATAATTAATAAATGGTTAAGGGGATCAGAACATGCCACCTCCAATTATGCCACTTTGGTATATTAGTTATTTTGAGCTGAAGGCAATTGAGAAGCAGCAGATGCAGGAAGGGCTCTCTGACCTTCCCGCTTCTACTTCAAAGCAGGGCATACATTTCCCAGAATAAAAGTGCCTTTCCTGTCCCAGGAAGAGCAGAACATTTTTATCACCTGAGATGGGGAGTTAACAGCAAGATGAATCCATACCAACTTACTAAAATAACCCTTCTCTTCCATTAGTTTCCCCCTATATTTCCTAGTTGCTTTCCCATGATTTACTGCTCTAGCCCAGTTTTTTTTTTTTTTTTTTAGACAGAGTCTTGTTCTGTCACCCAGGCTGGAGTGCAGTGGCACAATCGGCTCACTGCAACCTCTGCCTCCTGGGTTGAAGTGATTCTCCTGCCTCAGCCTCCCGAGTAGCTGGGACTACAGACACGTGCCACCATGCCCAGCTAATTTTTTGTATTTTTAGTAGAGATGGGGTTTCACCATGTTAGCCAGAATGGTCTCAATCTCCTGACCTCGTGATCCACCTGTCTCAGCCTCCCAAAGTGCTGGGATTACAGCCATGAGCCACCGCACCCGGCCAGTAGACGGGGTTTCGCCATGTTGGCCAGGCTTGTCTCAAACTCCTGACCTCAGGTGATCCGCCCGCCTCAGCCTCCCAAAGTGCTGGGATTACAGGCATGAGCCACCACACTCAACCCAAACTTCTTTTTTCTTTGTCTTATTGCAACTCAAAAATTTATCATTCTTTGTTAAAATTGCATATAGGCTCTCAGACCTATCTGCTTCTTTAGGTCTTCATTTCTGATATACAAAGGCCTCTATATATACATAAAAATATTGACATCAAGTAAAATGTGTATGCTTTTCTCTTGTTAATTTATCTTTTGTCAGTTTAATTATCAGACCAGCCATAGAACTTAAGAGGGTAGAAGAAAGTCTTTCCTGCCCTACAATGGTAATATATAATACAACAAATACCCTTTTATTAACACATATTTATCAGCAAATTCTAGAATTTCCTTCCTCCAAAATTTTGGCAGGGTAAATTGTTCTACTTTGTTGAAATTAACATATGCATTAAAAACATATCATTTTTCCTTGTCCCATGCTCATTTTATACTTTCTGTCTTCACTGACCCTTGCAGCCTCATGATTAGGCTTTTTAGTCTCTGGACGTAGGTTCTTGGGGATACCAGAACTCAATGTCCACTGGAGTAACAGCTTCAGGACTGTCATTCTAAGGTCCACAGTTACTTCACATCCTTAGGTTCTCTGTGGTGGCTAGACACCCCTACTTCCTATTTCTGCATTATCTTTTTTTCTAAATATTCTCAAATGAATAACTCCTTTTATACTAAAAATTCTCCAAGTTTTGGAAAAATATAGAGGAAAAAAGTTCTGATTTTATAATTTTCTGCCAGATAAACTCAAAGTTGGGAAGAGATTACTTTAATCATAATACAGTTGAATATGTAGGAAAATGTTAAAGACAGGTAGAAAGTACAATGACAACACACTGGGGGGAGTTCATTCAGCCACCTATGTCAGGACCACCTGGGGGTCTAGATAAAAACGTGTTTTTTGGATTACCCCCCAGAACTGAGTCAGATTAAAGTAACATTTTTAATCCGCTCCCTGGCATTTCTGAAACATTCTATAGTTTGAGAACTGGTAGAACTTGCAGTTATAGACACTATTGGCCCACACAACACCTTTTTTGTCCTGCACCCATTCAGAAGCATAAAACTATTTTTGCATGGACTCTATTCCAAGTCATATTTGCAGTGTGAAGAAGGGTGATGGAAGACAGCAGTTCCTCCCTCTGACCACAAGGGAGAATTTCCTTTTGAGGCTTCCAGGCCACCCTATGATTCCAGAGGATAGGCCTTAGTACAGAAGGGCAGAGAATAGCCAGGCTGTTCATGTGGAAAGAGAAGTGTAATAATTCCATATGGTTTCCTCTTCTCATGATGTTACTTCATTTTCAGAGTCACTGTAGATGTAGAAATCATTACAAATTTATGTTGCCTTAAATGTTAGTCTGTTTTACAATCTCAGAAAGCCATTTTATTTATTTTAATGCAAAAATATATTAATACATGCTAGAACTTGTTAAAAGTATAAATGATTTATGAATTATATGTTTTATTTAGTAAACATATTCATATGTAAAAGGTAAAGATAATAATTTTCAAAATAAATGGTGATTCTGATACTAATGTCTTTAGAGCAGAGGTGTTTCTGCTTTTGGCTTCCCTGGTCCATATTGGAAGAAGAATTGTCTTGGGCCACATGTAAAATACACTAACATTAACAATAGCTAATGAGCAAAAAAAAAAAAAAAAAAAAAAAAAAGAAGTCCATACATAAATCTTATAGCTTTTTTTTTTTTTTGAGACAGAGTTTCGCTCTTGTTGCCCAGGCTGGAGTGCAATGGCACTATCTTGGCTAACCGCAACCTCCGCCTCCCGGGTTCAAGCAATTCTCCTGCCTCAGCCTCCCGAGTAGCTGGGATTACAGGCATGCGCCACCACGCCTGGCTAATTTTGTATATTTTAGTGGAGACAGGGTTTCTCCATGTTGGTCAGGCTGGCCTCGAACTCCTGAGCTCAGGTGATCCGCCTGCCTCGGCCTCCCAAAGTGCTGGGATTACAGGTGTGAGCCACTGCGCCTGGCCAAATCTTATAACATTTTAAGAAAGTTTATGAATTTGTGTTGGGCTGCATTCAGAGCTGTCCTGGGCCACATGTAGCTCGTGGGCTACAGGTCGGACAAGCTTGCTTTACAGCTATATCTTGATTAAAAGAAAAAGGAAAAAAAAAAAGCAAAAAAGTAAATTACATCTTTCCCAATGATACAAGGTAGGAAGAAATGAATGTGAAGTATAACACTTAAGAAATACTTCTTAGGGACTTGGCCTAGACCTTACAGAGTGAGCAATATTTGAATTCATGGAGAAGATGGGGAACAGATCACTGACATAGAAACACAGATCTGGCACACTAGAGAGTCGTCAGGAAACTGAACTGCAAGGGTGTGAGTGTGATTGTATTGGGAAACAAAGATCAGAATTAAGAAAAAAAATACTTCAGGAAAACAACACATCAGCAACTTTATCTCCAATTTTAATCTCAATGCCTCTTATTTTATTTACAAATAATTTTCATAAATGTTAGAGATACAAAGTAAATGAAGAAGACTAGACAAATTTTTTTCTGACTTTCCAAGAGTTTGCCATTTATCTTGAAAGACATAAAGATTTTTTTTTAATTTAAAAATTAGTTCACCATTTAAAACAATGAACAATCTAGTGGTATACAAAATGGAAGGAGAAGAAAGAAGGCTATAGGCTTGAAAAATCATCTGCTGTGCAAATTTTCAGATTAAATTGATGGAAAAATTATCCAAGTTTGAAGAATCTATTCATTGTGGCCCTTCTGACTGTCAAACATGTTCCTTGGATAATAAATCATATGATGGCCCTTTATATAATGTGTTTTTATTTAAAATTATCCTTTGTTTAGATTTTTTTTTTTAAAAAAAAAAGGTGGGTTTTGTTTTCTTAATGGTACATAAAATAATAGCACATTTTGTTTTCTTAATGGTACATAAAATAATAGCACACTTTACAATTTAGGGTGTTTTAGATTCGATGAAATATGGTATATTTGTTCACAAGTATGGGTTTATCTGTAAGAGAGAATCCTATAGAAACTGCTGGGTCAAAAGATACATGCATTTAAAACATTGACAGATTCTGCTAAACTATCTTAAAAGCAAAACCAACTAAAGAGTATCCATTTCCCCACACTCTCATCAACACTGGACATTACCAGTCCTTAAAATTTTTCTTATCTGACAGGCTCTCACCACTTCTTCATTTTGGTGTCAATCCGGATAATTTGATGTGATCCCTCAAATTATCATATGTTCCCCTCTATGTGTAATTGGTTCAAATCTGCATCACACTTCCCTAGAACATGGGCCTTGGGACCTACACATCTTTCTCCTCCTAAGAGAAAATAAGGGGTCATTTTCCCAGGGGGTGCTGGTGAGCATCATGGACTATCAGGACAGGAGGGGAGCTCAGACACTGCCAAATGGAGGGGGTTCTGAAAGGCATTCAGGAAGGTCTACAGTGTTGCATTCACGTGGCAGTGGACTCTTTTACATTTCCATTTGGAAAAATAACAATTAAAATAATCCTTTAGCATCCCCCACTACCCATTAAAATGGAAACACTTTGGAAGCCTCTGAATGCATGCTCACCGGTACATGAAGCATACATTCCTTGAACAACAGATATGCATTCATATGACAGCTGCTTGGGTGGCGTCTCATGTGAGCTTTGACTACTCTACAGCAATATTTTAAAAAGTCATATGGTGCTTAATATATACCCATAATGAAATGCTGGCAAAAAGTAGAAAATATAAAACGTTTGCTGGAATAAAGTAAAAATAAAATAAAGTAAATGAGGACCATAAAATCATAATTCTACGATTTTGAACCAAGACTATTTTCATTCACTAGACCTACAAATTGCATTCAGCCCATCAGACTGTTTATATGGCTCATCACAATGTCTCTTGTATCTCTGAAACCAAAGTCATAAAGAGAAAATAGTGACAATTAGATCCGATTTGGCCTCTTGTTATTAGAAATGAAGACCAGCAATACCCACATCATAATATTTGCAGAATGTCACTTGCATACAGCAGTCTGAACCCTTCTGTTTTATCTCATCATTTAGACATACAAAAAGAAAGTAATAAAAATAAACCACTTTTTTAAAAAAATGGAAAATGCATAAATTCCAAACATTCTAGGGTACAGGTGCACAACGTGCAGGTTTCATACATAGGTATACATGTGCCATGTTGGTTTGCTGCACCCATCAGCTCATCATTTACATTAGGTATTTCTCCTAATGCTACCCCTCCCCGAGCTCCCCACCCCCTTACAGGCCCTGGTGTGTGATGTTCCCCGCTCTGTGTCCAAGTGATCTCATTCTTCAATTCCCACCTATGAGTGAGAACATGCAGTGTTTAGTTTTCTGTCCTTGTGATTGTTTGCTGAGAATGATGGTTTCCAGCTTCATCCATGTCCCTGCAAAGGACATGAACTCATCTTTTTTATGGCTGCATAGTATTCCATGGTGTATATATGCCACATTTTCTTTATCCAGTCTATCACTGATGGGCATTTGGGTTGGTTCCAAGTCTTTGCTATTGTAAATAGTGCCGCAATAAACATACTTGTGCATGTGTCTTTATAGTAGCATGATTTATAATCCTTTGGGTATATACCCAGTAATGGGATGGCTGGGTCAAATGGTAATTCTAGCTCTAGATCCTTGAGGAATCACCACACTGTGTTCCACAATGGTTGAACTAATTTACACTACCACCAACAGTGTAAAAGCATTCCTATTTCTCCACTTCCTCGCCAGCATCTGTTGTTTCCTGACTTTTTAATGATTGCCATTCTAACTGGTGTGAGATGGTATCTCATTGTGGTTTTAATTTGCATTTCTCTGATGACCAGTGATGATGAGCATTTTTTCTGTGTCTGTTGGCTGCATAGATGTCTTCTTTTGAGAAGTGTCTGTTCATATCCTTTGCCCACTTTTTGATGGGGTTATTTTTTTTCTTGTAAATTTGTTTGAGTTCTTTGTAGATTCTGGATATTAGCCCTTTGTCAGATGGGTAGATTGCAAAAATTTTCTCCCATTCTGTAGGTTGCCTGTTCACTCTGATGGTAGTTTCTTTTGCCGTGCAGAAGTTCCGTACTTTAATTAGATCCCATTTGTCTATTTTGGCTTTTGTTGCCATTGCTTTTGGTGTTTTAGTCATGAAGTCCTTGCCCATGCCTATGTCCTGAATGGTATTGCCTAGGTTTTCTTCTAGGGTTTTATGGTTTTAGGTCTAACATTTAAATCCTTAATCCATCTTGAATTAATTTTTGTATAAGGTGTAAGGAAGTGATCCAGTTTCAGCTTTCTACATATGGCTAGTCAGTTTTTCCAGCACCACTTATTAAATAGGGAATCCTTTTCCCATTGCTTGTGTTTGTCAGGTTTGTCAAAGATTAGATGGTTGTAGATGTGTGGTGTTATTTCCGAGGCCTCTGTTCTGTTCCATTGTTCTATATATCTGTTTTGGTATGAGTACCATGCTGTTTTGGTTACTGTAGCCTTGTAGTATAGTTTGAAGTCAGGTAGCATGATGTCTCCAGTTTTGTTCTTTTTGCTTAGGATTGTCTTGGCTATGAGGGCTCTTTTTTGGTTCCATATGAACTTTAAAATAGTTTTTTCCAACTCTGTGAAGAAAGTCATTGGTAGCTTGATGGGGATGGCATTGAATCTATAAATTACTTTGGGCAGTATGGCCATTTTCATGATATAGATTCTTCCTATCCATGAGCATGGAATATCCTTCCATTTGTTTATGTCCTCTTTTATTTCATGGAGCAGAGGTTTGTAGTTCTCCTTGAAGAGGTCCTTCACATCCCTCGTAAGTTGGATTCCTAGGTATTTTATTCTCTTAGTGGCAGTT
Organism: Homo sapiens; assembly: GCF_000001405.40. Classification (NCBI taxonomy): domain Eukaryota; kingdom Metazoa; phylum Chordata; class Mammalia; order Primates; family Hominidae; genus Homo; species Homo sapiens. The sequence goes on along the minus strand of NC_000006.12, from coordinate 79,582,033 downwards.
GTGAATGGGAGTTCACTCATGATTTGGCTCTCTGTTTGTCTGTTAATGGTGTATAGGATTGCTTGTGATTTTTGCACATTGATTTTGTATCCTGAGACTTTGCTGAAGTTGCTTATCAGCTTAAGGAGATTTTGGACTGAGACGATGGGGTTTTCTAAATATACAATCATGTCATCTGCAAACAGGGACAATTTGACTTCCTCATTTCCTAATTGAATACCCTTTATTTCTTTCTCTTGCCTGATTGCCCTGGCCAGAACTTCCAACACTATGTTGAAGTGGTGAGAGAGGGCATCCTTGTTTTGTGCCGGTTTTCAAAGGGAATGCTTCCAGTTTTTGCCCATTCAGTATGATATTGGCTGTGGGTTTGTCACAGATAGCTCTTATTATTTTGAGATATGTTCCATCAATACATAGTTTATTGAGAGTTTTCAGCATGAAGCGCTGTTGAATTTTGTCAAAGGCCTTTTCTGCATCTATTGAGATAATCATGTGGTTTCTGTCATTGGTTCTGTTTATGTGATGGATTACGTTTATTGATTTGCGTATGTTGAACCAGCCTTGCATCCCAGGGATGAAGCCAATTTGATTGTGGTGGATAAGCTTTTTGAAGTGCTGCTGGATTTGGTTTGCCAGTATTTTATTGAGGATTTTTGCATTGATGTTCATCAGGGATATTGGTCTAAAATTCTCTTTTTTTGTTGTGTCTCTGCTGGGCTTTGGTATCAGGATGATGCTGGCCTCATAAAATGAGTTAGGGAGGGTTCCTTCTTTTTCTGTTGATTGGAATCGTTTCAGAAGGAATGGTACCAGCTTCTCCTTATACCTCTGGTAGAATTCGGCTGTGAATCTGTCTGGTCCTGGACTTTTTTTGGTTGGTAGGCTATTAATTGTTGCCTCAATTTCAGAGCCTGTTATTGGTCTATTCAGATATTCAACTTCTTCCTTGGTTATTCTTGGGAGGGTGTATGTGTCCAGGAATTTATCCATTTCTTGTAGATTTTCTAGTTTATTTGCGTAGAGGTGTTTATAGTATTCTCTGATGGTAGCTTGTATTTCTGTGGGATCAGTGATGATATCCCATTTATCATTTTTTACTGCATTTATTTGATTCTTCTCTCTTTTCTTGTTTATTAGTCTTGCTAGCGGTCTATCAATTTTGTTGATCTTTTAAAGAAACCAGCTCCTGGCTTCATTGAATTTTGAAGGTTTTTTTGTGTCTCTGTCTCTTTCAGTTCTGCTCTGATCTTAATTTCTTGCCTTCTGCTAGCTTGTGAATCTGTTTGCTCTTGCTTCTTTAGTTCTTTTAATTGTGATGTTAGTGTGTCGATTTTAGATCTTTTCAACTTTCTCCTGTGGGCATTTAGTGCTATAAATTTCCCTCTACACACTGCTTTGACTGTGTCCCAGAGATTCTGATGTGTTGTGTCTTTGTTCTCTTTGTTTTCAAAGAACATCTTTATTTCTGCCTTCATTTCTTTATTTACCCAGTAGTCATTCAGAAGCAAGTTGTTCAGATTCTATGTAGTTGTGTGGTTTTGAGTGAGTTTCTTAATCCTGAGTTCTACTTTGATTGCTCTGTGGTCTGAGAGACAGTTTGTTGTGATTTCTGTTCTTTTACATTTGCTGAGGAGTGCTTTACTTCCAATTATGTGGTAAATTTTAGAGTAGGTGCGATGTGATGCTGAGAAGAATGTATATTCTGTTGATTTGGGGTGAAGAGTTCTGTAGATTTCTATTAGACCTGCTTGTTGCAGAGCTGAGTTCAGGTCCTGGATATCCTTGTTAATATTCTGTCTCTTTGATCTAAGTGACAGTGGGGTGTTAAAGTCTCCCATTATTATTGTGTGGGAGTCTAAGTCTCTTTGTAGGTCTCTAAGGACTTGCTTTATGAATCTGGGTGCTCCTGTATCGGCTGCATATATATTTAGGATAGTTAGCTCTTCTTGCGGAATTGATCCCTTTACCATTATGTAATGGCCTTCTTTGTCTCTTTTGATCTTTGTTGGTTTAAAGTCTGTTTTATCAGAGACTAGGATTGCAACCCTTGCCTTTTTTTGCTTTCCATTTGCTTGATAGATCTTCCTCCATCCCTTTATTTTGAGCTTACATGTGTCTCTGCACGTGAGATGGGTCTCCTGAATACAGCAAACTGATGAGTCTTGACTCTATCCAATTTGTCAGTCTGTGTCTTTTAATTGGGGCATTTAGCCCATTTACATTTAAGGTTAATATTGTTTTGTGTGAATTTGATCCCGTCATTATGATGTTCGCTGGTTATTTTGCCAATTAATTATTGTGGTTTCTTCATAGCATCGATGGTCTTTACAATTTGGCATGTTTTTGCAGTGGCTGGTACTGGTTGTTCCTTTCCATGTTTAGTGCTTCCTTCGGGAGCTCTTGTAAGGCCGGCCTGGTGGTGACAAAATCTCTCAGCATTTGCTTGTCTGTAAAGGATTTTATTTCTCCTTCACTTATGAAGCTTAGTTTGGCTGGATATGAAATTCTGGGTTGAAAATTCTTTTCTTTAAGAATGTTGAATATTGGCCCCCACTCTCTTCTGGGTTGTGGGGTTTCTGCTGAGAAATCCACTGCTAGCTTGATAGGCTTCCCTTTGTGGGTAACTCAACCTTTGTCTCTGGGTGCCCTTAACACTTTTTCCTTCATTTCAACCTTGGTGAATCTGACAATTATGCGTCTTGGAGTTGCTCTTCTCAAGGAGTATCTTTGTGGTGTTCTCTGTATTTCCTGAATTTTAATGTTGGCCTGCCTTGCCAGGTTGTGGAAGTTCTCCTGGATAATATCCTGCAGTGTGTTTTCCAACTTGGTTCCATTCTCCCCATCACTTTCAGATACACCAAACAAATATAGATTTGGTCTTTTCACATAGTCCCATATTTCTTGGAGGCTTTGTTTCTTTTTACTCTTTTTTCTCTAACCTTGTCTTCTCACTTTAATTTCATTAATTTGATCTTCCATCACTGATACCCTTTCTTCCACTTGATCGAATCAGCTATTGAAGCTTATGCATGCATCATGTAGTTCTCATACCATGGTTTTCAGCTCCATCAGGTCATTTAAGGTCTTCTCTACACTGTTTATTCTAGTTAGCTATTCATCTAATCTTTTTTCAAGGTTTTTATCTTCCTTTCAATGGGTTTGAACATCCTCCTTTAGCTCAGAGAAGTTTGTTATTACTGAATTTCTGAAGTCTACTTCTGCCTACTTGTAAAAGTCAATCTCTGTCCAGCTTTGTTCTGTTGCTGGCGAGGAGCTGCAATCCTTTGTGGGAGAAGAGGCACTCTGATTTTTAGAATTTTCAGCTTTTCTGCTCTGGCTTCTCCCCATCTCTGTGGTTTTATCAACCTTTGGTATTTGATGTTGGTGACCTACAGATGGGGTGCTGGTGTAGATGGCCTTTTTGTTGATGTTGATGCTATTCTTTTCTGTTTGTTAGTTTTCCTTCTAACAGTCAGGTCCCTCAGCTGCAGATCTGTTGGGGTTTGCTGGAGGTCCACTCTGGATGCTGTTTTCCTGGGTATCACCAGCAAAGGCTGCAGAACAGCAAATTTTGCAGTACAGCAAATATTGCTGCCTGATCCTTCCTCCGGAAGCTTTGTCCCAGAGGGGCCTCCACCCATATGAGGTGTCTGTTGGCCCCTGCTGGGAGGTGTCTCCCAGTTAGACTACACGGTGGTCAGGGACCCACTTGAGGAGGCAGTCTGTCCATTCTCAGAGCTCAAACATCATGCTGAGAGAACATGCTGACTGCTCTCTTCAGAGCTGTCAGACAGGGACATTTAAGTCTGCAGAAGTTGTCTGCTGTCTTTTGTTCAGCTATGCCCTGCCCACAGAGGTGCAGTCTAGAGGCAGCAGGCCTTGTTGAGCTGTGGTGGGCTCCGCCCAGTTTGAGCTTCCCGGCTGCTTTGTTTACCTACTCAAGCCTCAGCAATGGCAGATGCCCCTCTCCCAGCCAGGCTGCCGCCTTGCAGATTGATCTCAGACTGCTGCGCTAGCAGTGTGCAAGGCTCCATGGGCCTGGGACCCACCGGTCCAGGCACAGGAGAGAATCACCTTGTCTGCCGGTTGCTAAGACCTTGGGAAAAGCATTGCATTTGGGTGGGAGTGCCCCATTTTCCCAGGTAGTCTGTCACAGCTTCCCTTGGCTAGGAAAGGGAAATCCCGCAACCCCTTGTGCTTCCCGGGTGAGGTGATGCCCCGCCCTGCTTCGGCTCACCCTCAGTGGGCTACACCCACTGTCCAACCAGTCCCAGTGAGATGAACCAGGTACCTCAGTTGGAAATGCAGAAATCACCTGTCTTCTGCATTGATCACACTGGGAGCTGCAGACCGGAGCTCTTCCTATTCAGCCATCTTCCCCTTACATCCTTTGTTTAGATTTTAATGTAGATATAGCAGCTTTATTTTTTTTGTCTTTATTCATTTTTAATTTTTAATGTCACTTTACCTTTCTAGTATGTTAAACTAGATCAGTGGAGGAAATGCTAACAATACTTTGATTTCCTTGGAAATTTTATTGATTAGTCTAAGGATAAATATCTAGAAAATTTACCTGAGCATAGTAAAGGGTTTAGTATATATGGCTATATATCTTAATATACATTTGCCAAGAGTTTAATACTAAGGTTTTAACCCTTTATACTTTAAATAGCTCATTGTGCCAAGAAAGGGAAGTGGAGGAAGAGGAGAAAAAAGGAGAAGAACTTACACTACCTGATTTCAAGGCTTACTATAAGGCTGCAGTAAACAAGGAAGTGTGATATTGGCATAAGGCTAAACGTATAGATCACTGAAACAAAATAGAAAGTTCAGAAACATACATACACATATATGGTCAATTAATTCCAGGGCAATTCAGTGGGACAAGATAGTTTTGTTTTGTTTTGTTTTTTCAACAAATGATGCCCGACAACTGACAAGTTATTTTTCAAAAAAGAGAGACAGAGAGAGGGAAGAGAACCTCCACTTTTACCTTGTACTATGCACAAAAAGTAACTCTAAAATGGATACTAAATTTATAAATGTAAAAGCTAAAACTACAAATCTTGTGAGAAAATGTACACTGAGACATGCAACACATGGATGATTCGTAAAAACGTTATGCTGAGCAAAATAAGCCAGATACCAGAGGGTACGTAAAGTTCATTTATAGGAAATTCTAGAAAAAACAATTCTGATCTATAGCGACTGAAAGGAGGAGCCAGGTTTGGGGTGGGGAATGCCTTAGAAGGGGCATCAAAGAAACATTTGGGGTTATGAAAATGTTATCGAGCTTAATTGTGGTGGTGGTTTCATGGGTTTATAAATTTTTTAAAACTTATCGACGTGTGCATTTTAAATGAATACATTTTACTGTATGTAAATTATACCCCAATAATGTTGATTTAACAACACTATAGAAAACTAGATTTAGAGTATAAGTGCAATACACAGATAAATATAAGATCTTTAAAAAGGTCAAGAAAAAATAAACTATTGATTAGACCCAAAGCTGACTTTTCAACAGCAACAAAAAAGGAGGACAATAAACTATCTTTCGAATGCTACGAGGAAATGACTGCTAACCAATGCTTGTATGGCTGATTTAAGATTACCATACAAGAATAATGATGAAATGTAGACATTTTCAAATGAACAAAATCTAAGAGCCTTTACCACTAACAAATGATTACTGAAGCACTTCTGAAGAAGGAAACTACAGGAAGAAGGAAAGTGAACACAGAGAAACACAGTGAGATTCAAGAAGTATTTGTGTTCAAATATAGTCTTAAAATGTGCTTATGCCTAAACAAAGAGATGTCATAAAATGATATTATTTATAATATTGAATTCAGGAAGTTTTAATAAAAATATGTAATCACAAGGCAGGACAAAAATAGCTTGTATGATAGGGTTTGGAATTAAGATATTTTAAGGTCCTTGCATTGTTTAGGGAATAGGCTATCATAGTGATTAACTTTGGCTTTGCTAGTTACATAGCAATGTTTTAAAACAATAAAGGGTAATTACTAAAAGGGCAAAAATAGAATTTCTAACTTCCTTTGGAAAAAAAAACTTATAAACATTTAATATATCCCAAAGAAAATTAAAAATAAACAAAGCAAATGCAAGACAGGGAGCAAAAAGGAAGATGCTAAAAACACAACCAAATATCAGTAATCACAACCAATGAAAATAGACTGACTCACCAGTTAAAGACTCAATTTGAGAATAGATAAAATAAAATATTTTTAAAAATTTAGCTATATGGGAATTTTCTGAAACTAAGGGTTGAGTAACATGAAAGTTTAAAATGGAAAAGGATATAACAAAGTGCAGCTGCTATATCTATATTAATATCTGAAAGAAATAACTTTAAGTAAAAAACTTTAAGTAAAAAAAAAATATTTGAAGGGTTACTTGATCTATTATCCAAAGGATATGTTTGAGAGTGAGAAAGTCCACTCAATAATTTCTCAGGGGCACAAGCATAAACCAGGACTGTCCTTGGAAAATAATTATTATTGGGAATAAATAGCATCATTATATGACATGAGAAAGTACAATTCACAGGAAAATTTTAAAATTTTTAAATGAGTATAAACCTGTCTTCTTAGCTTAAAAATTGACAAAATTACAAAAGATATTAATAAACCCACCAATATAGTATGGGAAATTTTAACTCAGCTCTCGTATAAACTGATAAATCAGTCAGACAAACATTAGTAAGACTATCCAGGATTTTAACAAATAAGAGATACCAGTCAAAGGACACAAAATTTCAGTTAGGTGGGAGGAATAAGTTCGAAAGTTCTACTATACAGCAAGGTGACTATAGTTTTTTAAAAAAAGAACTGAAAAAGCTTCATCTAAATGGACATTGTGGTTGATGAGAGATGGCTGTAGTTCTTTGTTATTCTTCCCATTGAGAGGTAGGTCTTCTTCCTTCCCCTTGACTGCTTAGATCAATCAAGTACAGTGGAATTGACATCATACTCCTTCAGGGACAAATCTGTAAGGACTGTCAGCTTTCATTTTGATTTTTGGTTGACCTGAGATGCCATGTAAGAAGTCCAACTACCCTGTGACCGCTATGCTATGAAAAAATCCAAGTTAGCCACCTAGAGGGGCTTGTGTGGAGAGAAGAGAGAGATGTCCAGCCAGCCCTTAGCTGTTCTAACCCCCAACCATCTGAGTCATCCCAGCTGGGCCCCAGACATCAAAGACCTGTATTTGCTGTGCTTTGAATAAATTCCTAATGCCAGAGTCATAAGATATACCACCAACAAATTGTTGTTACATCACTAAGTGATCTGTTATTGTAGTAAAATGTACATAACATTAAATTTACCATTTTAGTCATTTTTAAGTGTACATTTCAGTGGCATTAAGTAAACTCACATTGTTTTATAACAATCACCACCATCTATCTCCAGAACTTTTTCTTCTCCCCAAACTGAAGGACCACTAGATTTTAGAATAGTTTGTTACACAGAGAAGAAAACCAGAATATTTTACCCCAAAAATGTTTCCTAGACATAAAAATTATTTTTGAGCTGAAGGCAATTGAATAGCAACAAAGAGAGGAAAATCTCTCTCTATCCCCCGCTGTTCTGCCCAAAGACAGGATGTAAATTCTCCTTTACTGGAGATAACTTAGCAACTCATTGATGAATTGATTTCTGGAGAGAAGGCACCAGAGAATCTGCAAACAAACCTCATTCCATTAGTTTCTCCCCATATATTCCCTTCCCACAGTTTCCCACCTGTGGAAGGCTAAAACCACTTTCCTTTGTCCTGTCATTTCTCCACAAATTTATTGTTCTTTGTTGAAGATGCTGTTAATAATTTAAGTCAGAGTTCTAAATAACTGCTTTGAATTACTTTTCAGGCAGGATTCTCCCACATGATGTGCTCTGCAAGCATGAATAAACTTGTTTTTCTCCTCTTAATCTGCTTTTTGTTAGCGGTGTTCTAGCTAAGAACTATAAGGGGCTCAGGAGAAAAATTATTTTTCCTACTCAACAACAGCAATAGCTGACCCAAACAGACACACATAGAATCTTGTACCTAGTAATTAGAGAATTCAAGAGGAAATACACAAATAAAACATACAAAGGGTGCAAATGAAGAATTGAAACTGTGTTATTTGCAAAAAATTAATTTCCACAGAGAAAACCCAAAAGAAACTAATGACAAATTGTTAAACATAGTAATACATTCAGCAAGTTTAAATGTATGAAAATCAATTGCATTCCTCTACATCAGCAATAGTTATACAATATAATTTTTAAAGTAACATTTAAAAACAAAAATAAGGTATCAAAAATTTACCAATAGTTGTGCAGACTTTAAGAAAAATTTATAAGCCTTTATTGATACTTTAAAAGAGACCTACTAATATATCATGTATGTGGATACAAATACTCGGAACATAAAGATATCAATTTTCCTTCAAATTCATCACAATTCCAGATTCCACCAAGTTTTTGTTTTGTTTTGTGGACTTTAACAAAGAAGGAGTCATTAGAATCCTTCCAAAGAAATGAGAGAACATAGGGCAAAAATAACCAGGTCACTCTTGAAGAAAAACTACAAAGTGGGACCTCATCCTGATATTAAGACTTAATAATAAAAATATTATAATTACAATAGTGTGGTATTAGCAAAAGAATAGGGAAAAGAGAACAGTGGAAGGAACAAAGAATCCAGAAACAGATCCAGGCCCGTATGGAAACTTGAGATTTAACATCAGTGGCATTGCAGATCAGTAGGGAAAGATAAACCATTTAATAAATACTGCTGAGATGATGGGTATCTATACAGAGGGAAAAATAAAATTGGATTTCTACCTCACATGATGTACAAAATCTGCCTCAAGTAAAGACCAACATATACAAAGTAAAATCTTCAAACTTTTGGAATAAAGTATAGAAGAATATTTTTGTGCTTTCAGAGTTGGGAAAGATTTTGATATCAATAAATAGAAAATGAAACCTTTAAGGAAAAGATTATGAATCAATTAGACCACATTAACATTTAAAATGTCTGTGCATCTAAAGACACCATTTTAAAAAGTGAGAGAAGACAAACCACTAACTAGAGAAGACATTTGCAATGCATATTGGCAACAAATATTTAGCATAGAGTATGTGTACATATATATAAAATGTCTACAAATCCCTACCAAAAAATCAAATAGCAATTAACATGAACACACATGAAAATGCTCAATCTCACTAGTAATAGAATAATTGTAAATAAAAATAGGCCAGGCGCAGTGGCTCACGCCTGTAATCCCAGCACTTTTGGAGGCCAAGGCGGGCGGATCACGAGGTCAGGAGATCGAGACCATCCTGGCTAACACAGTGAAACCCCATCTCTGCTGAAAATACAAAAAATTAGCCGGGCGTGGTGGCGGGCGCCTGTACTCCCAGCTCCTCGGGAGCCTGAGGCAGGAGAATGGCGTGAACCCGGCAAGCAGAGCTTGCAGTGAGCTGAGATCACGCCACTGCACTCCAGCCTGGGCGACAGAGTGAGACTATGTCTCAAAATAAATAAATAAATAAAATAAAATAAAATAAAATAAAAATAGATGCCATTTTATACCCATAAAATTGGTAGAAATGTAATCTCATGATACCAAGAGTTGGAAAGAATTTGGAGCAGTGGGAAATTTAATATATTTGTGAGACTGTAAATAAATTGATATTACTACTTTGAAGAGCATGCTTTACATATTACGTGCACGAAGATATCATATGTGTATACAACGATATCATCAGGTACATTAATGAAATCTAAACATCTATCAACATAATGAGGAAATAAATTGTAGTGTAATCATACAGCAGAAAAAATGAGTTAATACTAAATGCAATGTGGTATTCTGGATTGAACTCTGGAACAGAAAAAGGACACTAGTGGAAAAACTGGTGATATCCAAATAAAGTTTGTGGTTTAGGTAATTAAAACATACCAATGTGAATTTCTTAGTATGGACAAATGTACCATTGTTGTGTAGGATATTAAAATTAGAAGAGGTTGGGGGAATGGTGTATGGAAATTCTCTGTATTCTGCAACTTTTCTGAAAGTCTAAAATTATTCCAAAAAAAGAGTTTATTTTTTAAAAAATGAATAGAGCTTCTTAGATCATTATGGGTAAACCTCACAAACATAATGCTGAGAAAATAAGAAATTGCAGAACACACATATAGTATGTAACCAAGTATATAAGTTTAGAAGTATTGATACATTATGTTTTATTTAATGATATATATGTATATAGTACAATTTTATACATATACTTAAATCATAAACACCAAATTAACTATGCCATGAAGGTAAAGGGACTTGGCTGTGATCAAAGGGTGTTACCAATAGATTTTAAGTTTTTGCAGTGTTTAATTTCTTAGGTTGGGTGATGGATATGTTAATTAATTTGGCTGTGGTAATCATTTTACAGTGTGCATGTATATCCAATCATCATGTTGTACACCTTGAATATATACAATTTCTATTTGCCAATTATACCTCAATAAAGCTGGGAAAAAAACCTAGTAAGTCTGTCTAGGTTATTTGTCAGTGGTGACAAACAAAGCAAAGCAGAACAAAACAAAACCAGAAAAAAGTGATTTTGACTTCTTACAGGTTCTGTGTTTATAATCTAATAAAAGCAAGTCATCTTAAAAATAATCCTGATTATTTCTTTTACAATGTAAGATGGTTTTACTATGTGTAAATAGATAAACAAGTGGCAATGTCCTTATAAGGAGAAAGGAGAGACGTTCATTCAGGAGAATGTGCTAAGGTTAGGGACAGTTCTCTACCATACACACTGCCTTGTAGAAACTCCATCAGAGACAGAATACCAGCATTAATGCGCTTTCATTCTTGATTACAGAACAAAGCTCTTTTAAGGTTTATTCTTAACTAACAAAGCATCTTTTTTATATCCAGCTGTTTCCTATGCTGGAGAAACAACAATAACAACAAACAGGTTAGTTCTATAAAATGCAATTATGTAATTTTTGGAGGGCTTCGATGTATTTTCAATTTGTTCTTCCATTTGTTGCCACCAGTACTGAGGCTCCACCTAGGGCCCTTTTCTATAATTACATTCATATTCGTTAAAGCTAATCTCCTTTATGATAGCAATATGTAAAGCAGTTATGCAAATAAAACAGAGTGCTTGAGTTTTTGTTTTTTTCCCTGAATCTAATATATGAAAATTAGATTTGCTCACTCCCAGGAACTGACCCACTGCTAAGGCAGTGAACCACCATGGGTTCTTGCCAGGCAAGGAGGTGGTTAACATCTTATCTCTAGCCTTGGAACATTGCCTTCAGGAATGCAGCCAGGTTACTTTTGAAACAGGTGGTCCCAGTTCTGGCAGGGTTGGTAAAGTGGAGAAACAATTACCTTCTTGTGAATCACAAGGACAGATAGAGGAGGCTTAAATCAGATGGAGGCAGAGAAAGATCACAGGGCAGACCTAAAGAATTTGCTTTAGAAGTTACAACATGACATTTACAATTGTGGTTGTCTTCTTTACCTTTTATATTTCTGTGAGTTGAGTTTTCAGTATTTTACTCCTAGTCCAATGTGCAATTTGTTTTTTGATTCCCTATCTTTCCAGCAGTGAGTAATGCAAAATGATTTGAGCTAGCACTCCAGAGTGTTTTGCCTCACACCTGCCATCTGCCTGCTTAGTCACCGTGCAACCATCCTTGCCCTAGATGATGATTTTTATTTGATATAAGAATTGGCAGGCAACAGTTGTTGTGTTAGGAGATTTCTGGATTCCCAGTTTTCTTTATTCTTGTAATGATAGCAGCATGGCACATTAATGTTTCAGATATTCACTTGGCTTTTCCTTGTAACTACCATATGTTCTTAAAGATATTTAGTGTGGGGAGAGTTGTGAAAAAGGAAGGGGAAATGGATTATTTTTAATGTTATTTAAAAATTGTAGACATGAAAACCATTGCTACTCAGCACAAAGCAAAGTAGAAATCTCTCAATTTATCCGTAATCTCAGCCCTCAATTTCAGCAAAACTATCCTTTCTGCGTGTTCCCATTGACAGTCTTACTCTATACAGTTTGGGTGTAAATTCTCTACAAAGGAAGATACAGGTATAAAGACAGAATTCCCTTTACAGACAGTAATTGGAACCAAGCAGACACTGTGATTAAAGAGACTACTGTAGGTATGCATTCGGACAAGTTAGGCAAAGAAACCCACTTTAGAATTAGGATACAAACCAGAAGAAGGTTATTTAGCTTAATACATATGTAAACCAAAAATAAAATTCTAAGCACCCCCCTGACCCAAGGGCATTCCAAAGTTAACCTGAAAAAAGTTGTTGGCCTGAAAAAGTTCAGGCCAAGACAGGATGGGAACGTTGGACATGCCTCATTTTACCCTTCCGCCTTTGGAATTCAGGCACAATTGACCAGCATTAACATTAACACAGAGACCTTAAGACTAACAAAACAGACTCTTAACATAACCGATAGCAGGCCCTGAAAGAAATCAAAGTATTTTACCCCAAAATATATTTCTTTGAAATGCCCTTGCAAAGCTGTCTCTTGGGAGAATCTCTTTCCCTTACCAGGTCTTTTTCCTGACCCAGGAGAGAATTAACTAAGAGTCTGGCACCTTTTTAAGTCTGATAAGAAACATTTACAATCTATTCTCTCTGAAGCCTGCTACCTGGATAAGAATAAGAACCTTGTTCTCCACAACTGCATATCTTAACCCAGACACTCCCTTCTATTCATTCCAGGTCTTTAGGTAATAACTCTTTCAACCAATTGCCAATCAGAAATTCTTTGAATTGACTTATGACCTTGAACTATCCACCCCAAGCTTCAATTTGTCCCACCTTTCTGGACAGAACCAATGTATATCGTACATCTTACAATGTACATCGTACATGTATTGATTGATGTCTTAATTCTCCCTAAAATGCATAAAACCAAGCTGTAGCTGGACCACCTTGGGCACATGTTCTCAGAATCTCTTGGGCTGTGTCACAGGCCATGCTTACTCATATTTGGCTTAGAATAAATCTCTTCCAATATTCTACAGTTTGACTCTTTCCATTGACACATATTATGCATAGTAACAAAAAAATTCATTTTTAATTATTTCATACATACTAAGAATATAAAATAAGTATGTACAATATAGATAAGAAAAATAAAATAAGCCTGCTCCCACCTACCACTGAGCTTAAGAATGAAAACTCTTACCACAATAAAATTCCTACTACAGAAAATTAAAAAGTTAGTTTAAAAAGAGTAAAAAACAAGAAAAGAATGAAGACTCTTAACATATTTTTGAAGTCTCCTGTGTACCCACCTAGCATCATCACTCCTCTCAACTTACTCCCATCCTTGCTTCCTAGGTAATCATTATCTTGAGCTATGGGTTATCATTCCTCCAATTTTTTTTGTTGTAGTTATAAAAATGTATGTATTCCTGAATAATATGTTTGTTGGGTTTTGCATGTTTTTGAATTTCATATACATGAAACTGCAATCTATATATTCTGTCACTTTCATTTTCATCAGCATTATGTCTGAGAGAGTCATTCACGTGGACACATGAAGCTATAGTCTATTCATTTTCACTGCTATATTTTAAATATTTCATTGTATAAATATACCACAGTTTATTTCTCCAGTCTCCTGTCAATGGTCCTTTATGTTGGTTCCAATTTTTTACTGTTAAAAACAGTGCTGCAATAAATATTTTAGTACCTGTGTCCTTTTGCACATATGTGAGAGTTTCTATAGTCTGGGGTGTATACCTACATGTGGAATTGCTGGGTGTTAGGTGTGCGCATCTTCAGGTTTACTAAATATAATCAAATTATTCTCAAAGGGGGTTGGACCATTTAACCCCTCATTAGCAGTATTAGCAGTTCCTGTTGTCCCTAACCTTCACAAGCAAGCTGATTTGTCAGCTTTAAAATTTTTGCCAATGTTTTGGGTACAAAATGATATTTCAGCTTTTTTCTAAGTATGAATGAGGTTGGACATCTTTTTATGTTACTAGTCATTGGTTTTTCCTCTTCTGTGAAATGGATATCCATAGTCGCTGCCCATTTCCTATTGGTTTCTGTGTCTTTACTGGAGTTATAAAAATATAGAGAATACTAATATTTTATTCTAATTAACATGTGTTAGAAAAGTGTTCTCCTAGTCTATGGCTTGTCTTTTGTCTTTTCACATTTTTATGGTGTCTTTCAATAAACAGAAGTTTTAATTTTGATAGTTGTATTTATCTCTTTTACTTTGCAGATTCTGCCTCTTTTTTAAATCTTTTTGTAACATACATTTGCAAAAATAATCTATTTTCTTCAGGAAGTTTTAAAAAGTATAAGTAAATTCCTGCCAGAAATTTATTTTTTGGTTATGACATGGGTCCTTGTGGAAAATGAATTTTCCAGGCACTGTTTATTAAATTGTCCGTTTCTTCTACACCTCTCTAAAATTGCAGCCCAGTCTTCTTTCACATATGTAAAGGCCTGTCACTGAGGTTCCTGCTTTTGTTTCATTGGTATATTTACCTATCCTGTACCAGTAACATACTAGTGAAACTTTAAATAATACTGGAAATATTACTGGCAAATTCTCTCTACTTCTATATGTACATTTCTTCTTCAATAGTGTATTGGCTTTTTTCTTCCTAGATATTCTTGACCTTTTGCTTTTTTGAATAAATTTTAGAATTAGTTTATCAGATTCCACAAAAATGATTTAATAAACTTTTTCTGAAGATTTAGTTTCATTCATTATAATTTTTCTATAACAAAGACTGAATCTACACAAGTAAGAGGTAAGTAATTTTAAAGGAGTGTGGAGAGATTAAGGAATGAATTAACTTGGTGACATAAATCCTAAAAAATTTAATTAGTGAGATTTCATTTTGCTTAAAAAACATGAAACATTACAGCCTATAGGAAACCAGCCAAAATCAATGAATCTTAAATATTTTATCCCAGCTTCCCAGCTAGCTCATTTACAAATCATGCCTATCTTGGGAGAATTTAAGTTTCTAATAAAACTAGTGAACAAGTATTTATTCATAAGCAATTTGTTTCTTTCTTTTTTTTTTTTTTTTTAGAGACAGAGTCTTGCTCTGTCACCCAGGCTACAGTGCAGTGGCACAATCATAGCTCACTGCAGCCTTGAACTCCTGGGCTCAAGCGATCCTTCCACTTCAGCGTTTTGAGTAGCCACCATGCCCAGCTAGTTTTTAAATTTTTTGTAGAGATGGGGTCTCACTATGTTGATCAGGCGTCCCCAAAGTGCCTCCCAAAGTGCCACCACTGGTCCCATAAGTGATTTTTATGTACCCGGCCCTGTTCTAGATATTATGGAAAATATATAAATGGAGTAAAATATAATTTTGGTTTTCCAAAGATTTTATAATTTATCATGGAAACAACTGACAAACGATAAAATTCCAAACTTTGTAGTTCTGATTATGAGCTATTGTGGAGTAAGATATTATAATATTTTTGTTCTGGACCTATTACGTTTGGGACAATAGAATAATATATATAACTGGAAGCATGAAGTGAGAACATACTTGAGATGTCAACTAAGTTTTTAAAAGCTAAAATCATAGTGGGGTCTCAGCCTGAGAACTTGAAGGCGGCCCTATTTGAATGGGGCATGTTTGAGTATAACTTGAGGTCCAGTAGGGACTGCTGCTCAATTAAGGAGGTTTAGTGTATGAATTTAAGTACCAGTAATAAGCCAGGTATCATTCTTGAGAAGTCCATGCTCTCCTAGAATTCAGAATCTGGTAGGTACTGAGATACTCTTGGGAAATAACTATTCTAAGGGAGAAGAATGTTGAACACCGGTTCTGGGCTGAAAGAAGCAAGCTCTCAGCTTCATTCCTCCTCTACTTTCCACCCTCCTCTACCCTCCATCCTCCTCACCCCAAGACTAACCTTGGCATACCACTCATCTCAGTTAATACTAGAACTGTAGGAATGTGAAGGGAATAGGTAAGTTCTGTGAAGTAAGTTGCACCAGTCTGCATCTGGAAAGAAATGTAGCAGGAAAAAGCACCAGTAATAATCAGCTGGATAGAAGGAAATTAGTGGCTGCCTTGTGGCAGTTGAGAGGATTATTTCATGAGCATGAGTAAGATGCCCCATACAGACTCCCATAATTTGTTGGGGGAAGTTTAGAGAGGAGAAGTAGAGAATTTTGGATTTCTCAAATATGCACTGTACCAGTGAATCTCCCTCAATTGGTGACTATACCATATCCCCAAAGGGTATTCGTAAATGTGTGTAGGCATTATTGTTTGCCACAATGATTGTGGGGTTATATAGGCATTCAATGTGTTGGGACTGGGATAATAAGCTAATGCAATGCTCAGAAAAATCCCACACAAGGAATTACCTTTCTGCCTAAAATGATAATAAATAGCGTCTCTACTGAGAAAGTATGCATTGTGATACCAAATAACAGGATAAACTATAAAGTTGTGCTCCAATTCTCTTTGTAATATTCAGATATTTGATAAATCACAAAACATCAACTCCATTTATTATTAATTTTTAAATAAAATATGGCAGTAAATAATAGTAAAAAAACATAGAATTTGCAAACTCAAGAAAGCACAAACTAGTATTAAATTTAAAATTTAAAAATTAAATAAAATGCAGTACCATTTTATATCCTTAAAATTTCTCCTGCCAGGAATAAAGGTCATTGAGGGAGCCTAGTTGTTATTGAATTCATGTTCTGAAAAGAAGGGAATTTTCTCTTTTCCAAATCCCAAGAGAATGGAGATTAATACTGAAATTCAGAGAATAAAGTATTTAAATTTATGTGACCTATGTTCTCTAATTCCAGAGAAAATAATCTTTAAATCACTCCAAGAGGAGCATTCTCTTTCTCTTGTGGAGGGGGAAAAAAAGAGCAATTATCTTAACTGAATGTATTCCTTCCTTCCTAAGTAGGTTTGATATTACAGCCTCCTGTTGTTGAAAATCCATTTCTTCCGTGTTCTTCTGCCAGGGGAAATTCCATTTCATTAATGTAAATGGGAATTTTCAGAATAGAAATAGAGAAAAAAGCTTATCCAGAAAAAGGGGAAAATACTGAGCCAGAAGCAGCAGGAGATGTACCAGGAGAATATTACGGGTCAGATATCAAAGAGAAAGTTCACCTTTAACAGCACAAACCATAATTTCCACCCTATTTTAATTGCAAAAATGGAATGCATATTGTAGCCCTTCATACATAATGTATCATTTTATCAACCATCTTGAATGTTAAAAAGATTCAGACCTGTAAAACTCTTGTGTATTTTTGAGAAGTTTTTAAAATGAAAATATAGTATATATTTTAAGTTAAATAACTTAAAAATTGGAAGCCTCTCCTTGCTGAAATAATTTGGAAAAAAGGAAAGAGGGAAAGGTATTTTGGAAAGCATACTAACTTGGAAGCCAGATAGCTCAGGATCAAATCCTAGCTTTACCACTTGCTGTGTAACTGGGCAAATTTCTTAGCATTAATTTTCTAATGAAACATCATAGCAGAAGTAGTAAAAGACACAGAATTTGCAAACCCAAGGAAAAAGCACAAACTGCTATTGAATTTTTAAAAATCTAAAAATAGAATAAAATACAGTGCAGTTTTACGTTCTTAACATTTCCTCTGCCAGGCATAAAGTCATTGTCTTTTAAATTCTATTTACAAATGTAATCGTTCATTTTTCAGCTGATTTATTTTATTACACTACTTTCTGATATTCAGCTAGCAGGAAAGTTGGTACTGCCCAGAAGTTTTGTCTTTTTTTTTTTCAGATACACAAGTCGTTAGATATATTTTTTGTTTTCCAAGATACCACAGGTGAGTTTTATTAATTGTTTCACTACTATTCAGTATGAGTTACCAGTTTTCCAGCTTGCCATAGCAATCTACTTACTTCTGTTCCAGCCTCCACTAATCGTTTGCTCAACATTTTTCCAGTCTTTGCTAACAGTTTTTTTATAATTATTCCAGTCTTTGCTGATAGCCTGATTGCACAGCTTTTCCAGCTTCAGCATCAGCTGCCTAGTCCTAAAGCCATTGTCATAGATTTTAGATATTTGTCGTGGCAAAACCCCATTTACAGACACAAATTTTTTTATTAGTTAATTTTTGCTTGTATCACTCCAATATATAGTCCCTTAAAAGCATATTCATTGATTAGCTCACAATTCTGTAGACTGGCAATTTTGGTTGAACATGTGGATATTCTTTTTTTGGTCTCACCTAGACTCACTCATGCAGCTGCATTTTGCTTTCATCTGGGGTCTGATTTTTTATGAATGGCCTCACTCACATATTTGGTGGGTGGCTGAAGCTACAGGGGCAATTGGGCTGCATGTCTCCAACCTGTGGCAGACTAGCCTGGGCTACTTTACAGTTCCAAAACCAGCAAGAGAAAAGTTTCTATGTGTAGTCACTTTTCTAGTCTCTGCTTGTGTCACATTTCCTATTTTTTCATTGGTCAAACAAGTCACTTTACTAAGCCAAGAGTCAGTGAGGGAGGTGGCTGAGGGATGGATGGTAGGGACTTAATATAGACCAAGCTAGGCGGGGCGCTGTGGCTCACTCCTGTAATCCCAGCACTTCAGGAGGCCGAGGCGGGGGGGTTAACGAGGTCAGGAGTTCCAGACCAGCCTGACCAACATGGTGAAACCCCGTCTCTATTAAAAATACAAAAATGAGGCCGGGCACGGTGGCCCATGCCTGTAATCCCAGCACTTTGGGAGGCCGAGGCGGGTGGATCATGAGGTCAGGAGATCAAGACCATCCTGGCTAACACTGTGAAACCCCGTCTCTACTAAAAAAAAAAAAAATACAAAAAAAAAATTCAAAAAATTAGCTGGGCATGGTGGCCGGTGCCTGTAGTCCCAGCTCCTCGAGAGGCTGAGGCAGGAGAATGGCGTGAACTCGGGAGGCGGAGCTTGCAGTGAGCCCAGATGGCGCTACTGCACTCCAGCCTGGGTGACAGAGCGAGACTCTGTCTCAAAAAACAAGCAAACAAACAAACAAAAAATATAGACCAAGCTTGTCCAACCCACAGCCAGTAGGCTGCATGCAGCCCAGGATGGCTTTGAATGCAGCCCAGCACAAATTTGTAAACTTTCTTAAAACATTATGAGTTTTTTTTTGCTAGTTTTGTTTTGTTTTGATTTTTGGTTTTTAAAAAAACTTATCAGCTATTGTTAGTGTATTTTATGTATGGTCCAAGACAATTCTTCTTCCAATGTGGCCCAGAGAAGCCAAAAGATCAGACATCCCAGTACAGACAGTATGAAAAGGCCTTCTGCTATTATTTCTTCCTGAATTCTTGTGCTTGAAAGTATAAGTGAATGAGTAGGTATGTGGTCAGTGTGTGTGTTTCTATTGGAAAAGGAGGATGAAACATAATAAAGATTATCTTTTAAGGAATAGTGGGAAACCAACATTGATCTGGTTACTTACTCTCATCTCTATGCCCCTAAACACTGAGATTTTTAAGTCTCAGAAGCTAAAGCAGTACATTTCCACCTAAAATATTCCAAATGACCTAGGAGTTAGTTAGGGACCAATTTGTTTAATAGTTACTAAACTATTTAAGTGGATCTAAAGAGCACACTTACATATTAATATTTTTATGATATTTTTAAACTGATGTTTTATAATACTCATAACTATCTTGTAATACAGGAAGTATCTTCTCCATTTCACAAATAAGGAAACTAAAATTATATATGTGTATACATATGTGTGTATGTGTGGTGTGTGTGTAATGGCTTCACCTTGCTTTTGAGAGTATTTCTACAGGACTACACAAATGTCTTACTCTGAGTTTGTGAGAAGGTACAGAAACTCTAGTAAACTTACTCTACTAGTTCTAATAAAAAAATATATTGTTGTAGAGATAGGAAATAATACTACAGAAAGCAACTGCGGGAAGTAATCAGGCCTTGTAGACACTAGAGAGCTGTGGGCTAGCTTCTCCTTACTCTTGATCCTTTTCTGCAAGCCTCTTAGTTTCTCCTTCCCCATACCTTCTAGTTCTACTTGTGTCTATGACTTGTCATAAAACTGACTCTGGCCTCTACTCAAAGTTCAGTACCCCAATTTCAACCATCTATGTATTTTAGTTTACATTGTCTAGACAGACAGAACATGATTGGCTCAGCTTGAGTGAAGTTTCCATAGGTGATCCACTCAGATTACTGGAAGGGCAAGATCACCAAAGCACAAACATGACTGCCCAGTTCTATCCTGTCAGCAGAGGTGTGCAAAGGGCAATTTCATGGCAGCGTATGCGAGTGGAGAGGCAGTGGCGGTCATCTCAAATGCAACCATGAAACAGCTCTGAGAAGATATCTTGCTCGATCCAAGTCCAGTGTAGTAAAATCTTTATTTTAGTTTATTTAGATGCACGTTTGCTTTCAAGAGTACAGGGTGAATTTTAACAGGTAGCCCCAAGATGTTTGGAATTTTATACTTAGTAGTACTACTTTTTATTTGTATGCCATGTTCACAAACTATTCTGTAATTGAAAGAATTGTGATAGTCAATTGATGATTACAACCATATTTACAATATAGTACAACCATACATTGTTCTCTATTTTCCCAACTCTAACACGTACACAAAATACACCTTCTCCCACCAAATGCTAGGCTATATACATATTGACGACATGTTGAAAATATTTGAGATATTATTAAAATAGTAAAATTATTATTTAAATTAATTTTAGTATTATTAAGAGTATTAAATGTATTTAAAAATGTTTATTACTTATTATTAAAGAATGTATTGTTGGCCGGGAGTGGTGGCTCACGCCTGTAATCCCAGCACTTTGGGAGGCCGAGGTGGGCGGATCACCTGAGGTTGGGAGTTCGAGACCAGCCTGGCCAACATGGAGAAACCCTGTCTCTACTAAAAATACAAAATTAGCAGGGTGTGGTGGCGCATGCCTGTAATCCCAGCTACTTGGGAGGCTGAGGCAGGAGAATCCCTTGAATTCAGGGGGCGGAGGTTGTGGTGAGCTGAGATCACGCCATTGCACTCCAGCCTGGGCAACAAGAGCAAAACTCTGTCTCAAAAAAAAAAAAAAAAAAAAAAAAAAAAAAGAGTGTATTGTTAACATTAATTTTATTTCTTCCACTCTTCTTTTTAAACATGGCTACAAGAAAATGTTAAAGATATATGTGGCCTGCATTCAATTTCTATTGGACAGTGCTAGTTTAAGCCATTTTGAGTTGTACTTTCTGCTCCTTGCAATGAAAAAATACTAACACATATGCCATGTGAACTGAAATATTTTAAACATTTATTTCATCCAAAATTCCCATAAACTCAATAAATTAAATTTTTATGTCTGTTTCTTTTCCCATTTCACAAATATCGATGCCATAATCTTATAGGTCCTTCTAGTTGTTGTCTTTCTGGACAAGGTCTTGCTATATTGCCCAGTCTGTAGTGCAGTGGCTATTCACAGGCACGCTCATAATACATTACAACCTCCAACTCCTGAGCTCAAGGGATACTCCTGTTTCAGCTTCCTAGTACCTGGGACTACAGGCACACACCACCACACCTGACTCCTGCTAGTTATCTTTATTCAGTCTGATGCTACTATATGTTCAATAACTCTACTGTTACTAGGTTACTAATCCTTCTACTGTTGGTAGGTTAATAATCCTTCTAGCCTCATTTCAGTTATGCTAACCTTTATTTTTCCTTTTGATTTGTATTTGTCCCCTTTCACTAATCACAATGTCTAAACTGCTTCCTTTACTGAATTTACACTTTGTTTAGGTCATATTCGAAGATTACTTCTTATTATTAGGTTTTGGTCCCCTCAGTTTCCCAGAATGGTGTATGCTCCCCACCCCCAACATTGATTCCCTTCCTGAACCACAGGCAAAACTGTTTCCTCTGAAATTCCTTCTTCTTCTTCTCTTCCTCTTCTCCTCCTTCTCCTCCTCCTTCGTCTTCTTCTCTTGCACATTCTGTCTCCTATTCTTACCTTTTATTTAGAAACAATTTCAAATCCAAAAAATTTACAAGAATAAGAGTACAAATAACACAATATACCCATTACTCAGATTCACCTATTGTTTACATTTTACTCCATTTGCTTTACATTTGTGTAGTATATATCTATTACACATAAATCTTTTTTTCTGAACCATCTGAGAGGAAGTTGCATACATAATGTTCTTTTACCCCTAAATATCTCCATGTGTATTCTCTAAGAATAAGGGTGTTCTCTTACGTAACTAGAGCATGATTATCAACGTCAGTACATTTGTCATTGATGTAACGCCTTTACTTTTCCTTCTAATTTTGTCAGTCTGCTCAATCATGTCCTGTATAGCATTTTTGTTTCCTCCAGTAAAGGATCTAGTCTAATACGAAGTATTGTATTTAATTGTCATGTCTCTTTAGTCTCTATTCTTGGAGGAACATTTCCATAGTTTTTCTTTGTCTTTTATAATATTGACATCTTTAATAGACCATTTCTCATTTGGGGTTTGTCTAATGTTTACTCATTATTAGATTTGGGTTATCCATGCCTGGCTGGAATGTTGCATGAGTGGTGTTGAGTCCTTTTCCAGTCATATTGCGAGACACAAAATATCCACCTGTCTCACCAACCACCGTGCCCAGTTAATTACAAAAAAAAATTTGCAGAGACGGATGGGGTCTCACCATGTTGCCCAGGCTGGTCTCGTACTCCTGGATTTAAGCAATCCATCCACCTCATCCTCCCAAAGTGCTGGGATTACAGGCGTGAGACATTGTACCTGGTCTATCTGCAGGTCTTAAAGCATATTCTCACAGATTCCTTCATAGTTGTTAATGGAAAAAGTGGTAACTATACAGTGGAAAAATCAGAGAACACCTGGAATGAATGAGCCACTGTGCCGGCCTTTTCAATAATTTATACACATTACTATACTTATTTCAGTGCTCAAATTGTCCCAGATTTGACCAGTGGGAGTTCCCCTCAGCCTGGCTTCTGTGTCCTTGTGACATGTCCTCTTCTCTATCTCCACCACCTCCTTCTTCTCCTCCTCCTGCTTCCTTTTAGTGCTGCTTACTTTCTGGCATATTCAAATGTTTCAGGTTCATTTTGTGCCTACTCTGCCCTAGCCCTAGAACCAGCCATTCTTCCTAGAAGCCCTGATTCCTTCTGTGGGGAATGGCATCAGAGACCAACATTTGAGCACTAGGTATGCTTGATGTTACTGGAATGTCTTCGCCCAGCTATTTTTTGTATTTTTTTTTTTATAGAGATGGGGTTTCGCCATGTTGCCCAGGCTTGTCTCCAACTCCTGGGCTGAAGCGATCTGCCCTCCTCGGCCTCCCAAACTGCTAGGATTACAAGCATGAGCCACCGCACCGGGCCAATCTTTCTTATGTCACAGAGAACTTATGAAGAGTTTTTATTTGTTCTAAGTAAAATATATGACTATATATAGTTAGTGTATTCTGTTGTTTAAATGTCTTCAAATACATTGCCTCCTTTCAAAGCAGGATTTTAAAACCCTTTCTAAAAGGATGTTAAAAATTATATTTATATGATATATTTATATAACCATAGAAAACTGGGCTTGATGCCAGGATCTAGTGCTATCCAATGTATACAACATCCTAAGCAATCACCTATTTATTTTACAGTGGTTGCTGGACCTTCTGGACCTTCTGTGTATATATGACCTGTGCCCTAACTGTGCTGTCTCCAACAGTCCATCCCTCTCTGGAGCCAAGCTGTCTATAGGAGTTTCAGTAGCAGGCTCTGCACACATCCTCTTAATCTGTTATTCATTCCCCATGGTTGTATCTTCTCCTTCCTTACATATATCACTTATTCAAGTGAAACTCATTTGACTGTCACAGCAAAACAATGTGCTAACGTATTTAAATTAGTTTTCTCTTTTAGGAGATTCTATTTATGATATTAATTTGTATGGTGAACATTTTCTTCCTTGATAGTTCCAAGAAAAACAATAGCTCAGTTAGATTTGAATGATCATAAGTCCTTGAATCAGTGAGGTTCAAAATAATAAACTGTAAAATACCTCATAGTCTGTCCATTCCAGACTGATTAGTTCCAAACTCCCTGCAATCAAGGAAACTTCTCCTGGGAGCATCTGGAAAAAGTTATGCCTTCCAAGTGAGACATAAAAATGGATAGCTATCCCATAAAATATTAAAATTTACTTAGAAAAAAGTCATTCTCTGGACATCTAATATTTGCTAGCTGAGGCAAGGTTATATCCTAACAAGCGTATTCACTACTAATTATAATGCACTTTCTTGTACTGCTCATTTAATCCAAATGTAAATATTCCAAACATAATTACCTTTGGAAGACTATTACATGATATTGGGATGGGAACATTCCTAGTGGAATAGCTCCAGTTTCTTCATTTCTCTATTAATAGCTCCCCACATTTTTTCCCCACATTGCTGATGTTTTTTAAAAACCTATACTGGATGCTTTTTGCTGCTCAATTAGTTTAAATTTTTTTATTTTAATAATAATTTGAAAAATTCAACATCTTCTTCATAGTCACAAATTAATTTTTCTTGTCATGAGCTACTCAAATTATCATGAATTAGGCAAAGCAATTACAGATAGGTATTAATATTAATAAAAATTAAAATGTGACCGACAATTATAATTCTGTATTTCCTTTTTCTAATAATTTTATGATCTATAAAAATTATAAAAATATAAATTGCAGAAACTCTTTAAATTTTCTGTTTAAAAGTAAAAAATTTTTATTTTTAAAAATCAATTTGTTGAAATCTATATAATACCATTCTACTTGGTCACCTTGTAGTCTACAGTTGTGCATATGGTCAGGGAAGAAATATAAATTGACGTTTTATCTTGTATGTTTTTTCACGTAGGCAGAAAAGCATGAATGGTTATAAAAGTATATATATATATTTTGGATTTCCAGAAGTACTTTATTTTTTCTGAAATCACATGTTTGACTTTTTAAAAGTCAAATATGTTCAGAATAGACAAATCAGAACATATATTTTAAGAAGTTTTAAAATTCCCATATTCCATTATCCAAAGACAGTTAATGTTTTTGCATATTTATTATACTTTAATATATGTTTCTTTTTAAAAGATGTCATATACATATTTTCCCTCCTTATTATAAATTTTACAAACGTTATTATTTTCCAAAATTAAACCATGTACCATAGCATATTTAACCACATTACTACTCAGGATATCTTCATTTTTATAAATAATTCTGTAAGAATTGTGTGCTTGTATATTACAGGTTTTGTTTTTAGGAAGATCTTTAAGGAGGAAAATTCTAAAAGTGGAACTACTGGGTTAAGGGTTACAGTGATTTTAAGACTTTTTTATGTATTAATAACAAAAAGCTTAAACCAATTTATACTCCCAAAGAGTATAAGAATTCCTGTTTTATTGCACAATTATCAGTATTCAGTATTTTTGTTCTTGAAATATGAAACAATTGGAGAAATAAAAGAGGGATCTGCTTTGATGTTGATAATTTTTTAAAGTTTTCTAATGATGTTAGACTTTCCTACTTTTGCTAACATAGTAAATTCTCTTTGGGTAATTGTTCATAACTTTTGTTAATGTGTTTAGTGGAGACTTTGTATTTTTAATAATCAATTTATGTTATCGTTTTAGACTAATATTTTGTCACATGTAGTGTATCTGTTTTCCTCAGTTTCTTGTCTTTTAGATGTGCTTACATTTTTGTCATAGCAGAAATTGCAATTTTTAAGATCAAATTTGTCAACCTTTTTTGAGTGTAACATCTTTCACTACTTTAATTTTAGAATGTTTCCTTCTTGCAGAAATTTGATAAATATTTGCTTTTATTTTATCTTCCTTTTTGTTTTGAATTTTTATACTTCTTAAATTCACTTGCTATGTGTTTGATGAAATAGTATGAGGTACAGATTATAAACAAAGTTGCCTAAGCCCACGACATGTCCCAGAATCATTTAGTGAATAATTCTTTCTGTTTTCTTTGATTTGGGAAGTTTACTTTATCATATATTTTTATTTTTATGTTGTACTATTTAAAAAAATTTCATAGCACTATATTATTTTAATATTTGGATATGGTACATCTTTCTTCATAATTATTAATTTTCATTTTAAAAACATAGTTTGGGCCGGGCGCGGTGGCTCACGCCTGTAATCCCAGCACTTTGGGACGCCAAGGCGGGCAGATCATGAGGTCAGGAGATCGAGACCATCCTGGCCAACATGGTGAAACCCCATCTCTACTAAAAATACAAAAATTAGCTGGGCATGGTGGTGCACGCCTGTAATCCCAGCTACTCGGAAGGTGAGGCAGGATAATCGCTTGAACCCGGGAGGCGGAGGTTTCAGTGAGCCGAGATCACGCTACTGCACTCCAGCCTGGCGACAGATTGAGACTCCGCCTCAAAACAAAACAAACAGTTTGTCAGTTTATGCGTCCAAGTTTATGCATCCAAGTGCAGTTTAAGATTTTTTTTTCCTTTTTGAGATGGAGTCTTGCTCTGTCACCTAGGCTGGAGTGCAGTACAACCATCTTGGCTTGCTGCAACCTCTACTTCCTGGGTTCAAGCAATTTTCCTGCCTCAGCCTCCTGAGTAGCTGGAATTACAGGTGCCCAACACCACGCCCAGCTAATTTTTGAATTTTTAGTAGAGACGGAGTTTTGCTATGTTGGCTAGGCTGGTCTTGAACTCGTGACC
Source organism: Homo sapiens (assembly GCF_000001405.40). Lineage (NCBI taxonomy): Eukaryota > Metazoa > Chordata > Mammalia > Primates > Hominidae > Homo > Homo sapiens. The sequence goes on along the minus strand of NC_000006.12, from coordinate 79,555,235 downwards.
TCAGGTGATCCGCCTGCCTCAGCCTCCCAAAGTTCTGGGACTACAGGTGTGAACCATTGCATGTGGCCTTAAGATCATTTTTAAAAGTTTTAAAACATGGTTTTTAAAATGCCAATTAGCCTATAAATCAGTTTGGGATGACTTAGCACCTTTAAATTATTCCGTTTTCCTTTCTAGGGATATGGTATAATTTTAGATTTTTTTCTTTATGTAGGTCACAAAATATGACTATTGTGAAGAAAATATCTTTTATTTTACATTATCTAGCTAGATATTGCCAGATATAAATAAGAATATCTGTAATAATAATATTTGTGCATATAATAATATTGCCAAGTATATAATGATAATATAATAATATCCACATTCATTGGCTGTGGGGTTTATTAAGAAATTATCTAGTTTAATTTTCAAAACTAACTGAGGAAGTAATCATTATATTTTCCATTTTACAAATAGGGGAACTAAAACCTAGGGACTTTAAGTAACTCGTACCAATTTTCAACTTCTAAGTGACAGACCCAGGTCTCTGACCCCTGACTTCAAAGTCTGTGCTCTTAAAGTCTGATCAAAAATGCAGTTTGGTATTGTACTCTTAACAATACTGAACTGCAATATGAAAGCTATTGAATTTTATATTTTTAACTTACATTCCAATTGACTGGATTTTAGGATTTAGAGGAAAGTACATTTGAATTACAAATTTCAAATCAGCATTCTTTACTCCCTATTGCAGACTCCTCAATAAATCCTCTATTGAATTTCAAAGAATACTCCAGCAACAAGAACCCTCAAATGACTGTTAGTAGATTTGTCAAGAGAAGCTTAGAAAGGCTTATTAATATTTTTGCATACATTATGTCCCTTAGCAAAAACTTTGTGATTTGGAAATTATGTCACCCCTACCCCCTGGAATTTCTTATATAAAAATAACTTCTAGAAATTCCTACTTAATTTTTTTAAACGCATTAGATAACCATCATAATGATATGGTATTAATACACCTACTGTGGTCACAACAGGAAAAATAAGAGGGAAAGACAAGCCACTGCTCTTCAAAGGCCATTGAGAATTATATTTTGAGCTGAAATTTCTCAACATGGCTCGACTGACTACATAATTTTAAAAAGTGATCATTAAGAAATAGATGGTGACACAGATGATAGCTTATGAATAATACTGTAGTATTTCTTCAGGAGGAAGAGTCCTTAAAAAATGGGGTCAGACCATATAATTTTCTTTCTCTTTTCTTTTCTTTTTTTTTTTTTGAGACAGAGTCTCGCCCTGTCACCCAGGCTGGAGTGCAGTGGCACAATCTCGGCTCACTGCAACCTCTGCCTCCCGGGTTCAAGCGATTCTCCTGCCTCAGTCTCCAGAGTAGCTGGGATTACAGGCATGTGCCACCACGCTAATTTTTTGTATTTTTTGTAGAGACGGGGTTTCACCATGTTGGCCAGGCTGGTTTTGAACTACTGACCTCAAGTGATCCACCCACCTTAGCCTCCCCAAGTGCTAGGATTACAGGCGTGAGCCACCACACCTGGCCCAGACCATATAATTTCCTCATAAAACTGTACATTATCAGAGATACTTCACAGAAAGGAGGAAAATGGCTCTGTCTCACAAAATTAAGTCGCCTCTCTTTGGTGTTCTGATGGTGTCTGTTCATTAGGGCTGCAAGAATCACCCTTCTTGTTTTTCTGCATCATTTACTTGTTCATGCAAGTGGTAAAAAACAAAGAAACAAAGTGAAACCAAAATGTACACTAAAGTTTTGTGTTTCTTAATTGGAGCCACAAGTATGGATTATTTTTATTGAGATGATGAACTCTTTCTTCTATATCCAGTTATCTGAACATGTGTGTATCTTGCCTAAAGCTGAGCTTTTGTGATTTTGAAGAAGTTCACTGGAATCCAGTCTTTGCAAATTATTTCCATATTAATTCTTACTAACAAAACATACAAACACCATTTTCCTTAACATCCTACATTTTTGATCCGAGTAACATTGGGACTGGCAGGTACAAGCTCAGAGGCCAAGCAGATGAAATGTTAACTTTGTTCCTTAACTCACCCTGTGTTTTCTTTCTGCATTTGGTTGTGTAGATTATGTAAGTGATTCTCGTAGGAAAATTCCAGTGATGACTGAAAAGCAGCTTCCATTCTAAAACTTGAATACTCTTTGGGAGATGGACTCCTTTCTAATCTACTGCAATCACAATTAAAAGGGTCTAATTCACCAAAGCAATGAAGGAGTTGGTTCCAAACCCTAGGACATAGGGTCTTATGCTTAGAGTAACTGCAATCTGAAGCACTGTTTAGCATGATGAGAACCATCTAACTTAACATGAATACCAAATAACCAGTATAGTATGCTGAGAAGTTAATTGTGAAATTCATAATATGCAGAGCCCCTATTTTGACATCTGAGAACTTTCCCAAAGGAATCTTGGATTCTCCTAAACCAATGCTTTTTAAACTTTACTGTGCATACAAATCACCTGGAATGAAGATTCTTATTCTGTAGGTCTGGATTGGGATCTGTAAACTAAAAATAAAGTCCTAAGCCCCCTCACTGACTGAATGGACCCCTTGTGTCCAAGGGGATCCCAGAAGAACCTTAAAACTGAGTTCCTGGCCAGGACAGGATGGGAGGTCAGACACACCTCATTATACCCTCCCTCTTTTGTGGTAACTCAAATGTAACCAGTTGAGTAGACACAAAAACTGACCAAGATCAATGTTAAAATAGAGATCATAAGACTTACAGAACAGAATCTTGTTGGCAATAAGATCCCAGATTATAAACAGGACCAAAGGCCATGCCAGTCAAGGGTTAAGTCACACTCCCCTAAACTTAAATAACAAACTGTGTTCTAACTGCCACAAGGTTTTTCTTTTTATTCAACAACTAAACAAGCACTGACCTAAAGATAAGCAATGTTAAAATGATCACAGCTCACCCAGTTCACAGACATGAACGGGAACCCTGTTCCACCAGCCGTAACTACAGCTTTGACTGGACAAGAGACTGATTCCAGTAACTTTCTCCTCATAAGAGGACCACTGACCATGGACTGGCTCCTGCCAGGTTACAGAGACTGCACACTCACATGCCTTTGTCCTGAAAATACTTTTGTTTTTTTGAGGCAGAGTATCACTCTGTCACCCAGGCTGGAGTAAAGTGGCACAATCTCAGCTCACTGCAACTTCCAACTCCTGGGTTCAAGCGATTTTGTGCCTCAGCTTCCCAGGCATCCAAGAATACAGGTGCCCACCACCACACCCGGCTAATTTTTGGTATTTTTCGTAGAGACAGGGTTTCTCCATGTTGGCCAGGCTGGTCTCAAACTCCTGACCTCAGGTGATCCACCCACCTTGGCCTCCCAAAGTGCTGGGATTTAAGCCATGAACCACCATGCTTGGCCTGAAAAGGCATTTTTACATATAGGGCTTAATTCTAATATATTTAAGTGTTAAGTCTCCACCACAAAGTGAACATGGGTGGTATGTTACACGTGTGTTTGTTCAATTCTTTAGGACCACCTTCATGAATATTCATAGCTCCTCCTGTAACCAGTTGAGTATGTATGTTTAGCCAAACTGTTTAGCATAAAGCTCCTACCCCAACCCCTCCTCCTTCAATGTGCCTGTTTCTGGTCTTGGCTGGAGGCATATCTCCTAGCCTGCAGGAGGGCCACGTTGCAGGCTGTAACTCTTTATAAGAAATAGTCTCCTCCTCTCCTTTTCTAAAATTATAAAAATTATGTTATTTTAAAAAATTTTTCTGATATTCTGAGTGATTCACAGCATTGATGATACTTCTTGTTTGTGGACCTCACTTTAAGAAGTGAAGTCTTGACCAAAAAGATCCCAGATGACTTTTAGACAGCCCACTGCAAAGTCAGCCATGGCTCCCTGAATATTGCAATACTGTCTACTGCTCTTTATATATTAAATAATTTGGGAGTGAGGTTTTATAATTCAATAGAACTTTTACATTGTTTAGAACGTCCTTGCAGCTTGTAATGGAAAAAGCCCATTGGGGTATTAGAAATATTCCTTCAAAATGTAACAAAATGTCCTTCAAAACTAACTCTTTCAAATCTTGGAAACATTGCAAGAAAGTGGCCTTCACCTGGGATCCTTGAAATGGTGGATATTTCTTTCTTTTCTTTTCTTTTATTTAGCTTTCCCCATAGTAGACTGGCACACTGCTCTTTTGATGTTCAACTAACATTGCACGCTTGACCACTGACTTTTGTAGAAAATCTTCGCTGGTTTTGTGAGAAAATATAGTTTTCCTGGGGCATTGGTAGAAAAGTATGAAAATAAAGGCACAGAGACAGATACCATGATTACGAGACTGAAGTACAAATGAGACAGGTTTGCTGGGGACAGACAGATACCATGATCATGACACTGAAATACAAGTGAGACAGGTTTGCTGGGGACACTAATAGTTCGGCCACCAAGGCTGCTGTGCAAAGGCATCTCCTATGACGGCTATTACTTTCTGATCATACTCTGCACTAACCACACCATACTTGGTGATCATCCTGTAGACGTAAGTACTCAATACCTTGATTCCTTGACCAAGTAGGAATAGTAGTCAGGTGATCATGAAGCTAACTCTATAAGATCATGTCTAGTTGGTGGCAGACATGATTGGTGAGGTCAAAACCAGGAAGCAGTGATCTTTTTCTTCTTTTCGTTTTAATCTCTGTGGTGGTCAGATTTTTATCTGGTTGTGATAAATAAGAGGAAAAAAGGATCTGAAGCTCTCATTATACAGATATATCTACCTAAGCAGAGGATTACCTTAGGGAAAAATCCAGGAGTGGCTTAGTAAACTCCATGGCTGGTCAAACTTTCCATTGCAGTAGACAGTCAGAATTTATTCCTTTCTGATATGGGTTCCAGTTTCCTTCCTTCAGTTCCAGCTTCTACCTTTTCCTGTTACCAGTAGCTGCAAAAGTCCAGCCTTTCCTCTTGGCTTCTTTAATTCTCCTCCTTTCATCTAAATATTACTTCAAATTATTTATTTATATTTATGAAACTTAACAGCAAACCCACGGTCATGACATTTTGTTAATAACTATTTTTTTCTTACCATGGAAGTATTTGAGATAGAGAACTTGGAAAATGCAGAACTGTAGAAAAACAAGAAACATTTTTTTGGTCCATAATTCTTACTAATCAAAAAAATCACTATTAAGATTTTAGCGTATTTCCTCATGTTTTTCTTTTACTGTGCATTTAAAAATTTGTTTTTAATCAAAGAAATATTAAAACAAAAAATTGAAATGACACAAACGTGTCTGTGTAAAACTCTCCTTACCCCTACAGATAATCATTTTTGTCAGTAGCCCACTGAATGTTTTTAAAGAATTCTTATTTGTTTGTGGTGGTTACTCATTAATCTAAAATAATATATTTCAATTTTATTTTTTAACTTACTAATTTTAGACAGTATCTATTAACTCACTGTTATAAAAGATGAGGAGATTAGGATACTTATAGGTATTCCCCAGCTTCCTCCTCCCTGATTTTTGTTATTTTAAAAAGAGTTGTTAGGCTTGCTTGGAGCATCTGTTTAACCCTACTACACACCTCGGCTATATGGTATAGCCTATTGCTCCTAGGCTACCAACTTGTACAGCATGTTACTATACTGAATACTGTAGGCAATTGTAACACAGTGGTAAGCATTTGTGTATCTAAACATATCTAAACATAGAACACGTAGAGTAAAAATATGGTATAAAAGATAAAAAATGGTACACCTCCATTATAATCTTATGGGACCACTGGTGAGTATGTGGTCCATTGACCAAAACATCATTATATGTTTACATTGATGATAGCCTCATCTTGAACTGGCCTTTGCAAATGTTGCCTCTGAACTTGGAATTTCTCTGGGCCTCTTTTGAAAAAGATTCCTCTTACCTATGAAATTTTGGGCTGTAGTTTTTATTTCTTGGTTTGCTCCCTTAGTCTGATTTTATTTAGTTTGTATTTTCCAGAATTTCCTTGAACTTTTGGTGAACTGCTGTCTTCATTCCATGCCCCTCATCCTTAATGTGTGTTTTTAATCTTTACAAATGCTTTTTATTTATTTCATGGCATTTCTGTTATTTCACGGAGACTTTGGGAAACAGAGGATTAGAAACTGTTCAGTTTACCATTGGTGACACTACGAATAATTTCCTCTATATGGCCATTGCTTGGTTTCAGCCATTTTGTTATGAGCTTGATATCTTATTCATTGGATTAATTAATTTATATCTTAATAAGAACAAAGTCATAAGATCATATTGATATTAGCTCTGATGCCAGGGAACTGAAACCCCCTCATTCCCTTCATCTCTGTCTTCTATAGGCCCTGCCATTTTTCATTGTTCCTCCTATTAGATCCAGACTTGCTCTAACCATCTACTTATGTGGTTTCCATAAATTACTGTGCAAAAGCTGACGATGAGGAGTAATTATGTCCCACTCCTAGTTTATACTACCTTCATTTATTTATATTTAAAAGGTATTTATTTAGTGCCTATCCAGCGTTGGGCCCTGTTCTAGGTGCTAGACATATGGTAGAGAATGAAAAAGAAAAGAATTCCCGTCCTTGTGGTACCTACATTCTAGAAGGCAAGGACATGTTATTTCCTGTAGTACTACAGCCCTCAGCTCTGAACAAATTGGCGAACACTAGAAGGATAAAACATGTAGTGCTGCCAGCATAGTAAACACACATAATCAAAACTCCCGCTGGCTGAGCAATACCTCAAACTGTTTTCTACTGAAAAACTAAGTAGTCAGAATCTCTTTGTCCAAAGATCAGTCGATGTTTAATAATGAAAATAATAATCACATTTAAGGGAACAAATACTTTAAATCTTAAAGTTTAAAAATAACATGTGTGCTACAATATAATAAAGATTTAAAAATTTGGCATATATATAATGGAAATATAAACCTACTATAAATGATACTTATGAAGTTTTTTTTAAGATGATAAAATTGTTGTGTAATTAGTAAGTGAAAACTCATGATACAAAATTACGTATGGCTGGGAGTGGTGGCTCAGGCTTATAATCCCAGCACTTTGGGAGGCTGAAGCAGGAGGATAGCTTGAGCTTAAGAGTTTGAGGCCAGCCTAGGCAACATAGTGAGACCTCATCTCTACAAAAAATTAAAACAAAAAATTAGCCAGGTGTGGTGGTGCACACCTGGTCCCAGCTATTTGAGACACTGGGGTGGGAGGACTGCTTGAGCCTAGGAAGTTAAGGCTGCAGTGAGCTGTGATTGTGCCCCTGCACTCCAGCCTGGGCAACAGGGTGAGACTCTGTCTCAAAAAATAGTAATTATTATTATGTATATAGTTGGACTCTATATGTTAATTGAGTAGTCTCAGCTTAGTAGGGTATTAACAAAAATTACATTTTTTTTTCTAATCACTGCTTTCAACTATGCATAGGGGAACTCCAGAGTCTCATCATTGAAACATTTTGGACACATTCTATAATATTCTGATTACTTTCAGTTTTTGAAGTATAGTCCAGTTTAAAACTTCAATCTCATTTCTGATTCAACCTCTTTTCCTTCCGCCACACAGTAGAAGCCAGAACGGACTAATGTTGGGGAGCAGTCTCTGGCGGAGGGAGAGGGAATGGATCCAGCTTCTTACGCGATGGCCCTTGGGTCAGGGGTAGGGAGGCAACACGGGCCTCACTCCAGTTCAGCATGTTCAGGTCAGATGCCAGCGCATCAAGGCTTCATGTGGCCTCCAGACAGGTCAAGTGTGGTGGGTGACCTTGGGCAATGCTCAGCTTTACCCAGCACCCCTCTGTCACTGTGAGGAAAAGAAAGGCTTCCCTCAGGTCTACCAGTAGTGTACCTCCCAGCTTCATCTCTGGGTTGTGCTCTTTACTACCCAGCAGCTCCTTGGGGTGGATCATGCTCCTCTGCTTCTCCTCTAACTCATGGAACCACAAAACCTCAGTGGTCCTTGCCATGTCCTTTAAGGTCATAGAGAACCAGACTGTGGACAGTCTGGTTCTTATCCTCTTCTCAGGCATACTATGTCTTTAAGCCTTAGTGACAGTGGTTTTCCTACTCCCATCTTCAGAAATTTCTAGACTAGAAACAGAGAATAGTCTCTACGGATGCCTCATGAACAACGGGAAACTCTCCCAAGAACTGTCTCAAATGCTTTATTCCAATGGCAACACAAAGTTACAAAAGAGTTTCAACTTAGGCCAGGCCCAGTGGCTCACGCCTGTGGTCCCAGCACTTTGGGAGGCTGAGGCAGGCGGATCATGAGGTCAGGAGTTCGAGACCAGCCTGGCCAACATGGTGAAACCCCGTCTCTACTAAAAATACAAAAAAATTAGCCGGGCATGGTGGCGCGCATCTGTAATCCCAGCTACTTGGGAGGCTGAGGCAGTGAACCCAGGCGGAGGTTACAGTGAGCTGAGATAATTGCACTCCAGCCTGGTGACAGAAGAAGACTTCATCTCGAGAAAAAAAAAAAAAAGAGTTGCTACTTAGCAGGCCTCAGGAAGGGAGATGCCAATCTCCTCTTCTTCAAAGCACCCTATGAATTTCTATGAATTATTTTCTTGTACTTCCTACTCTTAGCCCCATCCACTCTCTCCTTGGGAGAACGAAAACCCTCTCCAAGAAGCCAAATATGGTTTCTTCCCTTCTTTCCATACACAGACCTCTCTTACGGTGAAGTAAAAGTGAAGAGAGGAGTTTCCTAGGGTGATGGTTGCTGGCAGTAAGGTTGGTTATGCACTTTTTAATAAGCCCTGGTGGGAGGTTTTGACTCCTAATTATTTATGGCTCTTTAGAGAATGTTCTCAGCTTTGGGCAGTAGCCACGATTCTGAGGCAGCAGGAAAAACCCCACTAAGCAGGAAGTGGGAGAAACAAGACTGAAGAAACTTTCAAGCTTAATCATTTTTACCCCCCTATTTGTATTATCTGGAAAAAAAAGTTGTTAATTCATCCAAATATTATGATTTTCCTCAATATCTTGGGTAACATCATAGTGTCATAATGTTAGGGTCTACCTGGCTTCTAGTCCCAATAATTTTGGTGTTAGGGATTAGACCAAGACACGTGAAATTGCTACCCTGTTCTTCCTTCCCTGTTGCTTGGTCCAGATATCATGATTTCAACTCCACTTGTTTCACTTGTACTATTGATTATGTATTTTTTTTTAAATGTAAGGAAATTTTACATCCCTGGAAAGTCAGTGTTATTCATAAACAGAAGTTTATATGAAAATTGAGAAAATGGAAACATTTTAACTAGAAGCTATTGCTTACCAAGGTTGTATGCAAAAAGTCTGCCCTTTGTTGTTGTTGTTTAAAAAAACAATGACAGCACGTTAGCAAGGTGCTAAGACTACCATCAGGCTTAGCTTTTCTCTTTCCTGAATACAGAAAGATTTGAAGTCAATGTTATTTAATAATTTCAAGTACCACTAGTATTAAGTGGCCAGCGTTTTGGATGACACAACTTTGTCAATGTTTTACAGTTTTCATCGTTTTCCCTAGTATTATGCAGGTCCTCCATGCTTTACTTAGCCTAATAGTTACTTATATACATGTAGTGAGAGGGAATTGTAAACGACATCTTTTAGTTTCTTTTCTGTTGGAATCTCATTTCTGAAACGATTTTCCTATAATTATGAAGACAAAATTTTCAGGTGCTAAGATCAGATTATTTGAATTTACCAAGGTATAATAATGGTTAAAGAAAGGATAAAAACATAAATATGTTAATTCCTCTTTAATAATTCAAGATTTCAGTGATCTGAAAGTACTGGGAAAAGTCACCTGAGTAATAAAGCATGCATCATTTGACTGGATTAAAGTTCAAATCACTGAAAAGCAGCTTATTTTTCATCCGTCACCATGGATACAAAAGGACAGCTGAAGTACGGGCATCTGACATCACAAGCATGCCCAAACAGGCCTGCAGGGGAGCTGCATCAGCGCCACAAAGGACGAAAAGAAAAGCGGCCAGAGAAGGGGAGGAACTCTCAAAGGGAAACAGGTCATTGTTAAGATGATGAGTCAGAAGTTCAGTTGGGAAGATTAAATACAGGGAGACATGAGGCCAGCTGAGAAGCTTGACGACTTCAGCATTTGTTTACATTGACCTTTCAATACCCTTCCTAGCCAGAAATAGAACTAGAGGGAGACCGAGACACTGCATCAGATCAGTTGCTACTCAAGCAGTAGTTTCTGTAGCTTCTTCTGTTTTCTCCTTATTTTATACTTGGGCTTTAATTTTAAATAATTAAAAACATTTAAAAGTTTAAACATTTAAAAGTAATGTTTTAGACATTTACTTGCCTGGCTCATGTAATGTTAAAAATCATCCCTAAAGTAGCTGAATACTCCAAATAACAACTTAAAGAATCAAAGGAACCAGTATCTGCTACACAACAGGAAATGGTAAATATTGAGAAAAATTGCTATTTTAGGTGTTGTTACTCATGAAGAGACACAATTTCTATTTTGGTTTATTTTTGATTTTTACTAACTAAAATTTTTGTTTCTTATCAAAATGCAGCACATCTATTCTCGGTTGCTGGGTAGAACATAAAGATCCAGACAGGAATGCTGGATTTGGAGGTGTGCTGGTAAAGGTTTAACCAGTGGCTCTGGGGAAGCTATGATTTGTAGCATTTGCTGGTTTCTGTGGTGTAAATATTTTCACCGTGGTTGATTTTGAGCTACCAGGGTGACATCAATTGGCTTGCAAAATTTCTGAAAATGTAACAATTGGCTTTTGCAAGCTAGTACCAGCTGGCTCCAGCACAGCAGTGATTAGGCTCTATTCCAGCTCTGACACCAGCTTGGGGTGGGATTTTTTAAGCACCTCACTGGGACTCAGTTTCCTTATCTGATGAAGGGTTGGAGCTGAGCTTAATCTTTGGTTGTTAAAACTCCATTGGCTTGCTCTAGATGTAAGCCTGTCCAACCCGCTTGATTTTGTTGTTGTTGTTGTTCTGTTTTGTTTTAGGCTTTTAGCAGCCTGAAAAGCCATGGTTTTTAATTTCTGTCTCTAGTGTTAGACAGAAAAGAGGGATGAGGAAGGGGCTTTATTGGCCCAACCAGAAACAGGAACTGAGAACCCATGACTGTATTCTATCCCCTGCAGGGTAGTTTGAAAGAGGATTCTTGGGGGCCACTTATGGAAGATGGTATTTGAGAGATGCTGAGTTGTTAGGGTTCTAATTCCTCATAACCACTTCAACTGTGCAGGGCAATTCTGATTTTAACTACCATATCTTGTTTTATATTTCTTTAAAAGGTTCTGTTAGAAAAGAAGAGTGCCTTAGTAAGGAAAAAATAACATAAGAAGACAACTTGAATAATTGATCTTAAAGGCCCTCTTATATTTATAAATAACTGATGATTCTATGAAACTAAAAATGTGAATCAAACACCAATATACTGATGTCTGTAGAGTACTCGAAGTGTTTGTTGGAGGCTCCTCTCCTTCAACAGAGAGACAGTTCCTATGTTTTAAATATGCTTCTGTTTTTAATATGGGGTTTCCATATAAGATTTTACTTGAGAAAGGGTTCTGCTGCAGGAAGTGGGTGGGGGATTAAAGACAACTGATTGATGCCATTTAACAAATCCAGAAACCAAGCTTTAAAAAAGAATGCCTTATCCTGTATTTCACAACTAGTAAGAGGCAGAGCCATGTATGGAATTAAGGTCTCTGGGTTTCCAGACCAGCAATATTTTCCTTTTTGGAAGCTGGCTACCTGGGACCATTACTTTCTATTATATACCTCTGGGTAAATAATCTAATCCTGTGTTGTCCAATAGGTTAGCTACAACCTGCATGTGACTACTGAGTACTTGAAATGTAGCTGGCCTGAAATGAAATGTGTTGTAACTGCAAAATATATACTAGGTGTCAAAATGTTAGTACAAAAAAAGGTGAAATATCTCATCGATAACTTTAAAATATTGATTGCAAGTTGAAATAATTTGGATATTAAATATTAAATAAAACTAATTTTACTTTTTAAAAACTTATTTTAACATGACTACTAGAAAATCTAAAATTAAGTGGGTGGTTCACATTCTATTTCTATTAGACAAATCTGATTTATCCTCAGGGTCAGTTTCCTCATCTATATTCCATTTCTCAGAGTTGTTTAAGATCATGAGGTCATCTTCATGAAAGTACTCTGTAGAGTGCCAGGCAAATATAAGACCATACTTCAACACATTTTAATTCTTGTGTGGTCACCAACTGTTAGCTGTTCTCTGTAAGATGGTAAGAAGTTTTGTGGAGGATTTTTTTCTTTTGCTGTTGTTTATATGGTTTTGCGGGGTGGGAGGAGAGGGAGGAGATAAAGTAATAGTGTAGGTTGCAAACAAAATAACAAGCACATTCATTCAGTCTACTCATTTATATTCAGTGAGGAAAAGACACATTAGACTAGAGCCAATTGTTGCCTGACAGGAACAGAGACATTGAGAAGGAACTTCTCCCTAACTCCCACCTTCCAACCTCTCCCTAAATGCCCCATTTTGGCAGAACCTACCGATAAGCCAACTAGCAAGGGTGTCTGGGAAATGCAGTTTGTTGAGTCCTAGCTCCTGAACCTTAAAGTAGAATATAGAGGCCAGGTGTGGTGGCTCACGCCTGTAATCCCAGCACTTTGGGAGGCCAAGGCGGGTGGATCACCTGAGGTCAAGAGTTTGAGACCAGCCTGATCAACCTGGTGAAACCCTATATTTACTAATAATACAAAATTAGCTGGGTGTGGTGGTGCATGCCTGTAATCCCAACTATCTAGGAGGCTGAGGCAGAATTGCTTGAACCCAGGAGGCAGAGGTTGCATTGCAGTGAGCTGAGATCGCACCATTGCACTCCAGCCTGGGCAACAAGAGTGAAACCCTGTCTCGGAAAAAAAAAAAAAGTAGGATATAGAAAAGGCAGGCTAGGATCTGAGAAACAAAAGGCATATAACTGGCACAATTCCAGTTCAACTCTGGCACTGGTGTAAGTGGTGGTACTCAGTGACTTCATGATGGCCACCAGCAGAAGTTGCTGGGTCCTGGAGAGAAGAGGGATAGACTGTTGCCTGGCAGAGCAGTGGTCCTGGTATCTTGCCTAGTGGGATGACCAGTAGAGGCAGGTATGTTTGTAAGTATGAGACACTCTCTAGGAAGTCCCAGAAATTATTGGTGGGGAAGTCTTTGGAGGGGAGGGGTGCTATAAAGCAGAGGCAGTCAAAAAATAACAAAATTTGGTTAATCTCATCTGTATTTACAGACTGGGGAACTTGTAATTACAAGAGTTTTTCTTAAATAAAATGTGAAAACAAGCCCACCAGACTGATCTATGAACCTATTTGAATAAAATTATTATCATCACTTTTGGGGACATCTATTAGCTTTGTCCAGTATTTCTTCTTCTAGTAACAGCATTCCAGTTTTCCTGTGGAGAATCACCTCACTATTCTGAGCAAACATGAAAGATAAGGTGACTTTATCATATTCTTTCCCGAAGCAAACTCTTGGCCACAGTACTTACTAATAGTTCATATTCAAGTGTGGGCAGTCAGAGTTAATACCAAGATTTCTGCTGGACCAATCAGGAAAGAGATATTCTTTTTCCACTGGGGTTGTGAGGTAAATAGAATGTAAATCTGGAGCACTGGTGGCCATACCTGGAAGGGAAAGCCTGCCTTAAATAAGACCAACACGTAGAAAAGTACATCCAAGAGACAAAGAGAAGAAAAAATTTTAATAACATTGAGCACTTGGATCCAACCATACGTGGAGCTAGGTCTACTAGATTTTTCTGTTATACAAACCAATGCATTCTTTTTTTTTAAGCCATTCAGAAATTGAGGTAAAATTTACATACAGTGAAAAGCACACATATTTTATATATTTTAATGAATTTTGATAAAGGAAACTTCTTTTTTTTTGAGACTGAGTCTCACTCTGCCGCCCAGGCTGGAGTGCAGTGGTGTGATCTCAGCTCACTGCAACCTTTGCCTCCCAGGTTCAAGCAATTCTCCTGCCTCAGCCTCACGTGAAGCTGGGACTGCAGGCACACACCACCACGTCTGGCTAATTTTGTATTTTTAGTAGAAATGGGGGTCTCACCATGTTGGCCAGACTGGTCTCAAACTCCTCACCTCAAGTGATCTGCCCACTTCGGCCTACCAAAGTGCTGGGATTACAGGCATGAGCCACCATGCCCGGCTGGAAACTCTCTTTAACTACCACGTCAGTCAAAACAGCATATTCACATCACTCCAAAAATAACTTTCAGTCCCTTCCACTTGATCCTACCTCCATCCCCACAGTCAATAACTGTTCTAATTTTTTCCAGTTTAGATGAATTTTGCCTGTTTTTGAATCACTTATTAATGGAAGTATACAGAATATATTCTTTTGTGTCTGACTTCTTTTGCTCAATATTGTCTTTAAAATTAATCCGTGTTAATCAGTAGTTCATTCTATCGATGACCAGCATTATGTTGTAAGTATATACACATTTTTACAAACATCTCAAGTTTTCTTTCTCCATTAACAAAAAAAAACTCGTACATTTCATCAAGTGATCAGAAACTGTATCCTTTAAACAGAGCAATAATCAAAGGCTACTAGCTTTTTGTACTGCAAAATCAAGTATTCATAGCAATCAGATTAGACTACATTTGTTTTCATCAGAGCAGCCCACTTTCTAGGTATGAAATTATACTATTTATTTATTTTATTTATTTATTTATTTATTTTTGAGACGGAATCTTGCTCTGTTGCCCAGGCTGGAGTGCAGTGGCGCGATCTCGGCTCACTGCAACCTCCGCCTCCCGGGTTCATGCCATTCTCCTGCCTCAGCCTCCCGAGTAGCTGGGACTACAGGCACCCGCCACCACGCCCAGCTCATTTTTTTGTATTTTTATTAGAGACAGGGTTTTACTGTGTTAGCCAGGATGGTCTTGATCTCCTGACCTCGTGATCCACCCACCTTGGCCTCCCAAAGTGCTGGGATTACAGGCATGAGCCACAGCACCCGGCCAATTATACTGTTCTTTACACCCAACTCAACCAATCCATTCGATTTCTCTTAAACATGCAGCATATTAGATACTGTTTCAAATTTAGTGTTATATGCTAAAACCAACTATTTACCTAGAATCTATTAATAAATTTAAAATTTCCAAGCAACATGAGATCAAGAAGTTAGAGAAAAAATTTTTGAATTTTTGTTATGTATCACATTTCTGTAAATTATATAAAATTGTGACACTGCTTTTCTTCTTTTGTAGAATGGTATGAAATAGATGACTGAACTTTAGCTAAGGATAATTATACTTATGTGCTTTCCAAGATACTATATATAGTATGTCCCCCCACTTTACAAATTATGGTCATTGTAATTTCTCTGTCTACAGTTAGAGAGTCTATTTATCTACCTATTACTTTTTTGAAACTTCTAACCAACCATTCAAACTCGACACTAGTTTCCCCAAAGGAAAATGAGAATAATCCTACTAGTAAGCATTTGTAGGAATATTTTAGTTACATTATAACATCTACATCATTGCCATATGGCAATAAAGAAGCCAATCAAAGTCCTACAGAAAATGAACATTCAGTTAGCAATGTAGCAAATCTGGAGATATTGCAGTATCAATGGAAGAAGCCCAGGATATTAAAAATAAAACTCCAAAGTGCTTAATGACCATTGCAGAATTTGTTTCATAAACAAAATCTTTAAAAACAAGAGTCTGATTTCTGTTAACTATAATTTCAAGTGGCAGAAATATAAATGTGGTTTTGATAACTTTGTTTCCTTTATTTCTGAAAAGCAGAATCCTGTGTGGTACTGAAATAAAATGTCAAATGGTATCTTAGAAAATTCTAGCCCTATCAAAAATAATATATAAAACCATGTAATGTCATAAAACTTTTAAAACTGCTTTCTCATATTTTGGGGTAACCTTTTAAAATGGTAATTCAATAAACTAGTTTTTACTTCTGTAAATTTATACATTTTTTGGTCTTTTTTCAAGGTCAAACTGATACTGTTATTTTGAATATGAGGGGGTGAATAAAATTGCACACTGTAAGAATCCTGAGACTATGTTACACACAACTAGACAATTTTTTGGATTCTCCCAGCGTCTTAAATATTTTCTTGCTTACCAACAACTTCTTAACCTGTAGGTGAAACACAATGAAGGCACTAAATCCGAAACCACGAAATTTGGAAGCAGACCTAGGCTTGTACTCTGGCATTACTACTTACTACTTTCGTACCTTGTGGTAGATACTTTAACTTCTCTGAATCTGCTTTCTCAAGTATAAACAATGAATAACAATACCTGTCTGGAGTCATGAATGAAGATGGAATGAGATTACACTGCCTGGAGCATTCTGAGTGCTGAATAAATGGTGGTTTCATTCTCAGCTCTCCTTCAGCAATCCTGATCTGACGCTCCTGTGACAGACATTTGTCCACGTAAATACGGTATGTTTTCTGATTCTTCCTAGCAACTTCCTTTATAAGTAATCCACCCATACATTTACATGTTAATTCTAACAGAGTCCATAATAACGAGTGAGCTATTTTAACAGTGTCAGCAGAGACAGATTAAAGAATTGATGAAAAGTAATTCCGTGCAATTTAGGGATTACTCATCTTATTTTCACTAACAGATGACTGCCATCTTGTACAGATGTATTTCGCATACAGAAAATTACATTTAATCACAATATTGTTTGGGTGGGTTAGTCTGTAACTTGAAGTAAAATGTATTGACAGGATAAAATGAAAGCTTTGAAACAGTGCAAAGGTGGAAAAACGAGGTTGAGCGAGAAGCAGGAATTACCAATCTTCATGGTTAGAAGATTCATTAAACGCATTTGCCTTCAAATATTAGATTCTCTACAGAATGGTGGTAAAAAGGCCAGTGAGAAATTAACAATAGTGAGAACACCAGAGTAGTGTTAAACCACCTTGATAATCAGATGGCTCGGAGCAGTTTAAAGCCCTCACGAAAGAGGATTTTTTTTTACCTTCCCTGTCTCCCGCAATTAATGCCATTTCTAAAAGAGAAAATATGTCACACATCAGCGCTCAATAGGCTGACATGCTCCTCAAAACGTTCCTTAAAAAAAAAAAAAAAAAAAAAAAAAAAAAAAAAAAACTTGTGTGCAAATATTTCAGATGCCATTCCACCCCAAACCCGTTCCAAAACCTAAAAATCACTTTCAAGCCAAACTCACGGCTCGTTGGTGATTCACAGCCAGGATCTCGAGGCAGGAACAATAGTGCACTCACCCCGCATCCTCCTGAATCAGCCATTTCGGTAAGAAGA
This sequence comes from Homo sapiens, assembly GCF_000001405.40. Lineage (NCBI taxonomy): Eukaryota > Metazoa > Chordata > Mammalia > Primates > Hominidae > Homo > Homo sapiens. Next base: position 79,537,847 of record NC_000006.12, on the reverse strand, counting down.
TCCAGAAGCACTAGCAGTTTGTTTGTAATTTGTTTACAATTTAAAAGCAAGTTATTTCCCAAAGGAAATCTAAGCAATTGTTAAGTGTTTTACATTACGCAGTCGCCAATTTTACAATTCATATCATGAACCCACTTTGCCCTCCGCCCGCGTCCCTCTCGGAGCCCACGACGCTCAGCAGTCGAGCCCTGGCACCGCACAGCCCGTAGGAGCCTGGAGCGCTCCGCGTTTTGCCCCAATTTCCCTACTTGGGGGTCTCCGCTACAGCTAGAGCGGTCGGCCAATGGAGACCTTCTCCCGCACTCGCCGTCCCGCCTTCCAGTTCCACTGAAGCCAATAAAAAGGGCCGTCTGGAGACAGAAGCCAATGGGAGCTCGGGTAGAGTCATCATGATTGGCTGCGGTCTCTTCGTAGTGCAGTCTAGGCCTCCGCCTCCGTTACCCTGGAGCCCAGGTTACCGCCGCTGCCACCCAGGAGCCCCGATCCTCGCCTCTGTCCCATCCTTGTGTTCAAACCTCCCGCATCTCGGCAACCTCGGCACCCGCCCGGCAGCCTCCGCAGGAACCAGGCACCCGCTCTTTGGCGGTCAGACGCCGAGGCCCCAGCTGGGAGTTTGGTCCTAAGAGGGAAGGCAAGGAGGCGGGACGCCGCATCGGCTCTGCTGAAGAGCCTGCGGGTTGGAGGTGGGCTTTGAAGTGGGCGTGGAGACGGCGGGGGAGGTGGAGGTGCGAGGTGAGGCTGGGTTGAAGCGTCTGGTAGCTAGTGAAGGGGCGTTCGTGGATGGGGGCCTGCGGGTGGTTCTTAAAGCAGGGAAGATGAAGGGATTAGGGATGGGGGAGGATGTAGGGACCGCGAGGAGAAGGAAGACCTAGGAAAATGAGTAAAGAGCTCGGCTTCTGAGAGGGTCCCGAGGAAGGGAGGTTGACCGGCACTGGGGGGACTGGGAAGTTAGGAGGAGAGGAGCTGGGAAAGGGTATTTACTTCCTGGGACCGAGAAGAGAAGAAAGGGAGCAAGCGGATCTAGAGAAGTGGTTGTTATTAAAACAAACAAAACAAAAACCCCGGAGGCCCGTGGAGACTCAAGACTAGAGAGGAGGGGCAGGGCCAAGGGCCAAGACGGAAAAGGAGGCTTTGGTAGCTCTCGGATAATAATAGATGTGTTATTATTAAAACTGTGGTTAGAGTGGAAAGCCGTACTTGTCCAGGCTGTGATACTTCTATACATCCTTCAGGGATGGGATGAGAGGAGTAAAGATGGTTAGAAATAAAAGAAAAAAGAAAGTGCCTTTTTGGCATACTCGAGTTGGAGTCGGTACTCAGATACGTGATGTTTACGTTAGATAGACCGTGGGATAGTGTTTAACAGTGAAGAGCCCTGGTCCAGTTCATCTGATATAAACCCCTTTTTTGTTCACTTTGTTCTTTGGAAAGTATACTTGGGCACATACATATTTATTCCCCTCCTTTATCTTCACGTTAAGAACTTGCATTAGAGATATCTTTGCAATCAGAAGTCATCATTTAGTTTTTGGCAGAGGGAGTGGCTATATGTGTTTTAGAATGGTAAAACCGATGTTTCCAGTTCTTTACTCATTCCCTCTTTCTTTTGCATGGTTATTTTAATCTATGTTTTTTTCCAGTTGTTCCACATTTAAATTCTATATTACCATTTTAAATATTTCACTTTGTGATTTCCCATGTTAGCTAGTATGTTTATCCAAATAAGTTATAGGAAATAATAGTTTGTTTTGATTCTCTAAGTTGACAAAGTATCATTTTAAATATCAAAAAGTAGTTTGTGACTTTGGAAAAGAGATTTTTCTTCTTTTGTGAGTCACATCTCTTCCGTTACACATATTGTGGAACTATAATTCTGTAGGACACAATGGAAGCCCATTAAATAAAGATGCTACCCTTCTCTTGGGTTCTTCATCTGCCTGTCATTCTTCAACTCCTTTGTGGGATCTTCTTCCTCGGCCCACCATATTTCATTATTGTTTTTCCCAATAATCCAGTCTTCAGTCTTCCGTCTTCTATTTTTTACTCTGTGTTCTTGGCTGTGTTCTTCCTCTCCTTTGGCTTACACTATTTGTGTTTTATTAACACTCTCCCAATTTTTTATTTCTGATCTGGAACTTTTGAGTTACTGTCAAACTTTTGTAGCTAATTTTTGGTATTTCCACATAAATTTCCTATCCATAGGCATCCCAAACTCAGTATGTCCAATATTGAACCCATCACCTTTCCCTGCCAAAGCTGTCCTGCTTGAATACCACATTCTCCTAATTTTGCAAGCCCAAAACTTTGGAATTTACTCAAGTTCTTCTCTATTCTCAGACTTCATATTTAATCTGTCACCAAGTGTAGTTTATCTTACTTGAAAAACATTTCTGGAATCAGTTCCGTACTCTGTATCTCTAGTTATACTACTTTCAAAACACTGTCTGTCAGTGATTATCGAGACCAATTGATATTCTTCCTCCAGCTTTCCTGCCCTCCAATTCTTAGATTGGAGATGGATCCTTGCAAATGTCAGATCTGATAATATTAACCCTACTGAAGAGCCTTGGTTTCCAACCAACTTATTAATGACATAGAGATTCTTCTTGTGATATTATCTTCCACCCGATCCAGTCCCACTTATTATTACTTTAGCACTACTCCCCAGCCAGTGCCATCCTTTTAAACTAGCATTGTCCATTTGAAATAGAATGTGAGCTATATCCATTTTTTTCAGTAGACACACAATAAAATACAGGTGAAATTTTAATGTATTTTTAAGTCACATATATCCAGAATATTATTTTAGCATATGTCAATGTAAGAAAGATTATAGAAGAGCTATTTTATGGTCTGTTTTATGTACTAAGTTTTCAAAATTCCACATGTATTTTACACTTGCCGCATATGCCAATTCTGAATAGCTACATTTGAGGTGCTCAGGAGCCACTGTATTGGACAGCACAGTTGTAAAGTATTTGCAGTTTGGTGATATGCCATGCTTATCTAATGCCTTTTACTTTTGCAAATGCTGCATCCTCTTATTGAGACAGGGTCGTACTTCACTGTCTTCTTTTTCTAACCTCATTTACCCCCCCACTTTTCAAACACACACATCCATGAAATTATAATTGTGCTTAACCTCTGCTAATACCGTAAGACTCAATTTAGGCATTATCTCCTCTAGAAACCTTCTCAAACTCCCTCTGTCCTCTAATCTTAGTTCTGAGTTTACTAAGCTTTCTCTGCTTCCTTTTATCATTAGTACTTATAGACTGTCGCATTATTTTTTTTTCCTCTTGGTTGGGAATTACTTAACGGTAAAGGATCAGTTGTATTTTACTCATTTTTGTATCTTCAGCTCCATCTATAATCTAGCGCCTGACATTTCATAGGTGTTCAGTAAATGTCTTATAAATGAATAAATGAATGAATGAACATCTTAGGATGTTTTCATTTGACTGACTAAACTTTGGGAATATGTACTGTACTTAAGATGTTTTAATTTGATCCATTGTTTAAAATGTTTAAAATAAGCTGATTATGTCTTACATTTCAAATGTAGCATTTACTGTGATCTGATTGATCATATTTGATCATACTTTAAATCCAAACTTTATTTTTTGTTTTATTTTTAAATAAAAATAGTTTGATTTTTAAGCAAGATTATGTAGATAAGTAGTATAATAAGGAAAATGCTTATAAATACGTGGGGACATGTTATTAGAAGAAGTGGAACACTTTACTTCATTTCTCCTTTGTGGAAGAGGAGCAGTTACAGTGTAACTGCTCCTCTTCCACAAAGGAGAAAAACCAAATGTAGCAATATGGTTTTTACTTTTATCTCATCTTTTTTGCGGGGAGGAGAAATGTCCTTATTTATATCTTTCTCACTGAAGTTTATTTACATTTTATTTGCCTAGTTGTCTGTTTTGTGAACTCTTTTGCTGGTAGCAAAGGTAGCCAGTCAGCAATGTTTTATCTAAAGAAGCTGAGCACAGGGATATGTCAGGAAATTAACGGTTTGTTGATTTTACAGTTTTTTTTCTTAAAACTAAGATGGTTTCTTAGAGTCAGACGAATTAGATATCATTATGATATTTATATACAATGGACTCTACAGCTTAGATTTGTTTTCTGATTCATTTGTAATCAGAGATAAAAGAAACTTCTGGCACTCGAGGATCTTTAGGTTATCTTCTTTTTTTTTTTGACCTGTTATGTGTAATTTTTACTGTTTGGGACTTTTTACTTTTTTTTTTTTAAAGGAGAGTTTACTTTTGGATGAACAATGTCAAGTATTAGATTTGGTAGCTTCCTATTAATTGCTGTAGTAGCATGTTTAGCCAGCTTTAGGAAATAAACAGTTCTTTAGGAATTGAAATTGTGCACAAGGCTTATAATTTTCCTTTTTTGCTTTTATCTAGTTAATTCTTTGATTAGCATCGAGAGGGAACTAATGGGATACATACAAGTACCCCTCACTCCCTCGCTCCCCCCTCCTCCTGCAACGAACAACTGTTAACTGATTGATTCTTGGTTTAAATTAGTTGCAGAACTACACATGGACTATAAATCTTCAGTGTCCTGTTAATCTAAGATCACTTTTTTCCTTTTAAGAAAAAGAATAATTATATTCATTCAATAGTATTATGTCTACATTACATTAGTCAGAAATTACTGTTGTAACTGCAGGTGAAATTCCTTTTGTTTGAAACCTTATTAGGTTCTCAGTTATTTAAAATTAACCTAGAAAAAAATATTTCAGCTTTGCAATGGCAGTGACTCTGAGGAAAACTTTTTGATTTGCTAACTTTTCTCTCTCAGGAATTCTAGAGATTTAAGTAATTCTTATGCAATTATTTTAAAAGAGGGAAGATTTAATATTTTCTTTAAAACAAAAAGGAAAATTTTATAAAATGGAACTTAATATTCTATTTGAAATAACATTATAATCATTCATTTCACAAATAATGAATGGTGGGTGGTGTGTTTACTATGGTGAACTAAACAGACAAGAGTTCTGTCTCACGGGTCTTATATTTACTAGGATAAGTAAGACAATAAATGTAAGATTATTTCCAGTAGTAACAAGGTCTGTGAAGAAAATAAAGCATAGTAATAGGATAGAGTGACTGGGCTCACTTTAATAGAAAATTGTCAGGGAGCCATTTTTGAGAAGGTGACATTTGTGCTGAGAACAGGAAGAAGAGAAGGAACCACTTTTGTGAAGTTCTAATTAGTGCAGCAAGTACTAAGGCTGTTGGCAAAAATCTTATATGTTGAAGGCACAGAAGAAGGCTAGTTTGCCTGAAAAAGGAGATTTTGAGAGGAAGAGTGATGTAAGGATACAGAAGTAGACAGAAGGACTAGACCTTGTATAAGTTTGCAGGCCTGGTTAAGGACTCTGACGGCCATAGGAGACCATTGAAGTATATTAAGCAGGAGAGCAGTGCTGGTCTGATTTCTGTTTTAAGTTGCTTTTTCTCACTGTCATGTGAAAAACTGACGTGAAGCAAGGATGAAAGTGGAATATCAGGAGGTTATTGCAGAAGTTCTACAGAGGAAACATGGATGTGGACTAGACTCACATGACTTTGACTAGACCAGTAGCACTGTGGACAGTAAGAAATGGTCAGATCTGGAATATAGTATGGAGATTAAAGTGTCTTGTTTTACAGATGGTTTGGATGAGAGATGTAGGAAGAAGGAATCCAGGACAATCTTTAGATTTGAGTCATGAGTAATTTAGTGGATGGATTTACCATTTAATGAGATCAGAAACATAGGAAAGAGTTGAGGTGGAAAAGGGACGGTAATGATTTCAGTTTTGGACATGTAAATTTGAAATGATTTTTAGATATCCAAATAGAATTGTCAAGTAGGAAGGTGAATATATGAATGTGGAAGCCAGGCTAATTGAAGTCTAGATGAAATCACCTAAGGAGAGAGTGTAGATAACATGTGCTGCCCTGTGTATTCCAACATTTAGAGATCAGGAAGAGGAAGCAGATTATTCAACAAAGGAGACTGACAGGAGACAGCCAGCGAGGTAGTAAGCAAACCAGGAAAATAGATCACTATGGAAAAGCAAGTAAGAAAAGAGAGTTTTTAGGAGGGAAGGAATGGTTGGTTATGTCAAACACTACTGTGAGGTTAAGGACCAGTACGACAGAAAATTGGCTGATGGTGGGAGGAGATGTGCAAAAGAAGAAATAAGAAACTTGGCTGATGGATTTGGGAAGGTGAATGTCATTGGTGAGCTTGACAAAAGCTGTTTCAGTGGAGTGGTGGGGATGAAAACCTAACTAGTGTGGGTTCAAAAGGAAATGGTCGGAAAGAAGTGGTGATAGCATTCTAGGTTAAAGATTACTCTTCAAAAAATTATTGGAAAATTGGAGTGGAGAAATTGGGTTGCAGATGCAACAGAACATGGAATCAAGCATCAGCTTCATTAGCACCTCTTCATTGATAGGAATGATCCTGTAGAGAGGGCACAATTGCAGACGCACAATCCTTGACATTGAGAGGTAGTATGGGAAAGAAGATGAGTAAAAGGTTTAGCTTTAAAAAGGAGCAGAAATGCTTCTTCAGTTTTAGCAGAGTTGAGAGGGTAAAGAGGATGGGATAGATACAGGTGGAGGTGGCTTCAAAGATGAGGTAGTTATCACCTGATTGTTATTGAAATATTGAGTAGGTCACTCAACGAAGAGTCAGAAAACTTACAGTCTGTTTCAAGTTTTACTAACGGAGCTTTCTGATCTTAGACCAGTTGTGAACTTGGGTAAGTTTGGGCCTCAGTTTCCTAAATCTTTGCAAAGGAAAGACTTGATTTCCTAGGGTCCTGTCCAGTGATAAATTGTTATGTAATCTTGTTGAGCTATAGTAGTTTTTATTGCTTTATACTTCACAAGAAAACTTAATAATTACTTCCTTTACCTCATCGTTATTTGTTTCTTTTTTTTGGTCTAATTTTTTATGTCTTTTCTTTTTTATTTAACTTATATTCTATTTGCCTGTTTGCTTATTTGAGCTATTTTTCTGAAGTGCAATTAGCCAGGCAGCTACAAGTTTCTACAAGGACTAAGGACTAATTTTTTACAAGTGAATTTTCACAAGTGTCTAAGTTTCCATTCTCTAGGAAAGTTAAGTTATTTGGGTTGTTATATTTCCTAAGGATGTACTTGCTTATTAAATGCAATGATGAATTGTGAGATGATATAAGTATTACGCATAGGTTAGAAAAACCCACCTTATTTCAAAATAGAACCTAAATAATCAGAAGTTTAGCAAAGAAAAGAATATATTGTTTTGTTTTGTTTTGTTTTCTTTCTTAAACTTTTAAGTTCAGGGGTACATGTGCAGATTTGTTACATAGGTAATCTTGTTTCATGGGGGTTTGTTGTACAGATTATTTCATCACCCAGGTATTAAGCCCAGTACCTATTCGTTATTTTTCCTAATCTCCTCCCTCATCCCACCCTTCACCCTTTAATAGTCCCTAGTGTGTGTCATTCCCCTCTATATGTCCATGTGTTCTCATAATTTAGCTCCCACTTATAATGGCATAATGGCATTTGGTTTTCTGTTGCTTTGTTAGTTTGCTAAGGATAATCTTTCTTAAACTTGAGTTAGCACAAACCATTTCAAATATTCTTCACAGATTTAGAGACATCCCTCAAAACCTGGGTTAGAAATAAATGAGTTAACCAATTATTTCTTGTTTATATATATATATTTTTATTATACTTCAAGTTCTAGGGTACATGTGCACAATGTGCAGGTTTGTTACATATGTATATGTGTGCCATGTTGGTGTGCTGCACCCATTAACTCGTCATTTACATTAGGTATATCTCCTAATGCTATCCCTCCCCCCTCCCCCCACCCCACAACAGCCCCTGGTGTGTGATGTTCCCCTTCCTGTGTCCAAGTGTTCTCATTGTTCAGTTCCCGCCTATAAGTGAGAACATGCGGTGTTTGGTTTTTTTTGTCCTTGCAATAGTTTGCTGAGAATGATGGTATCCACCTTCATCCATGTCCCCATAAAGGACATGAACTCATCCTTTTTTATAGCAGCATAGTATTCCATGGTGTATATGTGCCACATTTTCTTAATCCAGTCTATCATTGTTGGACATTTGGGTTGGTTCCAAGTCTTTGCTATTGTGAGTAGTGCCGCAATAAACATATGAGTGCATGTGTCTTTATAGCAGCATGATTTATATTCTGCGGGGTTACCATCTTCCTGGATGTTGCCTAAGTTTTATACCCCTCACAAGGTTACCCTTATAAGGATACCTTATAAGGCTGATGGATTACCCCATCTCCTTCCTCTCTTAAATTTCGATTTCCCAATAACTAAACTTTCTTCCCTTTTATTGGCTGACCCCTCCTCTACATTCTGTTCGCTTATTGTGACCCTCTAGGTGCATGAGCCCTGCGGTTTGTTACATTTGCAGGCTGGCTGCCAGTGCTTAGATTTATCATGCCTTGAAAGTGGACCATTTAAAATGTTTTCTCACTAATTCTCTCCTCTTTTCTATTTACTTTCTTTGGTTGCATTTTTATTTAAACCTTTCTGGTACTTGAATTGCTTTAGAAGTTGTTAACTTTTTTCTTTCTAGGAGAGTGAGTTTAATTTGGTTTCTAATAGTAGCAGGTTATTTTGCTGGTAAGTTATGGGCATTTGCTTATTAATAGCCGTTTTAATTAATCTCTGTGCTAGTCCCCTCACACGAGGGATAATACAACATCCCACTGCTGTTAAGACTCCTGCCACAGTTATGAGAGATGTAAGGATTGAAGCTACCATGCCTTTCCATTTTTTAAACCAACTTTCTAGCCAACCCCTAAATGGGTTATTAATTCCAGCATTTTCTGCCAGTTTGTTGCCTAGAGTTGTTAGTCCTTGTAAAGTTTTCATGATGGTTACATTTGGGGCAGTATTGTTAAGATTGAAAGTACAACGTTTCCCACCCAGCATAACACATATGCCCCACTTTTTTGCTAGTATTATGTCTAGTGCAAGCCTGTTTTCTCAGGCCATTTGGCTGATGGCATTTAACTGGCTAGCTACCCCCTTTGAGGGCATCTGAGTATAATTGATGAGTCTTTGTTGATTATAATAGATGTAGTTAATCTAATCCACATTCTTATTAATAGTTGACCACTAGAAGAGTGCTGACGTAAACCTAGCAAGTATTTGGTTTCGGGCCTTAAGTTCATTAGGCATCTCCCTAGGGACTCCTATTGAGTTAACATGTATATTGGGATTAAAAGAATTTGTTACATCTTTTTGGTTTTGGTGGCCATGTGTATTTTTGGGTATCTTATGGAATGCCAGGGAGAGGGGAATGGCCAATTGGACTAAAGCACAAGTCCCTATCCAATCGGATGGTAACAGGTTACGGAGGTTCCTTTTCCCACAATACCACATGACGTTAGCACTGGGTATGTGGAGAGCTGAGTGATTGCCATTGCCTTACCACTGATGTTTGGGATGTGGGTACAAGTTGAAAATTCTCCCATGGGCTTATTGAACTCTGCCCCCCACCTAGAGAGACAAGAGGGGTGGTTTATATTCCCTATAGAGAACGAGGGAATTGCTCTGGGATTTGACCTCCGCAATGCAGGAAAGAACAATGACAGACTTTTATAAGTTTCATTTTCCTATGCATCCTTGTTCTGGTATAGAGCCAACATGCAACGCATTCCTTCAGGATTGATATTTTATCCTAGAGGAAATGGAACCACCTTTGCCTGAGGTTGTTTCGCAGCACACTTGTAGTGGTTACTCTTGTTGAGGGCTTGTACCGAAAATTTGACCCATTCGACCCAGGCATTCACATCCCTGTACCCTGTCTCAATTTCTAAGGTTTGCCTTAAATTCTTTACCTCAATTATTTTTACCCTTTTAGGGTTATTATTTGGTGGACTAAAGTGTTTATTAGGGTTTGGAGTTGGAGTAGTCTCAGGCAAATGGGAGGTTGAGTTTTTGATTTTTGAGAACGAATTGCCCTAGGGGGTCTTTCCCTGTGATGTCTGCTCTTAACCCATATACCCAAGACGCTTCCTTTGGTTCTTGGTTTAGAATGGCTGGATTGTTAATGGTGATGAGTATAGGATTGCATTTTAAATTCTGGCAGTTATTTGGCAGGGAGCCCTTGGACAGATGTAGTTTATTCTTTAAGGGTCTCCAGCTCGGAGTTACCCACCCCGTGTTTACCGTCCATCCCTGAAATTGGGTAGTTTACCATACATCATCCCAGCTGGGGCGGAGTCATGCGCTGCTGTAATCTGTATCTGGTTCAGGGCAAAGATACTTATTTGCCTGTGAGAGCTGTCTCTGATTTTTCAAATTCCCACAAGGTAAGACCGGGCAGGTATTAAATCTTATAGTTTGTGGTGCTACCATCTTGGTTACGTTGATTACCAACTTGATTGGGTAGGGAGGAGTTCCCTGCCAGTTTCCATTTTGACGTTCTGCTTTTTGTATAGTAGCCCATTTTAGCCATATTAACTTCCAGAAATGGGGCCAGCCTATGTTTTCTTTTTAGATTTTTTTTTAGAGTTAACTTTAAGGGTTCCTTAGGTGACCCAGGCACTTTTTACTGTTGTTTTCCCCTCCCTTCTGGGGTCTGTTTTACCAGTCCCTTGATTGGAGTAGAGTGAATCTGCTGCTGTTCAGCTGTTTGCATGGCTGTTTCAGTGGTTAGGAGCACTTGAGGGTCCTTCCCAGCTTGGGTGGAGCTTGTCTTCTTTCCAAGTTTTAATCAGCATCAAATCACCAGGCTAGAAGTGGAAATCATGAGGCTGGAAGTGGTGAACAGCAAACTTAAGAGGCGGAGTTTGAGTTAGAAGTCCTTTTAACCTAAGGGGTGACAGGGTGGAGGATATGGCCAGTTTATAATTTCTTAAGAATTGATCCTTGGTTTCCATAGTAGGGAGATTTGTAGCTCTGCCAAAATATAGGAGCCCATATAATAGCTTGTAGGGGGACAATCCCAAGTTTTTTCCTGGGGCTGTTCTAATCCTAAGGAGTGCTATTGGGAGACATTTGGTTCCGGGCATTTTAGTTTTTAAGATTAGTTTGGTGATAGCTTTTTGAGAGTTTGATTTACTCTTTTTATCTTTCCAGAGGAAGGGGGATGCCAAGGGGTGTGGATAATTCCATTTAATTTGTAAACTTTCCATAATTCCCTTAACACCCTTTGAGGTAAAGGGGCTCCCATTGTCTGAATTAATATTTTTCACCAGGCCAAATCTAGGTAAAATTTGTTGTTTTGTTTTGTTTTGTTTTTTGAGACGGTGTCTCGCTCTGTCGCCCAGGCTGGAGTGCAGTGACGTGATCTCGGCTCACTGCAACCTCTGCCTCCTGGGTTCACGCCATTCTCCTGCCTCAGCCTCCCAAGTAGCTGGGACTACACGCGCCCGCCACCTCGCCCAGCTAATTTTTTGTGTTTTTAGTAGAGACGGGGTTTCACCGTGTTAGCCAGGATGGTCTCCATCTCCTGACCTTGTTGATCCACCCGCGTCGGCCTCCCAAAATGCTGAGATTACAGGCATGAGCCACCGCGCCCAGCCGTAAAATTTGTTTTAATATTATTTTGACCACATTCCTGGCAGTGGCTATTGGGAAGGGGAAAGGCTTCCACCCCACCGGAAAGGTGATTTATGATTACCAGCAAATACTTTAGTTTTCCTGCTTTGGGCATTTCTGTGAAATTTACTTGAATGCTTTGAAATGGTCTTAGTTCGGGAGGCCTTCCTCCTGTGGCCTGTTTTCTAATCACCTTTTTGTTTACTCTTTGACAAGTTACACGACTTCCACATACTTGTTTAGTGAGGGTATAAATCCCTATACACCCATAATTCCTAAGTATTGCATCACACAGAGCCTGGGGTCCCCAGTGACTCCCTTTGTGTAATACAGACATTAGTTCTTTTATTAAAGGTTTACTCACGCTAGCTTTCCCACACTGTCCACCGTTATCTTGGCTGTCTGCTCCGGCTTGTGGCTCCTGCCGCCCCCACACCTGCAGCTGCACTCCCTGGCCTGCAAGGTCAGTTGTTAGTTACAAAGTTAACTTTCACGAGGCCTTGCCCTACTGGGTCCTCCGGATCTAATCCGGACTATTTTTTCATTTGATCTCTGAGCCTTTGCAGGAATGCAGAGGGAATTTCCTCTTTTTCTTGTTGAATTTCGAATGCCTTTGAGACATTTTGTGTCCTAGGAATGGACTCTTTGATCCCTTTAATTATTAGTTTCCTGAGGTCCTGCATTTGGGCCCAGTCCCTGGGATTGTGATTATTCCAGTTGGGATTGACATTTGGAAATTTTTGTTTGGCTGGCAAGACTTTTTGCCTAGGAGGGTGTTGCCTCTGCCAGATGGCTATGACCACTCTCCTAATTATTCCCCTTTCTTCTCCTGTGAACAGGATATTTATGATAGACGTTGTTTTTAGCCCAGGTGTAAAAGATGGGTCCTAGGAATTGGTCCAGCTGGTCTGCTAAAACGAGGGGATTTCCTAGGAGTGGTCTCATTTCCTTTCCTTCTCTTTTCTTTTTTTTTAAGTATAAATGATCAACCAGAAATTATCTTCAAAGGAATAAAACCAGAAGTATGTAAATAAAAAGCCCAAGATAAAGAAACAGAAAAGCTGACACTACATGAAGCAGAGGTAATTCTTGGATCAGAAGAGACTTTAAACAGAAAATGTTTATGTAGTATACTCAGAGAAAAAAATATATTACCTCAGTAATGCGAGAACAGAATAATTATTTTAAAAATCGGAACAACAAAGAGTTCTTGGAAATGAAGATATTGGCATAATTTTTTAAATGATGGTTTAGAAGATAAATTGAAAAAAACTCTTTGAAAATAGAAGAAAAAAGTAGCCTTATTATTTAACTAGGAGAAATTTCAAAAAGAAAATGAAAAAAAGGTTAATTATCTGAAGAACAATATAAGAAAACCTCTGGTGCTTAAAGATACAGATTTCCAGATTGAAAGGAAGAGGGGGAGAAAGGGTCCCAACACAACAAAAAAGGCTCACTGGTATTTATGTTCTTGTGAAATTTCAGTATAACAAGAGGGAAAGCCCTAAAAGCACCTAGGGAGCGAAAAAAGGAAAAAGATAACCTATAAAGGAATGAGAATCTGTTTTAGTATAACTAGAGTGTAAATTCCCTAAGGGAATTTACTTTCTGTTCATTAATTGACTTTCTGTTCATTACTGCTACATAGAGCTCAAGAAATATATTTTGAATAAAAGAGTGACTGTAACATGTGTCACAAATAATGCTGATATATTTTGAATAAAAGAATGATTATAACATGTCTCACAAACAATGCTGAGGGTTTAAGACAGTGAAGCAGTGTCTTCAAAGTTCTGAGAGAAAATAACCTAGAATTTGGAATGTATGAAAAGTAACAAGTGTGAGGTAAAATAACGACATTCTCAGGCATGCAAGGACTTAGAACATTTACTTCCTAAACCATAAACCCTTTCTGAAGAAATTATTTAAGGATGTGGACCAGTAAAATGATGATGGAAACTAATAAACATGACATGGTCTAAATGAAATAGTGCACTAACTCAGGAATTCAATAAAAGTAATTCCAGAATGACAGCAGTACAATAGGTCTAGAATGTAGTTGGTTTAAATTAGAATAGGAAATTCGAGGAAAATGTCTTTAGGAGGAAGAATGGAATGGACTTCAGGCTATTGGTAGATTAAGAAGCTGGTAGATATTAGTGATATAAGAAACGTTTTTTCCACTTAATAGGAAAAAAAAGACAATTAGGAATTCTAAGAGAAAAACCATGCATAACCAACATGTGGTTGCATGTTGCAATCATATAAAATGAAGGGTGAGTTAAATACTCATCTTTCATAGTCTAAAATTGCTAACTTAAGATATAGCGTACATATAAAGGTATAAGCCATTAAAATGGTTGTTTCAGGGAGCAGGACTTGGATAATGGGACATTGGATATTTCCTTTATTTACTTATTTTTATGGAACTATGTGGAAGTATTTGAGGGGGGGCAGGGAGAGAACACTGTGTGTATTCTTCCCCTTTGCCATAGAAAGTTGGTGGGCCCCTCGGATTTAGATAGGATAGGGAGTTCCTAGGAAGCTACTTCTGCTACGCAAATGTAAGCAGAAATAATTTTCATCTTTACCATGTAACCAACTTTTAATTATATTATTGGAATTTAAACTGAAAGTTGTTGACAAAGAACATCAGTTATAATTTACTGAGCATCTCATATGTGTTTGAATTGCTAATATAATTGTTGATATTTACCAAGTTCTTACTGTGTAATAGTTATTGAATTATCCCATTTAATCCTCACAAGAATTCTCTAAAGTAGTTACTAGTAATATTACCATTTTACATTTTAAAAAGTTAGACTTACATTGAGAGGTAAACGCTCCAGATTTACATAGCTAATGAGTGCTAGAGCCACTTACTTGCTGTTATCATTATCCTTTTTTTCTAGACAATTTTTTTCATGTGTAAATATTTTTTCACTTGATTGCAGAGTGAAAGATTCAGGCTGATTTATGTATATTTTTAATATTAGTACTTGCCATAGGAATTGTTGATTTTAGATACAGTTGCTAATTTTGATAGAGACTGCGATTGCTAGGCACATCAGAAGTAAAATCAAAGTTGTGTTTTTTGTTGCTTTTTAAAATATTTCTTCTAAAGAAAATATCAAACAAATACAGAATTGGAAATATTAGAATAATTAATTCAAAAGTCTTCTATCAGTTTACATAATCATCAACTCACAGTCAATTTTGTATAATCTTTACCCTTACCCATTTTCCTTTGGGTTAATTTTGAAGCGAACCCCAGACAATTTTATTTATAAATATTTGAACATATATCTCTAAAAGATAAAGATTCTTTAAAAAAAAAAAAAGACAGTATCAACATCTCACCTAAAACAATATAATTCCTTAATATTAAATATGTGGTCAGGGCTGGGCGTGGTGGCGCATGCCTGTAGTTCTGGCTACTCAGGAGGTGGGAGGATTGCCTGAGCCCAGGAGTTCAAGGTTGCAGTAAGCCATGATCATGCCACTGCACTCCAGTCTAGGCAACAGAGCAAAACTCTGTCTCTAATAACAATAAATAGTGTTTAAATTTTCTTGATTATAATTTTTTAATACAATTTATTGTAATCAGGAGTGAAATACTGTCCATGGATTGCACTTGGTGGTTGTTTCTTGAGACTTTCTTATTATATAAATACCCTCTTCTCTCCTCTCTCTTGTTCTGCTTGCAATTTCTTCATTAAAGAATCTAGTTTTTCCTGTAGAGTTTGCTACAGTCTGGATTTTTTCTGATTGCTTCTTTGTACCTCGATCTCTCTCCTACTTTCAGTGTCATTTACATTTACAGGCTTCAGTAGATTCAGATTTAATTTTTGTGGGGAGGAGGGGAGATTACTTCAGAAGTATTATTGTGTCCTATCAGAGACATGGTGTCTGGCTGTTACTTTTCTGTAGCAATACAGCCATTTATGATCATTATATAGCTTCATTATTTCATTAGGAGTTGTGAAATGTCACTCGTCTAATTCTGTCATTTTAATATTTTATTTTTTATTTGTTAACTAGAATAATTCCATAAAGAAATACTTCCCCCCATCTAATATTTTGTTATTTTCAGATAATAGCTTTTTAAGAGTATAGGCAAGATGCATGTGTGATTTTTTTTATATATAAATTTTTTAATTAAATGAGATGGTTTCCTAGAATCTTCCAAAGGTGAATAATTAGGTTTTTGTAAAATATATCATATGAACTCAAGGATTTAAACACTTTTGATATGTTTAAATCGTTTGCTGATATAATTCGTATTGATAACAAATTTGCCTTGTCTTTGGCAAGTAGTTCCTTGAAGTTGGCTCCTGAGTCCATTTGACTGACACTCCATCAGTAGTATCTGATAGCGTCCTTGCTTTCTAGGATGACCAGGTTGCTATATTCTTAGATTTATTTTGTGTGTTTCCTCCCTCAGAAATGGAATCAGGCATTTCACAAGGAACTTTAGGTTCTTTCAATGGGAAGTGGCATATAGACACTAGATCTGGGTTCTAGGAATGTTCCTAGTTTTTTCCTTGTTTCTGGGATTTTTCAGTGGACAAAGTGAAGAAGTTTTTTTTAAATAAATAAAAGCCATCATAAATTCATACTGACACTCATAATTCAAATTTTGAATGTCAAAGTTTTAAAACTCACATTAGTTTATATTTACTTCTTCCATGTTGAAAATTCTAGTGCCCAGCTGCACCAATAATAATTACTCATTTGTTTTATTTCACAGTACATGTGTATAAGTCTGAGAATAAAATATCTGAGTAGCAAAATATGATTATTGGAATGGCTTTAAAAATTTTTTTTGGTCATTATGTCTCACTAGGAATATAAAGTCAAGTTATTGTGTTTTAAAGTCATTCGAACTGGTTAATTTGTGTGGTTTTACCACCAACCATGTATGTAGATTGATTTATCTAATTTTATTTTGATTTATGGGAATTGCTTTTCAAAAATCTCATTTCTAAAAATCGTAATTTCCAATGTTAAATCTACAAAAATTATATACAAAGAAACCTAGCTTCTATCCCTTTTCCTAAACTCTGCTTCCTTCCTTCCCCTGTAGCAGTGTTGTTTAGTAAGCTAACTACCAGCACATGTGGCTTCTTAAATTAAAATTAATTAAAATTAAATAAAATTAAAAATTAGTTCTTCAGTTACACCAGCAACATCTCAAGTGCTTGATAGCCACATGTGGCCAGCCACCATCTTGAACAGCACAGACTATAGAACATTTCCATCCTGGCTGAAAGTTCTGTTGGACAGCCCTACCCTAGCGAACCCATTTTATTTTTCTTAATTATTTGATTTCTCCTTCTACTTAAATATATAAAAATTATGTATGTTACCCTTCTTCCTTGATAAATGGTAGCATACTGCAGGCTTTTTTCCATCTTTCTTTTCTCTGTATATCCTAGAGATTATGCCAGACTATGAGCAATACACAGAGATAGTCTTCATTCCTTTAATAGCTTCATAGTATTACATATACTTCATTGTGTGGATGTTTATAGTTTGTAAGACCAGTTCTTATTGGTCATTTTATTGTTTTAGTTTTCTACTTACAATAGTGCTACAATAAATAGTGCTGCCTTGTGCATGTCCTTTCATATGTTATTACTAGAAGAACGATACTTTTAATACTAATTTCATCAGAGATGTTTGTTTCTTCTAAATTGGATTATAAAAGTAATCCAATTTTGTTGTGTTAGAAAACCAGAATATGTTAATGGAGAGATAAAATTATCTAAAATCCATGTTGTCAGGCAGGGACTATTTTGGTGTTCTTGTATTCCTTGCTTGGAAAATGTTTTCAGTTTCTGAATTCAGATAGGGATAATAGTATTTTCAGTATTTTTTTAATGAATGTGTGTAGTTGAGATCATACTGTATGCACTAATTTGAATTTTTTCTTTATGATAATAGTATAAGCATTTTCCTTAAATACAGACTTTTTGTAAACATTATCAGTAGCTTCATGATATTTTGCTGTATGGATTTATAAAATACTTAATTATTCCTCAATGATTAGGCATTTAATTTGCTTCCATTAAAAAAAAAGTACTGTACTACATTAAATATTTGCACATAACTTTTCTCCTAATTTTAGCATTATTTTATTGGAGTCCAGAAATTATTGTATCAAAGGTTAAAGCATAATTAAAGTGACAATACATTTTGCCAGTGTTTTTCCAAAAAAACTCTAGGGATCTTTTTCTGATAGCAACTCTGACAGCATTGAGTGTTATTATTTCGAAAAATCTTTAATAATTTATGTTGCCTTTTTGGAGTCTTATATATTTTGCCCATTTAATTGTTTTACCTCATATTTTTCTCAAAGGATGATATATTTATGTATTGAAGATGATAACAATTTTTTGTCATGTTTGCAAATGTTTCTCATCAAGTATTTTTTCTTTTAGTTTTTAAAAAATGTACTTTAGTTATACATTTTTTGTGTGGTCAATCTTGGATATTTTTATTCTTTATTCTTTTTTTTTTTTTTTTTTGAGATGGAGTCTCATTCTGTCACCAGGCTGGAGTTCAGTGGCGCCATCTTGGCTAACTGCAACCTCGGCCTCCTGGGTTCGAGCGATTCTCCTGCCTCAGCCTCCTGAGTAGCTGGGACTACAGGCGTGTGCCACCACGCCCAGCTAATTTTTGTATTTTTAGTGGAGATGGGGTTTCACCTTGTTGGTTTCTTGACCTCATGATCTGCCCGCCTCGGCCTCCCAAAGTGTATTTATTCTTATTAGCAGGTTTGTTCTTTACTATCACCACTACTTCCACTCCCACTGCCTCCCTGCCTAAAAAAGAAAAAACTGGTGATTTGATCATTATTGTCCATTAAAATTCAGCATTTGCCTCTAGTATAACTCTTAAAATTAAACAGTCAACTTCAGTTAACATTTATTCAGAAGTAGTTGTATGTCAGGTACTTATTATCTATCTAGGCTATGACAGTCTGTATTTTCTCCAAATACTGTAAGTAACTTATCTGTGAAAATATAGATAAATTGTAGCCTCTTTTAAAAATTGTAAGCTATATATTATTTTGCTTTTAGTGTCTTTCATTGTAATTAACTGTAGAAACTGTAGAGACTGTATGATAAGTCTCCTTTCCCCTTCCTTAATTTCAGGGCAAAAAAGTTTATCTTCTGGATGCCAATGTGAATTGTGGTCTACAAATACATTGTGGAGAAAATAGATTGCACAGAAATGAATATTATCAGGATCTGAAGACTGTGAAAATGTTTTTCAGTATTGTCATAGTCTCCTCTGGAGAAAATAATCTGTGAAATTATGTGAATAGAGACCATTTTTCAAAACAATGGGGGAAAGAGCAGGAAGTCCAGGTACTGATCAAGAAAGAAAGGCAGGCAAACACCATTATTCTTACTTATCTGATTTTGAAACGCCACAGTCTTCTGGCCGATCATCGCTGGTCAGTTCTTCACCTGCAAGTGTTAGGAGAAAAAATCCTAAAAGACAAACTTCAGATGGCCAAGTACATCACCAAGGTAAGCATTCTTTAAAAGAGTCTGGTGGACCTAGAAGACTCATTTTGAGTGCTTAAGGAAAATGTGTGTGCATGATACTCTTTTATTAGTATATATGTTGTTGTATACATGGAAGTGGGCTGATTTACGTTTTATAGGTTATATACTTATAAGTATATATAAATGTTGCTTGATGGTACTATTAAATTTGTTATATTCAAAGTCATACAGTATACAGAAGGAAACATAGCTAAGCCTTCTCAGTTTGTTTTTTCTTTTTCCTAAATAAATGCTTGTCTTGGGGTTTCTGAGGTACTGTAAAGGCAAAAAAGTTTATAAATCATATGTACCTTTTTGTATCTTCATTTTTTGAAAGTAGAAAAAGCATCGACATAAAGTGGTTAAGGGACTTTTTAATAGATTGAGTAAAATTACTTACTGTAGGTAATACAGTATTTACTGTAAAAATTCAAATTAAACCTAGGAATGGAATTGGGGCCTTTGGTCTAATTTGCTTTCTTTTGAAGTGTGTTATAATGGAAACTGGATTAATCATTAGAAGTCATTTTTGTTATTAAAATGTTACTAGAATGGAAATAGGCCTTCATACATATTTGACTATGTAATATTCTACAAATATCTTCATCTCAATAAATCTCTGGTCAAGAAAACCCCATTGTAGTTAGTAACAAAATATGTAAGGTTTACAAGTACAGCATAGAAAAATAAGGCAAATGAGGTAATTACAGTACCCATTAATAAAAGTAGCACAGCAGTAGCTTAAAATGGTGAGAGTTTAGATTGCAAGGCCAGGAGTGGTAAAATTGTGGGTGGAAAAGGGAAACAAGGGACCACATTATGAAATGCCTTGCATCCTGTGCTAATGTATTGACTCTGTTTTTGTGGCGAATAGTTAGCCATTGAAAGGATTTAAGCAAGGACATAATTAAGTTTGTCTTTATAAATTTTTACTTCAAAAAATAATATTCGCTTATTAAAAACTGCAAAGAATATGTATTCCTTTTGAAAGAAACCCTTTCATGGATCCCCAGTCTAGCTCCTCAGGGATTTCCATACTTCTAACCATTTATAACAATTGGGAACCTTTTTCTTTTTCTTTTTTTGTAAGTACAATGCTTTGTTGTTGTTGTTATTTTGGTCTCTTTCTCCAAATCTGTCTCAGTGAGGAGCTTGTTATAATTTTGTAGTTGAGAGCATGATCTCTTATTAAACTTTTGCTGTATAATTAAGAACTAACAAAACAGATCTTAAGGTTGAACCTTAGAAAATGCCTGTTAGTCTCAAGAAATACCTAGGGTAGTATTGGTAAGGAATACTTTAATTTTTTTCTTCATTCCCCAGAAACAACTTAGGAGGCCACCCAATTAAGGAGTCTGAACTTTGTAAGCCTTACCTTATTTGAGAAGGTAATTGAGAAAAGCTGTGAAAAACAGTTCCAGCATCAGCCAGAAAATTTCAATTATTTCCTTCAATTTGACTTGTACCGTTTTCTGTTTTACACTGTCCTTTGAATTAAAATCTGTGGTAATTAGTCTGCCTTAGACCAAGTAACAAGACCAAACTGATACGTTTCTGTAAACACTAAATTGCAATCAGTATAGACTAACCTAGGGACAAAACAAATGTGATTCAAACAGCATTTTAAACGAATTTTCGGGTTTGCGTGTTTGATAGCATATTCTTCCTTCCCCTTCCTTAATTTTCAGCATACTTTACTTTTTTTTGCATAAAATTCATGCAGTATCAAAATTTTTCATGGTAAAATTTAATAAGTTTTGGTTATACATGTTCATTTATTATATATTATTCCATTATTTGTTTTTTCAATAATATTAACATATCTTGATTTTTTTGGTGGATGCATAATTTATTTTTACTATGTTAAAAAAAGAGTCATATTATTTTTAACACCTGAAGGAAGAAAAAGCAATTTTCCACCCACTTTTTGGGAGTGACTTAAGAAGGAGAGATGAAGAATGATATATACAACAATCATCTTTCTTCTTACTCTTATTAGCACTTGATGGTTTAAAATATTTTGTCTTATAGTTTTATAAATGAAAATAAAAAGGTAGATGAAAGCTGGAAATATTTGTAAGTTCAGGTTAATGATCAGTTTGTAGTTATAGAATATGCTAAAAAATTTATACTCAGAGTTTTAGGATGTCAGAAAGTTGGTTATGGAAACCCTTTTTTATCTGACTAAAAATTTTTATCCTGATTCTTATTAGGCTTTAACTTTTCATATAAAACAAGTTGCTCTTTCTATGAAGTTTTATGAGCGGTATAATTTTGTACATAAAAACCATATTTGGAACAATTGACATTCATCTTTATACATAATTATTTTTATGTATAAAGTTTCTGTCATTCCAAGAGCTGAGTATATATCCCATAATAGCGTATATATACCAAAATTCCATTAACTACATATGTTGGGAAAGAAAACTGAAATGATGGACATTTCAACTTTAAAATTATATTCTCAACTAATGCTGCCCATTGGAAATATAATGCAGGTCACAAATGAAGCCACATATGTAATTTTATATTTTCTAGTAACCAGGTTAAAAAAAAAACAAATGAAATTAATTTTAATAATATATGAGTATTATTTCTACAGATAGTAAGTATAAAACATTATGAAATATTTTGCATTATTTTTATTTTTGAATCAAGTGCTCAAAATCCAGTGTGTGTTTCACAATTATAGCATATCCCAGTTTGGGCTACCCACTTGTCAAGCTTCTCAATAGCTGTATGTGGCAGTGGCTACCATAATGGATAGCATAGTTTCAAAGTTGCAATAATTAAGCACTCCCTCATTTCTTTTTATTACTGCTTCCTTTCATGTATTCAGTCATTTATAGAGCTGGAATCCCAAATCAGTACACATTCAAAACAGCTTCTATAAAATCTTTTATCTTTTTAATGAAACTTTGTAATGTTAAATTGTAAAAATTACTTGTTATTCTTTACTTGTTTACATAATGGAATCAAGTATCCATGGCTGATGAAATGGGGAAGGAAAGGTTGGATCTTCTAGTGTTTCTTCATTTTTTTACTCTGGAATGCATTTTCTCCTTGGAAAAAAAATGCAGTTACCATGTAGATTAAAGATCATTATTCTTAGCAGACTTTCAAAATGCCTCTTTTAAAGGGCCGGTGCTCTGAATATTGAGGCTTAAGGCTAATGAACTTTTAGTAAAAATAAAAACATTATTTCAAATTTTTGAGAAATGTTGTGATTTAAAATGTATTCTTTAAATATTTCATATACTTATATTTTTTAGGATGTGATTTTTGTTTTCATCTTCTCACATTAGGGTTTTTGATTTGAACATCACAGAAAAGAAATCCTCTGAGGAAGCATTTAGAAACACACCTGTACTTCTGTTTTCTGTTTTCCATCTCCGATAAGTGGAATGTTCTTATTACTAACAGAGAATATGTAGAACATTTAACTCTCCCAACAACCTAGTTGTGTAGATAATATTGTCTTCTTTCTATGGGCTGGGTAAATAGACTTGGAAAGGTTTGATTGAATTGTCCAGAGAGTTAAGTGATAAATTTGAGCCACAAATCTCGCTGTATAATATGCTGTCATCCTGTCCCCAGATGGAGAAAGTTGTAATTAATGTAGAGAAAACATACATTTTCTTTTTTCTTTCTTTTTTTTTTAGTTTTAAGTTCAAGGACACATGTGCAGGATGTGCAGGTTTATAACATGGGTAAACATGTGTTATGGGGGTTTGTTGTATGAATCATTTCATCACCCAGGCATTAGGCCTAGTATCCATTAGGTATTTTTCCTGATCTGCTCTCTCCTCTTGCCCTGCACCCTCCAATAGGCCCCAGTGTGTTTTGTTCCCCTCTGTATGTCTATGTGTTCTCATCATTTAGCTTCCACTTACAAGTGAAATCATGTGTTACTGGTTTTCTGTTCCTGCGTTAGTTTGCTAAGGATAATGGCCTCCAGTTCCATTCACGAACCTGCAAAGAACATGATCTCATTCTTTCTTATGGCTGTATAGTATTCCATGGTGTATATGTGCCACATTTTCTTTATCCAGTCTATCATTGGTGAGCATTTTGGTTGATTCCATGTCTTTGCTATTGTGAATAGTGCTGCAGTGAACATACATGTGCATGTGTCTTTAAAATAGAATGATTTCTTTTCCTTTGGGTATATACCCAGTAATGGAATTGCTGGGTCAAATGGTATTTCTGACTTTAGGTCTTAGGAATTGCCACACTGTCTTTCACAGTGGTTGAACTAATTTATACTCCTACCAACAGTGTATATGCGATCCTTTTTCTCCACAACCTTGCCAGCACCTGTTATTCTTTTTACTTTTTAATAATAGTCATTCTGACTGATGTGCGACGGTATCTCATTGTACCCCATTAAAAAGTGAGGAAAGGACATAACAGACACTTTTCAAAAGAAGACATACTTATGGCCAACAAGCATATGAAAAAAGCTCAACATCACTGATCATTAGAAAAATGCAAATTGAAAACATACATTTTCACATTTGAAATAATGATCCCAAATATCTTGGCATGAATGACTTGAATATCACAATGTTTTGTCCAGTGTTTGTTATGCACCATGCTAATGCTGATGATGCTGATAATGCTCATGTTTGAATTCTGACTTGCCATCTTATCTAAAAAGTTAAAAATGGTTAAAGCCTGATACTGCTGTCTTTTAAAGCTATGTAGAATAATTCCGTATAAACTATTGGGATATCATTTTTCTTAAAATATTGCATACCTTTCTTAATAGAAACCTATTTAGAGCTCTAAATAAAACTTGATACTTTACTAAATATTGTAAAATCCTTTCTTAAAGACAAAAATAACTAAAGAATGTTACGGACCCACTTGTGTTAGGATGAACAAATAACACTGTGTTTGGTACAGCTTTCACTTTACATTATTCCTGTTTCTTTTTTAGCCCCTCGGAAACCAAGCCCTAAGGGTCTACCAAACAGAAAGGGAGTCCGAGTGGGATTTCGCTCCCAGAGCCTCAATAGAGAGCCACTTCGGAAAGATACTGATCTTGTTACAAAACGGATTCTGTCTGCAAGACTGCTAAAAATCAATGAGTTGCAGAATGAAGTATCTGAACTCCAGGTCAAGTTAGCTGAGCTGCTAAAAGAAAATAAATCTTTGAAAAGGCTTCAGTACAGACAGGAGAAAGCCCTGAATAAGTTTGAAGATGCCGAAAATGAAATCTCACAACTTATATTTCGTCATAACAATGAGATTACAGCACTCAAAGAACGCTTAAGAAAATCTCAAGAGAAAGAACGGGCAACTGAGAAAAGGGTAAAAGATACAGAAAGTGAACTATTTAGGACAAAATTTTCCTTACAGAAACTGAAAGAGATCTCTGAAGCTAGACACCTACCTGAACGAGATGATTTGGCAAAGAAACTAGTTTCAGCAGAGTTAAAGTTAGATGACACCGAGAGAAGAATTAAGGTACAATTTCTACAGCTTCTAATTGTACTTTCTTGGGATGTTTCTCATTGGGCATTTAATGTGCTCTCTTAAAATTGCTTATTGCAGTTTGGTATTTGCTTGGAAATGAAAACTATTTTTAGTACTGTTTTGGGAAAATTTGGATTTTATATTTAAGAGGAAGATGCAAAAGATTGTGTACATTAATGAGCTACATGTTGATTGACGGATCATAGTCATTTTGGGAAAATACTCTATTTGGTTATCTGATTGTTTCTCTAAAATTGGAAATGACACTAATAGCCATAGTATATAAAACTGACGTTTTGGGGCCACTGTGTAAGAGATGCCACATGAACAATGACTTCTGTTTTTATATTTATGCACATTATTTATTGAAGATTAATTACAGTACATCTTTTTGGACATGGAATGCACCTCCTCCCCCGAATGAAAAATCTGTTAAAGGATGGGTGGGAGACTGTTGACTGACTAGTCTGAGAATACAGCAGCTCTTTTAAAAGTATTTCTTTCCTGAATGGAGAGAGGAAAAGAGTCCTATCCCATGATTTTTACACAGGGCAGTCAGTTGCCACCTTCTATATATATATGTATCAAACAGAAGCCCTGAGTCAGGTTCTGTTGCTTAAAATTGACAAGCAGTTTGGAAAGCAAAGGTACGAAAAAGTATGGCAATAATGCTTGCTGTGAGCGTGAGCAAAGGAAGCTCAGAACTACAAATAAATTAGGTTTCTGCAGTATATTAATCAGATGTTTTTAATACATGGCATGTTGTGGTACTTACTCTATATAATATGCCATGCCCATTATACCAGTGCCATGCCCAGGGACGGGGACTTATTAAATATGCACCGTACATCAGTGGCCAGAAAAAGCGGCTATTTTTTTCCTCCAAAATTTGCAACTATTGTCTTCTGTTTCAGTGCACAGAAGATATCCTATTATGTAGATTCCAATAATGATCAGCTCATAGTGCAAAGCAAACAGAAACTATTTTTAAGAGCCACTTACCCATGAAGTAGGGTAGGAGTGGGGACTCAGAACAGTTACCGTAAACAACAAATAACTGACATTTTAATTATTTTTAAAGGGAAGCATAAAATGTGCCACATAATGGATTTTAAAATTACGAAGCGCACAGAATGCTAATTAATAAATATGATAAATAGCTGAGTGTGTATATAAAACTACATATAGAGAGAGAACATGAAATTGCAGTGCATACACACACATATACAACTATACACTGCAGTTTTCTCTTATGTGAAGGGGATTGACAGGTGGTGGAGAGGGAGAAGAAAAAGAAGGAATAAGAAGTGGGACGAAGCCTGTGGATTCTGAGTTATACGTGGAGGTAAATTATATGACTGCTCACTTGGGAGCATGAAAATCAGTCACCTATAATGTTAAGTCTTTGAAGTAGTTAACCATATTGTATCCTCATTTTTTTTCATATTGGAAGTTTTTAAAATTTTTATTTTGAGTTCATTGTAAATTGACATGCAGTTGTAAAAAATATATAGTGTAACTATAATATTACAACCAGGAAATTGGTCGTGATACATAGAGTTCATCAACTGCACTCAGCTTTCACTAGTTTTACGTGTGTGTGTATTTAGTTCTGTGCAGTTTCATCACATGTATAGATTCGTGTGACTACCAACATAATCAAGATATAGACCAATTCCATCACAAGAATCCCTTGTATTTTACCATTTTACAGCCACAGCTACCTCCTGCCTTCCCCTCACTAACCTATGACATCAGCTAATTTGCTCATTATTTCTCTAATTTTGTCATTTCAAGAATGTTATATAAATGGAATCACACAGTATCTAACCTTTTGACATTAGCAGATTTTGCTTATACATTCACTCAAATGGTTGCATATATCAATAGTTCCTTTCTCCCTGAGTATTCCATGGTATGGATGTACTATGGAGTATTATGGTACATCTGTTGAAGGACATTTGGTTTGTTTCCAGTTTTGGGCTCTTGACTAATAAAACTGCTATGACCACTTATGTGCACATTTTTGTTTGAATATACATTTTAATTTCTCTGGGATATATGCCTGAAAGTGCACTTGCTGGTTTTATGATAAATGTATGTTTGGTGTTGTAAGAAACTGCCATTCCATTCTCTTTTTTTTTTGTATTTTTTTCTTTGTTGTTGTTTTTTCCATTTGTAACAATCATCAGAACATTCTCTTTTCTAAAGTAGTGGTATCATTTTTTATTGTCCCGTCAGTAGTGTATAAGTGGTCCAGTTTCTCAGCATCCTTGCCAGCATTTGGTGTTAACACTTTTTAAAGTTTTAGCCATCTTGATAGGTATGCAGCATCATCTCATTGTGGTTTTAATTTGCCTTTCCCTAATGGCTAATGATGTTGAACATCTTTTCATGTGCTTATGTGCCATCTGTAGATCTGTGCATTTTTCTGCCCATTTCCTAATTGGATTGTTTGCTTTATCTATTTTTGGAGAATTCTTTATTATAATCCAGATACAAGGGTTTTGTCAGGTATGTGGTTTACAAAAGTTTTCTCCCATTCTGTAGCTTGGTCTTGTCATCCTTTTCACAGTGTCTTTCAGAGGAGAAATTTTTAATTTTGATGTGGTTCAGTTTAGCAGATACATCTCTTATGGATTGTGCTTTGGTGTCAAGTCTAACACGTCACCTATCCCTATTGTCTTTGCCTGTTTGTCCCAAAGACTTTCTTCTATTTTTTCATCTCCCAGCTTTATCGAGGTATAATTGACAAATAAAAATTGATTATTTTTAAGGTGTACCACTTGGTGTTTTATAAAATGGTTATGATTTTAGGTTTTACACTTAAGTCCATGATTCATTTTGAGTTAATTTTTGTATAGAATGTGAGGTTTAGGTTGAGGTTCTTTATTGTTTGTTTGGCCTATGGATGTGTAGTTACTCCAGCACCATTTGTTAAAAAGATATCCCTCCTTTATTGAATTGCTTTGGCACTTTTGTCAGTTGGGCATATTTTTATGGGTTTATTTCTATAGTCTCTATTCTGTTCTGTTGATCTGTGTGTCTATTCCTTTGTTGTTACTATACACTCTTGATTACCTACAGCATCCATAATAAACCTTAACATTAGAGAGACTGATTCCTCTCATGTTATATCTCATTTTAAACATTTTAACTATTTTAGCTACTCTTGATCTTCTGCCTTTCCACATAAATTTTAGAATAAGCTTGTCTACATCTACAAACATCTTCCTGGAATTTTTGTAGGAATTGCATTAAACATAGATCAGTTTGTGGAGAATTGACATCTTTACTGTGCTGAATCTTCCAATCTTGCACATAGTATGTGTCTCCATTTATTTAGGCAATCCGATTTTTTTCCTCATTATTTTGTAATTTTCAGGATACAAATCTGTATATGTTTTAGATTTATACTTAAATATTTTATTTCCTTTGGAGCAATTTTAAAATGCTCTCAATTCTTACTGAATTAGAAAATTACTTTTGAACTTTTATTTTTGAATGTCAAAGCTTATTTTTGTTGTAAAAGTTATTTTCACAAGGGGTTAAGAATGTTTTATGCAAACCAAGGAATGACTTGGTTTTATAAATTTACTCCCAAGTTTTAGAAATACTGGATTTATCTGCTCTATACCTCAAAGTTGGGTTGGTACATCTAAACTGCTTCATTTCTGCTATAATTGACATTATGTTGGAATCAATATTTAATATGTTATTATGAACCTACTTTTTTTTTTTTTTTTTTTGAGACGGAGTCTCACTCTGTCGCCCAGGCTGGAGTGCAGTGACATGATCTCGGCTCACTGCAACCTCCACCTCCTGGGTTCAAGCGATTCTCCTGCCTCAGCCTCCTGAGTAGCTGGGATTACAGGCACACACAACCATGCCCGGCTAATTTTTGTATTTTCAGTGGAGACGGGATTCACTATGTTGGTCAGGCTGGCCTGGAACTCCTGATCTCAGGTGATCCACCCACCTCGGCCTCCCAAAGTACTGGGATTACAGGCGTGAGCCACCACGCCCAGCCATAAACCTACTTCTCTTAACCCAATAACCTCATATCAGCTGTTGTACTATAGTAGCTCTCTTGTTATTTGAGGGGATGGGGGGAGTGTAGCCAGCGCAGCCCACCTGAGGGTAATTGTTCTCTACTTTTTAACCTACTTTTTCATACTTCCTAAATGCAGCCTCTGGTTTTTAACCCATTATGTACATCTTTCATGATCTCATCAGTCAATCCAGAATTTGAAATATTTACTATTGAGTTTCTTACTTTACTGCAAAATTTAGCATTTGTTTTTGTGCCTTATTTTATTTTTCAAATTTTACTTCAGCCAACACTATTGATCCTTTCTCTTCTAACTCAGTTATAGTCAAACCACTAACTGATTAAGGGGAAAAAACAGAAGCTTGATTGTGATGTTTCATTTTGCAAATTAACTAAAACCTAAGAAAATCCTGGGTATCCCTTGAAATTACAGTAAAATCTTAGTAAAGATCTTCGTTATCATTAAGTTCTGTGATGTTCTTTAGTAAGGATACTTGTCTATGTGGTGGTGTTTTTTTTTTTCTTTTGCTGTAACTTTTTGTTTTATTTTAAGATAAAGCTGGAAATTGTGGCAAGCAGCTTTGTTTATTTGTTTATAGCTTGTCCCATTCTAGGATTTCAGGCCACAACTCATTCTTCTTGCTAGTTGCAATTCCTTCTTAAGTGGGGGTGGTGGGGGTGGGGTGAAGTGTCTTCAGGGTTATCTGTAACTAGCTGAGCTGTGAAAAACTTCGCCAGGACATCAGCCTGTAAGTTGGGTACAGGCTTATTTTGTTCGTTGATGGAAGTGACAGAATGCACAGAATCTTAGTAATTTACGAACGGAGTAGTTTAGAAATGGATAACTGGTTAGGGAGGCAAACAGCCAAAGGTATCTATGGGGACAACCACCATGACAGTTGTCTGTCCTCCTTCAGAAATTACAGCCTATCTTGTAAGATGTGGTTTGCTCTAGTTCCGGGCCATAGACCAGGGATGGAGAAATACTTGATGGGATTAAACTTCCTGAGCTCCGTACAAAGGGCAGTTACCTCAGTGTGTATACTTACTTCCTTACTTAGAGTTGACTTTATACCTTTATTTTGGCTTTTATATCAATAAATTTATTGAATAAAGTCCTGTCAATGTATCAGCCTCAATTTAATATTTTGTCACATGGGATACCTATTAACTTCCACAGGAATGGCACCAGGTTCAAGAGTCTGAAAAAGAGATCCAGCGCCAGCAAATGAGACATAAGGTTTACTGAGGGTAACTTGCATACAGGTTGGTCCAGTGGTGGTGGGCTGGACAGTAGAACTGCCACCTTTTGCAGAAAGCATGCAGTTTATATAGCATTTTCACTTAACCTCCACCCCCTAACAACCTCCACCTGGCAACTTCTTTTAACCCAAAACAAAGAGTCTGGACTCCCTGTATGGCCAGCATTCCACGGGACAGGCCAGGGACTCAGATGTTCCTCACAGGTAAGGAATGAATCTCTTGGGTTGGCCACTGCTTGGAACTGTGAACACACATTCAGGTGTGTCTGCCGTACAGGATCATTCTCAAGGTGTGCTTAAGTTCAGTTATTGCTGTCAGGTGCATCTACCATACATATACATATGCCATGCAATATTTAAATAAAACCGTAACACATGTACAGCTAACTTTTATAGAAGAAAAACATTTTTTAGTTATATAAAGTAGTGATTTCCAAACCTTTGCTCTCAAGACCCCTTTATACTCTCTTAAAAATTATTGACACCTCCCCCCAGCTTTTGTTTATGTATATTTAGCACATTTGAAATAAAAATTGAGAACATTAAAAAATTTGTCTTAATTCACTTAGTAATAAGCAGCTCATTATATGTTATAAGATCTTTTAACAAAAAATCTATATTTCCCAAACCAAAAATAAATTAGGACAAGAGTGCATAATTTTCTATTTTTTAATTTTTTTAATGCCTGGCTTAATAGGGGACAGCTGGGTCCTCATATCTGCTTCTGCTTCAATCTGTTGCATTATGTTGTGATTGATAAGTATGAAGAAAATTGAGCCTCACACAGATGTCTAAAGTAGTTAGAAAATGGAGGAGTATTTTGGTAGCCTTTTCAGGTAACTGGATATTGTTTTTTGGTATTATGCTAAAGCTTAACAAGTGATTTCTTAATGGTTAGTTGCAATGGAGGAAGATGAAACCATATTAATGAGCGTTTTGTATTTGGATACACTAACATTCATTGGTCGTCTTTCAATGGATGTTTTACATCACACATTGGTCATTTGGAAAATACTGGTTCATTGAGTTATACAGACTTTCCAAACGTGTATATGTTTCAGTGGAGCCTTTGGAAAACCCCATTGTATATTCATGACACAATATGAGTGAAAATAGCAAATATAATCTTAGTATTATAAAATAGTTTTGACTTTGAAGACCCTCCAAAGTGTCTCAGGGACCTTTAAGGGTTTTCACATCATTCTTTATGAATCACTGACTTAACATAGGCAGTTCTTTGTTAGAAACTTCATTAGTAATTCGGCTAATATGCAGTTTCTTTTAGTGACTGCAAGACTGCACCATTTCTTAGTGGTCTAGAGACTGGCTTCAAATAGGGGGTGAAAGTAAAGGCATCAATTCTGTCCTAACTCCTCATAAGAAAGACTTACTGTTGGGGTTGTATTCCTGATCAGGGATGCAATAGCAGATCAGTCATAGCTATGACCAACAGTGTGTCATAAAGCAAATATCATGAAAGGTAACTATCATAAGAAACCATAATCATGAAATGGGAAACTGTCTTCTAAGCATTATGAAAAGATCATAAATGTGATATTATGTACATTATTATTAAAAGGACCTTAGTAAACTGTAGGGTACACATTTAGTACATATAAAAATTCAACTCTTTTTAAATTAAGTTGGCACAGAGTGAATTACTTTGTTAGAAAAACAAAAAGAAACTATTAAGACTTTTTTAAAAATTTCTAAAGATTTTGGGGAATGCTTGAGTATCATCATACAGCTCAGTATCAATGGAGCTATTAAAGGAAGTTTGAATAAACTTTTTTCTTTCAGTAGATTTTACTATAAGAGATTGGTATTCAAATTCTCTTGACCCTAGAGCTGCCCTCGAGTAGGTGTATTATAAGTGTTGCTTGTTGATTGCTTCCATGTAAACCACTTTCAAAAGTAAGAATTGAAATTCTTCCCTTTACTTACATTGTCTTCCCTTTACTCTTCCTAGTTTATCTTCCTAGATACAGCATTATCTTCCCTTTACTCTTCTTAGTTTATTCAGAACTGGAAGTGAACTGTCTAGTATTGGGCCAGGTAGGATCACTTTCCTTTATCTTTTCCTGCTATATTTTGCTCTAGTGGCTTGGAAGCTGCTCTGAAAGTTTTTCTGCCCTTTCACCCTTCAGAAACCCAAATCCAGAAGCCTGCCTTTGCCTCTTCTACCTCTTCTGCATTTATCTAACAAATGAAGCTAATTAGGACAGAATAATGGTCAAACTGGGTTAGCCCTGTTCTTGTCTAACTCTGAGTTTGTACAGTTCTCCTTACCTCCAGGTTGCAGTCGTTTCATCTGAGAAATTAAACGGAATGATTTCTGAGGTGACATTCCGTTCTGAAATCTGATGAGTCTAAATTCATACTTTCAAACCTTTCATATGCAAAAAGTGTTTTTAACATGGTAAATTATATTTATGCCCCCCAATTAAGTCCTTATTATATCTATTATTTAATGTTGGAGAAATGAAAAATTCCTGTTGTTGAAAAGAATAATTGCTTAGAAGATAAAATATTCATTGAGATTCTACTAATTTTTATTGTATAATCAAAGATTTTATTATTTATGTATATTTTTACCTTTTCTGGAGGGAGAAGATTTATAATGAAATTATGATATTTTTGATTGAAGTGTAAAGCTTAAAACAGTTTCAGAAAATAAGCTTTGCAGTGTCCTTAGAAACTACCCATTTAGGTAGAACAACTGTTAAGGCAATTTTGTGTTAATATCTAAGATAACCTTCCCATTGAAAAAGTAATACAAGCACTAAAACAGGGCTTAAAATTCAAATAATACAAAAGGATAGACAATGAAACATTAGTTTCCCTTCTAGGCTACGCGTTGCAAGCCCCTTCCAAAGAAACAGTCACTGTTAAGAAATTGTTGCTATGTGTGCAATCTCATATCTATATATTAATGTCCATTTTTCATTCTCTTACCACAGATGGGAGTGTACCATACACATTGTTCAATACATTTTTTTCACTGAAAAGTATATTTTGGCACTTTTTACATATTATCATGTTATATACATATATTTAGATAGATATGTATGTGTATTTTTGCACACACACGAAAAAAATCAGTCTCATGCTTTTTAAAGTCTGCGTATTATTCCATTGTGTAGATATATCATAATATGATGAACCCTTTCCTTATTACTGTTAAATTTAAGTTTAGCCTAAAGCTGCCTTCTTTCATATTTTAAGTTTGGCCTAAAAGTTTCTCCATACATAGTGACCTATAATCTAACTGGATATGTAAACAGACTGTTAGATACTCTTGTACCAGTCACAGAGTTCACCCAGTGACCGGTGGCCAACTATTCAAACTATGTTCAAGTAGTGCAGACACCAAGCTGTAACCAGCCCACCTGTTTCTTTACCTCACTTGTGTTTTCTGTATGTCATTTCCCTTTTTCTGTCCATAAATGTTACCTGACCATCTGGCAGCCTTGGAGTCACTCTGAACCTATTCTGGTTCTAGTTGCTGCCCAGTTTGTGAATTGGCTCAAATAAACTCTGCTAATGTGTCTAAAGTTATTCTTTTAACATTAATATATATGTTGGCTTTTGTTTTGAGGTAGTATAAAAGATGCAAAGCATTAAACGTAAGTTTTTATATGTGTATGTTAGTATACTAATGGAAAAAGGCTGGAAGAGGAAGTCCCTGGGTCAGTAGAGCATTTTAAAATCATTTTTGGCTATTTGTTAATATCAGGACTCTAAAGAGTGGTACTGGATGA
Organism: Homo sapiens; assembly: GCF_000001405.40. Lineage (NCBI taxonomy): Eukaryota > Metazoa > Chordata > Mammalia > Primates > Hominidae > Homo > Homo sapiens. The sequence continues at coordinate 79,504,128 of NC_000006.12, read as the reverse complement.
TAGTTGTTCTTGGATCAAAGTTAAATTCTTCATTTTGGGAGGATTAAATTGGCCTTTCTTGTGGTTATTATCATTCCAGGAAATTCTAGAGCATTTACATTTTTTGTTTCCCATCCCCTAGGCATTTGCATTTTTATGAAAGCATCTTTAATATAGAAACATTGATGGACTTTGCTAACTTAGTTGAGTTACAAATTATTGGCTTAGAATTCAAGGTCAAATTTTAAAAATTTTAGCTTATATTTTAATTAGACTATTAGTTAGACTGTTAATACCTACCCTTTAACCTATTAAGTTCTGAGTGGAACTTTATACGCACGCGCACGCGCGCACACACACACAGTTTCAAATTCTGGTTATACACCATTCCAGCTTTATGATGTGTGATACACCACTTAAATTATTTGAACCTTAGTTTCCAGTCTGTATATGTTTGCAGGTGATCGTAAATAGGGTTAGGGATAAAGTTTATAATGAGTCTGGCTCAGCGCTTGGTACTTACTGGACACCTAATATATGAGTGGAAAAAGAGAAATATACTAAAAGTACATGAATTAAAGGTAAATACATTAAAGCATGGTAGCATTCTTGAGTTTGAAAGGCCCCTGGAAATAATTTAGTGCAGTGGTTTTCAATTTGAGCTCAGTGGACTTCAAGAGTTCTACTGTTTTTTTAAAAAAGGTTTGAAACTACTGATTTGGTCTATTGGTTTTTCAAATTTTGGCAGTTCTTCACAGGCAAGCAGATAAAACTGAATTGTTCTGTGGTAGTGACTGAAGAGTTATGTTACAAAGGGGACTTCAGAAACTCACATGCCTAACAACTTGAAGCAACCTCTGAAACACCTCCATGGGGAACTCTCTAGTCCAACTCAAACATTGAACTGTTGAGGAAACTGAGAGATGTTATTTGCCTTCTTCTAGGTCACATAGAATCAGATAGGTCATGGCCGGGTGCAGTAGCTCATGCCTATAATTTCAGAACTTTGATAGGCCAAGGCAGATGGATCAGTTGAGCTCAGGAGTTCAAGACCAGCCTAGCCAACATGTTGAAACCCTGTCTCTACCAAAAATACAAAAATTAATCATGTGTGGTGGTACACACCTTGTAATCCCAGTTTCTCGGGAGGCCGAGGCAGGAGAATCGCTTGAACCTGGGAAGTGGAGGTTGCAATGAGCCAAGATCATGCCACTGCACTCCAGCCTACGCGACAGAGTGAGACTCTGTCTCAAGAAACAAAACAAAACAAAACAAAAAAGAATCATATAGGTCACTAGAAGCTCATGTGTGGGAGTAGAATTGCAGTAATCTGTCTTCTGTTGCTCTATTAATTTGTTACCATTTTAGTAAAATCCTTGGAATTTTATCACATTTAAATGCTGAGTAATAGGTTCCTCTTATAATAGTATATTTTGTGTTTTTTCATAGTTTTAAATGACAGCAGGAATTAAAATATTATAATTTTGGTTATTTTATCAGCATCTTCTGATAAAATGATCTAAAAACTGTAAAAGATACTAATTGTTTTTTCAAAGTCTGTCATCATGCTAATTCTCTATATGTCATTTGCTGAGCAGAAATCACTTCTAAAATCCGTTTTATTTTTGTTGCTAACTAGTAAATACTGTGGAGTAAAATCTATGTTGGAAGACAAAAGCTCAGGGTAAGGAAAGGCTTAAGATTTTTAAAGGAAACAGATTTCTTTAAAGAAAACAGGTTTCATTAGAACAAGAACAAGGTCCATTACTTAGGGCAGACTCGTAATGCACAGAGGAAGCATAACTATTGGATTATGAGTTTGCCTCTGTCTTGTCCTGCTCAAAGCAGATGAAGAAATAGTAAGACATAGATAGCTCATTTAAATGAGCTCAGTCTCCAGATTCAGATGAATTATCCTCCAGAGGACTGAAGAACCTTGCAAATGTGATTCCAGAGCTTTTCTCATTGTACTTTGGAGAGTTAGGAAGACTAGGAGAAGTGAGAAAGTGAAAAAAGGCAAATACCAGTGTTTTCCGAGGTAAACAGAGGTAGGTGTTAGAAATTATCAATCAGTGAGCTTGATGAAAATCTCTACCAGGTTTTTAAATGTTTTGGAAAATATTGCTTACTTAGAACTATTCTTACTTTCTTCCCCCCACTGCCCTGCTTAGGATTGCTAGAATGGTGCATGAAAATATGCTATATCTACTATATTCTCCTATGTGTATATACTATATATTATACATCTGTATTCTATACTACATACTATACTGTTATACTATATACTTATAGAATATACAGTTATAGAACTCTATATATTATACATAGAGAACTATAGAGAACTCTATATATTATATAGAGAGAACTATATAGAACTCAGTATAGTATATACAGTTATAGAATTCTGTTATAGTTATAGATGTATATAGTATATGCCATATATTAATATATAGAATATACAATATACTATATACAATATAGTATATAACTATATTGTACCTATTAGCATATAGTGGATATAATTGGATACTATATAGTAAATTCAGTAAGCCTTTCATGTTTGTATTTTAATGGAGAAGTATGGACTGGTTGAAAATAGTGTTAGAAAGCTTTACAATTGGATCAGTAATTGTACCCAAAGGGTGCAGTTAAATAAATAGCTGTCAACTTGGAGAGAAGGTTTCTAGGTGGGTGCTTTCGAGTGCTATCTTAGGCTCTGTTCCTTTCAGCATATTTATCAGTGAATTTGACCAGGCTCCTTAACAGCAAGAACAAGTCTTATTTAATTTTTTATTTGCAACATTTGGCACTCTCTGGCATAAAATTAGTGTTTCTTAAAAGAATGAATGGATGGATATGTTCTTGACAGGTTCAAAAATAGGAGGCCCAACGAATTTGATGGATGACAAGATCAAGATTGATCCCCCTAGGCTCAAAATCTGGCCTAAAATAAGCAAGATAAAGTTTAGTCAGGTTAACTGTTTCACTTCAAAGTTTTTCCATCTATTTTATGCGTACACTATGGGGAGCCCTGGGTTAAAAGTAATTGAAGTTAAAGCGTAATTTTTTAAGTATATGAACCTATAATTGTATGGCCACTTAAAAAATCAGAAGGGAAGAAGTTAACCCACTATGGTGATACCTTTGTCCTAAGAGGTAATAATAACTCTAATTTTATTGGTCAGATCACATCTAATAGCAAGTACCAGATTTTAGGTAACAAACTGACATATGGAGGCAAACAGGATAACCAGGGGGTCAAAAAGCTGACATAAAAGAAACAGTGGAAGAAACACAGAATCATAGAAAATATAAGGAAAAATGTAACTTACTTCATTGTTTAAAGGGCTGTCACATGGAGCAGGAGAAATGGATTTATTTCCTGAGGGCAATACAAACCTAATGAATATTACTAGAAAACTGGTTTCCTCTCATTCAAAAGAGCCTCCTAATAACTGGAATTGTCCAATAATGAAACCAGTATGCTTTGCATTATCAAGCTTTCTGCTTCCTGAAGTATTTGTGCAGATTCAATGTCTACCTTCTAGGAATACTGTAAAAAAGTATTACTGTAAGGTGGACTGGAGACCTGCAGGGTCCTTGCTTACACAAGGATCTGAATCTTTAGAATTGAGCTATAACAACACTGAACAGATGTTAAAACAGCTGACATTGATAGACTTATTTTAACAAATGCAATATTGTTATTTAAATCTATAATCCTTTACTAATTAATAAAAAATAAATGAAGGTAAAATAACTTATCCTTTGTGTTTGCTTGCAAAAATTTTAAATTATGTTAATCCTTTATTTCTTTCCATTAACAAGACAGAATTCTGTGATATGTCCTTTGGAAAAAATGTTAAGTATTTTAAATTTTATTGTATTATTAACGTGTTTGTTTAAAGATGTTTTGAAATTTACAGTAAAAGTGGGGAAAAAAATTACCCAAAGGACTGTAAATCATGCTGCTATAAAGACACATGCACACATATGTTTACTGCGGCACTATTCACAATAGCAAAGACTTGGAACCAACCCAAATGTCCAACAATGGTAGACTGGATTAAGAAAATGTGGCACATATACACCATGGAATACTATGCAGCCATAAAAAATGATGAGTTCATGTCCTTTGTAGGGACATGGATGAAATTGGAAATCATCATTCTCAGTAAACTATCGCAAGAACAAAAAACCAAACACCGCATATTCTCACTCATAGGTGGGAATTGAACAATGAGAACACATGGACACAGGAAGGGGAACATCACACTCTGGGGACTGTTGTGGGGTGGGGGGAGTGGGGGAGGGATAGCATTAGGAGATACACCTAATGCTAAATGACGAGTTAATGGGTGCAGCACACCAGCATGGCACATGTATACATATGTAACTAACCTGCACATTGTGCACATGTACCCTAAAACTTAAAGTATAATAATAATAAAATAAAATTTAAAAAAAAGGAAAAAAAAAAGTGGGGCAAAAATATCCATAGTCCTGCCAGCCGAAGATAACTACTATTTGCATTTTCTTCCTTATTGATTGTTTCTTTAATTTCTTAAAGTACTTCTAATATTTTTTATGAAATATTTTGAATATACAGAAAAAGAATATTTAAAACATTCATGTACCTACTTGATATTTTTCTATTTTTGCTTTAGATCTTATTTTGCTAAAATAAGCTGACATTAAGATCTTAAACTGAAGTTTCCTTGTATCTTTTCTCCAAACATCCTTTTTCTACTCTCCTTGCTCAGAAGTAACTACTCTTTTGAAGTTGTAGGATATATTTTTTCTAAGCATTTTAATTTTTACTTAAACATATTTTAGAAGCTTTTTTTAAATAAGTAGTACATGTATATATATTTTTAATTAGAGAAAAATTAAAAGATAAAATGAAAACATTCTCATTCTTACCACTCAGATGTCACCACTTTTAGTGTCTTAGTATGTATCCTTCTGGATCTTTTTCTGTGAATTTGTGTGTGTATTTATGTGTAAGGAAATTTTCTTCTACTACTGGCTTGCTAGGGTTTTTGTTTTAAATCATGGATTGTTTTGAATGTGAAACTACTCTCGTTCTTTGCTTCTTGGGATAGGTGCTGTTTAGTTGTGATGCAATTTTTACACATTGCTAAATTCCTTTTGCTAATATTTGTTTGAGACTTTTGCAACAATATTCATATTTTGGAATGGTGTACAATTTTATTTTTCCACTATTGACATCAAGATTATAAAAAAATCTCATCAAAAATGACATAGAGTTTTTCCTTTCTGTTCTCTTTTACAGATAATCTGTTTCTTAAAATTTGTTAGATTTCACCACTGAAAACTGGATTTATTCCTCATTTGGGAGTTTGTTTTTGCTTTTTTGGTTTCTTTTTCTACTTAATCTTTTAATTTTTAACAGTGTTTTTAATTTTTAAAAAAAATTCTTCTTAATATTTTAATAGTATTTTTTAGTTTACCATTATTTCTTGCATGTCACCATTGTTCATTATTGTTCCTTCAGGGTTCACTTCCTTTCTTACTGAAATATATGTTTAAGTGAGGGCTTCTGAGTGGCAACACTTTTTAGTAGTTGTCTGAATGTATTTTATCTTCACTCTTCAATGATAATTTTACTGGGTCTTGCTGGATTCCAGGTTGACAGTTATTATCATTTGGAACTTAAGTATTTTTTAGCCCTGGTATTTTTTTTAACATGTTCTCATTGAGTTTAATGGTTTCCTGTTTTGCTCCAAAATATCTAGGGGGGGATAGGATTTTTTAAATTAATATTTTATATGGAAATAATTTCAAGCTTACAGAGAATTGCAAATCTGAAAACAGTACAAAGAACACTCCTATACAGTTTACCCAGATTCGTCTGTTGCTAACATTTTATCCCATTTGTCTTATAATATGCATGCATGCTCTCTCATGTGGTCTCTCTGTCATATGCATATATACACATACTTTTTTTTTTTTTAGCTATTTGAGGGTAACTTGCATACATCATGCTCTTTACCCCTAAATGCATCAGTGTGTATTTTTTCAGAATAGGGATTATGCCCTTTATAGAACCATAGTAAAATTATGGTTATACTATGATTTACACTTATATAATGATTTCCTCTAATCTACTGTCTGTAGTACAGTTTTTGTCAGTTGACTTAATCATATCTTTCTTTTTTTTTTTTTTTTTGAGATGGAGTCTCACTCTGTCGCCCACTCTGGAGTGGCTCACTGCAACCTCCACCTCCCGGGTTCAAGCGATTCTCCTGACTCAGCCTCCTGAGTAGCTGGAATTACAGGTGCGCACCACAACGCCTGGCTAATTTTTGTATTTTTAGTAGAGATGAGGTTTTACCATGTTGGTCGGGCTGGTTTCAAACTCCTGACCTCATGATCTGCCCGCGTCGGCCTCCCAAAGTGGGATTACAGGCATGAGCCACCGCACCTGGCCATCATTGTATCTTTTATAGTACTTTCTGTTCTCCAGTGGGACCCAGTCTAGGGTCAAGTATTATACTGAATTGTCCACCTTTCTAGCCTCCTTTTATCTGGACCATTTCCACATACTGTTGTTCTTTTATTTATGACATTCACATTTTTTGAAGCATACAGCTCCATACCCCTTTTCATTTAATAGAATATCCTTAACTTCGTATTTCTCTTATGTTTCATTGTGTATAGATGAGGTTTTTGTATTTTTGGTGAGAATACTGAATAGGTGATATTATTTTCCTTCTTAAGGTATCACATCTGGAGCCACATGATGTCGCCTGACCTTCATTAGTAATGTTAATTTTGATCTCCTAGCCAAAGTGTTGCTCAACTTGTCTAACATTTATACATTAACTGTTCTTCCTCTTATAGTGAAATCAATAAGCAGTCTATGTGGAGCTGCCTTAAGAATATGTAAATATCTTGTTCCTCATGAAAATTTAGCATCCGTTGATGATTCTTTTCTGATCCGGTATTTATCATGATGCTCTTTCCAACTTCATCTCTCATTATATCTTCAATTCTGGAAAATTCTTAACTTTTTTGCTTGTTTTGTTTTTCAGTTTGCTTTTTCCTCATTTTGTCGTTATCTTTTAGATTCTTATTACATTACAAAAACATTTCATGAAGAATATGGATGGGCAATAAACATGACAATTAACTTTAGTAGTAATCAAAGAAAAACAAATTAAAATAATTGTATCCTTCTTTAGGCCAATCTGATGGATTAAAGAATTAACAATTTCCTGTTATTGTAAGTATCTAGTGAAATAAAGGCTACTAGACTTTCAAAGAGAATGTAAATTGTTACAGCCTTTTCTAAGGGCATATTGGTAATGTTTTTCAAAACCTTGAAATTGTACTAATGTCTGTCAACCCAGAAGCTTCATTTTTTAAAACTTACACATTTGTTTTTACTGTTTTTTATTATCTATAAAAAGTTTTAATGCCTTTTTGTACTCCTCCCCCTTTTATCAATCCCTGCCCACTACTCCTCAGCTAATCTAATGTTTGTTTCTGTAAATTACTTTGCATTTTAAGAATTTTATATACGTGGAGTCATATAGTATGTATTATTTTATTCCTGGTTTCTTTAGCAAAACTATTTTGAGTTTCAAACATGTTGCAAGTATCAATTGTTCATTCTTTTTTATTGCTAAGTGGTAATTACCCTTATTGTATACATATATATGACATTTTGTTTATCCATTAATCCATCCCATTGATGGACATTTGGATTGTTTCCAGTTTTGGCTATTGCAAATAAAGCTGCTGTGAACATTCATGCAGAAGTCTTTGTATAGACACTGGCTTTTCTTTCTCCTGTGTAAAGACCTAAGTGTGGAATGAATGTGTTATATAGTAGATGTATGTTTTACTGCCCAACTGTTTTCCAAAATGGTTGTACCATTATACATCCGCAAAACAAAAGTGTATGAGAGTTCTGGTTGCTACTCATCCTTGCCATTTTGTATGCTTAGTTTTTCCAGTTTAAGACATTCTGATAGATAAATAGCATTGTTTTATTGTGGCTTTAATTTGTGTTTCCTTTATGACTTACGATATTGAAGCATTGTTCTATATGCCCATTTGTCTCTGGATATCTTTTTGGTGAATTATCTGTTTACATATTTCCTCCATTTTTTTGCTGAGCTTTTTGGTTTCATGTTACTGAATTTTGTGGGACAGATACAGATGTTTGGAGGTAATATATAGTTGACCACTGAACAGCATGGGTTTGAACTGAGTGGGTCTACTTATGCAAAGATTTTTTTTTTCAATAAACACGGTAGGCCCACCATATCCACAGGTTCCACATTCCACAACCAAATGCAGAAATAAAAGTATTTGCAGTGTGTGAAACCTTTGGATGCGGAGGACCGACTTTTTTTTTTTTTTTTTTTGAGATGGAGTCTTGCTCTGTCACCCAGGCTGGAGTGCAGTGGCATGATCTCGGCTCACTGCAACTTCTGCCTCCCAGGTTTAAGTGATTCTTCTGCCTCAGTCTCCCGAGTAGCTGGGACTACAGGCGCGTGCCACCACACCTGGCTAATTTTTTGTATTTTTAGTAGAGACGGGATTTCACTGTGTTAGCCAGGATGGTCTTAATCTCCTGGCCTTGTGATCCCACTGCCTCGGCCTCCCAGAGTGCTGGGATTACAGACATGAGCCACCGCGCCTGGCCCGACTTTTTATATACTCAGGTTCCACAGGACTGACTGCAGGACTTGAGTATGCCTGGATTTTGGTATCCACAGGAGTCCTGGAACCAATCCCCTACAGACACAGAGGGATAACTCTATACATTTCTTCATACAAGTCCTTTAGTACAGCGGTCCCCAACCTTTTTGGCACCAGGCACTGATTTCGTGGAAGACAGTTTTTCCATGGACAGGGTTGAGGGGGATGGTTTCAAGCTGAAACTGTTCCACCTCAGATGATCAGGCATTAGATTCTCATAAGAAGAGCACAACTTAGAACCCTCGCAGGCACAGTTCACAATAGGGTTTGTACTCCTATGATAATCTAATGCTGTTGCTGATCTGACAGGATGCAGAGCTCAAGTGGTAATGCTCGCGCTTGCTCGCTGCCACTCACCTCCTGCTGTGCAAGCCCGGTTCCTACCAGGTCACAGACCAATAGCAGTCTGCAGCCCAGGGGTTGGGGACCCCTGCTTTAGCAGATAGGGGATTTGCACATATTTTCCCTAGTCTGTGGTTTATCTTTTCATTTGCTTAATGGGACCTTTCAAAGGTCAGGAGTTCTTGATTTAGATAAAGTCTAAGACACTTTATTTCTTAACATTTACCCTGAGGAAATAATACATGATTAAAGTTATATGTATTAGGATGTTTACTCTAGGAAAAATTGGAGCACCCTAATAATGAACAGCAGAATTTAGTTAAATTTTGATAATCTGTAAAGTACGATACTATTCCATTGAAAAAGATTGTGTTATTACAGTATATTGACTTAGGTATTTATGGTTTTATTTACTGAGAAAGATATATCAAAGTCTCAAATTATATACATCAAAATGTTGGCAGTGATTATCACAATGTAATGAGATTGTAACTGCTTTTTATTTTCTATTTTTTTGTTATTTTATTTATACTTATAATAAACATTTATTATATTTGTTATCTATCTATCTATCTATCTATAAGATGCTTTAAAAAAAGCCCGCAAGTTAGAAATGATGTCTTGACAAGTTATTTTAAAAGAAAATATTTCAACATGAATTATTTTATAAACCTGATGGGCCATGTTTGAAGACCATGGATGGAAATGGCTATTGTTTTTATCTAGAGATGTTTTACTCTAGGTACTCTCCGCAGCTTTGGTAGTGCTGTGTAATTTTATCTGTCTTGGTATCTTATTTGCCCAAGCAATGTGTGTGTGCTTAAGATTTTTTTTTTTTAAGATAGTCTTGTTTTGTCTACCAAGGCTTCATTTCACTGGCGCAAACTTCCAGGCTCTAGTGATCTTCCCGCCTCACCCTCCTGAGTAGCCGGGACTACTCAGGCATGCACCACCATGCCCAGCTAGTTTTTAAACTCTTATTTTATAGAGATGGGGTCTTGCTTTGTTGTCTAGGCTGGTCTCAAGAGCTCCTCCTGCCTAGGCCTCTCAAAGCACAGGATTATAGGCATGAGCCACCATCCCAGCCTTAAGAATTTATTTACAAATTACTGTGAAAAGCAAAGATAGGAATAACAGGCTTGATACCTTACTAAATTGTTGGTAAATCTGTTTCCCAGCTTATGTACATGAATACTATGCCCAGTCTGATTTGTAGGTCTTGGACAATACCACTAAAAACATCATTTTGACACTGCCATGTGTTATGTTTCATTGTTGGAATTTTTTTAAAGGACTGCTTTTTATGTATTTATACATATAGGAGCTATCGAAAAACCTTGAACTGAGTACTAACAGTTTCCAACGACAGTTGCTTGCTGAAAGGAAAAGGGCATATGAGGCTCATGATGAAAATAAAGTTCTTCAAAAGGAGGTACAGCGACTATATCACAAATTAAAGGTAAGTATTTTAAATTGCATTGTTTTCCATAATGTGTATTAGACGAAAATTAAATATTTTAAAACACTAAATGTTACTATTCATATTTGTAAGTTGGTACAATATAATTTACAAAATTCTGATATTATCTTTAGCACTTAGAAAAGGTTTGTTGGTATAATTACTATAACAAAGTGAAATTAAAAACAAAAACAAAAAAGGTGAAACACTGAATACACCAATAGAAATGATGTAACTGAAGTAAATTGTAAAATCATAGAAGAAAATTATGGGAACTAGAGCTTCACTGTGTTGCATGGTTGAATAATTCAGTGTTTTTCCTCAGATCACCCAATGATTTATTATTTTTGAAGTTGTTTCAAATGATGCCCTTCATTTTCACAGTGTTTAGAGAAAGTATTCAAATTATTTAATTTTGTTAAAACAGGTATTCTTCATTCTACATAGAAGTCATCAATGAGTTCTAGATAGAATGAAATTTTGCACAAAATTTTGTGTAACATAGTGCAAAATTATATATTATCTTATGTTTTCTTTTTGTTAATCAAATTCTCAGAAAAAGCCACAGACCCAAAATGGTCAAGTATGCCTGTGTATGAAAGAGTGGTCTAATTTTTAACTCATCAATATTTCAGAACTTACATTTGAGAGATACTAACTAAATTATTTGTCTCTGTGTCTCAGTTAAGACAGTACTAGCTCTATCAGGTAAGAATGAGTAGAAAATGAAATTTGCCTTAATTTTTTTAATTTCCAGGACATATTAGACTTTTTAGGGAAAATTATTGCTCTATCCTAACCTCAGTATGCTAGAGACATTTCTTTCTATAGTTTGGTAGTTACAAAAGGAAGCTGAACCAGGTAACTTTCAATATGGTAAGAAAATACCAGATGACAAAGTGAGGGGTTTTGTTTTGTTTTAAGCAGAGGCTCTACTTCCTTAATTGTATTGCGTTTGTTTTCAGGAAAAGGAGAGAGAACTGGATATAAAAAATATATATTCTAATCGTCTGCCAAAGTCCTCTCCAAATAAAGAGAAAGAACTTGCATTAAGAAAAAATGGTATGGTAAATATGATTGTTCAAAAACTGATATTATTGCTATTATTTAGTGATAGTACAATAATTCTGAAATGGAAGGGAAGGAAAAGAACCTCATTGAAATATATTTAAAATAAATGTATTTGTTGCAATTTAAATTTCCTAATAATTTTCAGAAATCCTTTTCTGTTTTCTCCATTTTTTTCCCCTGAAGTGACGCTGTTAAAATTGTTTTACATAACTTTTTGAAATTTCCTTATTATAATTTTTTAATGTTTTTGAAAATATGCAAATATACCCCGAAGTAGAGAGAGTAATATGATGCACTTTCATTTACATATCATGTAGCTTTAACAGTTATACTTTTTACCAGTTTTATTTCATCTGTTTTTTTACTTTTCTCCAGAGTATTATAAAGTAAATCTTAGCTGTCAGTTGATTTCACCTATAAATATTTTGTATTGTTATTTGTAGTTTTACTTTCTTTTTTAACAAAAGTATAATTTCCCTTTTATGTGAATTGCAAGATTTTAAAGTATAAATGTTGTGAAATTTAAAGCATTTATAGTCAGAATTCTCCCCAAATCATATAATTGCCAGTAAATCCTAGAAACAAAAATAGTAATAGTGAGTATTAACCAAGCTGAGCAAAACATGCATTATATTTATATGGTGAATATATATAGGTGAATATATATATTCTCCATTTAAATGAAGTGGTGCATATAAATGTACATGTATATGCAAACACACATGCATATATATATATACATGCCAGCTGAATTCCATATATTTTAGCATTATTCATTGTAATAATTTTTTAAAAATAATTTTCACTGTAGCTGCATGCCAGAGTGATTTTGCAGACCTGTGTACAAAAGGAGTACAAACCATGGAAGACTTCAAGCCAGAAGAATATCCTTTAACTCCAGAAACAATTATGTGTTACGAAAACAAATGGGAAGAACCAGGACATCTTACTTTGGTGAGTTTAGCAGTATTGTTATGTACCAAACTCGGTCTGAAGTTATTCCTAAAAACACAATATCAGACATTTTAAAATTTCAGTAATGAAGCTAGTACTATATCTATATGAATATGCGACTAGCCTTTTTGAAGGGAAAGAGGTATCGTGTATTTTGTAAAATTCCTTTGGCTTTTAGGAGATATACCTAATGCTAAATGACGAGTTAATGGGTGCAGCACACCAGCATGGCACATGTATACATATGTAACAAACCTGCACGTTGTGCACATGTACCCTAAAACTTAAAGTATAATAATAATAAAATTTAAAATTCCTTTGGCTTGAGTGTTTTAGTTTACATCACCTATTTCAGGTGCTTCAGAATGATGGATTGTGCTTCCTGGGTTGGGGGCAGAAGAGAAGAATTTGCCTTCTAAGTTTCTCTTATGTACCGACATAGTCTTGGAAAACCCTCAGTACTTTTATCTTTAGTAGCAAGTAATAGTAGTTTTCAAATGATTTGTTAGAATTTGACTAGGTTTAATTTTTTTTTTTTGGTCCTCTATATAGGAGAATTTTACATGTTAACTGACTGAATAATGAACAAGGTAATTGCAGTGGAATCTGACCTTATCCTGTTCAAATTAGAGTGGAATTCAAGGGGTCTCTGTTGGACTTTCATTTAAAAGGACCTTCATTCTGAATCACTGGAAAGTCTCTTTCTCTAAGAGAGTTTTATCTTTAGTGTTTACAACTTAAACCCCAAAGAAAACAACGTATCGGCAACCTAGCATATTTCATACAATGGTATATTTTTATACCTTATAAGTTTCCCAGTGACCCTGAGGTCTCTTCTTGAGGTATAAAACAGAAAGGATGAACTGATTTGATTTCTGTGTATATTCTAGTTTTTTATTTGTTTATTTATTTTTGTTTGATAATTCAGACAAGTTAGTTGTATCCGCTAAGTTGTGTTTCTGTATTTGTGCTGTCATTGAGACTAGATCATGTTGATTTGTCTTTTTGAAATCACAAAGTGAGGAATAACAAAGTAATTGTTAACTTTAAAAGGACTAAAATATAGGTCTTTTTACAGTATACATTCAACAGAAGGAATAGAAACCTGGTATAGTGAAAAGAGTATAAGAGTATATAGCCTTGGAGTTAGCTCTCATTTTAGTTAAATTCTAACATTTTAGTTGTGTGACTTCTTGGAGCCTCAGCTTTCTCATGTATAAAATGAGGGTGGATTACTTTTCAGGGTTGTGACAATGAGTAATCATGAAATTTTTTTTTCTTTTTCTTTTTTAGTCAGATGAAATTGGAAATAATCATGACATTTATAAAGCTCTTTAGACTGAGCCTGCCACTGTAAAGGGCCTCACCAAATGGTAGCTTAGAGTACAAGCTAAGTTGCTATTGGAAAAAGACTTAATAGAGTGGCTCAAGTGAGATAAAAATTTCTCTCTCTTGTAATAGACTGAAGTCAGTTGGTAGTTCACAGTTGGTAGACAGCTTTGTTTCATGGTAGTCACCCCCTGTCTTGTTGATATTCCATTTTAAAGAGTGTAGCCCTCTTGTGTATGGTTGGAACTGGCTTTCCACCCCTGTGGGAAAGGGCAACAAGGAAATGGAGGGGAAGCAGCATTTGGTTTTATAAATGTGATCTGAAGTTGCACATGTACTTCCACTCACCTTCCATTAGTTCTTTCTAGCTGCAAGGGAGGGTAGCAAATGTAGTCTCCAGCTAAGCAGCTCTCTGTCCTGCTAAAACTCAAAGGATTCCATTACTAAAAGGGAGAAGATGAAAATGGATACTAGACAAGTCTTTACTAATAATAGATATTTCACTTTTATTAAGAAAAATCACACACCCATATATTTGAACGTTACCATAGGAAACAAGGAATTTTAAGTTTGTAACATTTTTATTTGATTTGAATATTATAAAATATATTAATTGGGGGTTGGACATAATATTGTCACTGCTCATGTTATAGTTCAACAGCATCTCACTTGATGCACATAGTTGGCGAATAGTCATTTCTGCTTAACTGAATTAATCAGATTTTTGGTGAAAATGCACAAAGCAAGGATACTTCTAAAACTTGTCTCTTCAGGGTTTTATGTACCGTTTTGGCTTTACTTCAGTTATACTGGTTCTAGTACATCTTATGAATGCTTCTTTACAATTTTAACGGAAATAATCCTGTGCGGTTTTGAAGAATTTTTCAAGGAGTGATAACTTGTGATTTACTGATTCATTAATTGAAAATTTGTATTAATTTTTAACTTAGTTGGTAATCATGTTTAATGGATAAATCTGTGTTGCTTAGTTCCCCCCCTTTTCTATAATTTGTGAACTTGCATTTTTTTTAACGTATAATAGGACTTGCAATCTCAAAAGCAAGACAGGCATGGAGAAGCAGGGATTCTAAACCCAATTATGGAAAGAGAAGAAAAATTTGTTACAGATGAAGAACTCCATGTCGTAAAACAGGAGGTTGAAAAGCTGGAGGATGGTAAGAAAAAGAGTTTGTTTAAGCATGTGACAAGTCAGCATCCCTTGAGAAAGAAAGAGTGAGCGTCTTCTAATATCTTCCAGCTTAACTGTGAATTGCTTAGGTAGAACAAAGAAAGGTGGATACAGTGGTAGGGGATGGCTTATCAGGAGCCATACACATTTGAATAATGTTATTAAGGAAAGAAAAAAATTGAACACTCTAAGTCATTTGCTATTTAGGGTTAGGGAATAAGGACAAGTTGCATTCAGAAAATTCTGATGAAGTAGAATTCAGATGCCACTTACTAAAGTTACTATACTTGTGGTGTTCTTACATATTTTAAAATTTTTAATTTTTTCATTTGGAAGTAGTTTCAAAGTTAAAGTGGCAAGAATAGCTAAAGAACTATTTGTGAGTGAGTTGTGTCATGCCCATACCTTTAAATAGTTGTATGTATATTTCCCCAAACTAGGACATTCTCTTAGACTGTATTCTAATGTAGTTTTCAACTTCAGGAAATTTAACTTTGACACAACACATTTATCTGATCTGTCATTCATATTATGATTTTGTCAGTTGATACAATATTGTTCTTGATAGAATTTTCTTCCCTCTGGTACAAGATCATGAATTGCATTTAGTTTTCATATCTCTTCAGTCTTCTTTAATCTAGAGATTTTTGTTACATATATATATAGAGAGAGAGAGAGGGAAGGAAAAAGAGAATGTGTGTGAGAGATTAACATTTTTGATGAATATAGACCCATTTTTAAAAATAGAATGTTCTTCATTTTGGGTTTGTCTGAAGTTTTCTCTTAATTAGATTCAAGTTAATGCATCTTCTGTCAGAATACCACATAAGTCTATCTCAGGATATGACATTGAAAGGTTTCATTTATTTTTAAGTGTAGAGTCTTTGCTCCATCTATCCATCCATCCATCCCCACCATACAGCATTATATTAGTTATAAAAAATAGGCAAAGAACCTTTCTTCCCCACCAGTATCTCAAAGAACAAATTTTTTTATAAATGAGAATCTTAAATGCAATACGTATTAAATATATTATTCTCTAATCCCAGAATATCAAGTATAGAAATGAAATTTATGATGTCTTTTCTCACTTGATTTATAATACCCAAATTAAATATGGTGGTTTTATGAAAGTTGATAGTTTTCCTATTTAAAAATATTGACTGTTACAAAATCCCATTTAAAAAATTTGATTTCATACAGAATGGGAAAGAGAAGAACTTGATAAAAAGCAAAAAGAAAAGGCATCTTTACTGGAAAGAGAAGAAAAGCCAGAGTGGGAAACTGGAAGGTACCAACTAGGAATGTATCCAATTCAGAATATGGATAAATTGCAAGGAGAGGAAGAAGAAAGACTGAAGAGAGAAATGCTACTTGCTAAACTGAATGAAATTGACAGAGAACTCCAAGATTCTCGAAATCTAAAATACCCTGTTTTGCCATTGTTACCTGATTTTGAATCAAAACTACACTCCCCAGAGAGAAGCCCCAAAACATACAGGTTCTCTGAATCCTCAGAGAGATTATTTAATGGGCATCATTTGC
Source organism: Homo sapiens (assembly GCF_000001405.40). Classification (NCBI taxonomy): domain Eukaryota; kingdom Metazoa; phylum Chordata; class Mammalia; order Primates; family Hominidae; genus Homo; species Homo sapiens. The sequence continues at coordinate 79,487,524 of NC_000006.12, read as the reverse complement.
AAGACATCAGTTTCTCAACTCCAAAAGGAGAAGGTCAGAATTCAGGAAATGTTAGAAGTCCAGCCTCCCCTAATGAGTTCGCATTTGGTAGCTACGTGCCTTCGTTTGCAAAAACATCAGAGAGGTCAAATCCATTTAGTCAAAAAAGTAGTTTTTTGGATTTCCAAAGAAACAGTATGGAAAAACTTAGTAAAGATGGTGTAGATTTAATTACAAGAAAAGAGAAAAAAGCTAATTTGATGGAACAGTTATTTGGTGCCAGTGGTAGCAGCACCATTTCCTCCAAAAGCAGTGACCCAAATTCTGTGGCTTCCAGTAAAGGAGACATTGACCCTCTAAATTTTCTCCCTGGGAATAAAGGCAGCAGAGATCAAGAACATGATGAAGATGAAGGCTTTTTCCTCAGTGAAGGAAGAAGTTTTAATCCAAATAGGCACCGATTAAAACATGCAGACGATAAACCAGCAGTAAAAGCAGCTGATTCTGTAGAAGATGAAATTGAAGAAGTAGCACTGAGATGACTGACTAGAGTATACATTTTTTCTAATTGTAAATATTGAAATATTTTAATACAGTATTTATTATAAACATTTAGACTTTTTAATGCTAAAATGTCCTTATTAAGGAATGATTTTTAATAGCTAAATACAATGCAGTTAAAAAGAAGTAGATCATACATACACCACATAGATAGTTTGCCAAGAATGAAGGAGGCTTTTTTGAATGAAACCAAAAATAAAAATATGTCTTGAAAAATGAAATAGATTTTAACTCTTCATCCAGTGCTATGGCAAGTTTAACTGCACTGGAGGTGGTATTCCTTTTCTACTTTTATTCCTATTTATGTATTTATTTTTAATCATATTCTCACTGTGCTAAATACAGTCTTCCCACTAATTGTTGAATGAAAATTAAGGGTGAAAGTCTGTGTTGGGAAGTGTAGCTCCGGATGGTGGAGAACCAGTGCTTCTTAGGAGCCCTTCCCTTTATGGATAGGGCCAGGGGTCCCTATCTTACGTGGCAGTCCTAAGCTACTCTTGAGTGATAGCAGTCACAACATTGGGATTTCCCATTCCTCTGAAAGTACCCACAGCTAAACACTACTCATTTCCCAATTTCAGTATTTACTGAAATCACTTACCTACAATTCTGTTAGAATATTATGTTGAGTTCGGAAGACATTTCTCTGTTTGCAAGGACAGTTAGTTGCTCTCTGTCATAGCCCGCAGAAGCTTGGCTACAGTGTAATTCCTCTCCTTGTTCTCCTACACTCTTTGTATCTCAGTGACTGGGTGTAAGATTTCATGCCAAATGCAAGGAATAGTGGAAATACATACCAACTGCAAAGAATAGAAAAACTTTATCCCAATATATTATAGAAAGATCTTCAGTTCAATTATGTCCAGAGTAATATAATTTGGCAATGTTAATGCTTTTAAGATTTGAACTTGTCCTCAAACCAAGGAGACAACAATAGTGTAATACTATTGGACTTACAGGATTAGTTTTAAAGCAACTTTGAATAGAAGTGTTTCAGACATAGGACTTCTGCCTTGTTGACTAGAGTGGATAGTTTTCTGTTTAAATGCATTGGTCTTTTGGCTGTTTGTAATTCACTTCAGCTTATAGAGAAGTTGATGACCTTGGATCATGCTGGGTATGATTGGTCTTTAAAAAGCAGTAATATACCACCAGCCCAAGGAGAAAACATTGTTAAAATGAAGAGTGGTGGAAATAGTGTGTTGGGAAGAATAAAAAATTTAGATTGGCACTTATTCTAAAGTGAGCTGTTTTTTTCAAGAATTTACTAGCATTTGCTCGTAGTATGATTTCTGACGCCAGTCATATATACTGATGAGGGGAAGGAGTTACTGTGTTATTCTGAGTTCTTATAAATGCATATTATTGAATTTCATTGCATGACTATTTGTCAAGACTTACCTGGTTAGGTCTCCAATTAAAAGATGTACCACCTGTCATCTTCTAAATTGTGTTCCTTTCATTTATTGGGAACAGAATCTCTCAAAAGTGCTAAACTATATTAAAAAGTTTTCTTAATAGATTTGTATGTCTGATATGTATAACCATTTACTATAATATGTTGCAAATCATTCTAATATATGTAAAACAATATTATTTGTAATGCAGTTATTGGTAAAATATTATGTAATGTTAATTTTGTTCCTAGCTGCTAATTTTTCTGCCAAAAGTATTCTAATTTTCAGGTTGTTTTAAAGGCTTTTAAAACTTTTTAGTTAAGTTTTTTATTCACGTCATTTAAATTAGTTTTTTGCTTTTTTTCTACCTGATAATCTCTTTAACAAGATGCAACAAGACAGAATTATTAAAATTAAACCTAAAGTTAAGTTACAGATTTAAAGGCATTATGATATTAAGCATTAAAATTGGAGATTAAAATGTACAAAACAGGGTTTTCCTTATGAACAAACCTTACAGGGTAAATTGTTTTTTTTTCTAAATGTCATTAAATTTATTTGTACTCAGAACTGTTACTAATAAAAATTAAAAATGCACTATGACTCTTTATTTAAGTGATACCTGAGGCTACTTAGAAAATATGTAATAGAAACAGGCCCTGCAGGGTTAATTTTTGTTTCATTATACCTTTTTTTATGTTGAGTATTTTTAGTTGAAGTAGATGAATTTTCTCTAAATCAGGTTAGACAGTACGCTAGTCTTATCAGATAATTATAGTTTTAATTAATCCTTTCACCCTTAATGGCTATCGTAATGGCACATATTGCTCATAATTTTTTTTTTTAAAAAAAGATGAGGGTAAAGAGGATTAAATTGAATTGTGAAATAAACACAAATTTATTCCATGGCTGACTTGCCATTTTTCTGATTATCCTCTTCCACCTCATTTTCTGAGATACTCGGCTTCTGGTATCCCCGACTAGTTGTTAGTTGGATAGAGCATGTAAATCTGCCTGATGAAAAGGGGAAGGGAAATTTGTATTATGGGATAATACGGATTTTTTTAGGATTAAAGAAGTTACCATAAATTGCAACGAATCTGCCTTAAAAAGTTTTTCCCCTTCTACACAAAACTTTCTTATGTTAAAGTCTCCTTTTATATCACTTGAAATTGCTCTCCTTTTATTTAGGAGTTTTTTGTTTGTTTGTTTCTTTTGTTTTTTGGGTGTTGTTTTTTTTTTTTTTTTTTTTTTTTTGTTTTTGAGACAGTCTCACTCCGTCGCCCAGGCTGGAGTGCAGTGGCGCAATCTTGGCTCACTGCAACCTCTGCCTCCCAGGTTCAAGCGAGTCTATTCAGGAGAATTTTAAAAAATTAACCACTAGTACTTTCTGGATGCCCTAGACTGTGTTAGATGGCAGGAGAGCGTGGAGAGTAAACCAGACAGGCCCCTGTCTTCACAAAGTGGATGAAGAGCACAGTGAGCCAGACTGCATGAGGTTCCATCCCTGCCCTCCCACTGTTCCCTGTGTGTCCTTGGACCACAGCTTGCTCAGCTGTTATTGGTCTTTAATAGTACTTCTTATGGTGGTTATGAGTAAATGAAATACTTAGGTTTATGCTTGGCAGGTGCCTGGCACATTATAAGCACTCGGTAAACATTAGCTGCTATTACCATGGCTAACTATGAGTTTCTTGTAGGGAAAAAAGAATGAACAAATAGAATACAGGTATGAATGTGTAATACATTAATGCTATACTTTGCACAAGACATAAGCAGAAAAAGCTTTTAAACCTCCAAATTATCTTAAAACCTCTGTACTAAATACATTATGTCTTTTTTATCTGCACTTAGAACTCTCCTTACTTTATTCAGTATTAAATTTGGGAGGGGAACAACACACACGGGCCTGTTGAGGGGTCGGGGATGAGGAGAAGGAGCTTAGAAGATAAGTCAGTAGGTGGGTGCAGCAAACCACCATAACACACATATACCTATGTAACAAATCTTCACATTCTTCACATGTATCCTGGAACTTAAAAGTAATAATAAATCAATAAATTTGCAGTAAGAATGATGAGTTTGTTTCCTAACCCACAGAAGAGTAAAAAAACTAAACTTTGAAAGGATTTTCTAAAGACGGGTTCAGTGACATAAGAAGGAGAGGGGAGTTAACAGCTTCACAGCAAAGAGAGAACAAAATCCAGAAACTTTCAAACCCACGGAACTTTTGGGTTGCATAATGTGATAGGTAATTCATACCTCAGCTGTCCCTTAATGTCTGTGTGTATCCTTGGATAAGTGACAACACCTCTCTGCACCTTTGTTTTCTTCTTTATAAAACAGGGCTAATTAGAGTGCCTACCTCACAGTAATCTAACCTAATTAACTCGAAATTAATACAAGAAAAACTGCTTAGAACCAGAAGCACTCGGACGTTAGCTGCTATTGTTGTTTTGGAAAGACAATAATTGTGGAGAGCAATTATTTTTGCTGAATGCCAGACATGGCAGTTGGCATTTTTATGTGCTTTATTCCTCACAAAGTTTTTCCAAATAAGTACTGTTATTCCCATTTTCAGTTACAGCTAATAGATTGTGATATATGTTATAGGTTACCCATGAGATTACACAGGTAGTAGATTACATTCAGTAGCCTCAATATGAGAAATCTAAAGAAATATTTTAGAAAGAGTTTTGTTTTAGTACTTTTTTTTTTTTTTGAGATGAAATCTCGCTCTTGTCCCCCAGGCTGGCGTGTGATGGCACGGTCTCGGCTCACTGCAACCTCTGCCTCCCGGGTTCGAGCGATTGTCCTGCCTCAGCCTCCCAAGTAGCTAGGATTACAGGCACCTGCCACCACGCCCAGCTAATTTTTTTGTGTGTTTTTAGTAGAGACAGGGTTTCACCATGTTGGCCAGGCTGGTCTCCGTCTCCTGACCTCAGGTGATCCACCTGCCTCGGCCTCCCAAAGTACTGGGATTACAGGCATGAGCCACTGTGCCCAGCCTAGACTCTTTAAGTGGTAACAGAAACCCAAATCAAACAAGCTTAAGCAAAATAAGGAAATTACTTTTGTCTCAAAACCAGAAAGCTTAATAATGTGTGGTTGGATCTGGAGGTTCGAATAATAGTACTTACTTTGTCCACTGCTGGGTCTCATTTTCAGAGAAACTTTACATTTGATAATATTGCAGTTGTTACAGTTGGTAGCCTTGAACCCACATCATTCCTTCATCTGGCATGCCCCTTCTCCCACCCCCTGCAAAAAGAAAGTCTAGTCTGGCAGAAGTCTGATTGGCCCAAGGAATGCTGTGTGCTCAGCATTAAGGTTGGTGGTCTTGTGCAGGGAAAGGATGGATCCCTACTCTTACCTACTTCATGGAATGAACAGGATTTTTGTGGAATGGAGGAGGCATGTTTCCCCTGATGAAGGAATTTTTGACATACAAAAAATATTCTTTTTTTATTAAAAATTTTAATCAAAAAATAATATGGAATAAAAATAATAGGGAATAAACATTAAAAGTTGGTTACTTGTTCAGCACTCCTTATTCCCAGGAACGAGGCATTTCTCTAATAAGATATGATGGGGTTGCACTGTGAAGTTCATTGATTATTAAAGGGTGAACGATTTATCAGCTACAGTAGGTAAGATGGATATGACATCTACATTTTAGAATTCATAGAAAGACTTAGAGACCCAAATATGTATTTTCCATACTAAATGCTACATTTTTGAGATACATATCCATATATAAGTGATTATATTCTATCTACCTCATCTAAGACAAAATAAAAATTAGAACTCAGCAGCCAGAGTAGAATAGTAAAAACACTGACTTTGGAGTCAGAAGTTGGGTTGGAGTGTTTGCCAATTGCTAATTACAACTTTTGTCAAATAATTAACTTTTCTTAACATCTTCCAGAAGTGAAATAGAGCTGATCCTATCTTACAAGATTATTGTGAAGATTAAATGACATCGTGTATTTTTGAGAGAAGAGAATAAGTAACATGATGAAGCATGTCATTAGAGGGAGATCATTATCTATTTAGCATTAATTTCTGTATCAACACCCAAAACTTTTTTTTAAAACAACAGAAGCTTGTCAGTATGGAATCTTAAAAACTACACGTGTTATCTTACCTCATAATCTACTGTCTTTGACTGAAGTGGGACTCTTCTTTACAGATCCATACGGAGGTATTCCATAGAGATGCTTTGCTGCTTTTGTGGACAAGCAGCCTGTGGCAGATGCAGTTTTACACACATAGTTTTGCTTCACCAGCCATTTCCATGAAGGGTAACAGATACAAATCAGGAACCCAGACTGTGTTCTGAAAGCAGAGCATTAGAATTCAGGATGGTCTCCCTGCCAGTAGAACTACGGGGATTCCTTAACTACCATGGCCAATGGTGACTGTCTTTCTTCTCTCTTTAACTGACCTGAATACCAAATTTCAAATTTCTGGTCCCAGTTGATATTGATCCTGGTTATGCATACTTTTTGTGTAGTCTGTAACAGGACATTATAGATGTCAGATTTTTTTTTTAACCCTGATACAAAGAACCCAAGAGTTTTTTATATAGGCAATCACAGCTACTGAAAACTAAGTACACCTAGAAAAAAAGGTTTATTTAAGGCTTTGTTTTGTTCTTCTATAAGAACTTCCCCCAGAGTCTTAAATTTAGCCTCAATATTTGCTTCTAATCTCTGTGATACCTGTAATATTTACTCTTCTAAGTACTTACAGAGGAGCTCCAAGTAATCAGGACAAACCTTCATAGTCTTTATCTAAAATAATTTTCAGTAGAGAAATAGGATCAATACAACCAAAGAATATAGGCCAGGAAAATCTGTTAGTGTTAATGCTTTACACATTATGACCGGGGTCTAGAATATAGAAAAATGGGGCCCATATTTCTGAAGTCTAGTTTTATAATGAATATCATGCACTCTTTCATCCTAGGCAGAAAATTGTGGCATTTCCCTGTACAGTAACTAACGTTTTCCTCTTGAAGAACATATTCAGCATCATTTAAATAAATTTACGTTATACGTTAGGCAATAGTCCTCAAAGTATGACCTCCAGAGCTGCAGCAATGCCCTCTGGGAACTTGGTAGAAATGTCAGTTCTTGCCAGGCACGGTGGCTCACGCCTGTAATCCCAGCACTTTGGGAGGCCAAGGCAGGTGGCTCACCTGAGGTCAGGAGTTAGCAACTAGCCTGGCCAACATGGTGAAACCCCATCTCTACTAAAAATAGAAAAAATTAGCCGGGCGTGGTGATGGGCGCCTATAATCCCAGCTACTCGGGAGGCTGAGGCAGGAGAATTGCTTGAACCCGGGAGGTGGAGGTTGTAGTGGCCGAGATCGCTGCCATTGCACTCCAGCCTAGGCAACGAGAGCAAAACTCTGTCTCAAAAAAGAAAAAAATAAATGAAATAAATGTCATTTCTCTGGCTGTATTCCCAGACCTACTATATAAGAAACTCTGTGGGTAGGGGCCAGCAATCAGTATTTGAACAAGCCCTCTAGGTGGTCCTGTTGCAGCTCATTTGAGAACCACTATTCTAAAGTACTACTCGTTGGGGTGAGTAGGTGTTCCTTTATGTACAGAAATGGCTACCCTGGAAGGTTTTTCTATATTTAAATCTAGCACTTAGGGCTTGTGATCACAATGAGCAGGTGCAGTATATGGACTCATCTTTGCCTCCTCACACTGCACACTGTCTGGACTAGAAAGAAGCCACTGTCTTTTTTATTTTGTGACTGAACCAGTTGTGATCTGTAACTGTCGGTTCTGCATGGTTAACATGTCAGAAAATTTGAACTAGTCACGAAAGAGGAATTCTATTGGAACAATGAACACCAAAAAGATTGAGTAGTTCATATAGCATTCCTCCATTATAACCTATGATTCCCAAACTTTCAGAAAAACTTCAAAACATCATTCTTATAGCATTCCCTCAAGAAGAACAAATCAATGTGATTTAAATTTGATATTCTTTGTGAACATTCATTTTTTAATGCAACAAGTTTCTTAAATGTTCAGGTTTTTGAAAGTTTGAGAAAAGTATGTGGGAGTGTGTGTGTATGTACTTGATGGTCCAGTCAAGTGGTTTCTATGCTTGAGCTTTAAAAAATACTAAAATTAGTCCATCAGTGATAGACTGGATTAAGAAAATGTGGCACATATACACCATGGAATACTATGCAGCCATAAAAAAGGATGAGTTCATGTCCTTTGTAGGGACATGGATGAAGCTGGAAACCATCATTCTCAGCAAACTATCGCAAGGACAAAAAACCAAACACCACATGTTCTCACTCACAGGTGGGAGTTGAACAATGAGAACACTTGGACACAGGAAGGGGAACATCACACACCAGGGCCTATTGTGGGGTGGGGGGAGGGGAGAGGGATAGCATTTGGAGATATACCTAGTATAAATGACGAGTTAATGGGTGCAGCACACCAACGTGGCACATGTATACATAAGTAACAAACCTGCACGTTGTGCACATGTACCCTAGAACTTAAAGTATAATAAAAAAGGAAAAAAAGTAAAATTATCTAAATTAGCCAATATACAGGGAATATTTAAAAAAAAGAAAAATGAGACAGAATTAAGTATTCCCGCTTCTCACGTAGCCACTCCTCAGTGTATGTGAAGACAAAGGTATATAAACAAGAATTTCTACATACATCTAGAAGAAGTGTTTATTTACTAACACAGTCGATCACATTTGAATTTTGTTTGCTATATAAAGTCTTCATATGTCTTTCTTTGGCTTTTTAATTTTTTTTGTCTTAGAAAAACAAAACCCACTTCGTATAGAACAGACCTGTTTCTGTGTAATCTGTTTATATGGTGCCAAGTATCAGGCCATATAAAATATTAATACTGATGACGGAGTGGGTGAGGGGTGGGGATGAAAATAGGTCTATTTCCAAATGTAGAAGAGAGAAGCATATTTCTCCAAGGTTCAGGTGCCATAAAATGCATCTCCACTAGAAAATGGACAGTCTGACAGGCCAGTGAAAATGTAGTGGCAATGCAAGTTTTGAATGTATCCCTAAAACTGATTATCCCAATGTAATTTTGGCTCTGGGACTAGCAATCCCAGAGTTATAAAGTAATGGAGTAATACTTTATATAAAGTATTAGAGTAATACTTTATATAAAGTATTAGAGTAATACTTTATATAAAGTATTAGAGTAATACTAGTTATAAAGTTAGAGTAATAAATATATTGGTTTTGACACCCCCACTGGAGTCGTAACTTCATCAATTTTCTTGTTACTGTGCTTATTGATAAACATTCTACAGAGTAAGGAGTTCTCATTTAGTTATGAAATTTTTCTCTTAGTACCCTTCACCAGTATTTTTCATTTTCAGCTGTAGCATAATTTCTGTTTCTGTTTTTAAGTGTCTTTTTGATTAACTGCAAAGTTTGATGGAGTCCAGCAGCATTAATTAAATCAGTGTACATGGTCAGCTGGGTTTTTTTCTTACCTGCTGAGAGGTTGCTAGGATATTCTCGTAAAGATACAATTCTCTTGATTAACTGCAAAACCCAGATTGCCCAAATAACATTTTTATTAATTCATAAAAATACAGCTGAGGATTGCATTTAAATTAATAGCAAGGTAAGTGCTATATATCTCCAGATGCTTTTAGTATTGCAAAAATGTGTTTAGGTATACTTATAAAGAATGTGTTTTGAATAACAATTAGGAGATGGAGAATTAGTCATTTTTATTTTAGGGAGAGTATTTCTTTGCGTTGCTCAATGTATATGAATTTGAAGCTGAAAAAGTTCTGAATTTTATATCACCATTGGCAAATACATCTCAACTGTATCTATAGCTCTGCAAAAATGCTATTTTATAATGATTATCATGATTATTATTTATTGGTATAATTGATTTCAAAATCTTATATAAATTGCAACCATTGCCCTTGGTTGATTTAGTAAAATAAAATCAAGAAGCATATGAAGAAAAAGAGACCTTCACCTACGGTAGTTTGATGTGATATGGATAGTTGTTTCAGAGGTCAAGGACTAGCAAATGGCTTTATCTGGGTGACATTTTTTCTAGCAATTGTTTTATGGCTCATAAGTATGAAAATAACTATGCCCGATTCTACTCCTGCCCATCTTGCAGTTGTACATTAATTCATTCATTATTAAGCATTTACGGAGCTCCTATTATATAATGCAATTTACTAGAAATAATAAGAGGATTTTTAGATGGCAGTATGACATAAGATTTTCATTTTGAAACAGGCACTTCTATACTAATGTAGAAGATGGATTGAACAGTTTAGGAATTGCAGATAAGAAATAATGGAAAAGTCAGTGGGCATATACTATATAGATGAATGATAGAGTTATTTATGAGAGAGAATTGACACCACTTGGTAATCAACTGAATGTGGGAGAGAGCAAGAGAGAAGAAGCCCCCAGTAACTGAGGAGATGACAGGGACACTGACTGAAATGGAAACTATAAGAAAAACAGATTTAGAAGGTAGGAGTTCATGAGTAGCTCCGTTTTAAACATGATGAATTTGTTGTGGGATATCCATATGGACACGCCTAGCAAACAGAAAGATCTACACCAAAGATATTGATCTTTGTCTTAATCATACATATGTGGAATTTGTAGCAATGTGTGTGCACAAGATTACTCAGTGTGTAAAAAGCATGAATACAAACAACAATAACAAAGAAATGATCATGTCAAACAGCTTCCACTTTGGAAATGGTTTTCCTAAAGCTCATTTCTCCCTGTTAATTTTGAGTTTCATAAATATCTGAATTGTACAAACTTAATTAAGTTGCTGGCCCTTCTTCATTCTCCTCTCTCTGCAAATCCTTCAAGATAAAAAATGTTTCCTTTAATAGGGGAGGCAATCAATTTTTAAACATTTTTAGGAAAATGAGAATTTTTTTATTCTAAAAAGGCTTTGATCCTTAATTGTTTGCCTCTGCCAAACTTGCCAAGTGGTATTAAAGACATTTTAAATTGTTTTTCTATTCATGCAAAAGAAACAAGCTGATACAGGAAATAGACAATACAGATAAGCAAAAGAACATAAAATTAACCTAAAGTTCAACCAGCTCATCCAAAATGCCATTTTTGGTGTGTGTGTGTGTGTGTGTGTCCATGTATGTACGTGTACACTTCTGGACTTTGTATCTTGTTCTAATGATCCTTCTTTTTCTGTATCAGCACCACGTATCTTACTATTTTATGTTCTTTTTTAAAAATCAAACATTTTGGCTAGGTAATACACTCCATGATTCAGAAATCAAAAATGATATGGAAAGGTATACAATACATTCTTGTTCCTTTCCCTGTCCTTAATCTAACTAGTTATGAATGTACATAAATATTAAAAAAAACTATTTTCATTGGTTTCTTGAGAACCAGTGACATTTCCAAAATTTGTGCAAATACAGTATGAATTGTCATTATTTCCATCTTGTAAATATGGCATATTTTATATACTATTATGTATGTTGATTTATTTTTTATTCATTATATTTCTTATTATGATGGTTAGTCTATATGTCAACTTAACTAGCTGTAGTACCCAGTTATTTAATCAAGCCCTAGTGCAGAGGAGAATGCCTTGTGAAGATGGAGGCAGACTGGAGTGATGTCTACAAGCCAAGGAACACCAAGAATTGCCAGCAACCATGCGAAGCTCAGAGAGAAGCATCTTTCCTAGGGCCTTTCAAGGAAATATGACCCGGCCAACACCTTGATTTCAGACTTCTAGTCTCCAGAACTGTAAAAGAATATTCTAATTTCTGTTGTTTTAAAGCTACCCAGTTTGTGGTAATTTGTTACAGCAGCCTTAGGAGAGTAATATCGTGATCCTTTCATATCATTACATAGAAAGCCTCTTCACTTTTAAGAGATAGCTTCATGCTAATCAATTGTTATGGATATACCAGCATTAATTTACCAGTCCTCCTGTGATAGGTATTTGGGTTGCTTCCAGTCTTTGCTATTACAGATAATGCTTCATTAAATGACTTTGTACATTAGTTTTACTTGTGTGTAAGTATAGCTGTAGGAGAAATTTCCAGAAATGGAATTGATGGATCAGAAGGTATATCATTTGTTAGTTTAACAGATACTACAATTTTATCCACCATGGTTTTAACCAATTTACACACTCATCAGTGTAAGTGCCTGTTAAGCCCTTTTGATAGATAGCTCAATATTTGTAAGGAAATTTGCCTTTCCCTTAATTGGAGATTGCATTTAAGAGCCATACACTTCTGAACTACCTATTCATATTCTTTCCCCATTTTACCATTAGATTATTGATCTTTATCTCCAAGATTGAGTTATATATTAGATAGATTAGTCAATTACCTGTGATGTGACTTGAAAACTTTTCTTCCAAATCATCTCTTATCTTTTGATTTTGCTTATTGTATTTTTTTCTTTTTACCATGCTTACTTTTTTATTTTATGTAAAATTTATCAGTCATTTATTTTTAATCATTCTAGGGTTATAAAAGGATTCTCTAATTTTTATCTAACATTCTAAGTTTTATTTTCTATAGAGTTTATACATATATATACTGTGAGATACAGCTTTAACTAATTTTTTCCAAGTGGCAATCCACCTAGCCTGATGCCATTTGTTAAATAGCCCATCTTTGAGTTTGATTAGAAATTACACCTTTATTATATACTAAATTATTTTATGTATTTGGATCTATTTCTGGAATTTTTATTCTGTTCCACTGGTTGCCTGTTTATTCATGTGCCAGTATCACCCTATTTTAATGTTTGAAACTGTAAATTATATTTTAATATTTAGTGACACTAGACTCTCCAACCTGTTACTCATCTCAAGTTTTTCATTCCTTTATGTATACATTTTGCCTATAAACTTTAGTATCATTTTGTTTAGCTTTTTAAAAAAACATTTTGGTGCTTTTATTTAAATATTATATCCATGCTTTTATAATGTTTGGCCTACCTATCAAAGAATATAGTATATGTTTCCATTTGTTTAATTCTTCTCTATACTTCAGTAATGTTTTAAAGTTTTGTTGTAGTTATTGTTTTTGTATAGGTCTTACACATTTCTTGTGATTCTATAGATTTTTAAACCTTTGTGTTGCCATTGTTAATGTGGTCTTTCATATCTTATCTCATTAGTATTTGTATAAGTAAAAGCTATTTTTTTAGTTTTCCAGGTACATAATAATTTTGATAATGATAGTTTTAAGTCTTCATTTCCATTTTAAAGCTCTCTAATTTCTTTCTCTTGGCTAATTGCATTGGCTTCTTCCTCCAGCACAGTATTGTATAATAATGGTGATAGAGGTCATAATTGTCTTGTACATATTTTTTAGTTGGTTTGCCTTCTCCTCTTTTCCCTTTAAGCATGATGCTGACTTTTGGGCTGAGATAGATTTATTACATTAGGCAAATATACATCTTTTCCCATTTTACTTGAGTATTTATAATAAAAACTGGCTGTTCAGTTGTTTTTCATATGCTTTTTTGGTGGCCACAGATAGGCTATGATTGTCTCAATGTAATGTGGTGAATTATGTTAGTAGAATGTATTTCTGTTTCTCCTTGTAATTTCTGTAATGGTTGTTTTATTTAATATGCAAGAGTGTTATTTGATGCATAAAAGATTCATAATTATACCCTCACTGTAAATTGTGCCCTTTGGCTTTAAGAAAGTCCTTATTTTTGTAGATTATTGTTTGCTTTTTGGTCTGAATTCTACCTTTTTTGATATTAAGATCTTGATTCTATTTTTATTTTGAGGGATGCTTGCCTAGTATTTATTTGTAACCTTTCTGGATTGTTTTGTTTTAGGTGTGTATCTTGTATAAAACATAGAGTTGGACGGTTTTGTGATCCAGTCTGAAAATCTTTTTTTCAATGTGTAAGTTAAGTAGCTTGACATTTATTGATATTCAGATACATTTGATCTTTATTCCATCGTATTATTTTATGTACTCTGCTTTAGCAGTGCTTAAAATATCTTTCACTATATGGTTTATCTTCTTTTGTGTGTGTATTTTTTTCTGATATTAAGAAAAGTCTGTTGGGTTTTTTCTCATGCCTAATACCTTTGATCTTCTATTACTTTGGGCAGTATCTATAAGTTCCATATTCAGCAGTGTTGAAAATTAGTGTGTTTCTTTTTCATGACTCCTCTTCAACAATAGATTTTAGTTGATAATATAATATTGTCTTTCTTATTCTTTATACTGTTAAATATTTTTATATTTCTACGACTTGGTTTGTCAGCTTTAAATGATACCTTTCAACTCTAAACTATTACAAATAAGGAAAGCAATATACTTATTTTAGCTGCTATTTTTTCTCCTTTTTCTTCCCAACTTTTATTAGTTTTGTAATTTTCACACCAAGACATAAAACATTTGCACTCTGTTCTGATACTTTATTCTGCATTTGCTTTAGTTTTTATCCTGTAGTTAAATATATTCAGTGCTTATAGGCAATCTTGTTGCAGTAACATCCCCAGTCATCTCTCTGTTATTTGAAGTCATCCCACCACAGTGAAATTCTTTTCGCCATCTGACTGGTAAATTTGGCTCCAGATACCACCCTGATGGTTCGCTTTTCAGGACCGTACTTGACTTACTTATGTTCCAGGGAAAGGGAAAGGTAAGCCTGGGACAAGAGCTTGTGTACAAGTAGTTGGCTGGGGAAGTGATCCCAGAAAGTGGGAGTGAGGGGCCAGAGAAAACAAGGAAAGGAGGGAACTCCAATATGTGCATTCATTAGTGAATTGATAAGGACATTCTGAGGATTGTACTGAATGTGTCTTGGAACTGTCTCCTCAAAAGACAAAGGGGAGAAGTATTTCTCCATTGACTCCTTCTCACAAATCCTACTTGAGAATCCATGAGTACTGAGTATGACTAACTCTTTAGGTGAGCTGCCCTGTGCACAAAACAGTTTGCAACCTATATGGAAATATTTGCCACAAATATAACTGGAATCAGAGATGAGACCAAGAGGATGTGAGGTGGTACACAGGAGGCATCTGATACAATTCCAGTGTCTTAAACTGTGATTTTAATTACCTCTGTGACCAGGTGGTTAAGATTATTTTATATTTCGGTTCCATTTAAAATTTTATTTTGTCATTGTCTTGTATTGTTAATTTCTGATTTTATTTTTATAGTTAGAGAATATGGCAAGTAGAATTGTTACTTTTTGAAATTTATTGAGATTCTATTTGGAGCTTAGTATATGATCAATTTTGCAGATTTTTTTTTAATGAATACATGAAAAGAATGAGAACTCTCTGTAGAATACAAATTTCAGTTCTGCTCTTTGTCCTTTTGCTCAATTTAAGATTGAAAGAGAGCATTCATTTCCTTTTAAAAATGTTATTTTGTCAGCCAGGCATGGTGGTTTACTCCTGTAATCCTAGTACTTTGGGAGGCCAAGATGGGAGGATCACTTGAGGCCTGGTCAACATAGCAAGACCCCCTCTCTATTTATTTACAAATAAAAATGAAAATAAAATGTGATTTTGTCAGTTTCTTCTTATATATTTCTTTAATGTATTTTCAATAAAGTTAATGGTCCCCATTTTGGAGGTTTGGAGGGTGTTAAATACTCACAACTCTTTCCTTTCCAGTTTATAAACTAATTGAGAAAGATACTCGAATTGGATTGGATCGGATGAAATATTAGCTTCTTTGCATGCTACACTGAATTAGGGGACTTCTCTAATTCAGGACTGAATTTCTAACCAAAACAGACTTTCCACTACTTACTCACTTTATTTAGTCATAAATAAAGGTAGATGAGAAAAGGCAGTTGCCCCAGAATTTTTAAATGGTAGGGATAGGAACAACAATGTGATTGGAAGAGCATGCTTGGGAGTGTATCTTGAAGTGGTGTCTGCATAGCAAGCACACTGTTTTATTGTTCATTGGATGGCTTAGGTGGGAGGGCTGAATTTTTCCAAAGCCAGATTTTAATTTTACCATTGTATGATTCAGGGAGGTTTCCACACAGAACTCACGCTGTTTTCAGATGGGTAAGCGAGTGTGTCAATGAGAGTAGTCCACGAATGCAGAATGATCCTTTTCTGATTTCACTGATCAAATAAGTTAACCCTGTGGAAGGAACAAATGAGAGCTAAGGGGAGGCACTTCTGGAGGTGCACCTTAACACTTAACACTTATCAGGGGGAGCACTCAGAGGGAGAAAATAGTATCACTTCCCTTTGTCATTATTGTGTAATTTTTGGCAACATAAAAGTCTCCCTTTTGCTTCAAGTAATTTCTTTTACCTTGAATTTTATTTTGGTGTTGACATCAAGACCCCCTACTTCTCTTTGGTTTGCATGTCTCATGTTTTTGTTCATCCCTTGATTTATTTTATGCCTTCTATATGGTTTTGTCTTTGATATGTTCTTATAAAGAGCATATATTTGGATTTCTTTAAAAGCCAGCATAAGTGTTTTTTGCTTGTTACACTTAGAGTTGTCACTGCTGGGTTTTGTTTAACATTAACCAGCTAATACTTGAAGTTCTTGATTTTTTTTTTCCTCTGTTAGGTTTTGTTTTTTTCTGTCTATTGATTTGAATGTTATTAATCATAGTACTTTTATATTACCTCATCATTAAACACTTGTTCACTCAGTTATTTATTTCCTAAATTTTTCTCTCTGTGTCAAGAATAACCCAAATCTGTTGACCCTCTCAGTGGAAGATATAAAAATTATCCTATTTTCTTCATTCCCCCTTTCCCATTTGCTGGTTTTTGTTCAAATGTTATAGGAATGTAAATTCATATTGTTATTATTATTACTTTACATTCCCTTTCAAGACTTTTACTTGATATGCATACTAAATTTAATAACTGTATTAACAGTTACTTAGACTTTAACTCTGTTGGTTTTACTGCTTACTGGTTTTTTTTCTGTATCTGTCTTCACTTAGTAAATTCCAATCTTTTGTTTTTGATGTTTCAAATGTTTTCTTAGTTATATTGACACTGTACTTTTTCCCTCATAATTAAATAAATTAGTATTTCCCAAATAATGACTGTCATTCTGAAATAAATTTAGGAAACACTTGGGCAAACAAAATTAAGCATACTTCTTTATTGCAAGCTTCTCAGAGTCCGTGTTATGCAACTATGGGTTATAAATCTTAGGGACATGCACTTTTCCCAAATTTGATACCATGCCAATTCTCTTGGTATTAAGTGTTACAGATAACTTTAATTCGGATTTTTTCTCCTTAGTAGATTCTTTGTTTACCTAGATTTTATTTCTTTATTACTGACATGAAAATATCAACAGAACTTGTTTAGTGTAGGTCTCTTTTGTTTTTCCTAGTACTCTGTGCATCAGACAGCATAGTACCTAAGGCAGAAACCTCTAGATACTTTAAACAGAAAGGATTTAATACAAGGAGTGAGGTGCTTATGAAATTGGAAGAACTGGAGGAGCAGGCTCTACATTGGGCTTCTGGGTGTGATTCATAGAACACTGGCTGACCACCTACAGGGGAATCACTTTTCTACTACAATCAGGAGGCCACCTGACTTCAAGAATGCATCATCCAGCTACAACTCAGACAATAAAAGACCAGAATTAGAAAGCCAACATCACCACAGTCGCTGGACACCGGAGTCCAGAGTTTGGCTCCTGCTGCCCCTGAAGCAGCTGCAAACTGTATTTGCCGGTCCCCACAGTCTTGGTTGCCAGCAGAAAAATGCCCCAAATGGGAGGAAGATAGTTTCCAGGACCCTACATTCCAGCAATGTCGTTTTTAGCTTTCCAATTTTTGATGCTCATAAAAGTATGTTTTCCTGATTAATACAACCTTAAGCTACTGGGATTAAATAGACTAATGGAGGCCAAATGACACTTCTTAACTTCTGGGTTTCCTATCTCTGAGAATTCAGTATGTTCAATCCTTTAGTCATGAATCATCACCTTTTCCCTTTCCAGGAATTTTCCACAAGGATGGTGACAACAGGTCACAGTAGGCAGAAGAAACTAGGGCTGAAGTTTCTCTAACACCATTGATTGCCCCTGTAATGAGTAAGACTCTAGAAATATTTTTCAGGATTTAGTTTCTTTCTCTTTATCAGAAGACCGAGTAAGCTATTGTTGCCATGAATACTCTGGACCAATGCTCATTTAGGTACACAGCCCCATTGACTATTATTTCCTTGTCCTATCTCACAAGACCTTCAAAACTTTCCCAGGGCTCCTGCTTTTCTGGACACCAAAATGCTGCTTAAATCTAGTAAAATAAAACTAAAATTTATGAGAATAACTGCTCCATTGTTCACAGGAAACATCCTGAATGACTCCATAGTTTAATAACTGCAGTCACCTTGACAGAGGGTTTTCATACAGATGACTTTCCTTTATCAATGTAGTACCCTTCAAGACCTGTCTCCCAGCAACACCCTCCCCCATCCTGACACGTAGCAGAACCCTGTTATCCTGGCCAGTTTTCATAAACACCCAAAAGATTCTGTGGGTATGTACTCTGAACATCCCATGGGAGACACTAAAAGATGTACATTTACTCCTTTTCGTCAACCTAAAAATCACAACAAAATTCTGTCCTTTCCAGCCTAAAATTTTTACGAAGACAGTGACCATTTTAAGATATCTCCCGAAAGACCTTAGAGAGGAGAGTCTAAGGGGAAGTACTTCTGCTCTCCTCCCTTGAGTGTTTGTTATTTTATTGGATTGCCTCATTGACACATGACCCAAAGTAAAGTGTGTAAGTGACGAAAAGCGAAGAGCATTGGCTTAAAGGGTGGAAACAGGGTTGTTCGCTAGCAGTGTCCTCAGGTCCAGTTATTTAACTCCTCTGTTAGTTTTGCTAGCAGCCAATTGGGGATTTTAATAACTTGCCCTGCCTAACCACGTGGAATTCTGTCCGTGCCATTTTTGTCTGTGTCCAAGTACTGATGACCATATAGTACAGTATAATAAAAATAGCTAACAGGACAAGTGGAGCTGGGTTGTGGCAGTGATAAGCCTCAGTTTTTGTGGGCATCAGCAGGAACACAACAGCCCCTTCCTCAGACTCAGGGCTGTGGCTGATGACCAGGGTACTGAAGGCAGCTTCTCCAACACTCACTTGTACCTAGGCTGTGTCTGTTGCCCAGGCTAGAAACGTTCTTGCTTATTCATCCAGAAGCACCTATGAGCAGCAAACTTCATCTAGAGCCACTGTTCTTGAGCAGGGCCTTGGTTCCAGAAGGGAATTCTGAAAATGCTGAGAGAATGCTGCACATATCTCTTCCATTACACACTGGAGACAGGGCAGTCAGACCTAAGGAATCCTATGGTTCCTGCCCAGCCAGCCACTGTGCCATGCTATGGTGGTGATAAACTCCCTACAAGCACGTCTTTGGCTCCTCCTTTAAATTAGCCTCTTAGCTAAAAATAATAAATTATAGGAGGAGGGGTTTTGTGTTACCTCCTGCCCTGGAGATTTAAAGGAATCTTTGCTCTCTGGGATTTCTCTTTTAAGAGCCATTGGAAGGAAAACCTAAACGAACATTTAAAGTCCCTTTGAACTGTAGCCTGTGAAGTTCCAAATACACCCTAGGAGGCCTGTGAGTCGATGTGATGTGGTGATAACAGTCAGCTGCTTCCAGCAGCTCCTGCTGTCCTTCTGCTCTGATGACACAACTTGTAGCTTTGGTCTCATTTTGAGGAACCTGCTAAAGATGGCTCTATTTGCTTTAATTCTCAGATTACTTCAGACTAATGTGTCACATCTAATTAAGATGGTGCAGTGCTGTCCCCTTGCTCTACTTACCACAGCTTCTCTGCTGAAATGTGCCATTTAACCTGGATTGTCCCAAAAGCTGGGGAACAGCTTGCTGACTGTGGTTGATGCCACGGTATCATCTTAGCAGATTTTTTTATTTCCATTAACATTTAACCTAGTATATCTTCAAGTGTTTTAATATTCCAATCAATAAGTAGAAAAATAGATATTGGAAAATTAATTTTCCCACATAATATGACTCATGCTCCACAAGATTTTTTTTGTCTTGCTCTGCTATTATAGTAGCTGCTCTGCCAACCCCATGAGTTATTGTGAGGCTCAGGTGAAGTGATATATGTATAGTAATATGTCAGGGTAAGTTGTCCAATATTTCAGGGTAAGTTTTCTACAGGTGTACATGCTAAGTGCTGACCTACTCTGTGATCTTTGTTATCTGATAAAGCTGGACCTGAACTCTGGAGGAAAAGTTTTAAAAATGTAAACAGTGCTCTATACGTGTAGTTTTGGTAACAATAAATGAAGTGTTTTCATTCCCAACCATCTCATTATGACAGTAACTCTGCTGCAGCCATTAATATCTGGAGTTAATAATCTTCTGTACTCACTGACTTTTTAATGTCTGTAAGGCAGATAGTAATCGCCAAGACTTGCTCTGCTCCTAATTGGCAATAGCAATATATGGTTTTGCCCAATATTTCTTGTGACATTATCAAGCTATTTGTGAATGGATCTGTGTGTGTTTGAAAAATGGACAGAAGCAAAACCATAAACCACAAAATTAGATGGACAAATAAAAATCCATAAATGTTTCATATCACTTTTTCTTTTCATGCTCATAGGTTTCAGCCAGGCTACACTGCCTGCCCTCTTCTAATTCAGCTAATTTGTCTATCTTTCCCGTTACACAGGTTTTCAGCGATTGCCCTGGGCAAAAGCTGACTTTCTCAGCATTTAATTCTGCAGATATTTTCTTCAGTGTAGCACGTTTTCCCAAGATACCTACTTGGATCTGTTCTGGGGTTCCAATCTCTCCAAATCCTAGGATGTCTAATCCTCTACTTGGAAATTATCCCCTTTTCCCTTTCTAGGAACTTTCCATAAGGATGGTAACAACAGTTCACAAGGGGCAAAAGCAACTAGGACCGAAGTGGCTCTGCCAGCCAGTCCAGCATTGGTGTAGACAGCTACTTGCGATACTTATGACGAGGGCTGGCCTGCATTCTTTTTGTAATTTTTAATCTGTATTATTATAAGTTACAATTAAGTAGCATTTTCGTGGAATAAGTGCTGAATTAAACCTAGATATTGAATGTACCTCACATAGATTTCCTTTAGAGGGCACTATTGATTCTCTGAAACCATGGAAACCTTTCTTCATGTTTTCTTGGTAAAATTGGCCAATTTTGAAATCTTATTGGGTTTCAAATCTACTCCATATAGTACAAAGTACTATACTCGTTACCAATTCCATACTTTGAAGATTGTCCATGTACAGAATAAGAAGTTACACCAGAATGTTGTTTGTTATGACAAGTCATCAACACAATACATATAATTCTATATTTGAAAACCTCAACTGGTTTATTTGCTTTTGAAATAAACCAGTTCAAATGGGAATTTCCTTTTGTAACTTGATGCAAAATTTAAATTAAACAATTCAGTCTTTTTTGTTTAGAAAGACAAATTACTTCTTTGGAAACTAATGTTTCATTCTAGAAATGGGTAATTATTTACATATATTTAGAAGAAACCATATTTATGGTATTTTCATTCAGACATTCATTAACATCTGAAGATACTCTACTAAAATTTTGTGGTCACATTTGTTGTGTTTTTTAGACTCTGCCAGTTTGTTGAATTTTGATAAATGCTGAAGGAGAATGCTTTTTTTTCTTCATTATTTAAAGTTAAGAGAATAGAACTTTGTAAATTGTCTCACTGGCAGCCTTTATCTAATTTCAAAATAATGGGAACCTAAAATACTCCAAAGCTCAGAAACATAATTTTGTGACATAAATACATTCATACCACCATCTACCAATGTTTACTTAGCTTTCATATAATAAGGTACTGTTCCAACATGTATGCCAATATCCTAGGTTAGTGGAAAGCAGTTATCTCATGTTTTATAAACAAACAGATTAACAGAAAGGTCATGCACATTCCAAAGAGAAGAAAATAGGTTTCCATAGTTTAATGAATTACATACAAATTCCTTGAACCAGCCTTTTAAACTCTTCACAGAATGGCCCCAGTTTACCTTCCTAACCTCGGCTTCCTCTACCAATAACCTAAGCTCCCAGCAAATGGCACCACCCACTATTATTCGGACATTTGTGCTTTTCGGTATTCCTCTCTTGACTCATCCAGTCTTTTGCCGAGAGTGCTTTTGCCTCCCCAAATGCAAATTGTAAAGGTCCCATCCATTCTTCAAGCAGCATTTTAACTGAGTCCTCTCCAGAAGCTCCCCATCTTGTGAATTTCCATGGCTGGTTGAGTATAATTTCTGAGTTTATCAATTTTGTTTTGTATTTAAGTGGGTTGGATGCTTGTTTCCTCCCTCTTTCTAGATTGCAAATTTTTTAGAAATCATTTTGGGATCGGTATCAATTCTAGCGCCCAGCATATGGTAAGGGCTCAATACATATTTTTTCAAATGAACTGGGTTAAACCAAGACATTTTTGCCATTTGTCAAATGAGGCACATTGAAAGCAGAACTTGGATAGTGTGGGATCTGAGGAATAAGGATAAATACCAGAGACATTAAAAGTGAAGGGAAAGGCCTTGGAGACTTATTAAATGTGGAAAGCAAACACTCTTACGCTCTCTCTCTTATTTTATTTTAAATCACTGCACTTATATAACACAATTTGTAGCCTAGAATGAGGCTCTATGTGGGAAAGAACTTTAATTCACCACCATATCCTCAGCACATAGTCATTGGTGCAAGACAGATTTTAGGTGCCCAGTGATATTTGATGAGTGAATGAATTAATTGATTAAAATGCAAAGCTGTCCAGCAAGAAGGACAGAATTATTACAAACAGATTAGAAACCAAAGGAGAAGGGATAACTTTGGAGAGTATGGTGACTTCAGTTTTTTTAGAGATGCATAGATGAGCATCCAAGTAGAGAACACAGAGGAAGTAACTGAAAATTGGCATTGGAATTTCATTCAAGAGTCAGACTCAAATATGTAGTTTTGGGACTTACAAATTAGCTATAATTGCTGAAGCCATAATATTGGATGGGATTATGAAGAGGAAAATGTAGGGAGGTCTGTCCAAGCTATATCATTGGGGAGTGCTTCTGTGTAGGTACAGGGCTGAAAGCCCAATAATGAGGCCTGCTTGTAAAAGTCAGGGAAAAAGCAAGCATATTTTATGTCCTTTTCTTGACTAACCACTCTACTATATATGATATTATTGAATTTCTTTTTTTCCTTGGTTTTGCCATTTTGTACTGGTCCTTATTTTCCATACTAAATGTTATAGATTTTTTATTTCCTAAAACATATCAGTATTTGATAGACTTAGATATGGACTAAAACAAGTAAAATATGGCATATGAAGGATTAATATAAAGACCAGAAGCTGAAAAACAGATTGTTGTAGCTGTATGGGTCCTGCTTTGGATTCAAATAATTAATAGAATAAACTCAGATTGGATCAGATGGTTCTTAATAGTTGCTTATGCAGAAACTTCCTGAAAGAGTTTTAGTTAACTTTAAGTTGATATGAATGACAGCTTTTGCTACGCAGAGATCAAAGGAACAAAGAGGTTTACTGGCTTCTATCTGGCCAAAGAACACTTGGAATGCAGGGTCTACTGTGGATGACTCATTTTAGAGGGATGCAAACAACTCCCGGGCCTCCAGGTAAGTATGGTGGGGCCATGGGAGGAGTCAGGAAACCATAAAGAAAGACTGAATAAACTGTCGCCCTGAAGAAAAAAAGATTTAGGAAGAACTGGGAGTTGTCTTTAAATAGTTGAAGCAGTCATGTATAAAGAATTGAATTTATTCCCCACTGCTCCAGAGGGCAGACATAGGATCAGCTAGTGGAAATTACAGGGAGGCAGACACAAGTTAAGAAAAAACTCCCAAATATTTGGATCAATCGGTATATGGAATGAGTTATCTGGTGAGTTAATGAGCAACTGAATTAAGTGATCTCAAAGTTTCTTTGTCTCTAAGAATTAATGATTTATGATCTTCCAAACCATGCCTAATTTATGTAAAGAGAACCACTATTAACCTAGTATGAACATCCTTTCAGTGTTTTCTGTGCATATTGACATATATTATTTATTCATAGAATACATACTTTTTCTTAATCAAATAAGGAGTATTCTGTGCATACTACATTATAATCTTATTTTTTCACTTAACATATAGTAAACATTTTTCTATATCATTAAATATTTTACATCCTGACTTTTATGGGCCACATTGTATGGATGCTCCATCATTATGCAACCAGCCTCCTATTTTGGGGCACTTACATTATCTTTAATTTTTTAAGGATTACAAATAACCTATTTAATAAACCTTCATAATTTCTCTTCAGCAAAAATAGACTCATCTATAAGAACAGGTTTCATGAATACATCAAACAAACCAAAACTCAAACCAAATAAGTGAACTAACTCACTCTTGACATTTTAAAAGCATTTAATTTTCCTAATAATTTCCTTAGCCTGAAAACATTTTGAGGCAGGAATTTTGGCTTTTAAAAGTTCTATGCAGCAGGAAACATATTATTCATTATATGTGTTGGGTTTTTTTTTTTTTTTTTGCAGTTACAAAATTGTCCCCTTCATGTTAAGATTACCTCAAGGTGCAAGTATAAAACATAAAACATCTAATTAAATATATAAAGCAGAACACTTGTCTGGCAGCATGATCAATGTTAATGACAATATGAATGTATAATAATGATTTTTGAAAATGTAGGAGAAAACCCTGGGTTAGTTTTTAGTATATAGGATATGAACTATTTTAAATTACAGTTCAGCATAATAAGTAAGAGTACCACACATGACCATACTAGACACAAATTGCATTATTTTAAAATAATGCCATTTATGTTCCCTATTTATTTCATTCCACAATTCTGAGATAAGTGCACTGAAAGCAAAACGCTTAATTTAAGAGGGTTTTTGGACCAAAGATCAAAAAGTAGGTGTGGGTAAGTAGGAACACATTTGAAATGGTTTCCCTTTGCGAATAATTATCATTTTTGTCAATTCAAGTCCTTTTATTTTTGTGCCTTATGATTTAGTTTGACAAGTGTGTGTGGGAAGTAATTTATTTGCAAATAAAGCCCTTTAGCATTTATAATGTAGGCATAAGCCCAAAGCTGGACCCAGTCTGATGTTTCCAAAGAATAAAAAAAAAAAATTAAGGCAGGCTACTCTTATAGAAATCTCTAAAGATAATTAAGGAAGATCAAAGACTCAAGGTGGTGAAATCTCCTCGTTTTCTGAGAAGGCTTTCCCTGGCTGAGCATTCACTGAAGGAAACAGGGTGGCAAAGAAAGGAATCTCAAATAAAACAAAAAGACACCTGAGAGAGCTTTAAAAGGACCTATTCTAAGGCTGTGAGGCAGCCTTACCTGAATCACATAGTCAATTTATTTAGGGTAATTTAATATTTTTAAGAACTCTCATTGTTTGAGACTATATGACCCAGCATAAATCTTCAGCATGCTCTATCCCTAGTGGAAAGGGGCAATCCCTATGCTGCCATGGGATTCAGACTTTTAGTACTTGGTTTCTGACGTGACTTGTATTTGTTTGTGTATTTTTTCAACTTGAGGAGGAAACTGTCTTGCAAATAACATTCTCCAGGGTCCTGGCACCAGGAAATTTTCCCAGCATACTCTGCGGCGTTTGTCAAACTTAGAATGAAGAGACGCCACTGACCCTGTTCTCAGTACATAGAACCCAGTCACTATGACAGTGACTGGACAGCAGCAGAGGAGAGGGTCTTCTGGGCATAGACTGTTTGGGCATAGATATATACCTTAAAAATTTTGGAAAAGGACAGAAATGAGAAGAAGAAGAAAAGAAAAAGGGGACAAAATGAAGAACAAAATATGTTACCTCAGGGTATAGTAATAAATTGCCCATACCCAAAGAGAAGCCTGGCTTTTTCCTTGGGCCCTGGGAGGTACTCTCTAACCCCTTAGAATGTCATATCTTTGTCTACCTGAGGGACTTGGGCCACGCCAGCAGTCTAATAATGTGCTTTTGGTGGGGCTGGAGACTGAGGTCGAACACATGGGTGATCAACCAGGTCTGTGTGACTGAGTCCCAATAAAAACTCTGGGCACCAAGCCGTGGGTGAGCTTCCCTGGTTGGCAGTACTTTGTGCATATTGCCTCACAATGTTACTGGGAAAGCTAATGCTGTCCACAATATGCTGGAAGAGAACAATCAGTTCTTTGTTGGGGACTTTTCTGGACACTGCCCTATGTATCACTTCCCTTGACTGATTTGATTCTGTAACCTTTCACTGTGATAAATCAAAACCATGAATATAACAGCTTTCAGTGAGTTCTGTGAGTCCTTCTAGTGAACTATGGAAACTGAGAGTGGTCTCCAGAAACCCTGGAATTGCATTTGGTGTCAGAAGTAAGGGTGGTTTTGTGTACTGCTTCCTGACTTTGCACTCAGGATAGCAACCCAGTTCTCTCCACAGTGGAGAGACCCACCTGTGAGCTTTGCCACCTTCTTCTCCTCCACATCTCTTTGGCACCCACCCATCACTCTACAACCGAGCACACCCACTATTCTATAAGATTGTGCCACCAGAAGATTCCTCCTTAACCTCCCACAATCCCCCTCTAGGAGAAATTGTCTGCTGTAGTCTGGCTACTCTCCTTATTACTTCTCTCATACATGAATATATTGCCATTACTCAGGCTGTTCCCTTGATTTAAGTGTCCCCTCCTCCCTCATCCCATCTAAATCCCACCTGTGTATACACTTAAGAAAGGGGATGTTTTCAACTTCTTTGCCTTTGGTTTGAATTTCCTCCCGTAGCTCGGAGTAGTTTGATCGTCTGAAGCCTTCCTCTCTCAACTCGTCAAAGTCATTCTCCATCCAGCTTTGTTCCATTGCTGGTGAGGAGCTGCATTCCTTTGGAGGAGGAGAGGCACTCTGCTTTTTAGAATTTCCAGTTTTTCTGCTCTGTTTTTTCCCCATCTTTGTGGTTTTATCTACTTTTGGTTTTTGATGATGGTGAGGTACAGATGGGTTTTTGGTGTGGATGTCCTTTCTGTGTGTTAGTTTTCCTTCTAACAGACAGGACCCTCAGCTGCAGGTCTGTTGGAGTTTGCTAGAGGTCCACTCCAGACCCTGTTTGCCTGAGTACCAGCAGTGGTGGCTGCAGAACAGCGGATTTTCTTGAACCGCGAATGCTGCTGTCTGATCGTTCCTCTGGAAGTTTTGTCTGAGAGGAGTACCCGGCCGTGTGAGGTGTCAGTCTGCCCCTACTGGGGGGTGCCTCCCAGTTAGGCTGCTCGGGGGTCAGGGGTCAGGGACCCACTTGAGGAGGCAGTCTGCCTGTTCTCAGATCTCCAGCTGCGTGCTGGGAGAACCACTGCTCTCTTCAAAGCTCAGATGGAACTGAGCAACCTGTTCCTGAATGACTACTGGGTGCATAACGAAATGAAGGCAGAAATAAAGATGTTCTTTGAAATCAACGAGAGCAAAGACACAACATACCAGAATCTCTGGGACACTTTCAAAGCAGTGTGTAGAGGGAAATTTATAGCACTAAATGCCCACAAGAGTAAGCAGGAAAGATCCAAAATTGACACTCTAACATCACAATTAAAAGAACTAGAAAAGCAAGAGCAAACACATTCAAAAGCTAGCGGAAGGCAAGAAATAACTAAAATCAGAGCAGAACTGAAGGAAATAGAGACACAAAAAACCCTTCAAAAAATTAATGAATCCAGGAGCTGGTTTTTTGAAAGGATCAACAAAATTGATAGACCGCTAGCAAGACTAATAAAGAAGAAAAAAGAGAAGAATCAAATAGACGCAATAAAAAATGATAACGGGGATATCACCACCGATTCCACAGAAATACAAACTACCATCAGAGAATACTACAAACACCTCTATGCAAATAAACTAGAAAATCTAGAAGAAATGAATAAATTCCTCAACACATACACACTCCCAAGACTAAACCAGGAAGAAGTTGAATCTCTGAATAGACCAATAACAGGCTCTGAAACTGTGGCAATAATCAATAGCTTACCAACCAAAAAGAGTCCAGGACCAGATGGATTCACAGCTGAATTCTAACAGAGGTACAAGGAGGAACTGGTACCATTCCTTCTGAAACTATTCCAACCAATAGAAAAAGAGGGAATCCTCCCTAACTCATTTTATGAGGCCAGCAACATCCTGATACCAAAGCCTGGCAGAGACACAACCAAAAAAGAGAATCTTAGACCAATATCCTTGATGAACATTGATGCAAAAATCCTCAATAAAATACTGGCAAACCGAATCCAGCAGCACATCAAAAAGCTTATCCACCATGATCAAGTGGGCTTCATCCCTGGGATGCAAGGCTGGTTCAATATACGCAAATCAATAAATGTAATCCAGCATATAAACAGAACCAAAGACAAAAACCACATGATTATCTCAATAGATGCAGAAAAGGCCTTTGACAAAATTCAACAACCTTCATGCTAAAAACTCTCAATAAATTAGGTATTGATGGGACATATCTCAAAATAATGAGAGCTATCTATGACAAACCCACAGCCAATATCATACTGAATGGACAAAAACTGGAAGCATTCCCTTTGAAAACTGGCACAAGACAGGGATGACCTCTCTCACCACTCCCATTCAACATAGAGTTGGAAGTTCTGGCCAGGGCAATTAGGCAGGAGAAGGAAAGAAAGGGTATTCATTTAGGAAAAGAGGAAGTCAAATTGTCCCTGTTTGCAGATGACATGATTATATATCTAGAAAACCCCATTGTCTCAGCCCAAAATCTCCTTAAGCTGATAAGCAACTTCAGCAAAGTCTCAGGATACAAAATCAATGTACAAAAATCACAAGCATTCTTATACACCAATAACAGACAAACAGAGAGCCAAATCATGAGTGAACTCCCATTCACAATTGCTTCAAAGAGAATAAAATACCTAGGAATCCAACTTACAAGGGACGTGAAGGACCTCTTCAATAACTACAAACCACTGCTCAATGAAATAAAAGAGGATACAAACAAATGGAAGAACATTCCATGCTCATGAGTAGGAAGAATCAATATCGTGAAAATGGCCATACTGCCCAAGGTAATTTATAGATTCAATGCCATCCTCATCAAGCTACCAATGACTTTGTTCACAGAATGCTTTAAAGTTCATATGGAACCCAAAAAGATCCCACATTGCCAAGTCAATCGTAAGCCAAAAGAACAAAGCTGGAGGCATCACGCTACCTGACTTCAAACTATACTACAAGGCTACAGTAACCAAAACAGCATGGTACTGGTACCAAAACAGAGATACAGATCAATGGAACAGAACAGAGCCATCAGAAATAACACCACATATCTACAACTATCTGATCTTTGACAAACCTGAGAAAAACAAGCAATGGGGAAAGGATTCCCTATTTAATAAATGGTGCTGGGAAAACTGGCTAGCCATATGTAGAAAGCTGAAACTGGATCCCTTCCTTACACAAGGAATTATACAAAAATTAATTCAAGATGGATTAAAGATTTAAACGTTAGACCTAAAACCATAAAAACCCTAGAAAAAAACCTAGGCATTACCATTCAGGACATAGGCATGGGCAAGGGCTTCAGGTCTAAAACACCAAAAGCAATGGCAACAAAAGCCAAAATTGACAAATGGGATCTAATTAAACTAAAGAACTTCTGCACAGCAAAAGAAACTACCATCAGAGTGAACAGGCAACCTACAAAATGGGAGAAAATTTTCACAACCTACTCATCTGACAAAGGGCTAATATCCAGAATCTACAATGAACTCAAACAAATTTGCAAGAAAAAAACAAACAACCCCATCAAAAAGTGGGTGAAGGACATGAACAGACACTTCTCAAAAGAAGACATTTATGCAGTCAAAAAACACATGAAAAAATGCTCACCATCACTGGCCATCAGAGAAATGCAAATCAAAACCACAATGAGATACCATCTCACACCAGTTAGAATGGCAATCATTAAAAAGTCAGGAAACAACAGGTGCTGGAGAGGATGTGGAGAAATAGGAACACTTTTACACTGTTGGTGGGACTGTAAACTAGTTCAACCATTGTGGAAGTCAGTGTGGCGATTCCTCAGGGATCTAGAACTAGAAATACCATTTGACCCAGCCATCCCATTACTGGGTATATACCCAAAGGACTATAAATCATGCTGCTATAAAGACACATGCACACGTATGTTTATTGCGGCACTATTAACAGTAGCAAAGACTTGGAACCAACCCAAATGTCCAACAATGATAGACTGGCTTAAGAAAATGTGGCACATATACACTGTGGAATACTATGCAGCCATAAAAAATGATGAGTTCATGTCCTTTGTAGGGACATGGATGAAATTGGAAATCATCATTCTCAGTAAACTATCACAAGAACAAAAAACCAAACACCGCATATTCTCGCTCATAGGTGGGAATTGAACGATGAGAACACATGGACGCAGGAAGGGGAACATCACACTCTGGGGACTGTTGTGGGGTGGGGGTAGGGGGGAGGGATAGCTTTAGGAGATATACCTAATGCTAAATGACGAGTTAATGGGTGCAGCACACCAGCATGGCACATGTATACATATGTAACAAACCTGCACATTGTGCACATGTACCCTAAAACTTAAAATATAACAATAATAATAATAATAAAAAGAAAGGGGAAAACGGCAATATCTTGGAAATTTTATTTGAAATAAATCCGAAGTCAATTATAGGTCAATCCAAAAATATGGTTGGATCCAAGGAGAGGCGTGATAGTCTACAGTGGGAGGTAATATCATAGAAACAACACTGGGTATCACCAGCCAAAAAGTCTTCTGTCTTTTTCAGAATAAATCTGAAGTGTTATCTTATTCTACTAAAGGTCTCATTACCCAAATGATGAGTTTTATGATTAGTCCTCTGTGCTCACAACCAGTGTTATCCTCACACGTAGACAAGTGGATGACAGTAGATGAATGTTTGGAACTTCGCCTGTTGTATGTTAATATTTCAGGATTTGAGGTCTCTTTATTACAAAAGTACAAATTGATTGAAACATAATTTGTTCTACTGTTTTCTGAATGTATTCTTTGCTTTTTTCCCCTTTTCATTAAGTACTCATTAAGTAATACAATGAAAATACAGATTTATACAGTTGAAACTCAATAATGCCGAAACATAGAAATATGCAAACTACGTAGAACCATCACAGTTTTGGGGTTGCTGATGGGACCATCATGATACTTCCTTGGCCACTTGCCATAATATGCACAGCTCTGTCCCTAGGGCTCAAGTGGGTCCAGTAACATCAGAGATGGGTCATTTTCAGTCCAGAGGATATACTGTCACTCCCAGCTGCACACTGCTGTAAACCATCCTGTAATGGTTTTGTATTATAATTTGGATATATAATGTATATTAAAATTATAGTTATAATGGTAGTTACAAAATGGATAATAACTTCAAGGGTATTTTTCTGTAAACAATTCCATGTCTGGCTCGCTTTCAGTGTTTCAGTTCCTTAATAAATGATCTGTACTTATTTGTTCACTAGCAAAGGATCTTTATGATATTTTTGAAAGTCTTTTTTCACCTCTGTGGTGAAATGAAAGTTCTTAAAATGTCATGTTCTGGCTTTAATAGGATGTTTACAGATTTTCTTGCTGCCCTTGCATCTCAGTATAGACAAGGCAGAGAGACACCTAAAAGAAGGTTACTCGGCCTTGGATATACTGGAAGTTCTGATTGGCAGCTATCCCCTTGTAGTTAGGCAAGACCCAGTTCCTCAGCCTGGAGAAGAAGCTGTAACACAGCACACAGCTCTTTCACCTCCTTGCACTTCAGAGCTGCTCCTGAGTTCATATGTCCTTAGGCAACTGTCAGGTTTATCAGATAATACATGAACAGCTGTCAGGTTTTTGCTTAGCTCACCATAGCCTCAAACACAGTTCAATCCTACTCTTTCTCCAGGGGCTCTTTCTATCATATAGCTTTCCCCCACCAGCATCAACTGCCCTCTTCCTTCTCCTGCACCTGACCAGCCTCTTCCACACCTTTGACATCATGTTTTTCCCACCCAAAATGATGCCTTTTACTCAACCCTTCTAAAAAACCTAGCAGCCCTTCAAAGCAAGCCCTAATGACCTCCTCCATTAGGAAGACCCCTCTGCTAAAACTCCTTCTAATTTTAGTTTCTTGCCTCCCTGACCTCCTGGTGAACTTACATTCATATGCTCATAAAGTGTTTAGTTGGAAGGACTTTGAAGGACTTTCAATTCAACATCCCTCTGAATGCAGTGCTTCATCCCAGGTCACGTTGAATTGGAAAAGGAAACACATTGCCCTCCTAGACTACCAGTCTGACTTTGGGCAGCTCTCTTATTAGGAGTTCTCCTTTACATTGAGCAACAGTCTGCTACTCTGCAACCCTTGGTTTTTTTTCTCTACAGCAAAATCAAATACAATAAAGTCACATTTTTTTGGCAAGGGTTTGTTTTTAAAGTAAACAGATAAGACAGATTCAAAATTACTATTGAAAATACCAGTCATGGGCCGGGCGTGGTGGCTCACACCTGTAATCCCAGCACTTTGGGAGGCCAAGGCTGGCAGAACACGAGGTCAGGAGATCAAGACCATCCTGGCTAACATGGTGAAACGCTGTCTCTACTAAAAATCCAAAAAATTAGCAGGGCGTAGTGGCGGGCACCTGTAATCCCAGTTACAGGGAGGCTGAGGCAGGAGAATCACTTGAACCCGAGAGGTGGAGGTTGCAGTGAGCTGAGATCTCGCCACTGCACTCCAGTCTGGGTGACAGAGTGAGACTCCATCTCAAAAAAATAAATAAATAAAAATAAAAAAAGAAAATACCAGTCATGTCTATGGCCATACCATGCTGAACATGCCTGATCTATGGGATCCACAAAATACCAGTCACTACCCAGAAATTGTAATAAACGCTGTTTTTTATATATAGTGCCTTCTTTTAGAGTGTCCATCATGGTTAGTTTTTTCTCCATTTTTAGAACAGATTTCTATTTATTTGGCTGCATTATAGATATAGTTATTGACTTGTAATTTAAAGGCTATTTATATATAAAAAATTGTTTTTAAATACTATAATCATATTAACATAGACATGCTGACAAGATGAAAGGCAGGGAACTAAGGTCGTTGAGGTAATAGCAGGTATATGTTCACTCCAGGAGACATCTACTCCCTCTCATACATTACAGGCTTCAAATAATTAACAGTAGCTCTTAGCAATCCCCAATTATTTTTGTTACTTTTGTCAATTTGATGATCTCCACTGTTTATTACTGCTCCTCCATGTTTTTACTCCTTTACCAGACAACTCTGATGTGGATATTACAAACGTCTTGGTTTCCTGACAAAGGACATAGTTTCAGGTTTAGAGATGTCGAATTGAGGCGAAGAGTAGGATAATCAAGCAGAGATTGTCCAGGAGGCCAACAGGCAGTTAAAGTTCAAGCAAAAGATCAAAACTGAAAATCTAGAATGTTGGAGTCACTCTCAGGAAGATGACAGTCTTGGCCTCGCGATTAAATTATGCAATTTCTTGGGCAGGGACTACTTCATATATTTCTCAATCCTCACAGTATGAAAGCAGCTCAGCAAGCCCTAAACAAATAGTTGTTGGATGACATTTCAATCTAAGTTCTAGGGAACCCAGAATATCAAAGCAAGTAATTTAGAAAGAAAGGGGGCGTATACTTGAGCAAGTTACATTTTTATGAACAATACAATCACCTTTTTCTCCATACCATCTGCAAACAGGCATGCATGCCTGAACATGCACACTCTGCCCACACAGCCCTTGGAAACTGGTCTCTGCAGAATTCTTCAGGTGCCAGGAGGGGGGATGTGGTGAGAGGCAGATGAAGAAGTCTTCAGGCTCCCCACCCCACCTCCAGCAGAGCAGCTCTGTTTTTAATCTCTTGTTCACATTGAGCCTCCTGGTAAGACTTTCTTGGACGAAAAGGTCTGAGAAGAAGGAGAGGAAGGGTAAGAGGGAGGAGGAAGAAGTGGAGGAGCTAGAGGAGAAGCAGGAAAAGATTAAAACCAGAGCTCTAGCCTACAGCAGAAGACCAATACAAAAGAGCCATCTGGGCATAAGAGGTCTCTAGGCTGGGACTATCCAAGCCATCATTTTTAGGGTTAACAGCTAAAGGACTCAACCTGCTTCTTGCTTCCACTCTACTCATCACAATCCTCATTTTTTTTACATTTTATTATTTATATATACATTGTTGAACTGACAGCATTACCATAGGGCACCACTGCATGAGAGAGAGCAAGAAGATAGCTCTGTCAAGCCTATTTTCCCATTTTGGAAAAACTAAATGATTTTTCTCTTTCCAGGGTCTCTGTAATGGCAGAGAAGTCTTCAGAATATACCTAAACTATGGTTGCTGTTTAGTGAAAATTCCAAATGTACCTTTTCAATATATACACAGAATACATACACAACAACTGGGATGCGTGGTGAGAAATGAAAATAGAAGATTAAGCATGCATGAGTAGAGGCAGGACCTGAGGGCATGGCTGAGTGCAGGCCAGGTGACCTACCCAGCTGGAGTGACAAGTGGCAGATAAAGCTGGAAAGTGAGCAGACATGGGAAGCCCCTGAATGCCCAAACGAACAATTGGGACTTTATTCCTTAGGCAATGAAGGACATCATTTTTTCTCTTTTTCTTTTTTCTTATTTAAGGAATAATCAGATGGGTGCACTTAGAGGATTAATCTGATGGAGGCAGGTGGGTAAGTAGGCCGACTAAACTCATGAGGTGTTTCTGTTCTTCACCTGCTTGAGCCTTGGTTTCCAAATCTCTAAAATACGGATAATGCTACTTTCATGGGATTGTAGTGAAAATTAAAGAGTAGCTGTTGTTGCCATTACTGATCTAGAGACTGTGTGGCAGGAAATTATGCATACAATCTCTGACATTAGACTGCCTGGGTTCAAATCCTAGCTCTGCTTGTAAACTCTATGACTTTGGGCAAGTTACATAAAATAGAGATGATAAGAAGAGTACCTACATCTTAGGACTACTGTGAAGGTTAAGGTTAATAAACGTGAGGTGTTTGGTAAGTACAATGCCATTGTCCAAGTCAGAGGTATAATTAGGATATTGCCGGTGGGAATGGAAAGGAGCAATTAAATTCAAGCAACATTGTTGAGATAAAATATGATGACCATTGTTCATGTGTGAAAGATAAAGGAGGGTTAAAATAACAGTGTGATTATCTTCGTAATGACCGAAAGAGTGGTGTCGTTAACAAGAACAGAGTCAGCAGGAGCACAGGCAGGCCTCGGAGGACAATTCATGAGTTTGTTTGGGGGTTAATATTGAGTATACTTACAAGATATCCATGTAGAGCTACTTGGCAAGTGGTCAGTATTGCAGGACTAGAACTGAAGGACAAGGCAAAGGCTGGATACCTAGGACCAAGGTGTTTATGTAGTAACATCAGTGGTTGAAATTATGACCTTAACTAAGACCATCAAGAAGAGAATAAAGAAAAAAAAGTTATGGCAGAAGATAGAAATTTTGGGAAGTTTAGAAAAGTCTCCTTTATATCTTGTTTTTAATGTATACAGTGTTATTTTTCCAGCTTATTTCAACAACGCCTGGGTGGCTGGGAACAATGGCTCATGCCTATAATCCCTGCCATTTGGGAGGCTGAGGCCAGAGGATTGCTTGAGGCCAGGAGTTCAAGACCAGCCTGGACAACACAGTGAGATCCCATCTCTACAAAAATGTTTTAAAAAATTAGCCAGGTTTTGTAGTGCACACCTATAGTCCCAGCTATCTGGGAGACTGAGGAGAGATGATTGCTTGAGCCCAGGAAGTTAGGACTAGAGTAAGCTGTGATATTGCCGCTGCACTCCAACGTGGGTGACAGAACAAGAATGGGGAGCTAATTTTTAGGAACTTTTCAAGTTATAAAAGTAACTCTCATTTACTGTAAACAGTTCATAAATATAGGATAATGCAAGAGGAGGAATAATAATGATTCCAAGCCCCACTATGAACATTTAGATGTATTTCCTTCCAAATAACTGTACTTTTTTCTTGCTCAATAGGAATTATACTATTTAAATAGCTTGTATTCTATTTTTTTTTCACTTAGAAATAGTATGATTCTCCCATGAGAATTTTCTCCTGTCATTAAAGATTTTAAAGGAGTGAGGAAGCAGGATATTTCCCTGACCCCATTGTGGGACTCGGGACAGGGATGCCTTGTTTACTCAGCCCGCTGCTCTCAACTCCTCGCAGGAGGAAGCATGCAAGCAAAAGAGGTGGGAAGTGGAGTGCACGAGTGCTGGAACCAGCTGACCAATTCAGTGCCAGCAGGATCAAACTTCACTCACTCTGACCTGCCTCATTGCACCCCTTGCGGAAGGGAGCACACAGGTGAGTGGGTGCAGGAGCCACAGCTAGCCCTTTTGGGCACTGGCGCAAGCGAACTCCATGCAGGACCTGCAGCATCTAGTTGGGAGTGCATGAGACCCCTGAAGCCCCAGAGGGTGTGTTACTGTGCTCTTTTAGCTCTGTCATCTGTGGATGGCTTAAGTGTTAACAGCTCAGTGGGCCCTCTGCCTTTTCATCTGAGGCAGCTGCCTTCCTCCAGTGAGGGCAAAGGGCCAGTGTGATAGCCTTTTGTATCCACACTCATGGCTCCCAAGCTCTTGTCCAGTGTCCAGGAAAAATGAGGTTGCATGAGCAAACTGAAGGATGGTAAATACGGGGAATTTTATTGCTGATGGAAGTAACCCTCAGTGTGAAAGGGAGCTGAAAAGGGGATGGGATGGGTAGGCAATCTTCCCCTCAGGTCCAGAAGTCCAGCCATCTCTGTCTGGACTCTTGCCTGAAATTACACTGTCAAGCTGTCCCTCTGAAGTCGAGCCACTTCTCTCTGATGTCCAGCCATAGTCCCTGACATCCAGCTGCTTCTCCTCTCTGCCGGCTGAGTCTAGGGTCCTCATAGGCACATGATGGGGCAGGGCAGGGCCAGGGGTGGCTTAGGAAAAGGCAATATTCAAGCAGGAAAACAGGGATATAAATTCTCACTTTGGGCTGCAGTCTCAGGCTTTTTGTCTTGAGAGTGGGGCTTCACCAGGGACCTGCCCTTTTCTTCCTAGAATTTCTCTCACCCCTGTCCCTATCGGTATCATGATGAATGGTTGCATAGTGCCCACACACACATTTCTTAAGACTGAGAATCAAACATGTGATCAAAGGTACATAATCATTTTTAGTTGAACTTCAGAGGGCAGAGTAGTAGCTAGGACTTCCTGTGATATTACACCTTCCATTTTGGGGCTAGGCTAAATCTCCCTCGCTCTAAGGAAATATAATCACAATGTAAAACATTTAAACTGCAATTAAAAAGAATGGCTGGGAGGCCAGATGCAATGGCTCATGCCTGTAATCCCAGCCCTTTGGGAGGCTGAGGCTGAGGCCAGAGGATTGCTTGAGGCCAGGAGTTCAACACGAGCCTAGGCAACATAATGAGGTCCCGTCACTTCAAAAATTTTTTAAAAAATTAGCCAGGCGTGGTAGTGCACACCTGTAGTCCCAGCTATTTGGGAGGCTGAGGAGGAGAGATGCTCACTTGAGCCCAGGAGGTTGAGGCTACAGTGAGCTGTGATCTCACCACTGCACTCCAACCTGGGTGACAGAACAAGACCCTGCCTGTAACCAAAAATAAAATAAAATAACAGCTGTCAACAAAATCAAGTGTATTATTCACACTCAATCTTTGCCGATTAGAATTGCAACCCAGAAAAAAGTATTAGTGTTTGGAAGCTACGTTATGTACTTGTAACAAAGGTGCTTTCTTGCTTTTTGGCCAAAAGGACTCTACCATCTACACATGAGTATTATAATAAAGACTTGATCTCAAGGTATTTTCATCCTGGCCAGGCACATGTGATCACTTTTCATGTAATTTACAGCAGTACTATGTGGGGAAAAAAGTGTTGATTTTCTTTACTTTATTATCAGAATTTCACAAGCTAAACGGTCTATTCAGGTGGGAGGAAGTGATAAATGTATTTCCTTAGGCTTATAAATTTGCGTTATCTGCAAAGGTATAATACATCAGCTTCTCCCATTAAGTCTCTTTATCAAAACGTCTTCCTTTGTTTACTCACCAGAAAACAGAAGAAGGTGGAATTAAAACTTTGTTGGTTTCTGATAATAAAACATACAGGCCAAACTATGGGAAGAGATGCAAATTCCCCTTGAATTCTGCTTCACCTGCCTGACAAGATAAATCTCTCAGCTAGCACATGTGATGTGTTTTCCAAATTATTTCTCTTTAGTAGATGCTACAAAATTGCTCTGACAGCACGGAAGACTGGCTTGTCAAAAGAAGAGGAGAGAAAATTATAATCAAAATGAATTCAGAATCCAAGGAAATTATATTTCTCCATCTCTCTTTATCAATGTTGTATGGGATTCATGTAGCTCATTCGGTGCAGAAGGGAAGATGACTGTTTCAAAGAATGGGACACACCAGTGTTTTTGACTGAAGCATGAATTTGCTTCACAACCAAGGAATGTTTAATGGATAGTAATGTTTTCTCTATTGAAATTCCAATAAAAATACAAGAATTTAGAAGAACATACAAAACAAAAGGAAATAAAAAACTTAAGAAGAAAAAGCCTTACTTCAAAAGGGACATTAACATTTCCTTGTATTCCTTCCTTTTGCCATGAGAAGAATGTTCCTTAATTAACTGCTGGTCCAAGGAAGATGAGTGACTCGTGTAGCAGACCTGGTCCCAACCTGCAGTGTGAGGCAAGTCTAACCAATCCACAGGTGCAGAGTGGGAAATAAATGCTTATTGTTGAATAACATTGAGATTTTGTGCTTGTTTGCTATGCAGTGTTATTGTGGCAGAGGCCCGCTAATGCAGCATGTATTTACCAGTATTGTTTTAAACTCTTTTTACACATTAGGTCATTTAATCCTCAGAACAACCCTATGTGGTAAGTACTAGTATCATCTCTACAATGCAGAAAGCTGAGACACAGAAGGTAATGAACTTGTCTGACGCTCCATAACAGTAAGTGGTGGAGCATTGGAAGGCAAGCTGCAGGCCCAGGGCCGGGGTGCTTGTGTGCTGGCCCCCATCACACACTGCTCATGCTTCCATTCCCTCTCAAAATTCTTACTCACCCGGAGTTGACTTCCCCCAAGTTAACAAGTGCTAAGTTTACCTTCTTTCTCTAATCCTTTACATAGTGATCTACTTATTTGTTCATATACCTTCTAGAAAATTTGAAGAACAGTGGAATCATATGAAATGTCATTTTATAGGTTAAAACAGTCAAATATCACCAGCCTCATTTGATTCAATCTACCCTGCCACACATTTTTTAAGTAATATCTAAATTTTTTCTTTCTAGATTAAATTGTTATAAAGATGGTAACTTCAAGAATATTGAAAATTCTGAATTTTCAAATAAAAATCCATCATACTGTTAATGTATCCAATGGAACCTAATACCACAGTTTTTTAAATTGAGGTACAATTCACATAACATAAAATTCACCATTTTAAAGTGTATGGTTCAGTGGCTTTTAGTACATTTACAACATTGTGGAACCATCACCTCTATCTAGCTCCAAAACAGTTTCATCATCATCCCAAAAGAAACCCCATATATATTAAACAGTCATTCTCCATTCCCTTCATCTCCCATCCCTTGGCAACTACTAATCTGCTTTCTGTCTCTGTGGATTTGCCTATTCTAGACATTTCATATAAATGGAATCATATAACATGTGGGTTTTTGTGACTGGTTTCTTTCACTTAGCATAATGTTTTTGAGGTTCATTCATGCTATAGTACCTATCGATACTTCATTTCCTTTAATGGCTGAATAACATTCATGGTATAGTTATAGCAAATTTTGTTTATCCATTCATCAGTTGATGGGTTGTTTCTGCTTTTATTTATTATTAATAATGCTGCTATGAATGTTCATGTACAAATTTTTATGTGAACATATGTTTTCAGTTCTCTTGGGTGTATACCCAGGAGTGGAATTGCTAGGACATATGCTGAGATTTGGCTGCTTTTCTTGATTAAGTGTTCCCCTGGTTGTTGTAAGCTTTTGATTACATTCTAGGTTCTGAAAAAGTTGGTTCTGACAGTTGTGCCACTTTATGCATGGCTTTTGTGGAGGGACAGACTTTTGGAATTCATACTCTGCCATTTTTGCTGATACCTCACCTACCAGAGTAACCTGATGCCTGTCTTCATCCATTTACAAAAATACATTTGTGGAAAAAAACTCAGAAAAGTCAGAAATTTTACATTGTTTCTTTTTTTGTCTTCAGCTTACATATTCATTCTTTATTCTCTGTAGAATTTTATCCTAATAAAATATATCTTTATGCTTAAAAGTTTTTTATTAATTACTGTATAATCTCTCTCTGGATATATATAAATTAAATTTTAAAATTCTTTGACTATATGCCCTTGCTATTGAAAAATTTCCCCTGGATTAAATTGGAATTATATTATTATAACTCATCATTAATTTAAATATATTAAACATATGATCATTCTTATCATATTTTTTGGAAACATCTGAAATGAATGGAGCACTCCCTTCCTTTCAGTTTATGTACCTTTGGATGAATCACTTATTGCTAAAATGAGGCAGGGCTCAGAGTGTGGAAATCTCATTTACATAAATAAGTTAACAAAATAGAAAAAGTCTAATTATAACGATGTCACTCATTTCTGTAAACATCAGCTGTATTGGATCAGCCAAAAACACATTATAATAAATAATAATTTTATTTTAATTTTCTATGTGTTGGATATCTTCTATTTACCATTCTAGATCTATACCATCCTCTTCTACCTTACTTCTTGCCTGGAGGCTGACCTGTATGGACTATATCAGCATGCTTGCCTTCTTGCGTCCAGCTGGATTTTACCAATGAGTACCTCTTGGCAGGAGATTAGAGGAAGAGAAGAGATGGCTATTTATTCTCCCAGCTCCTTCCCTGAAAAATTACATCCCCTTTCAAGGTAACCCTATCTATGCTATCTCCTTCTGGGTCCTAGTAAACGCTTCCTTGTATCCCTTTAGGCCCAAAGATATTGACAACCTTCTTGTTACTATTCTCAGGATATTACACTATCTTTGGTTTCTTTACATCCTGCTCACATTTGTAAATAGTTTATTTATTACACATATCTTGACCTTTTACCTAATGCATGCCATGTGTTTCTTGCCATGTGGCCACGGGTGGTTGCCGTGACTAATTCAGTCCGCCAGTGGGCAATACAATTATGTTTCTCTTAAATTCTGTTACAAGAAAAAAAGTATATACCACATAACTTGTAAAAGGATTTGTTGGACCAACACTTGTCCAATATGGTAGCCACTAGTCACATTTGTCTAAATTTAAATTAACTGAATGAAATCAAGTTTGAAATTTAATTCTCAGTCACATAAACCACATTTCAAGTTCTCAATATTCACGTGTGTCTAGTGGCTACAACATGGGACAGGGAAGACATCGGACATTTCCATCATTGCAGAAAGCAATGCTTTAGACAGTTATTTGTATAGTAAGTATGCAATTTAAAATCTACACTGGGACAACATTTATAGTTTTGAAAACTATTTATAAAATGAAAATTATTTTTCTTATATTCATTATCCTATAAAATCATTCCATTCAAAAATTATTTTCAAAAATAAAATTTTTCTTAAAAATTATTAATAAATACTATATATCCGATTTATGTAGACTGAAGCAAAATTTTTGTAAAGCTTATTTATGTTGAGTATCTGAACA
The DNA here is from genome assembly GCF_000001405.40 of Homo sapiens. Lineage (NCBI taxonomy): Eukaryota > Metazoa > Chordata > Mammalia > Primates > Hominidae > Homo > Homo sapiens. The sequence goes on along the minus strand of NC_000006.12, from coordinate 79,445,655 downwards.
TTAAAAATAATATAAGCATAATGTATTAGAGTGATTTCAAACATACCTGCTATATTAGTTTCCTGTGACCGCCATAACCAAATACCACAAACATGGTGACTTAAAACAACACAAATTGATTCTCTCACAGTTCAAGGCCAGAAGTCCAAAATCAAGATATCAGTGCTTCCTTCAGAGGCTCTAAGAGATTCTGTTCCTTGTCTCTTTCAGCATCTGACAGATGCCAGCATTCCTTGGCTTGTGGCTGCATATGCCTCAATCTTCACATGGTTTTTCTTCTGCCTGTGTGGCTCTCCTTTGTGTGTCCCTTATAGGAACACTTGTCATTGGATGAGGGTCCCCCTAGGTAAGACAGGTTGATATCCTCATCTCAAGATCTTTAACTTAGTTACATCTGCAAAGGCCCCTTTTCCAAGTAAGGTAACATTCACAGGTTCTGGGAATTAGGACATAAGCATTTATTTGGGGGCCACTATTCAACCCACTGTAAGGACCAAGAGTTTTTTGCATATCATATTTGCTTGTGGCTTCTCTAATCAAGAGATGAGGGTAAACCATATCTGGTCTGATCTTGGGACTTGTTTTGACCAATAGAATACAGCAGACATGACATTCTAGGACTTTTGGGTCCAGGCCTGCAATGTTCACACAGCCTCTGCTTTTGATCAGAGGGAAAAACAGCTGCTATGTGAGGAAGTTCACTTATTGTCCTTGAGAGAGTGGCCACATGGAGAGAAAAAACCTCTGATGCATGAGACACTATGGAGGGATGTAGAAAGAAGCCCAGCCAGCCCCTGAACTACAGGTAAAAACTGGAAGAACAATGGGACTATTTATGGAAGTTAGAAGATCAGTAAGCAAATTATTATTGGAGGCTGGAGAAGAATGCCCAATATTAAGCAGTGAGGAAACATTTGAAAAAACTATTAAATGCAGAAATATAAAGATAGAAAATATACCTAAGGATTTTGTGGATCTGGCTAAGCAGGTTTCCAGGCAATTTTTTTTTTTTTTTTTTTGAGACAGAGTCTCGTTCTGTCACCCAGGCTGGAGTGCAGTGGCGCGATCTCGGCTCACTGCAACCTCCACCTCCCGGGTTCACATCATTCTCCCGCCTCAGCCCCTCTAGTAGCTGGGACTACAGGTGCCTGCCACCACGCCTGGCTAATTTTTTTGTCTTTTTAGTAGACACAGGGTTTCACCGTGTTAGCCAGGATGGTCTTGATCTCCTGACCTCCTGACCTCGTGATCTGCCCGCCTCGGCCTCCCAAAGTGCTGGGATTACAGGTGTGAGCCACTGCGCCTGGTCTCCGGGCAAAATTTTGCATGTGCAACTGGCTTCTGATATGGTTTGTCTGTGTCCCCACCCAAGATGTCCCCTCATCTTGAATTGTAACTCCCACAATTCCCACGTGTTGTGGGAGGAACCTGGTGGGAGGTAATTGAATTATGGGACAGATATTTCCTGTGCTGTTCTCGTGATAGTGAATAAGCCTCATGAGATCTGATGGTTTTAAAAACAGGAGTTTTCTTGCACAAGCTCTCCTCTCTTATCTGCTGCCATGTGAGATGTGCCTTTCACCTTCTACCAGGATTGTGAGGCCACCCCAGCCACGTGGAACTGTAAGTCCATTGAACTTCTTTCTTTTGTTGCAAATTGCCCAGTCTTGGGTATGTCTTTATCAGCAGCATGAAAATGGACTAATTGGTACCAGTAGAGTGGGGTGCTGTTGAAAAGATACCCAAAAATGTGGAAGTGACTTTGGAACTGGGTAACAGGCAGAGGTTGGAACAGTTTGGAGGGCTCAGAAGAAGACAGGAAAATGTGAGAAAGTTTGGAAGTTCCTAGAGACTTGTTGAATGGCTTTGCCAAAAATGCTGATAGCAATATGGACAGGCTGAATTGGTCTCAGATGGAAATGAGGAACTTGTTAGGAACGAGAGCAAAGGTGACTCTTGTTATGTTTTAGCAAAGAGACTGGTGGCATTTTGCCCCTGTCCTAGAGAGTTGTGATACTTTGAACTTGAGAGAGATGATTTAGGGTATCTGGCAGAAGAAATTTCTAAGCAGCAAAGCATTTAAAAGGTGACTTGTGTGCTGTTGAAGGTATTCAGTTTTATAAGGGAAGCAGCACATAAAAGTTCAGAAAATTTGTAGCCTGACAATTCAATAGACAAGAAAACCCCATTTTCTGAGGAGAAATTCAAGCTGGCTTGCAGAAATTTGCATAACTAACTAGGAGCCAAATGTTAATCCCCAAGACAATGGGGAAAATGTCTCCAATGTGTCAAAGGTCTTCATGGCAGCCCCTCCCATCACAGACCTGGAGGCCTAGGAGGAATAAGTGGTTTCGTGGGCAGGTCCCAAGGTACCTGTGCTGTGTCCAGCCTAGGCTGTGGCTCAGGCTGTGGTTTCAGAGGGTGCAAGCCTCAAGCCCTGGCAGCTTCCATGGGGTGTTGAGCCTGCCAGTGCAAAGAAGTCAAGAATTGGGGTTTGGGAGCCTCCGCCTGGATTCCAGAGGATGTATGGAAACACCTGGATGTCCAGGCAGAAGTTTGCTGCAGGGGCAGGGATCTCATGGGGAACTTCTTCTAGGGCAGTGCAGGAGGGAAATGTGTGGTTGGAGCCCCCACACAGAGTTCCTACTGGGGCAACACCTAGTTGGGCTGTGAGAAGAAAGCCACCATCCTCCAGACCCCAGAATGATAGATCCATCGATCACTTGTACCGTGCACCTGGAAAAGCCACAGACACTCATGCCTGCCATGACAGCAGCCAGGAGAGGGGTTATACCCTGCAAAGCCACAGAGGCTGAGCTGCCCAAGAGCATGGGAAACTACTTCTTTCATCAGTGTGACCTGGATGTGAGATTTGGAGTCAAAGAAGATCATTTTGGAGCTTTAAGATTTGACTGACCCACTGGATTTTGGACATGCATGGGGCCTATAGCCCCTTTGTTTTGACCAATTTCTCTCATTTGGAATGGCAGTATTTACCTAATGCCTATACCCCCATTGTATCTAGGAAGTAACTAACTTGCTTTTGATTTTACAGGCTCATAGGTGGAAGGGACTTCTTTTATCTTAGATGAAACTTTGGACTATGGACTTTTGAGTTAATGCTAAAATGAGTTAAGACTTTGGGGGACTGTTGGGAAGGCATGATTGGTTTTGAAATGTGAGGACATGAGATTTGGGAGGGGCCAGGGGCGGAATGTTATGGTTTGGCTGTGTCCCTACCAAAATCTCATCTTGAATTGTAACTCCCATAATTCCCATGTGTCGTGGGAGGAACCTGGTGGGAGGTAATTGAGTTATGAGGGCGGGCCTTTCTTGTGCTGTTCTTGTGATAGTGAATAAGTCTCATGAGATCTGATGGTTTTAAAAATGGGAGTTTCCCTGCACAAGCTCTCTTCTCTTGTCTGCCACCATGTGAGTCGTGCCTTTCACCTTCCACCATGATTGTGAGGCCTCCCCAGCCACATGGAACTGTAAGTCCATTAAACCTCTTTTTTTGGTTACAAATTTCCCAGTCTTGAGTGTGTCTTTATAGCAGCATGAAAACAGACTAATACAGCCTCTTATATTACATATTAAAAGGTATTGCAAAAATGATATTGACTAAGCAGGAATGATTCCATTTTCAAGTCAAATGTAGAGAAAATATTTCCAACTGAGGACTTGCTGAGTAGGAAAATAAAATATTTTCTCATTCCCACATTCTTGAGTTAGAAAAATATTCTAAAAGTGAGAAAGAGCCCCAGGAAAAAGATAGAATTCAGGAATTGTCAATAAAACGTGGCCTTAGTGTAAAGATCAAATCAACAGTGTAGTTACAAGATCCCTAATTTAACTCAGTGCCTCATCAACCTTCTCAGCTAGACAAAACAGCTTGTAAGAATTTTAAGAATATTATTCCACAACACTCTGACTCAAAGCCTGCATTAGAGAAGGTCTTGTCTTGAAGAGATTTGTATGTGTGACTTTTTCACTTATAAGAAGATTTATTTTGGATTTTGGATTTAGAATTTGATACACAGGAAGCACATTAAATTTCTTAAGGTATTATATCAGCTTGAACTAAAAAAGGACATGGAAGGTGAAATATGACAAAAGGTCTTTTTTTTAATTTCATTTTTCTCTGGGCCCTCAACTTGCTTTGCAAAAGGTAGACTGGGACAGCTACATGATGGCAAGCATGGAAAATTTCCTATGAACAAAGGAAATATGATTCAGAGGGTGGAGCCCAGAGCCCTGCAAACAGAAGTATAAGCTATTAGAAGCAATGGATTAGGTAATCACTTCCATATAGCAAAACTGAACCTGAATCAAGAAACATTCCTTGCCTTCAGATTAGGGGACACTGATAAGATGAGCCTGGCTGTAATTCAGAATTTCTGTTGACTAGTGACTGCTTTGTGCCTTCATTTCTCCCTTTTATAAATGAATGTCTAATATGGTTATTCTAGTCTGTCTTAACATTATATTGTTGGGCATGGAGGTACAGATAACTTGCATTTTTGCTTCACAGTTCATATCAAAAGGAGCTGCACTTATGAAATTTCATGCACATCTGTATGATCCCAATGTAGATCAAGAGATACTGGGCATAGGATTTGATATTATAATTTGTTGAGACTTTGGGAGTCTTTGGAACAGTTGACTATAGTTTGCATATGGAAGTAATGTGAGTTTTTGTGGCCAGAGGGCAGACTGTGGGAGATTGTATGTAACTACAGCCAGTAAGAATTATTTATGCACTTGCCAGTTCTCTGACCGAGAGAGCACATCTGTTTACTCATACCTTGAATCTGCACTGAACTTGTGATTTTTTTGACAAGTTTAATGCAGCAGAAGTCATATGCTTGGATTTTTGAGCCCAGACATTCAAATGTCATATAGCTTCTGTTTTCACTCAGAGAGGAAACAAGCAGCTATATAAAGAATCCATGTAAAGAGAGAGCATGTGCAGAAAAAGAGGCCCCAGAGTATAAGAGCCTGTGAAGGGAGAGATAGAGAGGATCAGCCAGGTCCCAGCCACTTCAGTCAAACATTAGAGAAATGTGACATGTGAGCAAAGCTATCATGGATTCTCCAGTCAATGCACATGTTGCAGAAATGAGCTTTCCCTTTTGAGCACTGCTTAAATTCCTGAACAGCAGAACTGTGAGAGTTAAATGATGGTTTTAAGCCAACAGTGTGACACAGGTTCACTGTGCACTGGTTACCAACTTGTCTGAATCCAGTGAGATAGAACTGTCACATACAAGTTCCATGAAGCAGGCTTATTACTTACAGATAGGGAGCAAGGGACAATAGAAGCCTAGGATTCACTATGAGCCAGTCCCCTCTCTACAGGGGGCAGAGGGATATCATACACCCATACCTAAGTAAATGTTTTATTTTAAAGAGTCCAGTTTACTCTGCTGGGAATTACCAGCAAAGAAAAGAGAAGGTATTGAGTCCCTAGTAATTGTAGAGTTTACAAAAAGTAAATTGATGATTGCTATTAAATAAATTATGTATCACAAAACAACATCAAATAGTTGAATAAACACAATAACTGAGGAGTGACAGTGAGCAGGAGATTCGTGTCTCTGTTAAATAAAATAAAGATGATTTTTCTTATAAATGGCCTTTTTGGAAAAACTTGATGCAAGTAAACATGGACATTTTTGTCGCTTCTTCCTTGAAACCATGCACATATGCAACTGAGACACAGGCCATGATGCAGGTTAATAATGCAAATTATCAAGCTCATTCTCACTACTGAGAATCATAAAGATGCAGAGAGAACACACATCTTAACCGACTGGAACTTCCTAGCATGGTTTCCGGTTAAATATTCTAGTTAAATAGATAAAAACCTTTGATAAAAAATTATTTCATAAGTTTGTCACTTGTACAAAATAACACACCTATGCCTTCAATATTTCTTACTGATAATCTCTTTTCTTTTCCTCTGCCAATATATCATATTTCAATTTTGACATTTTAAACCCTTTGGTTTGATGAGGGTTTTTTCCACCCTGGAAAAATGTGTGTAGTTGGATTCAAGAAGAGTAAAAGGTTTGTTCTTGAGTACATTGGGAGAAAGGTGATAGTGGTGAGAGATAAGAGGAGAACTACCAGAGGGATATACTGTAGGCAGGTGTGTTTTAGGAAAGAGAACATATGGAGGGTAAGGACTTGGATTCTTTAAAGAAATTATTTATTAATTTCAACTTTTATTTTAGGTTCGGGGGTACATGTGCAGGTTTTTTACATAGGTATATTGTATGATGCTGAGGTTTAGGGTATGAATGATCCCATCACTCAAGCAGTGAGCATAGTACCCAATAGGTAGATTACTAGTGGTCTCTAGTGTCTATTGTTCCCATGTTTATGTCCATGAGTATCCAATGCTTAGCTCCCACAATGCTTAGTTCTCACTTATAAGTAAGAACATGCTGTATTTGGTTTCCTGTTCTTGACTTAATTCACTTAAGAACCTGGATTCTTTAAAGCCACCCCCCATGACCCCACCCAACATGGTCTCTTAGGGCAAGTCGGCATGTACTCTGATATACCCAGACTCGTTTGAAGAGTGCTACTTTACATTATCTTACATTGGGTAATCAAGCTTTTTAATTGTTTATCCACAATGGGTTAATAGCTACTACACTGTCATAGCCTGCAGTGTTGATGTATTCACTTCTGCCCAGGAAGGCGAGAGTATTTTGTGTGATCCTCATTTTTGTGACTTTAAATCAGATGAGACTTCAAATTTACACATTTTCTTCCATTGCTCTGTGCTTTATTACATGGTTAAGTGCTTTAAGATTTATTAAATCCAGGTGTTTTATTTCTCAGTAATCACCAGAACTCACCTGATTTGATTATGCCAATCTGTTATTTTTAAGAATTGTTTTTTTTAAAATATTCTTTCCCAGTTAATATTGTATATGTGGCTTTCTTGATTTAAAAATATATTAAGAAATGTTGTAATTTTATGAAAGATCATGTGAAAAAGTTTACTGAAGCATTTGTTTTCCTTATGCTATTAACAAAGCTTAATAACAAAGAATGTATTCTAGAGTAATATTTGGGGCTATTTCTAAAACACATTTCTTGCAGTGATCTCTACACTTTCCTCATGAATACAAAGCAATGTGTTTCTGTTTTTCTGGGCATAGAAGTGGATAGCACAATGATATAACTCCTTATTCACAACATCATTGCAGCTCCATATTAAAAACATTTTTGCTTAAATAATGAGCATTTTTGCTTATCCATAAAGAACCCACGAGACACAAAAAAATGTTTTTCCCAGATGGTCCTTTTTGCATGAAAATTACTAACCCAGACATCAAAAGCAAACAATAAAGTGTTGAAATATGTAATTTGGGCCAAAACAACAGAGTCTGGAACTTCCACGGGCTTTGTGATTTTAAGAGAACAGCTGGGTGTGTGCAGGCAGTCAGCCCAGCTATGACTCTGAACCTCTGTTGTGTTTCTTTTTCTATACAGTCACTATGGGTACAGTTTCCTTCTTTTGGAAATGGAAGCATGGTTATAATAATTCTTGAACTTGAGAAAGGCATAGGCATTTGCTTACCTTTTATAAAAGGGGTAAATCATTTTTAGTATTTATGGTGTAATCAGTTGTTTTTGTTTGCCTGCTATTCATTTGCGTTTTTGCTGGTAAAATAACCAATATGTTCCTTGGGGAACTACCCCTTTCTCCACAGACTCAGCCATGGTTGTCCCACAAGACACATAGCCTTGATTTCAAGTTGTCTAGGAATCAGCCATATATAATACAATCACAACCTCAGTCCTTTCGTCAGGATACACCCACAGCGCTGGAGGTACTGGTCCAAGGAAGTTTTGGTATCAGCTGTGCACTAAGTCCAGAATGAGTGCTTCCTCCATCTGATTAAGGCCCTGACACTGAATCAGGGTCACCAATGCAGACTCTTCTCCCTTATCACAAATTCTATCTTTGGACTTAATTACCTTTGCTGGTCATCTTCACCAGGGCTTTGGAGGCCCATCAGGCCATTTTGACAACTCTGAACTTGAGAGTGGAAATCTGAGCTGGACACTCACTTGAGGAGGGCTATGAGACACCATCTACTCAAAGGGCCAGAGCCCTGGTCGAGATCTCACAAAGATCCAATTATCTCCCCTTATCAGCTCATGGGTGGTTATTTCCTTTACATGTATATCACACAAGGAACAATTTGGGGATTCCCCCACCCACCCCGAAAAAGAATCCAGCTCCAAAGGTAAACTGACATCTCCGTTATCAGAGACAGAAAACTATCAACAATTTTTAAGGAACCTGTTACCAGTTTAAAAGAAAATAGTACTATATATACATATATATAGTGCATCTTTAAAAGAATTAGGCAGAGTATACATATTTAATTTTAAAACTATGATGATTGCTTCCTGCTCCTCTCCTCCTCCACGGGCTCCCTGGAGTCCTTGCAAGCTGGCCAGGATGTCTCAGGCTGAGTTTGAGAGAGCTGTGGAAGACGTTAAACACCTTAAGACCAAGCCAGGGGATGATGAGATGTGTTCCTCTATGGCCACTACAAACAAGCAACTGTGGGCGACATAAATACAGAATGGCCTGGGATGTTGGATTTCAAAGGCAAGACCAAGTGGGATGCCTGGAATGAGCTGAAAGGGACTACCAAGGAAGATGCCATGAAAGCTTACGTCAACAATGTAGAAGAGCTAAGGAAAAAACATGGAATGTAAGAGACTGGATTTGGTTGCCAGCCATGTGTTTATCCTAAACTGAGACAGTGCCTTGTTTTTCCTAATACTGCAGATGATGGAAACTAGGGAAAATAACCAGTTAACCCAGCTCCTCAAGGCTGCTCACCATAGGGCTCTAACAGATTAGGGGCTAAAACAATTACTGACCTTCTCTGAGTAGTTTTTATCTGATATCAATTAAAAGTGTATTTGTGTTAAAAAGAGAAAACTATAATGAACGCAGGTTTTGGATAATTAAGAAGCAACCTCAACAAGTTTCTGAGATCCATTATTATAGAAGTATGGAGTAACAATTAACAGGGCATTCTAGTTAACAGAAGCCTGAACACAAGATTATTTCTTGTATTTATTATGTATTTGCATGCACATTGCAAGATCTTAAGAAATTCACTAAGTAGTCATAACCTTTGCTTTCTAGGAATCTAGACTATGACGTTAAAAGAACGGCATTTTCATGATCACCCCAGTGTAAACCTGACACTCCCCATCATTACTAACATTCTTTCAGATAATGTCTGAATTTCCTCCCACTTTCATTGTGGGTATTGGGAGGGCAAAGAGTAGAAAACAACAACTTAGGGAATGCACAAACATGGAATTGGGATTTGCAAACCATATTCAGGAAGAGACAGCTTTGGCTAGAGCAATAGTTTTAATGATTTAATGGTTTTTAATTTTTTTTTAAGGGCTTTGTTTAGATGTCTCAGGATTCTTTGAACTTCCCATGGCACGTGGGGAGTGGGCATCAAGTGGATGGGGCTGTAATGTTTTTAGGCACTACAATGAACTGAATGATTATATTTCTCCCCAGACTCATATGTTCAAATCCTAACTCCAAATGTGATGGTATTAGGAGGTGAGACCTTTGCAAAGTGATTAGATCATGAGGATGGAACCCTCATGAATGGGACTAGTGCCCTAAAGTAACCCCAATTACCTCTCTGGCTTTCTGCCATGTGAGGATACAATGAGAAGTCAGCTGTCTGCAACCTAGAAGAGGCCCCTGACCAGAACCCAACCTTGCTGGTACCCTGTGTTAGTCTATTTTTGCATTTCTACAAAGAAATATCTGAGGCCAGGTGATTTAAAAAGAAAAGAAGTTTAATTGGCTCACAGTTCTGCAGGCTGTACAGGATGCATGGTGCTGGCATCTGCTTCTGGTAAGGAACTCAGGAAGCTTACAATCATGGCAGAAGGCAAAGAGGGAGCCAGTGTTATCACGTGTGAGAATGAGAGCAAGAGAGAGAGAAGGGGGAGGTCCCAGATTCTTTTAAACAACCAGATCTCACAAGAACTAAGGGAGAACTCATTTACTACCAAGCGGATGATGCTAAACCATTCCTGAGGGCTTCGCCTCCATGATCCAATCACCTCCCACCAGGCCCCACTTCCAACACTGGGAATCACCGTTCAGCATAGATTTGGAGGGGACAAACTTTCAAACCATCTCATACCCTGACCTTGGACTTCCAGCCTCCAGACTATAAGAAATAGATATCTGTTGTTTATAAGCCACCAATCTATGGTGCCCTATTATAGCAGCCTAAACTGGCTAAGACAGGTGCTATTTTTTCCATGTTCCAAGTTTCTTGCTCACCATCCTCATAATTTGGAACCTTCTTTTCTAATTACGGATATATTAACAGCATATACTAGGAGGCTGTCAACTTAGGGCCTATCTTTTTAAAGTGACCTTGAATATGTTTTCCCTTATCTAGAAGGATCTCTATAGTGAGTTGTTTCAGATATGTGGGCTCTAGAACTAGACTGATGGATTCAAATACTGCCCTGCCACTTACTTGCTCTTTTACTTTGAGTAAGTTAAACAACCTTTCTGTGCCTTAGTTTTCTCATCAGCAAAATGAAGTTAATATTAGAATCTCTCTCATAAGCTTGTTATGAGAATTAATGCACTAATACAGGAATTGGCAATTTTTTTCTGTAAAGAACCAGATACTAAATAGTTTAGGCTTTGTAGACTATGTAGTCTCTGTTGCAACTACTCAAGTATGCCCTTGTATTAAATAGAGTGGAAGCAGCCATGGATAATACCTGAATGACTTGGTGTGGCTATGTTCCAATAAAATCTTACTTACAAAAACAGGCAGCGGGCTGAATTTGGCCTACAGGATGTAGTTTGCCAATCCCTGGAATACTTGTGCACCAAAACTTAGGCCCATTGTAAGAACTCCAAAAATATTAGTTTTTTTTTTTTTTAAATCATCGTGGTCATTGTCATCATCATCAGCAGCATCATCATATACTCATATACTCATTCAACAAAGGATAATAAATCCTATGTGCTAATTTTACTGTGTAGTTCTCAGTGTTGTTCAGACTTTGCTACTTCTATGCATTTCCTACACTCAGGGCTCAGGTTCTCAAACCTTCCACTAAACTTCCTCTACCAGCAGAAGGAGTAAAACTTCATCCCATGGTTCTGGGGCTGGCAATAGCCCTAAATGCAGAACATGCCTTTCAAGTGTCAGAATTTATCTTAAAAAACCGTGTAGTGTTTGCATTTTACTCCATAGTATATTTATGTTTCCTTTAATACAAAAAAATGACTGAAACCATTCATCATTGAGTAAAACTGACCATGTTTACCAAGCATCTTCTGGTTTTCCATCACATGTACATTTATACAAATTTGAGAAACGAGGCCTATGATAACAGGAACTTAAGCTTTGAGGTAGGTCACCTGCTTAGACTTTAATAGCCTTGGTATTCTCTGTGGGTATTAGATCTTTCTTAAACACAAAGTAAGGGAATAAAATTAGACAACATAGACACCAAAAAGTTCACTGAAAAATTTAGATAACTCCATTCATTGTCTTTCACTTGGCAGGCGACAAAGTACGTGTCTGGACTCCTGCAGCTCTGATCTTACCCTCATGGCTCAGGAGTGTTGACGACATACAGGAAATCAGCATGTGCCCATTAAGTCATACAAAAAATAAAATTATAAAAAAATATGAAAGAGAATGTGTGTGAAGGAGACTATGAGCTGAAGCATATAAAATTTTCAATATTTGAACAGTTGTGGCAGTTTCTATGGTTCAACCTAATACTTCTCCAAAGCTTGTTAACCAGCAATGGGCATAGCACTGATTTTTAAGTGAAATATTACCACTGTAGGTCATAATAAGAATAGCACTTTCGGGCTGGGCACAGTGGCTCACACCTGTAATCCCAGCACTTTGGGAGCCTGAGGCGGATGCATCAGGAGGTCAAGAGATCAAGACCATCCTGGCCAACATGGTGAAACCCCGCCTGTACTAAAAACAAAAATTAGCCGGGTGTGGTGGTGCACGCCTGTAGTCCCAGCTACTCGGGAGGCTGAGTCAGGAGAGTTGCTTGAACCGGAGGCAGAGGTTGCAGTGAGCCGAAATCGTGCCATTGCACTGCAGCCTGGCAACAGAGAGAGACTCCGTCTCAAAAAAAAAAAAAAAAAAGAATAGCACTTTCAGACTCTGTATAAAAAGTGCCCCCAGAATACAGAATATGGAAATAGAAAGCAAAAGTTAGTGGGTAATGCTGAAAACAATCAGAACAGTAGCCTAAGGGTTTGAATTGTGATCAAGGTTCATAGTCAGAATAGATATAGTTTCAGACATTTTTGAGAAATGATCCTTGTGGGTGCTTCTTGATCCAGCAGGTGCTAAGAAATAAAACATCAGGACCAAAAGAATTAGCCTTGAGCATTGTATGAAAACACTTGGAAAGATGAAGTCCCCTGTGTTCTTCATGGCCATAAGCAAAGTGCATTTATTCAACCATTTTATCAGTGTGAGGTGGAGAGAAGCAGATGTTGTTTCACTCTTCCTCTGTTTTAATCAGTTGCCAGACAATACTCTGAAGACATATGACAAATTTCTGTTAGCATTTCCCTTAGTAGCCAGCTTAGCACCCACAGCAGACTTTTCAGACTCTTATATTCTAACCAAGATACATTCTTTCCTAAGTCATTTAAATTCCAGTTCTTATCTCAAATCTTAAGTTTTATATAGGGGTGAATAGACTGGTGATGAAACCACACAGATAGAGAAAGTAGCCAAACAATAGCACCACTGACATATGAAGAGTGTAAGTATGAAATATGCATGAAATTTTGCAAGTTAGGGTAGATCAGCCCTATATGAGTCTTCAGATATTAAATTCCCGAGTCTAGATCTGGAGAAATAGAAGCTCAGAATGAGAATTTGGGTAATCAAGGAGGAAAGCAGAGCGTTTCTAAGCACATGTGAGTGTTTCTACCTGTGGAATGGCACACTTTATGTAGCCTTGGAGTTTAGATTTGCTGCCTTCATTCTGTCTTAGATTGTATGACTTGAAGCTTCAAATGACAAGGCAGGGGGAGAAAAACAAAACAGTTAAACCAATTTCAGAAGAATTTGTGAAAAACTAGTCAACATTTTCTGATGGAAATAACTGTCAAGTTGACAAGAAACTTGGCCTCCTACTATATCAAAAATTTGATCCAAATGGAAAACATTTTCTAATTAAAATTCCTAAACATACACAGAAGTTAAAAAGGATAGTTTAAAAAACCCACCTATATTCAATTTTCAAAATGTTTCCCTTCTTGCTTTATCTACCCCTTTGGTTGTTGAGGTGTTTTAAAACAAATCGCAGTTGCACATCATTTCACTCCCATCCATCATTTCTTAAAAATTAAGGATATTTTCTTTTATAACTATATTGCCACTTGGGAAAAATTTTAAATGATTATTTATCACTAAAAAATGTGTACTGACTGTTTATCTTCCTCCTCATTGCAAAAATGCATATAATAGGAGAAAAAGAAAAATAAGGGTAAGAAAGCAAAGTGAAGCCAGGAATAAGAGTATTGAATATCAGTGTATACAGAAGGTCCCATTCTAATCTTAAACTCAGTCGCTTGCTTCACCAGGACCAAGGCAGGAGGGAAACTCTGGCAGTCACAAGATTTAGTGTTTATGAAGGGGAACGGCATCATTTCTCTGGAGAACATAGCTTTTCCTGTCTGTAAGCTGTGTGGGGAATTTCTCCTGGATGTCTTCATGAAGAAGACGGTATGAGATTTATTGGCCAATATACTTTACAAAATCCCCACAATAAATACAAAAGAGGTTTTGTGCCACTCCTTGTTAGAGTGTCCTCGTTGCATACCAAGGTCTAACGCTGAATCCAGCTGAGTAAAAGTTGTCTGACAAGGGGCCAGAGCTGTGTGTCTTGTCCACCTGGTGGCTGCCATCCCAAGGTACAGCAGAAAGCCCATTCATTTAAAATAAGCTTTTAAATCTCCCTCTCAGACTCCCAGTGTCCCAATTCCTCCATTAATAATACAGCCCTAATTTTAAAAACTTGAATCCAGCTGTTACTACTTTTAAATGCTGTTATCCATTGCAAGTCAGTGTGACACCAAATGTATCTTCCACGTTCGTTCATCATTTCTGAGTTTGGCCCAGCCACTGGGTTTTTTTCCCCTGTTGTTCAGGAGGGTTGCAAATGGCAAAAGCAATCAATCTATGAAGCAAATCAGTGTGAACAGCTATTGCGGGGAGAGCTAACCCTGCAGCTATCTGCTATTTTTTTTTTGAAATAGAAGCTGAGCTTGTCTTTGGATCTAATGACTGGAATACCCATGGACTAAAGGGACTGTCTCCCTTCAGCTTTTAGAAAATTCTCATACTCTGGGCCAGCTTAGCCGATAGTTTCCAAGCTGCAGGAACAGCTTGAGGCTGAGGGCGGTGGTCCTGCTCCATCAGTCGTGGGAACCAGGTGGCTCCCGGCATCCTCGGCTCTCTCACCTCCACGCTGCTGCTGCCGCATTGATCCTCGACTAGCGCTCTGACTCCTCAACACTCTACCACCTACCAGCGATATCTCTGAGAATGGTGCAAAGTGGAATTTATTTGTGCCCTTGGTGTGTGTAACACAGCTCATCATGCTTTTAAAGATCTCCTCCTGGTTTCTGCTAACAGCCTTTGCTTGCTTCCTGCAGTTCTGTTCATCACACAGCTAAATAAACCTGCTTGACGTTGCCATCTCTCAGGAGTCCAACCAGAAAACACACTGAAATCATATACTTAGGTGAGATGACATCAAGGAACAATGAGATAAAACAACTCAATAACTAGGAAAAAAATTTTGAATGCACAAATATTTTCTTGTCAAACTTTAAAAAGAGAAAGAAAACAAAAATATTTTTAGAAATTTGAACATACCCACAGTGGTAAAATATGTCCTGCTCCCACATTGCATATTTTCCTGGGTATAACATTCCTATTTTAAAATCATAGCAACAGATTCAAGAAACAAATGTCTTTGAAAATTCCATTTCATGGAAGTGTCACTGTATGCATTTAAACTTTTTTCCTACTGAAAATTATTGCAAACAGCATGAAAAACGTCAACACAGGAAACAGAATAAAAGTAATGGATGATCTTAAAAAAACAGAGGGATAAAAATGTCCGTGAAATACTATGCTCAAATGACTAATGTTAATATTTAGGTTAAATTATTCCCTGTAGGCAAGAAAATAAGATGCCCACAGAGTAATACATAAAATAATAGTAGCAGGGAAAATAAAGTTAGAAAAGTCAGTAATATATCCAGATCATTTTAGAAAGCTGACAGAGAGAATATCCAACAATAAAATAAAATTTGTTCATATTGCAAAAGAACAGAAAATTTCAGATTATTGTTGATTTTTCCACTATACCAAAAACATTATTAGATGTTTTATGTTGCTTTTGGCCTGTAATATCCAGATTATCTGTTCTATTTCCTCTATCACTTTGCAGATGTCTTACTTTTAATTCTGTCACTCTCTCCAATGTATATACTCATTCACTTATTTTTAGATTTCTACATATAATTAAACAGTATTCATTCATTTTCCTAAATACAGCCTTTTCTTTGGAATCTTTACCATTAAAAAGTCTAGATGTTGAATCCTACTTTCCTGTTTTCCCGTCGACATTTGCTTTCCTAGATTCCAAAATAGCAAGTATCTCAGATGTACCTCACCATTACTCCATTTTAATTGAAGTCTTCCTGTTAGAATTATGTTCAGTACCCTGGGAGTTACAGTACAATGAAGAAAGTCACAATTAAATAAACAAAATAAAAAATAAACTGGAGGGTAATATGTAGATATTTGTCTGCAGGAAGTGAAGTCCAAGCTCCCTGTTAAAGAACAGGAAGGATTTAAGTGTAGAGAAAAGGGGAGGCTGTTTCTATGTACCAGGCTGTCACTGCTTATAGTTGCTTACAGCCAATTCCCATATTAATCTCCTTATATCTTTGTATGTATATCCTAATAGTCCTGTTTCTCTGGAGAACCCTAACTAATACAGAGAGTGAGCTGTTTATCATTATCAGAAGGGCCTTACAGTGACATAGCCTGGCACATAGAAGGGGTGTTATGTATACCACTTAGCCGCAGAGGGGAAACCTAGACACTGGAGGGATGCCTGGCAGAGAGAGGGATAGAAACAGTTTTTCTTTGCTTATGATCGACGATCATAAAAGCCATACTGCTGACAAAGTCCAGCGCCAGCTCTAGAAGCTGTTGTATCCAACCTGCCCTCTTTAGTTCCACTGGGAGAAAGCATGGTCATTTACTCACTAAATATACCCCAAACCACACCAGAAGAAATAGGACCCTGAGGTCAGGGCCCATGATGAGCCACTCCAGGGGAGCCCTGAGCATGATTACAGTGTTTGGTAATGAAATGTTCCACACTACTCTAGATGTTACATTGCATATTGACTACCCAACTCTCAACACACAGAGAGCCCTTCTGGAACTCATCAGCATCTCCATCTACCATCACTGAGTCTTTTTCATTCTAATTAAGGGTTTCCAATTCTTAATTGCCTAAATCTCTCTGAGGGAGTCTCAATACACAAATCACAGATTGATTTGTTTGTAGTGGGACAAAATTACTGTTTTCCCCATAGTTTTAAATTCTCCTCTAAAGATCTATAAGAACCTGTGATTGGGGTCATTCTTTATATAAAGTAGTAGTGTATTACAGGAGGGAAGATTCTGAACAACCCAATCCATCTGTAGACTCACCATAGCACAGGATACCAAGGTTTACAACCAGGCTCCAAGAGTGGAATAAAGAGAGGAATGAAGATTAGAGAAAAGCCTTTGATTTTCTACTCAATATTCGAAGAAGTGAGGGTGAACATTCACTCTTCCTTTAAAATCAAGCCCAGAATCCTTCGTATTTTTGTCAGTGGCCATAGAGTATATTAACATCCTGGAAAGTCAGTTGTTCCAAGGGCACTTTCTAGATCCTCTTGGCCAGAAAACTGTCTTCCTTAAACCCAGAACCACGGCTTCCACTGCTTAATCAATAATAAATGATTGCCTCCATTCTGGCAGAGCTAGATGTCTGTAGAACTGATTGTCATGAAGAAAAACCTTTATCATTTTTTCTCCAATTTTTCCAGCTATCCAAGGACATTTACATTCTCAGTTACGAGTAGCAAGGCATGGGGCTATTATTTTAAATTCTGGGCATCGTTCTAGAAATACAGGAATTAGGAATAATCTTCTGTGGAAGGATGTCTAAGTATTGCAGGGGTTATTTGGACATCAGTGACAGCCTGGTGCATACTTCCAGTTGAAATAGTTAAGAAATCATATACTAGCTTCCACTGAGTTGATCTAGCTAGGGCCTCATTTTCATATCCTACCATTTTGAGAGGTAGGAGTTCTTTAGAAAAAGATTGGTTCTAAGTGTCAGAAATGACAACTCATGTCAATCTGTGTGCTAACTTCCATCAGAATACCTCTTGTTTTAGTATTAGGTATGGTTGAGTTGCACACAATTGTCATATGACTCAGTCATCCTAATGATTTTTCATTCTCTCTCTTTTAATGGTCAACTGATTAAAATAAGATGAACACAGAGCCTCCCAGCAATGAGTATCTCTGGGTGCACTCAGCTCCCTGGCTTCTGCTTTGGCTTATCATCTAACAATGCCTCTGACTCAGACTGTCTCCCACCAAGGCTGTATTTTGGTTGCCTGTTTCTACCGTGTGATCAAGACATTGGATGTGCCCAGATCCCAAGGGCCTTTCGCTGCCCTAGACACTCCTATCTAATCAGTATGAAAAATGTCCAATGTAGTAAATGCCACTTTAATTATAAGCTTGCTTCAACTGGATTAGAATCAAAATAAGCATGCTTAAGACAAAAATTAGGTCTGAGAAAGCAAAATTAGCAAAAGAGCTTCAGGGACAGGAATCCATTTCTATTTCAAGATTAAGTGATTTTCTTCTGTAATTCTCATTTTAATATTCTCTTTTCCACCATAAACCTACACCATCATCCAATGCCATGCATTTTTACTCAAGTAATTGTATTCTTCTTACTTGCCTTTCTGGTATGACTTCAGGTATACTGCCTTTCTGCACTTCAGGGCACCCCTAGTTTTGGATGCAGATGCTAAGCGTTAAAGCTATAACAGTAGAGGTTAGTAAGCAGTGGCAACAGTGGCTTTAGAGTTAGACTTGGTTTAAAATTCTGGCTCCAGCACTTGTTAGCAGTGTAATCTTTCACAGCATATTTACCCCTCTAAGCTTCAATTTCCTAGCTATAGAATAGTAAGAATAATAGTTATTTTGCAGTGTGATTTTAAAGACAAATCAACCAATGTTGATAATGCCTTTGGCAAGAGGCCTGGCGAATGCAGTATACCACCTGACAAATGCTACTTGTTGATATGAGTAGGAAGATGCTCACCAGATCCATGTGTAAATCTGGAATCAGGAAGACTCAAGCTCTGATGCCATCTCTAGCACTTAAGAGTTGTGAGGCTCTGGGCAAGTTGCTTAACCTCTCTTTGTTTTGCTGGCTCTTTTGCAAAATGGAGATAAAAACAGCTGTCTCACAGGTGTCATTTCTGGGTGCTGTGTTGATTAATACAAGCTTCTTCTAAAAGTTAAGGCTCAGCGGTATTTGTTTATAATGAATAAAGTGACCACCACCCGCCTTTGAAATACCCTGCTAATGAGAAAGAAAACATGATCATAATCTAAAGCTTTCCAGCGGCAGGTATTCTTGTTCTGTCCTCATGGCCATAAATAACACCTTCTATTCAATTTGTCCAAATTGTTCCCTACCAGATTTCCGACTACAGGCCAGGATCTCTGGCACTAAAACAGGCAGAGTAATGAACAAAGTGTTCTCTGCTTTTTATGCATGCTACAGATTTGGAGTACAGTAGGAGGGTAACCAGTGAAGCTGAGCCTAGGTCAAGGATGATAAGAGACTCCAAGAAACCACAGTGGTCTATTGTTGAAAATGTTGAAGAACCAGATACCTCAGTTGTTCTAAAAATAGGGGTCCTTTTTCTAAGCAGATATAAAAATACCGTCTAGAAACCAGCTATATCATAACAAGATATATAGAAGACAGAGTGTCATGGTTAATTTTACGTGTCAATTTGACTGACACATTAAGGGATGCCCAGATAGCCGGTAAAACATTTCTGGGTGTGTCTGTGAGGGTGTTTCTGAAAGAGAATAGCATTTGAATCAGTGGACTGAGGTAAAGAAGAGCTGCCCTCGTCAACGTGGTCAGCATCATCTAATCTGTTGAAGACCTAAACAGCACAAAAATGCAGAGGAAGAGCGAATTCTCTCTCTCCCTCTCTCTCTCTATCTCTCTCTCTGTCTGTCTCTCTCTCTCTCCATGAGCTGGGACACCTGTCTTCTGCTCTGAAATACTGGAGTTCCTGGCCTTCTGACTCTGGGACTTATACCAGCAGCTCCTATTGTTTCTCAGGCCTTTGGACCCAACCTGAATTACAGTCTGAATTTGGAGTTCTCCATCTTGCAGATAGCATATGATGGGACTTCTTTGCTTTCATAATCATGTGAGCCAGTTCCCATATTAATCTCCTTATATATGTATATCCTACCGGTCC
This sequence comes from Homo sapiens, assembly GCF_000001405.40. Classification (NCBI taxonomy): domain Eukaryota; kingdom Metazoa; phylum Chordata; class Mammalia; order Primates; family Hominidae; genus Homo; species Homo sapiens. The sequence goes on along the minus strand of NC_000006.12, from coordinate 79,425,947 downwards.
TGTTTCTCTCGAGAACCCTAACTAATACAGAGAGTGAGATGTTTATCATTAGCAAAAGGGCCTTGTGACAGGTATACTATTGTCCCTAATTATTTGCTGCTACTCTCTGTAAGAAGAGTATACTTCTCCACCCCATTGATGGCAGGTTTGGTCACATGACTTGATTTGGCAAGTGAAATATGAGCAGTATGCCACTTGCAAACAGAATCTTTGAGAGCCACTGGTAATTCTTTGCTCTTAGACATTTCTTCAAAACATCTTCTCTAATGATTTCCTTATGCAGACCAGAAGTCCCTGTTGGACTTAACTGGACTCTTCTTGAAAAGGTTGCAAAGATCAGCTAGTAGTATGTTTAGCATTTCACTTTACAATGTGGGAGCACGTCGTTCTCAACTTTGGTTTTCAGTCAACACAAACTTACACACATACACACACACACACACACACACCCCTCACATATATTTATATTTATATATTCTAGACTGTTGAGTAAATTCTCTGTCTTTTGTTATTTTCTGTGAGATCATGTAACTTCTTAATGCAGTTGGAAAATGTGGTGCAAATGATACTGTTGTAAATGAAAGAACTTCATCAACCTCTAATTAGAAGTTGAATAACTATGTGAACAGCATAATAAAATAGCCCATTTTAGTAATCTACAACAGAAATTAGTTCAGGGAAGACTTTATTGAAAGGATAAGACTAACAAGCCCTTATTAAATGCATTTTAAAAATATTTCCTTAACTTCTGGACCAACACTGTCCAATAGAACTTCCCGCAATGATGGAAGGATTCTACGTCTGTGCTATCTGATATGGTAGCTACTAGCCATATGTGGAGTACTTGAAATGTGGCTAGTGCAGCTCTGAAGATGAATTTTAAATTAATTTACATTTAATTAATTTACATTTAAATTTATATAGCCCCACATATGGATAGTAACAACTGAATTAGTGCACCCTAGAGCCTGCATTGAAAGAGTATCTTTTCCTAATAACTTAAGTATTCTTTATGTTACTATATTTGGAACTAAGAAGCTTATATGTATGTATATCTATAAGCTTATATCCATATACATATAGGCTTCTTAATTGTATGCACACACATACACATATACACACACACACCCATGCATACCCATGTCTATATCTTTCTAGTTATCTATTTATGCAAGTACCAGACAACTTTGCCCTTTTTTGTTTAGGCAACCATTGTATACCATTGCAGAGCTGAGAAATTATTGCCTGTTTTGTTCCAGACTTCCAGGGAGTACGGGTACTCCCACTGGAGATCTAATCTAGCTTTAGGGAGAAAATCTTACAGAAAAGTATTTCCTCAAGATGAAATTTGCAAAAATATAGTACCACATTTTAGAATCATAAGTCAAAGATGTTCTTATTGAATCCATCCATTGATCTAAAAAGAACTATTCCCAAATTATCCTGACAATTTCCAATACTATATTAACCAATCTCTATACTTTAGTTCCTCTTCTTTTTACCAGAAATTAGTTATTCAAATGGCCAGATTTTAGTTGCCCCAGTCCTTAAATTGTAAATGAACTATATTTTTATTTCACTATAGAATTAAAGGAATTTATGTACCTCATTTTTAAGGAACACCACTGCAAAGGTATAATGTTCTGAAATCTGCTGTAATTATAAGAACACGGGATTTGGAAAATAATTTGGGTTGTGAAGACGTAATTATTTGGGAAGCCTGGAAAGCTGGAGGTAGGTCTACTATCAGGGACATTTAGACACTGATGGTCTTTACTATCTGTGGATATGACCTTCCTGGTGGACTTTCTCAGGGAGCAGAGACCAGGGAAATCCTTGTTAGTCAGGCCATATTGGTCCTGCCTTGGAGAGATTTCTTTTTCCTTGGCTAATTAACTAAGACATTTAATCTATTCTTAATGTGGGTGTGGTGTGTTCTTTTTCACTTTATTATAGAGCATCAGAAAGACCTGATTCTACTTCCTAGTGTCAGTGTGAGAATTAATTCATCTATAGGATTTAGTATAGCAACTAATATCATGCCATCAATAAATAACTGCTGATTTTTAAATTGAGTTTTAAAAGTAAAATGTAATTTTAACTAAAGAATAAAAATGCTTCTAAGAAGCATACGATCTTTTGGAATAAAGTAAAGGGCTATTCACTAGAAAAAGACAAAGCTGTACCAAGCATACTGACAACAAAGCCATCCCCAAATGTAAGATTTTAGTTTTCTATTAAAAAATAGAATATAATGGAATTAGTTCAAGATCAAGCTCCTTTCTATGGATAAGATAGGCACTAACAGCATTGACCTTTATTAATATGAGAAAAGGAAATTAATGAATATAAAGCAGGAAAGCTGAGACACTCTGAGGTTTCCATGAACTGCTTATGATTGCTCACATGCCAGACTCTGGAATATTTCCTAGATTTCATCTCTAGTTTCCCTCGGCCCAGCTGAGTGTAATTAATAAAACTCTAAGCACCTGCAAGAAGCTCCCAGTATTGTTTTAGGGAATCTTCTCTGTAGGCTAGTGGGAGAGAATGCTAGTTATCAAGTCTTACCTCCATAAAGGAAGTAATGCCGTCAGTAGGATTAGTCTCAAATAGTCATTGTGACATCTTTCAGTTGGATTTTTCTCAACTTAGAAATCAGGTTTTGAAAATGTTAATACACTTTCAAAAACAAACCTGAAGAAGATAGTGACATTTTCCAAAGTAGCTGAATAGCATCATAACCTCGCTTAAGTAATGAAGAATTCAGACTTGTAGCAGAAGAATATTAAATGTGGGAGCAGCTATTTTTACAATGTTTAATGTAAAATGTCTATCAATCTTATATTGATTATGTCTAATGTTAAAGGCAATACATCAAGATTATTTCTCAAAATGTAAACAGAGCAGCAATCAGAAAGAGTGGATTTATCAGGAATATGTTTTATATTTGTTGTGCCTTTATTCCCCAGGAAAAATATAAAACTATGTGCAGCTAAAGTGTCTACTTGACTGCCTGATGATGATTAACATTTAAGAATTTGCTCTGGGGGAAATAAGGTGGAAATTTAAATAGTGTTGCAATTTGCCATTAGTGCTGTTTTTCACTATTTCCAAATGAGGACACAAGTAAAAGATAGTGGGGAAATCGCATGGACTATATAATATTCAGTCCAACCCTCTTCCTCTCATTGATTCTGTAGATACATGCTGGTTTAACTGCATAGATGACTTTGTTTTTAAGCTGTCTTTAAAGAAACTTTAAATCTTCCTTATTTAGCAAATATCCCTATAGTCTTTGGATGCAAAGTGTCTACATGTACATATAGACACAGAGATATATTTTATATTCATCAAACAGAATATCAATTCATTCCAAGTTGCAGAGTCACATCCTCTAAGAAAACATTGACTCTCCTCATTGCTGATAATATACCTCCCTCCTCCCTTGACGGATTATACCATTTGTCCCTTTACTTTTGAACCCCAGCAAAGGGTCTACTATCCTAAGAGATGAATCTAATTAAATTTTAGGGCATACTCAAGTGCTAGAAATAAACAAAAGTAAGACAAGAGCTCACGTATAATAACAATAGTAATCCCCACAGCAGTCATTTAAATTAATGCTTGTAATCAAGCAACGTAAACACCATAATGCAAAAGCAGAACTAAAATCAACATTCCACCCTATAAAACAGAGGGTGAGGGAGAGTGCTGGTAATATTGACAAAGATACTTTTACTTTACCCATGTAAACATCAGACTGTCTTGTTCTCCCTAGGCTTGCTTTTCATTCTTTGGTATGACAGTTCTGATTCTTCAGCCTCCCCATGAAGAAAAGAAAAATTCTCTTGAAGCTGAACTAAATTCATCAGCAAATGAAATTATATTCATTTGATAAAATGCTAAATGGAAAAGGCAGGTTTATTTTAAGCCGTCAACAGGCTGTTTTAGTTAATCATGCACAGTGCAGAAGACAGGAGTTTGGTTGCTAAGAAAATGTTTGGCATGTTTCCACGAGATCCATGTGACGTGAAATGCATCTGTTCATTTCAATAGTGAAATAGAAAAAAATAAAATAAACAGTGCAGGGTATATTTGGTGAGTCACTGTGGAACACAGGGCCAAAATAACTTCTGTGTTGTCAGTTTATTCTATACAACCTTATTGTTATGATGTTAGCCTTTTCTTATAATTCAAAAAAAATTTATTTTAATAGTGATGTTTTGTTAGCAAATTAATACAAATTCATTGTAGATAAATCAGAAAATACAAAATAAGAAAATTAAAATCTGCTGTAACACACACCCACACAAATACCAATATCTATATTGGTATGTGCATAGTAGGGGCTTAATATTTATTTGCTAAATGAATTAATATATATTTTACTTACAAATATGAGATCATACTGTAATACTTTTATAACATGCTTTAGAAATTAAAAGACATCATAAACATTTTTACTGTGTTATTAAGTATTCTTCTTTAGCATAATTGTAATAGTTTTCATTATTATGGGACAAGTAAGTTATCTGGAACTCCTGCAAAATTTCTTCAGTAGCCAGGAACTGAATGCGAGCACCTCCCAGTAAGACTGATACTGTGGTGCTGATATGATGAAATCTGAACATGTTCAACATTTTTTGCTGGGATGTCATACATATTCTCTGATTACTGAGCTAGTAAATGGAATCTCAGCTGTCCTGATTGTGTGTAATTCTGTCATTTCTACCACCAGATAGAGACCATCACTGCTTACATAGATAACGTGCCATTCACATCCAGGTGTACTAATGTGAGAGAGAATGGCCAAAGATAGCAATGTGCTTGGCACACCCTTGCACGCCATCGTGATCCTCAGAGTGAAGTAAGAATGGCTATTGTCTTCCACAACATCTTCAAGGTTGCTGCTGTGAACAAAGAGGCCAAACAGAAGAGTATTAATTCACAATGTGGAAGAATATATTGATTAATGAAGCTCTTAATTACGTAGTCCAAAAGGCTGAGAAGTTCCACACCCACAAAAAAAGGAGAAGCAGAGAAATGTAGTTGGTATCTCCTAAGAACTCACTTAAATCTACAGTCTTCACTAAGGACAAGGTGGAAAATAAGAAAATTTAAGGCCAAAACAATGACGGAGGGCAAACACAAGATTCTTAAAGGTTCAATAAAATCATTAGCTAGCTAAACAAGAACCAGCCTGCTGAGAAGAAGAATCTGAGTATCAGCAGAAAAGCTGGAGAAGTCTGCAAGATCATCATCACAAGCTGTTACCAAGGAGCTGAAGACATATCAAGAGAAATGGCTTACCAGGGGAAGAGCTCCTCTGTCACAAGGTGCCTCATCTGAAGCCACTATTAAAGCGGGTGTCCATGCTGACCAGAAACAAAGCACATTTCACAGACCTACTGCAAAGTTTAAATATGTGACTAAGTCAGTTCAGTGGCAGTTTAAAACATATTTAAACATAAATTAACCTGTAGACAAATAGATCAGAAAATGTGTAATAGCTCAAACACAACAGAAGTTTATTTCTTGCTCACTTAACAGTTGGAGGCAGGTGTTTCCTGGTTGGTGGACGTTTCTTCTCCACTTAGCAACTCAGGGACACAAACTGATTTTGCCTTCTCTTTGTCAGGGCTTCAAATTCATCATCTGCCTCCAGTCAGTGAAAGAAAAATGAGAGCTTGGAGGTGGAACACCTCCTTCTTTAAAGCTCTGTCCCAGAAATTGTATTCATTACTAGAACTCAGTCATGTGATCTAACTGCAAGAAGGCTGGGATATGTAGTCCAATTGTGTACCCAAGAACAGAAAATGGTTTGTTAGGGAGGGGAGAAACAGCAACCATTATCTGAGGTTGCTTAAATTTGGTCATATTTTGAATACTTTAGTACATGCTGGCAGTGCTGTAAATAAGCAAAAATGAATCCGGCACCCACATTCTGATTGCCACCAACTTCGTGTAATTTTTTAAAGGTATATAAAATTCATGTGTCAATGCATAAAGATCCATTTTAAATTGATACCATAAAAAACAAGTGGAATTGCTGGGTCAAATATTCATACAGAATTCTCTGGCTTTTCATTAAGTCGTGTCTAATTGACCCTGAGAAATTGTTCAATTTACATTCTTACCTGCAGTAGGTGAGAGTAGCTGCCTTCTGTGCTATCATCGACATCATTGTTAACATTGCATACAGCATTCACATTTTAAAGTTTTTTAAGAGACACATTATGATATGGTAATTGAGAGAACAGACCCTAAATCCATACTGCCTGGATCCGAATTCCACCTTGTCTTTTTTCTTCCTGAGACCTTTCTGTGTCTCAGTTTTCTTATCTGCAAAATAGGGTAATAATAGTACCTATTTCATTAGGTAATATTCATCTTTGTGAGGATTAAATGCGTTAATATGTAAAATGTCTTGAACAGCACCTGATGTATAATGTCTAATGTCTTATGTTTTGCTGTTATCATTTTTAATCTGTCATATATGTTATAAGCATCTGATGCATAATGTCTTATGTTTTTGCTATGATCATTTTTAATCTGTCTTATATGTTACAAACATTTTCTTCTGCATATTGCTTGTCTTTTGTCTTTATTTATAAAGCACTGCTTTCCATACAGACTTTAAAATGCTTTTATGGAGTAAACAATATCTAGACTTTCCTTTATAGCTTTTGTACTTCCAATTGTATCTTATAAAGGTCTATCTCTCTCTTTTTTTTTAAGTCATTCATGTCACAGATATGCTTTTTAAATTTTTTCTGATTTTCTTAGTCTGTTGGTATTGCTATAAAGGAATTTGGGAGGCTGGGTAATTTATAACAAAAAGAGGTTTATTTGGCTCATGGTTCTGGAGGCTGTACAAGAAGCAGGGCACCAGCATCCGCTTCTGGTGAGGGCCTCAAGGAACTTCTACTCATGGTGAAAGACAGACAGGAGCAGGCATCACATGGCAAGTGAAAGGAAGAGCTGGGGGAGAGAAAGGTCCCAGGCTCTTTTAAACAATCAATTCTTGTGTGAACTGATCGAGTGAGAACTCACTCACTACCACTAGGATGGCATCAAACCATTCATGAGGTATCTGCCCCACGACCCAAACACTTCCCACTAGGCCTCACATCCAACATTGGGGATCAAATTTCAACATTAGATTTGGAGGAGACAAATATCCACACTATTTCACTTGTTTTCAATTATAACTGAGAGCACAGTTTTTGTTGATTGTTTTGAGAAAGTCCTATCATTATTTTTCCTTAAAGTTTCTACATTAGGGGTTTGCTTAAAAAAACCCTTGCCACCCACTTACAGTTTAATTAATTTACCAACAATTGATATAAGTAGAGATATAACATTGCTTTCTAAATTGTTTTCTAATTATCCCATCATCATTTATTATTCTGTGCTCTGATTAAAGGGGCTCACTGAAGGTTGGTACCTCCCTCATTAACTTGACGGAAGCCACATTCCTTGTTTTGTTTTAAAGTCAGTTAAGAGATAGTTCTGTATGTACAGGCAACTCTCAACTACCAGCCCATAGATAACCCACTTTGGAGATCAATGAAATAAAAAACCAGACTGAAAAAAATCTTCTCAGCCTGGGCTCTTCACACTGCTTTCTACTGGGCTCTGCTCAGAAATGCCAGCTAACTTTAACTTTACATATGTCAGCTCGGAAGAACGATTTTTTAAAGGTATATAAATGTTTTACAGAGCTAATTACAAGTGAGTTTGGAAATTTCTGCCATCTAGCTATCTGTGCATTATGCTCTTCAATGATTACAAGTAATGGAAAGCTGAATGTTGTTTTTGAAAAAATGAAAACCACATGTCATTCCCGGAATCAGACACTGCTATGATTTTATAGAATAGAAATCAGAAGACAGAAGGGACTCAAGGAAATTTAGCAGAAACAAGTCACCCAAAGTAGACATAGATTTTTGACTCTGAAATGTAGAATTAGTCAATCAACAGCTCATAAAACTTTTTCTATAAGACCCCTCCTTTTCATGGAGGGCTCAAGTATTCATGAGTATTCTATGAAAAAGGAGTTCAAAGAATCTCAGATGTCATCACAGCTTTTCTTTAATCCAAAATATCTTAACAGAGGTATGGACCTTGGACTTCGAAACCTAGTCTTGGCTTGGCATGGGGGCTCACGCCTATAATCCCAGCACTTTGGGAGGCCGAGGCAGGTGGATCACTTGAGGCCAGGAGTTCAAGGCCAGACTGGCCAACATGGCAAAACCTCATCTCTACTAAAAATACAAAAATTAGCTAGGCATGGTGGCATGCCTGTAATCCCAGCTACTCAGGAAGCTGAGGCATGAGAATTGCTTGAACCCGGAAGGGGGATGTTGCAGTGAGACAAGACTTTGCCACTGCACTCCAGCCTGGGTGACAGAGCAAGAATGTGCCTCAAAAAAACAAAACAAAACCCAAAAAACAAAAAATCTGGTCTTAAAATAATTATCACTCAGTTATGGTCTACATCAATGCTTCTCAAACTATCTAAGGTGAAGAACCAGGGTTTTTTCCCATCCGAAAGAGAATAGTTCTGTGAAATATAATATAAATTGCTAGAAAGGTGAAATGAAAATATAAACAAATATAAATAGAAGCCCATTTATTTATTATTAGATTTAGCCAGTATAAAATTACTATGTCAAATTGCTGTAACAGTTTGTAAATCTAACTTTTAATTTCTGCTTTTATTTCATTGACAACCTAGTAACAGTTAGCAGGCTGATATGGATCCATGTGTCACACTTTGAGCAGCACCGTTCCATGCCATTTCTGGCCCCAAGCCAATGCATTTTTCAAAGCTAAAAGCTCCTATGACATTAGAGAATGGTGAAGAGAGAACGAATTTAACTGTTGTATATGTAACTAGAACAAATGTTACAACTTCCTTATTCCTGTGATCTGGTTATAGAGTTTCCAAAACATGTCTTTTGACCTGATATTTGGTTCTGAATTGATAAAATTATGATACACTTAGAATCCCTCACTCTGTACGTAATGTCTAAATCCTAAAATGCTGCTTGTATAGCATATTCCCTTTTCCAACTGTAATTTATTCAATATTTGTTTTCTATGCCTAATAACTTTTTAAAAAAATATTCAATGCCCATGAATTTAGTGCCATGTGGAATGGTACATAAAAGGAAACTTTACATTCTGGTTTTACTCCAGGTAAGAATTTTCCAGATTCCCTTTGTTCTATAGTTTCCTAAATGAGGAGCTCTTGGCCTCTTAGGCACTGGCTCAGCCTTTCTCTTAAACACTGAAAAGACTCCTTGGACCGAAATAAGAGCATTCATGGAGATCATTTTACTGACTTCCTTTCCTCTACCCTTACTCCTGCCCTTAAGCTTTCAGCATCTTTTGTTTTGCTTCTGATATATACCGTTCAGTATGATTAGACTGGGGAGGATACTAATAACCAGTTATGTTATCAAACTGTAGGGAACTACATTTCTTGACTTTCCTTGAAAAATATGGACTTAATCTTCCTGAGTAAAGAAGCATCCATTGTTATGTAGTTTATTTTATGCTATGACAATGGCATTTTACTGTTTAGACTTCAAATAGAAATTTTCTTCAGCAGTATTGCTTAATGTAACAAAATATTGGCCTTTAGAATATCTTCAAACATTTGTAGAGATGGAAAAAAATTAAACCATTTATTCACCTTAGGTTATAGTTCTTTCAACCACCTTTGATTAAAGCATGTTTAGAAAAAGTCAGTTTATGGTTAATATAGTAGGTAAAAGAATTAAGCAAAATTTTAGTGTTAAGTGTTCAGTAAAATGTCATTGCACACTGTTGATTTTATCACAATCTATCTTAGCTCATTGACCTTACTGACAGGTCTATCTTAGCATTAACCTTGTAGCTGATCTTGGTTTTTTGTTAATTGCCATCCTCTTTCACTCCTTAAATTTGTTATATTGTTATTTTAAAAAAGAAAAAGTCTGCTAATGTAAAGGTTCACATTTACCCAATAGATACCACTCTGAAAGCATTTATATGCTAATCAAAATATATGCTATGCATGGTTATACATATTAATTAACAACAACTATAAACAGATATTTTCTAAGCCCTACCCTAGATAAGTTTTAATTACTCACCAGAAGGATAAATTCCATTAATAGTCTTAAGAGTTTCTCTGACCGGGCGCGGTGGCTCACCCCTGTAATCCCATCACTTTGGGTGGCCTAGGCAGGTGGATCACATGAGGTCAGGAGTTCGAGACCAGCCTGGCCAACATGGTGAAACCGTGTCTCTACTAAAAGTTCAAGAATAGCCAGGTGCAGTGGCGCATGCCTGTAATCCCAGCTACTCGGGAGGCTGAGGCAGGAGAATCACTCGAGCCTGGGAGGCGGAGGTTGCAGCGAGCCGAGATTGTGCCATTGCACTCTAGCGTGGGCGACAAGAGTGAAACTCTGTCTAAAAAAAAAAAGAGTCTCTCTTGGTCTGCTTCAGAGAAAAGGTTGTAACACCTGGAAGAAAGAAAAGCTTTTCCCTAGGATGGGGAGAGAGGATGAGAAGACCATGGTGGAGTAAACCACACATGCCTGGAGCTATTAATTAGTAAAACTTGGCTCCAATGTCAACAATGTTATGACCTAAAAGGCTTCAGGCAAATGATAGAGTTTATGTCCAGTCCCAAGGCACCCTCCTGTTGTCCAGGACCTGTTCTACCACCTCCATGAAGTATCCCATCTCTTCCAGCCTCCTTCCTCCTCTGGAACCTTATTCCTTTCAATATCCTGGACACATGGCTGCACAGAAATCAAGCCTAGGGAGCATCACCATATTCTTTTACCTTGTTCATGAAACAGTGAGAACACCTCTAAAGCATTTCTAACCCATCCACATAACTTCAATACCTGGAATTTCACAAATGAAAACCTACTTCTCACATTCTTTTCACTAATTATCAAAACCTCTTGTGTTCGAGATAAAAACCAAGGCAACTATAGCTGCCTCTGAAATTTAGCGTTTTGATGAAATGCTACCAAAAACCATTGCTGGAGTATATATTTTCAATTCGAATAACTACCTGCCCTAGGGTCTGGATTAAAATGAAATAGAATAAGTATTTACACATAAATTGTTTGTTGAAGTGTTTTAAAGTAAATTACAGACCACATAGCACATTCCCTTTAAAAAGTCAAGCTTTGTGAAACAGGATTACATTTAGGATGTTCTCTTGCTCATTTCCTATTCATTCTTAACCCACAGCTTTCCAGCTCCCATCCCAACTATCACCTTGAAGGCTCCTGACAAGGCCCTTTATAACTTAGATGCTAAATCCAGTGTCAAGGTCCCAGCACAGTTCCTGAGATATACTTTTAAAGTATTAATGTTCTTTTCTGTAATTTTAGGCAAAGTCAAACATGTCTCAATACTATTTTTCCCTTGTCACGTACGCTCAATGTTTTAATTATAATTTTGAAAAACCTTGATTCAGGTATAAGACAGAAGAGTCTGGAAAAGTAATTAAGTGGAATACACCATGCTCATTATACGGCAATTGAATTTCAACCCCCATGAAATGACCAAAAAAATCCATTTATTTCATTAAATCCCCAAGCTCTTCTGAAAGTGCTGAGACTGACAACCCAAACATATAAAAGCACATGAAGATAATGATTAATAAATGCCTCTGGAAAATCATAGCTAGTAAAGATTCTTTTATGGGCAAGTTAGGGTCCACATTTTTCTAGCAAAATTTGTAGAACAGAGTCTACTAATTGTTAACAACAAGATTCTTTCCTGTATTAAATGTATAATATTTTCCTGTACATATCAGTTTTAACTTCTCTTCAAATACTCTAGACCGAATAAAAGAATTAGAAGTAGGTGATATGTTCATAGAGGCATTTCTAGGCAGGCAATGATTATGTTATAATACATACTGTTCTGAAGTTGTTTGAGTTTTAACTGAATACAAACAGGAAATGCATGTTTTTCCACTCAACACATTTGAGTGCTTTCCCTCCCATAGAATGGAATGTTGGGAGTGCCTTTATTTTCATTCAAATGGGTAATATATATGTGCATGAGATGTGGGAAATGCCACTAGTAATAACTGAAAATTTAACTTGAGAAAAGCTTCAGTTGCAAGGAAATAAGAACAGATTCAGAGTGGTTTTGGGAAGCTGCCAAATCATGAGTAGAAACATGTTAAAAAATCCTTCTCCTATTTTTTCTGACACTCAGAATTTCGAAATCTCCTTTGATAATCTTTGAAGCAGCCCCACCGTTCCCAGAAAAAACTGCAAGGAGCAGAAAGGATAGCTGTGTGAGTGAAAGTCATCCTTTAGGAGGGAGAGAGATTCAGGTTCTGATTCAACTAACATTTAGGGTGTTCCTGATAAGTTTCAGACACCATGTTTGGTGATTTCTCAAATAGTAATATGTTATTGTGTATTATTGTGTACTATTGTGTACTTGTATTCAAATATCCCAGCTCAGGGAGGGAATAAAGAGAAAGTGTATAAGTGCATATATATTTATCTTTTTCTTTTAGATTATGTGTATATATGATATGGGCAGGAGGCAGAGAAGTGCTGAGTAGAGGTGGGTAGTTTCCCGGCAAAGGCCCCATTCTCGAGTCTGGAAACCCGCAGCCCTGAATAAGAACAGGTATTCCTGTTTCCTTGCCCAAATTTTGCCTTTTTTCCCACCACACACCTCTATTCTATACCCATATAAACTCCAAACTGCAGGCTCCATGAGAGGACAAACAGAACAAAAGAGTAGGGAGAAGGAGAGAAGAGAAGGAGCATCTGAACGTCTAGAAGAGTTCAGCTGGGGATGGTTGGAGGGCAGATCAGCCACAGGACAGCCAAATTTCTGGGGAAAATCATCTTCCCACCCCATCCCCTATTTAGCATCCCATCCATCCCATTGAGCCGCCTCCATCACTCAATAAAACCCCCACATTCACCATCCTTCAAGTCCATGTGGGACCTTGTTCTTCCTGGACACTGGACAAGAACCCGGATACCAAGTGGGTACTGAACTGGTTATCACTTAAGTCCTCTGTGGATGGCAGAGCTAAAGGAGCACTGTAACATGCCCACTGGGGCTTCGGGAGTTGCAGGCACCCATCCCTAGATGCTACCGTGGAACCGGAGCCAAAAAGCACTTGCCCCGGCTCCTGCACCTGCCCATCTGAGTGCTCCCCCTCCTGTAAGGGGTTTGAGCATGCACGGTGGTGGCCGAACAGAAAAGCCACATCCCTGTTGCACGTCCCGTGAAGGAGGTCAGGGAACTCTCCCATTTCATATGTATATATATACAGACATGTATATATGTACGTATATATTCATTTAACAATTCCAATAATTCACCTATTGTTTTAATAATGAGTAAACACTACTGTGGAGTTTATACCTGGAATAGGTTTAGTAAAATGTGGAGGAGTCCACTCTCCCTTGGCTAATCTCAGTTCCTAATTACTTCTCATATTGTGAGCATCTCTCTGTGTACACAGTGACGTGGGTGTTTAAAGAGAAGTATTTTTTCATATAACATGACCCTTAAACATCAGCCAAATTTCCCTCATATTCTCTACTGCAGAATTGGTAACTTATTATAATGCTGGAATTAAAACTTGTTGTGTTCTGTAGCCTGGCCTCTAAGTAAGAGGGTTTTTTTGCCTAACGTTTTGAGATTAGAGCCTAATTCTGATTAAAAAAAATATTTCTTCACTGAATATCTGTTAGTTGAATTCTCACAAAAACCTCGTGAGGATTAAGAGGTCTGTTAACAGCTAATAACCATGTCACTCCATCTGTGGCAGTAGCCTTCCCCTTTCTTCAGGGAACGGCATCATCTGGATTCCAGCCTCCTGGTTAAGGTAAGGACCGGTCACTATGGGTTCCTGCTCTCTGGCCATAAGGAAGGTCGTGTGACTCCAGATGACCCAGTGAGACTGACCTTTTAACCTGGTCCCTGTGACTGGTCCAGGGAAACACATGTGCGACTAGGTCCCTCAGTGTCCTCTCCTAGAGATTTTCTGATTGAATCGACAGGAAAGAGTTTTTCTTACATCTCTGATGAGGTTCTGTGAATATGTTATCTTCAAGCGTCCGCATGCCATGTCCCCACCTGATAAAGATATCTGCATACATAAAAACAACACTCAGAGAGGAACAGAGATGTGAGAGGGTCCTGTCAGCATCCTGTGTGCAGTCAGCCTAGAGGCCAGATCCTGCTCTGCTCCTGCCCAAGGCTTATCTTGTTTTGTTTTTCATTCTTTATTTCAGAATCCTAATTATTGCCCCTTTGGCCTTAAGCTAGTTTCCTCCATGGATGATTCAGTATTGCCTGTGCTTCACTGGAGAGAAGAGCTTAGTCCACAGGTAATATAACTTGCTCCATTCCCAAAGCTAGTAAATGACAGAACCAGTCACCTACTAGAACGAAACCCATGTGAGGCACAACATCAAAGTTTACAAGGCTGAGATTCCCTGGTTATTAGTGGTTTTGTAGATTGGGACATATTTTATTTATTTATTTTAAGGGAGAGAAACTCCTTTTCCATTTAGGCACTGGCAGAAAGTCATCTTAGAGGAGATCTTTTTTCTGGGAAAAGTCAGTAAAGTGAGGCCCCTTCTGTTATGTAAATGACAACAATAAACACTATTTCTGGGGGAACATAAGACAGAAACTTTGGGACTCCATGAGGCTTGATTTTGTAGACTCTTGTGAACCCATTTACAAAAGCCTAATGCTTTCTGAAAAGAAAAAAATCGAGACCCAACACTTGCTCCCAGAGATTCAAATTTAGGAAAACTTGTTGGGGTAGATTGGAATGACCCTGACCAAAATCCTAGTCAGGAAAGAACAACAGGGCCTTTATGTTGCTGAACAACAAGCAATTTCAGCTCTTCCAGATGTGACTAATTAGATGTATTCACTCAGCAGTTTTTCACTGAGATGAGGGGACAACTCAGGACCAGCTCTAAGCAGTGCAGATCACCACCTAAGGGGAGGGTCATTTGAATTGACTGACATGCCAGCCTCCCTTAGGATCTTAAATGCCACCCACTGAAATCATTTTTCCTGGGATCTTCCATGTTTAGGGGGCTGCCCAAACCCCCGGGTCAGTATACGGAACCTAATGACAACAATAGACAACAGTTAGTGAGTCCTTCCATGTGTCAGGCCCAATGATAAGAGCTTAACATTAATGTTCACTACAACCATATCTATGGTATTATCCCTTTCACCCCCATCATTCTCACTCCCTTAACTGTGCTGCATGTTTTTCATAGCATGTACTCTTGCTAAAATTATATATTTATTTGTTTTATTTTTTGTTACCTGACTCAAACTAAAATGTGAGCTCTATGAAGAAAGAACTCTGTGTTGTTAACCCTCATAGGCAGGTTGCTGTCAAACAGTGGATTTTCAATCAAAATTTATTGAATGAATGATGGTATTATGTGATTTTATTATAAAAACCTTATGGGACAAGTTTTTGATGGGTTAAGTAAATTGTACAAGATAACATTGCTGGCAAGTTACAGAATCCAGACTCGAATTCAAGTGTGTATGACTCCAAAGCCTTTGCTTTGAGCCACCAAGTTATTCTGGCTCCCAATATATAGAAGTGGTGGCTGGGGTACCCAGAGCATTTAGTAAGTAATGGAAGGAAACAATGAGAGAAGAAGATTAACTTTGCTCATGTTGGGGAGATAATATATATTCTCCTCATGTCTCATAAATTTGTACTTGGTACAGACCCCTGTAACAAAAGACAGATTAACAAGAGAAAAATAAGCAAACTTAATAATTCATGAAGTGCACATCACATGAGAGAAATCCCAGTGAATAGTAACTCAAAGCAGTGGCTTGGAACTCTGGCTTGTATAGCATCTTCAACAAAGAATGATAAAATTAGAGAGAAATGCCAGAATGAAGGAAAGCAGTTTGGGGCTTCCGAAGGCCAGACAATGTGGAAGATAAATACATGAGAAGAAACTAATGAAGTAACATTTGATTTCAGATTCCCCTGGCACTGTATCTAGGCTAAGAGTTGTCTCCTATAAGGGAGAATATCTATACTGTTTTTAGGCAGAAAAGGGGAAGATAGAGAGAGCTCTTCATTTGCTGCTTCATAGTTACCTTTAGTTCAAAAATAATTTTTATATCCATGAGGCATATTTGGGGGTGATATATTCTGGTTTCCTTCACCTACTTCACACCTCTGCTGAGAGACTGGTCTTGCCACCAATATTTACTAAAGCATAGGCTTAAAGGTTAAACCCGAGTTCCAGGAGGCCGAGGCAGGCGGATCACAAGGTCAGGAGATGGAGAGCATCCTGGCTAACACGGTGTAACCCTGTCTCTACTAAAAATACCAAAAATTAGCCGGGCATGGTGGTGGCGGGCGCCTGTAGTCCCAGCTACTCGGGAGGCCAAGGCAGGAGAATGGTATGAACCCGGGAGGCGGAGCTTGCAGTGCACCGAGATCGTGCCACTGCACTCCAGCCTGGGCAACAGAGCGAAACTCCATCTCAAAAGAAAAAAAAATCCGAGTTCCAGGCCCGAGTCTCCCTACCTAGGGGAACTTAAGACCACCTAACGTCTCAGAATCTCTTTCTTCATCTGCTATCTCCTAAGGGTTGTAACAAGATTTAAACATAATAATGATGGCAATGAATTTAGAACAGTTGCTGACTCAATAAATTCCAAATAAATAGTAGCAGTGATCCCAAGGACAGAGATTGGTTGTCACACAAGGAAATGGCCCAGCTCTCTTCTGCCTCCAGCCTGCACTTCGCTGGGTTCCAGCCAGTACTGTTGACGGTCATTTGCTAACTGATCAGCTACACCATCCACTTATATTAGATCCTTTTTAAAAATTCTTCCTGTTTCCTGACGATGCCCCTAGATATGCAATAAGATCCCAAATGTGAATACTTGAAAGGGCCTTGCTTGCAATGAATATAATTCTGTCACAACTGCCCAGTGGAAGAACTATTCCTTCTATGAAGGCGTGCCAGCCCTCTGCTCTGCAAACCGAGAAAAGTTTTAATATGTACTTTCAAGTGTCTATGGAAAACATCTGGGGCTTGAACTATTTGGAGTTATTTACTCAGGGCTATCACAAGGAGCCAGGAGAAGTACACAGTCTTCTGACAATTAGTTGAGGAGGCGTTTACTGCTGTTCTTACATACTGTATAACAGAAGAGGTCACCATTCACGTGTCTATTTCCCTTGCTATGTATCTTCTCTAATTTTCAATCATGAGGACCTCTTCTTGATGTCAAGAAATATTGCATACTACAATCCCTCCCCAAAAGCAGTGGTCACTTGACGGAGGAAATACATTATGAAAAACTGCTACAGTGAATTAACTAAGAATGGAAATTTTATGAATCACATTAACATCTATGTATATTTGGAAAATGGTAGTGCATTTCTGCGTGTAACATTTTAGCTATCCAGTAAACAGCCATCCAGGAAGCAAAGAATCCCTTGCATTAACATCCTGGCGCCACAGAGACCTACATCCTGCAGGCTGGGAACCAATGTCTAAAGGTATTTAACTGAGAGTTTGGAGAAGAAAGTACCACAAAGTTAAGTTGAACATTATCTTTCTGAATGGTCTATAATTCTACTAATGACTGCTGAGTTTAAAAATTAAAATAATGATAGGCTGACTGTAAATAGATTTTTGTTTTTGAAACAGGAAAACATGAATTTCTAGTTGCTTTGGAGTCTAATATTTGACTACGGTAGACTGATCTAAGTCTTGGCAGGATACGAGACATAATTTGAAACCATGAAGGTATAAGCCCAAGGGAACAATGTGTATAATGCTGGAATTATGTTCAAACTGATCAGGGGGATGGCCAGGGGGATTTCTTTATTAAAATTATTGAACAGGAAAGTGCCTTCAACCACAATATAAAAGGCAATTTGCAATTACTGTTCTACTTTTCCTCGACTTTCCATTTTATTTTAGTACACAAGCAGTTTGTGGTAAAATCAGCTTTTGCATCTCTTGGACTTATATTTTACAGAAAAAGATTTACTTTAGTTTTCATTTTAATGCTACCATGTAACAAATTGCTCTAAACTTTAAAAAAAATCTGCTTTCTGGTCTGTTTACTTCCTTTTTGTCATTAAATGATTAGGAAGATAACATTGTTGAGATCCTGAAGATTCTGAGGATGAAACATATATTTATGCTACATTAGGGAAGTGAAGCATTTCTTGAATCAGTATTTTAAAAGTGGAGTCAAATAAAATTTATTTATTTTAATCTCTGAGTTGATTTAGCTCTGGGCTATCCAAAAATGAATTTCTCAATATGAGAAATAGTCAGCTGTTTAAAATAAAATTATGACATTGAAAATTACATACTACAAATCCTAGAATATAGTGGCGCTCAAAAAAGATTATTTTTCATTGGCTTGGGGATAAAAATGCTACTATTTGTTCATTTAGTATTTTTTTCTTTACTTCAAGACTTTTGTTTCAGAATTAAAAGTTAAGTTCTAGAAAAAATGTTTCACGAATGAACAAGAAGCAAAACAGTGTATGAAAGTACTTTGTAAATTAAAAGGTAATATTAAGCCCATACCCATCAATATTTTAATGAAAGCCTATATCACAAATAGGTGTTGACATTCATTTATTCCTTCATTTATCCATTCAACAAGCATTTGTTGAATAATAGGAATTCTGCTGTGTGCTTAGGATTCAGTTCTACACAAGGTAATAGAGAAGCCATGCATTTTAGGCTCTGGAGCCTGCATTTGAATCCTAGCTTTGTCCCTTACTTATTGTGTGACTTTGGGCAAATTAAGTGACCTTTCCATGCCTTGATTTTGCCTTCAGTTAAATGAAGATATTAATGACATTTAACTCATAGAGATGTCCTGGAATGGTGGTTTATAACCTACCTTGGCCGTGTGTTAGAATTACCCAGAGAGCTTTTTAAAAATACCAATATATTCCTCAGCCACTACAGTTCTGGTGAAGTGATAACAGAGACTTGGACTCTGACAGCCAACCGATAGTGTCACCTTGAGGACACCTAGTTATGGTTTTTCCTGACTCCCTCAAGAGGAGCCCACTATAGGCTTGCAGGTGGAGTTTTGACCAATCATAACTTTCTCCATATTATCCTAAAAGAATATGAAAGGGCTGTAATCTTTAGATCAGGCCACATCATATAATGAGGAGCCAAAGAACCTGGTTTGTTTGTTATCCTGCCATGAACGATAGCTTGATCCAAGTAGACGTGAGAACTATTTCATTAGATATTCCACCAGAGGAGAAACTTACCAAGGATTCAGTGACAATTCGTGTGGACAATTTATGTCATCAAATTCAGAATGCCACCATGGCAGATATCACCAATGCCGATTCAAAACCCATATTTAGGCACCAGGAACTTTCTCAGGTCCACTCTGACACAGAAATTGCATACAACATGTCAGGTTCTCTGGACAATGGTACTGATGTCTGAAGGATAGAAGTAGAGTGTGAGGCAATTAGGTATGCAAACTCACCTGTGCAACCCCCTTGATTCACAGATTCAGAAGCAAAAGCATCCCATGAAGTCTAAGCCAAGCTCATTGCAGCTGGGGGAGAAAATGGCTCCATCCTGAGCTCTGAATGAGGCCTCAGTGGTGAGTAACTGATTCCCTAACACCCTTAAATCTGGAATGACCAGGCCCGAAATGACCAGAGTTGCTGAGAATTCTGTGAATGTCTTCCTCTGCTCATGGATGTATGATGAGGCATTGAATTTGTTTCCTATGGTTGCTGAAACAAATTACCACAAATCTAGTGGCTTAAAACAAAACAAATCTATTATTTTATACTTCTAGAAGTCAGAATTTAGAAAATGGGTCTTATGGGGCTAAAATCAAAGTATTGACATGGCCACATTCCTTTCAGAAGCTCTAGGGGAAAACCCACTTCTTTGCCTTTTATAGCTTTACAGGCTGCCCACATTCCTTGGCTTGTGGCTCCTTTACATCTTCCAAGAAGCAATCACATCGTAACCCATGCTTCCGTGGTGATGTATCTTTTGATGACTCTCCTGCCTCCCTCTATCCCTTATAAGAGCTCCTGTAATTGCATTGGGACCACCTGAGTAATCCAGAATAATCTCCCCATTACAAATTCTAAATCATATCTGCAAAGTCCCTTTTGCCACATAGGGTAACACATTTACAAGCTCTAGGGATTAGGATGTGAACACAGGCATCATGGGACAAAACATGGAATTATAGAGGTCAAGGCAGAGTTAACCTTCAATGCTCAGGGAAGAGTAGGGCAGGGTGACTTGAACTTCTCCCTCCCCCTCCTTTGCCAGAAGTTGAGTTTCGTATATCTAGAATGCATAGCAGATAAAAGAATTGTTAGTCTGTAAATGCCAAGAGACATACAGCTTGATGATTTATAGAAAAAATCTCTTAGCTTTTATAATATTTCATAGTTCTTCGTTTTTATTGTTGAGAAGCAGGTTAAATTCCTCTTTCTTTTGGCTCCTATAGAGGCACACTTCACCCTAGAAACAAAGTGCAGTGTGTAGGTTATAACCAACACAGGCCTTCTCCTATCACTCTGCTTACTCCTGCAGAAACTTATTGAAGAAAGGGTTCCCCAAACCTGTTTGGTCTGAAAAACAGTTGAACCCAAACTGTATTTGGAAATAATCCTTACCTGAGCATAGGCATGTCCTTGGCTGTGCCTGCCAGTGATGCAGGGTATTTTCTCAACCCCTTCATAGGACTTGTGGCAAGGGTGCCTCATTTACTCAGCCTGCTCTGCTCAACCCCTCTCGGGAGGGAGTGTGCAAGCAAGCGAGTGTGGAATCAGAGTTAGCAAGTGCAAGAGCTGGTCAGCGGCCCAGCGGGAGCAAACTCCATTCACTTGGGTTCACCAGGCTCCACCTGTTGCGAGAGGGAGCGTGCGAGCAAACAAGTGCAGGAACCAGCTGGCTGCTTCAGTGCTAGCAGGAGCAAACTCCACTGGCAGGAGCAAACTCCGTGCAGGCCCTTGTGACCCCAAGGCCCCAGAGGGTGTGTCACAGTGCTTTCTTAGCTCCGCCACCTGCAGACAGCAGTGTGTTATCAGCTCAGTGGGCCTTTTGCTTTGTCACATGCGGTGGCTGCCCTCTGCCAGCAAGGGCAAAGGGCCAGTGTGACAGCCTTTTTGGGTACTCATGTGGTGCATCCCAAATTCTTGTCCAGTGCCCAAGAGGAATGAGGTCACGTGGACAAACTGAAGAACGGTGAATGTGGAGAATTTTATTGAGTGATGAAAGTGGCTCTCAGCAGAGAGGGAAGCTGGGAAGGGGATGGGAAGGGCAGGTCCCTCTCCCCTGAAGCCAAGCTTCCTCTCTGCCTCTCTCTTCCAAAGTCAAGTTGCCTCAACCCGCCACTGTCTCTGAAGTTAAGTCGCCCTACCTGGATGTCCAGCCACTTCTTCCCTCTGCTGGCTGAGTCTGGGATATTTATAGGCACAGGATGGGAGGCAGGGCAGGCCATAGGTAGTTTTGGAAAAGGCAACATTTGATTGATAAAAAGACATTATTCAGGAAGAAACAATCAGGAGAGAGCAGGCACACACAGGGATGGAAATTCTTCCTTTGGGCCATGGTGGCTTCAGCTTTTCAACTTGAAGGTGGAGGTTTGCCAGGGACCTGCCCTGTCTGCCCAGAGTTCTCTGCCTCGGTCACAATTACCAGCACCAGGGAAGTAGGCAAAACAAATGGCAAAGCTTTTCCAATTGTTCCATGACTTTTAAATCTGCTGTTTTAGATATTCTTAATACAAAAGTACTGATTTGTTTTAATTGTTTTGAGCCTTCCTTATGAGTGAATGATTATACTGTGGATTGTCTTTTGAACCAGGTAAATACTGCCCCAAAATAGCCTAGTTTCAAATATCAGGCTTTAGATCAT
The DNA here is from genome assembly GCF_000001405.40 of Homo sapiens. Classification (NCBI taxonomy): domain Eukaryota; kingdom Metazoa; phylum Chordata; class Mammalia; order Primates; family Hominidae; genus Homo; species Homo sapiens. Next base: position 79,403,979 of record NC_000006.12, on the reverse strand, counting down.
TTTGTTTTGCTTTTTAAATGAATCTTTCTCTGCTGAGCCATAGAGGTCAGGATAGAATAGCTATTTGAACCAGCTATTCTGAATAGCTATTTGAATAGCTTCAGAACTAATGTGCTTTTTCTAACATCTTTAGGGAAGCAGTGTATTTTACTCCCTGCATGTGGTATGCTATTGTGCACTGTGAAGGCCTGGATTACAATTCCTGGTTCTCACAGTGCACAATAATATTTGCACACCGGAATTCATCATATGTGGGGCACAAAACAGCCAAAGAACTTGGCAGATACCATCCAACTTGTGAAATAGAAAGAAAAATCAATGTAAAACACTCCAGACTATTTGTTTTCTCCCATCCCCCAACATATGATTGATCCTGATCCTGATTGATTCTTACTCTATAACATTGGGCAGCACCTTCCAGATCTCAACAGCCTGTGAATCTGTGTACATGACCCTCCACCTCCTGGGTCTAGGAAACCAACCTTGACATTCATATTATTTCTTCTTTGAGATTCTGAGTTGACCTTGAAAAGTCCAGAACTTGGGCAGTGCTCTCCCAGAGCCACCCTGGGCATCTGTTCTTTGATAGACAAGCCTTGTCAGTCCAATCTGCAGAGGAAGGCTTTCAATCCATCCCTGAGTTTGAACCACACTCTGGCTTCCCACACCCAGGATCTTGGCCAAGATTATTTGAAGACATCTAGAGTTTTGTTTTGTTTTGTTTTTTTTACTTGGAACTCAAGTTGCATGTTTTTCTTATTGAAGTTTAATGTTTGGTTTTATCTGCATTCTCAGAAACAACTTCATCCTCTTCTGGCTGAAAAATCCCTGATTTGATTTAAAATAATGTGTGCATTAAAACATAATAATAATGGAAGCCAATGGAACAAAAAATGTGTTTGTCCTATCTAACCATTTTTCTTAGAAACCTAGCTGGGACTATGATTTTCTTAGCAAATTCCTAAGCTCAGAGAAGTTAAGCGTGTGCATGACAGCACAAAGCCAGGGGCCTAGCCCAGCAAGATAGAGGGGGTGTTTTATGGGATAGTATTTCAATGAATGACTGAAGCCTGGATATCTGGCTCCATGGGGTGCAGTTACCACACAAGACAGTGTGTCTGAGTGGAAGAAGGAAGGCTGGATCCAGGCCTCTGTGTGACGCTCAATGTGGTGTTATTCAGCCGCTACTAAGGAGTACCTACCTGCCTCCTGGGTGACAGAACCTCCAGGGCTTTGCCAATCACAGCTGCAGAAAGGGCAGTGCTTGGAGAGTTGACAGCATTTTAAAAAATTGTAATAGATGCCTATATCTAATACCAAGCATTAAATAAGACAGGAATATCACCCAATGTGTTTACAAACCTTGTTTTTTGAAAGATTTACAAAGTATATTTTTTAGTCATAACTTTTAAAAAGGTTTTGAAGGTAACAAGACCTGCTTAGCTAAAAATCCCAGGGCAAAAGTGCATTGCTGGCCAGCTGGTAGTGGTTGAAGAAAGACCAGAGTATAAGTAGGTGTAGCAAATTAACAGCCCAGGTGATGTAATAAAACTTAAAGGACTGCTATTAAAGCTACTCAACTTCAACTTGAACTTGTCTTTAATTCTTGACATAACTTTATGAAATGCTTACATTTTTGCTCTAATTATTCCTTCTTTCCCTTTCTTCCTCTTCTCCCAATGAAGTAATCAGTTCGATTGTTTGACCAAAATTTATATTTTGAAGTATTGTTTGTAAATAATGAATTAAAAGTTACCCATAAAATCCAGACAATGCAGTGACCTACCCTTTAAAGAAATCACTGCATATGATTTTGAAACAAAATGCAGGTTCTTCAGGGCAACTGACACCATCATTAAACGATATCGTTGTAACAAGTAAATAAAATGCTATCTTGTTAAAGAAAATTCATCTGTGTTGATATAATTTTCCCAATTATAAAGGCTCAAGTTGATATTAGGGTAGAAAATTGGAACAAAAGAAAAACATTTCTGTAATGTTTGCATTCTGACCACCTGGAAGAAAACTAGATTCAAAACAATGATTTCCAGGGAAATGAAATTAATTGAAAGTTCTCAGGAAAAACTATTTAATAGTTGTTCTGTGAGAAAGCCATTATTAAATCTTTAAATAAAATGATATTTTTATTTGAAGGTCATTATAAAAAACTAAAAAAAAAAAAGGATTTTACCAAAGAGAAAGGTAAAAATATTGATAAGGTTCGGGCGTGGTGGCTCACGCCTGTAATCCCAGCACTTTTGGAGGCTGAGGTGGGCAAATCACTTGAGGTCAGGAGTTCGAGACCAGCCTGGCCAACATGGCAAAACCCAGTCTCTACTAAAAATACAGAAAGAATTAGCCAGGTGTCGTGGCGCCACCTGTAATCCCAGCTACTCTGGAGGCTGAGGCACAAAAATCACTTGAACCCAGGAAGCAGAGGTTGCAGTGAGCTGAGATTGCGCCACTGCACTCCAGCCTGGGCGACAGAGTCTCAAAAAAATTTGTTTGTTAAGATAGTAATAAGAAATAATCACATATCAGATGATGGAATTCTTTTTCTGGTTTTCTGGCTTCACATTCATTAACTTCTCTGTTCAGCTGCTGTTTTATGCCACTCTCTTCTCAACTTGATTGTTTTTTCATTTAGAATGAATGACACTGTCTGATTATTTAGCACCAAAAGGCATTTTTATCTATTCCTCTGTAGATAAAAAGTATTCTAAGTGCAGACCACTAAAAGTTTGTGTGCATACATATATTGGGGTTATGCATTCAGGTAATTTTGTTAAAATTGTTTCTCTGGATTCAGAGTTGTGTCGGGAAAGGCAAAGAAAAATCACATAAGCATTTAAATAATTCTCAAGGATTTCAAAAGAGAAATCATGAGGTTCCCTAACTGCTATGATGCAATTCTGTGAGCATGAAAAATGTCAGGAAAATAGTGGGTAGATGTGGTACCATACGAAGAGTACTACACTAAATAGTGTAAATATGGTTTACACTATTATAAAGTTCTTCAAAAAACAATCATGCTCCAATTTCCTTATTTTCTTCAAAAAGTTTTTTTCTCTATTATCATCAATGTATAAAAATTCACATTTCCATTTTATAAGGTTTGATAAGTTGCCTTGTGTCAAACATATTTTTCTGGCTTCCAGATAACCAGTGCAAGGCCAGCATGCCTTTTACATGGCCTCAGCCACAGGTGATCACACTTTATGAGGTCAGACCTTGGGCCTCAGACTGCACAGTGCCAAGTGGTTATAATAGGTCCTCAACCCAAATTGTGCTCCCTGTCCCATACTACAACTTCCTTCAAAATTCTTCCATCACCCTTTCACCTTCTCACAAAGTCAGGGATTTTATTGGAAACCCATACTTCAAGCAAACCATGCAAAGGCAGAATCATCAGTGGTTCTGAAAGTAGTGGTAGGGAAAACAGCTGGGACCCTTTAATGGCATAAAAAGCCCTCCCTCTCAGGTGCTGGAGCCTTCTTCAAGCTAGGTCATTGTGAATGGAGAGCTCACTGCCTATCTGGGTCTTGTCGCCTGGAATTAAGATGTAATTACTATCCTGGCAGACTACCCCTTACCAAGGATAAACAGGTGGGTGCAGTTGGCAGTAATTACCCCTTTTTCTGACTCACAAATAACCTGGCACCTTCCCCACCATGGTTAGCAAATCCCAGAAGCCCTAATCATCAAGTAATTGTTTGATTGGGACTGGATTAGTCCTCAGAGCTAGAAGTGCCTGATAAGAAAAGGGATATACAACTCGGAACTAATTATTTTCCTGTTATAGTTGGCATTTCAGCAGAAAGAAACCCAGGGTTTCATTAGAATGTTAATGAAGAGACTTTTTCACCTGAGTCTTAATGAGACTAACAGGTTCTACTCTCCCACTATGTCTTTCTTTTGCCACACAGGTCTTACCTAGAAGTTGGTGGGTATTCACTGTATGGTGAGGACAATACAGGTTCCAAAAAGAAAGCCTGAGTGTTAAACCTGCTAGACTAGGAAAACAAGCAATTATCTGAAAAATTCTGACCCTTAATCTTTTGTTTCCTCAAATAACTCAGGTAAAAAATGGGGCTTCTCCTAAATTGTCTTAAAATTGCCTCAATTTCCTTCTTTGCTAGTGGAAATTTCCTTTCATTTTGCTTCTTCAGCTGAAAGGCGTTTCAAACAGCAACGAGGCTAGACATTGTCCTTGCATCAATAGGGTGGGCGTGGGTTTTCTGACAGATTAGTGTGATTGCATGTGTTTCTCTTCTCACTGATCTTTGCTCTCAAACAGCCCCAGAATGCTGATGCTGGTACTGTAGCCTTATCTCAGCTTGGCCCTAGACAAAACTGTTATGGAAGAAGAGAGCCTGGTGAGAAGAGAACAGAATCTGTGGTCAGATAGACCTAGGTTCCTATCCTGGCTCTTATACCAGTTTCCTGAGTGGCCTGTAAATTCATTCATCCCTAATTCAGTTGCTGGTCTGAGAGGACAAGCTAGATACGGTTATGGTGACTGTCTGATGAAATAGCATAGATGTAAGCAGCCAAGAGTATCTAGGAAATGCAAACAATTAATACCTGATTTCCCTTCTTTACCACTTGGGAAGGATGGCCAAACATCCTTGTTCTCCTGTTGTGTTGGAGTAATCATTAACAGCGCCCCAAATGTCCCCGTTAGGATGATAAATTCTGTGGTTATGCTACACCCAGGTAAAGTTGGGTTTTGATCATGTTCTTTTTGTTTGTTTGTTTTGTTATTTTATTTTATTTTATTTTATTATTATTATACTTTAAGTTTTAGGGTACATGTGCACAATATGCAGGTTTGTTACATATGTATACATGTGCCATGTTGGTGTGCTGCACCCATTAACTCATCATTTAGCATTAGGTATATCTCCTAATGTTATCCCTCCCCCCTCCCCCCACCCCACAACAGTCCCCGGAGTGTGATGTTCCCCTTCCTGTGTCCATGTGTTCTTATTGTTCAGTTCCCACCTATGAGTGAGAACATGCGGTGTTTGGTTTTTTGTCCTTGCAATAGTTTGCTGAGAATGATGGTTTCCAGTTTCATCCATGTTCTTGCAAAGGACATGAACTCATCCTTTTTTATGGCTGCATAGTATTCCATGGTGTATATGTGCCACATTTTCTTATGTTCTAACCCTCTTTGTGATAACACCCTCTACCTTTGTCAGAGAACTTTAGTGGGAAGGAATGAAACTCCTCCATCCAGCTTAAGCAACCAATGGAATTCATTGGAAAGGTGCAGAAGTGTTCACAAAACAGTCAGGCTTCATGAGGGGCCAGAACTCAGAAACTAAAGTTATGTTTTTATCTCCCCAGAACTGCACGTTCTCCTGATTGCTTCTCTCTGCACATCTGGTTTTATCTTTTCAAAAACTACTGACTTTCACTGCTTTAGCATGCATGTGGCCACCATGATCTCCAGCTTTATACCATTCACAAGTCCATCAGACACTGACTAACGTTAGTTTGTAACTCCAACTTTCATACTCCTAAATTAAAGAATGCCTGGGTTTTTCATGTACACAAATGCATTCCAAACACACTGCCTTGAGTGTGGTATCCACCTATGGTTAAGTCACCTGTGACTGGAGAGGAGATGAGGTCTCACGTGGTTTGCTACCCTTTTCATAGATCTCTGAGCATTTTCTCTGAAAAGGGAGCATGAGAAAGTTCTTGAAGGTTTGCAGGGTGAGTAAATGGATAATGAAGAAAAAGATGGCCTTTTAGTAACCCTACCCCACACATACAATATTCTGATGTCCCACTGAAGCACTTTCCCACTGTTGCTCAACAAGTATGACTTGTATACACCCAGAATTCAAAGTTCTGCTTCTGGGGTCTCATAACTTCAAGTATTTTCTCTGTGCTGGGTGATGTCTAAGGGGTTATCTATCCTCAACAGCTCACATTTTGCAGTGATTGTAAATGTTCCCTCACCACTAATAGTCAACATGTGTTCATTTTCCCAGAGGCTTCCAGGGGACAGGGTGCTGGAAACTAGCACTTCTCAAATTTTTCTAGCAAAGTGGCCCTTATAGTAGAAAGAATTCCTATGCTTAGGGTTCTGAGATTGTAGTGAAAGGTAAATCTGAAATTTCTCGCATTTTAGCTTTTAAACTTAGGTCAATTTGCATCTTATAAAACATTTGCATTTGTTTTGATATAACTTCTCTCAAATTTTGGAGTGAAGCCACTGTTCTCAAACAACGTACCATGATTCTCCTGTAGTATCCCAGGCATACTGCCACGTACCTACTGGGCTGTGCAAGCCCTGGTTTGAGACACATGGATCTAACCCAATGAAAGGGAAATAACAATACTGGAAATTTAGGCATCAGAATAAGTCAGTGGGGGATCCATTCTGGAGTTGATTATTATTATTATTATTATTTTTTGGCATCTCAGGTCACCTAACATTTGAACATCTGGTTATAGGGTTGGGTCTGAATGGCACTCATATTTTCTTCCACTTTCTAGAAATAGATGTGAATTCTAATCCTAGTTCTACCTGTGTTCTCCTAATCCTCCAATTAACTAGCCATGAGATATCGAGCAAGTTGCTGGAGTTCTCTTTACCTTAATTTTCTTATTTATATATTAGACAGGTTAGTAAAGAACTCCTGTGAGAATTGAGTAAGGTACCATATGGTGTCTAGCACATGTTTTTTCTCCTCTTATCTTGCATTCCTTTCTTCCATATGCACATAGATTGCTTTCTTCCCTCCTTTCCCAATAACTTACACCCTACTTTAGTCATGTAAGTGCACTCTTGTCTCTTCAGTTAAAGTCTCTACTCTGGGCCTCTGGAAAAAAGAGGGACAGGCAGGGCCTAAAGTCAGCCTGGATTCCTGCAGTCCTGAGAGTTGCTACTTGCTCCCTCTTTCCAAATGTAAATGAGATATTTCTTGTATAGTCATTGACACCTTCCTTTCTTCCCTCTTCTCCTTACACACACAGTACGAAACCCAGATATGAAAGGGATACCAAAGAGAGCCAGCATGAACAATTTCAGAATTTAAGGCTTTAAAGGAGAAGTATCTGAAAGGCCCATCCAATCATGGAGAAGCCATAGATAACTTAGAGTAGGCACCAGTGACTTCCTTCAGGAATCTCCTGGCTCATCCTTCCTGTCTTGTGCCTAGCTTCTGCCTTTCCACCCAGCCCATGATTCAGTTCCTTTCCTCCTTATCTTCATACGCAGCTCTGGCTCTCACAAGCCCACTATGGTAATTCAGGCTGGTTTCTGCTTGTACAGAAGGCAAACAAAGACAGAGGTGGATTTTGCATTTGTGTTAAAATGCTGATGTTGGTACTGTGGTACTGGTACTGTGTGAAAGAGTTTCTCATGGCAAACAATATAACATGGACTCAAATATGGGACACTAAGGTCTGCAGGCCCTAAAAGAAAGAAGCTCTTTCCATACTCTGATAGGCTTACCCAAATATTATTACCTAAGTAGGGGCAGAACAAGAATGACATAAGACAACCTGCACAAAGAGAATCTTGAGACTATAGCACAGTCTCAAGTATATGTGAGAACCTTGAGACTATAGCACAGTGCCTCCTTCTGAAAATTGTTTTAAAGACATATCAAACAAAACCCAGTAGTTTCTTGAAGATCCTTAGGTTCAAGGCAGTGTAAAGAGGGCCAGTGTATCAGCCAACAGCCACTCACTCATCTCCTTCCTCTGCCCCCACATACTCACATAAGGTGGAATCCCAAGGCAGAGGGGTAGCAGGGAGAATAATGACTTTTAAAAGGGCCAATACCACAATATATATAGCAAGTGTCTCTGTTTATGGTGAACCAGGCATTTGTTAATCAGCTTTTGTCACAATACTGCAGCATAATAAGCCACCCCACTGTTCAGTGGCTTACAATAAGAAGCATTTCTTCTCACAGTCATAGGTCCGGAGATCAAGTCAGGCTCTGCTGATCTAAGCTTGGGCCAGCTAGGCTTGGCTTCAGGCTGCACGTTGGGTTGAAGACTGCTCCACATTGTTGGTTCTGAGTCCTAGGATGAAGAGGCAGTGGCTACAGGGAGCCCCTTATGGTGGATCACGGGGGCTCATGAGCCGAGCCAAATTGAGCAAGCACATTTGAAGACTCTACATGAACCACATCCATTAACATTTCATTGGCCAAAGCTAGTCCCACGGCCAAGCCTGAAGTCAATGAGGCTAAGGAATTATACTCTATCTCAAGAAGGAGCGTAAGTTGAGTGAGTATTTTCTGAACAATAACCCATTGTGCCACACCAGGTTTAGGCATGTTTGGTTCCCACCACCACCAATTCGTTCAACACTAAAAGCTGAGAGTTGGAGGGAAAGTTAATGGTCAGCTAGAACAAACTTCCCTCCACAACACAGGGACACTCTCCACAACATTTCTGAGAGGTAGTGATGGAGCTTCGGTTTTAGCATGTCCACTTGACTTAGAATTTTCACTATCTTTGAGAAAGAATTTTGTGAAGTTCCCATGTAGAAAAATGTTCCTTAAATAGTACATAAATCTGCTTCCTTCTTTCATTCATGGAGTTTGTATCTGGATCTGGAGCCACACACAAATATTTGGTCCCTTGTCTGGAGGGTGGCCTTAATAAGGGGTCTGCCTAAGCAAGCCATGGGCTCTCTAGTAGGCCTCACTAGAAATGGGCTCTAGAATCCAGTTCAAATCCCAGCTTCACCACTTAGAGCTGTGCGTGTTTACCATGTGTCTCCCTTTTATTCATCCATAAAATGGAGATAATAATACCTGTACTATACAGATAGTGTTAGGCTTCAACAAGATAATGCCTGGAACACACTATAGTAAGGCCTTGATAAACATTGGCTATCATACCACAGGGCTGAAGAAAAGCAATTATTACCTCTGTCTTCTTCAGACAAAATAGCCTGTGTTCTTTCTACTGTGTTGTGTACGTGTTTCCTTTTCCCCATCCTCTAATTTAACACTATTTGTCAGCCGTGACTCTGTTAGGCACAAGGGACACCATCCACATTCTCCCTCACTTTCAGGACAGCCAGCTTCTCAGTACATGCAGCCCAAAATAGTGTCAGACATTCTACTGCCCGCACATTATTAACTCACCCAAGCACTCCCTCTTCCCACCCCTGCCTGGCTACTTCCAAATGGATTGTTAGCAAGTAGTCTCCCTTATAATGTCTTTCTACAGGAACTTTTTTAAAAAAATTAAATGAATGTCTTTAAATGTATTTTGACTAAAGTTTGCCTTTTACTTTGCCTACTTTTTATTCTTTTAACATCCTTTTGAATCCTGGGTCTGTTGTATTTTTCTGGGTTTTTTTAACCCCTGTAATTTTGATGAGTGTATCTTTAGGATTTTATTCACATCACTAATAAATATGTTGAACAGGGCAAAGAATCCTGCAGGATTCCACTGAAGTCTGTCCTCTGGGTTCTCTCATTCAATCATCAAGAATGCATTAAACGTATCCTAAATACCAGACTCCTTACAAGGCAAGCTCATTGCAAGGCACAGGGTAAACAATGCTGAGAAAAACAGCCCTGGCCCCTACTCTCATGGAGCTTCCAGTTTAGTAGGGGAAATGGACATTCATTACACTCCTAAGTGCATAATTATAACAGGCAATAAATATTTTAGAGGAAAAATACATGATGCTTAGAGGAGAATCTGGCCTGATCTGAGGATTCAGGGGAGTTCCCTGAGCAGGTGCTGTTTGAGTTGGGAGTCAACAAGGTAAAGAGGGGACAGACACTGCAGGCAGGGGACACAGCACAGGGAGAGGCTTAGCTATGAAGCCTTGCATGGTCACGGTGTAAGTGAAGGCCAGTATGGCTGGCCCACATATACTCAGGGGAATGATGCCACACAAGAGTCTTTATTAGAAGTTGGATCTTTATGGAAAGAGCAGTGGAAAGCTTTGCAAGGCTCTAAGCAGAGGGGTAGCATAGTCAGATCTTCATTCTTAAAAGATCATTCAGTGTGGAGAGTGATTAGAGAGAGGCAAGAATGTTTATGGGGAAACCATTATGGAGGATATTGTAGTAATTTAGGCGAGTGATGAAAGCAGTTTGGACTAGGGTGCCAGCAGTGGAGATGGAGGGAAATTGATGCATTCAATAGGTACTTAGGAATATAATAGACAGAACTTATTGATAGCTTAGGTATGAGGAGTGAGGAGAAGAGGTATAAAGGATAGCCCTTAGTTTCTCATTTTTATAACTGCATGAATGGTGGTGTCCTTGATTGTGGCAATGAATACTGGAAGCAAAGCAGGTTTGCAGGAAGGAATGGGATAGATTTGATTTCAGACAAGTAGTGTTTAAGTACCATTGAAACATCTAAATAAAGATTTTGAGAATTAATAGTAACAGCAAACCCTTATGTGTCAGATGCTGTTCAAAGCACTTTGTATATATGAATTCATTTACTCTTTAACTCCATGTGGTAGGTATTATTATTAATCCCATTTTATAGAGGAGGAAACAAAGGCACAGAGAAGTGAAATGATCTCCCCACAGTTGCATTGCTGGTCAGTAGGTGTATTAGTCTGTTCTCACATGGCTATAAAGACATATCTGAAACTGGGTAAATTATAAAGAAAAGAGGTTTTTAATTAGTTCACAGTTCTGTGGCTTGTACAAGCTTCTACTTCTAGGGAAGCCTCAGGAAACTTACAATCATGGCGGAAGGCAAAGGGGAAGCAGGCACATCTTCACATGGCTGGCGGGAGAGAGAGAGAGAGAAGTGGGAGCTGCTACACGCTTTGAAACAACCTGATCTCATGAGAACTCTATCACGAGAACAGCAAGGAGGAAGTCTGCCCCTATGATTCAATCACCTCCCACCAGGCTCCTCCTCCAACACTGGGAATTACAACTTGACATGAGATTTTGGCAAAAACGCAGAGCCAAACTACATCTTTAGGGGATGTAATATGCAAGTTTAGAGCTGAGAAGAAAGGTCTGGACTGAAGTTATAAATTTGAGAATCATTGCCAAGCATTAGGTATGGAGAAAATTGGTCCAGTGAGAAAGCATAGAGTAAAAAGAGCTGAAAATTGGGAAAGAAAAACTATCCACAATCTGCAAATAAGGCCAAGAGAATGACTACATGTCCTTTCAATGTCATCATGAATAATTGTCAGGCCTACTCATGAATTATTTAATTTTCTAGGAAAATATACCATTGTTTAACTTTGCTTTTTACTATTAATTAAGGGCTTTGATTCTGTGACATTCCCTTCACTTGTACATTTGTATTTGGTGGAGATGCAAATGATTTCTATCCTGTAGAAAAGAAAATCCCAAAGGTTAAAGCTAATGAGAACATTAACCAGTTTTATACCCAAATTGCAATCTTAAGCTAACTTTCTTTTATTAAAAGGACTACATAAACCCCAGTGCCTTAAATATTCTTAGAATCAGCTGTAGCATTTTGCTGGTTCCATCATTAGTGACTGAGTTGAATAAAACCCTTGACACATGTTTATTCTCTATTTATAAGATAATTTATGTTTTGACTTCTGAGAATTGCTCAGCGAAAGAGTGCGCAGTGAAAGAACTGTGCCTTGAACATCTTCAGCAGTCTTTGAGACAGTCATTTTCCTGGCCACAAATCCACCCACTATTACCATGCCTGCATTTCTCTTTCTTTGCATTTATCTATTATTTAAAAAGTGTTACTGGAAAACTATTTAGTACAAGGCGTTGTACTAAAGCTCAGGGCATGGGAGAAAGAAGTTGAAATGTGAAAACAATACCATTGAGATACTAATGGGCTATGGAGGGAAACAGACAAATTGAAAGGAAACCATAATATGAAAAATGCCACCCAGGAAGAATGTTAGGAAGTATATAAGAAGGCTTGGCACTAGGCCCTGAAAGATGACAGAGACTGTGGGAAGTGGAAATGAAAAGGAAAGATGAAAGGAATAAAACAAACAAAGGTGAGACGAGAAAAAGAAGATATCATGGGAGATTTTCTTAATGTTTTGGTGACATTCAACTATTCTTTGCTTTGGTTGTCTCCACTCTGCCAGTTTAGATTCTGTGGGAATGAATCCTTAGCTCATTCCTTAGCTCAGGAGCCCAAGCAGCTCACAGTGCTTCCTGCTGTTCTTCCTGAAGGCATAGAAATGATTTATGGTCACAGAATCTCTGATTTGTTATCACCCTCCCCATTCTAGAACACAGAGGCATATTACATTCAGCCCAATCCCTGCATCTGTCCCTTCACATTGTTGTGGTCATGCCATCTGCTATGGTCTGAATGTTTGTGTCCCACCAAAATTCTTACATTGAAATCCTAATATCTAGTGTGATGGTATTAAGAAAAGGGCCATGACGAGGTGATTAGGTCATGAGGGTGGAGCCCTCATGAATGGGATTAGTGCCTATATAAAAGAGGCCCCAGAGAGCTGCCTTGCCCCTTCCATCATGTGAGAATACAGCTAGAAGGCACCATCTATGTATCAGAAAGTGGGCCCTCAATGGACACTAAACCTGCCAACACCTTGCTCTTACACTTCCAGTTTCAGAACTATGAGAAATAAATTTATGTGTTTTTTGTTTTTTTTGTTTTTATTTTTATTTTTGGATTTATTTTTTTATTTTTATTTTTTTATTTTACTTTAAGTTTTAGGGTACATGTGCACATTCTGCAGGTTAGTTACATATGTATACATGTGCCATGCTGGTGCGCTGCACCCACTAACTCGTCATCTAGCATTAGTTATATCTCCCAATGCTATCCCTCCCCACTTCCCCCAACCCACAACAGTCCCAGGAGTGTGATATTCCCCTTCCTGTGTCCATGTGATCTCATTGTTCAATTCCCACCTATGAGTGAGAATATGTGGTGTTTGGTTTTTTGTTCTTGTGATAGTTTACTGAGAATGATGATTTCCAATTTCATCCATGTCCCTACAAAGGACATGAACTCATCATTTTTTATGGCTGCATAGTATTCCATGGTGTATATGTGCCACATTTTCTTAATCCAGTCTATCATTGTTGGACATTTGGGTTGGTTCCAAGTCTTTGCTATTGTGAATAATGCCACAATAAACATACGTGTGCATGTGTCTTTATAGAAACATGATTTATAGTCCTTTGGGTATATACCCAATAATGGGATGGCTGGGTCAAATGGTATTTCTAGTTCTAGATCCCTGAGGAATCACCACACTGACTTCCACAATGGTTGAACTAGTTTACAGTCCCACCAACAGTGTAAAAGTGTTCCTCTTTCTCCACATCCTGTCCAGCACCTGTTGTTCCCTGACTTTTTAATGATTGCTATTCTAACTGGTGTGAGATGGTATCTCATTATGGTTTTGATTTGCATTTCTCTGATGGCCAGTGATAATGAGCATTTTTTCATGTGCTTTTTGGCTGCATAAATGTCTTCTTTTGAGAAGTGTCTATTCATGTCCTTCGCCCACTTTTTGATGGGGTTGTTTGTTTTTTTCTTGTAAATTTGTTTGAGTTCATTGTAGATTCTGGATATTAGCCCTTTGTCAGATGAGTAGGTTGCGAAAATTTTCTCCCATTTTGTAGGTTGCCTGTTCACTCTGATGGTAGTTTCTTTTGCTGTGCAGAAGCTCTTGAGTTTAATGAGATCCCATTTGTCAATTTTGTCTTTTGTTGCCATTGCTTTTGGTGTTTTAGACCTGAAGTCCTTGCCCATGCCTATGTCCTGAATGCTAATGCCTAGGTTTTCTTCTAGGGTTTTTATGGTTTTAGGTCTAACATGTAAGTCTTTAATCCATCTTGAATTGATTTTTGTATAAGGTGTAAGGAAGGGATCCAGTTTCAGCTTTCTACATATGGCTAGCCAGTTTTCCCAGCACCATTTATTAAATAGGGAATCCTTTCCCCATTGCTTGTTTTTCTCAGGTTTGTCAAAGATCAGATAGTTGTAGATATGTGGCATTATTTCTGAGGGCTCTGTTCTGTTCCATTGATCTATATCTCTATTTTGATACCAGTACCATGCTGTTTTGGTTACTGTAGCCTTGTAGTATAGTTTGAAGTCAGGTAGTGTGATGCCTCCAGCTTTAATTTACAGATTCAATGCCATCCCCATCAAGCTACCAATGACTTTCTTCATAAAATTGGAAAAAACTACTTTAAAGTTCATATGGAACCAAAATAGAGCCTGCATCACCAAGTCAATCCTAAGCCAAAAGAACAAATTTATGTTTTTTATAAGCTACCCAGTTTATGGTATTTTGTTACAGTAGCCAGAATAGACTAAGACAACATCCATATGAGATTTATGTGTTAAGAACTGAAGTTTATCTTAACTGTCGAAAAAGAAAATTAATAACTATAAAAACAGAAGTAAAAAAATAATTACATCTGGGTTTCTTGATATGTTTTTCTGAGAAGGTGCCTTTGAAACTCACACATAAAATGGACAAGCCAACCAGCCCAAGTAGGCTTTAAAGATGATGTTCCTAAGTGAGTCTGTGCTAAATCAGCTGAGGCAGTCCTCTTTTGTGCCCTGCTCAGTGCGAAATGGCTTTTACTTTGTACCAGACATTGTGCTAGCTCCTTTCACCTGCTCATTCTTAGTTCTCACAATAGCCCAGTAGGATTGTTCTTTCCATTTTACAAAAGAGCAAAGCAACTTTCATAAAAAGTATGTAGAGTGCTAAAGGTCATGGAACTGGGGTTGTAACCCAGACCTTCCAATTTAAAGTGCACAAAAGTTGTACTTTGAAGCAATTAGGTGCAAGTGCTATTTCCTGTTCGGGCTTTTGGGCTCCATTGGTAGGTTCCTGTACCTCCACATTCCTCGTATGCATTGAGGATTACTGGCCACATTCTTACGGTGCCAAGAGGAGACCCTGGAGCTCCAGGCCTTTTAATATGATTTATTCCTTAGCCCCAGTCTAGGGCCTTTACTCTTAGAACTTCCTACTAACTCCTCAAAGTATCTTATTTAAAATCTTCATTGTAAGATGGCATCTAACTAGATTGTGCCATTAATATAACTATGTACTTAGTCAGGTACTAGAAATAGGATTCCAATCTACAGGGGCCAGATCAGAGATCTTCCACAAAACCAAATGATGCTTTCTTTGCCTCCAGAAAGAGCCTGGTGTTTTACATCTACACAGTTCATTTTGTTTCCACAAATACTTATCGAACATGTTTGTTACGTGCCAAGCACTGCTCTATGCTAGAAATCACCAGGGACGCTAACATATAAAAGATGTAGTTCCTGCCTCAAGATTATGTTTCCTAGCATCTACTAAGGAAGGTCAAACATGTGCAAAGTGCCACTATTTGAGGGTCTGAAGACTCTGTGGGAGCCTAAATGGGAATAGCCTGTTTGGAGGACAATTTGGCAATATCTACCAACATTTAAAATATGTATATTCATTGATTTAGAAATTTTCCATTTATAAATTTATCCATAGAAATGGTCACATACATACATGAGGATATATTTAAATGTGCATAGCAGGTTTTTTTAACAATAGAATGTCAGAAAACAAATGTCCATCTAAATATTACATTGAAAACAACAAACTACACATTTATGTACTGACATGAATGTTTGTCCAAGTATAATCTCATAGATAATTCCAAAACAATGTAGAGTATGATTTCACTTATTTAAAAAAAAAACTTCTATTATATGTGTGTGTACACATGCATGCATGTGTGCAAATGCCCAAAGAAAGCTCTGGGTGAACACACACAAAATTGTTGACAGGACTTGCTTCTGGAGACAGAAATAGGAGTAGAGTTGGGATAAAGATGGTCTTTCACTCTTCATTATACATACATCTATGTAATTTAAATTATTTTTCATTACCTTAAATATTCATTTAAAATAACTGAAAAGTTGCCCCATGAGAAAAGCACAATGTGCTGTAGGGCTTTGGAAAGGTGAGAGCAGGAATCCTGGAAAAATCTCACAGCAGGTGAAGACGTACAATTAGGTTAGGCCACAAAAAATGAGGAGAAGGGGTTTACATACGAAAGTATTCCAGGCGAGGAAATGGAGTGAGCAGAAGGTATGCCATGCATTCTGCCAAGGGCATTTTGATGGCAGCTAGCAGAGGGCTTGGGTGCTCAGGGAGTCCTTAATGACCCGGCCAATTGTTGAAGCAATAGCATCTCTGAGAAACTTGCTGTGATTTTCTTTTTTGATTTGATATTTTATGTGTTTGCCCATTGCTTGCATTACTGTAGGTGCCTGATAAGTTTTGTGATAGAACAAGAGCAAACATGGAGTTCTGCTTAAAACAAGAAAATAAACCTTAAAACAATTTTTTTAAATGCAATTGACTTTAGCAGTAGCTGAATTTATGCCCAATTGCCTCAAGAAGTCCAGGTATAAAACAGAAAAGTTTTGTCTTTTTATAACCTACAAAGACCAAGGGAATTGAATTATCTGCTAATTCTTCAGTGCATAGTATTGTGTACACATCTCATCATAGCCCCTACTAAACTTATTAAACTCCACTTTAATTGTCTCCCTAACTTGACTATAAATCTTTTGGTGACAAGAAAGATGTCTTTTTTCTTTCTTTTTTATTTTTTAATCTACTGGGTTTAGTAAACAAAACAGATGATTCAAGAAATGTTGAATAAATGAATATGCCAATAAATGAACCAATCAAGATCGAGATGAGAATTAAATAAAGAAACAAATAAAACATTGATATGGTTTGGCTATGTCCTCACCCAAATCTCAACTTGAATTGTATCTCCCAGAATTCCCACGTGTTGTGGGAGGGACCCAGTGGGAGGTAATTGCATCATGGGGGCTGATCTTTCCCATGCTATTCTCATGATATTGAATAAGCCTCATGAGATCTGATGGGTTTATCAGGGGTTTCTACTTTTGCTTCTTCCTCATTTTTCTCTTACTGCCACCATGTAAGAAGTGCCTTTCACCTCCCTCCATGATTCTGAGGCCTCCCCAGCCATGTGGAACTGTAAGTTCAATTAAATCTCTTTTGTTTCTACTTTTGGGTATGTCTTTATCAGCAGCGTGAAAATGAACTAATACAAACATAAATAAGTGAAATGAGGCATGGCACTCAACTGTTTACAGCTGGGAATGCCAGACTAAGGTGCTTGGGCCTATTCTGAGGGCAGTGGGAAGCCAGTAAATAATAATATTGTGTAGGTAACAATATTATTAGAACTGGCTTGGAGGATAGAAAGAAAGAACAGTTAAGGAGCTCTTCAAATAGTCAAGAGATGGAGTAAAGATTAAATTACTCAAATCAGGTCAGAGTTGATTCAGTTGGCAGAAAAAAGCATCAAGGTGAGAACAAAAGGCAATACACAGCATGTTTTGATCAGCATCCAGATGGGGGAATGGTTCAGCTTTTTTCTTTAGGAAAGGGTGGGAGAGAAAAGGAGGACAGTGCCATCAAAATGTATGAAGGGAGAATAAACAGGTAATGGTGTGCTCAATGACAAAGATCACCCGGTTCTCTACTTCCCAGGGCAGCTTCTTTCTTTCAGATCTGCACAAACTATTGCTGATCTGTATGACTGCCTGCTTACATTTGCTATTTCTCAAGGATACTGGTTTAAGAAAACTATGAAATAATGAAAGACTCTTGCTCATTTATTTTAAGATAATATAAGATAGCAAGACTTAGGGGATCCTTTGTTATTTTAACAAACAATGTTGTCGATGGAAAGAGAAGTGGAGAATTAGAAACATAAATGCAAGCCTGAGCTACTGAAGCACAGAAAGTTCCTGAGGTCTCTTACACCAAATGAGCCCATTCCTGCTGTTGCTTCTGTCTTCACTACGTATTTCAGAAAGGAAATAAAATAAAATTGGTGCCAAGTGAAATATTTACTGTTTTGACTAAAGAGGACATGAATAATTGGAAGCTCTTTATACTAATAAATTCTAGGGACCACTTCCTGCTGTCAAATTCCAGTGGTAGCATTTGGAAAAGTCATGCATGAAGCTCTGGTGGCATACTACGGGGTCACCCAAAGAGAAATCCTGGAACACCCAAGGGAATAAAGGGAAGGAAGAGTTACTTCGTGGGCCTGCTTCAGTCAAAGGCCTTTGACAGAACAACAGAAAACATTCCCTTTCAAACAAGGAAATGAACTCTAAAAACAAAAATAAAAAAATTTTTTAATGCAAGTGACTTTAGGGTTAACTGAATTCATACTCATTTTTTCTCAAAGAATCCAGGTATTAAAACAGGAAAATATTTTCTTTTTATCACATAAAAAGACACATTGTTCACGTCCTACTTAGCTCAAAGTGGAAATTGGGATAAGTATAATGATCAAGTAATGGGATAGACTTTTCAGGCAAGCATTAGAATCTAAGCAGCCAGAATTTAATGGAGTAGCCAGATGAGGGCTCCTCCTTTGGGCCACTCAATCCACTTCTGGCCTAATACCAGGAATGGGGCCATTGCTCAGACCAGGATGGAAGGTCCTCTGTAGGAAATGACTCAAGAGTCAACTTACCAGACATGCCAGAAGAGCAGCCCTGTAGCTTTACAATCCCACTATATGTTTTATTTGGTTGATACACTATTAATTTTTTGTGAGGGTCACTATGGTTTTCTTGGGAAAGCTCTGGTACTGTTTCTGTAGGGCAAAGGGGCAGGGGAAGAAAGGAGAGCAGCATTTAGTTATTGATTCAACAAAATAGATGCTAGATAAAATGCTAAATATTGGGACAATATGGCAAGCCAATGACATGTTCTAAAGGAGCCAGCTGAGGTCCCTTACATGTGATTTCTCTGTAGTGTGGTAAATTCAGAGGAGGAACAGCAGTGAGTCAGCCAGCCAGTCAGCCTCTAGGAAGCAGACCCTCTGCTTTTGCATCTGTGCAGTTAACACAGCAGGCCCAAGACTGCTCTCCTTATAAAGGCCTACTTGCAAGGTTGGCCCTTGGCTGGCAGCTGGGGACTTGTATTTTGAGAGTGTTTCCATAACTCCCTCACAGATAAGGGTGTTTTAATGAGGCTCAATTGCTTGTACAAACAATGTCATTTATGCAGAACACCTGCTGCTTTCTGGGAGTCTGGAATTTTGGTATGTGCGAGGCAGAGGGTGCCTAAATGACCAGTGTCCAATACAAACATTGGGCATTAAGTCTCTAATGAGCTTCTCTGATAGACAACATTTCCCATGTGTTGTTTTATCTTGTTGCTGGAAGAATTAAGCATGTCCTGTGCATCTCCACTGGGAAAGGACTTTTGGAAGCTTGTGCCTGGCTTCCTCCAGATTTCACTCATATGCCTTTTTCCCTTTGCTGATTTTGCTTCATATCATTTTTGGTAATAAGTTATAGCCATGAGTACAACTGTATGCTGAGTCCCTTGAATTCTTCCAGCCAATCACCAAACCTGGAAGTGGTCTTTGGGGATTCACTACTCCATCTTTACTGTACCCTATACTTACGGTCAAGTTGCCAAATAAGTGCTATTTTCAGAAGCTCATTCAATGGGACTTTCTGAAGGCAAAGAGTATCAGGGTGAATTTTGAAACAGGGAAAAGAAAATGAAGTTTATCCAGACCTCACTAACTCTTGGAGTTTAGTATATAAAGCTTTTATTGCTTCTTTTGTGTTGTCTTTAGTATTATTTATTATGACTGTAGTTAAAGTTTGGTGTGTGCTTTTCGTAGTGTCATCTCCTATGTTTCTAATATTCAGAAGATAACAACTAAAGTTCATGCATCTCAATAATTACTATCAAAATTGTGTTTGTCCAATTGTTGAGTTCTCCAATATCCAGTTGGAGCACTATTCAACGGCACTTCAGTTTGCTGAGTTTACCACTAAAGCTCCTTTCAGAGTTATTTTCTCTCATTTTAAATGAAATTTCATTTGTGAATCTCTGCATCTTTATTTTTAACAATAGAGACATCTACAATGCAGTTATGTGCTTCTTCTAGAAATTAAGTATATATGTGTTGTGTACTTGTGTGCCCATATACCTATGGGTACATGAGTACATGAAGAGAGGGGAACTATTCATGTTGTTTTAGTTGGGTATTTTTGCTTTATTCCTTTTCTTTAACCTACAGACATGTCTTTCTTTTCTACATCTTATTGGTTCTACTATGCCTTCAGATGCAAATACGAGCCCTTTCAAGAGGCCCTGAAAGTTTTTGAGCAGGAGGCAGGAAAATAGGGGTCATTATTTGCATTACCTTCAGAGCACTAAGCACTTTTGATGACTCTTTTTGGCAATAAACGTGGCAGATACAGGTGGTTAGTACACCCTATAGCCAAACACTTTCTTCTTCCTCCTTTGCTAATAGAATTTGATTTGAGGTAAATGGCAACGTACTAAGCTCTAGGAAGGTAATCATGATTGGTCCAAGGTGCTTCCCTTCTCCAGTGGTTGTTCAGGGACGGTCATATGACCCAGTTTTGGTGAATATATCATAAGGGAAGTCTGCTGGGGGCTTCTAGGAAAGACTTTCCTTTCCCTCTTTTACTTCCCTCCCTCACTTTCTGTTTTAAACAAAATTAGGCAAGGACTTGATTTATGGAGGTGAAGCAGCTACCTTGTGACCATGAAGTTACAAATCTGAGAATGAAAGCTAACATCTCATAACAATATAATGAAAAAATGGAAAGAGCCTGGGCCTTTAATGACTTCATTGAACCACCACACTAATCCTGGGGCTACCCTCCTGGACATTTTTTTTTTCACTTTCATAAATGTCCTCATCATTTAAGCCTGTAGATCAGGTTTTCTCTTTCTTGTCTCTGAAAACATCTTAATACAATCATAAATGCAGTTTGACTCGAAATAATATAACATTGATAGGATACTGTGGATCTCTGTCTAGCTCTGCTCTTTACGTCCTAGGCACCATCCCCCAGCTGCTGGGAATATGGGTGGCTGATGGCTCAAGCTGTGATATGGAATTGCTTCTCCCAAGGATACGGCCCCAAGCAGGGGGTGGCTGATGCGGAGAGATAAAGCCCTGACCCTCTCCCCTCAATTTGAGACAACTCTGAAGGGCTATCTATATGAGAATGGCTGTGCCATGGCATCCTGATTACTTTTTATGTATCCATATAGTGAAGGCTTGAACCATAGCATATCTGAGTCTTGGAGAAATGCCTTGTGATCCTCCCAGAACAAGAGAGGGTGGGAGGCCTGTAAGGAGCTACTATGAGGCCATCTCCCACTTGCCTCCCTAGTTCCCTCGGGAGACTGTTTTGAGTTGGTTGCTTATTGCCTCCTAGGTTCTGATGGAGTGTGGGACTTTCTACCCCATTCACCCCAAAGCAGGGCTGCAGGTGATAAAGCCACTTTTCTGCAATCTAGAATTGGTTTCTCAGCAACTGGGTATCCCACAATTCATGTGTCAGTCATCCAGCCACTTTCATTTCAGTGCCATCCTTTGTGATGTGTGGGACAAGGGCTGTGGGGACTGGAACCTTGGGCTTATTCTTCTTTTTGTTATCTATGTAGGTAATAAAGAGTCTAAATCTAAGTGGCTCATTGAATCTTTACCAGCAGCATTATCAGCTTTTGGCCTTTGGCCCTGTCTTATATGTTTCAACTTGACACCCATCATAGTTCCCAAGGTTTCTGAAGGATTGGCTGAGACCTCAGGAACAACTGCATTGCAGGCCAGTTTTTCTCTATGCCCAATGTACCTTCCTCTCTTCCCTACACATGTTTCTCCCAAGAACATTTCCCAATGAGCCTGCACACAACTCTCTTAGTGTCTGTTTCCAAACCTAAGGTAATTGGTCCTGGCAGTGGCCCTAGAAAGTAGACTGTAAAATAGGAATTTAAAGATGGATTATTCACACATCAGCTGGCAAGCAGGACCTCATCACTTGTGGTAGACAGAACTCTGACATGCTGTAAAGGTGCAGTTGTTAGAATTTTCACCAATGGTGAACTGAGATGGGTGCTCATAGAAAATATGTATTGGATGAAGCAACATTGCTGGTGCTTGAGAGATAAGGATGAAATTGTAACTAAAAGACTGGCATTGGGTGGCTGTTGCTAACTGCTATTGATTTGTCAAAGATAGTTCATGACAGGATCAGTGTGATTAATCATCAATTCAAAGCAAATTATGAAAACCAGAGGGCCTCCTTAATAAACCCTAATCTCCTATATCTAGAGAGCAAATCTAGAGGAAGACTAAAGCCAGGAATGAATTAGATTAGCAAAGTTTCAGAGCAAGTTGAAATCTTAGCCTCAGCAAATCTCCCATGCCAAAGCCAAGGCCCTAATGAGGCAGGACTGCCACCCTGAAATCTGGGGCTATCTGGGTAAATGCATTTGAGATCTTGAAATGCCAGACTACTCTGGACCCACTGGGCTTGCAGAAGTGGTTCCTTTTTGGAAGATAGTGATACTCCTTCCCATGCCTTGGGAAATAAACCTTACAAAGTTTCAAGGGCCTGTCAGGGAAGTTTTAGGAGTGTAGTGATCTGGGCCATGCCAGAATATCTACTCCAAAGTAAAGAAAAAGTTATTGCATCTTTTCCTTCCTATGATCAAGAAAGATACACAGCTCTTGGCAGTCTTCATCAGTTCTGGGGGCAACATATTTAGAACTTAAGAATACTGTCTTGACCTAATTACCAAGTGACATGAAAGGCTACTGGCTCCAAATGGGGCCCAAAGCAAGCCAACCCAAGACACAGCCCTGCTGCTTCAGCCATGTAATTTGGCAGACCTTTAGGTACTATAAGTATCTGCAGTGGGAAAAGATGCCAAATGAAGTTTACAGTAATCCCTGTTCATAGGTCTGGTAGGCTCAGTAGCATCACTGTTGGATGAAAGTGGTACATCTGTAATTGGGCACTAGCGGGGCACAGGACATTAGTAAGCTGCACAAACGGAGACTATGACATTCACCATGGTGGTCCTGACACCTCTGCAGCAGCCCACACCTATGCCTGCAAGAGGAATCTTGAAAAATGCTTATAACTGAGTGTGTTATGGGCTGAGTTGTGCCCCAATCCCCCATTCATATGTTGAAATCCTAACCCTTAGTACCTCGGAATGTGACTGTATTTGTAGATAGGGTCTTTAAAGATGTAATTAGGTCTAAACGAGGTCATTGAGGTGGACCCTAATTCAGTATGACCTGTGTCCTTATAAGAAGAGGGGGTTAGGACACAGACATAGACAGAGGGACGATCATGTGAAGACACAGCAAGAACACAGACATCTGCAAAGCAGACATCTACAAATTTATTTGTTAACACATATGTAAACATACGAGGAAAGAGGCCTCAGAGGAAACCAAACCTGCCAGCACCTTGACCTTGGACTTCTAGCCTCCAGAATTATGAGAAAATAAATTACTGTTTTTTTAGCCACACAGTCTGCAGTATTTTGTTACAGCAGCCCTGGCAACTAGTACAGAGTGAAAAGGAGAATAATATCGCAGTAGCTGGAACAGAATACAAGAGTCAGAATATTTTTCTCAAATTTTATGGACAAGTTTTAAGCATATTTCTTTGCTGAAAGAAGAGTAGAGCAGGCCTAGACTCCAAGGCCAGGGTGGGTTTTTAAATAGTTATCTCAGGGCTTCATCTCATATGTGTCTGTTTCTTGATTTGGCAAGAAATTGATCATATGAATTTGACTATGGCAATGCAGTTGTAACTGCCTGATGGGTTCTTCCTGTCTACTGTACATAAAATCAACTCACTGAGACCATGGCATTAAGTAAAGAAAGAGTTTAATTGATGTGAGGTGGGAGACTGAGTTATTACTCAAATCAATTTCCTCAAAGGCTTGGAGGTTAGGGGTTTTTCAAAGATAATTTGGTGGGCAGGGGGAT
The DNA here is from genome assembly GCF_000001405.40 of Homo sapiens. Lineage (NCBI taxonomy): Eukaryota > Metazoa > Chordata > Mammalia > Primates > Hominidae > Homo > Homo sapiens. The sequence goes on along the minus strand of NC_000006.12, from coordinate 79,380,157 downwards.
AGGGTAGGGGGCATGCTGATTGGTTGGGTCAGAGGTGAAATCATAGGGAATCGAAGTTGTCCACTTGTGCTGAGTCAGTTCTTGGGTGGGGGCCACAGTACCGGGTGGCAGGTCCTGGTGGAGCCATCGTTTGTCAGAAATGCAAAAACCTGAAAAGGTGTCTGAAAGACCAATCTTAGGTTCTGTGATAGTAATGTTATCTCCAAGAGTTTAACTGGGAAAGTTGCAAATCTTATGACCTCCAGAATAATGGCTGGTAATTATTCAGAATTCAAGCCCCTCTCATCCTCCTAACTTGGTGGCCTTTCATTAGTTTTACAAGAACAGCTTAGTTTTGGGGAAGGGTGATTATTATTTAAACTATAAACTAAATTTCTCCCAAAGTTAGCTTGGCGCACGCCCAAGAATAAGCAGACAGCCAACCTGTGAGGCTGGAGGCGAGATAGAGTCAGCCATGTCAGATTTCTCTTACTGTCATAATTTTGCAAAGGCTGTTTCACAGTAAGCATTTGTTCATCGAGAGAAAGTGGCTTTTTTAATCTTGAAAAATTCGTCCAATCAATGGGCGGATTCACCCTTGAATTGGTAGATAGGACTTAATGGCCTAAGGTAAAGAAAAATTTTCATAACCAAACTCATTTAATGAGAGTGTGTTAGCCAGGCGTGGTGGCTCATGCCTGTAATCCCAGCACTTTGAAAGGCCGAGGCGGGCGGATCACATGGTGAAACCCTGTCTCTACTAAAAACACAAAAATCAGCTGGACCTGGTGGCACATGCCTGTAGTTCCAGTTAATCGGGAGGCTGAGGCAGGAGAATCACTTGAACCCGGGAGGCGGAGGTTGCAGTGAGTTGAGATCGCACCACTGCACTCCAGCCTGAGCGACAGAGGAAGATTCCATCTCAAAAAAAAAAAAAAAAAGAGTAAATGTGTTAATTAAACATTTTCATCATATTTACGATCCACTGAAATTTTTCAGGTTCCCAATTCATTTTGTGTTGAGTAAGCAAAATCATTTTTACTTTAATATTTAATCAACATTATTTTAACTTTAATTTTCTTTGAGTTAAGTAGATTCTACCATGCAGCAGCATATGGCTTATTTTCATAAATGGGCCACATTAGAATCCACTCTCAATCTAGCTCAGTTCAGATCTACAGTCAAAAAAATTACTTTCAAGATAAGCATTAAAATATGTTTAGATATTAGGATTTCCCAGAAGTTCAGAGATTTTCACTGTGGCTTCTATACATTCTAAGCTTCAAATTATATTATACTACCTTGTTTCATTTTGGTTTTGTTTTCTGTTTGTTTTGCTTTTAAATTATGCAAAGCGTGACACATACATTTTGAATACATTCAGCACAAGAACCCACACTTCTAATGCCCTATATATATTCTATTCACATGAAGAATTTTGAGTATTTTTAATTTTTATTTTAATACATATGTAAAGAGGAAAATAATTTATATTCATTTAATGCAAAACAAAATACCCTACACTATGGTGTTATGTACTATGGTCACTTTCAAAACCAAGCAAAAACAAATTTACTCAGCATAAACTTAGTTATACAACATAAATGTCAGTTCAACTCTGTACATCAGTGAGGCCTGAGAAATAATATAAATTAGAAAGTTTTTAAGCTGTTGTGTTTATTACATTCTCCATTGTGGAATGGGTAGAGAGAAAGGAAAGTAAGCTGAAAATGCTAAGTATTTTAATTGATGTTTATTGTTCACATATATTTTATGTCACAAAGTATTTTAAAGTTTATTAAACAAGCTGTAGGAGTGGAGGATAAATGCTTTCTGCTTTACAGGGAGGGTTTTCTGATATAGGAACCCACAAATAACTGATGGGCAGTTGAACATACTCAAGATCTGTTTTTACAGCCTGTCAGGAGTTTCAGATTCATATCTTCAGTAGTTTCCTCGTATTCTGATTTGAATTGGGTTTGACTAGAAGTCAGGAAGTAGGAAAGATATCTTACAGAAAGGTCTCTCTTCACAACCATAAATATTGTCCAAGGGAAGCTGGGACAAAATTGTATTTCTCTGCTATTGCTACAATTTACAATTTTATTCCCTGACCCTTTCCCCTCCCCCAAAACACACACACTTGAATCATTTACTTTAGTATGCAGGAGACTGTGTCAGCCTCCAGGCCACCCCTGACCTCTTACCCTAATGTCCTCACTCTTTTCCTCCACTGCAATCAAGGAAACCACTTCCTCAGAGTTTTTGCTTAATTCTTTAATTCCAAGTCCTTTTTTGTTTTTTCTTTTCATTGTTGGTATTCCCTCTATGAATTGTCTGTCACTTTGTGTCTCAAAACTCTCTCAAGTCTGAGCTCACCTCCAACCTTAAGTTTCCTGAAGCACAAAGAGAGCAGCCTTCACACTTGTTCAATGTGGAGCAACAAAGTAAACTCCATCCTACAAGAGAAAGGCTCAAGATACAGTCTTAACTGTCTCTCTTTTAGTTATGTGACTCTAGGCAAGTCACTCAACCTCTGGGGAACTTGGTCAGCCAACAGTAATTTTACAAAAACGTTTACAATTTGCAATTTATAACTTTTATATTTTTATAATTATTGTAATGAACGTACAATAATTTTACAATCACTGCTATTTCTAATATTTGTTAATGCATAACAAATTTTTGACACTTTTCTCAAAAATTCTAATTTCCCTTGGCTTTGATATTTCCCCCAGTGGATTTTTGTGTTCTTTGAGTTGCAAGAACTATGACTAATTTTCTTTGAATGATTAATACCTCCTGTCTGGCAATTGCTTTATATTCCAGTAATATTTGCTGAATGAGAAAATGAACAAATTAAATAAAAGTAAATAATGTGTGTAGCAAAAATGTTCCAACATTAAACATGCTATACAAATGTGAGCTGTTATTTTTTCAGTCGTTCATTAAACTAACAATTCTGGAGTGCTTGCCCTGTGTCAGGCACTGTGCTGGGCAGACAGGAGAAATCTCTTGTCCATAGCAGCAGTACTTAACATGGCAGAGTTTATTACTGAGTACTCACAGAAGAGCTACTGTAACTGGATAGTGAAGCATGACTGGAGAGTAAAACATCTGAATAGTAAGAAAGAATAAAACTTTGACTTTATGAGAGCGCTGATGATTAGTAATGCAAACAACATTCTAAGTCTAATATTTAATTAATAAGAACATTTTACCCGAACGTGTCGCTCTCCTTTTCCTGTCTTTTTTTTTTTTACTTTGCAGTGGATAAGTTCACATTTTAATATTTTATTTTCTTTAAGGAATCAGATCAAATCAAAATACATACCAAATATGTATTGAGCCCTTAATTTGTGCATATCATCACTTTTTTAAAATAAGAGAAGAATTTAGCCTTTTGAAACTTCTTCAGTGATAGTCAGTGGGCAAATAGTTCTTTCTATGAAAAATATTGACACTAAAAAATACTGAAAAGGGCTAGTTACAGAATTTAATTCCTCAAAATGTATTAAAATTGTACTAAATACTGGGCCCGTTTCTGAAGGCCATACCAAACTGATTTACATATCACTGCTGCCTTCAAGGAGCTTAACTTTAGTAAAAGAGGTAAGACATGCATTCAAATATCCAGACATAATTGTGGAAAACATATATCATAAGGAAGGAGTTAATTTATGCACTGTCAAATATTCAGAGAGAAATTGCCGTTATTGTAAATGGATCATAATGACAGCCTCACAAGGTGTTAAAATTGCCTATAGAGCCTTGAAATAATTAACAAAGTGTCTCCAGTGGAAAATCAGTCATTTCCTAGTTATTACCCAAGTCTTTACTACTCTGATTGCATGCATAATCTCAGAGGCTTTTGTGTAGTAACAGTAATTCATCTTCTACTTTATGTAGTCTTTTCAGGAACCATTGTTTGTATCTCTAAATACAGTCCACACAGACTCAGCTTTTCAATGCAATATTAATGTGGCATGTGCATAGAAATGTTCTCATTTACCTGTCTTTGCTGCTCTTATTCTAGTACTTTAAAAGCAGTTTGCAGCCGAGACATTTGTTCCTCTTATCGTGTGAGATGGGCTTATAGCTCACATACAGTGGAGGCATAATAGCTAAACAGTTATTATTTTAGCCTGGAGGATCATAGATCTGCCCCCTGGGATTTATGTAGTAGTTTCAAAGCCCAAGCTAAGTGAAATGTGTATTGTCAGACTTGCTTTACTATTCTTTCAAATGAAAGTTTAATCAACTTGACATTTACAGTAAGGAGTGTCTTGGTGACAGCATTTATGCAGCATACAGCAATCTCTATCCAAAAGTAAATATGAAAATATGGAATGAAGAAGGGAGGTTTGAGTGTCTAATTAAGACTCCAAGTCTAAAAACAGTTTTTCAAGGGCTGAGATATAGCTGAAGCCGTATCATGATTTAGAGGCCATTCTTTTTCCTCCACAGAGTTTTCAGGTTTTATGAGGGGGAAAAAAAAAGGATAAAGAGGTCAAATAAGTTTGGGAAACACCTCTGTCAAACATAGACAAAAATTATTAAGAACTTCTGAGAATATTTAGTAGGCTAATGCATAATTTTAATTTCCTTAAAAGAGATACGTTGTGCACTTTCCAGAACTTTTATGATTACAGAAACTTTTTTCTTTTCAGGAAACAGCTTTTGAGACAAATGTTCCACGGAAGGTGTTTTAATGCCAAAGAATTTTGCTTCTTCCCTGGGGGTTGTTTTACCTTGTCATTTTCACAATGAAGACTATTTTTCTTTATTTCTCTTCTCTATTTTCCTCTTAGAGCTTCTTGAAGTTTCTTTAAAACTTTATTTTAAAAAGCGTCTATTTCAGAAGTTAACAGGTAAAATTCAAGTAAATTCCTATTTTATAGAATTTTTATATGCCAACATAGATCTGTTAAATAGGTTTCTATGATTTTGGTTATACTGTGGTTATGAGACTTGATTTATCATTCAATACACTTGTCTTGTAGCATTGTAGTTAACATTTTCTGTGTTATTCCTCCCCCTTAGGACGTGAGCTACTCTAGGAAAAAAATAATATGACTTATTCTTTTAACCCCAGGGCTGAGATCCATAATACGAATGAAAGAGAATTTTCTTTTTTATTCTCTTCTGCTATGTATTGCCTTTTTAAGGTGGACATTTAACTGGACATTCAAACTTGTTTATGACAATGTCTCTTCACACTCATTTACAAGATATTGTCCTTTCTTTTACTTAAGATATAAGCTCTTTCTAAAATTCTAATTCTATTACACCAAATATATATTTTATATAAAATAAAATGGCAATAATATCTACCTGCATTTGGTGATGATGTTTATCTTCCATATAAACAGACAGAATTTCTTTATCAGTGTATTACTATAACACAGTTAAATGCCTTAGTAGAATTTTTAAAAAGTCACCTGTACCTGACTGACTGCAAGTTGTTTCCATGCAGAACTTTGCCAATGACAATACCCTGTTTCATTGAGTAGTTTTCTAAATTTGAGGTATATCTTGTCAGAAACCAGCGGAGAAAAAAAAATATAATTATTCCAAGCTTTCAAGACACAGTTGACTCTTTTACAACCTCCCCTTACCTCCCAAATAATTGTCTAAATGAAAGGAATAAAAACAGTAGGGTGGTTTTGTTTTGTTTTGTTTTGCTTTGAGATGCTTGAGTTAATCACTCAAGGGAGAAAAGAAAGTAAATGATATAGTATAACTCCATTGACAAAGGGACAAAGTATGGGTTAGGCTATAGATCTGAAGATTTCCTGTTTGGTTCCCATTTCAACACTTCTGTCATTAACTGTATACCTTTGCTCACAACATTTTAATCTCTCTTAGACTAAAAAATATACAGAACAATATGATAGCCAATCCTCTTTCCAATACTTCTGCAGTGCTCCCACCTTATAACAAAACCTTTTTCTGTTTCTGTAAACAAAGTACGTTGGTTGGGATTAAATCCTGACCCACCCCATATAGAATTCCAGTCTACACCAAGTAGTATTGCAGGGAAGCTCTAGCATGCATGCGTACATAATCACACTCCATGCCCTCAGGGTTGGAAATGTGGTTATATCTGATGATATAAAGCAGCTTTGAGCTGGTGATAGGTTAACATTAAAAGGATTAAGGCTTGCTTTGACATGGGCTGACATACAAAAATTAGATTTAATGCTAACAGCTGGAATGCTCAAGAAAATAAAGAGTAAGTAAGGGAAAGACAAATGGAGTTAAATTAGAACAAGTGGGTGTTAAAGGCGTGCCCAGGATTATTTTCAACTCAGTTTTAAAATGTTTCAGTCAATGTCTAAAAAAGGTAGAGTTGGCATTAATTCTCATCAATGATTATAAAATATAGAAAAAAAAGTCTCAGGTGGAAATTTTCATCTTGCAAGGTAACTATTGTACCACTGCAAACTTTTTTTTAAAGAGAAGTGACTAATCCTGGAGCTTTTTAAGTACTTTCAGCTTCACCACACTTGAAAAACATGCTAATATTTTAAAATCTAGAAGACCTGTTAAGTCTCAGGAGGCAGATTTATTTTTCTCTCAGCATATTAGCCAGAAAATTAACTTACAGGTCTGAGCCACACAGGTTAACCTTGATTACAAAGCTTTTGATGCTGACGTGGAGTGCACCTCAAGGTATATTTGCTGAGCTGCAGGTGGTTGATAAGAACCAGGACATAAGTATGCACTAATTCCTTTTCCCCTATATACCTCTGTGCTCCGTGAACTACCTGTGTCAGAGTCATGGGGCTAGGGTAGGGCTGATTAAAAGTGCAATTTTTTTGCCTCCACTCCAGACCTACTGCAGCTGAAACTCTGAGAGTGGTGCTTAGGAACAAGCACCCCGAGTGATTCTCATGCTTATCAAAGTTTGAGAACCATTGACCTATTTTCTGACTATTCTCAATATTCTCCACAGCCAATCTCTCGTCTTATTTTTACTGGAAAAAACAAAAACAAAAACAAAATGAAACAAACAAAAAAAACATACTTGATAAACATTGTCTTTCTCTGGCTCGGGTGGTGGGCATTACTAAAGTTTGAGGTCTTCACTCTAGAAAGTCTGGTAGATGAGACAAACATGAAAACAAAATGTGCCCATGCTGTTGACTTTGCCTGAAGTGCCACCATCATCCCTTCCCCATAGAGCCCTGCTAAATTCCTTCCTTTTCATTCTCAAGACTCAGTTGCTATAGCTCCTCCTATTGACTCTGAAAGCAGAGATCATTATCTCCTCCTTTGGGCCATTATTTCATATTACTGTGAAATTGACAAACCATAGAAGTGCCATTACAGTGTGACTGAAACTGTCTCCTCTGTAAAACTGCTCACTTGAGGGCAAAGAGAAAATTTCTTATTATTTTATCCCCAATTCCTAGGTGAGTATCTGGCACAGAATTAATGTTCTATCATTTTTGGTGAATGCATAAGTGATAAAGAGAGTTCACAGGATATGGGGAGGTGATTAAATTTTGAAAGCAGCATGAATTGTGGTGAGATACTAAAATTAAAACATAATACAGTAATCTTCAAAAGTTATAGAGACCCACATTGCCTATAGCAAACACTTTACTGGACATTGGTAAATTTGCCCGTCCTATGATAAATTAAAGGGTGAATCTGGGAAGTTCAAGAACAGAAGACAGAAGCTTGATTTCCTTCCCTTTGGTGGTTCTGGGGACTTGGTAAGGACAATTATTAGCTGTTGCTTAACTCAGTTCCATTAAGAATGCTTATTTTTACTTTCAGCTGTTACCATCTTAAAGTCTCTGACAAGTATAAGGATAAAGATTTGTGGGTCTCTTTAACAATTATTTGATGCACATGGTTATGTGCATAAAACATAAAATGTTTTTTATGCTTTTAGAATTGAAAGTCTCTAATATCTTTAATTCCAGATGCTAATCCATCTAGTTTTACAAATTCCTCTATCCCTGGGCTTTACAGACTATAGCTTATATTTTATACTAGTAAGTATCATTAAAATGCTGATAAATTATCATGTCACTGATTCTAAGATTTACTTTTTAAAATATTTCACATGGCAGAATTCAGAATTGTCTTAAAACTGATGATGTCTTATTTTAAATGAAATACTGTAGCTTTATTTGTATCAATAGTAACACTAAACAACTACAAGGGATATCAAATGTTATAGCTAAAGCTCGTAAAATATATAATTAAATATATACTTAGCACATAAAGAATTTGCTTGTAAGAGAATTGAAAAACAAAATTTAATGAATTTCTGTATTTAAATCCTTCAGGAGTAATAAAGAAGACACAGCACTTTATTTCTTAAGCTATGAAACAGACCTCAAAGTTTAATGTATATCTTTATCTTTTTCTTTCACGCCTGAAGCTATGACTTTGTGAATTGTATGTCTTCAGAAATTAAAGACTGACTGAAAGTTTATTCCAAATCATGCACATAGGGAAGTACTCTTTGGGCTAAGGAATGTAACTTATGTCAGAAATACGAGCATACCTTGGAGATACTGCAGGTTTGGTTCTAGACCACCACAATAAATTGCAATAAAGGGAGTTACACAATTTTTTTGGTTCCCTAGTGCATATAAAATTTATGTTTATACTTTACTGTAGTCTATTAACTGTGCAATAGCACTATGTCTAAAAATAATTTGCATACAGTAATTTAAAAATACTTTATTGCTAAAAAGTTCTAACCATCATCTGAGCCTTCAACAAATTGTAATTTTTTTTGCTGGTGGAGATTCTTGCCTTGATGCCCATAACTGCTGACTGTTCAGGGAGGAGGTTGCTGAAGGCTGCTGTGGCTGTGGCAATTTCTTAAAATGAGACATCAGTGAAATTGGCTGCATTGATTTTTTTTTTCACAAAAAATTTATTTGTAGCATGTGATGCTGTTTGATAGCATTTTACTCACAATAGAACTTTCAAAACTGAAGTCAATCCTCTCAAACCCTACCAATGTTTGATTATAAGTTTGTGTAATATTCTAAATTCTGTTGCCATTTCAATAATGGTCACAGCATCTTCATTAGGAATAGATTCCATCTCAAGAAACCACTTGCTCATCCATAAGAAGCAACTTCTTATCCATTCATGATTTCTTATGAGGTTGCAGAAATTAAGTCACATCTTTAGGCTCCACTTTTAATTCTAATGATCTTGCTATTTCCATCAAATCTTAAGTTACTTCTTCCACTGAAGTGTTGAACCCCTCAAAGTCATCATTGAGGATTGGAATCAACTTCTTCCAAACTCCTGCAAATGTTGATATTTTTACCTCCTCCCATGAGTCACAAATGTTCTTAATGGCATCTAGAATGGTGAACCTCTTCCAAGAGGTTTTCAATATACTTTGTCCAAATCCAACAGGTATGGCAGTTATAGTCTTATGAAATGTGTTTCTTAAATAATAAGACTTGAAAGTCAAAACTACTACTTGATTCATGGGCTGCAAAATGGATGTTGTGTTAGCAGGCATGAAAACAACATTCATCTCTTTGTATATCTTCATCAGAGCTCTTTGGTGACCAGGTAAGCAATAATATTTTGAAAGGAGTCTTGTTTTCTGAGCAGTAGGTCTCAACAGTGGGCTTAAAGTATTCAGTAAACCATGCTGTAAACAGAAGTGCTGTCATCCAGGCTTTGTTGTTCCATTGATAGAACCCAGGCAGAATTGATTTAACATAATCCTTAACGGCTTTAGCATTTTTGGAATGGCAAATGAGCATTGGCTTCCACTTAAAGTCACCAGTTGCATTAACTCCCAACAAGAGAGTTAGCCTATCCTTTGAAGCTTTTAAGTCAGGCACTGACTTCTCCTTTCTAACAATGACAGTCCTAGATGGTATCTTCTTCCAATAGAAGGCTGTTTCAACTCCATTGAAAGCTAGGTGGGCTTTTTGTTAGTTGGCTTTAAAGAAGAAGTAGGTGATTTGTCCAGACCCTCACCCTTAACTGCTGTGATCTACAATCCTCTACAGCCATTTCCTGTGAACCAAGGTAGGGAATAAATTTGATCTGCCTCCAACAATGAGGAGGAGGAGGTTGTGACTGGTGAGTTTTTCTCTTTAATGAAGGCAACAGAGCACAAGTGCAGAACAGGAAAATGAATGTAGGGCCAGAAGGTGTTTTTTGTCAACCTTTCTTTTTATTTTTAAGCCCATGGAAAGAAACATGATTGTGGTCTTTCTACAAGTAGAGGTGTAACCACTGGTTCAAAATATCTTCAGAATGAACACAAATTCACATCCTTAAAACTCTTCTGGCTTCAATTTGTGGGAAGGAGCATTATGAAGGTAAACAACTTGGCAGTTTTATAAAAAGTACTCAGAAAAATAATTATTTCTGTCTCAATTGGGTACATTTTAAAACTGATGTTGATGAAATATGAAAACAAGTAAATGAGTAAAATTTTGAGACAATTAGCATACCTTTTATTTTCTATAAAATAAATATGGTTGACTCAAACAACACAGTATTGAAGTGCATGGGTCCACTTATATGCAGATTTTTTTCAATAAATCTATTGAAAAAATTTCTGCAGATATGTGACAATTTGAAAAAAATAGATGAGTCTTACAGACAAAAATTATTGAAAAAATTAAGAAAAAGTTAGATATGTCATGAATGCAAAAAATGTTAGAAAATATTATTCTACTAGTCACTTACTACCATAAAACATACACAGATCTTACATAAAAAGTCAAGATGTATCAAAACTTATGCACATACAGCCTCACAGGACGCCATTTGCAGTTGAGAGAAATGTAAGCAAACATAAAGATGCAGTATTAAATCATAATTACATAAATTAACTGTAGTATATACTGTACTACTGTCATAACTTCATAGCCATCTCCTCTTGCCACTGTGGTGAGCTCAAGGGTTGTATCTGCTTAAGACACCATGTGATGCTAATCATTTCCACATGAGCAGTTCATCTTTCCAGTAAACTACATATCCTAATAAAAAGTGATCCCTCACAGCTTTCGCATATTTTTTAACTGTGGTTAGTGCAATACCGTAAACCTTGAATAATACCATGGGACTAACATGAAGTGCCACTAGTGGTGGTGGAAGTGCTCCCAAGAAGCAGAGAAAAAGTGGCATTATCAGAAAAAGTTAAGGGGGCAGTTCCAAGATGGCCGAATAGGAGCAGCTCCAGTCTACAGCTCCCAGTGTAAGGATGATTTCTGCATTTCCAACTGAGGTACCAGGTTCATCTCACTGGGGCTTGTTGGACAGTGGGTGCAGGACAGTGATTGCAGCCCACTGAGCGTGAGCTGAAGCAGGGTGCATCCCCTCACCCAGGAAGTGCAAGGGGTCAGGGAATTCCCTTTCCTAGCCAAGGGGAGCTGTGACAGACAGCACCTGGGAAATCGAGTCACTCCCACCCTAATACTGCACTTTTCCAAAGGTCTTAGCAAATGGCACACCAGGAGATTATATCCTGTGCCTGACTTAGAGGGTCCCATGCCCACGGAGGCTTGCTGATTGCTAGCACAGCAGTCTGAGATCAAACTGCAAGGCAGCAGCAAGGCTGGGGGAAGGGTGCCTGTCATTGCTGAGGCTTGAGTAGGTAAACAAAGCAGCCAGGAAGGTCGAACTGAGTGGAGCCCACCGCAGCTCAGGAGGCCTGCCTGCGTCTGTAGACTCCACCTCTGGAGGCAGAGCATAGCTGAACAAAGGCAGCAGAAACCTCTGCAGACCTAAATGTCCCTGACAGCTTTGAAGAGAGTAGTGGTTCTCCCAGCACGGAGTCTGAGATCTGAGAACAGACAGACTGCCTCCTCAAGTGGGTCCCTGAGCCCTGAGTAGCCTAACTGGGAGGCACCCCCCAGTAGGGGCAGACTGACATCTCACATGGCTGGGTACCCCTCTGAGATGAAGCTACCAGAGGAACAATCAGGCAGCAACATTTGCTGTTCAGCAATATTCGCTGTTCTGCAGCCTCTGCAGCTGATACCCAGGCAAACAGGGTCTGGAGTGGACCTCTAGCAAACTCCAACAGACCTGCAGATGAGGGTCCTGACTGTTAGAAGGAAAACTAACAAACAGAAAGGACATCCACACCAAAACCTCATCTGTACATCACCATCATCAAAGACCAAAGACAGACAAAACCACAAAGATGGGGAAAAAACAGAGCAGAAAAGCTGAAAATTCTAAAAATCAGAGCACCTCTCCCACTCCAAAGTCATGTAGCTCCTCACCAGCAATGGAACAAAGCTGGATGGAGAATGACTTTGACAAGTTGAGAGAAGAATGCTTCAGATGATCAAACTTCTCTGAGCTAGAGGAGGAAGTTCAAACCTATCACAAAGAAGCTAAAAACCTTGAAAAAAGATTAGATGAATGGCAAAGTAGAGTAACCGGTGTAGAGAAGCCCTTAAATGACCCAATGGAGCTGAAAGCCATGGCATGAGAACTAGGGGACGAATGCACAAGCTTCAGTAGCCAGTTCGATCAACTGGAAGAAAGGGTATCAGTGATTGAAGATCCAATGAATGAAATGAAGTCAGAAGAGAAGTTTAGAGAAAAAAGAGTAAAAAGAAATGAACAAAGCCTCCAAGAAATATGGGACTATGTGAAAAGACCAAATCTACGTCTGATTGGTGTACCTGAAAGTGATGGGGAGAATGGAACCAAGTTGGAAAACACTCTGCAGGATATTATCCAGGAGAAGTTCCACAACCTAGGAAGGCAGGCCAACATTCAAATTCAGGAAATACAGAGAACACCACAAAGATACTCCTCGAGAAGAGCAACTCCAAGACACATAATAGTCACATTCACCAAAGTTGAAATGAAGGAAAAAATGTTAAGGGCAGCCACAGAGAAAGGTCTGGTTACCCACAAAGGGAAGCCCATCAGACTAACAGCTGATCTCTTGGCAGAAACTCTACAAGCCAGAAGAGAGTGGGGGCCAATATTCAACATTCTTCAAGAAAAGAATTTTCAACCTAGAATTTCATACCCAGCCAAACTAAGCTTCATAAGTGAAGGAGAAATAAAATCCTTTACAGACAAGAAAATGCTGAGAGATTTTGTCACTATGAGACCTGCCCTAAAAGACCTCCTGAGGGAAGCACTAAACATGGAAAGGAACAACCAGTACCAGCCACTGCAAAACCATGCCAAATTGTAAAGAACGTCGAGGCTAGGAAGAAAATGCATCAACTAATGAGCAAAATAACCAGCTAACATCATAATGACAGGATCAAATTCACACATAACAATATTAACCTTAAATGTAAATGGGCTAAATTCTCCAATTAAAAGACAGGCTGGCAAATTGGATAAAGACTCAAGACCCATCAGTGTGCTGTATTCAGGAGACTCATCTCATGTACAGAGACACACATAGACTCAAAATAAAGGGATGGAGGAAGATCTACCAAGCAAATGCAAAAGAAAAAAAGGTAGGGGTTGCAATCCTAGTCTCTGATAAAACAGACTTTAAACCAACAAAGATCAAAAGAGACAAAGAAGGCCATTATATGATGGTAAAGGGATTAATTCAAAAAGAAGAGCTAACTATCCTAAATATATATGCACTCAATATAAGAGCACCCAGGTTCATAAAGCAAGTCCTTACAGACCTACAAAGAGACTTAGACTCCCACACAATAATAATGGGAGACTTTTACACCCCACTGTCAACATTAGACAGATCAATGAGACAGAAAGTTATCAAGGATATCCAGGAATTGAACTCAGCTCTGCACCAAGTGGACCTAATAGAGATCTACAGAACTCTCCACCCCAAATCAACAGAAGATGCATTTTTCTCAGCACCATATCACACTTATTCCAAAACTGACCACATAGTTGGAAGTAAAGCACTCCTCAGCAAATGTAAAAGAACAGAAATTATAACAAACTCTCTCTCAGACCACAGTGCAATCAAACTAGAACTCAGGATTAAGAAACTCACTCAAAACTGCTCAACTACATGGAAACTGAACAACCTGCTCCTGAATGACTACTGGGTACATAACGAAATGAAGGCAGAAATAAAGATGTTCTTTGAAACCAATAGAAAAAAGACACATCATACCAGAATCTCTGAGACACACTTAAAGCAGTGTGTAGAGGGAAATTTATAGCACTAAATGCCCACAAGAGAAAGCAGGAAACATCTAAAATTGGCACGCTAACATCACAATTGAAAGATCTAGAGAAGCAAGAGCAAACACATTCAAAAGCTAGCAGAAGGCAAGAAATAACTAAGATCAGAGCAGAACTGAAGGAGACAGAGGCACAAAAACCCCTTCAAAAAATCAATGAACCCAACAGCTGGTTGTTTGAGAAGATCAACAAAATTGATAGACCACTAGCAAGATTAATAAAGAAGAAAAGAGAGAAGAATCAAATAGATGCAATAAAAAATGATAAAGGGGATATCACCACCGATCCCACAAAAACAGAAACTACCATCAGAGAATACTATAAACACCTCTATGCAAATAAACTAGAAAATCTAGAAGAGATGGATAAATTCCTCGACACATACACCCTCTGAAGACTAAATCAAGAAGAAGTTGAAACCCTGAATAGACCAATTACAGGCTCTGAAATTGAGGCAATAATTAATATCCTACCAACCAAAAAAAGTCCAGGACCAGATGGATTCACAGCTGAATTCTACCAAAGGTAGAAGGAGGGGCTCGTACCATTCCTTCTGAAACTATTCCAATCAATAGAAAAAGAGATAATCCTCCCAAACTCATTTCATGAGGCCAGCATCATCTTTACACCAAAGCCTGGCAGAGACACAACAAAAAAAGAGAATTTTAGACCAGTAGAAAAATATCCCTGATGAACATTGATGCAAAAATCCTCTATAAAATACTGGCAAACTGAATCCAGCAGCACATCAAAAAGCTTATCCACCATGATCAAGTGGGCTTCATCCCTGGGATGCATGGCTGGTTCAACATACACAAATCAATAAACGTAATCCAGCATATAAACAGAACCAAAGACAAAAACCACATGATTATCTCAAAAGATGCAGTAAAGGCCTTTGACAAAATTCAACAACCTTCATGCTAAAAACTCTCAATAAATATGGTATTGATGGGACGTATCTCAAAATAATAAGAGCTATTAATGACAAACCCACAGCCAATATCAGACTGAATGGGCAAAAACTGGAAGCATTCCCTTTGAAAACTGGCACAAGGCAGGGATGCCCTCTTTCATCACTCTTATTTGACATAGTGTTGGAAGTTCTGGCCAGGGCAATCAGGAAGGAGAAAGAAATAAAGGGTATTCAATTAGGAAAAGAGGAAGTCAAATTGTCCCTGTTTGCAGATGACATGATTGTATATCTAGAAAACCCCATCATCTCAGCCCAACATCTCCTTAAGCTGATAAGCAACTTCAGCAGTCTCAGGATACAAAATCAATGTGCAAAAATCACAAGCATTCTTATACGCCAATAACAGACAAACAGAGAGCCAAATCATGAGTGAACTCCCATTCACAATTGCTTCGAAGAGAAAAAAATACCTAGGAATCCAACTTACAAGGGATGTGAAGGACCTCTTCAAGGAGAACTACAACTGCTCAACGAAATAAAAGAGGACACAAACAAATGGAAGAACATTCCATGCTCAGAGATAGGAAGAATCAATATCATGAAAATGGCCATACTGCCCAAGGCAATTTATAGATTCAATGCCACCCTCATCAAGCTACCAGTGACTTTCTTCATAGAATTGGAAAAAACTACTTTAAAGTTCATGTGGAACCAAAAAAGAGCCTGCATTGCCAAGACAATCCTAAGCCAAAAGAACAAAACTGGAGGCATCACGCTACCTGACTTCAAACTATACTACAAGGCCACAGTAACCAAAACAGCATGGTACTGGTACCAGAACAGAGATATACATCAGTGGAACAGAACAGAACCCTCAGAAATAATACCACACATCTACAACCATCTGATCTTTGACAAACCTGACAAAAACAAGAAATGGGGAAAGGAGTCCCTATTTAATAAATGGTGGTGCTGGGAAAACTGGCTAGCCATATGTAGAATGCTGAAACTGGATCCCTTCCTTACACCTTAAACAAAAATTAATTCAAGATGGATTAAAGACTTAAATATTAGACCTAAAACCATAAAAGCCCTAGAAGAAAACCTAGGCAATACCATTCAGGACATAGGCATGGCCAAACACTTCATGTCTAAAACACCAAAAGCAATGGCAACAAAAGCCAAAAATGACAAATGGGATCTAATTAAACTAAAGAGCTTCTGCAGAACAAAAGAAACTACCATCAGAGTAAACAGGCAACCTACAGAATGGGAGAAAATTTTGCAGTCTACTCATCTGACAAAGGGCTCATATCCAGAATCTACAAAGAACTCAAACAAATTTACAAGAAAAAAACAAACAACCCCATCAACAAGTGGGTGAAGGATATGAGCAGACACTTCTCAAAAGAAGAATTTATGCAGCCAACAGACACATGAAAAAATGCTCATCATCACTGGCCATCAGAGAAATGCAAATCACAACCACAATGAGATACCATCTCACACTGGTTAGAATGGCAATCATTAAAAAGTCAAGAAACAACAGGTGCTGGAAAGGATGTGGAGAAATAGGAACACTTTTACAGTGTTGATGGGACTGTAAGCTAGTTCAACCATTGTGGAAGACAGTGTGGCAATTCCTCAAGGATCTAGAACCAGAAATAACATTTGACCCAGCCATCCCATTACCGGCTATATACCCAAAGGATTATAAATCATGTTGATATAAAGACACATGCTCTCCTTGAAGAGGTCCTTCACATCCCTTGTAATTTGGATTCCTAGGTATTTTATTCTCTTTGAAGCAATTGTGAATGGGATTTCACTCATGATTTGGCTCTCTCTCTGTTTTTGGTGTCTAAGAATGCTTGTGATTTTTGCACATTGATTTTGTATCCTGAGACTGCTGAAGTTGCTTATCAGCTTAAGGAGATTTTGGGCTGAGACAATGGGGTTTTCTAGATATACAATCATGTCATCAGCAAACAGGGACAATTTGACTTCCTCTTTTCCTAATTGAATACCCTTTAATTTCTTTCTCCTTCCTGATTGCCCTGGCCAGAACTTCCAACACTATATCAAATAGGAGTGGCGAGAGAGGTCATCCCTGTCTTGTGCCAGTTTTCAAAGGGAATGCTTCCAGTTTTTGCCCATTCAGTATGATATTGGCTGTGGGTTTGTCATAAATAGCTCTTATTATTTTGAGATATGTCCCATCAATACCATATTTATTGAGAGTTTTTAGCATGAAGGGCTGTTGAATTTTGTCAAAGGCCTTTTCTGGAACTATTGAGATAATCATGTGGTTTTTGTCTTTGGTTCTGTTTGTATGCTAGATTACGTTTATTGATTTGTGTATGTTGAACCAGCCTTGCATCCCAGAGATGAAGCTGACTTGATCATGGTGGATAAGCTTTTTGTTGGCTGCTGGATTCAATTTGCCAAGGACCTCTTCAAGGAGAGCTACAAACTACTGCTCAATGAAATAAAAGAGAGTACAAACAAATGGAAGAACATTCCATGCTCAGAGATAGGAAGAATCAATATGTTGAAAATGGCCATAGTGCCCAAGGTAATTCATAGATTCAATGCCATTCCCATCAAGCTACCAATGACTTTCTTCACAGAATTGGAAAAAACTACTTTAAAGTTCATATGGAACCAAAAAAGAGCCCACATTGCCAAGTCAATCTTAAGCCAAAAGAACAAAGCTGGAGGCATCACGCTACCTGACTTCAAACTATACTACAAAGATACAGTAACCAAAAGAGCATGGTACTGGTACCAAAACAGAGATATAGACCAATGGTACAGAACAGAGCCCTCAGAAATAATACCACACATCTACAACCATCTGATCTTTGACAAACCTGACAAAAACAAGAAATGGGGAAAGGATTCCCTATTTAACAAATGGTGCTGGGAAAACTGGCTAGCCATATGTGGTAAGCTGAAACTGGATCCCTTCCTTACACCTTGTACAAAAATTAATTCAAGATGGATTAAAGACTTAAATGTTAGACCTAAAACCATAAAAACCCTAGAAGAAAACCTAGGCAGTGCCATTCAGGACATAGGCATGGGCAAGAACTTCATGTTTAAAACACCAAAAGCAATGGCAACAAAAGCCAAAATTGACAAATGGGATCTAATTAAATGAAAGAGCTTCTGCACAGTGAAAGAAACTACCATCAGAGTGAACAGGCAACCTACAAAATGGGAGAAAATTTTGCAGTCTACTCATCTGACAAAGGGCTCATATCCAGAATCTACAAAGAACTCAAACAAATTTACAAGAAAAAAACAAACAACCCCATCTACAAGGGGGTGAAGGATACGAACAGACACTTCTCAAAAGAAGACATTTATGCAGCCAACAGACACATGAAAAAATGCTCATCATCACTGGCCATCAGAGAAATGCAAATCAAAACCACAATGAGATACCATCTCACACCAGTTAGAATGGCGATCATTAAAAAGTCAGGAAACAACAGGTGCTGGAGAGGATGTGGAGAAATAGGGACACTTTTACACTGTTGGTGGGACTGTAAACTAGTTCAACCATTGTGGAAGACAGTGTGGCGATTCCTCAGGGATCTAGAACTAGAAATACCATTTGACCCAGCCATCCCATTACTGGGTATACACCCAAAGGATTATAAGTCATGCTGCTATAAAGACACATGCACATGTATGTTTATTGCAGCACTATTCACAATAGTAAAGACTAGGAACCAACCCAAGTGTCCATCAGTGATAGAGTAGATTAAGTAAATGTGGCACATATACACCATGGAATACTATGCAGCCATAAAAAAGGTTGAGTTCATGTCCTTTGTAGGGACATGGATGAAGCTGGGAACCATCATTCTCAGCAAACTATCACAAGGAGAAAAAACCAAACACCGCATGTTCTCACTCATAGGTGGGAATTGAACAGTGAGAACACTTGGACACAGGAAAGGGAACATCACACACAGGGGCCTGTTGTGGGTTGGGAGGAGCGGGGAGGGATAGCATTAGGAAATATACCTAATGTAAATGACGAATTAATGGGGGCAGCACAACAACCTGGCACATGTATACATATGTAACAAACCTGCACATTGTGCACATGTACCCTAGAACTTAAAGTATAATAAAAAAAAGAAAAAGAGAAAGTTGAATTGCTTGATATAGATACCATAGATTAAGGTCTGCCTTTGTGGTTGCCAGTCAATTCATGATAAATCTAGCAGAAGAACCACTGTAAGAAAAAAAAGAAGAAAAAAAACTTGTGAAACTGTCACTGCAGCTATGCCAACAGGATAAAAACTTTGCACTTTTTGTGAAGCATTTTTTATCTCATATTGAAAATGCAGCTTTTATGTGGGTGCAGCATTGTTATAAGAAAGGCATACCTATTGGCTCAAATATGATTCAAGACAAAATGAGGTCATTATATGAGAAAAAGGGAAAATAAAGTGAAGGATCTAAATCTAGAGACTTTAATGTCAGCAAGGGATGGTTTGATAATTTAAAAAAGAGGTTTGGCTTTAAAAATGTGAAGATAACAGGAGAAGCAACTTCTGCTGAACAAGAGGCTGCAAATGAGTCCCCAGACACCATTAAGAAAATCATTAAAGAGAAAAGGTATTTGCTTGAACCCATTTTTAATGCAGACCAAAGTGCCCTATTTTGAAAAAATGCCATGAATGACATTAATTAGTAAGGAAGAGAAGTGAGTGCCAGGATTGAAGGCAGGAATTGATAGGCTAACTCTACTGTTTTATACAAATGCAGTCAGGTTTATGATAAGGACTGCCTTTACCTATAAAGCTGCTAACCCCCAAGATTTGAAGGGAAAAGATAAACATCAGCTGCTAGTCTTTTGTTTGTACAACAATAAAGCCTGCACACTGAGAATCTTTTTCTGGACTGGTTCCACTGGTGTTTTTTCCTGAAGTAAAGAAGCACCTTGCCAGTAGGAGACAGCCTTTTAACGTTCTTTTGATAGTGGACAAATTGAACAATGCCCCTGGTAACCCAGAACCCCATGAGTTCAAGGCCAAAGGCATCAAAGGGGTCTACTCACCCCCCAAACACAACATCTCTAAATCCAGGGGGTCATAAGGACCTTTAAGGCTCATTACACACAGTACTCTATGGGGAAAGGATTATCAACACTGTGGAAGAGAACCCTGACATGGAGAACATCATGAAAGTTTGGAAAGATTACACCATTGAGGATGCCATTGTTATTATAGAAAAAAACATGAAAACCATCAAGCCTGAAACAATAAATTCCTGGTGAAGAAAACTGCGTCCAGATGTTGTACATGACTTCACAGGATTTATCACAGAGCCAATCAAGGAAATCATGAAAGTGATTGTGGATATGACAAAAAAAGATTGGGGGAAAGGGTTTCTAGATACAGATCTTGGAGAAAATCGAAAGCTAATAGATATCAGACTAGAATTAAAAGATGATTTGATGGAGATGAGTGTTTCCAAACCTGTGACAGATTATGAGGAAGAAGATATAGAAGGAGCAATGCCAGGAAATAAATTGACATTAGACAATCTGGCAGAACTGTTCTGATTATTCAAGACTGCTTTTGACTTCCTTTACAGCCTAGACCCTTCTATGATAGAGGCACTGAGACTGAAATAAATGGTTGAAGAAGGATTGGTACCAGATAGAGACATTTTTAGAGAAATTAGAAAACAAAAAATTTAGACAGAAATTACAAAGGATTTCTGTAGTTACACTGAGTGTGACCTGCTTCTCCTGCCTCCTCTTTCACCTCCTTCATGTCTTCCACCTCTACCACTACTGAGACAGTGCGATCAACCTCTCCTTCTCTTCCTCCTTTTCAGCCTAGTCAACATGATGACAAGGATGAAGGCCTTTATGATGATCCATATCCACTAAATAAATGTAAACATATTTTTGTTTTCCTTTTGATTCTCTTAATAACATTCTCTTTTCTCTAGCTTATTTTATTGTAAGAATATAGTATATAATACATATAGCACAAAAATATGTCTCAATCAACTATTTATGTTAATGGTAAGGCTTGTAGTCAACAGTAGGCTATTAGAAGTTTTTGGGAATTCAAAAGTTGTACGTGAATTTTTGACTGCACAGGGGGCTGGCACTCGTAACCCTGCGTTGTTCCAGGTTCGACGGTAATCTATACACTCTCTCATCTAAGAAGACCTTCCAGATTTTTCCAAATAGAATTAACTTTGTTCTCGTTTCTGATTCTCATAAAATTTGGTGTATGCTCATTTCAGCCTTCCCAGTACTAATCACTTGGATATCTATATCCCCCAAAAGATTGTGAGTTCCAGGAGACAGGATGTCTGTTTAATAATAATGATAATAATTATTACAACTGAAATTTAAATATTATATAGTTTACAAACAATGCCTACATACATTTTCTCATTTTTTCTTTTTTCCTCACAAGAGCCTTGTAATAGCTTTGCATTCTTTTCAGCACTGCATATAATACTTTGCATATAGTAGGCTTTCGAAAATATTTTGGGGCTTAATTAAAATTAAAACTGGATTGTGTGGGTTGAATTAAAATGCTGCCAATTCTCTGAATTTTTATGTCCTGTAAAGCAATTAAGAGAGGGAAAGAAGATTTTGAGTAATTTCACTTTTTCATTTGTATACAACCAATATATCCCTAAAACAAAAATTAAGAAAGTATTCATTAGACCATTAAAATTAATTATGACAGCATCTAAACAAGGCAGGTTTAAAATATTTATTTATTTATCTATTAGGTCAGAACATCTCTTCTTTTTCCTGCCCCCTTAGCTTGTTCACTTGAATCTTGGTGAGTATTCTATAAGCTCCACATACAGCATGTACATTGGGGAAATGAAAAGTCACACCAGGCTTCAAGAAAGTGATTCTGTTGGTAACTAGGACCAAGCCAGTTATGCCCATTCAACCCATTTTCTTTTAGAAGACACAGCTTCTTATAGCCCTTTGGGGCCTGCTTAAATTCTGACATTTCTCTATTGGAAAATGAACTGAAGTTTTCAAACTGCATTTCACTACACAGATCACTAGTAACTACAGCTGAATTATAATCCCATATGATAACTATCCCATGAGACAAAAGCTTTCTCACCATTATGCACTCGAAGTAATCGGGTTTCTCTGCCGAGACTCTTCTATTTTCATGAGCAATTTAAAAATCACTTACAACTCAGAAAATAGGTCACCGCTTATTTCATTTTTTAAGATAGTTACAAGCAGTGTCTACCCCATGTCCAAAACCACCTCTTATTTTCATGGGACTCAGATTGCCAATGGCTCTCTGGAACAGAAAGGTCATTCAAAAAGAAATGGAATGAGAGGGTGGCTAATATAAAGAACTAGGCTTTTTTTAAAAATGAAAAACAAAACCTGAGAAGAGCACTTAGAAGCTAAATACTATTAGAATGAGAGGTAAGACTCCTGGAAAAAGAATAAAAACAGAACAGAGCTGAGAACCAGAAAGGAAAGCAATGAATTAAGAAATAATTAATGGTATTTGCATGTAGAGTACATGAAAGAAGAGAAAGAAATAAAATAAATGGTCTTGGAATTCCACCTACAACTCAGACATTTTTCCTGTAGGCATTCAGAATGTATTAAACAAAAGTAAAACTCTGCCAACAATAATGGCTGTGTTTCCATAGTGCTTTGATGGATCAGAGCTTGTTTTAGGGAATAAGGAACCAACGAAGGTTTTTGTGCACTTGGTGACATGGTCTATTTGTGCTTTAGAAGGGCCCCTTCTGGCAGCATTATAGAAAAATTATTGGAAGGGAAAAATCAGAATAAAGAGTTGGAAGATACTGCAATATTCTAGAAATGAGAGAAGAGTCTAGAATCCAAAAGTGACATTGAATTACAAGGAGATAATGAATAGAAAAGACATTAGGAGATAAATTCAATTGAACTCAGTAACTCCTCGGCTAAGGAAAGTAAAAAGGAATAAGGTGAAGCTAGGAAGAGAATTCATTATTTTACAGTGCCTTGGATAGATGGTGGGATGTGTGTTGACTACATTAACCAGAAAATGGAAGAAAAGAGAAGGAGATAATGCCTTGAGAAGATGAGCACACTCGATGGAGCTGACCTGCACTCAGCTGCAAATCACGTCATCCACATGAAGGCAACAGCTGAAATAAAAGGAGTGTCCATAATATATTAGAAAGAGTAACACTTTAAAAAAATTGTGGAAACACATTTATACTAATGACGGATTGCTGTTACAATAATTCAATTGATTTCCATTATTCATTAAGTATATAATTAACTTCAGAGGCATTAAGATATAATGGATAGGTGTGTCCTGCTTTACCAGCTTAGAGCACAGGAAACTTCTAACATTCAGAATGTTATGACTGAGCACCTTCCCATCCTCCTTATGACAAGAATGTCTATTTTCCCTCCTCACTACTGAGTTCTAGGGATCTGTCCTTCTTGCTAAACTTCACTGAGAGAAAAATGAAAGCACCTCATTAATCTACCCGAGGCCCCCTTCTCTGCCACACCGCACTACTCTAGAAAGCATTAACCGTTATGCACCCTGGGCAGGCCTCCACCATGGAGAGAGAAGCCTCTCAGAGGCCTGCCTATCTGAAACGAACTAAGTTGAAGCTTCAGGGCCCCTCAACAGCAAGGGCCCCTTCATGTCCCTGGAATGGGCCCTAGCAACTTTATATTCTGAATTTTGTATTCTTTTATTTTTAAAGAAGGAACCTAATATGTTATAAATTCAGGTCCAACAACACCTGAATTGGCCCTTTCCCACACTCTCACTGCTGCTCTGAGAGCAGCTCCTCCACTCTGCGGAAGGAAGAAGCAGTCTCCTGCCTCTCTGTCCAGTTTATGGTTGTGCCATAAGATGATAGACCTGGGCTTCTCAGGTACAACTCTTCAGTGACAGTGGTGGAGTTTAATCATGGACAAATGCAGGAAGCATGCACAGCCCTCACCTAAGATGCTTAGATTATTGCACATGAGCTGTGGTCTGATGCAGTGTTTCCCACATCACCCCAGGCTCTGGTATGAGTGCCAGGCACCAGTTCCAGCTTTTTCTCTTCCAGAAGGGTTCCCCTAAGTGTCTTCTGTGGTTCTTACTGCCAACAGGTCTTAAACTAGGACACCTCAGCAACCAGACATTGTAGTGACATTGAAACTCAAAGCCTCAGGTTCTCCTTCCCATTTCTCCCCAAAGTCTCCTTGGCCTTTATGCAAATTTGAGCAACTTATTCATCACCAGAAACCTTCAAGAGTAATATTTTTAAGGCAGAAAACCAGGCACCACCTGCCTTCAGAGCTAAAGTTCCATGCCTTATAAGCCTAAGAGGGAAATGATACCTTAACACCTTTCCTTCACAAAAAAATGATCCCCATTTCATTCATATAATTGAAATGAGCCGTTAAATTTTTTTCCAGAACAAAAAAAGGCAGCTTCCATAATATATTTTTCTAGATAGAGGTACATATGTTTTGCAACCTTTAAATAGCCTCATCTCATTCTCTTCATTTTCTCTCTCTCTCCCCGCCCCCACTCTCTCTCACCACACCTTGCACCATTAAAATTCTGCTTCATTGTATTTCCCTCAAAATAAGTACATGGGAATAAAATATTTATTTAGAAATGTACCTGATACAAACTGGGGTTATCCACTACCCAGGGCAAGCCTTTATGGTTCTGGGACTTATAAGATCCCTTTGAACTCCTAAAATATTGCTTGATTTTATCAAATACACAGTGGAAATCTTTAGTTGTGAATATACTGAACATAGCACTTTCAATGCTTCTGTAAACCTAATGGAACCTAAACTGAAAGCTACCACCTTGATTTAAACCTTTGGAAGAATGTGAATAATTAAGGAGGCATATTCAGGATTTAACTTTATTTCAGAAGGATAAATGTCTCACATATTAATTTGTCTTCTAATTCAATTAACTTAAATGATGTAAGAGTTAATGTTTCACTGAAATACGATTTTTTCTACTATTTTGATTTTTCTGGAAAAAAATCAAAATATTACAATATTCTGCTTTTTAGAAAATGAATCCAGCAGCCATTTTATCTTTTATTTTTCTACCTTTAAAAAGCCAAGTTGGAGTTTATTTTATGCATTATTTTTAAAACTTGGGGATAAGTAAACTTTTAAATAAGATATCAAAAAGACAAAAGAACAAAAATCTCTAAGAATGTTTTAAAAATGAGAAGTGAGGGGGAGACTAACTCTACAAACTATTAAAACATGTTGTAACGTTAAATCAGGAGCAGTGTGAAGAGGCGAGAACGACCCCAGGACTGACCAAAGCCCGCGCTGGGCAACTACGTTCTGCCGCCATCACCGCCACCATGCCCAAGAGAAAGGCTGAAGGGGATGCTAAAGGAGATAAAGCCAAGGTAAGGGACGAACCACAGAGAAGATCCACGAGGTTGTCTGCTAAACCTCCTCCTCCAAAGCCAGAGCGCAAGACTAAAAAGGTCCCTGCAAAGAGGGGAGAGAAGGTACCAAAAGGGAAAAAGGGGAAAGCTGATGCTGGCAAGGAGGGGAATAACCCTACAGAAAATGGAGATGCCAACAGACCAGGCACAGAAAGCTGAAGGTGCTGGAGATGCCAGGGGAAGTGTGTGCATTTTTGATAACTGGCTACGTCTGGTGACTGTACAGTTTGAAATACTATTTTCATCAAGTTTTATAAAAATGCAGAATTTTGTTTTTTTTTTAAGCTATGTTGTTAGCACACAGAACACTTCATTGTTGTTTTAGGGGGAAGGGGCATATGTCACTAATAAACTGTCTCCAAAGCTGAATTGATATGGGGAAAACCTTTTTCTTCTAGTTTTGAGAGATTTCCTCTTGGCTACCAGGAGAAGGGATTCCCTGACTTTGACACACATGGCCACCTTGGAACAAAAACCTTGTGGTATGGAAAAACAAATTCTTTTTTACGTCCTCTTCTCCTTTTCCACCTTTCAGCATAGACTTAACTCCCTTAAACCCAGACATCTGTTGAGACCTGACCCCCAGTATTTGGTTACCAGTGTGTCAGGCAATCTGGACTGTCCAGTGATGCCACTGAAATGGCACCCCTCAAAAGATCAGTGGTTCTGTTTCTAGATTGTGGCTCTTCAGATAAATTCTGCCATTTTCATTTCACTTCCTGAAAGTCAGGGTTGGCTTGTGAAAAGTTATTAAACAACATGCTAAATGTGAAATGTCAACCCTCACTCTAAACTTTCCCTGTTCAGAGCATCAGATGAAGGCTTCTTTGGATTTTACGGTGGCTTTCTGATTTTTGGTAGTCCATTGAAGAAGGGAGTTTGAAAGTTGTTGTATACTGTTAGAGATTGCCTACCCATGTTCTGCCTGAAATACCATGATTGTTTATGGAAAGTATCTTTAATAAAGCTGGATACAATTTGGCTTGAAAAAAAAGTTAAATCAGTTTGACAGTAACAAAAGCATATCATTAATTAAATACATATTGCCTATTATTTTCAGTGATAATGTTATTAAAAAGACTTCTTATACTCATCCCCATACCCCAAAGCAGCAGTTAGTCACCTAAGGTATCTGAGTCGCCCTTGTCAGAATTCTCAGTTTACCAGATTGCATGTTTGCTTTTACCCAGGAATAAATGCTTGAGTGGCCGCGTCTGACTCAGCTCTGGTGACGTGTCTACAGGAGGCTCCCTTTCTAGGATCCCCTTGAACTCCTAAAATATTGTTTGATTTTATCAAATACACAGTGGAAATCTCTAGTTGTGAATATATTGAACATAGCCTTTTTGATGCTTCTGTGAACCTAATGGAACCTAAAGTGAAAGCTACCACTTTGATTTAAGCCTCTGTTGTAAAATTCTTTTGCAATTCTCCTGAGGAAATTCACTTTTGGAGGAACTGCTTTTGCTTCTGTATGAGTCCCTCAGTGCTGTTGTCTCATCGGTGATCTGTTTGCCTCTGCTTTCTGTTTTCCAGAAACCCTCGCTGTCCTGGCCTGCAGTTGGGGTCCTCCTAGATTTCCAGAGTTGCTACGTGTTTTATTTTTAAAGTTTATACTGTCATTTCATGGGATCTGGGAAGAAGGAGAGGGCTCTAAAATGTGGATATAGTCCAATTTGTTGAAGAACTCTTTTTTTTTTTAATATACTTTAAGTTCTAGGGTACATGTGCACAACGTGCAGATTTGTTACACAGGTATACATGTGCCATGTTGGTTTGCTGCACCCATCAACTTCTCATTTACATTAGGTATTTCTCCTAATGCTATCCCTCCCCCAGCCCCCCGCACCCTGACAGGCCCCAGTGTGTGACATTCCCTGCCCTATGTTCAAGTGTTCTCAGTGTTCAATTCCCACCTATGAGTGAGAACATGTGATGTTTGGTTTTCTCTCCTTGTGATAGTTTGCTGAGAATGATGGTTCTCAGCTTCATCTGTGTCCCTGCAAATGACATGAACTCATCCTTTTTTATGGCTTCATAGGTTTCCATGGTGTATATGTCCCTCATTTTCTTAATGCAGCCTATCATTAATGGACATTTGGGTTGGTTCCAAGTCTTTGCTATTGTGAATAGTGCCGCAATAAATACACGTGTGCATGTGTCTTTATAGTAGCAGGATTTATAATCCTTTGGATAAATACCCAGTAATGGGATCGCTGGTTCAAATGGTATTTCTAGTTCTAGGTCCTTGAGGAATTGCCACACTGTCTTCCACAATGGTTGAACTAATTTACACTCCCACCAACAGTGTAACAGCATTCCTATTTCTCCACTTCCTCTCTAGCATCTGTCATTTCCTGACTTTTCATTGATCACCATCCTAACTGGCATGAGATGGCATCTCATTGTGGTTTTGATTTGCATTTCTCTGATGAGCAGTGATGAGGAGCATTTTTTCATGTGCCTGTTGGCTGCATAAATGTCTTCTTTCGAGAAGTGTCTGTTCATATCCTTTGCCCACTTTTTGATGGGGTTGTTTTTTTCATGTAAATTTGTTAAAGTTCTTTGTAGATTCTGGATATTAGCCCTTTGTCAGACGAGTAGATTGCAAACATTTTCTCCCATTCTGTAGGTTGCCTGTTCACTCTGATGGTAGTTTCTTTTGCTGTGCAGAAGCTCTTTCGTTTAATTAGATCCCATTTGTCAATTTTGGCTTGTGTTGCCATTGCTTTTGGTGTTTTAGTCATGAAGTCTTTGGCCATGCCTATGTCCTGAATGGTATTGCCTAGTTTTTCTTCTAGAGTGTTTATGGTTTTAGGTCTAACATTTAAGTTTTTAATCCATCTTGAATTAATTTTTGTATAAGGTGTAAGGAAGGTATACAGTTTCAGCTTTCTGCATATGGCTAGCCAGTTTTCCCAGCACCATTTATTAAATAGGGACTCCTTTCCCCATTTCTCGTTTTTGTCAGGTTTGTCAAAAATCAGATGGTTATAGATGTGTGGTGTTATTTCTGAGGCCTCTGTTCTGTTCCATTGGTCTATGTACCTCTTTTGGTACCAGTACCATGCTGTTTTGGTTACTGTAGCCTTGTAGTATAGTTTGAAGTCAGGTAGCGTGATGCCTCCAGCTTTGTTCTTTTTGCTTAGGATTGTCTTGGCTATGAGGGGTATTTTTTGTTAATGGAACTTCATAAAGTTCTATATGAACTCAAAAATTTTTTTCCAATTCTGTGAAGAAAGTCATTGGTAGCTTGATGGGGATGGCATTGAATCTATAAATTACCTTGGCAGTACGGCCATTTTCATGATATTGATTCTTCCTATCCATGAGCATGGAATGTTCTTCCATTTGTTTGTGTCCTTTTTTATTTTGTTGACCAGTGGTTTGTAGTTCTCCTTGAAGAGGTCCTTCACATCCCTTGTAAGTTGGATTCCTAGGTATTTTATTCTCTTTGTAGCAATTGCAAATGGGAGTTCACTCATGATTTGGCTCTCTGTTTGTCTGTTATTGGTGTATAAGAATGCTTGTGATTTTTGCACATTGATTTTGTATCCTGAGACTGCTGAAGTTGCTTATCAGCTTAAGGAGAATTTGGCTGAGATGATGTGGTTTTCTAAATACACAATCATGTCATCTGCAAACAGGGACAATTTGACTTCCTTTTTTCCTAATTGAATACCCTTTATTTCTTTCTCTTGCCCAATTGCCCTGGCCAGAACTTCCAACACTATGTTGAATAGGAGTAGTGAGAGAGGGCATCCCTGTCTTGTGCCAGTTTTCAAAGGGAATGCTTCCAGTTTTTGCCCATTCAGTATGATATTGGCTGCGGGTTTGTCATAAATAGCTCTTATTATTTTGAGATAAGTTCTGTTAATACCTAGTTTACTGAGACTTTTTAACATGAAGCTCTGTTGAATTTTGTCAAAGGCCTTTTCTGCATCGATTGAGATAATCATGTGGTTTTTGTCGTTGGTTCTGTTTATGTAATGGATTATTTTTATTGATTTGTGTATGTTGAACCAGCCTTGCATCCGAGGGATGAAGCTGACTTGATCGTGATGGGTAAGCTTTTTGATGTGTTGCTGGATTCAGTTTGTCAGTATTTTATTGAGGATTTTCACATCAATGTTCATCAGGAATATTGGTCTAAAATTCTCTTTTTTTGTTGTGTCTCTGCCAGGCTTTGGTATCAGGAAGATGCTAGCCTTATAAAATGAGTTAGGGAGGATTCCCTCTTTTTCTATTGATTGGAATATTTCCAGAAGGAATGGTACCAGCTCCTCTTTCTACCTCTGGTAGAATTTGGCTGTGAATCCATCTGGTCCTGGATTTTTTTTGGTTGGTAGGATATTAATTATTGCCTCAATTTCAGAACCTGTTATTGGTCTATTCAGAGATTCAACTTCTTCCTGGTTTAGTCTTGGGAGGGTGTATGTGTTCAGGAATTTATCCATTTCTTCTAGATGTTCTAGTTTATTTGCGTAGAGGTGTTTATAGTATTCTTTCATGGTAGTTTGTATTTTGTGGGATCAGTGGTGATATCCCCTTTATCATTTTTTATTGCGTCTATTTGATTCTTCTCTCTTTTCTTCTTTAGTAGTCTTGCTAGCGGTCTATTAATTTTGTTGATCTTTTCAAAAAACCAGCTCCTGGATTCATTGACTTTTTTGAAGGGTTTTTTGTGTGTCTCTCTCTTTCAGTTCTGCTCTGATCTGTTATTTCTTGCCTTCTGCTAGCTTTTGAATTTGTTTGCTCTTGTTTCTCTAGTTCTTTTAATTGTGATGTTAGGGTGTTGATTTTAGATCTTTCCTGCTTTCCCTTGTGGGCATTTAGTGCTATAAATTTCCCTCTACACACTGCTTTAAATGTGTCCCAGAGATTCTGGTATGTTGTGTCTTTGTTCTC
Organism: Homo sapiens; assembly: GCF_000001405.40. Classification (NCBI taxonomy): domain Eukaryota; kingdom Metazoa; phylum Chordata; class Mammalia; order Primates; family Hominidae; genus Homo; species Homo sapiens. Next base: position 79,349,715 of record NC_000006.12, on the reverse strand, counting down.
ATTGGTTTCAAAGAACATCTTTATTTCTGCCTTCATTTCGTTATGTACCCAGTAGTCATTCAGGAGAAGGTTGTTCAGTTTCCATGTAGTTGAGCAGTTTTGAGTGAGTTTCTTAATCCTGAGTTCTAATTTGATTGTACTGTGGTCTGAGAGACAGTTTTTTGTGATTTCTGTTCTTTTACATTTGCTGAGGAGTGCTTTACTTCCAATTATGTGGTCAATTTTAGAATAAGTGCGCTATGGTGCTGTGAAAAATGTATATTCTGTTGATTTGGGGTGGAAAGTTCTGTAGATGTCTATTAGGTCCACTTGGTGCAGAGCGGAGTTCAAGTCCTGGCTATCCATGTTAACCTTCTGTCTTGTTGATCTGTCTAATATTTACAGTGGGGAATTGAAGTCTCCCATTATTATTGTGTGGGAGTCTAAGTCTTTTTGTAGGTCTCTAAGGACTTGCTTTATGAACCTGGGTGCTCCTGTATTGGGTGCATATATATTTAGGATAGGTAGCTCTTCTTGTTGAATTGATCCCTTTACCATTACATAGTGGCCTTCTTAGTCTCTTTGGATCTTTGTTGGTTTAAAGTCTGTTTTATCAGAGACTAGAGTTGCAACCCCTGCTTTTTTTTTTTGTTTTCTGTTTGCTTGGTATATCTTCCTCCATCCCTTTATCTTGAGCCTATGTGTGTCTCTTCACATGAGATGGGTTTCCTGAATACAGCACACTGATGGGTCTTGACTCTTTATCCAATTTGCCAGTCTATGTCTTTTAATTGGGGTATTTAGCCCATTTACATTTAAGTTAATATTGTTATGTGTGAATTTGATCCTGCCATTATGATTTTAGCTGGTTATTTTGCTCGTTAGTTTATGCAGTTTCTTCCTCACCTTGATGGTCTTTACAATTTGGCATGTTTTTGCAGTGGCTGGTACCAGTTGTTCCTTTCCATGTTTAGTGCTTCCTTCAGGAGCTCTTGTAAGGCAGGCCCAGTGGTGACAAAATCCCTCAGCATTTTCTTGTCTGTAAAGGATTTTATTTCTCCTTCACTTATGAAGCTTAGTTTGGCTGGGTATGAAATTCTAGGTTGAAAATTCTTCTGTTTAAGAATGTTAAATATTGGCCCCCACTCTCTTCTGGCTTGTAGAGTTTCTGCCAAGAGATCTGCTGTTAGTCTGATGGGCTTCCCTTTGTGGGTAACCAGACCTTTCTCTCTGGCTACCCTTAACATTTTTTCCTTCATTTCAACTTTGGTGAATCTGACTATTATGTGTCTTGGGGTTGCTTTTCTCAAGGAGTACCTTTGTGGTGTTCTCTGTATTTCTGAATTTGAATGTTGGCCTGCCTTGCTAGATTGGGGAAGTTCTCCTGGATAATATCCTGCAGAGTGTTTTCCCAGTTGGTTCCATTCTCCCCATCACTTTCAGGTACACCAATCAGATGTAGATTTGGTCTTTTCACATAGTACCATATTTCTTGGAGGCTTTGTTTCTTTCTTTTTACTCTTTTTTCTCTAATCTTGTCTCTCACTTTATTTCATTAATTTGATCCTCAATCACTGATATCCTTTTTTCCACTTGATCTAATTAGCTATTGAAGCTTGTGCATGCAGCACAAAGTTCTCATGCCATGGTTTTCATCTCCATCAGGTAATTTAAGGTCTTCTCTACACTGTTTATTCTAGTTAGCCATTTGTCTAACCTTTTTTCAAGGTTTTTAGCTTCCTTGCGATGGTTTAGAACATGCTCCTGTAGCTTGGAGTAGTTTGTTATTACTGATCTTCTGAAGCCTACTTCTGTCAGCTCATCAAAGTCATTTTCCATCCAGCTTTGTTCTGTTGCTGGCAAGGAGCTGCGATCCTTTGGAGGAGAAGAGGCACTCTGGTTTTTAGAATTTTCAGCTTTTCTGCTCTGGTTTCTCCCCATCTTTTTGGTTTTTATCTACCTTTGGTCTTTGATGTTGGTGATCTACAGATGGTGTTTTGGTGTGGATGTCCTTTTTGTTGATGTTGATGCTACTCCTTTCTGTTTGTTAGTTTTCCCTCTAACAGTTGGGACCCTTAGCTGCAGGTCTGTTGAAATTTGCTGGAGGTCCACTCCAGACGCTGTTTTCCTGGGTATCACCAGAGGAGGCTGCAGAACAGCAAATATTGCAGAACAGCAAATATTGCTACCTGATCCTTCCTTTGGAAGCTTCATCCCAGAGGGGTACCCACCTGTATGAGGTGTCTGTTGGCCCCTACTGGGAGGTGTCTCCCAGTTAGGCCACACAGGGGTCAGGGACCCGTGTGAGGCAGTCTGTCCATTCTCAGAGCTCAAACATCATACTGGGAGAACCACTGCTCTCTTCAGGGCTGTCAGACAGGGATGTTTAAGTCTGCAGAAGTTTCTGCTGCCTTTTGCTCAGCTATACCCTGCCCACAGAGGTGGAGTCTATAGAGGCAGTAGGGCTTGCTGAGCTGCAGTGGGCTCCACCCAGTTCGAGCTTCCTGACAGCTTTGTTTACCTACTCAAGCCTTTGCAATGGTGGACGCCCCTCCCCCTGAAGAACTCTTTTATGTTATATAATCAAATCAATTATTGCCCAAAATGAATTTTTTCTTTGATATTTACTTCTATTTTTCTTTGGATAATATTTGGCATTTTATATCTAATTCTTTAATTAGCTTTATTTTTTTCCCCAAAAATGTAACCTATTATCCTAGTAACATTTATAAAATTATTAATCATTTTCTCTTTTTCCCTTTAAGAAAACTCATATATCCATATTTACATAAAAACATGTCTAAAATATAACGATTGAAAAAAAGAAGTTGCAGATAAATTAGTTTATGTTTGAAAAAAGGAGAGAATTTTATGTATAGTTCACTATATATTATGCATTATATATACTTGTGTATAAATAGAAACATTATGGTAGACTGGGAATCAAACTGTTAACTTCTTTTGGAGAGTAGAAATGGGAGAAAGTCAGAGGTGAGAGAATCATAATTTCAAGAGCAGAGATAGTGTAGACTAAGAGAAACAGCAGCCAGCAGCTGGTTGGCAGAAAAAAAGGCTAGGACCAGCTGACTCTAGAGTTTGCTGAAAAATAAAATCACTAGTGCACATGTTTATAAATCGAACATTTAAAAAAATAGCTAACATGTATTGAAATCTTACTATATGCCAGGTGCTGTTCTCATAGCTTTAGATGTACTGATTCATTTACTCCTCATAACAAACTTATGCAGGTAAGTACTACTCATCACAATTGTAAAGACAGGGAAACTGGAGCACAAACGGGTTAGGTAAATTTTCCTGTATATGCTGTGTACGGCACAGCCAGGACTTGACTCCAGTTGATGTGGTATTGGAGCCCCCCTTAATTGCTATGTTCCATTGCACAGCTTTAACCATCACCTCCTGAGACTGAAGCTTTTCTCACACCCTGCTTACAGTCACCAGTGCTCCTAAAAGCAGAACCTTTATTCCAACCATAGAAATGAAAAGCTTCACTTTGAAGAAATGAAATGTACTCTAAAGGTAAATACTATGTTATTTAAACATTCATCTGAAAGCAGTCTGGAAATGAAAGAGTCAACAAGTATTTGAGAAAAACCTAGCGCAAAGAAAACATAAATTCCAACAAAGAGATTTAACTCCCAAGAAAACAGAGTTAACATAGAAAATAGAATAAAATAGCCAAACAAATATCTCTGAAAATCCTATTTTCAGAGATACAAGGGGTTGTGTTCACACATACTACACACAGATTGGAGTTCTTGATTAAAACATGATTACTGAAATTAAAAACAGATTATCTAACAGAATGAACATAAAAGATCAAGTTAGTGAATTGAAAGACTAAGCAATTCTCTCAAGGTATTATGTGAAAGCAAGAGCACAAAAGTACAAGAAAAAATGTTGAAATAGAATCAGAAGTTCTGTGATAGGCAGAATAATGATCCTTCAACGATGTACCACATCCTGCATCCTAATCCCTAGAACCTGTGAATATGTAACCTTACATAACAAAAGTGACTTTGCAGCTGTGAGTAAATTAGGGATCTTGATGTGGGGAGATTATCCTGGATTACTTACACAGGCCCAATGTAAGGACTTATATAAGTAGGATCCCTTATGTAGGGTCCTTATACATGAAAGAGCAAGGAGGATCAGAGGCTTAAAACAATACAGATTTATTATCTTAAAGTTCTGTAGTTCAGAAATCTGAAATGGGTTTCACTGGGATAAAATCAAGGAGTTGGTGGGGCTGCATTCCTTTCTGGAGGATTCTCTAGGGGAGGATCCATTTCCTTGCCCCTTCCAGCTTCTAGAGGCTGCCTCCTTGGCCTTTGGCATCCATCTTCAAAGCTAGCAACAGTGCGTAGAGTTCTCACTTCACATTGTTGACCTCCTCTTTTGACTCCTTTTTCCACATTTATGAACCCTTGGGTCTATCCCAAGAGTCCAAACCAATCTCGCTATTTTAAGATCAGCTGATTAGCAACCTTAGTTTCATCTACTATCTTAAATACCTCTTTGCCACATAATGTAACATATTCATAGGTTCTGGGAATTCGCACATGGACATGTTTAGGGGACCAATATTCTGCCTACTAATCCTGCCCCCTATTCCTAACTTTAAATGCCTCCCAATTTTACAATGTAGATCATTTCAGGCATGCCCAAACTTCTACCTTTAAACTTTCCCATTCCAATATACTCTTGGAAGGTGGGGTTTGGTGGGGGACATAGGGTTGTTTTTTAGTGTACGTAGACAAAAATATATTGGGTGTCCTGCCCAGTGTACTCTTCGGGGTTTTGCAGCCTTTTGTGGGCTTTGAGCTACTTTGCAAGTCTGTAAATTGTAGAAAACTAGAAAGCTGATAATAATGCAAATGACTTTGTTTATAGAAATGCAAATATTGTCTAGGGGAATACAACTGATTACTGCCCTATAGATATTGACCTAATTTGCCAGTTTGTATTCATTTTTCAAGTCTTAGCATGTCTATATATTTGTTTTCTCTTTGAATACTCCTTTGAAATGAGTTGTAACATTTTATTGATTCCCTCATTAATTAATGAGTTAAATAAAATTTTGCCACCCATTCACAATTACACTCCTTTTAAAATTTTTCCTTTAACAGTAAAAATTTTATTATAAATGGATAGTCACTGGAAAATTTTCTTCAACTCAGATGTCCATAGAAATGTAGTTAATTATTTGTTAAAATTTCTCTGATTTCCTTTACAAGAGATCTCACCTACTCACTGGAGATGGAGTGGTGAGCAATCTAATGTTAACCCAATCCAGATTAAAATTTAGTCTTATCCAATAATATAAACTCAGGTTTAACCCAGTCTTTTCCACTCAATCTCTCAGTTTCCCTCTTCTTTTCACTTCTTTTATGTTTATAGAGAACAGGGTAGGATTATAATGACCTAATTACTTCCTTGCTGGATTCTCAGTGGCTCTGCAGACCACTCTAAGTCTTTATTCCATCTTGCACATGGCCTCCAATCTAGAGGTCCATGCTAAAACCTCATTTCTCCCCAGCAGTCTCCATGAGGGGCCCAGTGCTTCTTAACTCAGTGTGGACACCATACTGACACCCAGAGAGGGTTGGGAGAGCCAACTAGACCCTCTTTTGCCATATCACACAATTTGTCTGAGAGGAGAAATGTGGGATTTAGGTATTTTTTTTTAATTTTATGACAACTAGAGATGTTTTAAAGTTGCAATTGAAAGAGGAAAAAAAATCTGGAGTTTACACCCAAAAGCGTAAATAATGGTTCCTCTGGACAGTGGAATTATGATGGCTTTCAAAGTTCCTTTTCCTTTTCTATATTTTCTGATTTTTAGTAAAGAATATATAAAACTTTTTGTTTAGGATTGCCCTGGCTATTGGGGCTTTTTTAAATTTTTGGTTCCATATGAATTTTACAGTAGTATTTTTCTATTTCTGTAAAAAAAATGATGCTAGTAATTTGATTGAAAGAGTGTTGAATCTATAGATAGCTTTGGGCATTCTGGCCATTTTTAATGGTGTTGATTCTTCCAAACCATGAGCAGGAAATGTTTTTCTATTTGTTTGTGTCATCTATTATTTTTCTCAGCAGTGTTTTGTAATTCTTTTTGTAGAGATCTTTCACCTCCTTGGTTAGATGTATTCCTAAGTATTTTATATATTTCTTGGTTATTATAAAGAGGACTGAGTTCTTGATTTGACTCTCAGCTTGAAAGTTAGATTGGAAAAAAGAAAATGTGGTAATATACACCATGGGATACTATGCAGCCGTTAAAAAGAATGAAATGATGTCTTTTGCAGCAACATGGCTGCAGCTGGAGGCCATTACCCTAAGTGAATTAGCACAGGAACAGAAAACCAGATACCACATGTTCTCACTTATAGGTGGGAGCTAAACATTGGTTACTCATGGACATACAGATGGCAACAATAGACACTGGGGACAGATAGAGGGCGGAGGTTGGGAGGGAAAGGGTTGAAAACCTACCTATTGAATACCATGCTCATTACCTGGGTGATGGGATCATTTGTACCCCAAACCTCAGCATCATGCAATATATTCTTGTAACAAACCTGCACATGTACCCTCTGAATTGAAAAGTTAAAATTATTTACAAAAAAAGAATAGATGTAACAAATTATTTATAAAAAAGAATATATAAAAGTAATAAAAGTCATTTTAAAGCAAGTTACAAAATTGTGTGAATAATGTGCCTTCAACATGTTAAAAACGTGTATACAAAAAAGACGTAAATAAATTACACTGAGACGTTAACAGTGATTGTTTAAGATTGTGCGCAATGTTTTTGTGTGTATGTATCTATTAAAATGTGGGGATACAACAAAACAGTTTCTGATGTTGGTTGGACTCAGCTGTTTCCAGCCTGGTGCTAATCAGTCTAGACTTCGGTTGGGTAATAGTCCCTTCAGAAATATTGTGTTCCACAGATATCGACTAAATTTCAATGTATTTAATATGGTCAGGCTTTGTGTCCCCACCCAAATCTCATCTTGAATTTTAATTCTCATAATCCTCATAATCCCCACCTGTCAAGGGAGAGACCAGGTGGAGGTAATTGAATCATGGGGATGGTTTTCCCCATGTTGTTCTTGTGATCAGGAGTGAGTTCTCACAAGATCTGGTGGTTTTATAAGGGAGTCTTCCTACTTCACTCGACACTTCTCCTTCCAGCTGCCTTGTGAAAAAGGTGCCTTGCTTTCTCCTTCACCTTCCGCCATGATATTAAGTTTCCTGAAGCCTCCCCAGCCATGCTGAACTGTGAGTCAATTAAGCTTGTTTCCTTTGTAAATTATCCAGTCTTGGGCAGTTCTTTACAGCAGTATGAAAATGGACTAATACAGTATTTATCAAGGTTCTACAAAGGAACAGAACGAATAGCAATGTGTGTGTGTCTGTGTCTGTGTTTATATAGAGAGAGCATCCAAGTCTTGTTTCTTATTTAAGCAAGAATGATCATAGTGTTTCATATTAAAATGGTGTGTATATATATGTAGTCTCTGATGCATATACTTAAGTTGAAGAATGGTCTTTCTAGCCATAGCTTAGTAATAATGTTTTAGTTTTGTTGCCACTGCTGTTGTTTCAGATAAGGAATGGATGTAATAGGGATTTTTCTTCCAAAATGCATTAAGAGATTTTTTTATTGCAAGCCATCCTTCAATTACTGAGCTAGGTCTTACTTAGCCATGATATATCCCTCATTTTAACATGTGTCAGAATTTTGTTATTTAGGTTTTTTGTATCTATGTTCATAACTGAGTTTGGCTTGTGGTTTTCCTTTTTTCTACTACCCTTGTCCAATTAAGGTATGAAGATCATGCTAGCCTTACAGAATAAGGTGAGAAACTTGTCATCATTTTATTTTATATATATTATATATATATATATATATATATATATATATATATATATATAGAGAGAGAGAGAGAGAGAGAGAGAGAGAGAGAGAGAGAGAGAGAGAGAAATTTATTTTTTTAAATTGGCTAACACAATTGTAGGGCTGGAAAGTCCAAATTTTGCAAGGCAGGCCAGCAGGCCAGAGACCCAGGGGAAGAGTTGACATTGCAGCGTCAAGTCCAAAGTCAGTCTGGAGGCAGAATTCATTTTTTCTCAGGGGACCTCAGTGTTGCTCTTAAGGCCTTCAACCAACTGGATGAGGCCTACCTACTTTATGGAGAGTAATCTGCTTTACTCAGTGTCTACTGATTTAAATGTTAATCACATCTTTAAAAAGGCATCCACAGTAAAATCTAGACTGGTGTTCCACTAAACAACTGGACACCATATTCTGTCCAAATTAGCACATAAAATTAACCGTCACAATCCCTATCTTCATAATTCTTTCTTACCTCATTGTAATCTCTCAAAAGATATTCCGCTCCCTTGTTAATGCTAACCCATCCACACGAGCTCTTGATCTCCCCTGCTTCTGTCTCTTCCAAAAATTTTTCACAATGATTTATTTTTTTCTGTTGTGTTATGAATCACTTCATTCTCACTCATCTCTCCCTCCAGGTAAACTTATTCTAGGCTGCCCTTATTTTAAATAACATTTCCTCATTGTATTAAACTCTCTAGCTACTACACTTTGGTCTGCTTAACTTCATTAGCAAATATCTTTTTAAAAATTTATTTATTATTTTAATTGTCTTTTTCTATGATCTGAAGCAATTCATAATCATAGGGATTGTCTGAACCTTACAGGTTTCCTAGAATTCTTCACATTGGACATGAGACTTTTAAAACTAGATCTTTGACTGCCTATTTAATTTATTCTATTATGGCCTATTTATTTAGGCTTCTGTTTTGTTTTGCTTGTGTATGAGAGTAAATTTATGTTTTACAAATATATCTGAAATTCTGTTAACTCTAGGGTAAGATACAAAGTAATCAAGCTCATTTACACATTCAGATGGTTACAGCTTTAATGAAGCTCTTATTTAACAATTAATTTTGACACCAAAATATAATAAAAACATATGGAATCTGCTATTCTTCTAGCTTGTCACAGATATTAACGAAAATCTGGCTTGTGTTGAGACAGGAAAACATTTTTGTCAATTAAAAAAAAAAATTGTTCACTTCCATTTTAATCTTTTAAATGGTTATTTCTTTCTGTAGTGTTTCTATTCTTACTGCATCCTTTATTTCTAAGTAGTTTTTATTTCTTTTTATTTTCATTTCCTCTGTTTCATGCTGAGAGCTTATTTCTTGTCTTTTACCCATATCAATACATAAGCTTTTGCTATTTTGTTTCTTGCATTCTTTTTTTTCTACCTTAAAGTTATCTGTTTATACTTGTGTTTTCTTTTTCATTTCTCAGAGTTGATTTATTTAACTCTTCTCTATTCAACTTTGGCAATATGTATTTTTCTAAAAATTAGACATGTAAAATTTATTGACTGATTTTTAAAAATCATCAATTTTATCTATTTTATTAAGTTATTGGCACAATGACAAACAGAGCAGTATCATTTTTAACAGTTCCTTTTGCTGTATAATTTTGGTCATTTTTAAGTCTTAATGTGGTTGATATCTTCTCTTTTTTAAATTTTTCAGCCTTGCCTACTTTTATAGTTTTTTTTCAATATCTTTTCAAAACACTAGTTTGGGTTTTATTGATGAAATTAACTAGAGTAAGTTTTTATACACAATTTATAATCACGATTTATATTTTTTATTAATTCCTTCGGTCCTGTTTGTTTAATTTTTTTTTTGGTTTTCTGTTCTTTTCTAATTGGGGGCTTAATTATTGTTTAAAAATTCATAGATGCCTGATAAATATCTAGGAGTACACCTTTTCCTTTGGGAACTATTTCAAATTCACCCTATTAGCAGTGATACCTGCTACTATCATCCTTCTTTATTTTCCAATAGTTGGCATTTTATTTCCTCTTAATCTCAACAGCTTTTTAGAGAGAGATTTTTAAATGTCCAAGAAATTTTTAAAAATATATTCTTTCATTATTAAGTTGAATTTTACTGCATCGTTTTTAGAGATCACATTTCACTGGTACAGTTTTCACTATTTTGCAAGTATCTTTGGCACATTGTTCTGGATAAACTTCTTATAAACAATATCACAGGATTTTTTTTTCTAAATTAAGCCTGAAAGAATTTAACTCATACATATTATTATTAATATGTTTGGGCTTATTTGTACCATCTATTTTATATTTTCTACATAGTATTCTTTTTATTGTTCTAATTTGTTTTCTTCTCTTTTGTCATGCAGATAGCATTTTTTCACTTCATTTACATTTCTCTGGTGCAAGTATCATTGGTAAACATTTTCTGTAAAGGGCCTGATAGTAAATACTTTTGTGGATCATACAGTCTCTGTCACAACTACTCAACTTGGTTAGAACACGAAAGCAGCCATAGACAATACACAAATGAATGAACATGGCTGTGCTCCAGTAAAACTTCAATAAAAAAAAAAATTAGGCATTTGGCCTAAGGGCTTGTTTCAGTGGGTCCTGGCTACCATAACAGTACCATAGACTAGGTGGCTTAAACAACAAACATGTCTCTCTCTCTCACAGTTCTGGAGGCTGGAAGTCCGAAATCAGGGTGCCAGCACAGTCAAGTTCTTGGTGAAGGTCCTCTTCTTGGTTACGCTCTTGCACAGCATAATTAGCACAATAATATGCAGAGCAGTATCACATTTTTAACAGTTCCTTTAGCTGTATAACTTTGGTTTTTTCTCATTCCTAATGTGGTTGATTTGTCTCCTCTCTCTTTAAATTTTACAGCCTTGCTTACTTTTGTAGTTTTTTTTCACGATCTTTTCAAAACACTAGTTTGTGGGGGTGGGGGGGGGCGGGGGTTATCGATAAAGTTAACTAGAGTCATTTTCTTGGTGCATGCACAGAGAGAGATCTTGTGTCTCCTCCTCTTTTTACAGGGGCATTAACGCCATCATGATGCTCCACCCTCATGATCTCATCTAACCCTAATCACCTCTCAAAAGTACCTCCAAATACCATCACAATGGGGATTAGGGTTTCAACATATGAATTTGGAGGGGACACAAACATTCAACCCATAACACGACTATTGTTTCCTGCCCCTGCTCTAGTGTTTTGTGTTGTAAGAACTATTTTAAAGCCGTCTAGTGGAGGGCCTCCCTTCAATTTTCCTTATTGCATCTTTCTGGAAATTCTATTAGGTCATATCTCTTAATCCATTTCTCACATTTACATCTCCTTATTACACTTACTCCTGAAGCTTTTTCTTTTTGTTAATGGCAGTAGTACATGGACACAATAACAAATCAAATAGTAAAGGAAAAGCGACACCCTCCCATCTTATCACTCAGTTCCTACCTACAGGCCCTAACTGCTCTTTGTGCCTTTTTAAAAAATTTTTTTCTGGTCATAATGCCAAGTAATATGTTTATACCTCTATTCCTTATCTCCCTGATATGAAAGATAGTGATTTAGTTGAATTATGTTACCTTCCTCTATGTTACTATGTTCTTGCCTCTCTTCCCCAAATTTGATATCTGTAACATAGCTTTAGCTCTACTAATAGTTATCTTAATCCAATCAACTTTGGCAGGATTTTTAAAAATAGATTTTACTTTTTGGAGCTGTTTTAGGTTCTCAGCAAAAGCAAAACTGAGCATAAGGTACAGAGATTTCTTATATCGCCACTTCAATAGAGTATTTTTTTAATTCCACAGTTTGTAAGAAGGAATATTAATAATCAATTATAATAGTGATCCTAAAACCAAAGACAAAGGGATTATTGTCTTATACTACACTAATTGTTTAAAATTGTGCCTTATTTTCTTTTTAATATTCAGATCATGGCTTTCTTATTCACCTTTCTTTCTTCTCTCTTTTTGCTTCTGTTTTAGTCTGTTTCAACTACTATAATAAAATATGAAGTGGGTGGCTTATAAACAACAGAAAATGATTTCTCACAGTTCTGGAGGCTAGGAAGTCCAAGATCAAGTTATCAGCAAATTCAGTATCTGGCAAGGCCTCTTGGTTCACAGACAGCTATAGTCTTGCTGTGTCCACAGCAGAAGGAAAAGGTTGCTCTCTGAGCCTCTTTTATAAGGGCACTAATCCCAATCTTGAGGGCTCTGCTCTCATGAGCTAGCCCCTCCCACGAATACCTTACACTGGGAGTTAGAATTTAGCAAACATTCAGTCTAAAACACATCTTATCTCCTTATTACATGATGCTCTTTTTTATATACTTTTTTCATCATACCACCTATTCTCGAGTTCCCTGTCATTTTCCTGAAGATGTCTCTCCTGGAAATCTATCTATCCATCCTCTGTTCCTCTCTGCATTGGTTGCTCTTCAGGCCTGTTCTGCAGTTGTTTTCCAAATATCTCTCTTCACTGCCCTCCTGGGCCGAGGCTTCTGTTTGCTGAATTGCATGCTGTCTTCTTCTTGGTCAGTTTGCCCCTAATTTTATTGGTTACATCCTCAAGGGCAATTACATTTTTAACTTCTAAAAGTCTTTTATGCTCTCTAATTGTTCTTTTTCCTAACAACCTTTTATTGACTTTTCTTTACAATATCCCCATGAGAATATTTTTTAAGTTCTCAGTCCTTCCATTTTCTCTACTGCTTCTGTAGTTTGTGTACTTGTTCCTATTGGTCCTCCTTTCATTTAGTTGCTTTTCTTCAAATATTTGATGATCTTTTGTTGTTCATTCTTATCTATGAGTGAGAAGCTTAATTGGTTACCTAGTAATCAATTGGTATGGGTTTTCTCTCCCATGAATGGCAGAGTAGACTGCAGGGCTTATGTAACTGGGTGCAACCTATTTATTAGAAGGCTTCACTTCAGGGCACCTGGGCATGGAGCAGGCAGGCTAGCTGGAGTTCCCAGTTGCTAAAATAAGAAGGGATTTTCTGGCCTGGCACAGTGGCTCACGCCTGTAATCCCAGCACTTTGGGAGATGAAGGTGGGAGGATCACTGAGGTCAGGAGTTCAAGACCAGCCTGGCCAACATGGCAAAACCCTGTCTCTACTAGAAATTCAAAAATTAGCTGGGTGTGGTGGCGTGCACCTGTAATCCCACCTACTCAGGAGGCTGAGGTAGGAGAATTGCTTGAACCTGGGGGGCGGAAGTTGCAGTAAGCCAAGTTCGCACCACTACACTCAAGCCTGGGAGATAGAGCGAGACTCCATCTCAAAAAAAAAAAAAAAAAAAAAGAAGGAATTTTCTGCGACGGTGGCTATCCTCCCTCCTGGACAGGGCTTTTTTATTCCTTTAGTTTGACTGCATTTCTCTCTCAGACAGCTGTACCCTCCTTAGAATTCTATCCTAGCTGGTGTATAAGTTTTCTTTGGCCTGTATCTTGAGGATTTTAGCTTTAGGTTAGTGATGCTTTTGCAATTCAGTTGCTGGGGCTCCTATCCTAATTAAATTATTAATTATATTTTTATTGCCCAGTGCTCTGCTCAGTTCCTGGTATTTCTTCACTTTATTTTTAGAATTTCAGTGGATTTTGTCTTATTGTCTCAGTGGTTTCCTCATGTACATAATGTATTTTGGGTTTCCTCAACTCTTGTCAATCCAAGCCCATTGATTTTTTCTTTCTTTGGGTGCACCTCACAATTTCTGGTTTGCCGATAGTGACTTTTCCTGCTTGCTAGTGCCGATATGGCTATACATGACAAACAGTCTGTAAATGTAAGGGATTTGGGTCGGTATTTACATAGACATCACATTCATTACCCTGGTTTATTTATTCTTATAGAGGTCGTTTAAGCTAGTCATTTGGTGGGATAGTTTTAATTTCTTGCTTCAAGCCACAGTGTTATTGCCCTGCAATAGTTTTATGTGAGCAAGTGGTTCGTACTTACTGGGCAATCATACTTTCCAGAAATTTTAAGTGTCTGAACCCTTATATTTGCACATGGCTATTGCTCTATGTATAGTTGTATTTTTTGTGTGTAATTAATAAGCCACCAGCCCATGATGCTAAATTCTAAGAGCAAAGATGTCTTTAAAATGAAACTGAATGCTTTAGCTTTCCTTTGTAGCACTTTGTATCATCATAGACTCCTGAATTGTTTCTTCAACATGATAGCCTTCAACCAAATAAACATGTGACACCTACTGACTACATTTATTTTTCCACTTTGGAAAGACCCGTCGTGGTAGAAGGGGATGTTAATAGACTTGCCCAGTGGAGCTTATTAAGTTAGTTCTTAAAAGAGGAACTGAATGGAATGGTAATAACACAGATTCTCAATAGCTCAATGGCCCTCCCCAGCAGAGAAAAGGCTGACCTCATTTCTGGATTACTCTCTGACATAAATTTCTCAGTCACAGGATATTTCAGAGAATTTTACATGAAACTCAGGAAAACCACATTCCACCCACATTTGGTCTTGACAGAGACTCATGTTGTGACATATATACTTTTCTATTATGTATACTAGAAAAGAAAAATCTCAGAATGGAAATTTGGGAACTTGCTGGGCTTACCAAAACTGAAAATATAACTGTGGCTGGGTTCTTGTAGAACTGAGTGATAAAGAAATTGTCTTTTATAAGTTTCAGAAAAGAGATGGTATTTTTATGTGGGTAACCTTTGAGAACCAGCAAATCACTAACATGGAAGATACCCAAATTCCCCATCTTAAGAATATAGTAGAAGTGTAATTTTAAGATTAAAATGCAAGTCCACACATATGTAGCTAAGAACACAAGCCCTCTAAGATGAGCCAAGAAAAAAAAATTACTGATGTTTGACTCAGTTAGCTATTCTTTCTGACAGGAGATTAAAGCCGCCTGTGAGATTTCTTTGACTCGTGATTCATTTAATTCGTTTAGACATTGCCAGCAGAGCAAGCTACGACAAAGCAGATCCATCTTAACAAGCTCACTCCTGGCTGTTCTAATAAAGAAAAATAATTGAATTGCTGATTTTGATTTTTCAAAATGCACTCAGCATTTGAGTATTTGGCTTCACACTCCAAATAAACATAGAAATATTTATTACATCATCTTCCCCAGAGTGAATGGGAAAAAAAGCACACACACAGAATTAGCTCCAGGTAGCCTTTAAACTAGTGTAGCACTGAAGTATGTTTGCTGTGTTTAGTTTATTATAATTGAATTTTTAACTTAAAATCTTACTGTCTTATTTGGAAGAAGCACCAGTTCAAAGCACATAGGTCTACGTTGATAAATGAATAACGCTGATGTTAAGCACATTTATTATGAATGTTATTTCTCAAGATGCACCTGCTGCAGCGGAGAAGAATCAGTCCTGGTCAAAGTGAGCAGTAGGTAGAGCTGAAGCAATAAGCTGGTGGTCAGACATATTTATTCAACCTGAGCACTGTTTTTAAAAAAAATGCATAAACATTTGAAAATCAGGAGACTCCACATAAAAATTCAGACATGCGGTTCCCTTGCAAATTTACAGGAATTAGCAACAGGAAAGCTCATTTCCAATCCTCAGGTGCTAAGTAGCAGTAGATTCCTCCATTGCTTGCAGTGTGCGCACATGCACTTCACCAAGCTGGCCTCATTTGTATTTCCTGCCTGATCTGTAACACAGGTTTGGGACCACTGATAAAGACAGTAAAGCATAAAACTTAGAATTAAAAGACCTCTATACTCATTCCACTGTTAGCACCAAGGCAATGCTCATTTGGATGTAGCTAGCATCTAGACAGCTAGATCTTATCCAAATATACTGATGATGGGCTGTGTATCATCATTAAGAGGCAGCTTTACCACAGCTATGTCCAATGCACAGCAAACTTGCTCAATTAATTACAACAAAGTGGATGGTCTCTGTATCTTGACTAGGATGGGAGGGGAGAGGGTTATAATTAAAGTCGTATCTAGAACCTGGAACTTTAGATATTATCTAATTTAAACTTCACAATAAGGTCATGAGGATGGTGTTTTATAGATAGAAAAGCAAAGTTAAGGAAAATAAGATGACTTGATGTTAAACAATTACTAAGTGGTAGGGCAGCTATTCAAAGCCAACTCTGTGTGACTAAAAAAAATAAAATCTACATTTTATCAATTTTATAACATCTCTTTGGAGACATATCCCCTCTCAATAAAATGAGAATGTTAATCCTTTGACTCTCAGAGGTATGCACTATATTAATTTTTATGTTTGTGATTCTATGGGGGGATATTAGCTCATATTACCAATATTTCAGCTTTAAAATATAGAAAACTTTAAACAGAACCCTTTTATACAACCTCCCAGTGAGCAGTTATCCTCCCTTATATGAGTTTGGCAGCAGCTATAATAGAGAGTCAAATTAGCAGTGGCTCAAACACATTAGAAATGTATTTCTTGGAGTTTCATACTTTCTGTGACTCCCACGTGCTTGCACATTAATAAATTTGCATGCCTTTGTCCTATTAAAAAATGTATTTCTCCTCACATAATAGTCTGAGATTAAGCATTTCACAGCCAGTATTATGAGTTCCAAGTGGTTAGGACTCAAGTTCTTTTTAATCTTCTTCCACTGCCCTAGAGTGATGTTCTCATCCCATGTACAAGATGGCTTGCTACCACATTGCACACATTATTTTCACTCATATCTCATTAACAATAATGTAATGAAATAACCACACCTACATATGAAAGAGTCTGGGGAATGTAGTTATTGTCTAAGGCACCCTGTGCCTCGCTAAAATTTTATTATCATGGAAGGAGGAGGAAACCAGTACTGTGAGACAGTGATCCATCTCAGGCAGATCCTTTAAAACTTACACATAAAGTACAACCATACCATACTTCTCCCTTCTGATGTAGATGCCTGTCTGTACTAGTAACCACTTGACTTTTTCTTCTTTCTATTTTTGTGTCACTGTCAAAGTCCTGAGCCTTTAAAAAGTCCTCCTATTTTCTGTGAGTAAAATTAGGAGATGATGAAAGTATGATTTCATGAATCACATGATTTATTGCCACACCAAGATAATTTTTTTCTTAGGTTGGCAATGCTTAAAGAGGGAGAGAATAGCAAGAACAAATGTCGAGGAAATATGCTTGATAAACGTGGTACATTAACCACATAGTGAGTGAGTTCCAAAATTGTTAAAGTTTAGTTGATCGATTATGATGGAGGCAGACCTCTGTGGAAAGTAAAGTCTAATGGAAGTTTGAGGTGTACCTTTATGCAAGTGGTTCTTGAGAGAGGCTGGCTTCACCAACTAGATGGAGGAAGACCACCAAGGTTGGTGAAGACACATAAGTTCCCTCCATGCTAGAGGACAGTGCTGGTGTTGGATGGTGAGGTTTCAGAGATTAGCTCAAAGGCTAACAGGTGTGGCCCTGTCATAGACTGAGCTCTCAGTCTTCAGACAAGTGGCTAACAAGAGTATAGCCCTGTAGTAGACTGAACTCTTCAAGTGTCTGTCAAACTCTTGGGCTTATATGTATTTTGAAGTCCAATCGTTGAGGTCAATAGCTCGTATATGGGGTCTCATAAGGTGTGACATCTCAGTCTTGAGGAGAGGGAGAATTCACTCCAAGTTCTTGTCATAGAAAAATATATGTCACCCAAGTTGCAAACTATGAATCATTTCACAGCTACCTAATACCTCCCTAGGTTAGGTCTTATGTCCACACTTGATCACATCAGATTTCTTCCTGTTCCATTTGTCAGTGTTTCCCTCTCCCAACTCTGTATATTTTGTGGTGGTGTTCTCATTTGGAAATTACTAGCCCTCTATATGTCAACAAGTGTCAATCTTCCTCCAGGTTAACTTTAAAATACAAATTTGTAATACATCTTTGTGGAGGTAGGATGATTTTCTTAGGTGGGGATTTCTTTTCATATTCAATAGCGTACTATTTTGACTGGAAAGGGCAAAACAGTATATGATTACATTTCTTTGGTAGTATCAGGTATATAGATATGCACTTAACAAGTAGCAATCAGCTATAGTCGTGATTCTCATGTTTTGTAGAGCCATTGAGTATCTATTAGACAGAAACAACTGCAATAGTCATCATCAACAATTAATAATCCATAAATTGATCTATAGATTTAATGCAATCCTAATTAACACCTTATCAAGCTTTTTATTGACGTTGACAAGCTGATTATAAAATTCAAATGAAAATGCCAAGGACACGTAAAAGCCAAGACAAACTAAAAAATATTGGAGAACAACTAATACCTAATTTCAAGTCTTATTAAGATACAGTGACTCAGACAATATAGTATTAGCATTAAATAGATGACTGAAACATAACAGGGAATCCAGAAATAGACTCATACATTTATAGACAACTGTTTTTCAACAAAGGTGTAAAGGAATTGAGTGGAGAAAGGATAGTCTTTTCAGTAAATGTAATGAAAGAATTGAAATACATATGCAAAAAATGAACACTGATCTACATCTCACATCATATACAAAAATTGACTTGAAATATAGACTTAAATGATCAAAAGCATGATCCATGAAGCCACAAATTGATAAACCGGACTTCATGAAAATTTAAAACTTCTGCTCTTCAAAAAACACTGTTAAGAGAATAAAGAAACAAGGCACAGACTGAGAGAAAAATATTTGCAAATGATATATCTAGTTAAAGCACTTATATCCAGAAAGTATAAAGAAATCTTGAAACCCAATAATGAGAAAATGGGTAAGTCAAAAGGCTGGTGTGTTGAGGGTTGGGGGGATGCCGGGAGAAAGGCAAGCAAAAGATTTGAACATATTCTTCACCAAAGAAGGTGGTAAATAGGCTCATGAAAAAATGCCCAACACCATTAGTCATTAGGGAAATGCAAATTAAAACCACAATATGACATCATTATGAACCTATCAGAATGGTTAGTATTTAAAAGTCTGACAATACCAGATATTAGTGAGGATGTGGAACAACTGCTGGTAGGAATATAAAATAGCATACTTTGGAAATTGTTGTGTAGTTTCATTTAAAGTTAAGCATACGATTGCCATATGATCCAGTCATTCTATACCTGGGTATCTTTTCCAAAAGAAATGAAATCATATATCACTTGTACATTAAGGTTCATAGCAGCTTTATTTGTAAGAGCCCCAAACTGCAAACAACTCAAATGTCCATCAAGAGATGAGTGAATAAACAAATTGTGCATATCCATACAATGGAAAACTATCTGCAACAAAATGAGATGAGCTATTTATTGATATATGCAACAACTGATGAATTTCAAAGTAATTATGCTGAGTGAAAGAAGTCAGACAAAGAGTACATACTATATAAGTCTATTTATATAAAACTCTAGAAAATGCAAACTAATGCAGAGTGACAAAAATTAGGTCAGTTCTTGCCTGGGGTGGAATTAAAGAGAGGGGCTCATCACAAAGGGGCTGCAGGAAGAAATATTTTGGAGTGGTAGAACTCTTCTGTATCTTGATTGCTGTGGGGGTGGTTACATATTCTGCTTGTCAAAGCTCACAAAACTATATTGCCTCTAGGATAGTATAGCTTAAAATTACCTTTCAATAAATGAATTGATAGGCTCTTGGTATATACCAGAAATAAAATTGATTTTTAATAAAGAAAATGGAATCTAAAATATCCATTAATTTTCCTCATTGTTTTCCTCCATGCTGGGCTATAAGATAACACAAAGTGTAACTGTAGTTAAAAAAATTATTCATTGTTTATTTAAAATTCAAATGTAACTGAATGCCCTAGTTATTGTTTTTGCTAAATCTGGCAACCCCAATATATCTATATCTATATCTATATCTATATCTATATCTATATCCTATCTATCTGTCATTCTGACTGTCTGGTATAAGTGCCATGTCTATTTTTAAGCAATTTAACTTTGTGAAGAATCTTCCAAGATAAACTGTGTGCAAACTGTTTTCCCAGGTAATAAAACACAATGATCAGTGATTTAAAGTTATCTGATATAAATCAATCAAGTGCTGGAGGCCAACTACCAAAAATGATTATTTTTGTTTAAAGTAATTAAAGCATTACCATTGGCAATAATAGGCTGTCAGACCAGTTTTCTCTGAGGCCACTGATAGTTCAAGAAAATAAAACATCATTAGCATATATTGCAAAGCAGTTTATACAAAAGTGGGATAAAATCACTAAGCCACAGGGTAAAAAAGGAAGACATTTGAACAAAAACATTTCCCTGTTTTACTCTGCTAAAATTAATGTCTTGTAAACTAAGATAAGATTCTAGGAAATGATTGCTGCTACCCACCTTTCTACTAACAACTCCAGGATACATGTCTATTTTGAGCCAAACAGCAGTTTAAACCAATGCAGGGCTAGGTGTTAACATGGCCTTGGGTTCTGGGGGTACCCAGGGGAGAAACTGAGGTGAGGGCTTCCCCTGGGTCTGGGCAAGAGCCTGAGACCCACATCAGATTACCCAGGAAGAGGATCAGAAAACAAGATTTGGAAAAAGCTTGCCCCTCAGGGATCCACTTACCATGGAAAGAAGGTAGTGTAAGACACATATTAAAGTCACTGGCTCCCTACCCCTAAAAAAGCCAAGAAATTTGCTGAGTAGTTATGCTAAGTCCTGTGATTCCTGAGGCTAGAGGAAAAGTTTGGGAACCTGGAGGCTTCTTCTGGTAGCTAGAGACTAGCAACTTGCCTGCCATTGCATTGCCAGCCTGTGTGGTGGAGTGCCACCATCCATCACTCACCACACTGCCAGGAGCTTAGGTGCTTCATTAGCTACCCCAGAACATGTTAATGCTGTAAAAACCCTGCTAAGGGCTGGGCACAGTGGCTCACACCTGTAATCCCAGCACTCTGGGAGGTCGAGGTGGGTGGATTGCTTGAGGCCAGGAGTTCGAGACCAGTCTAGACACAGTGAAATCCTGTCTGTACTAAAAATACAAAAATTAGCCAGGCATGTTAGTGCACACCTGTAATCCCAGCTACTTGGGAGGCTGAGGCAGGAGAATCACTTGGACCTGGGAGGCGGAGGTTGCAGTGAGCTGAGATTGTGCCACTGCACTCCAGCCTGGGTGACAGAGCAAGACTCTGTCTGAGACAACAACACCTACAAAAACCCTGCTAAGGGCCCACAGCCCAGAGAGACAAAGATCACTCTGGACAAATACAACATTCCTGGTGAAAGAGAACTGCTGTAAGAGAAACATAAGGGAAAAGTGTTCAAGAAGATGCAGGTGATATACACATGCACACACACACATATTTTCTGGTGCTAAAACAAGCCATAGTTTCCCTATGAAACAACTTAGCACATGAATTGAAGGTGAGGATTGTCATCCCAGAGGTTAAAAAAAAAATGGCCTGAAAGACTATGGAAGAAATAGCTCAAAGGACACTCATGTGAAATCAGGATAGAAATCATGAGAGGACAGAGAAGAAGACTTGGGGACAGATTTAGTAGACATAACATGTAATAGAAATAGAAAGAAATAAATTATAAAACTGATAATATAAGAAAATTTCTGGGAGCTAAAGACCCAAGTCTACAGACTAAAAGAAATTGCAGAGAAATAGGCAGGGTTAATGAGGAAAGAACACACACTTAGGCATATCCAGGGAAATTTGTGAAGCCCTGGAATAAAATAAAGTTGTACAAATTTCCAGCCAGTAAAAGCAAATTATCTACATGAAAAATGACAGTACAGGAAAAGAAAATAATAATTCATGGAATTAATTAAACAAATATAATGGAAAAGTAGAGTTGAATATTTACATTAAGAAGGGAAGACATGGCCGAGTGCGGTGGCTAACGCCTGTAATCCTAACACTTTGGGAGGCCAAGGAAGGTGGGTCACCTGAGGTCAGGCGTTCGAGACCAGCCTGGCCAACATGGTGAAACCCTGTCTCTACTAAAAATACAAAATTAGCTGGGTGTGGGGGTGCATGCCTGTAATCCCAGCTACTTGGGAGGCTGAGGCAAGAGAATCACTTGAACCTGGGAAGGTGGAGATTGCAGTGAGCCGAGATAGCTCCATTGCACTCTAGCCTGGGCAACAAGAGCAAAACTCTGTCTCAAAAAAAAAAAAAAAAAAAAGAAGGGAAGACATAGCACAAATTGTAAGTTGATCGAATCAGCAGAAATGAGAAAAATGAAACAGAAGAAACATTTAAAAAAAAAGACATAAAGTAAAATAGAAAACATAAAAGTAAGTATATCAATCATAACATTAAAGAAAAATGGGCTAGTTTCTTCCATTAAATGTCAGAGATTGTCAAATTTGTTAAAATATAAAACCTAACTGCAAACAACTTAGAACAAAGTGGTTTAAAAAAAAAAGATTAAAACTCAAGAGATAGGAGGTCATACTTCCTGTTTGTTGGAGAAAGGAGAGGAAGGAAAGCATGAGGAGCCACTGTGGCCACCAGCGCAGCTCTGTGGAGCCCTACAGAGTGCTGCAGAGCCCAGAGGAACCTGGAGACCACACCACCCACCTGTCCTGCTACTCACCACCACCACACATCCTCGGACCTGTTCTCACCATGTGTTAAAGCATGGGGGTTACTGTGAGGTTCTAGGCGTGCAGACCTGCCTACCCCAGCATATTAAAAAGGCATATCAGGAAACTGGCACTGAATTGCCACCCAGATAATCCTGAAAATAAGGAAGTAGCACGGAGTAGTGAGGTGTGTGAGGTGTTACCAGATGCTAGAAAAAAAGACACATCTATGACAAATATGGCAAAGAAGGATTAAATGGTAGTGGAGAAGATGGAAGTCATTTTGACAGTCTGAGTTTGGCTTAACATTCCGTCTTCAGGGAAGTTTTTGGTGGAAGGGACCCATTTCCATCTGACTTCTTTGAAGGCCCATTTGGGGGCATTTTTGCAGGGAATGGGGAGGAATTGAAGAGATTCCTAAAGAAACAGAAGCCGAGGGATGGGGCCATTTTTCTCTGCCTTCAGTGTACTCCCATCTTTTGGAATTGGGCTTTGTTCTTTTGGAACAGGGTTTATTTCATTTGGGTCACTAGGTCATGGAGGCATTATTTCCAAGTCATTTGATAGTAATGAGATGGGCAACTTCAAATCTATATCAACTCCTATTAAAATAGCTAATGGCAGAAAAATTACTAGGAAGAGGTTAAGAGACAGTAGAAGTTGAAGAAGATGGCCAGTTAAAGTCCTTAACAATAAATGGTAAAGAGCATCATCCACACTTGGATAACACGTACTTCAATGCATCTATAGAATGGAAATGTTAAACTCTAATAAGCACCATTTGAGGATTAGCAGTAACATATTTTGAAGATGTTGAATGAAGTTGATTTTCAGTATATTGTACCTAATCTGAAGCATTTATAAATAACTCATCAGAACTACTATTTGTCATAGACTTTTGAGTTTATTGTTGGGACCACATAATAGGACCAATTTGCTTTTATCTTTAAAAGTGTTGTAAATCTCTGTATGCACTTTGCTTTAATATTAAACCTACTCCAAGGTGAACAGTGACTCTCTAGAAATTGCTGAACAAGATTGTACACTAACACCAGCATGGATCTGTTTGTCCATTGTGTCTGAAATGTAAACCAAGTAGTTTCAGCCTGCTATGAAGTTAACATTGCCAGGATGAGCCTTTTATAGAAATAATTTCAATTTTTTCAGTATCTCACAGTGATAGATATGAATGCATTAATGGTAATACATTTCTGGCTTAGTATAAATTAAGGGTGTTTTCTAGTTGTGCATAAATGCTGACAACTTAGCAAGTTTTGACAATTGTTTAAATATGTAATGTTAAGCTTGGATTTAAAAAGTAAAGCTGGTAAACTGGGTCTTTGTGATTTTATTAAAAAATATATAAATGCACATGTGTTTGGTGAAAAAAGACATAAAAATAAGCAAATGCAAAGGAAATGAAAGCAAGAGTGATGGTATACTGTCAGACAAGGTTGATTTATGGTTAAAGGCACTTACAAATAAAGAAGGACATTATGCAATTATTAAAGTTTCAGAGCGGTGGAGCCAAGATGACTGAATAGGAACAGCTCCAGTCTATAGCTCCCAGCGTGAGCGATGCAGAAGACAGGTGATTTCTGCATTTCCAACTGAGGTACCGGGTTCATCTCACTGGGGAGTGCCAGACAGTGGGTGCAGGACAGTGGGTGCAGCACACTGAGCGTGAGCCGAAGCAGAGTGAGGCATTGCCTCACCCGGGAAGCACAAGGGGTCAGGGAGTTCCCTTTCCTAGTCAAAGAAAGGGGTGACAGAGGGCACCTGGAAAATCCGGTCACTCCCACCCTAATACTCACTTTTCCAACGGGCTTAACAAATGGCACACAAGGAGATTATATCCCGCACCTGGCTCAGAGGGTCCTATGCCCGCAGAGCCTCACTCATTGCTAGCACAGCAGTCTGAGATCAAACTGTAAGGCAGCAGCGAGGCTGGTGGAGGGGCGCCTGCCATTGCTGAGGCTTGAGTAGGTAAACAAAGCCACTGGGAAGCTCAAACTGGGTGGAACCCACCACAGCTCAAGGAGGCCTGCCTGCCTTTGTAGGCTCCACCTCTGGGGGCAGGGCACAGACAAACAAAAGGCAGCAGTAACCGCTGCAGACTTAAATGTCCCTGTCTGACACCTTTGAAGAGAGTAGTGGTTCTCCCAGCATGCAGCTTGAGATCTGAGAACAGGCAGACTGCCTCCTCAATTGGGTCCCTGAACCCCGAGTAGCCTAACAAGGAGGCACCCCCCAGTAGGGGCAGACTGACACCTCACATGGCCGGGTACTCCTCTGAGACAAAACATCCAAAGGAACGATCAGGCAGCAGCATTTGCAGTTCACGAATATCCGCTGTTCTGCAGACACCGCTGCTGATACCCAGGCAAACAGGGTCTGGAGTGCACTTCCAGCAAACTCCAACAGACCTGCAGCTGAGGGTCCACAAACAGAAACGACATCTACACCAAAAACCCATCAGTAAGTCACCATCATCAAAGACCAAAGGTAGATAAAACCACAAAGATGGGGAAAAAACAGAGCAGAAAAACTGGAAACTCTAAAAATCAGAGTGCTTCTCCTCCTCCAAAGGAACGCAGCTCCTCACCAGCAATGGAACAAAGCTGGATGGAGAATGACTTTGACAGGTTAAGAGAAGAAGGCTCCAGAAGATCAAATTATTCCCAGCTAAAGGAGGAAGTTCAAACCAATGGCAAAGAAGTTAAAAACTTTGAAAAAAATTAGATGAATGGCTAACTAGAATAACCAATGCAGAGAACTCCTTAAAGGACCTGATGGAGCTGAAAGCCACGGCATGAGAACTACGTGATGAATGCACAAGCCTCAGTAGCCGATGTGATCAACTGGAAGAAAGGGTACCAGCGATGGAAGACGAAATGAATGAAATGAAGCAAGAAGAGAAGTTTAGAGACAAAATAATAAAAAGAAATGAACAAAGCCTCCAAGAAATATGGGACTATGTAAAAAGACCAAATCTACATCTGATTGGTGTACCTGAAAGTGATGGGGAGAATGGAACCAAGTTGGAAAACATTCTGCAGGATATTATCCAGGAGAACTTCCCCAATCTAGCAAGGCAGGCCAAAATTCAAATTCAGGAAATACAGAGAACGCCACAGAGAGACTCCTCAAGAAGAGCAACTCCAAGACACATAATAGTCAGATTCACCAAAGTTGAAATGAAGGAAAAACAGTTAAGGGCAGCCAGAGAGAAAGGTTGGGTTACCCACAAAGGGAAGCCCATCAGACTAACAGCTGATCTCTTGGCACAAATTCTAAAGCCAGAAGAGAGTGGGGGCCAATATTCAACATTCTTCAAGAAAAGAATTTTCAACCCAGAATTTCATATCCAGCCAAACTAAGCTTCATAAGTGAAGGAGAAATAAAATCCTTTACAGACAAGCAAATGCTGAGAGATTTTGTCACTATGAGACCTGCCCTAAAAGACCTCCTGAAGGAAGCACTAAACATGGAAAGGAACAACCGGTACCAGCCACTGCAAAAACAAGCCAAATTGTAAAGACCATCAAGGCTAGGAAGAAACTGCATCAACTAACGAGCAAAATAACCAGCTAACATCATAATGACAGGATCAAATTCACACATAACAATATTAACCTTAAATGTAAATGGGCTAAATGCTCCAATTAAAAGACACAGGCTGGCAAATTGGATAAAGACTCAAGACCCATCAGTGTGCTGTATTCAGGAGACTCATCTCATGTACAGAGACACACATAGACTCAAAATAAAGGGATGGAGGAAGATCTACCAAGCAAATGGAAAACAAAAAAAAGCAGGGGTTGCAATCCTAGTCTCGGATAAAACAGCCTTTAAACCAACAAAGATCAAAAGAGACAAAGAAGGCCATTACATAATGGTAAAGGGATTAATTCAACAAGAAGAGCTAACTATCCTAAATATATATGCACCCAATACAGGAGCACCCAGATTGATAAAGCAAGTCCTTAGTGACCTACAAAGAGACTTAGACTCCCACACAATAACAATGGGAGATTTTAACATCCCACTGTCAACATTAGACAGATCAATGAGACAGAAAGTTGACAAGGATATCCAGGATTGAACTCAACTCTGCACCAAGCGGACCTAATAGACATCTTCAGAACTCTCCACCCCAAATCAACAGAATGTACATTCTTTTCAGCACCACACCAAACCTATTCCAAAATTGACCACAGTGTTGGAAGTAAAGCAATCCTCAGCAAATGTAAAAGAACAGAAATTATAACAAACTGTCTCTCAGACCACAGTGCAATCAAACTAGAACTCAGCATTAAGAAACTCACTCAAAACCACTCAACTACATGGAAACTGAACAACCTGCTTCTGAATGACTACTGGGTACATAATGAAATGAAGGCAGAAACAAAGATGTTCTTTGAAACCAACGAGAACAAAGACACAATATACCAGAATCTCTGGGACACATTCAAAGCAGTGTGTAGAGGGAAATTTATAGCACTAAATACCCACAAGAGAAAGCAGGAAAGATCCAAAATTGACACCCTAACATCACAATTAAAAGAACTAGAGAAGCAAGAGCAAACACACTCAAAAGCTAGCAGAAGAGAAGAAATAACTAAGATCAGAGTAGAACTGAAGGAAATAGAGACACAAAAAACCCTTCAAAAAGTCAATGAATCCAGGAGCTGGTTTTTTGAAAAGATCAACAAAATTGATAGACCGCTAGCAAGACTAATAAAGAAGAAAAGAGAGAAGAATCAAATAGACGCAATAAAAAATGACAAAGGGGATATCACCACTGATCCCACAGAAATACAAACTGCCATCAGAGAATACTATAAACACCTCTATGCAAATAAACTAGAAAATCTACAAGAAATGGATAAATTCCTTGACACATACACCCTCCCAAGACTAAACCAGAAAGAAGCCGAATCTCTGAATAGACTAATAACAGGCTCTGAAATTGAGGCAATAATTAATAGGTTACCAACCAATAAAAGTCCAGGACCAGATGGATTCACAGCCGAATTCTACCAGAGGTACCAGGAGGAGCTGGTACCATTCCTTCTGAAACTATTCCAATCAATAGAAAAAGAGGGAATCCTCTCCTCCCTAACTCATTTTATGAAGCCAGCATCATCCTTATACCAAAGCCTGGCAGAGACACAACAAAAAAGGAGAATTTTAGACAAATATCCTTGATGAACATTGATGCAAAAATCCTCAATAAAATACTGGCAAACCGAATCCAGCAGCATATCAAAAAGCTTATCCACCATGATCAAGTGGGCTTCATCCCTGGGATGCATGGCTGGTTCAACATACACAAATCAATAAACGTAATCCAGCATATAAACAGAACCAATGACAAAAACCACATGATTATCTCAATAGATGCAGAAAAGGCCTTTGACAAAATTCAACAGCCCTTCATGCTAAAAACTCTCAATAAATTAGGTATTGATGGGTTGTATCTCAAAATAATAAGAGCTCTCTATGACAAACCCACAGCCAATATCATACTGAATGGACAAAAACTGGAAGCATTCCCTTTGAAAACTGGCACAAGACAGGGATGCCCTCTCTCACCACTCCTATTCAACATAGGGTTGGAAGTTCTGGCCAGGGCAATCAGGCAGGAGAAGGAAATAAAGGGCATTCAACTAGGAAAAGAGGAAGTCAAATTATCCCTGTCTGCAGATGACATGACTGTATATTTAGAAAACCCCATCATCTCAGCCCAAAATCTCCTTAAGCTGATAAGCAACTTCAGCAAAGTCTCAGGATACAAAATCAATGTGCAAAAATCACAAGTATTCTTACACACCAATAACACACAAACAGAGAGCCAAATCATGAGTAAACTCTCATTCACAATTGCTTCAAAGAGAATAAAATACTTAGGAATCCAACTTACAAGGGATGTGAGGGACCTCTTCAAGGAGAACTACAAACCACTGCTCAAGGAAATAAAAGAGGATACAAACAAATGGAAGAACATTCCATGCTCATGGGTAGGAAGAATCAATATCGTAAAAATGGCCAGACTGCCCAAGGTAATTTATAGATTCAATGCCATCCCCATCAAGCTAGCAATGACTTTCTTCACAGAATTGGAAAAAACTACTTTAAAGTTCATATGGAACCAAAAAAGAGCCCGCATTGCCAAGTCAATCCTAAGCCAAAAGAACAAAGCTGGAGGCATCACACTACCTGCCTTCAAACTATACTACAAGGCTACAGTAACCAAAACAGCATGGTACTGGTACCAAAACAGAGATATAGACCAATGGGACAGAACAGAGCCCTCAGAAATAATGCCGCATATCTACAACTATCTGATCTTTGACAAACCTGACAAAAACAAGTAATGACAAACCTGACAAAAACAAGCACTATTTAATAAATGGTGCTGGGAAAACTGGCTAGCCATATGTAGAAAGCTGAAACTGGATCCCTTCCTTACACCTTATACAAAAATTAATTCAAGATGGATTAAAGACTTACATGTTAGACCTAAAACCGTAAAAACCCTAGAAGAAAACCTAGGCATTACCATTCAGGACATCGGCATGGGCAAGCACGTCATGTCTAAAACACCAAAAGCAATGGCAACAAAAGCCAAAATTGACAAATGGGATCTAATTAAATGAAAGAGCTTCTGCACAGCAAAAGAAACTAGCATCAGAGTGAAAAGGCAACCTACAGAATGGGAGAAAATTTTTGCAATCTATTCATCTGACAAAGGGCTAATATCCAGAATCTACAAAGAACTCAAACAAATTTACAAGAAACAAACAAACAACCCCATCAAAAAGTGGGCAGACGATGTGAACAGACACTTCTCAAAAGAAGACATTTATGCAGCCAAAAGACACATGAAAAAATGCTCATCATCACTGGCCATCAGAGAAATGCAAATCAAAACCACAATGAAATACCATCTCACACCAGTTAGAATGGCGATCATTAAAAAGTCAGGAAATAACAGGTGCTGGAGAGGATGTGGAGAAATAGGCACACTTTTACACTGTTGGTGGGACTGTAAACTAGTTCAACCATGTGGAAGACAGTGTGGTGATTCCTCAGGGATCTAGAACCAGAAATACCATTTGACCCAGCCATCCCATTACTGGGTATATACCCAAAGGATTATAAATCATGCTGCTATAAAAACATATGCACACATATGTTTATTGCGGCACTATTCACAATAGCAAAGACTTGGAACCAACCCAAATGTCCAACAGTGATAGAGTGGATTAAGAAAATGTGGCACATATACACCATGGAATCCTATGCAGCCATAAAAAAGGATGAGTTCATGTCCTTTGTAGGGACATGGATGAATCTGGAAACCGTCATTCTCAGCAAACTATCGCAAGGACACAAAACCAAACACCGCATATTCTCACTCATAGGTGGGAATTGAACAATGAGAACACGTGGACACAGGAAGGGGAACATCACACACCGGGGACTGTTGTGGGGTGGGGGGAGGGGGGAGGTATAGAATCAGGAGATATACCTGATGCTAAATGACGAGTTAATAGGTGCAGCACACCAACATGGCACATGTATACATATGTAACAAACCTGCATGTTGTGCTCAGGTACCCTAAAACTTAAAGTATAATAATAATAAAATTTAAAAAAAAGAGTTTCAGTATGATGGTGACATTAGGTTTTGGTCTGCAGAAAAATTACCTGGAGAGAAGACAAAATGAGAAAAATGAAGATGTCCCAAGCATGGTTGGGAAGGAGCAAATGAAGCAAAAGTTATTAACCAGTCAAAGAGAATAAGATTTTGAGGGTGCAGGCCAACACTGCACAAGAAGAGGTAAAGAAAGTGCAGACAATAAAAGAAGGGCCAGAACAGCCTGACAGAAGCTTCAGAGAATGTACAGTGAGAAATTTTCAAGTGTGGAATGACAAATGTGACAAGTGGTTTATAGGAACAAGAATGCTTAATATTTAAGCATTCTTCACAATCAGTCCCAAACTTCACAATCAGTCCCAAAACTTCAGTGGAGATCTGCCTCACATAATATGGCAGCAAAAATATACAGGCATATCTGTTTTATTGTACTTCTCTTTAAGTTTTGTTGTAACCCTGAAGCAAGCTAGTCTGTCCACACCATTCTTCCAACAGCATGTGCTCATTTCATGTCTGTGTCACATTTGGTAATTCTCACAATCTTGCTAACTTTATATCTGTTGTGATCTGTGATCAGAGATCTTTGAGGTTATTTTAATTGTTTTGGGGCACCACAAACCATGCCCATGTGACGCTGAACAGCACTTTCCCTGTCTCTTTGCCTCTCCTCAGGCCCTCCTATTCCCTGAAATAAACAATAATTTGAAAATAGGTTAATTAATAACCCTACAATAGCCTCTAAGTGTTTATGCAAAAGGAAGCATCTCACTTCTCTCACCTTAAATCAAAAGTTAGAAATGATTAAGCTTAGTGAGGAGGGCATGTTGACAGCCCAGATAGCCCAAAAGCTAGGCCTCTTGTAACAGTCAGCCAAGTTGTGAATGCAAAGGAAAAGTTAGTGAAGGAAATTAAAAGTGCTATTGCAGTGAATACATGAGTGATAAAGTGAAACCACTTTATTGCCGTAATAGAGACAATTCAAGTGGTCTGGACAGAAGATCAAACCGCTACAACTTTCCTTTAAACCAAAACCTAATCCAGAACAAGTCCCTAACTTTCTTCAATTCTGTGATGGTTAAGAGAGGTGAAAAGGCTGCAGAAGAAAAGTTGTAAGCTAGCGCAGGTTGGTTCATGAGGTTCAAGGAAAGAAGATATTTCCATAACATAAAAGTGCAAGGTGAAGCAGAGAGTGCTGATGGAGAAGCTGCAGCAAGTTATCCAGAAGATCTGGCTAAGATCATTGATGAAGGTGGCTCCACTAAACAACAACAACTTTCAATGTAGATAAAACAGCCTCCTCTTGGAAGAAGACACCATCTAGGACTTTCATAGCTAGAGGAGAAAAGTCAGTGCCTGGCTTCAAAGCTTTGAAGGATAGGCTGACTCTTGTTAAGAGCTAATATAGCTGGTGACTATAAGTGGGAGCCAATTCTTATTTGCTATTCCAAAAATCCTATAGCCCTTAACAATTATGATAAATCTACTTGGCCTGGGTTGTATCAATGGAGCAACAGAGCCTGGATGGCAGCACATCTGTTTACAGCAAGGTTTACTGAATATTTTAAGCTCACTGTTGAGACCTATTGCTCAGAAAATAAGATTCTTTTCAAAATATTACTGCTCGTTGGCAAGACACTTGATCACCCAAAAGTTCTGATGGAGATGTACATGGAGATTAATGTTGTTTTCATGCCTGCTAACACAACATTCATTCTGTACCCCACAGATCAAAGGGTAGTTCTAATTCTCAAGTCTTATTCTTTAAGAAATACATTTTATAAGGCTATAGCTGCCATACATAGTGATTCCTCTGATGAATATGGGCAAAGCACATTGAAAACCTCCTGGAAAGGATTCACCATTCTAAATGCCATTGAGAACATTCGTGGCAGGGTGCAGTGGCTCATGCTTGTAATTCCACTTTGGAAGGCTGAGGTGGGCAGATTGCTTGAGCTCAGGAGTTCAAAACCAGCCTGGGCAACATGGCAAAACCCCATGTCTATTAAAAAT
Source organism: Homo sapiens (assembly GCF_000001405.40). Lineage (NCBI taxonomy): Eukaryota > Metazoa > Chordata > Mammalia > Primates > Hominidae > Homo > Homo sapiens. Next base: position 79,317,618 of record NC_000006.12, on the reverse strand, counting down.
TAGGCAGGTGTGGTTGTGCATACCTGTAATCCCAGATACTTGAGGGGCTGAGGTGGTGGGATCACTTGAGCCTGGGAGGCAAAATTTGCAGTGAGCTGAGATCACATCACTGGACTCTAGCCTGAGGGACAGAGTGAGACCCTGTCTCAAAAAAAAAAAAAAAGAGAATATTCGTGATTCATAGGTAGAAGTCAAAATATCAAATTAACAGGAGTTTGGAAGAAGTTGATTCCAACACCCCTCATGGATGATTTTGAGGGGTTCCAGACTCAGTGGAGGTAGCAGCTAGAGATGTGATGGAAATAGCAAAAGAACTAAAATTAGAAGTGAGGCCTGAAGATTTGACTGAATTGCTGTAATCTTGTGATAAAACTTGAATGAATGAGGAGTTGCTTTTTATAGATAACCAAAGAAAGTAGTTTCTTGAGACAAGATCTCCTGGTGAAGATGCTGTGAACATTGTTGAAATAACAACAAAGGACTTAGAATATTACATGAACTTAGTTGATAAAGCAATGGCAGGGTTTGAGAGGATTGATTCCAATTTTGAAAGAAGTGCTATTGTGGGTAAACTGCTATCAAACAGCATTACATGCTAGAGAAATCTTTCATGAAAAGAAGAGTCAAATGATGCAGCAAACTTCACTGTTGTCCTATTTCAAGAAATTGCCACAGCCACCCCAGCCTTTAGCAACCACCATCCTGATCAGTCAGCAGCCATCAACATGGAGGCAAGACCCTCCACCAGCAAAAAGATTACAACTCACTGAAGGAACAGATGATGGTTAGAATTTTTTAGCAATAAAGTATTTTTAAATTAAGGTACATACCTTGCTGTTTTTAGACATAATGCTTATTTCCAAAGTATGCATGTAAAGCAAAAATATGAAAAATGCAAGGAGAACTTGATACAATTAGAGAATTAAACATATGTCTCCCAGAGTTAAATACATCTAGTATACAAATCAGTAAATTCAATTTACTGTATTTCTCCCATTGATTCAAGAAACATTTACAAAATTAATCCTGTATTTGGCCAAAAAGGAAACCTTGACAAATTAAAGTTGCCAAAAATAAAATAAAGAAAAATGTGTGTTTTTAGGGTTATTTTCCTAATCACACTTCAATAAAATGAAGTGTAAATTATAAAAGTTTTAACTTTTGGAAAGTTAATCGATTAATCAAAAAAATAAAAAATAAAATGTGAAATTACCAACTACTGAGAAAGCAATGAAGTGGAACAGCAAAATCTACACTCAAAATGAACTTATTGCTTTAAATGTCTTTGTTATTAAAGGTAAAAGAGAAAAAACGAATCACCAGAAATTGGGAAACGAATGATGAAAGAAACTAAAAAGGATTGGCTTAATATGAATAGAAGCTGAAATTAATAAAGTAGAAAACCAAAACAAGCCAAAATAAAGCAGAAGGGATAAATAAATCCGAAAGCTGTTTTTATTTTTATTTTTTTGAGACCAATAAAGTAGATAAACTCTCTGTGAACCTGATTAAAGAGAGAATGCACATGGCAAGCACAAGAGGTCACTTGCAAACATATGCAAGGTTACAAACGAGAAGGAAACAAAAACATAGATACAGACATGATTCAAAGAATTATAAGAGGTTGCTGCTTGCAATTCCATGGCTACAAATTTGAAAACACAGAGGAAGTGAATGATTTCCTAACAAAATATAAATTACCTTAAATTGACAATCACTGTAGAAGATGTTGGGCTGGTGATTAAGAATCTATCATGAAAAAAGGCACAAAGACCAGATGGGTTTAATTTTTAAAGAACAGATGATTCCAATGTTATTCAAACATTTCCAGGCCATTGGAAGAAAAAGGGAAAAATCCCCTCAATTTAGAAGCCAGATTAATTTTGTTTCCAAAGCCTCACAGGCTATGCTAGACCCATCTCACTTAAAAATGCACATACAAAAAATTTAAATGTTATCAAATGTACCTATGCTTCCGTCTCAGCTTAGGTTCTCTAGATAGACTGCAAGGTAGAGATATTATGCGTGGCCAAGGTTTATTGGGGAGTGCTCTCAGGAACAACACCTGTAAGAAAGTAAGAGGTGGAGGACTAGTTTGGGGAGAGTTAAACTGTGGTACTGCTACAATAGTGGCTAGTATCTATCCTATTCCATGGAGAGCTGTGAACCAGTCATAGGCTGTTCCCTGAGAAGAAACTCAGCCGTGCCATCAGCAATCCTCAACACTTGGGACAGCTGTGGTACTAAGAGTCTCCTGCTGAAGGTGGTATCTGGGCAGCACACCGTAGCATCCATCAGACTTGAATGACAAGAGTTTCAATTTATACCTGATTACCAGTGTGGTTACCAGTGTGGTTTGCTATCAAGAAATTGAGCATTATAATAATTTTTTGTGTCAAACTTTAAAAAAAAATATTAAGACCACATAATAATTAGATGCTGAAAAGGTATCGATGCATTTGTTAATTCATCAGACACTTCTGATACCTCTATAGTTTTATATAGTGCAGTTTAAATGAATATATCATACATTCTGACATGGGCATGTGCAGTCTTCTTTTCCTTTCTCTTTCTTGGCTTTCCTTCTCCCTCTTTACTGATATCAACCCCAGAACAGTAAGCAGAATAAATAACTATAATATACTGGCCCTAAGTAGAAACAGATTTAAATTGTCCCAAATTTGTTTCAGCAAGAAGCAGTCTGCATTACCTGGTCCCCTTTTACACAGGCATGTGTTAGCGAATTTTTAATTTAATTAAACACATCTTTCTCCAGAGCCATTCTCTAGCTCTCCATTGAACACACTACCAATATTCCCTGGAGATAGTTAACTCTGACAGGATATAAATGAAAATAAATAAGTGAAAGCCAAAAAAACATCAAAGTGTGACCATATGTTTAAACAGAAAGCATGCATCTTGGTAGGAGGACGGTAAGTGTAGAAGTAAATCAACACCTGTTTGTCAGGGAATTGAAACAGATCCATTCAGAAGTTCCCAGCTAATCCACCTTTATTAATGGCAAATACTCTCCCAACAAACAACCCCCCTCCCCTGCCCATAATAAGAGATTTAAAATTAAAAATCTAATTTTAAAAGTATAAAATTTTAAATTAAAAAAGTTTAAAATTTTAAAATTAATAAAGGTATAAAGACCAGGCATGGTGGCTCACACCTGTAATCCTAGCACTTTGGGAGGCCGAGGTGGCTGGATCACCTGAGGTCAGGAGTTCAAGACCAGCCTGGTCAATGTGGTAAAACCCCATCTCTACTAAAAATACAAAAACTAGCTGGGTGTGGTGGCGGGCACCTGTAATCCCAGCTACTCAGGAGGCTGAGGCAGGAGAATTGCTTGAACCCGGGAGGCAGAGGTTGAAGTGAGCCAAGATCATGCCATTGAACTTCAGCCTGGGCAACAAGAGTGAAACTGTCTCAAAAAATAAAAATAAATAAAAAATAAAAAAATAAAGGTATAAAATCTTAAGGATGAAAAAAATAGATTCTAGGTCTCTTTCAGACATACCGTCACACGTATCTGAAATTAATATGGACCCCTCCCTTTGCAGATCCTGTCTGGTGACTTTATAGGTAGAGAATCTCAATCATTGGGAGGACTCAATCCTTCTAAGACTGAGAGGCACATCTGTTCTCAGTAATTGCTAGAACTGTGTTTCCTCATCTGTAGGATTCACCAACTCTGGGCACTCACCCACTCTAGGGGCACCTCAGAGGTGTACTCCCTGAAAGAGAGTAATGACTGAAAGAGACTTAATGGCTGAGTAGTTTAGTGTTTGGTTCCCTGAGGCACATTTGCACATGCCCCCAGCCAGGTGGGGAGCTTTGGAACCATCAGTTACAGTTAGGGAGTGGGACTGGTATCAGCTGTTTCCCATGCACCACCCAGAGCCAAAAGAATTTCTGGAGGTTGCTCTCCCCTACATTTAAGTTCTAGGTAAGACTCCAATTTAGAATTTTATTCTTTGTTTGGAGTAATGTTTATTTTCTTGTTGCAGGCAGCACTGCATGGAAATTCAAATATTAATAATAGAAGTTATCTTGATACATATTCATAAGGGGAATGGCTGTGCTTTAGTCAAGAGTAGGCTGGGACTTCCAGCACAGCATGACTTAGCACATTTGGAGCGCAGGTGTACAACCCCCACACATTACGTAACCACGTCATGTGAGGTGTATTAGGTAAGTACTCACATGAGTTCATGCTTGGCTCAGAGCCACTATTGTCTGTAAAAGGTACAACTACCTTGCTGATGCTGTACATATGGCTCACTTGTGCCCAGAGAGAGAATAAAGCCATGTCGAAACTATCTACGATTCCTTGAGTGTTTTTCCAGCTACCTGCCACTTGCCCACCCACTCCCCTCAGATCTCAGTTAGAACATGACAATTGGGCTCATGAACAGGATCCTGAGGTGAGTGACCCTTTGGTCCCCCCTGATTCCGGGTCGGCCATGAGGCTGCAGCGTGGGTTGTGGTACCTGGTAGCAGCTGTGCTGTTTGGATGGGCTTTGGTGGAAACCTGGGTGGCGATAGATGGGTCCCCTGCAAGCATGGAGAAGGCTCTGAAGCTGCTGGAAGCACAGAGCACTGAGAAGGAGTGAGCTTTTGCTGGTAGAGTTGGATGGGCATTTTGACTGTGCTATGAGAAGCACACACCCAGTCCCTGAGGGATGCAGTGCAGGTAAGCGCCCTTCAGGCAGAGGTGGGGCACCTGGAAACCCAGCTACAGAGCTTGGAAAAGGAATTAGAGGCTGCTGTGAATGTAGGCATGGGTCCATTGTCTCAGCCAGAGATCCCCACTTGGTCTGATACAGAGAAAGAAGAACTCTTGTTGTGGGCTCACCCAGTGGTCCACCAGAAGGTAGATCATGAACAGCTGTTGGGGCCCCAAGAGAAGGCTCAGGGACCCCCCCCCACCCACCGTAATGCAACATACTTCATATACTGCCTATACCCCAACTGAGTTGTGGGAATTAGGCAAGCAGTGCCGCCAGCATCCAGGGGAATGTCTACCTGCCTGGATGCTTCATTTGTGAGACAAGAGAGCAGATAGTATCTCCTGTTCTGCCTCTGAGATGGAAAAGCTGGCCTCTATCACGACTCACCCCTCCCTCTGTCAGTGGTTGCAGGTGAACAAGCAGTTGGCACAAGGGCAAAGTGATCACATCCTGATTGAGTGGCTATGGACAGCCATACAGACTGTGTGGAACAACGCTGGTGAAATACCCAAACCGTGAGTAAATACCAGTCTATGTGATTTGGTGCAAGTCATTCGGGAGACGGGTATGCGGCAGGCTATGTTTGACCTGAATACCCAGGGACCAGGAGATGAATGCTTCAGCTACCACATGGGAGAATCTTGTGTTGGGTTCTGCACCCCTGAGTGCCTTTGACTCCCTAGCTACTGTCCTCAACCTGTACATAGGGTACCACATACATGAAGTGACCACTGCTATGGTGACTCTCAGGGAAGCAGAAGGCCATCGGCAGGACCGAGGGGTCCATGCTGTAAAGAAGGGGAAGATGCCCCACCCACAGGGGGTCCCCCCATGGTAAAAAGGGGGCGCCAACGAGTGACACACTCACAGACATGTATAGATTTTATTTTGGCCGGGTTGACTGAGAGAAAATTGATAAGCAACCCAATGAAGTGCTTTTAACTTTGTGGAGACAGTTGTCTCTGGAGGAGCAATTCCAGAAAATGCCCAAGGGGGAGAAGGACATTGCTGTGTAACCTGGTCCCACCCAGGCGCTTCAGTTCAAAGATGACTTGCTGCAGCCAAGTGGAAATGTAGAGCCTTTTTTGCTTGATTAGGGAACTGGCCAAGGTGCCCAGCTTGCGGGGACACTAAATGACTGGAGGCCACATGTGGAATTAGTGATCCACCAGTCCCCCACCGATGTACAGCGGGTGCTGGTGGATACTGGCACAGATTGCAGCCTTGTTTATGGGAACCCGGATAAGTTTCTTGGCAAACCTGCTTACATTGACAGTTATGGCAGCTGGTCAGTGAAAGTGAAACCTGTATCTCTATACCTTGGCATCACCGTTTGGCTCCCTGCTTATGCGCTGTGTATGTCTCTCCTGAATACATTCTGGGGGTGAGTGTTTCACAAGGTTTGGCAGCTGTCTCATCTATCATGGATTTGATAGACTGCTCGATGATGGAATTGGAACAATACCACTATGTGGTAGACTTGGCTAATGCATTCTTTTCCAGAGAGCCAGGAATACTTTACCTTTATGGGACAGCGACAATGGATTTTCACAGTGTTGCCACAGGGCTATATGCACAGCTGCACCATATGTCATAATCTCATTGATGATATTATGTTAACCTCTGATTCTCTTGCAGATTTAGAAGCAGTAATGCCTCTCTTGCCTGGGACTGGGATGGTGTGGCTGAGACTGCCTTACTGGCAGCCAGGTGCGCTATTCAGCAGCCACAAGCCCTACAAGTAATTAACCAGGGGCACCTGTTTGAGCTGGAGGTGCATGTGGCCACAGACGGTTTTGGTTGAGGCTTGTGGCAATGCACAGAGCGCCTAAGAATGCCAGTAGGCTTTTGGTCCCAACTATGGAAAGGAGCTGAACTCCGGTATTCATTGATAGAGAAACAGCTAGCAGCTGTATATGCTGGCCTTCGGGCTCATGAGAGCATGACAGGACAGGCTGCAGTCATCATATGGACAACTTACCCAATAACAGGATGGATGCGTCTATGTGTAATGACCACCTGGAGTGGGATAGCACAGATGTCCACTTTGGCAAAATGGGGCAACTCCTTGCAGCAGTGGAGTAAGCTGAGTACAAGTCCCATAGCAGCAGAGTTGCAAGAGGTCTTGGGACGTGTAGTCCTAATGCAAGATAAGGCCATGCGGCCTGAGGCACCCCTAGATCCTGAGTCTTCACCATTTAAGGAAGGGCATCCCAGGATTCCTGAGGGGGCATGGTACACAGTAGATGAGGTGCTACTGCTGCCTGGACCACTGTTGCAGTCCAACCTAGTACTGACACCATATGGTTTGAAACTGGGTGCGGACAAAGTAGCCAATGGGCTGAACTCAGAGCAGTGTGGATGGTGATCACCAAGGAGGTGACACCTGTGGTAATCTGTACTGATAGCTGGGCAGTCTACTGAGGCTTAACCTTGTGGTTAACTACTTGGAAAATACAGAATTGGCTAGTGAGCCACAGACCCATTTGAGGCCAAGCCATATGGCAAGACCTTTGGGAAATAGGTCATCAAAAAGAGGTAACTATTTATCATGTGTCAGGCCATATGCCTTTGGCCACCCCTAGTAATGATGAGGCAGATGCCTTGGCTAAGGTCAGATGGTCAGAGTCAGCACCAACACAAGATGTGACCTTGTGGCTACACCGGAAACTGGGACATGCAGGGGGTAAACTGATGCAACAATTCAATAAGTGTTGGGGTCTGTCCCTTCCCAAGCAAGACATTTGTGAGGCTTGTCAGAAATGCCTGGCATGTGTTCAGACATATCCTAAAAAGAGGCAGCTGCCCGGTGTTATACAACAAGTAACAATAGGGTGAGTGCCCTTGACCAGGTGGGAAGTAGACTACATCGGGCCGCTGCCAAAGTCGCGAGGGTATACGCATGCACTAACGGCTGTAGACATGGCCACAGGCCTGTTGTTCACCTACCCTTGCAGGGTGGCCAACCAACAGAACACCATCCAGGCCCTGCAACACTTATGTTCCCTGTATGGTTGTCCTCTGGCCATTGAGAGTGATAGGGGAACACATTTCACTGGACAACAGGTACAATGATGGGCACAGCAAATGGACATAAAGTGGGGATTCCATGTGCCATACAGCCCACAAGCTGAGGTATTATTGAATGATATAATGGGATCTTGAAGAATGGATTACGCTTGCATGTCAAACCCCTGTCTTTGCGGAGCTGGAGTTCCAGGCTGGACCTGGTGCTCCAAACCTTAAATGAATGGCCACAGAAAGGTGGCCCGGCCCCAGTGGAGGCTTTGTTTCACTAGGCCACCACCCCCATTCAATTGGAGATACATACCAAGGATGACCTCCTCCGATCAGGTATGGGGACAAATGGTAACCTGTTGTTGCCTGCCCCAACAACCCTGAAGGCAGGGGAACAGAAAACCTGGCTGTGGCCATGGACCCTCCAAGCTCTCCACTGCTGGTGGTTGGCCATCATAGCTCCCTGTGGGGAGGGCCTACAGTATGACTTGCATGTCACTTTTTGAGTGTTCAATACATGGCTTCCAAGGTTGACTGTTTGTAGAGGAACAGCCAGGGAAGGAGCCCTCCTCTGAGGGACATATGTACTATCTGATGGGCCTATTATGAGCTACGCTGTGACTTTGGCATGGATACAGGATTCAAAGGAACCATGGAGATTTGAGAAGGTGTGGTACCATCACCCAGGGCAAAAGCCCTTGGTGGCTGCATTGTTATCCAGGGATGGAAAGTTAGCCTATATTTTGCCTGAGGGATGTGATTTACCTCTGTTAGTACCTGTGCCTGCTCTGTCATTTCAACCGTAGGTTAACATGCTCCAATTGCATTGTGGACTGACCCCACACCTATGCTGAGGTGACCAATGTTTCCAACTGTTGGACCTGCACTGCCTTTCCAGCAGCAGCTGCAGACAGCTTTCCCTGACACATACATCCCGTGTCTGCAGAGAACTGGACATGCCTGGAGACTTGAGATCCCATGGCTGATGCCTGGAACACAATGTGGCAAGCTTTGGACAAAGGACACAGCAAGACCCATGGCTGGACCGTAGCATTCGTGATGAGTGGGGCTGGCTAGTAGGGGAACATGTAGTAGCCCAAGCCCAGGCATTGCAGTGCACAGAGCAACATTGGGGTAACAGGATGGGTACCTGTCACGGCCTGTGCAAACATAACATGTGTCACCACACTGAAGGTATGGTGGAACAAGTGGCCTCACCAAGGTCGGACCCCAATGGACTTTTTGCCTCTTGGGAGCTTATGGGTCTATGAGGACACAGTAGCCTTTCCTATCAGCAAACTGGAGTGGATGTTGTATCTGGGGGTGGCCTTATGTACCTGCTACTGTTCTCCCCACATTGCCCAGATGCCTGTATAACTGGGAGGCACTGTGCTCTCAGTTTTTGCGAATGTGATGAGCCCCCTGGTGTTTCTACCCTTTGGCAATGACTATCCCTGGAGCAGGTGTCAAAACTGTAGAAGCACAATTTACTGCTCTTGCGGAGCACACCGCTCAGGCTCTGAATTACACCTGAGTGTCCCTCCTCCTGTTAATGAATGAGGTTGATCAGATCAAAAAGTGGTGTTGCAAAACCAAGTGGCCTTAGACATAACTGCTGCCCAAGGAGCCACCTGTGCCCTTTTAGGAACACAATGTTGTACCTTATCCCTGACAATCAGCAGAACATAACAGCAGCCCTGCAAAGGGGTCTTCCAGGAGATTAAGGTGACTGAGAGCCTCACTGTCAACCCCCTGCAGAGATGGTGAGCATCCCTAGGTTCTGGCGTACATTGGGCCCTAATAGTCATAAGTATCATAGCTGAGATCCTAGTAGTGAGCTGTTGCTCTCTGTATTGTTGTTGTGGGTTATGGACTCAGGGCTCCGCCATATAGGCATGTGTCCCTGCCTGGAGGACGCCCTCAGCCTAGGGGGTGTAGTGTAAGGGAAATGGCTGTGCTTTAGTCAGGAGTAGGCTGAGGCAGCCTTCTGGTGCAGCATGACTCAGTGGGTTTGGAGTGCAAGCACACAACCTTGCTCGTTATGTAACCACACCACATGAGGCACATTAGGTAACAACTCACATGAGCTCGTGTTTGGCTCAGAGCCACTATTGTCTGTAAAAGGTATACCTTGCTGATGCTGCACATATGGCTCGCTTGTGCCCAGAGAGAGAGTAAAGCCATGTTGAAACTGTCTACAATTCTTTGAGTGTTTTTTCAGCTACCAACCACTTGCCCACCGACTCCCCTCGTACCTCAGTTGGAACCTGAGTGTTGAATCAGAACAAGGGACCAATTAAATTTCAAGTTTAATGACTACAAGCTAAGTCATCCTGATATACTGTTCTCAAAACAGACATAAGATGCTCAATGTGATCTGAGTAGTTCAGGCCTGACAACTAAGATTCCTTTTCCTCTGGATGGCAACTGAATGAGCACCACTCAGATTTTCTTCTGTAATTTTCCTTTTTCAGTGCTTTCTATTCTGACTAATCCTCCTTTAATTAATCCATATATATATATCAAGCTAAATTAATGTCTGAGCTGAATGTGGTGGCTCACATTTGTAATCCCAGCACTTTGGAAGGCCAAGGCAGGAGGATTGTTTGAGGCCAGGAGTTTGAGACCAGCCTGGCCAACATGGTGAAACCCCATCTCTACTAAAAATGCAAAAATTAGCCAGGCATGGTGGCACATGCCTGTAGTCCTAACTACTCAGGATGCTGAGGCATAAGAATCACTTGAACCTAGGAGGTGGAGATTGCGGTGAGCTGAGATTGTGCCACTGTACTCCAGCCTGGGTGACAGAGCAAGACTCTGTCTCAAAAAAAATTAATTATTTAATTGATTGGTTAATGTCGTTGGGAAAACTTTAGTAAAATGCTGCTGGCCCAATCATTGTCTTAGTATCGATATTATGTGGAATAGAACAAAATAGACCTAAAACTGTGTCTGAAATATGTAATTTCTGAAACAAAGTTTTCTTTAAACAAATCTTAGGAATCAAAGAGAGAAACAGATCTTGACCCTCTGTTTTGTTGTTTGCTTATTTTTAGAAGAAAAAAGGAAAAGAAAAAACATCTTGCAAAGTAGACAAGAACCACTTTATTTCAAGTAGTTGAGGTAGTCATCTGGTTAGACACAGACGACCAGGCAGGATGAGCTCTTTGGACTCTTCTAACTCTATGTTAGATGGCTCATGTGCCCAAAGATACCTCTTCATGTAATGTTCTTCCACTGACGGCGAGAACTTTTCTCAAATGTAAATAATTCTGAAGTGCAACAGATCTCTAATTCTTTATAAGAAACAGATTTTTCAGATAGAGATAATTAATTTCATATTTTCCATCCATTTGTTGCTATTTTCCCCAAGCCTTTATTTCTTTTCATTTTAATTCTCCACAAATTCTTTGCTGGAAAACTGCAATTACATTTAACTACAGAGAGGTAGTTAGATGATGTATGCACATATTTTATGTTTTAATGATTCTTGTATCCTCTTGTGAAATCAGAGTTATATATGTCTATTCAACTGTTCTAATAACCAAGGTCAGGTCAGTTAGGTTGTAATGTTAAAACAACCAAAACCATATTATATTGAATACTTCTCATTGACAACATGATTGCCTTTTGTCTGTATTTTATTCCTTTTGACACAAAACACACACATACACAAATAATATCTAACATTCCCAATTAGAAGAATAATTTTGAGTGGCATTGAATTAAGAAAGAATAATCTAGGTGGAGATTTAGCAGTAGCAACCTGCAAACTTCCCTAATGCAATTTGGCACTAATGAGGATATATATTTACTATGTGTTCTGGCCTCCAATAGCAATACCATCCCAGGAGTGATTCCATGGCTTTACCTCCACAGCCATAATGAACTAGAGAGTGAGATAATTTTATGAGTCCTGATTACTCAAAACTCATCAGTGGTCGGGTTTTATTTCTCTGTTTAAATTGACTGCTTTTCTTTTTACTTGTGCAGATGCTTTGCCCTGTTCTTTTTATTCAACACCCATTCCTTTCACCCGCACTACAAATATAGCAGATTTCTTCTCTTTGGCAGTGGCAAAATTTTTTTATCAGAGAAACTTATGAAGAGCAGTCTGCTTGGAACTGGGAATGGCAAGGACAAAACACTCTGTTTTAGTTAGTTGTATGTTAATTGAAGGTAGGTTTATTGGGGTGATGTTGGAGGATGCTGAAGTAAGAGAGACCTCACAAGCTAGAAATCAAGATTCCTGAAAAGAAATCATATCATAATTTGAGCTGAGACTACCAGGGTAGACGATAACTAAAGCTAGGGTTATAGACAAAGGAGAAGAGCATGGAGTATGGTTGGTGGGAAGCACAGGATTCCAGTAAACACCTCTGAGTAAGGCACACCCTTTTGGCAGATATTGATGCCCATTAATACTACAACTGGGTACCAGACAAGGGAGATACCACAAATAAGGAATTCTAAGCTTCAGTACTGAGAAACGTATCTACTTGAGTTTCTTTCTAACATTATCCTAAGGATCTGCCATGAAACTGATGTGGTACAGGGTCCTCTACCCATTTCTAGTAATGACATGCAAATCTTTATATGGTTTCCAAGGTGCTTTCCAAATCATGTTGCATAACCGACAGTAAAATAGAAGCTTCCAGTGTTAGAGGGAAATGAAGAGAAGAGGTGCCCTTTCTATATCCCTTTCTCATATGGTTTCCTTCAGTATGATAGCTTCACTATTAAGATGCTGAAAATGTGCTGCTTTCCTTTCACTTTGCTTGAATATTTCTCTTGCAATGTGTTCAGAGCTGTGGCCTAGAAGATATGTCATGGGTCCAACCTGCCTTTCTTTACCTTTTAAGAGGCAATATGATATAAGAGATATATGTCCTTAGACTGAAAATCAGCAGTACTAATTACCAGTCCTACTTCTCCTATTTTTTAAATGTGTAACTTCAAACAAGGCACTTTACCACTCTAAGCTCCATTTATAAAACGGAAGAGTTAACTAATTCTCTGGTTTGCCAAGGTTTTTTTCTTTTTCTTTTTGGATTAGAATCCTTATTTGCAAGTGGAATTTTATTTTTAAAAACCCTAACATAAAAAACAGAGCAAAGTGGAATTCCTTAATTTGAAGAGGGTGGGTGGCATGTGGAGCCCTGTCCGTTTGATCCCATGCTCTCCTCTCCCCTTCCACTGTGTTAGCCTCTGAGTCTCTTCTGTGGAATCCAGGAGATGCGAACCCATTTTTAAAAGCACAACTCTAGATGAGCCTTTTGAGTCCGAAATTCTGTGATACAACAATAAGGTACCTCACTCTTCTCTGCTTGGATGCAGAGCATCTGGCTCAATTTCAGTTAGTGTGTGTAATGTCAGAGAAAGGGAAAGTCAGGAAGCACAAACTTTGCAAAAAAGAAAAACACAGCCAGCAGAAAATAGACTTCAAATTTATATAGGGATATTTGTTAAATTGGTTTGAATTCCACTGTTACATCTGCTGGCATCACTTCCTGGGTTTGGATCTATAAACCTAGCTTTGTGGAATTGAGGCTCTCTCTCAATGTGAATACAAGGACAACCTCTCCCTACAGACTCAGACTTGCTCCAGTTCCCTAGCCCTCCTCAATGGAGGAGGAACTCATATTGATAAACTTGCCTCGCCCCTACCTGCCATTTCATCTTGCACCCTCGAGAACTGTCATCCAGAATCCAGTGACATTACCAATGCCCATGTATCTCCACAGGTCTTCTCTATGGCCAGCCAAATAAAGGGCCTAAAGCAATAGGAGGTGGGCAGGTCACTTGAGGTCAGGAGTTTGAAACCAGCCTGGCCAACATGGCAAAACCCCATCTCTACTAAAAATACAAAAAAATTAGCTGGGCGTGGTGGAGGCGCCTATAACTTCAGCTACTTGGGAGGCTGAGGCAGGAGAATTGCTTGAACCTGAGAGGTAGAGGTTGCAGTTAGCCAAGATTGCACAACTGAATGCCAGCCTGGGCGACAGAGCAGGACTCTGTCTCAAAAAAAAAAAAAAAAAAAAAAGCAGTGATGCAAAGAAATCTTGAGCACTAATTATATGCCAGGTATTATGCTAAGAGCTTTATTACTATGCATATTGTATGAACAATCCGGTATGGTGGTTTTATTATCCCCCTTCTCACTAATGAAGAAACTGAGACTTGGAGGTTTTTTTTTTAGAAACAAAGACAATATCTAGTACACCAACAATGAGACCCAAGCACCTTCACTGTCGTCTTTGCAGCCCCTGCATTGTTACTTAGGATTGGGACACCAACCTGCTCAGCTGAGACCCAGAAATCCCAACAGACCCTTGCAACTCTGGTTGACTGCTCGAGTGCAGCTGACAATTGATTACGGGGAGTCAATTAACCAACATAGGCCACTTACTCATAAAATAATCTAATGTTTAAAATGCCACTACATGTTTAGACAATATTTTAGATCACTGACTATGGTGGAAGGTAATTTACATTATGGAAGCAATCATTTAATCATTGCAATTTGCCAAGGTATTACCTATTCAACTAATTATCTTTTAATTATGTAGTTTCAAAAATTAAACACTATATTAGCCAATGCCAAAATCTTATTTCATAATTTCCCAATGAAAAGTATAATTTACTATACAGTACAATGTAATTTCCCACAGAAATTGTTTCATTTTATTCTTAATTACAGGATAAATATTCCTATAATTGCCATAACCTGTACATAACCAATGAGGAATCTTAGCCTTTTAGGAAAATGCAATTGTAGAATTGTAGAAGGGAAAACAAAAGCAGTCAATTAGGTTTTTCCAGACATGTTAAGCAAGCACTGACTTTCCATACAAAAACCACTGATCAGCAACCTAACAGTAGTTCTCAACTGGCTGCACCTTAGACTACTCTGGGGAGCTTTAAACAAACAACCTGATGCTCAGGGGTCACCCTTAGGAATTCTCATTTAATTGTTCTGAATATGTGTGTGGGGGGGCGGGGGTTAGGTTTTTTATAAATCTCTGCAAATGATCCTCCTGTGTGGCCAAGGTTGAGAACCATCGAAAAAGTAATTTTAGCCTGTGCTGCCTTTAGTTTAGTTTTATTTGTTTTGAAGGAAGTTGCTGGTAGACAGTCAAGAAGCATATGTTGGGCATGTAGGGAGCAGTAAAGCGGGAGTTTAAGGATGGAAGTAAGAAGATCCAGAAAACTATCCTGACTATAGGTTTATAAACTAGAGAGTTAGGAGTTTGCAGTGTAGAAAGGTGAGACATAAGGTGCCGGCCAAGATTCTAGGTAATCACGCTCAGTTGCCAAAACATTCCAGTATCATTTGTCATGGACTTGCGAAGGGTCAGGAACTTGAGTAGATAGTTTACCTGTGATGGGACCATGCACCTTGGATCTGAAAGCAAAAGTAACCTGAGTTACAGGCTCCTTATAAAATTCTGGGCCACCCTTACTTTGAATTTAAAGTAAGAATGTAACAATTCTTACTTTTAAGAATTTAATATATGAAGCTTTCTTTGATTTTTTTCAGTTATCATAGAGAAAAAAAATTATTTGAATAAAGTGAATGCCTTTGTGGCTTTGTTTGCTGGGACAAGGCCCACAACCTATGCCTCTCCTCTTGACCCCTACTTTGCATTAAAAGAATATATTTAAAGATTTAATACATGAGGGTTTCCTTGATTTCACCTCAGTTCTCACAGAGATCAAAAATATTATTTGGATGAAAAAATTCTGGGCCAAAGTAAATCTGTTAGTAAATACAATAGCCATAGTTTAGAAGATTGTGGGCTGGAGTGAAGATAGTGAGTTATCTTAATTGATTGTTCACGGTCAGTTACAGATTGAATTCCTTTTTCTACTCTTTCCCCTACTGAACTTGACTAGTCCAAACAGGAAAAAAAAAGAAAATTGTGATTCCACTCAATTCATTTCAGCATACAAATATATACTTGACACACCTGGTCCTGGGTAAGACACTTCCAGGATCACAAAGGGGAATGATGGCTATTTTCTGCTCCATGGGACTCATAATCTTATGATTTCTTGTACTTTCTGAAGTTGCCAAACTGGGGTGGCATCACGCAGTAACAAAAATGGAACCTCAGTGGCAAAAATGGGAAAAAGGATCGAGGAGCCTTGACTACAGGTAGGTTCAGTCCCAAGTGAGAGGGTGGGCATGTTTGGAAGGCTGTCTTCAGCCACCAAAGATGTTTCTATGATGAAAGCTCAAAAATCATGGTATTTCATACACTAAGCAGTTAACTGAGGACTGAACTCTGACCCTTTCTTTTTCTTGCTCAAATTCCTTTCTAAGGGGCCTGGGGAGTCATGCCTTACAAACCATAAATCTTGTTAAACAGGTTTTTTTGACTCATTATATTGTGGCTTACTTTCCAACCTGATTGTGTGTAGCATCACATAACAGATAACAGACCTTTTTATCTTAATTTAAGCATTCCTTTATACTGACTCCAAGTTTTTAGACAAAGCTTAAGTCTTTCAAACAATTGCCAAATAAAGAATCCCTAAACCCACCTATGACTTGTAGGCCTCTGCTTTGAGATGTTCTGCCTTTTTGGGTCAAACCAGTGTATATTTCCCATGTATTGATTTATGATTTTACCTGCAATTCCTATCTCCCTGAAATGTATAAAGCTAAACTGTAACCTCATCACATCAGGCAGACTTTCTCAGAACTTCTTAAGACTGTTTCTCCTAGGCCACGATCATTCATCTTGGCTCAGACTAAACTTCTTTAAGTATTTTGGCAGAATTTGGTTTTTCCATCATCATAACCAACCTGAAGCCTCAAAGGTAGCCATGTATAAAACCTGAGCCCAGACTCAAAAGGGGGCATCATGAGTTTGTTCTTTTTTAAAAACCAACCTTATTGAGGCTGTTGATCTAAATAAGAAAACTGAGGCAAAATTAATATAGAGGGTTTATATATGAGGACTGGCTGCAGTCCTCAACCTTGGGACTAGGTTGTGCACTGGGAAGTGCTCCGGAAAACAAAGGAGAGGCTTGAGTTTTTAAAGTAAAAAGGGCGAATCAGGAGGGGGGTGATTACAAAAGTTGTTTTTCAGGAATTCTCAATGGTTTACAGAAGTAACATTGATTAGTGATTGGCTATACACGGTTGAACTATAGAATATGAGTTATAGAGTCCAGCATGTGGCATTGTTAGGTTAACTTACAGCTACTTGGCGTCAGTCATTCTACAGCCCACATAGCAAGTGGCTTCAAGTAGATCAAGAGGGAGTGAGATGTGGCTGCTGTCACATTTCAATGTCTCTCAGGGTCTGATCATTGAGGCTTGTATTCCTCAGATAAAAAGTTTCTTTTCCTTCTCGACACAATTGACACACAATCAACTGTAGATATTTGAAGTGTACAATTTGATAAGCTTGATACTCCTATGAAATCATTACCACACTCAAGATAATGAATATAGCCAACACCCCCCCAAATTTCCTCTTGCATCTGAAGGTGTTCAGAACACACCCCTCCAAAATATGCTACTTGAACATATTGACTAGTTTAGCTGAACGCCCTTGAGAAACAACAGATGCAGGAAGGGCTTTCTGACCATCCCTTTTCTACCTAAAAGGTTACAAAATTTCCCATGAAAAAGGTACCCTCCCTGTACCAGGAAAAGAACATTCTTATCACCAGAGATTGGGAGAGTTGAAATGGACCTATACAAACAAACCTACAAAATAACCCTTATCTTCCATTAGTTTCCTCCGTATATTTTCTAGTCACTGTTCTACAATTCACTGTTCCTAGTCCAAACCCCTCTGTCTTGTCACATACCTACAATTTATTGTTCTTTTTGTAAAAAGGTACATAAACTTTTGGGTCTAATGGCTTCTTTGGGTCCTCATTTTCCTTCTGAAGATTCTGCTTGCATGTAAAAATATTAAATAAAATCTGTATGCTTTTTCTCCTCTCAATTTGTCTTATGTCAGTTTAATTCTTAGGCCCTGCCACAAAATATAAGAGTAGAAGGAAGTCGCCTTACAGGTCTTGTAATCCCCCTCTTCATTCTGAAGCAACTGCTTATCTGCTTTCTGTCACTATAGATTAGTTTGCATTTTTAAATAGTTTTTTGTAAATGGAATCATGCAGTATGTACTATTTTTCAACTGGGTTTTTCAATTAGCTAATTATTTTGGTATTTGCCAGTGTTGATGGTGTTGATGTGTGGGTCAATGGTTTACTCCCTTTTATTGCTGAGTAGTAATTCATTGTATGCATAGACCACAATTTGTTTATCCATTCCCCAGTTGATAGATATTTTGAATATTTCAAGTTAAGTTGCTATGAACTTTCATGTACACATCTTTTATAAACATATGCTTTCTTTTACCTTGGGTAACAAGGGGAAAATGACTGTGAGCCTGTGGTAGGTGTAGGTTTAACATTTTAAGAAGCTATCTAACTATTTTCCAAAATGGTTGTACCATTTTACATTCCCATTTATAAGATTTCCAGTTCCTCTACATCCTCACAACCACTCAATATGGTCATTCTTTTTAATTTTAGCCATATTAATAGGTATGTAGTTGTATCTCATTGTAGTGTAAACAAGCGTTCTCCTAATGACTCATGGTGTTGAGCATCTTTTCATGTGCTTATTAGCCATTCAGTTATTTCCTTTGATAAAGTATCTATTCAGATCTTTTACCTTTTTAAAAATTTCATTGTTGAGTGTTGAGAGTGTCTCATGTATATTCTGGATACAAGTCCTCTATCAGGTATATATGATTTACAGATATTTTCTCTCAGCCTATGAATTATCTTTTTATTTTCTTATTGTTGTTGTTCAAAATTTCTTACTTCCAAGGTTTTTCACCGAAAATTGGGGTTGCTAAGAGTTAAAATTATAAATGAAATAGAGTTAAAATTACTAGATATAGGAAACAATGTATACAGAGTGTTAAAGGAAAGTAAGATTTTATAAAGTATGAGGATGTGTTTTATTGAGAAAGAGAATGATTTTTGAATAGTTTAGAGATTATTTAAAGGTTTTTTCAGAATAAATGAATGAAGGAAAAATGGTATAGATAAAACTAAGTGGACTTAAACAGTGGGGAAAGGAAGATAACTAAAAAATTGTAAGAGATTATGAAAGTTTATGGAAATTTTATTTTGTGTGGTCAGTGCTGACAGAGATTAGATGGACTGGCTTATAAGGCTTTATTAAAACTAGCTTTAGTATTAAAAGTACACTAATACAAAACTAGAATTTGGTTTTCTCTTTTAAACAAAATTTCATGTAGCATTGATTTAAAAAAAAAAGATTTTTATTCACCTTTGGAGTAAACTGCAAAAAAAGGGGGGAGGGTGAGAAAGAGAGAGAGAGACAAACAGATCTGTGAGCCTCATGCTGTCTTTATTAAGTTCTTTGCTTATTTGGAAAACTGAGTATCTTCTCTATCAAAGAGAAAAGAATTTTGCTTTTTGAAACCTTTTAATTATCACTTTGGTTAAATGAATGCCTATTACTTCACAGTGATCCATGTTCCTATATCAATCAAGAGTTTTAAACCTTTCCTATTTTGATCAAGTGTGCTAAACCTTTGAAATATTTGACATGCTTACCAAAACTCAAAGTGCAAAATCAAAATTAAGTCTTTTTGACTTCAAACTAACTTTGGGATGTTACAGAGGGCTCCTGAAGCATCCAAAAGAGAGATGATAAATAGGCTTATTAGATATGGTAAATTATATCAAATCATTGTAATAAGAAATTATTTTTTTTTTCTTTGAGACAGAGTATCGCTCTGTCGCCCAGGCTGGAGTGCAGTGGCGAAATCTGGGCTTACTGCAAGCTCCGCCTCCCGGGTTCACGCCATTCTCCTGCCTCAGCCTCCGGATTAGCTGGGACTACAGGCGCCCGCCACCACGCCCGGCTAATTTTTTTGTATTTTTAGTAGAGATAGGATTTCACCGTGTTAGCCAGGATGGTCTCCATCTCCTGACCTCATGCTCGCCCGCTTTGGCCTCCCAAAGTGCTGGCATTACAGGCGTGAGCCACTGCACCCGGCCAAGAAATGATTTGTAACCTTTTAGGAAAGTTATATGGAAATGTTATTGACATATGTGTTCCAAAATTGTATGAGCTTCCTAAAAATCTGATGTGTTTTGATATATGTTATGTCACAATTAGGGCTATTATATTAAATTGTAGGCCCCTGAAAATAACCAAATTTCCTTGCCAATTGCATCATTAGCTATTGCCATTTTACAGTTAATTGCTTTATTCTGATGCCTTTTTTTTTTTCCTGAAAACCATTTGCAAATCCTAAAGTGTTGTATCTTCAGGGAGGTTCATGGAAAGATTGAAAGTAACTCTGATAAATACAGGTTTCTGACAACTCTGAGATTGTATCATTGGACTGGGAAAAAATTTCCAGAACTCATCTGGGAAAAAAAAAAAAAAAGACTCATAAAATTGCTAGACTCGTAAATTGCTAAAGGCCCATAAAATTATTTTTAATAACTTTTTTGTTTGAAACATTGCTGATTGTTTTTTACGTTATGCTTTCCAGAATTAAGAAACTTTTTTTTCTCTTAACCTTTACAACAATTGGGTAAAGTATACTTTTGCAAACAATATTTGATATGGTTTGGCTGTGTCCCTACCCAAATCTCATCTTGAATTGTAGTTCACATAATCCCCACGTGTCATGAAAGGGATGCAATGGGAGGTAATTGAATCATGGGGACAGTTACCCTCATGCTGCTGTTCTAATGATAGTGAGTGAGTTATCACAAGATCTGATGGTTTTATAAGGGGCTTTTCCTCCTTTGCTCATCATTTCTCCTTTCTGCCACCATGTGAAGAGGACATGTTTGCTTCCCCTTCTGCCATGATTGTAAGTTCCCTGAGGCCTCCCTAGCCCTGCAGAACTGTGTCAATTAAAGAGTCCCAACACTTTGGGAGGCCGAGGCGGGCAGACTACCTGAGCTCAGGAGTTCAAGACCAGCCTAGGCAACACGGTGAAACCCCGTCTCTACTAACATACAAAAAATTAGCTGGGCATGGTGGCACATGCCTGTAGTCCCAGCTACTCAAGAGGCTGAGGCAAGAGAATTGTTTGAATCCAGAGGTGGAGGTTGCGGTGAGCTGAGATCGCAGCACTGCACTCCAACCTGGGTGACAGAATGAGACTCTGTCTCCAAAAAAAAAAAAAAAAGAGTCAAGTCAATTAAACCTCTTTTCTTTATAAATTACCCAGTCTTGGGTATTTCTTCATAGCAGTGTAAGAATGGAGTATACAATATTTAAATATTTACCTTTTCTCTACCTAATCTCACTAGATTTCAGAAACTATTGCTGCATATTCTTATTTCATGGCATGATAGTTTCTTGTGTAAGTTCAATGAAAACCTGTTCTTTTTGTAAACACAATTGGAACACAACTGGAAATACTGGTTATTTTACCAAGGTTATGACTGGAATGTCATATTTTCAGATATGACCAGCCAGCTTTAAGAAACTGAGGTTGCCATTATGAAGCCAATAGAAACCCTTGGAAAAACCAGACAGATAACTTAAATATATGGTTCACATGGTCATCTTAGAGTAAGTAAAAAATGTCACTTTCTGACAGGCCCAGGAACCTCGAGATATTTCGAGGACCTCAAGAAGAGAGGGATTCACCCAATTCCTGAGGGTGACAAAGTCTGAGGGTGAATCAAATCTTTGGTTTGGCTTTCCTTGTCCTGAAAGGCTTCTGAAAGTCTAATCTGAAATACAAAAGATCCTCAGAGACTACTATGAGCATATTTATGCACACAAGCTAGAAAATCTAGAAGAAATGAATCAATTCCTGGAAACATACAACCTCCCAAGAATGAAACAAGAAGAAACAGAAATCCTGAACAGATCAATAATGAGTAATAAAATCAAATCAGTAATAAAACACCAACCAACCAGAAAAAGCCCTGCACCAGATGGTTTCACAGCTGAATTCTACCAGACATACAAAGAAGTGCTGCTACCAATCCTGCTGAAACTATTCCAAAAAATTGAGGAGAGACTCTTTCCTAACACATTCTACAAAACCAATATAATCCTGATACCAAAATCTGGCAAATATGCAACAAAGAAAAAACACTACAGGCCAATATCCCTGATGAACATAGATGCAAAAATCTTTAACAGACTATTAGCAAACAGAATCCAGCAGCAAATCAAAAAGTTAATTCACCACAATCAACTGGGCTTTATTCCTGGGATGCAAGGATAGTTCAACGTATGCAAATCAATAAATGTGATTCACCACATAAACGAAATTAAAAACAAAAACCATATGATCATTTCAACAGATGCAGAAAAAGTATTTTATAGAATCCAATATATCTTCATATAAAAACGCTTAACAAACTAAGCATCGAAGAAACATACCTTAAAATAACAAGAGACACCTGTGACAAAGCCACAGCCAACATAATACTGAACAGGCAAAAGCTGGAAGCATTTCCCCTAAGAACTGGAGCAAGGCAAGGATGTCTACTCTCACCACTCCACAACATAGTACTAGAGGTCCTAGCCAGAGCAATCAAGAAAGTGAAAGAAGTAAAAAGCATCCAAATAGGAAAAAAAGAAGTCACGTTATCTCTCCTTGCTGATGATATGCTTCTATACCAAGAAAGCCCTAGAGTGTGCCAAAAGTCTCCTAGGCCTGATAAATGACTTCAGCAAAGTCTCAAAATACAAAAATCAATGTACAAAAATTGCTAGCATTTCTGTGCACCTATAATAATCAAGCTGAGAACCACATCAAGAATGCAATCCCATTTATAATTGCTGCACAACAAATAAAATTACTAGGAATACATCTAACCAAGAAGGTGAAAGATTTCTACAATGAGAACTGTAAAACACTGGTGAAAGAAATCATAGATGACACAAACAAATGGAAAAGTATTTCATGCTCATGGATTGGAAGAATCAATATCGTTAAAATGGCCATACTGCCCAAAGCAATCTATAGATTCAGCTCTGTTCCTATCAAATTACCAATGTCATTTTTCACAGAATTAGGAAAAAATACAATTCTAAAATTCATATAGAACAAAAAAAGAGCCTAGGTAGCCAAAGCAATCCTAAGCAAAAAGAACAAAGCCAGAGGCATCACATTACTCAACTTCAAACAATACTACAAGTCTATAGTAACTGAAACAGAACGGTACTTGTACAAAAATAGACACAAGGCCAATGGAACAGAATGAAGACCCTTGAAATAAAGCTTCACACCTACAACCAACTGAATTTTGACAAAGTTGACAAAAATAAACAGTGCCACTGGGAAAACTGGCCAATCATACACAGAAGAATAAAACTGGACCCCTATGTCTCACCGTATAAAAGTTAACTCAAGACTGAATTTTTAACTAAAGACTTAAATGTAAGACCTCAAACTATAAAAACCCTGGAAGAAAACCAAGGAAATATTCTTCTAGACATTGGCTTAGGCAAATAATTTATGACTAAGTCCTCAAAAGAAAATGAAAAAAACCAAAAATTGATAATTGGGACCTAACTAAACTAAAGAGCTTCTGCACAGCAAAATAAACTATCAAGAGGAAAGAGACAATCTACAGAATGGGGGAAAATATTTGCAACTATGCATCTGACAAAGGACTAATACCCATAATCTACAAGAAACTTAAAACAACAAGGAAAAAAACAACCTCATTAAAAAGTGGGCAAAGGCCATGAGCAGACACTTCTCAAAAAGAAGACATACAAGTGGCCAAAAAACATGAAAAATGCCTAATATCACTAATCATCAGAGAGATGTAAATCAAAACCTCAATGTGATACCCTCTCACATCCCTCAAAATGACTATTATTATAAAGTCAAAAAATAACAGAAGTTGGTGAGGTTGCAGAGAAACAGGAATGCTTACACACTGTTGTGAATGCAAATTAGTTCAGCCACTGTGGAAAGTAGTTTGGATATTTCTCAAAGAACTAAAAACAGAGTTACCATTCGACCCAGCAATCCCATTACTGTGTATATACCTAAAGGAAAAGAAATCATTCTACCAAAAAAAATCATTCTACACTTGCACTTGTATATTTATCACAGCACTACATGCAAAGACATGTAATCAACCCAGGTGCCCATTAACAATGGATTGGATATTGAAAATCCACTGTTGTTGGTACTTATACACCATGAAATACTATGCAGCCATAAAAAATAATGAAATCATGTCCTTTGCAGCAATGTGGATGGATCTGGAGGCCATTATCCTAAGCACATTAATGCAGGAACAGAAAACCAAATACTGCATGTTATCACTTGTAAGTGGAAACTAAACATTGAGTACACACACATACAAAGATGGAAGCAATAAACACTAGTGATTCCAAAAGGAGGAGGGAGTGAGTGAGAAACTGTTGAAAAATTACTTACTAGATACTGTGTTCACCTCAGCCTCACACAATGTACCCATGTAACAAACCTACACATGTATCCCCTGGATCTAAATTTTTTTTAAAGTCTAATCTGAGATTACTTATGAAAAGTTCCAGCAAAGCCAACTTTAAAAGGGCCTATATGAAAAAAATCACTGTTTTTACTGCACTTTATACAAATAATCAGGCCAAATTAATGAAACTAAAGGAATTACAAATTAGTTTTGTCATAAATATCTTTGGTAGAAATAGGAAATCAGAGAGAAAAATTATATTTCAGAAGAAAACTATAGTCCATCTGTCATTAGATTCTAGCCTTATTCGTTGTTTTTGAGTTTTTATTATTTGCCTATGATTTGGACCGAATTCTCATTTTTTTTTTCCTGGCTACAAGTTTCCAAATTAACAGGTCCAAATTTTCCTCCCATTTTTCTGACTTGGATGCATTGAAATTAAAACTGCCTTTTTCCTGAAGCTTTACAAGTTGAAGCTAGTCAACTTGGCTTTAAAAAACAATCATTGTAACAACTTATATTTGGACAAACTTTACACACAAACTATGATCCAATAAAATCTGTCAGTTTGCCTTTAGCCTTCTTAGCTGACTGCCCTCCAGATCCTAGGACTGGTTTGTAGACTGCTCCAGACACTGACCTTAGTTTTTCTTCTGTTTACATAGAAATGCCTCATATTAAAGATCTGTTTGCCTGCATCATATATACAGACGTAGCTTTGAGAGCCCATCTGCAATGCCATCTTCTAAAATGAGACACAACTGTTCAATTGGACTGGCCTATTCCCAGAAATAAGAGACTTGTTCAATGGGATCCTTTGCTATTCAGCTACTAACTGAATTTTCTTTCCATAGCTACCAACCCGGCTTTTAGTGTGTGAAACTTCCAGGGAAGCTTCAGACAGGCAAATGTTGGAGCTCATAAATTGCTACTCCAAAATATGGCATTTTGAAATGCCAGACTCAAAAAAGCAGCGTCAGGGTCTCTCTGACCTCCCCTCCACCCCATCCCTAGTCTCTAAATCCCCCTCTCTCCCAAAGCACAGGATGAAGTTGATCTCCAAAATTCTCTTATCTACCTAGAACCCAGACCTGCCAAAAACCAACAATATTGCCTTCCCTGAGTTTTCTTTAACTGAACTCCTACTGCAGAAAGAAAGACTGAAGTCTCTCAACACAACAGACTTTTGTCACACTGCTCTGCAGGCCCAACAGACTTTGTCCTAGGCCATTGCATATTCTCCAATCACATTGAATTCCCTTAAAAATCATTTACTATCCCTCTTAAAATCACCCACATTCCCTTTCTCTTTCTTCCCCTATGAAGAAGCATATATAAGCATCTGTAACTCATTGGGTTATTGGATAACTCTTCTGCTGAGATTTCCCTGTGCTATGCACGCTAAAATGAATTCTGTATGCTTTTTCTCCTATTCTGCCTTTTGTCAGTTGATTTTCAGCAAACCTTCAGGGAGAATAGGGGACGTTTTCCCTTGGCCCCTACAGTGTCTTTCAAAGAGCAAAAGTTATTAATTTTGATGGACCCTAATTTATTCATTTTGTATTCTACGGATAACAATGTTTGTGTCATCCCACAGTGTTGATTAACTGTAGCTTTATAAGTCTTGAAACTAGGTAGTGTTAGTTCTCTACCTTTGTTCTTTTTAAAAATGGTTTTAGCAATTCTACATCCTTTACATTAATTCGAGGCCTTCCTTCTTTTCTAACATAGATGTTTAGTGGTATAAATTTTCCCCATAAGTATTGCTTTAAAAGCATCCCACAAATTTTCATATGTTGTGTTTTCATCTTCAATAAGTTAAAAATACTTTCTTATATCTGTTTTGATTTCTGTAACCTATGAATTATTGAGAAGTGTGTTGATGCCAGCAAAATATTTACAGATATTTTGCCTATCTTTCTGTTACTGATATCTAATTTAATTCCATTGTGGTCAGAGAATATACTTTGTGCAACCTGAATACTTTTAAATGTATTGAGACATTTTAATGGCCCAATCTGTAGTCTGCCTTGGTAAATATCTTGTATACAACTTGAAAAGAATATATACTTTGCTTTTGTTGGATGCAGTGATCTATAAATTTTCCTGCATCAGTTTTAATTGTCTGTTTATGACTAGGTTTTGAGACTAGTTATAAAAACTACCAAAGATTTTTGTAGGCCAGACACGGTGGCTCACTCCTGTAATCCCAGCACTTTGGGAGGCTGAGGCAAGTGGATTGCTTGAGGTCAGGAGTTCAAGACAAGCCTGACCAACATGGTGAAACCCCATCTCTAATAAAAATACAAAAATTAGCCAGGTATGGTGGTGGGTGCTTGTAATCCCAGCTACTCTGGAGGCTGAGGCAGGAGAATCACTTGAACCTGGGAGGCAGAGGTTGCAGTGAGCCAAGATCGCGCTCCAGCCTGGGCAACAGGAGCAAAACTCTGTCGCAAAAAAAAAAAAAAAAAAGATTTTTATTGCATCTATTTTGGAAAAATAGTTTCTTCTTAGCTGTATAATTGTGATGAAATGCTTGTTTTGTTAATGTCTCCTGCTGGCAAGGTACAAAGCTTATTCTTAGTTTTATTATTATTATTATTATATTTTATTATACTTTAAGTTCTAGGGTACATGTGCACAACGTGCAGGTTTGTAGCATATGTATACATGTGCCATGTTGGTGAGCTGCACCCATTAACTTGTCATTTACATTAGGTATATCTGCTAATGCTATCCCTCTCCCTTCCCTCCATCGCAAGACAGGCCACAATGTGCGATGTTCCCCTTCCTGTGTCCATGTGTTCTCATTGTTTAATTCCCACCTATGAGTGAGAACATGCAGTGTTTGGTTTTTTTGTCCCTGTGATAGTTTGCTGAGAATGATGGTTTCCAGCTTCATCCATGTCCCTACAAAGGACATGAACTCATCCTTTTCTATGGCTGCATAGGATTCCATGGTGTATATTAATTTTCTTAATCCAGTCTATCATTGATGCACATTTGGGTTGGTTCCAAGTCTTGCTATTGTGAATAGTGCTGCAATAAACATACGTGTGCATGTGTCTTTATAGCAGCATGATTTATAATCCTTTTGGTATATACCCGGTAATGGGATGGCTGGGTCAAATGGTGTTTCTAGTTCTAGATCCTTGAGGAATTGCCACACTGTCTTCCACAGTAGTTGAACAAGTTTACAGTCCCACCAACAGTGTAAAAGTGTGCCTATTTCTCCACATCCTCTCCAGCACCTGTTCTTTCCTGACTTTTAATGATCACCATTCTAACTGGTGTGAGATGGTATCTCATTGTGGTTTTGATTTGCATTTCTCTGATGGCCAGTGATGATGAGCATTTTTCATGTGTCTGTTGGCTGCATAAATGTCTTCTTTTGAGAAGTGTCTGTTCATATCTTCACTCACTTCGTGATGGGATTGTTTTTTTCTTGTAAACTTGTTTGAGTTCTTTGTAGATTCTGGATATTAGCCCTTTGTCAGATGAGTAGATTGCAAAAATTTTCTCCCATTCTGCAGGTTGCCTGCTCACTCTGATGGTAGTTTATTTTGCTGTGCAGAAGCTCTTTAATTAGATCCCATTTGTCAATTTTGGCTTTTGTTCCTATTGCTTTTAGTGTTTTAGACATGAAGTCCTTGCACATGCCTATGTCCTGAATGGTATTGCCTAGGTTTTCTTCTAGGGTATTTATGGTTATTAGGTCTGACAGTTAAGTTTTTAATCCATCTTGAATTAATTTTTGTATAAGGTGTAAGGAAGGGATCCAGTTACAGCTTTCTACATATGGCTAGCCAGTTTTCCCAGCACCATTTATTAAATACGGAAACCTTTCCCCATTTCTTGTTTTTGTCAGGTTTGTCAAAGATCAGATGGCTGTAGATGTGTGGTATTATTTCTGAGGGTTCTGTTCTGTTCCACTGATGTATATCTCTGTTTTGGTACCAGTACCATGCTCTTTTGGTTACTGTAGTCTTGTAGTATAGTTTGAAGTCAGGTAGCGTGATGCCTCCAGCTTTGTTCTTTTGGCTTAGGATTGTCTTGGCAATGCTGGCTCTTTTTTGGTTCCACATGAACTTTAAAGTAGCTTTTTCCAATTCTGTGAAGAAAGTCATTGGCAGCTTGATGGGGATGGCATTGAATCTATAAATTACCTTGGGCAGTATGGCCATTTTCATAATATTGATTCTTCCTATCCATGAGCATGGGATGTTCTTCCATTTGTTTGTATCCTCTTTTATTTCATTGAGCAGTGGTTTTTAGTTCTCCTTGAAGAGGTCTTTCACATCCCTTGTAAGTTGGGTTCCTAGGTATTTTATTCTCTTTGAGGCAATTATGAATGGGAGTTCACTCATGATTTGGCTCTATGTTTGTCTGTTATTGGTGTATAAGAATGCTTGTGATTTTTGCACATTGATTTTGTATCCTGAGACTTTGCTGAAGTTGCTTATCACCTTAAGGAGATTTTGGGCTGAGATGATGGGGTTTTCTAAATATACAATCATGTCATCTGCAAACAGGGACAATTTGACTTCCTCTTTTCCTAATTGAATGCCCTTTATTTTTTTCTCCTGCCTGATTGCCCTGGCCAGAACTTCCAACCCTATGTTGAATAGGAGTGGTGAGAGAGGGCAGCCCTGTCTTGTGCTAGTTTTCAAAGGGAATTCTTCCAGTTTTTGCCCATTCTGTAGGATATTGGCTGTAGGTTTGTCATAAATAGCTCTTATTATTTTGAGATACATCCCATCAATACCTAATTTATTGAGAGTTTTTAGCATGAAGGGCTGTTGAATTATGTCAAAGGCCTTTTCTGCATCTATTAAGATAACCATGTGGTTTTTGTCTTTGGTTCTGTTTATATGCTGGATTACCTTTATTGATTTGCATATGTTGAACCAGCCTTGCATCCCAGGGATGAAGCCCACTTGATAATGATGGATAAGCTTTTTGATGTGCTGCTGGATTCGGTTTGCCAGTATTTTATTGAGGATTTTTGCATCGATGTTCATCAGGGATATTTGTCTAAAATTCTCTTTTTTTGTTGTGTCTCTGTCAGGCTTTGATATCAGGATGATGCTGGCCTCATAAAATGAGTTAGGGAGGATTCCGTCTTTTTCTATTGATTGGAATAGTTTCAGAAGGAATGGTACCAGCTCTTCCTTGTACCTCTGGTGGAATTCAGCTGTGAATCCATCTGGTCCTGGACTTTTTTTGGTTGGTAAGCTATTAATTATTGCCTCAATTTCAGAGCCTGTTATTGGTCTATTGAGGGATTCAACTTCTTCCTGGATTAGTCTTGGGAGGGTGTATGTGTTCAGGAATTTATCCATTTCTTCTAGATTTTCTAGTTTATTTGCATAGAGGTGTTTATAGTATTCTCTGATGGTAGTTTGTATTTCTGTGGGATCAGTGGTGATATCTCCTTTATCATTTTTTATTGCATCTATTTGATTCTTCTCTCTTTTCTTCTTTACTAGTCTTGCTAGCAGTCTATCAATTTTGTTGATCTTTTCTAAAAACCAGCTCCTGGATTCATTGATTTTTTGAAGGGTTTTTTGTGTCTCTATTTCCTTCAGTTCTGCTCTGATCTTAGTTATTTCTTGCCTTCTGCTAGCTTTTGAATGCGTTTGCCCTTGCTTCTCTAGTTTGTTTAATTGTGATGTTAGGGTGTCAATTTTAGATCTTTTCCGCTTTCTCTTGTGGGCATTTAGTGCTATAAGTTTCCCTCTACACACTGCTTTGAATGTGTCCCATAGATTCTGGTATGTTGTGTCTTTGTTCTCATTGGTTTCAAAGAACATCTTTATTTCTGCCTTCATTTCATTATGTACCCGGTAGTCATTCAGGAGCAGGTTGTTCAGTTTCCATGTAGTTGAGCGGTTTTGAGTGAGTTTCTTAATCCTGAGTTCTAGTTTGATTGCACTGTGGTCTGAGAGACAGTTTGTTATAATTTCTGTTCTTTTACATTTGCTGAGGAGTGCTTTACTTCCAACTATGTGGTCAATTTTGGAATAAGTGCGATGTGGTGCTGAGAAGAATGTATATTCTGTTGATTTGGGGTAGAGAGTTCTGTAGATGTCTGTTAGGTCTGCTTGGTGCAGAGCTGAGTTCAAGTCCTGGATATCCTTGTTAACTTTCTGTCTCATTGATCTGTCTAATGTTGACAGTGGGGTGTTAAAGTCTCCCATTATTATTGCGTGGGAGTCTAAGTCTCTTTGTAGGTCTCTAAGGGCTTGCTTTATGAATCTGGGTGATTCATACACCTCCTGTATTGAGTGAATGTATATTTAGGATAGTTAGCTCTTCTTGTTGAATTGATCCCTTTACCATTATGTAATGGCCTTCTTTGTCTCTTTTGATCTTTGTTGGTTTAAAGTCTGTTTTATCAGAGACTAGAATTGCAACCCCTGCCTTTTTTTGTTTTCCGTTTGCTTGGTAGATCTTCTTCCATCCCTTTATTTTGAGCCTATGTGTGTCTCTGCACGTGAGATGGGTTTCCTGAATATAGCACACTGATGGGTCTTGACTCTTTATCCAATTTGCCAGTCTGTGTCTTTTAATTGGAGCACTTTGTCCATTTACATTCAACGTTAATATTGTTATGTGTGAATTTGTTCCTGTCATTATGATGTTAGCTGGTTATTTTGCTCTTTAGTTGACGCAGTTTCTTCCTAGCATCGATGGTGTTTACAATTCGGCATGTTTTTGCAGTGGCTGGTACCGCTTGTTCCTTTCCATGTTTAGTGCTTCCTTCAGGAGCTCTTGTAGGGGAGGCCTGGTGGTGACAAAATCTCTCAGCATTTGCTTGTCTGTAAAGGAATTTATTTCTCCTTCACTTATGAAGCTTAGTTTGGCTGGATATGAAATTCTGGGTTGAAAATTCTTTTCTTGAAGAATATTGAATATTGGCCCCCACTCTCTTCTGGCTTGTAGAGTTTGTGACAAGAGATCAGCTGTTAGTCTAATGGGCTTCCCTTTGTGGGTAACCCGACCTTTCTCTCTGGCTGCCCTTAACATTTTTTCCTTCATTTCAACTTTGGTGAATCTGACAATTATGTGTCTTGGAGTTGCTCTTCTTGAGGAATATCTTTGTGGCATTCTCTGTATTTCATGAATCTGAATGTTGGCCTGCCTTGCTAGATTGGGGAAATTCTTCTGGATAATATCCTGCAGAGTGTTTTCCAACTTGGTTCCATTCTCCCCATCACTTTCAGGTACACCAATCAGACGTAGATTTGGTCTTTTCACATAGTCCCGTATTTCTTGGAGGTTTTGTTCATTTCTTTTTACTCTTTTTTCTCTAAACTTCTCTTCTCACTTAATTTCATTCATTTTATCTTCAATCAGTGATACCCTTTCTTCCAGTTGATTGAGTTGGCTACTGAAGCTTCTGCATTTGTCATGTAGTTCTCGTCCCATGGTTTTCAGCTCCATCAGGTCATTTAATGACTTCTTTATGCTAGTTACTCTTGTTAGCCATTTGTCTAATCTTTTTTCAAGGTTTTTAGCTTCTTTGCAATGGTTTTGAACTTCCTCCTTGAGCTCGAAGCCTTCTTCTCTCAACTCGTCAAAGTCATTCTCCATCCAGCTTTGTTCCATTGCTGGCGAGGAGCTGTGTTCCTCTGGAGGAGGAGATGCGCTCTGAATTTCAGAATTTTCAGCTTTTCTGCTCTGTTTTTTCCCCATCTTTGTGGTTTTATCTATCTTTGGTCTTTGATGATGGTGATGTACAGATGGGGTTTGGTGTGGATGTCCTTTCTGTTTGTTAGTTTTCCTTCTAACAGTCAGGACCCTCATCTGCAGGTCTGTTGGAGTTTGCTGGAAGTGCACTCCAGACCCTGTTTTCCTGGGTATCAGCAGTGGAGCCTGCAGAAGAGCGAATATTGCTGAACAGCAAATGTTGCTGCCTTATCGTTCCTCTGGAAACTTCATCTCAGAGGGGTACACAGCTGTGTGAGGTGTCAGTCTGCCCCTACTGGGAGGTGCCTCCCAGTTAGGCTACTCGGGGGTCAGGGACCCATTTCAGGAGGCAGTCTGTCCATTCTCAGATCTCAAACTCCATGCTGGGAGAACCACTACTCTCTTCAAAGCTGTCAGACAGGGACATTTAAGTCTGCAGAGGTTTCTGCTGCCTTTTGTTTGGCTATGCCTTGCCCCCAGAGGTGGAGTCTACAGAGGCAGGCAGGCCTCCTTGAGCTGTGGTGGGCTCCACCCAGTTCAAGCTTCCTGGCTGCTCTGTTTACCTACTCAAGCCTCAGCAATGGCAGGCACCCCTTCCCCAGCCTCACTGCTGCCTTGCAGTTCGATCTCAGACTGCTGTGCTAGCAATGAGTGAGGCTCCTTGGGTGTGGGACCCTCCAAGCCAGGAACAGGATATAATCTCCTGGTGTGCCATTTGCTAAGACCATTGGAAAAGCGCAGTATTAGGGTGGGAGTGACCCGAGTATCCAGATGCTCTCTGTCACAGCTTCCCTTGGCTAGGAAAGGGAATTCCCTGACCCCTTGCACTTCCTGGGTGAGGCGATGCCTCGCCCTGCTTTGGCTCACGCTCGGTGGGCTGCACCCACTGTCCTGCACCCACTGTCCAACAAGCCCCAGTGAGACGAATCCGGTACCTCAGTTGGAAATGCAGAAATCACCCGTCTTCTGCATCGCTCACGCTGGGAGCTGTAGACTGGAGCTGTTCCTATTCGGCCATTTTGGACCCACCTTCCTTTTTTTTTTTTTTTTGAGATGGAGTCTCGCTCTGTCACCCAGGCTGGAGGGCGGTGGCGCGATCCGCATTATTCTTAGTTTCTAAATGATGTGCTAGACCAGTGAGCTGGCATCTAAGTGCTAGATCACTAGCCATACAGAGGAAGGGAGTTCTGCATTACCTGGTCCCTTTAATCTGGGAAAGTATTACTAATTTTATTTTTTTACAAATGTTAATTAATATGACTCTTAAGCATTTTTGTCAGTATATTAAAACAATCAAACTTGCAATAACAACTAGGATTGGGATCAACCTAAATGCCATATAATAAAATTGTTGCAATATATTATAATGTATTTATGTAATTGCATATTATGCAGTCATTAATATTGTTTCAAACACTTTTATAAGAATTTTACATGGGTTATGTCACTTGATCCTCACAATTCTACTTTATGATGCAGCATTCATTCCCTCATCTTACAAATAAACAAACTAAAGCACAGACAGACTAAATAGTGGATTCTGAACTCAGGAAGTCCAACTCCAGAACGACACATACTCTTGTCTACCATTTTATGCACACATTCTCATATAATGCTTGGGTATCCCCCACATTCCACCTCAGGGCCAGCTGGTTCTTTAGCATTCCTGGCCCAACTGTTCCTAGGATGGAAAGACTTGGGTTAGTTTTACCAACACCACCTCATGCCTTCTATTTAGTCTCCTAAGCTCAAGAACTGCTCCAGATCACCCTCTCACCACCACCTCCTCCAAACGGCTCTCCCTACCCCTGTCCCATTTAACTCTGCCTAGCAATTTTTGGATTGGTGATTTGAACTCAAAATGACCTTTTAGTTATGATCCAACACTTTATTAAAAGCAGTTTCAGCCAGGTGCAATGGTTCATGCCTGTAATCCTAGCACTTTGGGAGGCTAAGGTGGGAAGATCACTTGAATTCAGGAGTTCAAGACCATCCTGGACAACATAGCAAAATTGTCTCAAAAAAATACAAAAATTAGCCTGGTGTAGTGGCACATGCCGGTAGTCCCAGCTATTTGGGAGGCCGAGGTAGGAGGATCGCTTGAGCCCAGGGGGTAGGGGTTGCAGTAAGCCTAGATGGTGCCACTGCTTTCTAGCCTCGGTGACAGAGCTAGACCCGGTCTCAAAAAAAAAAAAGCAGATTCAGTAACTGCCCCTTGGTTCGAGACACCAGGGCCCCTGGTCAAATGGCATCAGGTTCTAGACCCACAAGCCAGCTGCAATTGCCATCCCCGTGCCTATCCCAAACCTGCACTCTCCCTGCAGAGGTGTCAGGAATTTAGCCTGACACATCTCCATAACTGAGAACTTACTATCTCTAAACGCACCCCCTTCCCCTTTAGACAGTTCTGCTTATTTGAAAAGTAGCTGGGATATGGAACCCAGATCTGTCTGTCTATAGTTTCTACCCGTGGTTCTAGTTATTTATTTTGGCCCAAAGAAGACCAGTTCCTCTGCTATGTGACAGTGCTCCAAGAATGCGAAGAACCCACCTGAGTTTTCTCTTCTATCTAATATCCCAACTACTTGAAGTCACTTCTTAAATGACATGATTTTAAGGTTTTCCATCTTCCTGCTTGCTTTCCTAGAGCCTGATCCTTTGGTCTATATGGCAGGGATAGCCAACTCAATCATTTATGGGAGCTTGGCTGGAAATACAAATAACTGAACTAAGGGCTGGAGAGTACAAGGCCTTCCCTAAAGAGGACAGCACCTACTCAGCACCAAATGATTATTTCAGCAGCAAAGTAGGCTCAGATTTGCCAGATCTTACCAGTTTTCAAGAGAATCTGAAAATCAAAACCATGTGAAATTTTAAAATTTTACTGTTGACAATATTTTACTTTTTGGCTCCTCCTCCACCCCCCAACAACAGGACCAAACAAAGATAAAGCACGTGGCCACAAAATCGAGATTTTTAATCTACAGCTTTTTAAAACAGAGGCAGTCAAACTCAAAGACATTAGGTATGGTCTGAACAGTGCCGAATAGAGCAATTCTTGACCAGTCATTCTCATCCTATGTGGAACAGGGTGGTGCATCAGAACCCCAGTCCAAAAGGCTTATCAGAACCTTGGAAAGCAGGGACTCTGCCATGTGTGTTTTGAAAAACACTACCCCAGATGATTCTAATGTACCCTCCTCTCAGCTAAAAATTGTTGGGGCTCAGGATACACCACCTCAAAATATGACTGTAGGAGACCAGAATATGCTACCCAAAATATACTTCTCTGGCATATTTTGAGCTCGTTATTCTAAGAAACTGCAGACATAGGAGTAGCTCTGAAAAGCTGTCCTGTTGTAAAAGAAATTTACATGTATAAAGGAAATCTACATTAGTAAAACTATCTGTATCAGGAAGAGGGCTGCTTCCTGAGAGACTTTTTTTATCCTTATAACAAGACAACCTTTATTCACCATGCATTTCCTCCGCTCACCCTCCCATAACTGGTGTCACCACCAGCCCCCAGAAGCCTGACCCCATTCCTTTCTGTAGCTCACAAAGCTATGCAATTCTCATCCATCTGACTCTTTTTTGAATCTCATATTCTGTGGGATTCCTGTGCATACCTATATAAGTAAATATGGTTTTTCTCCTATTAATCTGTCTTACGTCAATTTAATTTTTAGTCCAGCCAAAGAATCTAGAAGGGTGGAGGGAAGTCATTTTTTGCTTTCCTAAAAAAAAAAATGATTATTCTATTTCTTGTTTTTGACAAACACTCTCCTTTCACCAAAACTTTACTCTGCTTGGGTAAGCCTGAATTTGGGCTTCCTTCTCTGTCTTTAAAGAATTCAGTTTTAGGCTCAGGCCTATAATCTTAGCACTTCAGGAGTCCAAGGAAGGTGGATTGCTTGAGCCCAGGAGGAGTTCAAGACCAGCCTGAGCAACATAGTGCAACCCCATATCTACCAAAAATTTAAAATTTATCTCAGTGTGGTGGCATATGACTGTGGTCTCAGCTACTTTTGAGGCTGAGAAAGAGGTACTGCTTGAGCCCAGAGGTTGAGGCTGCAGTGAGCTGTGATTGTACCACTGTACTCCAGCCTGGGTGACAGAGCGAGACCTTGTCTCTAAATAAATAAATAAGAATAAAGAATTTAGTTTTAGCAAGAATCCTAAGTCTGTTTAGGGGAGATTCCACACCTTTCATATCTGACTACCCTTGATATTGTATCACCCTGGTCTGCTTTCAGCAATAATCCTATCAAGTCAGTTTGGCCAGAAACCCTCTGTCCATCTATCCTTGATGTTTCCTCTTAGTAATTTTTTACTCACTGATCCCACTGTGTTCTTTGGCTATAAATCCCCACTTCTACTTGTTGGAGTTACAGTCGAGCCCAATCTCTCTCCCCTACTGCAAGAGCCTGTTGCAGTGGTCCCTAAACCTATCGCCATGCCCCTTCTCACCTGAATCTAGTCTGCCTTACTGCCTTCAACAAGTGTTTTGAATTTTTTTATTTAACAGTCTAGATTCTATTTACTTGTTCTCAAAAATTGGATGCACATTGGAATCACCTGTAGAGTTTTTAAAACATAACTGATGCCTAGATCCCACCCCTACAGAGATTCCGATTTAATTGGTACAGAGAATGACTAGAGCAGGAGTTACAAAAATTCCCCAGGTGATTATACTGTGTAGTTAAGTTCAAGAACCACTGTTCTGGATACTATGCTTCAATTAAATCATTACAAACTCATCTCTTTTTGGCAGCCAATTCATGCTGTTGACTCATATTAAGTTAATTATCAACTAATTCCTGTAATTTTTTCTTTCTGCAGTTAATGACTAAGTCACATTAACTCCAACCTGTACTTGTGCCACTGAAAATTTCATCTTTTAAAAATTTTATTTTATTAGATAGAGTCTATGGCTCTAGCTAGTCAAGATCTAGCAAGTCAAGACCTCATCATATCTAATTCTTTTATCTAGTGTATTTTCTATTCCTCTCAGCTTCACTTCATCCAAACTTTTAAAGAGCCTGTCTTTTACCTATGGCATTGATTGAAATGGCAGATACAATAAAGGGTCTTGCTTCTCTCCTATAGGGTCCTCCCTGCAGGATGACACTAGGCATTTAGATATGCTAATTCAACTAGCTCCAATTTGTCTAATTGCCCTTTAATCCAGACCATATTTATTCATTTTTTTCATAAGTAATTTATGGGAAATGAGTCCTCTTCCTGACAGTTCCTTCTTGGTCTCCTTTGTAATTTACTCCTCTTCTTCTCATTGCTGGAAAATTTTGGTCTCTTGATGGTTCCACTTGGATCCATGCTTTTTAATCCATATGCTTTTCTACTTATTTTTAACCACTACTTGTACCCTGATGTACAAGTACTTGGCCCCATTTCCCCCCTAAGTTTCAGGACCATATATAACTTCTTTCTGGAAATCTCCAAATAGATTACCTACAGGTTCCTCTCTTCAACATGTTCAGAACCGAATTCTTCATCTTTACCATGCCCAAACCTGGTTCTCCTTCTGCCTTTCCCATATCAGCAATTGATGACATCACTTGTCTAGGCCAGAAATCTATGGGTTACTCTAGATTTATCATATTCTTGCATCACTAAGTCTAATCAGTTGCTAATTTTTGCCTATCTTACATCCTATATTTCTCGAATGTGCTCCTCCTTTCAACCCATACTAACACTGCCCCAGTCCAGGCACTAACCTCTTTTTGATTGGTTTCTATTAGTAACCCCTGAGCCAGGCTCCCTGTTTCTTCTTTTGTCTCACATCATTGCCAAATGGGCTCATTTAAGTTGCAAATCTGACAGTTTTACTCCAGCAATTAAAATACTTCAGTATATTGAAATACTTTGCTTCTATAATAAAGTTCAAATTCATCAGCATGGCAAAAACATTCCTTCTTTGAACCCGGCCTCAACCTGCAGCTCCTGCCATTTCCCACTTTGCACTTTATAATAATGTCACACTGAATTTTATTCTCCCACTAAACATGTTATCTTGTGCCATGAGCCACTGCTGAAGTGGATCTCTCTGCTTGGAATCTTGCTTCATCTCAGACCTAATTCTTGCTTGTTCTTTAGTCTTTAGTACTCATCTTGCACTTTGTCTTCTTCATGTCTAACCCCATCAAGTCAGTTTGGCCAGAAACTCTCTGGCCGTCTATCCTTGATGTTTCCTCTTAGTAATTTTCTACCCACTGATCCCACTGTATTCCTTTGCTATAAATCCCAGATTTAGTAAACGTCCCCCTCAGAGCTCTTGCACCATTCTGGACACACTCCTCTCATAGCAAGTACTACTTTATTTGGAATTATCCCCTTATGTATGTGGCTCCTGTTCCACACAATTTTTCATCTTTATATTCCGAATGCTTGTTATATAGTAAATACTCAAGAAATGGTGGTTGAATTTTTAGTGAAGACCAGATGCTCAGTGTGAATAACATTTCCCTGTTCTGTCTGGAAAGTCTGACCAAAAAGAAATTATTGTTTCATTGGACGTAACTGTTCCTAGCAAACTCAAGTCCTAGTGCCCAGTGCTTTTTCTACCTAGAATCAAAGTTTTCTATAAAGCAATACATAAGAAGTAAATATTTAGAATTTTGTAGGCCATATGATAATCTTCTCAACTCTGCTATTGTGGCATGAAAGCAGACATAGACAATGCATAAATAAATTGGCATGGCTTCCTTGGAATGTAACTTTATTAACAAGAATAAGCAATGGGTTGCATTTGGCCTGTGGGCCATAGTTTGCCCAATCCTAATCTAGAAGCTTCCAAACAAACTTTTAAAAAATCCACTATTTCTCTCCCACAGGAGGTCTACATGCTACTACCATATCTCTCATAATCCCTGCTATACTCCAGCAATTTTTGCAAGTGCAGTCAGTACTCTCTCTCTGGCTGTGGAGAGTATCCATGGGCTCGACATCTGAGGATTCAACCAACCTTGCATTAAAAAATACCTGGTAAAAATGGATGGTTGTGTTTACTGAACATGCACAGACATTTTTTCTTGTCATTATTTCCTAAATAATAGAGTGTAACAATTATTTGCATAGCATTTATGTTGTATTAGATATTACAAGTAATCAGGAGATGATTTAAAGTATATGAGAATATGTGCATAGGTTATATACAAATACTACACCATTTTATATAAGGGACTTGAGCATCCAAGGATTTTGGTATCCTCTGGGAGTTCTGAAACCAATACACTGTGCATACCAAGGGACGACTGCACTCAACACCAACATCAATGGATGGCAGAAATTTACCATCAGTACCATTAAGAGTGTGAGATGAAAACATGCTCATGTGTTGTTGGGGAAAACAGAGATTGACCTCATCAAGAGGTTAGAGGATTCACTGAGCATGAAGTGATATGTGTGATCATCATCATGCCAAACCCAGGCCAGTACAAGATCCCAGATTGGTTCTTAAACAGACAGAAGGACGTGAAGGATGGAAATTACAGCTGAGTCCTGGCCAAAGGTCTGGACAACAAGCTCTGTGAAGATCTGCAGCAAATAAAGAAGATTCTTCCCCACCAGAGACCATGCCACTTTTTCTTTCTTTCTTTTCTTCTTTCTTTTTTTTCTTCTTTCTCTATCTCTCTCTCTCCCTTTTTCTCTTTCTCTCTTTCTCTCCTTCTCTTTCTTTCTTTCTTCCTTTCCTTCCTTCCTTCCTTCTTTCTTTCTTTCCTTCCTTCCTACCTTTCTTTCTTTCTTTCTTTCTTCTTTTCTTTCTTTCTTTCTTTCTTTCTTTCTTTCTTTCTTTCTTTCTTTCTTTCTTTCTTTCTTTCCTTCTTCAAGACGTAGGATCTCACTATTGTCCAGGCTGTATTGCAGTGGTGGGATCATAGCTTGCTACAGGCTACAACTCCTAGGACTCAAACAAACCTCCCTCCTCATCCTCCTGAGTAGCTGGGACTACAAGTGTGTGTCATTATGCCTGGCTAATTTTTGTATTTTTTTGTAGAAACAGGGTTTTACCATGTTGCCTAGACAGGTCTTGAACTCCTGGGTTCAAGCGATCCTCCCACCTTGGCCCCCCAAAGTGCTGGGATTACAGGCATGAATGACTGCATCCAGCCAAGACATGATACTTCAGCTTTCATGTCCAAGACTAAGCATACTGAGGCCACTGGCCTCTATGGCCACATCATGTTTGTGTCCCAGAAGAAATAAATCTATAAGCCTTGTCTATCAATAAATAGTTTATATACCTTTAAATATCCAACATCTAGTCACTGATGTTTATTATGCAAAATCTCCCACTTCTTCAAAATGGGAACAGTATTTAACCATGCCCAGTTTCCTGCCACTTCTACCACCCTTTACAGTTCTACATTCTTTCCAGATTAGATCAGCAATGCAATTTGAACATCTTCCACAGAACACTGGGATGCAAGTTATCAGAGTTGGGAAACTATTTAGAATATAATTATGTTCTCCCACTTTGGGCTTCTCTTTCTCTTGCTAAGGAGTCTCTCCTTCCCTCCTACTCCTCTCCCTACTCTCCTCTGCAAAAAGACACAAGTAAAACTGAGGTTGAGGAGCTTGGTTTTTTCTAAGTAATCTTTCAGTAATAGATCACTGCTGACTAAACTACACCCAGTAGGCTGCTGCATCTTTGTTTCTCTTTGTTAAATACACTTTAAAAGTTTTATTTATTGTTCCTCGAATTTTTGCAAACCTGAACATATTTCTATCTCTAAGTTTATGCCACCCCTATTTACTTGCTTTTGGTCCTGTTTCCTTTCTTCATATAACACTCTTTATCCTGTAAGAGGACAGTTTCCTTCGCTGCAGTGGGACCACAGACTATAGAGAATTAGGACCTGGAAACAGAATGTGCAGTTATAGGGGAAAGTATCCAGCTGTGGCTGATGAGGAAGCAAGCCAGCTCATCAGACTTCACTATCTATTAGAATGTGAAGCTTCATGAAGGCAAGGGGTTTTTGTTGTCATTGTTGTTGGTTTTGTCTATTTTATTCACTGTTATATTTCCAGGTCCCAGAACAATGCCTGGCATGCAATAAATATTTGTTGAATGAATGAAAAATGGTTATCAATAGGCAGGGCAACATCCACGTGAAAGGTAAGCCAAAAAAGAGTATTCACCACTACATGACCAAGTAGGCAGTGCCCAATTATGGGGGATCCAGGACAGGCTACAAGCAGACAGCACTAGAAAAGTCTGCCAGCAGTTAGCAAGGCTTCAGCACTGCTGACATGTTAGGAAAAAAAAGAAAGACTGAGGTTAAGAAGGGTTCAGGCCCAGAGGCCATGGCCAAACCCAATTTTTAGAAGTAGGCCTTATTCCTGAGGCTAGCAGCAAGGCTGTCTTGATGCTGATTTCCAAGTACGCAAAAGCCCCCTAAATTCCTCCTGTCTAACCTGTCTTCTGATTCTAACCTAAAGATTTGAAATGCCATTTCCCAAAAATCTATCAGTCATAGTTTTTCTTTAGAATCAAAAGACGAACTAAAGGCTTTTTGAGAAATTTCTCTGTAATCCTTCCTTTGTGTCCAAGCAGAGCCCCCACACAGTAAAGCACAAAACTGGATTCAAAGATTTAGCTAGCAGCCATGGTAACTAGGGTCCCTGTAGAGTGACCCATGGGTAGTGATGTTTCAGAGCCCTGGGGAGCAGACCAAGTAGGACCTGATTATTTTTTAGAGCGAAACTCTAATTGGCCTATATTTCCTAAGTTTTGCATTTGCTAAGTAAATTTTTAGAGGGTGAGGGTATGTAGAATATAAATATTAAAAACAAAGAATAAAAGAGTTTTTACAGGCAAAGTAACTAGTCAGGTGTCACATTTTCTTGCAATTGACAAACACCACTTCTTGCTTGGAAGGCTGCATCTTTAGTTCCTAACTCAATGCCTGGTAGGAGACAATAAAATGTATTGAATGGGTGAATAAATGAATGAAATAGCTAGTCAATTAAGTTCATTTCACCATGTTTTGTCTATTCCAATTTTTTGTGTCAGAATTGATGATTTGAATGTAACTCAAAGTCTTGAGAGGTGCCTCATTGCTTATTTGACTCAAGGGATCAATCAGTGATAGGGTCCCCTGCTTAAGGAACAACAGAATGCTGCTAAGAGGTCAGGTACAAATATGATGTTCCATTGACTTACAAAGTCATTTTTCTCTACTATATTTTTTAAAGGCCTTGAGTAAAAATCCTTGAAAGAGCTCTTTAAAAAGACTGTGTCATGTACCAATCATATGGCAGTTGAGGTACTTTCAGTGTAGAAAATAGTGAAAATAAACAAAGATTTAAAAATCTACTACAAATTACATAATACTTTTCATCTATAACTTTTAAATCAAAACACAAAAACATTTGTAAAAAAGTAATACACATATGTAAGAGACATACTTATGTTATGATTAAGATCGTAGACTTTGAGATTAAATGACCTGGATTTGAAGACCAGTTTATCCATTTCCTGGTCTCATGATCTTCAGCAATTTGCTTAACCTCTCTGAGACTGAGTTGCCTCACCTGTAAAATGGGGGTCATAATTACACCTACCTCATAGCATTTTTATGAGGATTAAATGAGATAATGTGTGCAAAGGGCTTAGTACAGTACAGAGTATAAGTACAGTAACTATTAACATTTATTCAGCTTATTAACATACATACTTTATGTAAATATTAATTCACTTGTTCTTGCAGTAATTTGGTGACTTCTCAGGCATCTGAAACACACAGATTGAAAAACACTGCTGGATTCAGTAGGAACTGGGACAAAGGGTATCTTCAGAAAGAATAATGGAGACCTGTGTTGTTGCTGAAGGAGATGGAGCTTGGGACTTGGAAGACTGGCAGAGCTGCTTCTCCTTAGGAGCTCTGGCTGCTACTGGAGCAGCCCCAGGAAGGCTCTGTCACTAGGAACAAGAGCTACCACTAACTGAGTTAGTCCCTGGGAGCTGGACACTGCTGCTGACAAGTACTGCCAAGATGGTCCGTGGTGGTCTGCCTCTGGGACCCTGCTGACTACACACAACAATTGAGGCTTACAAAAGAGGAACTAAGAAAATCCAAAGATTTGGAAGTGTCTGACCCTTTCTTCCCTTTATGGCTTCTCACTTGCACAGAAGAATTTCAGCCCAACTCTCCATGCAACATCCAATAGGGGACAAAATACTATGCTCTATCATTACACCCTCATTGAGGAGGGTCAATAATCATTTCTCACCAAGAAAGTAGGAGGTCAGAAAGTGGATGAGGAATCAACCTAGTTTAGAGGATTGATCTAGAATCTTGTCCTCAGGCTTCTAGGGAATTATCTGAGTCTTTTATCTAAGACAAATGCAACAGTTTTCTTTCCAAATGCTCAGAAAAATAGTGATGATGATGATGATGATGATGTTCATTTGTATACATTTACATGCAACCACAGCATTGTTTTTATTATAATACCTTAGCAATAACTAATGAGAACATGTTAGGTGATGTTAAA
Organism: Homo sapiens; assembly: GCF_000001405.40. Classification (NCBI taxonomy): domain Eukaryota; kingdom Metazoa; phylum Chordata; class Mammalia; order Primates; family Hominidae; genus Homo; species Homo sapiens. The sequence continues at coordinate 79,274,185 of NC_000006.12, read as the reverse complement.
TAAAATAATTTTTTCCCAAAGACTGAGAACAGAGTTTCTTGGTTCGAATCCCAGGTCTACCACCAAGTAGCTTTTCTCGAGGCTCAATTTTGTCATCTAAAAATGAAGTGGTAGAAGCAGAGGTTCTCGAGGTCACTTTCAGCTCTTCTAGCATTATCTAACTAGACCACCCTTCAATAAGGTGATGGATAAGAAAGTCAAGGTTTGCCCTCCCTGTTACTCCTTTTATGCCTTTGAAATCTTTCCTTATTTCACCTGGTTGTGTTTCTTCCTTGACAACTTTCAACTAACAGTACCCAACACCAAGCCTTCTTTCTCTCTCAATTCTGGCAATTTACTAAGGTTTTTAAATTCTGGCACAAAATTCCATTCCCAAAGTATTACAGAGGCCATATTCTCAGATAGGTTGCAATCCATCAGAGAATTGAGCTTCACTTAGCCCAATTACTTTCTAGACTAAAACTAGATATTACACTTTTGCAGTTCTGTCCTTGTAATAATCGCCAGTTTTCCTACAAAACTATTAGCCCATATGCAACCATTTCCTCCTTCTGATGGAGAAAGTTTGTCTTATTTCCAAAAAATGACCATTTGCACAGCAATTATACATTTTTTCCAGTTCATTTTTATCTGACTTTCTTTATTTAAAAAAATTCCTTAAAACTTCTACTTTGGAATTTTTTGCAGACATTTCAGTCCTTTCATTTCTTTCTTTCTAGATTCAATACCAATGTCTAGAAAAATGGGAATGGCAAGATATTGGTTGTTCCCTGTCTCACCCCAAAGTAGCCATGCACATCAAAATCATACAACAAAGCTAACCTTAGGAGGGATATACAAGTTTCCCTTAAAAAATAAAAAGAATTGTCAATTAGAAGTGAATTAAATATGTTTATAATGGAGCCAGAAGTTATGGTTAAGACAAATGGATTGAAGGTAAAGTCAAAATTTTTTAAGTATAAGGAATATTTACATTAATCATTATACCTTTATGCCTGAAGAGCTATTTTATAGGCTCTTTAAGCATAAAGAGATTGGATTTGAATTCAATGACCTTCCAAATTGAGGGTTTTTTAATGCTACTCCAGAATCATTTAAAAGTGGTGTTAGCTTTCTGTTCATGTTTGGTGAACTTTTTAAATCCAATAGCTTGATTTTACAGTGTAACGTAGAAAAGGCTTTCTGGTTTAAGAGTCTAAGCCTCTAGGAAATAAGATAGTATTTAAATGAACTTTTAAACCAAATAAAAAGTAGGCATTTAGGCTATGTGATTTAATCTTAATATTATATGTCAACATGAACATACAGCTTGTGATATTTAAAGTAAATATTGTTTTGTTCACATGTTGCTTGAGAAATTGAAATGAGTTGAGGTTTAGCCCCAGATGTGATTTTGTATAAGGTACATTGTTCAGCAACACAGAGACCTGATTAAACTGCCTGGAGCTGTCCACATGTGGGCTAAGAGGACAAGTTCTTGAGAGTTTCTTATTTCAAAAACAATGCTATAAAAAATCAGATTCTCAGAGATGTACCCTTAAAATGATAGATTGCTTTAAAAAGGTTCTTCAATTAATCTATACCATTTTGGGGTCCTGTTTATACAAGTTAATACATCTCCTAGACATTAAAATAGTAGACTGACCTCACTAATATGTAAATCATATAAATTTTAAAATACAAAAAACTACATAAACATTAAATTAAAGAAAAGCATCAAGAGTCCATATTCCCATCACTTCCTCCAAGAACCTGGTGTTTGTCAGGCTGCTATAAAAAAGCATCATAGAATAGATGGCTTATAAATAACAGAAACTTATTTCTCGCAGTTCTGGAGGCTGGAGGTCTGAGATCAGGATGCCAGCATGGTCCGGCTTTGGTGCAGATCCTCTTCCAAGTTGCAGACTGCCAAGTTTCTTGTTTTATCCTCACATACTGAAGAGCAGAGAGGGGAGGCAAGCTCTTTCAGGACCCTGATAAGGGCAGTAATCTCATTCATAGGGTCCCTACCCTTATAACCTCATCTAATCCTAATTACCTCCCAAAGGCCCCAACTCCTAATACCATCATATTTGGGAAGCAGGGTGTTAACATATGAATTTTGGGGGAACACAAACATTCAGTGCATAATAAAGCTCAAGTGATCACCCAAAGCCCTCATGGAATTGATAACACTCAATTTTTCTGAAATTCATAAATAGCAGTTTATATGAAATGGAAATATGAGTGGCAGGTGAATGATTTAAATTAGTTGCTCAGAGTACATTTTTCCAGTTGGAAGAAAATCATCATAGGATTGGATATAGGTTTTAGGGAGATGCGATGTGATCTTTTAAGTTGATAACCAAAGAAAACAAAAAAGAATAGATGTTGAAGTTTGAAGATCCCCTAAGAATTGCAGAAGGGGGATCAGCTAAGTGATGAGCCAGGAGCGCCGACACAGGAAGCTCTGATGCAGGTGATGCTCCTGTAATGCAACTTGCAAGAGAAGGTGGGAGTGACCCTAAAAGAAGTATTCCGATAGGTCACAGATAGCCAATGGCCCAAGACTTTTCAAAACCTGGAAGACTCATAAGCATAAGGTAAAGATAACATAAGATAAATGTTAAGTCTTCCTGAGGCTATAAAATCAAAACAAAGTGGTAACAGTTGAGGTTAGTAAGCAATGCTACAACTTACACCTCACTTTTATCATTCCTTTGAATCTTAAACTAAAAAATGATAACTTCTTTAAATGGTTTTGTGGGTATTAAATGAAATAATGTATGTAAAAGACCAGGACCTGATAACTACTCAAGTGTCAGTTCACTTCATACTCTCTTTCCTGGCTTCTCAGGGCTTGAAAGTAGATCTTATTTAAATGACGAAAAAGAGTTTAGAGTTGAACTAGAGCCTACTAGACTAGCTGCTTGAAGCTTGTGTCAAAGTGTGCTATTCAAGTGGAAAAGTTGCTGGATTTTCCTTTACAATACCAAGAATGTATTTACATTTGCTCTCTCTCCTTCCTTAATTTTCATGGCTCTAAGCTGGCTAATGAATGTCACCAGTGATCTCCTCCTTTCCAAATTCAACATATACTTTGGAGTGCTGTGCAGCATTGGACACTTCTTGGTGCTCACTCTTGCCTCCATTTCTGTTGCTTTCCTGGTTTACTTCTACCTCCTTCCATCTTCCTCTTCTTGTTTTCTCCATTAAATGCCAATACTCCCCAGAGCTCTTCAGTCATTTTAATTGTACCCTCATGACTCTCTCCAAACTCCTTAACTTCAACTACAACCTATAGATACTTTTTTTTTTTTTTTTGAGATGGAGTCTCACTCTGTCACCCAGGCTGGAGTGCAGTGGTGTGATCTTGGCTTGTGACAACCTCTGCCTCCAGGGTTCAAGCGATTCTCCTGCCTCAGCCTCCCAAGTAGCTGGGACTACAGGCATGCACCACCACACCCAGCTAATTTTTCTGTATTTTTGGTAGAGATGGGGTTTCACCAGCTGGTCAGGCTGATCTTGAACTCCTGACCTCAAATGGTCCACCTACCTCAGCCTCCCAAAGTGCTGGGATTACTGGCATGAGCCACTGCACTTGGCCTACAACCTATAGATACTCTTATCATATATCACCATTCATACTATCTGCTCCAAGCTATAGCCTATAAATCCAACTGCCAAATGAAGTCTGAGATCAGTTCAGTTCCAACTGAATGTCCCAACACACCTCAAATTAAACATATCCCCAGACACCCCAAATCTCCTTTTCTCCCATGGTACTTTGCTGATGCCTCTTCCTAGCATTTGTCACACTGTACTGCTGGGGTTATTTCATTGAAGACATGGACTATTTCTTACTCAATTTAAAATTCCTAGCCCCTGGCAAAGCACTGCCACACAGTAGGCATCTGCTAAATATGAGTGAGGAAGTACAAATCTTGTGACACTGTTGAATTGAACCTGACACAGAGCATCTCTGCTCTGCCTAGAATGTTTCCTGCTTTCCTTGGCTCTATAGTTTGGGTTATGTTTTGGTTACTGTGTTGCTTTGTTTTTAACTTTCTGATTGTTGCTGGGTAATCTCCTTGGGACTCTCTTGGTTGCTATGCTTCACATGCTGTGAGATTTCCATTTGTAACTAAATGGTCACATTTTTTTTATCAGCCTCTGGCATGGAACAGGGCCTCAAAGAAGCTCGATTGCAACCACACACATATTTGTGGACAGTAACAAGCAGGAAAGGAGTTTGGCAGGAGTTCCCTTATCTCTGCCCAGAGCCATCCCTCGTGTCTCATTTCACCGTCTGCTTCCTCAAAAAAGAGCTCACGTTCTCACTACTCAACACACCCATGTGAATGTTTATTCCACTAGTAATGGATCTATAAATTTATAAAATGAAGTTTATTAACCTCAAAATAAAAATGAGAGGGTTCAAACTTTTTTTCTCTCTCTTTTGTGGGATAAGGTCTTTTTGTAATTTTTTTGTTAATTTTAAAACAGATATTGTATAGCCGACCTTTTTTTAAAAAAATGGAAGATTTCTATTGAAATCCTATTTGAAAGGAGATGTCTAGCTTATTTGCCTTTTATAAACATGTTACAGTAAACTTCCTTTATCTAGAAATGTTGGGAACCGAAGTATTCAGATTAATCGAATACCCTAATTAATCCAAAAATATTTCCTAAATATTTCTCAACACTATCCTAGACATTGAGATGAAATTCGAAGAAGAATTTTACAATACTGTTGGGAGTGAGGAGAAATCTAAGACGTGTAGTAATTTGTGAACAACTTAAGAGGATGGTAGCAAATCAAATAAATCCTTAAATGAGCCCTTGAGGCTGACAAAAATATGACGATGTTTCTCTGGGTAACTTAATCTCCTGTTCTCCAAAATGATTATTCAAGTCTTCTTCACTCTTCTCAAACTGCTGATTCTCTGCTGCGGTGCCACTGTCACAGCCACTGACTTCGCCTACATTTTTACCACCTCCCCCACGCTCAGAGGGCGACCTTGACTCCTACTTCGTATGAGAGAATAAAATACAGAAGCCCTCAGAAATTTCCTCAACTTCTTAAAACCAAATATATCAGCTTACACCCATCCCTTTCACTCCATTCAGATATAATAAAGGAACTGTCCCTTTCCTATCTAAGGCCAATCATTCCAGTGTCCTATATCCCCCTCCTCTTTTCTTCTCAGAATTCTTAAACAGGAATAACTATTCTTTCTCACTTTTACAGACTCACCCCCCTCCATCAGAATTTCTGAACAGTTTTTAACACATCATCAAGACTTTCATTGAAAAACTACCCTTCTCAACTCCCATTCTCCTGCTGATATGATGCTATCTCTCTTTCCCTCTTCACAGACATATTTTCCAGAAAACTTGTCTACACTCACATCTCCACTTTCTGAACCCTCATTCACTCATCAACCCAATCTGGCCTCTGCCTCACACTCCACCAAAAGAGCTCTTGCAAATGTGACTGATGTGTTCCATGTTACTAATAGGTGTTTCTCAGATAGCTTCAATTATAACCTACATGATAATTCACAAATCTATTTATTTGTGAGAAGTGACCCAACTCTGAAGCCAGACTCCCCACATTTGAGTCATAGCTCTACCACTTAATAGTCGCATGCCTCAAGGAAGTTATTGAAACTCTCTGTGCCTTGATATTAAAAATGTAAATAATAGGTAATAATTAACCTCAGATACCTGCAGATATTCAGTGGATTAATTCTTTCATACATATGTATTGAATACAAATGTATTGAAATAGCACCTAGAAATTGCTATTATATGTCTAGCCCAAATCTCTCTTCTGAACTCTAGACTTACATATGAAATTTCATACTGGACATTTCCACTTACACATGTCAAAAATACTGTATTAGTTTTCTACTGCTGCTATAACAAATTACCACAAACATGAGTATAGTTCTGTAGGTCAAAAGTTTGACAAAGATCTCAATGGACTAAAGTCAAGGTCCAAGGTGCTAGTAGGGCTGTTTTCCTTTCTGGAGGCTCAAGGGGAAAATCTGTTTTCTTGCCTTTGCCAGCTTCTAGAGGCCACCTGCATGCCTTGAGTTGTGATCCCTTTTCTCCATCTTCTATGGCATCTCTTTTTCTTACTCCCTTCCTCTGTCTACCTCTTCCCTCTTTAAAAATTGAGATATAATTCACATACCATAAAATTCATCATTTTAAAGTTTAAAATTCAGTGGTTGATGGTATATTTGCAAAGTTGTACAAGCACCACCACTGTCTAATTCCAGAACATTTTTATCATCCTCAAAGGGCATCCCATGCTCCTTAGCAGTAACTTTCCATTCTTGCCTCGTCCAGCCCCTGGCAACAAGGAATCTATGTTCTGTCACTATGGATTTTCCCATTTGGGACCTTTTATAGACATGAAATAATAAGTGGTCTTTTGTGACTGGTTTCTTTTACTTAGCATAATGTTTTCAAGGTTCATCCATGTAGTAGTATGTATCAATACTCCATTCTTTTTTATGGCTGAATAATATTTTATTGTATGGATACACTATATTTGTTTCATCTACTCATCAGTTGATAAACATAGGGATTGTTTCCACTTTTTGGTTATTATGAATAATGCTACTATAAACATTCAGGTACAAGTTTTTGTGTGAACATATTTTTTTTCAGTGGGTGTGGACCTAGGGGTAGAATCATTTTACAGTCTCACCAGCAGTGTATGAGGATTCTAATTTATCCACATCCTCACCAACACTGTTATTTTCTTTCTTTCTTCCTTTAAAAACTTTATATAAGCCTCCTAGTGGCTATGAAGTTTTATCTCATCATCATTTTGATTTGCATTTTCCTAACGACTGATGATGTTGAACATATTTTCAGTTGCTTATTGGCCATTTATGTATCTGTTTTGGAAAAATGAATATTCAAATCCTTTGCTCATTTTTTAGTTTCTTTTTTTTTTTAATGTTGAGTTATAAAAGTTCTTCTTATATTCTGGACAGTTAACTATTTTCAGATATATGATGGGCAAATATTTTCTCCCATAGTATGGGTAGTCTATTCACTGTTTTTGATAGTGTCTTTTAATACACAAACTTTTTTAAATTTTGGTGAAGTCCAGTTTATTTGTTTTTTCTTTCATTGCTTGTGCTTATGGTGTCATATCTAAGAAGCCACTGTCTTGGTCAAAGGTCATAAAGATGCATGCCTACGTTTTCTTCTAAAAATGTTATAATTCTGCCTCTTATATTTAAGTATTTGATCCATTTTGAGTTAATTTTTGCATATAGCATGAGGAAGGCAGTCCAAATTCATTACTTTGCATGTGGATATCAAGTTGTCCCAGCACGATTTGTTGAAAAGGCCATTTCTTTCTCATTGAATGGTCTTATCATCCTTGTCAAAAATCAGCTGACCATACATGTATGGGTTTATTTGTCTAAATTTATATCAGTATTATACTGTTTGAAGTAGTATTTCTTTGAAGTAGGGTTTGAAATCAGAAAGTGTACATCCTTCAATTTTGTTCTTATTTTTCAAGAATAAGGTTATTTTTATTATTCTGGGTTCCTTGTAATTCCACATAAATTTTAGGATCAGCTCATCTATTTCTGAAAAAAAGGAAGTTGGAATTTTGTTAGAGATTGCATTATATCTGTAATTAATTTAGGGGATATTGCCATCTTGACAATATTAAGCTTCCAATGCAAGAATACCAGATGTCTTTCCATTTATTTAGGTCTTCTTTAATTTCTTTCAGCAATATCCAGTAGCTTCCAGTGTAAATGTCTTATGCTTCTTTGGTTAAATTTACTCTTAAGTATTTTTTTATGCTATTGTTAAGTGTAATTGTTTTCTTGATTTTATTTTTAGATTACTCATTGCTTATATATGTGATTGCTCATTACTGGTATGTATAATTACCCCTCACTTTTGTACATTGAGCTTGTATCCTGCAAACTTGCTGAGCTTGTTTGTTAGCTCTGCTAGCTTATTTGTGGATTCTTTATGGTTTTCCACATATAAGATCATGCCATCTGCAAATAGATATATTTACTTCTTCCTTTCCAATCTGGATGCCTTTTTTCTGTTGAATATAAGTGGTAAGAGCAGGTATCCTTGGCTTTCCTAATCTTAAGGGGAAGGCTTTCTGTCATTCACCGTAAGCATGATGTTTGTTGTGGGATTTTCAAAGATGCATTTTACTAGTTTGAGGAATTTCCTTCTACCCCTAGTTTGTTGAGTATTTTTGTTATGAAATGGTGTTGAATATGGGTCAAATGCTTTTTCTGCATCTAGTGAAATGATCATGTGGAGTTTTTTCCTTTATTCAATAATATGCTGTATTACATTGATTCAGTTTTGTGTGTTGAACCAATCTTGAATTCCTGGAATAAATTTCATTTGGTCATGATATATAATCCTTTCTATATGTTGTTGGATTATGTTTACTACCATGCTGTTGAAGATTCATAACAGATATTGGTCTATAGTTTTCTTTTCCTATGATGCTTTTGTCTGGCTTTTGTATCAGGGTAATAGTGGTCTTACAGAATGAGTTAGGAAATGTTCCCTTCTCTTCTATTTATTAGAAGAGTTTGTGAAGGATTAGTGCTAATTCTTCTTTGGGTGTTTGGTAGAACTCACCAGTAAAACCATCTGGTCCTGGGCTTTTCTTTAATAAAAAATTTTTGATAACTGATTCAATCTCCTTACTTGTCATGGGTGAATTCAGATTTTATATTTCTTCCTGAGTCAGTGTTGGTAGTTTGTGTCTTCTAAGAATTTGTCATTTTATCTAGGTAATCTAACTTGTCAGCATACCATTATTTACCATATTTCATTAAAATCCTTTTTACTAAGGAGGAACATTGCTACCAGTGTCCCCCCTTTCTTTCCTGATTTTCATAATTTGAGTCTTCTCTCTCCCTCTTTCTCTCCCTTGAAGTAGTTATCAGTCTAGTTTTGTTGAGTTTTGTTAAGGGCATCAACAATCAATTTTGTTGATGCCCTTAAAGAAACAACTTTTGGTTTCATTGAGGTTCTATATGATTTTTCTATTCTCTATTGTATTTACTTTAGCTCTAATATTTATTACTTCCTTCTTTCTGCTTGCTTTTGGTTCATCTTGCTCTTCTTTTTCTTTTTTCTTAATGTGAAAATGTGGGTTATTTCTTCTTTTTAAAATGTAGGTGTCTACAGTTATAAATCCTCTCTTCACTGCTTTCATTGTATCCCATTAGTTTTGGTATGCTGTGTTTTCACTTACATTCATCTAGAAGTATTTTCCAATTTCCCTTGTGGTTTCTCCTTTGAAAATCATTGGTCCTTCAGATGTATGTTATTTAATCTCCACATATATTTGAATTTTTCAAATTTTCTTCTGTTTTTGATTTTCAATTTCATTTCATTGTACCCATGAAATGTTAATACCATGAGTATACTGTACAGCTGTGATTTATACATAAAAAGAATAAGCTTGGCTCCTCTGCCTATGGAGTAGCCATTCTTTTATTCCTTTATTTTCTTAATAAACTTGCTTTCACTTTACTATATGGACTTGCTCTGAATTCTTTTTTGTGTGAGATCCAAGAACCCTTTCTTGGCGTCTGGATTGGGACCACTTTCCAGTAACATCTTGCTGGCAAAGGACGAAGGGAAAATATTAAGGAGTCTCCTGACCCAAAGGAGATAGACTACAGCACCAATTGGCTGCCTTTGGGTAAGTGGTGGGGTACTAAGGTAAAGGGTGGGATTGGGTTGGAGGTCTAACTTTGGAGGGTTAGCGTCCCTCCTAAGACAGAGTGGGTTAAAGGCCCCTCTTAATAAAAGACAAGGATATTTGACTGAACTTGGGTTCCAGGCCCAACTTAGGAAGGCTTACAGTCCTTCCTAAGATTTAGGGGGTTAGAGGTCCCCCACCTCAGTAAAGTCCTTCTTGGTTAAAATGGATTTGGTACTATGGGATGTTAGTCACTATTCTTTTTGGATTAATCTGCCTTGCGCTCTTTGCTGATGGCTATGGGTGACAGGATTAGACATATGTAGTATCATGGGACATGGGGAACTTTCTTCTCCCCAAAGGGGGACACTTGAGAGCTGATGGGACTGCTGGAAAAGATCCCTTCACTGCCGAGAAGGCTGAACTTTTGATTCAGTGTCGCTGTAATGGATGGGTCTTTCTCTGGTCTCCCTGAGCTCTTTACCTTCTCCACCGCACTGCAGGCAATGATTTTCTCTCTCTTTCTCTCCTTTCCCTTTTCTATCTTTTCTGTTACTCAGAGCGACCATCTTGCCCAGAGATCACATGTTGAGACTCCTTTAATCCACTTTGAATGGATTAAAGATGACAGGGCCCATCCATGGGCAACTTTGAGCCTTGCCATTTCAATTTTGGGTGCTAAGTAGAGTGGCTAATATCTATGTTTTGTCACATGTGTTTTGCACCAGCCAGAATGGAAAATGTTAATTAGGGTTCCCCATGCAGTTGGTTTGGTGGCATCTTACAAAATTGAGAGGCTTTGCCTGTGATTCCATGAAACAGAAAAAAAAAAAAAAAGATTTTCTTTTGTGTTTCAGCTTGGCCCCCAGGGTTATAGTGTGGCAAGGAGGGTTGCTAGGGCCCCTGAGGGAAAGGGAATCCAGAAGCCTGGTATGCCAGCAAAGAGTTAGGAATTTCTTACCAGTCAGGCTTCTGGCTTCTCTTACTTTGTGTAAACTAGTTGAATGAATGGTGAAAATCACTGTTTATCTCTACTGTAAACTTTTCATTAATGGAAAAAAGATTTGTGAGGCTAGTCTGAAGCTGTAGTGAATATGCTGTACTTTGTGCTATGAATTTGTCTGTCTGTGTCACTCCATCATAAAGAGAAGTACCTTAGGATAGAACATGGGCTTAGGACCACATAAGCCAGCTGTTCAAGCCAGTCCAGCAAACTGGTTAGTTGTGTCCTTGGGAGCTTGACCTTGTAATCACATGGCAGTACTTTCTCTTAATCTCTGCCTTCCAGGAATTTTGAAATTCATGACATAGTTAGCTCCAAAAATTATCTTGAGCAGTTAAAAGACTTTGCAAGCTCAAAATTGACTGCTGTAGGCTGCTTCTGGGAAGGGCAATAGAAACCACCAAATGCTGTAGCTAAGCAGCTAAGGTTTCACCATTTTACAATGGTGGCTTGGGTTTAGGTTCAATTCCTGGCTTAGGGAATGCATCCTTTCTGATTTGATATCTGTGTGATCTTTACTGTTTGTTGATTGTCTTCCCCTCCAGGAGCCATCTTGAATTTTCCTTTCTCTGAGCACCTAGGAGGTTACCTTTGGTAAAGTTTAAAAGCCAGAAATATTGGCCATTTGATGTGCCTAAAGTCAGGTAATAAGAGATGTAAAAGGATTTTTTTAAGAGTGCTATGGTAAAAAGTCAGCTTAATTAAAAGCTTATATTCAAGCTCTAATAACCTGGGACTCCTTGGGCAAAACAGGTGCCACAGACCCTGTTTTGGGAAAAAAAACCTCTGTTTTCCTCATGAAACCTCAGGAATTGAAAGTGGATACATCCCTCTCAAAATCTAAGCTCTGTTCTGTTTTGCATTGCATTATCTGACATTTTTTACTTTTGGGGTATAAGAAATTACTTCACGTTATGCGAGGGTTTTGTGTATAATAATTAGGTAGGACATATACTTTTGGGGATGGCTGATGGCAGTTATGGGGAGATACCGGGTTCCTTGCACGTTTGAATTAGAAAAGCAAGCTCTTGGTCACCTGGAAGGTATGGCAACATCCCCACCCTTCTGTTGAGAAATAAGACTCCCATGGGAGATGGAATGATTCCCTCTTTTTGGGATCCAGAATCTGGTATAAAAATAGGACCTTCAGGGCCAAGATGGCCGACTAGAAGCAGCAGTGTTCGGAGGCTCCCAGTGGAATGAAACCATAATAAGCATGTGAATCCTTCACCAGAAACCAAGGTATCCAGGTTCTCTCATCAAAATTGACTAGAAGGCTGGCGTGACTCATGGAGAGAAGGAAGAAGAGTGTGGTGCAGCAGCCCATCTAAGAGCCACAGAGGCAGGGGAACCCCCTCCCCCCAGCCAAGGGAGGTGGTGAGTGAGCATGCTACCTAGCTGAGGAAACTGTGCTATTTCTATGGAACTGTGCAACCCCCAAGTTGGAAAATCCCACTCAGGAACCCATGTGACCGGGGCCTAGCGTCCAAACCCTGGAACATGCAGATTCTTACAGCCTCTCAGCTGGAATCTGTTTAAGCCTACTAAACTCCTGGGGGGAAGGGCAACCAGCACCTGCTGGGGCTGCCTGCTGTCTAAGCCATTTGAGCTCCTTGGGGGAGCGGCAGCAACTAGCACTGGGGCTCACAACAGCCTAACACACTAAGCTCCCTGGGCAGGGGAAAGGCGGCACTCATTTCTATAGCTCCAGGCTGTGATTTTCTCCTGCTGGAGGCAGGGAGGCTGGACAGTTTGGTCCCAGGACTTGTCCCCACAGCCCAACGCACTGGCTGTGGCAGTCTGCAGCCAGAGTGCCTCTTCAGATCTAACACTGACCCATCCTTCCTCATTGGTTGGGGCTTCCCTACCAGAACCCCAATAACTCCAGCCACAGGCTCAGAGACAGAATTCAGATCTCTCTGGGCCTGAGCCCCTAGGGGGAGGGGTGGCCACAGTCTCTACGGACCAGCAGAGTTAGCCTCTCCTCCTGGTAGTTCTGAGGAATCCAGACAGCCGAGATGAATGGGTTTTCACCCAGTGAGGCACACCCCCTCCACCAAGGGAAAAAGTGCTTCATTAAATGGGTCCTGCTCCCTGTGCCACCCAAATGAGTGAGACCCTCCAACAGGGGTTGTCAGACACTCTATACAGGAGCAGTCCTACTGGCATCAGATTGGTGCCACTTGAGGTTAGAGGTCCCAGAAGAAGGAGCAGGCACCATCTTTGCTGTTCTACAGCCTCCTTGAGTGACATCTCCAGGGAGCGAATCAGATGAATATGGCCAGAGGTGAACCTCCAGCAAATTGCAGCAGTCCTACAGAAGAGGAACCTGACTATTGAAAGAAAAACAAACAAGCAGAAAGCAACAACAAAACAGCATCATCAACAACAACAACAAAAAGACCTCCATGAAAACCCATCCAAGGGTCAGTAGCCTGAAAGACAGAAACTAGACAAATGTAAGAGGATGAGAAAGAATCAACGAAAAAATGCTGACAACCCAAAAGGCCACAGTGCCCCTTCTCCTCCAAATGATTGCAGCGTCTCTCCATCAAGGGTGCAGAACTGACAGAGGATCAGATGGATGAATTGACAGAAGTAGGCTTCAGAGGATGGGTAACAAACTATGTTGAGCTAAAGGAGCATTTCTAACCCAATGCAAAGAAGCTAAGAACCTTGATAAAAAGTTAGAGGAATTGCTAACCAGAATAACCAGTTTAGAGAGGAACAAAAACGACCTAATGGAGCTGAAAAACACAGCACAGGAACTTCGTGAAGCATACACAAGTATCAACAGTGGAATCGACCAAGCAGAAGAAAGACTATCAGAGTTTGCAGACCACCTTACTGAAATAAGACATGAAGACAACAGTAGAGAATAAAGAATAAAAAGGAATAAACAAAGCCTCCAAGAAATATGGGACTTCATAAAAAGACTGAACCTACAATATTCAGGATATTATCAAGGAGAACTTCCCCAACCTAGCAAGACAGGCCAACTTTGAAATTCAGGAAATACAGAGAACACCATTAAGATACTCCACAAGAAGATTGACCCCAAGACACATAATCATCAGATTCTCCAAGGTCAAAATGAAGGAAAACTATTAAGGGCAGCCAGAGAGAAAGGCCAGGTTGCCTACAAAGGGAAGTCCATCAGACTAACAGTGGACCTCTCAGCAGAAACTCTACAAGCCAGAAGAGATTGGGGCCAATGGTCGACATTCTTAAAGAAAAGAATTTTCAACCCAGAATTTCATATCCAGCCAAACTAAGCTTCATAAACAAAGGAGAAATAACATCTTTTCCAGACAAGCAAATGCTGAGGGATTTTGTTACTACCAAGCCTGCCATGCAAGAGGTCCTGAAAGAAGCACTAAATGTGGAAAGGAAAAACTGGTACCAGCCACTGCAAAAACAAAGCAATATATAAAGACCAATGACACTCTAAAGAAACTACATCAACTAGTGTGCAAAATTACCAAATAGCATCATGATAACAGGATCAAATAACAGGATCAAATTCACACATAACAAAACTAACCTTAAATGTAAATGGACTAAATGCCCCAACTAAAAGACACAGACTGGCAAATTGGATAAGGAGTCAAGACTCATTGGTGTGCTGTATTCAGGAGACCCATCTTACATGCAAAGAACACACAGGCTCAAAATAAAGAGATGGAGGAAAATTTACCAAGCAAATGGGAAGCAAATAAAAGCAGGGGTTCCAATCCTAGTCTCTGACAAAACAGACTTTAACAAAGGTCAAAAAAATAAAGTGGGCAAAGGATATGAACAGGCACTTCTCAAAGGAAGAAATTTATGTGGCCAAGAAACATATGAAAAAAAGCTCAACATTGCTGATCATTAGAAAAATGCAATAAAAACCACAATGAGATGCCATCTTATGCCAGTCAGAATGGCAATCATTAAAAAGTCAAGAAACAACAGATACTGGCAAGGCTGTGGAGAAATAGGAATGCTTTTTTTTACACTGTTGGTGGGAGTGTAAATTAGTTCAACTATTGTGGAAGAAAGTGTGGCTATTCCTCAAGGATCTAGAACCAGAAATACCACTTGACCTAGCAATCCCATTACTGGGTATATACCCAACAGAATATAAATCATTCTATTATAAAGATAAATGCACATGTATGTTTATTGCAACATTATTCACAATAGCAAAGACATGGAATCAAACTAAATGCCCATCAATGATAGACTGGATAAAGAAAATGTGGTACATATAAACCATGGAATACTACACAGCCATAAAAATGAATAAGATCATGTCCTTTGCAGGGACACAGATGTAGCTAGAAGCCATCATCCTCAGCAAGCTAAAACAGGAACAGAAAACCAAACAACACATGTTCTTACTCATAAGTGAGAGCTGAACAATGAGAACACATGGACACAGGGAAGGAAACAACACACACCAGGGACCGTCAGGGGAGAGAGGTGAGGGAGAGCATCAGGACAAACCACTAATGCATGTGGGGCTTAATACCTAGGTGATGGGTTGATAGGTGCAGTAAAACACCATGTCACACCTATGTATCAATTATATATGTTTACCTATGTATCAAACCTTCACGTTCTGCACATGTATCCTGGAACTTAAAGTAAAATAAAATTTAAAAAAAAAACTTTACCAAAAAAAGGAATTATTTTGTAACAAGACAGTTGGAGAAATTGGTTATTTTACCAAGGCTTTGACTGGAGTGGCTTGCTTTCTTTTAAGGAATCAAACTTGACTTATAGAGCCAATAAAAGGCTCTTTGGAAAACTGGCCTCATACCTTGTCTACACAGTCCCTGTACAGGGTTCCTGACCTGTGGTAAGTAAAGAATGTCACTTTCTAACAGGCCCAGGAGCCCCAGGTTATCTTGGTACCTCAAGAAGAGAGGAATTTACCCTGTTCATAGGTATTTGATGATAAAAACTCATGGCTAGGATCAGGTTTAAAAACAGTCTTATCTGAGATTCCTTTTATGGAACAAAGTTCCATAAAAGCCAATGTAAAAAGCTTATATGAAAAATAAGTATCCTTGCTGCACTTTATACCAATAATCAGGCCAAGTATAATAAAGCAAATTGGTCTTCCCATGATATGTCTTTAGTAAAAATGGGAAACTGGAAAGAGGAAAATTATGTTTCAAGAACTAAGGTATACCTGTTATTTGATTCTAGTCTCATCAGTTGTTTTTGAGTTTTCTTTTTCCCAGCAATTTAGACTAACCCTGCTTATTCCTGTGAACCAACCAGTGATCTCTGGCCAGTGCTCAAAAGAAACAGGAGGGACCGGTAATGTAAAAATCTGGATTAGTATTCTATTTCTGGGTATGTATTGGCATCAGCTAGCAACCCCACATCAGGTTGTTTCCAACAGTTGCCCAGTTCATGGAGAGTCTTGTTATTTAGTTTACTTGGGATAATTTTACTTACTTTGCTTTACTGTTGTGCAATATATTCCTGTTGTACTCGTTGTGTAGGAATGCAGGATAAGCTTACAAAACATTTTCTTAAATCAAACACTTATTAATCTTCCAGATATCACCTTTTGTTGGAACTTGGAGTTATAAGTGGCCATACTGATGCTTTCTGACTGAGCTCCTCTCTACCCCAAATACAAGAGACCCTAATAGTTAAGCAAGAATATCATCACCCCTATTCAGCCTGAAGAAGTTACAGAAGATGGATCTTTGCTGCTCTAGAACACTTAGGATTAAGGGTTCTCTTATAAAAAGGAAGGGTGAAATATGTCAGAGGCGTTTGACCAAGAGCTACTCCATCTTGAATAGGGGCTGGGTAAAAATAAGGCTGGGACTTACTGGGCTGAATTCCCAGGAGGTTAAGTCATTCTTAGTCACAGGATGAGATAGGAGGTCAAATCATATTTTCCAGCAAAAGTAAAACTTAATAACATTACATCAGAGTGAACAGGCAACCTACAGAAAGGTCACAAAGACCTTGCTGATAAAACAGCATATGGTAAAGAAGCCAGCCAAGGGGGTGGAGCCAAGATGGCCAAATAGGAACAGCTCCAGTCTACAGCTCCCAGCATGAGCGATGCAGAAGACGAGTCATTTCTGCATTTCCAACTAAGGTACCAGGTTCATCTCACTGGGGAGTGCCGGACAGTGGGTGCAGGACAGTGGGTGCAGCACACCGTGCATGAGCTGAAGCAGGGCAAGGCATCACCTCACCTGGGAAGCACAAGGGGTCAGGGAATTCCCTTTCCTAGTCAAAGAAAGGGGTGACAGAGGGCACCTGGAAAATTGGGTCACTCCCACCCTAATACTGCACTTTTCCAACGGGCTTAACAAACGGCACACCAGGAGGTTATATCCCACACCTGGCTTGGAGGGTCCTACGCCCACGGAGCTTCGCTCATGGCTAGCATAGCAGTCTGAGATCACCTGCAAGATGGCAGCAAGGCTGGGGGAGGGGCGCCCACCATTGCCGAGGCTTGAGTAAACAAAGTGGCCGGGAAGCTCAAACTGGGTGGAGCCCACCACAGCTCAAGGAGGCCTGCCTGACTTTATAGGCTCCACCGCTGGGGGCAGGGCACAGACAAACCAAAGGCAGCAGAAACCTCTGCAGACTTAAATGTCCCTGTCTGACAGCTTTGAAGAGAGTAGTGGTTCTCCCAGCACACAGCTTGAGATCTGAGAATGCGCAGACTGCCTCCTCAACTGGGTCCCTGACCCCCGAGTAGCCTAACTGGGAGGCATCCCCCAGTAGAGGCGGACTGACATTTCACACAGCCAGGTACTCCTCTGAGACAAAAGTTCCAGAGGAAAGATCAGGCAGCAGCATTTGCAGTTCACCAATATCTGCTCTTCTGCAGCCACTACTGCTGATACCCAGGCAAACAGGGTCTGGAATGGACATCCAGCAAACTCCAACAGACCTGCTGCTGAGGGGCCTGACTGGTAGAAGGAAAACTAACAAACAGAAAGGACATCCACACCAA
This sequence comes from Homo sapiens, assembly GCF_000001405.40. NCBI lineage: Eukaryota > Metazoa > Chordata > Mammalia > Primates > Hominidae > Homo > Homo sapiens. The sequence goes on along the minus strand of NC_000006.12, from coordinate 79,256,485 downwards.
AAAACATCTGTACATCGCCATCATCAAAGACCAAAGGTAGATAAAACCACAAAGATGGGGAAAAAACAGAGCAGAAAAACTGGAAACTCTAAAAATCAGAGTGCCTCTCCTCCTCCAAAGGAACGCAGCTCCTCACCAGCAATGGAACAAAGCTGGACAGAGAATGACTTTGACGACTTGAGAGGAGAAGGCTTCAGAAGATCAAAATACTCCGAGCTAAAGGAGAAAGTTTGAACCAATGGCAAAGAAGTTAAAAACCTTGAAAAAAAATTAGATGAATGGATAACTAGAATAACTAATGCAGAGAAGTCCTTAAAGGACCGGATGGAGCTGAAAACCATGGGACGAGAACTACGTAATGAATGCACAAGCCTCAGTAACTGATGCGATTTACATCAGTTACTTTCTTCCAGAAAGGGTATCAGTGATAGAAGACAAAATGAATGAAATGAAGTGAGCAGAGAAGTTTAGAGAAAAAAGAATAAAAAGAAACAAACAAAGCCTCCAAGAAATATGGGACTATGTGAAAAGACCAAATCTACATCTGACTGGTGTACCTGAAAGTGATGGGGAGAATGGAACCAAGTTGGAAAACACTCTGCAGGATATTATCCAGGAGAACTTCCCCAATCTAGCAAGGCAAGCCAACATTCAAATTCAGGAAATACAGAGAATGCCACAAAGATACTCCTCAAGAAGAGCAACTCCAAGACACATAATAGTCAGATTCACCAAAGTTGAAATGAAGGAAAAAATGTTAAGGGCAGCCAGAGAGAAAGGTCGGGTTACCCACAAAGGGAAGCCCATCAGACTAACAGCAGATCTCTCGGCAGAAACTCTACAAGCCAGAAGAGAGTGGGGGCCAATATTCAACATTCTTCAAGAAAAGAATTTTCAACCCAGAATTTCATATCCAGCCAAACTAAGCTTCATAAGTGAAGGAGAAATAAAATCCTTTACAAACAAGCAAATGCTGAGAGATTTGGTCACCACGAGGCCTGCCCTAAAAGAGCTCCTGAAGGAAGCACTAAACATGGAAAGGAACAACTGGTACCAGCCACTGCAAAACCATGCCAAATTGTAAAGACCATCGAGGCTAGGAAGAAACTGCATCAACCAACAAGCAAAATAACCAGCTAAAATCATAATGGCAGGATCAATTCACACATAACAATATTAACCTTAAATGTAAATGGGCTAAATTCTCCAATTAAAAGACACAGACTGGCAAATTGGATAGAGTCAAGACCCATCAGTGTGTTGTATTCAGGAAACCCATCTCACGTGCGGAGACACACATAGGCTCAAAATATAGGGATGGAGGAAGATCTACCAAGCAAATGGAAAACAAAAAAAGGCAGGGGTTGCAATCCTAGTCTCTGATAAAACAGCCTTTAAACCAACAAAGATCAAAAGAGACAAAGAAGGCCATTACATAATGGTAAAGGGATCAATTCAACAAGAAGAGCTAACTATCCTAAATATATGTTCACCCAATACAGGACCACCCAGATTCATAAATCAAGTCCTTAGTGACCTACAAAGAGACTTAGACTCCCACACAATAATAATGGGAGACTTTAACATCCCACTGTCAACATTAGACACATCAGTGAGACAGAAAGTTAACAAGGATATCCAGGAATTGAACTCAGCTCTGCACCAAGTGGACCTAATAGAGATCTACAGAACTCTCCACGCCAAATCAACAGAATATACATTCTTCTCAGCACCACACCACACCTATTCCAAAATTGACCACATAGTTGGAAGTAAAGCACTCCTCAGCAAATGTAAAAGAACAGAAATTATAACAAACTATCTCTCAGACCACAGTGCAATCAAACTAGAACTCAGCATTAAGAAACTCACTCAAAACCGCTCAACTACATGGAAACTGAACAACCTGCTCCTGAATGACTACTGGGTACATAATGAAATGAAGGCAGAAATAAAGATGTTCTTTGAAACCAATGAGAACAAAGACACAACATACCAGAATCTCTGGGACACATTCAAAGCAGTGTGTAGAGGGAAATTTATAGCACTAAATACCCACAAGAGAAAGCAGGAAAGATCTAAAATTGACACCTTAACATCACAATTAAAAGAACTAGAGAAGCAAGAGCAAACACATTCAAAAGCTAGCACAAGGCAAGAAATAACTAAGATCAGAGCAGAACTGAAGGAAATAGAGACACAAAAAACCCTTCAAAAAATCAATGAATCCAGGAGCTGGTTTTTTGAAAAGATCAACAAAATTGATAGACCGCTAGCAAGACTAATAAAGAAGAAAAGAGAGAAGAATCAAATAGATGCAATAAAAAATGACAAAAGGGATATCACCAACGATCCCACAGAAATACAAACTACCATCAGAGAATACTATAAACACCTCTACACAAATAAACTAGAAAATCTAGAAGAAATGGATAAATTCCTCGACACTTACACCCTCCCAAGACTAAACCAGGAAGAAGTTGAATCTCTGAATAGACCAATAACAGGCTCTGAAATTGAAGCAATAATTAATAGCTTAGAAACCAATAAAAGTCCAGAACCAGATGGATCCACTGCCGAATTCTACCAGAGGTACAAGGAGAAGCTGGTACCATTCCTTCTGAAACTATTCCAATCAATAGAAAAAGAGGGAATCCTCCCTAACTCATTTTATGAGGCGAGCATCATCCTGATACCAAAGCCTGGCAGAGACACAACAAAAAAAGAGAATTTTAGACAAATATCCTTGATGAACGTTGATGCAAAAATCGTCAATAAAATACTGGCAAACCGAATCCAGCAGCACATCAAAAAGTTTATCCACCATGATCAAATGGGCTTCATCCCTGGGATGCAAAGCTGGTTCAACATACGCAAATCAGTAAACGTAATCCAGCATATAAACAGAACCAAAGACAAAAACCACATGATTATCTCAATAGATGCAGAAAAGGCCTTTGACAAAATTCAACAACCCTTCATGCTAAAAACTCTCAATAAATTAGGTATTGATGGGACATATCTCAAAATAATAAGAGCTATCTATGACAAATCCACAGCCAATATCATACTGAATGGACAAAAATTGGAAGCATTCCCTTTGAGAACTGGCACAAGACAGGGATGCCCTCTCTCACCACTCCTATTCAACATGGTGTTGGAAGTTCTGGCCAGGGCAATCAGGCAGGAGAAGGAAATAAAGGGCATTCAATTAAGAAAAGAGGAAGTCAAATTGTCCCTGTTTGCAGATGACATGATTGTATATCTAGAAAACCCCATCATCTCAGCCCAAAATCTCCTCAAGCTGATAAGCAACTTCAGCAAAGTCTCAAGATACAAAATCAATGTGCAAAAATCACAAGCATTCTTATACACCAATAACAGACAAACATAGAGCCAAATCATTAGTGAACTCCCATTCACAATTGCTTCAAAGAGAATAAAATACCTAGGAATCCAACTTACAAGGGACATGAAGGACCTCTTCAAGGAGAACTACAAACCACTACTCAATGAAATAAAAGAAGATACAAACAAATGGATGAACATTCCATGATCATGGGTAGGAAGAATCAATATCGTGAAAATGGCCATACTGCCCAAGGTAATTTATAGATTCAATGCCATCCCCATCAAGCTACCATTGACTTTCTTTGCAGAATTAGAAAAAACTACTTTAAATTTCATATGGAACCAAAAAAGAGCCCGAATAGCCAAAAAAATCCTAAGCAAAAAGAACAAAGCTGGAGGCATCACGCTACTAGACTTCAAACTATGCTACAAGGCCACAGTAACCAAAACAGCATGGTACCGGTACCAAAACAGATATATAGACCAATGGAACAGAATAGAGGCCTCAGAAACAACACCACACATCTACAACCATCTGATCTTTGACAAACCAGACAAAAATAAGCAATAGGGAAAGGATTCCCTATTTAATAAATGGTGGTGGGAAAACTGGCTAGCCATATGCAGAAAACTGAAACTGGACGCCTTCCTTACACCTTATTAAATAATTAACTCAAGATGGATTAAAGACTTAAATGTAAGACCTAAAACTATAAAAAACCCTAGAAGAAAACCTAGGCAATACCATTCAGGACATAGGCATGGGCAAAGACTTCATGACTAAAACACAAAAAGCAGTGGCAACAAAAGCCAAAATTGACAAATGGGATCTAATTAAACTAAAGACCTTCTGCATACCAAAAGAAACTATCAGCAGAGTGAACAGGCAACCTACAGAATGGGAGAAAATTTTTGCAATCTACTCATCTGACAAAGGGCTAATATCCAGAATCTACAAGGAATTTAAACAAATTTACAAGAAAAAAAACAACCGCATCAAAAAGTGGGTGAAGGATATGAACAGACACTTCTCAAAAGAAGACATTTGTGTGGCCAACAAACATATGAAAAAAAGCTCATCATCACTGGTCATTAGAGAAATGCAAATCAAAACCACAATGAGATACCATCTCACACCAGTTAGAATGGCAATCATGAAAAAGTCAAGAAACAACAGATACTGGCAAGGCTGTGGAGAAATAGGAATGCTTTTACACTGTTGGTGGGAGTGTAAATTAGTTCAACCACTGTGGAAGAAAGACAGTGTGACAATTCCTCAATGATCTAGAACTAGAAATAGCATTTGACAGAGCAATCCCATTACTGGGTATGTAACCAAAGGATTATAAATCATCCTACTATAAAGACACATGCACACGTATGCTTATTGTGGCACTATTCACAATAGCAAAGACTTGGAACCAACTCAAATGCCCATCAATTATAGACTGGATAAAGAAAATGTGGTACATATACACCATGGGATACTGTGCAGCCATAAAAAAGGATGAGGTCACGTCCTTTGCAGGGACATAGATGAAGCTGGAAACCATCATTCTCAGCAAACTAACACAGGAACAGAAAACCAAACACCACATGTTCTCACTCATAAGTGGGAGTTGAACAATGAGAACACATGGACACAGGGAGGGGAACATCACACACCGGGGTCTGTTGGGGGGTCGGGGGATAGGGGAGGGATAGCAATAGGAGAAATTCCTAATGTAGATGATGGGTTGATGGGTCCAGCAAACCACCATGGCACGTGTATACCTACATAACAAACCTGTATGTTCTGCACATGTATCCCAGAACTTAAAGTATAATAAAAAAAAAGTAAGCTTTTTATATATAATGCAGAATGAAGAATAAGTAAAGTTTTCAAGTTAAAGTAAATTAAAAATTAAAAAGGTATCAATATTTAACTCAACTTTAAAACAATGTGCAGAGTAGCTTCAAATATAATTTACATGCTTAAATAAATTATAATATATCAAATTACAGATGCAAATGGTTAATATATAGAATTACACAATAATGATAACAATAGGATCAATTTTAAAAAACATTCAAATCATATTTTTCAGCAAAAGTAAAACTATTAATAACATTAATTTCTTAAAAATTATTTTTAGCAAACTTTTGACCTTTACTCAGTATGAGAACATCTTTTAACTTATTTAGCTGCTAGATATCCTTTCAGATATTGTTGGCATTTTTTCCTTTTTAACATTTGACAAAATGAATGATGAATTGATTAATTTTGTCAAATTAAATAATGCAATATAAAATATTTTAGTTTAATTCTGAAAGCCCAGTGCGCACACAAAAGCATGAGGATCAAATATAAACAACATCCACAAGGTGGCCAATAGCAGCCCATAGCGATGCTTGGGCCATCTCTTGCAATATGACTTTAAGATGGAATAATCATGCATTAGAAAGTTCTTTAATCACAGCCATCTATTCCACATAGTTTTGTAACACTGATCTTCCATACATTTTGCATATTTTCCAATTATTCAATTTCTATACTGCTAATGTGATGCCCCAAAACAACAGCAAAACCCAGTAATAGAAATTAAATACTAAGGAATAAGGTTTCATTATTTAGGGTTGAGTTATAGGGCTACAAATCATTGTAATAGCTAAGTTTTTTTTTTTTTTTTTTTTTTTTTTGCCGTCCATGAACCAATTTTAGCCCTGTTGGGGGCAGTATCACCCCTGTTGAGAGGTCATGGTCTAAATAAAGTATCATTTGTCACTCCTGTTTCTAAAATAACCTCCTGGTAGGCCTCAATACCTCCTTTCTTCCCCTCTGCTCTGTTCTGCACAATGCTATCACATGATTTCTCAAAACATAAATCTGATCACCCCACCTCCTTCAATGATTTCAGTGCTTTCAGAATGAAGCCACAATGCCCAACGCTACCTACAAATCATGCATAACTTGGTCCTAACTCTGGTTTCACCTCATACAACATTCTCCAACCTTCTCTGCACTTCACCAGCACTAGGCTACATTTCATTGAACCAATTCATGCCACAGGGACTTCATACATGCTGCTCTTCTGCCTGGAAGCCCCTTCTCTGCCTTTTTTGTTTAGTTAAAGGCTACTTCTTCAGACTGTTGCTTAATCATTCCTTCCTCAAGGAATCCTCTACTATTATCTTCAATTTCATCAAATCTGCCTTTAATAAACTGTGATACAGGAATACCTTCCCTTCAATAACACTCATCACAGTTGTAATTTCATATTTATTGTGCTATAAGTGTTATAGTTGCTATACTTTATAGTTTTTTTTTCCCATCAGTATCTCCCCTGTATCTAGCACAAGTCTGATACATGGTAGATGCACAATGAATTTATTAAATGAATGCATAATTGATGAATTAATTGTGTTTTAATGAACTTGAGTAATTCAAAGAGGTAAAGAGTGAATGACATCCATACCATAATAGTCAGCAAAGCCTTGATGAGGCAAAAGTAAAACTATTACAAGTATAAACTATAATAACAAGTAATATGACTGTATACCTTGATTCTTCTACTAAATTATATTCCACGAATCTTATTTTAAAGTCCAATTAAATAAATTGTGTGGGTTGCCATATTGTCACCTTAGAATGCCATCATATGTAGTGAATACTAAGACTGTTCTAAATATAACTACTTTTCGATACTTCAGATCACATCCTAAAAACTTGTAGTGCCTTAGGGACATCATTGTGAACCACAATTATCATAGCACAACTCAGCAGTCACAGACAACAAAGGCTTGCTTTCAGGATCTGTCAAAAATGCTGCACCAGCATTTTGCACTTCAGCCTTCTGCTGTGCTCTGGGCTGAAGACAGTACCCTGGCATACACCAAGTAGGCAAAATTAGCTCTCACAAGCCTTATCCATGGGAAATGGGTAAGGCAACCACTAACCTCCATCCACAGAAAATGGCCTTCATGCCATTTATGGTACAAGTGTTTAGCGTTGTTCCTGCTGAGGACAGCAATAATGTAGTGAAACATATAACAGGGTTTAGTCAGAAATTTGGGACTTAATCCTGCCTCCATTATTAACCAGTTGGATGATCTTGGAAAATGCATTTGACCTCTTTATACCTCAGTAGAAAGTTAGAATAAATCAGTAGTTGAAACATTTTCACTACTAAGCTCTCCTGTTAATAACTTTTAACCATAAATCTTGTACTTCAAAATATTATATTTAGAAAAATTCACTTACTGAGCAGTAAATTTTGTTTTGTTAAAAATTCTGACGAATATCTAAGGGGGTTAGGAATGGTGGCAAACAAAAAAGGGGAGCTGTGGGAGGCAGAAGGCAGGGTACATGAATGGGCGGGAAGGAGATGTCAGGGAATTAGTGTCCTGTTTTTATAGAACAAAGACTGAGCACGTTAGGGAAACAAACTCCAGCAAGAGTAGGACTTTCTCTAGGTATTTTGAAATATTAAAAATAGTTTACAACACCCATTACTACCTTTGTAATTACCCAAAGATCTGGGGCTGGACACTATAGCACAAGATGATCCCTGAAGTGCCTAGGAAAAGTGTGCTTCAAAGTGAATTTCTATTAAAAGAGTTTTGAGTCACCGACTTCTGTAATCAACTTAGGGAAATTTGGGGGGGGGGCAGGCAAAGGGGAGTTATCTCTTGTAAATATAAGTTACATGTTAAAAAAAAAAGTCATACAATTCAAAGGAAAATATTTCTGTCCTGCAAATACACATTCAAAATATTAATTGTATAAATATGTCCTATCATTGATTTAAATTCATTTACATTATGCATTCCCAGTGAGTACACTATTACACTCAATTGGGCAAAAATTATTTCTTGGGGGATGCTCAAAAAAATCTTAATATTGCAATGGTATATGGGCCGCCAAAGCTCAACCCTACCTGGTAAAATCTCATTTCTTAATTCTAGTTAATTCCTCTCTTTGGGTTTTGGATTTGAGAGAGGTATCCCATGAGCAGCATGGACACTGAATTCACCAAAGGTACACAAGATACATGCCAGATCAATGCTACAAAACTATGCACATAGATAGCTGTGAATCAAGGACTTTCTCTTGTTTGATGGCTGAATCTCAGACTCCTATTTCAAGAAGTGGCCTGCTCATGGCTATGGGTTGCTGTTGGCCTGTGGATGTTGTTTATATTTGTTCCTCATGCTTTTGTGAGTTGGGCTTTGAGAATTAAACAAGAATAGTTTACATTTTATTATTTATGCTGAAAAAAATCATGTGATCCATTATTAATTATGTCAAGTGCTAAAAAAACTGAATAAAAACTAGCAATTACATTAAATTATATTCTCATATCAAGCATAAGCCTAAAGTTAACTGAATAAGAATAGTTTTTAAGAAATCAATTTAATATTTTTATTTCAGCTGGAAAAATAATACTTTGGAGTGATTTTTCAAAACTTTGATTACATTTCTATCATTCTTATGTATTTATATAAATTTCTAGGATTTGACCCCTCTTTTGAATTTAGTTCCTTTAGAATTTTTTGTATTTAACAGCTGTCATTTTAAAAATTATTTTCTTAGTTTGTCCAATTTTTTTCCAGTTAAAAGTGAGAGTGACTGTCATAACTTTCTACATTCTAACTGGAGCAGAATGCTACTTATTTTAATTTTGCCATATTGATAGAGGAGAAAAATTAACAGGATACAGGGATTCTATACATTTGAGAAAGAAGAAGGGGTAGATCAGTATCCAAGGTGAAGATTAATTCTCCAGGCTAAAGACACTGACACACTAGGCACTTTATTCTGAAGGGGGTCTCTATATAGGGAAAAGCAGCAAATTGATTTCTTACAAATGGGCCCAAACACTAGGGATGATGCTGATTCTCAAATTGTGGGGCTTAAGCTCTTTAAACTCTTCTTATGTAAAGTCAGTTGATCCATGCCTTTGAACTAAAATTTCTTTTAGTTTCCTTTTAGGGTCAAAAGCAGATGTGAAACCTCATTCAATACTTTTCTCTTTGGTCCAGAAAGAGATGTTAGCCAGAATGCTAGATGAGATCAAAGATCTAGGGAGAAGCTCTAGTTTCTAATGTCCATGTATAGCCACCCTTTGTGGGTCACAGTTTGTAGAGGCCTGAAGCTAGGCAGAGTATGTATCTTTCTGAAGTTGCATATTCTGATAAGTAATGGTTTTCCATAGCTAATCATCCCAAAGAGGAAACCCTGTCATCAAGGCTGCTAAATGAGCAAATTAAGGAACTTTGTGCTAGAGAATGAGTTTTTGGCTGGGCACAGTGGCTCATGCCTCTAATTCCAACATTTTGGGAGACCCAAGCAGAAGGATCACTTGAGCCTGGAAGTTCAAGAACAGCCTGGGCAACATAGCAAGACCCTGTCTCTATCTTAAAAAAAAGTTACTGAAAAGAGAATGAATCTTTCTACTTCATTGCAGTATATTAGGTATTTGGTTAGCACATAACTTAGCTACATCCAGACCTGATGGAAAGGACTAACTATTTCCTGGAGGTGTGTTAGACTTTGAGCTGAACACTGTAACTGGAAGATGTGGATGGGTTTCTGCTTTGGACAGAAGGTGAGTATGTTCTATGTGTCAAAAAAACAGTATGAATATTTGGGTGGCCAAAGTGGAGGGCATTGTGGCTGAAGCTGCTAATGTATTATTTTTCGAATGCTGTCATAACAAATTGCCATAAACTTAGTGACTTAAACCAGTGGTCCCCAACTGTTTAGGCATCAGGGATTGGTTTTGTGGAAGACAATCTTTTCACGGACTCAAGGGTGGGATGGGAGATGGTTTCAAGATGAAACTGTTCCACCTCAGATCATCAGGCATTAGATTCTCATAAGGAGCATGCAACCTAGATCCCTCACATATGCAGTTCACAATAGGGCTTATGCTCCTATGAGAATCTAATGTCATCACTCATCTGACAGGAGGTGGAGCTCAGGCAGTAATGCCCACCTGCCACTCAGCTCCTGCTGTGCAGCCCAGTTCCTAACAGATAACAGATGAATGAACAGATAACAGGCCATGGACCCATGGCCCGAGGATTGGGGACTCCTGGCTTAAACAACAAAAATTTATTATCTTTCAGTTTTATAGACTAGAAGTTTGACATGGACCTCACTGGGCTAAGATTAGGTGTTAGCTGGGCTGAGTTACTTTCTGGAGATCCTAGGAGAAAATCTATATCCTTGCATTTTCCAGTTTCTAAAGGGCAACTACATTCCTTGGCTAATGGTTCCCTTTCTTCCTCCTCAAAGCCAGCAGTGGTGAGTTGAGTCCTTTTCACATGGAATCTCTGACCCTCATCTTAGCTCCCTTCTTACCATAGCTTGGAAAAAATTATCTGCTTTTAAGAATGTATGTGATTAGATTGGGCCTACAGGGATAATCCTGGATAATCTGCCTGTCTAAAGGTCCTTGCCTTAATCACATATGCAAAATCCTTTTTCCTATGAAAGGTAATATATTTACAGAAACATTCTAGTATTAGGATGTTTTGGGGGAAAATTATTCTACCTACCACAGCTAATTACACTTCAATACTAATGTTCTTCTTCGTCACAAGTATTACTAAAAACTGGGAATATCACTATAAATATCCATGTCATTTACTAAAAACTGGGAATATCATTGCCCAGAATAAAGACCATGTTTCTCCACTTCCTTTGATGTGACTAAATTCTATGATGGGATGTAAATGGAAGTGATATGTGCAGCTTCCGGAAGTTGCCTTAAAGAGGGAGGGCATTTATCATTTATCCTTCCTGCTGGCCAAAATGAACATATGAGGAATGAAGGTGGATAAGACATCTTCAGCCAAGATACAGAAGGTGCGTAATGAAGGTGAAAGAGTAATGAGACAGAAAAGTGTGTCTCAGTTAGTTGTGGAACCACTGTATCAACCCTGTGTTTTTAATGTGAGGGAAAATATTAACTCTATTTTCCTACCCACTGTTACTTGGGAGTTTTCATACTTACAGCCAAAGCTAATCCTATCAAATACAGCGTGTAATAAAGTTGCCAATCCAGTGTACAGAAAATGAGATAAATGGATGAGGAATGAGAAAACAGGATTTGAGATTTCTCCAGACTTTGGCCAGTTAAAGAAGGAGAAGCTATGGGTATGGCCATCCTCCCTACCCTCCCACCCCCACAGATTCAAGAAGAAGGTGTAACTGCAGGACACAAGAGAACTATAGGGCTCAAATACATCAGCCTTCTCCATTATGGGAGTCTCTCATCAAAGTTCTCTGCAAACTTTGGAAGAGTCAAGTTTTAATTTTAAACCTTATCAGTTTTCACTAGGAAAAGAAAAAGGATCCCCAAATCTCTGTGGCTTCAAAACAGCGAAGGCTTATTTCTCGTTCACTCTACATGTCCATCTTGGGTCAGTTGGGAGCTCTGCTCATTTTAATAATTCAAACGCCCAGGTGGAGAGAAGCACATCTTTGCATGTGCTTCCTTGCTCATGGCAGCAAAAAAAGGGGGCAGTATGGTGAATCATGCACTGGTTCTCAATGATGGTGCTCACCATAGCAACACTATTCACAATGGCCAAGAGGTAGAAGCAATCCAAATGTCCACTGATGGATGAACAGATAAATAAAATATGGTATATTCATACAATGGAATATTACCCAGCCTCAAAAAACAGAGGAAATTCTGTCACATACTACCACATGAATGGACTTTAAGGACATTATGCTAAGTGAAAGAAGCGAGTCAATAAAAAGACAAATACTGTATGATTTAACTTATGTGAGAGACATAGAGTAGTAAAATGCATAGACACAGAAAGTAGAATGGTGGTTACCAACGGCTGGAGGAGGTGGAAAAGGGAAGTTGTTTGATGGGTATAGAGTTTTAAGTTTTGCAAGATGAAAAGGTTTTGGAGATTGGCTTCACAACAATGGGAATTTACTTAACACTACTGAACTATATACTAAAAATGGCTAAGATGGTCAATTTTATGTTATGTGTTTTTTTGCTGCAATAAAAAAAAATGATACTCAGAAAAGACACACATCACTTCTGTTCACATTTAATTAGCCAAAGCAAGTTACATAGTTATGCCTACCTTTAAAAGATGGGGAGGGGAAGTGCAATCCTGTCATGAGGCAGTAAAGCAGAAATATTTGGTGAATAGTACTAATGATAATTGCAGTCTTCACTTCAGGGCATGAAGTATTTCCTTCATCTTTCTTCCCATGTACAAAATGCATTCATTCACTTTCCTCTGAGGGAAGAAAACTCAAAAGTCTCAGTGATGGCATCAATTTCAAAACCCAGGATCCCTGGATGACGCATGGTAGTCTTTATGTCAGGGGATAATGTGAAGGAGCCTGTAAAATAGGTCTGTGTATATCTCCTTTTGATCCAGAGACCTGGCCCTCCCACCTCCCACTCACACATTATCCAGTAGTAGAACAGAGTCAAGATACCTTCAACAAATACTCACATTAAAAAGCAGAAGAATGGGAAACATATGGCAGTCATTGGCCTGTCATTAGCAGTCATTGGCCTTTCAATATTAGACTAGGCAGATGTTTTAAACCTCCTACCCAGAGGATTGGAAATGTTCCTTGAATAGGCTGGATTTCCTGAAAGGAGCTCCCCTGTCCACTGATCTCCGTGATTCTCGGATTCTCCCTTTGGGAAAGTCCTCTTTCAGCCTTCTCTGAATAGGCACCCTGCTTCCTGCCTATAAATGGTGCAGAGTCCAAGAGCCATGTTAAGTCTCAAATTGCAACAATCACATTTAATCCAGGTTAGAGCCTTTGTTTAGCAGTAAAACTCTTACAAAATTAACCTTGGTTGTCTTCTGACTTACTCCCATGTTTCTTTCTAGATTTACTTCTTTGCCATATTTCTGTGTTTTCTTGCCCCAGCAGTTCTGTTTTCCCTGCCTCTCCCTTTTCTCCCTCTGTCCCCTCTCCCCTAATTATAGGTTCCTTGAGCCTAGCAGTGACAGCTACGCCTTTTCCCATGAGCCAATTTAAGTCATTCTGGGCCATTTGGTCTAACTGAAGGAATTACTGGGCACCATACCCTAATTCATGACCAGTGATCTGATCCTTGCCACAAAGCTGAGTTTTAATGTGCTTTTGTTGCTCAAAGGATCGATTTTACCTTTCATTTTTTAGACTGAGAAGCAGTTGCCTTTTCCAACCTTATAAGTTCTTGACTTTGTAGACTCTCTAAATCTCTTTCATCTACCCTTACAAACTGACCAAGTCTTCTCTGAATATATCTTTTTCTTACAATGTCTTATTAAATACAATTAATAATAGGCAATAAACAGTAATGATAATCTGTTTTCAACCTCTTCCCCAAAGTTAGATATGCCTTTTGCCTCCAAATTACTGTAGGGAATAGTCTTACCAAACTTTTCCCCACTAGAAAAATAATTTCCATTCTTCCAGGCTTCAGTAATAGTTTGCTTGATTCCTTCTGACCAGCTCTTAAGCCAATGCCACTTATTTTAGGGTTTGTTTTATTATTAAAGCAGCACCTTTCTCTTAGGATCTAAGTTCTATATCATTTCAGGATAAGATAGATAATCCTGTGGAAACAAATTTCCCTCAAATCTCAGCAGCTTAAATAAAAGGTTCATTTTTAGCTTTGACAGCTCTATGTCCATTGGAGGGGGGGATCTTCAAAGGGTTCTGTTCTGTTCACTGTGATCACTGAAAGAAACACATGGGCAATCTCCATATCAATATCTGTTTCCATAATCAGCTCCAGTGAGAGTGTGTCTCTTTTTTGTTTTTGTTGTTGTTGTTCTTTGTTTTTTGTTTTGCTTTGTTTTGTTTCGTTTTGTTTCGTTTTTTGAGACAGGGTCAGGCTCTGTCACCCAAGTTGGAGTGCAATGGCACAATCTCATCTCACTGCAACCTCCACAACCTCTCTGGCTCAAGCAATTCTCCCACCTCAGCCTCCTGAGTAGCTGGGACTATAGGCACATGCCACCATGCCAGGTTAATATTTGTGCGTTTTTTATTTTTGGTAGAGATAGGGTTTCACCATGTTGCCCAGGTTGGTCTCGAATTCCTGGGATCAAGCAATCCACCTGCCTTGGCCTCCCAAAGTGCTGGGATTACAAGCATGAGCCATTGAGCCCAGCCAAGTATGTCTCTGAAAGCTGGAAATATTTGGTAAGCAACACTAAAGGAAGCTCCATAGTTCTGGATTCAGTTGTAGAGAACAGAACCCACTCTACCTAATTTAAGGAGAAAAGGTTTCAAAGATTCAATAGACTATGGGATAGCTCAGAAGACTAAAGAGATAGACTGCAGGTTGAACTCTCAGAAAAGTCTCCCAAAGTCACACTCAGAACAAGGTCGTCAAAGGAGCTGTGTCTCTTTTGCAAGCAGGAATCCACTAGTATCGGGACTCTATAAGAATAAAAACACTTTCTCAATCATAAAGCCCCTGTCTCTGCCAGTTTCAGACCACACCTCACCGCTACAGTCTATGCCTACAGAGTGAATGCAGGGAGACATGCCTCTCTGAATCCACAATGCTGGTGCCTGGGATCTTTGCTGATGTTGTTTTAGGAAAAAAAGCAGCAGACACAGCAGATGTAGCAAAAGTGTGGCCTCTTCCTAACCTCCACTGTCTATACCTCATGCTTCTAATTAGGCAAATGCAAATTACATCAGAACCCCAGCTGTAGTGTGGACTCCAGCATCTAGAGTGTAGGGAGTCACACTAAAACTGAGATGGAGTTGAGCAACAATCCAGCATTTGCATCGGTAAAACACAGCAATAGGCCATATTATGGAGCACCCCGTTCTATAGCAACAATAAAATACTTCTTTTAATCATGTTTATCCCTGCCTACTTTAAAGTAATTTTAAGAGGTTTATGCTAAGTGTTCATAATCAGGCCCTTAGGGATTCAGGAAAAGTTAAAAATTTTCTGTGTTCTCTTTTATCATTTTAGGGGGAGTATAATATACATGCTTCAAATGAAATATGTTAAGCATCATCCTTCAGGGATATGCACATTCCCATAGTTTGGTGGTTTAACATCTTCAATTTTCACACCAGTTCCATGAAACAGTGTATCAGTTAGGGATAGTATTCAGCTGCACATCACAGACATCCACCTAAAGTGCCTTGATCAAACATGGTGTTTATTTTCCAAACATTAACAGTAGACTACAGCTGGACAATCTGGGGCCACTGCAGAGACCTCAAGTCCTGCCTTTCTGCTCTTTCATCATGAACTGTGGCCCTTCTCTCTTTGGACATAGATGGCTGTTCTACTTCCAGACATTGTTAGCAACTTCCAGGATGGAAGGAGAGGAAGAACAAAGGCACAAGGCAGCTAGCTACCCGGCTAGGTTTGTCCTGTTATTTGGTGTTGCTTACACAATCACCTTATGACTGTGTGTTCATGTATTTCATTAGCCCCAGAGGTGTCACATAGCAACCTCTATCTGCCAGGGAGCTGGAGGAACTAAAGATTGCTTTGTTATGTTTTGTTTTGTTTTGACCAGGCCTATTGCCAAAATCAGAATTCTGTTAGTAGGAAGAAAGCTAGTGTGAATATTGGGCAGGTAACTAGTGGTATCTGCCTTGAATAGACATTCTTTTTCTCATTTTATAATAAGGAAACCAGGGTTCAAAGAGGTTAAGTAATGTGATGGTAGCTCAATAGCTTGAGATTTGAATTCATGCCTATGACTGCAAATTCCAAACTTTTTGATAAACATTTATTTTTAAAATGGTTAAAACAATTTTTTTGACATGTTAAGAGGTAAATTGGATTATTTAGGAGAAAAAAAAAGAAAAAAACAACCCATTTGCTTAAGATTACAGACAGCAGAAGTGGGAGTGGGAATGAGAAGGTAGAAAAGGATGAGAGTTTTTTTGTGGGAGTAGCACAATTCTGTGTTTTAAAAACAACAAAAGCCTTATGCAGATAAGCAGCCTTGAAGATTATGGCACATTTGCAGGCTAGTTTTCCACTGCTGGGCAAAACTTTATTGCCTTGTGGCTAGAATTCATTCTGACCTGGTGGCTAGAATTCATTCTGACCTGGCCAAACTCATTTTATCGGCTAACTCTTTCTTAGTGCTTGAGAATTACAAGAGTTATTAACCAAGCTAACCTGAAAATCATCTCCAGTTGCTTTATGGTATTTTTCAGAATGATTCATTCGACTCTCATTTCCCCAAACCAGCATTTTCTTGCTTTCATTGAGAAAAGGAAAATGGTATGATATCTCCGAAAGGCAGGACCATTGAGGGTAGCGACGGGGATGGGGTTACTAAATGTTCCTTACAAGCTCCCAGGGATTCTGAGATTTGAAGGAAATGCAGAAGACACCAAAAATAGGTAGTCAAAATCACTAGCTTAAAGAAAAGGGTGTGGTCCCATTTGAGAGTGTACTGGCACTGACAGTAGTTTACAAGAATGTGCAATTCAGTCGGAGAGCTCTGCAACAACTACTAATTGGTCTTTGGCACCTTGCAGCTTGTGGCTTTTTACCTAAGGGGATGGGATGGAGTCCTTATTTTGCTGTGTCCTCACCATGAACTTTGGGGATTTCCTTCCCTTAACTTTCTCACCTCCTTGAGCCTGGATGGCTCTTGGCACCAGCCATGCTAACAATCTGACAAAAAGGAATGGCTAAACCAATGTATCCCAATCCCTGGTTCTAGCTACTGAGCATATCTAATTCATTCCCAAATAGTCATTTGGGTGCTAAAAAGAGCAAATTAATCACACTCCTGTGAGTTTAAGCAGCAGGAGCAAGAAGGAGAGGTAAATATCACAGAGATTGAACCTGAAAAGTACCAGGGGTGGAAAAACTGTGTAAAACATACCTGGGGTAAAGAATCTGCACAAATATTAAATTTGATTGAAGGTTGGGAAAACAAAGAGTGGGTTCCTTGGAAGGTCACAGAATGCCCTGGTTCCTCTTGCTGTTAATGCAGTTGTGAAGTATGCTTATGCAATCATTGACATTTAGCCTTGAAAGGGTGTGGCTTATGGGCTTTGGCCAAGGTAAGTTCCCTTTGAGGATTTGGGATCAGGGATTTTCATCTCCCAGGGGCCCAAGGAGCTGCCTAGAGGGGCTGCCTGGGAAGAAGAAGACACTTTTCTAGGTATCTGGATGTGTGCAGTTTTTAATCACTCTTCAGGTTCCTTGCAACTACAGAAGAGAAAGAAAGTGAAATAAACAGGTTGTGCCCAGCAAAACTGAGATGGAGCAAAAGCATGAGGTGAGGACTGTGGGGCGAGTTTCACCCACAGAATTACGCTCCTGCTCTGGAAGTATGTTGAGAACTCCACAGGCTTTTATAGATACCTGTCATCAGAATCCAAGTACCGGCATTCAGCAAATATTTGTTGAGAGCAAGGGCCTAGTCTATTAAATACTCTAGTCCCCGAATTATAGTGTAAGCAACACATGAAAAGCTTGTTTGAAAATGCAGATTTCCAAGCCTAGCCATTCAATACCTTGGGACTGGGGCCTAGGGATCTGCACTAATATCAGGCAGCTCATTTGATTTGGGACCGTTAGTTCTTGGACTCTTATTGTTGCTTTGTAAAAACTAACCTTGGTCTCTTCAAAAGTTAGCACCCAATCAAAGTAGAGACTTGACTGGAAAATACAAACAAAATATTCTTTTGCCACCTCTTATTTGTTGTTTTTGATGTTGTTTTGTTACACACCTGAATTCTTCACTGTGTATTTTTTGACCTATTTATGGAAGATTAGTAACTTAATCTGGAATTACAAACTATCAGAAGCAACACAGTATCATTTTCACTTTTCCCCTTTCTTCCTTTCTCCCTCTGTCTGTCTCTCTCTCTCTCTCTCTCTGTGTGTGTGTGTGTGTGTGTGTGTGTCTGTCTGCCAATGTCTCTGTCTCTTTCTTTGCCTTAATGATAGTCATGACTATCATTTGTTTTGCCCTGCTGTCTGAAAAATGCAAAGTAGGTGTACAGTTGCAACTATCAAAAGCAACAATATGTACATTCTGGATCTGACTTCTCCAGTAATTTGTCATTACTTACAGCAAAAGCCTAAGGGACCCTGCCTGTGTCTGCCTGAAAGAGGAAAAGAGGGACAGTTCAAGAAGGAGGTGATCTGCAAGTCATTCTTTCCCTTGAAAACTTCCTCTCAAGCCTGGTGTGGTGGCTTGCACCTATATAACTACTCAGGAGGCTGAGGCAGGAGGATCTCTTCAGCCCAGCAGTCTGACGTGCAGTGAGCTATGATTGTGCCACTGCATGCCAGCCTGGGCAACAGAATGAGATCTTACCTCTAAAAAAAAAATTTTAATATTAAGCATTTTTTTTTCGGAATGTCAAAGATCCACAACATTCATTAGCAGTGGCATTCAATTTTTTTGACCAAGACCATACTAAAAATATATTTCATGTCACAATCCAACATACACACATACATATCTGTGTTGTGTATGTGTTTATATGAGCACATATGGAAAATAGAAACAATTATCTTATGAAACATTACTTACCTTTACCATATATACTCTGCTATTTTCTATGCTTGGCCCTTTCTTTGCTTTTCTTAGCCTTCCCTTCTCCCTTCTCCCTCTCTCTCTCTCTCTCTCTGTGTGTGTGTTTGCGTGTGTGTGTCTGTCAATGTCTCTGTCTCTTTCTTTTCCTTAATGATAGTCATGACACTATAAATGGTTTTGCCCTGCTGATTGAAAAATGTGAAGTAGGTGTACAGTTCCAACAGTTTTGAGTAGGACAAAAGAGGAGAGGAGCTGGAATTGGAAAACAAGTTTGTTCACTATTTTTTTTCTTTCTGTCTCAGTCAGTAACTCTGTTAATTTATCCAGGTCTACCTTAGCTAAGATAGTATATACATCCTACTTTTACTGTCTTAGAGGCTGATATTCCAAAGTAGTAGAAATGCTCAGTGGAATATATTGATAAACAAATGAGTCTGTACTTCTTACCAGCTTGACCTCCTCACTGTCTTCTATGTGACACCCTCATTTCTGCCCAGATGTCTTTATCTCTTAACCTAGAATTCTAGCTACCTGCTAAATCATTCTCTTTGCCTACTCTTCTTACCTCCAGGGCCACCAGTAGAGGTTTGCACTGACTTTCCCAGATCTTGAAGGCTACTAAAGGTACAAGGGAGAACACTTCATTTCCTAGAGTAGTGCTCAGCCAGGTGCAATCTACATCAAAGGAAAGATAAGCAATGCTGTTGTTTTTCAACCGAAGCTGTTATTTTCATAACTTGTAAATGAACTAAAGATTCCAAGAACTCGAGGTCCTCACAATCAGCTTTCTTCATCCAACAAGCAAGCTTCAATTTCATCGTAGCATTTTTATTGTGTGCAGTAAAAACATTCACAATTTTGTTTGCTGTTGATGATCTGAGTGTTTGGTTTTGAAAAAAAATTAACAAAGAAGCCAATTTTGTGAGTTATTTTTCATCACAGAGGAGAAATATTCACCTTAGCACTACCTTTGTTGTGGCACCTTTCCATCTCCATGAAGAAAAATAGCCATCCAGTCCAGATTGCAAGTGCTACTCAGTATCCTTCTCACACATATCTTACTAAAAATGTTTTCACTGACTTTTTCTTTATTTAACTATCAAGTATTTGGCAAATTAATATCTTGAAAGACATCTTCATTATAAATATTATTTTAATGATAAAATTATTAACTTGTAAATTTTTATCTAGCTCTAAGCAATTGGTTTTTATCTTAATTCGTTTCAGTATACTATTGTCATTCACTGAATGCCCAAGAACAGGGAATCTATCAAAAATGATTAAGATCATGTCAAAAGGACACAAGCACTAATTTGAAAGGGTATGCATTGGCTAAAGATGTGGTAATAGGAGCATTAAAAAGGTAATAATAATGATAGCAATACACTGATGCACACCAAATATGTAAAAATCCATGAGTTCATAAAGATGTTCCAAAAAAGAAAGTAATCAACCACCTCTGGAGAGTACTAGATCAATTAATGTATTCTGAAAATTACTAAAGAAAAAGTGAAATATTAAACTTCATTGCTTTTTTAATACATATTTAATACATGATATTTTTAATACATATTTGCAGCCTCTGTGTTACCAAAGTGGATTTGGCCATATTTGTAATGTAAGGCTTCAACACATTTTCCTATGATGTGAGCTTTGCCTGCTAAGATGATTCTGAAACTAACTTTGCCCAATTTTGCTTTTTCTATAATTTCATATGAATGCAATCATTCAGTGTGGTCTTTTGTATTTGACTTCTTTCGTACAGCACTTTGTTTTTGATATTCATCCATGTAGGAAAATTTTTTATTGTTTTTTATTGCTGAATAGTATTCCACTGCATGTGCTCATCACAATTTGCTTACCCATTCACTAGCGCTTTTCCTGCATCTGCTGAAAGGATTGTTTTTCCCCCTTTATTCTATTAATCCTGCCAATTACATTGATTGATTCTCAGATATTAAAAAAGCAGCTTTGCATTCCCAAGATAAGCCCCACAGGTCATGATGTATTGTCCCTTTAAATGTTGTTGAGTTTCATTTACTAAAATTTTGTTCACGACTTTTGTGTCTATGTTTATGAGTGATATTGGTCTGTAACTCTCTTTTGAAGTCTTTCACTGGTTTTGGTATCAGAGTAAATCTGGTCTCATAAAATGAATTCAGAAATATTTTTGCAATGCTCATTTTATGCCTTGCAGAACTTTGAGAAATATTACGCATAAAGTGTAACATGACGGGTGTCATTCAAATATATGTCTCAAATATAAAATAATCAGTTTTTGCCTTGTTCTTTCTTTTCCTAATTTCC
Source organism: Homo sapiens (assembly GCF_000001405.40). Taxonomy (NCBI): domain Eukaryota; kingdom Metazoa; phylum Chordata; class Mammalia; order Primates; family Hominidae; genus Homo; species Homo sapiens. The sequence goes on along the minus strand of NC_000006.12, from coordinate 79,235,302 downwards.
GTAACAAACATGTCCTATTCGTCTTCACATCTAGTTTGAAGTTAGCTGAATTAGTGAGTGATTTATAATCACAGATTTCAGAAAATTAGAGCTAAGTGATTTTAGGGACTGTTGTCACTATATATCTAGGGGGGGAAACTGAGGCCTTTAGAAGTTGCCACGCTCTTCCAGTACAGAGTACCTTCCCACGCTTTACAGATTCCCACCATGTAACATTCATTAAAAGCCTTTATGGGTAGGAAATGAATAAGGTACCTGCTGTGTATATATTTACATTATAAAGTTTACGTATTCATTCTTACTCTTTTTCCTTCCTATGAAGACACACACTGTTCTTATTCTTACAATCTCAAAGAGAGAGCAGCGAAACAATGAAACTTCAGGATTGTGTGGCCTGGAGGCTACTAGTTGAACTGGGCATGCTCAGTCGCCAGGCAGATTTTTTTCGGTGAAGTGGAAACTACAACAGCGCGTACCGCGCGCGGAGGTGGGCGTGCCCTCGTGGAATTTAGAACGTTGCCTCAGCCAATGGGGCCTCGCGGCCGGCTGGCGGGGCTCCTCATTGGAGCAGCAGGGAGGCGAGCAGAGGGCCCCCAGAGGGAGCCGCGGAGGTGCAGGTCGAAGAGGCCGGGCTACGTCGTGCCCTGCGCGTGAGCAGCTGCAGAGGCAGAGGCAGCATCCAGCGGCGGCGCCAGCAGTTCCAGTCCGTTGCTTTACTTTTTGCTTCACCGACATAGTCATTATGCCGAAGAGAAAGGTAAGTCTTACCAAAAAAAGATTTCAAAAGCCTTCAAATTCTGCTTACAGTAAATGCTGGCATTGCAATGGCTCGCGCAGAACGCGCGCGGTAGTAACCCGGGGATTGGGAATCTTTGCTCCTCCACGCTTGTTTTTAGATGCCTGTTGCAGACGTTCCTCTCTCTGTCCCCCCTACCCACTCCGTCCTCATCGATCTCTTAATGTTACTTTCTCTCCAGTGACGCGGTTTCCCTTCTTTTTGAACTCATTCTCGCTGGAATGTTTTCCACCCCCAACAACAAGAAGCAAAAGCGGCTTTCCATTCCGAAAGGGAGTTTCCTCTTTGCAAACTGCCAGGTTGCGAATTAGTGTGAAGGGAAAACAGCGAGAGGAGAAAAACAAGTACAAGCGTAAGGAGAGGGAAGAAAATAAATCAGGCAAATGTTGGGATTATTCCCATGCGGCTGTACTCGCGGGCTGGGTGCGCTGCGGTGGCTCCTAGGCTAAGGGAAAGAGAAAGCCATGTTTAAAATAGCGCTCACCCTCCTGCTCGCCTCCGCTGCAGACCCGTATGTACCAACTCCAGTGTCAATCAGGGCTGGGGCCGGCGAGGCGGGGCCTGGCGGCCTGGACCTACCCGCAGTTCGGGGCGGGAGCGGTGGAGTTGGCAGCGTGGAAGACGGGACGGCGCCGGGGCGTCCAATATGGCTCGTCCAAGGTCAGGGGGCCACCAGGTCCTCCCCAGCGACTGGAACCCACACTCGGTTGGGGAAGGCGGGGTCCGCGCGCTATCCGCCCCTCTGCGCGTCTAGCGAACTGGAGTCATTTTTGTCTTGTCTTCCGCCCCTTGCGGACTGTCCTCTTCTGCGCAGGCCCCGGACACCAACTACTACATTCAGGGACACAAATCTCCCTCGGGGTGGGGCTTCGACTTGTCCCGGGGAGGGAAGGGAAAGGTTTCCTCCTCCCTGAGAAATCAGTGAGGATTTCTCAGCTGGTTCCTAAGCAAGTGCTTTGCACCCTCCCACCGCCAGCCTCAGTGTTTCCAACAGTGTCAACGAGTGTGGGTATTAAATTTGAAGCAAAATTACACCTAATGTCTTGCTTTATCAAAGACCATGGACTAATTTGTGTGTGAGAGTGACTGCATTATTTTAAAATACTGAAGTTTTAAAAATTCAAAAGCTTTCCCCTTCTTATATGTTATTACTAAAAATTGGGTAGAAACTTGTCTCCTACCCCACTTTTTAAAAATAATTGAAAGTGTTTAAAAGTCTTAGAGTTTGTTGTGCACATACTGTGTCCCTCACGCTGTGCAGAATTTGACTTGCATTATCTCATTTAATCCTGAAAACAGCTTGAGCGGTGTTACCCCCATTCAGCTGGGACTTAAAGACATAAATTGTCCTGCATCTCACCAACCAATAACTACTAGTAAAGATTTAATCAGATGCTATAGATGCCAAAGTCTTATTCTCACCCATTTCGTACTCACTTACGAAAGGGTGGGTCAAGAGGAATTAAGGAAATCCAAAGGTACTCCCAGTTTAAGAAGACAGATGGCATATTAAGAGCACTAATACTTGAGATTTATTATTTAAACTTAATTTTATGAAGGTATTTTCTAGCCCTGTTTTACTAGAATTAGGATATTAAGTGATGTCACCATTTTCAGCATTTTGACTGAGGGTTAATGATGGATTGGAAATTCTAGTAGAGACAAAGGAACTAATCATCAAGATACGGGTTACAGAGTAAGTGAGCTGGAGGCCATCTTTTTTTCCTGGGAATTATAACCATTGTTTACATAAACAGTAGGTTAGGTGTGCACACTTTATGTATAATGGACCCTGACGATGGAACCCTTCCTTGCTGTTTATTCAAGGGCCAGAGCTGCTGAAACCATTATTCTTACTTCCCCTGTCTGCCTCTCTCAAGGAGACGGAAGGAAAAAAAAAAAAAACTAAAATAACAGTAAAATTACAGCTACAGTTTTATTTCCCTGGAAGGCAGGGAACCCCCATGCATAAGCTAGCCAATGGTCCTGAGACTAGGGGCAAAACTGTGTACAGGCACCTGTGTGTCATTCCTGAGGACATCAGAGTGTTCTCCGGTGATGGAAAACCTCTCCTTGATTAATAGGAAGGCTTTCCATTTATACCTGAAGCCTAACGACCTCAGTTGGTACCTGGGCAGGAACAACCTCAGATTAAACACGGCGATCATGGCCATCCATCTATCAGTCAAGTCTTAGAGCAGCCTCATGGAATCCTGAAGTTCACTGGAACTTATGTGAGGAACCACTGTCATTAGGTAAAGCCTGCTTAGATACAAAAAAGAACTGGAGACAATCCATGCATAGCTCTTCAAGATCTTCAAAGCTGGGGTAACTGCCAAAGCATTTACATACTACACAATATTTTTCTTGACTAAAGAATTGTCTGCTCTACAATATAATAAGCTTTTAAAATGTCCCCCTAGTACTTTTTTGCCTTCTTAGCCCCCTGTATCAACCTTTCCTAGAAATCAAGAAATGTTATTTAATGAACATCTGAGTAAGTTGTTCTGCAGAGCAAGAAGTGGTACAGATAAAGTCAATGAAAACATCTGGAATCCTAGCCCTGTTGTAATGCTGTAGGGACATACAGTTTTTGCCCTCTTGGAACTTGTGTTTAATTCAATGAGGTGATAAGACTAGCAGCACAAAACAGTTGAATAACATTAAAACTGTGTATGTGTTCCAGAATGTGTAGTTATAGATCCCACAAGCAGTAGGACAGATAAGGAAAGTTAACTTTAGGCTGGTCTTAAAAGTGTGGGTAGGACTCAAATATACAAAGAAGTCAGAGTCATTTTTTGTTACCAGGTATTCAAGTGTGTCTCCTGATTGTATCTTAACATGACCAGGCCTCAGTTTTGCAACTTCAGGGCTATAATATCATCTGAATTAATATTAAAATGTTCTGATGACATTTCTTTGTAAGTTTTATGTGTATCTTTGTGTGTGATAGTCATAACTACATTAAGCCAAGTGGTTTTTTATAAATGCCATAGTATTTTGTGAAGTAATACAGCACTTAGTGAAGAGTTCTTCAGTGCATATTATCTCTAAGTTTGTGAGATGTAAATAAAAGTGAGTTTCCTGTATTTTTTAGATAATGGATGGTGGGTGAGTGGAATTACAGGGGAAATGATAACATTCATGGACTCAGTGGTGAGACAATGAGTGATTGAGTTCTAGACTGTTCTGGCCAGACATCCACAAATGCCCGCAGTGGTCATGTTGTTATGTGATGATTTGATGTTCTACGAAGAGACATGAGCCAGCGAGGCCTAGAGTCACAGTCCTGGCATGATTAGCGACAGGAAACACATTTTTACCTCTTTCTTTTTATTAATATTTTCCAGTTCCTTATCACTAGAACTATTTTAAATGTCTAGTGTATCACATCAGAAATTCTCTAATGAGGCAATTTTCCATGAATGTGGCATGTAAGCAGTCATGTCTCTTGACACTTAAAGGTTTAAGGAAGGAAAGCCCATCTGCCTCTAGCTTTGAAACTCAAAATTAGGTTTTTATCTGTTTCCTTAAAATGGAAGGCCCAGTAGCAGTAGCATTGGGCTTATTAGCACAGGGGATGCTTAACTAACCATGATCAAGGTTTGTGATAGTTAATTTTGAAAAGAATATTACTTGTCATAACACCAAAAACAGAAACTGTAAATGAAAACACAGATAAATTTGGCTACATGAAAATGAATATTTCAATATGGGAAAAAAAACTGTTAACAAAATTTTTAAATTTATGAAAAACTGGGAAAAAATATTTGTACCACATATCACTGAAAAAGGTTTGCTGTTTTAAAAAGATAGCATCTCACATTTCCTTATGGAAAAGATGTATATCTTTATAGGAAAATAATGAAGACTCAAGTAGACAGAAATGTTTGGTTTTACTAGAAATCAAAGAAATGTACAATATTAAGAATAATGAGATGTAATTTTTAAAATAACCAATCTGGTTTAAAAAAAGATTAAAAACCTACTGGCTAGTGCTGAGGGATATAGACACTCAGCACTCTCAGTTATGAGAGTATAATTTCCTTTAAAACATTTATTGAGTATAATCTACTTACTATAAAGTCCATTCATCCATTCGAAGTATACAATTCAGTGATTTTTAGTAAAGTATAGAGTTGCGCAACCATTGTCATAATCCAGTTTTGTAACATTTCCATCATTCCACAAAGGTCCCTCATGGAGTTTATAGCCAATCCCCACTCCCAGCCTAGCCCTAGGCACTAATCTACTTTTGCTGTATCTAGATTTGCCTTTTCTGGAAATTTTATTTAAAAGAAATGATACAATATGTAGTCTTTTGTGACTGATTTTTTCACTCAGCATGATGTTTTTGAGATCAGTTTGTGTTGTAGCATATATCAGTACATCATTCTTTTTTATTGTCCAGTAGTGTTCCATTGTATGGATATACTCATTTTTGTTTATCCTTTCACAAGGTGATGGACATTTGGATTGTTCCAGGTTTGGATTATTATCAATAATGCTGCTGTGAATATTTGTAAATAAGTGATTGCATGGACATATATTTTCATTTCTCTTGGGAAGATTTCTAAGAGTAGAACTGGCAGGTGGTATGAAAGTCTATGTTTATCATTTTTTTTTTTGGAGGCGGAGTCTGGCTCAGTCGCCCAGGCTGGAGGGCAGTAGCGCGATCTCAGCTCACTGCAAGCTCCGCCTCCCGGGTTCACACCATTCTCCTGCCTCAGTCTCCCGAGTAGCTGGGACTACAGGCGCCCGCCACTACGCCCGGCTAATTTTTTTGTATTTTTAGTATACACGGGGTTTCACCGTGTTAGCCAGGATGGTCTTGATCTCCTGACCTCGTGATCCGCCCGTCTCGGCCTCCCAAAGTGCTGGGATTACAGGTGTGAGCCACGGCGCCCGGCCGTCTATGTTTAACGTTTTAAGGAACCTCCAAACTGTTTTCCAAAGTGCATGCGTTCTAATTTCAACATACTTGTTCATACTTGGTATTGTTGATTTTTTGCTTATAGAGATTCTTATGAATTTTAATTTATATTTCTGTAATAACTACTGACAATAAGCATCTTTTCACGTGTTTACTAGCATAATGTGTATCATATGTGAAATGTCTATTCAGATATTTTGCCCATTTTTAATTGGGTTGTCTTATTATTGAAAGAGTTCTTTATAAGTCTGAGATACAAGTCCCTTATCAGATATATGATTCGTAGATATATTCTCCCAGTTTGTGACTTAAAAATATATTTTTTTCTTAATGGTGTCTTTTGAAGAACAAAAGTTTTTAATTTTGATGAAATCCATTTAGTGTTAATATCTAATAAATATTTGCCTAATTCAAGGTTATGGATGTTTTCTCATAGAGGTTTTATACTTTTAACTCTTATATTTAGGTATGTTATCCATTTTGAATTAATTTTGTGTGTGGTATGAGGTAAGGGTTTAAATTCATTTTATTGCTTGTAGAAATCCAATTACCTCAGCACCATTTGTTGAAAAGACCATCCTTTCTCTACTGAATTGCCTACGCACCTTTGTTGAAGCTCCTTCATAAATGTAAAACTTTATTTCTGGACACTCAATTATGTTTTATGGTCTGTATGTCGTTCTTATACCAGTGCTACACTATCTTGGCTAGGTGAGCAGTGGCTCACACCTGTAATCCCCACAGTTTGAGAGGCTGAGGCAGGAGGATCACTTGAGGTCAGGAGTTTGAGACCAGCTTGGGCAACATAGCGAGACGTCATCTCTACAAAAAATTTAAAAACTACGCTATCTTGGTATCTTGATTATTATGGTTTTATAGTAAGATTTTAAATCTGGTAATGTCAGTCCTTCACTTTTTGTTATTTTTTCCCAAAATTGTTTCTGGCTATTCAGTCTTTTATGTTTTCATGTAAATTTTAGAATCACTTTATACATTTCTACAAAAATAAAGCCTGCCATTATTTTGATAGAGATTGAATTGAATCTATAAATCAGTTAGGAAAGAATTGCTTTCTTAGCAATATTGAGTTTCCCAGTCTGAATATGAAAGGGCCTGACATCCATAAATGCTTGCTCCATTTGATTGAGTTAAATATTGATATGGAATCTATGTTTGAGTAAAGGCTCCAAAATGGCAGGGCTGTACATTTAATTATTCATTTGCTCCATGTTAAACATTCATTGGGCATCACCTTTATGCAAGATACCATCGCCTTGGGAAATTAAATGAAAAATTACTGTTTTTTTCAACCTGAATGAGTAAATACCCTTGTTTTTAAGGATTTTTCTGTCTGATGGGATAGGTAGAACACATAAACAAGTATTTATAATTCATGCCAGAAAGTGATAATGAGCCACAAGAGAAGCTATGAGCAGTGAGCATTCAAAGGTTTGGCCAGGCTGAATGTCCAAAGAAGAAACACTGCGAAAGAGTGTTGTTCAGTTAAAAGGGTTGGGGGTTATAGCTTTTAACCACCCTGTTGTGTTTCAGAAGTTGTCTGGCGCCATGTTTCTAAATCAGCACAAGTTATTTGATTGATTACCTATTTTTGATTTAATTTTGTTTTGTAATCCTAATTTTACTTTACCATGAAGTCATTCATGGCTCTGATCTTCCTTTCATCCCCCATAGCACCTAGCACAGGTAGTGTAAATATTTGTAGAACAAATTGATGAATAAATTGTTTTCAAAGGAAGGGAGTAATAAGTTTAATCATTTCATACTAAGTAGGTTTAATTATTTCATACAGTGGGAAAAACTCTAGTATGGTTCTGGCATTTGCTGTTTATTAGCTATATGATCTAAGGTAGCTTCCTTAACCTCTCCCTTAGCTGCTAAGTTCCTAATTCTCTAAGACTCAGTTTCCTCTTCTGTAAAATGGGAATAATGATATGCTCTGTTTCGTTGATTATGAGAATTAACTGAGATAGTGAATTCAAAGAACTTAGCCCAGTGCCTGATATGTGTAAAACAATCAATGGATGTTTGTTGTGATTATGAGATTTTTAATTATTAAGAGAATCACAGTGAAATAACAGGCTTCTAACAAGCACTAGGCCTCCACTTTGTGGGATGATAAATGGTGCACGCAGTGAGTAGTAGGGAGCCAGCAGATCCCACCCTGATGTCAAATTCACTGCAATTATAGAAATACATGTTTAATCACCAAATAACAAATGGAGTGTTTCTGAAAGAACAGAAGCTTTAATCTTGTGCATTTTTACATGGTTGATTTTTCTAATGGAAAAAAAAATGTTTAAAAATATCTTCATATAATGTTAAAATTCCCTTGGAAGATCAGGTACCAAGTGATCCTCTTTTCCTATATTTTTCTCCTAAAACATTGCTTTTGTTTACACCAGAGTTAAATATATTCCACTTTCCTGCAGGGTACAATTTGGAAATGGTGACTGAAATAAACACCATTTAAGCTGTCTGCCTTCATAGTACCTAGAGTGTTGAAATATGATGTTAGTCTCCTGAGTAATTTAAAAATCACTGTCGAAGTTAACAAACTAAATCAAAATGTTGAATTCCTTTTCACTGGTTACTTACTTATTGTACATTTCACTGTCTTCTTAGAAGAATTCAGTCAAATCACGTAGGGGTTCTTGGTCAAGCTATTTATTGAATCCAGTATTCTTCTACCCTGTGGGCATATCCAGAAACAGGGCTATTGAGATATGCCCAAGGCAAATACATATTCAGTCACACATAAAGTAAATGATATGCACATTCAGAAGTAGGAAGATAGAAAAATGGTTTTAAACTTCGAAATTGGCTCCAAAATTTAATATTTTAAGAGAAATGTCAGTAATTAACACAAATATACTTACTACTATTAAAATTGAATTAATATCAAAATCGAGCTATTTCCTGAATGCCTGGGTGTACCAGACCTGAGATACGTGTTTTGTATTCATAATGCACCTTAGTTTAAATAAAAATGTGAAATTATTAGAAATAAATGCGAGAGAAGTATATACTATAATTTCATTTTTCATTTTATTCTCACAACAGTTTAATGAAGCAATTTCATCTCACAGCTAAGAAAGAGGTCTCTTTCTATGAGTCAGACTGTTTTTAGCACTTTGCATTAATAATATTAATTCTTCCAACCACCCAGTAAGGTGTGTCCGTTTCCCGTTCTCATTTTACATATGAGAAAATTGAAGCACCAAGAGGTTAACAGACTTCCCCACAGCACCTGTGATAAGGAATGGCTGAGTTGGGATTTCACTCCTGAAGTCTGGCTGCAGAGCCTGTGATCTTAACCAGTGAACCCTGCAGCCTTTCTCAAACACAGAGGAAAATATTGGGATTTAGTGAGATTAACAAATTTCCTCTGGGTCACACAGCTAGGAAGTGATAGAACCAGCATTCTAACCAAGCCCTCTTTTACTCAGGAATTTTGCTGTTAACTATTACACCATAATACTTTCTGTATATGTTTATTTCTAATAACCACATGTATTTTTATTTTAACTACAGTGCCTAATGAATGAAACATGGAGGAATCAAGAGTTACGTAAACATGAGTGTTCATTTGTTTAAAATATCTTTATTACAATATAGGCTGGTGCCATGGTTTCTAAATGCCTGTTGTAGAAAGTTACCCAACAAGTCATTATTATTTGTGATCCTGCCCTAAGGCTGGCCTCAGGGTGCAGTTCTGTTCTTGGTAAGAGAGGAGCATTACCATGAAATCTTCTAGGTATTTCAGTAACTAGTGGACTGTAGGGTTGTAGACAAGATACACATATGCAGTTTCCTCACCTAAATATTGATTGTTTAGAGTATTAAAAGTCTGACTCTTTATAATTTTCTCAGATTCCACTGTGAACTGCTGGATTTGCTACTTCCATGATACATTGTCTTCATCAATTTGCTATATATAGAATAATGGGAATACTCCCTTGTGAACAGGAACATGTAAATACGCTTGCATATTATACAATATATTGAGGGATTTTAATGTAAATATTAAGCTGTCATTACTTAGGGACTGGGTTTAAAAAATAAGTAGATGCTTTTGTTTTTGGAACTCGTGAAGAATAAAAGCTTAATAGCTAGGAAAATCCACTGGACCTAGGACTGGATGGATTTTTATTTAGGTGTGCTAGATTACCAGTTGACTAATGTTTTATTTCAGATGTTATTTTTTAAATGTACAAGTGATATTTTAAAATTATATTTTGATTATTTTGACCCCATACAATGAAATACAAAATCTACCCTGAGAGGTATTGGTTTTCTTATTTCTTTTACTTTTTGCTCACTCTTTGTCTCTTTCTTAGGTGGAAACTGTGGGATGTTTTTATAATATTGGACAGAATTAGTTAAGTTCTATATTGTAGAAATTCATGGTATGAAAAGTAAGGCATGATGTATATGGGAGAAAACGTACCAAAGACGAAGTTATCAAAATGTGAAGCTTTAAAGGCTCCTTAAGTTCCATATGTATTTTATTTAATACATTTTTTAACAAACTATATTCTGACTACTTCTCATTGCTTTACTTTACCCCTTAATTACAATTTTTAATTTTATTTGTCCTAAGCAACCATATGTAGATCACATTACAGCCAGCTGATTAGTTTTGCAAAAATACAAGGAACATCATAACTGTGTTTACCATTTGCCAGAAGTTAATGTATGTCCGAGCAAACAGGAAAATAATAAAGTAACCATCTGGTAACATCTCTTTTAAGAGCCCTGTTATAACAATACAGAGACTTTGGTCTAGTGTGAATTCTGCCACTTTTTACCTCGGGAAGGTCACTTGACGTCTTGGAAGCTCTACTCTTCATCTGTACAATGGAAATATTAAGACTGTGCCCCTGTTTATCTCAGAAATATTGAAAGCATCAAATGCAACAACCATATGGAAGCACACTGAACATGTAAAGTACTACAAAAAATTATAGATGATTTGGTGTATGTTTTTGGTTTCAATACTGAGATAAAAACAACCAGATCCGTGCGTATGACTTTTTAAAAACCCAGAATAATACTAAAATTTTGTTCAACTCAACATAAACTATTTTTAATAGGTTATTGTTTGTTATTATTTCAAGAGGCTCATGAATGATGGAGAATAGGAAGCACTCCTTTACATATCATTTGTTCTTTGGCTAGGGCTACAGGTTAAAGCATTTCCCAAGCTGGAAGGCTTTTGCTCTTCTAGAATCCCAGATCTGCACCCAGTTTTGAAATTAAGAACACTTAACACAAACCACTTTGAATGGTGTAGTGGATAAGAGTATGAACTTTGAGCCAGCCTAGAAGAGCTGAATTCCAGCTCTTCTGTTAATACTTACCAGCAAGATTACCAGCTGACTAATCTTGGGCAAGTTATTCAACCTCTCTGGCCACAATTCCTAGTTAATAAAATGGATATAATCATGTTTTACCAACCTCATAAGATTGCGGTGAAGATTAAATCATTTCAATCATTGCCTTGCACATAATTGCAGTACACATCTTCATTATTCTGCTGTGCTCCTTTTCCTTTGCTTTCCTGATACCCCAGTGCTTGGCATTCCCATGATGTACACATGGCACTTCTATAGTGTGATAAATAAGTACACAAGTAGCTAAGTTAGTCAGGTGAGTGAGATCTTAAGGTCCATCTTAACTAGTTTTACTGGTGAAGAAACTCAAGTCTAGAGAAGTCAGGTGTGAGCCAGACTGGAATTCAGGCTTCTGATTGAGCCACGTGCTTTCTGCATGGCCATGTTTGTACAAAACCACAGCACATAAAAAAAAAAAAAGGTAACTCTAGTGAAAGGGACAGCTCAGACCAAAGAGGTTTAAAATATTTAAACTTCTTTCTTTTTTTGAGACAAGACAGGCTAGAGTGCAGTGCAGCCTCCACCTCCCAGGGTCAAGCGATTCCCACACTTCAGCCTCCCAAGTATCTGGGATTACAGGCATGTGCCACCATGCCCAGCTAATTGTTTTTTGTGGGTGTTTGTTTGTGTGTGTGTTTGTTTGTTTGTTGAGATAGAGTCTCGCTCTGTCACCCAGGCTGGAATGCAGTGGCGCGATCTCGGCTCACTGCAACCTCTGCCTCCCAGGTTCAAGCAATTCTCCTGCCTCAGTCTCCTGAGTAGCTAGGACTACAGGCATATGCCACCCGGCCCAGCTAATTTTTTGTATATTTAGTAGAGATGGGGTTTCACCGTGTCAGCCAGGATGATCTCCATCTCCCGACCTCATGATCCGCCTGCCTCGACCTCCCAAAGTGCTAAGATTATAGGCCTGAGCCACTGTACCTAGCCTTGTGTGTATTTTTAGTAGAGACGGATTTTGCCATGTTGGCCAGGCTGGTCTCGAACTCCTGGCCTCAAGTGATCTGCCCTCCTCAGCCTCCCAAAGTGCTGCGATTACAGATGTGAGCCACTGTGCCTGGCCTATATTTCCTTAATATTAAATATAAACCCTAATTATTGAATTGTGTGTATTTACACTAATAAAGTTTCACTGAACATACTGGCACACAACTTTCTTTATTTTTAGTTATCTTTTATATCTGATTGCAAGAGAAATATTTTCCCTGCAAAGTGGTCCTCAGAAAAGAGAGAGTTGCTATTTATTTCAGTTCAAAGTCTTCTAAAGAAGCGTTCTTAATTACTACTTTTATCTTGAACAATAAAATAACATTTACAAAAGACATAGTAGCCTGCAGTGACCTTAATCAATGTAATTTGAGTTTATAGAAGTCACCTGTTGGAATTGATAAGCCAAGCAGGGGAGGATATGGAAAATAAATTTAACGTAAGTTTGATTATTAATCCCATGAAGGGACCTCTCAATTCCAAGTATTGGATATTTAAAGATTACTTTAAAAGCAATGTAGTAATAGAGGATCCCAGACATACACCTACAGGATCAATGAAAAACAACCAAGCCATTGTTAAACATCGCTTGGTGGCTTTGAGTAAAACTTCCAGTGTCTGTTTAATGTGTCATAGAAGTATTTGAATTTAAGGAGACTACCTTTTAACTCAAGAAACCTTATAAGAATTTCATGGACAGTGCCCTCATTTGTGGAGAGAATTAACCTTGTGTTAAGTAGTTATGTGTTCATTTTAGCTGAAGAGCGACAGAGTTAGGTATAGGCACATTTCAGACCTTCTCGTGGTGTGTTATTTGAATTTTTTGGTGCCATAGTGGTTTTCTTTTTAACCAATTTAATACTGGACTGCTTTTTTCCCCAGCCTTGAGTTTGTAACTGAAAAAAAACAATAAAAGTAATAATTTTAAAACATTGGCCAGCAAATTAGAAAAAGATTATCTCAATGTAATACACTCCCTAGGTTAAAAGAAATGATTGTTGGTCTCTTTGCACTGTTATATATACCATCAGCTTTTCCTCGTTAGCATGGATAACCTAGGAGTTGAGATTGGATTTATTCTGGGGCTGCTGGCAAATGGTTATTTGAGTTTCATAATTACTGTAGGCCTTCAGCTAATTCGCTGAAGTCGTAAAACAATAGCCTTTGTCACTTAAACTCTTAGAAGTAAAACTCTAAGTAACTAAGAGCCTATGTGTACCAATGAATTTGTACTACATGTACCAATACATGTACCAATACATGTACCAATGAATTGGTACTACATGTACCAATGAAGGTTTTTTGGAAGTTTAACATAAGAAAGGTCCAACACTGTGCTGAAAATCCTGAGCCCTCCTCTTTCTTGTCTTCCATGGGCTGAAGATCACTCCTAGTGCAGTAGCGTTAAACTTCTCTGCCTCCTGCCTCTCCCTCAGTGTCCTTCTCCACACTAACAAAGCCACAGACTGCTGCCATCTAAAGCCGTTCCTAAGCAGCTGTTGAAAGGGTGTAAGGATTTTCTTACACTCTTCTGATACCTTCTTGAGTTTGGAGGGAGAAAATTGGGCTCATCACCCCACAGTGCCTGTTTATGTTGTGGTAAGCACTGTTTACATGAAAGAAGGTCAGCAAACCTTGTTGATTCTTCATGGATGGCCTATGGAATAAAAATTCCAAGTTTCTTCCCTTGGTTTCTGATAGGGACTGCTGGAAAGACTTAAGGAAAATACAGTTCTGATCCCTTCAGTACATTTGAGTGTTCTGCACATGCAGGACCCAGGCATCTTTGTGTAAAGAAAGAATGGGGATGGCACAGTTGGTCAGCTGTTGAAGGAATCCACACTCCCTCTGCCCATCTCGACTCCCACACTCCTTCAAGAGTTCTGAGTCCAGTGCCTTCATTATCAGTACAAATGAAGCAGTTATATTACATGTCTTGTACAGAAGAGGAGGCAATATAAACCAGATTGATACGATATTGAAGAAATAGAAAAAATGCTGTGAGTAAACCTAGTTATGTAATTTGTATTAGGGAGTAGATATGGTACTGTTTTTAATAGAGTAGGTTTGCTTTTAGTCTTTTTCTTCTCCCCAGTATGGATAATATTTTTATTTAGAAAAAAACATAAATACAGAGAAATCCAGGAAATAATATAATATACCTATTTACCCACCACTGAGAATTCACAAATTGGAGTCTTTTAAAAATCATTGTTCATTTCAGGCCTTTTTAGAAAATAAATTATTAAAGTTCAGTTTCCTTTGAAACATCCCCTTGGTTCCTTTTTCCTTATCATCCCCCCTAAAGATAACCATCATCACGAATTTGTTGTGTATTCTTCCAGTTCTTGCTTTTATACCTTTATGACACATCCATCCATCCATCCATAATATTGATTTGTGCATGTTCTAAAATTTGTATAAGTGGTGGGGCGTGGTGGCTCACACCTGTAATCTCAACACTTTGGGAGGCCAAAGTGGGTGGATCACCTGAGGTCAGGAGTTTGAGACCAGCCTGACCAACATGATGAAACCCCATCTCTACTAAAAATACAAAAATTAGCCAGGTGTGGTGGCACGCACCTGTAATCCCAGCTACTCTGGAGGCTGAGGCAGGAGAATCGCTTGAACCCAGGAGGTGGAGGTTGAAGTGAGCCGAGATCGCGCCATTGCACTCCAGCCTGGGTGACAGAGTGAGACTTCGTCTCAAAAAAACAAAAAAGGCAATTTGTAGAAGTGTAGTCCTGTACATGTATTACTCTGTTTCTTCCCTCTGTCACTTGTCATTATAATGGAAGGGTATACTATGTCTAGGTATATTGTGATTGCTGATTTATTTGGACTTTTTATGTTTTCTATTCTTTGTTTTCCTTTGTTTTTTACTTTCCTGCTTTTTATTGGTAAATATGTTTTATTCCACCCCTCCTGATTTGGAAGTTTATAGATCCTATTTCTGTTCTTACATTTTTTAATGGTAACTTTAAATTTTATTTTAACAAAGTCTAAAATTAATCTGTATCTGTATCATCCTCCAGAACAAAACCAGGACCATAGTATCCTTTAACTTCTTATCTACCGACCCCACTTCTATCTTTCATGATTGTTTTTGTCTAAAGCTGTGCTATATGGTAGCCATTAGCTGCATGAGTTTATTAAACACTTAAGAATGAGGAGCTGAATTTGTTATTTAATTTTAATCAACTTAAGTTTAAAAACTGATATTAGAATCAGCGATTGGTAAATTATAAATGTTTGGAGCAACCTGGGTAAAACTACTGTAAGTTTTATGAATTCTAAATACAGATTAGATGTTCCTGATAAAAATTTAGCATTTGAATAAAAATGTGTTCTAAGTATAAAACGAACACCAGATTTTAAAGATTTAGTACAAAAAAGTCTGTGAAATATCTCATTAATCTTTTTTTGCATTAATTACAGGGTGAAATAATAAAGTTTTAGATATAGTCAGTTAAATAAAATATTAAAATTAGTTTTACCTGTTTTTATGCTTTTTTAATGTGGCAATTAGAAAATCTAAAATTATATGTTGTATTTCTGTAGGAAAGAACTGCTGTAGAATTTCTGTTGAAACTTAAAAACACAATAGGTAATGTTGTTTACGATTAGTGGTTAATTAAATTTATTAGTATATTTTTTACATTTTTTTCTTACATAGTTTTCCTTCCTTCTAGATTTGTTTTTCTTATTACTAAATTTGAACCTTTAGTAATAGATTCTTGTTGAAAGAAATGCTTTGTTGGAAGTGAACTCTCTTTATGTTTGTATTCTGAAATGGCTTTATTTTGCCATCACTCTTGAATGATAGCTAGGTATAGAATTCTAGGTTGGCAGTTTTCCTCAACTCCTTGAATAGTACTCTATATTTTCATACATTTGTATTTGTTGTTGGAGAAGTAATTCTTTATAGGTAATCTGCCTTAACTCTGATAACTTTACAGATTTTCTCATTTTCCTTGATGCTTTGTAGTTTTATTACAATATGTCCTGTTGTATTATTTTGTTTGTTTTGTTTTGTTTTCAGTTTGTTCCTTGGTGTGAGTGTTCAATCTGGGGAGTCAAGACTTTACTTTGGGAAAATAGTCATTATGTCTTTGCCTTCCTACTGATACCTCTTTCTCTGCTTCTGAAATGCCTATTAGATAGTTGTGGAGCTTCTCAATTAACCACATCACCTAACCTCTCTTTTGTTCATCCTTTTGTTGTTCTTTGTTGCATTCTTAATTCCTCAGCAGTCTATGGCAGTTCCTACTGTGTCTGGTCTAGAGTTTATCCGTGTTTTGAGTTTTTTATTTCAATGAGCCTGCTTTTATTAGCTTCAAAATTTCTATTTTGTATGAATCAAAAACATTTTAATATAAAACATACATACGTATGTAGTATCTAAATAAATATTATTTACATAATAATAAACCACCATCTAGCTTAAGAAATATAACTCTTACCAATGACTTTGTCTTTCCCAGTCAAATTACCCTCCCTTTCCTCAGCAAAAGGTAACCTCAGTCATGATTTTGCAGTTATCATTTGTTATGCTTTTCTTTATAGACTTTTCTTGTATTTGTATTTTCAAACTTTATTTAAAATCGTGCCATGACTTCCCTTTTTTGCCCAACATTACGTTTGTGAGATTCATCTCTGTTGATGTGCACACCCGTAGTTCATTTGTGTTCACTGCTACATATTATTTGATTATATACCACAGTGTATATATCCTTCTGATGACATATGTTTAGGTCGTTTCTACTTTTTAATTAATTTTAGCTAAGTATATATTTTTTCAACATCCTTTTATTTTCATGCTTTCTATATCCTTGAGTTTTTGGTGTCTCTTTTAAGTATCATATTGTTGTATAAGTGTTAGTTACCTATATTGTTTATTATTTTTAAGTCTTAAAATCTAATTGAGCAAGCATTCCTTCCCTCCCCACTCCCCATTGTTTTCCTTCTTGGGGTGTGCCAGAAGGGATAAGAAACAAAGCCTAGGGCTGGTACAGGGTGAGAGCATACAGGAGTATCCTCACATAAGCAGCTTCCTTAAAAGGCATGAGAAACCAACAACAAAAAGTTAAAACGTCTCTTGCAGACGTGGATACGTGCATGAGACCTTTTTATTTGACCATGATTTGGGCCCTCTTGACCATTCTTGGTTCAAACTGGATTAGTGTAAGCCTGTTGTGTCCTGGAGAGTGGGGCAAGAGCCCCCTTTGCCTTGGCAGTCCCTGCATCCCGTCTAACTCTCCTCATCTTTCACATCCACCTGCCAGGAGGTTGAAGTACATCTGAGATCCCCTATATCCACCCCCAGCCTTTTGTTTCCCTCCTTTCTATGTTTTTATTCTTCGCAATCCCTTGGCACAAAAAGCTTTGGGTTTCTGTTTTAATCCCTTAAAACCATGCTCTCTTCCTTCCTGTCTCCGGCCTGTGGCTTAGTGTTAATTGATGGAGAGGGTTATGTGATAAGACAGCTTATAATGGTAGGTCTTTCCAAAATAGTCTACCTGTTACTCTGTGCAACAAAAACAGATAACCAGTTTGCAGGGAATCTGGATGTAAGGAAATGTGCTCAACTTTAAGGCTCTGTTGAATATAGTTTCATACTGTATAATTTAGAAGACTAAAGATCTTTTTTATTGCATAACCTCTGTGTAACAATTTACAGTTTATGAAATGCTTTCTCCAGTATCTCACTTGATCATAAGCAGTACCCTTTGAGTTAGCTGTCATTATCATCTATCATTCATGGATGAAGGAGACTGAGCCACCGTGATCAAGTCACTGTCCCAGATCGTACAGCTT
This sequence comes from Homo sapiens, assembly GCF_000001405.40. Classification (NCBI taxonomy): domain Eukaryota; kingdom Metazoa; phylum Chordata; class Mammalia; order Primates; family Hominidae; genus Homo; species Homo sapiens. The sequence continues at coordinate 79,217,355 of NC_000006.12, read as the reverse complement.
CTAGGTATAGAGCCAAGATTCAAACCAGGTGTCTTGAGCTCACATCCTGCATTCATACCATTGTATCACACTGATCCCCGGTAAAGATTGATTGTTCCTGACTGCAGGTGTATTAAATGCTTGCTAATAGAAAGCCATTGTGGTAGATTGCCAGAGAAACGAGCTTTGCTAGCTCTTTACATCCAGAGCCTTATGTTCATTTGTCTGAAGGCATTCACATTTTCAGTGTACCTGCTTTTTTCATGCAGTGCCTTTCCAAGTTTCTCTTTTTTGAATAATTTGCATCCCATACAAACATTATTAGGTCGGTGTTTAGAGATTGAACTCCATCATATTGCCTGTCACTAATCCACTGCATAGAAAAATATGAAAATAATGTCATTAACATCAGTTTTTCTTATAATAGCTATGTACTGCTGCTTTAACTGCCTATCAATTATAGGTAGAGAGTACCCTAGACTGAAATCTACTGAGTGACCTGACAGGTCTGAATGAAAGCCCAGCACTCCTAGACAACCAAGGGTCTGTTGTGTGGCCAGAAGGGTTGAGTTTGTAGCCATGGAAGTGAGCAAAGACCAGTGGTCCACCTAGGAATTATCTTCATATGCTCAGACTAAGATTTTGCCATCTCTACCACAACTGACTGATTAACACAAGATCTATAAACGAAATATTCCTGTGCAAGAGAGTGGGGTACAAAAAAGAGAAAACTGTTTCTTCATAATTGAGAAGGTTCCACGGAGGAGGGGAGATGGTTAATTTGGAAACAAGAGAGAAATCCATGACATGGGAGGTTCTGGAAAGAGGGCATATGATAGGCTCTGGGTAACGGGCAGCTCTAGGGAATAGAGAAAGGTCACTGGGTCCTTTGCCTTGAAGAAAAGCTTTTATCTTTCCTAAAGACTTTTATATATACTTAGGACCTTTGTTTTGCGTACATTTTTATGACCTAAGTTTTTGAATTTAGCCTTATTTTATGTGGACTTTTCATGTATTTACATCACCTAACTTTTTAATTCCATTCACTGTTACATAAATATGTAAATAAGTAATAGTTTACTTAATCATTTCTCTATTATTTACTGATACATGAGTTGCTTCCACTTATTCCATATTAGAAATAGTACAAATAAAACCATATTTTTACAAAGAGTTTCTTTTTCTGAGTCCAGGTACCAAAATTAAAATTACTAGGTCATCATATTAATTCTCTGTGTCTTTTTCATATTGCCAAGTTGTTCTTTGAAACGATTATATTAATTTACAGTGTCACTAGCCTCAAACAGTGGGTTTTATGATCTCTTGAATTTTGTTCTCATTTTATCAGATGAGGCATTACCACATAGCTGTTTTATTTTGCTGAGCCAAACATCGTGTCAAATGTCAGTTTGCTATTTGTATTTTTTTCTAACAGGAGCTCTATTCAGATCAGCAGCCTATTTGTGCCATAGAGACTGAGTATTCACTTTCTAACTTTATGTAGTTTAAAAATGTTAAATAGTCTAGTTTTCTAAGTAGTTTAGTTGTTTTAATATTATTTAATAACTCTTAGCCAATAAAAAATATTGGGACATGTGCAGTGTCCAATAAATCCAAAGTACATTTTACTTTAAAATATAAAGAAAATATAAGATATGTTTTTCCCATAGTATACACATCCTTTAAAGGAATCAGGTTTGAGCTGTTACAAGAGGAGGCAGGTGCTGCCCCAGGGGATGGATCAAAACCTGGAAATAAATCAGCTGAGGGTGGCACGTAGCCTGGCTGTCATGCCAAGGCTGGGAGTTTAGTAGAGATGCTGGAGTTGATAATGGAAAAATGGTAATCTATGATAAATTTGTCAGTTCATATCAAGAAATGGGCTAGAAATCAAGGCTAGGCAAGGATGGGATGAAAATGTGCTTTTGTGGTTGGCCTGGGCTTTACCAGCATCCTGCCCTTATCTTAAAGGAATGGAGTGACTGGAACAAGCAAATGGAACAAGAGGGTGGCTCCCAGGCATTCCTGCCACTGACCTCTGGCCCCTGTTCTTTAACTGGAATCATCAAAGATAAATGAAAGTCGCTTAGGGTGAATGCACATTGAGAACAGGGAATCACATAGTTCTTTCACCATTTCTGCTTTAAAAGTCGAGCAGTTATGCAGCTATCTACCGTGTGTGTGCATGCATGCACGTAGGTGTGTAAAAGACATACCCTGTTGTAATTTACTTTTTCTTTGCAAAAAAATCTGTTGGCTTGTCTTGTCCTGGGAATGAGATAACTTTTTAAAAACATTTTTCTAATGTGTGTTTTCCAATTTAAATACAATTCACTGAAATATTTTCTTTCTAGTCTCCAGAGAATACAGAGGGCAAAGATGGATCCAAAGTAACTAAACAGGAGGTAAGTATATCTTTGACATCCTATATTTAATTATTTACATTGAAATGTTTAATATTGTTAGGATTGTCTGCATCTGAATGAAATGCGGACAATTGTATGAACAAAGTTTAATATGAATGATCAAGGTTGTTAAGACTACCTGAAAGAGCGATAAGTGTCTATATGTAGTCTCGCTTGGCCTAGGTGTGTTTCAGTTGGGTATATTGATGAGGCATTTTCCACTTACTGTGTTGTTTATGTTTCTACCTGTCAGCCCTGCTTTCTGTTAAAGCAGATACTGAGAATTCCTTCTGGGCAAAGAGTAAGATAATAGGTAAATTCATCAAGGAGAACAAAGTCTGCCTTTCACAGCAAGAAAATGAAAGACTGTTGATCTCATAAATTCTGTGCTCCAGTGAGTGGATTATAAGTCACTTTTTAGGTTCTGAATATTTTGCCTGAGAAGGATCATCTCTAAAATCAAAAACTATAGGCCGGGCGCAGTGGCTCACGCCTGTAATCCCAGCATTTTGGGTGGCCGAGGCGGGCGGATCACGAGGTCAGGAGATAGAGACCATCCTGGCTAACACGGTGAAACCCCATCTCTACTAAAAATATAAAAAGTTAGCCAGGCGTGGTGGTGGGCGCCTGTAGTCCCAGCTACTCGGGAGGCTGAGGCAGGAGAATGGTGTGAACCTGGGAGGTGGAGGTTGCAGTGAGCCGAGATCACACCACTGCACTCCAGCCTGGGTGACAGAGCGAGAGAGACTCTAAAAAAAAAAAAAAAAGAAAAAGAACTGTAGAGGGATACACAATATGTCAAAATATTAAAGCTTTTTTTTAAATTGGGAACACTCAGGATATTGGGATAATTAATTAGGCAATGATTCAAAGATGTTTTGTTTTAAAATTCAGAAACCTCCAAAAGTCTAGAAACTTGGAAGAGATTCTTGGATTTGACCATCCACAGTTATTATTATGAACCTCTAAAAAAAGATGGGCTAAACAGTAGGAAAAGAGATATAACTTTGATGACAACCATTCCGTTTGCACAGGGCTTTAGAATAGGTGGAAAACTGCAGCTGTTACCCTTGAACTTATCAACTAAAAGGGGTCATGGGTGAGACAAAAACAATATCTAGTTACAGGTTCTTTGATTGGGTGATTCATAATGTGGTTAATAATTCAGAGGAGTTTATCGTGATACCAAAACCCCTGCACAAGATTTGTACAAGGAAATTCATTCTGCCAAGTGGAAAATCTTAAACAGAACCTATAAAGAAATAATTTAAAAGCAAAACAAAACAGTCTGTCCCCATCATCCATGTACCTAGCATTCACTGTTTGACAGAGTTTGGAATAATCATGAAGTTTGTTATCCAAAACAGAGTCATCACACACATGCAAGAACCAACCAAAAAATGATAAATGCTTGAATTTTCTTGGGAAATGGCAAAATGTGATTTTTAGAACAGTTGGCTAAGTATAACTAACCTTAAATGTTTTTAAGATTTGGACACCAAAACAAAAGCATTTGGGTTTTTCCTTAGGGACTGGCATTTAAATTGATTTGTCAGTCAAAAAACCTAGAAACACCATGGCACCCAGTAATCTTTGATTGTCTTTCCAATCCCACTACACCAAAAGTAAATCAAGCTTGTGAGAATGTATATATAAAGGATATGTGTGTGGTTTTGCTTGTACAGCTGTCTTATACATATTATTTTATTTTATTTTATTTTATTTTTTGAGATAGCATCTCACTCTGTCATCCAGGCTGGAGTGGGTGAGGTGGCAAGATCATAGCTCACTGCAGTCTCGATCTCCCTGGCTCAAGTGATTCTCCCATCTCAGCCTCCAAGTGGCTGGGACTGTAGGTGCATGCTAGCACACCTGGCTAATTTTTTTATTATGTTTTTATTTTTAATTGTTATTTTTATATTTTATTTTATATTATTTCTATATATTTTATGTATTTTTGGTTGTTAATAAAAATGGTTTCTAGATAAGGCTCTACCTGTCATTTAAGCCAAGGCCAGATTAAAACTCATGATAATGTCTTCAGGACATCAACACAGTTATTTAAAAAGTGAAAAGGTCAGTTAGTTTGCTGATGGTTTCGGGTAAAAACTGTCAGTGTATTGATTGATTGATTTTTTTTCTTTCCCACTGGATTGACTGAATTTTCCAGTTATGTCATTGAGTATGCACCACCTTGACTTTAGTGAATAGATAACAGTTACTAAGGGGGATTCTCTTTTGAAAATCCTCTTCCACTGCCATATTAGAAGGCATTGTGCAGAAGATAGTACTTCAGGGGACTTGGACAGTAAATAACCAAAATAATACATTATAGTCATTACAATCAACAGTTACAAACCCTTTTACATCCATTATTTTGTCTGGTCCATATAGTAACTCTAAAATGAGAGGAAGGCAGATTATTCCTCAACGAAAACATATAAGCACCTATAATGCGCCAAGCACTGTTCTAAGCTCTCCAGATCCCACAGTGAACAAAAGAAGCAAAAATCGCTGCTTTCATGGAGCTTCCTTTTAGTGGGAGAGAGAGTAAAATAAAATGATTGAATATTAGCTATGAAGAAAAACAAAGTAAGGAAGGAGAATAGTGAATGTCAGAGAAGTGCTATTTTTGAGGACAGATTGACAGATGTTATCCCTATTTTAACTAGAGCAAAGTTCTCAGAGAAACATGATTTTCCCTGGGTGTTAGAACTTGTAAATAGCAGAACCAGGAAAGATATCTGCATCTCCTGTTCCAAAATCCGCTATCCCTATGGCCCTTTTATGACAGTCCTAAAAATCTGGTAATCCAGTATCCATTTTTCTGTCTTGTCTATTCCCAGCCAAGGCTCTGAGGTACAAACTTTTCTACTTCCCAGTTTTGAAAAAAAGGCAATTTCTTTTTAGGCATTTTTTTTTTTTTTTAGAATTAAAAGCAACTTGACTTTTGGGTTTTGCTTGGAGGTACATGGTCAGGCTCAGGAGCAACAACATCTCATAAAAATAAAAATACTCCCACATTCCAGAGGAATAGTCCATGTGTTTCAAGCAGTATCCAGCAAAGTGCAGTGATTCTATTGAATCTAGCTATCCCTGTGTACTTTGTCATTGGGAGATTAGACTTCTATGTTGCTTTTGCAACCAGGATATTAAAGTAGAAGATTTCATGTCTTTCAGAATAGGCTTCACCAGAATTTTCTCCAACCTAAAGGATGATCATGCCTATGGGATGATGCCTATGGGATAATTCCACTGTGACCAGCACCTATATACCATAGTGGCAAACCCTCACATTTGTCGTATCTGTTTGTCATATTTATCAATGATGACTTTTCATTCTAAAAGCCCTCCTTCCCTCCCTGAGAGCTAGTAAAATAATTGGATATTGGCAATTAAGGAAAACAAAGCAAGGAAGGGAAATAGCGAATGTCAGAGAAGTGCTGAGGAGCAGTCTCTGGACCACTTTTCCTGAGGATTCACAATTAAAAAAAAAAAAAAAAAAACAAGAGAAATTCTTAATAGCTTTTTTTTCCCCTCGTAGTCCCACCCAACAATCTGAGTCTCAAATGAGTACTTCACATGTTAGTGTTTTAAAAAGGAAAAAATAGCAGTCTAATCTATTTCATATCCAATAAATATAGTCCAATAATTTACAGATTTTAAGGCTGTGAAAGCTGATAGAACTTTCCAGGAAGGTGTCCATACTTGTATGCATAATCAGTACTGCTGACTGAGTGAAAGGTTCATCTCAGCCTCCACTGTTTGCAGTGAAAACGAAAATCTCTTATGATAGCTACTGGAAAAGAAAATGTAAGAAAAGTCTTTTTTAATGGCATAGAAAGAAGAGCTGGGAAATTGTATGTAGCAAGTCATAAAATGATTTTATAATAGAAGATAGGATTTTTAGGTACTGGCTGGTTTAGACAGCTTAGGCATTTTTTTTTTTTTTTTTTTTTTGCATTAATTTCCGAGGCTTTTTATTTTGGAACTCCTGTACTGGACCTGAATTTTTAAAAGGTATTAAGTCCTTTGGATCAGAACAGCTGTTAGTCCCAGTAGAGCAGTGCTTAGATTGGAATGTCTCTGGAAATCCCAAAGAGCTCTCTGGCATCACTTAGTCTATTTGGTATGTTCAGGTCTTCACATGGAGAGGAACAACATTGTCGCAGCTGGGGAACTTTTCACATGATTTTGCCTCACTTCATGGAGATTTTATTCAAGACAACTAGATGGCAGATAGGGAGGCAGTTTTGAGTAATGGCTAACATGTTTGGACCCTTTTCAGGCCCCAAACTAAAGAGTAACTGAGTAGTGGCTCTAGGACTTCTTCCCCTCCCTACAAGTTCACAGTTGCTGTATGTTTCTGGTGCTTACCCCTTCTGTTCATCTCAACACTTATTGAGGGCCCCTGCTACATATTGGAGCCATAGAAATATAAGAGAAGGTGGTCCTGTGCAAGGAGGTATGGAGACGTGTCAGATGAGGTGAACGTGAGGCAAGACCAGCATGGTGCACATGAGTTGACATCAAGTGGAGAGAGAGTCAGATAAGGCTCTTTCACCTCTCTTTAGCATGGAGACTGTCACTTTCATCTTGGAAGGTATTGTTCTGCCTGCTGTAGTTTATGAGACATGGATAGTCCTTGAGGCCACACTGAAGCTTCAAAGCTGAGCTCTGTTGGGTAATTGGAAGGTGCTCTTTGCTCCTCTATGCTCAGAAAGTACATTAAAAAAACACAAGATACCTCTTATTGCCCGGTTTACTTGAAAATGTTGCCTTCAGTATACTTAATACGGTTAACCATGCTGGGAAAGGTATTGCAGGATTTGGATTCTGGTTCCCAGGGACTTATGGGTGCACTGTCAAGAATGCACCCTTGATAACCATAGCAGGCACTATGGTTCCTATGGAGAATCTGACACACACTCCTCCTGTACTAATTCACAGGGCTATGTGCTGAGTTGTACAAGCTTTTACTCTGTGCAGTGAGTGTATCCCACCCAATCACTTAACCTGCACAGCCTTTCATTCTCAGCACATTCTCCTAGCTGGCCTTAAGTCCAGCTCTGATCTTTCTTCGAGACTCCAGGGTTAAAAGTATTCATGGAGGCTCTGGCCCTTCGTTTCCTTCTGTAGTTTAAAGAAAGATGAGTTTAGCTTCTCTGGCTATTTTCAGCAAGAAAGTTCTTAGATGTGGAGATGGCAAGAAATATTTCTTCCAGTTTGGCCTGACTGGCTGACCTAGACTGACCTTAGCCCCACTTCAAGAATTCCATGATTCCTCATAATTATGGCATGGATTCCTACTGACCATTTTTGCTGTCCCCCTTAGGAAGAATTATTTGAAACATTTAAGCTATTGTAATGAGGCAAAGTCTGCATAAGGCAGTGAGAATTAGGGAAAGGCTTGGATTCATTTATTCAGCAAATACTGAGTTTGTACTATATGTTGGCCAGTACCCTACTGTACTGGAGATGGAGCAGTGAATAAAACAGACAAAAAGTATGGAGTATTTATTTCTAGGGCACTTTTTTTAAAAAGGCAGTTATGCTTTTAGAATGTGAAATCCCTTGGGGAGCCACCGTAGGTTGGATGGTAAGTAGAATATCAATTTTGTGTGTTATTGCTGAAATGCCTAGGACAGTTCTGTTAATTTAGATTTTCTTTTCAGGGTCATTTGCTGTTAACTTGTAATATCCTTGAAGAAAAAAAGATTTCCCCAAAATATCAATTTCTACACAGTTTCTCTGTAAATTTTCTAAACTTTGAAATTAAAAGAAAAAGTAATGCACTTTTAATTCTGGTTAAATCCTTTGAACATATACTACTAGATAAATGTGTTTGTTTTGTTATAGGTAAAAAGAAGCCTTTCTTGTTAACTGCCAAGATTTGTAGTCATTTTCATTTCTAACATAGCAGCAAGATGGGGAACTCCTGCTATTTTGGTTTCTACACAATTGCATAAGTCTCTTCTTGTATTAACTTAAAAGCTTTAGTTCCATTTTTAAGGAGCTGGAGTCAGACTGAAGACTAGCTCTTAAATAGCACCTCAATGTTCTTGCTGTTGATTTTGTCATAAAAGTAGAGGTTTTAATTTGGGATAAAGCCTAAGTTGATCTTCATTTCCCTTACTTATTCACCACACCCTTAGTTGGGAGAAGCCGTTTATTTGAACAGTATACCTACCCCTTTTTAGAAACACTTCCTCTTGAGTGTCATCGTGCCCAGGGGACTTGGGATATGTTTCACTGTGCTTACCTGGAGAAGGTGATGGGAATCATACATTATAGTCATTCAACAAAGTAAGGTATATTAAGAATAGATTTTTAAAAATCAACTTCGTTTTATATAATCACCAAAAAATATGTATATTTTCCCATTCCCTTTGTAGCCCACAAGACGGTCTGCCAGATTGTCAGCGGTAAGTACCTTAGAACCACTTCAGTGTTAGTTCTTATGAGTACATGTTCCCTTTGTCCAAAGTGAAGCAGCAAAAGGAAGATTAACATGGTTTCCCATGAGCTTATTTTCTTTTTGAAAATTACCTAGGGTCCTCATGTCTAGCAAATTTGACCAGTGTTGCCAAGCAATTCACTTGATCAAATGTGTCAGAAAAACAGTGGCCAGCCCCATAACGAAGAATATAAAGCAGGATGTTGTTTGACATTGCTAGATCTCTGAAACAAAAGTAGTATATTAGGCAAAGTTCCAGTCTTCAGATTGTACCTATGATGTGCTGAAGTGGACAGAATTCTGATTCTCTGTCCACAACTCATACTTTAGAATGTATGTATGAGAATGTTCTGAAAGTTGTCTGAGTCCATATACTGTAGCCTCATTTCAGACCTAAAGAATCTTTGTAATAGTAATAATTCTACTTTGCTATTTGGTGTCTCCTTCTGTGGGCCAGGAGATTCTTGTGGGGTTAGGATACAAGCTGAGATGGGCAGATGTGGCTGAGCCTCTGAGGTGGACATCCTTCAGCTCTTCCTCACCAACCTGTGCTCCTTACTGGTTCTTATGCTCTTCTCTTTTGCTGCTCTCCTGAGAGATTAGCTGGACTCTAGTGGAGGATTTTGGTTAAAATTCCTGCAGCCCAGACTTCCCACTGAGAAGGTAGAGGGAAAGGCATTGGCATTTTGGCTGACACTATATTAGTATATCCCCATACTAGCTATTACAGAAGCTTCATGCTACTTTGGTCTTCAGGAAAGCATGGATTTCATTCTCAACCCAAATCTGTGCCTGATACAATATAAGGAATCAAAGCAAAAATGGGTATTAGGACCACTCACAAGTTCAGAAATACAGCTGTTTGGATCAGGCAAGCCAGTGTTTCACGTGAGTCTCGTAAGGAAGTATATTAGTCTGTTTTCACACTCACTGCTGATAAAGACATACTCAAGACTGGGCATTTTACAAAAGAAGGAGGTTTAATTGGACTTATAGTTCCATGTGGCTGGGGAAGCCTCACAATCATGGTGGAAGACGAGGAGCAAGTCACATCTTATGTGGATGGCAGCAGGCAGAGAGAGAGCTTCTGCAGGGAAACTCCCATTTTTAAAACCATCAGATCTCACCAGACTCATTCACTTTCACAAGAACAGCACAGGAAAGACCCGCCCCATAATTCAATCACATCCCACCAGGTTCCTCCCATGACACATGGGAACTGTGGGAGTTATAATTCAAGATGACATTTGGGTGGGGACATAGCCAAACCATATCATTCTGCCCCCAGCCCCGCCCAAATCTCATGTCCTCACATTTCAAAACCAATCATGCCTTCCCAACAGTCCCCCAAATCTTAATTCATTTCAGCATTAACTCAAAAGTCCAAAGTCTCATCTGAGATAAGGCAATTCCCTTCCACTTGTGAGCCTGTAAAATCAAAAGCAAGTTAGTTACTTCTTGGGTAAAATGGGGATACAGATATTGGGTAAATACATCCATTCCAAATGGGAGAAATTGGCCAAAACATAGGGGCTACAGGCCTCATGCAAGTCCGAAATCCAGCAGAGCAGTCAAATCTTAAAGCTCCAAAATGATCTTTGACTCCTTTTCTTGCATCCAGGTCACGCTGATGCAGGACGTGGGTTTCCATGGTCTTGGGTAACTCCGCCCCTGTGGCTTTTCAGGATACAGCTTCCCTCCTGGCTGCTTTCACAGGCTGGCATTGAATGGCTGCAGCTTTTCCAGGCACACGGTGCAAACTGACAGTGAATCTACCATTCTGGGGTCTGGAGGGCAGTGGCCCTCTTCTCACAGCTCCACTAGGCAGTTCCCCAGTAGGGACTCTGTGTGAGGGCTTCAACCCCACATTGCCCTTCTGCACTGCCCTAGCAGAGGTTATCCATGAGGACCCTGCCTCTGCAACAACGTCTGCCTGGGCATCCAGTTGTTTCCATACGTCTTCTGAAATCTACGCAGAGGTTCCCAAACCTCATTTCTTCACTTCTGCACACTCGCAGGCTCAACACCACATGGAAGCTGCCAAAGCTTGGGGCTTCCACACACTGAAGCAATAGCCCCTGTACCTTAGCCCCTTTTAGTCACAGCTGGAGCGGCTGGGAGACAGGGCACCAAGTCCCTAGACTGCACAGAGCAGAGGGACCCTGGGTCAGGCCCACGAAGCCATTTTTTCCTCCTAAACTCTGGGCCTGTAATGGGAGAGGCTGCTGCAAAGGTCTGTCACGTGCCCTGGAGACATTTTTCCCATTGTCTTGTGCATAACATTTGGCTCCTCATTACTCATGCAAATTTCTGCAGCCGGATTGAATTTCTCCTCAGCTCAGAAAATGGGATTTTCTTTTCTTTCGCATTGCCAGGCTGCAAATTTTCTAAACTTTTCTGCTCTGTTTCCCTTTTAAAACTGATTGCCTTTAACAGCACCCAAGTCACCTCTTGAATGCTTTTCTGCTTTGAAATTTTTTCCACCAGATACCCTAAATCATCTCTCTCAAATTCAAAGTTCCACAAATCTCTAGACCAGGGGCAAAATGTTGCCAGTCTCTTTGCTAAAACGTAACAAGAGTCACCTTTGCTCCAGTTCTTAACAAGTTCCTCATCTCTATCTGAGACCACCTCTGCCTGGATTTCATTGTCAATATCATTATAAGCATTTTAGTTAAAGCCATTCAACAAATCTTTAGGAAAGGTCACAGTCATTCAGCAAGTCTCTAGGAAGTTCCAAACTTTCCCACATTTTCTTGTCTTCTTCTGAGCGCTCCAAACTGTTCCAACCTCTGTCTGTTACCCAGTTCTAAAGTCACTTCCACATTTTCATTATCTTTCAGCAGTGCCCCACTCTTCTGGTACCAATTTACTGTATTAGTCCATTTTCACGCTGCTGATAAAGACATACCCAAGACTGGACAATTTACAAAAGAAAAAGGTTTAATTGGACTTACAGTTCCATGTGGCTGGGGAAGGCTCACAATCATGGAGAAAGACAAAAGGAGCAAATTATGTCTTACGTGGATGGTGGCAGGCAAAGAGAGAGAGCGCTTGTGCGGGGAAACTCCTGTTATTAAAACCATCAGATCTCATGAGACTCATTCACTAATCATGAGAACAGTGCAGGAAAGACCCACCCCCATAATTCAATCACCTCCCACTGGGTTCCTCACATGACACATGGGAGTTGTAGGAGTTACAATTCAAGATGAGATTTGAGTGGGGACACAGCTAAACCATATTAGGAAGAGGTGTCAGTCACTAGGAGGACTTAAGAGCTGGGGTTGCTGTTGTGAATCTCCAGGCAGTTAAGGGAACAGACCTTGTAAGTCAAATGAAAACCAAAGTTTAAAACAAAGCTTTTCCTGAGCACCAGAAACCAGCAATATAAGCACCTTCCACTGAGATCATTCCCTGTGCTACCGAAACAGAGCCTCCTCAGAGGCCAGCAGGATTACAGACTACAAAACCTCATTTCCTGGTCCTATCAAAACACTTGAATGCTGGGTCAGAGGGAAAGGTCTGTCCTACAGAAAATAATATAAAAGGAAATTGTTTACTGTAAATGGAGAAAACATGTATATTAATACAGTATATCAAAGCTTAGGATGACAAAATGTTTTAAATTCTGAAAATGTAAGAGCCATGAAAGCTGCTGTATTTGGCCTGCAGATTTAGGGTGATAAGAAGATTAATAAAAACATTTCTTAACTTTTCAAGCTCGATTTTCTTTTTTTATTTGAAAGGTCATTTCTAACAGCCAATCTTCTGAAATCAAACTGTCTACAATTTCACTTTATGCCCTTGATGAAAAGGGGCAGATTCAGTGTGAACGTGAATTACCTAGAGGCACTAGGGAGGAACATGTATTTTTCTCCATAGGGGGAGACCCTGGCCAGTGTTTTCTATTTTAAAACCATTCTTCTAGTGCCAGGAGAGATGTACACTTTTTTCTAGTTCTATGAGAGAAATATTTGCCCTAAAATATCCACAGAAAACTCCTGGTGTAAAATGGTTATCTTTCCCCAGTTATCCGCATGTGCCACCTGGTCTCAGGCCCCTGGGAAGCTGGCCAGGGCTGAAGCATTGTGTGGCAGAGGGTCCATGGTCACACGGTGTGCAGGTGCTGCTCATGGGAACTGGAGGAGGACCACATGAGGCAAGAGAAAAATAGTTTCCTAGGGGACTGTTTGGCTAATAATATCTGTGAAAAATTTAAACTTTGGGAGCTAACAGTAGACATTTTATCATTATAATGATGTTCTCAATAAAAACCTTTAGACACAAATGAGCCCAGCATATCTGGTTAGACAAGAGATTCTCACCTTGAGCTGGCATTGGGGAGAATAAAAGTAGGAAGAAGCTTGGCAACAGAACTCGAAATCTACATTAGAAGTGGAAGGATTTGGAAGTGATTTTGAAATACTTCACAGGCAGCAGTCTTCATTACCAGTTGGGCTTTGCTAGTGATTGTGCTGTGATTTCTAGACTGTTAGGAAGGCCAGTGCAACTGAATTCATTGAGTCCTTTGGCCATGGGCCTGAGTCATTCCTCTTGCTGCTGTGCTGTGATAAAAGGAAGAGCAGACACATTGGAGATAGAAGCTTAGACCTGTTCCCGGAGAGCTATTCTGGACCAGGGAATAAGGAGTCGGCTTTTCAATCTCACCTGCAGTTCCCTTGTGAACCCAGGGTGAAAATAGTTATGAAATGCAGAGATCTTTATGCTGTTACCTGGTGCTGAAAATAGGATGAAATACTTTTTAATGACCAAAGCCATGTCAAAATGGATAGTTGTCTTTGTTAGTCCTTTTGTGTTTCTTTTGGTGCTGATAGTTTTTTTTTTTTTTCAGTATTTGTGTAATTTAAATTATCTTTGCAGAAACCTGCTCCACCAAAACCTGAACCCAAACCAAGAAAAACATCTGCTAAGGTAAGAAGTGCTGTTTCCCACTTTTGGCTTTTTAAACAATGAATAAATTATAATTCCCTACCTCAGAATCATTCAAAGAAAGGCCGTATTTAATGATCCAAACTGAAACCATTACCACTGTTACGGGCTTGCTTAAAGGCATAAAGCACAGTTTTCTGCGTTAATAGGAGTGTGTTTTCCATTTGGTCAGTGAGGCACGGGAAGTCAGAGATGTTGCTCTGAGAAGCCTCATGTCCGAAGGGGGTTTGGCAGCAGCCTCGTGAACATGCGGTTCATGCGGCACACAGCGGGGATGAGTTTGGGCCCTGGCAGCACTGCCCCACTATGGGAGGAATTTGGGAAGGGGCTTCTGACTTCATCTAACTGGATTTCGCAGGCCAGTCTGAGGTCTAATAATAATAATATAATAATGCCAGCAGGTAATATTGGCATTTATAAGGCCCTTATAGTATGGCAGATAAGGTTGATTGCTTTACTCATATGACCTTCACATCAACTCTGTTGAAGTAGATACAAATATCCTGTTTTGCAGATGAGGAAACTGAGGTACAGAATTCTTAGGGAACTTACCCAAAATGGCTTTTCTGCACTCTGCCCTTTGGTATTGTCCCATGTGAATTGTTTAAAACTTATGTGTATAGTGGCATGAGTAGGTGATTTCAGAAACAGAACTCACTTTTGTTGTTTGGTCTTAAAATTAGGAACTTTTCTTCATCTGGGCTTCATTTCCCTGCACCTTCCCAGCTTTCTAGTCATGCAAGCCACATGTCTCCACGTGAGGGGTTCATTGGAAAGCAGCCACAGAGCCACCCCCTGGCTGGGTTCTTCCCCAGCTCTGCTTCCTCCTTCCCCAAGTCCTGCAGCTGCTCTCTCCATGGCAGAACCACTTCTCCCCTTACTGGAGGGGAGGTCCACTGAACAAATCCAGGAGAGGAATCATTGTGTTTTCCACAGAAGAGAAAGTACACTGGACTTTCTGTGCAACCTGTTACTACATTTTCACAGAGACTCATATTTGTGCAGTGTAACTCAGTTGAAACCCAGCAAAATTAGGCTCCCGTGTCTCCATAAAGGCCACCATGATGGTAACGGTTGTACTTCACCTTGTGTTTGGACAGAGGCTGATTGATTTTAGCCATCATCACACCGTGTCTAACATTCTCTTTCACTGTGCTTTGATCCTCTGTTAGAAAGAACCTGGAGCAAAGATTAGCAGAGGTGCTAAAGGGAAGAAGGAGGAAAAGCAGGAAGCTGGAAAGGAAGGTACTGCACCATCTGAAAATGGTGAAACTAAAGCTGAAGAGGTACTTTCCATAAATACCTCCCACTGATTGAATCAGTGTCTTTAAAGAAATTTCTCAATCCTTCAGCCGGTGATAGCACGTTCTTAATGTCTCTTTTTATTGCCTGTAATGTTATTGCAGATCCACATCTCTCGCTCAACTGTTAATGTCTCAACCTCCAGAGGCACCCCACCCAGCACACTGTCAGTAAAGGGGCAGATTGAAACAGTGAGAGTTAAGGGTACAGTAGAAAATTCTGCATGTTTGCAGTGACTAGAATCAGATAGTAGTGTGGTGGTTTTTTTTTTTAATCATTATGAAGAGTGGGAGCTTGCAGGTAAGGCTTCTGTGGTGGTTTGAAAAGCAGAAAGCAATAAATGAAACAAAGTGTTTGTGTAATATATTCCTGCCTTGTCTTCTTCACTCAGAGTTGAAATAGGTTTTGCAGTAAAGCTGGAAAAAAAAAAGAAAACAAATGTTCAAAACTGTGTGTGTTGGTGGGTGGAATTTCCTTTGCTTATAGTAGTTTCAGTAGTAACTATATGTTTTTTTTTCCTTTCTTTTTCACAGGCACAGAAAACTGAATCTGTAGATAACGAGGGAGAATGAATTGTCATGAAAAATTGGGGTTGATTTTATGTATCTCTTGGGACAACTTTTAAAAGCTATTTTTACCAAGTATTTTGTAAATGCTAATTTTTTAGGACTCTACTAGTTGGCATACGAAAATATATAAGGATGGACATTTTATCGTCTCATAGTCATGCTTTTTGGAAATTTACATCATCCTCAAGTAAAATAAATATCAGTTAAATATTGGAAGCTGTGTGTAAGATTGATTCAGCATTCCATGCACTTGCTTTAAAATTTAGTCCTGTGCATACTGTGGTGTTTTTACTGTGCATATTTGAATTTTTCATGCAGTTTTTCTAGAGCAATAATCAGTGGTGCTTTTGTACCTAGGTTTTATGTGATTTTAATGAAACATGGATAGTTGTGGCCACCTGCTGACTATTTGTGGTTTAAAATAAAAGGTTTACTTGTCTGCAGAATACCTGACTCTTAGTATCTTTACTGCATTTTGGGAGTGTTTCATTTTATTGTTGCAGAAGATATAAAGAATTTTGATAGACCTTGCCATAGCGGTATCTCCAATAAGTCAAATAAGATTGTTTCTTAATTTTCTGGCCTTTAACATTGTTACTATTTTAATAAAATCATCTATGAATGCTAATGTAGAAGAATTACATCTAATTCACTTTATACCAGAAGTGGCCAGCAATGATTACTGTATAATAAAACTTTATAAAGCACTAATTTTTAAAAATCCTTATAAATAGGATATAGTGCTGCTAAATCAAAGCTAGTAAAAAAAAAAAAAAAAAAAAAAAAAAAAAAAAAACATAAACTAAGGCTCAACTTTGAAAATCTCCCACTTTTGAAATGATAAATACTAAGTCACATTTGTACAAAATCCTTCGCATTCAGTTGAGAACTTCACAGCTTTGAAAGTGCTTTACCCAACATGAGCATGTTTCAGCCTTGCATCAGTTTGAGAATGGAGTTGGCATGGGTATTATTAGAGCTCCTTTCTAGGATAAGAAATAGGGATGTGGAGTGTATTTGACTTACTGGAAGGAGAAAATCCAGGCTGGAGTCTTGAATTTTAAACAGTGTCTTTATGTCTATGAAAGGACATAGCAGTGCCAGGAACAGAGGAGTTATTTTATACATATAATTTTTCGTTGTTGTTTGCAACCTGAGAAGTTTGGTAACTGCATAAGCACTCCAGGAAAGCTGAATTCTGGGCATTTGTCTTAAATGAAGACTTGAATCTTTTAAGATGGCAGGTGGTGCCTGTGCTGCTCAGGGACTCCTGCAAAGAAGCTGTTGTTCCTTTGGGCCTTAGATGCTTTTGTATTGTGCTTATGAACAAAAACAAAGTTCCTCCTCCAGATTATATTTTGGGCCTAAGAACTTAAACTTGCCTCATTGTCCCAAGTCTGTCATTAGTTGACTGCATATATCAACCATGTTATATACAGAATAATCTTGTTCATAGTTTACCTGGCTTCTGAGTATGAAACATACTTTAATTCATGAGTTTTGGACATGCTAAAAACTGCTTTACTGCAAAGAAAAATATCTAGTATCCAATGAACTCTTCACAAAAATATTTTCAGTATACAGTTAGTACTCAGTTGAAGTATATTGCTGGCTAGTTTCCATTCCAGAAGTGAATCATAAATTCCCTAGGTTTACTTTTTAAAAAATTATATAAGTGATCCCAGTGATTTTTTTTTAGAAGACCAAATACTACAATAATACATAAAGCAAAAAGTCAAAATCTTTTTTCCTCCCATTCCTACATCCCAGAGATAATCACTGCACACTATTTTCTCTATTTTCTCTTTCTCATGTGTGTGTATGTGTGTGTGTGTTAGGGTTATGTACACACACACATATATATGTATATATATAATTTTTAAAAGAGAATGAATCAGTATCCTATTTTGAATTTATTCAATCTGTAGTTGGAGAAATAGATCATTTCTAATATTACAGTGCTGTCAATGATACTGCAGTAAACATGCTTATATACAAAGTTTTTCTACCTATGTATTTCTTCTGCTCAACTAAATAACTTCCCAGAAGCAGAATGTCTGAATCAAAGGGAATATACATTTGACATTTTGACTGCCTCCAAAAAGGATGTACCAATTTCCCCTTCCATCACCAACATTTGAATACCATCTCTTTCCACCTTTGCCAGCACTCATTTTGGTCAGTCTAATAAATGAAAATATGCCTCACTTTTAATTTTAAATGTATTCTATTATTAGTAAAATTAAACTTTTTCTGTTTAATGGTCATTTGGATTTCTTCTGTGAATTCTGATTTTGTCTTTTTCTGTTGGGGAGTCAGTGTGTTTTAAATCATTGTTGCTCATAATAACCATTGATGCTATTACTATTAATAGCATCAATTATTACTATTATTGCTATCAGTAATAGCATCAAACACACAAAGATCAGGGGTTCTGTAGGCTATTGGTGTCTACTTAAGTACAATATATGGATATTATCGTGGCCACATTGAAAAACCGAGCAGGTATCATAGAGACCACAGCTACCCAAAATAACCCAGGATCCCTAAATTGGTCCCCCAGAACTTGAAGACTTGATGAATATACTGCCAAAGATAAGGACACACTACCTTCAACTACATGGAAGCTGTGGGACTCTCCATGCACTGCCCCACTGCTACCCCTTTGGTGAATTTATAGAAAATTAGAAAAAGGTTCTTCTTCTCTAAGACACTTGTCTGCTAATTTGCTGGAGAATCATAAAAGCCCTATGAATCTACAATCACTTTGAGTCAGATGGTACCCCCGTAATTGGGTTGCACTATTTGTACACTTAAAATTTACTGCACACTTAAAATTCTTTCTGGAGGCTACCCCATGGATTCTGGTGCAGCAAGAGTGGGCATGTGGCCCTGGAATCCCCAATTATAAGTTCTGTGAAAAGCTAATCTGAACCAAAAGTCAAGATACAATGGTCAAACAATAGGTGAACCATCCCATAAAATCTTAAATGTATGTTTACATAATTAAGAAGTTGGAAACAGGTATGAAATGAAGGTTTCTATCCCCAAATTTTAGGGGACATCACTGTTGGTTAGAGGTACAAATGCTATCCCTTAGGTTGACCAAAAATAATGGGCTTAGAGAAGCTGTCTCAGCTCAGCTATCACATGCTAATGCGTCTCTTTTTTGAATGTTTTTCCCTTTACCATGAATGCCAAACTTTTATTATTTTCTATTTATTATTTTATGCAGAATATTGATTTAAAATCTTAGGATGGTTATAATGATTAGGATAATAATAGCCAGAATGTGTATAAGGTCCTGTAAGAAGCACTTTACATAAATAATTTTAATTTAGGAGAAAATGTTTAATTATTTATTTAAATGTAATGTTCCTATCCCCTAGTGAAAATAAGCCCAATTTTACAACACCAAATAGAGACTTAGGCTCACTTAAAGCCATAAAGGGAACTTTGTGATTATGCATCTCTTCCCTCATGTGAGAAGAGAAAGTCTTTGAAAGCCCAATTTTAAAATTATATTTACATGTATATCTTCATGACTTTAAATTAGGCAATGATTTCTTAGGTATGACATCAAAAGCACAAGAAACCAAATTAAAAATAAGTAATTTAGGCTGGGCATGGTGGCTCACATCTGTCATCCTAGCACTTTGGGAGGCCGAGGGCAGATCACCTGAGGTCAGGAGTTCGAGATTAGCCTGGCCAACATAGTGAAACCCTGTCTCTACTAAAAATACAAAATTAGCCAGGTGTGGTGGCACATGACTGTAGTCCCAGCTACTAGGGAGGCTGAGGCAGGAGAATTGCTTGAGCTCAGGAGGTGGAAGTTGTAGTGAGCTGAGATCATGCCATTGCACTTCAGCCTGGGCGACAGGAGCAAAACTCAATCTCAAAGAAAAAAAAAACAAAAGATTT
Source organism: Homo sapiens (assembly GCF_000001405.40). Lineage (NCBI taxonomy): Eukaryota > Metazoa > Chordata > Mammalia > Primates > Hominidae > Homo > Homo sapiens. The sequence goes on along the minus strand of NC_000006.12, from coordinate 79,197,769 downwards.
CAATAGACATCGCTCCAAAAATGGATGCAAATGACCAATAAGCACATGAAATATGAGAGGACAGTCAACATCATTAGTAGGGAATTGCAACTGAAAACCACCATGAAGAATCACTTTATACCCACTGGGATGGCTATTACAATAATTTTAAAGGAAAAATAGTACTGAGAAGATACAGAGAGATTTGAGCCTTCATTCACTGCTGGTGGTACTGTAAAATGGGAAGCCTCTTTAGAAAAGAGTTTGGCTGCTCCTCAAAAGTTAAGACAGTTATCATATGATCCAGCAATTCCACTCCTAGGTACATACCCAAGAGAACTGAAAGCATATGTTCACACAAAAACTTGCACATGAATGTTCATAGTAGCATTATTGGTAACAACGAAAAAGTGGAAACTAATCCAGATGTTCATCAACTGATGAGTAAACAAATATAATATGTCCATAAAATGGAATAGCCATAAATAGGAATGAAATATTGATACATGTTACCACACAGATAAACCTTGGAAACAAAATGCTAAGTAAAAGAAGCCAGACATAAAAGGCCACATATATGAAATATCTGGAATAGGCAAATCCATAGAGACACAAACTAGATTATTGGTTGCCAGGGGACAGGGGAGGAAGGAAAGGGAAGTGGCTACTAAAGGGTGGAGGGTGTCTTTTGTAATGTCCTGGAATTAAATAGTGGTAATGCTTGCACAACTTTGTAAATATACTAACAACTACTGACTTGTCTTCTTTTAAAAAATGACTTTTATAAGCCTACTGAGAGCACAGGACTTAGGAGGCCTGAGCTTAAATCCCAGCACTATTTCTCAAAAATTGTGTGAACCCAGACAGGTCATTTAAGTTCTAGCTCTCAGTTTTCTCTGTAAAATAAAGATAGTATCTGTTTGACAAAGCTGTTAAGATTGAATGAGATAGTCACTGTGAAATCACCTGGTGCAGTATCTAAAATACAGTAGGTTTTCCACAAATATCAGTTGAACTCATTGGATGAATACAAACGGGCTATGTAGCCATCTTCTGATGAGTATGTACCACATTTTTTGTCAGAGGCAGTGGGTATCCCTTGAACAATGCAAAGGAATTGTGCTTCTCTTAGAAGGCAATATATTATAATGCTTAAGCTTGTGAACACTGAAGCCAAACTTGTCTTGGCTACTCACCAGCTATATGACCACAAGCATTTACTCAGTTATTTATATTTTAGTATTTTTATTTAGAAATGGATTAAAAATGGTACTTACTTTATAAGGTGTTTAGAAGTGTTAAATGGCACAAATTAAGTGTTCAGGGAGTGATGTGGTTTGTCTGTGTCCCCACCCAAATCTTACCTTGAATTGTAGTTCCCATAATTCCCAAGTGTCGTGGGAGGGACCAGGTAGAGATAATTCAATCATGGGGGCAGTTTCCCCCATCCTGTTCTCATGTTGGTGAATTAGTTCTCATGAGATCTGATGGTTTTATAAGGGGCTTTCCCCCCACCTTCGCTTCTGACTTCTCTTGCCTGCCATCATATAAGATGTGCCTTTGTTCCTCCTTTGGCTTCCACCATGATCATGAGGCCTTCCCAGCCTTGTGAAACTGTGAGACCATTAAACCTCTTTTTCTTTATAAATTGCCCAGGTTCATGTATGTCTTTATTAGCAGCAGGAGAATGGACCAATACAGGAGTATTAATATTTCTAGCCAAAACTTGGAGCACATTAGTTCCTTGAGGAGTGGTTGCATTGTCTCATTCTCCCTTGTGCCTCTAGGACATGACAAATTAAATAGACTCAGTAAATACTTGTTGAACTGAATTTGGTCTTTTATGGACAGGAAATGACCAAGCTCAGGGTTGTTAGCACTGCTATATCCATCTCCAACTGAAGCTAATTGGACGCTATATGTTTGGTGTAGCCCAAACATATAAACCATGGTTCTGGCAAGTATTCCTTGGAATTAATGCAAAAATTAATCTTTATCTAATTTAGTTTGGATTTAAAGCCTTTTGAAACACTAATACCACAAATTTAAGAAAATATTTCTGTTGGTTGTGGTCCTATTCTTGTGATAGTACTTGTTCACCTTGTGTATACACATTTATTTTTAATCTAGACCCAAGTTCACTTTTGTAGAAAAATTATACCATGATCTGTTATACCTTTCTTTTTAAATCATATAATATTTAACAACTGAATACAGAATATCCCCTTAGAGATAAATACACCTGGACCTACATTAATGGGTCTCACTGGGTTCCTTGAAGCCAAGTCATAAACTCTAAAGCTGAGAAGAGCCTCTGAGGTCATCTAGTCTCTCCCTGATGTGGCTTAGATTTCTCTTTACAATAGGATCAAGCAAAGAGTTACTCAGACTGATTAAATACATCCGGTTTGAAGAAGTATCATCCAAACAGCTCTGAAAGAAAGTTCATCCTTATTGCTGAGTTAAGAACTGTCTCCTTGTAGCTTCCAATTATTGATTCCAGTTAAACTAGGATCAGGCACATATAAGCTAATTTGATCCTTCCCCCAAAGCTGCTCAAATATCTAAAGATGTCTATCGCATCCTGTCTAAAACAACTCTGTTTCTCTTACCCTGCCAGATTATGGTCATAGGACATAAATGTCTTTTTTTATTTTATTTTATTTTATTTTTTTTGATGTGGAGTCTCACTCGTTCGCCAGGCTGGAGTGCAGTGGCACGATCTCAGCTCACTGCAACCTCTGCCTCCTGGGTTCAAGCAATTCTCCTGCCTTAGCCTCCCGAGTAGCTGGGACTATCGGCGCATGCCACCACGCCCAGCTAATTTTTGTATTTTTAGTAGAGACGGGGTTTCACCATGTTGGCCAGGATGGTCTCGATTTCTTGACTTCGTGATCCGCCCGCCTCGGCTTCCCAAAGTGCTGGGATTACAGGCATGAGCCACTGCACCCGGCCGATGTCTTTTAAAAGTGTGATGCATTTAAATGAGTCTTATAAATTCAGATGGTTGAGAAAAAGGAGCAGGAATATTCAAAATGGTCACATTAGGTTGAACCAAAAGAAAGGTTTATCTTCTCTTCTCATTTGGACCTGCAAAAACAGCATTTTCCTACGGCTCAACCTACACTTTCCCTAGCTGTTCCCACCTCTGCAAATTTGATTAGTGTGTCTTCTGTGAGTTCATCCTGATCTCCAAGAAGTATATTTTACTAGGCAAAGAGTAATCCAGGAGTGCGCCAAAGTCTATCTTCCAAGTTCATCAATTTAGCAAAAATATATTGAACACCTAGGTATCAGGCATTTTGCAAGGCACTAGGGAAGCAGTAGTGAAAAGGTTAGTTTCACTGCTCTTATGGTGCTTAGAGTATAGTGGGTGGGGAAGCCAACATTAATTACATAGTAACACAAATAAACATACATTTACCAGAGCCATTATGGAATCCTAACCTCTTTCATGGTACACCTTTAATGTAGTTTCTCTAATGGATTTCATTTTGGGAACTATATCTCCATGACTTTAACAGATGTTAGCCATAAACAAACCCACAAGAAATTAAATACGTTAACTTAATGAATAACATCTTAAAAGTATTATTCATCTGGTTGCCAGAGAGTGCCTGCCAAAAATGACAATTTGGGTTTGGCGTAATTAATGTTTAGTTGTACTTCCAGGAAATAATTTGTCTTGAGTATTTCTTGTGGCTCTTCCACTAATATATTTTTGTACTAGAAAACCCTAGAATGTCACACAAATTGCCTATGGAATTTGAATTTAAGGTAAAATAGTTTTGGGGAATAAATGATAAGAGGAAGGTAGCCTCAGAGTTGGGAATCGTAGGCCTGGGCTTGACCTTAATAATTATCTGATGTAGTTTTATTCTTGGAGCTGAGTCTCCTTTGAATTCCAAAAGAATTGCTTTTTCTCCTGAGAAATTTTTGAAATCTCCTGAAGGTAGGATCGAATCGGAATAAGGTGATTTTAAAATATGCTTTTGCTCTTTAATGGAATTCAATGTAGGAAATTGATAATGAATGGTACTCTTAAAAACTGGTAAGTACAAAGCACCACAAGCTGCTTTTAACAAGCAAGTGTTAAGCAGTTACTATGTTCTGAGCCCTGTGTTGCAAGAGTAATCACAACCCCAAAAAGAGATTTAATTTTTGGCTTTGTTCTTGTAAGGCAAAACAGGCCTTTGGCCATATCTACTTCTGGATTTTTTTCCCAGCAAAGTTGAATACTAATTCATCAAAACTGAGATGGAGTAAAACCCTCTGTTAATCAACAGCACTTGTCTACAGGGTGCCCCGTGATGGATAGAAACAAATGGAAACTTTATTGATCTTTTCTGTTATAATGAGTTGCATTTCCTCTTGCATTTTCACAGCACTTTTCTTGACCTATATTTTGTACTTACTTCATTCACACTGTAGAACATTATTTCCTTGTCTCTTTTCACAAATAGAATTTGAGCATCTGGAAGCAAGGAGTTATTCATCCTTATGTTCTTCAAAGCACCTCAACCAGTGCCTGGTACACAGTAATTATTCGGTAAATGTTTATTTGTTTGGTGGACTAAAAAGTGGAAGTCGTTCTCCCGAGTTCAAAGTACCATTGACCTTGAAGGGAGAGAAAACTAAAACACACAAAAAAAGAAAAAATATTTTCCAGAGCACAGAATTAAATGTTAAATGTATGCAGTTCAGACTAAAAATGCTTTAGGAGAGCAGAGAAAGATACCACCTTGGGCAGCTTGTTGGGAGATTTAATGATAAAGAAAGGGTAGATGTTGCCAATGCTTTAAGGAGATAAGAGTGGATCTGAGAGGAGTTTGAGTGGCTGTTCAGACAAGGGGACAACCTTTCCAAAGGCTAAAGGTAAGCATGGGTACTCAAATATCCCTGAAGTAGGTTCTTCTCCCCAAACCCAAGTTTTGGATATGTGAGCAAATTGATTCACTGTTCTGTAAAAGGATTTGGTTGGATTAGATTAATGGTTTGTAAAATCATTTTTTTAAAAGTGGTAGAATACTAACAATTCTTTCTCAGTGGTAGTAGGGGAAGCTATAGGGACACTATGACCCAACCTCTTGGCCATCACCTCAACCTCAAGGCCACTCCTGGGGTTCATCAACTGAATCCATGGGACACAATTTGAAGACTACTGAACTAGGAAACTCTAAAGGCTGAGAGGACAAAATAACCCCTCTCGACAATCAATGCACACAGTTTTTGCAGAAAGATAAGGAGACACCATGTCTGAGCAGAAGGTTGATGGAATGAGGCAGTAGGAACCGAGACTGTGAACACAAAGCAATCAGCACCATGCCTGGCACACAGTAGGCACTCTGGAAATGTTACGTAAATGTACGTGGGAACATAGGCAATGCACAAAAGACCCACAAGATCATAGAAAGCTTTGAAAGTCAGCCACCAGTGTTTGGACTTGAACAGCAAGAAACATGAAGCCACCCTAGATTCTTCCATGGGGGAGATACAGGATGAGCATGTGTCTGGGGAAAAGGAGTCTGGCAACTAACTGGATCCCTCAATTAACTCATATTTTATCTTTAATTAGAATATAGTCTGGATATTACATATTAGGAAATTACTGTTAGTTTTATAAGTTATAATAGTGGTTTTGTAGTTATTCACAGGAAATGTGTGCTGAAGTGTTGAGGGATAAATGGTTGTGATAGCTGCAACTGATTTTCAAATGATTTACCAAAAATATTACCCATACATAATATACCTATTATATATGCATACATATGTATACTCATATTCATCTAGATAGATACATATGGCAAAATGTGTGGTGGTTATATTGGTGTTTCTTACAATGTTTTTTTCTGTATGTTTGTACATTTTTATAATAAAAAGAGAAGTGGGAAAAAATGTTTTTCTTTGATCTTCTTATAAGAGAAAGAGGGCAATTACTATTATAATCATAAACATTAGGAGAATGCTTACCCTGCGTAATAAAGAAATTGGCCTGACCCAAAGAGAGGTCTGGTCCTTGTCCCTGGCTTCTGGGAGGTAACCTTTAAACTCTTAGAATTTTCCAAGTGAAAGAAACGTCTTGTTATTCATGGTGGGCTAGACAACTCCTGGTAGTTTATGCTAACAAGGTTACCCATGGTGTGGCCCTTGAGCCATGTGGTGTTAGCGTGACATTGGAGAGTGAGGGGAGAGACTAGAAACTGAGTTTAACCACATGGGCAAACAATCATTCATGCCTACATAATGAAGCTCCAATAAATACTCTGGACACTGAAGCTAAGGTGAGCATCCCAGGTTGGCAATATTACATGTGTATTGTTGCACATTGAGACCAGGAGAGTAGAAAATCCTGCGGATAATGGAAGCCTTGTGTTTGGAGCCCTCCTAGATTTGGCCCTATGTGTCTCTTCCTTTGGCTGGTTCTAAGGAGTATCCTGTAGTAAACTGTAACAGTTATCAGTGTAATGGCTTTCAGTAAGTTCTGTTAGCTCTTTCAGTGGATTATCAAAACTAGGCATGGTTTTAGAGACCCACCCTAGGCTTGCAGTTAGTGTCAGAAGTGAGGACAGTCTTGGAGACTGTCCCATTAGACTTTGCAGTTTGCCTAATTTCAGACACAGACATTCTCCTTAGTGCTTTAGTGTGAATATTTAATATTCATAACATGAGTAGTAATGGGTTGTTGTAGGTGTTACTATTTTGCCTGTTTTACAGATGAGGAAACTCAGGAACAGGGAATTAACTTGTTCAACATCATGCAATGAGTAAATGGTAGAACTAGAATTTAAACCCTGGCAAGCTGCTCCAGAGCCTGTGCATCTTGTTGATTAAAAAAAAGAAAGAAAGGAAAAAAAAAACTTAGAGATACAAGTGAAAAGAATTCCAGAGTAGGTAAGTCCAGGAAGCAATGAAGGTTGAGTCCTGTCCTCTCTGTTCTCTAACTACAGTTCTGTAGAGCAATAATGGTCCTCCTGAATGAGGACCCTCAGGCATACCAATACCTTGTTCTCTAAAAGAAAGAATCAGTGATGTTTAGTACTACATACTTTGTTTTCTAAGGCCATTAGGTGGGCTAATTAGTTTTACAAAGAAGGCTAAGAATTCTAACAGAACGGGCTTTCTCATTAACTCTTTGCTTATCCAAGTAGCCAGACATCCACATTCTCTGAACATTCCAGTTAATACCAAGCTTCCTGTAAAATTTCAGTGGCATGGAAAAATGCTTTAAAGGGGTGAGTAGTCCCACCTCTCCCCACTAATTGATAGTTGAAAATAATCCAAATCTAAATGGCATGTGCTTCAGAATTCCAAAATAGGGGTGGTAAGAATTGCAATACCCTAAGGAAATTATATTATGGAAGATTTATCTAATAAGTGAAGATGCCATATACTTTTCTTTTTCAAAATCCAAAATGCTCCAGCAGGAGGGTTCTAATTTTAACAGACCACAAGTCTCAAGACTTTGCTAGAACTATGATAGTTTTTTAAACCAACTAGCTGGATATTCATTAAATCAAATTGTCACAAAAGCTTGCACATAAATGGTACTATATAGGTGCAAGCAAAGTGTGAATGACCATAGTTGGACATTTGCTCTTTTAATATGTGCATTGGTGTGTGAACAATAGCCTTACACAGGTTGTAAGGATGCTATTCTTCTCTTGCCACCCCCCAAAAGCCTAGAGGTTCACTAGTGGGGAAAAAATTAGGCAATGCCAAGAGCACATAAAACATGAGAAATTCAAGAGATTAAAACCTCTGGTGCTGTATTATTCTTCTAAATTAGGCCTAATGGTCAAATGAATCTCTAAGAGGTTTTAGTTTATGCCCTTCTATGGAATTCCTTAAGTAGCTCATATTTCACTAGAACAAAAAACTCACAACTCTAAACGTCGTGTTTTGAGATTATGCTTTGCTCTAGTCATTTTGTGATTTTGTTCAATCATTAAAAAAAAGTTCTACAAGAAAATTATGCATTGTCCTAAAACCTTATGTAAGGAAAAAAAAAAAAGGAAAGAAGAAAAACACCTACCAGCAAAGAAAAATAGACAATGTGTACATGTTTCTTCATCTGTAAAATAAGAATAATAAAAGTGCCTATCTCCTAGGGTTGTTATGAGGATTACATGAATTAACATTTTTAAAGTGCTTAGAACAGTGCCTGGCTAGTGGTAAGCTACATAACTTTATTTAATAAAACTGGCGCAACTGGAATAAAGTGAACATCAGAAAACCTGCTCTGTCCTCCTTGCAAGTAATTAAGTACCATGAGGTCTTTCTGGAGGCAGAGAGAATTGAGGTACAGTGGGAGAAATGTGTTTCCAGCAAGTCTTAGCTAAGTGTGTTATCCCTTGGTTTATTTTCATTATATGAGTTTTTGATTCCTGCATACTTTGAAGTTTGCCTCAAGGGAAAAAGTTGAATTGAGACTCTTTGTGACTAGAATCTTTGGCCTGGAAGGTTGGCACCTTCAGCTATTTCTCATGCCAAGCCTTTGAGATTCTGTTCCCGTTCCAAAAGCTGACAGGAGCTTCCTTGCAAGTTCCTCTGAAAGAAATGAATGAGACTAAACTCCAACAGATTTCTGCCTTTACAGACCCTTAACCAGCCTAATTAGCTTGGTGAATTAGCAGTGTGAAGGGTAGAATGCAGAGCGGGCCCTAGCTCTGGGGTAGAGGCACATGGGGCCCCCACAGATCAGGAAGCAGGACCAGTTCTACATAACCAGTCGGGGAAGCTCCAGAGAGGCTTCACTGAAAGACTGCAGAAAAACTCCTGCCATCCTGCAGCTGATTCCACAAAAAAAAAAAAAAAAAAAAAAGAAAAAAAGAAAAAAAAAATGTGGATTTTGAACTGTGAACCATGCAAAATTATATTTATAACCAGAAAAGGCTTTGCTATGCCAAACCTAGTGGGCAATATTACATCATTGACACCTTTGGACTTAAAAAGAGAAAGAAAAATTTAAGGTGATTCTGAGTAGCTCTTTTCCATCTCTAAAGGGAGGGGGAAGGTGACTGAATTGAAAATGGCCCTAAACAGTGACAGTAGGGATCCAGGTCAAATACAAAAAAGAACTTCCAGGACTTCCTAAAATAACTATACTCAAGCCCTGCCAGACTTACTGCCTTATGTAATAAATATTTGTTCAAAACTCTTTTACTATCTTGAAATAAAGTTCATAGATAATATAACCTATCTACAGGCATAATTTCAAAATCAACACATACTGCTCTAGCTGTAAAATGAATAGGAATTTTTAAGTAATTTATAATAAACTGTATATTTTAATATGTAGATGTTTAGGCATGACTTCACAAGAAGACATAATGGAAGAGACAGATGCACAACCTGAGAAAAATAAAACCTACTCAGTGGATTATCAACATGCTTCCTTTATACTTGAAACTTTGAAATAGAGAATAAATATGTTGCTACGTATGCTTGGAATCACTGTGATGCAACAGCTACAGTTGCACTGGAGTCTCAAAGTCTACAAATGGTGTTACTATTGGCGATATGATTTTCTGAAATGGTGCACACAATACTTATTAAAGATCTAAACTAAACATGTTTAAAACTGCAAGAAAATTTCAGAAAATTCAATGTGAATATATTAAAACACAGTAGATTCTAGGCTTGGATACTTTTAAACAAGGTGACTTCTTTTTAACTACATGAATGTACAGTAGGATATGTGAAAGTCATGAGAGAATCAGGGCAATCCTACACTGTGTGGACCTGTTCACACCTTGCGAGATGTCTAGCATCCCTAGTTCCTGTCCAGGAGATGCCAGTGACCCACTCCAGAGCCCCTCACCTACCTCACCATCCCTTGTCACTGTGACAATTAATAATGACTCCCCAGAAGATGAAAACTTTCCCTGAGGGCACAGTACATCCCTCATTAGGACCTACTGCTCTAGAACTTCAGTAATCTCCCATCCTGAAGTCAGAGTGAGCATCTGGGTACAAGGTCAGGCTTCAAGGGGCAGGATCTGTGCTCTTCTTTGGGGGTATGATGGAACAAGGGATTCCAGGTCACAAATAAACTCCCTTCTCGATGGATCTCCACTCTTTTTTATTTACTTTTACCTTTTTTAAAGCCAAATGTTTTAAAAGTCAAGTGATACATAAGTACCTGCCTACTACACACTTGCCCTCCAAAGCTCACTCCCCAAAAGCAAACACTTTCAGGTATTCCCCTAGTGTCTTGCTTCCAAAATTCCAAATAATATGCTTTTCTCTTCTCAGTTATTGATTTTTTAATCATAATTTTTAATAATTTTATATTATATATGTTAATGTATATTATAAAAATAACTTTTAACCACAAATACTATCGATTGGCTTCCCAATAGGGAATACAAACTTTCATACCATATTATAGCATATATTGAAATTAAGCTATTTTCATATAATGTTTTAGATTTGCACATGTATAATTTCATGTGATCCTCACAGAATTGTTGACAGGTATGTTGTCATATCATTCCCATTTAAAAGATAAGGAAATCAGAACACAGATAAATGTTGTGCCCAAGACCACATGACTAGAAAATAGCAAAGATGGAACTGGAGCCCAGAATATTTGCTACTAATATACTGGTTTTTTTGTTTTGTTTTGTTTTGTTTTCATTTTTACTTCAACAGCTATGGAACCATTTTGCTTAGAGTCTCGATTCTGGTAAAAACTCCCTCCAGGTCCTGTTCCAGTGGCACCTTCTTCATGAAATTTTCACCCCTGGGCAGGTCTTTTCCTTATGTTTTCACAGCCATTTGTCTGTGCCTCCATCATAGCCTTCATCACAATGAATAATAAGTTGCTCTTTTCACAATCCTCGAAGTTAGAGTGTGAGCTCATCAAAGCCCTGGACAGCTTCTAATTCCTTTTTCTGTCCCCAGAGTGCAGCAGGGCATCAGGCGCCTAGAAGATGCTCAGTCATCAGGGAACGTGAAGAGACAACTTTAAGCAGAGGCCTGTGCTAAGTGCTGGGGGCACACAGATGACTAAAACAGAACACATTTCCTGACTTCCAAACCCCCAGGTTGGTCAACGTGTGGATGTATGAGTGCTACTCTCTGAAATGGGTAGAGGAGTTACATTTCAAAAGGATAGCTGCGCAGAGACTAAAGTCCTCAAAGTTAAAACATTAGCCAAGATGACAGGAAGCAGAACACATAGAAGACAAACAAGATTCATAATATAATGGAAATCCTAAGGGGGAATGCAGTTAACAAAAGAAGAGTCTGGTAAAGATATGCTCTTACAAGAACAAAGATGGAAAATAATTTTTGGCAATGAAATTGAAATTTTTGGCAGTGAAAGTGATTTATAAGTAAGGCCAACAGGAGAAGTTTACATTAATCAAGATGAGGAATGGTAAATGTGTAGATTGATATTTTATCTGGAAGAATATTAAATAGCTTTAACAATGGAGAAAATAGCTTTGGCTTTTCAGGTGGCCAAGGAGAGAAAGAAGAATAATTTAAAAAGTTAAGCCCTTTGTGTCAATATGATAAGAGAGAAGGAATAGAATTTAGCAATAAATGGGTCATGGATATGAAGTCGAAGGGAGTTTATGAAGATGTCAAATCAAGTGCTATTGACAAATTCCGCAGAAAAAAGGAAAATAAAGGAGACAATTTTTTTTGTGAGGGGTGAGTAATTCTTTCGTTTCTCAGCTGAGTAAGAAGCAATGGCAATGAACACCTAGTAGAAATTCCGGTACATATGTATAGTTGTGTCCATAAATGCCACCCAAAAGCATTTGAATTACCAGTCTTGCATTTCTTTTCTTTTTTAACCTAAGAAGGAAAACACTCTCATTAACTGTGCTAAATATCAGTTATAAATATATAAAAATATACATGTAATTATAACTACAGTTATAAGAAAATAAATAACTCCAAAGAGAGGTCCTATTCCTGAAAACAAGAAATAGGTTCCTGGTTCCTGGTTCCAGATTTGCCAGACAGACACCCTGCAAGGGCTGTATGGCCAAGATCAGCATCTCCTCCCAATATCTCCTTCTCAGAAACGGACTGGATTTGAAATCTGTTAAAAATTAGGGGAGAAGCAAATTGTCTTTATTCACAGAAAACAGGAATTTGTATTTAGAAAATCCTGAGGAACACACACATAGAAAAAAAAACTGTTAGAACTACTTTTGAAAAGTTTGGCAAAATTGCAGTACACAAAGTCAATATACAAAAATCAATTGTATTTCAGTATACTAGCAATGAACAATCCAAAATGTTCTAAAACTGAATTTTGGTGATAGTTGCAAATCTGGGTAAATTTACAAAAAGTAATTGAATTACACATTTAAAATGAGTATATTTTATGGTATGTAAATTATACCCCCATAAAGTATTTTTAAAATTGGGGGACGGCTCAGGCACAGTGGCTCAGGCTGTGATCCTAGCATTTTGGGAGACCAAGGCAGGAAGATCACTTGAGTCCAGGTGTTCCAGATCAGGCTGGGCAACATAGTGAGACCCTATCTCTACAAAAAATAAAATAATTAGCTGGGCATGGTGACACATGTCTGTAGTCCTAGCTACTTGGGATGCTAAGGTGGGAGGATAACTTGAGTCCAGGAGTTTGAGGCTGCAGTGAGCTATGATGGTACGTGCCACTGCACTCCAGACTGGGTGACAGAACAAGACCCTGTCTCTAAAAATTTTTACAAATTAGGGGATGTCAAAGAAGGAAAAACCACAATTTTTTTCCACAAAAGGAGGATTTTACTCGTTACCTACACCTAATTTTTATGTTGTAATATCTGGGGTCAAATACTCTGATTTTGAAGGACAGAGCCCCAAATGTGGTAATTCCAGGTCATTCAGAGTAGCAGTCAGATATACCACTGTCATAAACCTCAGTACTGACAACAGCAGGTAGAACTTTGGCAATCACATTTGATTGCCGTTTATCTGACAGAGCACTGAGGAGTCTGGTTACAGAACAACAGGTTAAGGTAAAGTGAAAGGTAAGTCAGATGGCCAGTGATGGCTATGGGAGATCAGGGTCCTTATTCCCTGGGTTTGTGTGGATCGTGCCTTAGAAGGACAAGAGGCATTGGGTACTTAGAAGGAAACTCCCTCCTCAACTTCCAAGACCCAGTCAGTTCCTTGGACCAGGGCAGGGGTCTTGGCTTTGGTAACTCAAAACTAACAGAATACTTAGAACTCTCAACAACTCTCAGCATCTTTGCACAGGCAGATGAAAATACACTCATGGGGATCTACAAATGATCATTGTAGAAAATGTCAGTGGCACAATGGCCCTATGCCTTTGGCTTTTTAAAGCCCTACATGGTTATAATTGAAGTCACATTTGTAAACATAAAACGTTCCCAATAATGACTATAAGAATATTTAATACTTCTGTGAACAGTTTGTATTTCCTGTCTAGAAGTAGCATAAAAACCATCTGTGGAGTAGGTTTAGATGCTGAGCTCAGAAGCAAAGTTTTCAGATATAGTCTCCCGTGCTCTGGTGATTGAAATAAACAGGTGCTCAACTGGAAAAAAAATTCTTTTTTTTTCATACAACAATAGAAATTCATGAACTGATTCTGTGGCATTTAGGTCTGTAGCCATTTTTATTCCAGCTTTTATTATTTTTAACCTATTATTTTTTAGAACTATTGAGTGACTTATGAAAAATACAGTAACCCATTGTCATCTGTCATATTTTAGGAGTACTCTGTCAGTGAAATATTCTGGTTCAAAGAGAGTTGACTAATTGTAAAGAATAGTAATAACAGTCAGAATAATACTTAGAAGCATTTACTAGGTCTTGAAACAAAGTTATCTTAATATTCTGCAAAGAAGTTTTAGTGAGAAAACTAAAGCAACTTGCTTGTAGTCAGGAGTAGTTCCACAGATTTCCTATGGGCCAAGCACTCTCTTAAGTATTTTATATACATGTTTCCCTTAGTGATCATAAAAAAAAAATCCAAGGAGAAACTATGATTACTCTTATTTTACAAATGAGATTTGGGAATAATTTTTGCCAAAAATTGCTATTTAAGTTGTAGCTAGAATCTCATTAGAGTCTACCTGGTTCTAAAGTGTATTCACACCTTTCTTCTTTGTGGTATCCAGCAATCCTTCTTTGACGATAGAAGATGCTTATTAAGTCATACAAGGATGTAAATACGAAACTGAATTATTTCCAGAAAAAGCTAGTTACATAGTCTCTCTTTTGTCAAAAATATCATCATCATCATTCATAACAAACATCTGCCATCCCCAAAAACAGCCACCCAAATTTCATTAATGATATTGAGTTGTTGAAAATTCCTCATGCCTGGCAAGTAATGGTCACTTTGGATTCAAAATATCAGCTCAATAAAAGGAACCACAAAAGGAAACGATTCTGTGGCTTTGATACAAAGCATGCATTGAAAAGGTAATTTATAAGAAAGGCAGACTGAATGGATTTCAGGATGAAATAATGAATGTTAAATTAGGCTTTTAAAATCTTGAATAAAGGAAGTTTCAAAGTGACCAAATACAATTTTGTTTAAAATTTTCTTCTTTTATATTAGCACTTTTTTTAGAATAGACAGTTATTCATCTTTAGCTGGCTCCTGAAATTAAATAAATTGATTTTTAAAAAGAGGGTTTTAATAAGATATTTCTGTTCTTGGTGCATTTTCATCTTTATCCACAATGTTCTCATAGAGTCCCAAGAGCTAAAGAGTAATTTGAGGTTGCGCCCTTTTAGGACCAGGTGAAATGGCAATTGTCAAAGTAATGGGGTCAGCAGAGGGCCGAACAGCTTTTTCTTAATTAGCATGTGAAAGGGAATGTGGGCAAATTAACCTTGTATAACTAAATCTCCACTTTATTTGCTGCTGGGTAGCCATATTGCTAGAGCTAGATTCATCTTTTAAAATGGAACTCTTTGGACAATCCTGTAACAGTTCCTTTCACATTCTTGGTCATATGTGTACATAATAGTAAAACTCACGTATTTAATACTACATGCCAGGTTTTAGTGTTTTACATATATTATTTCATTCTCACAATAACACTATGAGATACTGATTTTGTCAGGATTCATTACAGAAAAAATGAAACCACTTTATGCAAGCTGGGATTCAATACAAGGAGTTAGATGTTTACAAAGTTGTTGGAAAGGCTGAAGGAATAGGTTCTAGGCTGGGCCTCCAAAAGTAATTATCAGAGAAATACAGAACTCTCCCACTAGGAAAGCTACTACTTTCAAGGTCACTGAGAGCTAGTAAATTCAAGAATGCATCCCAGAGCAGGAATCTAGATTTGAGAAGCTGCTGCAGATCCCACCACTACCCCTGCCTTTGGCACCAAAGAAGCTGGGAAAAGGACACTGGACCCCTGCTGCAGATGTAGCCTCACACCTCCAAGATCTAGCGTTCCAGCAGAAAAATGGCCAAGTGAGGTGAGAGAATGGCCTCCACATCTGCCTTCCAAATTTCAAACAAGCCAATCTAAATGACGAGACTGACCTAACATCCAAATCCCTACGTGCCAAGGGGTTTGAGAAATGCAGATATTAGCTTTTCAACCTCCGCAGGAGGGGAAGGACCCCTGGAGGGAGGTGGAATATAGGATAAGCAAGGCAATCCACTTTATTCCAGGTAAGTACTATTATTATCATCCTTATTCCTCACCCTTCAGTTTGATAGATAGGGTAACTGAGACACAGAGGATTAAGTAAATGGCTCAGCCAGGTGTGGTGGCTCACGCCTGTAATCCCAGCACTTTGGGAGGCCAAGGTGGGAGGATCACTTGAGGTCAGGAGTTCGAGACCAGCCTCGGCAACATGGTAAAACACCATCTCCACAAAAAATACAAAACTTGGCCAGGCATGGTAGTGTGTACCTGTAAATCCCAGCTACTCCAGAACGGAAGCATGAGAATCCTTTGAACCCAGGAGGAGGAGGTTGCAGTGAGCTGAGATCGCACCACAGCACTCCAGCCGGACAACACAGCAAGACACTGTCTCAAACAAACAAACAAACAAACAAACAAAAAAGGAAATTGCTCAAGGTCACACTAAGACAGTCTTCAAAGAACCCATGTTCTTAACAACTGGGCTTCACTCCTGAAAGTCCAGTGTGTCCTGTGCACACACAGGTTAAATGAAAATCCCAGTAGCATTTTTTTTTGCTTAAGGTGAAATCTTTTTCAGTGATAAAAAACATTTCAACAGTGTAAATCAGGAAAGAGCCAAAGCTCTAGTACACTACTGCACTCTTATTGACCTTTACAACACTAAATAAAATCTACTTAGAGAGGATCCAGCAAAGCTTTTGAATTTCACTTTTTCAGAATCTCCAACTGTTGATTCAGGTACTATTAGATGCTATTTGAGACGATGTTTTGATGGAGAATCAGGAATATTCAGCAATTCAACTTCAAGTGAACCCCTACTATTCACTAAATTGAAAGGCAAATCTCAGAATTTACTATTAAATGTGACAATGAGTCCCTTCCAAAGACACCAAAATCAGGCCTTCAGAGAGGAATAGAAATATTTCTCATCCCCTAGCCCAGACCTGGTGTGGCAGAGACACTGCCTAGTGTTTACCAAGCCCATTTACTTTCCTCCTGGGCCCCTTGGCAATTAGGCTCAGGCTATGTGAGTTCTGACTAATGGAAGATGTGTGGCAGTGATATACATGACTTCTATGCCTGGCCACTCATTCTGTGACAACTAGGATTTGTGCTGTCAATGGTGGTGTCAAAAGATAGAAGAAACCTGAACTCCTCCTGCGTGACTGCCAACCACATTGACTGTGATGTGAGGAAGCAATATATTTGTATCAAATTAAGCCACTGAGGTCTGGGACTCTTTGTTAGACGAGTTAGCTGACCTGGACCTTCTGCTACAGATCTTCTTAGCAAATGCAAACCTGGGTCCAGTAGACCTAGCCCGCCGGCAGGGGCAGACCAAGTTAGATTTGTAAAGGAGCATACAAAAGAGTGTTACTCTCTGGATAGCCTTCATCTCATGGCATTTTTCCTACCATTTCCTCATCAACATCATCTCTTTTTTTCAAAATTAATCGAAGTGTTGCCATTTCCTTTGCCTTGCTTCTGTTTCGCAGGTCAGAGCAATGAACCTGGACACTGTTGGAGATGGAAAAAAAGAACTAAGATGGAGTCAGAGAAAAGGGACCCTACCTGTAATTGCTGGATGTGTAAATGCCTTAGACAGTTCCACCCTGGAAAAAGTAATCCCTTCCAAATGCTGAAACCAGGCCATCAGGATCAGCTCTCTTCTTCTACCTGAGATGGGTGCAAGCTGGGTAAAAAGACATCAGGGAGAAAGACGATTTATGCTTGCTCTTCGGTGCACCACTGGGAACCACTGGGACAGAATGCAATGCAAGGTTCTCCTTCTGTGTATTACAACACACGAACAGGCTAAACCAGATTTCCCTCCCTAAGAAAAAAAACTAAAGCTCTTTAAAAGCACCATTTATGTACAATAGCAAATATGTTCATTGTAGATCACTTTTAGCTGTTCATTAAACCAAATCCCCTGGGGACATTTTATGCCAATGCTTTGGAAATTAGTCCTTGTTACTTTATGTAATTGAAAACAATAAAGCTAAGTGCCTGTTACACTCTTCTGTAATTTGAAACAGGGATTTGCAACCTCAGGTCCTATCTCCAGGCCCTTCACTGGCCTCAGAGGTAATGATGGGAAACTGTGTGTTATATTCATTATATCAGAAAACCTTGCAGAAATGGCACATTTAACTTGAAGCTGTATGAGCTCACTAAAATGCCAAGTCTCTGTTTTTTGACTGAGATAACATCAATTTAGTACAATAATTGATTGTCTAAAAGGATAATGATTGATAACTGATTATCTCATGCTATCTGGGAACTTTAAATAATAGTAATTTAATGTCTTAGATTAATATAAATGGGATAAATTAATGATGCTATAAGACTTTCAAAAAGAAGACCCTTTAAGAAATAGGCTTCACGTAGAAAAAAACTATTAACAGTTTAAAAATCTAGCCAAAAAGTGGAAACAGCCCAAATGTCTGCCTCCTGATGAATGGAAATATGAAATGTGGTATATCCATTGTCTTAGTCTATTTTTCACTGCTATAACAGAGTACCACAGACTGGGTAATTTATAAAGAAAAGAAGTTTATCTGGCTCATGGTTCTGCAAGCTGAGAAATGCAAGACTACGGTCCAGCAACTGGTGAGGGCAATCCTATAGCAGAAGGCAAAAGCAAACATGTAAGACAGACAGAGGAAAGCCAAACTCATCCTTTTAATCAGTAATCCACTGCTGAGATAACTAACCCACTCCCTCCATAGTAGCGTTAATCCCCTCATGAGGGTGGAACCCTCATGACCTAATCCCTTCTTTAAAGTTCCCACTTCTTAATACTGTTACTATGGGAATGAAGTTTCAACATGAGTTTTGGTAGGAATATTAAACCATAGCATCCACACAATGGAATATCATTCCATGATAAGGAATGAAGACTTGATAGATATTGTAACATGAATGAACCTCAAAAAATTACGCTTAGTGAAAGAAACCAGTTACAAAAGACTATATATTATGATTCTATTTATATGAAAAGTCCATCCCGTGCAAATCTGTAGAGACAGAAAGTAGATTAGTGATTATCTAAGGCTGAGATGCAGGAGAATGGGGAATGACTCTTAATAGCTATGAGGTTTCTCTTTTGGATAATGAAAATTAGATTGTGATGATATCTATATCTATATATATATATATCTGTAAATATATAAAAACAATGGAATTGTACACTTAAACAGGTAAATTTTATGGTACAGGCATACCTCAGAGATATTGCAGGTTTGATTCCAGACTACCACAATAAAGTGAATATTGCAATAAAGCTAGTCACACAAATTTTGTTTCCCAGTACATAAAAAAGTTATGTTTATACTATACTGTAATCTATTAAGTGTTTAATAACATTTTGTCTAAAAACAATTTACATGCTTTAATTGAAAAATACTTTATTACTTAAAAAATGCTAACAATCATCTAAACCTTCAGCGAGTCTTAGTCTTTTTGCTGGTGAAGGGTCTGGCCTCAATGTTGATGGCTGCTGACTAATCAGGGTGGTGGTTTCTGAAGGTTAGGATGGCTGTGGGAATTTATTAAAATAAGACAATGATTTACCGCATTGACTGATTCTTCATGAAAAGTTTTTCTGTAGTGTGTGATTCTGTTTGCTATTTTATCCACAGTATAACTTCTTTCAAAATTAGAGTCAATCCCCTCAAACCCTGCCACTGCTTTATCAACTAAATTCATGTAATATTCTAAATCCTTTGTTGTCATTTGAACAATGTTCACAGTATCTTCAACAAATGTCGATTTCATCTCAAGAAACTACTTTCTTTTCTCATTCACAACAAGCAATTGGGAAAATTTTAGAGAATATATTCAAGTATAAAGAAGAAAATATTACCACCACCACCTAGTAATAACCTTTGTTAACATTTTGGCATGTTTCTTTCTAAGGTTTTATATATATTTATGTTTATTTATGACCTAATTAAGTTCATACTATAAATTCATTTTTGTAGATTACAATATCATGACCAGCCTCCAGTTGGCAATGGCTGCTAAAAAGCCTAGAGTCAAAAGCACAAAGCCTTACAGCATTCATTTTATGGACAAAATACTTACAGCTTAACTTTATGTTTTTCTATTCAGACTTCTTTCATCCTATTTTCCATGGTCCTTTATTTCCATATTTAATATAATTTCATTATATGTAGTTCTATAAAACATTCTAAAGGCTTTCTAAAATAAGTATTTTCATCATAATCATTTTTAAATATACAGTTCAGTTGTGTTGAGTGTACCCTCATAGTTGTATGACAGATCTCCAGAACTTTTCCATCTCAAAATATTGAAACTCATTGAACAACTCTCCATTTTCTCCTCCTCTCGTACTCCTGGTAACAACCATTCTACTTTCTGTTTCTGTGACTTTGACTACTTTGGATACCTCACATAATCGAAATTATACAGTATTTGCCTTTGTAACTGGCTTATTTCAGTTAGCATAATGTTCTCAGTTTATTCACATTGTAGCACATGACAAGATTTCCCTTTTTTTGAGACAGAGTCTCGCTCTATTACCCAGGCTGGAGTTCAGTGGTGCAATCTCAGCCCACTGCAACCTCCACCTCCCAGGTTCAAGAAATTCTCATGCCTCTGCCTCCCGAGTAGTTGGAATTACAGGTGCACATCCCCAAACCCAGCTAATTTTTGTATTTTCAGGAGAGACAGGGTATTGCCATGTTGGCCAGGCTGGTTTGGAACTCCTGACCTCAAGCAATCTGCCCACCTCAGTCTCCAAAGGGCTGTGATTACAGGCATGAGCCACTACACCAAAAAGAAAGATCGAGATTTCCTTTCTTTTTGAAGATGAATAATCCATTGTTATATTCCACAATAGTCTTCCCTTATCCACAGGAGTTATGCCTCAAGACCCCCAGCATATCCCTGAAACTACGGGTCTACTATGTTTTTTCCTATACACACATACCTATAATAAAGTTTAATTTATAAATTAAGGCACCATAACAGATTAACAACAAAGCTAATAATAAGATGGAACACTTATAAAAATATACTGTAATAAAAGAGTGTGAATGTGGTATCTTTCTCTCTCTCTCTCTCTCTCTCTCTCTCTCTCTCTCTCAGTATCTTACTGTATGTGATTTTTTGGACCACAGTTGAATACTGGTAACTGAAACCACAAAGAGTGAAATCAGAAATAAGAAGAGACTATTGCACAGCATTTTGTTCATCCATTCACCCAGCCATGGACATTTGGGTTGCTTCCACTTCTTGGCTATTGTGAATAATACTGCTATGACATGGATGTGCAAATCTCTTTGAGAATCCCCTTTCAATTATTTTAGACATATAGACAGAAGCAGGATTTCTGAATCATATTATAGTTCTATTTTTAATTTTTTGAGGAAACCACTATACTTTTTTCATAGTAGTTTCACCATTCCCACCAACAGTGCACAGGATTACAATTTCTCAACATTCTTGTCCGCACTTGTTATTTTCTGTTTGTTTGTTTATAGTAGCCATCATAATGGATGTGAGGTGATATTTCATTGTGATTTTGTTTTGCATTGTTCTAATGATTAGCAGTGTTGAGCATCATTTCATATTCTTGTTGGTTACTTGTATATCATCTTTAGAGAAATGCCTATTCAAGTTCTTTGCCCATTTTTGATCAGGTTGTTTTTTGTTGTTGAATTGTAGGAGCTCTTTATATATTCTGGATGTTAGGCACTTATCAGATATCTGATCTGCAAATATTTTCTCCCATTCACTTATTAATTCTGTTAATTGTGTCCTTTAATGCACAAAGGTTTTAAAGTTTTATGTAGTCCCATTTGTCTATTTGTGGTTTTGTTGCCTATGCTTTTGGTGTCACATATAAGAAATCATTGCCAAGTCCAATGTCATGAAAACTTTCCCCTATGTTTTCTTCTAGGGATTTTATAGTTTTGGTTATTATGCCTTGGTCTTTAATACATTTTAACTTAATTTTCATATATAGCATAAGATAAACGCATAATTTCATTCTTTTGCCTGTGGATATATAGTTTCCCTTGAACCATTTGTTGAAGAGATTGACCTCTTCCCATTGAGTGGTCTTGGAACCCTTGTCAAAGACCATTTTACCATATATGTGAGGGTTTATTTCAGGCCTCTCTCTTCTATTATATCAATCAACATGCCTGTTTTTATGCCAGTATCACACTGTTTTGATTACTATAGCTTTTTATATGTTTTGAAAACAGAAAGTGTAAGACCACCACCTTTGTTTCTTTGTTTGTTTGTTTGTTTTGAGATGGAGTCTCACTCTGTCACCCAGGCTGGAGTGCAGTGGCGCAATCTCGGCTCACTGCAACCGCAGCCTCCCGGGTTCACGTGATTCTCCTGCCTCAGTCTCCCAAGTAGCTTGGACTACAGGTACGTGCTTCCATGCCTGGCTAATTTTTTGTATTTTTAGTAGAGACAGGGTTTCACCATGTTAGCCAGGATGGTGTCCATCTCCTGACCTCATGATCCACCCACCTCAGCCTCCCAAAGTGCTGGGATTACAGGAGTGAGCCACCATGCCTGGCCCCACCTTTGTTATTTTTTAAGATCGTTTTGGTTATTCAGTATCTCATGAGATTTTATAGGAATTTTAGGATGGCGTTTTCTATTTCTGCAAAAATGCCATTGAGATTTTGATAGAGATTGCATTGAATCCATAGATGGCTTTTGGTAATATAAGCATCTTAACAATATTAAGTCTTCCCTACACATTGGGTACAGTGTACACTGCTTGGGTGATGGGTGCACCAAAATCTCAGAAATCACCACTAAATAATTTATTCATGTAACCAAACACCACCTGTTCCCCAAAAACCTATTGAAATAAAAAATAATTTTTTTAAAAAACAATATTAAGTCTTCCAGTTCATGAAACTGGGATGTCTTTTTATTTATTTGAGTCTTCTTTAATTCCTTTCAGCAATGTTGTGTAGTTTTCAGGTAAGAGTGTATCTCCTTGTTAGAATTATTCCTAAGTATGTTATTCTTTCTTATGCTGCTGTAAATGGAATTGTTTTCATTTCCTTTTCAGATTGTTTGTTGTTACTATATAAAAACGCAATTGATTTTTGCATGTTGATTTTGTATCCTGAAATTTTGCAGAATTTGTTCATTATTTCTAACAGGTTTTTTTTTTAATAGAATCTTTAGGGTTTTCTACATATAAGATTATGTCATCTACAAACAGATAATTTTTCTTCTTTTCTTATTTGGATACAACAAACAATTTTTAAATACAATAAAATTTATAAACCACTCTTTTTCTCTCAAACATATTTTCCACATCATTAAAAATATTTTGTAGACATCATTTTAATTGTTGCATATAAGTCCATCATCTAGATGTGCTATAATTCACATGACCATTCCTCATTTAGGTTGCTTTAAATTCGTATCATGATAAACAATATTCTAGGGCATAACTTTATGTACAGTTCTTTGGTCACATATAAAATTCTTTTTTCCTTGTGATAGGGTCCTAGAAATTGCACCACTGGGTCAAAGATTATAAATATTTAAAGACTTTTACACTTTTTTTTAGTTTGGAAATGCATAACTTTAAAAATAGTAATTGAACATATAGTATTTGAATATGTTATATCTATTCTTTGAAAATTTACAATATATCTTACATTTTTAGATGGCATAAAATACACCATCTTTGTAGCTTTAAATATACAAATATATCAATTATATTTTATTATCATGTTGCGCTCTTTTGTTAACACTTACATTCCTCTCCAAATCCTACTTCCTCTTTACTGGGGTGTTAAGTAGCCCACTCTGGTGGGTTCCCAGAGGCCAGGATGGGGTGGGGTCGTCTACTCCAGGATGTACAAAGTAGGAGGCAATTAAGTGGTCCACTTTAGACAAAGTTCATGGGAGCAGAGAGTGAGGCTGAGAGTCTTTCTTCCAAGGAGATATAGAATGAGCCTGAAGGGCCTAAGGTTAGGCTGGACTTAATGAGGCTCAAACAGCTGGGTGTCAATTGGAAAGTGGGGAGATTTGGGTTGTCACAGTAATTAGGTGGGCATTGAGTAGACAGGGGTTACAGATGCTAGAAACATTGTGTTGCTTGAGACAGTCCTCTAAAATAACTTTCCAGCCCCCAGTGCTATTTATTATCTCTCCCATTGATACACACTGGGCTAGTTTTGTGCTGACACATTTAGATTCCAAGAGCTACCCTGTATTGTATTCCCTTAACAATTAAAGACCATAGAAATGTAGACATTCAGTGAATGAATAACTTCAAAGTCCCTAAATGTGAAGCTTTAACTGTTGTATACCTTCTAAAAATGCATGTGACAGTGATAACAGGTTAAAATAAAAGGAGAAAATTTATATTTATTAAACACTTACTATGTACCACAAACTTTACTTATTACTTTCCTATGGAAGCTATAACAAATTATTACAAACTGGGTGACTTAAAACAAGATAAATTTATTCTCTTGAAGTTCTGGGGTCCAGAAGTCAAAAGTCAAGGTGCCAACAGAGCTGCACTCCCTTTAAAGGCTCTAGGGGAGCTTCCATTTCCTGCCTCTTGCAGCATCTGGTGACTGTAAACATTTCTTAACTTATGACCACTTCCCTCCAATCTCTGCCTCCATGGTCACAAGACTGTCTCCTCTTCTGTCTAATGTATTGCCACCTCACTCTTATAGCCATACTTGTCATTGGATTTAGGGCACACCTGGACAATCCAGGATGATCTCCTCATCTCATGATTTTTAATTTAAATCTGCAAAGGCCCTTTTTTTGAATAAGGTCACGTTCATAGGCTCTATGGATTAGAACCTGAGCCTGTCTTTTTATGAACTATCATTCAGTTCACTACAATTTACTCCCAGAATTTTGTTAAATTCTCCAGCAATCTTGTGATGGAGACATCATTATCCTCTGTTTACAGGTGAAGAAATGAAAATTTAGAAAGAAGTACTCGGCCAAAGCCTTCTGGTGCATGCCAGAGCTAAGATTCACCCCAATGCTCCCTGATACCCATATCCAGTGCTGACATGGTCTACCCTGTACCTGGTTGGTTATATGGCACTGTTCCCACCAAAACAAAGTCAGCTTCAGAAACAGTGCTCACAGGTGACCTTGAGCACTCCACTGGTCTCGACCTAAAAGAACTAAAAGTCTTATTTGCTAAAGGAGCATTCAGTCTAATATAAGAAATAATATAGTCAGGCAATTATATGAGTTCTTTTCACAGTTAAATCCAAATAAATATCAACCTAACCTAAATTTCAATATCCATACAATGTTCCAAAGTATCTTTTTCCATTTTCTTATCCCCTGAAAAAAAGGCACATTTCTTTAGATTGGTCCAGTGCATTCTCTCAACATTTGCTGAGTACCTACTAAAATTTGTAGTATGATATGCTTTGAAATCCTTCTTCCCTTGTTTTGGACATTTTTATTTTACTGTAAGGATAAATTTGAACTCACACCAAAAAGAGGCCCAAAAATATTCTGGCATTCTCCACATCCTGGATTATTTTAAAACCTAATTTATTGAATATTAACTTGTTGTTTTGCTCTTTTCCTTTGTTTAAATTTAAGTTGTTTTAAATAGCATTTAAGGTTTTACATAACTGCAACTGGTTACTTCTAGAAAAACTTCTTTTTAAATAAAGCTTTTTTTACAATTCAGCTTTAGGAATGTTTGAAACAGGACCAAGGGATGCACATTCAGTCAAACCCATCAAAGTAATTGTAAAATAAGAGAATATCTTGCTGTTTTTCAAGGATAGCTTGTCTTACCAAGGATGGGGTTTTCTGCAAATGTGTTAGGATGTCTCAAGGGTAATAAATCTCATATAGTCAAAAAAGTTCATAGTTTTTTTTGTTTTGTTTTGTTTTTGTTTGTTTTTTTGTTTTTATTTTTGAGACAGAGTTTTGCTCTTGTTGCCAGGCTGGAGTGCAATGGAGCAATCTTGGCTCACTGCAACCTCTGCCTCCTGGGTTCAAGCGACTCTCCTGCTTCAGCCTCCCCAGTAACTGGGACTAGAGGCATGTGCCACTACGCCCGGCTAAATTTTTGTATTTTTATTTATTTATTTTTTAAATTTTTTTTTGAGACAGAGTTTTGCTCTTGTTGCCCAGGCTGAAGTGCAATGGCGCGATCTCGGCTCACTGCAACCTCCGCCTCCCAGGTTCAAGCGATTCTCCTGCCTCAGCCTCCCGAGTACCTGGGATTACAGGCATGTGCCACCACGCCCTGCTAATTTTGTATTTTTAGTAGAGAAGGGGTTTCTCCATGTTGGTCAGGCTGGTTTCGAATTCCCGACCTCGGGTGATCCGCCCGCCTCAGCCTCCCAAAATGCTGGGATTACAGGCGTGAGCCACCACGCTCGGCTAATTTCTGCATTTTTAGTAGAGACGGGGGTTTCACCATTTGGCCAAGCTGGTCTTGAACTCCCGACCTCAGGTGAGCTGCCCTCCTTGGCCTCCCAAGGTGCTGGGATTACAGGCGTGAGCCACTGTGCCTGGCTGAAAGTTGATAGTTTAGAATCACAGCACCTTTCAGGGAAGGGATAGATTATTTCATAATTTTGTGTGTTTAAGGAAATAATACATTTAATAAACTCACATGCAAAAATAACATCTGTTACTACTGATTGAGGAAATTTAGCAGAAATGCAAAAATTGAAATGACGTTAATTTGGCCACATTGGAGAGGATCGGCAGAAGAGACTCATGTTTAGATACTTTAAAATGTAAATAGTGCTCATCAGGGGACACAGCCTCACTTCACATAATGTGTTTTCAGATAAATAAGTGGGGGAAATGTGCACTAATTCTATAGGGGCATAATTAAAAATAATTAGGCAGAAAAAAATCCCCTCACTTATTTTATTTAAAAACTTCAAGGAAAAGACAGAGATGGATTTTGCATTTTCAGAAAATGGTGAGCGTGTAGTACAGGCTTGAGATCGGAAGTCCCCAGTGATGTAAGCTTCCTTCTTCATGTATACCTGCCAATTTACTTTAAAAAAAAAAAAAGTGCTTACAATGGACTGTCTCCAGGGAAGAGAAGGTATGCGCTTAATGACTCAGTCCTTGGCAACCATCAATAAGTATGCTAGTTAGAGGCAATCAAAGAGTGTAATGTGCATACTGCAAACCCAGGAAAATACTAGTGTGGATAGATAAATAATAAACAGATAGATAGACATATTATGGTGAAATGAAAAAGTAAGCAGAATGGCAATCACCCTGGCTTTTGCTACAGTAACAAATAATAACCAAATCTCAGTGCAAACACAAACATTTATTTCTCGCTCACATTATAAGAGGGCAGTAGGTTGATCGGGCTTGGGGCAACCGTGGCTAGGCTCTATGTCTTCTTATTCTGGGACCCAGGTTAAAGCAGCAGCCACTATTTGGAGCATATAATACTCAGAGAGAAGGGCAGAAGATGAGGGGGCAAGAGCTACTCCCCACAAGATCATTGGAGTTTTCTGCAGGGACATAGCATACTCCTTATCCACTCACATTCCATTGGCAAAGCAATTCCAAAGTCAGTGGGGCGAGGAAATTGATTGCACCACAAGAAAACATGGGAAAGGGGGAGAGAAATGAGGAATTGTGAATAAATAAGTTTATCACACCCGAGAGATAGAAAACAGTAAAATAATATGACCGAATGTACTTTTTTAAAGAAAATATTATGATTATTAAACACATAATTCAGACAGAAAACTCCTTCTGCCAGTGGCAAATGAACCCAAGTTTTATGGGGCCTGAAACCTGTGCAATTTTTATGATCATCTTTAGAAAAACATGGTCAAATACTGCTAATAAAATTAGGGGGTTTGAAGCTTAAATTTAATTAGCTTCAAGGTAAATCTGATTTTGCCTCCACTTTAAGTAATGTAAAAACAACCTAACTCTATTCATTAATAAAATTTTGGTAGAAATTTCACTTCAGAACTTGTATTAGTACTGTTCTTTTAAAATAAGATACTGTGTTTTTTTTGTTTTTTTTTTTTTGTTTGTTTTTTTTTTGAGACGAAGTCTCACTCTGTCACCCGGGCTGGAGTGCAGTGGCATGATATCGGCTCACTGCAACTTCTGTCTCCCAGGTTCAAGCAATTCTCCTGCCTCAGCCTCCTGAGTAGCTGGGATTACAAGCGCGCACCACCATGCCCAGGTAATTTTCGTATTTTTAGTAGAGACGGGGTTTTACCATGCTGGCCAGGCTGGTCTTGAACTCCTGGCCCATGATCTGCCTGCCTCGGCCTCCCAAAGTGTTGGGTTTACAGGCGTGAGCCACAGCGCCAGGCATGATACTGTATTTTTTTTTAATAAACAGAGAATCAGTTATTCGTTTGGACCTAAGAACATGATAAGATAATCTTCTGGCCTCTTGAGGTCACCTAGGTCATTTAAAAACTACAAGGGAGGTAAGAATTCGCTGGATGTCCTTCTCTGAAGAAACCCATTGATTCAAATTGTATTTATCTAATAGAATCCAAATTGGCCGCCATTGTTAAATATATGATGACCTGCTTTGTGATAGTATTGTAATGAGTATGTTTAATTTTGGAAAAAAATGTTTGCCCCCACCCCTGGCTCCAGAAGATGGCTGATGTGTAAATGCAAGATTTTTCCTAAGAATAAATGCTTATTTTTTCAGCTAACATAAAAAGTAACTTATTTCATATAAATTTTCCAGACTTCTAGATATTGTTGTTGAGAATATGGAGTAAATTATGGATGATGTAGTTTTTAAAGCCAGGTGAGCTGACAGTAAACAATAAGAGTATAGGGTTAAAATATGGTGGGGTATATTCATGGTAGGTCCAGATCCAGTCAGTAGGTTAAGACATGAGGAAACGTTGAAAGATGGAAGCCAGAAAGAGCCTGTACCCCAAGTCTCTATCATTCTACTCTTTACTTGGTGTGGTAGGCAGGATAATGGTTCACAAAGAAATTCACACCCTAATCCCCAGAACCTGTGACTATGTTCCTTACATGGCAAAGGTACTGTATAAATATGATTCAGGTTATGGACTTTGAGATGGGGAAATTATCCTGCAGTGGCCAGGTGGGCCCAATCTAATTATGCAAATCCCTAAAAACAGAGTCCCTGTCCTGGCTGCGGCCAGAGAAAAAGATGTGATGACGGAAGAGTCAGTGAGATTGGACCTGCTGAGCTGGCCTCCAGAAAAAAACAGAGCACTGCCGACACATTGATTTTTATCTGGTAAGATTCTTGCTGGACTTCTGACCTACAGAACTGTAACTTAATACATCTGTGTTGTTTCAAGCTACTACATCTGTGGTAATTTGTTACTGCAGCAATACACTAATATACAAAGCTAATACACTTGGTGAAGCAGGGCAATGAATCACCAATAATATATGCAGATGATGGAGGTCCTTAATTCCCTGGTGCGAATGCCTCAGAAAGATCAAGTTCCCCTAAACCTCAGTCTTCATCTTTGACTCTTACCCAAGTTTCTGAGGCTAAACTGGATACATGCACTGCCACTCTGCCGTGGTCCAACAGGCATTCTTTTTTCAACCCAGTTTATCTCTGTCC
This sequence comes from Homo sapiens, assembly GCF_000001405.40. NCBI lineage: Eukaryota > Metazoa > Chordata > Mammalia > Primates > Hominidae > Homo > Homo sapiens. The sequence goes on along the minus strand of NC_000006.12, from coordinate 79,168,582 downwards.
GTTTCCTCAACTTGTGTTTGTGAAGTGACATTTTAGGTCCTCTTAGTCTGCTTATTCTGCATGAGGTAAAGTGGCAAAATACACTTTGACAACCCTATGAGTCACTTTCTCCAGCATGATCAAACTGCAGTGGATCAGGGAAATGGTTTTGGAAGTACATGTATTTTCTCTTGGTACAGTTTGACAATTTGGTTTGTTCATATTGCCGAAACTGAGCATATAATGTTAACTTCTTCTATGGTCTTTGAAATATGAACATATTTGAACTGTTACACTGCATTCTGATTAAATCCACTTAAACCTTATTGCAATGCATGCCTATGTTTTTATTATCGGCTGGACAGACTGCTGTGCAAAACAAGAATCCGTCTAGCTCCAAAGGGGATACTCAGGAAGAAACCGTAAGAGGAGCCCTTAATTAAAAACATAGGCGAGTCATTTGGGGGAAGTTAGAAAAAAATACGGTCTATATGCAAAAGCAAGTGATGGACTGATTCCAAAACATTGTTTAAAATACTTTGAGAAATAGTCATTAATGAGGTGAGAAAAACAGTCACTTAAGCTATTGTGAATGGTTTTCTTTGCACATAAAATAGGCTGGAAAATGGATTCAAGCAGCAGTGAACGTGTGATAAGTAAATAGACTAAATCTATGAGGAGAACAGAGAGTCCTGGAGAAAGACATTGTGGAAGAATAAGACTATTTGCCAAATAATGGACCAGAATGATGAACTTTGTATTAATTGACATTGTAAAGTTATTATACAATATTTAGTATACTTTAATGCATATTCATTTTTTCAACATCAAAAGATTTAATAATGTTGTGAAGAATATTTAGCATTCTCACAGAGCTTAATTCTGGATCTCAGCTGTTCATCACTGAACAAACAGGATGCAATACTAATGGAGCATTACCTTGCCCAGAATATTGACTATTAATAATATACAGTCATTGAGAGGAAGCACCAGTTTATGAACACAATTTAAATACTAGAGATTGGCAAAAGAGAAGATTATTCGTGTTCCTAAAGATGTTTGTTCATGTCAACCCTCTTTCCACTGTAACCCAAGTAGAAGCAGTAAGAACATATTATGAATTTCCTCCTGAGAGACAGCTAAGTGCACTGGACTTGGTGCCATAACACCTGGGTTTCAGTCTCCATTCCTCTGCTTCTGGCAATGGGAACACTACAGGGCCTCCCAGAGCCTACTTTCTACCTGATAAACACAGATAATATTACCTATTTTTGTCTGATTTCCAAAATGAGGTAACATGATATACTGCAACGTGAAAGTGCTTTGTAAATTTTAGAGTTCTATACATTAGGGTCCTTATATTAGGCTTTAAAAAAATAGTATGTAAATCGTTAAAATACCACTTCAGCACAGATATATATTGTTATAACTTTTGATAGAATTTTATCAAAACTTAATCTAATAATAGTTTCATGCTTTGGTACTTATCATCAACTTAGGTTATGTGTGTTTACAGCGATGTTCATTGCACGTAAATATTTGAAAAATAAATGCTCCCTTCACAGTTTTACCTAGAGCTAGGCCTTGTGACCTTTACTTTGTTTCTGAGTTTTTTTATAGTTTTTGTTGACAGTCAAATCATGTCTTCATTAAGGTGCCAGACAAATATTAAATTCAGTAATCTATTGACCAGCAAATATTAATAACTTATTCACTTATTATGTGCATGTTACTATACAAAGTACTATTCAGTAAACTCAGCAAAATGAGCAGTTTGATTTTTTTTCCCTCTTCTAAACTGACTAGCTCTTTGTCTGAATTAATCAAATCAACCAGTAGATTTTTGGCTTCCTGTAGATGCAGCTTAAATGTCACTTTCTATCTTCAAGCTGCTATTTTGAAAATTGGTGGTGTGTAGGTGGAAAACACTTCACTATTTACAAGTAGAATACTATACAGTAAGGCTTATTAGATTGTTATTTTCTCTCTGTAGGTTTATTTTATTTAACATTTTATTATGGAAAATTTTAAACATGTGACTAGGCATATGGAGTAGTATCATGAATCCCCACACACCTAACCCAGTTTCAACAATTAACAAATCATAGCCAGTCTCACTTCATCTCTACTCCCATCGATTTCTCTTCTACCCCATGTTATTTTGGAGCAAACATCAGATATCCTATAATTTAACTCTTAAATATTTCAATATATATCTTTAAAAAGAAAGAATTTTTTAAAATTAATCACAATAGTATTATCAAATCCCAAATACAATTAACAAGAATTGCTTAATATCATTAAATATTTAGTGTGTATCCAAATTTCCAATTGTTTCATAATTTTATATTTTTTTTGCAGTTTGTTTCAATCAGTAACCAAATAAGGCCCACACATTATGATTGGTTAATACGCCTCGATTCTATTTTAATCTTCAACTTTTTCTTTTTTTCCCTCTTGCAATTTATTTGTTGAAGAAACTGGGTGATTGTCCTATGGCCTTTTCTACAACCTACATTTTACTGAGTGTATCCCATGGTGTAGTGTAATATGTTTTTCAGTCCTATGTGTTTCCTGAATACTAGTAGTAGGATCTAGAAATGTGCTGTGCAATATCATATTCACATATAGTTTCTTTTCTAAAAATGAACTTATTATTTCAGAATAGGTTTAGATTTACAGAAAAATATGTGAAGATCATACAGAGAATTTACATCCAGTTTTCCTTATTATTAATATCTTAAATTACTATGGCACATTTGTTAAAATTAACAAACAAATATTGATACATTATTATGAACTAAAATCCATGCTTTATTGAGATGTCCTTAGTTCTTACCTAATGTATTTTTTCTGTTCCAGGATCCCATCTAGGATATTACATTGCCTTTGTAGTTATGACTCCTTAGATTCCTCTTGGCTATGACAGTTTCTCAGACTTTTCTTACTTTTGACGACCTTGACAGTTTTGAGGAGTACTTGTGAGGTGCATTGCAGAAAGGGTTATGGGTTTTAGGGAAGGAGACCACAGAGGTCAAGTGCCGTTTTTATGACATCATATCAAAGGTATATATTGTACATATTAATTATCACTGTTGATGTAATCTTGATCACCTGGCTGAGGTAGTGTTTGTCAGTCTCCATTATAAAACTACTCTTTTTTCCCCATTTCTACACAGTGCCCTTTAGAAGGGGAGCACTACACAAAACCTCCACTTAAGGAGTAGAGAGCTATGTTTCATCACTTTTGGGTGGAATATTTTTATTATTTATTTATTTATTTATTTATTTTGAGACAGTCTCACTTTGTTACCTTGGATGGAGTACAGTGGCGCAATCATGGCTCACTGCAGCCGCCACTTGCTGGGCTCAGGTGATCCTCCCACCTCAGCCTCCTGAGTAGCTAGGACTACAGGTGTGTGCCAACACGCCCAGCTAATTTTTGTATTTTAAGTAGAGACAGGGTTTTGCCATGTTGGCCAGGCTAGTCTCAAACTCCTGGCCTCAAGTGATAATCCACCTAGGCCTCCCAAAGTACTGGGATTACAAGAGTGAGCCACTGTGCCCTGCCTATTTTCATAAATTATTTGGAATTCTTCTGCACGACAGATGTGTTTCTTTTCCTCCAATTAGTTATTTATTTATTCAATAATTTAGTCAGTATGGACTCATAGATATTTATTTTACATTTCGGTTATAATTCTACACTACTTTACATTGTTGCTCAAATTGTTCCAGCTTTGGCCATTAGCTCTTTCATTCGGCTCCTGTGTTCCTTTGTCATACCCCTACTGCTGTGAGTGTGTGTGGTTTTAAGGACTTTCTTACCTTCTAGCACTATAAGATGCTTTAGGCTCATCATATACATTCCCTGACCCCGTCCTAGAATCAGCCATTTCTTCAAGGAAACTTGGTACCTTTAATTTGAGAACGGTATTAGAAATAAAGATCTAAGACCAGATACAGTAGCTCATGCCTGTAATTCCAGCACTTTGGGAGGCTGAAGTGGGCGATTGCTTGAGGACAGGAGTTCGAGACTAGCCTGGCCAACATGGCAAAACCTCATCTCTACTAAAAATATAAAAATTCACTGGGCGTGGTGGCACATGCCTGTAATCCCAGCTACTGGGGAGGCTGAGGCAGGAGAATCGATTGAGCCTAGGAGAAGGAGGTTGCAGTGAACCGAGATCATGTCACTGCACACCAGCCTGGGTGACAGAGTGAGACTCTCTCCAAAAAAAAAAAAAAAATCTAAGGGCTAGATTTAATAAAGTTTTTAAAAGTCCTTCTTTTATTGCCATTATACCTATTTCAAAAATTTTAAAGTACTTTTATAGTTGGTTATTTTTAAATTTTGATTTTTATAGTTCAATTTTCAAAAGTTACCTAAGGTGTCTGCTTGTATTGAATAGTATATCTTTTATTCCAAAGCAAGTCATTTAAACATATATTTTGTTTCTAAATATCTTATTATTAAATACAGTGTCTGAAAGCTCATATTTTTCTACATTTTGTCAGTCCAATCAGTTCAAGAGGCTGTATGGTTAAGTGAAGCTAAGTGATCTTTGACTGTTTTTTTAAAAATTCCTAGTGAATTGACTAAATATTTTGACACCTTGTAATTACAAAGGGCATAGAGAAAGTAGATTAAATGACAAATATAATAAGGAAAGATTGTGTTTATTTCTGTGTAAATCATAGAGTAAAATGCCTTAAGGCAAATCCTTATAGGGTGGACTTTCTGAATAGCTAGGTAAAACAGTGGCTAAACCTTTCATTATAAAATTTATGAAGTATTTGTTCAAAAAATAAGCAATGGAAAAATTTTATATAATACTAGGTGAATAAGAGAAAATATCAAGAATGGTCATTTCTATATAAAATATACTAATTATATTATTTTCTTTTATTGGTTAATTTTTTCATAGAATTTATTTTTTTAAAAGGTGAATCTTATGGAAGTTATACATGAGGATGCCTTAGTCAGGCAAACCTAGCAAAACAACTTACGAACTTCTTGACACTGGGCAACTTGCTAATCTTTCTGTGTTATTTCCTCTTCTGTAAAATAGATTGTGAAGACAAATTGGTTCGTATATGTAAAGCTCTTAACATATACATGTGATATATGTGTAACATGTATGTATATCAACATGTATGCATAACATATATAGCACTCTACAAAACATGTAGAGCCCAGCCCTTCCAAATGCTCAGTAACAGTTGTCTCTTTCTTATCTTTAATAATATTTTATTTTCTTTCTACATACTTTCATGTTATTTTTCTTTAGTAATAGTCAATAACTTAAACATTTTGCTAATCCAGACTGACTCCACCTTTCAGTGCAAATTAATGAAATTTTGCTATAGTTAATGTTTTCTCCAAACCAATATTGTATTGGGAATATTTGTATTATTTTGGTACATATTAATGAGTTTTTCCTCTTTTACTTTTCTTAATGTGTAACCTTTGGTTATTCTGCCCAAGGCTTTAGGATTATAACTGGAATACAAAAATCAAGAGGGTTTCAATATTCAGAAGAATGTGACAAAGGGGAAGGAGAGGCCAGCCTATCATCTCTTTTGGCCTAGGGAAGATTTGCAGCAAAGAGAAGGGAGACAGAGGCAGGAAGTAAGACTCACTCTCAACCATCTCTTCCAGGCAAAAGTCTTGCCAGCAGGGTGGTGCATTAGATATACTGGGGAACCTGAAAGAAGAGAGTCTTTGCATTGCTCCCTCTGTGGAATTCTGGGAGGACAAGTGGGGTGAGAAGCCCAACAGTGGCACTTGGTGGAGAGAGTTGTGTAGACCAAAGAGTCTGCTCTCCTGGCCTGCTTGTGGTGAGCAGGGGATCCAGAAGTGCCTGTGTATCCTGCTGGGGAAAGTAGAGTTCCAGAAGGACCAATGGACTAACAAGGTCCTGAAGAGAGACAAATAGGCAAATAGTCCAATGGTAGGTATTTACAAAACTCGCAGGGCAAATGGGACTATCAGCCACCACAGTCACAAGTCCAGGGACCAGACCAGCCACTCAACTGCAGAGACCAGGGAGAGGCCACCGAGGTCACCATCTGAATCCAAAACTCCTTTTTGCTACCACCCTCCTCACCCCCTTCACGTGATATCATGATTGTGTCTTGGAGTTGAGTAAAAAAAAAGAAGAGAAAATCTTAAATAATTAGCATTTTCCCAGAAGAGACTGAGGTATCCCCAAAAGACTAAACCATAAGAAAACTCAGTTATTGTGAATCCTTAAATTTAAAATACACAATCTAGTAGGTGAGAAAGAGTAAATCGGTTATGAGAAACAAAGTTATTAAATTTGCAACACTGCTACAAATACAAAAGGATTTGAAAATGACAAGTGCCTTCCTTTCCCAGCTGCTGTGAGGATCAGAGGGGCAGTTAATGGGAAGCAACATTAGGATGTGAAAGTGCTCCATGCAGCTAATGATAATGACAGCTGCATGCCCTGCGCTGAATGTGCTGGGATCAGAACAGGACAAGCAGCAGGCACATCTCAGCTCCAGGCCAGGAGGCAAGGGCATAGACAAGAAGCCAGGTCCAGGCCAATTACAAGGTGTCAGGGAGAAGAAACCAGCACCACAGAGCAGCAGATTCAGATGAAATGTGGAAAGGAAGCCAAGAGGCAGCAGAGGACCAGGCACAACCTCCTGCACGCAGAGAAGCACCATGGAGGCATGTTCTCCAGGAATGACACTAGGCCTAGCGCTATCTGGTATTCCTCTTGCTCAAATGTTTGATGCAAAAGACTGAATATCTAAAAAGCATGTTCACTGAAGATATGCAATAGAGTGTGGCTATTAGTCCCACAGAGTGTGTGTATTAGCCCGTTCTCATGCTGCTAATAAATATCCAAGAATGGGCAATTTATAAAGGAAACAGGCTTAATTGACTCACAGTTCAGCATGGCTGGGGAAGCCTCAGGAAACTTACAATCATGGTGGAAGGAGAAGTAAACAAGTCCTTCTTCACATGGCAGCAGGAAGCGCAGGTGTCGAGTGAAGAGGGGGAAAAGCCCCTTATAAAACCATCAGATCTCATGATAACTTACTCACTATCATGGGAACAGCATGAGGGTAACCACCCCCATGATTCAATTACCTCCCACTGGGTCCCTTCCACAATATGTAGGGATTATGGGAACTACAATTCAAGATGAGATTTGGGTGGGAACACAGCCAAACTATATCAGGGAGCCTTGAATTAAAATTAAGAATCATCTTGTCAGGGTAGAGAATTAAGAAAAGTTTAAATTATAAAACTTAGTGAGATCAGGGTAAATAATTCATGGAAATTTTTTCTCTAAGTTTCAGATTTAGGAAAGTGGATCTTTGTAAAAACATGGCCAAAAATATGTGGCAAAAAAAGATTTGGAGATTCTGATGATCTAGATATTAATTCATTCATATTCCTGGCCCCTATTAGGTGTCAGATTCTTTGATAGGTAATAAAGAGGTCTTTGCTAACAATCCCGCAGGAAGACAGCCAAGTCAACGGGCACTTAAAGAACATACACAATAATGGAAGAGGTATGGGAGTACAGAAGAAGGACAGCTAAGTGCATGTGGGGTGCCAGAAGAGGCTTCCTGAAAACAGTAATATCTGAGTTAGAACTGAAGAAGGAATGCATAGTAGCTAGGTGAACAAGTGGGCGAAGGTGCTTCAGGCCAAAGAAACAGCATAAGCAAAGGCCTCAAACCAGAGAGACTTGCATTTGTCACCAGACTCAGACAAATGGGTAACCAGTGCACAGTGAACATGCTTCACACAGCATAAGAACAATTATACACATATAGTAGTCCTTTATATTTCAGGCAAAGAAGGGCCAAATACCTTGAAAAAAGAGAGTATGTCATGGAAATTCAGAGGAAAGAAACAGTTCTGTGAGTTATGAAAAAGCCTAGAAAGAATTCTGATGGAAAAATTTGGGCTTTAGACTTAAGATTTTCATTATTTAATGGAAAATAATCCTATAGAGATCAAAAAGTTATCTCTACATGATCCTTCAAACTTTGCTGTGTGGCTCTATTGTGAGAATGTGTATATGTCATGCTTTTTAATTTGTAATAGTATTAGTTCTTAAGTTCCTTGTTACCAGTTTCAAAAAATCACAACCAAAACTTGGTACAAGATTATGTATCTCCAGATAATGTATTTAAAAATGAGTGCTACTAATAAAATAAAAGATTCTGTAATCAAATAACAACTTTTTATAACTCTTAATAATGTTACACTTTAAATCTGAGGGGGGAAATGTGATTAGATTGACCCACAATAGTACATTTATTTATTTTCCTTCAGGTTTTCTCAAATTAACAAGATTTTGTTACTTGAGAAACTAGAGAGTAGTGGCTTTCACCTGCCTCTGCTTAGGAATTATTATGAACCAAAAATACTATTCTTCCTGTAAACAAAATAAACACACTTTTCCATTTTCAAAAGAAGTTTTCCTTTTCTAACCTAAGAAATCCCAAATAGATCAGATTTTTCCCAGTTCTATCCAAGTGTTCATTTCTAGCCAAAGATTCTGTCATAAAGCCTGCATTTGGAGAAAATCTATCCTGGGGGTGGGGTGAAGAGACTATAAAAAGGAAATGATGGTGTAATTTTAAGAAGAATATTTATAGTTGTGTGTACTAATTTATTCTTTTAAACTGGCTCGGTATTTTGATTTGGTCTAAAATAGATCAACCCTACTAAATTTATATTGGATGATTGTTTGTTCAACTATTGAAAATGTGCAGGGAAGTGGTATAGCTTGATGATTAAACATCCAGACTCCGAAGACTGCTTTGTCTGGGTTCGAATCGCAAGCCTGCTGCATTCTTACCACATTACCCTGGGAAGGTTTCTTAAACTCTCTCCATTTTCTCAACTGAAAAATAGAAATAGTAACAGTACCTGTCTCAAAAATAAATTGGTACCTGGAAAGCAGTTAGAAACATGCCTAGCAAACAGCAAGCACTAGGTCATAGCTGCTAGTATTATTCTGTTTTTATGAAGTCATAACTGCAGGTGTGCTGTTTCTTGACTTTTCTGTTGAAAACATCTTTCCTTTCCTATCCTCCCTCTGCTCTCACTCTATCTTCTATACACTCTGGTTCATTTCCATAGCCATTCTCCATTGCCCAACAGGGTTTTCACAAAGGTGTTCAATAACTGTTGAATAAATAAATGCCTCAAACTCCTGTTTGTTTTTTAAGTCCTCCAGAACTATACCTGGCCCTCTGACCTCCTGCAATGGGAGGAGTGCACACTTCCTTGCTTCCGTAGCCTTTATACATAACCTCTCTCTACAGTTAGCACACCTGGATGAACTGATCTTTATATAACTCTTTCTTGCCTTCAGTTTTCTTCAAATTCACGAGATCTTGTTTCTTACTTAGGGATTACTATGAACCAGAATCTGTGAGCTTCTTGAGAGTAGCGGCTCTCACCTGCATCCCCTAATGCTTGGAATACTGTAAGCTTGGTTAATGATTCATTGAGTGAGTGCATCAGTGAATGATTGAATGAACTCATCTTAACTCCTCAGCAGGAGCTGGATATTCTCCTGCCAGTAGTCATCCTCCAGGAATTATAAGCACAAAGCCAATGGCTCCTCTGCGGAAAGGCCTGACCCTGGGAAAGGGTGGCAGAAACCAACAGCAGAGAATTCTGCCTGCCATCACCAAACCACAGAATGAATGCTACAGCCGGAGCTTAATGTATTCTAATGCCTTCGTTTCACAAATGAAGAAACTAAATCCTAAAAAGCATTCAGTTAATATCTCCTAGAACATTAGAGAAGCAACTGGGAATAGAGTCTAGGTCTCCTGGCTTGTAGTCAATACTTATTCAAGTGCAAAGAGATTATCTGTATAAGGCTTGCGTGCTTCATGAAAGCTTAGCAGTAATAGGTGAATGAAAGAGATAAATAGGATAAATTTAAAAAGTCCTGGCTTTTTAATTCATTATTTTTAATGAAAGCCTTGCTAGTTATAATATCCTCCCATTTGAATGTATAAACTATTAATGATTGAAGCCATAGGTAGAAATTAAAAGTAAATATTATGGTAGTGATGGTATCCCATATTTTAGAATCTAAGAACATGTACTGCTTTTGCCTGCCCAGAATCACTTCCTCTTTTCAGTAACAACAGTTCACTTTTCCTTTGGGAATCTATGTCTTCTCAAATGCCAACTTTCTTCTCGGTAATTTCAGTGAAGATGTCCAGCTGCCCCAGTCAAGTTGTGGCCTCATGCACCTGGCTGTGCAGATCAGACTCTCTCCCCTATATCTGAATTCTGAGTAGAGTGATGTCGAGACAGAAAATGGCCAGTGCAGATTCATTCCAGTGAGCTTTCTGGGGGTGTTGTTCACTGATTCCTCCTAGACCTCCGGAACTACCCTAGGACCTGTCCTTCATGGGGTTACTTATCAACTTTCCCTTTGACTGTGTGAGCTAATCCATGTCCTTCTAACAGATTTCTTTTCTGTTTACTTAGGTAGAGTTTGTTTTCATTGTTTACAATCAAATTCTAGTAGCAGTTGGACTTGCAAGTTCCACTTTTGTTATGGTTTGTGAGTACAAACCCAACAGCAAAAATAAATATGGAAAAAAAAATTTATGTATGTATGTGTGTGTGTGTGTGCATGTTACCTACTAAGTATGTAACTGCACAAGAGAAAATAGATTTGTGTTACAATGTATACAAAGGGAAAATAGGCCAAACTTGATTTTACCATGGAAATCTATCTGGAATTTTATGTACTTAAATGAGAGCTTTCTTTGAATGTTAAAAGTTGTCACTACGCTTATAAAAACATAATATGCAATATTATAGATGTACGCATTTAAACTTAGGTTCTTTGTTAACTGTCCTGACATATATTTCCCTTAAAATAATATTTAATTTAAACTGGTTTATTTATGTAGGTAATAGTAAACCAATAGTAGAGATCAAATTCATAAACTAGAGAAAATAATATGTAATTGTAGCTTAATTTAGCCACATTATTTATATTAAGCTACAAACACATATTTTATAAATACATGGGTACATGCAAAATTCTGTGTAAATCATATGTTAATGATTTCACCATAAACTGTATCTGTTCTTTACTTTTAAATTGCACTTAATAAATTAAACTAGAAAGTTCATGAAAGTTGTTCATTTAAGTAAATATTGATGAAAAGTTATTAAGAATTAACTCATGAGAATAATCATCTGTGTTCTCTCTGAAAAATAACTATTTTTGGAAAAATATGACACAAAGTTTCTCAATAAATATTTGAAGATTTTTTCCCCTTTTTACCCATCTCTCCTTTTGATTGTATTTAACTCTTTCCTGGGTGAATGTATATTTTGCAGGTAGAATGTCACATCAAGCACTAGAAAAATTTCTGACACAGTATTTAGTATTTATTTAGTATTTAGTATGTAATTTCTGATGGCAGCAAAAATTTACCTAAGAATTTATTAGGAAGTCTTTTTACAATGACTGTAATAAACACTTGGTGCAATATTTGTACACATATTCTAAACAATTTTGTAATAGTTAATATGTCAGCTTTCCTCTATGCTTGGTATACTCTTGAATGTAAAACAAAGATCCACACAGAAGCTGCGCTAGTTTTTATTTCTTCCTCAATACAAGAGCTACATACATAACATGTACACCTAAGCAGAAAGATGAAAGAGATATATGGCTTCTTTTATTTGAGGTTGTTTTCCATTATCTTTCACAACCTGACCTGGGTAGAAAGGCTAAAACACTGATCTTCAGCAAATGTTGATATTAAAGTTATGTGTATACTGTTATTTAACAAACAGTTTCTGATAACACTTACTAAGTGATTTTTATGAATTAGGAAAATCTTTAAGAGGACTGGTGTCTTCAAATTCTCGGTTTGCAAAAATTACTGTATATCTACAAGGGGTCATCAAAAAGTTCATGGAAAGTGCATATTATAAAAAAAGTAGTGTGTGGATTTCAAATTGTTTTGTACCAAAATAAACTTGTACTAATTTGTACTAACTTGTTATAACATGTATGAATAGGATCTAGTTTTGCAGCACTCAGAAAGATAAAACTTCAGTTTGAATAGAGCCCCTATCGAAGCAACACGAATTCCTTTAAAACTGAAGTAAGAACAAACATCCAATTTATGGTGAAGCTTGGGTGGAAGAATGGTGAAATTATTGCTGCTTTACAATAAGTTTATGGGGACAATGCCCCAGAGAAATCAGTAGTTTACAAATTGATAACCCTTTTTAAGAAGGGATGAGACAAATTTGAAAATGAAGACTACAGCTGCAGATCATCCACATCAATTTTGAAGGAAAAAAATGATTTTGTTTGTGCCCTAATTGAAGAGGACCAATGACAAACAGTAGAAACAATAGCCAACACCATAGACATCTCAATTGGTTCAGCTTACACAATTCTGACTGAAAAATTCAAGTTGAGCAAACTTTCTACTCAACGGGTGCCAAAATTGTTGCAGCCAGATCAGCTACAGACAAGAGCAGACTTTTCTATGGAAATTTTAAACAAGTGGGATCAAGATCCTAAAGCATTTCTTCAAATAATTGTAACAGGAGATGAAACATTACTTTACCTGCAATAGACTGAAGACAAAGCACAATCAAAGTAATGGCTACAAAGTGGTGCAAGTGGTGGAAGTGGTCCAGTCAAAGCAAAAGTGGACCAGTCAAGAGCAAAGGTCATGGAGACAGTTTTTGGGTGATGCTCAAAGCATTTTGCTTGGTGACTTTCTGGAAGGCCAAAGAACAATAACATCTGCTTATTATGGTGGTATTTTGGGAAATTTGGCCAACACTTTAGCAGAAAAACACCCCAGAAAACTTTACCAGAGAGTCCTTTTCCACCGTGACTATGGTCCTGCTCATTCCTCTCAACAAACAAAGGCAATTTTGCAAGAATTTTGATGGGAAATCATCAGACATCCACCTTATAGTCCTGATTTGGCTCCTTCTGATTTCTATTTGTTTCCAAATCTTAAAGAATCTTTAAATGGAACTCATTTTTCTTCAGTTAATAATGTAAAAGAGACTGTATTGACATGATTACATTATCAGGATAATCTGTTCTTTAGAGATGGATTAACTAGCTGGTATCATTACTTACAAAACTGTCTTGAACTTGATAAGTCTTACGTTGAGAAATAATGTTTATATTTTTTATTTTGATCTTTTAATTTCATTTTCACACACTTTATAAAGTCCCCTCATTACTATGTGTATGTATGTATGCATGTGTGTGCATTCTAATCACTTACTTTTTTGATGTTGCTCTTCTGTGCCAATTTTCAACTGAGAGGGGACTTTAAAAAACAACAACAAAATAATTTTCTATTGTTTTCAAGATAATTTTAAATGTAAAGTACATTTTAAAATATGGTAGAATACACACCAAAATATTAATTTATGATTACCCTAGCAGGAAAATAATATGGGAGGGAGGATCAATAGTAAGGGAGGAGAGAAAAAGAAAGGTGATTTTAATTTTTAACTTAAGACACTTTTATATTTTTTGAATTTTTATAACAAACATGTACTACTTTTATAATTAAAAAGTGAATTTCAAAATGAAAAATGTAGTTACTACTGCAAAATCCCATTAAAATTGGAAAAAATGTATATTTTGTATTCGTTCATATATTTTTTGAAGTTTGATCTTTTTAAATTTTGATTAAGCCCTTTACAATCTTTTCTATAGGTAAATAATTTAGTAGTGTTAAAAAATGATAATGGTGACAGGAATAGCTGCCAGGTTTTATGCTAAGTGACTTACATATATTGTTTATTTCATTTTCACAAAATCCTATCGGCAAAGGTAGGATTAGTGTGTTCAGTGAGGCTTGAAGTTTATATGATTTGGGGGAGGATAGATCTTTAAGAAAATAATACAAAATTACAGTGGCACTTCACAGGACATTAGAAGGGGGTCTGGGTGGATGAGGGGCCGTAAACTTTAAGCTTTGTAGGCTTCTTTAATAAATCTATCTCTACCCATTAATCACATATTAGTTTGGTTATACATATGGGGAACTGAGGCCTAGAGAGATAACTTACCTAAAATCATGCACCTAACAAGTGGCTAAGCAGCCACTTTGTTTTTCTAAGAGAATTTTTATATCTCAGTGATCACTGACCTGAAGTATTTTCAGTGAGTTGGAGAGAGAGCTCAATTTCTGCCCAGCTCTGACTTAAGGATGTCTGCTTCCCTTAATTACTTACTCCAGTAAGAGACAGAGAGGAGAAAGACGGAAAACTGGAGGAGGGGAAGGAAAGTCGAGAAGGGAGCCAGAGGGACCAGAGGTTGTGCCATTGAGAGAGCGAGAGGTTAGAGAACAAGCAGTGTTCAAATTCATGACCATATTCTTTAAAGGCTGTTTGTTGGCCACCATGGGGCTTGCTGAAAAAAGAAGGGGGTTACATGAGTCAAAGTGTCTGAAGCAACAAGTGTGATTCCTGGTTGATATATACTCTTGATGACTAAATATGTAGGACAAAATAAGAGATGGGGATGTTAGCCAATGCCATTATCATTATCAGGGCAAGGGACAAAAGAGAAACAAAAGAAAGAAAAAAAATAGTGCTGTTTGGGGACCTGAAGCAGAAGGCAGATGAAATTGATACAGTCATTGCATTTACAAGAAGCAGGAAGATTGGCACTTGGAAGAAAGAAGGATATCTTCCAAAAGATGTAAGAGGAAAGAAGGTATATTGGGCAGGTTCCAATCTAATTTGAGTTCTATGTTTTTAATCCTCCTACTAATGCTGATAAAGGCAACAAGGTTTAGGGGGTGATTCTTTAGGGCCAATGACTCCGAGGCAGCCCTGAAGCATCTGCCAATGGAGTTGATGCCCCTTAATTGCTGTTCATCCTTAGGTCCTTCACAAGGCCTTGCATAGGGTCTTTAACAGAATAGGTATTCAAGAAAAGAGTCTGAATGATTCAATCGTGGGGCTCACAAGAGAGGATAACCATGAGCTCTCAAAAAAGAAACCTCCTTGGGGCCCAAAACGTTTTCTTCTCTCTACCCTCTTATTTCCATCTTTCTCTAAGAAATCCCTTCCCCCTAGGAAATTAGTGCACATGGCTGGAATCCCTAAGTAAACTCATAGAGGTAGTTATTTCTCTCCAGATCCATGAAGATGCATAAAATAATTCCATAGGCATGAGAAGACCAAAGGCAAAAGGTCTTCAGAAATAATTTGATTTATAGGTATGTATGAATACACTGATACTGTGCCCATGGATAATTGGTGCTGTGGTACAGTTCTTGGTCACCATCCTAGATTGGACTTTTGATATTTTCCAGCAATTGCACTAGATCTTTCCCCTTTGCCACAGCTCTTTCTTGTTTCTACAGCAATTAATCACCAAATCTCATCAATGCTGCCTCCTAAATACCTCTCCAATCCATTTGTTTTCAAACTTTCTCAGTGCTCCTCCTAATCTTTCCGTGTCTTATTTCTTGATTACATCACCAAACTTCTAATGGATTTCCCACCTTTCCTAGCGTTCCTCTTCTTTCTGTATTCTAGTAATCATCTCCGACTTCTCTTAACTTCTAAAACACACCATATTTTCTTCCTCTGTGCTTGCTCATGTCTTCCTTTTCCCAGAAACACTTTTTTTCTCTTCTCTACCTTTACAATATCTACTTATGCTACAAGTTTCCAATTAAATATCTTTTTTTAGTGAGCCATTCCCATATTCCTCAGCTAGGTTATACTCCCTTCCTGTATGTTATATCATATCAGTCAATTTACTTTATTGCGTTTATTTGTTGAATGTGTTTTCCCTACTAGTCTGTACATTCCTGGAGTGTCTTGACTTCACTCCTGTGTTCTCAGCTCCCCAAGTTCTACCCCAGGAATTCACAGGCCTCTAAGTGCTGTTTACTTTCGCTCCACCTTTCTCCTCACTAAAGCCCAAGGAATCTTTATCTAGTCTGGGAGGGGTTGAGAAGGCTTCTCATCTTACACTTCCTGCTTTTTCCAAATACTTTTGTCTTGCTGAGGCCTACAGTTTTGAAACTCAAAAGCAAAGAATTGATCCCTTTGTTCTCTGCACTCGGCCGTTTCATCCTTCTGCCAACACAACAACGGCAGATGAAATGGCAGAAAAGCAAAGGGTGTAGGAATGTGAATATGAGGGAGGGGGCCAATCAAATGTTATCTCCACCCTCAGTCCACCCCACATTAACAGCCAGCCCTTGACCAAAGGATGACATCTGTTGTCCACGTTCTGTGGTGGATGCTGTGCTGCATTTCCCAGATTACTGCTCTACTGCTACAGGTCTTACTCTCCCTGGAGTTAGGCATTTTGCCTGCTGACAGCTACCAGCTTTTGGCTTTCTCTGAGAATTTACCTGAGCTGTAGAGAGCCTTCTTACCTAATTTTTAGCTTCTTCCCTTAAGGATCTCACATCCAGAATAAAGGCTGGCCTAATTCCAGGAGTTAGCTGAAATCTTATAGCAACTATATCACAGCCCATCTTTTCCTTGGTTATCTCCTGCTTCCTTCCCTTCTCCCAAAGTGTTAATCCCAGGAAGTCTCCAGTAAACTTTCTGCACACCAGTCTCTATCTCAGAGTTTACTTTTTGGGGGACTTAACCTGCAATAGCCATTCTTAGACTTCTTTTGTCTATGAAGATTTTTTTTTTAATTTCCATCCATCTATCTCCCAATTCCTAAAACCTAAAAATGGTGGGAGAATTTTAAGTTGCTTGGAGGCTTCCCTCAAGAAGTCACATGGGAAAAGAATGATAGCTTATTTCTGCTCATTTTAGTTTTAGGATACAGTCAATGGGGATATTGTTGCAAGGAAAAAGAAAAAATAGTGGAGACAAAAAATCTTGTACATTTGCTCCTTTCTAGATTGCATTGAGAAGGAGTGTGTGTGTGTGTGTGTCTGTAGATAACTGGAAGAATTTAAAATAAGATGTTTAAATGAAAGTTGCTGACAATTTTTTAAGTACAAATTATAAAATTTTATAAAATACTATAAAACCAAAAAAACTTCAGTCTTCTTGAAGAGCAGAGCTGATATTTGTTATGCAAATTATGAAATGCCATATTCCAAGACTTCCAGTATCAATTGCTTCTCACTGGAAAACCAAATGAAAAAAAAATCAAGTTGAAGAAAAGGCAACATTAAAAGAGATAACATCTATGGTGTTTTTTGATACAAAGGAATGATAATGCTACTTTTTTTTACTGAGAGTTAAAAGGATTTTAGAAGTCATGTAGTCTAAAATTGTGGACAGTGCAGCAGTACCTCCTGTGAGTTATTTTCTTTTGCTTAGAACACACAATTATCTTTCTAATATTAATTTTACATGTTCTTGTTTTGAAGTTTAATTAATAATTCTTGCTACATATCAACTGGAGGCCTTATGCACTACATTGCTTTTTCTTGTTCTTTGATTGTGTGCATACTGATGCATTTACCTATCTTCCATCTAATTTTGCCCCTGGGATCTATTACATTTAGTTAGTACAGAGTGTCTAAACGAGATAAATTGATTTACTTTGGTCTGCCCTCAGACTTATACTACACTTAACCCATGTTCATGATAGTTCAAGAGATTTCCCCTCTTCTCTGAATAACTACAAAACAAAGGTGGACAGTGTCCGAGTGATGTAGTATAATAGCTCTCTTGAGCATTGCCTTGTTGTATATGAATTATGCCACAAAGAATACATCTGTAATTTATTTCCTTGTGTGTCAGTGTATGTGTATGAGAAGCAAGAGCTAGACTGTCTCTTTACTATACAGTTTATTATTATTATTTTGCCTCTTTATGAACACTAGCAATTTTATTTAGAACGTGAAATGTAAAACAATGTAATAAAAATAGCCACTTTTTATAAGTGTTTCCCATGTTCTAGGCATCATGTTGAGTATTTTCTATACATTTCACTCATTTAAGCCTCATTATAACCCTGTGAGGTAGGTATTAAATACCTACATTTTATAAATAAGAAAACTGAGGCTCAGAGAGTTTAAATAATTCGCTTAAAATCACATGGCTGGAAAGTTATCGTAAGTAATTTACAATTATTTTTTAGCCACTCTTTCAGAACTTTTAAAGATTTTCACTTCAGGTCTTGATCAACTTCTCCAGAAAGAGCCTCTTTGCTCTTAACTCCCTCTCTATGTTTAAGTAACCCAATTCCACAGCTTTTCCTCCTCTCCATGTAAAAAATGTTTCACACTCCTTCCCACTGCCAGCTATCTTTCCTGTTCCCAAGTGTGTATCTCTCTACTCAGCACTTTATATCTTCGTTATCTCTTAGACCTTCCTAACTGGATGATGAGCTGCCAAATAAAATCACAGGAGGAAAATATAAAGCATCTCATCTTTCTCTCTTAAGTCTTTGCTGTCTTCTACTTCCTTGTCAATGAGTGTTCAAGTTCTCCAGTTTCCTGAGGCAGGCCCAGTGCTAAAAATAGCCCACTATGTGTAGTACCCTGGCAGAATTTTCTGGGCTATGAGAACCTAAATAAGAACCGCTGGTAAATTGAGATGACCAAGTTCTGGAAGTGAGTGTGGGGACACCCTGTACACCTCTGCTGTTGCCACTGTTAAGATGCTCAGCCTACCCCAAGAATTTGTTCATAATTCTTCTTGGATACATGATGGAAAGGCACTACTGTGTTTCCTTCACTCAGAGGACAGTGGCATAACTTACTATTTCAAGGGCATAAAACAGGCATAACCATTAGGATACAAATGTAATTTCAGCCTGTCTGTCAATTATTTCATTGTTCTGACTAAGCAGAGAAGTTTGATGTGAAGTAAATGTTACTTGAACTGTTTAATAAATAAATGTTTAAAAAATATATGTTTAAAGAAATGCGATTTTTGTAACTTATTTATCTAACTTATTAAACTTATTTTATTATTCACTTAATAGTTATTTATAATTATTAAAATGTTTAATAAACATTATTAAATTCATTGCAAATTGTTGGAGAATAATTTTCTCTCAAACATAATATTTTGGGGACCAAATATATAATATAAAAATAATATAAAAAATCACCTTTTTTAAAAGGTGATTACATTTCTTAAAAGAAGACTTCCTGCCAGGACACAGATGAAAATGAACCAATATAGCGATATATAAGTTCATACTCTCCAGCTCACTATTATTATGAAAGAACTTTTTTCCACAATAAAATAGCTTTATAATTTTTCTGATTATAGTGATAATGTATTTTATTTTTAAAAATTCAATTTGATATAAGGCAGAAAGTAAAAATTACACAAAATCTCCCACATGAAGACAGCTAAATAGCTAAATATTTTTACAACTTGTTTATACATACATGAGACCTAAGCCAATCAATTTATTTCCCTACCCATGGGGATTCAGAAATGCAGCCAGTTGGAGCCAATGAGATGTGAGAAGAAATCTTGTGAAAGCTTCTTTCCTCACTTTGAAGAGAGGGCCATTGGAGGAAATTGGCTCTTTTTCTCTCGGCCATTGTCAAGTATAGACGTCACTTCCAGAAAAACTACTGTAGCCTTCTTGATACAGGCTTCAGGAGGAAGCCAATTCAAAAAATTGGACAAAGATGAGAGAATCACAGAGAAACGCACTGGATAAAGACACTGGGTTAAGCCACTTTTAAAGGCCACCATGCCTCTGAACATCTAACAGTGTGAGCCCATACATTCCCTCATGGTTTATTAAGCCTATGTAAGTTGGATTTCTTGGTACTTGCAGCTGAATGTATTCTAACAAGCACAGATAATTTTTCCTATTAAAAAAAACCCAGCGTTTGTACAGGGTTTGTATTTTCTTAATAATTTCTGGGTTACTAACTTGCCTTAAAAAGTATCCCTACTGTGTAGGTTATACATATTATCTAAATTTTATATTTTTGAAATTTTATTATTTTATTAACTTTTAAGACAAATGCAGTATTTCTGTATATCATGTGAGATAGTAGTTCAACTTTAATTTTTTCAAATAATAATTGTGCTACTAATATGCAAATGAAATATGCTAATTTACTAAATAAACCATTCTCTTCCCTTTGAAATGAAATACCACCTTTGTCCTATATTAAGTTCCCATGTATTCTGTGATTCTTATTCTGGTCTACTAATCAATTAGTCTATTCCTATGCTAATATCCAACCATTTTGATTATGCAGACTTTATAACATATTTTAATATCTGGCAAGGATTCTCATCATTATTTTTCATGTTCTTACATTTCTTAGCTTCTCTTGAACATTCATTCTTCCATATAAAATGTAGAATAATCCAATTTTCTGAGAGCAGAGAGTTTTAATTGGAATTTCATTAAATATATAAAACAATTTGGGCAGAATTGACATATTTGTAGTATTAAGTCTTCCTGTACAAGAACTGGGTGTTTTTCCATTTGTTCAGCTGATGTTGTAGCCCTTCAATAAGATTTTATGATTCTCATCCTATAGGTCCCCTACGTTTCTTATTAAATATATTTAAAAATATTTTAATGCTTTTGTACTGTTGTAAGTGGATTTTTTTTTTTTTACATTTCTAATTCTAGAGATTATTTCTAGCATAGAACCACACCATTCCTTTTTTGAGTAGGTATTACATATACAGGCATGTTACCAAATTCCCATGTAATAGTTTTTAAATGAACTCTCCTAAGTTAATGCCTGGAATAATGTTTGCTCTTGGTTTTGCATGAGTGCATTTATCGTATTTAGATGGTTCTCATTTATTCATATTTTTTATTAGAGTTTTGTAGGAATGGCTGCTGAATTTAACCAAATGCCTTTTCAATATCGATTAATATGGTTTTAATCCATGAATATACTTGTATAATAAATTATGATGTTGAAAGAGCTCCTGACATGACACAGTCTTTGCAATAAACTACACTAGGTCATTGCTGATACACTGCTGGATTTTATTTGCTAATTTTTAATTAAGATTTTTGCATCTATATCCATAAGTGAAATTGGACTATTACTTTATTTTTCCATTATTATTACTGTCTGGCATTAGTATTAGCATTATGCCAGCTTCATAAAATGTATCAGCAAGCGCAATATCATTTTGTAAGATTTGAAATAGTTTAAATAACCTTGGAATTATTTCTTCCTCAATAATCCTAAATGTGATAAGTGTATTTATTCTTTGTTTACATAAGAGCCCCACAGTCAGTAGCTCTGATTAAAACTAAGAATACATGCATTCTAAAAAATTATAAATGGCCTACGTAGAAAAGAAAATGGCTTTGTGAATTTGAGGTAAACAAAAATCAAAAGCAAATTAACTTCTCATCTCTTACCCATGATGATGGCTCAAGGTTCATACTCTTTCATTCCCTTTTAGGAAATATCTTACCTTTTTATACTTTCATCTCCCCTTACTGATTCTGGTCTTTTACAACTGATCTTGTCCAAAGTGCCTGCAGGACTCCTCATTCATATATATCCACTGATTTTGCATAATTGCATCTTTTTCTTTCTTTTCTGCCTCTCTATGTAGGCAAAAGCATGACTTTTTCTTGATAAAAACTTCCTGAAAACTCTTGAGACACTATTCATTTTCTCATGCCCTCTGTGTCTCAGTGACAAGTTGTAAGGGTAGAAAACATTTCTAGACTGCTAGATTATGGATCTTGAAGCTCATGCCATAGTTATGCCACTCTCCTTTTCCATCTTCATGGTCATTACTTTATGATATCCCTGTATCAACTGAGGCCACACTGGCTCAAAATCTTCTTTTTGATTCTCCTTAGAATCTTGAGAATATGCAGGGCCCACACTGAAGATCCACTAAATCCTCATCTTATAATTTCTTATCTTCTTTCCATCTTCATCTCAGTTAAACCTCAACATTCATCTCCATGACTGTGTAAATCCTACCATTAGAACAACTTACACAAGAGCACTTTGTGCCAGGCACTATTCTAAGAGCCTTATGTGTTTGACTCATTCAGTCATTACAAAAACCCTCTGATGTAGGTTAAAATTTCCCATGAGGAGTGTGAGGCACAGAAGAAAAAAAAATGTTACTTACTTCCCTAATGCCACACAGCTAGTAAGGGGCAGAACTGCTATTAAAACCCAGACAACCTGCTCAACCACTGCATTATATAAGAATAACCTCCGGTTTTTAACATTTTTACACTTATAGTCCTGCTACATTTGCCCTTTAATTCCATTAAAACACTGGTTTCTTCTAGAATCTTTTGCTCTATCAGCCTCCTTTTGACTTTCATCCTATTTAAATTGATCACTACACATATTTGGGTTGTTAATCACTTCAACTACACATTCCCAAACTTGCTTAACTTTCTGGAGATTGCCTCTTCATCCTGTAATTTGTTTTCTAAGCCCTACTATGAGCACAAGCATTTATTTTTTCTACTCCTTCTCTCAAGTTAGCAATCACTGCTGTAGAAAATGACAAAATCATGTTGACCGTCTCCACTCTAAATGCTACAGACTCGCTGGGTTGGTATCATTGCTCTGCAGTTCTTCTCCTTCTGTCTAACTGACTCTTTCCATTCCTTATAACTATTCCCTTAGCAATTGCTCTGTAATTTTACTTTCTTCAATCTTGTCGTTCAACTTCTCAACAGAAGACTTAATTTCTAATATCACAAGAATATATTGGCCATTATGAATAGACTACTTCAACTTCCCCATTTTTTGCCTCCAAAATGTCCTGTATTTTTGTCCTTCCCTAAACTTTCCTATGTGTTTCAGAAGAAGTGGTCTTATTTCTCTCTAAGCCTCTTAACTTATGACCTTGAATCAATCTTCTTTTGCCTCCTTTGACTTGTATGACCATTAAGTATTGACTTTTAAATTTTTGTGTTGGCCAGGGTCGGTGATGCTATATTGCAGTAACCAAAGAAAACTACCTTTAAAGTTTTAATAAAATTTTTATTTATTTTTATTTTATAAAGCCAAATTCATTGTGGCTTTTGCTACCTCTCCAGAGCAACTGCCTTTGATTTCATTACTCATGAATTCAGGCAGCTATGATCTTGTGGTTCCCCACATCAACATGACACCCCTTCCTTTGTTCCTATGACAGGGAAAATGAAACAGATTTGAAGACTATGTAGACTTGTTTCTTTCACCTTTTGTGTCATTCATCTCTCTCTCTGTCTCTCTCTCTCTTTTTACTAAATCTTTTGTCTCTATCACAAATAATGCTGAGTTTAAGCCATCTTGAAAATCTCCTTACCTATATAGTGCTCACTCCCACTTGCCTTTTTGCCCTTTCTCTTACACAAGAATTTATCAAATCACTGAAATATCATTTCTACACTTCTCAGACCAAGTTTACTTTCAGACCCTTGAAAAATGAATATGCTCTTTCCCTCTCCTTCCCCATCATTCCATCTACATATGATCTCTGATATATTCCCCACATTCCAGCCACACTGCACTGTTCAATGTTACCCACATGTCCTGTGCATTCATATGCCTCAGTGTCTCTCCTCATAAGATTCCAGCTTTCTCAAATATAGATGCTCCTTCTCTGAATGTGCTTTCTAAATATCTTACCTCTGCAATCTATGTTCATTCTACAAATTCAGCCCAGATTTTATTTTCTTTCTGTAGCTTTCCGTAACTGCAGACAGAAAGAAGGCTCTGAAATCTGCAACTTATAAATAACTATATTTAAGCTATCTTATATTGTATTCTAATTATTTGCATGACTGTTTAACTTTCCATCTAAACTATAAGCTCATTGAAAGAATAATCATATCTTGTTTATCCATGTACTCAGCACCTTGCATGGTAGTGCCTGGCACATAGAAAGTCTTTCAGTAAGTACCTAGTGAATAAATGGCTGAAAAAATCAATGAATAATGAAAGTTCTGAAAGCCAATAGTGGAGGGTGTATGTTATAATTTTTAGGTGTCATTGACGTTAGAGTTCTGTTTTTTTAAGAGAAAACTATATACAATTATTTACATTTTAAAAATCATTGGTAGCAGAAGTCACATAAGGTAAGGAATAACTAATATATTGTAATGTATTATTTATGCAACATTAAATAAAAATAGCATGGCACAAAATACATACTAAACAAGCTATCCATTTCAAGGATTTAAAGTATGTCTCCATATTAATGATACAATGTCTTACAATAAAGACCAGAGTGCTCTGGCATGTCTCCTGTGATAGGTGAAAATGTTTATAGCATCAGCAATATCGAAGTGAATTTTACTTTGCATGCCTGAGGTGTTATAAATGAACATGTCCCCTTCAATATATAATATTAATGCTGGAAAAGAGCTGACCAAATAATAATAATGATAAAGCTCACCAAATGTTTAAGGAAAGGTCTTTTTTAAATATTCTGAGGATGTTTATAATTATTAGTCATAGTTCTTTAAATTTGGCTTTGAAATAAATGACAAGGCTTGGGCTATGAATAAAGCTGACATATCAAGACATTACTTCAACCATTAATTTTGGGTATTTCTATAATGCTTATTCACTTGATTATCACATTCTGTCATTTGAGTTGAATTACAGGTCAAAAATTGTTATATTCTAAATCTTTCTTTTGTTCAAAATATAAGCAAAGAGACAAGAGAATCCTGCCGAAATACAATGGTGTTTTTTTCATTCACTTATCAAGTGTTCACAGTCATACTATACAGAATTTAGTCATTGTGGATCTTGCTTTTGTTAGAAAACACTTTTTAAAAACTAAGATTCTTTTCTATATTAAGCACATCATCTGTCTCCAAAATTGTTGATTATTAACTTTGCCTCTTTTTAATGTTCTGGTCCATACTCTGGGACTGGCTGGGAGTTGTTAGGGAGGAGCCACGAAGCAGCCAGAGGAAGCAGCTAAACATGCAGGCACCTAGCAATAATGTGCCCAGGAATGAGAGTCAGAAACCAAAAGGAGTCAAGGTGAAACCAAATGAACATAAGTGCAGAGCAAATCCAGAAGCCAGAGCTAGGGATCAAAGGCAATTTGAGTTACAATAGACAGTTATTGTGGGGGAGAAAAGAGGAAGCAAGAGGAGTCCAGGTAGCAAAGGTTAGTGAGCAAAAACACGGTAAGGGAGAGAATCAAGGAGAGGGCAGAGCAGTTACTATACTTGGGATTGAATTAGTGCCAGGGGGTTTGTTCAAAGAGCAAGAATGCCTGTTCAGAATTCTGCTGAACATCTCATTTGGCTTCTACTTTTGTTTATTCTTAATCTTCCCATCCTGGTGTTTTTGATCCCAGGCCTTGAAGGCAAGAAGAGTGGCTTCTGACATTTTAAATTATAAACATTTTCTTTCTTTCCAAGAAAAAGAGCAAAGGTCTTAACATTTCAAAATCCAAAGAGAAAAACGTGCAACTGAGAATCAACTGGTAAAAAATACGGCTGTAGTGGATTAAGAACCAATTTAGACTTTGTTTTTATAATTTAAACTAGGTCAACATACCCAACGTAGAAATGTAAAATATAGCATGAAATATATATCTGATATTGCTAGTACTGTGGACCTCCATATGTAAATCACATAATTATGTCAAATTTCCAATGGTTCAGGATTGCATGATTGTGGAGTGAAAGTCCAGATCATGTTGTACATGCACACTTAGTAGTAGGAATTCATAGCTTTAATGGATTTTTAAAAGTGAAATATTTACTATCTCCACAAAACATTCAAAAGATCATACTCCTACTCAGATTATTTATCATCATGATGGTACTTTTTATAAAGATCAAGTATGAGTAACCTACAAAAAATTGTCAGTTGTTCCAGGGCATAACATTTAGAAAAATGTGGTTCCTCTACAGTGAGATACCATCTCACACCAGTTAGAATGGTGATCACTAAAAAGTCAGGAAACAACAGGTGCTGCAGAGGATGTGGAGAAATAGGAACATTTTTACACTGTTGATGGGAGTGTAAACTAGTTCAACCATTGTGGAAGACAGTGTGGCCATTCCTCAAGGATCTAGAACTAGAAATACCCTTTGACCCAGCCATCCCATTACTGGGTATATACCCAAAGGATTACAAATCATGCTACTATAAAGACACATTCACACATATGTTTATTGCAGCACTATTGACAATAGCAAACACTTGGAACCAACCCAAATGTCCATCAATGATAGACTGGATTAAGAAAATGTGGCACATATACACCATGGAATACTACGTAGGCATAAAAAAGGATGAGTTCATGTCCTTTATAGGGACATGGTTGAAGCTGGAAACCATCATTCTGAGCAAACTATCTCAAGGACAGAAAATAAAACACTGCATGTTCTCACTCATAGGTGGGAATTGAACAATGCGAACACTTGGACACAGGGTGGGGATCTTCACACACTGGGGCCTGTCGTGGGACGCAGGGAGCGGGGAAGGATAGCATTAGGAGAAATACCTAAAGTAAATGAAGAGTTAATGGGAGCAGCACACCAACATGGCACATGTATACATATGTAACAAACCTGCACATTATGCACATGTACCCTAGAACTTAAAGTATAATAAATAAAAAAAAAAAAAAAGAAAAATGTGGTTCCTCTAGTCGATAGGTTCCTTACATCAGCCAAAGACATTCACAGAGAGTTGGGTTAGGAGAAATAGTGCCATAAGCAAGAGGGAAAAAAATTGTCATCTCTCTTCCCTCTACTCTTCATATTCTTTGTCCAGCTGAATGTGGTTTTCATTTTATACCCTTCTAGATATAAAAATAAAAACAGATATTGTTAATTTCATAATGCAAGGAGTTCTAATGCATTAAACTTTTGTTTAGTTATTTAAATGTTATTAATATAGAAAAGTACATCATATTATAAAATGTTGTAACTATTACATTCATTTATTCAAAAAACATGTACTGGGTGCCTTCCCTAACCAAGGATGGGCCCTAAGAGGCAGCACCTATTCTCTATTCACTATTTCAATCTGATTTCAGGGAAGAAGACAGACCTAAACTGGCCCGATTTTTACTTTTGTGCTCTCTAATCTTCTCAGTACTCAATACAATTAGAGGATCACATTATTTACCTGCTCAAAATCCTTCAATGGCTTCTCATGTCAGTAGACTAAAATCCAGACTGGTTACTTTGTCTTATTTATTCCTGAATAATCCTGCCTCTGTCTCTCTAATTTCAGGTCTTGACAGTATCATCCACAGGCCTTCTTTCAGGATCTCACATCTGCCTAGCTTCTCCCTACCTTAGGACTTTACACATGCCTCTCATCTGTCTGGAACATTCACACACACACACACACACACACACACACACACACATGCACACTCTATGCATAACTAACTCCTTCTTATTCTTCAGGTTTCAATGTAAATATAACCTCTTGGAGATAACTTCCTGAAACTAACATGTAAAATAATTCATGTCACATGCTTTCTCTTATTTTCTATTGTTTCCTTCATCATACTTACAGCAATTTGTAATCATATCATTTACTTGTTAATTTTTTAAGTTTCTTCCACTAGGTTATACATTCCATGAGGGCAGTGACACTAAGCAGTACTATATCTTGACCTAGTAGATGTTCAGTAAATTTTGTTGAATGAATATTAAATGAATAAAACAATAAGGAAATAATTGCGAGGTAGCATTTACACAAGCACATGGCAGTTTAGTACTCACTCTAGATGTATATTCTAGGAAAGACTTCATCATAATATAATAGAATTTGCGGCAAGATATTTTAATAGAAGTGAAATAATCTAGTTTGATAGGTCATATGTTCCCAGGAACATTTTTTTTTTCACTGAGTTCAATGAAATGAAGGGAAAAGAAAAATCCTTTGTGAGCACCGTCAAACCTCTTCTGAATGTACAAAGTACAGAGGTGGCTTTGGCTCTATGCAAGAAGCTTCAGGTAGTCAGTGCTTATTTTATAAGAGGAGAAAAGTGAAACTTTCTGTGAGTGACTCTAGCATTACAACTAAGACCTAAAACCCAGTCTACTTCTAGTTCCTTCCTGCTCCACTCCTCCTGTGAACACAAAGTCTAGCAATTTGTAGACAATTTACAGACATTTATCTGTGGCCTTTCTCATACTGATTATTTCTTCTTTTTTCTTTTTTTTAACTTTTAATTTCAGGGGTGCATGAGCAGGTTTGTTAGATAGGTAAATTCGTGTCATGGAGGTTTATTGTACAGGTTATTTTGTCACCCAGGTATTAGGCCTAGTACCCATTAGTTATTTTTCCAGATCCACTCCCTCCCACCCTCCACTCTCTAATAGGCCCCAGTGTCTTTTGTTTCCTTCTATGTGTCCATGTGTTCTCATCATTTAGCTCCCACTTGTAAATGAGAAGATGTGGTATTTGTTTTTCTGTTCCTGTGTTAGCTCGCTAAGGAGAATGGCCTCCAGCTCCATCCATGTTCCTGTAGAGGACATGATCTCATTCTTTTATATGGCTGTGTAGTATTCCATGGTGTATATGTACCATATTTTCTTTATCCAGTCTACCACTGATGTTTATTTAGGTTGATTCCATGTCTTTGCTATTGTGAATAGTGCTGCAATGAACATATGCATGCATGTGTTTTTATGATAGAACAATTTATATTCCTTTGGGTATATACCCAGTAATGGGATTGCTGAATCAAATGGTAGTTCTGTTTTCAGGTCTTTGAGGAACAGCCACACTGTTTTAAACAATGGTTGAACTAAGTTATAATCCCACCAATAGCGGATAAGCCTTCCTTGTCCTCCTCAATCTTGCCAGCATCTGTTATTTTTTGACTTTTTAGTAATAGCCATTTTGACTGGTGTGAGATGGTTTTGATTTGCATTTCTCTAATAATCAGTGATATTAAACTTTCTTTCATATGCTTGTTGGCTGCATGGATGTCTTTTCTTTAAATTAAATTTAATTTAATTTTGGTTTAAGTTCTGGGATACATGTACAGGACATGCAGGTTTGTTACATAGGTAAATGTGTGTGCCATGGTGGTTTGCTGCACCTATCAACCCATCACCTGGGTATTAAGCCCCACATGTATTAGCTATTTATCCTGATGCTCTCCCTCCCCTCCACCCCCCAATAGGTCCCAGTGTGTGTTTTTCCCCTCCCTGTGTCCATGTGTTGTCATTGTTCAGCTTTCACTTATAAGCGAGAACATGCATATATGTCTTCTTTTGAAAAGTGTCTGTTCATGTCCTTTGCCTACTTTCTAATGGGGTTGTTTGTATTAATATTTTTCTTGTAAATTTGTTTAATTTCCTTATAGATGCCAGATATTAGACCTTTCTCAGATGAATAGATTGCAAAAGTTTTCTCCCATTCTGCAGATTGTCTGTTTACTCTGTTCACAGTTGATTTTGCTGTTGATAGTTTCTTTAGTTTAATTAGATCTCATTTGTCAATTTTTGCTTTTGTTGCAATTTCTTTTGTCATCTTCATCACGAAATCTTTGCCAGTTCCTGTGTCCAGAATGATATTGCTTAGATTGTCTTCCAGGGTTTTTATAGTTTTGGGTTTTACATTTAAGTCTTTAATCCATCTTGAGTTGATTTTTGTAGATGGTGTAAGGAAGGGGTCCAGTTTCAATCTTCTGCAAATGGCTACCCAGTTATCCCAGAACTGTTTATTGAATAGGGAGTACTTTCTCCATTGCTTGTTTCTATCAACTTTGTCAAAGATTAGATGGTTGTAGGTGTGCACCCTTATTTCTGGGTTCTCTATTTTGTTCTGTTATTCTACATGTCACTTTTTGTACCAGTACCATGCTGTTTTGGTTACGGTAGCCCTGTATTATAGTTTGAAATTGGGTAGCGTGATGACTCCAGCTGTGTTCTTTTTGCTTAGGATTGCCTTGGCTAGTTAGGCTATTTTTTTGGTTCCATGTGAATTTTAAAATAGTTTTTTTCTAGTTCTGTGAAGAATGTCATTGGTACTTTGATAGGAATAGCCTTGAATATATAAATTGCTTTGGGCAGTATGGCCATTTTAAAAATATTGATTCCTATCCATGAGCATGGAATGTTTTTCCATTTGTTTGTGTCATCTCTGATTTCTTTGAGCAGTGTTTTATAGTTCTCCTTGTAGAGATCTTTCACCTCCCTCGTTAGCTGTATTCCTGGGTATTTTGTTCTGTTTGTGGCAGTTGTGAATGGGACTGCATTCCTGATTTGGCTCTTAGCTTAACTGTTGTTGGTGCATAGGAATGCTTAGCTTGACTATTTTTGGTGTATAGGAATGCTAGAGATTTTTGTACAATGATTTTGTATCCTGAAACTTGGCTGAAGTTGTTTATCAGCTGAAGAAGCATTTGGGCCAAGACTATGGGGATTTCTAGATATAGAATCATGTCATCTGCAAACAGGAATAGTTTGGCTTACTTTCTTCTTATTTGGATGCCCTTTATTTCTTTCTCTTGCCTCATTGGTCTGGCCAGGACTTCAAATACTTTCTTGAATAGGAGTGGTGAGAGAGGGCATCCTTGTCTTACACTGGTTTTCAAGGGGAATATTTCCAGGTTTTGCCTAGTCCATAAAATGTTGGCTGTGGATTTGTCATAGATGGTTCTTATTATTTTGAGGTATGTTCCTTCAATGTCTAGTTTATTTAGAGTTTTTAACATGAAGGGATGTTGAATTTTACTGAAAGCCATTTCTGCATCTATTGAGATAGTCATGTGGTTTTTGTTTTTAGTTCTGTTTAAATGATGAGTCACATTTGTTGATCCGCATATGTTGAGCCAATTTTTCATCCCAGGGATACAGCCTACTCAACTGTGGTGGATAAGGTTTTTAATGTGCTGCTGGATTTGGTATGCCAGTTTTTTTTGAAGAGTTTTGCACTAATGTTCATCAAGGATATTGACCTGACGTTTTCTTTTTTGTTGTTATTGTGTCTCTACCAGGTTTTGGTGTCAGGGTGATGCTGGCCTCATGAAATGAGTTAGGAAGTAGTCCCTTCTCCTCCAGTTTTTGGGATAGTTTAGTAGAAATGATACCAGCTCTTCTTTGTACATCTGGTAGAATTTGGCTGTGAATTTATCTGGTCCTGGGCTTTTTTGGGTTGATAGCCTATTTATTACTAATTCAATTTTGGAGCTCATTATCGGTCTGTTTGGGGATTTGATTTCTACCTGGTTCAGTGTTGGGAGGGTGTATGTGTCTAGGAATTTATCCATTTTCTCTAGATTCTCTAGTTGTGTGCCCATGTTCATAATATTATCTGATGGTTATTTGTATTTCTGTGGGGTCAGTGGTAATATCCCCTTTGTTATTTCTAATTGTATTAGTTGGATCTTCTCTTTATTCTTTTTTATTAGTCTAGCTAGCTATTTTATTATTTTTTTCAAAAAAACTCCAGGATTTGTTGACCTTTTGAATAGTTTTTCATGTCTCAATCTCCTTCAGTTCAGCTCTGATTTTGGTTATTTCTTGTCTTCCGCTTGCTTTGGGGTTAGTTTGCTCTTGGTTCTTTAGTTCTTTCAGTTGTGATCTCTTTAAATTGAGATCTTTATAGCTTTTTGATGTGGGCATTTAGTGCTATAAATTTCCCTGTAATCACTGCCTTAGCTCTGTCCTAGGTATTTTGGTATATTGCATATTTTTTCTCATTAGTTTCAAAGAACTTCTGATTTCTGTCTTAATTTAATTATTTACCCAAAAGTCATAGGAGCAGGTTGTTTAATTTCCATGTAATTTTACAGTCTTGAGCAATTTTCTTAGTCTTGATCTCTAATTTTATTCTGCTGTGGTCCAAGATAGTGGTTGTTATGATTTCAGTTCTTTTGCATTTGTTGAGAAGTGTTTTGTGTCTGATTATGTGGTCAGTTTTAGAATATGTGTCATGTGGTGGTGAAAAGAATATGTATTCTGTTGTTTTGGGGTGGAGAGTTCTGTAGATGTCTATCAGGCCCACTTGATTCAGTGCTGAGTTGAGGTCCTGAATATCTTTGTTAATTTCCTGCCTTGATGATATGTCTAATACTGTCAGTAGGGTGTTGAAATTTCCCACTATTATTGTTTGGGACTCTAAGTCTCTTTGTAGGTCTCTAAGAACTTGCTTTATGAATCTGGGTGTTCCTGTGTTGGGTGCATACATATTTAGGATAGTTAGGTCTTGTTGAATTGGACCCTTTACCATTACATAATGCCCTTCTTTGTCTTTTTTATCTTTGTTGGTTTAAAGTCTGTTTTGTCTGAAATGAGGATTGCAACCCCTTCTTTTTCCTGTTTTCCATTTGCTTGGCAGATTTTTCTCCATTCCTTTATATTGAGCCTATGGGTGTCATTGCATGTGAGATGGGTCTCTTGGAGACAGCATACCAATTGGTCTTGGTTCTTTATTCAGCTTGCAACTCTGTGCCTTTTAATTGAGGATATTTAGCCCATTTACACTCAAGGTTAGGATTGATATGTGTGGATTGGATCCTGTCATCATGATATTAGCTAGTTATTATTCAGACTTGTTTGTGTGGTGGCTTTATAATTTCATTGGTCTGTGTATTTCAGTGCATTTTTGTAGTGGTTGTTAATGGTCTTTCCTTTTCATGTTTAGTGCTTCCTTTAGAAGCTTTTGTAAGGCAGTTCTGGTAATAATGAATTGCCTCAGCATTTGCTTATCTGAAAAATATCTTATTTCTCCTTCACTTATGAAGGTTAGTTTGGCTGGATATGGAATTCTTGGTTGAAATTTCTTTAAGAATGTTGAGATCATGGCAGATGGGAGGCAGGACTACATTGCAGCCCCCACTCGGACAGAGAGACAGTGTGTGCAGGCTGACATCATGAACTTTTGCTCCAGCATGACTGCAGGAATACACTAGGAAAGTCAAGAGAACCCACAGACCCTCTGAAGGAAGCAGATTGCTCCTGCAGGACCCAGGAGACACCCCAAATACTGTGGAGTGGCCAAACTGTGGAAGTGGGAAAGGGAGATCGTCCACCCTTGAACACATGCCCCCACTGGGGAAACTGGAGGTCTAGATTAAGGAGATTCTGACCTTACCTGGAGCAGAGTCCATTTAGAGAGCCAAGTGAAATACAAGTGTAGAGGAAGCAGTGGGAAAAGCCCTGTCGGATTGCTGGGCCGCCTAGCAAGCCATTTCTGCCTTGTCTCACAGGGGTCCTTGAGGAGGGCTGCCAGAGGCACTGGGAAAATGTCACAAGAAGGAAACCTCCAACTGAACTTTGTAACAATTTGAACTGATTGAGAAGTCTTCTGGCCAGAACTCAGGGGAGGGCATGAATCCAGTGTGCAGACTCCACAGGCAGGAGAATAATGAAAGCCCTATTTGCTTTCACAGCTGGGAGGCAGGTAGCCTGGGGCAAGCTGTTAGCCCTGCTCATCTACTTCCTGGAAACAGACTCTGTGCTGTTGCAGGGGGGAATGGTGGGAGTGAGACCAGCCTTATGGGTTGCTTGGGAACTGGGTGAGTCCTGTGATTGCCAGCTTTCCCCCATTTCCCTGACAACCTACATGACACAGTAGAGGCATCCATAAGCTTCCTAGGAACATAATTCTATTGACCTGGGAACCTCACCTTCATCCCCCACAGCAGCTGCAGCAAGACCTGTCCAAGTAGAGTCTGAGCTCAGACATGCCTAGACCTGCCCCCACTTAATGGTCCTTTTACCCACCCTGGTAACTGAAGACAAAGGACATATACTCTTGAGAGTTCTAGGGCCCTGCCCACCACCTGTTCCTCCCCATACTACCATAGCTGACCCTCTCTTGAAACCGCCACCTCCTGGCAGGAGGCCAAATAGCACAAAAATAGTGCATTAACCAACCAAATATAAGGATTCTCACAGAGTCCATTTCACCCCCCTGCCACCTTCACTGAAGCAAGTGCTGGTATCCACGGCTGAGAGACCCACAGACAGTTCATATCACAGGACTCTGTGCAGACAACCCCCAGGACCAGCCTGGAGCCTTGTACACTTGCTGGGTGGCTAGGTCCAGAAGAGAGATAACAATCACTACAGCTTGGCTCTCAGGAAGCCACCTCCCTAGGAAAAGGGAGAGACTACTACCTCAAGGGAACAACCCATGGGACAAAAGAATCTAAACAATAGCCTTGAGCCCTAGGCCTTCCTTTAGCAAATGAGAAGAAACCAGAAAACAACTCTGGTAATATGACAAAACAAGGTTCTTTAACACCATCAAGAAAGCACATTAGCTCACCAGCAATGGATCCAAACCAAGAAGAAATCCCTGATTTACCTGAAAAAGAATTCAGAAGGTTAGTTATTAAGCTAATCATGGAGGCAACAGAGAAAGGCAAGGTCCAGTGTAAGGAAATCCAAAAAATGATACAAGAAGTGAAGGGAGAAATATTTAATGAAATAGATAATGGACAAACTTATAGAAATGCAAAATGCTCTGGAAAGTCTCAGCAATAGCATCGAACAAGCAGAAGAGAAAACTTCAGAGCTCAAAGACAAGGTTTTTGAATTAACCCAATCTGACAAAGAAAAAAGAATAAGAAAATATGAACCAAGCCTCCAAGAAATCTGGGATTAGGTTAAACAACCAAACTTAAGAATAATCAACATTCCTGAGGAAGAGAAGAAACCTAAAAGTTTGGAAAATATGTTTGGGGGAGTAATTGAGGAAAACTTTCCCAGCCTTGCTAGAGAACTAGATATCCAAATACAAGAAGCTGAAAGAACTCCTGGGAAATTCATCGCAAAAAGGTAATCACCTAGGCACATTGTCATCAGGTTATCTAAAGTTAAGACAAAGGAAAGAATCTTAAAAGCTATGAGGCAAAAATGCCAGGTAACCTAAAAAAGAAAACCTATCAGATTAACAGCAGATTTCTCAGCAGAATCCTACAAGCTAGAAGAAATTGGGACCCTATCTTCAGCCTCCTCAAATGAAACAATTATCAGCAAAGAGTTTTATTTCCAGCGAAACTAAGCTTCACAAATGAAGGAAAGATACAGTTGTTTTCAGACAAAAAAATGCTGAGAGAATTCACCACCACCAAGCCAGCACTATAAGAACTGCTAAAAGGAGCTCTAAATCTTGAAACAAATCCTGGAAATGCATAAAAACAGAACCTCTTTAAAGTATAAATCTAACAGGACCTATAAAACAAAAATGCAATTTAAAAAAAGGTACAGGCAACAAATAGCACAATGAATGGAATGGTAGCTCACATCTCAATACTAATATTGAACATAAATGGCTTAAATGTTCCACTTAAAAGATACAAATTGCAGAATGGATGAGAATTCACCAACCAACGATCTGCTGCCTTCAAGAGACACAACTAACACATAAGGATTCACGTAAACTTAAGGTAAAGGGATGGAAAAAGTCATTCCATGCAAATGGACACCAAAAGCGACCAGAAGTAGCTATTCCTATATCAGACAAAACATGTTTTTTTTTATTATACTATAAGTTCTGGGACACATGTGCAGAATGTGCAGGTTTGTTACATAAGTATACATGTGCCATGGTGCTTTGCTGCACCCATCAACCTGTCATCTACATTAGCTATTTCTCCTAATGCTATCCCTCCCCTTGCTTCCCACCCCCAGGCAGGCCCCGATGTGTGATGTTCCCCTCCCTGTGTCCATGTGTTTTCATTGTTCAACTCCCACTTATGAGTGAGAACATGCGGTGTTTGGTTTTCTGTTCCTGTGTTAGCAGATAAAACAAATTTTAAAGCAACAGCAGTTAAAAAAGACAAGGAGGGACATTATATAATAATAAAAGGCCTTGTCCGACAGGAAAATATTACAATCCTAAATATATATGCACCTAACACTGGAGGTCCCAAATTTATAAAACAATTACTAAGAGACCTAAGAAATGAGATAGACAGAAACACAATAATAGTGGGAGACTTCAATCCTCCACTGATGGCATGAGACAGTTCATCAAGACAGAAAGTCAACAAAGAAACAATTGATTTAAACTATACCCTGTAGTAAATGGACTTACCAGATATTTACAGAACATTCTACCCAACAAACACATAATATACATTCTATTCAACAGTGCATGGAACTTTCTCCAAGATGGACCATATAATAGGCCACAAAAGAAGTCTCAATAAATTTATGAAAATTGAAATTATATCAAGCACTCTCTCAGACCACAGTGGAATAAAACTGGAAATCAACTCCACAAGGAACCTTCAAAACCATGCAAATACATGGAAATTAAATAACCTGCTCCTGAATGATCATTGGCTCAAAAACGAAATCACGATGGAAATTTAAAAGTTCTTCAAACTGAACGACAATCATGATACAACCTGTCAAAACCTCTGGAATACAGCAAAGACGGGGCTAAGAGGAAAGTTCATAGCCCTAGATGCCTACATCGAAAAGCCTGAAAGAGCTCAGACAATCTAAGGTCACACCTTAAGGAACTAGAGAAACAAGAACAAGCCAAACCCAAACCAAGCAGAAAAAAGGAAATGACCAAGATCAGAGCAGAACTAAATGAAACTAAAACAAACAAACAAAAATACAAAATGAAAAAAAGGTGGTTCTTTGAAAAGATAAATAAGATTGACAGACCATTAGCAAGACTAACCAAGAAAAGGGAGAAAATCCAAATAAGCTCAATTAGAAATGAAACGGATGATATTACAGCTGACACCACAGAAATACAAAAGATTATTCAAGGCTACTATGAACACCATTATGAACATAAACTAGAAAACCTAGAGGAGATGGACAAATTCCTCAAAAAAATACAACCTTCCTTGCTTAAATCAGGAAGAATTAGATACCCTGAACAGACAAATAACAAGCAGTGAGATTGAAACGGTAATAAAAAAAATTACCAACAAAAAAAATCCAGGACCAGATGGATTCACAGCAGAATTCTACCAGACATTCCAAGAATTGGTACCAATCCTATTGACACTATTCCACAAGATAAAGAGGGAATCCTCCCCAAATTATTCTACGAAGCCAGTATCACCCTAATACCAAAACCAGGAAAGGACATAACCAAAAAGGAAAACTACAGACCAATATCCCTAATAACATAAATGCTAAAATCCTTAACAAAATGCTAGCTAACCAAATCCAACACATATCAAAAAGATAATCCACCATGATCAAGTGGGTTTCATACCAGGGATGCAGGGATGGTTTAACATATGCAAGTCAATAAATGTGATACACCACATAAACAGAATCAAAAACAAAAATCACGTGATCATCTCAATAGCTGCAGAAAAAGCATTCAACAAAACCCAGCATGGCTTTATGATTAAAACTCTCAGCAAAATTGACATACAAGGGACATACCTCAATATAATAAAAGCCATCTATGACAAACCCAAAGTCAACATCATACTGAATGGGGAAAAGTTGAAATCATTCCCTCTGAGAACTGGAACAAGACAAGGATGCCCACTCTCACCACTTCTCTTCAACATAGTACTGGAAGTCCTAGCCAGAGCAATCAGACAAGAGAAATAAAGGGCATCCAAATGGGTAAAGAGGAAGTCAAACTGTCGCTGTTTGCAGATGATACAATTGTTTACCTAGAAGGTCCTAAAGAATCCTCCAGAAAGCTCCGAGAACTGATAAAAGAATTCAGCAAAGTTTCTGGATACAAAATTAATGTACATAAATCAGTAGCTCCTCTATACACCAACAGTGACCAAGCTGAGAATCAAATCAAGAACTCAATGTCTTTTACAATAGCTGCAATAAATAAAATATTTAGGAATATACCTAACCAAGGAGGTGAAAGACCTCTACAAGGAAAACTAAGAAACACTGCTGAAAGAAATCATCCCATGCTCATGAATGGGTAGAATCAATATTGTGAAAATGAACATACTGCTAAAAGCAATCTACAAACTCAATGCAATTCCCATCAAAATACCACCATCATTCTTCACAGAATTAGAAAAAACAATTCTAAAATTCATACAGAACCAAAAAAGCCCACAGAACCAAAACTAGACTAAGGAAAAAGAACAAATCTGGAGTCATTACATTATCTGATGTCAAACTGTACCGTAAGGTCATAGTCACTGAAAAGTATGGTACTGCTATAAAAATAGGCACATAGACCAATGGAACAGAATAGAGAACCCAGAAATAAACCCTAATACTTACAGCCAACTGATCTTAGACAAAGCAAACAAAAACATAAAATGGGGAAAGGACACTCTATTCAACAAATGGTGCTGGAATACTTGGCAAGCCACATGTGGGAGAATGAAACTGGATCTTCATCTCTCACCTTATACAAAAATCAACTCAAGATGGATCAAGAACTTAAATCTAAGACCTGAAACTATAAAAATTCAAGAAGATAACATTGGAAAAACCCTTCTAGACATTGGCTTAGGCAAGTTTTCATGACCAGGAACCCAAAAACAAAAGCAATAAATACAAAGATAAATAGCTGTGACTTAATTAAACTAAAGAGCTTTGCACGGCAAAAGGAACAGTTAGCAGAGAAAACACACAACCCACAGAGTGGGAGAAAATCTTCACAATCTATACATCCAACAAAGGACTAATATATCCAGAATCTATAACAAGTTCAAACAAATTAGCAAGAAAAAAAGCAAACAATCCCATTAAAAAGTGGACTAAGGACATGAATAGACATTTCTTGAAAGAAGATATATTAATGGCCAAAAAACATATGAAAAAATGCTCAGCATCACTAATGATCAGGGAAATGCAAGTCAAAACCACAATGCGATACCACCTTATTCCTGCAAGAATGGCCATAATAAAAAAATAAAGAAATAATAGATGTTGATGTGGATGCAGTCCACAGGGAACACTTCTACACTGCTGGTGGGAATGTAAACTAGTACAACCACTATGGAAAACAGTGTGAAGATTCCTTAAAGAGCTAAAAGTAGAACTACCATTTGATCCAGCAATCCCATTACTGGGTATCCGCCCAGAGGAAAAGAAGTCATTATATGAAAAAGATACTTGCACACACATGTTTATAGCAGCATAATTTGCAATCACAAAAATGTGGAACCAACCCAAATGCCCATCAGTCAATAAGTGGATAAAGAAACTGTGAGATAGATAGATATATATATATATATATATATATATATATATATATATATATATATATATATATATAAAATAAAATACTACTCAGCCATAAAAAGGAGTGAATTAATGACCTGGATGAGATTGGAAACTATTATGGTAAGTAAAGTACCTCAGGAATAGAAAACCAAATATCGTATCTTCTTACTCATAAGTGGGAGCTAAGCTATCAGGATGCAAAGGCATAAGAATGACACAATGGACTTTGGGGACTCGGGGGAAAGCATGGGAAGGGACTGAGGGATAAAAGACTACAAATTGGGTGACATGTATACTGCTCAGGTGACGGGTGCACCAAAATCTCACAAATCACCACTAAAGAACTTACTCATGTAACCAAACACTGCCTGTTGCCCAATAACCCATGGAAATCTTTAAAAAAATAAAATAAAAATAAAAAGAATGTTGAATATTGACCCCTAATTGCTTCTGGCTTGTAGGTTTTCTGCTAAGAGGTCTGCTATTAGTCTGATGAGCTTCCCTTTGTAGGTGTCCTGACCTTTCTCTCTAGCTGCCTTTAACATTTTTTCTTTCCTTTGGACCTTGGAGAATTTCATGATTATGTGTCTTAGGGATGATCTTCTTGTGAAGTATCTTGCTGGGGTTCTCTGCATTTCCTGAATTTGAATGTTGGCCTTGCTAGCTAGGTTAGGGAGGTTCTCATGCATGGTATCCTGAAGTACATTTTCCAAGTTGGTTTCATTCTCCCCATCTCTTTCAAGAACACCAGTGAGTCACAAATTTGATATCCTCACATAATCCCATATTTCTTGGAAATTTTGTTTATTCATTTTCCTTCTTTTTCTCTATTCTTGTCTGTCTTATTTCAGAAAGCCAGTCTTCACGCTCTGAAATTCTTTCTTTTGCTTGGCGTATTCTCCCATTAATGCTTACAATTGCATTCCTAAATAATTGTAGAATGTTTTTCAGCTTTGTTAGGTTGATTACTTTCTTTTCTATACTGGTTATTTATCTGTCAGCTCTTGTATCATTTTATTGTGATCCTTAGCTTCTTTGGATTGGGATTCAACATACTCCTGCATCTCAATGACCTTCATTCTTATTCATATTCCAAATTCTATTTCTGTCATTTCAGCTATCTCAGTTCAGTTCAGAACCCTTGCTGGAGAGGTAGTGAGTGCGGTTGTTTGGAGAAAGAAGACACTTTGGCTTTTTGAGTTGTCAGAGTTCTTGCACTGGTTCTTTCTCGTCTTTGTGGGCTAGTGTTTCTTCAGTCGTTAAAGTTGCTGTCCTTTGGGTGGATTTTTTTTTCTTTTATTCTGTTTGATGAGCTTGAGGGTTTGATTGTGGTATAAGATGGATTCAGTCCACTGGCTTCATTTCTGGAAAATTTTAGTGGGTACCAAGTCTCAGCTCCCAGCTCCTGGACTGCAGGCTGTAACTCTTAGGGACTTGTTTCGGGTCCTGACTTTGTTCTCTGGCTCCTCAAGGCTAGGAACCCACTGTGCTGGGGGAGTTGAGATGCTGCCACTCTACTGGTCCCTAAACTCTGATGGGTAGTGCCAACAAAAATGTGGTGGCAGTGGGCTCTGTCCTTGTTTGCACATGCCAGCAGCAGCAGCAGTGGCAGTGTCAACATGGAGGGGTGCACACTCATTGGCTACAGTAGGATGGTAGAGAGTGCTGGGATGCCTTCCTCCATGTAGGTGTTTACAGCAGCAGCAGAAGTAAGACTGCTTAGAGGGGTGGGGAGGCCCCTGCTGGCAACTGTGCTTATGGGCATGCTGGTGGTGGTGTTAGCATGGGGGTGGGGTGCTCTTCTTTTTTCAACATAAAATGATTTTCAGTTATTTGTAAAAGGGCTTCTTACATATAACTGGGAAGGAAGAGGTGAGGTTTGTGTTTTTAAATTACAGATGCTCCTTTAAAAAAATTGGAACTGTATTTTCATCAGTGAAACCCTCTGCTTTAAAATCTCAGTGTCATTGCCAAAGACTAAATACATTGACCTTGGACTCAATTTTGAGCTACACATTCATTTCTCTAGAATGTTGGTAAAAGTTGCAGAAGTAGAGTCATCTGTATATTTCTCTTCAAGTCCTTAAACTTTTAGTAAACCATTATTTATGGATCTAACACACTTGTAAACAATGCCAGCAACATATTATTTGTCCTGCATGCTTATAAAATTCTTTTTTTTTTTTTTGGTCATGGTTAGATGATTCCCGGTAACTACATTTTAATTCTAATTCTGAGAAGTAAGTAACAAAAAAACTATAATCCTTAAAAAAATCAGTTGAATTAACAAAGGCACTTGCTTCACACAAGATTAAATTAGGCCATATGAAAAGTTACTTTGCATAATCTCTTCATGACTTTGCATCTAGTTATTTCCAAGCTAATATATCTAGCCTCTAATTCAAAAAGAATTGTAGACATGACTTTATTATCTTCCTTATGGAAAATTTCTTGATAAAAATTAGGTTGCTTCACTATTGATTTGAATCTAATTTTAGCAGTGGTTAGAAGTTCCAACACAGCTTTCTACAAGGATTTGAGATTTGACATCCATCTTAGTAGGTGTTGATTTACTTTCTGTTTTAAGCAGTTTCCACATTAGGGATTTGGGGCTCATTCTACCCACAAACCCTAATAATTGCCTAGGTATAATGCTACTCTGCATATATCACATGACTGGTGGAAAAATAAATCATTCATTTAACAAATATTGATCAAAGTTCTGCTGTGTGCCAACTATTATGGCAAGTGTGGAAGAATCAGAATTAACTAAGAAGAAAAAACAGACATGGAAACATTTCAAGGAAGAACTAGCTAGAAGGGAAGGATACAGAAGGATGGTGTTGGCACAAATCTCTGCTTTAGGTAAGTCAGGAAGTTTTCTAAAGGAGACATTTAAGTAGGAATTTTCCTTTTGGAGTTGGGTTGGAGAGTAGGTAAGAAGAAATCAGGAGGGTTGAGCATTCCAAGGAAAGAAAACAGTAAAAGACTAGGGACATGAAATAATTTATTGCACATTGCTTGGCTTGGATGTAATTAGTAGAGTAGTTAGTTAGGCAACAAGTATTTATCAAATAACTACTAAGTGCCAAGCATCTTGCTTGGTTTTGGAGATTTCAGATGTAAAGAAGACAGACCCACAAAAATATTACAGGTAAGCCCAGAAGACAGATATTAAAGAAATGATTTCAAGTGTGTTACGTGCTTCAAAGAAGTGTTACTAAGTCTAGAAGAATAATAAGTTTGAAGTACCGAATGTTGCTCCTCTCTCTCAAGTTTGCCTACTTTTTCCTAACTTCATAAAGGCTTTCTTTTCCTGTCTCCATTCACAAACCCAATTCAAGTAGCTAGTCTCATTGCCTAAGAATACACTTTGACATTATGTAGAAAAGAAATAATCTCTGAGGCTTTTCCTAGTTTTGTCATTATTGGTATAATGATTGAAAGCATGGAAGTGGATAATTGACCTAAAGAGAACAAAGGGTGTAAGTGGAAAAAAAAAAAAAAAAAAAAAGCAGGGCCCAGCATAGAGCTATGAGGAGTGCACAAAGAAACTTAAGAAAGAGCTAAACAAGAAGTCAGAGTAAAAACAGACTGAGAGAGAGGGTAGGCAAGTGAGTTGGAGACACAGGCAAGGCCCAGATCATGAAGGACCATGTAAATAATGAAAGAGTTTTGTTCGAAATGGCCCCACACCCTCAGCTGTTCCTTAGTTACCCTTCCTCTACTCCCTGAACCAGGTTACTCCTTTTGTCGCTCCTCTATGGACATTTCAGAAAGTCCCCTATTTCCTCTGTTCAACACCCATTGCCTTGGGACAACCCTCCTCTTGCCCACACACATATGACTGATATGACTTAGCCAACTTTACTATGAGAAATGTAGTGGTACTGAAAGGATTTTTTCTCCCACTGTTTGTTTTCTCTCTGTTAAACATTTTTGTGAGTTTTATTATAGTATAATTTACATAAATAAAATTCATCAAGCTTAAGTGCATACTTCACTGAATTTGGACAATTGGGCATAGAGTGTAACCACAATCACATTCATGGCATGGAACTTCCCATCACCATGAAAAGTTACTGTATACTCCCTTTGCAGTTAATTTTTTCTCTCCACCCTCTGGAAAACAGTGATTGGGTTTCTGACACTATAGTGTGGCTTTTTCTAGAATTTCATATAGTGGAATAATAGAATATGTAGTCTTTTGTATGTGACTTCTTTCACAAACCATAATAATTTATAGAATCATCAATGCGAGTATAAGTAGTTTTTCCCCTTTATTGTTGAGTAGTCATTCATAATATGGATATGCCACAAACTGTTCATTCATTCTCAAGTTGATGGTATAAGGGAGCTTCAAAAAGTTCATAGAAAATGGAATTAAAAGACAAAAATAAAAAATGTAAACATTATAAACATAAGTTCAATCAAGTAAACTTAGACACTTTTATAAGTGATGATACCAGTTATTTAGTTCATCCCTAAAGAACTGAGGGTCCTGGAAATTTAACCATGCCAATGCAGTCTTCTTTACATTATTAGCTGAAGAAAAATGGGTGCCATGTAAATATTCTTTAAGATTTGGAAACAAAAAGAAATCAGAAGGAGCCAAATCAGGACTGTAAGTTGGATGTCTAATGATTTCCCATCAAAACTCTTGCAAAATTGCCTTTATTTGATGAGAGGAATGAGCAG
The DNA here is from genome assembly GCF_000001405.40 of Homo sapiens. Lineage (NCBI taxonomy): Eukaryota > Metazoa > Chordata > Mammalia > Primates > Hominidae > Homo > Homo sapiens. The sequence goes on along the minus strand of NC_000006.12, from coordinate 79,124,852 downwards.
GAACATAGTCATGGTGGAAAAGGTTAAATTTTCTGGGGTGTTTTTCTGCTAAAATGTTGGCTAAATTTCCCAAAACACTCTCATAATAAGCAGATGTTGGCCTTCCAGAAACTCACCAAGCAAAATGCTTTGAGTATCCCAAAAACTGTCACCATCACCTTTGTCCTTGACTGGCCCACTTTTGCTTCAACTGGACCACTTCCACCACTTGGTAGCCATTGCTTTGATTGTGCTTTGTCTTCAGGGTAGTACTGGTAAAGTCATGTTTCATCTCCTGTTACAATTCTTTGAAAAAATGCTTCAGGATCTTGATCCATTATTTAAAATTTCCATTGAAAGACCTGCTCTTGTCTGTAGTTAATTTGTGTGCAACCAGTTTGGCACCCACTGAGTTAAAAGTTTACTCAGCTTTAATTTTTCAGTCAGAATCATATACACTAATCCAATTGAGATGTCTATGGTATTGGCTATTATGTTTTTAATCATTGGTCGTCTTCAATTAGGGCATGAACAGGATGAGTTTTTCTTACAAATACATGCAGATGATCTGCCTCTGCAGATTTCATCTTCAACATCATCTCATCTCTCCTTACAACAAGTTATCCATTTGTAATCTGCTGATTTATTTGGAGCATTATCTCCATAAACTTTGTATAAAGCACCAATGATTTCACCATTCTTCATCAGAAATTAAATCTTTGTTCTTGTTTCAATATTAGCAGCATTTATGTTGCTTTGATAAGAGCTCTTTTAAAACCAATGTCTTATCCTTCTTATTGCTGCAAACTAGATCTTGTTAAGACATGTAATAGCAGGTTAGTATGAGTTTATTTTGGTGCAAAAATTTTTTTGAAATCCACGCACTGGGTTTTTTTTATGATATACATTTTCCATGAGCTTTGAAGACCCCTCATATTTCAATTGTTTTCAGCTTGAGACTACTATGAATGAAGCTTCTATAAGCTTTGCTGTACAACTCTTCATGGAAGTGTGTGTTCATTTCTTTTGGGCAAATCCTAGGAGTGAAACTGTTAAGTCATATGGAAAGTGTATGTTTACTATTATAAGAAACTGCAAATTGTTTTCCAAAGTGGCTATGCCATTTCATATTCTGTCCAGAAATGTATGAGAGTTCCAGTCGCTCAACATTTTCATCAGTACTTGCCAGTCTTTAATTTGACCCATTATAGCAGGTGTGTAGTTGTGCCTCACTGTGGTTTGAATTTGCATTTCCCTAATGACTAATGATGCAGAATATTTTTACATATACTTATTTGGCATTTGTACCTCTTTTTGGTGAAGCCTGTGTTTACATATTTTGCTCATGTTTTAAAACAATTTTTGTCTTCTTATTACTGAGTAATGCAAGAACTTTATATATTCTGGATATAAGTCCTTTATGACATAATGTGTTTTGCAAATATTTTCTCTCAGTTTAGTGCTTGACTTTTTATTTACTTGTCAATGACTTTTGAAGAGCAAAGTTTTAAATTACAATGAAGTTCAATTTATCTTTTTTCTTTTATAGTTTGTGTTCTTCATATCCTAGTTAAGAAATCTTTGATAAATCCAAGTTCATTAAAAATTTGTCCTGTGTCTTCATCTAGAAGTTTTATAGTTTTAGCTCTTACATGTACATCTATACTCAATTTTTAATTAATTTTTGTATATGATTTGAGAAAATGATCAAAATTAATTTCCATATAAAATGTTATTATTTTAGTACCATTTGTTTAATGATTATCATTTCCCCCATTGAGTTATCTTGACCACTTTGTTGAAAATTAATTGATCACATATTTTTAAGTCCATTTCTTCAATTTTTGCTGTGTTCCATTAATTGCTACACCAATACCACTATTGATTATTTTGAAATCAAGAATTATAAGCCTTTCTACATTGTTGTTATTTTTCAAAATTGTTTTGGCTATTTCACATGCCTTGCATTTCCAAATAAATTTTAGAATAATTTATCAATTTCTACAAAAAGAAATTTGCTAGATTTTAATTGTAATTATATTAAATCTGTAGATTGATTTGAGGAAAATATACAGCTCAATAATATCTAATCTGTAAGCATGTTATATCTCTTTAATTATATCGGTTTTATTTATTTTCTTTCAGCAATGTCTTATAGTTTTCCATATACAGGTTGTAAACATATTTTGTTGAATTTATCCTTAAGTATTTTATACATTGTGGCTACTGAATTGGTGTTTTAAATTTTTTTAATTTTCAATTTTTCATTGCTAACATATAGAAATTAAATACGTTTTTATGTTGACCTTTTAACCTGCAACCTTGTTAAATTCATTTATTAGTTCTTATAACTTACAGAGTTCACTGAGTTTATTATATACATGATCATGTAATCTACAAATAACATTTTTCTTTGCAATCTCTATGACATATTTATTGCTTTGTTGCATTTATTAAAACTTTTGATATGATAATAGGAGTGGTAAGAGTGGATATCCTTTTCTTCTCAATCTTAAGGAAAAAGCATGCAATCTTTCACCATGAAGTATTATGTTTGTTGTAGGTTTTTTTAGTTACCTTTTATCAGATTCAGGACATTTTCTTTAGTCTCATTTTGCTGGGAATTTTTCTAATGGCTGGGTATTTAATTTTACCAAATGATTTTTTTCTTCATCTATTGAGAATGTCAAATATTTTTTTCTATATTGTTTCTTAATATGGTAAATTACATTAATTGACTTTTTAAAATGTTGAACCAACTTTGCATTCCTAAGACAAATTTCTCTTAGTCTTGATGCATTATCTTTTTAAAATATATGTATTGCTATATGCAATTTACTGATATTGTGAAGATTTTTGCACCTATATCCTTGAGAGATATTAGTCTGTAGGAATTTTGTCCTTTGTAATGTCTTTGTAATGATTTGTTACCAGGTTAATACTAGTCTTATAAAATGAGTAGGGGAGTGTTCCCTTCTCTCTTATTTTCTGGACAAATTTGGATAGAGTCTGTATTATTTCATCTTTAAATGTCTGACGTAATTTGCCAATAAAGTCATTTTGTGGAGTCTTCCTTCATTTTTCTGAGACCAAGTATCGCTCTGTCGCTTAGGCTGGGGTGAAGTGGCATGATGTCGGCTCACTGCAACCTCTGCCTCCCAGGTTGGAGTGATTCTCCTGCCTCAGCCTCCCAAGTAGCTGGGATTACAGTGTGTGCCACCATGCCCAGCTATTTTTTTTTTCTTTGTACTTTTAGTAGAGACGGGGTTTCACCTCATTGGCCAGGCTGGTCTCAAACTCCTGACCTCAGGTGATCCACCTGCCTCAGCCCCACAAAGTGCTGGGATTACAGGTTTGAGCCACCGTGCCCGACCACTGGAGTTATCTTTGTGTGCAGCTTTTTAAACTATAAATTCATTTCCTTTAATAAACACTGGCTATTCCAGTTATTTAAGTAAGTTGCTTCTTGAGTATGCTTTGATATTTTGTATCTTTCAAGAAATTTGTCCATTTCATCTAAGTTCCTAAGTGGTAGGTATAAAGATATTCATATGTCCCTATTATACTATTAATATAGGTATCATCTTAGTGATGCCTATTTTTATATTCCTGATATTATTAGTTTGTATTTTCTCTCTTCTTGATCAGCTTGTCTAGAGGTTATCTAACTTTATTCATTTTCTCAAGGAATCAGCTTTGGTTTCATTGATTTTAAAACATTTTTGTTTTCCATTTCATTAATTTATGCTCTTAGCTCTATTATTTTCTTTCTACTGCTTGCTTTAGGTTTAATTTGCTCTTCTTTTGCTAGTTTCTTAAAGTGAAAGCTTATTGATTTAAGAACTTTATTCATTTCTAATAGGAACATTTACTACTATAAACTTCCTTCTAAATCATACTTTGTCACAGAAATGTTTATATATGTGTGTTCATTTTATTCAGTTTAAAATATTTACTAACTTTCCCCGTGATTTATTTTTTGACCCATATTTTATTTATATGTGTGTTAAATTCCTGGTATTTGAGGATTTTTCCGGGTATCTTAGTATTTAGCTCAATTCTATTGTGGTTAGAGAACATATTTTTCATGACTTCAGTTATTTTAAATTTCCTGAGGTTGGTTTTATGGCCTAACATATGGTCTATCTTGGGGGACTATTCCATGTGCACTGAAGAAGAATGCATGTTCTGCTGTTTCGAGGTGCAGTGCTCTATAAATAGCAATTAGGTGAAGTGCTGTTCAGGTCTTCCGTGTTCTTACTGAATCACTCTCTGATTTTTCTGTCAACTACCAAGAAAAGAGTGTTGAAGTATCTAAATACAATTTTGGTTTTGTCTGTTTCTCTTTTCAGTTCTACCACTTTATGTTTTATGCATTTGAAGACCTGTTATTAGGTAGACACACATTATGTTATGTCTTTGCAATAAACTGGCCCTTTACCATTATGTAACGTTTCTTTTTCTCATTTTGAAGTCTGACTTCGATGTACCGAATTCAGTATTCTTTTAATTAGAATTTCATATTTTATGTTTTCCATAATTTTAATTTTATTTTATACTTTTACTTTCAGCCTACCTATGTCTTTATATTTACAGTGGATTTCTTGTAAACAGCATTTAGTCTGTTATTGCTTTTACATCTAATAAATTTCTGTCACTCAGCTTGCGTGGTTAGAACAGTACTGTCCAGTAAGGTAGCCTCTAACCACACGTGACTCTGAAGAGCTTAAAATATGTATGACTGGTCTGAATTGAGATGCATTGTAAGTATAAAATACACATGGAATTTTAATGATTTTGTATAAAACAGAATGTAGAATCTCTCATTGATCTTTGTTGATATGTTAATATATGCAATATGTTAATATAATATGTATATAATTATATATAATTAATACAATAGCTAATATAATTTGTATAGTTACATATAATGATTTGTATACATTCTATTAAGCAAAATATATTATACAATTAATCTGTTTCTATCTTTAATGTGGCTACTAGAAAATTTAAAATTACTTACCTTGCTCACATTATATTTCTATAGAACAGCACAAGCTTAGTCTACTTTAGTTCAATTTAATGGTTGATTGTTGATATGATTTATTTAAAATCTGTCATCTTGCTGGTTGTTTTCTATTTGTTCTATTTATTATTTTTCCCCTTTCTTCTCTTTCTCTGCCTGCTTTTGAAATAATTTACGACTTTATTTTTCTTCACTACTGGCTTATTATTTATACACTTTAAAAACGTTTAAAATTCCTAAGGTTTACAACTTACATTTTAAATTTACCACAGGCTACCTTTAAATAATGTTATACTACTTTTGATATAGTATAAGTATCTTTCACAGCAAAATATTCTCTTTTTCGCTTCATTTATGTTATTTTTTCACACATTGTATATGCCTTTATATGTGCCACAATCCACAACACATTGCTTCTATTTTTGCATTAGTCAGCTGTTTCCTAAAATAAGGGAAATGCCTTTTATATTTACTTTCATCTTAAGTACTTCTGGAGCTCCTCATTTCTTTGTATAAATCAAGGTTTCTCCATGTATCATTTTCTTTCTGCATGAAGAACCTCCTTTTACATTTTTTTAGTAGCACAAGTGTGCTCATACTGCTTTCATTCAGCTTTTGTTTTTCAGGAAAAACAAACAAACAAATGTTATTTTACCTCTACTTTTGAAAGATACTTTTTTTCCAGATATAAAAATCCAGGTTGACAGTTTTATCTTTCAGTACTTTAAAGATGTCACTCCATTGTCTCCTGGCTTGTATAGTTTCTGATGTAAGGTTGGCTTTAATTATTATCACTATTCCTTTATATGTGATGTGTGTATTTTCTCTTGATGCATTCAAAATTGTTTCTTTATTTTTGGTTTTATGCATTTTGAATATGATGTGTGCAGAGGTTTTTTTTATACTCTTGAGCAAAAAAATACTCTAGGCTTTTTGAATCAATATTTGTCTTCTTTAATTAATTTGGACCACTATCTCTTCAAGAATTTATTTGGTCTCATTGCATCTCTTCTCTTTCTTCAATTCCAATTGCATGTACATCAGACCACTTTTACATTAGATGAGAGCTCTTGGATGCTTTGTTATGGTTCTTTCCACCCTTTTTTATCCCTTTGTGTTTTAGTTTAAATGAGTTTTATTCAGCTATTTTCAAGTTCACAGATTATTTCCTGTATCAAGTCGACTGAGGACTGCATTGAAGGCATTCTTTAGTTGTGTTGCTTTGTTTTTTTATTTCTAGTATTTTATTAGTATATTTTTACGGTTTCTATCTTCTGCTAAAATTCTCCATGTGATCATGTATGTTGATCAGCTTTACAAATAAAATCTTTAACATTTTAATATAGTTATTTTAAATTCCCTGTCTGATTTCCAACCTCTAGGATATCTCTGAGTCTGAGTCTATAAATTGCTTTGTCTTTTCACAATGTGTTGCTTTTTCTTATCTTTTTATGTCTGGTAATTTTTATTGAATACTAGGCATTGTATATAGAACAGTCAAAATTGAAATAAATGCTATTCATGCATAGAAATAAGCATTTTTTTTCCTTCTGCTAGACTATCAGTGTTGGGGTTGAGTCAGTCTAGCCAGAAATTTAAGTGGATTTTGGTTTTCTTGTTGTTATAATTACAGTTCTCCACCAGTTTCAATTTCCTCTAGTCTTACCTTGTGGTTAGAGTTGAAGATGCTTTGCTGAATGGTTTTTCTTTTTTTCCCAATGTTCTTGATCTACCCTCAGCTTTAAGTCTTCCTGTGCAACTATGCCACATTGGAGATCTTTCTCCACAATCTTGACTCTTTTCTACTGGTAGCCTGTTCAGTGCTTGCTATCTGGGGAGGAGGCAGGAAGTTTTTCTGTTGTCCTTGTCCAGCTTAGTCTTACTCATACCCCATGTGACTGTGTCTTTGGGGTAGGGCATTCTCATGTTCTTGTCCCTCCTCCCATGTCAGCCAAACTCTGCCTTGCATACTTCATGAGTCTTGTTCAGGGAGTTTTCTGAGTCTTTCCCAGCAATAAGAGACCTCGAATAGTTTTGATAGAAACTCGTTGTCTAGAATTGTTTTCTGCCCCTCTTTAATGAGTAAGGTTATTTTTTCTTTTTAACCCATCCACCAGCCACAATGATACTTTATCCGTGTTCTTGAGTACCAACGTTTGCTGCTTCTACCTCTGTGCCTTCAGGCTATTATTTCATGAGGGTTCAGAAACGCTTCTTGTCATTTCCACATTAGTGCCCAATCTGCTTCAGTGAACATGAACCACTGAAGGAAGTTCTTTCTGGTCTCTTGTCCTGCCCCAATCTTTCTTTTAAGCACCTGAGTGAAACCAATGGAAAAGAGTTTGCAAGTAGGTGCAAACTCCCTTTGTGTTTGTAACTCCCAGGGATCTATACTCTCATGCTAGCCCACACTCAGCTTTTCTACAAATCTCTTAAAGTTTTAGCTGTTGCATATCATCTTTTTCCCTATGCTTTTTTTCTTCATGCCACAGATGAACCATTTTGTACATTCTTGTGCTCCTTGGAGGGGCTGGTCTGTTTTTGGATTTCAGGCCTCTTGATTGTCCTATAATCTTAGCTCTCTAATGAGTTCAAGAAAATTTATGGGTTTGTAACTCACTGCTACAAACTTTCATTGTTATGTGAAAGCATCATTTCACACACCCCCACCTCTCCCAACCCTCACCACCAGCTTGCTACACTTTAACAGAATGAAGAACTTTGTCTTCATTACTGAAAGATACTTTTCTGGATATAGAAATCTAGGTTAAACATTTTTGTTTTCTTTGTTCTTTAATGAGGTTTCTCTGTTATCTTCTGGCCCGCAAGGTTTTTGATTCAAAAAAGTCTGCTCCTGTTTTTTAATCTTTGTTCCTTTGAGCATAATGTGTCTTTTATCTCTGGGTACATTTAAGATATTCATTTTATCATTAATTTTTAGTAATTTGATTGTGATGTGTCTTGATGTGTTTTGCAACACATTTATGTTGCTTGAGGCTCATTGAGGTTCTTGGATCTGTGGTGTATAATTTTCATCAAACTTGGAGAAATTGTGGCCATTATTTTCTAAAATATTTTTTCCATTTTCCCCTCCCATTCTGATATTCCAGTTACACACATTATACTCTCTAAAATAGTTAATTACTCACTAACCTTATGTTTATATTTTTCAATGGGTTCTCTCTTTTGTTTAATTTTGTTAGTTTATATTGCTGTGTCAAATACACTAATCTTTTTTTTTGCAGTGTGTGATATGCTATTAATCTCATTCAGTTACTTTTCATTTCAGATCATGTATTTTTCATCTATAGAAGTTTAGTTTGTTCATTTAAAATATCTTTCATTTTTCCCATCATTATGTTCATGTTTTTCTCTACCTTCTTAGACATATGAAATATATTTGTAGTACCTATTTTGACATCCTTATCAGCTAATTCTATCTCTCTTGTTCTGAATCTGTATCTATTGGTTTCTTTTTCTCCTGCTTATGGGTGGCATTTTTCTGCTTCTCTGCATGCTTGGAAATGATTGATTGGATGCTGACATTATTAATTTTACATTGTTGGATGCTGGATTTTGTTGTACTCATTTAAATAAGTGGATTTTTTTTTGCTTGGAATTAATATTTGGTCCTTTTGAGGTTTGCTTTTAAGCTTTATGAAACAGATGTAGCATAACCTTTAGTTTAGGTTAAACTGTCCCCATTACTGAGGCACTATCCTTCTGAGGACCCTAATAGATGCCCATGTATTAGGAGGAATTGCCTGGGTAAAGTTAAAAATTGCTTAACCTATTTTTTTCCTGAGGATTCTTTCTCAGCCTAGGGCAATTCCTTCCATGCATTTGCAGATCAGTATGCAGCCTTAAGACTTGTGGAGAACCCTAGGAAGATCTGGGGTGCTCTATCTCACTTGCAATCTCTCTCTCTCTCTCTCTCTGAAACTCATCAATTCAGTATTTGCTTCACAAATTCTAGGTGCCTTCTTCTCTCTGAACTCCAAGCTCTGTAACTTCAACTGAGCAAGACGCCAGACTTTGTTTTGGCACTCTCTCACCTTTCTATGACCTAGAAACTTTTTCCAGGCTGTAAGATGAGACAATCAAAAGGCTTACTTAGTAACTGGGTGTGGTGGTGCATGCGTGTAGTTCTAGCTACCCAGGAGGCTGAGGCATGAGGACCCCTCAAGCCCAGGAGACTCACCTGAGCAACTAATGCAAAACCCCTGTCTGTAAAAAAAATAAAAATTAAAAAGTGTTCTCCTATTAGTCTCCTTGCTCTCAGAGATCAGTATCCTATACTGCTTATTGTCTGAATGTCTAAATATTGTTTTGACCAGTTTTAATATGTTTAAAGTGGTAGGTTAAATAACATTCACTTTTACTCTATCATCTCTAAAAGTAGATGTAGCCCACTTAAAGGTTTTAAAGTAGAGAGAAAATGGTAAAATTTGTGGTTAAGTCACTCTGATGGGTAAATAAAGTGAGACTAGAAATGAAAATCAGGTTAAGATACCAATATTCCCAGTAACAGACAGCAGGAACATGAATTTTTGGCAGTAGACACGAGCATGGATAAGAAGTGACAGATATAATAAATATTTAGGGCAATAGGAACTAGTGACTAATTGAATCCGGAAAAATCAAATGAGATAATGAGCACAAAATAATTTTCAAACATCCATTTAAACATTCGTTAAATAACTACTGTGTACCCCGTCTGATCGGTTAACAGAGTGCTAATATAAGTAAGACATGGTACTTCGGCTAAAAGAATTAGCAGACTTATAATTATAAAATAATTCAGAGGCTACCATAATGTAAGTACAAACAAGATACTATATTATACTAATAGTGGCACTCTAACGATTGAGGGGAGTCAAGGAAGCCCTAAAGAGAGAGTCATATTTGAGGTAGTTCTTGAAAAATAATGGGAGCTTTTCAGCAAGATAAGAAGAGAAAGGATATCCAGGCAAATAATAATAATAATATAAGCATCGTGATTTCCAAGAATAAAAACAGTATTACTATAAATGAAGTCTTGAATATGTGGTACACTTAATGTGTGTAAACATAAAAGTATAAAATTACAAAAGCAAGATATTATTATTGCATCTCCAAGAACTATTTCTATAGATATATACATACATAATGGGAAATATGGAAATAAGTTTTGGTGATGCCATGGTACTCAAAGTAGACTCTGTTTCATCAGTTACACAGCACAGAAGAAATCAATATTTATGCCTGCTTCTAATCCAGGATACAACAAATGCAATTACTTTAAAATGCCTGCATTCATGTACCAAGATAATGTTCAAACAATCCATGCACTTTAAAAGAAATAGAAATAAATATTTGAAATAGCTCTAAGAAATAAAGAAAATGTTATATAGCAGTTCATTATTTTAAAATTCTTTTTATGTAGGTGAATTCCATTGGCAATCATTGCTACACAACAAAATAGTGTTCTTTTTATTTGCCTCCACATCCCTTAGTAACAAATAGAAATTATTCTTAATATTTTGGTTTTAAGCATTCTGATATTAACTTTGACTTAATCTCCCTGCTTTCCACTTGGAATTCCCATTCACGTGTGCCTGTTGTTCTGCAAGCAAGATCCCCTCTTAACCCTCTTCAGAAAATAAGTCTCCAGGCTGTTGCTGCCTGGTAGAGGTTAGTCACTTGGTAGTGTAGAGTGGTGGGGGTGTCTGTGGATGTATCTGCTTCTCAAACAGACATTCAGCTAAGTCTATTATTGCCCAACATTAACCTCCACTAGCAGAAGTGCCAGAAACAATTTCTGAGCCTTTGCAAGGGGGCAGGGGCATGGCTGATTCTGTATTGTAAATCAGGTTGTATCTCTGCTTTTTCTCCACTGCAGCCTCAGCTTTCCTGAGTCTGTGAGTCAGTTGTTATTTGTCTTTCTTCTTTACAGCTTCCTATATTTTGGTGGTATTGTTTGTCTGCTGTTCTCTTTGTCCTTGTGGGTTTATACCTTATTTTTTAAAATCCATTTACTATCACTGTAGTGGGCCTTTAGCAGGGAGCTGAAAAATGCATGTGTTCAATACTTCCTCTTTAACTGGAAGTTGTTCAGCTCATTCTTTTTTAATATCTGTGTCTGTGTATTTTGTAATGTACATAATATATTTGTGCAAAGATACATATATATTATTTATAGATAAATATCTACATATCACATTGCTTAGTTTAAATTAGTTTTTCTTCTTCTTACAAATTGTAGTGTATAATTATAAGGTTCAAAGACCTCTGCTCTGCCTGATCTCTAAATGGTGTTGTCCTCCAAGGCTTGGAGCTTGGCTTTTTCTCTTTTCATGTTCATAGTCCCCCCAGGTGATCTTCTTTAGAGCCAATGTTGATGACTCTAAAATTTATAATTTTAGCCATGACTTAGCCTCAGATATGCGGATTTCACTTGATATCATCACTTAGATGTCTAATAGACACCTCAAGTTAACATTCAAAATTGAACACTTGATTCCCACAACCCCACACCTCACACAAACTACACTCATCCAGTCCACCTCAGTTATTCAGTCAAAAATTTATACTGAATTTGATTCTGCTATGATTCCAAAGCTTGAGAATGCAACACCAAAACAAAACTGAAAAGATTGCTGTCATGCAGCTTATGTTCTGGAAGCAAAAAGGAAGCGACAACAAACAAATGTAAAAATCAATATATATCTTGTGTTTATATTTACTTACATTTATCTAGGTGAAGTGCTATTAAGAAAAATAAAGCTAGGTAAGAGGAATGGATAGTCATGGTGTGTGTGTGTGTGTGTGTGTGTGTTGTGTATGTGTGTGTGTTTTGTTATCTCTTCTCTCCACCTTCCAAAATTTTGTCATTAGAGTCTTCTTTGTTCTTTTTGTCTTTGTGAGTTTATAGGCTTAAAATACAATCATTAACTGCCATTTAGTGGATGTTGAAGAGGGTGCTAAGGGAAATGCACATGTTTGATTCTCCATCTTTGCCTGTGAGTTAAAGAGTGTTAAGGGAATGTCCTCAAGATAAGATGATATTCAAGCAGAACCCTGAAAAAAGTGAGGAACTAAGCCGTACAAAAATCTGAAATAAGAGCATTCCAGATGGAGGGAGCTGCAGGTGATAAAGCCCCTAAATTAGAAGTATGCTTTCTCTGTTCAAGGAACAAGAAGCCTAGTGCTACTGAAGTGGAGTTGAGAGGTAGGATGGGAAGGGAAGCCTGTTAGAAAAGGAGGTAAGAGAGGTGGCGTGGGACCAGATCATTTATTGGAAGTCAAGGCAAGGATTTTTATTTTTATTGAGAGTGAAGTAGGAAGCCCTTGGAAAACTTAAAGCAGATATTATTAAAATTATGTTTTAGATAAATCACCTGGGCTGCTATAAAGTATCCTGTAGAGAGACAAAAGCAGAACCAGGGACACCAATTAGGAGAGTATAGGCAAAAGATAATGATGACTTGAACTAGAATTGTGGCAATAGACAAGTTAGATTTTACTGATGGACAAGACAATAGAAAAGCCAAGCATATTCCAAGGTTTTTGACTTGAAAAAAAATGTAATTATAGTGTTACTGAGATCATGAATACTGCAGGTGGAATGGATTTGTATGGGTGGATTGGGGGAGGAATAGGAGCTCAGTGGGACATCCCAAGTTTGAAATAACTGTTAACTAGATAGTGATGTTGAGTGGTTGTTGGATATGAGTCTAAGATGTGAAGGAGAAGTCAGGTGGCTCTTCTAATTGGAGCTAATCAGTATTTGTACAGTATTTAAATACTGTTATTAAAAGAAAGGGTGGCCAGTGAAATAGGAGAACCAAGATAAGGTGGTCCCTGGAGGATAAGTGAGAGAAGCATTTCAATGAGAAGGGCATAATGAACTCTGTTAAATGCTGCTGAGAAGATGAGTGAGATGAAGTCTAAGAAATGAGAATTATACTGACAATGTGGAGGTCATTGATGATCTTGAAAAAGGAAACTTCAGTAAAATGAAGGGAGTGAACACCTAACTAGAGTGCTACAGATGGTGACTGATGACTCAGGAAGACAGAAGTCATCTGCTGTAGCAAGGTACACAAGTAGTCAAGAAAGAGGAAATGCAGAGCTCAGATGGAGATAGTGGTCTTAGGTAGTAAACCAGACAATTTATCCATTGCAATTGGAGGGAAGGCAGGAGGCTCAGTTTGTAGTAGATTGGCAAATATGACCAGAGATGTGGAAGCTCACTTTTGGTTGAAATAGCAAGCAAGATAATTATCAGCTGAAAAAATGGATAGCAGACAAATGTTCAAGGTCAAAGGAAAGAGGAGATGCAAAATAGTTATTTAAGAGAGTAGGAAGGTGAATTAACTAGGAAATTATAAAACTATAGTGGGAAATTATATTTTAAAATATGGCATGACTAAAAGCCACTTGAAGATTTAGGTCATAAAGAGAGATCAGTCAGCTTGATCCAGTGATTTTTCTCCATCCATGTTTCATTGCTCAGGTACAGGTGAAAAGTGAATAGAGATTTAGATTTGACCAGGTTTGGGGTTTGGCCAGGCAAGTTTGATGGAGAGGTGCAAGCAATCCATCTTCCACACAGCACCCAGAGTCAGTTTCTAACATCTTAATCAGATTATATATTGCCTCACTTCAGACCTTCAGGGGCTCCCCACTGGACTTTCATTTTAGCCCAAATGGTGGCCATCAAGGCCCTTGCTCCTCTGGCCACTTCTCCAACCTCCTCTAGCACTACTTTCTGCATGACTGCTCTATTGCGGGCACACGGGCCTCTTTGGTTCCCAAACATTCAAACCCTTTTTGTCTCAGACTGATGAAATCCTTTCTTTCTCTGTCTGGGCTGCTCTTCCCTTAGTTCTTTAATTGGCTACTTTTATGCATTCTTCATGTCTCAGATTAAGCTGTAACTTCCTCAGAGAAGACTTCCCTGAGAATTGCACTTAAAGCACCTCTACTCGTGTACTCGGCATCACATCACTTCCTTACTTTTAGTGCCCTTAAACAATCTGAACCATATCTTTATATATTTCTTCGCTTGCATGCCCCAACCAGGATGAAGGCAGGGAATTCATCTCTTTCATTCTTCTTCTATTTCTAGAGCAAAGATTTTCAAATTTATTTATCTCAGAAAGTTTACATTCTTAGAAATCACTCAGGATGCCAAGGAGCTTTTTGATATGTAAGTTATATCTACCATGATTTGCTACTAGAAATTGAAAAGCAGAAATTTGGAAAATATTAATGGATTTCTTCATTAAAAAAACAATTATTTTGTTGGTTTATGATTGGTATATGTAACCAATTAAATTGTTAACATAAATAACATTTTATGAAGAGTAATTCTATCTTCTAAAATAGAAAAAAAGTGAAAAGAGTGGTATTATTGTTTCTTCTGCAAATTTTTTTTTTTTTTTTTTTTTTTTTTTTTTTAGATGGAGTTTTGCTCTTGCTGCCCAGGCTGGAATGCAGTGGTGCAATCTCAGCTCACTGCAACCTCTGCCTCCCGGGTTCAAGCGATTCTCCTGCCTCAGCCTCCTGAGTAGCTGGAATTACAAGCGCCCAGCTAATTTTTTTGTTTTTTTAGTACAGACGGGGTTTTGCCCTGTTGGCCACACTGGTCTTGATCTCCTGACCTCAAGTGATCGGCCCACCTCGGCCTCCCAAAGTGCTGGGATTACAAGCTTGAGCCACTGTGCCTGGCCTGTTTTGCAAATCTCTTTAATGTCTGGTTTAATAGAAGATGTTGATTCTCATATCTGTCTCCATATTCAATCTGTTGTGATCTGTTGTTTAGATTGAAATATATGAAGACAATCTGTCCTCCCACCAACATATAATTGGAAAAGGAGGTATATTTTATAGACTTTTTAAGTACTTGTATATACCATCTTTGGTAGTACACTAAGGGTCAACAAGTGGCTATTCCTTAAAGGTAAGCTGCAAAATGGAATCTGTATCAATTAACCTTTTCACTGTGCATAAATTTTTTGGTCTACTTTGAGATTTGAATGGATCTTTTACCTGTGCATGACTTTGTAACATCATGCATTGGTCATCTGGAACTTATTGGTTTACTAGTTTATAAAGAGTTTTCAAATGTTGACATATTTTATTATATAATATTTTAAAAGCACATTTGTTCTGATCTCATCAAAGTATCTTTAGTATTGGGAAGCTGTCAAGCTTATAGTAGGAAATACAAATTTTCCAAAATCCTAATTTCTATTTGAAAACTTAAATTTTTTATTGGCATCAAATATTGTTAATTGCTTATTTTGAAATAGCAGACTTTTTTTATTTTTTGAAAAAAACAGTGTTTGCAAAATTCCTAAGCCTGAATAATCATAGTTGTCAGCCAGTTGTTCTTTCAAGTGATAATGATGATCCATGAAGAAAGTAGCTAATTCATCTTTCAAATAATGGGAAAAGTGTTTTTTTCCCAAAATGGCCATTGTACTTCAGCATGCATACTTTCAATTTTACTGCAAAATATAAAAAGGTTCAAATTCAAGGATTGAGATTTAATAAAATTAATTTTTTAAACTGCTCCAGCAAGTATATTCTTAATAAATACAACTGGCATTATTATTATTTTTTGTTTTTGTTTTTACTGTGAGTACATGTCAGTCAAAGACACAGTGACCATTGGTACAGTTTGGTGCTACTTCCTTGATTCATGCTAAGACATCAGCAATTTTACCCACTGTTGCTTTTGCACCATCAATGCAGATATCAACACAGTAGAAAAAGAACATCTCAAAATTGTTATGGATATAGTTATTATCTCATAGACCCCCTGAAAGGGTCTCAGGATTTTAGGCATTCACGGATCATATTAGAACATATGGTAGCCTGGCACATAGTAGGAAGTTATTAAATGTTTGTAATATAAATGAGGGGTTATATTATTTTACTACTTAAGTCTATTATCGTTGATTTGGCAACTACTTGTTCTAAAAGTAACTAAATCTTATAATTGATCATTTTGTTAGAAACATTTTGTAAGATAAAAAATAGGGAATCATTTAATCAAAAGTACATAGCAATATCTATCTTCACACGGAGTTGTGTAGACACTGCACAGATTGAGTTAAACATACTTCATGTCTTGAGAAGTTTATCAGCATTGCAGACATAAAGGGCATAAACAGAGATAATATTGAACAAGTACGTTAAATTAGTTAATACTGTCAACTTCTAGAAAGAAAACCACATATTAGATATCATTAATGTCTAAGTCCTCTAGGGAGAAAATTTAAAACCTTACTAAATAAAATTAAATAAGACCTGAATAAATGGAGAACTGCATTTAGATGAAGTGACTTAACAATGTAAATATGTCAACTATCCTGAACTTACTCTATAAATTAACTGCAATCCTGATTCAAATGTCAGTCGTAATAGACAAATAGATGAATTGAACAGACATAAGAAACAGACAAAGGAATGATAAAGGTACTATGGAAGAAACTCCTAGAATCAGCAAGACTAAAAACCTAGAAAGATGGAAAATATATGGATAATTAGTATATTATCTCAGTAAATAGAAAATAAATTTAACAATGAGATACTACTTTACATCCATCATATGGGAAAAAATTGCTGATTTTGATAATATTAATTGTTAATGGATAAATGAGTATTTCTTCATATTTGGCTTCTGCCATTTTGAAGAAAAATCTGGCAAAGTCATTGTGCATATATCATATGATTATCTGATCTCACTCTTAAAGAGAAAGGGGGAGATAAAAATTTTATAAAAGAATGTAAGATAATATGTTTTTTCACAACATTGTTTATGAAGGCAGGGAACTGGAAGCAACATTGTTGTCCATTATTAGAGGACTATACTAAAATAAGGTTGTGGAGGCATACTACTGAATACCACATGGTAGTTAGAAACAACATAGATCTTAAAAGTGTAATGCTTTGTGAAAAACAGAAGAAAATGAATGGGTTCCATTTATGTAAATTTAAAAGTATACACAAAAAAATGACACTACATGTTTCTAAAGATACATATAAATTTGAGAATGTATATCAAACACATTAGAGCAGTTACCTGTTTGGGAGGGAGTAGAATATGATAACAAGAAGAAATCAGTTTAAAATTGCTTTTTTTTTTTTTGCTTTGCTCAAATCAATGATGATAATGTGCCATGAACCAGAGTCTGCATCTATCTCACTCTCCTCTCTTTTTCTTTAAAAAAAAAAAAAAAAAAGGAAAGAAAGCTACATACATTGTAAAATAGTAACACATTTCAGGTAGTCTGCATATTTACACAAGGATAATTAGAAAAATTTGTTACCTACCTCTTTTGTGATTAATCAGGGAATTAGCCAGACAACTGTAGAGTTTTTGAAGGCTGAAAGAAGATCTAAATTATTTAGGTTTTCTAGTTCCCTGATTGCAAGTATATCTGCTCCTTGGCCATAACAAATTGATGTGTCTATTTTTCTCTAGAATAGTTAGCAGCAAAGGAGATGCCAAATATTCTTCTTATATCCTGTTTTAATATTTAACTCTCAACCCTATCAGTGAATTCCTTCTTATGTCTGTGTTATATGTCCACAGTTACTTTCAAGTCATTTCTCAGAGAAGAGAAATGGTCTATATTTTTCTTGTAATAATGCTTCATGTATTAGAAGGCAGTTATTATTTCCAGACTAATTAATTCAAACTCCTTTTCTCATGGGTCTTATTTATTCAACACTTTAATCATATTATTAATCTACTCCAAACTCCTTAACTTCACAGCATCCTTATTAAGGTAAGGAGACAAAAACTGGGTGCAACACTAACTCCACAGTGTGTCTAATCAAGAGAGAGAAATTATTTCCAACTATTGCTTTCATGAGTCCTCAAAGATAACAGTGGCTGGGCGATCTCATCAACCATTTTCTTTATGAATTTTAATTATTACAATCCCCTTATATGTATAAGTTTTATTATTACAAAGCACTGTCATATTTTTTCTTCCAACAACTCAATAACAACAGGAAAGATGCCATAATTCTCTGCACAGATGAGTAATGTAAAGTGCAAAGAGGTTCCCATAACTTGCCTATGATCACTGAGCTAGTAAGTGCTGGAGGTAGAACCTCCCATTCTAAGTATGTAGGAAGCATGTAATGTGCTTGAATGGGAGGCAGCATAGAGCAAGAGAAAGAGCATAAATTTGTTGCCGGAGGACTTGGATTCAGACTCTAGATCTGTCACTGGTAGTCTTGTGGCCAAACAGAGATAATAATAGGGTTGATGTGGACATTGTGGTGTAATCAACTCTCTAAACTTTTATTGTCATCTTTTCCTTGTTCTGATGAGTTGAATACATCTGACTTTAAAAGGTTATTTCAAGATTATTTTCCTTCTCTTTTCTGCTCCCACATCACCAGTTTATTTTTCATGAAAATATGTTCTTTTTTGTTGTTTTTAGTTGCTTGGTTTTTATTTCTGTTTTACTTGAAGCAACATTTCTTACTTCCTCTTATTTCTTAGATTTTTATTAATAAAATGAAGATTTGCTCTGACACCGTTTTCCTTCCTTAGACTGTATAATCAGGCCAGTCTCAAGATATTTATAGAAAATAGACAAAAAACTAAAAAGCATTAAATATTTCTACTCACTTATATTTGTGGTTTTGAAGCTGTAGAAAATGGAGCAAATGACCCCAGAATCAAAGAAGAAATATTTTAAATCAACATAATTTTGTCATATTTAGTGACTTTTTAAACCTTCAAAAGTTAGTATTGGAGAGCAAAATTTCAGAATGTGTCAGGGACCCACCATTGAAATAAACCATTTTGTTTATTGAATATAATCATAGTATTTGTACCCCTATTTTCCTATCTGAAGTGCCAGAAAGTCCTCACAGAAGATAAGCAATACATAAACTTTATTTTTTGCTATGGGACATCTGGAAGTGTCTACCTAACATTCCCTTTCTAGACAATTCTCTGCTTTCATCCACATAATTAACATTCGTCCAGGGCCTCTTTCCATGTTTCCAGTTTCCTGAGATTTAGCTATATCCCTGATCTACTTATGATGTGGTTACTTCCTTGGATTACATGAGCCAATTTAATTTTCCTTTTGCCTGAAAGTGGTGACATTGATATATCTCTCACTACCCACCTAATACCTGCTACAGATGAGGTTTACATGGTTAAGGTGATGTCTTTTGGATGGGCTGCTGAGCTGAGTAGGTAAAGTGGGAAAGCATAAGGCAGGAGTAAGTAGCCTGGCAAAAGTAACATTAAGCTGATGTCAAAGAAAAAAAATCATCCATTGGAAGATACAACAACTTTACATAATGAATATTACAGAGTACAGGCATCAGCAACATAGCATTAAAAGAACAATCAAGTGAACTGCCTCACAGCTATCTTGCTTTCATAGATACTATGAGATATTATGCAGATATCATAACTGTATTACAGGTATTATAGATTAGAGATATTATAACTATCTTAACCATACAAGTGCCCTTGATTCGACTGTAATTATTTAGTGTTGCTTCAAGTCTACAACCCTTTAACCCTTTCAATGTGCTGCAGCACCTAACATTCAGAAGTGCCACAGGAACATGAAAGATTTGAGGACTCGGACTAACATACAAAATAGAAAAAAAAGTCGTTGAGACACCCCCTATTTTCTCAATTCGAGGTCTTTTCTCTTCACATTTAATGTGTCTGGAGTTGAAATATATTTCATACTGATATTTTCTTTAAAACTTACCAGCCATCAGGGAAAATAAGACAGTAAGTTGTCATTGTCTGTGCATGTGCAAACCTATGTATTGAAGGAAACTGTTCAACTCAGTTATTTGCTGTTTGAATTTTAAGTTAAATTGGCATCTTGTTTTTGTGAAGTGAAAGCCTTTCACTAAAACACTGAACATCTACCTGTTAAAAGCTTCCAGTTAACTGTTAAGAAAAGTGATTTTTTAATTTACATAAAACCCTGTGATTTTACCCAAATAAGATGTACAGAGAAAACACTGGTATCCCTCAATATGCCTAGAAACTCTCCTGTCAAATCTAAGGATGCTACAGAGGTCAAGCTTTGAGCATAGATTATGAAAGGCAGTGGGTTATCATGGTATTATTCATAATTGATAATAGCCTAACATAATTCTGAAAAATTAGACGTGGAACACACAGAAGATTTACTCTCGTACTCTGATTTGCTGCTGAAATTAAAAGGCATATAATTGTATGGATAAAAGAATCATATTACTGGCAGTTAAGATAAATTATCTTTATTTAATATAGTTGTTTTTCCCTCTTGAAAGCTACTATAAAATAGTTGAAGTATGCCAAATTGCTAACATCTTAAAATTGAGGGATTTATGTATTTTTTTCTATCCTAACAGGCCACTAGTTGTGATTAGAGCAGCTATTTTTCAAATACGTGCATCTACAAAAAATAATGTTGGATTAAATACACCTGGGTCCAGTTGAATTGCTCAACAAATAAGTTTATTCTCTTCATTCTCAAAAACTTCCAGGACACGATTAGTTCATGCATTGTTAATTGAAGGTTCTGTGAGTTTCTGCTATCATATTTTAAAAGTTTCTTTTAGGAAAAGTTTTTAAAGTTCTTATGAGAGGTTTCCACCAGGTAGTCTATTGAAATCAATTGGTGATAATTAAGTGAATTTCACTGCCACTATAGAGACTCTTTTAAAACTCTCATAGAGATTGGAAATTGATTGGGATTGAAACAAGAAGAAATCTCCAAGTTTCAAACATTTCAATGACCCAGTTCCATAAAAATTGCAAAGCTTGGCTAGGCATGGTGGCTCACACCTGTAATCCCAACACTTTGGGAGCCTGGGCCAGGAGTTTGAGACCAGCCTGGAGAACGTGGCAAAACCCCTTCTCTACCAAAAATACAGCAATTAGCCGAGAGGGCACCCACATTCCCAGCTACTTGGGAGGCTGAGGTGGGAGGATCACTTGAACCCAGGGGACAGAGTTTGCAGTGAGTTGAGATTGCGCCACTGCTCTCCAGCCTGAGAGACAGGGTGAGACCCTGTCTCAGAAAAAAAAAAGGAAACTTCAAGCTTTGAGGCTACTGATAACTGAGATGGCAAGATCATTAGTACTCAAATAGTAAATTTAGCCAGTCACGTACTGGTCCTTACATAACCTTGAGTTTCTTCCAGTATCAATTGACCTGACTGAGAATATTTAGGTGATCTCTAGTTCAGAGTTGCAACAGTATTGAAACTTTTTATTTTAGAATCTCTCATTTAATAGAATTCCATAGCCTATATAGAATATATGTATATGTCAAAAACACATAGTTTTCTTGCATCTTTCATATTTTTGTTTTATAAATAATTGTGCCTAGATATGTTAGTGTCAGTATGACCTTTTGTAAAGCAAAGTTTCATTATGTAAAGATATTTAATTTTTAAAGAGTAATTAAATACCTTTGCTTATCAGGACCCTAGTGTAAAAAAAAGCAGCGTGGAGTATTGTAGCTTGATACTGACAGATCAGATTCAGATCCTTTGATCTGTTTAAGTTTCCACGGGGATGGATCTTAAAATAGTTGGTATATCATGCTAATATACTGCAACTTGTTGTTTTTGCCCCGTGTGCCACCAACTGCCCACCATTAGTCAAGAGAAGCCACATGCAAGCATAACCAGACTGTATCATCTTTGTCATTATTATCATGGTCCATAAATTAAGAGAACACACTAAAATTCCTACAATCATATACTACTTTTGAGATTACAATTGCTGGTATTAAATTTAGATCCTTTTAGAATTCTGACGTTTTGTATTAATATTGCATAGACAAATGATAATTTCCTTTCTGGGTGAAAAATACTTCACTCAACACAATGGGTATAATGAACAAACTTACTTAAATAATTATTTAAGTTAACAAGTTTATAAAAAATCTATATAAAGGGATGATTTTTTTCAGAAAAAAAGACGATTAAAAAAAACTCAGAATCTGGAGCTCTATTTATTGAATGGGGCAATTGGCAAGTCAGGTATCAATATATCCCCAAATAGTGTAATAAAATGCTTCAACGATAAAATAAAATACTTCCTTATTGAAATATTTGTATTTTGGTATATTACTGACTCTTTATGGGGAAACTCTTTTTTGATATATAGATTGCTTAGTTATCGGATTAAAGAAATCAAAATGGTAAACTGCCAAAGGGAGAAGTAAGTGTAATTTGAATCTGAGACATGACGTGAAAAATAAAAAACATGAATGGATGATGGAACATTTCTTTCTGGATGACCTTATTGTTACCTTTCTTTTCATCAAAGAAGCATTCCCAGGTATCAGAAATGAAACCAAAGGAAGATTTAGATCAAAATACGGTGCTTACCGGAAGTAAACCCATGCATGTAAGGTCAAGCAATCTTCAACAAAGGCACCAAGGATATGCAGTGGGAAAAAAAATAGCCTCTTCAAAAAAATGGTGTTGGATGCAGTTTTGTTACAGGTGTAGTGAACTAAATTTTTCTTGTTTTGTTTTTTGAGGCAGAGTCTTGCTCGGTCGCCCAGGCTGGAGTGCAGTGGCATGATCTCGGCTCACTGCAAGCTCCGCCTCCTGGGTTCACGCCTTTCTCCTGCCTCAGCCTCCCGAGTAGCTGGGACTACAGGCGCCCGTCACCATGCCCGGCTAATTTTTTTTTTTTTTTTTTTTTGTATTTTTAGTAGAGACGGGGTTTCACCGTGTTAGCCAGGAAGGTCTTGATCTCCTGACCTCGTGATCCACCCACCTCGGCCTCCCAAGGTGCTGGGATTAAGGGCATGAGCCACCATGCCCGGCCGTGAACTAAAATTTTTTTAAAATGATGTTGGGAAAACTCGATAGCTACATGCAAAAAAAATATGAAATGGGATTTTTATCTTATGTCATATACAAAAATAAACCAAAAATGAATCAAAGATTTAAATATAAGACCTAAAACCATGAAAATCTTAGAAGAAGGCATAGGGGAAAAGGCTGCATGGCAGTGACCTTGGTAATTTTTTGGATATGCCATCAAAAGCACAGGCAGCCAAAGCAAAAATAAACAAGTGAGACTACATCAAACTAGAAAGTCTCTGCACAACAAAGGAAACAATTAACAAAATGAAAAGGCAGCTTACAGAATCGGAAAAAATATTTGCAAATTATATCCACTAAGGAGTTAATATCCAAAATCTATAAGGAACTCATACAACTCAGTTGCAAATAACCCAATTAATGGGCAAAGGGCCTGAATAGAAAATATTCCAAAGAAGACATACAAATGGCCAACAGATATATGAAAAGATGCTCAACATCACTAATTGTGATGGTTAATATTGAGAGTCAACTTGATTGGATTGAAGGATGTAAAATATTGTGCCTGGGTGTGTCTGTGAGGGTGTTGTCAAAGGAGATTAACATTTGAGTCAGTGAACTGAGAGAGGCAGACTCATCATCAATCTGGGTGGGCACCAACTAATCAGCTGCCAGAGCAGCTAGTATAAAAGCAGGCAGAGGAATGTGGAAGGACTAGACTGGCTTAGTCTTCCGGCTTACATCTTTTTGCCATGCTGGATGCCTCCTGCCCTTGAACATGGGACTCCAAGTTCTTCAGCTTTTGGACTCTTGGACCTTCGACCACAAACTGAAGGCTGCACTGTTGGCTTCCCTGCTTTTGAGGTTTTGGGATTCAGACTGGCTTCCTTGCTCCTCAGCTTGCAGACAGCAGATTGTGGAACTTTTATGATCATGTGGGTCAATACACCTTAATAGACTCTCCTTTATATATGCATCTATCCTGTTAGTTCTGTCCCTCTAGAGAACCCTGACTAATACCCTAATCATCAGGGGCATATAAATCAAAACCAAAATGAGATATCATCTTACTCCTGATAGGAAGATTATTATCAAAAAGTCAAAAGATAATAAGTGTTGGTGAGAAAGTGGAGAAAAGAAACCCATTCTCTTTATATTGTTGGTGGGAATGTAAATTGCTACAGACATTGTAGAAAAGAGTATGAGGTTTCCTCAAAAAATTAAAATAGAACTACCATATGATCCAGCAATCCCACGTCTAGGTATATATCCAAAAGGAATGAAATTTGTGTGTCAAAGAGATATCTGCACTCCAATATTTGCTTCAGCATTATTCTCTATAGACAAGATATGGAAACAGCCTAAGTGCCTGTCAACAGATGAATAGAAAAGAAAATGTGGTGTGTATGTATGTGTGTGTGTATATGTATACATATGTATGTAAGTATATACACATACATACACACCACATACACAATGGAATATTATTCAGCCAAGAAAAAGAAGGGAATCCTGCCATATGCAACAACATAGATGAACCCGGTTGACATCACTCTAAATGAAATATGCCACACACAGAAAGACAAAAACCACATGATCTGACTTACATGTGGAATCTAAAAAAGGTGAAATCATAGAAAAAGATAGTAGATGGGTGGTTACCAGAGGCCGAGGTTGAGGAAAATGGGGAGATGTTTGTCAAAGGGAAAAAACTTGCAGGTATAAGAAAAATAAGTCCTGGAGACCTAATGTACAGCATGATGACTATAGTTAATAATAATATATTATTTATTTGAAATTTGCCAAGAGAATAGATCTTAAGTGTTCTCATCACAGGAAAAAAGGTAACTATGTGAGGTGATGGATATGTTAATTAGCCTGATTGTGGTAATCATTTCACAACATTTCACAATGCATACATATAGTAAAACATACATTGCATACCTTGAATATACACAAATTTTGTTTGTCAATTTTACCTCAATAAAGCTGAAAAAAAAAAGACAGTGCTTAATAAGAACAAGTCAAAAATAATGAAGTGGACTTCATCATAAACAGAAGCTGTTTTAGAGCTTCTGGTTTATTAGAAATAACATAGAACTAATAACATTTTCCTGACATGAATAATGATAGAATGAGTTATTATAGAATGATCAAAATGATTAGTCTCTATTCTGAGATCTGGTGCTGTTTGGCTGGAAAGAAAAAGAAAACATAGAAAAAAAACCAGTTTATTGTGAGAAAGAGTAATGTGATTTTTAAAAAATCATTCAAGTCTTGATATACAGTGCATTTAATCTTACCAAATTGGCTTCATGATTTAGCATAGACATATGGTAAACTAACATCTAGGTGCTTTCCCTTGAAAGGTAGACCATGTAAATGAGTCACTTAGTCTCTTTTTTTATGTCAGTGTCCTAGAAATGTTTTATAACCTTAAACAAAAGTTTCATCTGAATATATTCTTATTTTTATTTTTTAACGCAAGTAAAGAAATACAAACCAAATACAATATAGTTACAATTTTTAAGCCACTGAAAGAGCTGATTATCCTGTTGTTAAACCATTAGCTATAATGTGGGATACAGCAAGAGATCATTGGGCCAAAAATGTCCACTCTGAGCCCTGAGTGATCTGGATTCCTAATTCACCCTCAGAGGGTAATTTTACGGGGGGTGTTGTTCCATAGCACTTTGACAATGGGTCTCATTTTTCTGTTTCTCTACTCTGCAAAGAGACTACATGGAAGACTCTTAGCATAGTAATTTAAAACCCCTCTTTGAGTGCCAAATAAGTTATGGAGTCCATGTACAGAGAAAAAGAACACATACACAAACATTTGCAAACAATTTCAAGATGTTCACACTGTCCAAAGCACCCGTGTACCTGGTCCCAGGTTAAGAAACTATTTTGCAATGTCAAATATGCTGTGAACTTGCTGTGAGCACAGCTTTTTCCCTGTCACTGAAGTCTATATAACTTCCATAATATGATATTCTCACTACCAGTAGGTATAATGCCTGCTGGAGGATAGAACAGGAGAGAAGAGCTTCGTCAGTCTGTAGTCAACCCCAGAAGGGTACATACTAGCACACAAAAGCGATGAGCAAGCCCTGTGTATTAAACATTCTGTCATCACTGACAGCCCCCTAAAAAGTCAAACCTACAATTTATCTAATGTTCAAATTTTAGTACTTGAATTTACAATACTTTTGTTAGACAAATATATGCTTTACTTAAGTAATTGTAGAAGAGTTTATATTTTTCCTCTATTAAATGGTTAAAAACATGTCTTCATGACATTCCAACTCACTCTGTTGGCAAAAAAAAAAAAAAAAAAAAAACAGAAAACAAAAGAGAATATGGCTTGTTTCCAAGCTTTTCTGCAAAGAATAGTGCAGTGGTGAAGAATTAGGCACAGCAGTTAAATCTTTTGCTTCATTTTTTTTTAAACAATTATGGAATGCATTCATCATACAAAGTCTTACTGTCAAATTGATCCCAATAGCTTACACTGAAGACCTTTAATGAAGCTGATGGGTGAAAATTATATAAGGCAAGCATCAGGCTAAATACAACAGTGGAAAGCTTCCTTCTCACCCCTCCTGAGAGAAAAATAAAATTTTTAAAAAGTATCAAAGTTTTAAAGTATTACTAAAAAAATAAGGAGAAAGTAAGAGAGACAAGTTGGCCAAACTTGGGTGAGATAAATGTTTTTAAAGTTTAAGAATGGACTTCTGTTTCCAGCCAAAATGAAGTAAGGATTGAATCTATTCTCCTTCCTGAAACAAAAACTGAATAAAATGTATGAAGCATTGGTTTTCAAGAAATTGGACTTAGGCAATGAACGACAGTGATCCTAAGACAATGGAAACAAATGAGATGAGCACCTGATTGTCTCAGCTTATTGCCTAGAAATAGTTTCCAGACTGGTACAGAACTGGAGGACTCCAGGAGGAGACTGCAGTCTCCCTGAGTTCAGGATGCATAGCAAGCAGTCCAGGGAGGCCGAGGTTGCTGAAGGTTGCCAGGCATAGAACTATATAAAAGGAGATTTCCTACATATACTTAGTTTACTCAAGAAGAAAGAGATCATTTTAGTAGTCATATACTAATTAAAGAAATTAAATTTTTAGCTAAAAATATTCCTATAGAAAAAATACCACGTTCAGATGGCTTCATAGGTAAATCCTAACTAGGCATATAAGGAAGATAATAATCTTACAAAAATTGCCAAAAAGTTAAAAAGGAAAAAATACTTCCCAACTCATTCTATGAGGCCAGCTTTACTCAAATATGAAAATCAAAATCAATCCAAGACTTTACAGGAAGCAACTACAGACTAACATTTTTCATAAAGATAGATTTTTTATAAACTTTTTTTTATAAAATGTAATAAAACATTAACAATCTGAATTAAAAAGTCGATTCCAACTGGGGTTTTCTCAGAAATGCAAGGTTGGTTTAACATTCAAAAATCTACCAGTGTAATTCGTTATATTAATTCACCAGTTTTCTCAGAAATTCAAGATTGGTTTAACATTCAAAAATCTACCAGTGTAATTCACCATATTAATAGACCAAAAAGGAAAACCATATGATCAACTTAGCAGGTCCAGAAAAAGTATTAAACAAAATCCACAGCGATTCCCGATTTAAAACAAAACAAGCAAACAAAAAAAAACTCTCAGCAAACTAGGAAGAGAAGGGAATGCCCTCAATCTGATAAACAGCATCTATGAAAGCTCACATTTAATATCAGATTTAATGGTGAAAGATTGTTTTTCTTCTAACATCAACAAAAAGGCAGTATGTCTGCTCTCACCATTTTTACTCTACATTTTATTGGAGATTAGAGTAAGGAAAAAAAATAAAAGGCATGTAGATAAGAAAAAAAAAGAAGAAGTGAAATTGCTGTTATTAACAACCAGATTCTCCTATATGGAACATTTTGTGAAATTACATAAAAGCTATTGGAACTAGTATAGTATTTTTTTGCAAGTTTGATGTTTATACATGCAACATCAGTATACAAAATTCAGTTGTTTTTCTGTATACTAGCAATGAACAACTGGAAATTAACATAAACTTTTTTTTTCTACAAAGAATCAAAGGCAATTCAGTGATCTGGGAATGGATATAATCATTGATATTATTCACCACAAGCCTTTCTGCAGATAAGAGAAGTCCATACTAAGTAACAAAACAGATTCAGACTTCCCATAGCTCATTAAAATTGCCCCATGAGTTGCAGGACTAGTATTTCTGATTCCTGGTAACTAATGAGATTGATAGCAATCTCATAAAAATCACAAAACTACTTCTTTCCATTACATTTATTCATTTAGAGACAGAGTCTATGTCACCCAGGCCAGAGTGCAGTGGTCCAATCTCTGTTCACTGCAATCTCCGCTTCCTGGGTTTTAGTGATCCTTCCACCTCAGCCTCTGGAGTAACTGGGACTACAGGTACACGCCCCCATACCTGGCCAATTTCTGTGTGTTTTTGGAGGTGGGTTTTCACCATGTTGCCCAGGCTGGTCTCAAATTCTTGAGCTCAAGCCATCCCTCTGCCTTAGCCTCTCAAAGTGCTGGGATTGCAGTCCTGAGCCACTGCACCTGTCTACCATTGCATTTAATTCTACATAGATAATCTAAGACTATTTGAAATTAGTTACCATGACTGACACTGTAAGTTCCGAATAGTTTGTCCTATATCTATAAATCCTAATTTTAAGGAAATTGATTGATTCAGTCGGAGTAATCAGTGATTTGTGCAGTCAGAGTTGTGTACAATAACAATATATATTTTTATCCGGATAAAAATACTAAGCTTTTAGTGTAAAAATGGACTAAAAATATTTAAACTAGTGGCTGAATTAAATATTAGCCCTTTAAGTGTTTAGTTTGTTCTTAGTTAATATAAATCAAAACAACTGGTAAGAAACAGCCAAACTGTCAGTTAACAACCAAGAGCATTTTTCCGAGAAGAGGAGTAAGATTTTCACTGGATTCTTAGAAGTGTTGTTACTCAAATGAGTTTTGAAAATCACTGAGTTAGAGATGTCTGTCACGGTATTTCAAAAATATTTTTCATAGAAGGGTGTCTTACTCCAAACAATACAGATATACTTAATTATTTATTTAACAACAACAATGTACTAGTTACTATTACTGGGTTTTTTTGTTTTTGTTTTTGTTTTTTGAGACAGAGTATAGCTCTGTTGCCAAGGGTGGAGTGCAGTGGCATGATCTTGGCTCACTGCAATCTCTGCATCCCAGGTTCAAGCGATTGTCCTGCCTCAGCCTCCTGAGAAGCTGGGACTACAGGTGTGCACCACTACACCCTGCTAATTTTTAGATTTTTAGGAGAGATGGGGTTTCACCATGTTGGCCAAGCTGGTCTCAAACTCCTGGCCTCAAGTGATCTGCCCACCTGGGCTTCCAAAAGTGCTGGGATTACAGGCGTTAGCCACAGTGCCTGGCCTATTACTGTGTTATATAACAAACCACACCAAACTTAGAGAATAAATAATAATCATTTTATGTTGCTTATAAATTTCATATGTCCAGGGCACATCAGAGAAGTTTTGCTGCTTTGCAATATCCATGAACACTCAAATTACTGGTAATGATTCAGAAGGTTGGGAACTGATATTATCTGGAGGCTCCTTCCCTTACATGTTTGGTGCTTGTGCTGGGATGACATGAAGACTGGGCTCAGCTGGGACTGAGCCCAGGTATTCATTGGAATACCTACATGTGGCCACTCCATTTGGACTCTCACAGCAGGGCAGGTGTGTTCTGAGAAGGGAACATCCATAGAGTGAGCTTTTCAAGAGAACCACATGGAACCTGCATGGCATTTTATGACTCAGCCTCAAAAGTTATATATCATCACTTCTGCAATTTTCTGTTGTTTGGAGCAGTCACAGACTACCTAGATTCAAAGGGAGAGGACATAGATTTCACCTCCTGTAACTGGTACATTGCTTTTGATGAGGGAGTGGCAAGGTCACATTGTAGAAGAACATGTGGGATGGAAGATATTTTGGCAGCTCTCTTTAGAAAATACAACCTGTCACTGAGAACAGCAAACAAACTCTTCTTTTCAAGTCAAGTATAATAAATAGTATATAAATAAACACATAATAAGTACCTAATTAAATAGTAAATAAATAAAGGCTAAATTAATGGAAATGGTGTCTGGCTTCTGCTAATCTATAAGCAGGAAATGAGGCATTCATGTTATAAGGCTGATTTTCCCAAACAGGAGACTTCTAACTGTCCCATAGCTTCCTCTTGGGAGATACTTCACTCATCCTGACTTACCATTAGCTGTAGACATAAAATGTTATTCCAATTGCTAAACAGATAATATTAATGATCACCACTTCTGCTGAGGGCAGAGTAAGAAGGGATTATTTCGCATAAGTCCCATGTATTACTTATAAGGTTAATTTTATTCTGTTAAAAATATAGTTGCATCTAATTTTTTATTCCCACTGACCTAAAATGAATTCAGTTTATTTTATTTTCCTAGCATATCTGCTGTTTAATAATGGCTTGTTATTATTCTCAATTTATATGAAGATCTTTTAAACCTTCCTACATTTAAAAAACCACTTATTATATATTTAACTATGAGTCAAGTACTTTGCTGATGCCAGAGACATGATTCTTGCCTTCATTCCTTGTGGAGGACAGGTATCAAGCAGATAGTTACAATGTCATGAGAGCTATAAGGAACTGCAGGATGGATGCAGTGGGGTCATGTAATGGGAGATGCAGTATAGTCTTTGGGTTAAAATATGGGGATGGGGATAGAATAATATATTTTGAGGAAGTAATCAGCTTGTATAAGAAAGATCATGGCACCTTTAAGAAGAGAATTATATTGAACACCTTTTTAAATTTTCATTAGATGGTCTTTTTCTTATTAATTTATGAGAGTTAAAAATATATTCTGGATATGACTCCTTTATCGGATATGTATGTTTCAAACACGTTTTCCCAGTGGCTTGCTTTATTTTTTTAACCTTCTTCTTTTTTTCTTTTTTTTTTTTTTTGAGATGGAGTCTCGCACTGTTGCCCCGGCTGGAGTGCAGTGGCACGATCTCAGCTCACTGTAACCTCCGCTCCCGGGCTTCAAGTAATTCTCTTGCCTTAGCCTCCCAAGTAGCTGGGATTACAGGCACCCGCCACCACGCCCAGCTAATATTTTTGTATTTTTAGTAGAGACGGGGTTTCACTATGTTGGCCAGGCTGGGCTCAAACTCCTGACCTCGTGATCCACTTGCCTCGGCCTCCCAAAGTGCTAGGATTACAGGCGTGAGCCAGCACGCCTGGCCTATTTTTTTTTTAACCTTCTTAATGATGTCTTTTGATGACCACAAGTTCTTAAGTTTGATATTGTTTATCCTTTTTATGATTAGTGCTGTCTGTGTCCTGTTTTCTCATATATCCCATGTTCATGAAGATATCTCTTATATTCTTTTTAAGAAAGTTTTTGGTTTTAGCTTTCACAGTTAGGTCTAATAACTTATTTATTTCTTTATTTATTTACTTAGAGGAGGATCTCACTATGTTGCTCGGGCTTGACTTGAACTCCTGGCCTTAAGTGATCCTCCTGCCTTAGCCTCCTGAGTAGCTGTGACTACAGCGTGCACCACCACATCTAGCTGTAATAATCCATTTAAAATTAATTTTTTGATATAGAGGAGCAGTTGCCCCAGCACCATTTATTGTGGAGAACTCCATTGCATTGAATAGTTGGCACCATTATTGAAAATCAAATAACCGAGTATGTGTCGGTTTACTTTCTGAACTCTCTGTTCCCCACTATCTTCATGAGGTAGCTTTATGTTCAGTCTTCAAATTTGGTAGTGTAAGTCTTCCAACTTTCATCTTATTCTTCATTGTCTTCTTGACTACTCTAGGTCTTTGTACTTTTGCACAAATTTAGAATTGGCTCATCAATTTCTCACTAGAGAAATGCAAATTGGATCCACAATGAAACCCACTACCCATCCACCAGAATTGCTAAAATTAAAGACATAAAATATTAAATGTTGACAAGAATGTAGAACAATTGGAAATCTTGTAAAATGCTGGCAGCAGGGTAGAATTGTAAAATCATTTTGAAAATATTTGGGATTATCTACTAAAACTGAAAAATTCCTAGTCCCTAATTCATAAATGCCATTGCTATGCATAGACCCAAGAGGAAAGAGTACATATGTCCACGAAGTTACTTACACAAAATACCATTTATATAATTATGGCTAATCATAATAGCCATGTTATTCATAGTAGCCACAAACTGGAAACAAATCAAATGTCTTTCTGTAGACAAATACATAAACAAATTATGGTTTATTCATATAATGAAATACCGCACAGCAATAAAAAACTATGGATACATGCAATAACATAGATGAATCTCAGAATGGTATGTTTGGGAAAAGAAGTCAGGCACAAAAGGATACCATACTGTGTGATTGGTTTACATAAAAATCAAGAACAGGCAAAACGAATCTATAATGATGAAATTCAGAATAATACTTACCTTGGGAAGAGTACTGATGAAACTGTATAGATGACGTAAATTTGCTGTATTTTGATCTGGGTGGTGATTGATTACATGAAAGTATACATTGATAAAGACTCAGCAAATCATACCCTTAAAATTTTTGTATTTTACTTTATGTCTATTATACCTTAATCTAAAATAGAGAAAATTCTAGTATAACTAGAGCAGATAAATCAAAGTGGAAGAGTGGTTTGAAAAGAAGCTTGAAAACTATATCAGATCATGTAAAGCACTAAGAGTACCCCACTGATATGGTCTGGCTCTGTGTCCACACCCAAATCTCATCTTGAATTGTAATCTGAATTATAATCCCCATGTGTTTGGAGAGGGAGCTCGTGGGAGGTGATTAGATCACGAGGCTGGTTCTTCCATTCTGTTCTTGTGATAGTGAGTGAGCTCTCATGAGATCCAATGATTTCATGAGGGGCTTTCCCCCGCTTCCCCAGGCACTTCGCTCTCCTGCCACCATGTGAAGAAAAATGTGTTTGCATCTTCTTCCACCATGATTGTAAGTTTCCTGAGGCTTCCCCAGCCATGCTGAACTGTGAGTCAATTAAACCTCTTTCCTTTATAAATTACCCAGTCTTGGGTATGTCCTTATAGCAGCGTGAGAATGGACTAATACACCCACCTTCTGGTGTGACGATTATAATGAAAAATGAAGCTGATTGTTGAAAGAATTGTTAGCCACTGTGACCATTTTTGGTGTTAATTATGGTAGCATCACTAACCAGCTTTTAACTGGTAGTGTTAGCTATATTCCTTTTGCTTACAGGTGGCAGAAACCAAATGTGAGCTATCTTAAGCAAATGGGAAAATTTATTATATGCATACCGGGTTATCTCACCCAATTCAAGGATGGGAACTTGGTATCAAGTAGAACAAACGACTTAGACAACATCTTGTCTGGCACTTTTCATTTGGACAAAAATTTAGTAAGTAGTAAATATGATTGAACAACTGGTTAATTTATACAAAATACCTGGTTTGATTATCCAGATGGACCATTCTTTTCTTGGGTAAAATCAAAGATTTTTGTCTTGTCAGTAATTATAACAATAATTATATAAAACTGACACTTCATAAAAATTTATCAATTTTATAACAACACCGGAAGGTAAATGTTATCACTTCCATTTTACAGATGTGGAAAATACAACTTAAAGAGTTAAATGACTTCATTATAGGCAAGTAGCTGAGAAGTAGCAGTGTTAAGTTTCAAACTCTTTCTGCATCCCAAATCCATGTTAATTTTATCATACCATATTTTCATGAAACACTAACATGAATAAATTTCAGTTTGGAAATTCTGGAAAAATTAGTAATTCTCTGTATATTTTGTGCATCTATATCTTCCCCCAATTTCGAAGACTTTGAATTGTTAAGTGAAATAACCATACACTCAACATCACTGAGGATGTCAGTAACTTATGAGGTTAGACAATATTAATATACAAATATTTTTCTCTCAAAGATTTTTATATCTCTTCAAATGCACTCTGAAAGAGCATTTAGAATCAATGTTGCAAATGTCTAACTGACTGGGATTTGCTTTTGTGATGAGAAAAAGAGAGAGACATTAGAAAATGCCATTTTTAGTCAAGCTAGTACAACAAAGTCACTTTTCTATTCCTCAGAGTAATGACAAGAGATATCTGTGAAAAGGCATACTAGGCCCCATAGTGTCACCTGCAAAAAGTTGAAGAGGTATTCTGAAACATTCATTAATTTCTTAACAGATTTAAGTGTTATAGATTAAGTCCTTTTATTTTAAACCTTTTGAACCAATGATATTACTTTCTTTGCTCTTGGAAATAACAAATACTCTGGGATACAGTTAGACTTTAACAGTTCTAAATCTCTTCTCTTCCAGTCTTTAAGAAGTGTTTACAGGATACAACATTAACTATGTAGTATTTATTCTTGCCAAAAATCGTCAAATTTAATATAATCATGAAGAAACAATTAGCAAAATTCAAACTGAGAAATGTTCTGCAAAAGACTTTTCCTGGACTCTCAAAAACTAAGGATGCCATCAAAGATGGAAAATTCTGGACAACTGTTCCAGACGAAGTGAAAATAGAGCATTATATCAAGTAAATGCAACTTGAGATACCTGACTGGACCCTGGGTCAAAAAAAGAATAAAGGAGGGAAGGAGGGAATGAAGGAGGGAATGAAGAGGGGAATGAAGGAGGGAAGGAGGGAAGAATGAAGGAGGAATGAAGGAAGGAAGGAGGGAAGGAGGAAGGAAGGAAGAAAGGAAAGAAGGAAGGAATAAGGGAGGGAGGCAGGGAAGGATGGAAGGAAGGAAGAAGGGAGGGAGGGAAGGAAGAAAGGAAAGGAGGAAAGGAAGGAAAGAATGGAAGGGAGGAGGGAAGGAGAGAGGGGGGAAGAAGGGAGGAAGGAAAGAAGAAAGGAAGGAGGAAGAAAGGAAGGAGAAAGGAGGAGAAAGGAAGAAAAAAGGAGAAAAGAGAAAGGAATAAGAAAGGAAGGAAGCAGGAAGAAAGGAAGGAAGGAGAAAGAAGGGAAGGAAGAAGGAAGAAAGAAGGAGAGAGCAAGGAGGAAGGGAGGAAGTAAGGAAGAAACAAAAAGACAAGAAGGAAAAAGAGAGGGAGGGAGGAAGGGAAGAAGGAAAGAAAGAGGAAGGAAGGGAGGAAGGAAGGAAGAAAAAGAAGCAAGGAGGGAGAAAGGGAGGGCGAGAAGGAGAAAAGAAGGAAGGAAAGATGGAGGGAAAGAGGGAGGAAGGAGGAAAAAAGGAAGGAAAGGAGGGAGGAAAACAGGAGGAAAGAAGGAGGGAGAGAAAAAGGAAAGAAAGAAGGAGGGAGGGAGAGAAGAGGAAGGAAGAAAGGAAAAAAGGGCAATAAAGGACCTTATTGGGACAGTGGAGAAACTTGGATGTGGATTATATGTTAGGTAATAGTGTTAATGTGAAATATCCTAAGTGTGAAAATATATGATGATCCTGTAGAAAATACCCTTCCTTCCAGGAGATACATTATGAACTATTCAGAGGTTAATAAGAACAGAAACAAGGTACTTGCTGGTTCTAGAATTCTAGATTTTGATGAATAACTTTGTGTTTGTCCTACCCATTTTCCCCATGACTTTACTACATCCCTTCTCAGTTTTCAAAGACATTAACATATTTAGTCTATTTTCCAGCGGTCAACTTTCTATATCTTTACAACATTTTAATTATCTTTCTCTAGATAGTTTCAAGCCTTATGTATTCTTTGAGGTGTGGTGACTAGTACTTCAAAATACATCTAATGCTGATGTACAGTCCTTGGGATAATATTTTATGTTTCCAGTACTCTTCTTTTTGGCACTTTGTATTGGGTTTTGGCACAGAAACTTTTTAGGACAATGTTTTGCATGGACTAATCTAAATGACTCAAAAATGCCTTGTCTAGCAACTCATCTTGGATCTTGCCACTTGACATCATTGGCTTGGCTCTTTTCTCCTGAGAAAAACATATTGTCAACTGAAAATCAATACATGTTAACGTGTATTTGTATGCCGCATCATGTTCTAAATCATGAAAAATTGACTGGTTCCAGTGTAGACTCTGGGGACATTAGCTGTTTATTCTTCAGAAACTGGCTAAATTCTTCCCTTGTTACTCTTTATTTTCTCTTTACTAAATTTTGCTCACTCGTAGGTCAAATAAAACATTGATAATATGCGTATATGTGCCTTATATCTTATGCAGATACATACTAATATGTCTAAGCACATTTTTGGTAGAAGAGGAAGAACAAATAAAAGTATTGATCCAAATAAGAGTTCATGTTGGAATGTAGTAATAAGACCATGGGCTTTGGACCAAGACCAATGTCTTCTGAATCCTGGTTGTGTCCTTACTGGCTTCTGACTGTGGTTGAGCCATGGAACCTCCCTGGGCCTCTGTGTGCCTTCCAGGTTAGTTGTAAAGAGAATACCTTATGCTTAGAGTAAACCTTTAGTCAATATTAGGCATCCCTTTCTTTGTCCACATGAGAAAGTATAAAAATAGTATTATCCAACATTTATTAAGCCCTTATTATGTACCTAGTTCTGTGCATGGAAAAGGGTTTATGCATATTAATAGCATAGGAGTCAGGAGATTGACTGGCTAAGAGTGAAGGCTCTGGAGCAACCTTCCTAGGTTTTATTCCTGACTTTATTAATCACTAATTCATGACTTAGGACAAGATGTTTTATCATTCTTTGCCTCAGTCTCTTTGATCTTTAAAGTGGGGGAGGTAACATTGCCTTCCTTATACAGGCCTTATGAAGATTAAATTAGGTAATATTTATTAAGTAGTTAACAGTGTCTGGCATATCCCATGGTACTATGTATCATACTAAATATTTGATATGTGTTAGCTTTTATTATAGACAATGTTATTATCTAATTCAATCCTCACAGCAGCCCTATGAGTTAAGTAAAATTCTTATTCTTATATTATTTGTGGAAAAATGTTAAGCAAGGTGAAATAATTTCCCCAAGGCCACTCAGTAAGAGACAGAATTAGGACTTGATTCTTCTCTGTCTATATTGTTAACTACTAAAATTTCTCCCTATTTCTCTCCAACTCAATTTCTTATGGGGATTGTCTAAGTAGTCTCTGATATAGGAACTTTCATAAAGCTTTCTGAAAGTTTAAATATAAACTTTATCTCCAAATCTCCTTAGTTATGATTATTTATCCCCTGAAACAACTCTAGTGAAACCTACAAACATCATTTCTCATGCAGAAATCATGTTGACTCCTCCATACTAAATTATTCTCTTTTGGCTATTCAGCTATCCTGCCTTTTCACCAATAATCTCAAAAACATTTCAGGGCTGACTGAAATTTGAAAAGACAGTGTGAGTTTGGACAAACCATTTAACCTCTTTGAAAGGAAATTTGGACTAGATAATCTGCAGGGTACGTTCCAGCTCTAAAATTCTGTGATCCTATGTGTGGAATTGCCACAATCATGCGAGTAATGGCCCAGATGCTCTTTTCCACTTGGTAGTGGAGCCTTGCTGATGCACCATGCTATTTATTAGATACCCTATTTACATGCATGCTTGTTTTCCCTCTGATTCTTGAAAGTATAAGATGTAAGATGGAGATAAAAGATATGCAAGAGAAATGTACTAAAAAAGACATATTAAAGTTAAGTGGTGTATTAATCTGTTCTCACACTGCTAATAAAGACATATGTGAGACTGGGTAATTTAAAAAGAAAATAGGTTTAATTGACTCCCAGTTCCACATGGCTGGGGAGGCCTCACAGTCGTGGTGGAAGGCGAAGGGGAAGCAAGACACGTCTTACATGGCAGCAGGCAAGAGAGCTTGTTGTGTGGGGGAACTTCCATTTATAAAACCATCAGATCTTGTGAGACTTATTCACTGTCATGAGAGCAGCACAGGAAAGACCTGCCCTCATGATTCAATTATCTCCCACTTTTTCCCTCCCATGACACATGGGAATTATGGGAGCTACAATTCAAATGAGATTTGGATGGGGACACAGCCAAACCATATCAAGTGGCAAGAGGAAATGTGAAGGGGTAAAAACGGAATTGCTGTTCATTAGGTTAGGCCTTCTTTTTGGGCTATTATTTTGTATTCTGTGACCTCATTTTAGTGATCAAATCATCCCTTCATTTTATATTCAAATAATACTGTCATGAAGACTGAAAAGAGAGAGCCAATATTGAAATGGCACATGATAGTCTGGTGTTTCTTTTAAATACAACACACATTTTGTTTCTTTCCCTTCAATGGGAAAACTACCAGTGGTTCCATAGGATTTTGTTAATCTTGTGAAATTATGGCAAACTGGAATCATCATTAGGCACCACCCTAAAATATCTCCAGAAATGACCATAGTTTATTTATTTAACCAACACATTCCAAGGAAAAAAACCCACTGAATTTATTAAATACCCATTGTATGTTCTGAATTGTGCCACATAATACAGAAATCTAACGTTCAGGAACTATTCTAAAAAAAACCTCTTAGTTTAGTTAGTGAGGAAGAGCACTATAAAACAATAAACTATCTGAATGCTATACCACTGTAGAGATATACAGAAGATTCTCTGGAAGCACAAAGGATGAACACCTAGTTGTTTGTTTGCTGGGAGGAAAGACACAGGGTAAGGTTTCCCAAAGAGGCAAAGAATGGGCTGTCTCTTGAAAACCACATTGGAATTGGCCTGGTTTGGAGATGAAGATTATAGAGAGGCCAGTATGTGCAAAAAAATAAAGGAGACATATCTGGAAAACTAAATATTTCCATACAGAAAGAATTTAGAATGATTATGCTCTGGTGGATAAAACTGAGTGTGGAGAGTTCGAGGGAGGGCAGATCATGAAGGATCTCACATATCATACTAAGGACTGTCCAGGACTCATGAAGCATCATGGATGGGGTTTAAGCAGTTGAATGATATTTGTTAGCAGTTTACATTTCCAATCATCAGAGAACTTCTTAATAAGGATGCTAATGACATTGCCTGGCTAATCAATTCCCAGGGCTTAATCCAGTGTCTGGAATATGGTAGCTCAACAAATGTTTAATATATGAGATAGTAAATAAATGAGTCAATCAATCAATAAAAGAACTTAGTCAAGAATTTGCTTCTGGACTGCACACCAAATTATTTACAAGGATAATGATGAGATTTACTTTAAAATATTCAAGTAAGAAAGGTTGGGGAGGATAGGTAAAACCAGAATGTCGAAATGTGGATAATTGTGAACACTGGGAATTGGAAATCTGGGGGTTATCCTTCTATTCTCCTTACTTTTTTGAATGTTTGACAATTTTTCCATAATAAAAAGGTTTGAAACATCGCTCCAAAGTTAATGACTTGATTTCTAGACTCCAAATATTACTGTGTTGAAGCATAAATATGTTAGGAAAAGAAAAACTAAACTTTTAATGAATGACAACATGTTTGTAACCTAAAAAAGCTAAAAGGAAAAAATCTGCACACTAAAAAATTTTTTGGAGTAAATGCAACTTGTGACTCTAGTTTGTAAGTTTCAATCTACTTGTGGCTAGAGGACTTGATTGAAACCTCTCTATGGTTAATAATATTGTATAAATAAAAATAATCTGTTATAAATTAACTGTTAATTTTAAAATATGAAAATAATACCCTCACTCAAAAAGTGTTTTGAAAAAAAATTCAAGAGTCTATCACACTCAAGTGATTACTTCACAAAGTTTTAGCATGTTGTTTTGCAGATGCTAAAAATAACTTGGTAGACTTTATTCCGGCTAGCATTGTAAAATATATACATTTTGTACTAAAAGCAATTAGGTTAAGATACAGAAACATAGTCTATATGAAATACTCATTGTTTCAAAAATGTGAATTCTTTGCAGTTAAATTTGAATGGTATATATAGCCATTGATTCATATCTCTTGCAATCCATTCAATAAATTGAGTTATTGCTGTTAAACAAAGTCAGATTTTAATAACTGAAAATTTCTGGAGACTAGCCAGATTATGCAACCTTTGTTTTCCAGATGTTGTGGTTAGAGGGGTCACTGCTGCTTCAGATTATCAGCCTCTAGTAAGCTGGGCATCTCCATGTGTTGAAACAAAGTACATAATGAGGGTCAAACTGCAAGTGTTTAAATGATGGTTCTTCAGCTGACACACAGAGAGAAAGGAATAACGCTGCAATGAGAATACTATAGTAGTAGGAATGACATATAAGGGCCAAGGACAGATGTTAGAGGTTGACTTTGGGTTTTTATGTCATCTTAAATAATTTTGCCCAGGAAAAAAAAAACACAGCTTCACAGCAATGCAGAACACCAGAACTTGTGACAGAAGTTCTTATTTTTTTCATCTTTTTTAACATTAAAAAAATTTCTATTAAAATATTATGAGTAGTAAAAAGGGAAAAGATCATAAAATAATAACAGGAAAAAAGTTGGGTGATTAACAGAGGAAATTACCTTTGTAATTACTATTCTAATAGAAGAATGCCTGTTAATAGGCTTTAGGGGAAAGTATCTTCACTATCGTGCCACGGAAATTTGCCATTGTGTGTTCAACACAAACTGATCTAAATTTTTTTAAGGTATAATACGATCTGGATCTAAAAATGAAAATGAAACAAGTTATCTAAATATCTCAAAGAAGTGAAGTTAAGCAATATTAACCATAGAGAGGTTTAAGTTTATGTAAGTCCTGAAAACTTTATGGAGTGTGAAAAATGCAAAAACTTTTTTTAAAATTTAGTAATTCCTCTAACTCAGTAAAATCTAACATCTGAAGAGGGCCACATTTACCTGGACTTCGGTAAAAATGTTGAAATAAGAAAAATTTGGCAACACAAAAATGCAAATACATACTGCACAAACAGCAAACGTTTGCCACTTAGCACTTCATTTCTTTCCTTATGGAAAAACAGAGGAAAGAAAGCAGGAAGAGGGAAGCAGGGAAGCAAGGCAGGAAGAAAGGAAGGAAGACAGGGAGGCAGGCTACATGTTTTTTCCTCCTTTTGACACCAATTCTTTAAATTGTTTTAGTCTTTTGTATAATAACCAGGAAACCTGAAAATAAGAGATGTTGAAGATTTTAATGTGTGACAGTCCCAATTATAAGAGGAAAGAATAGATTCATATTTATATTTTTAGAGTTCTTAGAATATATCCAAACTGAAAATATAACATGGGAATTGTTTCTCCAAATAATTACATATCTTATTTTCCGTATTTTACCTTTGGAAACTAACATTTCACTGATGGAAAAGAAGGAAACTTTTACAGAGACACAGAAAAAACTGAAAATGCCGGAATATCAGGGAAAGATGGAATTCTTACACAAGTACTTGCCAAAAAACCCAAAACACTGAATGACAAAAACAAGTGTAAAGTGTAACATGTACAAACTATAATAAGACAAAAAGACAATATACTTCTTCCTTCTCACATGATGCTACTTACCCAACATTTTTAAGAAAGATTTTCTCTAATGATGTCTTAGAGGCATTACTTCTGATACCTGTTAAGGGGAAATACCACATATATTCTTACCACAATATTCCATCTAAAGGCTATCATAGTTTGTCTATAAATCATTATCAGTTGGTAAATTTTGATGAGCATTTAAAAATCCACTCCAGCCATTTCGTCTGCACCTGTATTTTTAGGCACTCAAGTGTAAACATGAAAACTGTTAGTGTAACAAGATTTGTAGGTGTAATCTTAAAATCAAATTATAAGCTTTTCTTAAATTTTAGCACACACATCTTGGTTGAAAGATCTACCTGGTATCAATATTGTT
The DNA here is from genome assembly GCF_000001405.40 of Homo sapiens. Lineage (NCBI taxonomy): Eukaryota > Metazoa > Chordata > Mammalia > Primates > Hominidae > Homo > Homo sapiens. Next base: position 79,083,131 of record NC_000006.12, on the reverse strand, counting down.
TTAAATTTTTAACTATGATATAACTAATTTTTTTGTAATAGCTAGTCATTGTTTCAATAAACATGTATGAGAATATCTGTGAAAGAGAATAAAGCAACAGAGGCATAAGTCAGGGGGACCTTCGCAAGTACACACACATCCCCATATATGAAGAAAAACAAAAATAATATACAAATTAGATTGTATAATTAGGTCTCTTATAGGAATTCAGAAAATAGAGTATTTTTGGTTACAGTTAAATCTAAGTTGCTTTATTCTTAATTTTGAATTAGAACTTATATATGAGTCTCAAGTCAGACTTGTGAGTGCTCTGAATGTTCAGTCCTTATTCTTTCAAACACCTGTTCTTCTTTGTCATCAGTAGTGTCTACTTTGGTGTCCTTGATATCCATTATTTTTACTCTGTATAGATTCCTCACTATTTGTCAGATAAAACTTTCCCTTCCTTTTCTATAACTAAAATGCTTTTTCTTTGGGGTTCCTGAAGTTTATGGCTTTAGGCACATATAAAGGCAAGTGACTATGTAACTGTTTTTCTCAAATGCCATCTTAACATCGCATAGATAATAGTGTACTACCAGAGCCTCTGCACCCATTTTCTCCTCCCCTCCCCCACTTTACCTTCTCTTCTTTCACTGTTCTCTGTTCAACTCAGCCCACTCCCAGTCCATCAGACATCTTCCTATGATAGAACATGCCTACAGACTTCTCCTTTATGTTTCCTGCCATCTGGAACAGCTTTTTCTGCTTCATCCACTGTGTTGCTCCAAATCTTAGGGGAATATGTTCTAAAATTGTTTTTCTCCTTTAATCTTTGTAATTGTACTGTTAAAACTCATGAAGTGATCATTTAAAACAAACTATATAAATAAACCCATGAAGATGTGTATTTCTTGTGCAAATTAAGACTTATAAAAATACAAACTACTAGAATTATTTAACTTGGATAAAAAAGATTGAGTGAATTACTAACATTTAAATACATAAGGGATAACATGATTGTTGAGGACTAGCTATATTTGTTACACATTAAAAGGAAACGTGCTCTAATTTAAGTAAAAAGATTCCTCAGTGAGATATAAGGGAGAACTGTTAATGTTAAATAACAAAAACATTGTTAAATAATGGAATGGCTCACTTAAGTTGGTTATCTCTATTCTTTTTGGAGCAGCCAAATAGTATATCTGTTCATGTGCTTCAAATCTGATAAATATTCATGCTCTATGAAGAAGGATATGTGTGTGTGTGTGTGTGTGTGTGTAAGAGAGAGAGAAAGTCAGATAAGCATGGACAGAAACACACAATATTGGGGAGCAAGCCACAGTGAGGAGTGTGGCTTGTTAAATAAGATCCTTGACAGTTGTATTGTGTTCTTGGGGCAGATGAGTAGTTTTTTTTAAAGTACTTTTGAGAGAACAGTGTTTTCTACTTTTACATTTCTGTATTTCACAGGATAAAGCTTCTGCTATAGAAGAAATGTAACATCAAAACAAAAGCAAGATTTAACATGAAATTTTAAAAGTTGTACTTATAGAGATTTTTTGAGTTACGTATTATTCACCATACTACTGGAGATTAAATTTCATAAATGTATAATTTTTGTACTTATAAATACCATCCCATCTTGTTCCTGAAACAACTGAAATGATAGTATTTGATTATTTTATTGGAATAATAGCTTACAAGATCAAGACAAAATTTTTGTTAAATATTTATTTTGTTTCATGTGTTGCCACGTGAAAAGTGATGAATTTCACATAAACTTTTATATTTCAAGAAAAGTTTCTATATCTCCTAGAGAGACTATATTATGTAAAAACGTTAGGTCTTGGCTTTCCAAACTTTTACTATTATTTGTTAACCTTGTTATTTAAACTGCATGGAGATCTTTTTAAAGTGATATTTTATTTTTGGAAACCCATAAAAATGTTAAAATAAACAAACAGGAAAGGATATAGATGGAATCTGAACTATCCTTATATGCAAAAGAGTTGGCTGAACAAAAAATTGCAAGGATCATTGCTTTGGGAACTAAAATCTAGAACTTCCAAATAAGACTTTTCTTTCTATTTGATATTTACAGACTTTGTACATAAACAAGTACAATAAACAACTTAATAAATCTTACAGTTAACTGTCAATGCTATAATTCACAAATGTTTTTTATGTTTAAGAAAATTAAAAGGGCTATTTGGAGTATTTGTTACATTTAAAGGACTTAGTAAAATTCAATTCAATATCCACTGTTAAATACAAATAGTTTATTTGGCTGAAGGGAAGTTTTAATTTTTAGCAGGTAATGTATATTTTCTTATAACAGACAATAGTTCAAAGGGAAGGTTACAACAATCTGCATATTGGACATTTGAAAAAGAAATATAAACACTGTCAAAAATCAATCAAAATGACAGGAACATCATGTTTAGAAAACTTAGAGGGGGATTTTCCAAAAAATTTTTAAGGAGCTAAGTACTAGTAGCATATTTAGGTGAAAGCTTTTGTGGCTTCTAAATGAAAAGAATATATGAGATAATCATGCTAGTTTTCTATGTTTACAAAACACACAGAAGATATATATCACAAACTTTACCCAGAGTAATATTATATTCCATGTCATAATTTGGTTTATTTTCAATCACAAGAATAAAACATCTATTAGTAAGAATCATACATTCCAAGCCTTCAAAACCAGAAAATCCCACTATAATTTTTAGTTTCTAAACTCTGTTTATTTGAAGAACTTCAAGATCGTGTAAAATATTACAATTATTTGAAGAACACTTTTTTAAAAGTTAAGCTAAAACAGCATCGGTCTTAGAAGTAAATACAATTTGCAAAAAGGCATACAAAATTTCCTATCTTTTCAGTCTATCTTTTCAAGCCTAACCACCTAGAAATAGGCTACTTTACCTATAATTGAATAGAATAAAGTGTCTTTAAAGATGCAAATATGTTCAGTATTTGAGAATAGCTATCTTAAAAAAAATAAGTTATTCTGATAACCAGGTTGCAATAGGACAAGTCATGGTAACCTTCCATTTTTAAGATTCAGTTACAAAAGGCAATTTTATATCCTATTATTCCAAAGGGTTTGAGGCTTTATTTCTTCTTCCTCATATGTATGATGATTTCTGGATGTTTTAGTATAGGGCATCACACTGGTGCAGCACACTTGGGCTTACAGTGCAGCCCAAGGCATTTGCAGCAAGTATTTCCCACTAGGAATGTAAGGAGCTAGGAGGTTACAAGGCTTGAGGAAACAATCTAGAAAACCACAATACAGCTTGTTGGTCCTTTCCCCACAAATAACCTTTTTAAACCAGACCCATAAAATGCAGTTTATTATCTAACATTTTTAAGGAGAATCTTTTGTTAAATGTTAACAAAAGAACGACTATCCAAATTCCCTTTAAAATGCAATCCTTAAAAAATATTGAACTCTCAAGTCTTTTTGGAAAGTGCTTAAATCATCTGGAGATAAATATCATTTGGTGTCCTTGTTTTCTAACAAATGGCTTTTTCTATTGTTTCCATTAATTTCACCCATATTCGTTTTTTTAAAAACAAGGCCCTTATCCTCATCAGCAAAACACAGATGTATGATTTAGCATATAAAATCGGTAATTACATACTAATTTACGAAAGATTTTTTTTTCTCCTTTTCGTCAGTTTTCAAGAAGTCTTCCCGTGATTAACTGTAAACAGGAATGGTTTACATCTCAAATTAGAAGCCATTAATTAGCATGACGAAGTCAACTGCAAGATACACAGATTATTTAAATTATTTAATCACTATTCACCTTGGCTAAACTGTAGTATACTCTTTCAATATCCTTAGGCAGGTTATCGATCTGTCACTAAATTACCTCCAGATCAGTTAGACATGAATATTAGCGTCCTTTCCTTTCCCTCAGGTTTACATTCTCCCTTCTCGTAAACACTTAAAAAAGCTTTAAGGTTCTTTAATTCCAAATACCTAATTAGCCATCACTAGCCTTTTTGTAATAAGGAAAAAGAGTATCTGAAGTACAAATCAAGAGTTCGCTTTGCCCGTTTAACAATAAAAAACATTTAAAAAACGTACGCCAAAGGCAATGGCAGTAATAAAAGAAATATGCAGAGGTGGCTTCAGCAAATAACGGGTTTGCAAAACGCAAGTGCTTAACAAAAAGCAGCCCAAACCTCTATTGCAATATACAGCACTCCAATAAATTACACAACACTTGCATAGGCTGCAGAAATAACGCAGGACAAGACTTACACAGATGCCAATCCGCAGCATTTATACACATGCACATGGCAAGAGACAGAAACCAAACACTATCATTCAACTCGGGAAGGGTAGCGCGATCCCGAGCTTGCCCAGCGTGAGAGTGCTCTCTGCGTGTGTGTCTGTGTACGCGCGTGAGTGAGACCCATCCTTGGGGCATTTCCCCTCTCTGGGCAGTTTTGCTTCATTTGTTTCATATTTCTGCTACATAGAAACTAACTTCCATCTCAGCTCCAGCCAGCGCCGCTGAATAGAGCCTGTGCTGCGGCTCCGTGTGCGTCAGATCCCTCCGCGGAACCGTCCCCGGCCCCCTCCCTGCCACTATCGGCCTCCACAGAGAAAGCGCCTTCCAGCCAACCGGCGGCTTGGGCTCCGACATCTTCTCCGACTGGAAATAAATAAATAAATCGCACGCCCTGCGGGGAGGAGCGGGTGGGGGTCTCACTGTGCCGCGTGCGGAGCGCTGGGGACGAGGGGTCGGAGGCACTCCTTTTTTAGCGCCGGGGGGCGGGGGCGCGGGCCAGAGCCGGGGCCGAGCCCTGGGCCGCGAAGGCGGCGGACTCCTTTCTGCGGCGGAGGGATCCGCGGCGGAGGCGGCCACGGCCGTAGTCGCTGCCTGAGAGTTGTTGTTTCCTCCTCCTCCTCCTCCGCCTCCGCCGCCGTTGCTTGAATGGTGGAGCCGAAGCTCGGCTCGTGAACACACACTGACAGCTATAGGGCAGGCGGCGGCACCGTCCCCGCTTCCCCTCGGCGGCGGGGTGTCCCGTCGGCGGCCCTGAAGTGACCCATAAACATGTCTTGTGAGAGGAAAGGCCTCTCGGAGCTGCGATCGGGTAAGTCGGGGGGCTGCCGGGGCCGCTGGCACCGGGCGATTCCGCCCGCGGTCCCCCGCCCCCCGCCGCCCGACCGCTCAGCCTGTGTGTCTCCCCGTCCCTCTCTCCCGCGCAGAGCTCTACTTCCTCATCGCCCGGTTCCTGGAAGATGGACCCTGTCAGCAGGCGGCTCAGGTACGGCGGCGCGCGGCGCGGGCCGGGCCGGCGCTCGCCGCTCGCGGGCGTGGGGGAGGGAGGCGGCGGCGGCGGGGCCGCGGCCCGGGGCGCGGGGCTCAGCTCTCCCCGCTTTGTTGTTGCAGGTGCTGATCCGCGAGGTGGCCGAGAAGGAGGTAAGGGCGGCGGCGGCCCGGCGCGTCCCGCCGCCGCGCGGCCGCCTCTGGGCCGCTGCGCCGCCGCTGCCGCCGCCGGCAGGGCGCGGGGCGCGGGGCTCGGGGTCCCCGCCGGGGCGCGGGGCGGGCGGGGGAGGGGAGCGGGCGGGTAGGGGCCGGGGGCCGGGCTCACGGGGTGTCCTCTCCCCGCAGCTGCTGCCCCGGCGCACCGACTGGACCGGGAAGGAGCATCCCAGGACCTACCAGAATCTGGTGAGACATTCACGTCGCAGAGCAAAGAAACTTTTCCCTGAGTCGAATAAAAATTGAATTTCCCGCAATTTTTTACAGAGACAAAAACTTGGCCCTAGAACGTGAAAGCTCCAAAGGCCATGGGGAGGGTTGGGAGGCCGGCGCGGGGTCTGCGGGGGCCAGTGGCCGGGGGTACTCGTACTTCGGGGCCGCAGGGGCTGCGGACAATTTATTTGTGATATTTTGTTAATGTGCTAGAAATAAAGATACGTCATGAGTGTTGTGCAGTGCAAGGCCGGAGGAGGAGGGGCCGGCGCGCGCGTCCGTGCGGGCGCGGGGGCGCGCGAGAGTCGGCGGCGGCGGGAGCGGCGCGAAGAGGGAGAGCGCGCTCGCTCGTTCGCTTGCTCGCTCTGCACGCGCGGCCGGCTCGGCTTTCTCCTGCCCTACACAATAGCTGGTGACTAACTGCTCCGAAGTGGCATTAGCATTTCACAAGCAGGCTATCCAGCCGCTGCGGTACCGTGGCAAGACATTATTTTTTCCCCCTCTGTCGTTTATTTTGTTTTCCTTAAATTCAGTCCTGGGTTTTTTGTTGGAAGGATTCTGATGTGTGATGATAGTTGGTCAGTGCTTCGTCTTGCATTTACTAAAACACATCTTTGCAGAAGTGTAAAGCCTGTAATTCCCTAAAACCAGAAGTTTAGTAGGCTTTTTTTAATTCTTATGGTATGCCTCTCGTTTAATTAAAAATTATTATTGGAGTACACTGAAGAGTTTTGATTTTTGTCCACATATTTACTGTGGGATGGAACTTGGCCTATGAAAGTTGTGTTTATATTGGGACATATTTTGTTTAATAGCTTAAAAACCTTAATTTTGTGGGTTGTCAAAATGAGTATTTTAGGAATCTTTAAAAATTGCTTTTCAGAAGTGGATTTATCACTTCAGTATTGTGATTGGAAGTTACTTTAAAGGAGCTATATTTTCTGTAACACTTTCTCCTAAACTGATACAGGTTCGTTGTGTGAATATGTGTGTGGGGCAGTTAAAGCAGTCGCACCGGACCCACCAAGCCTTTGAAATTTATGTAGTGTGTTGATTTTATGAGGCTTTTGTAACTGTTTTGAGATAGTTATGATTACTAATGTTACTTCATCAGAACTTCTCTAATGACTAGGAAGTTTCAGCGAGCTTAGAATGAGTGTCTTTTGTGAGGTGAAAGCAGGACATGATTATAATGGCGCTTTTTTTGGTATGTAGTGTATTTCCTAACTTTTGTGTATAAATCTCTTGTGGTTTAATATAAGATGTTGATAACCGCTCAAGGCTGTTGAAATAAGCAAGGGTACTGAGGTTTAATACATCTAATGGAGATTTAACAGTGTATTAGTGTATTCATTTTCACACTGAACGTGTGTTAATTTTCAAGGAGTGATTTGGGTTACTTTCATTCAATTCTTGGCCAAAGTGAATGGAGCTGGAAGTAAACTCCAAGATTTACTAATTTGAAATTAATTTTTAGGTTTACAAATACTTGATAGAAGTCTTCAGTGAATTTACATGTCTTCCTTGATATTTGAAAAAATTATCGCAAAGATTATAATACTCCATTTTTAAGATGGGGCAGGTTTTACAAAACTCGTCTTTGCATCTGCTTTTACATCTGTGCATCTCTTAAAAACCCACAAACCTTAAGTCACTGAGGAATGCTGCATTTTCTTAATCTTTTGGTAATGTTACATTTTTTAAATGAAGCAGCTTAATGTTATCTGGCTAAATTATGGTAATGGCTAATCCTCGTAGGAATATCATTTTGTTTTTTTGTTTTTTTTTTCAGTAAAAATGAGCTATCAATTTTGATTTTGAGTTAATTTAATTTTTGGGGGGAGGGTGGGGGGAGGAATTATTAGTAAAGTGAATTTCTATCCCTAGTCTGCATCGCAGATTTAAGATACAGTAAGCATTCTTTCTATCTATGTATTATGCTCAAAATTCACCTATTTTGAATGGAAGTGGTTTTTCTTGCTTGGAGTTTTCTCCTTACTAGAACAGGAACGTTGGCATACTCATCAGACAGTTTAGAAATCTTATTAGAACTTGGAGTTCTTTGACTCGTTTTCTCTTTTCATTCATTCAGCATATTGCTTACTCTATATCTACTGGATGCAAGGTACCATTTGAGGTGCTTTCTCATCCATCAAACTGTATATCTAGGTGTGTGAGTTAACTTTATTTTACCTTTTTAGTTGAGATTTAGTTAGGTCTAAAAACATTTGGAACACTGGATTTTTTTGTTCAATAGTTGATCTCGCTGTTTAATATCTAAGTCAGCACATGCAAAGTCTCTTGTACAGTATTTTCTATTTTAATTATTCTGACTTAAAAAGTTTTACGTTGTTGTATATCGAGTTGAATTTATTTAACATTGATTTGAAAATTACTTGTTGAGTCATTAGTTTCTACTCTACCTGGAAATGATTTGTTGTATTAACTAATAAACTGAGCAATATTTTAAATGGGAGAACTCATATATCACATCGCATTGAAATTTCTAGGAAACCTCAAATTATTGCTGCTTAAAATGGGGTGTAATATTTGTAGATGTGAATTTAAAAATAGTCACTGATCATCTGTAGTTAGTCTAGTTACAATCGCAATGGTTGAATTTTAATCAAGAGGAAAGTAGAATTTTAAGAGCAGTTTTAAAAGTTTGCAGGTTAAAATTGATGCGTTCATTTCAAGTGTGATTGAGAAAGGAAATGGTCGTATCTTATGGTTGTTTCTGTCTCTGGTATAAAACATGACTGATTATCACCATCTACCTTAAGATTTAAAACATTTTTAACAAAGTAAATGGAATTGGATAGGAAGCTAAAAGTTGTTTTTGGTACTATGGTATACGTTTAATTAGATTTTACATTTTTTAAAATATGAGATTTATTTTAAAGAAAAGGGGCACTTTTTCCAAGTATCAGAATTCTTAAACTGTAGAATAAAAAACTTTTTTTGGACGAAAGGAAAGCTTTGTCATTTGTTTATTTCTTAGTTTGAATAGTGAATCTAGTTAGTTTATTAAGTCTGCTTTCTAGTTGTCACTTAATGATGATTGCATATTTACGAGATCTAGAGGCAGAATTTTCAAGCATTTTACCGAATTTGGCACTCTCTTGATTACATTTTTTCTTGTAAGACTTCTCTTTTTTCCCCCCAAGAACTAGTTCATGTTTTGCCAATCTGTTAAAATGATTTAATTTTTTCCTTGTAAAATAGTGATACTTGCCTTTCTTAAAATTATTCCACTTTATTAGAAATCTTTTTTGTTTGTTTGCTTGTTTGTTTTAAGTGAAAGGATTGGGAGTCAGGAGATGTGGATTGTGGTTTTAAGCCCCGCTGACAGTTAAACTGTAGGTAATCTTGGGCAAGTCATGGAATTTCTCTTTGTCCCAGTTATCTCATTTGAAAAATAAGTGGATTGAAATTTTTTCAATCTGAAAATCTGTGATTTTGAACTAGAAATAGCAGTACATTGTATTTAAGAACTAAGCTTTATTTCATTCTTAGAGCTTAGTTTTCCAAAACACAGAAAAGTAGAAATCACATAGGTTACAAAATTATATAAATGCTTTTCATAGTGCCATTCTTTGGTGGTAATATCATTTCTTGTTGCAAAGATGATTTGAGACACTAACTACGTTGTAAAATGCCCCAAAATTACCATGATTTCCATCATAGTTTAAGTACTAGTTTTCATTATTGTTGGTCTCAAATTCAGAGATGAATAGGAATGATGGATAGGATTTATTTAAGTATATATCTTAGGTATACATTTATTTAGTGTGTGCTGATTAATGTGAAAGTTAAGGTATAAAACCTAGAGACAACTTTCAGGGAAAAAAAAAAGATATCATATTAAATGTTTTAGAAGTAGGGATTCCCATTCTATATTGAAGATAACATAGTTTCAACACTTGATTATTATAATTTTTTGGGGTTGGGTGAACATGTAATAAAGTAAATGTGTGTAGTTGTAGTAGAGTTACTATTTCCTTTTTTAGTAGAGTATCAATGAAATAGAAGCTTTGCGTGGTAGTCTCTAAAACAGCTTTAATCTCATATGGTCGTTATAATGATGAATAAAATATGTTAGGCGTGAAGGGTTATATGATGAATAAAATGTTAGGTGTGAATATGTTGCTGAGAGGCTGAAGGAGCATTCTTCATTCTTTCTTACATATAGAATTATTCTATTGATGCTTATACCATTTTTTAAAATTTGAGGCATTTACAAACTTTTTAAATGCAATACTTACTATATTGTTAATATTCTTAAATAGTTGTAAAGCGGCATGAGCATAAAGCGGGAGCTGGAATGTCCCTTTCCCAAACCATAATGGTTTTTATTTGATTGTTGTGAGGCAGAATCGTATTGAGGGAGTCTGTTTTCCATTCTGTAAAATGGGCTAATAATAGCTTCTACTTTGTGTGGTCTGTGAGTAATAACTGGCATGAATCAAGTACTATGTAAGGGTTTTGGTTTGCTATTATCAGAACTTTAGTAGTGGTAGTAAAGGTTGTTCTGCTTAGAGCTTTATAATAAAGTTTTCTTTAAGAAAAGCATTTACATTTTTATTCCAGGCACAAGTATGTATATACTTTCTGAACATAGAATCTGCAGTATAAAAAGGCCACATTAAAACTTCAGAAGAGTCCAGGTGTGGTGGCTCATGCCTGTAATCCCAGTACTTTGGGAGGCCATGAGTTGGAGACCAGCCTGGACAAAATGGAAAACCCCATCTCTACAAAAACTAAAAAAAAAAATTAGCCAGGTGTAGTGGCGCATGCCTGTAGTCCCAATTACCCCGAAGGCTGAGGTGAGAGGATCGCCTGAGCCCAGGGAGGTTGAAGCTGCAATAAGCTGTGCCCCATGCCACTGCCCTCCAGCGTGGGTGACACAGTGATACCCTGTCTCAAGAAAAGAAAAAAAAAATCTTCGGAAGATACTATAATTACTTTATAGACTCAAGGATGAAACAGGTCTAAAAAATAAAGGAAAAATGTTTAATACCAAAAATAAATCATGGTTAAGGCATTGTGGATAGACCTCTGGAAAAATTGTGCTACTGATTTCTACTGTGACTTGTTTTTATGGAACACTGAACATTAAGAAATAATTTGGGTGGTTGACATATCCTGAATGGATTAGAGAATATGCAAAGCTTTTTTTCTTTGGGTAATCATCAAATGACATTTAGGAATATATGAAGAGAATTTGGCTATGGCGTCTGCCTCCTTCTATACAGTTATTTGTGAGATTTACAACCATCACAATAGTTTGTATTCTTTTTGGAAACTGTCAGAGAAGAGATGTCTTGACTTCTGTTTTGTCAATCTGTTTATATATATTTTAAACAGAATTCAAGAAAGACTTTAGCTTTAGGTAAAATAAATCCTAACCGATTTCAGTTTTTTAGTTGATTCAGAATTTCTTTGTAAGTTAGTTTTTGGTTTTCTTTTTTTTTTTCATAATCTGGAAAGTTGTGGATGAATAATAAGAAAATAATAATAATAATAGTCTAATGCAGCTTCAGCTTAAGTTAAAACCAATTGACAGTCATTCTTCCCTTTCTCAAGTTTTGTGGGTATTTACCATGTCACTACAGAATTGTAACAAATAAAATGTATCTTGTACAACTTACTCTGAACAAGTAATACTAAATAGGTTAGTTTCATTCTTACTAGTAGTTTCCTTGTATAAATTTCAGAATTCATAGAAAAATATCTGTAATACTAAGCTAAGTAGCCTTTAGTTGCCAGAGAATACCAAACATACTTATTTAAAATAACTTCCTATTTTAATGCACTTTTACTTAGAAAAAAATTTTTAACAGCTAATTTTAGGATATTTAAGTTGCTTTTGTGGTTATATCTAAAAGTGGCAAAGGCTATTATAGGAATCAAATTTAAAATTTTAGAAAGACATTTTAAATGTGAACATTCTCAGTTTCTATTATTTTTTGAGAAGCTATGTCAATGAAATTATGAGGAAATTGTGAGTTAATAAATTACTTTGCAGTGAATAATGTTATTGGACCTATGGAATATAGAGGAGTGTAAGTATTTTATAACAAATTGGTGAAAATGATAACATGTTTTTTCTTGATGGAATTTGATAAAGCAGGGTACTGAAAAATCACAAACTGTTATCTTATTGAATAGTGATGAATGTAAGTTGACAAGTTACTACAGAGAAGGCAATCATCAGTTGTGAGGCAGGTCCTCCTTTATTTACCTTACACACTCAAAAACAGCCGTATTTGAGCTTAGGCATCACAGGTAAGAAAAGGATGGTTGGATGAGGAGTTTTTGATAAGAAAATTTAGGTGGCAACATAGTCGAATGCAGCTTCTTCTTATATTAAAACTAAATTGTAAGGAGAATGAGATGTGTGGTATAGGTAAGCCCTAGGTTATCCATGACAGTACAGATGGCTATGGCAGGTTTTTTTGCAGAAGAGACACAGGAAGAATTCATGTACAGCAGGCCTTCCTTATCTGCGGGTGTCACATCTGTGAATTCAACTGTAGATCAAAATAGTTTAGAAAAAAATACATAAAAAATTTTTAAAATACATTGTAACAATTATTTACATAACATTTACGTTGTATTAGATATTATAAGTAATCTAGAGATGATTTAAAGTGTGCAGGAGGAGTGTAAAGGTTATACGAAAATACTGTGCCAGTTTATATGAGGAATTAGAGCATCCTGGATTTTGATTTTGGTGTGGGGTTTCCTGGAACCATTCCCCCATGAAGATTGGAGGATGACTGTGTTCTGGACTCCAGCTGACCCATGGTCATGTGTCATGGTCTATTTGGTCTCTGTCATGAATAGAAAAAGGCATGTAACTTGTCTTGGGAAAGGTTATAGTATAATGCAAGAAATACATACCTTGTGTTTGACTCTGGTTTAGTTTTTGGGTGTAGAGACACTAAATTCTAGGCAACTTAGTGAAACATCCGTTGTCTGAAACAACTTTGCTGTCATTGTATAAGAATTGTGTTATTTTGAGTACTGTGCTTGAAACTGAAACATTAAAAATGAAACTGGTCATTCAAGATTATTTACATTGGCCTTAGTATAAGCAGTTAAAGGATGTTTCGTCCTTAAATTAATACACAGTAACTTTTCATCAGATTCCTAGATTTGAGTTTAACGTTTTACTAATAATGCTTTAAAGAGAATTTTAAAATTACACAAATTAGCACATATGACGACTTAAACATCAAAACTTGAAAATTTGTTATTTTAAGCAGTTAAATGTTGTCATTTTGTTGTATTTTAAATTATTTTTTATGGAGCATCCCTACTTTGGTTTATGGAAACCTCAATTCTGAATAGAGTCTCTTTTTTTTAGCAAGATGTAATTGGTTTATGATGAATAAAATTTGGAAGCGTAGTATTGCATTTTCTTTTTTTGTTTGTTTTTCTTATAGTATTGCATTTTCTTTAAATGACAAATTTGTGTTGGTATTTGTATTGATAATGTAAACTGAATTATTATCTAAATGAATTCTTAACAGTTAAGTAAATTCTGAATATGACATATTCTTTGAAGCTTGTTTATTCACAATTACTTGAGCAAATAGACCATCAAGATTTTTACACTTAATAAGGTTCTATATTAATTTTATTATAATTATAAAGAAATAATAGGCATCTAAGGGTCCTTCTGAGAATAGTTACCCAGGTTAGAGGACTTGACTTGTACTGACTTATATGGGTTCTATTAAGTTTTTAATCAAATCTACGTGTCGATGGGGAGAAAAACTAAAGTTCTAATAAGGAAGCTGTAACATAATAAAAATATCAGTAAACTTGGAATCAGGAGACCTGGGTTTGATTACTATTTCTCCTATTTTCCAAATGTGTGCCCTCAGACAAACTGCTGCCTTTGAACTTCAGTTTTCTTTATGTATGAAATAGGGAGAGTAGTTAAGCTTATGTGCTTATGAAGATAAATAAATTTTGGGAACACTCAGCACAAAGTAAGTACTCTGTTTTTCTGTGGAGAAGCTATTACAGTTAAAAAATCAGAAAATGCATTCTTTCTTTAAAGATTATAGATATAATTTAACCCACACTGTTAGTAACAGATTTATAATTGTAAGCTTGGATGTTTTTAGAATTTTAGGGGCTGGGATTTTAATATAGGCCTTACACAGTAATTATCACATAGTATTTCTATAAATTTATATTTATATATTGTATATTATATATTATAAATAATAAAATATAATTAATGTATATACAATATATTGTATTTCTATAATTTTGTTTATATGCTACAGTAGTGTACAAATAAGAACTATATTCCAATAAACTGGCCTTTTAGAACTCAAAAACATAATAGAGAGCAGAAGTGTAACTAGCCTTTTATATCTGACAAAACTGTGAGAGAATAGATTTGAGAAGATCTGAAAAACTGACTTTTTTAGAACCAATTAGGTGTTCAGAACATAAGGATGAAGTGAAAGCCTAGTTAGACAAATGATACTGGTGCCAAACAGCAGGGTCTTATTTTCATAATAATTATATACTAGAGGAAAGAAGGGCACTTCTAGGTCTTCACAGCTAAATCAAATAATTGGAATGAATATATTGATCTAACATCACTTTGAAAAGGTTGTTAAAAACATGCTCAAATTTTTTTCCTATTTAGATTTACAAAGATTTTGTTCAACACGAAGGGTCAATATGTAATATAGAATGTAATTAAAGTAACAGCCAACTGTTAGGTACAGTACTAACTGCTTCATATGGTTTAATTTAATAATTTATGACTACTTTCCAAGGTGGTGACTGTTGTGATACCAGTCATACAGATGAGGACACTGAGGCTTAGAAAGAGTAAATGTTTTTCCCACCCTCAGCCTTAGCAACTTTAAACCCAGGCTGTGTGACTTGAGATTTCGTGGGGTTTTTTGTTTATTTCGCTTTGTTTTTGAGACAAAGTCTTGCCCTGTCACTCAGGCTGGTGTGCAGTGGCATGATCTTGGCTCACTGCAACCTCTGTCTCCAGGGTTCAGGCAATTCTCCTGCTTCAGCCTCCTGAGTATCTGGGACTACAGGCACGTGCCACCACGTCCGGCTAATTTTTGTATTTTTGGTAGAGACGGGGTTTCACCATGCTGGCAGGGCTGGTCTTGAACTCCTGACCTCAAGTGATCCATCAGCCTCAGCCTCCCAAAGTGCTGGGATTACAGGCATGAGCTACCATGCCCAGTGAGATTTCGCATTTTAAACTACTGACCATTTCTTTAAAAACTGAGTAGAGTTCTTAGTGACTGTAAGTCTGGTAGAATGCAGCAGCTTCCAGATCCATTGTATTTTCTTCCTACTGATAACACTTGCCTTTTAACAATACCTTCCACTGAGATAATGGCAAAATTTTTTGGCTGGGAAGGATGGCTGTTTATGTGAAGTAGCATACTATCAGAAAATGTTGTTTTAGCCAAAAATGCGGGATAATAAACCTCTCAAAGAGCTCAGTTTCTTGTTTCTTCCATACTGTAATTCACATTCTCAGAAGATGACCCTTTTGTTCAAATTGCAATGGATAATTTTAGAAATACTTTATATATGTGATCTGGAAAAGGGATGATACAGATTTATGACTTGGGCCAAGATGGACAAGGAATGAGCAGAGTTGCTGCTGTTTCACAGAATTCTTTTGTTCTTGCTGATGGAAACGTTGCTAGAACCATGAATCATTCTTTCGATCAGGGGGTGGTAAACTAATGGCTGCTGTGGGTAAATTGTGCAGGAGATCTGTTTTTGGAAGGCCATTAAGCTAAGCATTGTTATTGCATTTTTAAAGAATTGTTTTTAAAAAATAAGAACATGCAATGGAGATAGTATATTATTCTTAAAGCCTCAAATATTTACCATATGATGGTTACAAATGTTTGCTGACTTGCACTCTAAATAATATAACATGATATTTTAAAAAAAGGATACCTTTGGCTAATTCAAATTTTAACTATGAAAAAGAGTTAAAATGGATGGACAGTTAGCCAAAGATTGTTGTTCCCATAGCAAGCAACTCAACTGAGAACGGAGGTGGAAGGGACATAAGTTTGAAAAAGCTCTGACTAGCCTCCTGGTTTAGCCAGTAGAGGTGTGAATCTCAATGGGATGGCATCAGGATTTGCATCCATAGGGCCCATTCTTGCATCTTATTGGAGGAGAGAAAATGTTTTGTTCATCAAAAAGGGATGAGAGCTAGGCATGGTGGCTCATACATGTAATCCTAGCTACTTGAGAGGCTGAGGCAGGAGGATCACTTGAGGCCAGGAGTTCCAGACTAGCCTGGGCAGCATAGAGAGATGCTGTATCTAAAAAAATAAAATAAAAATTAGGTGTGATGTAACGCACCTATAGTCTCAGCTGCTCTGGAGGCTGAGGTCGGAGGATCGTTTGAGCCCAGGAATTTGAGGCTGCAATGAGCTGTGACTGTGCCCCCTAGCCTTGGTAACAGAACGAGATCCCCCTGCCCCCTTAAAAAACAAACAAAAACAAAACCAGGGTGGATGAGTTTAAAAAGTTTTGAGCACTACTGATACATGGGCATTCTTGGGGAAATTTAAAAAATAGTAACAAATTTGGTATTAACTCTTTAATCTGTTTTTACTTTCTAATTTTAAATTAAGGGTTTAGAGCAGTATAATCTTATAAATATTGTAGTTTTATCTTCTACTTTTACCCTTAGAATTTTTTAAAGTGTTCCCTTTTACCTATAGGAATTTATGCTTTTATGCTAGTTTCCTTAGTAGTGCAAGTGAACTGTGAAATGTTTCTCTTTTTCTGGCTCAGTTTAATGTCTGTTGAAAACTATTCAAAATGTCTGTTGTATGACTTGCTTATATCTTGCACATTGATATATACACATATTTGAGGTAATAGGTCATTTGTGTGATAGTATGAATTGTAGGGTCCAGAGTTAGATTGCTATGGTTTGACTCTCTTATGTGCTGTGTTTGAACTTGGGAAGGTCTCAATATCTTTTTAAATAAATTCTATAATTTTTTTATAGAATGGGAATAATGATAGTATATACCTCTCAGAGTTATGAGTAGTTCCATGTAAAACTTACCACACTTACCATAGGGCCTGGCATTCAGTGTGCAGCCAATATGTGTTAGCTATATTAGTATAATTTATCACACTGACTTTATAATCTGGTCATACTTTTTATGTCTTGAATGTTAAGAATTTGAAAGCACTTAGGGTCACAGAAAGTAACTCGTATATCAGAAATTGGGGATCTTGAGGGGTTATTTTTCCCCTGAAATAATATTGTATGGCAGATTACTGAGAAACCACATATATACAATATAGTAAGAGATTTTATTATTATATTATTTTAAATGTGTCTTTTAATTATTTACCAGTGAAATAAAAGCTAATTTAAATTAAAAGCTTAAGTTTATATTAAAGATATGGGGTTCTTACTAAGTTGAAAACTGAAAATCACATATGTATATCTGTAAATAATGGATTAATATTTATGAAGAATATGAATATGATTAATATGTTTATAAAGAATGTTTAGAAAAAGTAGAAAAGATTGTTTTATTTTAAAAAATATTTTTGTTTATTCTGTGTGTGTGTGTGTGTGTGTGTGTGTGTGTGTGTGTGTGTGGTATAGTTAAGAGCAAAAAGATTCATGGCCCCTGCTCTTTTGTAGTTAATGGTGAAGTAGAAAAACATTAAATTACACTTTTAAATGTATAATCACAAGCCAATATATTGAGTTAATAAAGGAAAGTCACAGGAAGTGTGCAACCAAGAAAACAGACTTGGATTGTGTAGAGTATAGAAAAACAAAGGAAGTTACATTAGAGGGAAGATCTGAGACACATGGAAGAGTTGTCTGGGCAAGGAAGTGTGGGGAAATGCAGAGTGTATGCTATATGATAAAGTCTGACAGGAGAGAGAGATTATGCGTAAATAACCTGAAAGAAGGCCATGTGTTTGAAACGTGAAAAGTGAGAGTTGGGGAAAGGGACTGGGAATGTGCCAGGTGAAGCTAGAAAAATAAGAAGTGACCATACATGCATTTCTGGGCTGATAGACCAAGTTAAGGATTTGGATCTTTATCCAAAGAGTGAGGAAAGCATCAGAAGTGTTTTAAGTAGGGGTGACTTGATCCAATATGTATTTTGGAAAGAACATTCTAATTGCAGTATAGAGAATAGATTTGAATGGGGCATGAGTGCATATGGGAAAGGTATGCATTTATTGCAAAGATTATTTGGACTGTTATGGAGATACAGGTAGATGGATTTAAAAATAGGAAGGAAAAATTAAGTTGAACTTGGTGACTGCTTGGATATTGGGAATATGATGGGAAGGAGGAAGGAATGAACTGTGTGCAAAATGCAGCTCCTTGGTTTCTGGCTTCCAAGGTTGGATAAATGGGGTTGACATCCACCCAGGTAGGGAACACTTTAGTGGGGAATGTTTTCATGAGGATCCATCAATTCAGTTTTGCATATGTTGAGTTTCAGATGCTTTGGGGCTCTAGAGAGCTGTTTTAAGAAAGTTTGCTATGCAAGTCTATGCTATAAATAGAAATTTGGCAATCATTGTTATAACAATTGTCCAAAGAGAGAGTATATAGTGAGAAGAAAAGAGGATCTGGAACTGGACTCTGGTACCTAGGATCTTAAGGAACTTCACTATTTAATGGCTATATAGAGGAGTATAAGCCTAAAAGAAAAATGAGAAGGAATGGTTGGAGAGGAAGAAAGCAAGCCAAGGAGTGTCACAAAAGTTAAGAGAAGATAGTTTGCAAATGAGGAAGTGTTCAACAGTTAGGTGAAATATTATGGGACATTAAATAAGGTATAGATTTAAAAATGCTTATTGGAGTTATTGATAATTGAAGGTGAACTTTTGATAAGAGCTATTTTTTGTAAAGTCATGAGTGTGGGAGCTAGTGTGGAGTAGATTGAGGAGAGGATGGGATACGAAATTAGATGGACTATGGACCATTCTTTTAAAAACATGTTTCCGGAGAGGAAGAGAACGGGAAAGGGGTAGCCAGGATATTTGGGTGGGGAGGTGTTGGATAATAGCAGTTAGGCAGGATTTTTGTTTTTTCCTAAAGTGGATGCAAAATGAGCATGTTTACATGTAGATGGGAAGGAGTTGGTTGAGAGGAAGTTAGTGTACATACTAGAATGTGGAGGTCTAATTTATAGTGTAGGATTTCCGTGCAGTCAGAGAAGTTAGGATTCAAAGCATAAGTAGAGGGATTGGATCTTAAATATTTATTAAGAGGGACAGTTGTGTTAATAAGAGACAGAATTGGTACAGGTGTAGATAGGTTTACAGATTTGATAGGGAAGAAACAAAGCTTCAGCTTTAAAAAAGGTTCTCCTGTAAAGTAGGTTAGGTCATCTGCTGAGAAAATGAGGGGTGGGGAAGAGGATTCTTGGGAAAGAGAGGATAATAGCATTGTTTGTTAGTCTGTTTCCACTGTTCTTTCCAGAGACCCTTTCATGGTGGTACCTCAGGGACTGCTAAGAGGAAGCAAGTAGAGAGTCAAGCATTGAGATATGTGTTCCCTGATGCCACTTAAGTAAGATACTTTCTGAGTACCTTTACTTTAATCTGTTTTGTCTAAAATTTGTTTGAAGACATGTTCTAAGGCTTTCTTTAAAAAGTGTTTTAAAACTGTTAGAATTGGCCGGACGCTGTGGCTCATGCCTGTAATCCCAGCACTTGGGAGGCCTAGGGGGCGAATTACTTGAGGTCAGAAGTTCGAGACCAGCCTGGTCAACATGGCAAAACCCCGTCTCTACTAAAAATACAAAAATTAGCCAGGTTAGGTGGTGGGGCGCCTGTAATTCCAGCTACTCGGGAGGCGAGGCAGGAGAATCACTTGAACCTGGGAGGCGGAGGTTGCAGTGAGCCGAGATCCCGCCATTGTACTCCGTCCTGGGTGACAGAGGGAGACTCCGTCTCAAAACAAACAAACTCACCCCAAAACTATTAGAATAAAGAATTATACCATGTAAAAAAATTTTACTGCATCTATTTTTATGTGCTGGGATAGGTGCTAACAAAATGTTTTGGGTTTTTTGAGAGTGGGGAAGTCAGTCGTTTCTGCATATTCTTAAATCTTCATATATCCAACTAGAACTTTATTAAGCACTTAACTATAAGTACTGCATTAGGTATTGGGTAGACAGAGGTAAACATGGCCCAATCTCTCCTTATGCAGGACACAGACAAGTAAACTGGCAATTTTAGTATAGTGCATGAGTCTTATGAACCCCCAAAACAGGGCACATAATGGTAGGGCTTGTGTATTTTTGCAGGGAAGAAGATCGTAGCTGTCATTAGATTCTTAAAAGTCTAAGTATCAAAATATATTAAGAACAATTAATATGGTAAGTACTACACAGTGCTAGAGGGATGAAGGGACATTCGAGGAGTATAATGTGCTGTGGGAACACAAAGTGTCCAAAAAGGGGCACAGGTGGTGTAAATAGGTCATGGAAGGCAGTGAGTGAGACATAGACTGAGACATGAAGGAGAATGAGGTGTAGAGGTGAGCAGGTAAGACAAGATTGCCAGCAGAGGCATCAGCTTGTATAAAGTCTCAAAAGCCAGAGAAAGCACAAGGAATTTAAGAACTGGAAGTATCTCTTCTAACTTTAAAATGAAAGTTGATTTTGAAAAATTCAAACATTCTAAATCACCAAAGAAAGCTTGAGTCAGAGTGGATTCATAATATTTTATTGAAAGATAGAATATTACAGTAAGGATTTTCAGTTTCACTACCTGAAAATATATTTTGCCAGAGGATACTAAAACAGGATCATCACACATCTGAAGTTAATAAGTAATGAACTTCCATCTTCTTTAAAGTAAAATTTTTAAAAGGAATTTTGATCAATTAAGTCACATTAAAATAATCATTTGCAAGCTTAGAACTGGAAGCAACCTTACAAGTATTCTAGACTTCTAAATTTTATTTTTGAGTAAATTATTTTGGGGAAGATTAAAGAAAAGTATACGATTTTAAAAACTCATTTTGGTAAGTTTTCTTTTAAATGCTTTTTAATTTAGCTAATCATACTAGTGTTTCCTAAAGTATGTTCTGAGTGAATATGATAGATATTATTAGGGAAAAAAGGGATTCTGTAGCTAAATGAGTTTGGGAAATAATCTCAGGATTTTTCAGAGACTTCAATGTCAGTGTGCTTTTTGACTGCAAAACAAGGAGGTAATATGTATAATTCATATGATACAAACTGTATTAGAACTCCTTTTTCCAAAAATACTCATTTTACTGGCTTATCACCTACTGTATGCCAAACTGCTGTTTTAAATAATCTTACCAAAGATTATTTGGTGGCAGTATGGCTCCATGTTATCTTTGTGAAAGAAGGAGTGTATTTTGATAAAGAGTAAGGTAGGTTTCTCCTATTGGCTTCAGTTTAGATGGGTATTAGCTACCTTTAAAAACATATCATTCATGGATTTCTGCAGTTAAGAGTATAGCAGATATTGCAAGATGGAATGAGATGATTTAAATCCTCACCTCCCCCCACATCAGTCTTATCAAAAGGAATTCATGTTAAAGTTGCCATTACTTGGTAAACTTGAGGAACAATTTTCAAATTTCTTGGTCTTAGGACCCCTTTACACTTACTAAAATGTATTGAAGTTCCTTTATTTGTGTAGCTTATAATCTATTGGTATTTACCATATTAGAAACTTAGCATTTAACATATTGGAGACCTATTAAATAATACTAATAAACTAATCTTATTTTAATATAAGTAACATTTTTATAATAATTATTCCCAAACAAAACAAATTTGTGAGAAGCGTGGCATTGTTTTACATTTCTGTGAATCTTTAATATCTGGCTTAATAGAGGAGACATTTTCCTATCTGCTTCTGCATTCAGTCTGTTAAGACATCACATGTTATGTGTCCTGTGGAAACCTCCACCGTGCATTCATGAGAAAAAGTGAAAAACAACTAATATAGTGTTATTCATAAGTTTTATCTGAGGGACCTCCAGGGGTTCCCAAAACATACTTTGAGAATAGCTGAACTAGATACTACTGTGGAAATTTTTTTCTAACTTGATAGCTAATTATGAAGTAATACAATAGTATTTTTTTCCAATATAATTTTATTTAGATAGTGAATATTGTTTATTTACTGAAAGACTAATAAAAATATTAGCATTTCATGTCATGGTTTCAAATGCCGGTATAAATTAAGCAGTATTTTGAAGTTGTTCCAAAAGTGCTCAAACTTTTTATAGTGGGTAGCTTTATTTTATGATTGAAAGATATTTAAAGCAGCAGTTGGAATTTTGCCTTTCTCTCTGTAAGGTTTTTGGTAAATTATGAAATTCAGCATAGATGTTAAGTGTTCTTAAATTTTTTAATAACAAACTATCAGTTCTTAATTCTTAATTATTCTGGAGATTTACTTTACATCAAAGACGCAAAACAAAATATTTTATACTTGGATGAATTTTTTTATTGTTGCTCAAAGATTTTGAAAATTAAAATGATAAACTGAAACCTACTATATTTGTCTTTTACATAATAGGTGAAGTATTACAGACACTTAGCACCTGATCACTTGCTGCAAATATGTCATCGACTAGGACCTCTTCTTGAACAAGAAATTCCTCAAAGTGTTCCTGGAGTACAAACTTTATTAGGAGCTGGAAGACAGTCTTTACTACGCACAAATAAAAGTATGAAAATTTTCTCATAGGATTTAGACATTATTTATCTCACTTTTGTTTTTGTGTTCTTTGTATGCATAAAAATACATGTGTTTAATAGGCTGCAAGCATGTTGTGTGGAAAGGATCTGCTCTGGCTGCGTTGCACTGTGGAAGACCACCTGAGTCACCAGTTAACTATGGTAGCCCACCCAGCATTGGTGAGTTGTTTGAGTTCACTAGTAGTTAATAGCCTCTTGGTAAAGAGCTTTTGAAAATGAAAAGGTTTTTTAGTTACTGTGGTATTAGAGAACTTCATATTATGTACATCTGCATTCAAAAAGAAAAAAATAGATTTTTTTTCTTAGTAGTAGTTTTAATAGTGAAAAAGTCATGTATAATGAGGGATTGTGCACATTGCACCTTATGTAGGCCAATTAGCTCATTGGAATTTTATTTTTACGAAAGTTCCATATTAAGGTATATATTATTAGGTCGAGTTAGTAGAATCAATATATAATTCAGATTAGTTATAATGGTAGGAGACAAAAGTAGTTATCTTTTTAAGAGCACAGTACTTTTTTTTTTTTTTCTTTTTTTGGCTAAAGTTTCAAAGAGGGAGTACTGATGCAAGTATGTCTTCTTGAGATGCCTCCTAGGTTCATGCCTTTCACATCTGCTACTACCAGGCCCTTGCCTTACCCGGATTAATACAGCATCATCCAAACTAATCTTCTTGCCTATGGTGTCTTCTATCTCTCTCTCCCTCCCAGTATAGTGTGTAACACTGTAATAGTAACCTTATTCAGTTCTACCTTTGTTGTGTCACTCTTCTGCTGAAGATAGTATAAAGAGGTTAAGATATTTTAATAGTGTTGTACTTTCTCTAAGTGTACTCCTAATTTTCAGAGACCTTCAAAGTTCAATCATAGCTTCTTTTCCACTCTCATGTTCCTGCCTAGCCAGGAATGTTACTCTTCTTTCTTCCACCTGTTCAAATCTTACTTAATTCTTCCTTTTCTGGATACTTATTATACAGATCGTAAGTTTATATGACTTTTGTTTGGCATTTTTATATATATATATATATATATATATATATATATAATTTTGCTTTCAACTTTTTGTTTCCTTTTATTTCTTGTCTTTTAAAAATATAAAAGTGGCTTTTAAAAATACAATATGATAATCTGTGTTTTATCTGGAACATTTAGTCATTTACATATAATCATTGATGTACTTGGGTTTAAATCTACTATCTAACTTGCTACTTTGAAGGCAATCCCTTTTTCTCTAATTGTTTTTAAGATTTTTTCTCTTTCTGGTTTTCTGCAGTTTGAGTATGATATGTCTTGATGTTAATTTTTTAAAAATTTGTCTTGCTTAGATTCTGGAAATGTCTTTTATTGACATTGAAAAATTCTCAGTCATTATCTTAAAATAACCTCTGTGTTCCTTTCTCTCTCCTTTCCTATGGGACTTAAACACTTTATCTGCTTCGTTATCCTTTCTTCTATGTTTTACATGTTTTTGACTCTCTGATGTATTCTGAATTGTTTGCTCTGACTTACTTTTCAGAGATAACGTATGTGATATCTGCGTGGTGGGTAATCATCTATGATTTTTTTTAAAACATAAGATTGTCCTGTTTAAATAATTTCAATATATAATCTTGCTATAATAAACAACCATTAAAACAACAAAAAAATTTGAGAGACGAGGGTATATTTGTACTTAGAAAAGTATTCTAAGGTGGTATAATAGGATTCCTGCAAGAAGGGAAAGATAAAATATTATAGGAGTTTTCCCATTTAGGAAAAGTTTATCCTGTCTTTGAAAAACTATAGATCCACATAATAAGGAGAACACGTTATGCTTGTTCTTTCAGTACATTGTCAGTCAGGCCTGTGGTAGGTAATGAAAGTGTAAGAATGATTGATGGTAAATAACATTTGCTTTGTGAGTAATTCCTGTATGCCAGACACTGTTCTAAGCATTTTCTATTTATTTACTCTTTTAAAACCTTAAATGTTCTATAGGTAGGAACTATTATGCTTATTTTACAGAGGAGACTGAAGCATGGAAAGATTTTGGTAACTTGACCAAGTTCACACATGCAGTGAGAAGTGAAGCCAGGATTCAACCCAGACTGTTTGACTCCATTATGCTATGCTTTATTCCCAGTAAACTGAATTTATTAATAATAACACTTGGCTACTCAAGAAAATTGGTGTTAGTCATTTTTTGTAAAAGGGAACCAAATATTTATAAAATCAAATATAATATTTTAGGCCACGTCGTTGATGGTCAGATTAGTAAATACTGCTGACAAGGAGAGAGGAACATTTATCTTCCCTTATTCACAGGAGATACATTCTGAGATCCGTAGTGGATGTCGGAGACAACAGATGGTACAGAACCCTATATATACGTATGGCAAAAATACCTTGGGTTTTGCATCCAAGCATAGAAATGTAATTGATTCATTTAGGTAACAGAATTAATTGCCAAGCAGGTGATTGATGTACCTTTCTGAAAGACTATTTTATTTTTAGAGTTTAAGATAATTTTTTTCTCTCTCTCTTCCATTGTGATTTTCAGGAAAATCTTTGCTTTATTTTAAGAAACACCTGTAGTGGATTGCCCATTTTGCCTACTTTTAAAAATTGTATTTACATATATTTTTTGAAAGCACTGCAGAGAAGCTAGACTGACCAAAATGACTCAACTTGCATAGTCATAGGTTAGTGTCTGTGTTTTGCTAGAGTTCACCATGGTATATATTTTGTTTTATTATCGCTATAAAGTAATGAACAGGATGGTGTTGGGGAGAAATAATTCATCAGTCTTCTTGCCAGAATAGTTGCCTGCATAGTGGTACAATGCATTATTTCAAGCTGTTACAGTATGGTTCAGAAGATTGAAAAAAATATATATGAATGTTTGTAGTACTGACTTATTTCTTCTTTTGTTGAGTCTTTGCCATTTTCTGTCTGGCTACCTTTAAAAGTTTTCTTTGCTCTTTCCTTGGTCAGTGTGGTATTACCAAGTATCAGTGGAGGTAAGAAAAAATTCTTGATATTTTAGCTTTTCTTAAGATACGTACGTAGATTTAAACGTTTAATATAGATCCCAAATATTAAAATTTTGACACATTTGGGGTAGTAGTTTTTCTTTAAATAAACTTTTAATTTTGGAGTAAGAAATTATTTACTGAGAAGTTACACAGATGGTTTAAAGAGCTCCTGTATACCCCTCATGCAGTTTCCCCAAATGTTATACTTTTGCATTACCTGGTCTATTTCTCAGAACTACTAAGCCAATATTGGTGCATTACTGTTAACTAAACAGCAGACCTTATTCATGTCTCACTAAGTTTTCCCACTAATTACGTTTTCTTATTCCAGGATCCAGTCCAGGATACCGTACTTGACATAGGGTTTGTTAATTTTTTATTGGACTCCTTACTGTAGTTCAGAGGATAATTTTAGGTTAAGCTTGTGGCAAAATTGGATTTTCTTAGATATTTCAAACCATATGGAAACTGTTGGACCTCTTGAATATCTCACATTCATCTCAAACTTAAAAATACCTAAAATGTAATTTTTGACACTCTCTGAACCTTGTTACTCCAAGCCAGAAGCCTGGAGATAATTTTATTTTAGATTTACTGTTCATTTCTTATGTCCGTTTAATAAATAATACCTGTTTATTCTACTTTCTTGAATTTGTTCTCCATTATCATTGCCACAGCCACATTTCAGGCCTTGGTACTTCTTGCTTGGAGTTCTACATTATTCATTCACTCGCTGAGTAAATATTGTATATCTCTAATTATATCTGGCACTGGGCTAGGGTCTGGAGTTGCGGATAAGCAAGAACAAGACCTCTGCTCTCCCAGAACTTAATTGCTACTTGAGCCCCTGCCCCTAGTCTATTCCTGTATGTATCCTAGGAGTCAGATTCTAACCAGGGTTTTTTAACCTTGGCACTGTTGAGACATTTTGGGCCAGATAATTCCTGGATGTAGGCAGCTTTCCTGTGCATTGTTGGATGTTTATTAGCATCCCTGGCCTCTGCTTGCTAATTGCCAGTAGCATCCCCACTACCCCCTTGTCACAATTTAAAAAGTCTCCAGACATTGCCAAATATCTCCTGGGCAAAATTATCACTGCTCTAAACTTTTTGAAGTGCACATATTACCATGTCATGCCTCCTCCTTTCCCCCATTGAGAGTGACTGAATGATAGTGTCAACCATTTTAATGTGTCACACAAGACTGACCTTTTCCCACTTTTCCTGCCATGTCCTCACCTGCACTTTGTGCTCTAGCTTAGTACAACTCTTTGGCAGTTCTTAGAATCAGCCATGTTGGTTTTCATCCTTTTGTCTCCTCACATGTTTTATTTCTCCCTGGAATGCCCCTCTGTTTTCTGTACGTTGTACAAATATCTGTTTATCCTTTAAAACTCAGATGTTAAACTGGGCAGAATTAAGTGGTTTTACTTATCTCTACTATTGATTTTATCACATGGTTATGGCTATTTATTTACCTTTGTTTCCTCTACTATACTGTTAGGTCCTGGAGGACAGACATTATGTTTTATTGCTCTTTAGAGACCCAACTCTTCAGCATTAGTAAATATTAAATGAAAAGTAGTAGGTAGTTGATGAAATTCATACACTGGGATGGGACAAGTAAAGTTCAAAGGTGGGTAAGGTATTACAAAAATGGAATGAAGGTTGGTAGAAAGAAGAGAAGCTTGATCCAAGAATAGCTTTGTGGTAAGAGAAGATAAAATCACCAAACCAGAAACTGATTTTTAAGAAATTAAGGTTTATGAGTAGACTGAGTTATCAGTTCATTACACTTGGAATATAAAATACATACCTATACAATTTGAGAAGCCACTTGAGCTTGTCTCAGTGTTTTCTTATCCTGTTTTATTTTATTATGTGCTTAGAATTCCCAACTACTTTGAACCTTTTGGTCTTTGATGTAAGTTGTGAAAATTGAACTAGAACTCAGTCTCAGCAAGAGACCCAAAGTGGTTCACCTGCCTTCCAGTGCTCTAGAACCTCCTTTAATACTGTTTTCAAAAGCAAAGACAAAAGATCCCACTGATCTGTTGTTATTACTAGCTTGTGATTCTTTTATTGTGGAAGAGAGATGTGAGTGTGTACTTGGCATAGCAGCATTTACTTCCAAAGGTATTAGCGAATCTTTAGTATTGTCCTTTCTCTTACCTCCATACCCACATTATGCCTGTTTTCAGATATAGTTTATTCTATATTTGCTTATACTTCAGTAATAAATGTGCATGAGTAAGGGGAGATAGGAAAGAAGAGACCTAAATACATTAAAGGGGTTTTTAAGATTAAATTTGGAAGTTGGTTTAATGCATGTTTATCTTGTGAAAAAGATTGTAATACATTAAATTAAAGCAATTTCTGCTGATTGCTTTGTTTGCATTTTTCTTACATTTGACATGTTAGCAAAGTAAACTTTTTATCTCTAGGTCTTTCATTTGTCATCGTTTTTGGTGTTTTGCCTAAGTATTTCCATATTTTTATTTTACTTGTCTGTGGAGGTTTGCTATTAAGTTCTGCAGTTTTGTGTGAGGATAAGGAGTTTTGAGAATCCTGATTCTTAAACATGTTTGAGGGTAAGGAAAAAACTTTGCCTTGAAAAGTAGCTTCACTACCCAGACATCCAATTAATGCTAAGAAGCCTTTGCATTTAAAAAAAAAAAAAGTCTTAAATCTTGTCTACATTTATAATTTTGTGATTCTCTGAGAAGACTAGTTTGAATAAAGACAGCAAACAGTCACTTAAAGCTAGATGCAAATCTTTGTAGAGAAGACTCTTCTTTCTCACCTTGTGCTATATTTTGCCATATTTCCAATATTGTGTTTGAATTTTCTGTAGCTGGTAATTTCTTAAATTTATTCAATCAAGGTTTTTTTTTCTTAGACTCTTAGGTTTATATTTTTCCTCATATATTTCTTACATAATTATTAGAATTTTTTTATATTACAAATATATGAGATTACATAATTTTAATATATAAGTTAACAGTTACATATAATTCAGCAAATTATAGGATATAATATATGGGGTTTTTTTCCTGTTCACTTATCTTTTTCTAATATGCTATATTCAGTGTTTTTTCTTTCCATTTTCTTACTCAATCCATACTTTATTCCTAGTTAGATATCTACTCATCACTTATTTAAATATATTTATTTTAACCTATTGTTTCTCAGTAACCATTTTTACTTTTAGAGCTCATTTTCTGTTTTTCTAGTCATAATTTTAGTCTTATAAAGGTTTTATACTTCGCTTTTTTTTTTTTGGTTTAATGATTGTTGACTCAGTTATATTCTTTTTTGTCTTGGTCTTTGTTTTTTAGTGTTTTCCCTGAATGATCTTCATATTTCTATTTGACACAGGTTTTGTTGTTTTATTAACTATTTTCTCCCTAGCCCCTCCCCTGCCTTTCTATTTCCTCCCTTTTTTTTGCCTCTTAAAAACAGGTTAGCTGTGAGAGACTTGCAAGGTGTATTAGCATTTTTTTTTTTTTTAGGGAAATAATGTTCATTATGCCAAAGTATCAGATGTACAAAATATATATTTATTTATTTTTTCCTCTGCTTAAATTTCTTTTGAAATTAATGGTTGACAAAAAAAAGGGGGCAAAACTTTGAAGAAATGAAACTCCCTTAGGTGAGTTTAAATTGTTGCTTTTGTAGCTAGCTGTGTTTTAATTTCTTCTGTAACTAATAGGATAACATTTGTTTTTAGGTTATAGATGTGATGAGGGATATCCCCTCCACTTCATATAAACCATCTGGCAAGCAATTCCAGTAGTAATTAGGAATCACTAGCCATTTTCCCTTTTAGTTTGCATCACATATTTTTCCAGAGTGATTATTGGGTTTGATTTTGTTGAATACTCATATCTGTGTAGGTGAAGCAAATTATGATATTATTTTCTCATAAGGTCATGACTTTTTATTTTGAATTTCTTCAGGGATCCTTTAAAGTTACGTATTCAGTGTTTTCTTAGACATCTTTTGGACCTGGGAAGTCCATGATCAGATCAGGCTGAATAGATATTTTTATAAACAAAGGAATAATTTGTTCAGCTCCATAAGGAAGCCTCGGGGAAAATTGGGCTCCAACAAAAGTCTTTTAAAAAGTAAAAGAAAACTATGTTCAGTTAAATTAACTTTTATGGCACATGAAGATTTGATTGTTTAGGGACAGTCCATATCAATGTTAGTATAAAATACCTTTGAATTTGCAAAACATTTTGTCTCGTCTGTTTTCTATAGCAACTCTTTAAGATAACCCTACATTTTTAATTTAATTTTATTCTTTTGAGATTGAGTCTCGCTCTGTTGCCCAGGCTGAAGTGCAGTGGCGCAATGTCGGCTCACTCCAACTTGCTCCTCCCAGGTTCAAGCCATTCTCCTGCCTCAGCCCCTCAAGTAGCTGAGACTGCAGGCATGCACCACCACACCCGGCTAATTTTTGTATTTTTAGTAGAGACGGGGTTTCACCATGTTGGCCAGGCTGGTCTCGAACTCGTGACCTCAAGTGATCCACCTCGGTCTCCCAAAGTGCTAGGATTACAGGTGTGAGCCACCACACTCAGCTGATCTTACTTTATTAATGAGGAAACTGAAGCTTAGAAAAGCAGTAACCAATGACATTATATCTCTGTTTTTGTGTGTATATGTATGCATGTACCTCAGATCTTATGCTTTTAACTTTATGTCACATTTATATAGCACCTTTTTGCCTTCTCTGTGAAATTCTTTATGTGTTAATGTGCCAGCTCTGTCCATTTGTTGATTTGGTAATAGCAGGTGTTTGAATTTTGCCTCAGTATTTGAACTCTAGAAACAATGAAACATGGTGTGTTCTTTTCAAGTTTTTATATAGTGCCAGATACTTATGAGATCAGGTATTTAATTCCTTGGGAAAGTGTTGATAATTTTGGTGTCAAGCTGATTAAATTTTTTCTAAAATGAAATTTTGTTTTCAGAACCCTTTGATTTTTTTGCAAAGTTAGCTTTTGCTTTTACTTATATCCTTTCCAATTCATTCTCATTGTGGTCAAGAGAAAACTGCAATGAGTTATCCCAAAGTAAATCTTACTATGTATATTACTCCATTCTTTTCTCCCCCAAAACTTCAACCCGTTATTACTGGAATTTAGTCCAAAATACCTAACCTAGCTTAGAAAGCACTCTATATAGTCCGCTCCCCTACCTTCTCAGTCTCTTCTCTTGACACTTGCCCTTTCTCTACTCTGTGTGCAAGTCAATCTTGACTTCTTCATGTTGCTTGAATGCTATGCTCTTTCCAGCCTCAGGCTATTGCACATGCTGTTTCCTCAACCTGGAATATGCTGCGCTCACATCAGCATTCTGTGGCTGTTCATTTTTCAGGTCTTAGTTTAAATGTCAGTTTTTCAGAGAAGTTTTCCCAGACTCCCAGATATCCACCCCTCAGCCCCAACGTGTTTAGAACCCTTTTGCTATATATTTCAAGATTTCCCTATACCTTCTATTTGATAACACTTAACATTGTTGTAAGTCCTTGTTTCATGTCTTTCTTCCCTGCTAGACTGCAATCTCCATGAGGGTAAGTACCATGTCTTTTCTTTTTCCCTCTTATTCTCTAGCCCATATTTGGCTCATATAGGTGCTCTATAAATGTTTGTTGACTCAAAATTGAGTGATTAAAATGTTTGACATTAAAAAAAACCACCTAACTTAAAAAATGTTTATTTAAAAGAAAAATAAATTGTTATTAAAACAACTGTAAACATTTTAAAATATTTAAAACTGAAAACATTATGTCATTGTGTGTTTTCTACTTGAACTAGCATCAGACTGGTTTCCAGGAAATAAAATAGGAGGAAGATTAAATACTATTCCTAATAATTATCATATCTACCCTTTTTATTAGTGCTCTTAATGTAGTTGGTTCATGAAATTTTTTGCTTACTTCTTGGAATCATCATTTTCTGTATTTTATTTCAGTTTAGTATTTGGGTTTTCCTTTTCAGACATTATGCATCTTTATGGTATCTGCTAAATTTTAAAAACATAGTATGTTTCAAACAGGAGGTGCAACTACACACCAAAATTGAATATCTAGAAATCTGGAAAGTAGCTGCTGTGCATACTGATTATTTTAGTTATAGTATTAAAGCGAAGAGAGAAGCTATCATGGGTGCTATGTTGCTCAGGTGACTATTTCCCCTTACTCTTCTATTCCCAATACCTGCCCTCCTTTTTTTGTAGACAAAAAGGTGACTACAAGATTATCTTTTTATATTGCAACCCAGTTCTTTGTACTTTAACTGAAATTGGGACTATCATTCATTATAGTTACTATTACGGTGATT
Source organism: Homo sapiens (assembly GCF_000001405.40). Lineage (NCBI taxonomy): Eukaryota > Metazoa > Chordata > Mammalia > Primates > Hominidae > Homo > Homo sapiens. The sequence goes on along the minus strand of NC_000006.12, from coordinate 79,051,273 downwards.
TATTTGTCCTGTTTCTATGTTGGTTGGTTGCTACTTGCTGGTACAGTATGATGTAGAGACCAGATGGTACTGTAGGAGTAAACCAACCTGTGTTGAATAATTTCCCAGATTAATTCTGGCCCTCGAATTATGAGTATTTGGTTGTCATTACTTCCTTGATACCCGTGTTAATAACAGGTCTTTCCATTGTGGCTCTATAGTGAATTAAACATTCCTCCTTATATGATTCCCTCCGAAACAAAATTGAACCTGAACTATCTTTGACATGTTTCTCTTTTTGTTTAAAAATTCAGTGGGAAAGATTACACAAACAAATCTTACAACAAAGTTGATGGCCTGCTTTGTAGTATTATCTTACAGCTTTCAAATCAAAACTGATGTGAATTATTTCTTTATAGCATATCATTTTTTCAGTCCATTTTCAAATACGCAATTGTCATTCTCTATAGCATAATATACATTCATACACTGTAATATGCTTAGGCATTAGTGTTTCTTTTTTATGATTAAATAAATTTAAATTCCTTGCATCTTTATCTCTAGGTTTATTTTTGTCAGTCTTTGAATTTAAGCTAGTCTCTTTAGATATTTTAGAGTTTTCCTACTGCTTTTTTGAATTCCTTGAGGTAGATTGAGTTATAAAAAATTAGAATGAACGTATGCTCTATAGAGAAAGTTTGGAAAACAGAACAGCTCAAAAATTAATCAGTCTCACTCCTTAACTGCTGTACATACTTTGGCATGTTTTCTTTCAGTCTTTCTTTTCTAATATTGATCTGCATAGGCAGCATATAATAGTTAAGGGTACAGTCTTTGGCACCAGACTGCCTGAGTTTAAACCTGGGCTTCACCTCTAGTAAATTACATTTTATCCTTTGGTTTCCTTACTGGTAAGGAATATCTGCTTATTGGGAATAATGGAAGTATCCACCTCAAAGGATTAGGGAGGATTAAATGAGAATATATGTAAAATATTTAGAATAGTGCCTGGCATGTAGTAAAACACTCAGTAAATACTAGCTGTTATTCTCTAAATTTGCTACACGTCGTAAGAGTGTTCTGTAGCCTTTTTCCTCTCCTTGTTATGTATTGTATGGTGACATTTATACCCACATTATTAATTGCAGCAGATAAGACTTTTTTTTTTTAATCGTCAGATTCTTGAAGTCCTAGTAAAAACCTCTCATAACTCTAAACCATGGTTGCTTTCCTCTTCCTTTATAGCCATTTTCTCAAGGGTTTGATGCCTGGCTTTAACGTAACTTCTGTTAGAAAATTATGATTAGCAATTTTTTTTTACCCTCATATTTCCTTTTCATTAAAACACTTTTGTGGATCTCTAAAATGAGCAACATTTCAAGTAATTTTATGCCTTATTAAATACTTTATGCCACACAATACATTTATCTGATAGAAATTCTGAAATCACCAACACCATATATAGACAACTATTTGGACTTGTAATGAACTAATGAACTTGGAGGGTCATTTTTATAGACATTACTCTCTGATGTCTAGTCATGAATATAGCATTATTTTCTTGGAAAATCTAATTATCATCTAAAATTGGAGATGGCACATATGAGGGGTAAATCAGTTTGGAATTTGTTTTCATGTACTCTTAAGTTACTCAATTTTAGTGTCATGGAGTTCCAAACTGTTGTTTTACAGTGATAGTTATTAATCGTATTTGTAGAAAGCCAAAGCCTTTATTAATACAGATGGTGGAGATTAAAATGAAACCTGTTACTGATTATTTAGAAGTTACTCCCTTTTATATTTTAATTTAGGAATCATTTCTGTAGTTGTTAATTATAAATTATAATTACTTTTGCATTTTATTTACAGAAAACCTGGGAGCTTTCCTTCCAAGTGTTTTCTTTAATTAGAATCACAGAATAAAACTAGTCAAGACCAGCCATGGTGGCTCACGCCTGTAATCCCAGCACTTTGGGAAGTTAAGGCAGGCAGATCACTTGAGGCTGGGAGTTCGAGACCAGCCTGACCAACATGGTGAAACCCCGTCTCTACTAAAAATACAAGAAAAATTAGGCATGGTGGTGCACACCTGTAATCCCAGCTACTCAGGAGGCTGAGGCATGAGAATCGCTTGAACCCAGGAGGCGGAGGCTGCAGAGATTGTGCCAGTATACTCCAGCCTGTACGACAGAGTGAGACTCTGTCTCAAAAAAAAAAAAAGTAAAACTAGTCAAAAGAGGATAAAAAATGAATTAAGTAAAATTAATGAAAACCTTCTCATAAAATACTGATGCGTCTTGTCTGAGTACCCCCAATTCTGCAGCAGAAAAGGCCCAAATTTTACTGAGATACCTTCCGAGTTACATATTCTTGTGCCTCCTCACTTAATTCTTCTACTGTATAAAAATTGGTTCTCCAGGTTTTAGAATCTACAGCTACATGCTTTTCCTTGCATTTCATTAGGCTGCCAGCAGGGCTCTGCTTTCATGAGTTGGCAGAAGTTGTAAGCACTGTTTTTGTGGTCCTCCATTTCTGATTAAGAGGGAACAGCTTTCCTACACTGGAGTAGGTATTATATAGCATATTATATTGTTATTAACAGTTAGAAAACAATAATAACAAAAAACACTAACCTTTGTATTTTGTTAATTCATAGTCATTTTCATTTTTTTCCAAGTCATCTTTTTTAACCATGGTTAATTTTGATCTTGGGTAATTTATTGCAGCTTTATCATGTGTGCTTGTTCATTTTACAAAGATCTTTGCAAAAGGAGAAAAAAGTCTAAACATTTTGTAGGGAGGTAATGGTATTTCTGCTATAGTACTTATTTGCAGGGTTTTTTTTATCATGTATTTTTCTAGTGCCTTCAAAAATGTATTTACTAAGGTTATTACAGATACTCTTTTATGGCAGCTACCTTTTTCTTTCTTTGTGAACTTGGTTCAAATGATGTAGTGAGAGAAAATGAGGTAACTTTATTATGTTTATCTTTTTAAAAAATCATCTGCATTGAAAATTTGGGCCCAACAACAGGAAGAAAGCACCATGTTCTAGATAGAAAGATGTCAGTTTGGTAGTAAAGTTAAATTTACATTTCCAACAAAATTTTGTAACTTTCTGTTTATTTTCAAAATTAACAAATAATAAAGATACAACATTTTTACGTGGACTTATGAGAGGAATACCCAAATAAATATTAAAACATCATTGATTGTAAGATTAAAATTTTGGTATTGGCATATAAATAGACTGTCAGTCATGTCAGTGGCCCAGCACAGAAAAAAAAAAAATACATATGTATATATAACCATATATACAATAATGTAATCAAAATTTAATAGAAAAGAATTATTTAGTAAATGGAAAGGCTGGAACAAATAGTTACTTGAGGAAGAAAAAATAATCTTTAGAGACCTCATAATGAGTATTATAATTGTAGATGGATTAAAGAGTTAAGTGAGAAATCTAAACTACAAAAAAGTAAAAGAAAATGTAAGTAGATGTTTATTGTACTGTTGGGCTGAGTAGGAGAACTTCATATTAAAGCAGTAGAAGATATTAATATAATTGACTGTGTAAAATTTGTGAAATTGTGGGGTGTCAAAGAACAGCATAATATGAAAGCCAGGTATATTGTGGTAAATGGAAATGTTTCTCTAATAATGTAACTGGAGAAATTAAAGTTTAGAACGAGTAACTTGCTTAAAGTCTCCATAGTGACAAATTTGAACACAGGTCTGTCAGACTTAAAACCTCTTATTTCATTAAGGAATACAACATAGCTGTTAAAATGCTGTTTTTGAGGTAAACCTTTGCGAAATTTTAAAAGTGATTGCTATAGACAATAGAATTATGGGTTTTTCTTTCATTTATGTTCTTTTCTAAATTGAATATGCATTAGTATTATGATTGGATAAGTAAATCAGTTCTCGAAAAATAACTAGGTGTGAAGTAAGAAGTGACTTATGGGGGAATTTGACTTATTATCCTAGCACCTAAAGAAGTAATGGATGAGAACCCAAGGGCTGAATATGCGCATAGTCACATCTAATGTTTAAGAAGTTGTGGGCCTTTTGTTGATCTCTACTAATTGGCTTTGTAGACTTGAGCACATATACTTTATTTCAAAGGCTGTTCTGAATGATTTGCTGCAAATGACATGCTTCAGTATTTTGCTCCTTTTTTACTTCAGACTTTATTCAAATGGATAACAGTGATTTCTGGAATTTTTATTTCATTTATCCTCTATATTCAGAAAATTAAGTGAATACGTTCTCCCCTTATTTCCCAATTAAATTCATTTAGCAGGGCAGTTAAAATGAAGCACTATTTAGAGATATTTTGAATATTTTAATCTGTGAGATAAATCTTCCTTTTTTTTTTTTTTTTTAATTCTTAAACCTAATTTGTTGTTGTTTGAGATGGAGTCTTGCTTTGTTCCCCAGGCTGGAGTGCAGTGGCATGATCTCAACTTATGGCAACCTCCGTCTCCGGGGTTCAAGCTGTTCTTCTGCCTCAGCCTCCCACATAGCTGGGATTACAGGCACCTACCGCCACACCAGCTAATTTTTGTATTGTTAGTAGAGATGGGGTTTCACCATGTTGGCCAGGCTGGTCTCGAACTCCTGACCTCAAGTAATCCACCCACCTCAGCCTCCCAAAGTGCTGGGATTACAGGTGTGAGTCCCTGTACCCACTAAACCTAATTATTTTTGTTAATATGTAATTTATTTGTTAATTCACCAACCTGTGTCAGCTCTTAGGCTAATCAGAGAACAAAATAAAATCCTGCCCATGTGAAGTTTGTTATCTTGTAGTAGGAGCAGGCAGGAAATAAGCAATGAATATAATAAATAATTAAATAGGTCTGGTAATAAGTGATAGATGAAGAGCAAATATAAAGCTGAATAAAAGGGGATCAGAAGTTATGGGTGATGGCAGGGGCTGTGTTGCTATTTTCAGTGGGCTGGTTAGGTTAGGCTTTATTCAGAAGGTAACAGACATCTGAGAAAAGACTTGAAAAGGTATAAGGGAATTAGCCATATGTGGAAAAAGACTTCATGAAGAGGGAACAGCCAGTGCAAAGACCCTAAGTTTGGAGCACACCTGGTGTGTTGGAAGAACAGGAGATTGGAGTGGCTGGAGCAGGTCAAGGCGAGAAGTAGCAGGTAAGGTTAGAGATAATGGGAGATAAGTTTCTGCAGGGCCGTCTTAGGCTGATGTATCAGGAAGTTGGTGTTTATTCTGAATGAAATGAAGAGCATTGCAGTTTTGAACAGAGGAGCAGTGTTGTAGTGCAACCAGTTAGGATGCTTTTGAAATCTTCCTAGAAGAGGTTGCATTTGAACTGATCCTAGAGGATAAAAAAGAATTTGCCAAGTGAAAAAAGAACAGATTTGCTTTGGGAAGCTTTATTTAAGAATAGTTTCTATCACTATACTTATGAAAATAAATGTACTTTTAAATGAAAGTCATATATGCTTCTTGATTTAAGGTTAAATTATAATGTCATATAAAGAATTTATCCTTTTGTGTCCCCTTATCTGTTTAACCATGCTCATTTTAAAAATTGATGTTCTAGCTTAATAAAATTTAAGGACTTCCAATAATCCAAGAGACATTTCCTTTTTACTCAAATTAATTGGTCTCTTATTAATTTCTTTAGAAAGTGAATAATTGCCATTTGCCCTTCTGCCATAAAACTATAAATTAAATTGAACCATCTTGTATATCTTATTATTAAGGAAGATTTACTTATATACTTTTTTAATTTAAAAGGCTCTATACTCAAGTTTGAGAAATATAAGAGAATTTTTGTCTTTAAGGTACTTAAGATCTGATAGGAGAGATAGACATTTTCCAAATGGTATTATAAAAAAATGGGAGTTCATCGAATGTGAGTCCTAGCTCATCCTTCTATCTTTATAAAAATTATCTACCTATTTGATATGGTCAAGCCTTCCTCAAATTCAACCTCTTCAGTTGTACAACTACTGAACTATACTTACATTTTCTCCTTTAAATCCTATAGTTAGAAAGTTTGAACCACCACCTTATTACCTGGGAATCTACGTATGTTCTTTCTGTATGTCTTATTTTTTAGTGCTGTTAACACAAGTTTGTCAATGTTTGAGAGCCAGGACTCTGCTAAGTACCTTTTCTTTCAGAATATAGTCATAGTATAGATAGCCAATAGTTAATTGGTAGCTAAGCATTACAAAGGGTAGTGTGGAATATAGTTTTAGCTATAAATATGTTTCACCTAATGTGATTCTGGAAAATGTTGCTTGAAAATTTGACTGTAAAGTAACTTTGAAAAGGTTATTCTTTTTTTTCAATTGGCTTCCAAAATGAAAATAGATTTAATCCCAGTTTAGGTCAAAGATTCAGTAAAACCTGTGTTTAAGAAGCAGTAACATTTTCTTTTAAGAGAAGTAGTTTTTGCTTATAAAATACTTTATCATCTCCGATTTTTAGATGGTCTTTATAACAAATTTATCTTAAAAATTCTTACCTATATACTAATGCTTAATCATCGAGAAATGGGTCTTGATATATTATTTCCAACAATGATATTTTCACACCTGAACACTGTTAGTTTCCTAAAATTCGACATTTTGGAAATTTTGGATAGAGGGAATTAAAGTACACCTTGGTAATACTATCAATGTTTTTGTGGCATGTCATCACTTATTTTCTTACAACAGACAGCTGAGTCTGAGATGTGAGTGATCCTTGGTGTTTGGATAAGATGATTTTAATTCTCATTTGGCAGGAAAATTGATGTCTATGGTTTTTGTGTGATTCTTGCATTAAATAAGTTTGGAGCCAAAGCATTGGAGGATGTCTTTTACCAGGCCATTCCTGGGCGTGAAGAAAATGTGTCTGGGGTCTAAGCTATGATTGAAACTTATTGAGTCTCTGTTAAATTGGTATATAACCAACTTAAGCCTAAATATGCTAATTGACAACTGTCAAACCTTGTTTTAGAAATTCCCAAGTGTTGGGGTAGATTGTTGCATAGAACTTACATGCTAACAGCAAGAGAAATACTGTATCAGAATATAAAATTATTGCTGTGATGAAAGAACATATAAGCATAGTGTAATTATTCTTTGAAATATTACTGCTTAGGAACCTGTAAAGGCTATATATCTCCTCACCAGGCCCAAAGATTTTTTGGGGGTTTGGGGTGGGGGCAGCGGGAGTGTGGAGTGGTTGGAAATATAGTGTGAGCCAAACATTTATTGGATGTGAATAATATAAGCAATACTGAGATTCTTCATAATACAACCAATATATTTATGTTTTATCAACTTTAGGGCATAATTACTGGGCTCTGTACCTTGGCTAAGTAGTATTTTGTATATATATTTAGTTTTCTTTAGGGCTAAATTCGACCGAGAAACCCTAGTGCTAATTACCCAATGTAGATGGCAGTCACTGTTAGAAAAAAAAAAAAAAGCCTGTATTAGAAGATCATCTGTAGGTTAATAATGTGCCTGCAGATCAGTCAACATATATTTATTGAGCACCTTCTTTGTCCATAAGTTACCAGTATAGAAAATAAGTACAGTAGTAATTTAGATGGAAGAGGACATTTTCAGCTGGAGTCAATGTATCAAGCTTTGGGACAGAAGATAAACTTCAGTCAGATCTTGAATAATGATTAGAATGAATGAGTTGAAAGGGAGAACTAAGGGAGAGCTAATAGATTCCAGAGAAGGAATCATTATACAGGTGTTTGGCAAGATTCCCAGTTTAATTATTATTTTTTAATAATGCAAATGACGTATTCCTTTATCTTCACTTGTTATAAAGATGTTTTTAAATATCATTCTGCATGTCAGATTTCGAGTGTTCAAGTGTTACTGATTTATGAAAAGTACACTGGGTTCCAGTTTTAAGTGCCTTTGTAAGAAAAACTATTTCATAGACAGCTTTTAAGGAAATAACATATAAATGCTTTAGGTTTTTAAAGAGCACTAGCCAGAGAGTAAATAAATCTGAGCTTTAATCCTAGCTTCATGCCTTACTTTGTGATTTTTGGACAGGTCATTTAACTTACAAATTAAGTTATAAAGTGAGAATGATAGTGCCTGACTTATTTCAGGTGAAACAATGTTTTTATTCATTACTTTAAAGACTTTTAACTAGAAGCCATATATATCAGAAAGCTTCTTTATTTTTACCTGCACATGACAAATTGGAGTATGTGAATTCTTAAAAGGTGATCATGTAAGAAAATTAATTTCCAGATTACATTTATTTTCCTTCTTTTTCTTGGTAGCGGATACTCTGTTTTCAAGGAAGCTGAATGGGAAATACAGACTTGAGCGACTTGTTCCAACTGCAGTGTATCAGCACATGAAAATGCATAAACGAATTCTTGGACACTTGTCATCTGTGTACTGTGTAACTTTTGATCGAACTGGCAGACGGATATTTACTGTAAGTAATTGCTAAAGTATTATTTATATTCATATATGTAATTGAGGAAATATTGCTTATAGGTGAACTTGAAGTAAAACCTTGCTTTTTTTTCTTTTAATAGGAAACCGGAAATTCAGGTGGTTTCACTTACTCTAACAGAAGAGTTTAGTTAAATTTGGACTTTATCCAAATTCAGAAAGTTTCTAAATGACATGTTGCAGCACAGTCACAGTTATTATATGGTTGTACATCATGAATAAGTATGGTTCTCAACATATATCAAATACACAGTTTGACATTTTGCAAAATGGCATAAAATAATTTTAATTTTGAACTAAGGACATCTAAGTATGTTGAGAGATTATTAAATGTGCCTTTTTATAATTGTATGAGATTATTGAATATACCTTTTTATATTATCTGTAGAAAATCACTTGCTTGTCTATGAGAAATTTCCCTTAAAATAGTGATTTTAAAAAAGCTAAAAAATTCTGAGCATATCTAATACTCTTATTACCTGTTATTCTTAACAGTTCATTCTTCAAAATATCTGATGTTTTGTTTATAGAGCCTCTTTGGGTTTGTTTATTTGTTATTGTTTCTTGTAACCTGTTGAATAGAGAAAAGCAAAGCTTTTGAGCTTTATTTTAAGTGAGAAAATTACTTTTGGAAATATTTGATTTTCAGGTGCCTTAACATCTACATTCATTAAGCATAATACTACACTATTATGATGATATTTATTATTAAACACTACCCTGTGGGCTGAAGGTATGCATTCATTCACAAGGTTTTTAATTTCTTTTGAAATAAGAAAATTTGAAGTGGAAGTTAAATGGAAATTTTCCTGTCTTTGAAGAGAGCAGCTGTGAATTTTACGTAGTTATGACAATTATAGATTCCTCTTTTTAGTAAATTTGCTTGTAAACTGAGACCTATTTATACCTACTACTTCTCCTCTATCCATACACCCAGTCATCTGTAAAACAGCTAAATAGCAGGATGTAGGAATGCATTTTTATACTTTTCTTTTCCCTTGGCTCTAATCTACCTCAGGCATTTGCACATCACTTCTTATATCAGTATTTTCCCTTTTTACGTTCTCTTGTATCAAGTATTATTTTCAGAGTGGAAAATAGGCATCTCTATATTTGCTGAAGTGCCTGACATACCTACAGTAGTAATTTGCTCTCAAATAGTAATCGAAAATTAATTTAGCCATTCAAGTTTAATATGGGTATATTCAAATTCACCTCTCAAAAACCTTAAGTAAATTTGATTTTTCTAATGTTTGAAAGAATTCTTTCAAAAACAGTAATAAATTAAAATAATGAAAAAGGAGCACTATATTGTGCCAGTAGGTCAGTATAAAGTTATGCCATTGTAAAGAACCTTGTAGGAATTCTTTCTTTAAAAATGATAGGGATTGTAAGCATTTGTTTATCATATTTTATGAAGCATTTTACATGTTTTGATATTAATTAGACATATAATCTCCTGGAATTTTTTTAGGGAGAATGCAGTGAAATAGTGTGCTTTTTGCTATCTCATGAGTGTGGTAGGTACAGACTTGGAAGAGCTTTTTGAACCAGGGTTCAGCATGCTGCTGCCTGCGTCTCAAACCCAGTTTGTCACTTGTTCTTATAAATGCAATTTTATTGAAACACAGGCATGTTCAGTTGTTTATATATTGTCTATGGTTGCCTGTGCACTACAACAGCAGAGTTGAGTAGTTTTGACTGAGAACATATGGCCTGCAAAGCCTAAAATATTTATCCAGCTCTGTACAGAAAAAAATTGCTATCCTTTTCTAGACATTTGATTCTTTCTTTTAAGGGCATGTGATTTAGAGAACAAGAATAATATGCGAAGAGGAAGCTGCTTGTTGGTTATTTCTTTAGTTGAAAGCACATCAATTAAGAGAAGAAAAGTAGCACTGTACTATTTTATATGGTCTTACCAAAGTCTAAAGATGTTTATTTTTTAAGAATGTGATAGAATTTGTTTTGCTAAATTCAGTCTCATTTGTAATTTTTTACTGGTGGTTTGGAGTTACAGATTTCAGAATGTTACCTTACAATAAGAAATAACGAAGATATGAGGGCACTATTTTTTTGAAAAATTCTTGTATTTTTATTATTTTCACTTCAAGTGGTGGTAGGGTACACATATGTTCACTATTCATATTGCTCATTAATAAAGTGGGTGCTGAGTGTTTTTTGCATTTCACTAGGCACAGACTAGACGCTAACTAGTCCTATGGAAATCAGTCTTGAAAATAGATAGAATCAGCCTTTAAGATAGTAGATCATGATTGACCAGTGAAACACTCCTGTGAGAGAACATACTGTTATTATTTTTGGAGGTAACAATTTGGTAATGGATCAACCAGTATTTCCTTTTTATATAATTGGTATTTTAAGACCTTGCAGATTTATTTCTAAGATATTTGTGTATATATATTTGAAAGCTTTTTCCAAGGGATTCTCTTGAGTCCTTTCTGAACAGGCACAGCTGGAGGCATACAGTACTGTGGTTAAAAGCATCAGCTTTGACATCAGAGGGCTTTTAGTCACAGCTTTACCACTTCTACTAGTGAAACTTTGACAGATTACCTCATCTCTTTAATCTCCAGTTTTCTCATCACCTAAAGAGAGAGGGGAGTAGATGATAATAGTACCAACCACATAGGATTTTTGTGGGATTACATGAAATAATGCATATAATTAGTACTGAACAAAATAGAAAGCAGTCATTAGGTTTTTCCTACTGCTACTTATAGATTTAAGTAAATTTTATCTTTTATTTTTTATCCAAATAAAATCTTATTTATAAATGGTATACAAGAATTAAAAAGGAAATCATTGTAATTGATAATGAAATTCTGTATTAGGAAAATGTATCATTATTTTGTATGACAGTATTTTAAGAATGGGTGCTTTCCCAATTATTTTAATGAGAAAAACCCAAGGAGGGAAATAGCATAATTGCCAAGTCAGATTTTGTTCACTAATTCTCTTTTAGCCTTTTAATGTTTTTTACTTGGTTTTAAAATCATTTCCTTAAGTGACATTTAACGGAGAAAAGCAGAGTTAATGAATTTTCACAACTAAGGCACTCAAAAGTACATGGAACGCCATATAAAAAGCAGAGTTTTCCCCCCTTTTCAGAAACATAAATTGTCTCTCTGATTCTAATTAATATGGTATAATAAAGAAAATGAGTTTATGCATTCCTTTAATGAACTTCAGAGTTTTATGAACCAGCCACTGTTTTAAGCAGTTGGGATATAGAATTGAAAGTAGTATTTGTTCTTGGAGAGTTCACAGATGGTAAACAAACAATATTGATATAATGTGATAAAACCTTGACAGAAGGTGTACAAGGTACTGAGATACCATAGGAGATAAAGATACCTAATCCAACCTTGTGGTAGGAGATGGTAAGGGAAATTTACTAGAGAAGTAACAGCTTGGTAAATTTAGGAGTCGAATTGGATATTGCAGACTTAGGGAAAGGCAATTACAGACTTTGGGAGAATGTAACATGCAATTGTGTATTAATGGATATGGCATAGAATAAATATGGCTCATCATAAAGAACTAGCGATATTGGTGTGGTACAAAATCAAGATACTTTTGTGACCTGCTAAATAGTGGGTTTCTTTTCTGAAGGCAATGGAGAGCTAATGATTGATGTGGTTAGAAGAGTGAGGAGAATTTTTCTTTTCATTGAACCCTTTTGCATTATTGTAGAAGATGGATTCAAACTAACTCTATATACAGAGAAATTGGCAAAAAGTTTCTGGCAGTGATCTATAAAAGAAATCAGGGATTAAACAGTCACAGTGGGATGGAATTGACAGATTAAAAATAGGATTTGTAAGACTCGAGAGACTGATTTGTATGTAGGGAGTGAGATGGAAGAGTATAGGATGACATATTTTTTCACTTCTGTGATTTAGAAAGTCCTGTCATTTACTGTGGTAGGAATTTAAGGGGAGAAGTTTGTGAAGGTGAAACGTATTGACTTTGAGATATCTATGTGGAAAGTCAAGTAGAAATGCCCAGTAGGCAGTGGGAACTCAGATTTAGGTGAGAAGATTTAGTTTAGGAATCATTCAGCTTGGAAAATGGAATACATTATCTTGTATGTATCTAATGTAAGAAGGCTGAAACTTCAGCTTTTAAAAAAGCAGACAAAAGAAGAGTCAATAATTGAGACAGAGAAGCTGCCTGAGAGGCTAGGGGAAAAAAAAGAAGAGTGGTGTCTTAGAAGCCAGGAGATGAGAATTTCATGAAAGGCAGAAACCTAAAGTAAGATTAGTACTGAAAAACATCCTTTGGGTTTGTCAAGGTAATTGATGACTGCTATGGTCTGAATGTTTCTGTCCCCTCAAAATTAATATGTTGAAACCTAATTAATCCCCAATGTGGTAGCATTAAGAGGTGAGGGCTTTAGGAGATGAGGCCTCAAGAATGGAGCCCTTGTGAATGGGATTAGTGCCCTTACAAAAGAGGCTCAGGGGAGCCATGTAAAGATACAGCTAGAAGGCACTATCTTTGACACACAAAGAGAGCCTTTACCAGACACCACATCTACTGGCACTTTGGCCTTGGCCTTCCCAGCCTCCAGAACTGTGAGTAATAACTTTCTGTTTACAAATTAACAAGTGTCTAAGGTATTTTGTTATAGCAGCTCCAACAGACTAAGACCAAAAAATGTTCTGTTTTAGCATTGGGGATAGGAATGAAATTGCAGTGCAGTGAAGAGGGAATGGGAATTGAAAAACTGAATACACTTAATATAAACTAAACTTTCAAAAACTTGACAATTAAAAGATATGATAGTCTGTATTCTGAATGTGGAGTACTGCCGCTTAACTTTGTGCTTCTAATACATTGTATTTTCCTATTACATTGCCATGACAGATGTCTGTTTTCCTATTAAGTTGTGAGCTTTGTCTTTGCCTTTGTTGTTATTTTTTAGATCTGTAGTGCCTTGCAGAGTATCTGATGTATACAGGAGGCATACCACAAATGATGAATGAATCAAGCAATTTGAGATATAAAAATGACTAATGTCCATTCTTGCAGAAAACTTAGCATCTGTTAGGGGAAATACATACAAATATCTGTAAGATAAGTTCCTCTCTGCTACTGTACTTCGGTTACACTGATCTCTTGTACTTCAGACTTGGAAAGCCCATTTGTGGCTTGAAGTCTTTGTATTAGGACTTTGCCTGGGATCCCCTTCTCCAAAGTATTCATGTGGCTGATTATTATTATTATTTTTTAATTAGCAGATAAAGACCAGTAGAAGATCTTAGTTTGAAGATCTTGCAATATGTCCCCCAAAGATACTAATCAATTAAAGAGCAAACATTGCAAATTTATGGGGAAAAACCTTGGAAATACTAATGTAACCATGTTAACTTCACTAGCTCTGGGATGTGTTGACGTTGTGTTCTCAGAAGTGATGCGCTGAGAAAAACACAGCTTCTTGTTTGTGGGATTACTGTAAAAGATAATATGACCTGGATCTGGTCATGAAGAAACATTGACAGACCTAGGTTTTGGGTCATCCTGCAGATTGTAAGGCCTGTATTCTTTATAACCTGCTGAGGACATGAAAGAGAAAGCCTGAGAAAGTATTCCAAATTGAAGGAGCCTGATGAGACATGTCAGTTAAATATAGTGTATATGGGTTTGTGGGCCAAAAAGGAAAAGAGAACATTGTTGACAAAACAGTTGACAAAATTTGAATAGGCCCTGTAGATTTGGATGTTACCAGTATTGTTATTGGTAGTGTTATCAGTATTGATTTCCCAACTTACATAGGGAAATATCCTTGTTTTAGAAAAATATACACTGCGATATTTAGAGGTAATGGGGTATCAAGTCAGCAGCCTTGCTTTTTTTTTTTTTTTTTTTTTTTTTGAGACGGAGTCTTGCTCTGTCACCTAGGCTGGAGTGCAGTGGCACCATCTCAACTCACTTGCAAGCTCCACCTCCCAGGTTCATGCCATTCTTCTGCCTCAGCCTCCCGAGTAGCTGGCATTACAGGCACCCACCACCACGCCTGGCTAATTTTTTGTATTTTTAGTAGAGACAGGGTTTCACCATGTTAGCCAGGATGGTCTCGATCTCCTGACCTCATGATCTACCCGCCTCGGCCTCCAAAGTGCTGGGATTACTGGCGTGAGCCACCGCGCCTGGCCCAGCGTTGCTTTTAAATGGTTCAGAAAAAAGATTAATGGTAATGGAGTTATGTGTGTATGTTATATGGAGAGAGAGGGAGGGAAGAAAGGTGGTAATGGAGATATGGGAAACATTTGTACTGTTCTTGAAACTTTTGTACGTTTGAAATTCAAAATTATTTTAAGTGCATAGGAGGTTGTTTAGAAGCAATAGTGAGCATTTAGCATGTTTGATAATAATGGAAAAGAGGCAGAGTATGGTCATTTAGAGGACAGTAAATTGTAGGAAAACTGGATTGAGAGGAAGAAACTACTAAGATAGCAAATTTGAAGATACGAGAGGAGATTATTGATATGTAATGATATTTAAGGAGGTGGGATGTATACAATAGCAGTGTGGACTTTTTAGAAAGGTAGTTATTTGGTCCACAATTAACAGTTTCTACTTTTCAATATGAAATGTTCTGTCTGGCGAGAGTCTTGTTTATGGATTCTAGAAATTACTGATAAAGCTTGGCAATAGAAGAGTATTGAATAGAGACAGGAAAAATGATTGCTGATAATGCTTAGCCTACCCAGTAAATAGGAGATTCATGAATTCGTAGTGTTGTGGAATTAGTATGCTTATATTCCTTACCGTAATGTTTCTTGGCATCCTGGTAGCAGTATCAGAGCAAGTGATGGTTAGATTGACACCGGGTTGGTCATTGGTGGTATAGATGAATAAGGGTCGAGAATGAAATCAGACATGTGTTGAAATGTTTGACCCTGAGGTTTAGGTTGATTTGTAAGGGAAATGAAACACAGGTCTGATAGATTGGTAAGAAAGAAAATAAATGACCTAGAAAAAAATTGAACCAAATTTAAATTGTACGCAATTTTTAGTTTTGCTAGAAAAGCAGGTTACTTTTTAGCTTGAATAGGAAAATGAAATTGTAGTAAATATGACAATACAGACAACATTTTTGGCATTCATTTCTACTGCTTATTCTAATGGCAATAAGAGATGAGATCTCTGACTCAAAAGCTGTAAAGTAGCCTCAAGAGAAATTAAAATTCTCCTTGTTGACTCTGCCAGATAACAGTAGGTTTTCAAGGAATGCCAAATTCTCTAAGATATTTTTAGTTAAAAAATCACATAATTTCTTTTATTTTCATGTCAAAGTAGTAATCTTTGTATAATTTATGCCTCTCTTTTAGGTACATAGGTCAATATTTTAATTTTAAGGTTTCTCAAGTTATCTGAACAGAAGTAAACTGTTTCCCAATGTGTACAGTTTTCTGCTTGTGTTATTGAGCAGAGGGGGCTTGCTGCCCAGTGTACTAGAAGCCAATACTATGACACTGGGTTTTTGAGAAAAGAAAAGCTTTATATTGAAAGTCAACTCCCAAGAAGACTCAGGGGTCAAGCTCAAATCTGTCTCCTCATGCTGGTTTCAAGGCAGTATTTTTATTACAGGTTCAGTAGGGGTGAATTCTGAGATTAGTAGGTGTTTGGTGGAAGGAAAGGGGAGGTCTGGAATGTCCCTGGGCATGCACAGTTAACTCATTATGATACCTCATGGGTCACATGTGCAAATTCTAGGGTAGTTAGTATGAAATGTGGTAGATAGTCAGGCTATGATGTCAGCAAGCTTGTTCTGTGCAGACTCCAGTTGGCCATCTTGGTTCCAACTGATTTCAGCCAGTTCTATCTCATAAGTAGAGGGAGTTTCAGTGTTTGGACAAGTTGTTTCTTAGTTGCCATCCCGCACACTCAAAGAATATTAGTCATTCAGTGTTAATCAATGTTAGTCGTTGATTTCTTTAACTCTTTGGGGCATGATTTCACTTAGAGAATTCAACCATTCCTTGTCATTTATGCTGCTTCCTGTAAATTACTTTATTACTGAACAGAATTGTCCTCTCTAATTGTCTACTTCATAGTTTTGCAACATCTGGGCCTAAATTGACTTCTTGGCCTTGCATAGAAAGGCCTGTATTTCATTTATGTAGTCAGAGTATCTGTAAATAAGCCATACCAGAAAGAGCTCTATCAAGTTGTTCTGAAACTTAGCTTTTCTTTAAATAAATAAATAGTTCAATTAGGCCTTTTGAAGCTTAACCTCTGGAAACTCATTAAATTATTAAAATTTGGGGGCATAGACTTTAGGTGCTGTTTGGTTTCTGCATCGAATTGAAGTGATTCATGGCCCTGTGTCTGAAGTTGTTTGAAGTTTTCATGGCAGTACGTAGGCCATTTTTTTCTGGATTTTGAGGATAATTTTAATACCAAAGTGCCTAACAGTAGAAAGCCACGTCATAAAGACCTGTGGAACTTTTCTTCATGAGAACATTAAAGTCAAATGTGTTACTAGACACTGCCTAGGCTTTATGAAAAATGCTAATACAGACGTACCCTGTTTCATTGTGCCTTTATTGCATTTTGCAAATACTGTATTTTTTACAAATTGTATATTTGTGAAAACCCTGAGTAAAGCAAGTCTGTCAGCATCATTTTTCTAACAACATATGCTCAAGTCTTGTCTCTTTCACATTTCGATACTTCTCACAATATTTCAAGCTTTTTCATTATTATTATAACTGTTATGGTGATCTATAATCTCTGATGTTCCTATTGTAAGTCTTTTTAGGGTGCCATGACCTGCACCCTTATGGCGAACTTAATGAATGTTGCATGTGTTCTGATTGCTCCACCAACTGGCCCTTCCCCATTTTTCTCTCCTTGGGCCTGCCTATTGAAATTAATCCAATTAATAACCCTACAATGGCCTCTTAGTGTTCAAGTGAGAGGAAGAGTCTCAGGTCTCTCACTTTAATTCAAAAGTTAGAAAAGATTAAGGCGAGTGAGGAATGCATGTTAAAAGAGTTAGCCAAGTTGTGAATGTAAAGCAAAAGTTCTTGAAGGAAATTAAACGTGCTACTCCAGTGAGCACACAAATGATGAGAAAGTTAAAGAGCTCATTGCTGATATAGAGAAAGTTTAAGTGGTCTCTATAGGAGATCAAAACTAGCCACAATACTCTTTTAAGCCAAAGGCTAATCCAAAGCAAGACCCTGACTCTTAATTCTGTGAAGGCTGAGAGATGAGGAAGCTACATAAGAAAAGTTGGAGCTAGCAGAGGTTGGCTTACGAGGTTTAAGGAAAAAAGCCATCTCCATAACATAAAAGTGCAACGTGAAGCAACAAGTGCTAATGAAGTAGTTGCCGCAAATTATCCAAAAGACCTAGCTAAGATCATTGAAGAAAGTTGCTACACTAAGCAATAGATTCTCAATTACAGGTGAAACAGCTGTGTATTGGAAAAATACATCATCTAGGACTTTCATAATTAGAGAGAAGTCAATGCCTGGCTTCAAAGCTTCAAAAAGCAGGCTGACTCTTTTGTTCAGGGCTGATGCAGCTAGTGACTTGAAGTTGAAACCAGTGTCCATTTACCATTTTTTAAATTCTAGGACCATAAGAATTATGCTAAACTACTTTGCTTGTGCTCTGTAAAGGGAACTACAAAGTCTGGATGACAGCATATCTTTTTATAGCGTGGTTTACTGAATATTTTAAGCCCACTGTTGATACCTACTGCTCAGAAAAAAAAAAAGATTCCTTTCAAGATATTACTGTTCATTAACAAGATGCCTGGTCACCCAGGAACCCTGATGGAAATATACAAGGTGGTTAGTGTTGTTTTTATGCTTGCTGACAATACATTTATTCTGCAGCCTGTGGATCAAGGAGTAATTCTGATTTTCAAGTCTTATTTAAGAAATACATTTCATATGGCTGTAGCTGTCATGGATAGTAATTCATTTGATGGATCTGGGCAAAGTACATCGAAAACCTCCTGTTTCACCTGTAATTGAGAATCGATTATTATCGCCATTCTAGATGCCATTAAGAACATTCGTGATTCTTGGGAGGAGGTCAGAATGTCAACATTAACAGGAGTTTGGAAGAAGTTGATTGCATCCCCTGTGGATGACTTTCAGGGGTTCAAGACTTCAGTGGAGGAAGTTAACTGCAATAGCAAGATAACTAAAATTAGTAGTGGAGCCTGAAGGTCTGACTGAATTGCTGCAATCTCATGATTAAACTTAAATGGGGGAGGAGTTGCTTCTTATGGATGAGCAAAGAAAGTAGTTTCTTGAGATGGAATTTACTCTTGGTCAAGATGCTGTGAACATTGTTGAAATGAAAACAAAGGATGTGGACTATTACATGAACTCAGTTGGTAAAGCAGTGGCTTGATTTGAGAGGGCTGACTCCAATTTTGAAATAAGTTCTACTGTGGGTAAAATGCTGTCAGATAGCATTCCATGCTGCAGAGAAATCTCTTGTGAAAGGAAGAGTCCAATGGATGCAGCAGACTTCATTGTTGTCTTATTTTAAGAAGTTGTCACAGCTACCCCAACCTTCAGCAACTCCACCCTGATCAGCCAACAGCTGTCAGCATCAAGGCAAAGCCCTCCACCAGCAAAAATATTACTACTTGCTGAAGTTTCAGATAATTAGCATTTTTTAGCAATAAAGTATTTTTAAGTTAATGTATGCCCATTTTTTAAAGACATAATACTATTGCACACTTAATACACTGCAGCATAATGTAAACGTAACTCTTACATGCACTTGGAAACCAAAAAATTTGTGTGGTTTGCTTCGTTGGAATACTTGCTTAATTGCAGTGGTCTGGAACTGAGCCTGCGGTATCTAGGAAGTATGACTATATTTGTTTTTATTTGAGTCTTGCCTCTGAAACTTTTTATTTTGAAGAATGTTGAAGTTTTTAAAGGGATTTACAAAATCAGAACTTTTTTTGGATATACAGAAAAAAATACTAATTGCTTATAGTAAGAAATCCAGCTGCATGCTGAAAGGAAAAGTAATTGGTACCATTACCTCCATACTGTAAAAGTACTAGAAGAAATAACAGTGGTTACAAAGTAAATATCTGATGCTGTTTTCTTCCTTCATCCTAAAGTGCAGAAGTGTGTTGACTGTTTTTAAGGCACATTTCTTTATCATAATATGTGTGTTTTTTTCAGGTGTGGCAGTAGACTAAGCTAATTTTAGAGTACTTGAAGCCAAATTGTTAGGATTGGAAAAATGTAAATTTTGTTTAATTCCCACCCTTTCTCAACACACTTTCTCATAAATAATATCTATGCTGTTGTGTTTTCAAGTATAGAGATGTACTCTTTTAGCTTCCTTGGCTTCATCCTTTGATGACAAGATTGTCTTGACTTAAAAAGAAACCCTGTAAATTTGGTGTCTCATTTTGTTTTGGGATTTAAATAAGCTAAGGGCTATACAGATTTGCTTGAGATTTTTCCAGCTTATGCTAAGTTTGATATAAACAAATGATAATATTAATGAGCACTCTTTCGCAGTAATTATAACCATTTTACATTATTGAAAAATGAGGCTTGGTGTGATGGCTCATGCCTATAATCCCAGCACTTTAGGAGGCTGAGGCAGATGGATCACTTGAGGTCAGGAGTTTGAAACCAGCCTGACCAACATGGTGAAACCCTGCCTCTACTAAAAATATAAAAATTAGCTGGGTGTGGTGGCGGACGCCTGTAATTCCAGCTATTCTGGAGGCTGAGGCAGGAGAATCTCTTGAACCTGGGCTGCGGAGGTTGCAGTGAGCCGAGATCGCACTACAATACTCCAGCCTGGGCGACAGAGGAAGACTTCGTCTCAAAACAAACAAACAAACAAACAAAAAAAAACAAGAAAGAAAAATGAAACAAGTGATTTACTACTCTCTTATCTTTGTGATTAAACAATAGCACAATAATTTGATTTTAAAATGAATTATAAAAAAGATTTTAAATTTTGTACCCACCCCATGGATTTCTTAAAACCTGTTCATAGTTTTCCAGATAAAAATCTACACTAAGTGGTCTCTCTTCGTAATCTCATCTGCTATCATTGTTTTGACTACTATGGTATAAACTGATAACACCCAGATCTCTATCTCTAACCTAAACCTCTTCTTGTAGCTTCAGATCTATTACTCACATAAACATTAGCAGGATCTGGCTAAAATACTATAGTGACCATGTCTTGTCTGCTTACAAATTGTCTAGTGACTACCTCAGCAGGTTAAATACAAACTCTTAACAGGCATTTAAAACTCAATTATCATTCTTAGGTAAAACATTTCCAGCATAATCACTTATTTTCACTTACACTTTGTACTTTCAAGTTTTCTTACTTTGCCAATTCCTAGCCCGAGCAGCAATCCCCAGCAACATTGAGATGTTACTGAAAAGAAATGACTACTTAGTTTTCCCTTGAGTATTGGAGCTTTGCTGAAAAAACTATGTCAGTTGAGGTATTTCTAACATCATGCTATTTAAATTTAGCAGGTCTTTAATTGTTGCTTGCAGAATTTTTCCACCTTTCTTACTGCTTTTATTCCACTGCATTTCCAAACTTTCTTCACTTTTTTAGTTCATTCGCTTGTTGTTCTCTCCCTCTCACTTTTAATCCTCAGATTTTGTTTTGTTTTGTTTTTGCTGAGGTTACATGATCTCTCCCTACTTCCTTTTCTTTCATACACCTTAGAAGAGGTATATCTTATGTCATTGCCCCTTTTCACCATTTACGTAACATTATTTTTAATATCCATAACTTGGTTTTAACATTTTATTTTTCTTTGGTCAAAAGACTATAATATCTTACTCTTTGGCTTATTGATCTTAGTAACATTCGTGGAACTAGAGGTAGGCTTATGGAAAAGAGAGTGTATCCGTTCAAATTATGTTAGACATTTTGGTCTTTTTTAAAATAATCATATTTATCGATTTTTAATTCATTCTTCCTCATTTATTTAAAACACATTTATAGCCTGTAATCCCAGCACGTTGGGAGGCCAAGGTGGGTGGATTACTTGAGGCCAGGAGTTCGAGACCAGCCTGGTCACCAGGGCGAAACCCCATCTCTAGTAAAGATACAGAAATTAACTGGGTGTAGTGGTGCACATCTGTAATCCCAGCTACTCAGGAGGCTGAGGCATGAGAACCACTTGAACCTGGGAGGTGGAGGTCACAGTGAGCCATGATCACGCCACTGTACTCCAGCCAGGGTAACAGAGCAAGACTGTCTCAAAGTAAATAAGGAAATGTATAAATAATAAAATAAAACACATTTATAGTGCTTTAAACATTTTTTCCCAATACATTTAATTTTTCCTCTGCAGTTCTTCTAGTCAATTATTTTTGAGTACTTGTATATTGTATAGTCATCTTAAAAGAGTTTCATTGAATTCATGCTCAGATTATCTTTTGTTTCAAATTTCCATAAAGTTAAATTAATTATCACAAGCGATGATATATGAGATAGAAATTGCTTAAGAATGCTTGCAGTTCTGTTGGAAAATCTTCCGGGAGTCCTGAGGGGTAGAATTAGGGGTAGGGGCAGCAAACTTCTGTGGGTCATGGAAGAGGATAATGGAGAGATTTTTGTGAAAGGATGGTCAAAAATTTCTCTCTCTGGCAATTTGATGGAAGAAAAGAAAGGTTAATTGAGATAATATGCACTCAGAGGGAAGCATATGCATTTTTGTTTGTTTTCAGCACTTGTCTAAAAAGAGCAAATTTAATCAAGCAATACTAAAGTGGTAAGATAACTAAATGATAAACCCAGTAGGAATATAGTAGGACTTCCTGTTACATTTTAATTGGTGAAAGTCACTGGAGGTTAATTTTAGGTCACAGATTACCATTGCTCCTTTCATTAAAACTGACATTTTGGTCAAAAGACTGGTGTTTTTATTTGTTAACATGAAAAATATGTGAAGCATCTTTATAGTGGAATGTAAAACACACTCTTATTCAAAGATTCATAAGAATGATATGAATTGTATCAGTATTGTGAAGCATAACATGATGTCATGATTTTACTTTTGTTATATGGTCTACCTACTGTAGTGTACTTAAAATTCTTTGTGTACTGAATGCAGGTGAGAACCAAAATTGCTTCAGTTTTGGGAAGATAACCAAATGTAGTGAATATGTTGATTCAATTTGTGAAATGTAGAGAACTTAATTTGAATGAATGCCCTAAAGCATTTTTTTTACTCAGCAAATCCCTAATGTGTTTCCGATGTGCGTATAGACCAGCTTTCTGGGAGTCATAGTCTGCTACAGCTCTTCCTTCACTTCCAACAGATAATCAGTGATGTGCTCCTTATCCCTTTTATTCCCCAAACAGCTGTTATAACCATGTCTTTGATTATTCTTTTTTGCTATAATAATTTGTGTTACCACTTATTCTCTCCTGACCATACTATTTTAACAACTTTCAGCTGGTCTCCTTTCTGTCTTAGCCTAATTCACACTGATGCCAGGATGATCTTTAGAAAACACAAGTATGATCCTGATACTCACCTGTTTGATATCTTCAGTGACCCTCATTACACACCACTTTTCTTAGTAAACCGTAAAAGGCCTTTCACAAATTTTTTTTACTTTTTCATCCTTATGCCTTCACCTCACACTCTAAATTACCTTGCAGGCTGCTTGCAGTTCTATGAACTACTCACATTGTTTCACATTTTCATGCTTTTGACCATACTTTATAGTCACATTATGGAATGCTCTTTTTAAAATAATAATAATGATATTATTAAAATAAGAATATGAATACTGTCACCAGCAAAAGCAGTGTTAGAAGATAAAGCTGTAACCATGTGTCAGACACTGTCTCATCTCTTCACCCTCATTTAGTTTTGTGACAATCCTATGAGGTACGCATAGGTGAGAAATCTGAGGCACAAGAAGTGTATGTAACATGTCCAAAGTCATGCATTTGACCCTGAAGGCTGTCCTCTAAGCTACATTACATTGCCTCTTCTTGCGTGAGACTCTATTCAAGCATCACCACTTCTGGGTTCCTTTCCACCCCGTACCTCTGCATCTCTCAGAAAAAGTAGACTGTTTCCTTGTTTGAATCTCTGCTGATTAACAGTGGTTAAACACTTAGGACATATAAGTGTTTATATGTCCTATATAATACATAGGACGTTATCACATTTACATTCTTCTGTCTTGCTTCACAAGGACAAGAATACTGTGTCTTTATATCTCATTCTTATATCTTTAGTGGTTGTCACATAGTCACAAGACAAAGGGATAAATGAATGCATGAATCGCTTAATTTTAAAGGTTTAGGGAACTTTAAAGGCCATCCATTTTAACCTCCGTATTTTATAGATGAAGAGCCTGAGGTGAGGTTAAGGGTATGTGATAAGAATACTAGACAACAATATGGATAGTTGACCAAAGTTAAGTTTTACTGGTCTTTATAGTGGTTAGTAACCCATTTATTTTACTCCAAAGCTTAATCAGAGGAACTGGTTTTATCGTTAATTGGGGGGTGTTTTAGGTATCATTGGCAGAGTCTGATTTAAGATACAGCATTTAACATACTCTGTTTGGAAACATTAATATGTTATATTTATTGTCAGTATGATGATTTATATGTTATATTTATTGTCACTATGATGCAGAAAGTTGTCTGAATTATATGCCTCCATAGGTCCTCTGAGTTCTTTCTAATGTCAGATATGAAGGTGTTTCTTTAAGAATTAGATTGGAAGGTCGTTAAGCATTCTAACATGAACCCTTAGTAAAACTGTATCCTGTAAAATATTCAGTAATTTTGCAAAAGTGTGTGTTTTCTCTTTTAACCTTGTGTTAAAGACTAGAAAATGTGGCAAAAATATTAAGTTTTGAATCTGGGAAGTAGATATATGGGGATTAACGATACTATTCTTTCTACTTTCTTATATATTTAAAATTATTATAATAAAAAATAAAAATAGAGTCTGAATGTTCTATCTCTATTTTGGCTATATAAAATGGGAATGTTCATTTGTAAATATAGATATTCATAGGAAACTCCATATCCTTTACAATTTCTTTCTGGACTTACACTACTATGGCAGAGTAAACAAGTAATTATGTATTTTTATTGACTTCATACAGATGAGATTAATTTTTTTCTGATAACTGGCTTTAGATAATGTCATGTTTTTAGCTGAAGATCAGTGATAGGAAACTCACAGCTTCCTGAGAGAAAAAGCCCCAAACAAGCTTACTTTTAGTTTTGTATTACAAAACAAAATAGATAATATTAGTCACCATTGTAGCTTGCATTTGTTTTGCAGCTATGATTTTTTTTTTTTTATTTCAGAAGTTCAATTTCTTTTACAGAAATCCACATTGAGGGTACTTTGATAGTAGATAGGGAACCAAAGGTAAATATTAATTATCTTATCCCACTTGTCTTATTTGCTGGTGAGTACACAAGTGCTCTTTTTAAGTGGTTTAATAAAGAGCTTTGTGTAAGCTAACACAAGTATTTAACACTTTTTGGTATTTAAAAATATACTTGTTCAGAAGTGGACAGAACAGGTAGATTTATCAGTGTTAAGATTTTGAATTAAAATTTATGGGGTTAATTCTATTAATATCCATTCTTACTTTAAGGGTTCTGATGACTGTCTTGTGAAAATATGGGCAACAGATGATGGGAGGTTGTTAGCTACCTTAAGAGGACATGCTGCTGAAATATCAGACATGGCTGTAAACTATGAGAATACCATGATAGCAGCTGGAAGTTGTGATAAAATGATCCGAGTCTGGTGTCTTCGAACCTGTGCACCTTTGGCTGTTCTTCAGGGCCATAGTGCATCTATTACATCACTACAGGTAATTGTCTTAATCCCTATACATTGTTGTTGTTGTTGTTGTTATAATGTAAAGTAAATTTAATGAAGTCACTTTTGGTTATTAAATTTTAAGAAGTTACTTTTATAATCACCTTTATAATCCAGTATATAAGGCCAACTAAAATGAAGACAGGAGTATGTCTGCTTTCTTTATAAATATATGGACTTTAAATAACATAACCTTGGTAAATTCTTGCCATTTTCTAACTGTTGTTGTTAGTTGCTATTTGTATGGCAAAAAGTAGATTTTATTTTGACTGTGTCACTCTTGTAAAGATTTTTTTTCTGTGATTGTCTTTTCAGTTCTCACCATTGTGCAGTGGCTCAAAGAGATATCTATCTTCTACTGGGGCAGATGGCACTATTTGTTTTTGGCTCTGGGATGCTGGAACCCTTAAAATAAAGTCAGTTTCTATTTTATTTCATAGATTAAATGTGTTTAGTTTAATGAGTGAAATTGCAAAAGTATAAAGTAGTCGACAATAGGAATACATTTACTTTTTCTCCTTGAGTAAATAATAGAAATCCTCTTTTGGCTCTTTACTAACCTGTTTTATTTTTATTCCTCCCCTTTTTTTATGTTTCAAAGAAAGTTTCTCATGTTCACATTTTTTTTCTCTTTATCCTAATCCTAGCTCTTTCCTTCAGCATTTACCTGTTTTATTACCACTCCTTTCTATGTGCTGCATAGTTTTAATAGCTGCTTTTGATGCTCAGAACTTAATCTTAAGAATTTCTAATGCTGTTCTTTAGAATAATTTTAATTATTGATGCTACTGAATCTATAAACTTTAGATTTTATTTTAGATCTAGGAAAATGTAGGGAGACAGAATCATTGAAGTTTCACTAAACTGCATCAAGGTAGATAGATGTATTCCCCTCCCTCCCCATAATAACATTTTGCATTTGTGCGGTCGCCCATATTAATACTTCGGTTTATCAAAACAAGTTGGCTGGATAGTATTATCTTTGGATTAAGGGCACTGAAATGGTTAAATGACTTTCCCATAGTTAAAACTATGTTTAAAAATTGGCAAGGCCAGGACTAGAGCACTTCTCTGCCCTTTGATGCTTTCTATACCATATCTTTTATTTATTTATTTATTTATTTATTTTTGAGACGGAGTCTCACTGTGTCGCCCAGGCTGGATTGCAGTGTCGCGATCTCAGCTCACTGCAAGCTCTGCCTCCCGGGTTCACACCATTCTCCTGCCTCAGCCTCCCGAGTAGCTGGGACTACAGGCGCCCGCCACCACTCCCGTATAAGTTTTTTGTATTTTTAGTAGAGACAGGGTTTCACCGTGTTAGCCAGGATGGTCTCCATCTCCTGACCTCGTGATCCGCCCACCTCGGCCTCCCAAAGTGTTGGGATTACAGGCATGAGCCACCGTGCCCAGCCTCTATACCATATCTTTTAAGTGGATGTAGTGGGGAGAGGAAATAGTGTATTTGCTCCATGGATAGTCTTTGAACAAGAAAGTAGTGTATTCAATTGATTATTCAGTTGATTTCACAGTGTTGAAATGGCCATTTCTGCCACTCGGGGTGGAAAGTCATTCAGATTAGAAGGTATATATCAGTAATTATCTCTGACTGCTATGTATAAATTAGCAACCCAAGTTGAGTTATTTAATAAAATAATATATGTATGCCTTTGTTATTTTAAAAACAGTAGTGTTTAGATAATTGTTTGTAATGCAACACATGCTTCTTTAACTTCATGTATATGAACATTCTTGTAGAGTGGTTCTTATGGCAGCTTGGGGGCCATGGTAGCTCGAGTAACAAAACTACTTCATTTGAAAAAAGATTGTGATTTAAAACATGGTTCTTTGGACAAAGCAAGTTGACTTCACTTCAGTTGCATCCCTCGTATTTAAAGTCTTTCTGTAGATAGATAAAAGTTGAAATATTTTACTGATGTATATGGACAGTAGCAATAGTTAATTGTTAATTGTTGCTACTGTTTTTTAACCTCCTCATGGACCTGATGGGGATACCTTTCTCTTTTCCTGTCTTATTGTTTTAGAGAAGAAAAAGTGATTAGCAATGTTCAAATTGGGATAGGAACAGAAAATGTTTTACAGAATTAAACTCACACCTTATTTGTGCTTCTTGAGGATTTTATTGCTAAGTACAATAACATTTCATGTTTCTGGATGCTTGAGAAGTAAGCTTGTCCATATAAATGATTTTTTCAGAACCTTTATGTAGAATCACATATAAACCACTACCCTAATACAGTATTTTTTCTCCATGAATGTTTTTATATAGATATAATTAGGAATATATATATAATTTTGTTTTCTTAATATTTTACCATAGATATTTATATGTATTTTAATAGCTTGCATTATGTTCAATAGAGTTGTTATATACAACTTAGTAATTTTTTTATTTTTGGACTTCAAAGTTTTTTCTAGGTATTTATAAGTAATATTCTTTCCTATTCCTATATTCTTTCCTATTCTTGTCCCTTAAAATTTTTAAATTCAGAGTTCAGGCATAAGAATGAGTACTCTGGCTGGGCACAGTGGCTCATTCTTATCTAATCCCAGGACTTTGGGAGGTCAAGGAAGGAGGATCACTTGAGTTCAGAACTTTGAGACCAGCCTAAGTAACAGAGCAAGATCTTGTCTCTACAGAAATTCAAACAAACAAACAACAACAACAACAAACGCCAGACATGGTGGTACACACTTATAGTCCCAGCTACTCAGGGGTCTGAGGTGAGAGGCTTGCTTGAGCCCAGGAGTTAAAGGCTGAAGTGAGCTGTGATCTCACCACTGTACTGTAGCCTCTGCGACAGGGCCAAGATCCTGTCTTATTAAAAACACAAAAACAAGAACAATCCATTGCTCTTTAGATATAAGCCTTGGAACACCTATTTTCTTTATGTGTTTACACATAGTTGAAAACTGCCAAAAATTTGGCAGGATATAGATTTATACTGTTTATGTCACATAGGATTTAATTAATAATCAAAGGCAAAAATTGTATTTAGCTATAATGCTTTTGTATATTCTGCTGGGGGAAATGACTTTAGAAATCCTGCATCTGCATTAGTTGAATGAATCAATTCAACTTTGGGAACTCAAATATCTTTATAAATTCACTTGTATGTGTGTATTACCAACTCACGAGCAAAGATGCTGTTTCTTAAATGGGTAGTCTAAGTGGCTAAGTGAACCATAAGCTAGCTCCAGAGGTCTCTGGGTAGGAGGAAGCTGTCCAAGTATATTTAGACTTAGGTGTAAAGAGACTAGGAATCCTAAAATATGCATATAATATGATGATTACAAATTTTTATTTGTGATTATTAGGCGCTTAGTCTGCCAAGCTAGTACTAAGCATTTCACATTTGTTATCTCAATCCCTATAACAACCCTTTGAGAAAGGTACAGTTATTATCTCTGGGGCAGATAAGGGAAAAACCTGGGGCACAGCAGGTTACATTGTTAGCAGGTGGTACTGGAGCCAGGATTTAAATACTACTAGAGGTATAATGTCAGAAACCCCTTTTAACCACTGTGCCAAACTAAGTGGCAGTTAGTCATTGAAGGATTGGCTAGAACTTGTTGAACCTAATAAAAATACTAATATTTATTGAGCATATTGGACATTGTACTAAGCACTTTACATGTATCACACTCATTTAATTCTCCCAGCAACTCTGAAATAGGTTCCGTTTTACCCCTGTTTTACAGATGAGGATACTGAGGTACAGAAATGTTAACTTGGCCTAAGGTCGCACTCTTGATAAGTGATAGACCTAGAAACTGAACTCGGCCCAAGGCCCTTTTTAAAAATGTTTCCTCAAATAATGCATCTAAAAACAAATTATGGGTAGCTACTTGTTTTTTCCCTTTAAAAATATAAAATCTTTTTATTTTTTAATTTTAGTTTTTGTGGGTATGTAGTAGGTGTATATATTTATGGGGTACATGAGATCTTTTGATACAGACATGCAATGCATAATAATCACATGGTGTTAAAGGGGGTCTCCATCCCTTTAAGCATTTATCCTTTGTATTACAAATTATCCAATTACACTCCTTTAGTTATTTAAAAATGTATAACTACTATTGATTATAGTTACCCTGTTGTGCTATCAAATACTAGGCCTTATTCATTCTTTCTATTAGTTTTGTACTCATTAACCATCCCCACCTCCCTCCTCTTCCTCCCACTACCTTTCCCAGCCTATAATAGCCATCCTCTACTATCTCATGAATTCAACTGTTTTGATTTTTAGATCCCCAAAATAAGTGAGAACATGTGATGTTTGTCTTTCTGTGCCTGCCTTATTTCACTTAGCATAATAACCTCCAGTTCCATCTGTGTTGTTAGAAATGACAGGATTTCATTCTTTTTTTATGGCTGAATAGTACTCCATTGTGTATAAGTACCACATTTTCTTTATCCGTTCATCTGTTGTTGGACACTGTGGTTCCTTCCAAATCTTCACTATTGTGGCGGGGCGTGTTGGCTCACGCCTGTGATCCCAGCACTTTGGGAGGCCAAGGCAGGCAGATGACCTGAGGTCAGGAGTTTGAGACCAGCCTGGCCAACATGGTAAAACTCCTGTCTCTACTAAAAATATAAGAATTAGCCGGGCATGGTGGTGCACACCTGTAATCCCAGCTACTTGGGAGGCTGAGGCATGAGAATCACTTGAACCTGGGAGGCAGAGGTTGCAGTGAGCTGAGATAGCGTCACTGCATTTCACCCTGGGTGACAGAGTGAGCCTCTGTCTCCAATAAAAAAGTAACTTGTAGTGCTTTATTAAATTTATTGGTTAATCAAAATAATTCACCAGTGTGTAAAGAGAAGTGTCTAAAAATAAGTAACATTAGCAATGACAAAGACTCAAATGATGGTCCATCAGGTTCCAAAGCATCTATGTGTGTGTGTTTTCCATTAAACTAACCTTACTGATTTGCTTTAAACCTAAACAAGTAAACAAACACATAATTACTTACATTGTCACACTAATTTAATACTTTAAAATATAATTTCATTGCTTTTGTCATTTGGCTGTAATTTAACTTATAAAATTTTAAGTTGAGGCAGGAGAATCACTTGAACCTGGGAGGCAGAGGTTGCAGTGAGCTGAGATTGTGCCATTGCACTCTAGCCTGGGCCACAGAACGAGACTCCGTCTCAAAAACCAAAAAACCCACAAATCTTCGCTATTGTGAACAGTGTTGTAGCGAACATGGGAGTGCAGATATCCCTTCAATATACTGATTTCCTTTCTAAAATAAAAACCTTTTAAAAATGGTAGTTTATAGGACTATTTGCATATTTTTGTAATGAGTTTCAGGTAAATGGTTGCTTGGAACTTATGTGAGCAGATGTACCAAAAATTAAAAAAAATCTAGAGCTATAATCCATAAGGTAGTAATGAAAGCAATGCATTTAGTTGCCTTCATAATTCAGATTAATTTACTTAAATTACAGTTAATTTTGCTCTGAATAAATGTTTAGGTTTTAAGAATGTTCTAATATCTGTCTCTCTAAATGAGATTTGTTCTGCTCATCTGTTACATTAGAGCCTGTGAATATTAATAGAATTTGCTGTAAATACTAATGTAAAACTATTTACAAACTTATTTTTTAAATTCTTAACATTTTGTTGCATTCTGTATCAGTAAAAAAGATAATTCTCTTTGCTCAGAATATATATTAGGTTGGTGCAAAAATAATTGCAGTTTTTGCCATTATTTTAATGGTAAAAAGCTTTTTTTTAAAAAAAAGGCAAAACCGCAATTATTTTTGCACCAACCTATAGCTCAGAAATATTTTATGTATATACTTTTTTCCAGTAAATGATCACAAAACTAAAACTGCTCTAAATTTGTTATATATTGTGAAAGTTATATAGGCTTAAGCTCTAATTATTTTTGCATTTCATCAAATAGTGTAGAAGAACTATGCCAAAATGTACAGTAAGTAGGGCTTCAAATATAATCAGTATATTGGAACATTACATACACATTGTTAAATGTATTAGAGCTGGTGTCATGATAAAAATCTTCATTTTCTCTAATTGGTTGACTGTAACATTAAACATTTAATATCAGTAGTATTGATATAAAATATGTAATCTGTAATACAGTTAGGCAATTAATGTAAATACAGCTGTGTGTAACCTGTTTTCTGTAGACTGCTATTTTGAATGAGCATTCATTGTAGTTGACGTAAGAGTCAAAGTATCTTCAGATTTTCACTAGGTTAAATGTAATATCCCTACTTTTTGGGGTCTTAAAAGACATGTTTTATCACATTAGTAGGTCAAAGAAGGGAAAAGCTTAATTAATGTAAAATACTGAAAAAGTTCAGTTATTGATGGTATACATAAGGCACAGACAGCACCTATTTTGCTAATGTATTCATGTTTGCGAATAGCTTAGTTCCTTATATGTTTGTACGTTGCTATTCTATATGAAAAACTGAGAACATGTTAAATTTGATTAGAAGTAAGTGTAACTAGTAACTGCATGTCTGGTGTGACAGTGAATTTGGAATTGTTCCATGTACGTATTGTTGTGTAATAAGGAGCTCCTACAAAATCTATATCTAGAATTTCTACAAGATCTTCTGATTTATGACACATAATGATTTCTAAGTTGTTTTTAGGAAGGGAGCCATCTGTTGCTTCTTAATTTTGTCCTTCTGGGATTATTTTTTGAAACAGATTATTTCTGCTGCTACTGGTTCCTTTAGGATATTTTTAATTCTTTATTTTTTGTATTACAGCCCAAGACCTGCAAAATTTACAGAGCGCCCTCGGCCTGGAGTTCAAATGATCTGTTCTTCTTTTAGTGCTGGTAAGTTTCCCTCATTCTAATTTTCGACTTAAAGTTGTTCATTTAGAAGCCTTATAGTGGAGTGTGTAATATTTAGGAAAATATTTACTGTTGTATTATCAATCATGTTCTTATACATATGCCAGAGCTAATAAGTAACTGAGAATTATTATAAACTAACTTAGAAATATTTCATTTATGCAAGAGTTTAGTTTATATAATCACATGACTGTTTTTCTTTAAGAAGACTATAATGTTCTAGTAGGAGAGAATAAATAGTTTCAAAATCGACCCTGTTAAAGAATGAATGTTTAAATAGTTGTTTCATTGTAAGAATGGTATTTTAAATCTGGTTTATGTTTTCATGGATTTTGAAGGTATTCTATAGTTAAGTAAAATAAATTTGATTCATATTTGTACATCTTTATCAGTTAATTCGCTACATATTGTTCTTATTTGCACTTTAAAAAGTGATTGTATAGCAGTGCTAAGATTCCAATTCAGATTTGTGTTTATGCAGCAGCATTTTGAATGGATGTTAGGGTATTTTTAAACAAGTTATAAAAAAAATCTGGTTATTTGTAGTAAATTGATAAGAAAATTAAATGAAACATGAGTAGATCCAAATAGTGTCTAATACCTGTTCCTCCTACCTTTATTTTCAGTTTTACTTTTTCCGCTCATTTTATAATTGTGGATAGGAGTATTACCTGAGATAAGGGATAGCAAACTAATGAAGTGAGTCTGTCTTTGCCATACTAATATCCAAACATGTTCATTTTCTAACTTCTAGATGTTCAGTGCCACTGCCATGGATTCAGTATTCCTTGTAGTAGTCATACAAATATAGGCATCATACATGCATCCAGAATACTCTGAATTTTTACTCCTTTTTCAAGGACAATTTGATTTTTTTAAGGGGTTAGTGGGTAGATCATTTAGCAAAAGTACTTAAATATTTTATTATATACAGGTATTGTTTTCAATACTGTGGAAGAGTGTTACTCTTGAGTACACTGCATATACAAATAACTGTAATGCAAGGTAGAATGAATATGCTACAAAACAAAGTCTTAGGGGAGTTCTGAAGAGAGCAGCCTCATTTAATTGCAAAGTTTGTAAAGAAAAGTTACTGAGGGAGTTGGGCCTTAAAAGTTTGATAAGATTTTGACACATGGGAAATGAGACAACAGAAAAATTTCAGCAGAATTGCGAGAGAAATATTTTCTAGTGAAGGTGACTGATAATTTTAACATGGTATGGTTATATATTCACTTAGTGAAATTATTTTTTGAGCAAAGCTTTACTTCTATAAATATTGAAAAATTCATTCTAGTCAGATATATTCATAAACTTCTTTCTTAAATTCCAGTTAGATGTGTTATATATTTAGGATAAATGTGAATGGTTTTGGAGTAAAATATTAATTCAGTATATACTGTAATTTTGCTTACATTTTATTATCTAATTTTCAGAGATTTTGAAGTTATGTTTTACTTCTTAACAATTGCTGTTATTCTTCATAGGTGGAATGTTTCTGGCGACGGGAAGCACAGATCATATTATTCGGGTTTATTTTTTTGGATCAGGTCAGCCAGAGAAAATATCAGAATTGGAGTTTCATACTGTAAGTATTGGTGAAAAGAATTAGATGAGTATAATTTATGTGAGTCCAAGAGTTTATATTCAGCACCCACTTTTTTGTTTATTTGTTTATATATAGGACAAAGTTGACAGTATCCAGTTTTCCAACACTAGTAACAGGTAAAATATTTGTCTAATTTAATTCTAATTTTAAAATTATGAAATAAAGACAATTTTAGTCATCAGATTTTATTTGAAGCTGTATAGGAAATAATCACCTACCTAAAAGATCTTGACCAGTTATACTTAAAAGTGAATATAGCCTTCACATGCATAGGCACGTCTTTCTCTTATTTGTAATAATGTTAGTATACTTGGACACTTTTAGTAATTACTGCTTTTTAAATCACCCTATATATTCCAGATATGTTTCAAAATGTAGAGAAGCTTTTGGTATAGATTGAAAATGTATCACAGTATAATATTTAAGGCAGACCTGTTTATTGATGATATTGTATAAATTTTCCCATGTTCTTGTTATAAAAGGAAATAAAGCTACTTCTAATACCTTGAGTAGAATAAGTCAGATTCTTTAATATTGAGAAGAAAATCATTGTTTTTTCCTTGGAAAATGTCGATTTTATTTCTAGGGTAGTACATAGTGACCTTGAATCACTTTTGAAAATGTTATTTTGTGACCTAGCCATGAAAATTGGAATGTTTGCATATAAAATTCTAAAAAGCCCATAAAGTTTCAGAAGTTATTAGAATGCTGCATAAATAAAGATGAATGCTGTCTTTTTAAACAAGATCTCTGGGAAAAGTGCATTTTGGTAAAGCATGTATGATTTTTCTTTGGGGGATCGGATTCCTTTTAATACAGGTTTGTAAGTGGCAGTCGTGATGGGACAGCACGTATTTGGCAATTTAAACGAAGAGAGTGGAAGAGCATTTTGTTGGATATGGCTACTCGTCCAGCAGGGTAAGAGGTCAAATTTGAAATATTATGTATATATTGATTTTTTAAAGTATGTTATAGTGCAGGTTGGTGACTCTCAGCCTATAAAATTATATATCATGTTAAAATTACTACTTTTCTGCGATAACTAGAGGTACAATTGGAGATGAGCAGTGTTGATTTTTATGAAATGATTCATTGGCATATTTCAGGACATTGCATTAATTTTTTTAAGGAGATGATAAAAGTACTGTAAGAAAAGTTTTAACTTTAAATATTTTTTTCAGAAACCAGAACATATTATGTTTCGTTTATCACAGAGGGACAATATTTTATGTCCAATGGTTTCTTCAAGCCAAGATAAATTAAACTGCGTGTTGTAGCTGTTATTTTGGTTTTAATATTTTTCTCCACTTGTATTTGTGTGTAGTCATCTCAGATGGATGGGAAAGCAGAACAGTCAGCAGGGGATGACAGCAACAGTAAAAGATGGAGAGTGAGCAGCATGGCACAGAATTCCTGGATCTAGATAGAGTTATAGCAGTGATATTTATGCAAGATCATCTTACTAATGGCTTAGAAGTGCTAGAATTCTGGAAATCCTGGATTTCCTGACTCAGTGCAGGGATTTTTACCATCATTCCATGTTGATTCAAACTTCTCAGTTACTGTTAAGTGATAGTTATTATGTTAGTGAATATAAATACTAATTATAGATTATATGTTTTGGTTTTTGTTGTGTCAGTATTTTAATAGTCAGTGTAAAACACTTCCTCACTTTCAGCCAAAACCTTCAAGGAATAGAAGATAAAATCACAAAAATGAAGGTTACTATGGTAGCTTGGGATCGACATGACAATACAGTTATAACTGCAGTTAATAACATGACTCTGAAAGTTTGGAATTCTTACAC
The DNA here is from genome assembly GCF_000001405.40 of Homo sapiens. Taxonomy (NCBI): domain Eukaryota; kingdom Metazoa; phylum Chordata; class Mammalia; order Primates; family Hominidae; genus Homo; species Homo sapiens. The sequence goes on along the minus strand of NC_000006.12, from coordinate 79,015,654 downwards.
TGGTCAACTAATTCATGTCCTGATGGTGAGAAAAAATTCTAATCTTTATTTGATATAACTGAAGCTGACTATAGAATGAAACATTCTCATTGAGGAATAAAGTCTTTTATGTTAGCTAAAAACTCTTGCTTGCTGGGGTAACGGCTTTGTGAGTGATTGGGAATAATTTTAACAGTGCAGTTAAACAGGTTTGGCTTGGAAATATATAGTAGATATTTGCTGTTTTTTTAATATGAAAAGATCCATCCACCAAGCCCTGGACAATGATATTAGCTCAGTTTCATTATTATATATACATGACAAATTTGAAGATTTTTGCCAATTTAATACTTCTTAAAACTCCATTTCTAGAAATAGTGCCATATTGGTATTTCATTATGTTTGTTTTTCTTTCTTTTTTAATATCTATGATTCTTTGACACTTCAAAAATATTTCAGGGTCATGAAGATGAGGTATTTGTTCTTGAACCACACCCGTTCGATCCTAGAGTTCTCTTTTCTGCTGGTCATGATGGAAACGTGATAGTGTGGGATCTGGCAAGAGGAGTCAAAATACGATCTTATTTCAATATGGTAATTATCATTCTCTTCATTTTATACCTACTAAAGATTTGGGAGCTTTTTGACAAAGGTACTCTGCATGTCACAAAGGAAATCCATTTAAAAATTGGTTCATTATTTTGACTTTAAATTCCCATCAATAAAGAATGATTTATTCCACACTTTTATTGACATGCTGAATTTAAAAGAAAATTAATTGTGCATATTACAGTGCCTGTACATTGTGATAACTGATACAGTTTTATCAGTTTTAGCAGTGAAACTTTGGAAATTCACAAGTATGAAGATACAATATAGAGAAGAAAAAATACTTGGAAAACCATGTGAAGAAATTATAAATAAATACTCGTATTATTGTACTTGTTTAATAGTCTTCTAGCACAATAGAATTTTACTCAAGTACACTGATTTTAAAATTAAGGCCAAAGAATCAAGCATTTCTTGCTTTTAATCAATTGGTAGTATATTAAATATTTGAGTTTATACTCTTCTCTTCACATTTTGTTTCTTAGATGTTAACATAATTGGCCAAGTATTTGAATTACAATGTTTTAATATATCACATACAACTTACCGAGCAGTGTTTCTATTTACTGTATGAAGTATTAAGGTCTCCTCAACTACTGCAGTTTGTGTAGTCATATTTTTTAAATGTCTACTTTCTGTATATTAGAGATACCTTTCAACAAAGAACAAAAGAAAAAACAGTTTCCACTATTTCAGCATGTTTAAATTTTTTTAAAAAACCAATTATAGAAATCTTTAGTAATGAACCATAAAACAATACAATTAGTACATGTGGTCAGAATTATTTTGCCAAATAAATTATTTCACAAAACAGTTGTGAAACATGGTTTGTGAAAAAATTACACGAATGTGATGCTATGCTTGATTGATAATCAGAGTAAAGTTATTTCTATGTCGTGAGTAAGCAGATATAATAGCAGATTTTTTAGTGAGGGAAATAGCTTTAGCTATCTTTAAGGCTGTGCCTTAGAATACATTAGGTAAGAAATAAGGTTTGTAAAACCCTCTATTTCTAGAAAACAGTGTTAATTATTTGGTGTGCACTTGTTAGTGATGGATGGATTTCCTTTGTGATTGTATTGAGATTTTTTTAAAAAGCCACCTGTAAATATGCTAGTAAAAAATATTTTCTGCTTTTCTATCCTTGTGTTTCTGATTTGCTCCTTTTTGGAATATCTGTTGAATAAGGAAATTAGTCATTTCTCAATCTGTCTTTATAGCTTAAAAAAAATAATATGTGAGCTATATATATACTAGTGGCTTCATTTAGTAGTTTTGTATTTCCAAAGGACATTATTATATTGGTAGAGTGTTTGGAGGGAAACTTTTCTCCCATAATTGAATACCGCTTTAACTTTTCAGTTATATAAAGGTGAATTTTCCCTTATCAGGTAAGTTGGTCACACTAATATTCTACCTTTTCAGTAGATAACAAAAACTGCAGCACCTTGAGAGTTAAGTGATTTGCTCTTAGACCATTAAAAATTAGTAATGTAACCAGGAGTAGAAGTCAGCCATAATATATTGTATATTTTTAAAAATTAGCTGAGGGATTGGTTACATTACTGCCTTAAAAATTGTTTATTGTTAAATAAGAGTGTTAGATGAGGATATTTTTCTGGTTCTTTTTATGGATAAGAGATAGGAAAACTCTAAAGAGCAGAAGAAACAAATACATGTAATAAGTTGAATTGGATAGTATTCATAGAATTGCAGACAGTGAGCAAAACATAAACCAAAAAAGCTAAAAAACAGAAAGTGAGCCACCCTTCATCTCATTAAAATAAAGATACTACCTTTAATTTTTTGTATGATGTTTAATGGTTTCCAAAATGCTCCCACATATTTTACCTCCTTTGGGTCTCATGAAAACCTTGTAAGATGATCAAGATAGATTTTATTATTCTTGGTCTTAGGAATGGAGAAACTGTACATTACAGAGATAAAGTGCTTTGCCCCAATTTACTGAGTTCACACAGCTATTATGCGGGCACTTGGAGCATAAACCCATGACTCTGGTTGTACTCAAATCTTGTCATGGTTGGCTTTTTGAGCTTTTGTCAATGTTACTGCATAGCTAACTTTTAACAATACTCAGTTAGTGATATGTCTATGAAGAAATGTTTTCATAATGGTAATAAATCTGAGTGGATCTTTTGACATCTTACTCTTTAACTTGATTTTTTTTCCTGTCTGTCTTTTATGAGTTATCTAATTGCCCTAATTCTTTTTGCTCTTCACTCTTTTGTTCTTTTCATTGCTTGTTTTATTTATGGGCAAATGGAAGATAAAGCATCCAGCATTGCTATTAAGAAAATAAAGAGAAACAATTCGAGGGAGGGCCTGCGTTCTCACTGCTTGCTATCATGAATGTTGAGTTTTGGCTATAATTATAGCTATTTGGCTCTCTGTAGCTAATCAATAAGTTTTTCAGTTACTAAAATACCACGATACTTGATTGCATACAAATTTAATCCCTAATGTTAAGTTGTAGTAGTAATCACAAGTTCAGTTTAGTAAATATTTTTTGAGCACCATGTGAAGGGTCTAGTCATATATAGTGCTTTGGTCTATTAGAGGATGAAGAATTCTGGTGGAATACTCCTTTTTTGACTAGAAATGGTGAAAGTTATGTGAAGTATTTTTAAGATTAAATAATATTTCATGTGACTGTTAAAACTGAAGTTTATAAAACAGATAAGTAAACTCACCATTCCACCTACAGCTAGAAAATAAGGAATGTAGACTATACCTTTAGAATAACAGTTTTAGTACAAATTTCTTAAATACTGGTTTTTATCAAGTATATTTTAAGAATACTTTAATATTTCTCCTGCTTTTTGAATAATAATTGAATTTTCCATTGGAAATTTATACCTTTGCAAAAGATAATGGAAATCATGTAACATATAATTTAGTATTTTGTATTCATCAGCATTTTACTGCATTTTTTGTGTAATTATGGAAATGTAAATTCTTTTTTTGAAATTTTAGAAATAGCCAAAAATCCTGTTATGTTAAAAAGCCTTTCAAGTGAAAAGGTGAACTTTCAAATGCCTGTTTGATACATAGTAATTACATTTTAATAATTTTTAAATATAAGATTATAAAACATTAATATTTTAATATTGCACTGATAGTCATCATTGTAATAAGTATTCTAATTTTTTTCTGTATCAAGCCATGACTTATACTTTTAAAAATTTCTTGTGCTTTATTTTGGGACCATCTAAATTTGTCAGCAAATTAAAGAGTTTGAGATTGGGAATTGAGATAAAGCTATTTAGTTCTTTTATGTTTAAATAATTTACTTCATTCTGAAATCTTATAAATGGATTCTCAACTTTCAAGTAGTATTCTCCAGAGAAACTGAGGGGTTTATTTTTCTTGTTTTTACTGCTAACTTTCCTCCTAATAGAGGATCTCAATGATAAAAGCAGTTGGGGAGTGGGTGCTGGGTTTGTTTTTGTTACTTATAAGAAGTATATGACACGTGAGATGATGTTTTAAAAGAGGCTAACATAGGGCATGAAATGGAATAGACAGTATATGTAGCTTGTACTCCCCCTACCCTTTCTGTTGTCTCATCTTTAACTAAAAACTTTTAAAAGCACTTATTGGGAAAGCCTTTGTGGTTCTTTTTGTTGTTGTTGTTTTTCTTTTTTAAGTGAACAGGAGAAGAAACCAAAGAGAATTTTGTAGAAAATATTATGAGACAACTTTATTCTTTAAAAACAAACAAACTACATTCTAGGCCTTCAGTACTTTTATTTCTTTACGAATCAACTGAACAGTCCTTACATAACTTGAGTATTCAGAGGAAATGTAGTATATATTTGGATATTTTACTGAAGCAAGTAGTGTATATTAAGAATATTCCAAACTATAATAGTTGGGTATAACTTAGTAAGCCCACATTTGTTTGGCATTGGCAGGAGGTAAACATCAGAATAGCTTTGTTTTGATGAGAGTTGTTCTAAACTCTAAAGGCTCTATACTCCCATTAAATGCTAAAAGGCAGATAAATAATTCCCAGAAATAGCTTGAAAATGTGTGCAACTCTCAGGACTGAAGCTGAGGGCCTTCTGTGAAAGAGGTCGCCAGGTTTAGAAGTTAATTATAACCTTAAATGTTCCTAAATATAAATTGTTTTATGGTCTTTTATTCCCCATTAAATTAGCACCGGACAGCTAAGTTTTAACTACGAGTTTAACTAAATGAATATTAAATTAATTTGAAAAGATAGAGACTTTTCACATTTCTTAGTACTAGGCCATTTGAATATTAAATAGTAAATAAGAGATGCTTGGAGTTGAATTTGTAGACCCCATGTTTTTAGTAGCTTTCCTCATGTTTCTGGCGGTTTTGCTTTATTTCTCTTACTCTTTCTTTTCTCTATAGCCCTAGCTGTGTCTCTATCTCTCTTTCCATATCTTTCTATTTCTGTCATTACTCAAAGCTGTAGTTTGTTGCCTCCTGTCTGGTTTTCATTTTAATCAAAGAGTATAGTATGTCTCTTAATAGAAAGCAGTTTTACTGAATTTGATTTTTGCTTTACTTTGTTGTTTCATGGGTAAATTCCAAATAAGTTTTTATTTGATTAAAGTTTTCCTTATTTTTATAATTGTTCTCTTAACCTTTCTTTTACTTAAGAGATTTTTTTAAAAAAAAAAAGTTCCAGTGTCCACTAATCCAGAACAATATATTTCTCCTTGCAACGTTCCAAACGAGCAGAGGCTGCCAATCTACCACCCAGAATTTTTGTACATGCATACTTCTTCTGATGTTAACATGTTCTCAGTGTGACCTGTACTTTAGTTTTAGATAATTGTAGCTGTATGTATCTAGGAAAGGGAGAAAGAGAAGCTCAAAATAGGTACAGCTCATATTGTGTTATCTCTTATTAATCAGGAGAAGAGTCTCTCTCTTTCTCTTTCTTTTCTTTTCTCCCTCACCCAACCCTCCCTTTCTCCCTCCCTCCCTTCCTCCCTTCTTTCCTTCCTTCTTTCTTCCTATCATCATCTAACAAGATAATGTCCTATATTTATACTCTCTGTGTTAAAAGGACTCTCTGATGCTTCCAGTCTATGTTTCAGCTTCTTTGGGTAAGGAAGTACTTTCGGTCTTCTTACCATACACTTTAGTAATTATCACTTTCAGGTTTTAAGATTCTTTAGATTATATCTCTCTTATATATATATATCTTGGTACAAAAGGCATGTTAATCTGTTGCCATGAATGTGAGTTTGTCTCTCCAGCTTCTCACACTGCATTATATGTGGTAAATTACTTTTATGTAGTAATTCTTTGACATAGTCCATGACTTGCTATCACAAGGGTATTTGAGATTTGATAGTTATATGAGAAGGTATATGAAATTATACAGAATTTAAACATGCAGATGAAAACATTTTAACAAATATTTGAGTGTTTTCTTTTGTGTTAAGCACAAAATATGAGGACCACAAGGGAGAATAAGACGTGGTCTTTTTAGTCAGCCTACAGTTAAGTTGGGGAGACAAAATATACAAAATATACCTTAAGGGATAAATATTGATAAATAATTTCAAACAGTAGCATGACAAATGAGAAAAGACAGTTGCTGTATCTTAAGATGTAGAGATCATTGTCAGGGTGGACGATTGGAGACGTTTTGTTGAGGAGAAGGAATTGAAACTATGCCTTGAAAGATAAATAGGAATCGAGTCAGTAAGAAAGAGAATGAATTTTATAAACAAGAGGAACATTATAAAAAGCTAAGTGTCAAGACATGTTCATAGAAATTTAGATATTTAGGAAGCTTGATTGCAGTAGATTTTGGAAATAATGACGAAAAACAAATTGAGATGAACTGTCAGTGACTTCAAATGATCTCATAGGCATAAATACCTATGAACCTTGTGGGGGCTTTAGTAAATTATTTTATAGGATGGTCGAGAAGCTAAGAGAAAAATAGTTTGGTTGCCAGTAGTACAATTTCAGGTATGAAATTGAATAAGTGTGAGGACAACTACTTTAATTAGTCATGAAATATTATAGGGGTAGTTGGTAGGAAATTTGTAAAGAAAAAAATACATAAATGACTTGGTGTTTTGTGACTATATTAGGATTTGGGCTATAGGATGACAGGGAGGAAAGATTTAATAAATGGGTTTATAGAGTGTTAAGCCCGGGTGACCTTGAGAACAATGGTTTTATTAGTGGAAATATGAAAGACATAAGGGAGAACTGACTTCTTTATTCAGTTCATTTGTAATAATGTTTATTGCGTTGAACTACCTATGTGGAAATGGCCAGCTGGCACTTGGAGATAGACTACTTAGAGGGGCTAGGAGTAAAAAGAAGAAAGTGTTGAAGTGTTTCTTATAGTATATAGTTTACTTTCTCGTGGAGACAGGAGAAGGAAGTGCAGAAGGCTTAGAAGTAAACTTTGGGAAATACTCATATATTTAGCAGAATGGAAAAGGGGTCACAATCCTTAAGAGGGTGTGTCAAGGAAGACACACCATGCTAATATGCCAAAAAGACCAAAAGAAAATAAGCCTCAAGGAAGGCCTAATCAATAGTATTGCTCTCCCCAGAGAAATCATAATATGGGTACAAAATGATGTTAAATTTGAAGATATTTATTTTGGTAATATTTTTCTTTTGATGAAAATCTAGAGCTGATTTTTCAGAATCACTTTTATATAATAATTTTTTTTTCATTTTATGTAATAATCTGATCTACTGATTTTTATCAAGTCAGGTCCAGCAGTTTCCTTTTTTATGTTGGCATAAGTTAAAGAATTTTCAAGATTAAAACAGCCATGCAATAACTATTTTAAAGTAATTTGATAACACCTGAACTGTTGGAATTTGGATTTTTTTTTTTTTTTAGACGGAGTCTTGCTCTGTCACCAGGCTGGAGTGCAGTGGCACAATCTCAGCTCACTGCAACCTCCGCCTCCTGGCACAATCTCATCTCACTGCAACCTCCGCCTCCCGGGTTCAGGTGATTTCCTGCCTGCCTCAGCCTCCCAAGTAGCTGGGACTACATGCGAGCGCCACCACACCCAGCTAATTTTTGTGTTTTTAGTAGAGACAGGGCTTCACCATGTTGACCAGGATCCAACACTTATTTCAAATATACATCTGAGTCTTTTTTGTATCTAGTTTACATATTTTTCCCTAGGTTGGCAAGCTCTAATCTAAAAGTTTTTTTAATACATAAGGAAGGACTTCTTAAGGGTTATTCTTAGCATAAATTCCATTTATCACCTCTTTTCATTCTTGGTATATGAGTCCATTTCATAAGATTATTTTAGGGTATTTTAAAAGTTGCATACATAATTTAAAATTTTGGAGTATTTCCTAGGTAAGATGCTTTCTTCTAATGAACGGTGTGCTTAAAAAAAAAAAAAAAAAAAAAAGAACAAGACATACTGACCCTGCTAATAGAATTGAAATAACTCTAGAAGAGGATGGTTCTGCCTAAGATAGCCCATATTTTTTAACCTTCCTACTTTGTGTTAAGGTTTTCTAGAAGCATATACTTCTCATATTCACTCTCTGTATATTCTTCATGATTGATATAATTGAGATCCTGAATTTTAGTATGCATTCTGCTTTTAATATACTTCATCTCCAGATTTGTCCAGTTTTTTTCAACATACCTTTCAGAACCTCAGATGGTAGGATTTTAGAACTGGATTCTAGTGATCATTTATCTCCATCATTCCACAGAGATTAGGTGATTTACCTATTACTGATGGAGAGATGTCTTGGGTCTTCGACCTCATTCCTCTGTCTAATCATTCATCTTTCTGCTTCAGGAAAATTATGTTAGTTGTGTATAGTACCTTCCCTCAAAAAAGGTATTAGTATTCTTTCCTTAATGAGTCCTCATCAGAGCTCTTAGCTCATAAGTTTTTGTATCATTTAATTTCTTTAAAGTTTAGTATAAATCTCTAAATGCCTAACAAGTTTATACTACTCATTTATTGGTAGTATTTATAGAATTCTTTAGTCAGTATGAGAATTTTCAAATAAGGGAGTCATTATTTTAACACATCTGATCCTCCCATCTCCTCCTTTTAAAAATAAAACAAAATACAATAATTGCTGAATATACTTTTATTTTCTTTTTACTCCTCTTATTCTTTTTGAAGTTTTCACAGTTACTGGTAAATACTGTCTCATAGATTATCTCAGCTAAACCTTATTGATATTTAATGTCTATGAGCTTTATGTGGTCTTTATTTCTATATATCCAAAAGAATGCATAACAAGCATACTTGATTTTATTAGAGGAATAGTTCATCTAAAATGCACTTATTTTGATAATTTCTCATTACTTATTAGTTTCACTCTATTTCTAATTATTTTACTACAACTGCAGTAAGTGCTAGCTAGCATAAGCTATATGTAGTATTAAATTTTATGTTGACACATTTTCTTGATACGCAGTGCATTTAATTTTATGATAGGCTTATATACCTTTCATTTGGTGAGAGAGGGTATTTTCTTTTCGTTTTTGAAGATAAACCTTACTGCTTTCTAGTAGATGTGAATATTCAAATAGTGCCTTCATTTAAAATTTTGTCTTTGAGAATTCTTACTCATAAATACTTTGACCCTTGTTTAAAAAGATAAAATTCTTTTCTTTTGATTGGCTTACTTAATCGTACCATACATTTTAAAACCAGTTAGGCTATTTTTAGTTAATATAGAGAAAGTAAAATATTTTCCTGTTTTATATCATCAACTGTTTGGAAGCCTGGTCTGGAAAACCTAGTCTGCAGTTTATAGATATGGGTGTTTATTGTCTGAGGATCTATTAATAAATAGAGAGTTGGTCTTTTAATTGATGAAGTTAGAGGCACCTTTTCTAACTGGTTCATGAGTAAAGCAGATTCTTTTAATGCCTCCTTTAGTAAACAAATGGTTAATCCAAATAATATCCTTTTCTTTTTTCTGATATGATTGAAATATACTTTCATTTTCTCCATATAAAAGTCACTTTGGAGTTAAACAGATGCCTTATACCAAGAAAATTAATACTGTCTTGCCATATTCACAATGAAATGTGTTATATAGGACACACAGGCATCTTAAATATGATTGCTATTTTTTCTTTGCTCTTTTAGAGCTTTATAAGCTTCAACTGTCCCCAAGATTATTTCAGAGATCTACTAACTGTAAATGTGGCAACATTGATAAATAATAGGGTCAAGGGTTGATCAGTCCTACTTGCCCCGCAACCCTCACCCCCAAAAAGAAAAAATGTTTGTTTAAACAACACATGAAGGATACCATGCTTAGGAACATTTATCAGATTTCCTTTGAAATTGCTAAATTGGACTACTTTCAAGTCTCCACTCTACTTCAAATTGTAATCTTAGACTTGTAATTATACTTCTGGAAACATTTATTAGAGTAGATTTATAAAGTAGTTGCTTTTTTGTTCTCTCTCTTGGCTTCTGTGAAATTTTGAGTGAACTGAGTTAAAAAAAAATCATTTAACAACACATGGCTAAGGCAGTTTCAATCCCCTAATTTTTAGTTTTTGATATAAAAGTCTATTTAGAGGTGTACTTTGTTCATGTGGTTGCTTATTTATAACAGTTCATGTAACTTTTTTTTTTATTTGCCTAGGAAAACACTGAAAAATAAAGACTTGAATCCTGAATTTGTACTTATAGTCTTTCATTTTTGGCAAATGCCTAGCTGTATGGCTCCTGGTGCCCTTATGGTAATCTGGAGAAATAGTTATATTCTTTCTTGTTTTTGAATTGTTTTAAAGTAGACTTGGAATCAGTTACCTTCTTCTCCTATCTTATCATCCTCCAACTTTCTTCACACTCGAGATATAATCCTGTTTCACTTATGATTCATTTCCTTTCTTTTCTAAGTTTTTGTGTATATTAAACATTAGATAATTTTCCTAGTTTTATCTAATATGGTTACATTTTTTAAAAAGTTATTCTTTCTTTTCTATTATTGTAACCATCCAAAAGAGCATTAATAAGCACTGTTGCACACATTTCTTCTTTTTAGCAAGCCAAAGGAAAAAGCTAGCTTTCTTTTTGAGGCAGTCCCATTTGTGGTATTGTATTAACTTCTTAGGTAAAGTCCTTTCTTTTATAGAAATATTTTCTCTTTTTACCAAAATGCAAACCTTCCTTGAGAAATCAGTTATTCTTCTTCTGAATTTTAACTTCTGCATTTGGTGAACTGTACATCCATCCTTATGCCACATTTTTAATACTAAAGAAAGAAAGTTACTACCTTTCTCTTTTCCAAGCATTTCCTGGGATATTACTAATAAAGCTCAATTTGTTCTAGATCAGTGGATACCGGAACAGAAAGGAGGTATTTCTTACCTGATAATGTGTGTGTGTTCCGATTCTGCTAATCCAGAAATCCAACAGCATTTGTTGAAAATCATCCTTAGTTGTTATTTGTTAGGGAGTCAACTCCCTATTTTAGTTGTTTCTGAAATTCAGTCCCTAGATGTGCTTTAGATAGGGTAGAATTTTTACCTCTTTCAGAACACTGCTAAAGAAGTTTTCAACTGGAACATAGTCTGAAGAAGCACTGAGAGCAAAAAATTCAGAGTGGTGATTGGCCACCTCTGTTTGATTGACAGGTTGCAGGGAGGAAACCCATTCGTTCTGGATTAATGGAACTGGAAAACAGAAAACAATTATCAGGTAAAAAAAACCTTTTCTTTAACCTTTGAAATTCACCATTTAAAAGACGAGTCAGACTACCAGGGAATTTATTACCAAAAATAATAAAATCTAGTGTCATTTGAGCAATGATCTCTGGCTACTACTTCCAAGAATTACCAAAAAATCCGTACAGTTGCTACATGTCAGCTTTTGCAGAAAGGGCATGATTGAACGGAGATAGATGGAGTGTAAGACATAATTATGTGTTAAATCTGAGTTTAAAACATGAAGCAGAATTCTATGGGTGGGGGAGTTGGTATTCTTTTATTTCCTGAATTGTGTTTGGTCTGTGGATAGAATACTTTATTTTTCAAGGCTATTAATCTGGCACTTTTCATGAATATTCATAAATTTTATTACTGTACAATGCTTGTTTTACTTAATCTTCACTTCATTAGGATGTATGCTTTTATCTTAAAATTATTGTAATAATAGTGACCAATTCTTTTCATTTTAATGGTAGTTTTCTTACTGTTGGTTAAATATATTTCAGATTGAAGGCCAAGGACATGGCGCAGTATTTGACTGCAAATGCTCTCCTGATGGTCAGCATTTTGCATGCACAGACTCTCATGGACATCTTTTAATTTTTGGCTTTGGGTCCAGTAGCAAATATGACAAGGTAGAGTATGATGACTATATATCATGTCCTTATTTTTTTTTAATGCATGTTTAGGGGTTGTATGTTTTTGGAGTGGGTGAGAATCAGCATCTTTACATTCAGGATAAAATTCGAAGAATCTTGTGTTAAGTAGTCTGGAGACTTAGTTTCGGAAAGGAAGGTGAAGACAGCAGTTAAATCTCACTTTAATAGGGCTTATTATTTGAAAATCTGCATATTTCAGGAAAAAAATAACTCTTAGCCTCCTGGGGCAATCTAGATTGGAATTCTTAACTTGGGGTATATAAACTGGAGATGGAAGATGTTATCCATAGTGGGACTCTGAAATTATGTAAAATGTTTTTTTAATATAGATAATACGTACTTATCTAGGGTACAAATCTGTGGCTTTCATGTGGCTCTTAAAAATGTATTATATTACCTGATTGTAGTTAATGTTTTTTATTAAAGATCCTGTCCAGTTTTTGGGGGGCTTTTTTTTACAGAGTAGGGGTGAAATGTCTCACTATGTTGCCTAGACTGGCTTTGAATTCGTGGGCTCAAACAATCCTCTCATTTCAGCCTGCTAAATAACTGCAGGTGGCACTACAGGCATATGCCCTGCCACTTTGCTCAGCAGTTAAAGACCCCAACTTTAAGATTAGTGACTAAAAGAATTAAATTGCTTACTTGTGGTGGAATGGTATAAAAGGTTATGATAGTAAATATTGAGTAGTTTATAATTTAGTTTAAAAAATTGCAAATTAACCAGTGAAATTTTATATAATAAAATTTATGTCCTGGTTGAGTTTATATTAATAATTTTATATCATCTCAAAACATTTAGAGAAAATGCTTATTAACCCTTAGAAAATCTTATGTGATTTTTATAGTAATATTACACAAATCATACTTACTGTATACCTAAGGATTTAAGATAAAGCATGGTAGCTCTGTGGAAGTAAAAATACTGTTGAATGATTTATGACTAGATTTGATGTTACCATTTAATTTAAAATTGAATATTGAATAGCTTATTTTTAGTGGTAGCTTTTCTACACAGTAGCCTCCTCTTATCCACAGGGAATATGTTCCATGACTCCAAATGGATGTCTAAAACCTTGGAAAGTACCAAACCCTATTCACACTGTGTTTTTCCTATACAGTAATGGGTGGGTAGCATATCTAGACAATGTGGATATGCTGGACAAAGGGATGATTTGTGTCCCAAGTGAGATGGCACGTGATTTCATTATGCATTTTGGAACAGTGCACAGTTAAACTTATGAGTTGTTTATTTCTGGAACAGCATTTTTGGAGTCAGGTTGACCACAGGTAACTGAAACCATGGAAAGCAAAATTGCAAATAAGAGGGGACTCCTGTGTATAATCCCTTACTTGTTTCAGAGAAAATTTAAAGCAGCTACTTTTCTGATCATAATACTTAAGGTAGAAAATTAAAATACCTATTTACAATTAATTCAGGAAAATAATATTTTAAAAATTGTTGCTTAATACCATTATTCGTATTCAGGTGTTTGCTTTCTATTAGAAATGATGTAGACTTTTTTTCTACAATGATACATTTTTATTTTTCCAGTCTTTTATGGACTTTTCTTTTTGCAGATAGCAGATCAGATGTTCTTTCATAGTGATTATCGGCCACTTATTCGTGATGCCAACAATTTTGTATTAGATGAACAGACTCAGCAAGCACCTCATCTTATGCCTCCCCCTTTTTTGGTTGATGTTGATGGTAACCCTCATCCATCAAGATATCAAAGATTAGTTCCTGGCCGTGAAAATTGCAGGGAGGAGCAACTCATCCCTCAGATGGGAGTAACTTCCTCAGGTAGGTGCTCATTTTCTTAGACAATCAAATTTTCTTCTTCCCACCGAACTGTTAAAATTGCTAATTGAGTAAAACTTTGTTTGCAGTTGTTAAGTGGATAAGAAGTAAAAGTATGTTTTATACTTTTATACAGGTCTTTGATCATGCTTAAGGATTACAAGTTAATTATGGAACATGGGCGATTTACAGTAATAATTTTGATTTATTATCCATTTGTAACCCCTAGGGATCAATAAGGTAGTTCCTGTATTTGGTGTGAAACAAGTGAATTAATTTACTTACTCAGCAACATTTATTGATAATCTCTTCTGTCTCTGACACCTGCTAAGCCATGGCTATTCAGTAGTGGATTAAACAAACATGATCCTTGCTTTCATGGAATGGGTTAGTAGATTAATAAACACAGTTCATTAGAATAAACAAATACATAGTTCAAATTGTGATGAATGTTACTAAAGGGAATAATAGCATGATGTGAGAGAGATTGTAGATTGCCTGTTCACATTGAAGATGTTTTAAAAAGTTACCAACTTTTAAAGGTTTATAAGAGGATTGACATGGAAAGTGTTGAGAGCTGTTTTAGTGAAGTATAATGGAGTGTTGAAGAATTAAATGAGAGTTAAAATGGAGTCAAAGTCTACAAACTGCTTTCCCTCTTTTGACAAGAAATGCAGCACTAGTGTATTAAGTAAAAATAAGGAAAGGTTCTGTAAAGAAGGTTAAACCAGTTTTGTCATTATGAATACTTCTACTATATTTTTAGACTAGAAAAATATTTATGAAAATATTTTAAGTTCTAGACTTCAATCGACAAAAGCTTCTAAGTAGCTTTTGTGTTGAGTGACTTTTAAATAATGAAATTAGATTCTGTAAGGAGCACAGAAAAAATCAACCTCAAACGTGCATCTTATTTTTCTTAAAGGATTTAGCATGAAGTTGCAATAAAGATGGACATACTGGATAGAAGGGGCTCCTCTTGGAATTAGACACGTCCACTTAGAATGGAGGGTGAGAAGAAGCATTAGAGGAATCATTCCTGCTGCTACTCCTAGAGTAGTGCAGTCCAGTGGACTTATCTGGAGTTTGTGAGATTAATGTGTCTCAGTACGTGGACACAGCATGAACTCAAAGAATAAGTAGTATTCGAGAAGTATGGACAGATACTCAGACTCAGATTAGATAAGTTTCAGTATTAGAGAAGTTCTGGTCATAGGACTGAAATTAAGAGAAATGTCTTCAGTCTCTCGGAGAGGAATTGGCAAAATCAGATTGTTCCCAAGCCTCAAAATAGATAGCTACTTTAGGGTTTCAGACACAGGGAAATAAGGAAAAGACTCATTTATTAAAGTATCAGTGCTAATTAATTATTATTATTACTTTTTAAATCCATTTACCAATTTATAAAGGGCTTTCATAAACAATATTTAATCCTGTATCTTTGATATTCCAGTCCTGCAGGTTGAGAGAATTCAAAATTTAATGGTAATGTGTCATAGAATCACAGGGACTCTAACCTCAGCTCTGATTCTCAGTCCATTATTCTTTCTTCCATATAAAATAGGCATAATCTTAAAAATGAAATAGATACCAGTTGTTGGTATCCATAAGAGAATCCATAGCAATAATACTGGCTTTGTAATGAGTCCCAAAATTTTTCAGTGTTCTGATTCTCAGAATTCAGAGTAAAAATCTTTTTTTGTCATATTTTAGACTTATTGAGTCTAAAATTGGTTAATACAAAAACAGAACAAAAGCAAAATTCTTTTCAAAAAAAACCTTAGCTTTTTATTTGCAAATCCAGATAATAAAATTTATTCTGGGAAATCTCTCAGAGTTAGGGAAAAATAGATTTGAGTTATTATAATAATAAATTAGCTTGTTGTATTGGCACCATACAACATACTTTAAATGTGTTTTTTTCAGTTGTAAACTTGAGCTATATCAGATTATTCATCAGTATTGCAACATGGTTTTCCAACAGCAAACCAGGAAAGAAGTATAAGACATTTGAACTTTTACTTCTGTCTGCTTTTACTACTTCTACTTTGGTGACCTTAAACAAGTTATTTTATCCTATTGAATTTTAGTTTTCTTTTATAAATGAAATTATGCATGTAATACATGTAATTTCTTTTTCCTTTTACCTTTCTTACTACTACTTCATTTCAGAATATTCTTGCTCTCTTTTCTTACCATTTAAGCCCACCCTAAAATTCTGAGCTGATCAGATCTTCTCATATACTTGTATGGCTGATACTAATTGCTCCCTTCTTTATACTCATGGCAATATTTTTCATATATTTTATAATATACCTTTTAAAAATTTATTCAGCAAGAGTGAATATTTTTTAATGCCTAGCATTGTACTAGATTTAGATAAGGTAAGTGAGACAGTTCATGCTTTTGAGGAACTAATGGGTTTGGACTTCATTTATGTTTTATATTGGTCTGAATACTTAGATATGTATGGGTTGTTTAAGGAAGTGAAAGAGGGTAGCAGGTAATTCTTTCAGAAGTAATTGGAAAGATTTCACAGAGGAAATGTCATGGAATTG
Source organism: Homo sapiens (assembly GCF_000001405.40). NCBI lineage: Eukaryota > Metazoa > Chordata > Mammalia > Primates > Hominidae > Homo > Homo sapiens. Next base: position 78,999,343 of record NC_000006.12, on the reverse strand, counting down.
CCATTTTAGTTGGTGCTGGAATGGTAAGTTAAGAGATTGTCATGTTTATCTTTATAGTGGGAATATTGTGTTCAAAAGTTTCAGTGCATGAAGGTGTTTACTTTTTAGAAGGGCAGAAGTCAAGTGGTCCTCTATGACAAGTAAGAATTAATGCTGGAAAACTTGGATGGATTAAAATACAAGTTTCTCCCTGCTTCACAGCGTTTGTACCTCTTGCGTTCTACCTGAAGTGTTCCTTATCTAGATCTTTATGTGGCTATCTAATTTAAATCTCAGCGCAAATGCTACCTTGTCCGAGAGGACTTCTCTGATTTTTCTGACCCACCATCACCTTCTTTATTTCAACACCTCTCTTTCATACTCTGTATTAACTCCTGGGTTATTGTTTACTTTCCCCATCAGTATGTCAGCTCCCTAAAGAGTAGGGATCTTCATGTCCCTTATTTACCACTAGATCTCAGTACCTGGCGTAGTTCCTAACATATAGTAGACAGTCAATAATGTATTGAATAAATGAGGCAGTAAACATTTTTTTTAAGAAAATGGGTAATCAGATGTGTCATTTTAAAAGAAACCATGATCTAAGTGGAAAACCTTACTATTGCCACTTATTAGATATGTGACTTCGAACAGTTATTTTGGTTTTCTCATCTATAAAGTGGAGTTGTTTATACATACCTAATGGAGTTACCATACGGATTATGAGTATCTGAGTCATGATAAACACTTAGTAAAAGTTAGCAACCATCCTCATCGTTATTTTTGATAAACTAAGATGGACAGATGTTTTCTTTCCTTTTTTTTTTTAACTCCCATCATTTATAGTTGATCATTTAAGTCTTTTACCCAAGCAACATTTATGTTTAATTCTGAACTCATAAGTGAGGTTGGTGAGTAAAATGGTTTGAATAGTAGCTAAAATATTCGTAATATTTTGTGTGGTATTGTATAGGACTGAATCAAGTTTTAAGTCAGCAAGCAAACCAGGAGATCAGCCCACTGGACAGCATGATTCAAAGACTACAACAGGAGCAAGACCTGAGACGTTCTGGTGAAGCAGTTATCAGTAATACCAGCCGTTTAAGTAGAGGTAAGCAGGTATTCTATTTTAAGTGAAATATTTAAAAATTTGAAACAGCCTAAATCTCCCACAGTGTTAAGTGGTTTAAAAAAATTATGGTACATCCGTAAAATGAAATATTAGGTTGCCAAAATGATCATGGTTTTGAAGAATATTTAATGACCTAAGAAAATGGTTCATAATGAGATTTCAAGTTAGAGATAATGAGTTTTTAAATGTGTATGTCTTCCACATTTTCTATAGTAAACATGTAGAATAGTCAAAGCCACATTCTTGAACATCTCATCACCCTTATTGTTGTATATTATTAAACTTTAAGAGTCAAAACAAATTTATGAACCATTAATACTCTTGGGTTTGTCTAGTTTGCTTCTTATGAAGTTTTCTCAAAAATACTTAGCATTTTTTTAAAGTAATGATTTTGTATCCTTGGGGCTTAATAGTCTATAGTTATGATTCATTGACTTATCTAATCAACTGAATAACCATGTTTTGTTTTCATTAAACCACTTTTGCCTGTGGTTTAGTTCCTGATATGGTAATTTAATTATTTTGCCACAATATGAAGTTTCTTATGGAAGATAGTGTTTTATCTCTTTTTTCTGTTATAAACTAATGGAGAAATATCTCTAAGTAGAACTTAATATAGTAACTTTTTCACTTAGGCTCCATAAGTTCTACCTCAGAGGTTCATTCACCACCAAACGTAGGACTAAGACGTAGTGGACAAATTGAAGGTGTACGGCAAATGCACAGCAACGCACCAAGAAGTGAAATAGCCACAGAGCGGGATCTGGTAGCTTGGAGTCGAAGGGTGGTAGTACCCGAGCTATCAGCTGGTGTAGCCAGGTAAGGGAAGTTGTGAATTTTTATGTACCATAGTTCCTTGGGTTCATTTTGGAGTTAACAGCATTCACAGCTGTTATTTTCAGCTCTGTAATTCCTCTGAAATTTTTCTGGAAGGGCAGTATAAACTATTCATGACTGTAGAAAAATTAAGTTTCTAAAATATATTTATTTCTAGAATGATTTATGTAAATGATAAGAATGATACGTGTTAAGGTCAACAGGAAAATCATAAATTTGGATTGACCAAATAGGAGGTTTTATTGAGTAGCATATTTCAGTCTTGGTTTGTCCTGTTTAACTATATCTTAAAATACATTTTATAAAGTTTGTTGTAATTATTTAATTTTTTAATGGATTTAGCCAGCCATTCACATGATATTCAGATGCAAAAAAAAAATAAATTGGAAAATACAAAAAGATTTTATATATATTAAAATATTTATATTTAAAAGTATACATTTATGACTTTAAAAGTATTGATTTAATAAAATTCTATTCTCTTAGACCATGCCATGAGGGAAGTTTATATCCAGTTCCTTTTGATCTTCAGTCATGAAATACTCATGAATGAGGCCTATATGAACTTAAGTAAGGCTGATTTCTGTGTATGAAGTGTGTTCTAAGTATGAAGGTCAAAATGTGAATTTGAATTTAAGATTGTCTAGTTCTTCAACTCAGAAGATAGTAATTACATAATTAAAATTTTGGTCTTAATGTTCATATAGATTATGCTTTTTGATTGGACATACTTTGAATTTATGTTAGGATTTAGAATTAAATACACACCAAAGGTATACATTTACACTTTCTTATGACAAATATGCCCAGTTATCCGTCATAAATTAATTAACTCACATGGCATATTTTTAGTTAGATTCTTGTTTACTTTTTAATTCTAATGTTAAGGTTTGAAAGGGGTCAAATAAATAATGCCCATTTTTTCAACACCAATTCTGAAATAATTGAAAAATAACATGGAGAATAAGACATAGTAAATCAGCCTATCACTGTTTGTTACTATCACTTTTTATTTCGTGAAATAAAACCCATATCAGTAACAAAAAGTAATATTCCACAAAAACCATATCAGTAACAAAAAGTAATATTCACCAGACACAGATAGCAGTGGGCCACAGTTTTTCTCCCCTTGTGGGACAGGACATGTGGTTTGCTTCTTTAAGATGCAGGGCCAAATGTATAATTGCACACAATGGCATAAGGCTGGGCTGTGCTAAGCTGGGTTTTTCTTCCAGAGCATATCAGTTGACTAATTTACTCCTCCTCTGGAGAGGAATGAGTCAGGAGATAAGGTTGCTAGTTGTAGGTTGAGGCTCCTGCACATGGAAGGGAACCTGAGGAGTGAGGAAGATTTATTTCTCTTCAAATATTCTTCATCCTTTTATTCCTTTATCATTGGGCTTAACTATTCATTGGCCTATGGTCAAGCAAGACTGTGGCCATAACTTTAACAGATATTCTTTCTTTGGGCTTCCTGGAGCTTTGTCTCTAAAACTTTGTACTCATCCTATGGGAATCTTCCTAAGAATCTCTCCAGTGGGTAGTCTAAAGTTTCCTTTTAAAAAGGCTCTCTGAAATGGGTCAGCCTCATCCATTAATTAAAATGGAATCCAATGACATACCCAACAGGGGGCTAAGTAACATAGAAATAATTCTCATAACTCAATAGTAAACAACAGAATCCAACCGGAGAATGGGCAAAAGACATGAACAGACATTTACCAAAGAGGATCTATAGATGACAAATAAGCACATGAAAAGATAATCAATGTCATTAACCACTAGGGAAATACAAGTTGAAACCACAGTGAAATATCACTGCATTCTTCTCAGAATGGTTAAAATAAAAAATAAGTGACAGCACCAAATGCTAGAGAGGATGTAGAGAAAACTGAATTACTCATGCATTGCTAGTGGGAATGTAAAATGATAGAGCCATTTTGGGAAACAGTTTTGCACTTTCCTAAAATCCTAAACATGGAACTGCCTGTCATATGACCCAGCAGTTGCACTATTGGGAATTTATCCTAAAGAAATGAAAACTCATGTTCACACAAAAACCTGAACATAAATGTATAGCAGCTTTATTTGTAATACCCAAAAGCCAGAAAGATACCCAGATGTATTTTAGTGGGTAGATGGTTAAACAATGGTATATTCACACCATGGACTACTACTGTGCAATAAAAAGGAACAGCATATTGATACAATGGGTATGAATCTTGAGGGAATTATGCTGAGTGGAGAAAAATAATTTCAAAGTACATCCTGTATGATTCCATTTATGAAATATTCTTGAAATGACAAGGGTATAGGAATGGAGAACAGATTTAGGTTGCTAAGATACAGGCATACTTTGGGGATATTGCAGGTTTGGTTTCAGACCAGTGCAGTAAAGCAGCTCACATGATTTTGTTTGTTTGTTTCCAAGTGCGTATAAAAGTTAAGGTTATACTATTCTATAATCTGTTAATTGAACAATATGATTATGTCTGAAAAAAACTACATACCTAATTTGAAAATTCTTTACTGCTGAAAAACGCTAACAACCATCTGAACCTTCAGTGATTATACTCTTCTTGCTGGTGAAGGGTCTTGCCTCGATGTTGATGGCTGCTGGCTGATCAGAGTGGAGGTTGCTGAAGCTTGTAGTGGCTGTGGCAATTTCTTAAAATAAGACAATAATAAAGCTTGCCACATTGATTTGACTCCTCTCATGAAATATTTCTGTGTGGAACTTATTTCAAAACTGGGGTCAGTCCTCTCAAACCCTGCCATTGCTTTATTAGGTTCATGTAATTTTCTTTTCTTTTCTTTTTGAGACAGAGTCTTACTTTGTTGCCCAGGCTGGAGTGCAGTGGCGTGATCTCGGCTCACCGCAACATCCACCTCCCAGTTTCAAGCAATTCCCCTGCCTCAGCCTTCCCAGTAGCTGGGACTACAGGCGCATGCCACCATGCCTGGATAATTTTTTGTAGTTTTAGTAGAGATGGGGTTTCACTGTGTTAGCCAGGATGGTCTTGATCTCCTGACCTTGTGATCTGCCCACTTCAGCCTCCCAAAGTGCTGAGATTACAGGCATGAGCCACCGCGCCTGGCCAAGTTCATATAGTTTTCTACAATCTTTGTTAACATTTCAGCAATGTTCAAAGCATATTCACTAGAGTAGCCTCCCTCAAGAAACCTCTTTGTTCATTCATGAGCCACTCCTCATTCATTTAAAGTTTTATTATGCAACTTCAGCAATTCAGTCACATCTTTAGTTGCCGCTTCTAATTATAGTTCTCTTGCCGTTTCCATTACATCTACAGTAACTTCTTCCACTGATGTCTTCAGCCTTCGGAATCATCTATGAGGGTTGGAATCAGCTTCTTTCAAACTCCTGTTAACAGTGATACTTTTCCTCTTCCCATGAATCATAAATGTTCTTAATGGCATCTACAATGGTGAATCCTTTCTAGAAGGTTTTCAATGTATTTTGCCCAGATCTGTTAGCAGAATAACTAGTGCAGCTATAGCCTTATGAAATGCAATTTCTTAAATAAAAAGACTTGAAAATAGAAATTATTCCTTGACCCATAGGCTGCAGAATGGATGTTCTGTTAGCAGGCATGAAGAGAACACTAATCACCTTGTATATCTGCATCAGAGCTCTTGGGTGATTAGGGGCATTGTCAATGAACAGTAATATTTTGAAAGCAATCATGTTTTCCGAGTAGTAGGTCTCAACAGTGGGCTAAAAATATTCAGTAAACCATGCTATAAATAGATGTGCTGCCATCTAGACTTTGTTGTTTCATTTATGGAGCACAAGATGAGTATATTTATCATAATTCTTAAGTGCCCTAGGATTTTTGGAATGATAAATGAGCATTAGCTTCAACTTGAAGTCACTAGCTGTATTAGCCCCTAAGAAAAGATTTAGACTGCCCTTTGAAGCTTGGAAGCCAAGCCCTTACTTCTCTCTAGCTGTGAAAGTCCAGATGATATCTTCTTCCATTTAGATGGCTGTTTGATCTGTTACTACATTGAAAGTCTGTTGTTTAATGTAGCTACTGTCTTCAGTGATCTTAGCTAGTTATTCTGGATAAATTGCTGCAGCTACTTCATCAGCACTTGCTGCTTCACCCTACACTTTTATGTTACACAGGTAGTTCTTAGGCCTCATGAACCAACCTCTGCTAGCTTCCAACTTTTCTTCTGCAGCTTTTTCCCCTCTTCCAACCTTCATAGAAGAGAATAGAGTTAGAGCCTTGCTCTGGATTAGGCTTTGGCTTAAGGGAATGTTGTAGCTGGTTTAATCTTCTATCCAGACCGCAAAAACTATTTCTGTATCGGCAACAAGCCTGCTTCACTTTCATATCATTCCTGTGTTCACTGGAGTAGCATATTTAACTTCCTTCAAGAGCTTTTCCTTTTCATTGAAAACGTGGTTGTTGGGCACAAGAGGCATAGCTTTCAGCCTGTCTCAGATTTTGACATGCCTTTATCACAGAGTTTAATCGTTGCTACCTTTGATTTAAAGTGAGAGATGTTTTCACTGGATCAGTTAGGGTTTTTAATTGGCCTAACTTTAATATTGTTCTGTCTCAGGGAATAGTGAGGCCTGAGGAGAGGGAGAAGATGGGGCAATGGCTAGTTAGTGGAGCAGTCAGAACACACGTAACATTTGTCAGTTAAGTTCATTGTTCTATATAGGTGAGGTTCATGGTGCTTCAAAACAACTACAATAGAAGCATAAAAAATTACTGACAACAGATCTCCATAATAGATATAATGGTAGTGAAAAAGCCAGAAATATTTTAAGAATTACCAAAATGTGACACAGAGACACGAAGTTAGCATATGTGGTTGAAAAATGGCATTTGCTCATTGCAGGGTTCCACAAACTTGCAGCTTGTGAAAAAAAAAAATGCACTATCTGCAAAGCACAGTAAAACAATGTATGCCTGTGTACACACACACACAAACTAATAGAAACTAATAGAAGTAAAACTGGGGAAGTCTCAGTAAGATCAGTGGATTGTATAAATGTCAGCATCCTCCTTCTGATGTTGTACCATGTTTTACAAAATGTTACCATTTGGGGGAATTAGATAAAGGATACAAAGTTTTGCAAAATGTTACCATTTTGGGCCGGCGCGGTGGCTCACACCTGTAATCCCAGCACTTTGGGAGGCCGAGGTGGGGGGGATCACGAGGTCAGGAGATCGAGACCATCCTGGCTAGCACAGTGGACCCCCGTCTCTACTAAAAATACAAAAAATTAGCCGGGCGAGGTGGCGGACGCATGTAGTCCCAGCTACTCGGGAGGCTGAGGCAGGAGAATGGTGTGAACCCCGGGGGGCAGAGCCTGCAGTGAGCCGAGATCATGCCACTGCACTCCAGCCTGGGCGACAGCGAGACTCCATCTCAAAAAAAAAAAAAAAAAGTTACTATTTGGGGGAACTGGATAAAGGATACAAATAATCGCTGTTATTTCTTACAACTGTATGTTAATCTATAATTATTGCAGTAAAAAGTTTAATTTAAAAAAAAAAAATTAAGAACAAAAAAATTAAATCCAAGCCTGTTCTTTTCACAAGATTTAAATTTGCTCATTTTATTTTCCATTCAGAATTATGGCCAGCCACAATGGAGATTGTGCCGTTAAGTAACATGATAACATTAATATCATCTAGTAAAGAAATATCAACAGTATATAGTTGCACTGTGTTTTAGTATTAACTACCTTCTTATTATAAAATCTTAAGGGAGAATTAAATTTCAAATACCCTTGCATTTCAAAAACTTTAAAGTTGTAAGATATTGAAATAAAAAATAAAATTATCTTCTCATGAGTTCATTTTTTGTATTAAAGTTTAAAATTAGTGTTCCTCAATTTGTGTTGTTCAGTTTCACCTTGATGGTTTGAGTTTTTTCAGTCGGTGAAACCTGACCTCCCTGTCTCTGGAAAGAGTGTAGTTCTTTCAGGGCTTTCCGTGTAACCTCAGGGTCTGTTGTATTGAATTTTTAAAGAGATTCCAGCTATCTATATGGAACAGAAGATTATCAAAGCATAGGCCCTATCCTAAAAAAAAAAAAAAAAATCCAATTTCTCACTCTTGGAAAAATTACCCTAGGAATCACCACATTCCCAGAATCTAATACTTGGTTTGCCAGAGACCATAGCAGGAACCAGTAGTATCAAGTTGGGGTAGACAGAGTTTGTCTTTCCATTATTTCAGTCATTTAATGCCGGATGTCCTGAGCCCACAACCTATGAAATTAAACTTAGAAATCTTTATCACATGCTTCCATCTTAAAATAAAACATCAGGAGTAGCGTTCCTTTCCTGATACCTAACATTCCTTTTGGAGGAAAGTTATGTGTAAAATTCTAGATTAATGCATATGGCTTTTGTCTTTCAGTAGGCAAGAAGAATGGAGAACTGCAAAGGGAGAAGAAGAAATAAAGACTTACAGGTCAGAAGAGAAAAGAAAACACTTAACTGTTCCAAAAGAGAATAAAATACCCACTGTCTCAAAGGTACATATTAATTATTTTGATGTTTAATATTTGCTTCTTAAGTATAGTGACCATTTTAAGGCTCCATTTTGTAATTTAACATGGTATTATAAACAGGTTAATGATAAAAATTAACATAGTAAATCTTGGTTATCTCTGGATTATCTATTGTTTACTATTTAAAATTTTTAATTCCATTTCTGCTTTGTAGCATACCCTTTCCCAAAGTGCCAATTCTTACATACTCATGAAATTCTAATAAATTACACTGAAGCCTCATCAAGAACTTTCTTTAGCTCTTCATAATCTTGTGTGCCATCTTTGTACAGTCTAAAAATAGCATTTTGTTATGTTTTTCTATGTGTTTTTGTGGTGTCTTGCATCTATTCATTATTCTAGATAATCAAGTCAGCTAATGCTGCTATAGATAATATTTCTCATTTTCTTCATTAAGAGAGGTAGATTGTCCCTAATAGTTTTGACTTATTGGCTTTTCTGTCATCCTACTCTGGAAAAACTGTTGCACCCAGTAGATTTCAATTGGTCATGGCCTAATTGAGAGAGATACGTACTTCCTGAGTGTGAAGGAATCACAAATATCGCTTTTTCCTTTTTTTCTTTTCTTTTCTTTTATTTTGGAGAAAAACATCTTAGCTTGAAAGCTTCAGAGCCTTAGAGTCTGAAATTGAGGAAGCCTATGTGAAACTTCTTTTTAGGTCCAAGTCACTATCTAAAGCAATTATTGAAACAAAGGAAAAATAAATAACTGGCCTTCTTCACCAGCTTCGTGTTCCTTCCTTTTTTTCATTTGAGTTTTTTAAAACTCCTAAATCAGTCTTCTTCTCTAGAATTCACTTTTCTGTTTTATTACTCATCTCTTCAAAATACTCAAGTAGTCCTTTTTTCTTTACTGAGTGTATCATACCCTGGGATCAGTAGGACCTCACAATGCTAGAATTCCTGTTAGTATAATAAAGGAAAATTTCTTTCTGAAATAATCTTGTTTTTTGCTTGATTGATTGGTTGGCTTTTTCATGGTAAGTGGAAAGCGTACCTTTTTTGCATCCTTTGCTGAGATAAACTTATATAATGATGATGAGAGTTTGTATTGCTTGCTACTACCTTTATGGATGGAATATGTTAATATCTATTAAAATTAAAAGATGTGCTTATCTCTTAATTCAGTAGTACTTTGAGGACTTTTTAAGAAATAAAAGGAATGATATGTATATGTATACATATATGTATGTGTGTGCATGCACACTCACATATTTTTAGCGTCTGTGGTCGCAAAAACTGGAATAACCAGTTATTATTTATGTGGTCAGCTGGCTATCATTTATTTTTCCCAAATTTAATTGGTTATTTTCGATTTCAAGGATGTCTAATTGAGTCTTTGTTTTTTTCTAAGACAAGACCCTGCATTTATTTCATGGATGTGATTCTCTTTTTTGTTTGGTTGGTGGGGAGACAGAGTCTCATTGTGTTACCCAGGCCAGAGTGCGTTGGGACAGTCCTAGCTGACTGCAGCCTTGGACTGCCTCAAGTGATCCTCTTGCCTTATCATCCCAAATAGCTGGGACTATAGGTTTATACCACCATGCCTGGCTAACTTTAAATTTTATTTTTTAACTTTGTAGAGACAGGGTATTGCCATTGCCCTGGCCAGTCTTAAACTCCTGACCCCAAAGCAGGATTCTCCCACATTGGCCTCCCAAAGTACTGGGATTACAGGCATGAGCTACCATGGCTGGCCTTTGTATTCACTTTTGAGATAGCTTTATTAAGTTTTTTGTGTTTTTTAGGTATAAATTTTAATGTTTATTGAGTTTGTCTTCATCACTGTGTTGTACTTTATCAGTTTTTTAGTGTTTATTGGTTGTATTCTCATCTGCAGAAGACTTCTCACATTTATTCCAGCAGAAGAAAAATAAGCCAGCCACATGGCATCTTATCTTCATAGTGGCAGGGTAGCTTTATGATCCCCATTTTGGTTTCCAATTTGCCTCTGCCTATTACATATGCCTCATAGCCCATTATCCTTTTTCTTACATCATTTCTATAGGTTTGATGTAGATACAGAAGAGTTCAGTGTTTGGTTTAGTCTTTTATCATGAATCCTTATGTCTGTCATTAATTAGAAAAAAAAAAAACAGCATTTTTGTAACTAATCAATCAGCAAGTAAATATCAGCATAACCATGATAAGCCTTTAACTTGATGAATGTTAAAATATTTGAGTTGGTACTATAACCTCATCCATTTAAGTGATATCTTAAATATGAACAAATGTTTTTATTGTTGTTGTATGTTAGGATAAATTGTCTCACTTTGTCACCCAGGCTGTAGTGCAGTGGTGCAATCATCCCTCCCTGCAGCCTTGAACTCCTAGGCTCAAGCAATCTTCCCAAGTAGCTGGGACTATAGGCATGCGCCACCATGCCCAGCTTGAATTTTTTTAATTAAAAAATTTTAACTTTTAAACTAAAAATCCTGCTCTTTAAACAATCTGTGAATAAATTTAATTTATTTTTTTCTAGAATCATGCTCATGAGCATTTCCTGGATCTTGGAGAATCCAAAAAGCAACAGACAAATCAACACAATTATCGTACAAGATCTGCATTGGAAGAGACTCCTAGACCCTCAGAAGAGATAGAAAATGGCAGTAGTTCTTCAGATGTAAGATATCAGCACATTCATAAATTAGATGTCATTTTTACTTATTTTTTTAAATATGAGTTTCATTCTTCGCATTTATTGATATGTTTGTAGATGTAGCTTAAATATGGCATTTTGGGGTCTTATGATACAGCTTTTATTTTCTAAAAATCTATTTCTAGGCATGGCACACATACACATAATTTCAAATCCACAAAATAAACTCGTGAATTAATTATTCTCATTTTATAGATAAGGATTCTGAGGCTCAAAGATATTTAGACTATACAGTCACCTATTAAGAGGTAGAGCAGGGATTAAATGCAAGTTTGTTTTACTTGAAAGCCAAGCTTTTTAAGTGGTACCATGAAGCTGTAGTGTAGTGTAAGTATAACAACAAATCAATAAGTATTTGACAATTTTTGTTAGTTTTTAATCTCTGTACCAGTTTACAGCTTTCTCAGTGTAATTTTTAAATATTCCTCATGCGTCATTATTTCAGTAAATATTACTGTCCTTACTAAATTATATATTATTTCAGTGAAGGCAATCAATTTGCAATCATAAACCAATCTTATTAAGCAGTTAAACCATCTCCATTCCTCTTTTCTTCTCAACCTTTCCCATCACCTTCCTTCTTTACAGGTTAGAGATGTAATCATTTTAGATATTGACTACTATACACTTTTGAAGCCATGTTGTGCTTTGAAATGCTAGGCATATATGAGAATTCTCTAAATATATTCTCTTTATCCAGGGCAACATTAACTCTCAAACTGAGAGTATTCTAACCACAATTTAAGTTAGTCTCCAATAGCTTTGGGTCCTCATATAGCCAGGTCAAAATGATATATTCATTCTGGCAAAAAAAGAGAAATATACTGATTATATGAATTTGACACATGGTAATTTGGATAGACATACAAAACATAAAATACATGTGGGCTAATTATTTATCTTATAAAATGTCTCTTTATTTTTGAAAGAGTTTCCTCTAAATATTAAGTTTCTATATAATATTTAAAATATTCTGTTTATTAGAAACTTAAGAACTGTATTTCCAGAAACACATCTGTTACAACAAGTCCTTCAAGTGTCTTCAAACTAATTTATTTATGCTTTAACATCCTTTTAGAAATTTAGAATATATTTCTAGAAGAGTCCATTGAGAACAAAGTATCACTTTGGGCACAGTATACTAATTAATTGGAAAGAATTCTGATTTTTTTGGTTCAGATGTTTTGTACTTTAGTATTTTGTATTTGGAATGTAGGAATAATTCTGTTTCTTTTTCCCCCCTTTAAGGAAGTAACACACAAAATGTGGGAAAAATCATATCACTTGCTTAGATTTGTTATATCGAGCAGTGATTAAATTTGTTAATAAAATATGCTTTTTGTTAATAAAATATGCAAATGTGATTTTTTCATTTTTGCTTAGTTTTCATAACTGTGGAATAGACATATAATTCACATTCTTCATTAAAACATCAAAATGGGAAAACTTTTGTCCCAAGTATATTATTTTATTTAAATATTAAAAGAATCCACCCCATTGTCCTCTTTAAAAGTTATCTGAATATGCCCAGCAAGTAAGTAACACCATTCTTACAGAATGTTGTCCAGGGTTTGGACTAAAGTGACCTGGGCTTAAATCAAGTTTTGTTGCTTATTAGTTGTGCCGCCTTGGGCAAAATTCTCAAATTTTTAAAGCTTTAGTTTGTTTATTTAAGTAACTCTCTATCACCAATAGTGCATTGTCAAGCCCAAATGGGGTGATACATACAAAGTGCTTAGAATAGTTTGTAACATACAGTAAAAGCTTAATAAATATGAGGTGTTATTGTTATTGGAGCATAAAGTTTATTTAAGTGAGGAAGACATGCAACATTTTTGCCATCAAAAAACCCAATTTTATGAAGAAAATGCTTTCACAGATAATATTCTTTGTTTACTCATGAATATTTACCAAAGAGAAACAGAGTGTTTAAGTATTTTTTAATCCTTTACCATTTAGATAAAATAAGACCAGAAGTGGAACATCCTTTTTTATATGGGACAGCTGTTTTAATAAGTAAAACATAAATGTGCCTATAATAAATAAAACATAAATGTGCCTTCTCAAAGCACCTATAGAAGAGAAAGCTTAGTGTTTTAAAAAGGCTCAAGAAGTAAAAATTAATTTCAAATGTAAATATGGAATTTGTTATCATTTTATCTAGATACGTTATGAGGCTTTTACAATGGTAATCTGTAGGATTGCTCTGAATCCAATATTAGTATTATGTCTTTATATACATTTACATATTCTCATTTATTTGTGAAAAAAAGGTAAAAGCTGTATTTTGCAACTAATTTTTTAAAGAGAAGCAGCTGACTCTTTTATTATTTTATTATTATTATTTTTGAGACAGTCTCTGGAGTGTAGTGGTGCGATCTCAGCTCACGGCAACCTCCGCCTCCTGGGTTCAAGCAATTCCGTGCCTCAGTCTCCCAAGTAGCTGGGATTACAGGCATCTGCCACCATTCCCAGCTAATTTTTTGTGTGTTTTAGTAGAGACAGGGTGTCGCCACGTTGGCCAGGCTGGTCTCGAACCCCTAACCTTAAGTGATCTGCCCACCTTGACCTCTCAAAGTGTTGGGATTACAGGCGTGAGCCACAACACCCTTTGCAACTAATTTAAATCAAATTTTAAATATCCCAATATGACTGATATTATAAGATATCACTGATATTTTCTGTAATCATAAAATGTTATTTTATAAAATTATGCAATAAGACATGTATTCAACATATCTTAGGAAGGCGAAGTAGTTGCTGTCAGTGGTGGAACATCCGAAGAAGAAGAGAGAGCATGGCACAGTGATGGCAGTTCTAGGTAAATGAATGCTTTTTATTTTTCCAAATGTTATATAAAGTCTTTAGAAAGGTGTTTTTTTTTTTAACCAGCAACACGTTTCAAAGTCTCTGTAAGTTCAAAGTTCTTCAGAGAGTTTTTGAAGTTGTATGAAATGTAGATTTTCTGATATATGTTCTCTATAGAAAATAATTTTTTGGTGATTGCAACTAGATCTGCAAAATGATGCTTTTAACTTTATCATCTTAGTATTGTTTCTTCTGAATACCGTTATAATGTTGAATTGCAAACCAGTTTCATTACTGGTTTTGAAAAGTATGAAGTTAAGAAAGCAATGCAAGCCTCCTGAGTTAACTATCTTATATAGTGGAATTTATGGAATACTAATGATAAGAGGAATAAGCTCTCCTTTTTCTTGTTATGCCTACCTTATTTGACCAGACCAGTGAGGATTCCTTCAACTCCTTATACTGGCGATTCACATTGTTGCAGAGCTTATGACCTTGGCTAACTTTGCAAGGTCTTAATAGCAAAAAGAGAGTATAGCCTTTGGGGATGGCAATTATGATTAGCTGCTACACTTATCCCCCACCTTAGTGGCTCTTAAAATAGACGAGACAAAGTATGAAGTAGAGGCTGTAAGAGTTCCTCAGTTGTACAATCAAGGGCTCTCCTATTCCCACAGTAGTGATTTCTGGTAATGATGTGCAAATGTGTGTGGTTATATCTAGTAGTTTTCTGTATTCAAAACAGGTCAATGAAGGAAAAATTGAATTTCTTTTGGCTCGACAGCAGAATCAGAGTATTTCAAACCCTGAGATGACATAGGAGTTCCTGTATTAAAAGAGTAGTGGTGGTTTTAGCAGTTGAGGACGGTTGTAAAGAATGCTGGACTCTGGAGTTTGTAATTATGTTTATGCTGACAGCAGAAGATCTTCTGTAAGAGCCAAGTACTCCAGAGAGTGATAACTGTGTGATTTGGCAGGTACCATTTACAGTGGCCATGGCTGGAGCTAGTATAAATAAAATGCTCATAAGTTGAAGACAACCTATTTTAGAATAGCATAGCTGAAAATAGTGTAAGTTCTTAAAAATCATTTTAAATTTCATAGTGAAATCACTAAATCATGCTAGAGAACATCTTAATTATTTGATTCTTATCTGGGATGATTAGGATAATCAGAGATTTAGGTACGTGCTTATAAAGAACATTTGGACAGTGGAGAGGGGTAGTGGGGAGGGTTAGTGACAATGGAATAAAGCTCCAGAAAAATCTGCTTTTTCAGTGTTAATGTTAACAGCAGTATTTTTAGAGGCATGAGGTCATATATCATTAAATCTGGGAAAGCTAATTATTGCTTTTAACATAGTATAACTTAGGTTCCTTTAAGACATTTATGTTCATAAAATTGTACAAAATAAGTAAATATGCTCACATACTAAAATTAATATAGAAGATAATACAACTAGATTCTTTATTTTGCAACATGATTGGTTCAGTAAATCGTTTGTCAATGAAGGTAAACTAAAAAGAAATGACAAACATGATTGGAAGCAGTATACAAAATATAGTAAGGCCTGTATTTTTCTGAATCATGGCATGCTTTGAAGCATAAGATACACCTAACGTGTAGGGTGTAGGTAGGTAGAATAATTTTATCTAAATGAAATTTTGTTACTTTACATGCAGAGTAAAGTTTGCAAACACAGTCTTTCCCCTGGGTAGGAACACTTCTGACTCTGCCAGTTCAATATCCAGCTACCCTGAGAGCACTAGTACTGGACCATAAGAGTTCCCCTGTCTGGAACTCCCACCTCCCCTTAAAAAAGGAATCCCCATATCTCCTTAATGTTGACACCTTCTGTGCTCTCCAGGGTTATCTTTTTGCTGTCAATAGAACTGAGAAAAGTGACCCCCTCTTATTTTTATATGCTCACAGAATTTGTAACATATGCAACACTCAGAAGTCAGTATTTTTCTTAAAATCTTGGAAGGTACTTAAATTTGTTTTTTCACTTAAAGTTGTGACTTTATGTATCTTCAGGTTTTGGGGGAGTTTTTTTGCGATATTTAAGTAAAGCCTATAGAATTTCAAGAAACTTTTGAAGATGAGTTGAAAATTAGGGAAGTTTTTTTGTAGTTTAAGTATTTGTTCTGTCATTTCTCTTTATTATAATCTTTCTTTTCGTTTTTATAAAACAAGTCTTAAAATTTTATCTTGTGTGTTATCTAATAATCCCTTCTCTCCTTCTAGTGACTACTCCAGTGATTACTCTGACTGGACAGCAGATGCAGGAATTAATCTGCAGCCACCAAAGAAAGTTCCTAAGAATAAAACCAAGAAAGCAGAAAGCAGTTCAGATGAAGAAGAAGAATCTGAAAAACAGAAGCAAAAACAGATTAAAAAGGAAAAGAAAAAAGTAAATGAAGAAAAAGATGGACCAATATCACCAAAGAAAAAGAAGCCCAAAGAAAGAAAACAAAAGGTTTGGTTTTTAACATTACAAATTTGGTGTTTTCTAGAGAAACAGTTTAAAGCACACATCTTGAAGTACAATTGATCACAAACATTGTTGAAGTGTATCAGCAAATAATAATAGAAAAAACTCAGAAATACACAGTAGTAAAAAAGTTTACCTAAATATATTTAGTTTATTCGAGTTTTTAGATATTTAACATGTAAAAGTATTTACTTACAAAATTGCCATATTCTAAACATTGAACATTTAACCTTAAAAAGATCAGATTTTTCTTGACAGTTTGGTGGGATTTTTTTATGTGAAATACATAATGATACAAAACATATAGTGTATTAATCTATGAATTGCCTTTATGTTTAACCATCCTTATTAATTGTTATTGCTGAAAATAAACAAAGTCTGTGAGGAACATCACACAGAGTAGAAATGACACAACTTGTTACAGTTGACCCCAAGGCGAATAAAGTGGGGTAAGATGGTCTTGTAACATTCCTTCATTAATCTACAGTGTGTGAGCTATAAGTTTTCAGTCCTTTGGTCAGTAGCAGTATTGATTTGATTACCACAATTAGGTCTGTGGACAATTTGAGAGAAAGCAGAGAACGTAAGAAATATTATAGGAAGAATATCTGTCAGCTCTTATGGAGTTGAAATTCTTTAACATAGGAATGAAAATGAGACCTGTTTAATTTTTGTTCTAAAGTAAATACAACACGAGGGGCATGTTTTCTGCTTCCCAAAAGACTGTAAATGGGAAGCAGTATTTGGTTAAAAGGAAGATTTTTTTGTAACCTCTGCCATTTAAGTATAAATTGTCGTTTGTAGAATTAAATAGTAGGAGACCGTAGGGTCTTTATTCCCACAGAGCTTTCAAAAAGTATAAGAATATATCTGTTTTAAGTGTTTATTTTATCTACATTTGTTGAGTTCTTGTTTCAGCTTTATAATTATGAGTTACTTTAATTTGGATTCCACAGCTGCTGTTTTTCTTGTTGTCTCCTTTGCTTTTGTTTGGGGAAGCTTTACCAAAGAGAATGCCACACATTTACCCACACATTTTCTTTTCTACCTTGTCAGTGATGATAAATGTAGTCTGATTTGTTATTTTATGTATGTAGTAGACAGATTGGTTAAAGAAAACTGATTTAGCCATGTGTCTGGCTAATTAGGTAAATATTCTTTTTCATCTCAGGACAGTTTTGATGAACTTTTGAGGTTTGCAGTGATAAGTTACTGTGAGAACAGTTCCTTCATCCCAAGAGTACAGTTTGCTTCATCTGGTCCCCTTAATTTGATAATTTTCCTCAAACTAATACCATGGGCTCCTTCATGCACTGGCACATATAGATCTATTGTTAACATTTGGCAGGTTTTAATTTCACTGTGTTGTTGCAACAAAGTATTGTGATAGGATGACTCTGCCAATAGAATTATGTGGGTCACTTTAAATATGGTAAGGTTAGGATACTGGAGGGTATTCCCTTTAGTTTAAATTTTGTTCGCATGCCTAGCAGTGATGTAACAGTAGATGGACTTGTTCTTATTCCCTAGTCCTCTAGTTATCTCAAATAAACATAAAAGTATTTCCATTCTTAAACAGGGTCATCTTATGTTGGGATTTCAGATGAGATTTCCTAGAGGAAATAAGATTTGAGCTGCGCCTAGAAGCATTCCCATGGTTGGAAAGGAAAGAAATTATTTATACTTTCCATATTTAAAAAAACCTCAAATCATGGAGCTAGAAATGTTAAAGAATACTCAATGCATTCTTAACCCCTTAATGGTTATAATTAATAAGTGACAGAAATCTTCCTCAACCAAACATTCTAAGTTCCTCAGGAATTATTGGGGAATAAGATATGTCCTCATAATGATTTTTGGTGATGCCCAAAGTCTTTCAGTCATACATATGATTATTCTTATTTAATATACAACTTACCTGTCTTGATGTAAAAGTTGTTAGCTTCCCCATTGAACATAGATAAATTCCTTATGGGGAGAAATCCTTGCCTAGCAATTAATAGTCCATATTGAGGCTAGAATTATGATTTTCAAACTTTTCTGTCTTTCTTTTCCTTTTTATTAGTCAAAGGAAACCTTTTTCAAACAAACTTTTAGCTCCTCAGTATACAAAACTGATAGCAGCTGCTCTGAATAAAGCACAGTGGAAGTTCCTGGGTTGTGGGATCTCTGTGATATACTCAGTGCATAACATAATGGCTACTTTATTTGATAACTGTGTATATATCAAATTACTGTTTGGATATCATTTTACTCCTCACATCCAACACCTACAAAACTTATTTACCAAGCTTTTTCCTCAAACCCGCTGTACCCCAGCCCTCTTTATCTCAGTAATATGACGACTCTCTTAGTTGTTTATACCAGAAACCCTGGAGATATCTTTGATTCCTCTTTTTCTCTCATATTCCACATCCAGTCCATCAGGGAATTAATTATCTAATGGATTATAAGTATATTCAGCACTTTACTGTTTTTCACCACTCCACTGCCATCACATTGGTGTGAATCACCCTGAACTCTCATTTATATTACTGTGGTAGCATCTCATGTGTCTTCCTGTTTCTCCTTGTTTCTCCCTAGGGTCTATTCTTTAAAGCATAGGTTGACAGATTTTTTCTACAGAAGGCCAGCTACTCTGCCATAATAGCATTTATAGACAATACATAAATGGGTATGGCTGTGTTCCGATAAAAATTTATGAAAATTGTGGCAGGCCAGACTTGCCCTGAGGGTCATGATTTGCTGATCCTTGTTTTGATGCATCCAGAGTGATCCTTTTAAAATATAAGTGAGATCGTACTATGCTTCTGCCTAAAATTCTGTAACGAGCCCATCTCACGTACAGTAAATTCCAAAGACCTTTACCCTAACTCTCCAGGGTAATGCTCTTGATATGTTTGACTGAGAAACACTCAGTGTGGCTGTGGCTAATAGGAAAAAGAGGAAAATGACAACTACTACAGTTGGGAAGTAGTAGTATTACCTATTGCAAGTAGTGTTCTCTGATATCATGTTATGGCATTGCTTCTTTTAGTAAACAAGTATTATTTTATACTGATAATTACACTACCTTGTTTTTAAAAAAACAAGTAAAATGTAGCAGTCTTAGTGTACAATCATTTTTAATGTTTTACGTGTGATTCACAAAAGACTTTAATCAATTGCATAACTTTTTTTACTTGTAAAAATATTAGGTTTCAAATGTTCTTAGAAAGTTCATTTTTTTCCTGAGTCTAAGGTAACAACATCAAGACCATTGTGGCCACTTGTGGGTGACCAGCAAAGTTAAGGAACTTTCTCAGAGGCATAGTTTCTCATGCTGTGTAGAAGTGTAATGTCCAGCTTATGGAAATAATTAGCTTTCTACATGTTGCACTACTCAACTCCTATGAGAATACCTTATTTAGTTGTAACTTACTATAACTAGGATTAAAAAAAAACTCTAGGCTGTCTTGGTTTGTTATATGGAATGTTTATAAAATTGATAGCATTTTGAAAGGAAAGGAGAATACACAGAGCTTGTACTTTGGGGTTTGTGGGGATATCTTGTTACCTTGTTGTGAGTGTTGGCTATGGATTTTTGGGTTTTGCTTCTAGTTAGTTCTCTTTGTAGACAGTGATTTGGAGAGATTGAATAACTCTGTTGCCACTGCTGCCATTTTTTCTAGAATAAGTGTTTTGTTGCTTAAAGGATAGTCATCTCTCAGTAGACACGGAGGATTGGTCCCAAGACCCCTGCAGATAACAAAATCCAGGGATGTTCAAGTCTCTTATAAAAAATGGCATATAGTATTTGCATGTGACCTACACACAGTCTCCTATATACTTTAAGTCATTTCTAGATTATTTATAATACCTACTACAGTGCCTACACATCATTTTATTTGTGTGGATTCAACATAGTATTCAGAATGTAGCAAATTCAAGTTTTGCCTGTTGGAACTTTGTGGAATTTTTTTTCCAAATATTTTCAGTCAAGGTTGGTTGAATGCATGGATGTGGAACCCATGGATACACAGGGCCAACTGTATATAATATTGTACAATGGTGCCCTTCCCCTTTTATTTAATTATCTTTATAGTTATTTTAAAGAGTAGATTTGTGGATTAATGCTTTTTTGATTATTACTTAACAATTATTACTTAAATTTTGTCAGAGATTGGCTGTGGGAGAACTAACTGAAAATGGTTTGACATTAGAAGAATGGTTGCCATCAACATGGATTACAGATACCATTCCCCGAAGATGTCCATTTGTGCCACAGATGGGTGATGAGGTACTTTAAAAGTTTTAAATTATCCATTTTTCCTCACATAGTTTTAAACATTTTTTAACAGCTCTTGAAATAGACTTCTGGAAAATAGAAGCAGTTTTGTAAAGTATCTCATTCTAGATATTTGTATCTATGTATGGAGAAAGTACAATTAGGAGTGAAAGTCTAATAATCTTCTTTGAAGCTGCTGTAAATCTGAATATTATAAGAATGAAAATTTTGTTAGTGTTTTAAAAAGAAATGTATGTTTTAGTAAGAGGTTTTTATTGCCAGCTTTCTTTTTCTTTTTAAATTAAAATATATTCATTTATCTTAAGGCTTAATGTATAACATGTTAAAGGAAAAATGAAATTTAGCAATTTGTTTTCATTTAATTTTATTTCAAAAAGTGTTAGTGTTTTGTTTACCCACAGTGTTCACAGTTCATTAGATCTTTAAAAAATCTATAATCTTAGAATAAGAAATACTATTTAATTTTTAAGAAACTGAGGATGAGACCATTGTTTTAGAATATGTACTTGTGAATTTAGAATGAAAATGTAAGAACTGGTCTCAACATTTTTTACTCAAGGTTAATGTCTCCTTGTTTTGTACACAAATTTTAAGAGGCAGTGTTATCTGGTGTCCAACAGATTGACCATAAATAAATTGGGAATTAAAATAGAGGCTTCTTTAGCAAAGCACACTAATTTACAGTATAAAGTGGTAATTGACACTTTAAGAAAAAAAAGAAAACAAAAACTTTTTAATGCTAGAGTGATTCTAAAGAACAGTCTGAAAGAATTTATTTAAAAATCCTACTTGCCTCATACGACTTGAAGAGCACAGAACATTACCACATTGTTGTGATATAGTACAGTGATAGATCTTAACATCCTGTAGCATTAAGATGTGAAATTATATTTAATACATTATTTCAACATGGCCAGAAAAGTTTGTAATTCCTTGTTGAATGATTTCCTTTCAAAATGGTTAGGTTGTCTTTTTAGCTGCTGGTGCTTGAAGGTCTTCATTATTCAGCACTATTCCATCATTTAAAGTTCCAGACAACTGGAGCAATAATGGTATTTTTTTAATTTAAGTTTTAGGGTACATGTGTACATTGTGCAGGTTAGTTACATACGTATACATGTGCCATGCTGGTGTGCTGCACCCACTAACTCGTCATCTAGCATTAGGTATATCTCCCAATGCTATCCCTCCCCCGTCCCCCACCCCACAACAGTCCCCAGAGTGTGATGTTCCCCTTCCTGTGTCCATGTGATCTCATTGTTCAATTCCCACCTATGAGTGAGAATATGCGGTGTTTGGTTTTTTGTTCTTGCAATAGTTTACTGAGAATGATGGTTTCCAATTTCATCCATGTCCCTACAAAGGACATGAACTCATCATTTTTTATAGCTGCATAGTATTCCATGGTGTATATGTGCCACATTTTCTTAATCCAGTCTATCATTGTTGGACATTTGGGTTGGTTCCAAGTCTTTGCTATTGTGAATAATGCCACAATAAACATACGTGTGCATGTGTCTTTATAGCAGCATGATTTATAGTCCTTTGGGTATATACCCAGTAATGGGATGGCTGGGTCAAATGGTATTTCTAGTTCTAGATCCCTGAGGAATCGCCACACTGACTTCCACAATGGTTGAATTAGTTTACAGTCCCACCAACAGTGTAAAAGTGTTCCTATTTCTCCACATCCTCTCCAGCACCTGTTGTTTCCTGACTTTTTAATGATTGCCATTCTAACTGGTGTGAGATGGTATCTCATTGTGGTTTTGATTTGCATTTCTCTGATGGGCAGTGATGGTGAGCATTTTTTCATGTGTTTTTTGGCTGCATAAATGTCTTCTTTTGAGAAGTGTCTGTTCATGTCCTTCGCCCACTTTTTGATGTGGTTGTTTGTTTTTTTCTTGTAAATTTGTTTGAGTTCATTGTAGATTCTGGATATTAGCCCTTTGTCAGATGAGTAGATTGCGAAAATTTTCTCCCATTTTGTAGGTTGCCTGTTCACTCTGATGGTAGTTTCTTTTGCTGTGCAGAAGCTCTTTAGTTTAATTAGATCCCATTTGTCAATTTTGGCTTTGGTTGCCATTGCTTTTGTTGTTTTAGACATGAAGTCCTTGCCCATGCCTATGTCCTGAATGGTAATGCCTAGGTTTTCTTCTAGGGTTTTTATGGTTTTAGGTCTAACGTTTAAGTCTTTAATCCATCTTGAATTGATTTTTGTATAAGGTGTAAGGAAGGGATCCAGTTTCAGCTTTCTACATATGGCTAGCCAGTTTTCCCAGCACCATTTATTAAATAGGGAATCCTTTTCCCATTGCTTGTTTTTCTCAGGTTTGTCAAAGATCAGATAGTTGTAGATATGCGGCGTTATTTCTGAGGGCTCTGTTCTGTTCCATTGATCTATATCTCTGTTTTGGTCCCAGTACCATGCTGTTTTGGTTACTGTAGCCTTGTAGTATAGTTTGAAGTCAGGTAGTGTGATGCCTCCAGCTTTGTTCTTTTGGCTTAGGATTGACTTGGCAATGCGGGCCCTTTTTTGGTTCCATATGAACTTTAAAGTAGTTTTTTCCAATTCTGTGAAGAAAGGCATTGGTAGCTTGATGGGGATGGCATTGAATCTGTAAATTACCTTGGGCAGTATGGCCATTTTCACAATATTGATTCTTCCTACCCATGAGCATGGAATGTTCTTCCATTTGTTTGTATCCTCTTTTATTTCCTTGAGCAGTGGTTTGTAGTTCTCCTTGAAGAGGTCCTTCACATCCCTTGTAAGTTGGATTCCTAGGTATTTTATTCTCTTTGAAGCAATTGTGAATGGGAGTTCACTCATGATTTGGCTCTCTGTTTGTCCGTTGTTGGTGTATAGGAATGCTTGTGATTTTTGCACATTGATTTTGTATCCTGAGACTTTGCTGAAGTTGCTTATCAGCTTAAGGAGATTTTGGGCTGAGACAGTGGGGTTTTCTAGATACACAATCATGTCATCTGCAAACAGGGACAATTTGACTTCCTCTTTTCCTAATTGAATACCCTTTCTTTCCTTCTCCTGCCTAATTGCCCTGGCCAGAACTTCCATCACTATGTTGAATAGGAGTGGTGAGAGAGAGCATCCCTGTCTTGTGCCAGTTTTCAAAGGGAATGCTTCCAGTTTTTGCCCATTCAGTATGATATTGGCTGTGGGTTTGTCATAGATAGCTCTGATTATTTTGAAATATGTCCCATCAATACCTAATTTATTGAGAGTTTTTAGCATGAAAGGTTGTTGATTTTTGTCAAAGGCCTTTTCTGCATCTATTGAGATAATCATGTGGTTTTTGTCTTTGGCTCTGTTTATATGCTGGATTACATTTATTGATTTGCGTATATTGAACCAGCCTTGCATCCCAGGGATGAAGCCCACTTGTTCATGGTGGATAAGCTTTTTGATGTGCTGCTGGATTCGGTTTGCCAGTATTTTATTGAGGATTTTTGCATCAATGTTCATCAAGGATATTGGTCTAAAATTATCTTTTTTGGTTGTGTCTCTGCCCAGCTTTGGTATCAGAATGATGCTGGCCTCATAAAATGAGTTAGGGGGGATTCCCTCTTTTTCTATTGATTGGAATAGTTTCAGAAGGAATGGTACCAGTTCCTCCTTGTACCTCTGGTAGAATTCGGCTGTGAATCCATCTGATCCTGGACTCTTTTTGGTTGGTAAGCTGTTGATTATTGCCACAATTTCAGATCTTGTTATTGGTCTATTCAGAGATTCAACTTCTTCCTGGTTTAGTCTTGGGAGAGTGTATGTGTCAAGGAATTTATCCATTTCTTCTAGATTTTCTAGTTTATTTGCGTAGAAGTGTTTGTAGTATTCTCTGATGGTAGTTTGTATTTCTGTGGGATCGGTGGTGATATCCCCTTTATCATTTTTTATTGCATCTATTTGATTCTTCTTTTTTTCTTTTATTAGTCTTGCTGGCGGTCTATCGATTTTGTTGATCTTTCAAAAAACCAGCTCCTGGATTCATTAATTTTTTGAAGGGTTTTTTGTGTCTCTATTTCCTTCAGTTCTGCTCTGATCTTAGTTATTTCTTGCCTTCTGCTAGCTTTTGAATGTGTTTGCTCTTGCTTTTCTAGTTCTTTTAATTGTGATGTTAGGGTGTCAATTTTGGATCTTTCCTGCTTACTCTTGTGGGCATTTAGTGCTATAAATT
The DNA here is from genome assembly GCF_000001405.40 of Homo sapiens. Lineage (NCBI taxonomy): Eukaryota > Metazoa > Chordata > Mammalia > Primates > Hominidae > Homo > Homo sapiens. The sequence goes on along the minus strand of NC_000006.12, from coordinate 78,974,389 downwards.
TCCCTCTACACACTGCTTTGAATGCGTCCCAGAGATTCTGGTATGTTGTGTCTTTGTTCTCGTTGGTTTCAAAGAACATCTTTATTTCTGCCTTCATTTCATTATGTACCCAGTAGTCATTCAGGAGCAGGTTGTTCAGTTTCCATGTAGTTGAGCGGTTTTGAGTGAGATTCTTAATCCTGAATTCTAGTTTGATTGCTCTGTGGTCTGAGAGATAGTTTGTTATAATTTCTGTTCTTTTACATTTGCTGAGGAGAGCTTTACTTCCAAGTATGTGGTCAATTTTGGAATAGGTGTGGTGTGGTGCTGAAAAAAATGTATATTCTGTTGATTTGAGGTGGAGAGTTCTGCAGAAGTCTATTAGGTCTGCTTGGTGCAGAGCTGAGTTCAATTCCTGGGTATCCTTGTTAACTTTCTGTCTCGTTGATCTGTCTAATGTTGACAGTGGGGTGTTAAAGTCTCCCATTATTAATGTGTGGGAGTCTAAGTCTCTTTGTAGGTCACTCAAGACTTGCTTTATGAATCTGGGTGCTCCTGTATTGGGTGCATATATATTTAGGATAGTTAGCTCTTCTTGTTGAATTGACCCCTTTACCATTATGTAATGGCCTTCTTTGTCTCTTTTGATCTTTGTTGGTTTAAAGTCTGTTTTATCAGACTAGGATTGCAACCCCTGTCTTTTTTTGTTTTCCATTTGCTTGGTACATCTTCCTCCATCCTTTTATTTTGAGCCTATGTGTGTCTCTGCAGGTGAGATGGGTTTCCTGAATACAGCACACTGATGGGTCTTGACTGTTTATCCAATTTGCCAGTCTGTGTCTTTTAATTGGAGAATTTAGTCCATTGACATTTAAAGTTAATAGTGTTATGTGTGAATTTGATCCTGTCATTATGATGTTAGCTGGTTATTTTGCTCATTAGTTGATGCAGTTTCTTCCTAGTCTCGATGGTCTTTACATTTTGGCATGATTTTGCAGCGGCTGGTACCGGTTTTTCCTTTCCATGTTTAGCGCTTCCTTCAGGAGCTCTTGTAGGGCAGGCCTGGTGGTGACAAAATCTCTCAGCATTTGCTTGTCTGTAAAGTATTTTATTTCTCCTTCACTTATGAAGCTTACTTTGGCTGGATATGAAATTCTGGGTTGAAAATTCTTTTCTTTAAGAATGTTGAATATTGGCCCCCACTCTCTTCTGGCTTGTAGAGTTTCTGCTGAGAGATCCGCTGTTAGTCTAATGGGCTTCCCTTTGAGCGTAACCCGACCTTTCTCTCTGGCTGCCCTTAACATTTTTTCCTTCATTTCAACTTTGGTGAATCTGACAATTATGTGTCTTGGAGTTGCTCTTCTCGAGGAGTATCTTTATGGCGTTCTCTGTATTTCCTGAATCTCAACGTTGGCCTGCCTTGCTAGATTGGGGAAATTCTCGTGGATAATATCCTGCAGTGTTTTCCAACTTGGTTCCATTCTCCCCATCACTTTCAGGTACACCAATCAGACGTAGATTTGGTCTTTTCACATAGTCCTATATTTCTTGGAGGCTTTGCTCATTTCTTTTTATTGTTTTTTTCTCTAAACTTCCCTTCTCGCTTCATTTCATTCATTTCATCTTCCATTGCTGATACCCTTTCTTCCAGTTCATCGCATCGGCTCCTGAGGCTTCTGCATTCTTCACATAGTTCTCGAGCCTTGGTTTTCAGCTCTATCAGCTCCTTTAAGCACTTCTCTGTATTGATTATTCTAGTTACACATTCTTCTAAATTTTTTTCAAAGTTTTCAACTTCTTTGCCTTTGGTTTGAATGTCCTCCTGTAGCTCAGAGTAATTTGATCGTCTGAAGCCTTCTTCTCTCAGCTCATCAAAGTCATTCTGCGTCCAGCTTTGTTCCATTGCTGGTGAGGAGCTGTGTTCCTTTGGAGGAGGAGAGGTGCTCTGATTTTTAGAGTTTCCAGTTTTTCTGTTCTGTTTTTTCCCCATCTTTGTGGTTTTATCTACTTTTTGTCTTTGATGATGGTGATGTACAGATGGGTTTTTGATGTGGATGTCCTTTCTGTTTGTTAGTTTTCCTTCTAACAGACAGGACCCTCAGCTGCAGGTCTGTTGGAGTACCCTGCAGTGTGAGGTGTCAGTGTGCCCCTGCTGGAGGGTGCCTCCCAGTTAGGCTGCTCAGGGGTCAGGGGTCAGGGACCCACTTGAGGAGGCAGTCTGCCCGTTCTCATATCTCCAGCTGCGTACTGGGAGAACCACTGCTCTCTTCAAAGCTGTCAGACAGGGACATTTAAGTCTGCAGAGGTTACTGCTGTCTTTTTGTTTGTCTGTGCCCTGCCCCCAGAGGTGGAGCCTACAGAGGCAGGCAGGCCTCCTTGAGCTGTGGTGGGCTCCACCCAGTTCGAGCTTCCCGGCTGCTTTGTTTACCTAAGCAAGCCTGGGCAATGGTGGGCGCCCCTCCCCCAGCCTCGCTGCCGCCTTGCAGTTTGACCTCAGACTGCTGTGCTAGCAATCAGCGAGACTCCGTGGGGTAGGACCCTCCGAGCCAGGTGCGGGATATAATTTCGTGGTGCGCCGTTTTTTAAGCCCATTGGAAAAGCGCAGTATTCGGGTGGGAGTGACCCGATTTTCCAGGTGCCGTCCGTCACCCCTTTCTTTGATTAGGAAAGGGAACTCCCTGACTCCCTGTGCTTCCTGAGTGAGGCAATGCCTCACCCTACTTCGGCTCGCACACGGTGCGCGCACCCACTGACCTGCGCCCACTGTCTGGCACTCCCTAGTGAGATGAACCCGTTACCTCAGATGGAAATGCAGAAATCACCCGTCTTCTGCATCGTTCAGGCTGGGAGCTGTAGACCGGAGCTGTTCCTATTCGGCCATCTTGGCCCCTCCCCGCAATAATGGTATTAATGAATAGAATGAAAGTATGGGATAGTGGCTATCCCAAAATGTTACTAAAAACTTAGCATTTTAAAACACGTTCTTCTACTAGTGGGTGTCAGACTGCTGTGTTCAAGTACTAGTTCTCCAAGACAGTAGTCAGGAGTCACTTAAATTTGATCTTCATGAAATGTGGATAAATGTATGCCCTGCTGTCTTACCAGGATTTGTGTAAGGATTAAAATATATGTGAAAGTACATTTTTCATTTCAATGTTTTCTGCATATGTACAAACTACTTGCTAAAAAAGTTAACAACAAAAGTGGACAATAAACTTATTAGTCAACGTTATTATGCAACATAGATTAACTTATTTTGATTTTAAGAATAAAATGGTGAAACCAGAAAATAACTTTTCATCTTAACTTATAAGTGTGTATTCAAAGTAATGTTATTTAGAACACTTTGGTTATGATTTAGTGATGTTAAGACAACTTGAGAGAAAGGAGGAGGGAGAAAATATTAGAATTTCTATTAGCTGAAAAGGCATTAGATTTTCTCTTTGCAATTTCAGCTGATACCCTGTATATTGGATTAAAGGAAACACATCCAGGTTGTAAGATTATGACTTTATTTTTTAGGTTTATTATTTCCGACAAGGACATGAAGCCTATGTCGAAATGGCCCGGAAAAATAAAATATATAGTATCAATCCCAAAAAACAACCATGGCATAAAATGGAGCTACGGGTATGACATTGATTTATTATTTAATAGCCCCAAAAATACAATTATGGAATTTGGAGAAAATTGTATCAAAGGTTACTATTAACACAATAAGAAACTGCATCATGAAGATACCTTGTTTAATTGAAGCAGTCCTAGAGAGTAGGAGGTGTTTAATTTTCATCCAGAGAAACACAAGATTTGACTGAATTTATATACTCCAATGCAGTTTATGGGTTGGGTACAAAATTTAGTTATAGTGAAAATTAGGTAATAAGTCTAAAGTAAGCTTTGTATTCGTAAATTTGATGCGTATTTCTAGATTTGTCATCAGTAGTTCAGTTACCAATAGGTCTTTGGAATGGTGATAGAAAACTTACTTTAGTAACTATACTTTAGTAAAGTTCTCCTTATTTTTTTTTCCTTTTTTACGTTTTAAAAATTTCATTGTAACTTGCATACTATAAAGTGCACAAATCTTAATACAGAGCTCAGTGAATTTTTACATGTACACAGTCATCACCATCCAGATCAAGATTTAAACCAAGAAGTTTTTTCTCAACAATGTTTAGCAGTCTATTTTGTGGTTTATTTTGTAAAGATGGTTCCTTATATTCTCTGTCTCTCTCAGGAACAAGAACTTATGAAAATAGTTGGCATAAAGTATGAAGTGGGATTACCTACCCTTTGCTGCCTTAAACTTGCTTTTCTAGATCCTGATACTGGTAAACTGACTGGCGGATCATTTACCATGAAGTAAGGACTGTTGAAAGAGGCAATGGTTTTCTTAGTATTGTAGATTGTTTTTCAAGATTCAGATACATTTGAACATCTTTTAGGTATTTTTAGGTATGTGACCTAATCAATTTGTTTCTGTTTGTAATTAGATACCATGATATGCCTGACGTTATAGATTTCCTAGTCTTGAGACAACAATTTGATGATGCAAAATACAGGCGATGGAATATAGGTGGGTAATTTATTTAGAAGCTATCGATGTTTGATGTGGTTTTTTTTTCTTAGTAAGTGATTTACTATTTTTCATAATTGAGAAAAAGATTATCAGAGAAATCTTTTTGCTATTTGTAGGAATGTTAATAGCAAAGTAAGATACTATGTCAGAGGTATTGTTAAGTTTTGTTTAGGAATGAAAACAGTCGATGTTGAAATTTAAAACATTTTTTCTGTTACATTTGACTTTATTTTCATGTTTTACATGTTAAGTTAAATTTTTGTATAAAAATATTAATAACAATTTAAATTTGAAGCCAAAAGAAGCTTAACAAGATGTATAAGTTTGTACTGGGACTAAAGCTAAACTGACATTTTTCTTTTATTGGTTAATCCTATTATAATCTTTAAAATTAGTATCATAAACAAGTCTCAAAGAAACTAAAATCTGTAAAAGTTTTCAGGCACTTAAGGTGCATTAATTTACATATAGATGATGTGCCACTTATGAGAGTAGTTCTCTTAAAAATTTCATATAGGACCAGTGTGTGTCATGGTATGATGTGTACACGGTATGTATGGTTTGAAAAAGCACATCAATTGATATACCAGTCTGTCCTTCAGTGCCACTAGAACGCATTGACATGGTGGTTTGTCCTTTGTTAAAAACTTGTATGTGCTCTGTAAGGAGAAATTAGGAAAATTTGGAAGCTATCAAAATTATGGACATGGAAGTTAGAAAGAAAATTTACATCTCATGTTCCATTTCCCTAGAAGTTTTGAAAGATGTGTTTCATCAAATAAGGGAGTAACCAAGAAAGGGAAAAGAATGGAATCCCCTCAGGAAACAGGAAGTCCAGAACAGGAAAAGTTAAAAGGAATCCCAAATAATATTCAGTAGAAGCCTCAGGATAGCAGCTACCTAGCAGGTCCAAATCTCCTTCAAGAGGAAAGTCTTCAGGGGGAAAAAATTGGAACACATAACTTATCTAACAAGTTTGTCTTTGTGGAAAATTACATTGAAGAATGTTTTTTACAGCTTGAGCTGTTAGAGATTGTGGGAAGATTTAATTGTAAATTCACTGAAAACCAAGCATTAAAAAAATGAAGCAATTATTAATTTTAGGGAAAACAAAATTATATAAGGAAGGAATTATATGCTGTTTTGCTTAGGAGCAAGCAGTATTTACACAGTCATGATTAAAAATTGAATATGGATTAAATATAATACACATACTTTTTATGCACAGTTGTATTGAAGTTATAGTTGTCCCTTAGTATCCACAGGGAATTACTTCCAGGACCTCCATGGATACCAAAATCTTTGCATACATAGGTTCCAGAATTGATCCTACGGAACCCCCCGATGTGAAAAGTTGGCCCTTCCATATTCATGGATTTCACATCCCACTAATACTGTATTTTCAATCTGCATTTGGTTGCTGATGCAGAATCTGCCAATACAGAGGGCCAAATCTGTTTATTGGAAAAATCTGTGTATAAGTAGACCTGGTCAGTTAAAACCCATGTCTTCAAGAATCAACTCTGATACTTACTGTCAAAAATTGATGAGTGAAGAAATCTGTAAGTCAAGAAGTAGTAGGTAAAATAGATGAAAACATTTTTCTTGGTTTTGGCTATCAGCCTTTGGTACATCTGATTGTTTAAATTTTTCACATACATTACTTGATATGATAAATTGTATTTTATTTTATTTTTGAGATGGAGTCTCGCTCTGTCACCCAGGCTGGAGTGCAGTGCCGTGATCTTGGCTCACTGCAAGTTCCACCTCCCAGGTTCACACCATTCTACCTCAGCCTCCCGATTAGCTGGGACTACAGGCTCCTGCCACCACGCCTGGCTAATTTTTTTTTTGTATTTTTAGTAGAGACAGGGTTTCACCGCGTTAGCCAGGATGGTCTTGATCTCCTGACCTTGTGATCCGCCCGCCTCAGCCTCCCAAAGTGCTAGGATTACAGGCATGAGCCACCGCGCCCGGCCGATAAATTTTATTTTTTAAGGAGTTGCATTTGCCAATAAATTGCGGAACAAATAATAGAGATCAAAGTGCAGCAATATTCCAGAAGTGAGCTCATAACCTTGGCAAAGTAATGTGGCTAACATTGGACAAATCACAGAGAATTAAAATGAATGAGCATCATAATTTTCTCATTTGGATCTTACAATTTTATTCTAATTTATGGGTTAATATTTCTCTAAAGTTAGTATCTAATTAATCTTTTATATCTGAGGATATATGCATTCACCCACCGACTGCCATTTAAAATTACATTAGTAATTTTTACTTCAGCCCCTCCTCGGAAATGTATTAAGGCTTACTCTCAATGGTGGACTTCAGTAGTAGTCCAGGTTCTTTGCTTAACTTTCTTGTTATTCTACAGATATTGTTCGTTATGATTAGGCACACATTACTCAGTCCTTCCTCTTTAGCATAATAATCAGTCTGTGTAGGGTCATAAGATACAGCTCTTTGAAACTTTATGTTTAGTGTGAGGTAGTGGTGGTGTCAAGAATGCTTCTTATTAAACTATATAGTAGCTTTTTGTTAAGTGTCACTAGTATGCATCTGAGGAACAACTGTCAACAGCATGCAGTTGTGTTCTATTAACTTTTCTCCTGGCTCCAATTTTCTTTTTTATCATATTCTTTTACCTTGTTTTTCTAATTTTTAATTCATTTCATGCTATATGTTTTTATAAACTTTTAAATCCTTTTTGGTAAGAAAATGAGAACATAACTACTTTTCTCTTTGAGTTTAAAAATAAAACTGATTCAGATTAATTGCTAACTTAATTCATTTTAACTTAACTGTGTGTCAAAATGTGGAGTGCTTTAATAGAACTCATTAGTCAAAAACTACCAGGAGGTAGACATCACCATTTCTATTTTATAGACAAGGAAAATGAAGTTCAAAAATAATTAATATATTCAAAGTTATACAGATACGTTATTTGAACCCAAGTCTTTCAGGCTCTAGCCTATGCTAGCCACGAGAAAACTCAAGTACTGTGATAGCTGAGGAACAGGAAAACATTGCATAAAGGAAGTAAGTGACTTACAGTTTTCTTATGACACAGAAGGAACATGAGAATATTTAGATAAGAAAAAGCCATAGCATTTATAGCTTGTTCAGGTCTTTGGGAAAAAGCAGGTTAAGTAATACGACGACAGCAATTGGATAAGGAAATAGACACAAGGAGTGTCCTCTGTTTTAAAAAGAATAGTTGTTTTATTTTTGTTTCTTTTTTGTTTCCTTTTACAGGAAAGGGAGAGTGAGTGAGTATTAAGGGTGATTGAGATGAAGGAAGACAGGTTGGATTTTATGTTGTTTGTTGTTTTTAGCGTGGAGTCTTGATTGATTGTTGGTTGGGGAAACTTGCTTACAGAAAGTAAGAAATTAAAAGACTAAGTAATTGTTGAGTGGAACTTGCCGCAATTATAATTTTATTTCAGTGAAAAGTTTGGGTATAGTGTTAATGATGAATTTCAAATGCTAGATTGGTAAAAATGCCTAAAACAAGTGAATTTCTGTATACCTTAATGAAATATAAAAAATAGAATTGAAAACTGTTAAGTCACACTTCAAGTATGCTTACTAAATTCCTTTTTTCTCTTGGTATTGCTGATTGTACTTACTTATTTTTGGAGTTTGTGGTTCACTTTTTGTCTTCTGAAATCATACAGGCAGTTTAGGTACTTAAAGGTTAACGTTAGGAAAAAGCAGTGACAGCAGCCATGCATTTCAGAATGATGAGTTAGTTTTTGTTCTTGGCCAGGTGACCGCTTCAGGTCTGTCATAGATGATGCCTGGTGGTTTGGAACAATCGAAAGCCAGGAACCTCTTCAACTTGAGTACCCTGATAGTCTGTTTCAATGCTACAATGTTTGGTAAGGAAATATTTGTTGTATTTTAGTTCACCTAGGCTTGCTTTGAATTTTTTTTTCCATCTATTAAGAGATAAAGAGACTTCTTTTAAACACAGAAGCAATTATTTTGATAATTGATTTTATTAAAATTGTGATACAATAATTTAGATTTTTTAATATAATGATTTTTCTTTCTTTAAGCTGGGACAATGGAGATACAGAAAAGATGAGTCCTTGGGATATGGAGCTTATACCTAATAATGGTAAGTGTGTGTTAGGCTTTTTGTTTCTCCATTATGGAGTTAATTTCTTAAGAAATTATTTAAGATTTGCTAACATGCTACCACTTACAGTTGTGAGTATCAAATAGAAAACATTCATTTGGCAAATATTTATTATTGTACACCTTGAAGTAGGGGAGATTCAGCAGTGAAGAAGATAGATATAACTCTTGCCTACTTGGAATTGATTGAAATTAATTTATTACAGCAAAACATGAAATTGTTTTATTAATTACTATTCACCCAAGAAAGTGTGCATTTGGGAGGCAGAGACACTTTTGTAACTTTAGCAGAGTGTTTAAAGTGTAACATAATAGTTAAGAGGTCATGCTTTTGAGTGAGACGGACATCAGTTCATATCCTGACTTGTCATTTTTTATGTGATCTTGGCAAGTTCCATAAAGCCTCACACCCCAACTTTTTAGTACTCGGCCTTAGAAACCGTCAAAGCTAATACCTTCCTTATAGGGCTACTTTGAAGATTAAATAGCATCATGTGTGTAAAGTGCTTATTGTAGAGCCTGACACATATAAGAGCTCAATGAAGATATAGTTGTAATTAATAATGATAATATAACTGTCATTATGCATATGGCCTGACACATTCAGGATTTAATAATTAGCCTTAGGCAGTGAGTATGACATCTTCCTTGCACTGAGAAAAGGACGTTGGGACCAAAGCCTGGAGATTATATTTTCTTTCCACTTCATTGCCCATTTTTGTTTGTTTGTAAAAAATACAACACACATGCACAATTGCATAAGCCAAAAAGGGATTAGAAGGATATTGTCGAGATTTTAATAATGATTATTTATAGAGTAGCATTATAAAGACTTCATAAATTCTTTTACGTTATTCTATATTGTTTGATTTTTAAAAAATAATATATTACAGGGCAGGAGTGGTGGCTCACACCTGTAATCCCAGCACTTTGAGAGGCTGAGGCAGGTGGATCACGAGGTCAGGTGTTGGAGAGCAGCCTGACCAACATGGTGAAACCCCGTCTCAACTAAAAATACAAAAATTAGCCTGGCGTGGTGGCGTGTGCCTGTAGTCCCAGCTACTCAGAAGGTTGAGGCAGGAAAATTACTTGAACCTGGGAGGCGGAGGTGGCAGTGAGCCGAGATTGCACCACTGCGCTCCAGCCTGGGCAACAGAGCGAGACTCCATCTCAAAAATAATAATAATATATTACATCTCTTAGCAGATAAAAATAAATAAGATCTTTAAAAAACAAAAAGGAAAACATCTAATTTCTAACATAGTAGAAATAATCTTTTATTAATTGAGTTGCTCAGTAGTTATTGTAATCCAAAGTCAGAGAAAAAATAACTGTTGGAGAAAATAACCCAGTCTCGTAGACCTCAGAAATGAGAAAATTGTCATACTGATTAGCTAAGATTAGTTCTCTGCAGGAATTATCACTTTGAAAATTTAATGCCAATAATATATTTTTTTTTATCTCACTGCTAAATTAGAGCTGTTTAAAATTATAAAATATCTTAAATCAATTGGTAACCATGTTACATGGCTTATGTTTTTGTTTTGTTTCTCTCATTTATTAAAAAGAAAGTTTGAATTTGAACTCACATTGAACTGTTGTGAATATGATAGCAATGCAGCCAGTTGGTGTTATAATGCCTTGGATATTTTTTAAATGAATAAGTGATACTGATTCACTGTTTTGTTTCCTACCTAAATATATTGAAGGGTGGTTACTGTTGTTGTTCTATTTGGATACACATTCATACGAACCTATAGAGTTTAATCGTAGTTTGTGATGAGAATTTTGATTGTACACAAACAGTGGCGTATTTTCTAGAGTGTATCTGCCAAAACTTAGTCTAAAGGAAAAATTACCTAGCACGTTTCTAGATTTTGGGTTACCGCAACCCTCTAGTGATTCTCTCAGCTAAAACTGTTAAAGATTCAAGCATGCAGAAAGCATACCTTCATAATTTATGAGTAATAAGCATAAGCATCATTTGTCAGTTTTCATAATTCTCTCTGTTCCTACATTCAAAAATTGAAGCTTTGATTGAAGTATTTCTAGAAAATGTCACTTTAGTTCAGTTTTACCTTGTGTATACTTTATCAAAGTAAACATGGCAATTATGAAGTGATTCAGAAAACTTTGAAATTTGCATATTTTATAGAAATGATTTCTGCACATGTACTTGATTACAGAGCAGATTTTCAGGTATAATTTTGGAGAAGTAATTATTTAGAGAATTACTTATAGTATCATTTAAAAATTAATTTAAATTTTAGTGACCCTTAAAACATACTTTCCTTTGTTAAAATAAAGAGTATATTTACAAATCTATACAAAATATACTTTAATTTTGTGACTGTTATTTTTACATTCTAAAGCTAACCTGAATACTAATAAGTTACCATGTATTTGCAATGATCTGCTTTTCTATTTCAGCTGTATTTCCTGAAGAACTAGGTACCAGTGTTCCTTTAACTGATGGTGAGTGCAGATCACTAATCTATAAACCTCTTGATGGAGAATGGGGTACCAATCCCAGGGATGAAGAATGTGAAAGAATTGTGGCAGGAATAAACCAGTTGATGACACTAGGTAAGTAAAGCAACACGCGAGTATAGAAAAAACTGGCAGAACACAAAGTAATGGAAAAATACTGTTATTCTCCAACAAAAATTTTTTTTCACAATATCCTAAGTCAGTGGTTTCAGACATTTTAAGTGGAATCTCTTTTTGAATGTGGTCTTAACACAGGACTTAACTATTTAAAACAGTTATAAATTAGGTTATGTTAGCTGAATTTTAGAATAAGGGCCTCCTAGAAGTGCCAGAGGCATCTCTGAAAAAACTGGGTCCTCCACAACCCAATTTAAAACACTTGACATATTCAGGCTGACATGATATGAATTGGAGGAGGAGGATTGAAAGCTGAGTTATAATTATATGGGTAGCTTGTACTGGTCTCCCCCAACTTAATATACACACACAAAAGAGGATCTTCTTAAGGGGAGAGGAGAGGGTATATTAATTGCTCTGCCTTGTTAAAAGAAAACAGTGACCACAAAACTTGATTATCTAAATTCTGGGCTTCTGAAGTAACTAGATTATGTGGTGGTTTGTAGCAACCCACTCTCTCAATAAAGAATCAGCTGCAAAGAGTCTAGAGAGAAATTAACATGAGTAAGAAGAGCTGGATGGACACGGAGATTGAGGAATATTCAAATCTGAAGTATTTTATAAAATGCCAACACTTTATAGGAATAGCCTTATAAATACTACCTTAAATAATTTTAGCAATATTTTAGGATATTAAGTATTATATGCGAATGAGCAAAAAATTGGGAGTGATCTTAACTAGTTATAGTTTTTGCTGTACAACTTTACGGTGTGTATTGGGTCAGTATCACTGAATCAAAACTTCTGGGTCTGTTTCCTTTTCTCTACTTGTCTAATATTTCACAGAATAATGTAAAGTTGAGATAAAGGGATACGTTTGAGAAAGTCAAAGGTTAGATTTGAATGCAGTATGTTACAGTGTTAATAATAGAATGGCTTTGCCAAATATAGATTCAGGAATGGCCAACTGTCAATTACGGCAATGTATGTGTACTTATTAGGTCTGATATATGTATATATAATTTGTTTCTTTCTCCCGGTGAACCTATGAATAAAACAATACCCCTAGAATTTGGCAGTGTAAATGTAGACATAATAAAAAGTGAGACTCTTTATGTCAGCTACACTATATTGTTTATGAAAAGACAGTGGCAGACTAATGATTATGTAGATTAGGACTTTTTAAGTCTTAATTCAAGCAGAATTCTTCTTGAATTATTTTAGGCATACAAAAATAAATTTACAAACTTATCTATTTATTTTAGATATTGCCTCAGCATTTGTGGCCCCCGTGGATCTGCAAGCCTATCCCATGTATTGCACAGTAGTGGCATATCCAACGGATCTAAGTACAATTAAACAAAGACTGGAAAACAGGTTTTACAGGTTAGAACCATTTGATGTAGCTACTATCAAAGGAAAGCTGGTGATCTTTCCACCCATTTACTGATCTTTAGCAGTGTTTCTCAACTTTTTGTATATAGGAATGCACATAAGATTATGGGGATTATGTTAAAATGTAGAATCTTATTCAGTAGATTTGGAGTGGGACCTGAGATTCTGCATTTCTAACAAGTCCCAGTAATGTCGATGCTGCTGGTCTTTAGACACTTAAAATACAATTCCTAGATCCTAGATACAGTTTTTCCTAGAGGCTGACATGATTTGATATTCACTGTCTTTATATTGTATTTTATAAAGCAAGGCAAGGTATTTCATTTTCTCCTAGATAACATTAAAATATTTGTTCATTGATTTTTAATATAATATATAATAAAAATTTTGTATTCGTATTATGTATTTTGTTCTTATTTTGCCTGTATTCAGCTTATCATTACTTATAACACTGAAATTTGAAAATACTCAGTTTTTCATAGTTGTAGTTTAGCATGAAAAAGAATTAGAGTTAAATGGCCCAGGCATAATTTCAATTAATTTGCATTATCTAGGTAATTTTGATGAATGTCTTTAATCGTCAGTAGGCTTTATTATTACCTAAAATGTTTTGTCAAAAAATATGTTTATAGTTTTTAAATAATGGAATCCTGTTTTTAGTTTTAATTTTTATCATATGACCTTTGCTTAGCAGTCCAACAATTTAATTTGTGTAACATTGCATTAAAAGTTTTTGTGACCAGTTATTTATTACTGAAGTCCTTTCCGTTATTCTTCTTTTTAACATAGAGAAGCTTTATTCATATTTTGTATTAATATTTTTCTATATAAAATGTGCCTTTGGTTCTTTTTATGACTTAAATTTTATTTCTGTATCTCATTGTGAGGGGCTATCCTGTGCCTGTACCCACTAGATGCCAGTAGCAGCCCCCTAGTTGTGAAAACCAAAAATGTGTTCAGACATTGTCACATGTCTTCTGGGGAGCATAATTGTCCTTGATTGAGAACCACTGGAATAAAGAAAACTAATATATTAGACTTTAGTTTCTAAAGATTTTTCTGATCTTCTTAGGTGTACTTGCTGTTGCTTCCTTGATATTTGTCAAAAAGCGTAGAGATAAGGAGAAGTCCTCCCTGCTATGTGGTTCCCAACCATCCCACCCTCAAAGCATTCTTCAAGTCTTTTTCAATATCAGGTGTTGGAAGTTTAAGAGAAAAAAAAAAAAAAAAGGAATTCCTAACTATATTCCTCTTTCTCCCTTGACCCCTTAAATTGCTAAAGATTGGAAATTAAACCTAGTGCTTCAGAGATGAAACAAGACATGGGTGGATGAGAAGGAAAGAACTATTTGTATACATACACTAATTGTTGGACTGCAACTAGAAATATAAGCTGCTGATGTCTTCCAATATTGTTGTAAATATCTCACATATTGCTCAACATGATAATTGCTAAAGTATACTATACATAAGGTTTGACTTACAATGGTTTGACTTAGATTTTTCAGCTTTACAGTGATATGAAAGGGATATGAATTCAGTAGAAACCATACTTCAAATTTTGAATTTTCATCTTTTTCTGGGCTTGTGATGTACTCTTTCATGATGCTGAGCGATGTCAGTGAGCTACAGCTCCCAGTAGCTCCCAGTCAGCCACGTGATCATGAGGTTAAACCAATACTGTACAGTGTATTGTACAGTTGATTGCCATATGATGTTGCCCAACCATAGGCTAATGTCAGTGTTCTGAGCACATTTGAGGTAGGCTTGGCTGAGGTAAAATATTTGCTAGGTTAAGTATATCGCATGCATTTTTGACTTAATGGTATTTTGAATTTACAGTGGGTTTATCAGGATGTAACACCATCGTTAGTTGAGGAACATCTGTATTTCAAGATACATTATATTTTAAATAGGCTTTTGGCATTACCCTAGTTTTGTAGCCAATTTAGGAAAAAAACATTTGAAAGACAATACTTACATGAATTAGAAATTGCCTGTTTTCCAACCTGATAATAAACTCTGTTATAAACCTAAGTTATGTTCTTATTCAATACAATGATGACTTCAATGTATTACATTCAATACAATGTAAGTAGGTTTTTGCTTCTTCCTTCACTCATTGGTGTTAGACTTCTTACAGTTTGTTTTTCTTTCGTGAAACTTCTAGTTCAATCTCTTGTTAAACTATTACTGTCAGTTTGCCCTGCTGGTATTAATCTAATACTTTATTTTACACACAGTTTTCTATATGATACACTGAAGATATCTGTGATTCTGTTATCAGAATGAGCCTTGTGAATCTATTTGAAATGCACAGTTTTTCTTTATGTTTCTATGTCCACAATTAGATACAGTGTTATTCCATATGATTGTATTTCTGTTCACAATCAGTAAGATTTTCTAAGTGTTTTCTTTATTATTTTAAGTCAGGCCACATATTAGATAATATTCTCAAAAGTTGTCCTTGGATTTTTATTTACTTTCAGAAATAAAATTGTAAAACTCCAGATTTTATTTTAGCATTGTCAATTAAGTGTTCAGAAAATAATTCTCATTTAGTTAGGTTTCTTGGTAAACTAGCATGCTATATTTTTATGATTTTGTATCTCATAAGGTGGCTGTCAGTTAACTTCTCATTTGTATATGTCATTTGATTACCAGTAAGATAATTAGATTAAAATTACTTGTTTCCTTTTTGTTCAGAAGTGAGGGTTCTTTATTACCAAAAAATGACAGCACACATGACAAAAATACATAAAGCCAAAACTTAAAACTCTCCCCTTTCTACTCTCCTGCCACTCCCCATATAGACGTTCTCCCTCCCAAAAAGAGGCCTTTGTTAATATGGTGTGTTCCATTCCAGACATCTTGTATGCAAATAC
This sequence comes from Homo sapiens, assembly GCF_000001405.40. Taxonomy (NCBI): domain Eukaryota; kingdom Metazoa; phylum Chordata; class Mammalia; order Primates; family Hominidae; genus Homo; species Homo sapiens. Next base: position 78,958,795 of record NC_000006.12, on the reverse strand, counting down.
GTAGTTATGGTTGCCCCTCTTTTTTTCCCCTAACACAAATGCAGTTATGCTGCTTTGAAAATGACTTTATAAGACCAATGGTTTTTACAGTTGGTTTAGACTGAAGTTGAAAAGTTGGAATGTCTTGGTTTTAAATGATGTACACATATTTCTAAATATAAGGAAGTTAAAACTTCTATATTTTGTTTTTTTAAGGCGGGTTTCTTCCCTAATGTGGGAAGTTCGATATATAGAGCATAATACACGAACATTTAATGAGCCTGGAAGCCCTATTGTGAAATCTGCTAAATTCGTGACTGATCTTCTTCTACATTTTATAAAGTAAGTTATCTTTTCATATGTAATTATGATAGTTTTAATAATTAATGGCACTACAGTTCCTCTTAAAATAGAAAACATACTGTTTGTAAAGAAGAAACATTTAAGAGTAGCCAAAATAGCTCAGCTGGGAGAGCATTAGACTGAAGATCTAAAGGTCTCTGGTTTGATCCTGGGTTTCAGAAGAAACAGTTCATTGGCTAATAATAAGAATGAAATCATAAAAATCGTATTACCATTGTGTTTTAAGGTTAAAATTGTTTAAAAAAAGATTATTTTCTCAATCTAACTGTTAGACAATAATAATAGTAAAAATTTATTTAACATGTAATGTTTTACCTACATTAACTCTTCTAACCCAAATAACAATCTTACAGGTGGAAGAGATAATTATCTGGAATTTTGAATTGAGGAAACTGTGGCCTATAGTGGTTAACATGTATAAGGTTGCACGGTAAATGAGTGTCTGCCATCTGATTTGAGAATTTTTCATCCTAACAGTATATTGCCCCTGTCAAGTATATTAACAAGTATTTAAATAGTCCAGCAGGAGACTGAATTTAACTTTCATGATTCTTCTTCAAAGTCAAGTTTACTTCCTCATTGATCCCATAACAAGAGTGATAAGCACTATTTATTAAGGCAGAAGTACTTTCCCTTCCTTATCTTAAGGATTTTATGCAATCATATAATGAATTGAGCCTCCTAAGTTGAAGGCAGAGAAATGAATTCTATATTTTGTACAAAGACTGCTGTGATTCCATGTCATTATTTGTATTGAATTTTTTTTTCCTGGTTGAGAAGTAGTAACAGCATTTTAAAAGCTTACTTAGCTGTTATCAGCTTTCATTTTTACATAATGAAAAATTCAGGATTATTCAGTTTTTTTTTTTTTTTTAATAAACATCCCTGCTTCATTCTCATTAATGGACATAATCTTTGAGCTCCTTTTTGATTAATGTGTTTTAACTGAGGAATGCAGGTCATTTCAGTATAAGAAAACACCAAACATAATTAATAAGGTAAAGTTTGTGCCCTTTCTCTACCTTATTCTCTAAGAAATCTATTGCTTTCCAATGGTTTGGGGGCTATTATTGCTATGCTTTTGTTTTCCTTATTGAAATTAGTAATTAAGCATTATCCTCTGAAGACTCTTATGTCTGTAATTTTTTATAAGTGTTATAACTATGTGTATGTGTATCTGTTTTTTCAAAGAGAATCAGTAGAACTACATGAGATAGTATATTCATATTTCAGTGAAATAATTTAGATGAAAATTGTTAATACATTTGAAAGTCTGTGAAATGTATTTCTTTCAAACGGCTACTTTGAAATGTCTTTGAAGTCAGATTCATGAAATACTTAAAGCATTTGTATTGTATATTTCTAAAAATAAATCCATGGCATTTTTTTAGATGTGTATAGTTTGTTTAAAAATACTTTTTTTAGCAGATAGTCTTCAAGATATTAAGTATTCCTTGAAATTTTGATTATTATACTTTTTAATTGAGTTATTTGGCAAAATTTCAAGCAATTGATACATACAAAGTAATGTGATGGATCCTTTTAATACAGTTTCATAGGATAGATAAATCTGTAAGAAAGTATAATATAAGGAAAACTGTGACAAGTAGTAAGAGAATTGTATAAAAGTTTAGATAAGAATAGGATTACTTTTAGCTGTGATGATGGGGATTCAGATACAGGGGAGGAGAAGTCTGTTAAGACATTGTATACAAGGTGTAGATACTGATAGATTCTGGAAATGTTAGATGAAAAGAAAGCCATTCCAGGGATAAGGAGCAGCGTGAGGTAGGAAGTTTTAATTAAGGGTAATATAAATTGGAGAAGTCACAGTAGAGATACAGTGCTATAAATCTGAGTTGGGGCCACATCGTGGGTGGCTTTGAATATGAATCTAAAATATAAGCTCTGAGAGCAAGGGGCTGTTGAAAGTATATTAACATGAGAATAACATGTTTTACACTATGCCTTAAAAATGTTAATTTGACTGCAGTGTCTAATTTAATTGACAGAGAAGAGACAAAAAGCATAAATAGCAGATTGACTGCTACAGTTGACCAACTAAGAGTTGATGAGGGCTTAATTTATGAAAGTGAGAAAGGGACAGATGCCCAGACATACTTGAGGATAGAGTTCACAGCCCTTGACCACTAATTGGGTTTATAAGGAGGAGGAAAGGGAAAGAATAATGAAAAACCAAGATTCCCATTACTGTAAGAATGATATGTTGTTAAAGAAAAATAGAAAAAGGAACAAGGATATCTGGGGAGTCACTATTAAGTTTAGACGTGGAATTTTAGGTGTTGGTAGAATGCTCAGGAGAAGGGTTAGGACAAATTGCAGGAATTTTGGAATTCATTTACACAGATAAACCACAAGTATGTGAAGCAAAAGGTACAGTGTCAAGATGCGTTAAGAACAAAATTTTAGGAAATACATTTAAAAATAAAAGAAAGAGTTGGAAGACAAGAAATGTATTAGCTGTTTGAAGACTGAGGAATGGAAGAAGCACAGCAGATACCTAAGCAAAGACTGGGAGATGAGACTTGGGTTTGGTGTAATGATATAGTGAGGCCACACTGAAAGCTCTACATAGAGTGGAGGGGTCAGGGTTAAATGTGTGTGCATAAATTATTGGAGTAAGCCAATGGAGAAGAAAGCAAGCCTTCAGCTTCAACTTTTACCTTAAAATATGGTTTTACGAACAAATTTTTAAGGAAAAAAATTATCATGGTTCTAATCTTACATGTTAACATTTCCTTGTTATGTAGGGATCAGACTTGTTATAACATAATTCCACTTTATAATTCAATGAAGAAGAAAGTTTTGTCTGATTCTGAGGTATGTAATATTTCATTATTATTACCATATTGATATTCTCTATATAAAAAAATTTACATATTGTAGTTTTCAGGTAAAAGCTGTTGTGAACATTATTTTTTGTCTAGTGTAGTTAATTTAAAAAAAAAAAACAACTGGCAGTAGAATATTCTTCTTATAGTTAAAAAAAATTTTTTAATGGGGGGAACCTTTTTAATGAGTCAATAAAGTGCCCCAGCATATACATTACAGGTGTTCCAGTGTGTAAAGGAAATAATTGCTAGTTAATCAACTATAAAGTATAATGACATCTAAAATGTTTTATGAATCTGGTAAATTCTTGCCTCAAAGGATGAAGAGAAAGATGCTGATGTGCCAGGAACTTCTACTCGAAAAAGGAAGGTAATATAGTTTTAGTTTTAGCAGAAGTACTTTATATGAATTAAAATGTATTAAGAGCTTTCTTTATTTTTTTACTCTTAGCATTTTAAAAGACATTAAGTATTTCAAATTAGTTTCAATTACAAAATGTATGTTTTTTAGAACTTGGTGAATATTTTCTTTTGTTTGAATTATTGTATATTACCCAATTATCTAAGACTACATTAAAAGTACAAATTTTATTGTGTAAGTGCTCTTTTATTAATATATTTGAACACTTTTATCACAGGACCATCAGCCTAGAAGAAGATTACGTAATAGAGCCCAGTCTTACGATATTCAAGCATGGAAGAAACAGTGTGAAGAATTGTTAAATCTCATATTTCAATGTGAAGATTCAGAGCCTTTCCGTCAGCCGGTAGATCTCCTTGAATATCCAGTAAGTATTTTTGAAAATATTTTCTTTACCTGTCAGTTTGCTACATACCTTTTACATGACAGTTGGCTATTTTAGTTACTTTTTATGATTATAGTTTATTTCTTTATTATTTTATACATGTTCTCATTATCCATTTGGCTACATAGAGAATCCAAATTTTGAATAGTGTGGTAAAATGGAAGGAGCCCTGAATGAAGACACTGTAAGAATTGGGTTATTCTGTTCCTACTAGTTGTGCAGCTTTGAGCAAGTCCCTTAGTTTTCTCATCTGAATTTTTTTTTTCTTTTTTTGTCTTCCCTACACTGATTCCATGAATTTATTATGGCAATTATCTAGAAAAAAAGAATAATGCCTACGTCCTTACAGGATTATGGAGATGTAAAGAGAATATATAAAAATAGTTTTTAGGCTGGGCACGGTGGCTCATGCCAGTAATCCCAGCACTTTGGGAGGCCGAGGCAGGCAGATCACGAGGTCAGGAGATCGAGACCATCCTGGCTAACACGGTGAAATCCCGTCTCTACTTAAAATACAAAAAAAAAAATTAGCCAGGCGTGTGGGCGGGTGCCTGTAGTCCCAGCTACTTGGGAGGCTGAGGCAGGAGAATGGCGTGAACCCGGGAGGTGGAGCTTGCAGTGAGCCGAGATCCCACTGCCGTACTCCAGCCTGGGCGACAGAGCAAGAGACTGAGTCTCAAAAGCAAACAAAAAATAGTTTTAAATGTGAAGCACTGTGTACAAATGTAAGGTGACATTATTGTATATATTTAGGTTATGCCAATGTGTAATCTTTATGGAATACATGGTAAAAAGAGCTAAGTAAACATGATTTAAGTATTTATTTTGGCGTGCAATCATAGCAATCTAAATTTAATGTAGAGTGATTTCTCATCCCTTTAAAAAGTAATTAAATGTTATATAGTTCAGGGGTCGGGCGTGGTGTCTTACACCTGTAATCCCAGCACTTTGGGAAGCCAAGGCAGGCGGATCACCTGAGGCCAGGAGTTCAAGACCAGCCTGACCAACATGGTAAAATCCCGTCTCTACTAAAAGTACAAAAATTAGCCGGGCTAATTTTTGTTCTAACTTACAATGATGAAAATAAAGAAATTTCATCAACAGATAAATATCAGAAAATGACTTTTTTCATGTCATTTAAAATGCCAGAAACATAGAATGTTAAATGTGGAAGAGAAATCTTTAATTCCAGCGGCGTGATAAATTGAGCTAATTAGAACCTCACCTTTCAAAAAACCTGGGACTGAGCTGATGCTATAATGTTCTGGCTTTCATTTCTCTCTGTGTTTTCACAACTTATGGATTTCGCTTTGGTTCTTGCAAGCTCAGCTATGTATTCTTTTGAAAAATAAGTTGCAGTTTATTCATTGTTTTAAGCGTTTGTATTCTGGGCTTTGCACAGAAAAGAAGAGATAGAAATAAGACAATGTTTTTATTCTAGAGGCACAAGTATTAACACTATACAGAGATAATTGAGTCCTTGGGCAGTGGTGAAAAAGGAATTTGGAGCTGAAACCCAACCCTAAACCAGAAATATTGAAGAACTGTACCCTGAATGAAAAGAAGAATTGAATAATTCCTTTCACAACAAAGAATGTTTCCCCCAGTGGTTCTAGTGTCAGAGAGGAGAAATTTTCCTAAACTTACACTATACATGGACTTAGAATCCAAATTTGCACCACCCTTGTGTAGAAATCCATTATGGAAAAAATGTTAATCCTTAACTGAATGAACTAATGATTTAAAAAAAAAACAACACCTATATAAGGGAGTGATCTACCATAATAAGATAACAGAAACAACAAATGAAAATATTAGTACCCTCTCCCTGAAAATTTGAGTAATAGATTATTCTGAAGTACTGTACTTCATTAAAAAAAAGAGAGATGACATTCCTTGTAAGATTACTGTTGTTATATGTACCACCAAGAAAAAAGAAATGCTGTTGAGTTAAACTTTGATAGATAGTTTTGGTTAAAGGAATAAATGAAAGAATAAGAAACATAGGGAAAAAATATGTTATTTGAGAGGAAAAGAGTGAAGACATATTAAAATCAACTAAATAGAATCCTGGAAATGAAATGTATAATTACTGAAATTAAACTTACTGGACAGTTTTAAAAACAGACTAAAGAGATAGTAAGTGTAAAGATCTAAGCAAATTCTATAGAATCCCACACAGAATGATAAAGAGATTAAGAGTGTGAAGGAGAGGGTAAGAGGTAGTGGTAGATAGAAAGAGAAGGTCCAAAATATGTCTAACAAAAATTTCAGTGGAAGAGAATAGACAGAATGGGAGAGGAGCAATATTTGAGGAGCTAATGGCCAAGAATTTTTTTTTCCTTTTTTTTTTTCTTTTTTTTTTTTCTTTTTTTTTTGGGACAGAGTCTCACTCTGTCTCCAGGCTGGAGTGCAGTGGCTCAATCTCGGCTCACTACAAACTCTGCCTCCTGGATTCAAGCGATTCTCCTGCCTCGGCCTCACGAGTAGCTGGGATTATAGGCGCATGCCACCACGCCCAACTAATTTGTATATTTTTAGTAGAGGTGGGGTTTCACCATGTTGGCCAGGATGGTCTCAATCTCTTGACCTTGTGATCTGCCTGCCTCAGCCTCCCCAAAGTGCTGGGATTACAGGCATAAGCCACCATGCCCGATGGCCAAGAATTTTCTAGAATTGGTAAACATTTGAGAAGCTATGATTCCTGATCGGGATATACAAGAAAAGAATCTTTACCTAGAATAAGAGTGAAAAAAACTCAACAATTGAAAGTCAAAAAGAAAATATTGAAACAGTCATACAGAAAAAATGGAGGAGACCTGAGACTGCTCCAAGCCACTCACTTTACTGATGTTGAACTGATACTCATCACTCTAAGATTTATAGACAAAACTATTTATAGCTATTTATTTGTAGCTATTTATAGACAAAGCCACAATGGGAACCCGTATCCCTTATGTCCAGTGCACCAGTTATATGTGATATTCTGAGACAATAGGCAAATGAATTTTTATATAAAGAAAGTAGTTCACTTTTCAAACTTAAAAGGGAAATATATAAGAATGCAGTCATCTTTTACATGTTCAAAATAATGAGAACAATATTTAGCAAATACTTAGAACCTGTCCCACCAGCTAAACGTGTTAGGCAACAAAAAGTAGTAGAAATAAGAAAAATGTAATCTCTTGCCTCTTGCAGTACTCCATGATGGAGGTTTGTTGTTTTGTTAATTACTGTCACAGAAGAGAAAAAGAAAACTTCGGATAATCTACTTTTTATAATTCAGAATTAACTGTATCATCCTTTAGTGGAATATTTAAGGCAGATCATGCACTTCATATTTCATCTTTTATATGAAAATATTGGTTCACATTTTGAGTTTAATCAAATATTCAAAGCAAGATGTTAAAAATTAAATTTTTAATGGAAATGAATGGGCTTAATATTCTACAACGTTCATTTATTCAACAGAATTGTATTGAGCAGCTATTATGTACTATACTACATGGTGTAAGCCCAAGATATGAGCCAAGAAAAATTAAGTATTCTACATAAATAAAATTTACATTAACCAAAATATTGCAAAACATTTTAAAAAATCATTTTTATATTTTGCCCAAATCCACAAAGTTTGTAAAGCCAATAATGTAAAATCTCCAAGGACTTGTTAACGAAAGAGCCCACCTCTAAATAATCTATGGATCAAACAAATCTCATGGGAATTTAAAAAATGCATTGAACTCAATTAAAACAAATTCAGTATATCAAAATTTGTAGGATGCAGTTAAAGCAATGCAGGGAAATTTCTAATACTAAAATGTACTAAAGAGTACAGCAGAAAAGGAGAAGTTTCAAATCAATAATCGAAGCTCACTCCTCAAGAACCTAGAGAAAGAAGAGTAAAATCACCCAAAGGTAAGCCAACAAAAGGAAATAATAAAGAGCTGAAATCAGTGAAACTCAAAAAAGAAAAACAATAAAGAAAATCTATGAAATTGAAAGCTGGGTTCTTTGAGAAGATCAACAGAATTGACAAGCCTCTGTTAAGATTTACACAGCTTATAAAGAGAGAAGACAGATTGTTAATATCAGAGATGATATAGAGCATATCACTGTAGACCCTGCAAATACCAGAAGGATAATAAAGTAAAAATAAGTAATACTACAAAGAATTCTACATATATAAATTTGATAACTTACATGAAATAGACCGATATTCAAAGTATAAACTACCACAACTCACCCAGTATGAAGCAAATAACTCAGTAACCCTATTAAGGAAATTTAATTTGTGATTATAAGTTTTCAAAAAACAAATGTCTAGTCCTGGATGGCTTCACTGGAGAATTCAACCAAACATTTAAAGAATTAACACAAATTCTACACAATCTCTTCCAGAAGATAGAAAAACTCAAAATTCCCAACTCACTCTATGAAGACCAGTGTTCCCCTGATCTCAAAACCAGACAATAAGAGTAGAAAAGAAGAAAAACCTTTAACGAAATAACAGCAAATAGAATTCAGGAATATATTAAAAAATGATTTTATACCATGACCAAGTGCTGTTTATTCCAGAGATACAAGGATGGTTCAGTATTCAAAAACCAGTCAGTGTAATCCATCATATTAATAGGCTAATGAAGAAAAATCTCATGATTATATCAAGTAATCCAGAAAGAACATTTGACAAAATTTCACACCCATTTGTTCTGTGAATGTGTATTTTGGTTATGGTAAAGTCAGTGCGGTCACAGGAGGAAATGAAAACAAGGCTTGGAAGGAAAAAGTTTATTATACTCGAGTCCCAGGCCAAGCATGGTGGCTCACACCTGTAATCCCAGCACTTTGGGAGGCCAAGGTAGGTGGATCACTTGAGCTCAGGAGTTTGAGACCAGTCTGAGCAATATGGCAAAACCCCGTCTTTACAAAAAATACAAAAATTAACCGGGTGCAGTGGCGTGCACCTATAGTTCAAGCTACTAATGAGGCTGAGGTGGGAGGATTGCTTGAGCCTGGGAGGTAGACATTGCAGTGAGCCAAGATGATACCACTGAACTCTAGCCTGGCAATAGAGTGAGACCCTATCTCATTAACAACAAAAAAAAAAAAGTAAAAAAGAGTCCCAGAAAAGTCGGGGCTTACCACATGCCACACAGGGCCACAGGGGAAGTGCTAGGTTTTGGTTGGGTAGGAGAGACCAAAACCAGGGAAAAGCTTAGAAATCCTTTATTGGGGTTTCTGCAGGAAATGCAAGGCAGGTCACAGTTAACAGCTTATTATTGGCTAGTTTGAATAATTCCAGTGGGCCCTGGGGCACAGGTATCTAGTTGTCTGGTCCCAGCTCTGAGATGATTTAAAACAGGGAAATACTGGCTTAGTGTGTGAGAGTGAGAAAAGGAGCTGATTGTGGCTTTATACTTGGGATTCATTGGTATGTATATGAAAGACATGTTCTCAGTGGAACCCCTCACTAAGACTGCCCAGGAAGGGGCAATCTTTTCCCAGGTCTGTAAGGCCCCCCAGGTACCAGATCATCATTGGCCTGTGAATAGATGGCAAATAGACAAATGCAGAATCTGAAGAAGTGAGACATTAATTCATTATAAAACCCCTAAGAAAACCGGGAACAAAGGAAAACTTCCACAACTTGATAAAGTACATCTATAAAAAGTACATCTACAGCTAATATCATGTTTACTGGTGACAGACTGAGTGCTTTCCCCCTAAGAATTAGGAATGACTGAAAAATGTTCACTCTCACCACTGCTATTCAATGTAGTACTGGAAATTCTAGCCAATGCAATAAGGCAAGAAAAGGAAATAAAAGGCATAACTATTGGAAAGGAAGAAATAAAAATTTGTAAAGGCAGTAATCCTACCTTATAGGACACCTTCTTCATGGTCAGACGTATTTGATCATAATTTAAACTTGATGGTGCAAAGTCAAGTTGTTACACTTCAAAAAATATAGTCGCATACTGAGGGACTGTTGAAAAGCTGCAGGCCAGGTGTGGTGGCTAATGCCTATAATCCCAGCACTTTGGGAGGTCAAGACGGGCAGGTCATTTAAGCCCAGGAGTTTGAGACCAGTCTCAGCAACATGCTAAGACCCGTCTCTACAAAAATTATAAAAATTAGCTGGGTGTGGTAGCGCCTGCCTGTAGTCCCCGCTACTTGAGAGGCTGAGGTGGGAAGGTTGCTTGAGTCTGGGAGGCCAAGGATGCAGTGAGCTTTGATGGCACCAACTGCACTCTAACCTGGGCAGCAGCAAGACTGTGTCTCCCAAAAAGGGGGGGTACAATACTCTTTGTCCCTGCTAAAAAAAAATAGCATATTCTGATAATTTTAGAATTATATACCATATTATGATAATTTTCTGTTGCTCTTCCTGTTTCACGTGTGTGTTTTTATTGGTTCCAATCTGTTACCTAATTTTATACTCTATTGACTAGGTAGACATCTCAGGTGACATGCATAGACTTTGTGACAACTATTTACATTCGTAATTCTTTATTACTGCAAAGCAAAACTCCCAATTTTAGTACTGAAGTTGAGATTACTAGAACTTAGGTGTCTGCATAAATGGGATGCTGGCATACTTCCATTGTTTTTATTTCCTTAAAGTTACAGTTGTGTTTTAATGAGTCAGACCTTTAGAATTTATAAGTAGTATAAAGTTTTGAGTTTTTCTTTCAAACTTTCGGTTGTAGAGCTGGGCTTTTTCCTTACTCTTTTACTTTCCCTTTTCCAATACAACTCCATCTCCCAAGTCTCCAGTGAAAAATTAATAACTTCTGTGTTCTTGAATAAGAAAATTATTGTTGATTGCAGTATAAGGGGGGGGAGTATGAAATAAATAAGAATTATTAGAAAAAAGGGACTCTTGATAAGGGGAACAGGAGTGATTATTAAGAGTTCTAGGACTTGCAGTCATCATAAAAATCCTGTGCGAATCCCTGCACTGAGAAGTGATGCTTTGTGTAGTAATAATCATAACACCACCTGTTTTCCCTCTCCTAGGACTACAGAGACATCATTGACACTCCAATGGATTTTGCTACCGTTAGAGAAACTTTAGAGGCTGGGAATTATGAGTCACCAATGGAGTTATGTAAAGATGTCAGACTTATTTTCAGTAATTCCAAAGCATATACACCAAGCAAAAGATCAAGGGTATATAATTACATTATTTTCTTTTATGACTAGATTAAGTTAGAGGAGTGTGTTAAATGACTAAATGTTGCTTTACTTAAAATTTAGGTCAAAGTTAACTTTCTGTTACATTCTTAATGTTGTCCTACTGGAAAAAGAAATTATACCTTTCTACTCAGCTCCTTGTATGAAATAACATTGATGTTATCTTTGATGTCTGGGAATGGTTACTTTTCTTGAAGTAGTGCGGTTGATGCAAATTGTCCTGGTATGCACCAGAGCCATCTGGCCTTGAGTTTTCTAGCTATTATCTGCCTTGTGGAGCATTTTTGCGAAGATTTTTACAAATAAGTAAAAATATAATTTAACACTCTGACCAGACATGACATCACAAAGGAGTGCTATATAGCAACGAAATGAGAAAGAATAGATGCTAGTCCTAGATAGAAAACAGGTTCAAACATTTGGGATAGTTTCAGTGTAATAAAGTTGACAATAAGTTTTGTCTGTATGAGCCATTTGAATTTAGAGTCGGACTTTTCTTTAAGAATCTCAAAACTTGGAAGATTTCTGTTCTAAACACAAAAATACATAATTGTTAAAATGCTTCAGTTTACCTTTTCATCAAAAGATTAGGAAAAAGGGATGTAAAAAACAATAATTAAATTCTAAATATTTTTTACTGGAAAAATATTTACATTACAGTATTTACTGAACAAAGGTATTTTCCTCCAAGGAATGGTTGAACACTTTTTTTTTTCCCTCACAGATTTACAGCATGAGTTTGCGCCTGTCTGCTTTCTTTGAAGAACACATTAGTTCAGTTTTATCAGATTATAAATCTGCTCTTCGTTTTCATAAAAGAAATACCATAACCAAAAGGAGGAAGAAAAGAAACAGAAGCAGCTCTGTTTCCAGTAGTGCTGCATCAAGGTATTTAATTTCTTTTAAATACCACTAGCTGATCTATAACTTTCATCTAAATGATAGAACTTGGTGTTTTTTAATACTTCCTTTACTATTCCCTATATTGCAGAATGATAATTTGACATGCAAGTTCCTATGATGTGGAGGATTTTTAATCTTTTAACTAAAGCTATACTAGTGTAAGTGCTTAAATTCAAACTGCTAAATCTATACAGTAAAACAGCATTTTTAGGATAGTGATGGCATCATGCTTTCCGTCATATAACTTTAGCATTTACAGCGATCCTTCACTAAATATTCACTTTCAAAGGCTCACAATCATATGAAATCCACTATAAATCTCATATTTTAACATATTTCATAATAGTACAAATATTGAATCCAAAAATATTATAAACTGTTTTATTCGTTCACATAGAGCTATAAGAGTGACTGACAATACTATTTTATTTACAGCCCTGAAAGGAAAAAAAGGATCTTAAAACCCCAGCTAAAATCAGAAAGCTCTACCTCTGCATTCTCTACACCTACACGATCAATACCGCCAAGACACAATGCTGCTCAGATAAACGGTAAAACAGAATCTAGTTCTGTGGTTCGAACCAGAAGCAACCGAGTGGTTGTAGATCCAGTTGTCACTGAGCAACCATCTACTTCTTCAGCTGCAAAGACTTTTATTACAAAAGCTAATGCATCTGCAATACCAGGGAAAACAAGTAAGACTCACTTTCTAAATTGAAATGTATATGATGATTTTCTTAATTTAAGCTTTTACTTTGCCAAATGCAATATACTGAGTTTTAGTAATTCCTAGCAGACACTGTTGTTTTTGCCTTCTTTATTAATTTCCTATTTTAAAAAAAAGTTTTTAATAAGAAGAATTAAATTGAGGTTTAGGTCATTATAGACTAATGCTTAAAAATGGCAACTCTGATCTAAACTACCTGAATTTAAATCACAGTACCCACACTAGCTAGCAATTTGCCAAGACTTGCCTTCGAAATTTTGAAATGATGGGACAGCTTCTAAAAGGGCTGAAACTATTAAGAGTTTCTAGTTGGATACGCCTTTTTCCTATTAGAAAGTAGCTTTCCTAAGAAAGCTTTAAGCATCCTTCAGGTTTTGTTGTCTTGGCTAATTCAAATAATTCAGGTTAACCTTTTTTCTTATCTTTAGGTTCAATAACTCTTAATTTTTAAATTTTGTTTGTATGTTTTAGTACTAGAGAATTCTGTGAAACATTCCAAAGCTTTGAATACTCTTTCCAGTCCTGGTCAATCCAGTTTTAGTCATGGCACTAGGAATAATTCTGCAAAAGAAAACATGGAAAAGGAAAAGCCAGTCAAACGTAAAATGAAGTCATCTGTACTCCCAAAGGCGTCCACTCTTTCAAAGTCATCAGCTGTCATTGAGCAAGGTAAGGTATTACTTGTATCTTTCAAGATACAGTAGATCCTTATTATAAATAATGCTTTTGTTGGAATCAGCATTTATATCCACTTTTCAGGTTGCCCACTTAAAAGTCACACATCTGTATTAGTTGATAAATTTACTGCAATGAGCTATTATTGTGCCACTGCACTCCATCCTGGTAAACAGAATGAGACCCTGTCTCAAAAGAAAAAAAAAAAAAAGAAATAAATCTTCAAAGTTTAAATTAAATAGGGTATAGTTAACCCAATGTAGCATTCTTCACTTTTCTAGAAAAATGTTTAAGTAATTATTGGATCACAAAACTACTTATTTTTCTAGACTGACTTTTACTAAATAATAATTCATTGGGGTTGTCTACAACTGTAGAATACAACTTTTGACACCTTACTGTTACACTTCAAGTTCTTTCACCTCCAGGTTTTTATTGTAAAGTCTTTATGTTTGAAAGATGAAGAAGGTAAATAATAAAATATGCCATGTGACATGTTAAAATAATATGGCTTCTTGGCAGCAGACAGCCCAATAATAAGCATTTTGCATCATGACTTTCAAAGTGTGTCTAAGACATTTCTTCATTGTTGTCTTCAGAAACCTCTCTCAAAATTTAATTTCTCTACTGAAATCTTATTTTTGTTAATGGCATTGGGATCTACCCGTGTAAACTTAAAATCAGGGAGTCATCCTAGCCTTCTCTTCAGCAACTGAATCTGTTCAACAGCTTTTTGTTTTTGTTGTTTCTCCCTCCATAACATCTCTTAAATCTATTCTCTCCTCTCCATTCTCACCTCCATGACATTATTTCAAGGCCTACATAATTTCTTGCTTGGACTATTTTCCTAGTTTCCTAACTGGTCTTCCTGCCTCAGTTCTCAACTCTTTCTTAACCAGTCCCTCTCTCATATTGCAGCCAAAGCGATCTTTTTATTTCTCTCTAGCACATGTGGATGTGTGTACGTACACACAGAGAAAACACTTCCTTGCCTTCAAATCATATATGGAAACATTTTAAATTTTTTGCCTGTTACACAAGACTCTTTATTACTTGGCTCTTGCCTAACATTCCAGGTTCTTTTACCTTCTTTCTCTCTTTTGTATCCCAGTCATCCTAAACACTTAGAAGTTCCTGAGTCTTTGTTCTTTTCTCCTTTTGGGGGAATGTCTTTTTTTCCCTCCTAGTTTAATTGTCTGTTGCCTTTCACGTCTCACTTAAAATATCGTCTTCTTTAGGAAGTCTTCTCCTGGCTTCTTTAGATAGAATCAAGCACTTCCTTTTTTTTTTTTTTTTTTTTTTTAAAAAAAGACAGGATCTTGCTCTGTCACCGAGGCTGAAGTGCAATGGCCTGATTTCCATTCACTGCAACCTCTGCCTTGCCGGTTCAAGCAATTCTTCTGCCTCAGCCTCCCAAGTAGCTGGAATTATAGGTGTGTGCCATCACACCTGGCTGATTTTGTATTTTTGATATAGACAGGATTTCACCATTTTGACCAGGCTGGTCTCAAACTTCTGGCCTCTGGTGATCCACCCCACTCGGCCTCCCAAAGTATTGTGATTTCAGATGTGAGCCACCACGCCCAGCCAAGCACTTCCATCTTTATGTCCCAGAAAACCCTGTTCATTACCTTTGGTGGTACTTATAATGTTGATCATATTATTCATTTTCACATGTCTGTATCTCCAAAGAATCTGAGCTTAATGTGTTTACTCATTTTTAATGCCCATTATACAGAAGATAATAAGTGTTTGAATAACCAAAATGCTTTGCATATGAGTGTTTCACATTTTTAATAATCTGCCCCCTTTCTGAACTGAATTTAGAGTTTGAATAGTATATTGGCCTTGCTTCTTTTTATTCATGAATCCTAGAGAAATCAAATATATATGATGAATTGGTTCTAGCATTATGATAGCGGAGGTCTGGTATCATAACCTGTTTGATTTTTAATTTTTGAGTATTACAAATACTCGAGTACTGGTACTGTATAGAAATATCATTATCTATTAGTTAACATTAACAGTGTTTTATTACAAATAATGACACCTAAATTAACTATTTAGAATCAAGCAGTGTTGTCTAGTGGAATATAATACAAGCCATATATGTAATTTTAAATTTTGTACTCACCATGTTCAGTAAAAACAGGTAAAGTTAATTTTAATAATATTTTATTTATCCCATTATATCCAAAATGTTATTTCAGTATTTAATCAGTATTTTAAAATGTATACTGCTTTGGTATTTAAATTGAAATTTAAATAAAAATTTAGTTCCTAAGCTGCATAACTTTTCATGTGCCCAGGACAACACCGTTCAATATCAGTGGTTTTTAAACTTTTTTAAAAAACTTCTGAATTCCTTTTTAAGAAAGCTGCATTCATTCTTAACCTTTTTACATTATATATTGCTTTATAAAGTTGATGAGTCCTATAGTCCCTGTCTCAGAAAAATGTACATAAACATATCCATACAAAATTTGGGACCATTACAAGGGATTCATGTAGTCCTTAAAGCCTATCTTCTGTAGTAGGTACATGTACTGGATATTTAGAACCCTTGTAGTCATAATGTAAAACAAAAGAGATTGACAGAATCCCTGGGCAGTTTAAATGTCAGTTGCTCCATAGGAAATACTTAACTACTTTATGTCCACACCCACATTTTTTCCCAACCACTAATCTAAAGAGAGTCATTTCACTATGGGGGTCAGGAATTAAAAGCTTTGCATTTTCTGTCTGTACTTGGCTCTGACCTTTGGTAAGTCTCTTAACCATGTTGTTTTGTTTTGTTTTGTTTTGTTTTTGAGATGGAGTCTCCCTCTTGTCGCCCAGGCTGGAGTGCAGTGGCGTGATCTCAGCTCACTGCAACCTCCGCCTCCTGGGTTCAAAGGATTCTCCTGCCTCAGCCCCCTGAGTAGCTGGGATTACAGGCACCCACCACCACGCCCAGCTACTTTTTGTACTTTTAGTAGAGACGGGGTTTCGCCATGTTGGCCAGGCTGGTCTCGAACTCCTGACCTCAGGTGATCCGCCCACTTTGGCCTCCCAGAGTGCTGGGATTATAATCGTGAGCCACTGCACCCGACCAACCATGATTTTCTTATTTACAAAGTACAGTTCCAACCTGTGACCAAAAATGCTGTTATGAAGATGTATTCTCTTTAAAAGCAGTTTCCATCTATGAATTTCCTCAAAAATAGAGCATTGCAAATCACCTACCATATCAAATAAAAACATGTCAGAAATTTGGAGGGAAAGAGAGTTAGTTACTGGTAGTTCCTGTGGCATATTTTTCCTTTATCTAAGTTATAGCATTTTTTTCTACAACAGAAAGGTAATTCATCATCTCCAGATCCTTCAGGTTTAGAATTTGATTGCCAGATTTTCTCTCCTGTTTTATGAAGCATAATGGCCTTTTATCATGGAGTTTGTTACAGTGGGATCTTAATCATGATAATGGTGGCACACATAGTGATTTTGATTGATATATATATATAATCAGTATTTCCTAGGATTATAGTCATTTGCCATTTATTACACAAGGAGATAGGACTTTTCAAAGCCTGTGAAAACTGCCATTTAGTTGTTTTTAAATCCTCTTTAAACAGTTCTAAGAACAAAGTTTTTGACCAAGAGTAACTTATTTCTAAGTTAGGAATAAGAAACCTTTAGTCATCCCAGCTTTATACTCAATCACAATGTTAACTTAGATAAGTCACTTATTTTCTATGAGCTTTACCTCCCTCATGAGATCGTTAAGAATCTGTCTCTTTTAATTAGAAAATAAATAAGATCATTGAACTATTAGTGTTTTCTAGGTTCTTTTTTCTCATTTTAATAAAATAATTTGGATTATGTCATTACATATAAGTATACCAATGGGGCCTTACTGACAAGTTTGAGAGTCAAACAAAAAAAGAAACTCCATATATTAAGTGTACTGTTGTTCCCTTTTAGGAGATTGTAAGAACAACGCTCTTGTACCAGGAACCATTCAAGTAAATGGCCATGGAGGACAGCCATCAAAACTTGTGAAGAGGGGACCTGGAAGGAAACCTAAAGTAGAAGTTAATACCAATAGTGGTGAAATTATACACAAGAAAAGGGGTAGAAAGCCCAAAAAGCTACAGTATGCAAAGCCAGAAGATTTAGAGCAAAATAATGTGCATCCCATCAGAGATGAAGTACTTCCTTCTTCAACATGCAATTTTCTTTCTGAAACTAATAATGTAAAGGAAGATTTGTTACAGAAAAAGAATCGTGGAGGTAGGAAGCCCAAAAGGAAGATGAAGACACAAAAATTAGATGCAGATCTCCTAGTCCCTGCAAGTGTCAAAGTGTTAAGGAGAAGTAACCGAAAAAAGATAGATGATCCTATAGATGAGGAAGAAGAGTTTGAAGAACTCAAAGGCTCTGAACCCCACATGAGAACTAGAAATCAAGGTCGAAGGACAGCTTTCTATAATGAGGATGACTCTGAAGAGGAGCAAAGGCAGCTGTTGTTCGAAGACACCTCTTTAACTTTTGGAACTTCTAGTAGAGGACGAGTCCGAAAGTTGACTGAAAAAGCAAAAGCTAATTTAATTGGTTGGTAACTTGTACCAAAATATTTTACTTCAAAATCTATAAAGCAGGTACAGTTAAGGAATAAGTAGAACTAAGGCTTCTGCTTCCTTGCTGCTGTGGTGGAGTAGGGAATGTTATGATTTGATTTGCAAAAAAAAAAAAAAAAAAAAAAACAAACTTACGAGACACTTCACTTCTTTAAATGAATATATATATATATATATAAATATATACATATATATTTTAAATGTTTGCTATTTATTGCCCTTAGATAGGTTATGCATTTTCACATTCATTTCATTCACTGTTTGAAACGAAAGAAATTGATCTATAATGAATTCCTGATTTATTTATAGAAAAGACAATTCTGCTACACTCTTTAGGAGCATAATATTCCTAGTGATAGAGCATTTCATGTTAAAATGAATTATTTTTGACCAAGTGAGGTACATTTCTATTGATACAAGTCATGCCCCTAAAAGATAGATGTTATACAGAGTAGCAGTGAATTAAGAAATGTTTCCTCTAAAAGATAAATATAAAATTTCCACCATTTGATACCCTAAACAGTTTAATTTTAATTATAGAATGTTCATCTACAAAGTATCTAGAGGAGGCTTTTGCTTTATTCCATTTCTGCCAAACAAGAGAAAATGTACTGATGAAGGGAAACATATCCACATTGGAAAACATTTGACTGTCTAATTTTTCAGACCTTGATTCTTATATCACTCAATCTCTGTTTATTGTGCCAAAGACTGAGAATCAGTGCAGTGGAAAGCCTGTTTTTGACGTCAGGACAGCATACACTTTTCAATATTGGAAAGGCTATATATTCTAAAGAGCAAGTTATTAAAGAGTTATGCTGAGATATATCTTTTTTTGGTACTAATAGAAAATAATGCACTGGTGGGTCCTTTGACAGAGATGTTCTAGAGGAAATGTTTAAGTGGTTAAAGGATTCAAGGAAAATACAGGAAAAAAGGTATGGGATTTGATGTTTACTTGTTGATCTGGATTAATGTCATTTCTAAACTTTAGACATATCTAATAGCCTAAAATGACTTACAAAGAAACGTGTCTGTGTGTGTATGTGTATATATTGATAAATGGGTATAATTAAATATATATACAAACACATACTTATATACTATTACCCAGGTATAAATTCTTTTTTCAGGATTTTTTAGATAGCAGTAGAATAAAAATAATTTTAAAATGTCATACTTTATAGTTTAATTTTAAGGGGGAAATTGGTTATTTTCAATTATTAAAGGTTAAAATAGGCCAAATCACTTTTTATGCAATCATGTTTTATACAGTGGTCTCATTGCACATTGTGTTTTTTCTGCACTTTTTACGGTATCCTTATCATGCTGGTATGTCAATATACACCCTAAAGAAAAACTCCATTTAATGATTGTGCCTTGTATTCTATTATTTTTTGCATCATTAGTAAAATTAAGTTGTCTATTGTAAATGATAACTATATGACTTAGGAGAATGTATTGCTATATGTACTGCTATGGAAAAGGAAAGCAGTTATTTATTTGTTTATGGTACAGTTAGTTATTTTATACCTTAAAAACCAACATACTTACCATTTCTATTGTTTAAAAATTACTGTCCATTTTTTTAAAAATTTAAAGAATGTAGTATTTTCTGAGGACTGGTATGGTACAAAAATGTAATCAAAATTTTCAGATACTACATTTTTAAAAAGTGAGGATGGGGAAAATATGTATCAGCATGACCCTGATGTAGAAAAATAAAGTCTGCAATTGAACCTTGGCAAAATACATTACATAATTATTTCTGATAAGGATAAATATTAGCTGTCATTTAACTGTCGTGAAGAATGAAAAAGTGATACATTTGGGCTTTTTAGATCATTTGTAACTAAATTTGTACAGAAATTCTCCTGTGAAATTAAGTAAACCATTTTCCAGATCTTGACTGCATTGCTGAGATTTTGCAGTTGAAAAATAATTTCAAATTTTTCAGGTTTTTTGTATATTTATTTTTTTCTAACAAATATATTTAACTATAAAATTAAAATTCAGTAGTTAAACTCTTCATAATGCAGAAATGGATGGCTTGATTGTATAGAAAAATGAGTCTTTCAGTTACACCATTCTTGAAAATAATAGTGTATGTTTGAAATTTGTCATTAATTAGTTGCTTTTGAAGGCAATCTATTTGAAATATGTAATTTCCTGATGTTATCTGCATTGTGTTAAGAAAAAAATAATAGGCTATAAAATCAATTTTTGTAAAAAAAATGTACAGTTTTAAGTTGTGTACAGAAAAAGGAAGAGCGTACACAGTCTTAGAGTGGAATATACCTCTAGTACAGTGTATGTGTTAATTCCAACTCAAGCAAAGAAATGAGTATTTACCATCTTTCCTATAACATGTAAATGTATTATTCCTGTTCTACAGACACTGTATATTTATGACCTTATTTGGACATTATTAGACACTGGTTTCTTAGTAAAGCACAGTAACTTGGATCAGATTCTTTGTAACCGAAACACTTAAACATGTATTAGTAATACCAATATATTTAGATTTTATATTTTTATAATTTAGCTTCTATGCATTACAGAAGTTGAATTAAGAAATTTAAGTCATCACCATATTTTTGTTTTCTTTACCACTTGGGAAAATAATCCTCTTTGAGGCAGTAACACTATGTATGTACTGTTAATAGGCCAGAAAGAAATATTGGCAGTTGTCTTAGGTAAGCAATAAAAACATCTCCAATTTACTGAAAGTTCAGAAATATAACTCTTACATGCATGGAAAGTGTAAACCAATTTAGGTATTTCTAAGTACCCAACCCTAGTATTCTCTCCCTCAACTCCAACATTCTCAAGTCCCAGATGAAAAGTTTCAGTGGAGCATTAGTTTAAATATTTAGTCTAATCAGAGACTCACAGCCCTGGGCAATAGATACATAGCTTTTTAAAATTTTATCCTTTGTGACCTGCTATAGTGGCATTGGACTATTTTCTGCATGTATTATAAACTAAAGATTGGCCTTATTTCAATTGTTTTTATTGCACAACTTCACTACAAATTTAAAGACTGCTGGCATTATTATAAAACTGTCTTCCTCCAATCCAAGTAAATAAGTATGTGGAATATTTGTGAGCTGGATTAGGTAACATCTGAGACTTGGGATTGACTAAATTTAGTTATCACTTGGAAATGAATTACATAAGATACAGTAATCAGAGAAAATATCTTTATGCAGCATGTATGTTAACATCTAGAACTGTCCCTCATCTGCAGTGCAGTAGAGGAATCAGACATTTTAAGAAATGTATTCAAATATTTTTATCTTATATGTTAGCAGCATTTACATGTTTTCAGATATGATTTGTAATATAAATTAATTTCTCCAGTTAACAATGTTTACTTCAATTCTGACATTCCATTTTATACATATATACCTACTGTATATCTCTCTCAAATGTCAGCTAGAAGCAACTTTTTCAGTTTTCTATCTAATGAAAACGGATATATTCTGAATGTTTTTGTTACCTGAAATTTATTTTTGAGTAGGTTGAAAGGACCAAGATACTTGAGTGATTAAAGGACTGTAAGTGTTCTGCTTATATGCAGGAGTTACATGATTTTAAAAGTCATAATAGGGGAAGTAGTTTTATCATCTGATTACTCCTATTAACCTAAAAAGTATTTCTAACATAACAGATTGAGCAGTGGTTTTGTTACACTTAGGCAAGAATTTATTTTCCCATTAAAATTTGAAAAATACACTTTTCTTTGCTTCTACCCTTGCAGTTTCCCTTAGTTCCCCTAATTTCCAAGTGATCTGAACTAAAATTAATATTACATTTACTAAGAAACTATTTTTGTTAATTATACTGAGCAAAGTTTGCTCCAAATGAAAAGTCATTACGAACTATGTATAGTACCCAAGAAAAGGTCAAATTGAGTCAGAAGACTGTAAGTACCACTTTTGGCGCTCCAGAGATAAACCTTGTACACACTGCAGTAGAACAGTGAGTAGAAAATATGAGCTATAAATAGATATTATTTTTAGTTTTGATAGCTCTGTGTTGAAATACTTTTTTAATGCAGATAAAAATTATCAGGAAATTAACCTTATGGCACAGACCAAATACTTAGTGCATGGCTGAGTTTCTACAATTCAAGGAGCCAAGAAAATAGGTTCAAGATGGAATATAGTACATGCATATAAGGCAGATGCACACATGCTGGTTACTTTAAGATTGTGTGTGTTGATTAGTCACAATGATAGACTATAACATGAGACAATACAAAGTTACATTTTTGGACCATATTAAAACTGCAAGAAGACAGGGGTCTTACTGAAGATCTTTTAGAAAACTTAAATCCTGTCACAGGATATTTAGACATGTGTAGAATGTAGCTCAATTTTTAAAAAGTAACTGACCTAGAGGGTGAAAGTTGAAACTGACACATTTTCAAATTAAGATTATGCTTATTTTGTACAGAAAACAATGTTTAAACACAAGCAGATCTGTTGTATGTAATAAGTAACACAGAGTTTTAAAACAAATTAATTATTTAGCTTTATTGAAGTTTGTTTTTTTCCTTCCGAACCTGGAGTATCATATTATAAACAGCAGTTTCACACCAGAATAGCAGTGCCCTTTCTTTTTGTACATACTGATTGGACCTTTCTTTACTGTTACGTGGACACTTTCTATGTTAGTTTTGATGCATAATTCTTTGAATCCTTTTATACAAACTAGAATGTATGTGTAAGAATACCTGTCCCTGCAATGTAGTAACTACAAACTTATTTTTAAATAAATAGAAAACTTGTTTTTCTAAGCTATTTTGTAGAGCCTCATGATTTATTATTTGCTTTTTAAAGTTTTTTGGCATCACATAAAGCACTTAGTACATAATCTCAACAAGCTGCTTACCAAAGTGGTCATATGGCAGATACCATTATGTAAATGCTGGTTCATTAGAGTTTCCAGTGCCCTGTGTGTTTTGCAAAGTGTGAAAACTGTCAGTTAAAAGATATTTGGGTGCCGAAATGTAATTTAATTCCAAAACAACTGAAGGTCAAAAACTTATATGCCTTTTTATGTGTACATTTAATAAAACAATTTTATTGATTTCTTACCGTAAGTTACTGTGATGAGTGATAAATACTTCACTATTCAGATACTTTCGTAAGAGATACATTTCAGTGGAACACTTTGCATAAATATTTTCTCAAAAATGTGCAATTTCTGGGAAAAAAGGAATGATGGAAAGAAGGTTATTGCAGTTTTCCTAGAAATTTTGTCAGATTGGCATGCATTTTTATTGACTAAGAATCCCAATTTTAGCATGAAGACCATTAGATATGAATACATAAGGCCATAACATTTCAAATTAAGCACATGGAGTGATTTGTAATTTTGTGTTAATTTCTCCCTAAGATGTTTTGTTAAAATGATTTTGTATATAATAAATTTCTAAGTTGAGGAAGGAAGGTAAAAAAAATTCCTGATAACCTTTTCTTTATGAAGTCTGCTAATAACAATACCTAGTATATACTTAGAAGAACCAGCCAAGAAAAATTACCTTTCAGCAACCACTCTTTACTTATTTCTCTTTTGTAATAATACCAATTTTATGACCCAGGATTCCCCAGTATTTAACGGAAGTAAGATTAAAGACCAAAGCACAAAACCTCTGTTCCTTGCAATATAGTACTTCGTGTTTGTAATCAATGTGTGGTAAATTTAACACATTTACCACTTACTGATTAGTCTTTGGGAAAAGAATGGTGGAAGTCATTCAATGAAATACCTTTCTACCTAATTGGTTAGACATACTGGCAGCACAGTGTAATGAACTGGCCTGGAGTTGGGAAATGGGAATTTGACCTTCATTCCTGACAGGAAGTAGAGGAACCCCAGCAAAGTCGTATCTCAGAGCTTCATTTTCCTCATCTGTAAAGTTTTAAAGGTTGATTAAATTATCTGTGAGGTCTAATTCTGTTCAAATAGCCAGTGGTGATAATCTCATTTGTATACTGTCCTCTGTATTCATGGCTCAACTTTGGCTTTTATATTTAGTCCCTAAATAGAATACATCATTTAATGTGTAGCTTCCAGACAAGCTGTGTCTTGCGGCCATGACCTGATTGTTGTTAAGTGTGAGGTTTTCTGAACCCTTAGCAGAAGGACTTTTAATGTTTTTACAACACACTATTGTATTGCTATAAATTGTGAATTGCTTTAAAAGTACATGTTTACTAATAAAAAGAAGTACAGGCACACTTTATTTTATTGTGCTTTGCATTATTGCACTTTGCAGATAACTGGTAACCATGCATCCAGCAAGGCTGTCAGTACCATTTTTCCAACAGCAGGTGATAACTTCATGTGTCACATTTTGGTAATTGCGATATTTCCAACTTTTAAAATCTCATTCTATCTGTCCATGGTGATCTGTGATCAGTAGTCATTTATGTTACCACTGTAATTGTTTTGAGGTGCCACAAACCACACCCATATAAGATAGTTAATACATGTTCTGTGTGTTCTGACTGTTCCAATAAATGGCCATTCCCCCCTCTCCCTCTTTTTGAGACTTCTATTCCCTCAGACACACCAATATTGAAATTAAACCAATTAGTTACCCTACCGTGGCCTCTAAATGTTCAAGTGAATAGAAGAGTCTCAAGTCTCTCACTTTCATCAAAAGCTAGCTATGATTAAGCTTAGTGAAAAAGGCATGTCAAAAGCCAAGAGAGGCTGAAAGCTGAAACTATTGTGCCAAGCAGCCAAGTTGTGTAAGCAAAGGAAAAGTCATTGAAGGAAGTTAAGGATGCTACTTCAGTGAACATATGAATGATAAGAAAGCAAGCAACCTTATGGCTGATAAGGAGAAAGGTGCAGTGGTCTGGATAGAAGATCAAATCAGCCACAATATTCCCTGAAGCCAAAACCTAATCCAGAGAAGGGCATTAAAGCTCTTCAATTCTGTAAAGGTGAGAGAGGCAAGAAAGCTGCCAAAAAAAAAAAAAAAAAAGTTGGAAGCTAGCAGAGGTTGGTTCATGATGGTTTTGGTTTTTGTTTTTGTTTGAGACAGAGTTTTGCTCTTGTTGCCCAGGCTGGAGTGCAAAAGTGCGATCTCAGCTCACTGAAACCTCCACCTCCTGGGTTCAAGCGATTCTCCTGCCTCAGCCTCCTGCATATCTGGGATTACAGGCGCCTGCCACCATGCCTGGCTAATTGTTGTATTTTAAGAAGAGAAGGGGTTCACCATGGTGGCCAGGCTGGTCTCAAACTCCTGACCTCGTGATCCGCCCGCCTCAGCCTCCCAAAGTGTTGGGATTACAGGCGTGAGCCATCGCGTCCGGCCTGGTTCATGATGTTTAAGGAAAGAAGCCATCTCTAATAAAAGTGCAAGGGGGTGCTGATGAAGAAGCAAGTTATCCAGATGATTTAGCTAATATCATTGATGAAAATCTATACAAATTTTCAACGCAGATGAAACATCCTTATATTGGTAGAAGGACCAATCTAGGACTTTCATAGCTAGAGAGAAGTCAATGCCTAGCTTCAAAGGACAGGCTCTCATTGGGGGCTAATGCAGCTGGTGTTAAGATGAAGCCAGTGCTTCTTTACCATTCCAAAAATTCTAGGGCCCTTAAGAATTATATTAAATCTACCCTACCATGCTCTGTCAATGGAACAACAAAGCCTGCATGACAGCCCATCTGTTTATAGCATGGTTTACTGAATATTTTAAGTCCATTGTTAAGACCTGCTTTCCAGAAAAAAAATAAAAAAATAAAAAAGATACCTTTGAAAACACTACTGCTCATTGACAACCTGGTCACCCAAGAACTCTGATGGCAATGTACAAGGTGATTAGTGTTGCTTTCATGCCTGCTAACACAACATCCGTTCTGCACCTCACAGATCAAGGAGTAATTTTGATTTTCAAGTCTTGTTATTTAAGAAATACATGTTGTAGGCCAAGCACAGTGGCTCACGCCTGTAATCCCAGCACTTTAGGAGTCCAAGGTGGGTGGATCACCTGAGGTCAGGAGTTCAAGACCAGCCTGGCCAACGTGGTGAAACCCCGTCTCTACTAAAAATACAAAAATTAGCCAGGCTTGGTGTGTGCCTGTAATCCCAGCTACTCAGGAGGCTGAGGCAGGAGAATTGCTTGAACCTGGGAGGTGGAGGTTGCAGTGAGCCAAGAGTGCACCATTGCACTCCAGCCTGGGCAACAACAGCGAAACTCCATCTCAAAAAAAAAAAAAAAAAGAAAAAGAAAGAAAAGAAATACATGTTGTAAGGCTATAGCTTTCAGAGATTCCTCTGAGGAATCTGGTCAAAGTACATTGAAAACCTGGAAAGAATTCACCATTCTAGATGCCATTAAGAACGTTCGTGATTCATTGGAGATCAAAATATCAACTTTAACCGAAATTTGGAGGAAGTTGATTCCAACCCTCATGGATGATTCTGAGGGTTCAAGAATTCAGTGGAGGAAGTCACTGCAGACATGGAAATAGCTCGAGAACTAGAATTGGAAAGTGGAGCCTAAAGATGTGACTGAATTGCTGCAATCTCATGATAAAATTTGAATGGCTAAGGAGTTGCTTCTTATGGATGAGCGAAGTTTCTTGGGATTAAATCTACTTTTGGTGAAGATGCTGTGAACATTGTTGAAATGACAACAAAGAATTTAAATACTACATAAACTTAGTTAATAAAGCAGAAGCTGTTTGAGAGGATTGACTCCAATTTCGAAAGTTCTACTGTGGGTAAAATGCAATCAAACAGCATTGCATGCTACAAAGAAATCTTTTGCGAAAGGAAGAGTCCAATGGATGCAGCATACTTCAGTGTTATCTTAAGAAATTGACACAGCCACCCCAACCACCACCCTGATCAGTCAGCAGGCATCAACATTGGAGCGAGACCCTCCACCAGAAAAAGATTCTGACTTTCTGAAAGCTCAGATGATCATTAGCATTTTCTAGCAATAAAGTATTTTTAAACTAAAATATGTACATTGTTTTTAAGACACAATTCTGTTGCACATGTAACAGACTAACAGTATGGTACAAACATAATTTTATATGCACCAGGAAACAAAAAGTTTGTGTGACTCGCTTTATTGCAATATTTGTTATATTTTGGTGGTCCGGAACCAGACTCACAATATCTCCACGGTATACCTGTACTAAAGTTTGTGATTTTCCAGGAACCTATGAGAAATCTCCAAGATAATTTTAGTGTAAAATACCCTACTTCTTTTTCTTGTTTTTTGAGACAGGGTCTCTCTCTTGCCCAGACTGGAGTGCAGTGGCACAAATCGTAGCTCACTGCAACCTTGAACCCCTGGGCTCAAGCAATCCTCCTGCCTTAGCCTCATGAGTAGCTTCGACTACAGGTAGACACCACCTCACCAGGCATTTATTGATTGATGGATTGATTGATTGTAGAGACAGGAATTTCACTGTGTTTCCCATGCTGGTCTCAAACTCCTGGGCTAAAGTAATCCTCTTACTTTGGCCTTCCAATGTGCTAAGATTACATGCATGAACCACTAAGCCCAGCCCATCCTGAAATTTTTATCTCATTTTTTCTAAATTTAAGATCCAATTCAGTGGTAAAACAGAATCAGTGGCTTTCAGAGATAAATTAATCATTCGATTAAGATAGGATGTTGCATACCTGAGAATAATAGTTGGTTTTCTGGTTAATTTTTTTTTATTTTATTTTTATTTTTTATTTTTATTTATGTTTTTGACAGAGTCTCACTCTGTTGCCCAGGCTGGAGTGCAGTGGTGCGATCTCGGCTCACTGCCACTTCCACCTACCGGGTTCAAGTGATTCTCCTGCCTCAGCCTCCCAAGAACTGGGACTACAAGCGCTCACCACCTCAACCACCTAATTTTTGTATTTTCAGTAGAGACAAGGTTTCACCATGTTGGCCAGGTTGGTCTCAAACTCCTGACCTCAGGTGATCCGCCCGCCTCGGCCTCTCAAAGTGTGCTGGGATTATAGGTGTGAGCCACGGTGCCCAGCCACACAGTTGTATTTCTCTGTTTCTCTGTATTTCACTATTGTTCTTAGTTTAGTGTCAGCTACCTATATTAATCAAAAATTTTAATGAAAATAACAAGTTTCACAGAGAAAACTGAAAGGATGGTAATTTAAAACTATAATATGCAAGTATTTTTGTAGAACAGCAAATCTCATTAATATATATAGCAAAATTTTTAAACCTTGAATTTGCAAAAATGAACACTTTTATTAAAAATATGACTTGAAGACAGCAACTCCATAGTGTACAAATATAAGAAACAACTGTATATATACTTAAAATTATTCATAGCAGTATTTCAGTGTTGCTTATAACTGAAATATACTCAATTTTAAGATACCTGAGGATCTTTGAAATTATGTTCAAGCTGACATGCTATAGAACAATTACTGTTATAAAAAACTTTGTCAAGGCTGGGCATGGTGGTGCACAACTGTAATCTCAGCACTCTGGGAGGCCAAGAACTCTGAGCCCAAGAGTTCAAGACCAACCTGGGCATTATGGTGAAACCCTGTCTCTACAAAAAATTAGCTGGGCATGGTGGTACATGCCTCTAGTCCCAACCACTCGGAGGCTCACATAGGAGGAATGCTTGAGCCCAGGAGGTTGAGGCTGCAGTGAGCTGAGATAGTGCCACTGCACTCCAGCCTGAGTGACAGAGGGAGAGCCTGTCTCAAAAAACGAAAACAAAAAAAAACTGTGTCAGAATTATGATTCAATTTATTTGAACATGTGTTTTATGTTTTTAGCTACTCCAAATATTATGTAAAAGTAATATTAGCTTATATGTTCAGTGGACCAATATAAGAAGTTTAGGTACTCCAGACTAACTTGTCTCTTCTTGAGAAAGCAAACCCAATGTTCACTTAACAAATTAAATGTATGCTTATATTATATTCCACACTTATACAGGAAAAAAAGCCATTTTAAAAATATAATTTCAATTTTTATTTTAGATTCAGAGGGTACATGAGCAAGTTTGTTACCCAGGTATACTGCGGAGGTTTGGGATACAATTGATCCTATAATCCAGGTACCAAGCATAGTACCCATAGTTTTTCAATGCTTGTCCCCCTCCTTCCTTCCCCCATCTACTAGTCTTCAGTGTCTATTGTTTCCATCTTTATATCCATGAGTAACCAATGTTTAGCTCCTACTTATAAGTGAGAACATGTGGTACGTGGCTTTTCTGTTTCTGCATTAATTCACTTAGGACAGTGGCCTTGGGGTGCATCCATGTTGCTGCAAATGACATGACTTCATTTCTTATGGCTGCTTAGTATTCCATGTTATGTATGTACCACATTTTATTTATCCAACCCACCTTTGATGGGCACCTAGGTTTATTCCATATCTTGGCTATGGTTAATAGTGCTGTGATGTACAACCTGCCAAGATTGATCATTAAGAAATCCAAAACTTCAACAGACCAATAACAAGTAATGAGATCAAAGCCATAATGAAAAGTCTCCCAGTAAAAAAAAGCCTGACACCTGATGGCTTCACTGATGAATTCTACCAAACATTTAAAGAAGAACTAACACCAATCATACTGAAACTATTCCAAAAAATACAGGAGGAGGGAATACTTCTAACCTCATACTATGAGGCCAGTATTCCCCTAATACCAAAACCAGACAAAAACACATCAAAAACAAGAAAACTGCAGGTCAATTTCTCTGATGAATATTGATGCAAAAATCCTCAACGAATACTTGCAAATTGAATTCAACAATAAGTGAAAAAGATCATTCATTATGACCAAGTGGAATTTGTCCCTGGGATGGAAGGATAGGTCAACATATACAAATCAATCAGTATAATACAGGACAGAATAACAAACAAAAACCATATGATCATTTCAATTGATGCCGAAAAAGCATTTGATGAAATTCAACATCCCTTCATGATAAAAATGCTCAAGAAACTGGACATAGAAGGGACATATCTCAACATAATAAAAGCCATATATTAGAGACCCACAGCTAGTATCATACTGAGTGGGGAAAAACTGAAAACCTTTCCTTAAAGATCTGGAATACAACAAGGACACTGTCACCATTGCTATTCAACATAGTACTGAAAGTCCTGGCTAGAGCAATCAGACAAGGAAAGGAAATAAAGGGCATCCAAATTGGAAAGGAATAAGTCAAATTATTCTTGTTTGCAGACGATATCATCTTATATTTGGAAAACCTGAAGACTCCACACACACACACAAAAACTATTAAAACTGATAAGCAAAGTCAGTAAAGTTGCAGGATACAAAATCAACATACAAAAATCAGTAGCATTTCTGTATGCCAACAGTGAACAATCCGAAAAAGAAGTCAAACAAATAATCCCATTTATAATAACCACAAATAAAATTAAATACCTAGGAATTGACCAAAGAAGTGAAAGATCTCTATAATGAAAACTATAAAACACTGGTGAAAGATATTGAAAAGAACACAAAAAATGGAAAGATTCCATGTTCATAGATTAGAAGAATCAATATTGTTAAAATGTCCATACTACCCAAAGAATCTACAGATATCAAAATACCAATGACATTCCCCACAGAAACAGCAAAAACAATCCTAACATTTATATAACATCAGAAAAGACCCAGAATAGCCAAAACTATTGTAAGTAAAAGGAACAAAACTGGAGGAATCACATTATCTGACTCCAAATTATACTACAGAGCTATAGTGAGCAAAACAGCATGGTACTGGCATAAAAACAGACACACATAGACCAATGGAACAGAATATAGAACCCAGAAACAAATCCACACACGTACAGTGAACTCATTTTTGACAAACGTGCAAGGAACATACAGTTGGGAAAAGACAGTCTTTTCAGTAAATGGTGCCTGGAAAACTGGATATTCATATGCAGAAGAATGAAACTAGACCCCTATCTCTCACTGTATACAAAACTCAAATCAAAATGCATTAAAGACTTAAATCTAAGACCTCAAACTATGAAACTACTACAAGAAAACATGAGGGAAACTTTCCAGGACATTGTTCTGAACAAAAATTTCTTGAGTAACACACAACCACAGATAACCAAAGCAAAAATGGACAAATGGGATCACATCAAGTTAAAAAGCTACTGCACAGCAAAGGAAACAATCAGCAAAGTGAAGAGACAACCCACAGAATGGGAGAACATATTTGTAAACTACCCATCTGACAAGGGATTAATAACCAGGAGCTCAAACACCTTTATAGGAAAAACATCCAATAATCCGATTTAAAAATGGGCAAAAGATTTGAATAGACATTTCTCAGAAGACATACAAATGGCAAAAAGGCATATGAAAAGGTGCTCAATATCACTGGTCAACAGAGAAATGCAAATCAAAACTACGATGGGATATCATCTCACCCCAGTTAAAATGGCTTTTATCCAAAAGACAGGCAATAACAAATGTTGGCGAGGATGTGGAGAAAAGGAAATCACATACACTGTTGGTGGGAATGTAAATTAGTATAACCACTATGGAGAATAGTTTGGAGGTTCCTCAAAAAACTAAAAATTGAGCTACCATATGATCCAGCAATCCGACTGTTGGGTATACACCAAAAAAAAAAGGAAATCAGTATATCCAAGAGATACCTGAACTTCCATGTTTATTGTAGCACTGTTCACAGTAGCCAAGATTTGGAAGGAACCTAAGTGTCCATCAACAAATGAATGGATAACAAAATGTGGTACATATACACAATGGAGTACTATTTGGCCATACGAAAGAATAAGATCCTGCCATTTGCAACAACATAGATGGAACTGAGGTCATCATGTTAAGGGAAATAAGCCAGGCACAGAAAGACAAACATCATATGTTCTTACTCATTTGTCAGATCTAAAAATAAAAACAGCTGAATTCATGGAGATAGGGAGTAGAGGATGGTTGTCAGAGGCTGAGAAATGTAGTGGGAGGGTGTCGGGGAGGTGGGGATGGTTAAGGGGTACAAAAAAATTGAAACAATGAATAAGACCTAGTATTTGATAGCACAACAGGGTGACTATAGTCAATAATAATTTAATTGTATATTTTTAAATTCCTTAAAGTGTATACTTGGATAATTTGTGACACAAATGATAAATACTTAGGGAGATGGATACCCCATTTTACATGATGTGATTATTACACATTTCAAGTCTGTATCAAAACATCTCATATATCCCATAAATATACACACCTACCACGTACCCAGAAAAATTAAAATAAAAAATTTAAAACAAACAGTGCCGTGATGAAAATACAAGTGCATGTGTCTTTTAGTAGAATGATTTTCTTTTGGATATATACCCAGTAATGGGATTGCTGGATCAAATGGTAGATCTGTTTTAAGTTATTTGGAAAATCTCCAAACTGCTTTCCACAGTGGCTGAACTAATTTACATTCCTGCAAACGGTGTATAAGCATTCCCTTTTCTTTGCAGCCTCACCAGAATCTGTTGTTTTTTGACTTTTTAGTAATAGCCATTCTGACTGGTGTGAGATGTTATCTAATTGTGATTGTGATTTGCATTTCACTGATGATTACTAATATTGAGCATTTTTTGATCTTCACCCTCCTCCCACCCTCCATCCTTCAGTAGGTCCTACTGTCTATTATTCCTTCTTTGTGCCCATGTTTAATCAGTGCTTATTTTCCGCTTATAAGAACACACAGTATTTGGTTTTCTGTTCCTGTGTTAATTTGCTTAGGATAACGGTCTTGAGGTACATCCACGTTGCTGCAAAGGACATAATTTTGTTCTTTATTATGGCTGCATAGTATTCCATGGTGTATATGTACCATATTTTCTTTATCCACTCCACCAGTGATGGGCATCTAGGTTGATTCCATCTTTTTCCTATTATGAATACTGCTGTGATGAACATATATGTGCATATATCTTTATGACAGAATGATTTATATTCCATTGGGAATATACCTAGTGATGGGATTACTGAGTTGAATAGTAGTTCTGTTTTTAAATTCTTTGTGAACTCTCCAAATTGCTTTCCACAGGGGTTGAACTAATTTACATTCCTACCAGCAGCAGTGTATAAGTGTTTCCTTTTCTCTGCAGCCTTGTCAGAATCTGTTGTGTTTTGACTTTTTAACAGGAACTGTTCCACTGGTGTGAGATAGTATTTCATTGCGGTTTTGATTTGCATTCCTCTAATGATTGGTGATGTTGAGCATTTTTTCATATGCTTGTTGATCACGTGTATGTCTTTATTTGAGAAGTGTCCGTTCATGTCTTTTGTCATTTCTTGAATGAGACTTTTGGTTTTTTTGCTTGTGGATTTTTTTCTAATTATACTTTAAGTTTTAGGGTACATGTCCACAATGTGCAGGTTTGTTACATATGTATACATGTGCCATGTTGGTGTGCCGTACCCACTAACTCCGTCATTTAACATTAGGTATATCTCCCAGTGCTATCCCTCCCCCATACCCCCACCCCAAAACAGGCCCCGGTGTGTGATGTTCCCCTTCCTGTGTCCATGTGTTCTCATTGTTCAATTCCCACCTATGAGTGAGAACGTGCGTGTTTGGTTTTTTCTCCTTGCCATAGTTCACTGAGAATGATGGTGTTTCCAGCTTCATCCATGTCCCTACAAAGGACATGAACTCATCATTTTTTATGGCTGCATAGGATTTCATGGTGTATATGTGCCACATTTTCTTAATCCAATCTATCATTGTTGGACATTTGGGTTGGTTCCAAGTCTTTGCTATTGTGAATAGTGCCGCAATAAACATATGTGTGCATGTCTCTTTATAGCAACATGATTTATAATCCTTTGGGTATATACCCAGTAATGGTTGGTTCTGTTTATATGCTGGATTACATTTGTTGATTTGCATATATTGAACCAGCCTTGCATCCCAGGGATGAAGCCCACTTGATCATGGTGGATAAGCTTTTTGATGTGCTGCTGGATTCAGTTTGCCAGTATTTTATGAAGGATTTTTGCATCAATGTTCATCAGGGATATTGGTCTAAAATCCTCTCTTTTTTGTTGTGTCTCTGCCAGGCTTTGGTATCAGGATGATGCTGGCCTCATAAAATGAGTTAGGGAGGATTCCCTCTTTTTCTATTGATTGGAATAGTTTCAGAAGGAATGGTACCAGCTCCTCTTTGTACCTCTGATAGAATTCGGCTGTGAATCCATCTGGTCCTGGGCTTTTTTTGTTTGGTAGGCTATTAATTATTGCCTCAATTTCAGAGCCTGTTATTGCTCTATTCAGGGATTCAACTTCTTCCTGGTTTACTCTTGGCAGGGTGTATGTGTTGAGGAATTTATCCATCTCTTCTAGATTTTCTAGTTTATTTGCGTAGAGGTGTTTATAGTATTCTCTCATGGTAGTTTGTGTTTCTGTGGCATCAGTGGTGATATCCCCTTTATCATTTTTTATTGCATCTATTTGATACTTCTCTTTTCTTCTTTATTAGTCTTGCTAACGGTCTATCAATTTTGTTGATCTTTTCAAAAAACCAACTCCTGGATTCATTGATTTTTTGAAGGGTTTTTTGTGTCTCTATTTCCTTCAGTTCTGCTCTGATCTTAGTTATTTCTTGCCTTCTGCTAGCTTTTGAATGTGTTTGCTCTTGTTTCTCTAGTTCTTTTAATTGTAATGTTAGGGTGTCAATTTTAGATTTTTCCTGCTTTCTCTTGTGGGCATTTAGTGCTATAAATTTCCCTCTACACACTGCTTTGAATGTGCCCCAGAGATTCTGGTACGTTGTCTCTTTGTTCTCGTTGGTTTCAAAGAACATCTTTATTTCTGCCTTCATTTCGTTATGTACCCAGTAGTCACTCAGGAGCAGATTGTTCAGTTTCCATGTAGTTGAGTGGTTTTGAGTGAGTTTCTTAATCCTGAGTTCTAGTTTGATTGCACTGTGGTCTGAGACACAGTTTGTTATAATTTCTGTTCTTTTACATTTGCTGAGGAGTGCTTTACTTCCAACTATGTGGTCAATTTTGGAATAGGTGTGGTGTGGTGCTGAAAAGAATGTATATTCTGTTGATTTGAGGTGGAGAGTTCTGTAGATGTCTATTAGGTCTGCTTGGTGCAGAGCTGAGTTAAATTCCTGGATATCCATGTTAACTTTCTGTCTCATGATCTGTCTAATGTTGACAGTGGGGTGTTAAAGTCTCCCATTATTATTGTGTGGGAGTCAAAGTCTCTTTGTAGGTCTCTAAGGACTTGCTTTATCAATCTGGGTGCTCCTGTATTGGGTGCATATATATTTAGGTGAGTTAGCTCTTCTTGTTGAATTGATACCTTTACCATTATGTAAAGGCCTTGTCTCTTTGGATCTTTGTTGCTTTAAAGTCTGTTTTATCAGAATCTAGGATTGAAACCCCTGCCCTTTTTTTTTTCCATGTGCTTGGTAGATCTTCCTCCTTCTGTTTATTTTGAGCCTATGTGTGTCTCTGCACATGAGATGGGTTTCCTGAATACAGCACACTGATGGGTCTTGAGTCTTTATCCAATTTGCCAGTCTGTGCCTTTTAATTGGAGCATTTAGCCCATTTACATTTAAACTTAATATTGTTATGTGTGAATTTGATCCTGTCATTATGATGTTAGCTGGTTATTTTGCTCGTTAGTTGATGCATTTTCTTCCTAGCCTCGATGGTCTTTACAATTTGGCATGTTTTTGCAGTGGCTGGTACCGATTGTTCCTTTCCATGTTTAGTGCTTCCTTCAGGAGCTCTTGTAGGGCAGGCCTGGGGGTGACAAAATCTCTCAGCATTTGCTTGTCTGTAAAGGATTTTATTTCTCCTTCACTTCTGAAGCTTAGTTTGGTTGGATATGAAATTCTGGGTTGAAAATTCTTTTCTTTAAGAATGTTGAATATTGGCCCCCACTCTCTTCTGGCTTGTAGAGTTTCTGCCGAGAGATCAGCTGTTAGTCTGATGGGCTTCCCTTTGAAGGTAACCCGACCTTTCTCTCTGGCTGCCCTTAACATTTTTTCCTTCATTTCAACTTTGGTGAATCTGACAATTATGTGTCTTGGAGTTGCTCTTATCAAGGAGTACCTTTGTGGCACTCTCTGTATTTCCTGAATTTGAATGTTGGCCTGCCTTGCTAGATTGGGGAAGTTCTCCTGGATAATATCCTGCAAAGTGTTTTCCAACTTGGTTCCATTCTCCCCGTGACTTTCAGGTACACCAATCAGATGTAGATTTGGTCTTTTCACATAGTCCTATATTTTTGGAGGCTTTGTTCATTTCTTTTTACTCTTTTTTCTCTAAACTTCTCTTCTCTCTTCATTTCATTCATTTGATCTTCCATTACTGATACCCTTTCTTCCAGTTCATCGAATCAGCTACTGAGGCTTGTGCATTTGTCATGTAGTTCTCGTGCCATGGTTTTCAGCTCCATCAGGTCCTTTAAGGACTTCTCTGCATTGGTTATTCTAATTAGCCATTCATCTAATCTTTTTTCAAGACTTTTAACTTCTTTGCCATGGGTTCAAACTTCCTCCTTTAGCTCAGAGTAATTTGATCATCTGAAGCCTTCTTCTCTCACCTTGTCAAATTCATTCTCCATCCAGCTTTGTTCCATTGCTGATGAAGAGCTGTGTTCCTTTGGAGGAGGATAGCCTCTCTGATTTTTAGAATTTTCGGTTTTTCTGCTCTGTTTTTTCCCCATCTTTGTGGTTTTATCTACCTTTGGTGTTTGATGATGGTGATGTACAGATGGGGTTTTGATATGGATGTCCTTTCCGTTTGTTAGTTTTCCTTCGAACAGTCAGGACCCTCAGCTGCAGGTCTGTTGGAGTTTGCTGGAGGTCCACTCCAGACCCTGTTTTCCTGGGTATCAGTAGCAGAGGCTGCAGAACAGCAGATATTGGTGAATAGCCAATGTTGCTGCCTGATCGTTCCTCTGGAAGTTTTGTCTCAGAGGAGTACCTGCCCGTGTGAGGTGTCAGTCTGCCCCTACTGGGGGATGCCTCCCAGTTAGGCCACTCGTGGGTCAGGGACCCACTTGAGGAGGCAGTCTGTCCCTTCTCAGATCTCCAGCTGTGTGCTGGGAGAACCACTACTCTCTTCAAAGGTGTCAGACAGGGACATTTAAGTCTGCAGAGGTTTCTGCTGCCTTTTGTTTGGCTATGCCCTGCCCCTAGAGGTGGAGTCTACAGAGGCAGGCAGGCCTCCTTGAGCTGCCGTGGGCTCCACCCAGTTCGAGCTTCCCGGTTGCTTTGTTTACCTATTGAAGCCTTGGCAATGATGGGCGCCCCTCCCCCAGCCTTGCCGCGGCCTTGCTGTTTGATCTCAGACTGCTTTGCTAGCAATGAGTGAGGCTTCATGAGCATTGGAGCCTCCAAGCCAGGGGTGGGATACAATCACCTGGTGTGCCGTTTGCGAAGATCGTTGGAAAAGTGCAGTATTAGGGTGGGAGTTACCCGATTTTCTAGTTGCCATCTGTCACCCCTTTCCTTGGCTAGGAAAGGGAATTCCCTGACCCCTTGCACTTCCTGGGTGAGGCAATGCCTCGCCCTGCTCGGCTCATGTTCAGTGCACTGCACCCTCTGTCCTGCACCCACTGGATGACAATCCCCAGTGAGATGAACCTGGTACCTCAGTTGGAAATGCAGAAATCATTCATCTTCTGTGTCACTCACACTAGGAGCTGTAGACCGGAGCTGTTCCTATTTGGCTATCTTGGCTTCACTTGCTTGTGGATTTGTTTAGGTTCCTTATAGATTCTACATACTAGAACTTTTTCAGATGCATAGTTTGCAAATATTTTCTCCCATTCTGTAGGTTGTTTACTCTGTTGATATATATATATATTTGCTATGCACAAGCTCTTTAGTTTAATTAAGTCCCACTTGTCAATTTTTGTTTTTGTTTCAATTGCTTTTGGAGTCTTTGTCATGAAATCTTTAACAGGGCCCATCTCAAGAATGGTATTTCCTCAGTTTCCTTCTAGTGTTTTTACAGTTTTAGGTTTTACATTTATGTCTTCAAATCCATCTTGAGTTGCTTTTTGTATATGGTGAAAGGAATGAGCCTGGTTTCAACCTTCTGCATGTGGATAGCCAGTTATCATAGCACCATTTATTAAGTAAGGAATCCTTTCACCATTGCTTGTTATTTTCATCTTTGTCAAAGAGCAGCTACAGATGACTGTAGGTGTGTGGCATTATTTCTGGGTTCTCTATTCTGTTGCATTGGTCCATGTGTCTGTTTTTGTACCAGTACCATCCTATTTTGGTTACTGTAGCCTTGTTTGAAGTCAGGTAATGTGATTCCTTTGGGTTTTTTCTTTTTGCTTAGGATTGCTTTGGTTATTTGGGCTCTTTTTTGGTTCCATATGAGTTTAGAATAGTTTTTTTCAAATTTTGTAAAATTTTTTATTTGAGATGGAGTCTTGCTCTGTTGCCAGGCTGGAGTGCAGTGGCACAATCTTGGCTGACTGCAATCTTTGCCTCCCAGGTTCAAGCCATTCTCCTACCTCAGCCTCCTGAGTAGCTGGGATTACAGGCATGCACAATCACACCCAGCTAATTTTTGTATTTTTAGTAGAGACAGGGTTTCACCATGTTGGCCAGGATGGTCTCGATTTCCTGACCTCGTGATCCACCTGTCTTGGCCTCCCAAAGTGTTGGGATTACAGCCATAAGCCACCACGCCCCACCAAAATTAACTTTTTGATGTGCTGCTGGATGCAGTTTGCTAGTATTATGTTGAGGACTTTTGTGTCTAAGTTCATCAGGGATGCTGGCTCACAGTTTTCTTTTTTCATTATGTGTTTTCCAGCTTTTCTCATGCTGTCTACATAGAATGAGTCAGGGAGGAGTCCCTCCTCCTTGATTTTTTTGGAATAGTTTCAGTAGAATTGGTACTTTGTACATCAGGTAGAATTTGGCTGTGAATTCATCTGGTCTGGGAGTTCTTTGATTGGTAATTTTCTTACTGCTGATTCAATTTTGGAACTTAATATTGATCCATTCAGGGTTTCAGTTTCTTCCTGATTCACTCTTGGGAGGTTGTATTTCCAGGAATTTATCCATTTTTCTCTAGAGTTTCTAGTTTGTGTGTATACAGATGTTCATAATAGTCTCTGATAATCTTTTGTGTTTCTGTAGGGTCAGTTGTAATGTCACCTTTGTAATTTCTAATTGTGCTTGTTTGGATTTTCTCTCTTTTTTTCTTTGTTAACCTACCTCGTGGTCTATCCATCTTGTTTATCCTTTCAAAGAGCCAGCTTTGGGTCTCATTGATTCTGTATGGATTTTTGGTTCTCAATTTCATTCAGTTCTGCTTTGATTTTAGTTATTTCTCTTCCTTTGGTCACTTTGGGGCTAGTTTGTTCTTGTTTTTCTAGTTCCTCTTGGTGTGAGTCAGAACATTTATTTGAGATCTTTCTAACTCATTGAGTTCTTTAGTGCTATAACCTTTATCTTAACCTTGCCTTTGTTGCATCTCAGATATTTTGGTATGTTGTATTTCTGTTTTCCTTTATTTTAAAGAACTTTTTAAATTTCTGCTTTAATTTTGTTGTTTACTTGAAAGTCTAAGAACAAGTTGTTCAATTTCCCTGTAATTGTGTGGTTTTGAGAGATCTTCTTGGTATTAATTTCTATTTTTATTCCACTGTGGTCATAGAGTATGTTTGGTATGATTTGATTTTTCTGAATTTATTGACACTTGCTTTATGGCCAAGCATGTGGTCAATCTTGGAGTATGCTTCATTTGCAGATGAGAAGAACTATATTCTGTGGTTGATGACTGGAGTATTCTGTAGTGCCTATTACATCCAATTGTCAAGTATCTAATTTAAGTCTGTAATTTCTTTGTTAGTTTTCCGCCTTGATGATCTGTTTAGTGCTGTCAGGAGGGTGTTG
Source organism: Homo sapiens (assembly GCF_000001405.40). NCBI lineage: Eukaryota > Metazoa > Chordata > Mammalia > Primates > Hominidae > Homo > Homo sapiens. The sequence goes on along the minus strand of NC_000006.12, from coordinate 78,918,764 downwards.
AAGTCCCCCACTATTATTGTGTGGCTGTCTAAGTCTTGTTATAGGTCTAGAAGTATTTGTTTTATGAATCTGGGTTCTGCAATGTTGGGTGCATACATATTTAGGACAGTTGTCCTCTTGTTGAATTGATCTCCCTATCATTATGTAACACCCTTCTTTGTCCCTTTTTTTTTTTTTTTTTTTTTTACTGTTTTTGGCTTAAAGTCTGTTTTATCTGATATAACAACCATGACCTCTGCTTTTTTTTTCTGTATGAGTAATAAATCTTTCCCCAGCCCTTTACTCTGAGCCTATGAGTGTCATAACATGTAAGAAGGGTCCCTTGAAGACAGCAGACAGATAGGTCTTGTTTTTTTCTTCAACTTGTCTCTGCCTCTTAAGTGGGGCATTTAGACCATTTGCATTCAGGGTTAATATTGATACGTGTATACTGGGTTAATATTGATATTTTAAAAATAATTTTTTTTTGAGACAGGGTCTTACTCTGTCACTCAGGATGGAGTGCAGTGGCATAATCATGGCTCACTGCAGCCTCAAACTTCTAGGCTCATGCAATCCTTCTACCTCAGCCTCCCAAGTGGCTGGGACCACCGGTGTGTGCCACCATACCCAGCTAATTTTGTATTTTTTATAGAGATGGGATCCCTCTATGTTGGCTAGGCTGGTAACAAATACCTGGGCTCAAGCAAGATATGTGAGGTTTTGATCCTATCATGAAGTTATTAGCTAGCTGCTTTGTAGTTTCTACTGTGTGGCCTATGTACTTAGGTGTGGTTGTGGGCTATGTACTTAAGTGTGTTTTGTGGTAGCAGTTATCATTCTTTCATTTTCATGTTTAGAACTCCTGTGAGGATCTCTTGTAAGGCTGACCTAGTGGTAACAAATTCCCCTAGCACTTGCTTGTCTGGAAAAGATTTTATTTCTCCTTCACTTATGAAGCTTAGTTTGGCAGGATATGAAATTCTTGGTTAGAATTTCTTTTCTTTAAGAATGCTGAAAATAGGCACCCAATATCTCCTGCTGTTAGCTTTCTGCTGAGAAGTCTACTGTTAGTCTGATGGAATTCTCTTTGTATGTATCTGACCTTTTTCAGTAGTTGCCTTTAAGATTTTTTTTTTTTTTTTTTTTTTTTAGTGTTGACTTTGACAGTCTGGTGACTATATGCCTTGGCAATGTTCATTTTGTATAGTATCTCACAGGTGTTCTCTGAATTTCTTGTATCTGGATGTCTACCTCTATCAAGATTAGAAAAATTTTCTTGAATTATTCCTTGAAATATGTTTTCCACATTGTTTACATTTTCTCTTTCAGGAATCCCAACAATTTGTAGGTTTGGTTGCTGTACGTTATTCCATACTTCTCAAAGACTTTGTTCTTTAAAAAAATTATTTTTTCTTTACTTTTGTCTGGCTAATTTGAAAGACCTGTCTTCGAAATCTGAATTTTTTTCTTCTGCTTGGTCTAGTCTATTGATAAAGCTTTCCATTGTATTTTGAAATTTCTTAAGTGAGTTTTTCAATTCCAGAAGCTCTGGTTGACTTATTTTTAAAATGTTTATCTCTTCCTTCATTTCTTGAATTGCTTTAGAAGATTCTTTGTGTTTATTTTCAACCTTGTCTTGGATATCATTGAGTTTCCTTTCAATTCCATGCTTTGAAATCTTGATCTGTTATTTCTGAGTTTCCATTTTGTTTAGGAACCATTGCTGGAGAGCTGGTGTGATCCTTTGGTGGTATCACTACATTCAGATTTTTCACAGTGCCAGAATTCTTGCACTGGTTTCTTCTCATCTGAAGACACTGGAACTTCTAATTTTTTTTTTAGGTGGAGTCTCACTCTATTGACCAGGCTGGAGTGCAATGGCACATTCCTGTCTCACTGCAACCTCCACTTCCTGGGTTCAAGCAATTCTCCCGCCTCAGCCTCCCAAGCAGCTGGGACTACAGGTGTGTGCCACCATGTCCGGCTATTTTTTTTTTGTATTGTTTTAGAGTGCTCTGATGTCTGGAGATCTGCCTGGGCTTGTCTCTAACCACTCTGTTTCTTTTCTAGCTCTTTGTTCACCTAGATGTAGATTTTTCTATATTAGCTGTCTTGGCAAACTACGTATGTTCAAGTGCCAAACTCATTGATAGTAACAATAATGACTAACACAACGAATTAAACACTAGGTGTTAGGCACTGTTCTGCATTCTTTACATGGAGTAGCTCATTTAGTCTAAACATGTTTATGAGTCAGATACTATTATTCCCATATTATATTAGACAAAGTAAAACACAGACAGATTAAGTAACTTCCCTCCCCCCACCACACTGCCAAATTAGTTGACTGGATTGATGAGTGACTTCTACATATGGATTATAATACTCCAAATGCAACTCTAAGGTTGGGTCTTATTATAAAAGGCCAGTGTACAGACCACCAAGAGGACCTTCTTGCACTACACATAATCATTTTCTGATATCTAGGATTTAACAAAACTGAGGCAAGAAATAGGGTCTAGAAGCAGGCAATCTAAAGACTTTCTAGAACCAAATTAGACAAACAAATGAACAAAAAACCCAACCTTCTAAGCCCAAGAAAATAACTTTATAACTTCACTTTAGCCTCTTCATCTACATAGGAGGTACACAAAATAACCAATGGAAACCTCTAGAGGGTATTTAAACCCCAGAAAATTCTGTAACTGGGCCCTTGAGCTGCTTGCTCCGGCTGCTCACACCCTGTGGAGTGTGATTTTGTTTTCAATAAATCTCTGCTTTTGTTGCTTCATTCTTTCCTTGCTTTGTTTGTGAATTTTGTCCAATTCTTTGTTCATGGACACCCTTGACTGGTAACAAAACATCATCAATCTGCCACAGATCATATTACTTTTAATTGAATTGCCAACACTATTATCTGGACATATGGGTTTGTCCATGTCCTTCAAAAAGCAGATGCCAAGATAGAATAAAATGCACAAGGATTATAATAAAAGAAATGCCTACAAAAGAAAGTGGGAAGGGAGCCAGGAAAGGCTGGGAGGTCTTTCAGGCTGTCATGCCAGTGTGAGCCACAAGTGAAGGAGAAAAGGAAGTAAGGTTGAATGAAGTGTCCTTGACCTCTATGTAGTCTAAGGAAGGTTTGGCAAGGCTGTTGGGGAGTCCTTGGGCCAAATTTGATCATCACAGGAGTCCCCTGTCTCCCAGGTATGCACCAACTTAGGTATCCCTGTGTACTCATTATTGGCTAGGATAGTCTGAGGGAAGTGTGAATCCACAGCACACACACAGCAGTGAAATTCAGAGTGCAGCTGCTCGGGCCTTGATCTAATAAACTCCCTGCAGGTGAAACTCTGTGAGGCACGTTTTCTTGGCCACTATAACATGCTTTAGCATCCTAAAAGTTTTGGGCTTTATTTTAGTCATGAGGTCTATGCAACATTTTTGCTTACACTATTGCCATATTTTCCAACTTCTTGATGAATTATATTGTTAGAAATGCTGACAGTCTTTGAATCACTCTATCAATTTTAGTTGCTCATAATTTAATGCATCATATGCATTGTAATATACAGTGATCCATATCATGTGGCCAGAAGTTCACATTTGAGGCATGATGACATTTCTGCTTATAATACCTAGGTTATAAAAACATGTAACTTAGGCCAGGTGCGGTGGCTCACACCTGTAATCCCAGCACTTTGGGAGGCTGAGGTGGGTGGATCACCTGAGGTGAGGAGTTCGAGACCAGCCTGACCAACATGGCAAAACCCTGTCTCTACTAAAAATACAAAATTAGCCGGGCATGGTGGCACGTGCCTATAATCCCAGCTACTCGGGAGGCTGAGGCAGAAGAATCACTTGAACCTGGAAGGTGGAGGTTGCAGTGAGCTGAGATCACACCACTGCACTCCAGCCCGGGTGATAGAGCAAGACTCCATCTCAAAAAACAAAAACAAAATAAAAACAAAACAAAACCAAAAACCTGTAACTTGTTAGTATTAATTGGTACTGATAAAATTTGTTCATCGTATTAAGCCAAATGTCATAATCACTTAATAAGTGAGTTGTTCCATCATTACATGTAGGCAGTGACAATTCACTGGAAATCTTTCTAGCAATTATAAATATGTCATATTTCACAGAAGCAGTGAAATTGTTTAGGAGCATTGCCTTAAATTAATTTTTTAAAAGAAAGAGATAATCAACCAAAAAAATAGAAGACATGGAATTTAGACAAAACAGCTCCACTGAACATAATGCAGAAATGTCACATTACAACTGCGTAATGCTTTGCATCTTGGGAAACACTCATTTCTTTTTTCCTCATATAGTTTGAATGTCTGTCTACCAATAACCCTGGTATGCAACAGCAAGACATTTTATTTTAGAAACATGAAGGTATTATACAAATCATTTTAATGTGCTGAATATTATGATACCAAAACTCAGATAATGGCTTATCTTCAAAATTAAGATTCATTTTCAGGCAAGATGTTTTAAAAAGTTAATCTTTGGGTTAACCTTTTCATAATTCTTGTCAGTTGAAAGGCAAGTTAACAAACACTCTTTTTCTCCAGTTTTAAGATTTTTTTTTCAATGTTCTTTTGCAAGTTATTAAGATTACCTAGTAGTGAGTTAATTAATTTATTAATGTGCTAATCATCAATTAAAGCAAGCTTCTTTTAATTTAGTGGAATGGTTAAAATGATCTATATTACAAGTGAAATTTGTAACATTTTGGAACATATCATATGACCTCATATTTTGGAACACTTCATATGACTTATGCATTTTAGCTTAGTATAATGTTGTGATGATTACAAATATAGATTCTATATTCTGTCATATGTGGTTACTAAGAAGCAACTAGCAAATGTCAAAAGCATAACAGTATATCATCTGTTCACTTCCTATTTGCTGCTCACTATTTTATTTTACCCAATATCAGTATTTTTCCAAGAATTTTAACAAATGCCCATTTTCTATTCCTTTGATATAAATAGTTGAAATACTCCTGGAGTGAAAAAAGTAGAGGTTTCACTGTAAATAGCCATTAATTAGTTCACTCTCATCACTTTTTAGTCTAAACTGTATTTTAAAGATGCAGTCATCTTCTCAGCAATGACTTTTTTTTTGAGACAGAGTCTCGCTCTATCACCTAGGCTGGAGTACAGTGTGTAATCTTGGCTCACTGCAACCTCTGGCTCCTGGGTTCAGGTGATTATTGTGCCTCAGCCACCCAAGTAGCTGGGATTACAGGTGTGTGCCACTATGCGCAGCTAATTTTTATATTTTTAGTACAGATGGGGTTTCACCGCATTGGCCAGTCTGGTTTTGAACTCCTGACCTCAAGTGATCCACCTGCCTCGGCCTCCCAAAATGTTGGGATTACAGGCGTGAGCCACTGCGCCCGGCCCCAGTAATGACTTGTACTTTTTTTTTTTTGAAACAGAGTCTTGCTCTGTTGCCCAGGCTGGAGTGCAGTGGTGTGATCTCAGCTCACCACAACTTCAGCCTCCAGGGTTCAAGGGATTCTCCTGCCTCAGCCTCCCGAGTAGCTGGGACTACAGGTGCATGCCACCACGCCTGGCTAATTTTTTTTATTTTTAGTAGAGATGGGGTTTCACCGTGTTAGCCAGGATGGTCTCGATCTCCTGACCTAATGATCCGCCTGCTTTGGCCTCCCAAAGTGCTGGGATTACAGGCGTGAGCTACCGCACCCGGCCATGACTTATACTTTTATGGAATCAATCATGATTTTGCAGTCCATTTTAGACCATGACACACACACATACACACCCACATATATATGCTTATAGATCCCTTATGAATTATAAACATTCAAATATTTATGTAATAAATTTAATAAATTGCAGATATTGTATATAAGTGTAAACATGGATAGTACATTTCTCTTTAACAAATCAAGAGCCTGGGTGCTAATATATTTTTTTCCACATTTCTGGTGGCATATTCTTTGTCTCTTCATACGATAATAATTTGTAATATTTCAAAGATTTATTCACGTTTTTACATAAGGTAAAATTCATTCATTTTTATTGCTATATAATATTTATTGTGTGAAAACATCACAATCTAACCATTCTGTTGCCAGTAGACATGGTGGTTGTTTCCACCTTTTGCTATTAGGAACAAACCTGTTATTGACAACATTTCCTGTAGTTCCTTTGTATCACTGCAGCTCACTCCCTGCACTGTTGCTGGTGGTGGTGGTGGTGTGTATGTGTGTATACACATTTATGTGTGTATACAGCAAATCCAATTCTGATCATGTTATTACTTAAAACTCTTCAGCTGGTGGCTTGGTACCACCAGGAATAATATTCCAGATGGCCTAGAATGACTTCAAGATACATTATTGTACTTATATAGCAATTGCTACAGAAACTCAAGCAATTTTTTTGATGCTACACATCAAAATAATGATGTTGTGAAGTGGGTTTGCTACCCCTTCCACTTTCTTTTGTCAGCAGAACCTACTCTTGTCCCTCTTTGCTCTCTATTCTGGCACTATAGAGAGTCTAAATCTGATCAGATGTAAAAACGAATCTCTTATCATCAAACTTTTCCAGGAAAAATAAAAAGGAAATCCTCTTCTGGGAAGTTGTCCCAGAAAAAGCTATAATGGTGAAAAAAGCATGAGAGGAGTCACATGTCCCTGGTCTTTATGAATTGCCAAGTCAATTTTCTGGATCTCTTTGCATATCTAAAAAAGGCAAGTATGATTCCTGTATGGCCTGCCCTCTGGAGTGGTGTTGAGGATCAAAAAACAAAACAAAACAAAGCTTCCATATATTTCACACTTAGTGAACACCTGCTATGTCCCAGTCACTGTACTAGGTACAGAGACAAAAACCAACAACAACAATAAGGGTGCCTGTCTGAGTTCTCTGCATCCTGGCCATGTAGATTGACAGATTAAACTCTCTTAGCCTCTATATGCTCGCTTGTAAATGACGAGGGTAACAGAAGCTACTTCACATGGTAGTACAGTATTCATAACATCTACTTAACCCAGTGCCCGGTACAGAGTACTCAGATAATAAATTGCTGGGAATGAAGTGAGATAAATAGGTAACTAAATAGCTACAGTAGTGATCTTGACTACATTGGAGAGAAACATGCAGCTGCTGTAAGATACAAAAGGGTCATCTAATTCAGCTGAGGTGGCAGTCCTGCAGGATATGATGTTATCAGTTTTCAACTTAAAGGCGAGTAAATCATCCAGAGAAACTGGATAATTTCATTTTATTGATGTTTTTGCACAATAAAATAAAATCCAGAAAAACTGGTGAGGCAATGGGGATGAGTAACATCCCAGATGTGGGATTGTGTTTCATTCCCCTGGAGCAGGAGAGAAGGATCAAGACTGGGGAATATAAAGGGATCGGATCTTGAGGTGCCTTGAAAGGGGCAGAGGAGGTTGACCTCGGTCCCTTTGACCATCAGGAGACACCAAAAGTTCTAAGCTGGGAAGAACGCAATCAGAGTCGCATTTAAGTTAGGTCACTGCGTTCTGGCATGGATTTGCCCTGACCTGATTTTGACACTGGAGTAGGTAATTTGCGGGGGAGGTGGCCCGGTCTCAAGCAGTCGCGATAGGAATGGAGTAGGAGCCTGAGAGGAAGTTAGGGGAAAGAGGTAAAATCTACAGCTGCTGGCAGCAGAAGGAAGGCGGAGGCTGCAGAGGACACGAAGGCCATCCCGACCCTTGGCAATAAAGGGCATAGGAGGGAAGTGTCAAGACCTAGGCATGGGCGTCACCGCACAAGATAAAGCTCAGTTGGACCGCGGTAGATTTCGTCCAGGACCCGGTGCCAGTAGGCCAAGGAGCGGTTCAGACCCCTGCAGCAGCGTCTTGGGGTGCTAACGCCCTCCGCTGTTGGTGCGCGGCTGTCCCAGCACGGAGCGCGCACCCAGCAATCATGACAGCGCGGAGCGCCCTGGAACTGCGACAGGGCGGAGGTCGGGAGGGTGTGCGTGTCTGGGGCAGTCCCAGCCGGCGAGAAGCGCGATTCAAGCATCCGCGGTCCTTGCGGCCGCCGCCTGCGCCCCACGCCGAGGTGAGGAGCGGGAGCCCGGGTCATCCGCCGCCACTCCAGGAAAGGCTCCGCCCTCCGCGCCGAGAATGCGCCCTTCTGCCCGGGCTTGATATCACTTTTTCTTGTTACGACCTAGTCCATTTCCTTAGGTATTTTGTAGCTATCGCACGACCTAGGTCTACGTTGTATAATTCGTCAAACAGTAACTATTGTTTCTATGGGAAATCAGTTTTTCAAATGTTATCAGTCTACTGTTTTCCATGAATAGTTTACTCTTCGGGGATTCTGTTCTGATGCTGATTCCTGAGCTAAATTCTTGGATTTGTATTTCCCTTGAATATTCCAAAATATCCTGGACTATGGTGGACACACAGACTTTCAATAAATTCTTGAGAATCCATCGCGTTTTTTATGCAGAGGAAAACCAGTATCCTCTTTCTCCTTCCTCTTGTAACTGATAGGCCCTCGCCCGTCCTCCCTAGGCCATCCTGCCGTGCCCTCCGTCCAGTCCCCTTTTCCCCTCCCCGAGCAGGCATTCCCTCATCCCCTGTCATGGACCTTGCACCATCATCCTAATTAGCAACTAAGTCCAGTTTCTCTCCATTACAGTCTGGCAACCCTCCTCTCCCGTGAAACTCCGAAGGGTCATCGTTAGTATTATTCAGACAAATGTCAAGGCCTGCCTTTCAGACTCCTTGTGTCCATGTTTGTGACCCACCTGAACTTTTTCATTGTTTCCCTTCCACCCTTTTCCTGTATTTTTGTGGGAAACAGAATACTGTAATGAAAAGATGCCATTAAAAAATTATGAAAAATATCCAACATATAGAAATAACATCACTGATTCTGCTGAGAGTGAGCAAAAAAAGAAAAGAAATAACATCAAACATCTGGTCTGTATTCAAATTTCCAAATGTCTCCTGCTATAAATATTTGTTGATTTAGCGTGTTTGAATCAAGATCCAAATAAACTCCACACATTGTAATTGGTTCCCATGTGTCTTAAAGTAATTCATAGGTTCCCTTGGCATCTGGACTTCATCTTAGCCTATGTACCACTTTTTATTGTTGCTGGAGCAAATTAAAGGCCCTTCTCCTAGTGAAATGTGGGGACCCAGCAGTGCTGTTCAGATTTAGAGTTGTGCAATTCTGCATTTGTCATGCCCTTAAATAGCCCAGCTTTTCGGCTTGGAATCAGGAAGTGAAAAGAGCATACAAATACATGTCTCTTTAATTATGTTTTCATTCAGGGGAACGTTGAAGTACTTTATGAAAATTGCTGAGAGAAGCTAGGTTAAAATCTTTACATTTCAGGGAAAGAGAAGGAGGCTGTGCTAAGCTTCAGGCCAATCTGATACAACTGCTCCTTGATTCACCATGAGATTATGTCTGGATAAACTCAATGTAAATTGAAAATATTGCTAAGTCAGAAGTGTGTTTTTGACTTAGGATATTTTCAACTTATAATGGGCTTGTCTGGACATATTCCTGCCATAAGTGGAGGTATATACTGAATGTGTATGGCTTTTGCACCACCATAAAGTTGAAAAATCATAAATTGAACTATCGTAAGTTAGGATCATCTGTATTTGCTTGCTTCGCCATCTTAAATCATTAGTTTTCCTTCTCAGTATACACTTTTCCCTCTTATCACTTCATATTTTCTCTGTAGTCCCAAGACTGGCCTTTCATGCTATTACTCCTCACAGTTTCTGATCAACGTTCTAATGCCAAAGGCTGGCTGACAAATCATCAAGGATGCTGTAGAAGAGGTTTGAGATTAGACAGAAGGTGGGCCCAGAATTGATCCTATCTATCTCCTTCAGCTCTAGGACTGCACATACATCAAGAAATAAACCTGTTGTTGGGAAAGAACTTGAAAGGCAGATGATGACTCACCATCTTCTACCTATTAGACTACTGTTGGTGAAGAGTCAGCTGAGGGTGGCTTAAAAAAATATTGCACATTGATTTTCCACCCCATTATGTGTCTAAACCCAGAAGTTCTTCTGGTAGATGTGCACACGCTAGCAATATGTAGGCACCTATTGAACACTGACCAATGAGTGCCATCTTGGCTGAGTCTGGTGGCTTACACCTGTAATCCTAGCACTTTGGGAGGCCATGGTGGGAGGATAAGCTGAGGCCAGGAGTTTGAGACCAGCCTGGGCAACATAGTGAGACCTCATCTCTACTAAAAATAGGAAAATTAGCCAGGTGTGTTGGTTGAGTCTTAGCTACTCAAGAGGCTGAGACAGGAAGATCACTTGAGTCTGGTGTTCAAGGTTACAGTGAGCTATGATGGCACCACTGCATTCCAGCCTGGGCAACAGAGTGTGACCCTGCTCTAAAAAAATAAAAAATAATGGCCGAGTGTGGTGGCTCACGCCTTAATCCCAGCACTTTGGGATGCTGAGGCGGGTGGATCACGAGGTTAGGAGTTCAAGACCATCCTGACCAATATGGTGAAACCCCATCTCTACTAAAAATACAAAAAAATTAGCCAGGCATGATGGCGGGCACCTGTATTCCCAGCTACTCGGGAGGCTGAGGCAGGAGAATTGCTTGAACCCGGGAGGCAGAGGTGGCAGTGAGCCAAGATTACACCAATGCACTCCAGCCTGAGCAACAGAGTGAGACTCTGTCTCAAAAAATAGATAAATAAATAAATAAATAAATAAATAAAATAAAAAATAAAAGGCCGGGTGCAGTGCCTCATGCCTGTAATTCCAGCACTTTGGGAGGCTGAGGCGGGCGGATCAAGAGGTCAGGAGTTTGAGACCAGCCTGGCCAATATGGTGAAACCCCGTCTCTACTAAAAACACAAAAATTAGCTGGGCCTGGAGGCATGCGCCTGTAGTCCCAGCTACTGGGGAGGCTGAGGCAGAAGAATGGCTTGAACCCGGGAGGCAGAGGTTGCAGTGAATGGAGATTGCGCCATTGCACTCCAGCCTGGGTGACAGAGTGAGACTCTGTCTCAAAAAAAAATAATAATAAATAAATAAAAACAAGTGTTATCTCAGTTACTAAGCAAAACATCTAATATAATTAGGCTACCTCAATTTTTCATTGTGTGTGTGTATTCAACAACACACAGACAAAATAAACATTCTCAGTAACAGCTTCTAAAGTTTTAGTTTTAACACAGAAACTATGGATTAAATGGGTCTCTGGAATTTCACTTCCCTTTCCTCAGGAAAGGATCTTCTGTTCCTAGTGAAGAAAGCTTTTCTTGCAGTAGAAGCTTCCTCTTTATTTTCATCACAAATACCAGGTGGGCTTTTATCTGGACACACAAATGTAAGATACCTGTTATATGACCCCAAGTTTTGTGGAAAATATGGTGCTTGAATCAGAGGAAATTGTGCTATTTATCATTTATTTTAATAAAAATAGGTATAACTAGGAAGAAAGCTAATTATATGGTAATGTTTCTAATTAGTTTTCAATCCAATACCAAAAAATAAAAATTAGTGACAGATTCACACAGTAACTAGAAAAACACCTAGCATTTTAAGGGTAAATATTTCTAAAATAATTTGCACAGCAAAGTTAGTAACCTTGTTTTTCATCTTTTTTCCTCATATACTGCTTAGAGATGCATCATGGAAGACATCACTGTGGAGTTGTGTACAAATAGTGTAGTGACAGTTTGCAACTCTGTGTTCTCCTAGCAGCTGTATCAATATGGCATTTCATCTCTCCGGGGTATGACAATGATTCTGCTCAGTCTTCGAAGAATATTGTCTTACTTTATTTCTTTCATCCTTGAAAAAATAGCCACCATCTTTCAGAGAAGATCTTTACCCATCATTTAAGATAGTATTTTGGGATTTCAGGGCAGAAAATAATGTGATTAATTAATACCTCTTTTTGGCAAATAAAATATATAAAATGACACGTGCACATTTTACCATTTATGTTGAAAGGTGAAGTCCTGGAATAAAAATCCCCTAAAACACTGGTATAATCATCCTTTTGTAAATATTTGGGGAAAAAAAACCCTAATCCAAGATCAGTATGCATTTTCCTTTTGCAGTGTAAGTTTGTAACTGAATCATCCTCCCTAATCATTTTCTTGGGGTGGGGAGTAGAGGAATGTGAGTCAATAAATTGTAACACTCCATGTACTTATTGAGATTAGTACAGTACTTTTCAAAAATATTTTGGTGATTTGAATACTTACACATTATACTTAGCTTTAAGATAAACACGAACTCTTATTAAAATATTTTCAAAAACTAGCTCTGATCACTGATGGGCAAATGGGGGCAAACAATTTTGTAGAAAAATGAGGTCACTTAGTAACCTTAGGTGACAACGTGTAATTTCGGAAAAATATGTACTTTTCAGCTTTATCTCATGAAAAGTGAAGCAAGAAGATGAGGACAATGAAAAAGTGACCTCAATCTGTTCTTTGTCCACTTTGTTTCATCTGCCATTTCCCAATAAATGTGCAAAATAAACTAGGTTACTCAGAAAAAAAAAAGAGTATTCAATCTCCTATATACCTGAGGATAATTTATTCCAGCATATATAAAATCTTACTTCTAGCTAGACTTACTTCCAGAAGACTTAACAAATTTCTCATGTATTTTATTAATTTCAATCATGTTAGTCAATTTTAAATTTCATCTCTTCTTCATAAGTAATGTTTCTTGGAAGTGTAGCATTACAACTATACTACATCCCATACTGCTGATCATTTTAAAACATTCTTTAGATTTTTACTTTTCTTTCCAGTCTTGACTTTCACTTAGGTACAGATGTATTGAATTTATCTGTGGGTGTACAAAAAGTATGGATAATATTTCTAGGTCAGGTACGGTGGCTCACGCCTGTAATCCCAGCACTTTGGGAGGCCGAGGCAGGTGGATCACGAGGTCAGGAGATCGACACCATCCTGGCTAACATGGTGAAACCCTGTCTCTACTAAAAATACAAAACATTAGCCAGGCATGGTAGCATGTGCCTGTAGTCCCAGCTACTCGAGAGGCTGAGGCAGGAGAATCACTTGAACCCAGGAGGCGGAGGTTGCAGTGAGCCGAGATCGCACCACTGCACTCCAGCCTGGGCAACAGAGCAAGATTCAATCTCAAAAAAAACATTTCTAACAAGTAGCAGACTGAAAACTTAGCATTCAAAGTATTACCTCCATATATTCTGGAAGTAATATTATAGGCCCTATCATGCCACACTATTTTTCAAGGAATTTACTGTTTCTTCAACTGCATGTCTCTGTCCCTTTCTGAATATTCTAATTCACACATAGAGAAGCAGTAATTGCATGGCTCTTTGAACATTGCTGATGTTTCAACTTTTCCTGTCATCAGGGCTACAGTGATCAACTGAGGGCTGAAATCTGTCCAAAACTCAGAGCTTCATGTATTCTCATAGTTATTTAGGTGGCTGTTGCAGTGTTATGTTTCCAGAGTTATCACCAAACAATATGAAATATCATTAATTAATATTGGTCAATGAAGTGTCTAATCTTTTAGAGAAAACACTTCTAAAGCGTTGTATTTAATATTAGGGAGATCAATCCTCTATTTCTTCTTTTTCAAGTATTTAATAATTGAATATTTTGAAAATGAATGCAATGCTTCAGAGGAGTAATATTTTGGGATACTGTAAATTCTCAACATTCCTACAAAATGAAACCAATACAGTCATTCTTCAAATATATGCTGAATTTTGTGGTTTGCAAGTAAATTCTCTTTAAAAGTTTTAGCTGCATATTCCTATTGATTTCTTTGTGGACGACATGAATCTGTATCACTATATCTTTTTAGAAATAGGTACATTGAAAATGAAGATGAAATCTATGCTTACTTTGTACGTATTGAGCTAGTGAAATATTTGATATATTAAACATAATTCTGTATTTTATTTTGTTGACATTAAACTTTGAATTAATTATACTTCACCTCCTATTCCCTATAGAATGTAATACCTTGAAGTTTTCATGATTAATTTGGTACAAACTAAACAATTTCTTTTGATGCTATTTACTTGGGCTGGAGTTGATTTATCTGAATTGTTATACTAATTCTTTTTAAATGAAATTATAATATATATGACTGATTCAATGGAAGAACAAAGCATTACTCTTTTGTATGAGCTATACATTTACTGTTGCTATCAAATACAAATATGATTTTCTAAAATATCCTTTGGAAGTAAAATTAATGCCCGTGCGAACAAATTCAATTTAAGCATCTGTTTACTAAAAATTGTAAGTTTACTGAATTTATTAGATGCAATTTTATAGTGGCTGCTGTCAGAATTTCAAAAGCAACTTTCTCTGGCCAGCAAGTTATGGCCTGCTGGTGAGGAATGTGTGGCTTAAGTGGTAATCACCCTCAGTGGCAATAGGAGGTAAAGGGCAAAGATACACACTTATAGCTGATCCAATAAGCTTGAAATGAACATAGGTTCTGAAATGATTTAAGAGGCTTGTTTACACAACAGAATGTATGTTGTTGCATAGCCACAAACTACTTTTTGAGAAAGCTAAGCTCTGGAGAAATAAAAGCATGCTTATTGGACTGCAAAATGTGCAAACACAGTTTGAATATGTGTCCTGCATTTCCCATCCCTGCTTCCAGGTGTACCAATGTTCAGGTAACTTTGCCATAAACAGTATCTGTCTTATTTGAGAATAAAGCACGATACCTCACAGCCAACTTTTTTCCTCCTTAGCCTTTTATTACCCAAACCTTGGGAAAAAAACTGTTTCAAGCATAGCCCTACTCTTGAGGAGTTCACAGTCTTGTGAAGGGGAAGATAAAAAATAATTAGGGCATAATTAATGTGACCAGCGTAAAACTGATGTCCATATGAAGCACTGAAACTATATGTCTGTATTTTACTCTTTGCCCAAAATTGTTCTTTGAAAAAAGGAGCAGGATAGGAGACAGAATCTTTATTTTTGAAAGACACTGAAAAAGTGTCTTATTCTGAAAAATGGACATACAGTCCCACACGTACTGTCACTGCCTGACCCCTGCCTATCACATGGTAAGCGACATGGCATTTGGGAGGCTTTTTTTTTTTTAATTCAGGGATCAGTAACTTATTTCAGGATCATTTTAGATTAGAACTTTCACCTGCCACCTGGGCTTTTCATCTTTTAGTGTGTAAATTATTTTTAGTTTTTGGTTCACTAATATTGTCTTGTTAATTATACTGAGCATATAAAACCCTAATACATCTTTTTCTTTTTTTTGCAATAGTCTCGCACTGTCGCCCAAGCTGGAGTGCAGTGGTGTGATCTCAGCTCACTATAACCTCTGCCTCTTGGGTTCAAGTGATTTTCATGTCTCAGCCTCCCGAGTAGCTGGGATTACAGGCGTGTGCCACCACACCCAGCTAATTTTTTTTTTTTTGTATTTTTAGTAGAGACGGGGTTTTGCCATGTTGTCCAGGCTGGTTTCAAACTCTTGGTCTCAAGTGATCCACCTGCCTCGGCCTCCCGAAGTGTTGGGATTACACATGTGAGCCACCATGCCTGGCCTCCTAATAAAGTTTAAACCCTATGTAGCAAAGAATACAGTATGCTTTTTCTTAGTCTTCTTTTTCTCACTCTTATAATGAACCAACTTACATTCAGAGTCCAGAGGCAGTATTTGTTCATTTGATGTGGGATTCATGATAATTCACAGGTGACATGGCTATCTGGGAGTAATTGTTGGTTGGGATGTTGAAGAAGGATTCCAGGAGTTGCTGAAACAGAAATATCCTTCTGATAAACAGGTTTATAAGAGTTTTATTGTTTTAATAGTAGAAAACAATCCTTCTTGAAAGATTTCTATTAATATTACCTCTCTTGAAGAGCAGTGTCTGATTTGAATTACCCACTGTGAACTACAGTCTTGTAAGATACTGGGCATTTTATGTATGTATGTATGTATGTATGTATGTATGTATGTATGTATGTATGTATGTAGATGGAGTCTCACTTTGTCACCCAGGCTGAAGTGCAGTGGTGCGATCTCGGCTCACTGTAAGCTCTGCCTCCCAGGTTCGAGCGTTTCTTCTGCTTCAGCCTCCCCGGTAGCTGAGATTACAGTCACACGCCACCACGCCTGAGTAACTTCTGTATTTTTAGAAGAGACAGGGTTTCAATATATTGGCCAGGTTGGTCTCGAACTCCTGACCTCAAGTGATCTGCCTACCTCGGCCTCCCAAGTGCTGGGATTACAGGCGTGAGCCAACGTGCCTGGCCTACCCGGGCATTTTAAATAAATTTAGGCCACACTAGGTTATGAGTAGAAGCTATTTGGGGCTGGGTGCAGTGGCTCAAGCCTGTAGTCCAGCACTCTGGGAAGCTGAGGCAGGACTGCTTGAAGCCAGGAGTTTGAGACCAGCCTGGGCAACATAGCAAGACCTTATCACTAATAAAAAATTAGCCAGGCCTGGTGGTGTGCACCTAATGTTTCAGCTACTTAAAAGGCTGAGGTGAGAGGATTTCTTCAGCCCAGGAGTTTTTAGGCTGCAGTAAGCTATGATTGAGCTACTTGCACTCCATCCTGGGTGACAGAGCAACAGCCTCAAACAACGACAACAACAAACTCAGTGATTTGGTTGCAAATACCATATATGTAATAGTAAATGTCTAAATGTTAGCTTAAACTAATTTATATAGGTCTTTTTTTGTTGGAATAAATAAAGCATTTGCTTTCATTTTGTAATGCAGATAATCATATAGTAACTCCCACATTTGATCTCATAATTCATGCTTTTTATAGGCTATAAGAACTCCTTACTATTAAATTCTTATCAACAAATCTGACAGAGTTGAGATATCCTTAGCCCATATTCCTGAGAAGGAATATTACAAAACAACAATTATAGGATGAGGTACAGCATCTTGAGTTACAAATTATTTTTCTAAGTCCTATTTGTTTACACTGAACTCAAATTGACCGTCAAATAAGAATACTGATAAAAGTACATTGCCACTATAAAAAATGTAATTTTTAGTATGTAATTGAATGGAATCCTAAAATTCATTATGAATTATCAGTAATATATGAAATCTTATTTTAATAGCATTTCCTTTTAATAGCACTTCCATTTAGGATACAGTGGGTCTGTTTCAAATATCCTATTTAGAATTTTTGTTTGTCTTTCAGAAAATAGAAATTATAACTTCCTACTTTCTGGAAAGATTTTTTTTTTTTTAAACAGAGTTCAAAAGAAGGAAATTCTAACAGGATTAAGTTTAGGATAGGTTTATTCTAGTAGACTTTGTGGCACAGGTCCCCTAAATAATTCATCATAAGATTCCAGTGTATGCCATGTATCAAGAAATTAAATTGCTATCAACTGACAACTAAATTTGATACCCTTTAGTATACAGAATACTACACATAAGTCTTTCCAATCTTTGAATGATTTCTTCCCTAAGCTCTTCTATAGAAAAATGTAGGATTGTATACTTTACAGGATTTTTTTGTTTTTTTTGGAGACAACATCTTTAAAAGTTCCTGGAAATTCTAAAAAGTGCCTACTAACTTAAAAAAAAAATTGTCTTTAGGTATTTCATGCTAAGTTGGAAGCTTCTTTATCAAATATGATGCAACCAAATACAGCATGAACCCATAGCTAAAAAAAAAAAAACTACCCATGTGATTAAATTTTTGTTGAGAACGAACAATTTTTTTCTTGATGCACAACCTCATTCTACTTTTCTGTACAACTGGATAGTAACTTCTTTTTGGTAATAAAAATTCAACATATGTTACATTGGTTTTCTGACAACTTTATTTTCAATATGGCTATTTAAAAATTCTTCCTAATGGAGGATTTGGAAAAGCCAACTTTTAATTGAGCCAACAATAATCAAACAATGCAGCTGATATATCAGCTACTATTTTCAGAGTGACCGTTATGTGCTAGCAATTGTTCTCATGATCATATATTTATCAACTTTAATCCTTATAATAACACTGCAAGGTTAAGTACTATTAGTCTCTTTCATTTGTAAGGACAAAGGAAGATTAAAGAGATTAAAGTAACTTGCCTTTTATCCAGCTAGTAAATTTTCCCAGCAAATATTTGAGAGCATACTTGATATTGGCCCTGAGACTACCTCTGGGGCTGGGAACACAACTGTGAACAAGACAGACAAGATCTCCACTTTCAAGGAGCTTACATTCCAGTAGTAAGGTCAGGATTTGGATATAATGGTGTTGAACTCAAACTCTTCTTAGCTTCTACTCTTCCCCTACAGCAACACTCCAATAAGATGAATAAAATTGTTTCAGGGCCACTTTAAAAAGTGGGTGAAGCTGGACACTATATACTGGAATATGTTGTAAGAAAGTACTGTTGGTATATAAACATCCAGATTTATCAATGGAAAAACTCTATGACCTAGATGTATAGAGAATGGAAAGCCTATGCTGCATAACAGACATGGCTTATGATTGCCTGTAGATAAAATGTAATTCTTACTGTAGATAGCAGTAATACATACTTGCTGTTAACTTTCAAATGGCCTTAAGAATCATTATTATCTCAGTGTTTGACCTTGGTCTGTTCAGCAAGGTAGTCTCAAGCCATTTGTGGCCTTCAAGTACTTGAAATATGGCTAGTGTGACTGAGGAACTAAATTTTAAATTTTATTTAATTTTAACTAATTTAAAAACTGATACTTGATCCAGTTACAAGATTTTTTAGGCATGCTAGAACAACCTGGGTATGTGAATCTCTTTTTTTCAACTGTACATTTTAGGAAATTTAAATACAGATAAAATATTTCTGATGAAAATTTAGCATGTGAATTGAGATGTGCTATTATGTAAAAATATACACTGAATTTTGAAGATAAAACAAATATCTCAATTTAAAAAATACTGATTACATGCTGAAATAATATTTTTGATATATTTGGTTAAATAAAATGTTATTAAAATTAGTTTCAACTGTTTCTTTTTTAAAGTTTTATTTTTAAAAATGTGCGTACAGGGCCAGATGCAGTGGCTCACGCCTGTAATCCCAGCTACTTGGGAGGCTGAGGCAGGAGAATCGCTTAAATTCAGGAGGCAGAGGTTGCAGTGAGCTGAGATCGTACCACTGCACTCCAGCTTGGGCGACAGAGAAAGACTCCATCTCGAAAAAGAAAAATAAAAAAACATGTGCACTAGGAAATTTTAAATTACACATATCGTTTGCTTTGTATTTGTATCACTCTAAGGAGCCCTGTTGGAGTCCGATCCAAACATTAACTCTTTTATTTTTGGCATCAAAACATTTTCCTATTATACCTCATTATTCTTTTGTAAAAAGCTATGAATTATTTATCACTATTTCTATTCATGTTGTGAAGTTGTTAAGGTTGGGGTTGTTATCTGCATCTTACCAAAATGGTCTCTGGTCCTAGTAAAGAAACTGTTAGATGTGAGATAGCCCTCAGTAGACTTCACCTTCCTAAACATATTGCTGGGTGTGGCAAGCATGAAAGACCTTGGCTGTTCTTTACCTGGGCCATTTCTCAGTATTGAGTTTTGAGTGAGCATCTATAAGGGATGAGGCAAAGAGCAGGTTTGCTTCTGTTCATGGATAAAAAGCAGTGAACCCTCCAAGCTCAGTATTCTTTACCTACAACAAAAGCCTGCTGTATATGTAGCCATATTGCATATGGCCATATCATTTTGCCCCCATGGGACCTGGGACAAGGGGAAGCAATGAGAATGTGCTGATGCTCATGCTCCTTGTTGTGCCATGAGTAATAGTCCTTTGTTTCTGTCTGGGAATCTCAAGTCTTCTGTTAGCATCCATGAAGAAGTAACAGGGTAACTACTTAGCTTCTAACTAAAGTAAAATTAAATATCAGACCTGACAGGATGCACTTAAAATTATGTATTTATACTCATTTTTAGTTGTGGAAAATTATTAGGTTTGATGGGATATAGGAATTCTTTTCCATAAAAATTTTGTCTTACAATTTAAAAAATTTAGCTAACTTATTGAAGCCTAGTTTTTACATAAAATTTGGTTTTATATAAAAATGTGGCTGAGAAAATTTTAGCTTAAATATCTTTAAAAATTATGAAATGCAAGGGTCAATATCTGTCCTTATAATAGAAATATTACACATGTGCTTGTATGAACTGTCAGTATATAAGTATGCACATAATACATTTATTATCCAAGAGTGTTTTTCAGAGTAGTCTTTTAAAAATAGAAAGTGAACATAAGTATTCTGTGGGACTATATTCAAAGATTTATAGATTTTGGAAAGAAATAGCTTATCTCCTATACCATATATATATATATATATATATATATATATATATTCAGGACAAACGTAAACATTATAAAAAGTATAAAAATAGGTAAAAAGATACAAGTACAATATAATTTGTTTGGAATTTCAAAGGTGCTTTTTTCTCTTCTCTTTTCCCTTTACCTCAAAAGTTATAAATACTTTTGAAGCAGCATGTATT